>NC_000003.12:96205574-98705574 GCF_000001405.40 Homo sapiens
AAATACCATTCCGTACATTGGCCCTGGCAAAGACTCCATGATGAAGAATCCAAAAGCAATTGCAGCAGAAACAAAAATTGGTAAGTGGGACACAATTAAACTAAAGTCTTCTGCATAGCAAAATAAATATTCAGCAGGGTAAATAGACATCCTAAAGAATGACAGAAAATATTTACAAAATATACATCTGACAAAGGTCTAATATCTAGAATCTATAGGGAACTTAAAGCAACCAGGAAAAAGCAAATAATCCCATTAAAAACGGGCAAGGAACATGAAGCAACACTTCCCAAAAGAAGACTCCATGTTGCCAATACACATATGAAAAAATGCTCAATATCACCAATCATTAGGGAAATGCAAATAAAAACCACATTGAGATACTATAGTATACCACCAGTCACAATGGCTATTGCTCTAAAGTCAAATAATAACAGATGCTGGTGAGTTTTTACAGAAAAGTGAATGCTTATACACTGTTGATGAGAATGTGAATTAGTTCAGACATGTTGCAGATCAGGTTGAAGACTTCTCAAAGGGCTTGAAATAGAACTACTATTTAATCCAGCAATCCCGTTATTGGGTTTATACCCTAAGGAATATAAATGATTGTACCATAAAGATATATGCATGCACATGTTCATGATAGCACTATTTGCAATAGCACAGAAATAAAACAACTTAGATGCCCATGAACAGAGAACTGTAAAAAGAAAATGTGGTACATACACACCATGGAATACTATGCAGTCATAAAAAGAACAAGATCATGTCCTTTGCAGCAACATGAATGTAGCTGGAGGCCATTATCTTAAGCAAACTAACACAGAAACAGAAAACCAAATACCACATGTTCTCACTTGTAAGTGGGAGCTAAACACTGAATACACATGGATACAAAGAAGGGAACAACAGACACTGGAGACTGCTTGAGGTGGAAGGGTGGGGAGTGCCATGTGGGTTGGAAGGCTCGATATGCTCTCTATTTGGTGACAGGATCATTCTTACACCAAGCTTCAGTGACACAAAATTTTCTCATGTAACAACCCTGTACAGGTAAATCCCTGAACCTAAAATTAAAAGTGAAATAAAAGAAAATCTTCAATATATCAAGAGGGCTTAAGAATCCTAAATATTTGAAACTATAATTTTGATAATCTCTATCTATTATATAAAACATTTAACTACAAAGGGGGAAATAGATAAATCCAAAACTATAGTCAGAAATGTCAATACCCCTCTCTCAATAATTGATACAAGTAGACAAACAACTAGTAAGGATATATAAAACATGAATGACATTATCAACTATCTTGACTTAAATGTCATTTACTGAAAAGTCTAAAATCAGTAACTTCAGCCTGCACTGTAAGAAACTGAAAGGAAGGAAAAATTAAAGTGAAATAAAAGAAAGGGAAAAACGAAACTCATGATTAGAGAGAAAAAAGAGTCAATCAATAAAACCAAATACAGGGCTATAAAATAACATCATAAGGAACTAAATATCAATAAATTTAACAACTCACATGAAATGGACAAATTCATTAAAACACAAAAACTACCAATGTCACTCAAGAAAAATGATAGCCTGATTATTTCTGTGTCTCTTAAAGAAATTGAGTTTTAACACCTTTCCTTTCATTAGTCAATTTTATGAAACATTTAATAAAAATATAAAATATATTTTATAAAAATCATTGTAAAATATTGAGGAAGCAGAAATAACACCAAACTCATTATTAAGAGATCTGCTTTAACCTGCTATCAAAAGCAAAAAAAAAAAAAAAAAAAAAAAAGAATTAAATCACTATAGAAAAAGAAAATTGAAGACCAGCATTCCTCATGAATAGGAACACAAAACCCTCAACAAAAATTGACGAATTTAATAAGATAATAAATGAAAACTATAATACATCATGAATAAATGGATTCACACCAGGAATTCAGGATGGGTTTTAACATCCTAATATCAAACAATGTAATTAATTATATTAATTTATAAAAGAAAAAATAATCTCAACTGGTACAGAAAAACACATTTGATAAATCTGACATGTCATAACATAACTTTGAGCAAACTAGGAATAAAAACGAATTTTCTTAGCCTAATAAAAGATAATATGGAAAACTGCCAGCTAACATCATAATTAATGGTAATAGGATGAAAGATTTTCTACTAAGATGCAAAACAAGGCAAAGATGTTCATTCTGATCACTCCTTTTCAATATTCCACTTAAGAACTGAACCAATAGAGAAAACAAAAAGAAACAAGTCATACAAATTTGACAGGAAAATAAAAACTTTTTTACAAATGAAAGGATTGAGGATTTTAAAAAGCCTAAGGAGAAAGATTAGAATTCATTAGTAAATTCAGCAACATTAGAGGATACAATATCAATATACAAAAATCAAGTACATTTCCACATATCAGAAATTAACATTAAAATATTGAAATAAAAATGTAATGCTATTTATAATCGCATTAAATAACATGTATTGGCTGGGAATAAGTTTTACAAAAGACATGCTATGCTGGCAAACTGGAAATAGAAAAGACTGTGAATATTAATATGACAGCCTTATTTGTCAATCAAAAACTTAAAAAATGGTCAAAGGGTGAATGATAAATTGTGGAGAATTTGTAAAATTCAACATGAAAGGACATGAACTACATGCAACAACATGAATGAATATAAAAATATTTAAGCTAAGTGCAGAAGCCAGAAAAGTAAGAGTATATACTATAGTATTCCTTTTTGTCAATACTATGTGATAAACAAGTTTGGGTTTTAGTTCTATGACAGTATTTAGAAAAAAAGACAATATTTAGTGCTATGGCAGTATTTAGTGCTATGACAATATTTAAAATTTTTTGGAGAACTTTTTAGGTTCCTTACCCTTGGACTCAACTGCTTAATATTTTCATTTCTGATAAAACATCAACATTCTTTTAATTGTTAATGCTACCAGAGAGTATCTGTGAAGACTTTTGTCTTCTTCATTTCCACATTTAGCTGATCATTGAGATTTTTTTGTTTCACTAAATGTTTTTTATATTTGTCTCATTATTTTCTATTTAATGTTTTCTTTAACAGTTTCTCTTAAATCACTGGACAATGTTAGCTCAAAATAAGCAAACTTTCTACCAACAATTACATAACTGCTGTTAAACTAATGTTCCAAAATATGAATCTGATTTGATATTTTCTTTGCTACTTCATACTTTTTAAGTACTTGCTAAGGTGACAAGATAAACCTGAGAATCAATAGTGTAATATACAGGCCCATTATAGTATAGAATCTGGCTTTCTTTTGTATTAATTAATTCACTTTTCAACAAATATTTGTTGAGCCATACTGTAGTCAGAATTTAAGATGGCCCTATAATTTCTGTTCCTTGGTGTTATGTTCCTCCTTGAGTGTCAGAACATGTGGCTATTCTAGCCAACAGAATATGGGAAAAGAGAAGGGATTACACAAACGCAATTAAGGTTCCAAATCCATTGAACCTTCATTAAGTAAAAGTAAGACATTATTAGAGGGCTTAACTGAATAAGTAAAACACATAAAAGGAGTCATAATTATACTGAGGTTGAAGGAACAAGACATTCTGAGTTCTACAAACATTAGAAAATAAATTCTGCCAACAGAAGTGGATAATTTCCCAGTTAAGCCTCTAGATGAGAATATATCTCTGTTCTTCCCTTCACTTCAGCTTTGCGAGACCCTAAGGAGAGAACCCAGTAAAGTCATGCCTGGGCTTCTAACCTCTGAAAACTGTGAGACAATAAATGGGTGTCATTTTAAGTGAGTAAATATTTTGGTAATTTTTTACACATAAATAGAAAACTAATACAAGCAAATATTCTGCTCCTTGCGCCGTATTCTAGAAACTGTGGGAACAAGAGTGATAAGAAAAATATATACATGTTTAGATAATCTAAAGAGTGGGTACAGTCAGTACAGAGAGAAAAGAGAACCAAACATTAGATCCTAGTCACTCCAACCTTAGAAAGAGGATGAAGTGGGACACTTTGCAAGAGTTAAAAGTAATGCAACCCCCAGTCCAGAGGTTTTCTAGGACACAGAATGAGCAAGTACTCACTTGTAACTGTTGCACCTCCAGTTCTTGATGTTTTAGAAAAGTTACAGGAAGAATCTCAGCCCTGAATAAATAAAATAAAAACTAGTTGGATCCAAAGATGCCTGAATTGAAGATGAACTTTGGCAAGCTCTCCTCATTACCACACTAAAAGCCCCACCCAGGGAAGAGCTTAGTCACTATTATCCACACCTGTGGCTTATATAGAGGAACAACTGATGACGGCATCTGTGCTGCTTTGACCCCACCTCTAGATACAATGACTCAGCTAACAAACCTAATGAAAGGCCAGTTTTCACCTGTTCAGGGAGGCATTGATGTGGGGATTTATTCCAGCTGTCCTGTTTACTTGTTCCAAGTAATCAATTTTCTTTGTTAAATACTCCTTGGTTGTAGCCATTGGACTGTCACCTGCCAAGTCAAAAACAACAACAACAACAACAAAACACTCCTTGCAAAGGTAACAGTAGGAGGAAGTGGAAGATCACCAACAGTGAGTTAAACGTAGGAGCTAATGGGCTGGGCGCGGTGGCTCACAAATTATCTGCTCCCAAAGTACACTGATGGGACAGGCATAGGACACAAATTATAGATATTTCCATTCACAAGGAGAAAGACAAGGAAGATTAAAAAAAAAAAGGCATTAAATCGGCCGAGCGCAGTGGCTCACGCCCGTAATCCCAGCACTTTGGGAGGCCGAGGCGGGCGGATCACGAGGTCAGGAGATCGAGACCATCCTGGCTAACACGGTGAAACCCCGTCTCCACTAAAAATACAAAAAATTAGCCGGGCGTGGTGGTGGGTGCCTCTAGTCCCAGCTACTCGGGAGGCTGAGGCAAGAGAATGGCGTGACCTGGGAGGCGGAGCTTGCAGTGAGCCGAGACTGAGCCACTGCACTCCAGCCTGGGTGACAAAGCAAGACTCTGTCTCAAAAAAAAAAAAAAAAGAAAAAAAAAGAGAAAAAATGGAGCTAATGAGGTAGGAAACAAGCATAGCACAGTGTTTCAGAAGTCTATGAAGGTATATTTTGAGGGACGAAAAGGACAATGGTTTCAAATTCTACTGAGAGGTCAAGAAAGATGAGTAATAATTTTTCCAAATGGTTTTAACAGTGTGGACATCGTTAGTGAATGAAAGGAGAATTTTTTTAACGAATTAATGGAGGTTAAATCTTGATCAAATTGGCTTTAAAAGAGGATACAAAGGGAGTAGACAGGGAATGTAAACAAACAAACAAAAACTTATTAAGTGATTTAATAGAAATTAAATGCATCAATCCTATTGAGTTTTACTAGAAGGAATTATTGGAACGATTCTTTTCCCCTCTCATAAATTTATTTCAAAGCTGGAGCAGAAGAAATTTGCTATCTCATAATTTTATACATACTTGATGTATTCATCAAAAATGAAAACACACTAAAGAAAATTTTAGTTAAAGAAAGACTAAAAGAATTTATCATCACTAGATCTGCACTAGGAAAACATATCATCCTTAACCTGAAATGCAATGACTAGGAAATTCAAGACTAGGAAGTAATGAACAATGAAAAAGGAAAAATATGAGGATAAATATGACTGCTTATTTTTCTTCTCATATTGTTAAAGAACATACGACTTTTTCAAACAAAAACCGTAACATTATTCTATGATTTCTATGTGTGTAGATGTAATTCATAATAATGATAACACAAAATACAAAAATAGAAGAATGGAACTATACTATTGGAAATTTTTCATATTTCATATGAAGTTAAAAATATATTATGTAGAATAATAACATAAACTACAGTGTAATAATTTAAGGAGACATAGTCTAATGTCTAGTGCAACCACTATGATATTGAAATGATAAACAGCTAAATCATAAATAAGGGATTATAAAAATAGAGACAGGAATGCTTTTACACTGTTGGTGGGAGTGTAAATTAGTTCAACCATTGTGGAAGACACTGTGACGATTCTTCCAGGATCTAGAAACAGAAATACCATTTGACCCAGCAATCCCATTACTGGGTATATACCCAAAGGATTATAAATCAATCTACTATAAAAACACATGCACATGTATGTTTATTACAACACTGTTCACAATAGCAAAGACTTGGAACCAACCCAAATGCCCATCAATGAGAGACTGGATAAAGAAAATGTGGCACATATACATTGAGGAATACTATGCAGCCATATAAAAGATAAGTTAATGTCCTTTGCAGGGTCATGGATGAAGCTGGAAATTATCATTCTCAGGAAACTAACACAGGAACAGAAAAGTAAACACCACATGTTCTCATTCATAAGTGGGAGTTGAACAATGAGAACACATGGACACAGGGAGGGGAACATCACACACCGAGGGCTGTTGGAGGGTGGGGGGATAGGGTTGAGATAGCATTAGGAGAAATAACTAACATAGATGACCGGTTGATGAGTGCAGCAAACCACCATGGCATGTGTATACCTATGTCACAAACCTGCACATTCTGCACATGTATCCCAGAACTTAAAGTATAATAAAAAAAAAGTTGTGATTTACACAAATGAATACACAAAACTAGGGAGAAACTATACAACTTTTGAGAAAAGAACATGGAAGAAAATCAAGCTGATATAATAAATGAATATAAATATTAATGATGGATACAGTTTGGCTGTGTTCCCGCCCAAATCTCATCTTGAAGTGTAGCTCTCATAATCCTCACGTGCCTTCCACCATGATTGTGAGGCCTCCCCAGTCTTGTGGAACTGTGAGTCCATTAAACCTCTTTCCTTTATAAATTATCCAGTCTTGGGTATGTCTTTATCAGCAGCATAAGAACAGACTAATACAATGATATAGTATATAATAGTAATTCATAACATTATTATTATTATTATTATCATTATTTTTTGAGACAGATTCCCGCTCTGTCTCCCAGGCTGTAGTGCAGTGGCGCGATCTCGGGTCACTGCAACCTCTGCCTCCTGGGTTCAAGCAATTCTCCTGTCTCAGCCTCCCGAATTGTTGGGACTACAGGTGCAAGCCACCATGCGCGCGGCTAATTTTTTTGTATTTTTAGTAGAGTATTTTTAGTAGAGATGGGATTTCACCATATTGGTCAGGCTCATCTCAAACTCCCGTCCTCAGGTGATCCACCTACCTTGGCCTCCCAAAGTGCTGGGATTACAGGTGTGAGTCACTGTGCCTGGCCAACATTATTAGATTTGTGTTACTATGAATTTATATACTTATAATGAAATATGTCATATTTATAAGGTGTACTATAAATGTGAATAATGTATAAATATCTCTTACCCACAGATGATAATTTAACAAACTAATTCGATAAGCAATACACTTGAACAATTAACAAAATATATTCAAATGGACAAAATAAGCATAAAAATTCTCAACAATTCTAGTTATCACAGAAACAAAAAGTAAATCCACATGAGTTACCATCATATACCTATTAGGCTGACCAAAATTTAAAAGGCTGATAATGCCAAATGTTTGTCAATATGTGAAGCAACTGGAACTCTCACACATTGTTGATGGAAATCAAAATGGCACAACCATTTTGAAAAAAGACTTGACATATTTTAAAAATTTAATTATCCACTGATGTTATAATATCAATATATACTACACGTGTATAATAATATGGAAGTAGGAAGTGGGACTTAACTGTGGACCAGATTAAAGACTGGCTAAAACAGGGAAGAGACACCAAAAACAACTCTCCACAAGACACACCCACCAGTGCCAATACAGTTTATCATTGCTGTGGCAACATCCAGAAGTTACTGCACTTTTCCATGACAATAACCGAAAAGTTATCACTTTTCTAGAAATTTCCGAATAACTCACATCTCGATTTGCATGTAATTAAAGGTGAGTATAAATATGAGTGCAACACTGCCCCCAAGCTGCATCTCTCAACCCACTGCCTATGTAGGAGCAGTCACACAGCTGTAATATTGCTTCCTAAATAAAACTGTTTTATTGTACCACCTTTTCACTGTTGAATTTCTCCCTGGGCAAAGCCAATAATCCTCCTGGGCTAAGCCCCAGTTTTGGTGCTTGCTTGCCCTGCATCAGTTTTATATTGTGTCCTTTTTGGTGAAGTTGTGCTTTTCAAAGAATTTCTCATTTTCTTCTAAGTTGTCGAGTCTATTGGCAAATAGTTGTCCACTAAATGTCCTTATTATCTTTTTAATATCTGTAGAGTCTGTATTGTTTCTCTTTCTTTTCTGATATTGCTATTGTGTTTGTACACTTTCATTACTAATTAGTCTTACTTGATTTTGTTAATTACTTTTTCAAAAAAACCACATTTGGGCTTGTTTATTTTCTATTTCATTGATTTCTCTTCTCTTTGGTATTACTTTTCTACAACTAATTTTTGTAACTTGATATTTTCTTTGGGTTACTAATATGGAAATATATATTATTGATTTCTCTTAAAAATTTGAGCAGGTCAATTTTTCTTCAAATATTATTTTAGCTTCATTGAACACATTTTGATTCATTTTTTTTGTATTCATAATCCCTCAGTTCAAAATATTTCCAAATTTCACTTGTGTGTTTTCCTTTGTCCCATTTTTGCTAAGTGTGTTATATAATTTTCACATACTTTCTTTACATACTATGACTTTTTCTAAATAATTATTATTTAGAAAATTATTATAATTATTATTTGCTAGCTTAATTATTTTCTAGGCACAGACTATCCTAATATTTCAATCTTTTCAAAGTTACTAATCTGTGTTTTGTGATCCAGCATAATGTTTATTATCATGATATTCTGAATGTAGTTGAAAAGATTATTATAGTTGCTTGTTGCAGTATAGATGTCAATTCAGCCAATGTTGTTGGTAGAGATTAACTGGTGTATGAATTCTTACTAATATTATGGCTAATTTTCTGTCAATTATTGAGGAAGGAGTACTAAAATATCCAAATATAATTGTTCATCTATTCCTCTATTTCAACCCATTTCTTCTTCCAGTACGTTTATATACATCATATATATTGCCACCTAATTTATTCATAATAAAATGCACCTGATATGATTTGACTGTGTCCCTACCCAAATCTCATCTCAAATTGTAATCCTCATGTACTGAGGGAGGGACCTGGTGGAAGGTGATTGGATCATAGGGGCACTTTCCCCAATAACTGTCCTCATGATACTGAGAGAGTTCTCACATGAGCTGATGGTTTTAAAAGCATTTGGCAGTTTCCACTTTGCTCTCTCTCTCTCTCCTGCCACCATGTAAGACATGCCTTGCTTCCCCTTTGCCTTCCACCATGATGGTAAGTTTCCTGAGGTCTCTCCAGCCATGTGGAACTGTGAGTCAATTAAACCTCTTTCCTTTATAAATTACCCAGTCTCAGTTAGTATCTTTACAGCAGTGTGAGAATGACTAATATAGCACCTATTTGAAATATACAATTTCATGAGATATGACACATGTATACACTCATATGACCATTGCCTCATTCAAGATATAGAACATGTTCATCAGCATGTGTGCTTCTCCCATGGCTGTCAATCACACTCACACCCACTGAACCCATGCCACCACAACCACTGTGTGGTCTTCTGTAATTACATATTTGTTTTCTTTTTGTGTAATTTCATAAAAATAGAATCATATAGTATGTATATTCTTTAGTGCATTTTTATTTTACATATATGCCATTCATCATACCACAATTTGTTTATTTATTATCTGCTCTTGGACATTTGACTTTTTTCAGTTTGGGCTGTTACAGGTTCAACTATTATGGGTATTCATGTACAAGTTGCTTTACAGGCACATCTTTTTGTTTCCCCTTGATAACCATCTAAGGGTATTGATGCATGGAAGGCAAGCCCCCAAATTAGTCCTTAACCTAGAAGGGTTATTGCCTTTGCCCAGGAAAGAATTCAAGAGTGAGCTGGCAGTAGAAGAAAACAGCTTTATTATCATGACAGTGTTACAGCTCTGTGACTGCTCCTACAGAGCAGAGATACTCCATAGACAGTGTGTTGGGAGTAGCAGCTCAGGGGCAGTGTTGCAGTCATATTTATACCCACCTATAATTACATGCACATCAAGATGTGTGTTATTCAGAAATTTCTAGAAAAGGAGTGGTAACTTTCTGTTCATTATCACGGTTGGGGCAGTAATTCTGGAAGTTGCCACAGCAATAGTAAACTGCCATGGCACTGGTGGGTGTGCCTTATGGAAAGCTGTTTTTGATGTCTCTTCTCTTTTATAACTAGTCTTTAATTTGGTCTGGAATTAAGTCCTGCCTCCTACCTCATTCCCCACTCAGAGATTAGATACTTCTCCATAAACTTAAGGGAGCTGCAGAAGGGTGGAGGTCCATCTTCTGTAACTGCTTCCTGCTGATTTTATGGGAATAGGTTCTTCCTAGCACTGGAGGAGTAAAAATCTCTGTATACCTAATCTAAGGGGCCCAAAGACAGGATACTTTTATTCTCGGGGACAGCTGATGGAATGAGTTAAAAGCCTTGTGGCAGCATTGTCTTTACCTGGAATTGTTGTAATTTAGAAGGCAGGAACTTTACTAAAAGGTTAAACAAGAGAAAACCAAAACCTAATAATAACAAGATAGCTATCAAAGGTCCTAGAAGAGGTAAAAACCAGCTGCCACTTGGGAGGGCACTTGTTGAAAACAACATTTTTTATTTAGAGATGGGATCTTGCTACGTTGCCCAAACTGGTTTCAAACTCCTGGGCTAAACTGATCCTCCCACCTTGGCCTTCCAAAGTGCTGGGATTACAAGCGTGAGCCACTGCACCCAGCCAAAGGAAGGCACTTTTGATAGTCGACCAGATATAGCTGGGGTCTGGGCCCTGGTTCTATCTATGTAACCAGGTAGCTTGCTCATAGATCATTTGAATGTTAACCTCAACCTGTCGGGTTGTTAATTTGTATACAGTAGGTTTTATTAATAACTGCACAGACTCTACCTTGTGTAGCTTGTAAATAACCCAACGTTAGTCTATTATTGAGAATTACATTTGCCAAAGGGTCTAGGGAGTCTTAAATTCTCTTTAGTGTCTGACCTGTGTTTGACAACTAAGGATTCTAGGGTTTCAGTCAAGATTTCTAGGGTTGAATTATGGTAGGCAAAGACACCTCAGGGTGGTGTTAGTCCTATTGACACCCTGATTCCCACCTGAATTAATCCTACTGCTCATTTATTTTTGGTATTCCTAGGTTTCATGGAGTTATAGACCATGACCCCTAGCAGGGGAAGGGTGGCCAATGTACATTTACCTTTGTTCCAAGTTTTGATATATAAGAGAAGGCTCTTCCTTAAAGAGCAGGTGGCTCCCTTGCAAGTCAAGAGTGTTTACGGGGTGTGACTTTTTTACTTTCATGGCCACAAACAATAATGAGCTCAGTGGGGTACAATTAGAGATCCTTCGGGTATGATGTCTATTCTTCACTGCCAAGTTAGGTCCATAGGAATATTCTTCACATGTTTTAATATGACCGGTTGAATAATCTTTGTTTTCCATAAGTGGATGGTACTCCCACCTTTCCAGATTAGGCAGTTGTTTTTTTCAACTGTATGTTCTGGTGCAGGATAAGGCCCCATATATGGCTTTCTTACTCAGAAGTAGAATCCCATTTACCATGCTGTGCCCTTGGGAACTTGGCAATTAGAGTTGGATTAAGGCATCACAGGGAAACTTTCACTTTTGTGTCATTAACAAAATGGTGGATGTAAAAGAGAGAATCATTAGTGCAGTGGAGATACGGATACCCAAATTCCCAAGTCCAGGTAGTAGTGGTGGGACTGGGTTCAGGTGGAATTGGTTAAGTTGGGGAGAATTTCACCTAGCAAGTAGGAGTCTGGGTGCTTTGGAATTGCTATGGTTAGTTAGGAAGTCTGGGGAGATGACCACAAGATTTTTCAGATGGGCCAGAAGGTAGAACTTTTTATCCTGGGATGTTGATGACAAATCCAGCAACTACGAAGATGATTCCCTACCACTATAATTTTTGAAATGTTTCCTATAGAGTTTTTCCCACTCACAATAAATCAGGGTAATTGGGAGAGCAAACAGGATTAACAGTGGCAGCATGGTGTCTGGTTGGGCTTTGGAGTGGCCTGTATCCCCAACAAGAACAAAAGATATTTCCCAGGAGGAGGCAGTTGGCCAAAGCAACAGAAAAAAAGTATTACAATTAAGAAGAAGAGAACAATTAATGCTTCTATTTGTATTCAAAGCCTCAGTTTACTATTTCTGGCTGTATTGATTCTTTTAAATAGGTAAGGGAGGCCTTCCAAAGGTTCACAGATGTAGGTCGTGGTGTCTTCCTTTTGTGCCCATGACTAATAAGAAATAGGTTTAATCTTGGAGAGGTGTACCCAACTGTTATTGTCTGAAGTTTAACAGCAGTAGGAGTACTGAACAACACCTGATAGAGGACTTTCTAGTTTGGTTGTAATTGATTCTTGAGAGATCCTGTTGTTCCAAATTTTTAGTAAAATCAATCTCCTGGTTCAATGGATGGGGGTGGGGAACATTAATTCTTTTCGTTTTGGGAGGGGGCGATATTTTGTTTTTACATGCTTGAAAAACCTTCTGAACCTAGCTAAGTTGATAATATGGATGAGCATTCTATGTGTCTTTTTATCAAACAGGAGGTCTAAAGTTAAAAATAGCCTCCTGTAAGTCATTTCAAATGGACTAAACTTTAGAGTTACCTTTGGAGCCATCCTCACATGTAAAAGGGCTCTGAGTAGGAGAGAAACCCAGACCTCTAAGCTCTCAGGTCTCCTAACAGAGTTTTGCTAATGTCCTTTAAAAGACATAATTAGCTTTGTTTTTTTAAATCTTATTGGAGAATTGAGGTCTCCATGAGAGGTGAAGATAATAGGTAATGCCTAGGGCTAAAAAAAAACCTGCCTGGTCATTTTAGCTGTGAAGGAGAGTCCCCTTATCACTCTGTAGACTTTTTGGTAATCCAAACATAAAGAGACACATATCTAAAGTAATACAATTCAGTCGCAATTTTATAGATGACTGCAGTTTACCATTAATTCAACACATATTTATTATTAAATAGAATATATTTTAAATTCCTCATTTTGTAGATCCTATCAAATAAACTATTTTTTCATATTATTATATTATCACAATTGGCAGTTGTGTATATGATGTATATATATATCCACCACTTGATTACTAGCTGGATATGTGTGTTTGTGATCACAGACACACACACACATACACACAGAGCGATGTACACACACTAATTTCAAATACTTAAACCCACTATTTCCACTGGGACTGAGTCAGTAATTTAATAGTACATTCAAGGAAGACCTTATTATTACATGAGATTGGAGGTTATCAGGGAGTTTCAAATTGTTATTATTGAAACAACAATGCACTCTTTTGAGATTCAGTGTGAACCTGCTGCAGTATGGTGCTGGTTACTGACATTTAATATATGAAACCTTGGAACACCGTTAAATAGAAAACGTGAGTGATTACTAAAAGAGTAATCTGAGTTTTCCAATTTTATAAAACTCCGCTATCGAATCAGATTTAAAATGTTTAAATTCCAGAAATGAGCAGAGACCCCAACATTTAATATCTCCAGGGAATTACTGAAAGAAAATACTAGAGAGATATTGGGGGAAGCAGAGACAATCTTCTGTTTGAAAAATCTATATACATTTACTAGCAGGATGGTAATAAGCATTTCTGGGGTTGTAGAAGCATTGAATAGAACCGTGGTGTAATGATGTTGAAACTATTGACAGAACTGGCAATAATGACCCACTAAAATGAAGCCAAATGGAATTAACCTAAAAATCCAATCAATGGCTCACTCACTGAGGGAAAAATGAGGAAAATTTCTGCATAATTTCACATTTTATTCTTGGTAGCTTTATATCATGTGAAATGTACAGGGTGTGCAAATGTGTGAGACAAAATTTCAGCAAACAAAATCAGGCATTGTAGTAGAAATTGCAGACGAAAGAAAATTAGTGGATTAGATTGACTTCTGTATTGGCAAATGGCATGTTATAATAAAGATGCAATAGTACTTAACTTTTAACACTAATTATTAATTATTTATTGAAAAATTGGCTTTTTAAAATATTTTATTCTTGTAATAATAAATGTGATAGGTAGCAATACTGAACATGAATTTTTGAGCATGTCATCAGCAAGAGTTTCTTTATTAAATTTCTTGAGGTGACAACTTAATGGTAGAAAGAAATTATAAATAAAAAACGCTATCCACTTAATTATGTAGTAATATATGGTTATGTAGCTATGCAATAATAACTTTGTGACTTCAGTTTCTTAACTGAAAATAAATAATCACTTCAGTACTTTATAGTATTTTTAGGTTCCTAAACAAAAGAAATATGATCTTCAATATTTTTCATTTATTAAACCATTTCTAGATGATAGTTGAACTTACAGATGCCAGTTTACTAAAAGTTTATATTGAAATTTAGTTATAAAATATTTAGTAAGAAAAACAAAGGTATAATATTTATTAGATGGCCCATATTACTGCATCATAGAAAGTTTTATAAACAAGTAAATCTCATAGTACATTCACAGGCAAACATAAACATAATACAAATAACACTGTATTATTTAACCATGTTTACATGCCAAGTGAACAGTAAATGGGCAGCTGATAATACATTCAATCAGACAGTCTATCATATAAATTTCATTCACTCATTAAATTTATCCTTTAATGCTAAATTACTCTATTTATGACCAGCAGAGAAATATATGTGTATAGTAAACATTGAGCCTAATGACTAAAGTAAAACGATTGAGTACCTTGGTTTTTACCATTACACACCTGTAATTTAAAAAAAAAAAATTGGATGATATGTTTTCTCTCATTGCATTAATCTTTGTTTTTTCAACTTATCTGTCCTTTCACTAAAAGAAAATCACCCTACTAATTCATACTTAATAGGAGACCTTTGCATTAACTCAAAGCAAGTTGGTATCCAATTATCATAGCCTATTCCATTTTGAAAAATGAGGCAATTATAAATTTGTGATCTTTCCCCTTTCTTTAATTCCACTGTTCAGTGAGTTGTATTTGTTTTGTTTATTGTAAAGAACTCCAAGTAAACCTGGTTACATTTGCCTATTCACTTTAAAAGTTACGGTGAGTCTCACTGGTCTGCCATCTGGAGTCACAGCTAGCTGACAACATTATATAACTTTTTAAATTCATGTGTTGCTGAATTTAATGTAATTTTGAAATAAGTATGTTATGTTTAACAATTTTGGAATGCATCTCCTTGGCCTGATAGCAGCAGCTACTGCGTTAAGAAATTGTTCTTATAGCAATATGCCACTGATTCATTATTTTTTCTTTTCAAGCTTATCACTAGCTTAAGACATAACATATATCCACCCCCTGAGTGTTTAAGTCTATTCCATGTTTCTATGTGGATTTCTCATTTCTTTTACTATCATAATATTGAGCAAAATTTAGACAGAAAAAGTTTATTACTGTTATTGAATAAGGTATATTTATTATTACAAAATCATATGATTTTACAAAATACATTTTTTTCCTGTGGCCCATTATGTTTGGAGTATAATTAGATGTTTCCCATAGTAACTAGGCCCCTGCTATCAAGCTAAATGGAATAACTTTATTCGTCTGCAAATTTTTAACAGGGCAAACAAAATAATAGTCACAATAGCAGGAATTTTATTATGAAAGGTAATTATCACTGATTATACCACATTGAAAAGCAATTATCTTTATTTTCTCCACCTTGCCTTCCAACTTTGGTCCATATTCTTAAGTACTTTTCATATATCTGTAATGGCATCATAGAAATACTACAGTGATTCTTTAAAATACCTGAAATTGCAAGAAAACCCATGATTACTTGATAAGACAAAATAGGAGGAAAAGTATAAATTACAGTCATTGTTTTCTGGTTCCATGGTATATTGCTGATGCATTCTGAATTCTTGTCCCTTGCCTGATTTCACAACAGAGAGATTAATGCTCCAAGATTCTGAATTCTTGTCAGATGTCCAGATTCTAAAATCTTTGACAAATGAACAATTTTGAAGTAGTTATTTATGTTTTTTCCCCCAGTCCCATATCATCTTATCCAAGCAAATCCAATACACTCAGTTTTAATGTACATGCTTGCCACTAAAACGTCTCTCCTTTCATTATATTACTCTTTGTAGCAATTATGTTGCCTTTTGGATTGATCTAACTTTTTCCAATGTTTCCATATTCTGACTATAGATTTTACCTTCTAGTTCAAATTCTGCTTCTTTAGATTTTTCAACCATTTAATTTCTGAATATTGACCAAAAACACACACTAAAGGGTGTAAATCACTGTCTCTTTCAGTTATTCTTCTCAGTGTTGTGATAGCATTTCCATCAGTTTTTTCAGAGATTAAGGATTCTTTTCATAATCTGAACCACTCAAAATTTGATACCTGTATTTTACACTTTCTCCATTTGTTGCCAGACTCTTACATTGATGCTAACAGCTGATATAATTTTCTCCTCAGTATTTTATGTTCAAATTCTTGACTTACAGACCCTGTGTATACCAATCCCTGGATAAGTAAAACCTGATTTGTACATTTCATTCTGTAACAGTCACCTAACCCTCTTAATTCTGTATATCCTAATGACTAACCATATAATTCAATTTATGATATGTGCTCATGCATATAAACCATTGCACATTTTTTTCACTATACTTCAAACAGCCTGATGTCTAATTTCCACTTGAGGAGACATATATTCCGATTCCAGGTCACAATTTCTGACCATCATTTGTTTCTGACCCCCTAGGCTAAGTAACAAATCCCTCTTCAATACTGTTAATGTCTACTGCAGCAATTATTAATTTTTAATATCTCTACTTAACAGAGTTCTTCAACTTAAAATTATCACTTTATGTTTGTTTTGTTTTGCTTTTGCTTTAGTTTCCATGTACCATGACTTATCTAGAGTATTTCATGAATACTTTTCTGGAATATTTAATTAATTATTTAGTGAATAATTAGTATGAGGATAGTTATCAATGCATAGAACAAAAATACTTAGTGTAGAAATTTTCATAATGGAGATTATGACTAAGAATGAATAAGCATTAACTTAGTGTAGTCCATGTTGCAACAGAAGTAAAATGGTTCTTTGTATAGATACCAACCAAAGATTTTGCTGATAATCCAATGGAGATGACTGAATCTCCAAGAATCCTGTTTGGCTGTAAAATAATTTAAAAGAAGAGTTGTGTATTTTTACATGTATATGTTTTGTTTTCATTTTTATTTTGAGATGGAGTCTCACTCTTTCACCGAGGCTGGAGTGCTGTGGTGCAATCTCGGCTCACTGCAGCCTCCACTTCCTGGGTTCAAGCGATTCTCCTGCCTCAGCCTCCCAAGTAGCTGGGATTACAGGTGTGCACCACCACGCCTGGCTAATTTTTGTATTTTTAGTAGAGATGGGGTTTCACCATGTTGACAAGGCTGGTCTCAAACTCCTGACTTCAAGTGATCCTCCCTCCTTGGCCTCCCAGCCTCCCAAAGTGTTGGGATTACAGGTGTGAGCCACCACGCCCGTCCTTTACATGTATATGTTATATGTTATTGTTCTGATGTACAGATCCTTACTCACTACAATATTTTTTAGAATTTTCTATACAATGACCAGGTTGATTTTTCTCCTACTAAGGATGATCTGTGTATGAGGCAATTATTTTACAAGCTTAGTGCCATGTTTTGTGGTTCTATCACAATTAAAATAATACTTATATTAATGGAACATCTTTGATTCATGGTGCATTTCCAATAACCATTGTTTATCAGATCAGTGACATTCAGTAAAAGTAATCTTGAATTTAAACTTGAAGGAAAATTTTAGTAAGGGATTTCTACATATACTCAAAGAAATTTCCTAAAAATTAATGTTGAAATGAGGAATTTGGCATAAAGTATTTTAGCATTATTTCATTATTATCTTGCATTTTACATTTTTTGAAAGTACCAGCTAATGAGTTAAGAGAGAAAATAATATGGATTAAAACTGTTGATATATTTGTGAAATAATTATGATTTCTATAAGGAGAAACTAATAGAATTAACACAAAACTAATAAAACCAATACATTAAGGTATGTGGCTAACTTCAAATATTAGAAGAAACAAAAATCTCTAATAATCATTATAATAAATTTTATATTTTAAGGTAAAATAAATTATTCAATTAATAGCCCAAATATAAAATTATAGAATAGTAGAGTTAGAATAAAGAAGATTGAATAGAATATATACATATATGCATACATGTATATACAAAATTAGAAATATTTTCTATTTTTCTCTCTTTCTATACAAACATTATATATATACCTATATCTATAATTTTTTTAAACTTGAATGAAAAGACAAAATTACTTGAGTAAATGATGAGAAATACTAGGACACTATGTTCCTGTTTAGAAAGAATTGATATATATGCATATATGTCAGTTTTCCTGAATCAATTTGCAAATTTCATTTAGTACTACCAACTTCCAATTTCATTTTTTCTTTAGTTTTAAATTCAAAAATTTTATTTTAAAATCATTTTAGACTCAAAAGAATTGGCCAAAATAGTACAGACAATTTATTTGTACCCTTTTTCTAGTTTACACCAATGGTATTGTCTTATAAAAGAAATTATGTCATCAAAATAAGGTATTTGACATTTTTCATAATATTAACTATACTACACACCTTATTCAGATTTTTCCAGGTTTACTTGCACTCTTTATTTCAGTACAGTTAGAGAATATTTTATCACATGTGCAGATTTTTGTAACCACTAACATAGTCAGATTACAAAGCTTTTTCGTCATCACAAATAAGCTCCTTTTTGCTTCTTCTTAATGATCACATCCTTCCCAAACTTTAATCTCTGTCAAACACTAATCTGTTCTCTATTACTATAATTTTGTCACATGGAGAAAGTTATATAAAATAAACCATACCATATCTAACCTTTCTGTTTGGCTTCTTTTTTTTTATGCTCCAATATAATACTCTGGAGATACACAAAATTATGCAAATGAATATTTTGTTCCTTTATATTGCTGAGTCATATTCCATTATATGGATACATCACAGTTTGTCTATTCATCTTTTGAAGATAACTTAGATTGCTTCTTTCTTTGCTGTTAGAACTGAAACTGCTGTAAACATTTGTATACTGATGTTGGTGTAAATATATGTGTTAATTTCTCTAGAATAAATATGTAGGAGCACAACTATCTTGTAGTAAAATTTCCTTTTATTTTATGAGAAACTGCCAAACTCTTTTCCAGAGTGACTGAATTATTTTACTTATCAGCATATAAGATATCAAGTCATTCTACATCCTCATCATATTTTGTACACAATACTATGCTTTAGAGTTACATAATTAAGTTGTTTTAATTACCTATGTTTAACGTTTCTAACCACATAGCATAGTATTCTACCATATCATGGCACAGTATTCTACCATCTACCATATCTTGCTTATCTATTCTTAAATTACGGTTTTCTAACTTATCTCTATCTTCTCATTACTGCAGATTATACATTCCCTGTAAACCACCTGTGTGATTTTACTGGCATATAATTTAGTTATGGGATTCCAGGCTATGCATAATGTTAATACATAGTATCTGGTTTCTTTCCAAAATAGCAAGACTGGTGCACTTCACCAGGAATTTGTTTCTATTTTCTATCCACTAACAAAACCTTTTTATTATCCAACTTTTAGCATGCCAATTGTCATAAATTATATTTCTTTGTTGTTTTAACTAAACATTTTGCTTCTAGTGAATTGGAACCTCTATGTACAGTTATGCAGCACATGACGATGTTTTGGACGATTAGCTGCATAAACAATGGTGGTCCCACAAGTTTATAATGGAGCTGAAAAATTCCTATACCCTGGTGACATGGTAGCCACAGTAACATCTTAGTGCAACACATTATTCAACAAGGCTGTCGTCGAAGTGACAAACAACTTTAACCTAGGTGTGGGAAAGGATGACACTGAGGAGCTGCCAGATGTGATTCCTGAGGGAATTGACTAACGAGGAGTTAATGAAACTGGATCAGGAATGCAGAGCTGAATAAGAGACAAGAGAAAAGGACATCACAGGAGAAGAACCCCCAGGAAAATTCACAGTGAAAGATTTAGCAGAAGATATTATGGACCTCAGCAAGCTCATTAAAAAGTTTGAAAACCTGGGCCCCAACACCAGAAGGTTTTCATTAATAGAGAGAAATGTTCATGGCGCGTTATCAGCTTACAAGCAAACCTGTGATTGAAAAAACAAAACAAAACAAAAAAGCCATTATGGACGTATTTCTGAAAAAATGGTTACATTCCCAGAAGAGCCTCAGGCAGGTCCTTCAGGAGCTATTCCAGAAGAAGGCATTGTTATCATAGGAGAAGCCAGCTCCATGAGTGTCATTGCTCCTGAAGACCTTCCAGTGAGAAAAGATGTGGAGGTAGAAGACAGTGATGTTGATAAACCTGACCCTGTGCAGGCCTAGAATAATGTGTGTGTGCGTGCCTTAATATGCACATTAAAAATTTTTTAAGTAAAAACAAAATATTAAAAATCAAAAAAGCTTATAGAATAAGGAAATAAAATAACTTATTTTTGTACAGCTGTAAACCTGTTTATGTTTTAAGCTAAGTGTCATTAAAAAGATTCGAAAGTTTAAAATTAAAAAGTTAATAAAGTAAAAAGTTACAATAAGATAATGTGAATTTATTATTGAAGAAAGAAAAGTAATTTTTATAAATTTAGTGTAGCTTAAGTGTACAGTGTTTATAGTCTACAGTGAGGTATAGAAATGTCCTAGGCCTTCACATTCACTCACCACTCACTCAGTGACTCACCCAGAGCAATTTCCTGTCCTGCAAGCTCCATTCATGGACAGTGCTCTATACAGAAGTACCATTTTTTGTCTTTTATGTTATATTTTTGCTGTACATTTTTTAAGTCTGTACATGTATTTAGATACACAGGTGCTTGCCATCGTGTTACAATTACCTACAGTATTCAGTATAGTAACAAGCTGTACAGGTTTGTAGCCTAGGAGCAATAGTAAGGCTATATCACATAGCCTAGGGGTATAGTAGGTTACACCATTTAGGTTTGTGTAAGTACATTCATGATGTTTGTACAATAAAATTACCTAAAGACAATTTTTTTTTTTGAGATGGAGTCTCACTCTGTTGCCCTGGCTGGAGTCCAGTGGCACGATCTCTGCTCACTGCAAGCTCCGCCTCCCGGGTTCAC
Organism: Homo sapiens; assembly: GCF_000001405.40. NCBI lineage: Eukaryota > Metazoa > Chordata > Mammalia > Primates > Hominidae > Homo > Homo sapiens. The sequence goes on from NC_000003.12 coordinate 96,227,021, forward strand.
ACCATTCTCCTGCCTCTGCCTCCCAAGCAGCTGGGACTACAGGCGCCCGCCACCACGCCCAGCTAATGTTTTTGTATTTTTAGTAGAGACGAGGTTTCACCCTGCTAGTCAGGATGGTCTTGATCTCCTGACCTCGTGATCCGCCCGCCTCGGCCTCCCAAAGTGTTGGGATTACAGGTGTGAGCCACCATGCCCAGCCTAAAGACATATTTTCAGAACTTATTCCTTTTGTCAAGCAGTGCGTGGCTGTGGTTACTTGTACTTCAGATTTCCTCTCAGTGAACTGTTTGTTCCTATGCGATAACTATATTTATCCTGGGTTTTCTTTTTCCTACTTTAAGGTTTTTGTTTGTTTGTTTGTTTGTTTGTTTTAATTTTCTAACTGTCTTAAATGTTGCAAGTGGTTTTTTTCCAATATGTCATATCTCTACAGTTGCCTTTATTGTATACAAATTCCTTAGGTTACATGTAATCAAATCCAGTATTTTTTCATAAAGCAAAAAGGAACACTTTTGATATTAATAGTAGGTTTTGTACCAATTAACTATGAAATATTATTTTTGTCTGCATAATTGGGGCTTATTTATATAAAAGGAGCATAATTAGTGAATGAGAAGTATTTTGTGGAATTCTGTAAGTCTTTTCAATACCATAAATGCTGCCTTTGGAAAGATTCAAACATATTGCCCTTCACATTTTTTAGAAAAAGATTGATACCTATGCTCATTATACTTTTTCTTCATTCTCAGTCATTTTGCCAGAAGCATGAAAGTTGAAATAATATTTTCCTGATCTTATTTTTATGTCTGATTCTAAAGTGAGAAATAGCACTCTTGAAACTTTACATCACATTTTATCTTATATTGTGAAAAGTTGAATTGATATCAACTAGAAAAAAATGTTATATTCTTTCGTTGCAGCAAATTACTTTCCCCACAAAGATTCTGATCCAAGATGACCCACTGCATGGTATGCTGTGTTATAAGAGCAACATCCCTGTAATTTGAAGAATACCATGGAGACTCATTTTTTATCTTAAAAAAGAAGCTTCATGGGCACTGTTGATACATACCTTAGAGAGAGACAGAAAAGGAATTAAAGAAATAGATAGGTAATAAAGAAAGTTGCTTAGTTTTTCTTTTCAAAATATTGTGAGAAAAAAACCTTCCTTCCCTAAGCAGATAGTAGTCCTAAGCTATGGTAAATTTGAGGGAAGGAAACAAAAGAGAGGGGCAGCTACTATGTACAGTCTTTGGGATTTTATCAATATGCTATAGAAATTATTAATGTAAGACATAGTTCATAAATATGCTTCTTACATATCTGAAATGTGCTGTTAGTCATTTTATATTTGCAGCAAAAACAATTCAAAGCGCTAACTGGCAACACCTTCAGCCCTAACCTCACTCCATATTGCCCAGGAGAATCATGTTTGCCCAGAGCTTAGCAGAGGTATAACAGGGAACAAATGGAAGCAAAGCCTGCAGCCAGTAGCCTGAGTTCCATGATAATAAAATACTAAAAATATGAGAATTTGAGGTTGAATTAACTTCTGCCATTTTAGTGTACTTAAAACTATAACATATATTAAATGTATTTGATAAATTGTATAAATTGAGCTATTATATTCCAATAGATTTGAGAGCATTCTCAGACTGTCTCATAATAAATATGATCGTTGGTATTACATCAGTTTGGATTTTGCTCTACTAATGAAGCCTGACGCAAATAGCTAGTGTTTACCAAACATCCACTTGTGTGCCTTTATGTTTCCTAGCCTCCTTTTTGCTAAGCTTGAGTCTGTATTACTCATCTATCTAGTCGAAATGATACATGTTTATTCTAGGCCAAATTTTCTCTTTTCTCTCTTTCTCAGATATGAATAACTTTAGAACTCTCATTTCCCAGAGATAGGAGCTACAAGATTACAAACGGCTGATTGATCTCCTTTAGATTTTGTGTGGGTGAAAAATAAAAGTTTGTTTTGTTAATTCCTTGAAATTTTGGAGCTGTCTGTTGTGGTAGCTATCACTAGCTACACTGACTAATTCTACAAACATCACAAATATCAAATGCTTAATGATACGTTTTTCTATTATTGTCAACAATCTTCATATTCAGTTATATCTTGTCAACATCAACAAGAAAATGACCCAAAATTTACAATCCTTGTGGATTTTTTTCAGTGCAGAACTTACACCTCATTGAGAGTTCCACTCAATTCTAACAATACTCAACCAGGTTATCCGTAAGGTCTTGAGGATGAGAAGTACAAAAACAGCACATAAAAGATAGGGAAGGAAAATAAAGCTGAGAACAAAAATTGACCAAAAAAAATATGAAAGGCAACAGAACCAGTTCTAAGTTATATACTAATAGTAAGAGAGGAGAAAGTTTCACAATGTATAGTATCCTTAATTATATAGAATTATTTTTGGAGGAAGACAGAATGATTATTGATGAAATCTGAATACAATCACAAGTAAAATATCAGTTCATCGTTTATCTTTAAAAGTAATGAGAATCTTTCCATCCAAAATTATGTGCAGATTTGTTTAAATATTACAAAGATTTTACTAATATGTTGAGATTTTCCTCAAACTTTGATAGACAAATAATATCGGACCATGTTGATCCTGTGGCTCAACACATGACCTCTGGAGGTTATCATGCCCCAGTTTTGGACACATGACTACTTGACAAAATGTCAGAGGAAAATAAATTTAAAGTAGAAATGAATAATGATCATTGCACTTGGCAATTTAATGAATACTTCATTTGTGCCAACTATGTATTATTTAGATAAGATCATTCAAGAGACAAACTCAAAATAGCTAAGATTTATGCTAAAATAATTAAATATCTAGCTGCTTAAAGTATATATGTAAAAATTAAAATGTCAATACAAGCTTGAAATGTTACACTCTATGATAGATGGGGAGAAAATAGGGGATTATGAATGATGAAATTGAGAACTAAGGATAACGAATTTGGAGAGAACTTTTGACTGTTCAGGGGAAGCCAGATTATTGACACATCAATTTGGATAGAAAAAAAATCTGCTTTAAAAATTATTTTATCTGGTTTCTTTAAAACCAGATAAAATACCTTACATGCAGGTAGCACTGGAAACATATTTGAATGAATAAATAAATTAAGTATAATACATGGAAGAGGCATAGAAAAATGAAAGACCTAATTTTATTTTAATGGACAATAACTTGTATATGTATGCAGACCATTGAGGCAATTTACCTTTCTGATACCTTGAAGATGAAACAAAATTAACCGGCACATCAAAAAATAAATACCATTTTTATATGTTAATGTGTTTTGGTGATAATACTTATTTATAGTAAGGAAGACTCAACAACTAATGGTGCCCTTTTTTTCAGAAGATTTTATTTTCTTTTTCTTTTCAAACAGAAGAAAACAAAATGAATGAAAAACCATTTGCCTCCTAGAGTAATGTTTAAAACTGTATGAATAATTCACTCTACTTGGTGTGTAGTTGATTTTGAAAACCAAAATAGCACAATTAGATGAATTAAAAGAACTTGATATCAATTAAATTAAAATAAACTTTTTCTTGGAAAACAGTTTTTGTTCTAAATTGCTTCTCTGCTCTGTATAAATATGTATAACATTAAAAGCATAAAATTTATTTCACTCTAAATTGAATTTTATTAATTGAGCATGCTGAGGTATAAATCAAATTTTATTTTAATCTGAAGCTTGAAAAAGAATACAATTTTTTGTGATAGGTTATAAAAATAAGAATTCATCTAATAATAATACAGTGATTAATTTATTTTAAACAACAGAGGATAAATAGTACTAAAGAAACAGACTATATTTTGGAAAGTTATAATAAGCAATAAAAGCCTCTTTTTATTTCTGCTTCAGTAATAACTTCAAGTGGTCTGTGGAATGAAAAAAATGCAAATAATTTGTAATGTTTTCACTAGGTACTATTAGCTATGTATTGCATTATCCGTTATTAAAAGAATGATTGGTGGAAAAATTGGTAAGAAAAAATGTCAGCATCTGTTTTATCTGATACTAGATCTCAGTAGTGAAATGTTCTAGAAGGATACTCCACCACAGCTAAATTTTAAGAATTGTAAAATGTGTACTTGTTATATTATTAGTTGCAAGAATATTAGATAGAAAAAAAGTGTAGTCCAATAAAATAAGTTTAACCAAGATATCAGAACCCTCACTGAGATTCGTAAAAGAGTGGTTGTTAAATTTGAGGACAAGACTTGTAGTTAATTAGCCTACTTAGGCATTTTTCCAATTTATTTAATCCAAAAATCAATAAATGAAAAAATAGTTTAAAAAACCATCTTTCTTTGAGAATTTCTTATTTTGACAGAACAAGTTTTCTCTCAGTGCACCCTGGGAAACATTTTCCTTGAAACAAACAAACAAAAATGTTATTTTAATGTTCCAGAGGTCAGGAGTCTGAAATGGTCTTACTGACTAATATCAAGATTTTTTGGAAGGACTACATTCCCTATAGAGGCTCTAGAGGAAGAAGTTAACTTGACTTTTCCAGCCAGTAGAGACTGCCTGGATTCCTTGGTTGGGACTCCATTCTCCATCTTTAAATCTAGCAGCACAACAGCTTCAAAGCCCTCTTCTGTCTGACCCTGCCTTCCATCGTCACCTCCTCTGATGTGGATACTCCACCTACCCATTAACAGGATGCTTTTAATTACATTGGATGCACCCAAATAACCCAAAATGATCTGCTCATATTGAAGAGTCTTAACTATATCTGCAAATCTATTTTGCCTTATAAGATATCAAATTCACAGATTCTTGGGGTTGGGAAATAGGCATCTTGAGGGAGGGGATGTATTCTTCTGCCTGCCACAATACACTCATGAGCAAAGATTCACATCAATCCCACATGGAAAATACATTCACTTCATCCCAACATCTCCAAAAATATCAACCCATTAAAGCATCAACTCAAGATTCCAAATCTAATCTTTGCATTTCAAAAGTTCTAAATCTCATCATTAAAAATTATCTAAGTCAAGTATGGATGTAACTCTGTATGATGCATTCTGAGGCAAAATTCCTCTTTATCTGTGCACCTGTGGAATTAGATAATAAATTATCTGCTCCCAAAGTACACTGATAGAACAAGCAAAGGACACAAGTTATAGACATTTCCATTCACAAGGAGAAAGATGAGGAGGATTAAAAAGAGCTGTAAGTCCTAAACAATTCTGAAATTCAGCTGGATGGGTAAAATTAGGTTGTAAAGTCCAAGGATAATCTGTGGTTTGTGAATCTTCCTTCTAGTCCTGAAGCTTTTTCCATAGAAAGGTAATACATGTTTTCTGCTGAGTAGTTTTATCACCCTATGTTTCAGTCAATTCAGGCTGCTATAACAAATACTACAGAGTGGATGACTTGGACAAACATTGCATAATATCCTCAGGGTTCATCCCTGTTTCATATGTTGCAGGATTTCTTCTTTTTTAAAGTGGAATAATATTCCATTGTATGTATACAACGTACGTTTTTAATCAATTTATCTGTCCATGGACGTTTACATTGTAACCACATATTGGCTATTGTGAACACTGTTGCAATGAACATAGGAGTACTAATATCTCTTCAAGGTCCTGATGTAAATTATTTGGGGTATATACCCAGAAGTGGGATTGCTAGATCATATGATAGGTTCCATTTTTCAGCTTTAGAACAACCCTCATACTGTTTTCCATTAGTGGCTACACAATTTTATGTTCCCACCAACAGTGTATAGGGTTCCAATTTCTTCACATCCTCACCAACACCTGTGTTTTCATATGCACCATTTTTTTGAGTGAGCATGTTTATCACAAAGTGGTCCCCAGTAGGCTTAATAATTATCACATTATTATTATTATTATTGCATTCATATATTCTTAGCGTTCCTTTTATTGAATTTATGGGCTTATAAAGATGAAGCACAAACCACGGTCCATAGGAAATCTACTGAGGTAATGTGACTAATCCTTGTCCAGGTGACATGCCAGCTATCTTGCTGTATGTACCTATACTTTCCTCTATAGACTTTAGTCAGCAATACCTATACATTTCCTGTGTACTATTTACTGTGAAAAATAGAATTAATATTGAAAATTGCTTTGCAATTCTCATTGTTCTTTATTCTAAAAAGACATTTCTGATTTACTGGGCAATATTTTCAGTTACTTATTTTAATCAGAATAGTTATATTTATGTGCACGTTTTAAAGGTTGATATCTCCTGATAGATTTTAATAATTTGTTATTTGGATTTCCCAGTGTGTACCTCATTCAATTGCTTGCACAGTTTATAGTCTTTCTGCCATAGCTACATCTAATTCTAGATGGAGACAGCTTTTCTGTTATGTTGACAATTTTGTGTTGTTGATAAACATTGTCAACTATTGTAGAAAAATCTTAAGGAAACAATATAAATAATGGCAATGATAGGAGATCAATATACACAAACAAATCTTAGGGTAGAAATGCACTTTATGCTTGATAATGTGGTAAAATCACAAGAGAAATTTTAATAAATAGAATTGCAGGAATAAAATAAAATTATTGAATATATTTTAATAATTAGATTGTAATTATATAGAGGATGCTGATTCAAGCAAAGATCTAAGTTTGTTTATTTTGAAATTTAAATATCTATATAATAATAAATCAATATCTGAAGAAATCCTTTATAAATCATTAGACTAAGTAAATATGGAATGAAAAAGCTAAGCAGTGATATATAAGTTTGTGTTTAAAGATGAGTATTAATACAAATTTTAAAGTTTGGGTTTATATATGTTTTTTAACTAAAAATGCATATTCAGCAAAATTTATTTATTTAAACAACAGCTGATACGGTTTGGCTCTGTGTCCCTATCCAAATCTCATCTTGAATTGTAGTCTCCATAATCCCCACATGTTAAGGGGGGATCTGGTGGGAGGTGACTGGATCATGGCAGTGATTGGATCATGGCAGTGGTTGCCCCCATGCTGTTCTCATGATAGTGAGTTTTCATGAGATCTGATGGTTTTATAATTACTTGACAGTTCCTCCTTTACAGGATCTCTCTTGCCTGCCACCATGTAAGATGTGCTTGCTACCCCTTCAACTTCTGCCATGATTTTAAATTTCCTGAGGCCTCCCCAGCCATGTGGAACTGTGAGTCAATTAATCTTCTTTCCTTTATAAATTACCCAGTCTTGGGTATCTCTTTATAGCAGTGTGAACTTGGACTAATACACCAGCTTTTTGATTTAAAAAAATGATGTGAAAATGGTGACTTTAGTAAGCTTGTCTTTCAGGGTTTTAATAAATTCTGGATAACCTAGACATAGATTTTGGAATTAAAGTTTAAGTACGTATATCTTAAGATACAAAACCAAAAACAAGTTTGCTTATGTTCCTACTGGTTGCTTATCTTCCTACTAGAGGTGGAGAAAGACTAAAGATATCCAAATTGATTTAGTTCCATAGAATGGGGATTTTTATTTTTTTTAGGGACACATGAAAACAGAATGACAAGAATGTGTCTCAGTGTCTCTATAAAAGATAACTGGGAATATTCTGGGAATATTTGTATCTTCTTAATAACCAAAGAAATACACCAAATTTGTAAATATTCAAAATTAATATCCTAACAAGCATCTCAGGCCCTACAAAATTTAACCGTGACCAGGCCAACACCTATCTATGCTGGAATCAAAGAACACACATTGAAGATACCTAAGAATCAAAAGAGTTGTCAGAAAATCTGTCTGAAATTGGCTTCATTGGGAGAAGAATGACTTTTTATTATCTCATATTAGTGCACTTTCAATTTCCCCTAGTATCCTCCTTCAATTGTCCTTCAATTAGAGACAAACCTATGACTTGGCTTATTATATGACATTGGCTTTGCTTCCAGTCTCAGCTACTTGTAGGTTAGAGCTGTGTACATTATAAATGTAATCATGGAGTCTAATATAGGAAATAAATTATACAGGTTTATTAAATGAATGAGTATAAAGAAATGTTAGCACCCTTCCCCCAATCATTTCATGCCAACCTCAATCATGTAAAAGCTACCCCTTCCTTCCAAGTCTATATCTCACACTACTATTCCTCTGAAATAAGCAATAAGAAGCAAAATCATTTTATTTAAAATCCATTGTCAAGATGCAGCAATACTGTTGAGAAAGTAACTATCTCTTCATGTATATAAGGGAGGATATCTGACAGTGCAACAAGCATTGAATTTTGAAGCAGAGCATGGAAATTTTAAGTCCTTATTCTTCTATCAACTTAATTTATGGTCATGGGCATTTAACTTGAGATCTGTAAATCTCAGCTTTGCTTTTAAATAGAGAAAATAACTTGAAATCTATAAATCTCAGCTTTGCTTTTAAATAGGGAAAATAATGTCTGACCAACTTAATTCATTAAGCTATTGTAATTCTGATTTGTGAATAATTTTAAATATAAAAATTTTAACTATTCAATGTTGTTATGTGTTTTTTCTCTTAAATGATGACTTCTCTATTAAAAATTAAACATAATTTTCAGTGTATGTGTTAACTGAAGTGATCTATTTTAATTAAATAGATTTATTTACATATTCATTTGTTAAGTCATAAAATGAGTAGGTACTTGCTACCTACCTCCTATGCGCCAGAGATTTCTCTGTTCACTAAGAGTTCAGTCATGGACATAAGAAAAGTTGCCTCTCTCTTTCTCTCCCTCACTACCTCTCTCTCTCTCTCCCTCTATTTACATTCAATTGGAAAGAATAAATTGAACACATAACTAAAAAGGAAAATTTCAGATACTATTGAGCGTTACATGGAAAATTAGTGTTTAACAGATAGTGATTTCTACTTCAGTTATTATAAAAGCTATACCTTAAGAGGTTAACATTTAAATTGAAATTTTAATGCCATGAAAGAGCAAGTCTTGCTAAGTTAAAATCAGCATGAAGAGCTTTTATGGCAGAGGAAATGATGTCAAGGTAGAAATCGATTTGATTATTTGAGAAACTGAAAAGATATCTAGGCTGCCTATGCACGGACCAGAGTGGCTAGGGGGGAAAGTGGTCCAGGAAAAGAATAGTTAAGTAAGATGGAGGCTAGGTCACATAAACCTTAGCATCCTGAATGTTTGGGCTGACCTCCCAAACATTTGCATTCCTCCAAATTCATATGTTGATGTCCTAATCCACAGCACCTCAAAACATGACTGTATTTGGAGATAGGGTTTATAAAGAGGTAATTTAGTTAAAAATCAGGTAATTAGACCAGATCCTAATCCAATATGACCAGCGTCTTTATGAGAAGAGGAATTAAGGAGATACACACACACACACACACACACACACACACACACACACACACAGAAGAACACCATGTGAGCATGAAGATGGCCATCTGTCGGCCAAGAAGAGAGGACTCAGAAGAAACCAGTCCTGCTGACAGTTGATCTCAGACTTCTAGCTTCCTGAACTGTAAGAAAATAAATTTTTGTTGTTTAAGATTCCAGGTCTGTGGTACTTTGCTATAGCAGGCCAAGCAAACTAATACACTGGCAAAGGGGTTTGTATTTTACTCTGAGTACGAGAGTCAATCATCTAAGGGCTTTCAGCCAGGGAGTGTCATAATCTATCCGATTTATATTCCTTTCAGAAGACTCTAGCTGCTCTGTGTATGACTCATTTTTGTAAGATAGTAGAGGAGATAGCAGAGAAGCAAGAGAGAAAGCTTGTTGCAGAACATATACATGCTGTGTGTATGTAGAACAGAGGCTGCATGCATATGAATTTGTGAATAGCTGTACATGCATTTTAGATATGTATGTAACCACAGTGCTTCATTGTGTATTTTGACAGATGTTATAACACACGATTGGTCACACACTCACAATTTTATTTTCCCTAAAAGCTTGATATTGATATTATATTTTATAGACAAACCTAGATGTTTAGCCAGTTGGCCATATTGTTGCCTTACTATTGATAAATAAGCTTTTGTTACGTATTGTTTTGTGTTTGGTTTTGATAAACACGTTTACTCTGTCTCAAAGAGAAAGGAACACATGTTTGTGTGTGTGTATATATATGTATTTGAGATATATATAGAGAGAGATATGATGTATATCTATATATATGATGAGTCAATATATACAATAAAAATTAAAAATCATGTTATTAATTCATGAAAGAAGACACATGTTAGAGAGAGAGTTTATATACTGGAAAAGGCACAGTACTAGGAATAAGGGGACTTATCACTCAATTGTTTTATGATATAAGGAGGTAAACAACTTAATTATTAACTTTCATATCTATGAATATATGTATTTATAGAAGTTATTTTAAATGTTGAATTGATTAAGGAAACAGAAACTTAAAGGCAAACAAAAACCATGACATAGATATTAAAATAATAGAGATACATTAATTATTCAGTTAACCAACATCCTAGATATAAATAACAACTCTCCTTTTAAAATGAGATATTCCATTTTAAAGCATATTATTTGCAGTTGATTTAATTTACAACATTATATGAAATTGGAATGTATAGTCAGTGAGCAGCATTGTTCACAGAAATGAAACATATGTTACCAGTAGCAGTTGTCTGATGAAGCTTCATTATTCAGTTCAAAAATGCTGAAGCTATAATCATTAAACATATGCCAAAGACAGAAATATAGCAGCTCTAGTATGAGAGAGAATTAAGGTGGGAGAGGGGAATATAAAAGATCTTTATAGAGGCACAAAGAGAATTGGAAATCTAATTATAATCATGTTTTTTATTAGTTATTCATGATTGTCTCCACATCGTTTAGTTAGAACAATTGAGTAATAGCCAGAGCCACTTTACAGAGGACTATTTATTAAGGCAGGATTTTACAAGAAAGTTGATGATTTATTAAAATGGTAGCTATGATTCTGTCTAGAAGCTAATTATAATATCAGAAATATGATGGAAGATCTACCATCATATTTCTGATGCTTATCCCCATAGAAAGTGGCATCTTCAAGTTTCTATTCTATTACTAGTGTAATAAGAGGAATGTCCAGTTAGCTAAAAACTGATTCTGAGATGGAGATTGATGTGCCATATATTTATTAGAAGAAGGAAGAGGCAGAATTCAGAATAGGAACAACTCAGGTTGTGATGCAATTGGACAAAGCCCAGGCCAGCTTTGGGAGATATTCTAGAGAGATTGTTGTCCATTAGTTTTACCAGATGGGACCAAAATGGCCAAATCTTTCTATTCTTGCCTTGCTTAGTCACTGGATGCAAGATTGCCTTAAAAAGTGTGACTTTAGGCAGGGTTAGTCTTTGCAGCTAGGACAAACTCTGAAGAAGTTAAGAGCTGAAGTTTGTCTGCTGATCACATTTCTCAGAGTTAGGCAGCACATCCTTTCTTGAAGTTGGACCTGGATTAGCACATCTCAATATGGACCTCTTTCCAGCACTTGTGCTACTTGGATCTACTCCATATATTTTTGGGGAGCAGCTCCTTCAGGGTTTCCTTGAAGATCTCTTCTTGATAGAAAACCTGAAGGAGGGATGAACTTCAGGTTTTGCCAGTGCAGTCGGTTATGGTACCTTAACTGATATGCATCATTGTCATCCTCCACTGTCCATTCTAGAGTTCACTTCCCTCAGCTTCTACCTCTTTTAGTCTTGGTGGTTTATCCACTGGTGTGACCTAGAAACGTATCCCCCAGGTACTTGATCCCCAGTTCACCATGACCTTCTTAAGCTAGGTTGCTGTATATTAATGGTGCTGTATATTAATATAATATAACCTTGTTAAGCTAGGTTACATTATATTAATGGTGGGGAAAGGAAGTATTGAAAATCCCTCAAGCTGATTATCTGCACTCTTTCCTACATTTATCGTGCAGAATATACCACCTAATGATCAGTGTCAACTGACAATTACACCTGCAAGAAATAATGACTTTCCTTCTTGCTTGATATTCCCTGGACACAGAATTACCAAAGTGTCCAGGAAGCAGATATTGATAACCATTCAGTGAGACTCTTTCATTCCCCCGACGAGAGTGTGCCCTCTTGGGATCACAGCCCTTAATGTTGCAAGCCCAAAGTTGTAGAAACTGAAATAACAAAATCTCCTAGTAGATCATTAGGAGTGATGGTAACTCAGGTACTCTCGTTTTCATGTCCTGCTTCCCAGACCCATGTACTCTTCCTTTGAAGAAAAAGTGCAAAATAAACATTTTTGTTTAATGCATATTATGCATAGTGGATGAGACATGCTACTCTTACAGAATATTTCCTTAGAGCTGTGTTTCAAAAGTGTCTTCAGCAGGCCAGTGGCTTCTGCGTGGTACAATGTGAGACAGAACAATAAGGTCTTGTGGATGTGGGTTTCATCTCCCACATTCTTTGATTTATATGTACCCTCTGGTCTGATATAAAGCTGTGATCCCATATCAATGGATCAAATGCTCCGTAAGCTCTCTGATATGGGTACTAGCCAATGCCCTACTGATAAGATAGGAAATCTACTCAGAATATATTTTATATATATTATATATATATATTATTATATATATATAAAGTTATATATATATAAAACATTATATATATAAAGTTATATATATATAATGTTATATATATATACTGGAAGGGTTAAAACTTTCTTTATGTATATATAACATTATATATATATAAAACATTATATATATATATAGCTATACATAACTTTATATATAGTTATATATATAGCTATACATAACTTTATATATAGTTATATATATAGCTATACATAACTTTATATATAGTTATATATATAGCTATATATATAACTATATATATAGTTATATATATAGCTATATATATAACTATATATATAGTTATATATATATAACTATAGCTATACATAACTTTATATATAGTTATATATATAGCTATACATAACTTTATATATAGTTATATATATAGCTATATATATAACTATATGTATAGCTATATATATAGCTATATATATAGTTATATATATAGCTATATATATAACTTTATATATAGCTATATATATAGCTATATATATAACTTTATATATAGCTATATATAACTTTATATATAGTTATATATATAGCTATATATACAACTTTATATATAGTTATATATATAGCTATATATATAACTTTATATATAGTTATATATATAGCTATATATATAACTATATATATAGTTATATATAACTATATATTATATATAACATTTTATATATATAACATTATGTATATATATATAAAGAAAGTTTTAACCCTACCAGGATGGAGGGGAACCAATGTAACAAATTTACCACCAGCTATGCAGTAGATTTTATCTGGAAAGAATGCAAATTTGTTTAGGGTGTGGTCATTGTTGGTGTCTATTCCTGGCAGGTTGGATTATCTTTAATAATTGTGAGTTCAGAGACACGTTGGGTCTCTGTCTCTGCCACTATAACCACTTCTGCTATATCCTTTTATACCAGCACTGTTGTGGCCATTAATACAGACTATCTGGTGTCAACTAGCTCAGTAGTTTTATTTAATTTTTTAGTATCTCTTCCATGGTGAAAACTCTCTGGGGAACACCAATGTGAGCTAGAAAGCCCTTCAAATGTCATGCTTACTTGACTATGTTGATTCACATGTCTTTATCCCAAAACCCCTTGCCCCACATTTCCCCATATTTTTTTCTTCCAAGTCCCTGATTAAATGTCCAGGAGCTTTATATCTATTCCCAAAACTGTTTATATTCTAACTTTGATGCATTGTTTTCCACAAAATTTTAAACCAGGTATATTACCAAAAGAATTTTTTTTTTTTTTACATATTGACTTTCAAGCTAATTCCTGACTAGGCCATAATATAAGTGCTCTTCATTTCTTATATGCACTCATACAATGCTGACCAATCTATAAGCTAAACTTAAGCATTTTTGTACCTACTCAAGTGGTCATGTGGCATTCCCCATCAACCATAGATGTGAATTCAGGAACGGATGCTGGGGTACCCTTTAGTGCCTTGAAAGTTGTGTTATCTTACTTTTCGTAGGAGGCACAGGTGCAATAACTTTGCATCTACTTTGGAGAGGGTGACCCAGAGCACCCTGGATTAAGTATTCCTAAATAGTTTTAAAATATGCCAGGACCCTGAATCTCCACAGGGTTAATGTCTCACCCTCTAAAATGTGTGTATCTTACCAAAACTTTTAGAATGCTAGTCATGTCATAGTCATAAGCCACGTCTCTATCAAAAATACAAAAAAATTAGTTGAGCATGGTGGTGTATGCCTGTGGTCCCAGCTACTCAGGAGACTGAAGTAGGAGGATCACTTGAGCCTGGGAGGTGGAGGTTGCAATGAGCTGAGATCGTGTGCCACTGCCCTGAAGCCTAGGCAACACAGTGAGACCCCATGTCAAAAAAAGAAAAAAAAAAAGAAAAGAAAAGAAAGAAGAGTTGACGTTAGTATAAAACTAAATGAATATAGTTGTTCATTCACTGTTTCTGATCATTTTTCATTGAGCTAAAAAATTATGCATTCATTAAATTAATGTCTAAATACCATGCCCTGGTACCATTTTAATATGATCTAGCAAAAATACTTCATTTGATTACTTTTTTGTAGTTCACAGTCATCTTCCAAGATTCATCCAATTTTTAAAGGAGTTTAACTACTGAATTAAATAGGGGAATATGGGTGTATTAGTCCATTTTTATGCTGCTGATAAAGATATACCTGAGACTGTAATTTATAAAAGAAAAAGATGTAATGGACTCACAGTTTCATGTGACTGGGGAGGCCTCACAGTCATGGTGGACAGTGAAATGAATGTCTGACACGGTAGCAGACAAGAGAAGCGAACGAGCTTGTGCAAGGAAACTCTCATTTTTAAAACCATCACATCACGTGAAACTTACTCACTATCACGAGAACAGCAAGGGGAAGAACCACCCCCGTGATTCAGTTACTTCCCACCAGTTTCTACTACAACACGTGGGAATTGTGGGAGTCGCAATTCAAGATGAGATTTGGGTGGGGACACAGCCAAACCATATCAATAGGGGACTGAAGACTACCTCTGCATCCTTTAGGTCTGTAAGATGACACAAGTCTTCTTATGACCTTACAATAAGATATGACTTTTTATATACACATTTATATAACTAGGTATTACTTTTTATATACATATATATTACTTTTTATATACATATATTACTTTTTATATACATACATCTATTTTATATATATATATATGTATATATGTTAGACCTGGAGAAAGTTCTAGTTAAACAGACTTTCTATTTGCTTTTCCTGCATTGATGCCTTTTATCTTTCAAGATCAAGGATAGAATATGAAGGCTGTGCAAACTGCCAACTAGGTCTATTCCAGTTCTACATTCAGGGATCAGGGAAATGGCCACAAGTTTGATTCAGGGACTAGCTTTTAGCTCAAAGTCAAACCTTAGCAAAGATTTGATTTATTACTTGGCTTATATGTGCTCCTACATAAGAGGAGGGCCATGATGACACTTTAGGTCTCTAAATATCAGTGACAATTGGGTACTTCTACACAACATTTCTAACAAAGTTCAGGTATTCTCCTTACCCTAGTGCAGAATTACTCATTTGACTTACTATAGAGTTCTTTGGGGAATTACTGACAGATTCATTCTCACATATAATTGACTTGGGATTGCAAAGTCTTTTCATCCTGGAGTGGCAGCCACCTCTTCAGTCAATGAATGTTGGATCTGAAAACATTCTCAGATCTGAAAACTAAGCAAGGGATTATGAATCTACATTGGGGTGATTGCCCTCAGACTTCTGGTTATATATTCTTGGTTTTTTCCTGTGGTATATCTACACATTTATTTACTACTAGCGCTGCTGTGTTCTATTAATCATCTCCACAACTCTTTGTAAGCCAGGTATTCTTGGTCACTACTTCAACCTTGATATTTTTAACATAATTATAATCCTCTGGCTTCTGACAGTTAAGTGATCTGGCCTCTATTGTTTTGAGTTACTGTAATCTTTATTTCTATCAGACAAGGTCTGTAAAAGCCACTATTACAATCAGCCTTGACTTTACAGAAGAAAATCATCACCAAATTATTTAAGGATACTGGTGTGCCTTTCACAATTACATGCATTATAGACTAGGTATAGGGTATGCCATCTGGTCTTTTCCTTGGAACATAATCATCTGGTGGGTCTTCCAACTATACATAATATATCTATTCCAGTACACTCATTTTCCAAAGTCTTATAATTTCTCCACAACTGTTCTAGCATTCCAACTTCACTTAGATGGGGCATTGCTATTTTCACGTTTAGGGTACCCATTCAATTAGTGACTTTGCAGCATCTACTTGATCTAGGGCTAGTGACACACCAAGGCCATATGCCCTTCTCAGGAGTCATCCAGCACTTTATAATTTCAGTTCCATTTTAGGAATCATCAATTATACTAATACAAAATTCCTATATATATTGATTCTATGAAAATGTATATTGATTCTATGAAAATGTATATTAATTTAAATATATAGTATACTTATACATATAAATATATGTGGTGATATATATGTGTGTGTCATGTGTGTACATGCATATATGATAGGTGTATACATGTATGTGTGTATGTATATATGAACATATGCATATATGTATATATAAACATGTGCATATATAATATATACACACGTATATTACATATATACACACACAGAAACATATATATACATACACAAACACACACACAGAGAATAAAACTTTTCTAAAAAATAATTGAGCTAATTTTAACTTTGATATATTAATTTCTAAAAGTAAAAGTGTAAGATATTTGCCCAGCAGTGGGCATTTAATTTTGTTATTTTTCTTTGTTCTTTTTTTTAAATAAACTACTCTATTAAGAAAACAGTGTTCTGTTATAGAAGGAATACTGAATATTTATTTGCCTGTGAAAGTGTGAATTGAGAGCAATGAATAGAAACTATTGCTATCTATTTAGTCACAAGCATTTTTAAGTCAAACTTCTGTGAGCACAAATGATGAAGTGTTTGGCACATAAGAAATCCATCATATAAATATAGTTTTGATACAAATTGGAGCAGAGAAATTATTATGCTGTTGTAAGAAAGATTACTATCCAGTAAAACTAGAATGAAATGTGAAACTACAAAGCAACAGAATACAAATATGTAAGAATACCCTTACCATGTTGTTCAATACATTCTGCAGGAAAAAAAGTGTCTACACCAAAAAGTAAACCATGATTGGTGGATTGGAGCTATAGGAGCTGGAAAAGTTACAAAGTCTTAAAAAGACAAAGAAGCTTCGTTAATAAGAAAAAATCTGAAGCACCCAAGTTCAACTCTATGTCAGGTATATAACAAATTTCAAGACAACAATGACTCTCATGTTTGTAGCTAAGAATTTTAAGCCCAGCAGGCTTCACACATTAAACATACACTTTAAACACAGAAATAGAATACAAGCTTTTGTAAAACAAGTGAATAATGAGAAATATATAAACTTGAAAATAGACAGAGATCCATGGAACATTTCTTTACCAATTATAAAAGTAAAAGTATAGACAGAATCCTGGTTTACTGGTACAATTTGGCAGCCAAAACAGTTCCTGAAGATTAGACAGGTAGATCTGTTTTCAGGTTTTCTTTAATTTGAGTTGTATATTTCCTATATAATGCTTGGCCTTTCTGTTGAATTAACCTTTTTTTTCTTTCTTTCTTTAAACGGAGTTTTGCTCTTATTGCCCAGGCTGGAGTGCTATGGTGTGATCTCAGCTCATTGCAACCTCTGCCTCCCAGGTTCAAGCAATTCTCCTGCATCAGCCTCCTGAGTAGCTGGGATTACAGGCGACTGCCACAACACCTGGCTAATTTTTCTGTATTTTAAGTAGAGACGGAGTTTCATCATGTTGACCAGGCTGGTCTCAAACTGCTGACCTCAGGTGATCCACCCGCCTTGGCCTCCCAAAGTGTTGGGATTACAGGTGTGAGCCACCGCACCTGGCCTAGCATTCTTTTCATTAATGTACTTGATATCTGAATCATCTTTGTAAGGACATTTCCAGCTATATTTGTCTCATTTTTCTATTTGCTTTTCTCAAGTCTATAATCATCCTATCAAATTCCTCTGTTGAAGGCACAGGCATTCCATGAAGAAGGTTGTTGGATGTTGAGTACAACTTTTCATATTTTCTCTTAGTCTTTCATATGTTTCTACATCAAATTTGATTTGCTTGGTCAACCAATGAGCTTCAGAGGTAGGATGCTAAAATGAAACTACTTTTTTTTTGCAAGCTATGGTAGGTAGTGAAAGGAAGGTGACAGTGGCTACTGAAAATTCACCTTAGCCCCTCCATTACCCCAGAAGTAGTCACAGTTATACGTTCTTGCCTATCCCATGCTCTACCCCACAGCCAAAGTGCAATTATGGGGACAAAAATAGGGGACAGTAGATTAATCCTCTAGCAGCATTCCATAAAATGCTGTCTTTCAAAAAGCAAATAAACTTGGAAGAAAGTAAGTTAAAACATTTGGCCAAAGTGTTATTTAAAAATATATAATACAAAATGGTGAGGAAAAAAGCCAAATTGAAATTTAAAACTTATTTTGACTATAACCACAAAATTAGAACATGTGGCTTGAGTAGCAATTATGGTAAATATAGGACAGAAAACCTGAAGTCAGGACTATCCCATAAGAGTTGATTACCTGTTTGTACCATGTAATATGAATAAAAGCATGACTGGGATTGGGATCTATAAATCAGGCACAAAAGTGGACTGATGGACTGATAATTAAAGATGGTAATAGAAGAGCTTATTAATAAGGTATATTCAATGTGCTGTGAATGAAGAGACTAACATTATGATACATTTATATAATTATAGAATGAGGCAGATCTATACTTGTAGGAAAAGATGCTCATATTATACCTATATAAAGAGACGTTTGTAGCAGGGCTTGGTGGTGCATGCCTATAGTCCTCTTATTTCAGCCCAGGAGTTTGAGGCTGAAGTGAGCTATGATCGTGTCACGGCACTCTGGCCTGGGTGACAGAGTGAGACCTCATCTCCAAAGAAAAATATTTTTAGAAAGTTTTTAACAGTCTTTAAAAGGCACCCATTTTTCTTCAGTTTATGATGTAAAAATGACTGTATGGACATGATTAAATTCCTAGCACCTTCTGTTCTTTAGTCATGGACTAAATGGCTGGTATCAATGGCTGGTATTATTGCTTATAAAAGTGTCTTCCACTTGACAGAGCATATATTGAAAAATAAAGTTTATTATTATTTAATTCCATTTTCCACAAACCTTTGAAATTCTCTTATGAAATATCATAGCATTTATTATATTAAATGTTAAAATTATATTTTACATACACTGGCTTAAATAATTTAAACTACTTTTTAACGTTGTTTTTAAATGAAAAGGAAAAACAGCTGCTTTAATAATTCCATACCCTATAATATTATACAGATTTTAAATCAAATTAAAAGATACAGTTTTCTGGTTGCTGTTGTTGCATAACAAACTACTCAAAATTAGTAGCATAAAATAGCAGTTTTACTAGTCTCAATATTTTGTTGATCAAAAGTTTAGACATAAAATAGCAGAGATGACTTATCTTTTTTGCATAATGTTTGTGATCTCATCTGGAAAGACTCAATTACAGGGATTGACTGAAATATCTGATGATGACTCCAAAGGTTTGAGTGGGGCTGGAAAAATGAGGATGAGGAGTTCAATTTCCAGATAGATTATTTGCTCTCATATCTCTCTGGGCTGACACAATTCAGAAATTGGAGTGTGTTGACTTCCATTTGGCTTGTTTACATCATGATGGCTGGGTTTCAGGAGGAAGGCTTCTATGAGAGTGATCATTCCACAAGAATCCGGGAGAAGATGCATAGTCTTTTCTGACCTTGCCTTGGGTGGCAGTTGTCATAAATTCTGCCATATTTTATTACCTAAAACATTCATAATATTGTCCAGACGAAGAGGAAAGGATACAGACTCTACCTCTCAAGGGAAGACTGTGAAAAATTTTTGTACCATTTTTTCAAACTGCCACCTTCAGAGAGAAAATAATATGGACCAATATTTGTGATTTTAAGAATTAATACAGATGAATAAAACCATAACGATTGGTTTATTATTGAATATTATAAGAAAATATATTATTTTCATTTGATGAATTACTTGGATATAAAGTTTTAAAAGTCACATTTTTTAATATCAAAGCAATATAATGATTTCATGACTTCAGATAGTACTTCAAATAAATAGCTTGGCTTTGTTACTTAACTAAAGTCAAGCTAAACAAAGCTTTAAGCATTCAACTTATTCTGTAAGTTCTTATAAAATAATATTGTGACATTACAAAAGCATAAGAGTCATCAATTTCTGTTAATTCTGTACATAAAAGATCTTATTTGCATTATATTAAATGAATATGCTTTTTATTGTATATCGTTTACTTTTAAATACTCCTGCTGATACCAGCCACTCCATAACAAAGATAAGCTGAAATCCAATACCATCTCCAAAATTATATGACTAGCTTTTCTAGATATCTGGACACAATCTTAAAAGGGAAGGAGACAATAGAATGAGACACAGTTGAACTTCATGTAGAGTAAGTGTTTAGCTGTAAGCAGTTGCTTGAAACTTGAAAAGAGTTCAATAGCTTGCATTAGCAAGTTTAGGTTGCTACACTGCCTTCCTACAAACACTCTCCCACATGCTTACTACATACTACATAGAATGGTAGCAGTTTATGAGAAGTAGGAATAAATGTTTTCATAATATTAAATTTTACTTTGCATTTAAGAATCATAATGTTTAAAATGTTCACTCTACTACATCTGAGCATCTCTAAAATTTTCAGAGATGATTTATACCCATGGCTTAAACTTATCTAATTATGGTGACTTATTAACCAGCTTATAAGAAAAAATGTGGTTCTAAAAGAGGCTTTAAATTATTTCTATATTCTATAGGTAAAGCAGAATTCATGTAAAATAATTCTTTAGTAAAATTTTCTTAATGGACTATTAATTATGTGAAGATACACCGTTTGTATTTGGAATTTGGAAGCAATGGGCTGAGACAATGATAAAGTAAACTGCTGTTAATAATTTTTTAAATGGATGCTTTATTGGCTGTGTGCTGGGTGTGATAAAACCTCAGAGTGGCATCAAATGTCCTGAAAATTGACATTGATCTTACAGAAAGATCTTTGAACCCTTAAGACTTCCACCAGTCTTTACGTTATTTTGGCTACAGAGGTAAGAACACTTTGTTAAATCACTTATAGAACGAGCCTCCCTATCATCTAACTCAGTGGGTGGAATGCAGTTTCACATTTTATTCCATCACTATGTCAAAAGCTGACCCATTGGGTGTTCAATCAATATGTGTTGTAGCACTTTTTTAAAAGTAAAACTAAAAGAACCTAGGTCTTTTAGTTGTGCCAAAAGAGTTACTTGATTTAGCATAATTTAGAGTTATCTAAATCAAAGTTAATTCTTGGTAATAATGCCTGTTTCTAGATTAGTAAAAGTAAATATTTTAAAGCATATGTAAATATGATATATGCAGAACATTAAATACTTATATATGCCATATATTGTTTAAAAACCTACCATGTTGCTAACCATGTGCTATGAAAGTGTATAGATTATTTATGTAATTACCTTAAAACTGGCTCATGGAAAGTTACCAAAAATCAAAATCTAGCATTAAAATTAGGAAATGGGAAGCATAGTTCAGATTTCCAACATTATAGGTTTAAATTTTTTTTAATTCAAGTAAGTCAGTATTCACAGCCAAAAAGTATGGTTTAATTATTAAAATATAAACATAGTCTTGTGAAAAATAAAAACTTGTTCTAATATTTGATTTTGTGATTTTTATATTAGAAGTTATTTAGCATCTTTGAAGTTGATCTTTTTATATGAAAGGGTAAAATAATGAGAAAAATGCTTTAAATTTCAGACAAGACAGATAATAATCAATCATCAAAGAATATAAAAGGATATTAATTTGAAATAAGTACAGCTGCTATTAACAAGATATTCATAACTCAAATCATTACATTAAGACTATCCTGCACAGAATTTTATACTATATACTTTAATAATTTGAAGAAAACATTCTATTGACAATGTGGTACAGTACAACTGTAATGATGAATGAAAGAGAAAGAAAAACAAAAACAAAGCTTTAAAAAATAAAATGTAAATAAATGTTTTAAAATATGTAGAAACACATAATTGATTATTAAAGTTACCTCTTGTTTTTATTTTTTTGTTTTACTATTTCCTGTGATACATTTTTTCTACTTGACATCATAAGTTATTACATGTATATATTATACTGTTATACTTCAAATAATCTAGTGAGTTATTGTGGTATAAATGCAATGTTTTCTTATAAATTTATTTTTTGCTTGTTACAGAATGTCTTTTATGTTCATATATTTGATTTGTGTGTGCGTCTATATACATACCAGTTTTTTTTAATGTTTTTAAAAATCATTATGGGTATATAATAGTTGTATACATTTATGAGGCACAGGCCTGCTTGTTTTGATACAGGCATGAAATGTGTAATGATCAGTTTATATGTTCTCGATATATTTTATTCACGTTAGTTTTTGTTTCTCCCAGCAGTTGGAGTATAAAGAGCTGCCTGTTCTGCTTTTGTTTGTTTGTTTTAGTTTTTCCTTTGTTCATTTATTTAGTAAATGTTCATCTGTGTGGTGGCTATCCTTTAAATGCTTGGAGATGTGCAGAACCATCTAATAAGTTTCCAGTTCTCATTCTGTGGATTAGAGGATAATTTCTCTGATCAGCAGACCCTCATTTTCACTCACAAGCTCAAAAGTGGAAAGGACTAAACATATATGGTCTTTCTATTTCTAATTTTTTAAGCAATCTCCATTCTGTTTTCTATAGCTATTGCACCATTTTGTATTCCCAACAGCAGCACACAAGGTTCCAATTTCTCCACATCCTTGCTAACATTTGTTATGTCTCTCTCTCTCCCTCTCTCTCTCACTGTGTGTGTGTGTGCACACGCGTGCTTAACAGCAATCTTAGTAGGTGTGAGCTGCTCATTATAGTTTTTATTTGCATTTATCCGATAATGAATGATGTTGCGCACCTATTCATCTATTCATATACCTGTTGGCCATTTTTATGTTTTCTTTGGAGAATGTCAGTTGAAATCCTTTGTACATTTTAAAATGGTTATATTATTATTATTTTACTAGTAAGTTGTATGAGTTCCTTATATATTTTGGACATTAATCCCTTAGCAGATATATGTGCAAATAATTTATTCCACTCCACAGGTTGCTTTTTCATTTTGTTGATTGTTTCCCTTGCTGTGCAGGCTTTTTATTTTGATGTGGTCAACATCTATTTTTGCTTTTGTTGCCTACACTTTTGGTGTTATATCCAAAAAATCTTTGCTAAGACCCAAAATAAGATTTATCCCCTATGCTTTTTTCCTATAATAGTTTTGTCACTTCAGGTTTTATGTTTAAGTCTTTAATCTATTTTGAGTTGATTTTTGCGTATGGTATAAGGTAAAGATACAATTTTATTCTCTTGCATGTGAATATCCAGCTTTCCTGACACTATTTGTTGAAGAAGCTATCCTTTTCCCTTTGTGTGTTCTTGGCACCCTAGTCAGTTTTTCTTTATTGTATACACATGGATTAATTTCTAGGCTCTTTATTCTGTCCCACTGGTCTATATGTCTATATTGATGGATATATACATATGATTTAGGTTTACATTAAATATTCATATATGCCATATATTGTTTAAAATATATTATGTTGATATCAATATGCTATGGCTGTGCATTAATTATATCTTATGTAGTTATCTTAAAAAACTTGCCCATCGAAAATTACCAAAAATAAAAACCCTTTATTACAATTAAGGAAAAGAAAGCATTGTGCAGAATTCCAGAAGCATGGTACAGAAATATTTGCATTTCTCTAATGATCAGTGATGTTGAGCTTTCAAAAATATATTTCTTGGTTGCATAAATGTCTTCTTTTGAGAAGTATCTGTTCATATTCTTTGCCCACTTTTTGATGGGGTTGTTTGTTTATTTTCTTGTAAATTTGTTTAAGTTCCTTGTAAATTCTGTGTATTAGACCTTTGTCAGATAGGTAGATTGCAAAATTTTTCTCCCATTCTGTAGGTTGCCTGTTTACTGATGATAGTTTCTTTTGCTGTGCAGAAGCTCTTTAGTTTACTTAGATCCCATTTGTCAATTTTGGTTTTTGTTGCAATTGCTTTTGGCATTTTCATCATGAAGTCTTCGCCCATGCCTATATCCTGAATGGTATTGACTTGGTTTTCTTCTAAGGTTTTTATGGTTTTGTGTTTTACATTTAAGTCTTAAATCCACCTTGAGTTAATTTTGGTATAAGGTGTAAGGAAGAGATCCAGTTTCAGTTTTCTGCATATGGCTAGCCAGTTTTCTCAGCACCAGTTATTCATTAGGAGATCCTTTCCCCATTGCTTGTTTTTGTCAGGTTTGTCAAAGATCAGATGGTTGTAGATGTGTGGTGTTATTTCTGAGGTCTCTGTTCTGTCCCACTGGTCTTTATGTCTGTTTTGGTACCAACATTAAGTGTCTGTTTTAACACTTAATGGATAAATAAATAAAAATAAAAAATAAAACAAAAATATGAACAGACTAAGTACATTTCTTAAGACCTCCTGACTTTCACATGCTTTGGATATTATTTGGCTATTTGCCTCTGTAGTGATGAAGCACAGGAGATATGGGTAATATTCAGATGAAAATTGAGAATGGAAGCCATAGAGATGGATACTACCTGCCATCTTTCCAGAAACTACACTTAGTAGATTAATGTAAATTATTGTTTATCATTTATGTTGATTTTGTATGTATAGAGTTAATTCTATCCATAACATTTGAGTAGAACATATGTTAACAGTTTTAAAAATGGTGGCAGAATAATACAAACATGAATTAAATGTGTATATTACCTTCAAAAGCCTGGATCCCAGTAGGATAGATATAAGTAATTTTACAAGGTAAAGATCCCAAACATGAAATAAAAATGTATTTTTATAAAACATGCGAAGAGGTGTGTGTGTATGTGTGTGTGTATATACACATACACACACATATATATATACACACATCATTGTATATATGTGTATATATACATTGTAATGTATATATATACATTACATATATTTATATATATAATCAACTTGAGCAACAAGAGTTGTCTTCTGCAAAAAGATGGACCTACATTTTAGAGTGTATATATAAAGATAAGAAGGACATCAATGTGTGTAGGGCATGAGCCAGGTAGAATATAAAAGCCTTCCATTTCAAGGAAACAGCTGCTCAGTAAACCAGAAAATTTTAAAAAGATAAAGAAACAACAATTACACAGAATATTAAATGACACAGGCTGACTTTGAGAAAAACTGCAGAGGAATGTCAGTTGATAAGCTTACAAATGCCTAAGAATTAAATCTGGAAGTGAGCGATCATTTACCAAATATGAGATATCAAACAGTCACCAGGTTATTTACATGCATCAACTCAATCTATCCCTCACTGCAGCTAAAGGAGATTGCAGGCTTTTTTTATTCCCATTTTGCAGAACAGTAAACTGAGATGTAAAGGGTCTAACTTACAAATTGTTGGTATGAATCCATGTAACTACAAAGCCAGGCAGGTAATTTTAAGAAGTTAAATACATAAGGATATAAGTTTAATTGTATTCCTTGTCTAAGAATATATATGATAAAATATCATGATAGAATTAAAAATTGGGTCAGGCATGGTAACGCACACCTGTAATCCAAGCATTTTGGAAGACCAAAGCAGAAGGAGCACTTGAGTCCAGGGATTTGAGACTATCCTGGGCAACACAACAAGACCTCATCTCTACAAAAATATAAAAAATTACCCAGGCATTGTGACACATGCCTGTAGTCCCAGTTACTTGGGAGGCTGAGATGAGAGGATTGCTTGAGCCCAGGGGGGCAAGGCTGCAGTTAGCTATGATCGTGCCACTGCATTCAGCCTGGGCAACGGAGTTAGACTTTGTCTCAAAAATAATAATAATAATCATCATCATAAATTATAGGCTAAGCCATTAAACTCACATCAAAAGCTTTCACACTATTATTATTTTGTAGTAACAGTACATAAATCACAAACATTAAAATTCCCAGTACACTGTAAATAGTAGTTTTTTTCTAATATAATGCCGCTATTTTTCTGGTGAACAAAATGAAAACATATAGCACTATAAACATTTGCTAACTAACTAATTGAACACTTTATGTAACCCAAGAGTATCTGAATGGTTTGGAGAATCATAAGCATTCTATTTCATAAATTGCTGTTAGGCAGTTTATTCTATAGAAACAATTTCAAATAAGAAATATCCCCAGTACTTGAGTTTTTTGTTGAAACTACCTAATGTTGCATAATATGAATAATCCGTTTACATTATACTGATTTATAATAAAAGTTCCTTGAGATAGCAGCATTTATAACTCTATTGAAATTTACAGTGTCTTTCTGGTTTGCTGTGGAGTGTTATATTAATTAAAATTCTACTTAATTTTATCCCAGTGAGATCAGTAAATATTAACATGAGGAAGAGTCACGCCATTCTCAAAGATACATTTAACTAATTTCTAACTTTTATATTTGTATCTTAGAAGGTATTTTAATTTAATTTTATTTTTTTATTTTATTTATTTATTTATTTTTGAGACGGAGTCTCGCTCTGTTGCCCAGGCTGGAGTGCTGTGGCATGATCTTGGCTCACTGTAAGCTCTGCCTTCTGGGTTCATGCCATTCTCCTGCCTCAGCCTCCCCAGCAGCTGGGACTGCAGGCGTCTGCCACCACGCCCTGATAATTTTTTGTATTTTTAGTAGAGACGGGGTTTCACCGTGTTAGCCAGGAAGGTGTCGATCTCGTATTGCAATTTTATAAAGCATCTCTGAAAAGTGACAACATATTTTCACAAGTTGTCAGGTTTTTCTCCACATTTTTATAGTTTTGAAAAATATAATTTCAGAATGCTGTAGGTAGTATATAAGAACATAATCTAAAGCATTTTCTAATTATAGAAATAACACAGGCAGTATAATTGAGATTTTGAATAATGTAAGAAATAATTTGCAAAAATAAAACACATTTTAATAAGATTGCTAGTAGTTATATTATTAGTAAAAATTTGAATGTATTTGTATTATCACATTTTATAGTTTGTAAAATTATAAACATGAGAAAAATTGAATTGCTTTACTTTTGTACGTTTGTTTCTATTTTGAAGATTATATAACTGGGAAGATTTGACATATCTCAACATCAGAATCACTCAGTATTGGTTTCGACAGCTTTTGATTTTGTTTTAGCAGTTGTTTTGTAGGAATTTCTTAACCTCAAAATTATTTGCTATAACTTTTTTATAATATTAAATATAGTTACATATATTGTCTGGTTCTCTCCACATTTATATCTTTCTAGGTTTATATTATAGTTCTTGGTCTGAATGAAAATTTTAATTTTCCTGTACTAGATAAAAAATGTACATAATTTCCTTAAAACATTCATTTTCTGAAAAACTCACATTAAGGTGATTCACTGGTATATTTTAAGAATTAAGGTGGTTATTGAAATTTATGTGAGGAATGCGTTTAACCATTGACATTTACTACTGAACAGCATTTACTCTGCACTCACTATAATCAAAAACATACTCTATGTTGAGAAATTATAACATTATTGTTATACAAACTCTGTTAAGAAATTATAACATTATTTTTATAATTTTATAAATGTAGTACAAGCTAATCACATAAAAGAAATGGCTGATGGCTTTATTTACAAATGTATATATTTAAATTGCAAGTCAGAAAAGTGATCTGAGGTGGTCCCATTATAAACAGAAAATAAACGCTGATATGAGTCTGGTGGGTGTTGGAAGGTTAGTGGGTTAAGCAAGACTGACAAGCTGGATTAAGCAAGACTGACAAGCTGGAGAATGGGATAGAGATCAATGTTTTCTAGCTACTTCGTCTTCAACAAAGAATGAGAACGCCTAGGAGGGAGCAGACCATGGCATGGACAAATATAATTTTCAACGGGAAAATGTTACATGAAAAACTAAAATGCATTCTTTTTAGTCAAGAAATCTTGATTTGTGTCTAAATATACTTGTTTGATTTCAAGATGGTCACACACCAATTGAGATTTAAAAAAAAAAAGAGCAGAAATACTGGGAGCTTCTGTGTAATACGGAGAAGTGAGAATGGCCTGATGATTGGAGGGAGATAAGATTTTCAAGATACTTGGAGAACAGAGAGTGATGGCTTGGTGAGGAACAGAAATCTAGGTCCAATCTTAGGTAGCATCCAAGAGGTTCAGTGGCTGGGTAGCCACCTGATAACTGACAATTAAGGCCTACATTTGAGAGATGCAATAAATGTCTCAGTGAACAAGCATGTTGTGTAGGAGTTAGATGCTGACAGTTGACTTGTCCACCTCAACGGGACCAGTCACTTAACGAATACACCATCATTTTTTTCAGTGGGTCCTCATCTTAGGAAATCCCTAAGGGTTAGTGTGCACATAAAATGACCACGTTTGGAATGTCTAAACCAAAACTATCTGAAGCATATTTGACTATATTTAGAAATATGAAAAGTGTGATCTTTTACCTTACCTTAGTGGAGGAACTGAAACACACCCCAAAATACAAATGTCCAATGATTAAATGTATTTATTATTTTAAAAAACTTCTAAATTGTTATTTAGCACTAGGTAAATTGGAAGACATACTTAACTTACTCTTTACAGTTTCATCTATATATGAACTTTTTTTTCTTTTTTTTTGAGACAGAGTCTAACATTGTCACCTAGGCTGGAGTGCAGTGGCCTGATCTCTGCTCATTGCAACCCCTGCCTCCCAGGTTCAACTGATTCTCCTGCCTCAACCTCCTGAGTAGTTGGGATTACAGGTGCCCACCACCACACTCAGTGGCTCACGTCTGTAATCCCAACACTTTTGGAGGCTGAGGCAGGCGGATCACTTGAGGTCAGGAGTTGAGATTAGCCTGACCAACATGGTGAAACCCCATCTCTACTAAAAATACATATCAACTTTATGATAACTTCATACATCCCTTCTGCTGATATCTTCTAATCACGGCACCTCTGCTCATTTACCACCACCAGAAACATGATGCTGATGCTCCTACTGCTCTTCCCCACTTTGTCCCAATGCCCTGTCATCAGATCTTTCCAGATGTTCTTCATAGTCTTTGGCCACGGACTTTATAAGCTTTCTTACTTGGTAAAATGTGTTCAGGCCAGGCGGGGTGGCTCATGCCTGCAATACCAGCACTTTGGGAAGCCAAGAGAGGCAGATTGCTTGAGACCAGAAGCTCGAGGCCATTCTGGTCAATGTGTCAAAACCTGTCCCTACAGAAAAATTAGCCAGGTGTGGTGGCCTGTACCTGTAGTCCCAGCTACTTGGGAGGCTGAGGTGGGAGGATTATTTGAACTCAGGAGGTCAAGGCTGCCCTGAACAGGGATTGCACTACGGCACTCCAGCCTGGGTGACAGTGAGACACTGTCTCAGAAGTAAATAAATAAATAAATAAAAATTAAACTAAAAAATAAATGTTCAAATTCCAATAAGTTAGTTATACTACTAAGATTTTATTGGCAAATAATAGTTTAAATTGCTACTTTCCAGAAGATATTTATATTTAAGAGACAATTTTAGTACATAACATAAATTTATAAGCTTTATTATGATGGAAATGATAGATTTATTGCTTCTCTTAGAGCTTCCTTTCAACATCCAGGTGATTTTTAAAAATCAATACATATACTATCTACTTGTAATCTAACAAACTTTGTTTAAAAAATTCAAAGGAATAAACTATGCAAAATAACATTTTGAACAACATAAAGATGGGGCCAATTTAGACAAAGTCATCTCTAGATTGTATTTATAGAACATAATTTTAGAGGTGAAACTTCCACAATAAATATCAAATTCCATCTAAAAAAAAAGAAAGAAAGAAAACTTTCAACATGTTGTTGTTTTGAATCTCTTCTCATTTATCTCCTCTGTTTTAGTTATTTTTAATTTCTACTTTATTTTATCATATTCATATTATTCCTTTTGTGTGTTTTTTCTCAGTGCTGTCTCCTGGTAAGAATATTCACTATTTTGAGTTTTTTAATATCTTGAAGATTTTATTTTATGTTCAGTTTTGAGAGATTTTATGAAAGGCAATATTTATAGACTACATATATTATATAATCTATTGCTAAGTGTTATGAAAATAAATGTATAAAGATCATATTGAAATTTAATCTTTGAGTTAGGAAAAGAGTATAATATACCTTTTCAATATAAGCCTATTATGAAATCCACAGAGTTATATAATACTGTCAACTAACATTTAGTCATTTAGAGAGAAGCATTGCTTGCCTTTCACTAAAGTTGAAACATTGGTATATTCCTGAAATGAAAAATAAGGTTGAAATATGAGACATTCAAACTGGCATCCACCATACATTGTTTTACTGATTACACTGGCATATGAAATAGATGTATCTGGCATTTTCATTAACTACTCTCCTTTATATGGAGGAGTTTAGTTTTAGTATTTCCAATTTCAAATGATGACATTCTAACTAATACTATGTTTATGTAAATATTTGTGTTTTGTATTGGTATTTGTATACCATACAAATTATTGTATAACTGTAGAAAAATATAATGGCCACTATGAAAACATAATTCCATTATACAAATACAAATACCTCCTGTTTTTCTGTTTAAATATACATTTTTCCTTTGATATGACTATCTACTGAGTGGCTTATTAACACCCTCTTCTAATTGCAATGTCCCTGCTGATAATTGTAACTGATGGGACTGTTCCAAGGCATTATTATTTCTCAGATGTCTCTACCTTTCACCTGTCACTGATTGTAATTACTAGGCACATAACTGACCAATCCATAGGCCTAATGATTGGTCTATG
Source organism: Homo sapiens (assembly GCF_000001405.40). Taxonomy (NCBI): domain Eukaryota; kingdom Metazoa; phylum Chordata; class Mammalia; order Primates; family Hominidae; genus Homo; species Homo sapiens. The sequence continues at coordinate 96,258,198 of NC_000003.12, forward strand.
ACAGGGAACAACAAGCTATGGCCTCTAAGCCAAATATGGCTCACCACTATTTTTATAAATAAAGTTTTATTTTATTTTGATTTCAGGGGTATATGTGCAGGTTTGTTTTACAGGTAAATTACGTGCCACCAGGGTTTGGTGTACAGATTATTTTAGCACCCAGGTATTATAATAAGCATAGTACCCAATAGACAGATTTTTAACTTCGCTCTCTGCTCACCCTCCATTCTCAAGTAAGCCCCAGTGTCTATTGTTCCCTTCTTTGTGTCCATGTGTCCTCAATGTTTAGCTCCCACTTATAAGTGAAAACATGTATTTGTTTTCTGTTCTGGCATTACTTTGTTTAGGGTAATGATCTCCAGCTCCATCCATGTTGTTGCAAAGGACATGTTCTTATTATTTTATGGCTGCATAGTATTCCATGGTGTATATGTACCGCATTTTCTTTATTCAGTCTACCATTGGTGGGCGTCTAGGTTGATTCCATGTCATTGCTATTGTGAATAGTGCTGTGATGAACTATAATTGTTTTTTATGGTAGAACAAGTTATAGTCTTTTGGGTATATAACCAATAATTGGATTGCTGGGCCAAATGGTAGTTCTATTTTAAGTTCTTTGAGAAATTGCCAAACTGCTTTCCACGGTGGCTAAACTAGTATACATTCCCACTAGTAGTGAATAAGAATTCCCTTTTCGCTGCAGCCTTGCCAGCACCTGTTGTTTTTTGGCTCTTTAGTAATAGCCATTTTGACTGGTGTGAGGTGGTATCTCATTTGGTTTTGATTTGCATTTCTCTAATGATTAATAATGTTGAGCATTTTTTCATATGCTTGTTGACTGTGCTTATGTAGTCAATAAAGTAATTTTGGAACAAAGCCATGGTCATTTACTTATGTATTATCTATGGCTTCTTTCAGGTTAAAATGGTAGGCTGACTAGTTAGAGACTTTATGGAACAAAAAACCTAAAATACTTACTCCCTGACTTTTTACAGAAAAAAATATGATTATTTATTATGTTGTTGTTTTAGTAAATTTTTGGTAAAGTTTTGTCACTACCAATTAACTCTATCTCTAGTAATAGTTCACATTTTAAAATCTGCTTTGTCTGATATTCATATAGCCACTCTTCTTTTCACTTGGAACTTGTTGAAATGATGTATTTATTTTCCTCTTTAACTTACCTGTCTCCTAAAATATAAAGTGGACTTCTTTTGATGATCAAATAGTTGAATCTTGCCTTTTTATCCAACTTGATAAGCTTTGACTTTAATTGATATATTTATTAATATTTTATTTATTTATATTTATGTATTTAATATTTTTATTTATTTATTTTTATTTAATTTAATGCAATTAAAATTTTATTTGGTTTCAATATCATATCTTCCTATTTGATTTTTATTGTTTCTTGTATTTTTTAAAAAATTTTCTTTTTGTGTATGTGTATTAATATTCCTATATTTTAATGATGCTCATTTTATCTCCACTAGTGGCTTATTAGTCCTTCACTTTTCTTCATTTAAGGTGACAGCTAGATCTAGAATATGAAATTGACATCTTTAACAAAATTTACTTTCAAATAATATTTCACTGCTTTACCTATGATGAAAAAACCTTAAAACATAATACTTTCAGAGGTGACATCAGCAACGTGGGGAAATAGGAAGCCCCTGACTCTCCCTCCATCCACTAAAGCACCAAATAAATATGCATTCATGGATCAATCGCCTCTGAGAGAGAGTCAGAGTCTAGCTGAGAGATTTTAACCAATGGACAACCGGGAAAATATCCACATATGACAGGGAAGAAAAGCTGAGGCACACTCAGGCACAGAGCTTGCCCTGGGCACTGCACCATAAAATAGGGTAAGTAATTCCCAACATCCAGCTTTTCCCTGTTGAGAGGAGGAATTGGAATTCACACTAAGATCCCCCACCGTTTATCGCTTAATTCGTCAGCAGAGGGAATTAGACACACATGAGTGTCTATAGACCACAGGAAAAAAGCAGTAGTTTTCTATAGGTGCCCAAGTGCTTTCAGGGGCTTCATACCCTACTAGCAGTGCAGAAAGGGGATTTAAAAATGCAGCACCCAGTTTATCCCCAAAAGGAGTTTATGCACCAACTTTTATAGCTACCCATCAAAGAACTCCATCCTAAACCTCTTAGCTGTGGACGGAAGGGCCTAGACACATGCAAGTATCCCAAGATGACAAAACAGATGGTTTTAAATGGGTGTGTGAGAACACTTCCAACGACTACAATCCCTTGTGGTATTGCAGAAAAGGGGTGGAAACATGTAGCTCTGATTTCCTCTGGGGAAGGGGATTATGGCACATACTTCCAGTGGCTACTTGTTATCTTGGCTTCTAAGAAACTTGCTTCAGGGAGCTAACAGGGCAAACAAACAAGAGTCATTCAGCACCCACAGCCAGAGCTTGGCACTGCACAAGCATTCTCTCTGGCTTGCCCAAGTGATAAAACCAGACCTACCCATTCTTCCTAGAAGGAGTGTGGCCACGCATCCAATACTACAATGTCTATAGTTCCCACCCAAGGAATTATCTCCTTCATGACTTAGCTCTGGGGTCAATAGAGGTTTGCATTTCCGAGTGGCCCTAGGCCACAAAAAAACAAAGATTTGGATATACAATGAGCCCTCTTCCAGCAGCCATCCCCACATGATCAGAGCATCCTGAAAGTGAGTACCAGGCATTTTCCAAAGATCCTCTCCCCAGCTTAGTGCAGAAAGAATGGGAAATAAGCATCTTCAGTCAGCTTCACTATCTTCCTTCTCAAATTGGACTTTTTTCTAATGTCTTTGAGTTCACTAAAATTTTTTCCATCTTGATGAAAAAAGTTATCTTCATCAAGATAGAAGGAACTGGAATACACATCTAACATCCCAACATTTCCAGATTTATCTAGAGAGTCTGGCTTGTACCTTATTTGTTTCAGTATCCTTACAAACATGGTACATCCTAAACTCTAGGAGATCACCTTAAACAAAGACAGTAGTCTGAACAAACAAAGAGTTGAGATACTCATTAAAGTCTCTAACTGGACAGATTAGTGAAATCTTTCTACTTCATGAGTCCAGTCTGACAAGACTAGGAGAGGTAGTTGTCTTAACTAATGCACACCAACACGGTCAAGAAAAATGAAGAAATTGGGAAATATATTCCAAATAAAAACACAAAATCTATCTCCAGTAATTCAACTGAGTAAAATGAAGATGTGATTTTACCCAACAGGGAATTCAAGATGATGTTTATAAAGTTGTTCGCCAAGGTCAAAAAAGCAATGCAAAAACAAACTGAGCATGTTAACAAAGAGATACAAAGTATTTTAAAGTATCAAACAGAAATCACAGATCTGAAGAATACTATAAACGAACTAAAAACTGAATAGAGTGGTTTGAGAGCAGACTACATCAAGCAAGAAAAAAAAGATTAGTGAACTCAAAGACATTAGAAAAAAATTTGAGGAGGAAAAAATAAAAAAAAAATAAAGGAAGAGAAGATAGCTGAGGAGACTTATGGACAACATCAAGTGGAAAACCTTATGCATTATTCACATGCCAGAAGGAAGAGAGAAAAAGATTGAACACATATTCTAAGAAATAATAGCAGACAATTATCCAAGACTAGGGAAGAAAATAGAAAGTCAGAATCAGGAAGCCCAAAGGACACCAAATAAAATAAATCCAAAGAGATTCATACAAAAACACACTGACAACTCAAGTTGTCAAAATTTAAAGACAAAAATATTGAAAGCAACAAAGAAAAAGCAAATTGTCACATATTTTAAAAACCCATAAGACTATCAGCAAATTTCTCAGCAAAAATCCTGCAGGCCAGAAAAGAGTGAGATGATACATTCAAAATCCTGAAAGAGAAAAACTGGCCACCAAAAAATACTACATAAGTCTCCTGCCTCCCCATGCCAATCAGTGGTTTCTCTCTCTGTGGTTTGAGTTACCTGTCATCAACCATGGCCTAAAATTATTAAATTAAAAATTGCAGGGCCAACTGCAGTGGTTTGTGCCTGTAATCTCAGCAGTCTTGGGGCTATGCTCATTTTGGACAAATAGCCTTTAGGTCAAAAACTTTAAAAAGAGATAATGAAGGTTATTATATAGTAAAGGAGTCATTTCTTCATGAAAATATAACAATTTAAAATATGCATGTACTCAACATCACAGAACATAAATATTACAAGTAACATTAAGAGATTCAAAGAGAGATGTAGACTGCAAGAAAATCATAATAGGAAATTTTATTATCCCATTTTTAACATTGCCCGGATCATCTAGACAGAAAATGAGGACAGAAAACTTGGACTTGAACTACACTTTAGACCAAATAGATGTAACAGTCATATATAGAATATTCCACCCAACAGCAACAGGATACATATTCTTCTCTAGTACACAGAAAACCTTCTCTGGGATAGATCATGTTAGGCTCCAAACAAGACTTAACAAATTTAAGAAGACTGAAATCACATCAAGTACCTTTTTAAACCACAATTGTATGAAATTAGAAATTAATAACACAAGAAACCATGGAAAATTAACACATATGTGGAAATTAAACAATTTGTTTCTGAACAACTACTGGGTCAAAGAGGAAATTTAAAAATATTTTAGGGAAACAAAAGTGGAAACAAAACATATAAAAACAAGATTCAGCAAAATTATTTCTTAAAGGAAAGTTTAGAGCAAAGAACACCTACATCAAAAAGAAGAAAGATTGCAAACAAGTTAACATTGTAGCTCAAGAAACTAGAGAAAAAGAACAAATTAAGCTCAAAGTTAACAGACAGAGGAAATAAAAATCAGAGCAGAAATAAATGAAATAGAGACTAGAAAAAAATAGAAAAGATAAATGAAAATGAGTTGGATTTTGAAAAGCTAAACAAAATTGACAAACCCTTGGCTAGGCTACTTAAGAAAAATGAAGACTCCAATAAATAAAATAAAAAAAGAAAGAGAAGATATTGCCACTACAGAAATACAAAGGATCATAAGAAACTACCACAACCAATTACATGCCAGGAAATTGGACAACCTAAAAATAATGGATAAATTCCTATAAACATACAGCCTACCTAGACTGAATCTCAAAGAAATTGGAAATCTGAACAGACAAATAACAAGTAAAGAGATTAAATCAGTACCAAAAACATTTTCATCAAAGAAAAGCCCAGGACCAGAAGGCTTCATGGCTGAATTCTATCCAATATTTTAACAAAAACTCATACCACTCCTTCTCAAACTCTTCCAAACAAATTGAAGAAGAGGTAACATTTTTAAATGCATTTGATGAGGTCAGCAACACTCTGATACTGAAGCCAGACAAAGACACTGCAAGAATAGGAAAATAAAATCCAATATTACTAATAAACACAGATGAAAAATCCTCAAGAAAATACTAGCAAACTGCATTCGACAGTACATTAATAGACTTGTTCACCATGAACAAGTGGGATTTATCTTGGAATGCAAAGTTAATTCAACATATGCAAATCAATTAACTTGCTTTGCCATTAAAGCATTTTTCAATTAAATATACTTTTATGATTAAAATCTTCAACAAATTAAGTATAAGAGGAATATTCCTCAAAAAGTATAGGCCACCTATGACAAGTCCACAGCTAACATCACACTCTACATTGAAAACGTGAAGGCTCTTTCCCTAAGATCTGGAACAAGGCAAGGATACTCACACTCACCACGTCTGTTTGACAGATAACTACAGGTAGTAGTTACAGATGTTGAATGGTTTTTGAATACAGTCATGTGCCACATAATGACATTTTGGCCAGTGATGGACTGCATATACAACAGTAGTCTCATAAGATTATAATGGAGCTGAAAAATTCCTATGGCTTAGCGATGTCACAGGCCTTGTAATGTTGTAGCACAACACATTATTTACATGTTTGTGGTGATGCTGGTGATGCTGGTGTAAACAAACTTAGTAAGTTTTATATGCCAGTCATATAAAAGTCCAGCACATATAATTATGTGTAGCATATAATACTTAATAATAAATGACACTGTTACTGGCTTATGTATTTACTATATATTTTTTTGTTATTTTAGAATGTACTTTTTCTACTTTTAAAAAATAAGTTAATTATAAAACAGCCTCATGCAGGTCCTTTAGGAGGTATTCCAGAAGGAGGCATTTTTTATCATAGGAGATTATACCTCCACGTGTATTATTGCTCCTGAAGACCTTCTAGTGAAACAAAATATGGAGTTGGAGAAAAGTTACACTGAGGATTCCAATCCTGTGTAGACCTAGGCTAATGTGTGTGCTTGTGTCTTAGATTTTAACAAAAATATATATTAATAAAAAGTAAAAAAAAAAGAATATTCTAAAAATAGAAAAAAAGCTCATAGAATCAGGATAGAAGAAAATATTTTGATATAGATGTACAATGTGTTTCTGTTTTAAGTTGTGTTATTACAAGAGTCAAAAGGGTTTTTAAAAAATTAGGCTTTGTAAAGTTAAAAAGTTACACTAAGCTAATGTTAATTTACCATTAAAGAAAGAAAAACATTCTTTATAAATTTAGTGTGTCCTAAGTGTGCGATGTTTATAAAGCCTGCAGTAGTGTACAGGAATGTCCTAGGCCTTTACATTCACTCACCACTCACTCACTGATTCACCCAGCGCAACTTCCAGTCCTGTGAGCTCCATTTATGGTATGTGTCTTATAAAGGTGAATCATGTTTTATATTGTATGTTAACTGCACTTTTGAAATGTTTGGATATGTTTAGCTACATAGGTACTGATATGGTTTGGCTCTGTGTCCCCACCCAAATCTCATCCAAATTGTAGTTGCCATAATCCCCAGGTGTACAGGGAGAAACCTGAAGAGAGATGATTAGATAATGGGGGTGTTTCCCCCATGCTCTTCTCATGATAGTAAGTGAGTTCCCACAAGATCTAATGCTTTTATAAGTGACTCTTCCCCCTTTGCTCATTTCATAACTCTTGCCTGCTGCCATGTAAGATGTGCCTCTTCCCTTTTCCCATGATTGTAATTTTCCTGAGGCTTCCCCAACCATGTGGAACTTTGAGTGAATTAACCTTCTCTTCTTTATAAATTACCCAGTCTCGGGTATGTCTTTAGAGCCGCAGGTAAATGGACTAATACAGGTACTTACCATTTTGTTACAATTACCTACAATATTCAGTACACTAACACACTGGACAGGTTTGCAGCCTAGGAGCAATAAACTATGCCATATAGCTTAAGTGTATAGTAGACTATACCATCTATATTTGTGTAAGTACACCACATCATATTTGCAAAATGACAAAATCACCTAAGGACCCATTTTTCAGAACTTACGCCCCGTCATTAAGCCATGCATGACAGTAGTTGAGGGCCTTAAAATATAGGCTACCTGATAGTTACAGAAACAAGTGAGATCTTAATGTGTGGGTTTTGTGTCTTGATCTGGAGAATAGATTCACCACTTGGACTGTTGTTTGCAGGTTAATGTTAAGGAAAAGATCATTAATCTTGAGTCTTAAAAAAGTTTTGAAATGACTTCTGACTGATGAAAGGAACAAAACATGTTGTTTTCATTGTGTTTTCAGCTGTGCCAAGATTTCAAACTGCAGAGTTAACTAAGTGCTATGTATGCTAAATTCATTATTTTCAATTTGCTGCTTCAAATTCTATTAATTGCACTGAAGAACAAAAGTAGGCACTTCTCTTTCATAATTTTATGGTTTGGACATAGCCTCTTGAGAGCCACTTTGTCATTACAAGGTTTGATACATTCAGGAGCTTTGAACATGGCTTCAGATTTCAGAGATAGAAATGGTAAAATGATAGATTTTATAACAAAGCAACACATATGGGTAGATGTTCTTATAATAAAGATAATCTGTCGTTTGGTTTAAGTTATGAAATAATTCAGTGAAATTATTGTAAACAATGCTAAGAAGGGAAAAACCAAGAAAGCAAGCAAGAAAGCTAATTTGGACCTGGAAGAGCCTGATTTTGAGAATCAAGATTGTCAAGGTAATTAAATCAAGTGAGAATTGAAATGACTTGTTTAGTTAGTCTTACTATCAGAAAAGAAAAAATAGAATGATGAAAATAGAACACAATAAAAACAAGCATTTTAATCAATAAACCTGACAGTGATTATAATGAAAAAGATGTCTAAATCAGGATACATACTAATAAAAGAAAAAAGGGAGTGCTCCCAAGTGCTTGATCTTAAAGTCAGCATTCCAAAAGAGAAAAATATTTTCAGTATACCAGAAATGGTGACTGGATGCAGTAGAATCAAAGACAGGATAAGAATCCAGATTTTGAGAGCAGATTAGAATGACTCCTCCAGAGGAGACAATGAATTAGGAAATGATACATTTTAGGTAGAGTCCAGAATAAAGCAATGAGGGAAAACCTCACACACCCCCAGGATGTTTTTACCAAATTTGCAAAGGCTTATAAGGGGAAAACTTTTAAAAATCAATGTAAAATATGTAATTGCTAGGTGTAGTCATAAATTAGGTAGATACTTTAGGTGAAATATCATACTAGATTAATATATGTAAGGCTGTAAGAAGAGATAAAAATAAAGAAGAGTAAATTAATTTCCTATTCATGTATCACATATTACTACAATCTTAATGGCCTAAAATAACACCCATATATTACACCACAGTTTCAGTCAGTCTGGATCAAAGTTCATTGCAGTTGAATCATTTGTTTGGGTCTCCTGAGGCTGCAATGAATGTGTCATGCAGACTGGAGTTCTTATCTGAGTCTTTTTCTAATATTAGTCAGGTGTTGGCACAATGCAATGCCTGTGGTTGTACTAAGGCTATCTGATGTTAGATTCTGTCGTTCTCCACAAGCAGTTCACTACGTGCTACTTGGATCTTTCTTCAACTCAGTCGTCAACTGACTAGGGAGCTTAATTACATCTGCAAAATGCCTTTTGCCACTTAACATAAGCTAATCATAGATGTGATATTGGATTATATACACAAATCTCATCCACATTTAAAGAGAGGTGATTATACAGGGCATGTACACTTGGGGACAGGAATCCTGAGAGTCACTTTAGACTTATGTATACCAGAATGAGAATTATTAAAAAGGTCCAGTTAGTTTAATACTAGATTGAATTCTGATTTATTAGAATATATTCAGAAAAACAGCACATTGGACAGATGAAGGAAATTTAAAATAAGAAACTAATTTCAAGTTTGGTGTCAAGAAATTTTTTTAAAGATGAGGCAAATACAATAGGAAGCTGTTATGCATTTTAGGGTTGGATGGGCAGAGCCCAATTAATAGCTCCAGTACCAACTGCTGCTCTGCAGGGTAATGAGACAGGAGATACTAATGCTGTGAAGAAGGGGTCATCTGGCTGTATCTGAAGGTAAGGGTCATGAAGAAAGTACAGAAATTTGGAGCATCAAAGAGGGCTACATAGCATTATTTGAGACTTTAGAGAGAGGAAGGAAAACCCTTTGGACTCTTTTCCTGTTTCCTGCCAAACAGTGCACAAGACTATCTGGTATTTGTAGAATGAGGAAGTCATCCCACTTAACAAAGAGTGAAAAGAAGAGGAAGTGAGGCAGGTTGGGGTGTGTACAGAATCTGCGAACAAACAGGCAAAGGACTGTCGTACGAGCCTTAGATTAGACATGGGGCCATTTGGAAAATACATTCTGTTAAGATTATCCTCAATGAGGAAGATGAAGAGGGGCAATAATTTTTTTAATGACAAAGTTTAGTAGCTATTGAAATATTGACTGTGTGTGTGTGTATTCTCACATATAAAGGATTCCAATTATATAATTTGGAAAAATAAATTAGAAAAACAGTATAACTCAGCTAGAGAGCTATTAAAATGAAGAAAGGATTTCCATTCCAGCAAATGATGCTGGCCTTATATGCAGTGTGACTAAATTTCTGGATAGCCAAGGACAGTCATGGTTTTTACCTGCTGTCCCTATCACTCACAAAACTAGGTTAGATAATAAATTATATGCCACCTTACTTAGACGAGGAAGTAAACCAACTTAAGGAGTAGAATAAACTATTCAAAACTCAGCTACATCTTCCTCAAAGAAATAGGAAAATAGCAGATGGAAATGACATATTTGAGGAATATCTCACTACTGCAGAAGAAAATACAACATAGAAAAATATATGTTACCCAAGACCTGCACAATCAAATGTTGCAGACAGTGTTCTAATGATCATACAGCACACATATTATTCCTATCCAGGTTTACAGGGGTCCAGGCTGCACAAACATCCACAACAGCTTCATCTCGGCAGTCTGCTTAGATTGATCGTCCAGTGAGAGGGACTGCAGGCACTAAGGCTAATTTTTCCCTACAGGCAAGGTGTTCCAGGACTAAGCAATTCTAGAGAGACAGTAGAAACCCAAGAAACTTATTTTTCCAAGAGCGTCTTGACTCTCACTACTGAGCAGTAGGATTCCAGGAACACAATGAAAGGAAATACAAACATTAAGAAGTTTTCAATATGCTACACGGAAAGGGAAAGTACCTTAACATGATCCAGTGACTAGGGCTGTCATAACTGCAAACTCTATAAGAAATCATAAGATGCCAAGAATGGTTCCCAGTATAGGAAAACAGACTGTCGCACAGCAAGAGCAACATCATCTTGAAGGATACATTCATAAAGAGGGATGTTTGACTCATCTGTACCAAGGCAGTCCTGCAGCCAGGTCAAGAGACAATGCCTGTAGCATAAATATCCTCTCATAGAGAAACAATTCCCATAGCATAGATAACCCCTCATAAAGAGGTTTATCTACCCTGCCCAGCGGTTACAAGTTTTGTTAAAAAAAAAAAAAAAAAAAGTGTGATGTGTGATCAGCTGCACAGGTTTTATCAAAAACTTGCTATATAAAGAAAACTTGCTGGAGAGCTGGTGTGAGGATTCACCATCTCATGGCCACCTGAGACATAGCTTCTGTTGGTAAGTCCCTATTAATGTTTCTTTCTGAGAAATTGGATTTGGCAGCCTCTTTCTTCAGCCTTTCAGCTCCATTAGCCTTTGAGGAGAGGTTTGCATAGACTTGCTCACTGCGGAACACCGAATGACTTTTCTTGTCCCCTGGTGTTTTCCAGCAATAACTTGTCTGTCCTTTGCTTGTGGACTCATCACTCCAATCTCTGCCTTCTTCGTCACATATCATTCTTCTTATAAACAAGTGATATTGGATTAGGGCTCGCCCTAATCATGTATGACCTTATCTTCACTTGATTACATCTTCAAAGACCCTACTTTCCAAATAAGGTCACCATTACAAATACTGGAGGTTAGGACTTCAATATGTATGTTGGGGAGACACAGTTTAATTTGCAACAAAGCACATCAATTTTATTTTTCTCTTCAACACAATTGCAAAGTCAGAAGTCTTCTGGAAGCCAAAAATAACTATTATAATATTGCTTGAGATGCATGGTGTTCTGTAATTAAGAGTTATAAAATTTAATAGTAATACATTCCATAAGAGCATTTTACTCACTAAAATGGCTGATGATATGTCAAAGTTCAATTAGTAGAAATGTTAACTTTTGAATTATTCTTTGTTAGGGACTGGGAAGAAGTGACCTGTTGTACATCAGAGCTGTTTATTATAAGAAAGACATTTTTCTACTGTCTTAAAAAACAAAGACAGTTGATTTATCCTTTAACCAAAAAGCACTTTTGCAAGGAATCTTTATATGAGTGATATATACAATTTAGTTAAATTAAAATATCTGCCACATATATTGAAATAAGTATTTCCCATTATTGAAAGGAAACAAATCAAAGCATAATATTATTATTATGTTTCCTGACTAAATTTTCAGAAATATATATATATTTCTGAATATATATATACTATTTATATACTATTATATATTCAGTATATATATAATGAATATATATATATACTGAATATATATATACTGAATATATAATAGTATATATATATATATATACTATTAACAAAACAAGCATTAGTAAACTTTGGGAAAGCAGCCAGATTGTTTGTGCATGTGATATCAAAGTTGATGCAGTTTCACAGTTGCTTGTTTCCTGACAGCTCCTAATAACGGAGATCTGTTTTATTCAATTTTCCTTTAATAACCATACAATTATATAATGGATTCGCATATTTTAAATGATAAAAGAGTACTTCCATTATATATCAGCGGGAGAGTATCTTAAGTTTCATGCTGCCATGAGCATTTTGAAATTTTGGTTGTTCTATTAGTTTATAGCTATTACGATATGGTTCAATGAAAGCATTACATACACTAAAATTATAACTGGATAAAAATACATTTTTATATTTAGAAACCCCATAGACAAAAATCTACTTCCAAAACCAATGATGACTTCAGTCTGAGAAGTGGATCTCTATATTGTATACATGTTCTGTCAAACAGATAACTTTTTGTTAATGCTTACAATGTCTACAAAAACCAGACATGGATGCAATACTATATAAAACTTTATTTTTAAAATAGATTTCATACAAATGATTTGAAACTAAAGGAGATAGTATAGACAACATTCTAAATGCTGAATGTGTTACAGAAGTACATTTGTTATTTCTTTTTGTGTGTTTTCTTTCTGTTGGCTTAAAAAACAGCTGATTTCACAATTAAAATTATAGGAATATTAGTGTAACCTAGCAATAAAAGCAGAGAATAGAATATGTTGATGTGGTATGTTGTTTATGATATTGTGCAAGATAATTTTTAACTAGTGAGAAATAAAGTTTTCTTTGAAACTCCCAAAGAAATCCACAACAGAAATACTATTAGAGTTTAGTGACATTCACAGTATTTTAATTTTATTTAAAATTAACCTTTCTCTTTTCTGTATATACCATGTATAATATATTAATAATTCTAATTTATAAGAATTATCTATTATAAATTAAATTTTTTAAAAATATTTTTAAAATTTATAATTAACATATAATTGTACATACTTGTGGAGTACAATGTGAGGTTTTAACGCATGTATATAGAGTAGAATAATCAAATTAGGGGAGTTAACATTCTGTATTTTGGCTATTGTGAATAGTCCTGCAATAAACACTGGAGTATAACTATCTCTTCAGTATACCAATTTTCTTTCTTTTGGGTATATACCCAACGGTGGTGTTGCTAGATCATATGGTCGTTCTATTTTTAGTTTTTTGAGGAACCTCCATAGTGTTCTCAATTGAGACTGTACTAATTTACATTCCCATCAACAGTATATAAAAGTTTCCTTTTCTGTACATCCTTGCCAGAATTTTTGTTTGTTTGTTTTGTGTTTTCTTTTTTTTTTTTCTTTTTTTTTTTTTCATTTTCGATTACAGCCATTCTAGCTGGGGTTAAGTAATATCTCATTTTAGTTTTAATTTGCGTTTCTCTGATGACTGGTGATGCTGAGCATTTGCCCATATATCACTTGGCCATTTGTTAGTCTAATTTGGAGAAAAGTCTGGTCAGGTATTTTGTCCATTCTTTAATCAGAATATTTGTTTTTTTGCTGAGTTGTTTGGGTTTCTTATACATCCTGGATATTAACTCTTTGTCAGGTGGATACTTTGTACATATTTTCCCATTTTTAGGTTGTCTCTTTATCTTATTGCTTGTTTCTTTTGCTGTGTAGAAGTCTTTTAGTTTGACATAATTCCATTTTTTCTATTTTTGCTTTTGATCCCTGCGCTTTTGACGTCTTCTTCAAAACATCCTCACCTAGTCCAGTTTCATGAAGCATTTTCCCTATATTTTATTCTAGTAGTTTCATAGTTTCAGGTATCATATTTAAGTTTTTAATTTATTTAGAACTAATTTTTGTATATGGTGAGAAATAGGAGTCTAGTTTCATTCTTCTACATGTAGCTATCCAGGGTCCCCAGCACTACTGATGGAAGAGACTGCTCTTTCCTCGATGTAAATTTTTCCTGCCTTTGAAATGAAGAAAAGGAACACACTTGGTAACTAGGAAAAGGTAAGTAGAAAAAGTAAAAAGCAGTAAGATGTTGAAGAGACACATGTGCATTACAGAAACCGAGTGCCTCTAAAATTAACAAAGTTTGAACAGAAAAGACAAATTCTAGAACCACAAGGAGTGGTAAGAAATAAGTGATTTGAAGAACTAGTCTCTATTATGGAAACTAAAATTGTTCTCCAGGACCAGGAGAACTAGTTATAGCCCATTTGGAGTACCAGCAAGAATGTCAATATGTGATGTTCCTAAGGTTAAATATAATTTTAATAGGAAAGATGATGCAAAGTCACCTCTTTGTGTATATAAGGAATATTTATTCATTTTTGTACTTGTAATTCTGTGAGTTTCCATAAGTGGGTTACTACTAATATTGTGGCACAAACAGTTCTTGAAATATCATCTCCCAATTCTAATTCATAAGATAGAATAATAGCTCCCACACTGTAAAAATAATTATTTTTAGCTAGATTTATTTTAGAAAACAGCACTTGTAATGGCAAAAAGCCCAGGGCTAATGCTGCAGTTTTATAACTCTGATACTAATTAATACTATAATAGCAAATTAAATAAAGCTAAAATAATTTATTAGAAAGCAACATTTTGTATTCAGAAATTTATTGCATTTAATTTCACTTCGTAATGATTTAGAATTTGAAATTAACCAGAAGATTTTTCATAATGATAAATGTATTTGTATTTTAATAAAATGAAGTTTGGATCCTTGCTGAGAATGACCATTATTTCTTATCCCATTGGGTTATTTGAAGCCAAAGCCTGCTACAACACTAATTCTTTATTTTGCTAAATATGGAATTTGATTTGGATTATTCCTCCTTATGTCCTTAGTGTATAAGTTTATATACTTCATATATTTTTACACTGATATTGATTATCAGATGTATTATAAGAGTTATTATTCCTTTAACTATCCTCTATTCAAACTGTTTATTTGCCCCATTTAATTTTTAGATAGCTCATGCCACCTATTCTTTTATAGACTCAAGTATGTATTGAATTTTAGGGACAGTTAAGATTGGGGTATTAAATAAGTTGAAATGCATTATGCACAAGACAAACTCAATACTGAACAAACACAATGGGCATTTTATATATACTCTTGGTGGTATTGCATAAAAAGCTATTTTGAAGTTGTACAACT
The DNA here is from genome assembly GCF_000001405.40 of Homo sapiens. Lineage (NCBI taxonomy): Eukaryota > Metazoa > Chordata > Mammalia > Primates > Hominidae > Homo > Homo sapiens. The sequence goes on from NC_000003.12 coordinate 96,273,394, forward strand.
AAATTATGAAATATATTTTCTATTACCATGGTATATAAGACATGACGTTTTTAGGTGTTTTTTTTTTTTAATAATTGCAACTTTTGGCAGATACCATGAATTGGCTTGCTCAATACTTATTCTAGTTGCTTTTCAATTCTCATCCTCAATGACACATATAGAAAAACTAAAATCTGCATTTCCACAAAGAGGATAAAGGTGGAGGCATCACACTACCTGATTTCAAACTATACTACAAAGCTAAAATAATTAAAATAGCATGATACTAGATTCAAATAAACACATTAAACAAATGGAACAGAATTGAGATTACAGAAATGAACTCATGTTTCTGTGGTCAATGGATTTTCAACAACGGTGCCAAGAATATGCAATGGACAAAGGACAATTTCTTCAATAAATGGTGTTGGAAAAACTGGACATCTGCATGTAAAAGAATGAAATGGGATCATCATCTCACATCACGTAAGAAAATAAACTCACATGGATTAAAGACATAAACACAAAACCTGAAACTGTAAAACTACTTAAAGAAAATATAGGGGAAAAACTACATGACCTTGATCTTGGGCAATGATGTTTTTATGTTTGACCCCAAAAGTGAAGGCAGCAAAAGCAAATATAGACAAATTGAATTATATCAAAATAAAAACCTTCTCCACAATAAAGGAAACAATTAACAGAGTGAAGAAACAACCCCTATGGATTAAAAAAAATGTTTGTATGTTATACATCTGATAAGGGATATATACTCAAAATATATAAGGAACTCAAACAACTCTATAAAGACAAAACAAATAATCCAGTTAAGAAATGAGCAAAGGAGTGAAGAGACATTTTTCAAAAGAAGATATAAGTTGCTAACAGATGGTACATGAAAAAATTACTAATCATTATAATGATGTAGTTTAAAACCACAGTGTGTTATCACCTCACACCTGATAGATGACTATTATCAAAAAGACCAAAGACAAGTGTTGGCAAGGATGTGGAGAAGAGGAAACCCTTTTACTCTTTTTGTGGGAATATAAATTAGTACAGCCATTATAGAAAACTATACGGAGGTTTCTCAAAAAACTAAAAATAAAATTAACATGTGATCCAGAAATGCCACTTCTGGGTATTTACCCTCCAAATTTGAAATCATTATATCAAAGAAATATGTGTACACCTATACCCACTACAGCACTATTCACAGTAGTCAGGTCATAGAATCTACCAAAGTGACCATCAATAGATGAATGGATGAAGAGAAAATATGCTATATATACACAGTAGAATGCTGTTTAGTCTTTAAAAAAATAGAAAATAAATGTCAGCTGTGATAACATAGAATTGGAGAACATTACACTATGTGAAGTAAGTTAAACAAAGAAAGGCAAATACTGCATATTTCCACTCATACTTGAAATCTAAAACCAATTAAACTTATAGAAGCAGAGAGTAGAATGGTGATTACCAGAGGCTGGGGCATAGGGGAAATGGGAGATAATAGTCAAAGGGTACAAAGCCTCAGTTAGGCAGGAGGAATAAGTTTGATTTTGTGAGTGTGTGTGATCTATTGCACCGTATGGTGAATATAGCTAATAATTGATTACCATATATCTAAATATTGCTAAAAGAATAAATCTAAAAAGTTTTTATCACAAAAAACTCAAATCTTTGAGGTGATGGATGGGTTAATTAGCTTGATTTTGTCATTGCACATTGTATTAGAAATCATCATGTCAATTTATACTCTATAAATATATACAAGTATAATTTGCCAAAGTATAATGAAAAAACAAGTATAAGGCAAGGCACATGCATAACATTAATATTTATAGTAGCCATATTAAAAAGGTAAAAGGAAACAGGTGAAATTAATTTCAATGACATATTTTATTTATCCCAGTATATCCCAAATAGTATCATTTTAATATTTAATCAATGTAAAGACTAAGATATTTTACATTCTTTTTTCACATTGTCTTTGAAATGCTATACGTATTTTATACTTACAGCACATCTCAGTTTGAACCAGCCACATCTTTTAATTTTTTTAATTGATGGATAGTTCTTGTATGTATTTATGGAGTACAATGTGACATTTTGATACATGTGTACATTATGAAATTATTAAATCAGTGGAACACCACATTTAAAATGCCAAATAGACATTGTGATGGGTGGCAGCCATATTGGAGAATGAACTTGCAGTGTCTGGTTTTTCTGTCCTCATCATGCTGTGACAGAGGTTGGTAACTACCTCCAAATATTCATTTCCCTTACTAGTTTAATAACAGAGCCCTGATTTTTTAGCTTCTATATATTTTACTCACCTGCATTTCAATGTGGCGATGACCAAGTTCAGGTCAAGGAGATATAAGTGGCAGCCCACTGTGTCAACAGGATATCTCCTTGTGGTCCAAAAGACACACATTCTTTGTCAGTGCTACCCATGTTTAACATCTGATTTGGGGTAAAAAATCTTTAAAAAATAGAGCATACGACCAGGCACGGTGGCTCACACCAGTAATCCTAGCACTTTGGGAGGCCGAGGCAGGCAGATCACCTGAGGTCGTGAGTTCGAGACCAGCCTGACCAACATGGAGAAACTCTGTCTCCACTACATATACAAAATTAGCCGGGCATAGTGGCACATGCTTGTGATCTCAGCTACTCGGGAGGCTGAGGCAGGAGAATCTCTTGAACCCGGGAGGCGGAGGTTGTGGTGAGCTGAGATCGCACCATTGTACTCCAGCCTGGGCAAAAAGAGTGAAACTCCTTCTCAAAAAAAAAAAAAAAAATAGAGAATAACCTGAGTTATTTGGAGAAAAACGTTGTTTGCCTTCTTTCATCAGTTGTAATAAGCCATGAAATGCCGTCTTGGAGCTATCATAGCAGCCCAGTGGGCTGCTGGCTTCGGGACATCTATGGGAAAGTAATTAAACTTCTGCTTTCTTAAAAAATTTAAAAAAACCTCTTGTTCTTCAATCTTTCTGGTTCTCAACTCTGTTTTCATCTGTACAAAGGATAATGACGCCCTATTAATATGATTTTGACGATTTTTTTGTATGTCATTCTGTACCTTTGCAGATGCATATCTGTTTATGGATGTATTTTTATACTTTATGCATAAACAGTCTAAGCATGTAACAAGCAAGGCAAAATATCCTATTGGTAAAAGAGCATGATTCTGGACTCTACCACTTACCAACAATGTGATCTTGAGAAATGACTTCCTTTCTCTGTGTTTTGTGGTCCTCATTCATATAATGGGGTTTATAATAAAGACTACATCAAAATAAATATTGGAAATGTTAATGGTCATAAAACAATTGAAAAATTCTACCAGGTAGAAACTTTTAATTAAATGCTAACTGTGTTGTCATCATATTATTGTAATGCATGTTCTATTTTGAGTAAGCAAACTTAGACCAAGGAAGCCACTAGTTTTGAATTATGCCTAGCTAGTCAGGTAGCCTCCTTTGAAATATATGACTAGGGAGCTATGGTCCTCAACAGTACATGGAACTTCTTCTTCCAACACCCATATTTTTAGGCAGTTTCATCCTATTTACTTATCGCACAATTGCACTAATGCTGAAGAAACACATCCTCATCTATAGGTTAACTCTAAAACAGGGGTGTCCAATCTTTTGGCTTCCCTGGGCCACACTGGAAGAAGAACTATCTTGGGCCACACATAAAATACGCTAACAACAACAATAGCTTATGGGCTAAAAATATCACAAAAAATTTTCATAATGTTTTAAGAAAGTTTACGAATTTGTGTTGGGCCACATTCAAAGCCATCCTGAGATTCATGTGGCCCGTGGGCCGAAGGTTGGACAAGCTTGCAAAAATAGTTCACTAAATGAGTGTTTCTAAGAGGCACTTTTCTTCCTACTATATATGTTGTTTTTAAAATCACTATTTAGAAATATTATATAGGTACAGAGAAGAATTAATTTAATACAACCCAGTTGGAAAGAGGCAAACTCATAAAAATGAAATACCACTAAAAACTCCATTTTAGACCTTAATTTTAGTTAATTCAAAGCTTGCTGTATAGTATCAGTAATTTAATAATTCTTTTCTTTTATTAAAACAAATGGCAACATTTTGTGAAGGCTATTAATGGTAAAGCTACTGAAAACAACTGGCATTTTTAACAGAAGATGAAAGCCATAAAAAAGAACAGTTTGTGTCTCAAAATCGTCGTATTATAAAGTTTCCATGTAAATAAGAAAGCTAATTATCTATTTATTTAATGTCTAAAGGCTCAAAAGCCCTGTTCATCAAGTTGTAGTTCTGAGGTGTATGTTTCCTAGTTGAAGTGATTTTGCTCTGTGTATTCTCATCCCTAATCATAAGTCAGTGGCCTTTAGAGGCTGCCTCTATTCTTTCAGACAAGCAAGTGCTATTTAGTGCACTGAAGCAGTAACTTACTTAACACTATTCTGGTGACCTATAACAGCTGATGCAGTTTCCAAAGATAGTTAACTTTCAAACAGGCAGTATTTTACTGACTATTTAATAAGTACTGCTTCAATAGGCTATATAATGATGACCCAAAAGATTTAATGCTCCTCTCAAAATTTTGGGAATCAATGGGAATACAGCAATGGTGTTTTTTCAACAAGTCATGTTACGAACATGACTACCCACTGCTACCCTGACCACAGCAACATAAATATAAAATGCTTTAAAGTAGAGTTTAAACTTATTTTTATGAACTAAAAGCATTATAAAATCAAAACTCTACCTTGGGCTTAGAAATAGCTAAATATGTGCTGATTAATTAAAAATGCAGTCTGCAACCTGCATCCTATTATAAGGATGAAGTTACAGACTTCAAGTCTCAAGTTCAGGGTAATTTTTATTTTCTAAATCCATCCTGTTTCTCATGTCTTCATTACATAATATATGCTTTCAAGTTGGTATTAGTAGCATTTAGTAACAGAAATAAACTAAAAATAACAGTTCTTGGCCGGGCACGGTGGCTCACGCCTGTAATCCCAGCACTTTGGGAGGCTGAGGCAGGCGGATCACGAGGTCAGGAGATCGAGACCATCCTGGCTAACATGGTGAAACCCTGTCTGTACTAAAAATACGGAAAAAAAATTAGCCGGGCGTGGTGGTGCGCGCCTCTAGTCCCAGCTACTCGGGAGGCTGAGGCAGGAGAATGGCACAAACCCGGGAGGCAGAACTCACAGTGAGCCGAGGGCAGTGCCCACTGCAATCCAGCCTGGGCGACAGAGCTAGACTCCATCTCAAAAAAAAAAAAAAAAAAAAAAACAGTTCTTGGGGAAGATTTTACCCAATTTTTCTATATTTAAACTAGCATCTAATGTATCCCAATTACATTAGATTGGATTACATGATATTAATGTAATTCAATCTAATTACATTAGATTTACATTAATGCTTGGAATAATTTTACAACTTTTTATCAAATAATTTTATAGTTTCTACAAATCAAATATAGTTAAGGCTGGGGCTAAGAACTAATGCTCAAACTAATTGTTAATTCCTACAACAAAATATCAGATATTTACAATCAAACCACCACAAATCTCCTGAACCACTATCCTCACACCCAGACTTCATTTGTCTATAAACATAGTTGTGGTTTATTTGAGCTCTAAAGTCTTATTGTTGCCAATATATTTAATAATCTTCCTTTATTCCATTCCTCGATGGCCACCACCAGGCCTTCCAGTCATATCTATTCAATTAAAACTAAAAATGTATAAGGATTAAATATACAGATTTAATAATCAAAGGAGTCAGTCTCTTTGGGTAATGGGCACTTTACATGCATGATTTTTTCAGAAGCTGTCCATGAAGTGCTTGGAGCCCCAAAGTAAGGCAGCTTTGCTTACATTATTTAAATGTCATTCTCCATGGATTTTTCAAAGGGGTCTTCTCACAGCTAGCTTATTCCCATTGAATAACATTACTGGTGGTTCTGTTGCAACAAAAAAAGTAACATACAGAGAAATTTCCATAATAGATTTTTTTATACCAGGGGTTTTACAATAGAGTTGGATGAAGAACGGGGTATATTAGGGTATTATTAGAGGCCATGGACTCCCTCTCCATCAAAAAGGTAGAAATTAACTTACACACTATCATTTGTAAATTATTTCAAGTGATTTGTCAAAACCAATATACATGTATGAATATTCTAGATGCTCCTCAACCTTCATTTAACAAACCTGTCCTATTCCAGTCACATTCTTTAGTCTAGTGAATTAAATTTGATTAAAAGAAAGGCTGATCAAATATTTTAAATGGTGCAAAAGAAGAGATCAATTTTCACTTTCCTTTAACTATATTCACAAGGGTTTACAATGGCATGTCTTGCATCTTTTCACAGTTTCCCAAACCAAATATAAATTCAATTACTATTTTCTGAGTGAATAACAAATAATTAAAGAATAAAACAACAAATCTATTGAAGAAAAAAGACAAAAAGTACTTCATTTTATATTCATCTGATTTATTTTATGTGGTTATATTAAATCAGATAAATTGTTATCACACGAAAATTTCCTAGCTTAAAGGAAGGAGTTGGGAATAACCAATAATTGATATATTTTAGGTTGATGCATTAAAAGTTATATCAAAAACAGCAATTACTTTTGCACCAACCTAGTATTTATAAAATAAATCAGAAAAACCTGGTTCTTTTGCTGCATATTAGTAACAATACTCTAAATAAATACTAGATTCTTTGGTTAAAAGTTTCTTCCTAAACTACCTATATCAAAAGTCTATCAATAGCAGAAACAATCTATGATATCTTGCCACTTATAGATTTAAAGCAGCATGAAATGATGCCAAACTCAGCATCAGGTGAATCCTAGTATATATTTTTTAATGCAGTCACTGTTGATTCCCTTCCAAAGTGCTATCAACAATCTTAAACTAGGTCATATTTTTTCCTGTTACTGCACTGGATTGCACAAGAAGTCTTTTGAGATTGAAGGATGATGATGATGATGATAATGATAATGTTGATTGTGTATGTGTGTCTGTGTGTGTGTGTGTGTAAAATTCAATTCAGCACCTAAAATGCTGTCTGAAATATGTAGACAGTGCAAACATTCTTCAGAGCTAATCATTTCAAGGGTGCTTTTTGTAATATTGGAAGTAGTTGTAGCGTATCTTCTGCATGTGGACTTTTAAAATAAACCTGCAGGCTTATCAGCCTTAACACAGAAGCTGAGCAGTTTCCTGTTATTCACTCAGGTAATGAACCTACACAATAGGTAGTCCTCCCCTGGGCAGAGCTAGGTTTGCATCTTGGCCTTTTTCTTCCTTAAATTTTAAAATATATTCTATCAGCTGCCATGCAGCAATATGAGCTTCTAACATATTCATAAATGAAATCTTCAGTTCAGCCTCTTTCAGTGGCAAATAAGCAGCCATAACATTTTGTAAATTCTCCCTCTGAAATAGCAGAGAAGAAACTCGATATACTTACCAATGACCCTTATCAAATAGCAACTTTGTGGATCGCGCTTTGCCTTCATAGTCTCTCTGGAGGTTTCTAACTCTAATGGGAAGGCAATGTACCATTGGCTATTATTCTTACCAGCAGTGAAACTTGAAGAAAGATGCATTCATTAATTCTGTGTTCTCATTGCAGTGTATAAAATCCCAGTGGAACTCTCTTTACTTCCCTTTGGAAATTAATTGTAGTTTTTGCTATCTGTTATAGCAGTGGCTTAGATGCTGGCTCCCAGAACTTTTATGAGTCTCAAACCATCAATGTGAATGATAGTTCATTATATTTACTCTGAGTTATTCTCATAATATTCTTTTGATAAAATTTGATAAAAAATAGAGAACTTGTTTACTTTCCCTGAAAAGACAAAGCAGTTTTCATACTGTTTCTGAAATCCCAATCTTTACTAAAATGATTATTACTATGTTAAGATGAAAGAAGACTTTTACAAAATAATGTTGTTGGTAATTGAAAATGATAAAGATGTTAAGCCTTTTTTTTCCTCTGAGGTAAAGTAATTAATTAGGTAGTACATTTAATCGCAAATAATGGAGTCATAACTATACTGGACTAAACACAAAATCATTTAGATAATTAGTTAGTCCGAGGCAGGCAGTTAGGGGTAGTGATGATAGTGATTTGGATGTTGAAAAATATCAGGATTAAGATCTTAGAAGTTCTCATGTTTTTTTTCTCGTAGGATCAAAATAACTGCTACAATTACATTCATCACATTCTATTTTAGACAAGAAGGAAAAGGAAGGGTAAAAAGCAAAAGGCTATTTGAATCCCATGACTTCTACAACTAAGTGTACATCTTCATTAAATGAAGAGAAATACATCACCAAGTCCTCACAAAAGGCAATTTCATTAAATAACATCATTCTTCAATGTAGATTTTCTTTTCTAATGTGTGTGATTTAAATCGTAGACAGAAAAATTACATTCTACTATAATGACAGTAATTCTTAGCTATCTGAATTATGTTATTTTATTTCAGAATCGTAACATCATGCATATCTTTGAATAAAAAGAGTTTGTAGCTAAAATGTTTATTATTTATTATTATTGTACCTCTATATTCACGGTTATGTTTATGTGTATGGTACTTCCCAGAATTTAAATGCTATTCCAAAGAGAGTGATTTATAAGCTGACATACACACTTCAGGGAAGGGTGTTTTTTTCTTCTCATGCATTGAAAATACCGTAAAATATTATAATATTTTCCAAAGTACTTTGAAAATAAATTGTAAGCAGAAATCACTATTAAATAGGAAAAGATAAATATCTACACATTAGGCTGACCTATTATCTTTCATTTTAGAACCTTATAAACAGGTTTAATACTGTATCTATATATCATGAATTTTGAAGGTTGTACTCTTTCTGACAGGTATTTTAAAGTTCAATGTCTTATAAAAATTGCCTACACTTTCTATTATTATCCTCCATATATTTTCTTCCTAAAACAATTATTTTTTTGTTTGTATTTATTAAGGCTACCCATAGTCTCTTTGTAGATTTAGAAACTGCTGTACAGAGTACTTGAAAGTGTATGTCAGTTATTGATGATGTGTCCTTTAAAATCCATTGACCTTCTTGTGTTTTGGGTCATCTATTAAATGTTGATATTCATATTTTCTTATTTATACACAATATTGAGTATCTATAAAAATAAATAATAGAATAATTTGTTCATTCATTCATCCAACAATGTATTCAGCACTAATATTAAACATATATATTGCTAGTCAGCATAATACAGTTAGGAATAATTTGTCCAATGCCAAATTAAACCACATACATACACAACTATCTTTAAAATGACAAAGAAATTACAAGTAAGTTCTATGCAAGGAATCTTCTGAAGATGTAAAATAGATACTAATAGCTAAGTATTTGAAATTGTGCGACTTGTAAAAAGAATCCCCCTCAATGTTTCCTTTAGTTGAATATGTCTGTAATTTTTATATGATTATTCATCGAACTTGTTATCTGGAATCCCAGGGCACATCAGATTATAAACAAGCACCTTCAAGAGGCTGGGTATATGGTATTTAATTTTAAATGATCTATTTCATCTGGATGCTAGAGTCACAGTGAAGATGCAAAAAATAACTAATATCTTGACAGTGAGGGAGGATTTAGGACTCAAAAGGAATACAGGCACAAGGTTAAAAAAAAATCCCCGCATTGCTGAAAGCAATTTAATGTAACAACAAATGGCACATTTAAATATAATAATAATTCCGAAGACTATAAACACATATTTAGGGCTCCCGATTCAAGTTATATAATAGCTACTGATAGTGGAAGGAAATGTGTATTTTGCTAAATACAAAAGACATATTTACATTTTAAATAAATATTTACCATAATATTTAATATGTCATTTTTTCAGCAGGTAGCTATGTGGAAAACATATTTTAACATATTTAAAATTTGTCAAAGCTTTAATAAATAATCAAAATAAGTAAATTCAATTAACTAACACTATGTATTTATATATTATTTGGTTTTAAACTAAATTTTAACTTCGGATGACTACTTATTAGCAACTATTCTCATCTTCATTAGCACAACCTATGTTTTCAGTCATTCTGTCAAAAAAAAAATAACCTGAGATCTTCCACCACCTGTGAAATCATCTTTCTTTTTGATGTGCTGTCTGAATCTGCAGGAATTTGAACAATGTATATTCAACAATTTGTACAGAAGTTTCTATGTGAAAACCACAGTTAACTGGCATCATAAATCCAATGTGTTTACAATAATATTTTAGTGTCCCTTTTAAATTAATGCCCTCTGCATCTCCCTTGCTAGCCACCCTGTTAAACTGGCTCAACACAGAATGACTCGGGCAAAGCAACGTCTCATAGGGATAAAACCCATGAGGTTTATCTAGGCATAAATAAATCCAAACAGAACCACTAGGTAACTTTGTCCATGACTCGCATTGGACAATTATAAGTAATTTATAACTAAAGGCTTCTTAAAGACCTTAATTGATAGAATGGAAATTTTTGATAGTATCCACTTTTCAGTTAATTTGTAAGGAGTGTATCAGATGTAGATGTAGAGTATACTGTGCTCAAGAAAATAGTCAAGCTGTGTTCTGTATTTTCTATGATTGAATTTGAGTTGGAATTATGATTTTTTTAATATGCGTTCTAGAATATATAACAGACTATTAAAAAAACATATTTCTGTCATTTTAGAAAGTTTGACTTATAGTCAAGGACTTTTCTTTAGTTAAGTCAGAATCTTAAATGAACAATTAACTACTCAGTCCTTAAATGTTGAAAAATAAAAACTATCCACTCATTAAAATATACGTAGTACATAAGACTATTCTTTTACATTTCAAATACAGAATTAAAAGTGGAAAAATACATATTACATTGTGTTTTGATGACTGAAAAAGGCTTTGAGAAGAAAATGGACTGTAAGTCAACTTCAGAAACAGAATCTTAACTTGAATATATAAAAGAATCAATAGCGAAGCTTGACATGAATCAGGATTTCATATAAGTAGTTCCAGGTTATAAAGCAGAAATCTGAATTTGCTAAGAGCATTGCAGAAGATTCTGCTGCAGATGAACTTCAGTCCACACTCTGGGAGACACTGCTTTAAAAGGTAAGTTAAGCGCACATAAAATATACAATGTAGGATCCATGAAAGGCAGGCATAAAAAACGTGAAACATTTCAGTGTAACAGCAATTCAAAGTATGAGAAGGATTTTAATAGCTATTTCACAGATTAGGTTGATCCAGATCTAGTGTGTCTTGAATGCGCAGCTATGCATCCTGAATTTAATCTTATAGTTCATGGAGAGCTATTTTATTTCTGCAAGAAAATTTTTATTCAGGATGTAATTCAAAATTAATTTCTAAGTATCTCCCTGGTTGGGTATGGAAGAATACATGTGAAGTCAGAAAGATTAGTTAGAAAATCAGAGCAATAGTAAATGAAGGGATGGAATCCTTATCATCACTGGTTTAACGGTAACAAAAAGTAAATACATCACTATGGTTGAAGAAGTGATCAAAGTTGGTGAGAGTTTATTCAGATGTAGAAGGCAAAAAAAAAGGAAGATAACTCACTCTAAAATATAGAGCCCATAAATTTAACGTGTTCCTTATTTTTAAAACAAAAAACTAGGTCCAGTTAAATGAAAAGAATGTCCATTTTAGGCATATTTTTACATCCCAGAGAATAATCCAGAAGAATTGCATTACTATAGTTCGGAAAGTAATTAGGATTAACTACAGGGTTAAAAGTATTTTTCATAAAAATAAGAATCAAAACATCAAGATGAAGTGCTGGTTTTGAATGCATTAGTTGACTTCTACTTTATGTCTATTTTTTTCTGCTTCAGATTAATCTTAAATCTTCCCTATGTAAACCAGCATATCTCTTAGTAAGAAAGAAGAAAGAAAAAAAGAAAGGGAGGGTCGAGGGAAGAGGAGCGGGAGAAAGGGAGAGGGGAAGAAAAGATGCATGTTTATTTTCCTCCACTCACTCCTAAGTTTTATGTTCCCTAAGAGCCTTGTCTCCACAGCACAACTCAGAATCCCCTAGACAGTCATGCAGATAACTGGATGACAGGTGGATATGGTAGTATATTCTGTTTATGAATTGTGCTGTTTATAAATGCCCAGTTTCCACTAACCCAACTTCTGAAAGCAGCTCCCTATTTCTTTTGGAAGCCATCCTGCTCTCATATTCAGTCCATGGGACTTAACTCCACCCCGTAACTCTGCTCAAGCTGTGCATACATAATCCATGCCAGACCAATTAATGCAAGTTACCTTTGAGTCACATTTACTAGTTCACAGATATGTTCATAGCCTAGCTAATGTGACTATATTAGTTTCTCTTAACTGCTGCAAAAAAAAACTAAAACAAACTTCGTCACTTAGAATAACAGAAATTTATTATCTCACAGTTCTAGAGGCCAGAAGTCCAAAATCAGCTGAAATCAAGGTGTCTGCTGGGCTACACTTTCTCCTTTAAGCGGAGAATTTGTTCTTTGCCTCTTACAGTTTTTTTTTGTAGCTGTCTGTATTTGGTGGCTTCTGAAATTATCACTCTAACCTCTGCCTTCAAGACCTCATTACTTTCATTTCTTCTGTATTATAGCTCTCTCAACCCTCCCTCTTATAAGAATGTTTATGTTTGCATTTGGAGCCTATACAATAATCTAGGATAATCTCTCCATCCCAAGATCCTTAACTTAATCACACTTGTAAAGACTTTTCCCTACAAAGTAACAGTCACAAATTTCAGGAACTAGAATATGGACATCTTGGACATCCATTATTTGGACCACCACAGTGACCATTTCCCAATATTTTACTTTAAAATATTTGGGTAGTTGGATCATTTTGGTGTTATGCTTGGAATGATTGGAAGATAGAATGAAGCCTCTATTGTTTCAATTAAATTGTAACTGTTAGAAGAGAATCTGAATGGAAATTCAATCCAGGTACCGAATGAGGAAAAGGAGAAAACAAGCCTGAAATCTGGTAGTGTAATTTTAGCACCAATACGCAGCCATGTCTATCTGAAGTCAACACTATCATTTTAAATTTTCAGAATGACAATTCCTAAATTCCTTGCATTGCTTTGTTACTCCTGCTGCTGCAATTATTTAAGACACTTTGCAATTTAAATATAGATGTTATTGTGCACATGTACCCTAAAACTTAAAGTATAATAATAATAAAATAAAATTTAATAAATAAATAAATAAAAACAACTGCATCCTCTGGGGATGACCAAGCAAAATAAATAAATAAATAAATAAATAAATAAATATAGGTGTTTTACTACTCTGTCTTTGTTTTCAAACAAACTTTCGTGAAGTTTTATTTGCTGGGAACTGATGCTTGTAACCTAGAATTAAGATAATTCAGAAAGAATATTATATGTACATATATGCTTCCAAAACATAAATAAAAGGATTGCCTTTCCCTTCCAATTTGCCTCTCTTTAGTCATCTGCCAACATATCTGGAAATGAAACAGATATAGCTCAATATATTTTTTATTATCTGCTAACTCCTATGCTCAGAAACAAAATAAGCAAATCAATACTGCCTCTTCACTAAATATAGAATGCATGAATCAATACTACCCAGTTCCAGACAATGCAGGCTGCTTAGCTTCATGACACGGTCATGCAGTCAAGAAAGAAACAATCCTACAAGAGAACAAGAGGGTTTATCTTGCCTTTTATTTTATACACATTAATCTGTTTAATTTTTGAAATTTTTTTTCAACCCTCTGAAGAGTAAATCTCAGTATGACTACTATACTTGTTATTGACAAACTGTTATAGCTAGAGTCTCTTGGTGCCTGTGATAGCCAGAATAATGACTCCCAAAGAGGTTCATATCCTAATCCCTGGTATCTGTGACTATGTTATTTTACATGATAAAAGGAATGCATTATTTGTTTAAGTATTTTGAGATGAAAGATCATATTGGATTACCCAAGTGGACTCAATATAATCACTGAAAAAAGATTGGAATATACTACTCTGTTAGTGGTGAAATGGAGGAGGTAGCTGCAAGTCATGGAATGCTTCTAAAAACTGGAAAACACAAGGACTCCCAATGCCTTGAATATGGTTCGCTGAAACCCGCATTTGGACTTCTTTCCTACAGAATAGTAAAATAATTAATGTGTATCATTTTAAGTCAATGAAATTTCACTACTTTGCTACAAAACAGAAAGGAAACTAATACAGCACCCCACCCCAGATCACAGTATAGGTTGGTGTCCCCATTCTTTTGTGGTTGTTGGTGCAGTTAGATACTTAGACTAATGTCTAAGTATTAGACATTGTGTAAACCTTTAGGGAGTGATATGGTTTGGCTGTGACCCCATCCAAATCTCAATTGTATCTCCCAGAATTCCCACGTGTTGTGGGAGGGGCTCAGGAGGAGTAATTGAATCATGTGTGCTGGTCTTTCCTGTGCTATTCGCATGATAGTGAATATGTCTCATGAGATCTGATGGGTTTATCAGGGGTTTCTGCTTTTGCTTCCTCCTCATTTTCTCTTGCCACCACCATGTAAGTGCCTTTCACCTCCTGCCATGATTCTGAGGCCTTCCCAGCCATGTGGAACTATAAGTCCAATTAAACCTTTTTCTTCTTAGTCTCAGGTCTGTTTTTATCAACAGTGTGAAAATGGACTAATATAGTAAATTGGTACCAGTAGAGTGGGGCATTGCTAAAAAGGTACCTGAAAATGTGGAAGCGGCTTTGGAACTGGGTAACAAGCAGAGGTTGGAACAGTTTGGAGGACTCAGAAGAAGACATGAAAATGTGGGAAAGTTTGGAACTTCCTAAAGACTTGTTGAATGGCGTTGTCCAAAATGATGATAATGATATGACAATAAAATCCTGGCTGAGGTGGTCTCTGATGGAGACAAGGAACTTGTTGGGAACTGGAGAAAAGGTGACCCTTGTTACGTTTTAGCAAAGAGACAGGCAGCATTTAGAGACTTGTGGAACTTTGAACTTGAGGGAGATGATTTAGGGTATCTGGGGGGAGAAATTTCTAAGCAGCAAAGCATTCAAGATGTCACTTGGGTGCTGTTAAAGGCATTTAGTTTTACAGGGAATCAGAGCATAGAAGTTTGGAAAATCTGAAGCCTGACTATACAGTAGAAAACAAAAACCCATTTTCTGGGGAGAAATTCAAGCCAGCTGCAGATATTTACATACGTAACAAGGAGCCAAATGTTAATCCCCAAGACAATAAGGAAATGTCTATAGGGCATGTTAGAGACCTTTGAGGCAGGCTCTCCCATCACAGACCCAGAGGTCTAGGAGGAAAAAATGGTTTCATTGGCAGGGCCCAGGGTCCCCATGCTGTGTGCAGTCTATGGATTTGGTGCCCTGCATCCTAGCTGCTCCAGCCATGGCTGAAAGGAGCCAACATAGAGCTTGAGCTGTGGCTTCGAGGGTGCAAGCCTCATCCTTGGCAGCTTCCATATGGTGTTGAGCCTGCAGGTGCACAGAGCCAAGAATTTGGGTTTGGGAACCTCTGCCTAGTATTCACAAGATGTATAGAAATGCCT
This sequence comes from Homo sapiens, assembly GCF_000001405.40. Taxonomy (NCBI): domain Eukaryota; kingdom Metazoa; phylum Chordata; class Mammalia; order Primates; family Hominidae; genus Homo; species Homo sapiens. Next base: position 96,288,992 of record NC_000003.12, read on the forward strand.
GAATGCCCAGACAGAAGTTCGCTTCAGGAGCAGACCTCACATGCAGAATCTCTGCTAGGGCTGTGCAGAAGGGAAATGTGGGGTTGAAGCTCCCACACAGAGTCCTACTGGGCACCACCCACTGGAGTTGTGAGAAGAAGGCCACCATCCTCCAGACCCCAGAATGGTAGATCTACCTACAACTTGCACTGTGCACCTGGAAAAGCCACAGACACTCAACACCAGCCTGTGAAAGCAGCCAGAAGGTGGCTGTACCCTGCAAAGCCACAGAGGTGGAGCTGCCCAAGACCATGGGAACCCACCTCTTGCATCAGCATGACCTGGATTTCAGACATGGAGTCAAAGGAGATCATTTTGGAGCTTTAAGATTTGACAGCCCTGCTGGATTTTGGACTTCAGTGGGGCCTGTAGCCCCTTTGTTTTGGCCAATTTCTCCGATTTGAAATGGCTGTATTTACACAATGCCTGTACCCCCATTGTATATATGAAGTAACTAACTTGCTTTTGATTTTACAGTCTTATACATGAAAGCATTTGCCTTGTCTCAGATGAGACTTTGGACTGTGGACTTGGAGGTTAATGCTGAAATGAGTTAAGACTTTGGGAGACTGTTGGGAATGCATGATTGGTTGTAAAATGTGAGGACATGAGATTTGTAGGGGCCAGGGGTGGAATGATATGGTTTGGCTGTGTCCCTACCCAAATGTCTACTTGAATTTATCTCCCAGAATTCCCATGTATTGTGGGAGGGACCCAGGGGGAGGTAATTGAATCATGGGGGACAGTCTTTCTCATGCTATTCTTATGATAGTGAGTAAGTGTTATGAGATCTCATGGATCTATCGGGGGTTTCTGCTTTTGCTTCTTCCTCATTTTTCTCTTGCTACCTCCCTGTAAAAAGTGTCTTTCACCTCCTGCCATGATTCTGATGCCTCCCCAGCCATGTGGAACTGTAAGTCCAATTAAACCTCTTTTTCCTCCCAGTCTCGGGTGTGTCTTTATCAGCAGCATAAAAACAGACTAATACAGAGAGATATCCTCTGGTGATCAAAGCTGCCTAGCCCTCTGGTCCTGGCACTTATGCTGGTAGCAAAACTGGTAGCAAAACTATGCAGGCACTAACTCACTAGAGTGGAGATATATATGGCCCACTTCCCTGTCACATTTGTGAACCAAATCAACAGTTCAAATTGCATTCCAGATTTCTCCATGAACTCAGCTAGACTTTACCTCAAAATACATTTTTGCATGGCTCCTTTGCCTTCTGTATCCTGCTTCTCTCACTCTTTTACCTGTTCTCTAGGGAACATTCATTCAATAAAACACTAGCATCCAATTACCCAACTCAAGTTCTGCTTTAGGAGAACCACCCAAAACAAATGCAAATTACCCCATTTTTTGGTCTTACATAGGTCAATGTCTCTTCACAGACACTCTTTCTTTTATTCTTAGAACACTCCAAAAGCTAGGTAAGGCAAGACATTATTATGCTTTCAACATTTTCACCAAATTCAAACAAAAGGCTAAATAGGTTTTATAAGCTATTATTTTCTTTTTCTTTATATCTAACTAGATAATTCTTTAGCCAATTATAATATTATGTATATAGTTACTTTTGCCAATGTTTGTTCAATCTTTGCTTAGAATAACTACACACTATACACTATATAACTTTCAAATGTGGCAACTATGACTGCTGCTTTGGTGGTTCAGTGGTAGAATTCTCAAGTGTGGCAACTTTTTACATCAATTTTGAGAAAACTTATGAATAAAATTTGTCAACACCACTTGATAACTGTGAAAATACTTAGTGTTCTTTAACAATATGAGTTCTGTTAAAATCACTTAGAAAGTCTCTTTATCCTCTATTAGCATCAAAATTGCTTTATAGAAAAAATTACCTACATATTCAGCACTTATATTAGAACTGGTAGTCTTAGCATTCATGGAAACAAAAAAATTGGTAGTTTTCAAAGATGAGTGGACTCATTTTCAGAAATACAGAATTACTAAAATATAGATGATTTAATACATATCAACTAATATTTTCAAAAAGGAAAACAGGCCAGGTGTGGTGGCTCATGCTTGTAGTCCCAGCACTTTGGGATGCCAAGGCAGACAGATCACCTAAGGTCCGGAGTTCAAGACCAGACTGTTCTACATGGTGAAACCCCACCTCTACTAAAAACACAAAAAATTAGCCTGGCGTGATAGCACGTGCCTGTAATCCCAGCTACTGGAGAGGCTGAGGCAGGATAGTCTCTTGAACCCAGGAGGCAGAGGTTGCAGTGAGCCAAGATTGTGCTACTGCACTCCAGCATGGGCGACAGAGCAAGACTCTGTCTCAAAACCAAAAACAAGCAAACAAAAAAGGAAAACAATACAGTGTATTGAAGAAGACTTGATTCAATAGAAAAAAAATTTGTCCACCAAATATTAAGGGTAAAAGTTAAAGAATATTAGAATGTCAGTTTTCGTTACTGGTGTTATGTGAAAAATAATACTTGTGTTGCTAGTTACAGCAATAAGCAAAAGGAATAGTAGAGTACATTTAATTACTTGACCATTGTCACAAATAATTCTGTGATAAGACTAGATTAAAACTCATATTAAATGTTGAATTAAATTAGAAAATATTAGATATGGAATAAAAGACTTCACATTTTTAGTATTTTGCATTGGCGAACAAAGCAGAGGTGATCATATGCAGAAAGTTTTAATCTGGGATTATTGACTTTACTATGATGAAATTACAAAGTACTAACCAAAATAAAATAAATTATTGTTAAAGGATATTATTGCATTCCTTCACACACAAGCAAGTTTTGGAGTTTGCGTACAGTATTTAAAAAAGTATCAAAATTTATTTATTCAGAAGAAAGTTAACAAATGGAATAAAAAAGGAGAAAGATTTTATTAGCTCAAAAAATTAAAAAACCAAATAAAATAATGTGTCCCTATTACAACAGTTTTAGTTGAAATTCCTGAGACATGAGAATAAGCAGGAATTACAGGAATTATGTAGAAATTAACTCAATTTAGTCATGTTGTTTAAATTCATAGATGCAAGCAATAGTAAATGTTGACAGTTCAGGGTTTTTTATTCTTTATTTTTCTTTTTTGTACTTCTTCCTTTCTTTAATTTCTGCCTGAAACTCTCCTTTCTGCCTTCAACTCTCCTTTCTGCCTTCCTATTTTGAAATCCCAAATGGGAGAAAAAATATTGTCTCAAAGGTAAAACAATTTCAAGATTGCATATCATCTTTTATGAAAAAAATAATTTGCATTAAAAACATTTAAGTGTGTTTTAAAATACAGCAAAACAATACACAGAAATGCTGAAATTCCTTGACAAATAGAAATGCTTCAAAGGATAGTATTTAATAAATACTAAATTGATAAAATCTGTTAATAACACTGATAATAACCAACTTGATATATTCTACCTATATATTTAGAATGTTAATTAGATAACAGAACCATGTTGGTATAGTGAGACCTTTACAAGAAAATTATGATTTCTCTCAAGCAATTATTTTTAATAATAGATTCCTTGTTTCTCATTTTTTATGTGTACTTGAGTACTTCTTTTATTGTTTTCCTGCTGGAGACTCGATTATGCTGGCAGCTTTATATATTTCTTTGTATTGTTAAGGCAGACACAATGTTTTATGCTTATATATGGAAATGACTCTGAATATAGGTTAAGAGGCTGTTTTAGTGCTGTTTTAGAACACTCCCAAAACTAAGCAAGACAAGACATTGTGCCTTCAACCATCAGCACTGGGGATGTGCTCTAATAAAGTATTCTTTAAATATAACTGTTAAGGTATATTTTCTCCTTTTATACTACTTAATTTCTCTTTACAATAAGAACCTTTTGTTTTAATTTTCTAGGACAAATAATAAAATCGCTGTTTAGATTCCAGGTTTTTTTTTTATCAGAATACAACAAAATGGAATGTGTAATGTCCATTGAATATTCTCCAGCTAGTGTTCAGCTTGTCTGGAGCCCTTGAATACAAATATTCTGTGGAAGATGGACAAAATTGTAAGTAGTGCCAAAATATCCCTAGAATTTTTCCAGTGTTTCTATCTATGGAGAGTAGAGAGTATTACTACAGGACTTCCAGGTTCGTATGCCCACTGCATAGCAATAAACTGTGAGCAGGGTTGCAGCAGAGAAAGCGATTAATGATCACAAGGTGCCCAGCGAGGAAATGGGAGGAATTCTCAAGCCTCAAATCCATTTCATTGAGGGGTTCTGGGGAAGGGTTTTTAATGGGATTTGTGAAGGGTGAGGGGCTGGAAAATTTGGGGTCATAAATTGGTCAGGTAGGGGGAAGAAATTGTCAGAATGTGGTAACTGCATCTATGAGTTAGATTTTTACTGGGCCCATTAGACCAGCTGCTGTCTGTCAGTATCCAGAACCTACAGAAGAAGCTCAAACAGAGGGTTTATTGTCCCACACTGTCTTAGATTTTACTTATAGAACCAAAAAACAAAAAACAAACAAACAAACAAACAAAAACAAAGAGTTTTGTGACAAGTGCCACGTGATCCTGGGGTAGTAAACAATAAGCAACAGGGAAGTAGATCAAAAGGCAAGCTGGTTTAATGATTGCTACTATAAGCCTGGTGGATTCTTATTTTTTCTTTAATTGATTTTATAACTTTTTCCTGAGGAGATTTCAAAGACAATGTTAAAACGAACATTCATCAGATCTAAGTTGGTTTTCTGAAAGTTGGTTTGGAACAGTAAAGGCATTGAAAAGCTTCCAACATTGCATAATTACAAAACTTTTGAAAAAATGTTTTAAAAGTAACAAAAAGAAACTTTGAATGCTTTCTTTCTTTTTTTTATATATTTTTTTTTTATTTAGATAGAGTTTTGCGCTTGTTGCCCAGGCTGGAGTGCAATGGCGCTGTCTTGGCTCACCGCAACCTCTGCCCCCAGGGTTCAAGAGATTCTCCTGCCTCAGCCTCCTGAATGGCAGGGATTATAGGCATGCACCATCACGCCTGGCTAATTTTGTATATTTAGTAAAGACAGGGTTTCTCCATGTTGGTCAGGCTGGTCTCCAACTCCCGACCTCAGGTGATCTGCCTGCCTTAGCATCCCAAATTGCTGGGATTACAGGCATGAGCCACCACGCTCGGCCTCAATGCTTATTCTTATGTTGGAACCTCTTTTAGTGAGCTCGGGCTACTATAATAAATGCCATAGACTCACTGGCTTAAATAACAAACATTTATTTCTCATTCATCTGGAGGCTGTACATTTAAGGTCAGAGTTTCAACATAGTGGGGTTCAAGTGAAGCCTCTCCTTCCAGCCTGTAGGTGGCCACCTTCTCTCTCTGTCTTCACATGGTGGAGCGAGAGAAAGCATCTTTTGCACACCTCTTCTTGTAAGGACACTAATGCCATTCACAAGGGCTCCACCCTCATGACCTAATTACCTCCCAAAGGCTCTACCTTCAAATACTATCACATTAGAGATCAAGGCTTCAATACATAAATTTAGGAGGACACAGATATTCAGTTCACAGCACAGTATTTCCTTTATTCATGCATTTTTTTATTAGTACAGTCTCACGAGGAACAAGAAATGAACATGTTTCAACTATGCCATTTTAAATGTTTCATTTAATCAGTCAATGTTATGTCTACACAATGAAGAATATCTAAAGTATATGGCTTCTGTACCGTGGGAGTAGGAAAATGTATAAGCCAAAATTGAAATACCTGTACTACAAACCAGATAATACAAAGCAATCTGATGCACATAATTTTAACCTAGGTTTGAATCTTGCACATTTCTCTAGCTTATATTACAGGGAAACCTCAGAGTCTAGCCTCTGATTGCTAAAATTTTTCCGGCCTCTGAAGGGAGAATTGGCTCCCTTCTCTTCTGAATGTCTCTCGAAGTATTTAAATTACAAATTATTCTGCACTGCTACATCATCCATTTCTCTCATCTATTTCCATCTTCCAAAATTGTGTTGATATCTTCTCTTCAGTGCTGCCTACGCTGGAGATTTGAAGATAAGATGGAAATAAAGACAAGTTTAACTAGAGGTCTATATTTTTAAACAATGGGCAAATTCAATAAAGAATGTTGGATGGATTGAGATGAGCAAATTTTGATATTTATACCAAAATATGTCCCTCTCACTGAATTTTTAAAATTATTTCACAAAGTTAAAATACTTATGAAGAAGCATGAATTCAACTAAAGATATAAACTATGTCTACAATATACACAGCCTGATTTTCAAGCCAGAAACTTGAAAAATTTTTATTATAAACAAAACATATATCTATTTAGTTTATACATAAACTAAGTTTATGTGTGTGTGTGTGTATAGAGATAACATAAATATTTAGTATGCTACAATTCTTTAGGCAATATTTAGATAATATCACGTAACATAACTAGTATTACTTAAATTATAAAATGATAATTACTTAGTATAATATCTGTATAGTTTTATTTTTACACTTTTCTCCAAGTAATTACTTTTAAAATATAGTGTCAGTTTGACACTTATTCTTGGAATAGCTACAATAACAAAAGTAACTGTCAGCAGATTATATTAAAATAAAGAGGCTTAACAGAAAACAGTGTATAAACATAACATGTTTATAATTCCTTAATAATTCTCTATTTTTAGAAGGTACTCATCTCAGCTACAGTTGTTGCATCCTTCATTTTTTCTGGACAATGTAGAAGACATCAGGTGTTATCTTTGTTTTCTTCACAGGCCACAGCATCCTAGCTTTCCAAGAAAAACGTTTCTCCCGGCTGAGTGCCATGGCTCACGCCTGTAATCCCAGCACTTTGGGAGGCCGAGGCAGGTGGATCACGAGGTCAGAAGATTGAGACCACCCTGGCCAACACGGTGAAACCCCATCTCTACTAAAAATACAAGAAAGAAAAATTAGCTGGGTGTGTGGCGGACGCCTGTAGTCCCAGCTACTCAGGAGGCTGAGGCAGGAGAATTGCTTGAACCCAGGAAGCAGAGGTTGCAGTGAGCCGATATCTCGCCACTGCACTCTAGCCTGGGCAATAGAGCAAGACTCCATCTCAAAGGAAAAAAAAAAAAAAAGCAAAACATCTCTCCCTTGAATTGATAGGAAAACTTTGGATCAAAATAATTAAAACAGACTGATAACTAGAAATCAAGAATTTGCTTGAGTATCAATGCAGCACCCTTACACTGGTGGCTGTTTTCCTATATGCTCCTGTTTTGAACTGCTGTGCCTTCCCTTTCCAGGAATTTGGTATCTCCTCAGTAATGGCACTTGCCTTGTCAGGTCTTGATTATGGTTCACTGTTTAAAATAAGGTAAAGGTAAGCTGTCTTTGTTACTCTTGTTAAAGCAGTTTTAGTTTAATTTTCTTTTTCTATGACTTTGCCTGCTCATAAAAAATGATGCTATATGTTTCCATTGGCACCTTATTTTTACCCATAAATATTCCACGTTTACTTTTTTCCTCATCCTCTGACTGCTAACTCTCAGATGAGTATTACATTATTTCAGTTTAACTACCTCACAGATGATCAAGGTTAATCTGACTAAAATAAATACTTGAATAGGTAAACAAAAATTAATCAGTTATTCAAAATCCATCATACAAATTTGAATATTTAAATACTGATGTTTGAATGTCTGAATGATTTTTAAATATTTTAATAATAAATTATAATTTCACATTGATAAAAATATACATTAAGAAGTCTTTTTAGTTTGATTTAATGAACGGCAAAGTGACATCAGTATTAGAGAGATAATAAATGCTTATTGTATTCCAATCAAAAGTTAACTTTTATTAACAGTATTCTTGCTACCCCTCCAAATAATTCTGCAAGTGTTTATGTTCTTGAAATATGCCACGTATATGTTAGGTCTTAGATTATAGCCATCCATAAACAAATATGCTTGCTCTCATGAAGACCTTGTCCTGGTGTTAAATAATATTAATTTGAAACAACGTAAGTAGCAGACTTTTTGTTAGCATTTTTTGGTTGTGTCAATTTTTGCATTTAACCATGAAAAGTTATATCATGAAAATCCTGATCACTAGTAACTTTTAAGCATAAGTGAGTCAAAATTAGGCAGAATATATTTGATTTAGATTTCATATTTAAAGAAAACCTGAAATAAGCAGCATTTTTATAAAAATATATTGATCACCTAGCAAAAAGAGAAGCTTTGCAACAATTCCTTAGCTAAAGATGCTTTTGGCAAAGTAAAATTGGAGAAAAATTCTTTCGTCATGTAGAGTTTATTATTGATTTCTTTTGTCAGTCTTCTGAGTAGATTTTTCTCCAGCCTCCACAAAGCAATTATTGGTATCAAAGGGATTTCTTTTGATGCCAAAAGTCAGCTATCAAACATATGGCTTTGCCATGTAAATGTGTAATTAACTTTTTTCCCTAAAGAATCAAGAAAAAATGTAGCAGCAGCTACTGTATATTTTTAAGCTTTTATGAATTCTAGAATATTTGAAGAAAATGCATCTGACAAATTATGCATTTCTATTAGTAGTGAGAGGTGAAGCCAGCTGGGCTTCTGGGTCAGGTGGGGACTTGGAGAATTTTTGTGTCTAACTAAAGGATTGTAAATGCATCAATCAGTGCTTCGTGTCTAGCTAAAGGATTGTAAACACACCAATCAGCACTCTGTAAAATCTCACCAATCAGCACTCTGTGTCTAGTTAAAGGACTGTAAACGCACCAATCAGCACTCTGTAAAATGGACCAATCAGCACTCTGTAAAATGGGCCAATCAGCAGGACGTGGGAGGGGCAAAATAAGGGAATAAAAGCTGGCCACCCCAGCCAGCAGTGGCAACCCACCTGGGTCCCCTTCCACACTGTGGAAGCTCTGTTCTTTCACTCTTCACAATAAATCTTGCTGCTGCTCACTCTTTGGGTCGGCACCACCTTTAAGAACTGTAACACTCACCACAAGGGTCTGCAGCTTCATTCCTGAAGTCAGTGAGACCACGAACCCACCAGAAGGAAGAAACTCTGGACACATCTGAACATCTGAAGGAACATACTCCGGACACACCATCTTTAAGAGCTATAACACTCACTGCGAGGGTCTGTGGCTTCATGCTTGAAGTCAGCGAAACCAAGAACCCTCTGGAAGGAATAAATTCTGGACACATTTTGGCAACCACAAAGGGATTTTTGCTTATCGCCAAGCAGTGAGTACCGTCAGACCCCTTTCGCTTGCTATTCTGCCCTATTTTTCCTTAGAATTCAGGGGTTAAATACTGGGCACCTGTTGACCAGTTAAAAGCGACTAGCTTGGCCACTGGACTAAAGACATGGGTGTCAGGCTTTCTGGGAAAGGGCTCTCTAACAACCCCTGACTCTTGAGGGTTGGGAGCTTTGGTTTGCCTGGAACCAGCTTCCACTTTACCTGTACTTCTGGGCTGAGCCAAGGGTTGACAGAGAGGAAAGCCATTCAGCTCCAGGGTCCTGACAGCAAGTTGGTTGACCCCGCAGCCATGAGTGGAACTCTCAAAGTCATATCGCCCAAGCAAGACTCGCCCATCTCTCCTATCTATCCTGACCCTTGCCTCCTGGGTCCTAATGCCTGTCAAACAAACTTCCTCTTGCCTCTCTTCTCTGAGGCTAGTCCCACTTCTAAAAACCACTCCCTGTCTCTGGTGCTTTTCTAGTTTATCCTATAAGAATGATTTCTAGTATAAACTCCAGGACTCTATTCCCTTCTTTAGGCACCTGGGCTCACCAATCAGAAAGACATAATTTTTGACCAAAGCCCAGTCACAGGGGGGACTGTCTGGAATTTTAGGATCCCTCCTCAGACAAGCAGCCCTAACAAAAGCTATTCCTGAAGCTAGGATATGGGGAGCTTCAGAAATGGTATCTTTCCTATTCATATAAGTGAAGACAAAAAGGCATCACTCTTCCAACTCTGGAGATCCTTCCCTCCCTCAGGGTATGGCCCTCCACTTCATTTTTGGGGCATAACATCTTTATAGGACAGTAGTAAGTTCCCAGTACTAACAGGAGAACACTTGGGGCTCAAACAGGTTTTTGAGAATGCATTGGTAAGGGCCACTAAATCCGACCTTTCTCAGTCCTCCTTGTGGTCTAGGAGGAAAACTAGTGTTTCTGCTGCTGCATCAGTGAGCACAACTATTTCTATCAGCAGGGTCCAGGGACCGTTGCAGGTCCTTGGGCAAGAGATGTTTCTGCTGCTGTGTCAGTGAGCACAACTATATCGATCAGCAGGGTCCAGCTACCATTTTGGGTTCCTGGGCAAGAGGTGTTTCTGCTGCTGCATCAGTGAGCACAACTATTCTGATCAGCAGATTCCAGGAACCATTGCGTGTTCTTGGGCAAGAGGTGTTTCTGCTGCTGTGTTGGTGAGCACAACTATTCTCATCAGCCAGGTACAGGGACCATTGTGGGTTCTTGGGCAGGGGGAGAAACCAAACAAACCAAAACCATGGGAGCGTTTTTCTTTCAGATGGGAAACGCTCAGGCATCAACAGGCTCACCCTTGAAATGCATCCTAAGCTATTGGGACCAATTTGACCTGCAAACCCTGAAAAAGAGTTGGCTCATTTTTTCTGCACTATGGCCTGACCCCAATATTCTCTCTCTGATGGGGAAAAATGGCCACCTGAGGGAAGTATAAATTGCAATACTATCCTGCAGCTTGACCTTTTCTGTAAGAGGGAAGGCAAATGGAGTGAAATATCTTATGTCCAAGCTTTCTTTTCAATGAAGGAGAATCCACAACTATGCAAAGCTTGCAACTTATATCCCATAGGAGGACCTCTCAGCTTACCCCATATCCTAGCCTCCCTATAGCTCCCCTTCCTATTAATGATAAGTGTCCTCTAATCTCCCCCACCCAGAAGGAAATAAGCAAAGAAATCTCCAAAGGACCGCAAAAACCCCCGGGCTATCTATTACGTCTCCTTTAAGCTGTAGGGGGAGGGGAACTTGGCCCAACCTGGGTACATGTCCCTTTCTCCCTCTCTGACTTAAGGCAGATCAAGGCAGACCTGGGGAAGTTTTCAGACAATCCTGATAGGTACATAGATGTCCTACAGGGTATAGGGCAAACTTTTGATCTCACTTGGAGAGATGTCATGCTATTGTTAGATCAAATCCTGACCTTTAATGAAAAGAATGCAGCTTTAGCTGCAGCCTGAGAGTTTTGAGATATCTGGTATCTTAGTCAAGTAAATGATAGAATGACAGCTGAAGAAAGGGACAAATTCCCTACCGGTCAGCAAGCCATCCCCAGTATGGATCCCCACTGGGACCTTGCCTCAGATCATGAGGACTGGAGTCATAAACATCTGTTGACCTGTGTTCTAGAAGGACTAAGGAGAATTAGGAAAATCCCATGAATTATTCAATGATGTCCATCAAAACTCAGGGAAAGGAAGAAAATCCTTCTGCCTTCCTCGAGCGGCTACGAGAGGCCTTAAGAAAATATACTCCCCTGTCACCCGACTCACTCGAGGGTCAATTGATCCTAAAAGATAAGCTTATTACCCAATCAGCCGCAGATATCAGGAGAAAGCTCCAAAAGTGAGCCCTGGGTCCTGAACAAAATCTGGAGGCATTATTAAACCCGGCAACCTTGGTGTTCTATAATAGGGACCAAGAGGAACAGGCCCAAAAGGAAAAGCGAGATCAGAGAAAGGCTGGAGACTTAGTCCTGGATCCCAGACAAACAAACCTTGGTGATTCAGAGAGGACAGAAAATGGAGCAGGCCAATCACTCAGCAGGGCTTGTTATCAGTGTGGTTTACAAGGACACTTTAAAAAAGATTGTCCAGTGAGAAACAAACTGCCCCCTCATCCATGTCCACTATGCCAAGGCAATCACTGGAAGGTACACTGCTCAAGAGGACAAAGGTTCTCTGGGCCAGAAGCCACTAATCAGATGATCCAACAACAGGACTGAGGGTGCCTGGGGCAAGTGTCAGCTCATGTCATCTCCCTCACCGAGCCCCGGGTACATTTAACCATTGAGGGCCAGGAAATTCACCTCTTCCTGGACACTGGCGTGGCTTTTTCAGTGTTATCTCCTGTCCTGGATAGCCGTCCTCAAGGTCCATTACCATCCAAGGAATCCTGGGACAGCCTGTAACCAGGTATTTCTCCCACCTCCTCAGTTGTAACTGGGAAAATAGCAGCATAAGTGGCTGGCGGAGGCAGGGAAAGACCAGCAGAAAGGAAAGAAAGAGGAAGTCAGAGAGAAAGAGACAAAGAAGAAGTCAAAAAGAAGAGAAAGAAAAAGAGATGGAAGTAGTAAAGAAAAAACAGTGCTATTCCTTTAAAAGCCAGGGTAAATTTAAAGCTATAATTGATAATTGAAGGTCTTCTCTGTGACCCTATATCACTGCAATACCACCTTGTTGTCAGTGTAAACAAGGGCATAGCCCAAAAGCACTGAGGCCACTGACAAATCAAAAGTTGGCTTCCCATCAAAAGTCCTTAACCCAGCAGTTTTCCTAACAGGGGATCTAAATCTTAATTAATTACCAAACAAAGGTCCAACCAGACCTAGGAGGAACTCCCTTCAGGACAATAGATGGTTCCTCCCAGGTGATTAAGGGAAAAAGACACAATGAGTATTCAGTAAGTGAGAAGGAAACTCTTGTAGAAGTAGTTAGGAAAATTGCCTAATAATTGTTCTGCTCAAAAGTGTGAGTTGTTTGCACTCAGCCAAACCTTAAACTACTCACAAAATCAGGAAGGAGTCATCTATACCAATTCTAAGTTAATATGAACTGAACAAGGTCTTATTAATGGCAAAGAATAATTGAAATCCCAAACTTACAAGGTTTTCAACAAAAGTAAAGTTTGCTAAAATTTAACAGTGTAACATGTATTATCCTACTACCACACACTCTCAAAGGATTTCTCAGACAGTTTGCAAGAAATAATGAAATCTATCCTTACTCTATAATCCCAAATAGACTCTTTGTCAGCAGTGATTCTCTAAAACCACCGAGGCCTAGACCTCCTCACTGCTGAGAAAGGAGGGCTCTGCACCCTCTTAGGGAAATAATTTTGTTTTTACACTAACCAGTCAGGGATAGTACAAGATGTCACCTGGCATTTACAGGAAAAGGCTTCTGAAATCAGACAACACCTTTCAAACCCTTATACCAAACTCTGGCATTGGGCAACATGGTTTCTCCCCTTTCTAGGTCCCATGGCAGCCATCTTGCTATTACTTACCTTCAGGCCCTGTATTTTTAACCTCCTTGTCAAATTTGTTTCCTCTAGGATTGAGGCCATCAAGCTACAGATGATTTTACAAATGTAACCCCAAATGAGCTCAACTAACAACTTCTACCGAGGACTCCTGGACCAACCCACTGGCCCTTTCACTGGCCTAAAGAGTTCCCCTCTGGAGGACACTACAACTGCAGGGCCCCTTCTTCACCCCATCCAGCAGGAAGTAGCTAGAGAGGTCATCGGCCAATTCCCAACAGCAGTTGGGGTGTCCTGTTTAGAGTGGGGATTGAGAGGTGAAGCCAGCTGGGCTTCTGGGTTGGGTGAGGACTTGGAGAACGTTTTTTCTAGCTAAAGGATTGTAAATGCACCAATCAGCACTCTGTAAAATGGACCAATCAGCAGGACATGGGTGGGGCCAAATAAGGGAATAAAAGCTGGCCACCCCAGCCGGCAGTGGCAACCCGCTCGGGTCCCCTTCCATGCTGTGGAAGCTTTGTTCTTTCACTCTTCACAGTAAATCTTGCTGCTACTCACTCTGGGTCCACAACCAAAAAGCTGTTAACACTAAGCACAAGGGGCTGCGGCTTCATTCCTGAAATCAGCAAGACCACGAACCCACCAGAAGGAAGAAACTCTGGACACATCTGAACATCTGAAGGAACAAACTCTGGACACACCATCTTTAAGAGCTGTAACACTCACCACGAGGGTCCACAGCTTCATTCTTGAAGTCAGCGAGACCAAGAACCCACCAGAAGGAATAAATTCCAGACACAGTAGGTCTCTTCATGGTCCAGTTATTTGGGTTATGAAGAGAAAGTCTTTATTGTAAAAGCTTCCATTATACTGCAATGGAAATATATTATAATAAAAAGAATAAGTCCATATGCCATGAATTGGCAACATCTGTTCCACCTCCATTCTATGGGATATGAAGGAATAGTACATGGAGCACCTTGATACATAGTAAGATGTTAAGGAATAGCATAACTACAAAAATCACATTCTTTATAGTGACATAATTAAATCTGATGGCAGAGCGACAAGATATTAAATCCACATATTATAATTATCTGAAAGTTAAAACTTCAGTCAAATAGTAGTGTGTATGTGTATGTATTAAAACAACATCAATTTATTTGAGTTATTTTACTGAATTAGCAAGGTGTACCAAAATATCAACAATCTTTGTAAGGGCATATGTTTGAAACTTAACATCAGTCAATTAAAAAAAAAAAAAAAGCTAACCTAGACTATACATAGGGACTTTATCATGTAATGCAATAGGTAAAATTGTATACCTAATTAAACACAATACTCCATGAAATATAGAAAAATATATATTATGCTTTTTTTAATGAAGTAGCTTTTTCCTGTTTCAACATAATTTTCACTTACCTAATGGTAACTATAAAGTTGTGTCAGTGATTAAAGGCACAAATTTGAGGACAGAAGCCAGGAATCAAATTCAAATTTTACCATTCACTAATTGTATAACTTAAACATTCTAGGCCAAAACTTAATCATCAACCCTATGTATGATTGCAAATTTATCATGCTAAGTGCTTATAAACACAACTAGCACTCCACAAATAGTCAATAAATATTAGCTGTAATAGTTTCAGCTGTAGGGGACATGGGTTCAGTAAGAATGAACAAGATAATATCTTTGCTAGATTTTATAAAAGCATAATATATAATATATATTTTTTATAAAAGCATAAATTATAAAGATGTTTAGTATCAGTTGTAGGAGTTTTGATTCTTTGTAAGACAACTAGTCATCATAGAATATTTTAGGTTAGGCAAATTTGACCTGATATTAGAAAATAAAATTCAGTGAATTGATAGGAAAACTTTGGATTAAAATAATTAAAAGGGACTGATAACTAGAAATCAAGAATTTGCTTAAGTATCAAAATACTGTTAGAGGCAATAAGGACTTTCTTCAGGAAGCAAAGAGAATGGAAAGCAGGGTTGAGGTTTGTCTGCACCAGAATGCACAAGATTTGATGACTGGAAGTAAATGAAAGAGCCAAATATGAGGACCTCAAGGTTCAGTAATTAGAAAAACAGTAACGTATTAACAGAATCAGAAAGACCTAAAAAGAAAAGAAAAGAAGAAAAGAAAAGAAAGAAAAGAAAAAGAAAACCTAGGCTAAACGGAAAGGAATAAAGATTTAAGTAAAATGTTGGTATCCTCTCAGTTCCTTGATCATATACCATTTAATAACTGTTCAAACATATATTAAACACTGAAAAATGAAAAAAAGGGAAAAAAGCAAGTTATGAAATTTACTCTATAAAGTTAAATACTTTAAAAGGTTAAGGTGGAGAAGGATGGAGAAAATGTCATTGTAAATGGATACTTAAAATGTGATGATTGAGACCCTTAAAGTGGTTTCAGTTGTCTGATAATAATGAAACAATATTAAACAGAGAGGATGTGATGAAAAAGAAAAATTAGTGTTTATATTTTAAGGAACTATTTGATAATTACAGTAATTTAAAAACATTGTAAAAAAAGTGGAAGAGAAGCCACTTACAGTGTGAAGGAAGACAAACATAAAACGGGAAGAAGTAAAAATGATATGGAGGGACACTGACACAGGGGAGGCATTGGTACTTCAAAATAGGCTCAATTTTTTTAAAAAAATAGAGAGTTTATGTTATGAATACTTCTAAGTAAAATATGAGTTAACCTATAAAAAAGAAAAATCAGACACTATAGGTTTAGTAAACTAAAGTGTGTGCTAAAACAAATGGAAGAGATGGATATGTTGGAAGGGCATTGAACCAGAAAACCTAGAATCAATTTAGCACAAAGCTTTGTTCGAACATTTCTGCAAGATCAAGTAAGAGGAAAATATATTACATTACAAAATACTCATTTTCTTTTCTTTTTTTCTTTTTTTTTTTTTTTTTTTTTTTTTTTTTTGACAGAGTCTCACTCTGTCACCCAGGCTGGAGTGCAGTGGTGCGATCTCAGCTCACTGCAACCTCTGCCTCCCAGGTTCAAGTGATTCTCCTGCCTCAGCCTCCCAAGTAGCTGGGATTACAGGCGCCCGTCACCATGCCCAGCTAATTTTTATATTTTTGGTAGAGACAGTGTTTCACCATGTTGGCCAGGATGGTCTTGATCTCTTGACCTCGTGATACGCACGCCTCTGCCTCCCAAAGTGCTGGGATTACAGATATGCGCCACCACACCTGGACAAAATGCTCGTTCTCTAATGAGAGGGCATTCCAGTTTTGCAATGGGAAATATTGGTTTATTTCTTTCATTAATATCTCTGAGTAATTCATGATATTAATTGTTCTGTAAGGGATTCTTTGAACAATATAGTTTTAATAAAATTCAATATCATCATAATAAATAAAAATTCTGTTAGGGTATTCTTACAAATAATAAAATGTTCTCTTCCAGGTATAACGTGTCTACTGAATCTTTATTGAGAGCCAAGTAATTCAAGTCATAAACTACCAATTGGTGGCTGGATTACTGAAACATGGATTCTCAAGATTTTATTTTATTTTATTTGCATGAAGCCTTGTGTATTAGTCAGGGTTCTCCAGAGGGACAGAATTAATAGGATAGATGTATACATAAAGGGGAGTTTATTAAGGAGTATTAACTCACATGGTCACGAGGTAAGGTCGTCTGCAAGCTGAGCAAGGAAGCCAGTCTGAGTCCTAAAGCTGAAGAACTTGGAGTCTGATGTTCGAGGGCAGAAGGCAGCCAGCATGAGAGAAAGATGTAGACTCAGAGGCTAAGCCAGTCGAGTATTTTCACCTTCTTCTGCCTGCTTTTATTCTAGCTGAGCTAGCAGCTGATTAAATTGTGCCCACCCAGATTGAGGGTGGGTCTGCCTTTTCCAGTCCACTGACTCAAATGTTAATTTCCTTTGGCAACATACTCACAGACACACCCAGGAACAATATTTTGCATTCTCCAATCCAATCAAGTTGACACTCAGTATTAACTATCACATCTTGTTTGTGACAGAAGATATAAGAAAGAGATCTGTGTGTGTGTGTTTTAGAAAATTAGAGGAAATGGACAAGAGAGAAGAAGTTTACTTAGCTGAGCCCCATAGACTAGTGTCTATTCCCCAAGGAGAAATTGATTGCAGTAGAGTTTCAGTAGCCATTTTCATAAACTTAAGAGTAAAATATGGGTACAAAAGCATGCTGACTACATATCAAATTGACTTAGTATGACATGGAATAAAGAAGATAGGCATTTTGCTCACTTATTCATGAACTATTCCACATCCATTCTGATGTATTGGTAGAAATACTTACCAGAGCAGCTGCAAAGAAGTTATTATGCTATAGCAGACGTTATGATGTAGCCAATGCCTGGAAGACATAGTGAAATCTGTCGGTTGCCCAGCAGAGGAATGATAGTATTGGAGGGATAGGACTTGCTTTTGGGAAAATTAGTGGTACATTCTCAAAGAGCAATAATAGGAGGAAGACAGATTTTATACAAGGAGCACATACCAGAGAATTTTGATTTGGTCAGCATGGCAAAAGCATTAATAGACCCCACTATCAAAATATTGAATGCAAGAAGCCATAATTAAAGTGCATACACTAAAGATTTCATTTATATAAAGTTTAAAGGTAATAAAAATTAATTTATGCTGGTAGAATTAAGAGGAGTATTTACCCTTAGAGCAGAAGCCACCGATTGCAAGGACACATAAAAAAATTTCAGGAGTGATAGGTCATTTTCTATTTCTTGATCTAGCACTAAGATCAAGCCAAACACTTATTATTTGGCCCATTTTAGAAATGCAGGTCATATATTAATGAAGTAGCTATTAAAATTAAGGTGAAGGCTTCATAAAGATGAGTTAATAAAAATTCACATGCGCTAGTATCAAATGAGCTTAGAACTATCTAGTAATTCAACTGTATTTCCTATTTATTCTTCAACTCTTCTTAGGGCTATTTCATACTTATTAAATTTCTAGCACTGTCTCTTTTCCTCATCCTCCATTTCAGTCAATGATCTTGCTTTCTTTTTTACTAAGAGAAAATAAAAGAAGGCACCTGGAGATTATTTCCTCATGCATCTGCTATCATGTCCAACAACGTAACTGCATTTGTACTCATACCTTGAATTTATTCATTCATACATTCATTTATGCATTTATTCATTCAGTGGGACAAATAGGCCTTGGAACCTGGTATGTATCAGGAACTGTTTTGGATATAGAGTAATATAGCAGGGTCCAAAACATATGAGAATCTGAAATTGTGGAGATTATATTCTAGCAGGAAGGTACAGAAAAAAATAAAGCAAAATTTAAATAGTTGGATTTTTCTATTTTTGAGATCTATTGTACTGTGTAGTAAATATAGTTAATAACTGAGCACCATACATTTCATTATCACCAAGAGAGTAAACTCAAATGTTCCATCACAAAAATTTCAAGTATTTGTGGTGATGGGTTTATTAGTTTGATTTAATTTTTTCACATTGTATTCAAAATCATAACATCACTTTGTGCCCCATGAATATATACAACTGTAATTTGTCAATATAAATGAATAAATAAATAATTGCTTTGAATGCTATTGAAAAATAAAAGAAGCAAACCATTTACATAGAAGGTATAATTTCCAATAGGCTAGTCTTGGAATGCTTCATTTTGTTAACATGAAATAAAAATATAGAGAGATGAATCTTTAGGCAAAGAGTTTATTTGAAACTCTGTTAGAACGACAAATCAGGACACACAAGCCAGGTTAGCCCCTAGGTATGTCCAAAGACAAAGAGAAAGGCTGAAGTTTTAGTGGGGGAAAAGAAGACAGCTAATTAAGTTGTTTTGAACATTCATTGGTGCTGGGCAAGGTCTTGCTGCATGAGCCTGCTTTGCATGTTCTAAGAGGACAGTGAATGTCATTGGAATAGGAATAATAGGGTACTGAGGGATGGAATAAGCAAACTCAAAAAAATCCTGTTGGCAGCTTCTTCAAAACATGGCTAACATTTAATACCTCTCACCACTCTATTATTACCCCTAGCTCAAAGCTACCATCAACTCTCCCTTCACTATAGTAACACTCTACTTCAAGGAAAAGTTTCCCTCTTCTTACAGATTTGAAGACGCATATCTTTGTGAGACATCTTTGTCAATGTGAACAAGGCCAAACACTGATTGCTTTAATGGAATGGACCTGGGTGCTTGGCAGTTGGTTGACTACATAGCTATACAAGTCCTCATTTAACTAACTCGAGAAATTGCATAGCAGAGATATAAACATAGTATTCTATCCTATTTAATCCATAGTATTTGGCGATTATTTATTACAGCAACCTAACCTGTATTCTAGCTAATGCAAGGAAGCTGCTAGATGTATATATTAAGGAATATGATTTCTTGGTACTTAATTATTAATAATTCTTAGAAAAAAGTAAAACATTTAGAACCACTTAGTTATGTGAATTTACTTTTTAAACTGCCAATATCATGGAATCTAAATTCAAATTAAGTATTTTCAATGAAAATTGAGCTATAAATATAAATTATTATGCACATTGATATTAAAATAATTTCTATAGAAAAACAAGGTAAAATATTTTTAAAATAATTTTACAATGTTTTTATCTTTAAAAATTATAATATTTGGGACTTACTGCATTAAATACATTATTAAAATCCGATTCATTGGTTTCATTTTATTTTTTATATGTTGCTACTGATACTTTAAAATTAGAATATATTGGGGATTATATTTCTATTGAATAATGCTGATCTACAAATTTGATGCTATTTACATTGGTGCTTTTTTTTTGCTTGAAAAGCAAAAAAAATACATGACTTCAGTTGTCTCTTTTTTAAAGAAGTACATTAGTAAAGGTAATGATTAGTAACATAATCATTGCCTATGTTAATGTTATTATTATGTATTACAAAACAATGATATTCTAATTCTAAAATGCATTGTTTATGTTTTAGCCAAAACAGTTATATAAAGCATTATTTGTACATTTGGCACTTATAGTACTATTTCATATCTACTTTTATATTTCAGATAGACAGTTTTGAGAAAATTATACATTTTTGGAATATTAGACATGATGCCTATTAAAATAATACAAATCAAAATATGCAATGTATATAATATTAAGCACAGAACTCAAAAATGCATTTATTTAAATAAGCTACCCATTGGTGACTGAATTGAACTGATGAATACTGTCTTTTTAAAACTTGAGAAAATTGTAAAAATGCATTATATAAGAACTTGATATGATTATTTAAAAAAAAAATCACAATTTTTAAATCCCTGAAAAAATGTCTTCAAAGAATCTATTACCTTTTTGCTCCAAATACTCTCAAACCATTTGGAGCCATTTGCTACACATTTAGAAACATTTGTCTTCTGAGAACTCCTTGGAAAATATTACACTTTGAATACAGTTTTACAGTGTAATGTTTGAAAAGTGATGGAAATTTTTATAAATACTTAAAGGAATAGAAAAGTGTCCTGATCTAGAACTACTTATACTTTTTTTTTGCTCAACAAATAATAACTGAAATTACAAACTTAAATAGCAATGAAGTCAATTTCCTTCCCTTCTAACAACACAGCAAGAGCGTCCTAGAAGGCTGATTTTTAAAAAAAAACGTATTTTCAGATTTAATTGTCAATATGAGACTCAGTTTCTGAAAGACAGAATATGCTACATTTATGTTATTTTTAACCTCTGGGTACTTCCTTAGACTCAAATACAAAAACTAGGGATTTAAAATCATTTAATCTTAAAAAAGCATTCATTTGATATGTAAATTAGATAGGGAAACAGAGATGTGGGAATAGTTTTACTCTCTAAATCAATCCCCTAAGGACATTAGACTATTTCAGGTTTTATTGAACATTCCATCAATTGCCTACTAACCCTAATAATAAGCTACCTAATGATCCTTTGGAACGTAAATTCTTACTGAAGTTTTTCCTAGGTTTATTTCTCCCTATTGTACCCTTAATAAACTTAAATTCATCTGGTTGATTTTTGTAATGCAATCATATTATTAATCTTTAAATAAATGAAACCTTGTGAGCAGCAAAGGCTTTTGAGAGTTCTTTTTCTCCCTTTTACAGTACAGTCAAAATTACATGTAAAAACTCAGTTGAAGATAGCATTACCTCTCTGTATTTGCATATAGTTTCAACATTAGTTTTAGCAAAGATAACCACACAATCTAAGTTTTGTATTGATCTTAAAAGGCTCAAGATATATTTTGACCATTTATAGATATTTTAATTGCAAGAGCATTCAACAAGCAAATTTCTGACAATAACATGCTTCTGAATACAGACAAAACATAAGACGTTAGGTAAAGGGGGAAAAAACCTAACTTCTCTCTCACTTTCTCTCTATCTCACTCACAGATATTTATCTATATCTATAAATATAGGTGTAGATATATGCATGTATGGAAAGATAAATAAATATAATACATATATACCAATATCTTTATGGCAATAAAAACAACCTGCTTATCAAATATAAATGAGAGATTCTAACACTTATTTCCTAGTAACTAAAATTATTCTTTGATTTGTTTTGTTTTTTAAAGTTTTTCTTAAATTTTATAATATGTTAAAGCATATTTTTCCTGCATTTAATTTTACTGTCAAGAAATTCATAATCTTTTCTACTTATAGAGTCTCCATTAACCAGCATCTATAAATGTATAGCTTTTAAACTGTGTCAGTTGAGGTGTGGTCAATATGAGTTTATTAGCACTTACTGTTAAATGGGCCAATAGCTGAATATTGTCATCAGCGACTTTCTGAAAAGGGTGATACTCAAGTCAGTAACAGACATTTTAGCTTATTATAAAGGGATTTAGTTTGTGGTACTAGATTGTGGCATGAAGGAGGGTACAAAAAGAGAAGTATATTCATACTTCTTACCTGTTCTAGTGAAATCTCTAGATAAGTAAAAAACATAGCTTCATAAATTTCCAGAAATTTCTGATTTTCTACACACAGACACACAGACACACACACACACACACACACACACACACACAGACATACACACAGTTGTAAGCATTTACTCTTTTGTCTTATCCCTACTGTTTTCTGCTAGCATTCTCTATGTCACATATCAGAGTGTGCAATCACTGTGCACTATGGTATTGAAATGAGGTCCCAATTTTGATATAACTTGCTCAAATTTCCAAAGAAAATATAACCTTTTTACTCTCCATAGATAAATTTTACTAACTTTTCTGTTTCTTCTATACTTGACATTTTAGAGTAATTCCTTCTCTTCCCTTTAAAACAATCTCTTCCAAGTTAGTTAAACTTAGGCAAATTCTTGGTCTCATAATGCCTCTCCCTTCTGATGCTGCTGTTATAAATAGTCTCTGGGTATATGAGCTAGAAGGACTGGTAAATGATGATTTGGTGATTTATGACTGTTAGCAACATGTGATTTTAACTCCTGTGAATTCTTGCTAGTTTTTCCTGGGCCTTTTAAACTACCTAAGTTAGAGATGTGTTTTAAGTTTTAAGTGTGTGTGTGTGTGTGTGTGTGTGTGTTGTTTTGTTTTCTCTCTGGATAGTTTTTAGATGCTTTTTGTGGTTGAATTGGATCAATCATGCTTGGTGCTGTAAACTGTTCTTGAACTTCATCTATATTCTCCTCCTGGCTTCTTCCTACCCCTTCATATTTGTGGTAGCATCGCTTTGCCACTTGCCACAGACATCTCCACGGCAGGCTTCCTAGATGTCTTAGTCTGTTTTGAGTAGCTACAACTGAATACCTGAGGCTGGGTAATTCATAAACAACATAAATTTGTTTCCTAAGAGTTCTGGAGGCTAGGAAGTTCAAGATCAAAGTACTGGCATCTGATGAGGTCCTTCTTGCTGCATCCTCACATGGCAGAAGGCAGAAGAACAAAATAGGATGAACATCATGTCCCTACATGGCAGAAGAACAGAGAGAAAGAACCCACTCCTATAAGCCCTTTTAATAGTGGCATTAAACCCATTTATGCCTGAGGTTGCAATTTTTTGGATTTTCGCAATCAGATCTTGGTGAGAACCTTGAGAAGTAGGATATAAATAACTCCCACATGCTTAATGTTCCAATAATAGAACACTAGGCATACATCAGTTTTAATCCATTCACAAAGGTGGAACCCTCATGACCGAACCCCTTTCCATTGGGCCCAACCTCCCAAACACTGTTGCATTGGTGATTGCTTCCACCTACGAATTTTGAAGTGGACAAAAACATTCAAACCATAGCACTAGCTGTCCACTTACATCCCTCATAGAGCCTCTAGAAACTCCTGAATCCTTTCTACATTACTTGAGAATGAGGACACTTTGAAGTGCAGATTCAGTCCTTCTCTTTCTCTCAGCAGTACTGCCTTTGACAATGCATGCACCTCACACAGAGTCACTTTTGGCACTGTTTTTCCTTCAGTATCCAAACAGGGAGTGGGACATTCAAACTTCTCCATTGCCTGCCAGGATCTGAGTTCATATGTCTGACAACAATTCTTCCATAAATTGTTCCATATCTCTTGTCCCCACTCACCTCATCAGTCCCTAACTTGTGGGAAGAAAAGACATAATGGAGTAAAGTCTGTGATGAAGGCATCATTGACTGAAAAAAAAAAATGCCTTCTTTATAAACCGTGAAGCCTCTCTCTTACTTGAGCCCACCAGGCTTTGCATTAGATGTGGGTCTTATTGAAAAACTAATAATTATTGATTACAAAGTCATACATATATTAATTTAATTTTCAAAAATTCAATCCTAGATACTAACATTTACTATCTATGTATAATTTCCAAATGAACTTTAAACTAAAATAGAAATTATGAAAAGTTATCAAAATTTATAAATATCAGTATTACACAAGAATACAGTGTAGTTTCATCTTATCTGTGGGAGATTTTTTCTAAGACCCTCAGAGGGTGCCTGATACAATGGTTAATACCAAATCCAACATATACTGTTTAATTTAAAACTAGGCAAAGTAAGAGTTTAATAATAACTAATAATAAATAAAACATAAAATATAGTGTAATAAAAGTTATGTTAATGTGGTTTCCTTCTCTCTATCTCGAAATACTGCAATATTTTAGGAACAAAGTTGAAGGCAGGTAACTAAAACCACAGAAAGAAAAAGCATAGATAAGGCGTGACTACTATATTTAAATAATACTATGCTAATATTTATGCAAATAAAATGTATCTTATTCTTGTTCAAAATGGTATAATATTATGCCCTAACGCTTTACTTCCTCTAACATTTTATGATTCAATATATACTTAAGGTGTCCCTCAAATCTTATATTGCTGTGATTTTCAACATAATAAAAATAAGTTTGTTCTTTATTTCAAAGCATACAATTTTTATAAGTAGATTATAAAATGAGATCCTTCTTGCTATCTGTTGCCCTAAGGAGGAGGTTTCAAATGTGTACTTCCTAAAATTAATCGTTTCATAAATAGATGTTCTTGATTTTTTATGATAAAGCTGGAAAATTCTATAAATTTAAATTCGTATTGGCTTTAAAAATGATCTAGCCAAAGTGATACTATCTATATCTAGTTATTTTAAATAGTTTGCTGTCATTCATCCAGAGTTTGACTTTTAAATAGCATATTTCACAACAGTCTTTGATTAACACTTTACTCATAAGCACAGAAAATTGTGTCAAGTAATTCTTGAACTATTTATTTTATGCCCTGAAACCTTATAAATTGCCTGTTTCCATAGATAACTGATGGGTAGCTAGCGTTATGCATATAGACTTCTAACATGAAGATTCTACATACTATTTTTTTCTAGTGTGATTACCCTCTTGATTTCTATACTATCATATGTATCTATCTCTTTAGAAATAAAAAAATGAAAACAATTTTTTATGCAAAGAATTGTAAAATGGTATGAAGGCTCACCATTTTCAATATCAATATAATCTAAGTTATATTAAGTGTCAAGCAATGCCAATATTTGTTATTTAGTGCTGTATCATCTGTGTAACTGTTTAGCTCTACCACTTTAATATTTTAATATTTTGTTATATGTGGATGTCTTCTAATTCACTCAGCCATTATTGCAATCACCTGAATATTACTAATACTTGCTTTGCTATCATTTTAACTGATCTTTAATATGTAGCATTATCATTAGTTTGTGGATCTATATTCTCAATAAATTCATTTTATTATAAAGACAGACATTCTTTATATATCCTAACATTTACATATATAAACAATTTTATTAACAATCTCTTTGGGGGCGTCTAGGCAGAGATAAGGATAGGATTAAATATGTCTGATATTTCAGTTTGGAAGTATTTTACTTTGTCTATCCTACCTCTTCTAATTATGAAATAGTTGGATTGGGTGTGGATCGGTTGAAAAACCATTTTAAATTTTTAAAAATAAAGAAATCCAAATTATAACGTAAGGCAAACATCCAAGGAAGATATTGGACTTAAAAGTTATTCTCGTAGGAGAGTGGATGTCATTTTAAAACCAAAAATTATAGTCCATATTGTTTGGGGTGAATTTCACCAGATGCTGCACTTTCCAAGTCATTCTAGGTTCTTTATAAGCATGAAAAGCAGTATTCATTTTTTCTGTCTGCTATTTATACATTCATGAAATATAAAATAATTCCTTTTTACAATATTACTTGCAAAGGAAAATGTTGTTATAATCAAATGTATTCAATTATCTTCATGTATATTATTTATAGTAAATATCTAAATCAAATTTCGATCATGTCAAAACAGTGGCACATTACATTCTCAGAGATTTTATCATTATTTTTTAAGGCATGGTTTCCTTTATTATTAATGTTATTAATATTATTTAATTTTTGTGAGTACGTAGTGGGTGTATATACTTATAAAGCACCAGAGACGTTTTGATACATGCATGCAATGTGAAATAAGCACATCATGGAAATGGGGTGTTCATCCCCTCAAGCATTTATCCTTTGAGTTACAAACAATTCAGTTATACTCTTTAAGTTATTATAAAATGTACAATTAAGTTATTATTGACTCTAGTCCTCTTGTCGTGCTATCAAATAGTAGGTCTCATTCATTCTTTCTATTTTGTTGTATCCATTAATCATCCCCCCTTCCCCTAGTTGCCCACTGCCCTTCTCAGCCTCTGGTAACCATCCTTTTACTCTCCATGTTGATGAGTTCAATTGTTTTCATTTTTAGATCCCACAAATAAGTGAGAACATAATGTTTGTCTTTCTGTGTCTGGCTTATTTCACTTAACATAATGATCTCCAGTTCCATCCATGTTGTTGCAATTAACTGAATCTCATTCTTTTTATGGCTTAATAGTATTCCATTGTGTATATGTACCATGTAGCCTGTCCAGTCATTCAGTGTCCAGTTGATGGACACTGAGGTTGTTTCTACATCTTAGCTATTGTAAACACTGCTGCAACAAACATAGGAGCGCAAATATAATCTCTTTGATATACTGATTTCCTTTCTTTGGAGTATATACCCATCAGTGGAATTGCTGGATCATATGGTAGCTCTATATTTAGTTTTTTGAGGAACCTCCAAACTGTTCTCCATACTGGCTGTAATAATTTACATTCCTATCAACAGTGTACAAGAGTTCCTTTTTATCCACATCCTGGTCAGCATTTTTTATTCCCTGTAATTTGGATATAAGCCATTTTAACTGGGGAGAGATGATATCTCATTGTAGTTTTGATTTGCATTTCTCTGATGATCAATGATATTGAGCATCTTCTCGTATTCCTGTCTTCCATTTGTATGTCTTTTTTTGAGAAATGTCTATTTAAACCTTTTGCCCACTTTTTGATCAGATTATTAGATTTTTTCCTATAGAGTTGTTTGATCTCCTTATATATTCTGGTTATTAATCACTTGGCAGATGGTAGTTTGCAAACATTTTCTCCCATTTTGTGGGTTGTATTATCCCTTTGTTGATTGTACACTCGGCGGTGCAAAAGCATTTTAACTTGCTGTGATCCCATTTGTGCATGTTTGCTTTGATTGCCTGTGCTTGTGGGGTATTTCTCAAGAAAATTTTTGCCCAAACCAATGTCCTGGAGATTTTCCCAATATTTACTTTTAGTAGTTTCATAGTGTGAGGACTTAAGATTTAAGTCTTTAATCCATTTTGATTTGACTTTTGTATACAGTGAGAGATAGAGGTCTAGTTTTATTCTTCTGCATGTGGATATCTAGTTTTCCCAGCACCACTTATTGAAGAGATTGTTTACTTATTGAAGAAATCTTTACTTATTGAAGAGAACATACACTGTTCTTGCCACCTTTGTCAAAAATGAATTCACTGTAGGTGTATGGATTTGTTTCTAGGTTCTCTATTCTGTTCCATTGGTTTATGTGTCTGTTTTTATGCCAGTAGCATTCTGTTTTAGTTGCTATATACCCTTGTAGTATAACTTGAAGTCAGGTGATGTGACACCTCCAGTTTTGTTATTTTTGCTTGGGATGGCTTTGGCTATTCTGAGTCTTTTATTGTTCCATATAACTTTTAGAATTGTTTTCTTTTTCTATTTTGACCAATGTCATTGGTATTTTGATAGAGATTGCACTGAAACTGTAGATTGCTTTGGGTAGTATGAACATTTTTGCAATATTGATTCTTCCAATCCATGAACATAATTTTTAAAAATTTTTTAGTGTCTTCTTCAGTTTCTTTCATCAGTGTTTTACAGTTGTCATTATAGAGATCATTCACTTTCCTGGTTAATTGCTAGGTGGTTAATATTTTGTGTGGCTATTAAAATAGGAATATTTTATTTTATTATTTTCAAATTGTTCACTGTTGGCATATAGAAAAGCTACTGGTTTTTGCATGCTGATTTTGCATCATGCAATTTTAATAAATTCGTTGATTATTCCTGATAGTTTTCTTGTAGGTTCTTTAGGATTTTCCAAATATAAGATCATATCATCTGCAAACAAGAATAATTTGGCTTCTTCCTTTCCAAGAATGGATGCCTTTACATCTTTCTCTTGTCTGTTGCTCTAGCCAAGACTTTGAGTACTACCTTGAATAACAGTGGTGACAGTGGGCATGCTAGTCATGTTCCAAATCTTAGAGGAAAGACTTTAAGTTTTTCCCCATTTAGTATGATACTAAATGTGGGTCTGTTCTATAATATGGCTTTTATTATGTTAAGGCATGTTCGTTCTATCCCCAGTTTTTTTAGGGTTTTTATCATGAAGGGTTGTTGAATTTTATCAACTTTCTTTTTCAGCATCAATTGAAATGATCATATGGTTTTTATCCTTCATTCTGTTGGTATGTTGTATCACATAATTGATTTATGTATGTTGAACCATCCTTGCATCCCAGGGATAAATTCCACTTGGTCATGATGAATGATCTTACTAATGCATTGTTGAATTTGGTTTGCTAGTATTTTCTTGAGGATGTGTTGTCAATATTCACCAGAGATATTGGCCTGGAGTTTTTTTTTTTTTGATATGTCTTTATCTGGTTTTGGTATCAGGGTAACACTGCCCTCATAGAATGAATTTTGTACTATTTCTTCCTCCTCTATGTTTTAGAATAGTTTGTGTACAACTGGTATTTCGTCTTCTTTAATGTCCGGTAACATTCAGCAATAAAGCCATCAGGTCCTGGGCTTTTCTTTATTGGGAGAC
The DNA here is from genome assembly GCF_000001405.40 of Homo sapiens. Taxonomy (NCBI): domain Eukaryota; kingdom Metazoa; phylum Chordata; class Mammalia; order Primates; family Hominidae; genus Homo; species Homo sapiens. The sequence continues at coordinate 96,317,947 of NC_000003.12, forward strand.
TTTTTATTATGGCTTCAACCTAGTTACTTGTTATTGGTCTGTTCAAGTTTTGGATTTCTTCTTGGTTCAATCTTGGTAGGTTGTATGTGGCTAGAAAATTGTTCATTTCTTCTAGATTTTCTAATTTATTGGCATATAGTTGCTCATAGTAGGCTCTAAGGATCTTTTCGATTTTTGCAGTAGCAGTTATAATGTCTCCTTTTTCATTTATGATTTTATTTACTTGTGTTTTCTCTCTCTCTTTTTTAGTTAGTCTGGCTAAATGTTTGTCAATTTTGTTTAACTTTTCAAAAAGCTAACCTTTCAATTAATCTTCCAATAAAAAACTCTTTCTACTTTTTCAGTAGACATCCTTTGGACACAAACTGGAACATCACCTCTCCTGGGTCTCCAGCCTGCTAGCTTACTCTGCAGATTTTGGATTTGCTAGACTTCATAATAATTACATGAGCCCAAATTCTTATAATAAGTCTAATAAAGATATATATATATATGTTTATATATACATATACATAAATATGGAACATATGTGTACATATGTCATCCCACAGTATACACAGAGAGGATTGGTTTCAGGACCCCTGTGCATACCAAAATTTATACATGCTCAAGCCCTGAAGTCAGTCCTGCAGAATGAGCTTACACAAAACATCAGCCCTCCCTATACACAGGTTTTGCATCCCAAGAATCTTGTATTTTCAATCCACATGTAAGTAGACCTTTACAATTTAAACCCATGTTGCTCAAGGGTCAACTGTGTGTGTGTGTGTGCGTGTGTGTGTGAGTGTGTGTGTGTGTGTATCCTATTGGTTCTCTGGAGAACTCCAACTAATGTACTATGTTAGCCAGCATCTTTAGTGGAGACACAGTAATTTATTTTCAAATTCATGTTCTTTTCTCATTATTAAGTGTAATTTATTTTCAAATTGTATGTTCTTTTCTTATTATTAAATTTTTTAAGTTTTGATTTTGTCAACCTACTTTCCTTAAATATAATGTGTTTCATTTTCTCCCTGAGTGTAATAAATGTTTATTTTCTTTAATTTTCTATGTGTCATCACATTATTCATATCAAAATTAAATATTTTGTTCCTTCAGTTTTTTCTTTATTCAAATTGCTAGCATTTTGATATAATTTGATTTTATTTTGTCCTGCCCAAATCTCATATTGAAATGTAATCCCCAAGGTTGGAGGTGGGGTCTGGTGGGAGGTGACTGGATCACAGCAGTGGATTTCTCATGAATGGTTTAGCATCATCCCTCTTGGTGCTGTCCTCAGGATAGTGAGTGAATTCTCATGAGATCTGATTGTTTAAAAGTGTGTAGCCCCTCCCCTATCACTCTCTTGCTTCTGCTTTCACCATGAGACATGCAAGCTGCCACTTGGCTTTCAGCCATGATTGGAAGCTTCCAGAGTCCTTATCAGAAGCAGATGCCACGGTGCTTTTGGTACAGCTTGCAGAACCATGAGGCAATTAAATCTCTTTTCTTACAAATTACCCAGTCTCAGTTATTGCTTCATAGCAATGAAGCAAGAACAGCCTAATCCACATTTGTGTGCTGTTCTTCACATGTTAAAGACTAGCCCTTATTTATTTATCAATTGTACTGTTTTAGTAGTGCCTAATTAAATAATTTATGTTTATTTCTTTTCATTGATATCTTGGATATTTTATCTTGTTTGAGGATTTTGCACTTAAATCATTTTTAATATTCCTTTATTTTAAATGTCATTGAAATTTGAATTTTTTTATTAGAGCAAACATATCTCCATCTGACATTTTATCACATAGACTTGTCCTATCCTGATTTTAATATAAGCTACTATTGTACTTATATTTAATCATTTAAACAAGAAAGAGTGTTTTAAAATCCCAAGTGAATTTCAGTTTAATATACTAATACTAAAATCTGTGTTCATCAGCTTTGAAGGCAATTTTACTTCTGTAGTCTGATCTGTATAACTTTGGTAAGTTTTCCATGAACATTTAAAAATAAAATGTGTCCCTTATTTAATGGCAAAATACTTGATATGTTTATTAAAAACAATTAATAATTTAAGATTCAATTTAAGGTATCTTTATCAACACTTACAGTTATTTAGATCTTTCCATTGTTAGAGTATTGCTTTAGTTTCTGTATTTGATATAAGATTTTGGCCTACTTCTAGTATTTACTTCTGTTTTTCTTGGAAACTTTATGCTATGCTATTTAGATTTGTGAATGGCATGAAACCATTTAATTGAGCTTTTATCAACATTAATTGAAGCTTCTATCTCAAATAATGTTTTTGCTTTTCATTCTAATTTCCTTGAGATTAATAGAGTCATCCTAGTTTGTTTTGTGTGGATGTGAATACATTTATTTGGTACTTATTTTTACATCTCTCTATATTTTTACTTTTGAGAAAAAATGCTGTTTATAATGCTATTTATAACTGACTTTCAGTTTTTTTAGAACTATTTTAAATATCTTGTTCTTATTTCAAAATATTCTAAAAGTGTATAACCTTTATGACATATGTTCTTCTTTTTTTACATAGCTTTTGATGTAATCTTGCTTCTATATGCTCCTTTATTTTTTCTTAGCCTATTTATTTTGGGCTATTTAAAAATTATGCAGGTAATTTTAATTTAACAAGCTGTAGTCTTTAAATTATAGATATTTATATATCTCCATATTTTTAAGGGCATCACTAGCATATATTTGGAATATGCTTCATTACAAGTAACAGACAAATTAATTTACAGTGATTTAAAGATCAAGGATTCTATTTCTCAAAAATAAGAAATTCAAAGAAAGCTCCCAGACTGACTTAAATTGCTAAATTATCATCATCAGTGTATTGGTCTTTCTTATGTTCATAACTTCATGACTGCAGGATAGAGACTGTGCCTGATGGTACCATGGTCGAGTTCCAGCCAGGCAGAAAAAGGAAGAATAAATAAGCAAAATATGAAAGTGCCGTGACAGCCAAGTCAATCTAATTTTATCAGGAAAACAAAAGCTAAAACAGAAGTCTCACCCAGGAGACTTCTGCTTCTTTTTTTTTTTTTTTTTCAAAAGTCACTCTTAATGGAAAAGTGCTTAAGTAGAAAGGGACTGTTGATGGGCATTAAATCAGCCAGTCAAAGGTGTTTACTAACATCTTTTCTTATGGTGATTACATGATTTAAAAAATTAAAAAGATTGACCATAACATTTCTAGAGCAAAAGTGAAGACATAGAACAATTTTATGTCCTAATTCACTCTATACTCCCAAACACATCTCATCCATATTTCACAATATATGTGGAATAATCTACACTGTTAGATCCTGTGGCAGAAATTGATAGATTTATATTCCAACAAGCCTCCTCTCCTTTCTCCTTAGAAAATTCTCCTGATACTTTTCTGGGCATATGTCCACCAATTACCAAAAAAAGAAACAAAATGTTCTCACCTCTTTTACACCTAGGTATCTTCAGTGAGATGTACACAAAAGTATCTCTGAAATTTCTGAACAGTGTTCTAACAGAGAAAGGGCTAACTATACTTACCAGCTTCCTAAATGGTCCCAGAAGTTCAGACATGATGGCTAAATCCCCCAAAAGACATCATAAGGAAGAAGGCACGAGAAAAGTTTTGCAATCTATCCATCTGACAAAGGTCTAATATGCAGAGTCTATAAGGAACTTAAACAAATTTACAAAAAACAAACAAACAACCCCATTAAAAAGTGGGCAAAGGACAGGAACAGACCCTTCTCAAAGGAAGACATACGTGCAACCAACAAACATATGAAAAAAAGCTCAACATCACTGATCATTAGAGAAATGCAAATCAAAACCACAATAAGATACCATCTCATACCAATCAGAATTGGCTATTATTAAAAAGTCAAAAAACAACAGATGCTGGCAAAGTTGCAAAGAAAAAGGAATGTTTTTACACTGTTGGTAGGAGTGTAAATTTGTTCCACTGTTGTGAAAGACAGTGTGACAATTCCTCAAAGACCTAGAGGCAGAAATACCATTTGACCCAGTAATCCCATTACTGGATATATATGTAAGGGAATATAAATAATTCTATTATAAAGATACATGCACGTGCATGTTTATTGCAGCACTATTCACAATAGCAAAGACATAGAATCAACCTAAATGGCCGTCAATGATAGACCGGATAAAAAAATGTGGTAGACATAAACCAGGGAATACTATGCAGCCATAAACAGGAATGAGATCATGTCTTTTGCAGGGACATGGCTGGACTTGAAAGCCATTATCCTGCAACATATACCCCTGAACTTAAAATAAAAGTGAAGAAAAAAAAAAAAGAAGGCATGGATCACATTCCTTAAATGGGAGAATACACATCTCGATTTAGCTTGCACCACTTACAAATGTGAAACCACCATGCTTTCCTATCTACATCAGTGCTTTTTATATGGCAGAGAAATTTAATTCTCTCTCTTGAGAATCATTGTTATTAGAGGTTATTTCTGGTATAGTCAGCCAAAATCAATACTAACTAATACAGATAGATGGAAGTATTAATACTTTCTATTTTACTTTTATACCACTGAATTTGTGTTTTAAAAATTGTATTGGCATAACTTTATAATGTAACAAAGTATGAATAAAAATAAATATACATTTAAAAATTAACAAATAAAAATTTACTGTAAATCAGTAGTCAAATGTCAATATCCCAGTAGAAAAATAATATTGAATAAGTGGTTTTAAAAGGAATAAATTGCAATGGATATAGAAAATGAAAGATAATTTTAATAAATTAATATTTAAAACAAGAAAAGATTAAATGAGGGCATGCGTATATGCCATGTTTTGGAAATGATCACTATCAATGATGATTGGAATGTGGATCAGTACAATATTTCTGAAAATACTTTAGTAATATATATATTGAATTATTCAAACGTGGGAAATATTTGAACCAGCAACTCAAGTTCATAATTAACTTTTTTAATAATTGAAGAATATCTCTGTTTTTTGATATTTCATCTTCACGAGGTATGTTTATTATACAAGTATAACTAAAGGGTGAATTTATGCTTCTCTCAGTTATAACTTAATGATTTATCAAATTACTTCTCTTTTGGATGAACTCAGCTGATCTTCCATTATTAATGGCAATACTTGCTTTTATCCCGGCATGAGATGATTCTGTTGTGTAGTGTCCTTCTTCATATGTCTGTCAATTTCTTATTAAAAACTAAACATATACAACCTCTTTACCTTTACTGTCCCTTTATCTTTTTCATAATTGTAACTCTTATTAGTCAAATGTATATCAGGGTTATAATTATAAAATAAGGTCAGGCGCGGTGTCTCTTGTTCGTAGTTCCAGCACTTTGGGAGGCTGAGGCGGGCAGATCATTTGAGGTCAGGAGCTTGAGACCAGCCTGGCCAGCAGGGTAATAGCCTGTCTCTGTTAAAAATACACATACACACACAAAGTGAGCCAGGTGTTGTGGTGCATGCCTGTAATCCCAGCTACTGAGGAGGCTGAGGCATAAGAATGGCTTGAATGAAGGAGGCGGAGATTGCAGTGAGCTGAGATCATGCCACTGCACTCCAGCCTGGGTGACAGATTGAGACCTTGTTGAAGAAGAAGAAGAAGGAGAAGGAGAAGGAGAAGAGGAGAAGAAGAAAAGAAGAAGAGGAGAAGAACAAGAAGAAGAAGAGGAGGAGGAGAAGGCGGGGGGAGAAGAAGAAGAGAAAGGAGGAAAGTTAATCAGAAATTATAAAGACAGTAAATTTCAAGTAGTAATTTTAATTTCTCTTCTTAATTGACACCCTTATCTTTATCTTTCTGCCATGAGTAGAAATAAAATGATTTGAATTATTGTGTAATATGCTGTATGATAAGGAAACCATACTTGTTTACATACAGAAATATTTCCATCCATTGTGACAATACATGGAATATATGGTTTTATTTGTAGGTTCCTTGAAGTTAAAGAAAGGCACAGAATATCATTGCTTTGTCTATATTGCTTAACTTTCTAATTGATAAATTGAAAACGTTTTACTCTTTCAATACCAGCAGTGACCATATGCCTCTTTTCTGAGATGGAAGAAAAAAATTTTTACATTCCCTTTATCCTTGCCACCTTTAATAAAATTGAAAGTAGTCAACATGCACTTCAATGATAATGAATAAAAACACCATGCATTTAATTATTATAGAATACAAAATAGGTAAAAAAAAACTACAGTGGTTTCAATATTGCTATTTAACCTGATGCCAAAAAAATAGCATATTACTGTGTTAGAACTTTAGAGGCTTGTCCATCTTAGGCTTTCATGAAAGCTGTCGATACAGAACTGTCACTCTTTTTGACACACCACTGACAACAAGCCTATCCCACAGAATGATGGAGACCTAATGCAATCAGAATTTCTAATCTCCCAGCAATCACATGTTCTTTTCTTGAAGCTCTGCCAGGAAATGTTTTCTCTGAGAAAGATGTTCAAACTTTTCATTACAGAACTTGAAACCACTTAAATTCACAGCATTTTAGATACCCACCTTTGTACTAAACTCAAAGATTGGAGTTAAACTCATATGGGGAGCTCTGAGTCTCACAAAGAAATTATAAACCTATTTTTTCTGTCTTGAAAATTAATGTTTCATTGGTGGGTGATCATTGGTTTTGTATCAAGTTTGATTTAGCTGTCTCATTTATTTTGGGATGCTGTGCTTTAGTGGGATGTAATGAATGAGTAAGAAGCAAGAATATGGGGCTCGCTTGTGGTTCATGATTGATAGAGAAAAAAATGTGCAGGAGGATGTATGTGAAGGTGTGTGTGTGTGTGTGTGTGTGTGTCTGTCATTCTGTAGAAATTTATTTGCTCACTGTAATATAGGTATTGGGGCATAGGATTTATTGTTGTCTTTGAGTTCAGCCGCGTTGTATTCAGGGACAATGTTAGGCTATACTTAAACTATTGTGAAACAAACCCAGCTTAACTAGTTTTAATGTATTTCTGCCTTCCTTGAAAATCCAAATTGAAAATGAGTTTTAGGAAGTTACCAAGAAGAAATAGCCTCTTTTTATAATTATCCTGCAATGCAAATGAACAATAAAAACTCTACCCATTTCCTGAAAGACTCATCCAGGCAGTTTTTCGCTTATGTTCCAGAGCAAGATTTTAAAGCAACGATTGGCACCCTTTTTCTATAAAAGGCCAGCTAGTAAATATTTCTAGGTTTTGTGAGTCAGATTGTCTGTGTTCCACCTACCCAGCTTTGCCATTGTAGCATGAAAGCAGGATGATTGTATTCCAATTAAACATTATTTATAAAATTGAAGTGGGTTGGATTTGACCTATGGGTTCTAGTTTGTGAGCCCCTGTATTAAAATATAAATAAGTTTAAGGTGTCAAATCTAAATATTCTCCATGAATAATACACTAAAGCAGGCATAATCCATTTGTATTCATAATTATGTACATTCATATTAGAACCTATTAATATGAAAATGACTGAAATATATAAATATTACTACTTTTTACATTCATTGGAAATCATTATTTACAACAACATTTCCAATTCGTTTTTCAGAAATAACAAAAAGAGAATTATGAGACTGATATAAAGGCAAAATTTATTGTTACATTATTTAGACTTGTTTTTCTACTTCAATCTTACAAGTTTGCTCAGTACTAAAATAACATTCTCCAATGAGTTAAATATTATCATTACATATATAGTATGTTTCTCTTTAAAAATGAAAGAGGAGGCCAGGCGCGGTGGCTCAAGCCCGTAATCCCCGTAATCCCAGCACTTTGGGAGACCGAGGCGGGCAGATCACGAGGTCAGGAGATGGAGACCATCCTGGCTAACACGGTGAAACCCCGTTTCTACTAAAAATACAAAAAATTAGCTGAGCCCACGCTAATGGGCTCAGTGGCGCCCGCCACTGTAGTCCCACCTACTCCGGAGGCTGAGACAGGGAATGGCATGAACCCAGGAGGCAGAGCTGGCAGTGATCTGAGATCGCACCACTGCACTCCAGCCTGGGCAACAGAGAGAGACTCCGTCTCAAACCAAAAAAAAAAAAAAAAAAAGAAATGTGTGTTAGGTATATGTTAATAGGAGACCAAACAATATCAAATAAATTTACATCAGAATATAAATTTTTAAACTAGTTATGTTTTTTTGACCAATATATAGAAAGAGAGGACAATTTGAGGGACGGTAAATGGGCATAGCTGTGAACATGTAAAACGGGACACTGTCTACATAAACTCACTCACTCTTCACCTTCCCCTTCTTATTGAGTGACCTCTGGAAATTCCAACAATTTTGTAAGCACCTAATCCTTTGTACTAAGTCACTTTCTGTCACTAATATCAAGAATAGTTTCTGCTTTCAGCACTGGACCCTAACCTTTGCTAAACTTGGATATGCTATTACAAAACATTTTCAAACTGTAACCTGTGATAGTTGACTTCATGTCAACAGACACTGTAATAATAGTTGAACTGGTTGGGAAAAGTGTGAATATTGATTTGGTTGCATGTTGAATACAGGTTTTAGCAAATCCCTTCAAAAGAGATAAAGGTAGAGAGCAATTTAATGTAGCTCTGAAAAATAGCCTTTGCAGGAGATAAGGCTTCAAACCTTTCTCAAACACCTCTCATTAAGATATTTTGGGCAGACAAAGCAGTAAATATCAGACCTAAAGTGTTTCTATTGAAATCAAGTTTATTGTACCAAAGGACTTAAAGGTAGCCACAGTTAATTTGGGAGAGAATGCTAAACCTAATAGTAGAATTAGTAAATAACTGACAGATTACTGATTTATGAACTGTACTTAACAAAGGCCTTTGCAATTACTTTCATGTGGAAACTGTATGCTAATAGATCAAAGGCTAAAATGTTTCCAAGGGAACTTGAACCATCAATTTGGTCTATAATGTTTGTGACTTTTAATCCTTAAAGCATCTCAAGAATATCAGGACTATAGCAAAAGAAGTGGACTCCAAACCTGTGCAGAAAACCCTTTAAGAAACTCAGCTGAATATAAGTTTTTCTGTTTATTATAGAATGAAAGGCTTTTCACAAATTCTTGCTGGCAGTGGCTGAAGTTTGTTCAAGAAAATTTATGTCAACAGACACAAAGTACGGACTATATGTTAAGCCCTCTGTTAAGTACTAGGGCATACTGTTGCGGGAAGTCCGGAACCCCAAATGGAGGGACCGGCTGAAGCCATGGCAGAAGAATGTGGATTGTGAAAATTTCATGGACATTTATTAGTTCCCCAAATTAATACTTTTATAATTTCTTACGACTGTCTTTACTGCAATCTCTGAACATAAATTGTGAAGATTTCATGGACACTTATCACTTCCCCAATCAATACCCTTGTGATTTCCTATGCCTGTCTTTACTTTAATCTCTTAATCCCATCATCTTCGTAAACTGAGGAGGATGTATGTCACCTCAGGACCCTGTGATGATTGCGTTAACTGCACAAATTGTTTGTAGAGCATGTGTGTTTAAACAATATAAAATCTGGGCACCTCAAAAAAAGAACAGGATAACAGCAATGTTCAGGGAACAAGAGAGATAACCTTAAACTCTGACTGCCGGTGAGCCGGGTGGAACAGAGCCATATTTCTCTTCTTTCAAAAGCAAATGGGAGAAATATCACTGAATTCTTTTTCTCAGCAAGGAACATCCCTGAGAAAGAGAATGCGTCCCTGAGGGTAGGCCTCTGAAATGGCCGCTTCAGGTGGGCGGCCGTGTTTTATGGTCCAGCTGTAGGGATGAAATAAGCCCCAGTCTCCCATAGCGCTCCCAGGCTTATTAGGACGAGGAAATTCCCGCCTAATAAATTTTTGGTCAGACTGGTTGTCTGCTCTCAAACCCTGTCTCCTGATAAGATGTTATCAATGACAACACGTGCCCAAAACTTCATTAGCAATTTTAATTTCACCCCGGGCCTGTGGTCCTGTGATCTTGCCCTGCCTTTCATTTGCCTTGTGATATTCTATTACCTTGTGAAGCAAGTGATCTCTGTGACCCACAGCCTATTCATATACTCCCTCCCCTTTTGAAAATCACTAATAAAAACTTGCTGATTTTGCAGCTCCGGGGGCATCACGGAAACTGCTGACATGTGATGTCTCCCCCGGACAGCCAGCTTTAAAATTTCTCTCTTTTGTACTCTGTCCCTTTAGTTTTCAGACCGGCCAACACTTAGAGAAAATAGAAAAGAATCTACATGAAATATCGGGGGTGAATTTCGCCAGATATCTGGCTGAATTTCCCCCAATAGTATGCAAAGGGGTGTGTGTGTGTGTGTGTGTGTGTGTGTGTCTGTGTCTGTGTGTGTGTGTCTGTATGCCTGTGCATGCATACATGTGCACGTGCTGTATGCTCCCTAAAACTTTCAATTCAATATGCTGAAAAATTTAGTATCATTCGTGATCCAACTCCCCCCAGAAAGGCCCCTCTGTTACTTGAGTTGTATTTATTCAGAAACATGTAGAATGGATTTTTATAAAATTTCATCCTCTGTTATCTTTACACTTGCTGCTCTTATTTAATTTCACATGTACTTTCATCTATATTATTAAAGATTTCTCCTCTCTGGTCATCATATTTCTTCCAATGTGTTTTCATAATATATTTAAAAATTTTAAATCAACTATTGAGTTATAATTTATATACAATAAACATACTCATTTGGACTACAGAGGTGAATTAATTTTGATGAAAATTTACCTTTTGAAATCACTACAATAGTCATGATATAGAATATTTTCACCATCCCATAAAGTTTCCCAGTGACCTTTGACAATCCATCCTATCGATCCTCTCCTACCCTTCACCCAGGCTGTTATTAATTTGTTTTCTATCAATATGGTTCGGTTTGTATATACTATAGTATTATATAAGTAAGTAAAACAGAATATATTCTTTTATGAATTTTTTTCATGAAGCATAATCTTTTAGAGTTTCAGCCAGTTGTTGTGTGCATCAATAGTGTGTTGCATTGTATAGGTATAATACAATTTGTCTTTCATTCACATCTTTAGTGAAATGCAGATTGTTTACAGTAACTATTATGAATAAAGGTGCCATAAATATCTGTGTTCAAATATTTCTGTGAAGGATATACATATATATATATACAGAAAGAGAGAGAGCTTTATATCTATGGTCATATATATATACAGTCTTGTTATTCATGGTAGTTATGTTCTATAAAGTCACCACGAGCCTTGAATTAGCGAATACTAAACATTACTCTTGGAGAAATACATGGTTAGGTCCCCTTGAGGCTTTGGTCACATTTTCATTAAGAATCAGTATATTATCTTGTTTTATGTATGTTATTGTTTAAGGACACCTTATTTAATATGTATTGTTGATTCAGTAACATCGGACTCACAGTCAATGGTGCAATAAGTCAAGCCTGAAGGAAGCTAAGCTAATACATACATGCATTTTCTCCATCAGGCACATCAGTGTCTTCTTGCATTTAGGAATGCTAGACAGCAATTCAGCACTACATTTGAGAACCATTTTAAAGAGTGAAATCATCAACAAAAAGAATAACAATACAAAAAATGTGGCACTAAATGAACCCTGAAAAATACACTTGTTTGCAGTATGAGAGCTGAAATCAGAAGGCAAATCACTGCCTTATTCATCCTCAACTGGAAAAATGCATGTTAAGCTGCTCAAAATTTCACTGCTCTGTACATGTCCATGAATGGCCATGAAAGTACTACAAGTATTGATTTTAGGGTTACAAATACATTTTAGTGAGTAGGCAAATTTGCCAATAGGAAATCCACAAATAATGAAGATCAAGGGTGATGTATGGGTATGTATATCTGTGAGTGTATATTAGCTATATACCTACAAGATGATTAAATTTTTGAATTGCTGGGTCCAGAGAGTAAATACATATTTAATTTTTATTAAACTGCCAAACCATTTTTTTACATTTCAGACTTTAATCAGTAAAGTATGAGAGGTCTACTTATTATGAATCTTACCCTACAGTTGGTATTGTCAGTTGTATGACCCTACTTTTAAAATTTTTTGTTATTCAGGTGTGTGTATTTAAGTGTGCGTAGTTGCGGGGTTATCTCATTATAAAATGTTCCTCTTACAAATGTATTGGCTATGTAAAAAAGCTATACATGTTCAATGGATATAAGAAAATCAACTTTATTGAAGCTTAATTTAAATATCATGAAATGCATCCATTTTAAGTGTATACTTGAATAAGTTTTCATAAATGTGTGACGCCATGAAACCACCAGTATTGAAAGGACAGACTGTAAAGGGAAGAGAGCATATTGATTTTTTTCTCTACTCTCATGCTTACCAAAGAACAATTCTATGATCAGATGTGTGGGGACTTCTCTCCACACACCAAATAATTCTCTAGCAGATAACAATTGAGTGTCCTATAATTCAATTCATTTCTGATACTGTCTACCTGAAGATATTGTCAGATCCCACAGGTTAAAAGCTCAGTCCCATAGCTTCCCCCACCAATTTCAGATGCCAATTTCAAGTGCCAGGTTGTGATCTCTGCTTCTGACAGTCCAACTATAAATTTGAGCTCCCACAAATTCCCTTCCAGGATTCAATAATTTGCTAAAGCTGTTCCCAAAATTCAGGGGAACACTCCACATACATTTACTGGATTAACTTAATGGACTGTATAAAGGATGTAGACAAAGAACCAGATAAAGAGATGAACATGGGAAAGTATGGTGGGGAAGGGGGAGACCATCCCAGAGCTTCCATGTCCTTCTTGTTGGCACCACCCCTCCAGCACCTTCCTGTGTTCAGCAACCTGAGAGTTCATCAAATCTTGTTGTTCAAGGGTTTTCAAAGAACTTAATTTTCACCCCTACCCTTTCCTATATGATGGCAGGTGGAGCTAAAAGTTCCAACCCTCCAATTCTCTAATAATTTGTTCTTTCTGGTGAATGGCCACAACCTGAGGCTACCTAGAGGCCCTGCCCCAAGTCATCTCATTAGCATAAGCTCAGGTGTTATAAAGGGACTCATGAATAACAAAAGACATTCCTATCACTAGGGGGTTTTAGGAGCTCTGTGACAGAAACCTAGGACGAAGACCAAATACATTTTATATTTCATATTGTACCACACAGACACTTCCATCACCCCCAGCAGTCTGCGTATTTCCTTTGCTCACTTACCCTCAATTCCTTGTAAATGGGTCATGGTGTGTCCTGCTTCTTGTAGAAATGTGATATTTTCCAGAAGTTTTTAAATTTTAGCCTTTATGTTAATAGTGATGCTCAATTCCAAGTTAATTTTTGTGTTTATAGTGAGGTTAAGGTCAACATTTAATTTTTTTCCATATTGGTAGCTATTGTTCTTGCAACATCTGTTGAAAAGACTAGCCTTTGTCCTGGGTATTTTATCAAAACTCAGTTGTGTATGTTTAATTTTTTACACCAATTCTCTTTTTTTAAATCTGTTTGTCTATCATTACACATTACACCAATACCAGGTAGTTATGAATAGTTGAATATTATATTGTTATAGGTAGTTAGGCATAAGTAGGCCAGGAGAGGGCTCTCCCTCACCAGATAGAAATGTAGGGTGACGGTTTGGCAATTTTCACATTGCCTCTCTAAAACTGATAAATTGGCAGCTGGCACCAGGGAGAGGCCATTTCCTGATGGTCCATACTTGTTGCACAAAAGTGTTAATTAAATGCAGGTGCCAAGGAGAAGTAACTTCTTGGGCATACACATTAAGAGACAAAATGGTGGAGTATGACCTTCTGGAGACACGAGTGGAAAAGGGAAGAAAGCCTCAGGTGGACATGTGTAAAACTTCCTAAACACACTGCACATGCTCACATCCCAAGGTTAAGGAGGGCACTGCCCATGTGGGGAGCCCACTCTAAGGGAATAATCATGGGAAAGGGACCAGCCTGTAAAGCCCTAGGATCAAGGTTAAACACCACACTTGACCTTCACGTGCCCACTTGGGTTTCTTCCAAGTGTACTTTCCTTTTTTTCCTGTTATACAGCCTTTTTAAATACACTTCCACTCCAGCTCTGAAACTTGCCTTGTTCTCTTTTTCTGCCTTATGCCTCTCAGTCGAATTCTTTCTTCTGAGAAGGCAAGAATTGAGTTTGCTGCAGACCCATACAATTGGCCACTGGTAACTCGGATACCTGCCACTGGTAACATATGTGGTGCTGTGAGGCTCAGATATTTGCCACCCCTAACAATAGTAAGATTGAACTCAAAGAATGTGAGGCCGGGTGCGGTGGCTCACGCTTGTAATCCTAGCACTTTGGGAGGCCAAAGTGGGCTGATAACTTGATGTCAGGAGTTCCAGACCAGCCTGGCAAACATGGTGAAGCCCCGTCTCTACTAAAAATACAAAAATTAGCCAGGCGTGGTGGTGGGCACCTGTAATTCCAGCTACTTCGGAGGTTTAGGCAGGAGAATCACTTGAACCTGGGAGGTGGATATTGCAGTGAGCTGAGATCACGCCACTGCACTCCAGCCTGGGTGACAAAGCGAGACTCCATCTCAAAAGAAAAAAAAAAAAAAAAGAATATGAGACTCACATTAGTGTCAAACATGTTTGGTTCTTTCTAAGTCTAAAATTCTATGATTTCATTATTTCATTAATTCAACTAAAATTATGGAATGTTTACTTTGTACTAGCTACTTTGTTCCAAAATGAAAATGAAAACAAGAAAATGTATTTCTCAGGACTTCGGAGTCTAAATATAAAACTACAAACTGTTAAAATAGAAATGAATACCAAATATTATATAATAGAAAATAGAAAATGTAGGAATTAAATTTGCCTATGTACGTCAGAATGGCTTAAAAGACTACTCTTATAGTGGGATTTTCTTTCTCTTTCTGAGACAGAGTAAAGACAGAACTCAGCCCCTCCCTATACCCCACCAAGGACGTCTACTGCAAGCTAATTTGGTGGAGCAGGCATGGCCAGCAGGGACCCCACCGGACTGTCCAGACCTTGCACCATAAACCTTACTCAAGGTACCTAACTGACCAACTGTGTCACCATGAGGAGACTAAAATTAGCAGCTTTTGCCATAAATCTTACTAAAGGGAATTAAAACGTGGAGACCCACTATAAGTTTTACCCGCTGAAGATAACCATATTACCCATACGCTCAGAAGATCAAAATAATGATCAGTCTTTGCCCTTTGCCTCACTGTAATATCAAAAATCACAGCCAGGGGTGGAGATTTAACATGCTAATGAGACATGCAATACATGAAGAAGCATGTTATCAGACTGCCCAGATACCAGACGTTCCCCACCTCTAAATGCTTACATGTCACTTCCTTCCCATTTTAGCTCCTTTAAAATTACTCTCCTGACTCTCTTCAGAGAGGCAGGCAGAGAATTTTCTCTCTCTTATGCCTGGGCATAGAATCAAATAAAGTTTTGCTGGGAAAACTCCTTTGGCCTTCTGTCAATTTCTATTGCATTGATAGCACAAGAATCTGTGTTTGGTAATATATTAATTGGGGGCTCATATGAGATCATGGGACACGGAGCGCCCTTTCTCCCATGATGGGGGAGATTCGTGGGCTAAAAGGACTGCTGGACAAGATCACTACACAGCTAGTGAGACGCCCCCTGAATCTTTGATTCAGTGTCACCACAGCTGGTGAGTCTTTCTTCAACCTCCAGAGCTCCTTGCCACCTCCACTGAGCCATGCTCTTTTCCCTTCCCTTCCTCTCTCTTTACTCTCTTTTCCCTTTCCTATCTTTTCTGCCACTCAGGGTGCCCCTCCTCTCTTCCTCACTTCTTAACACAGAAAGTTGGATCTAAATGGACATCCATATGAGACAAGTTGAAACAGTCAACTCAGTTTTACCAGTCTGGGACACTTGAATATATATTTATAAAGGACAGATTGAAACAGCTGATCTGAGTATAATCAACCCAGTTGTCAGTGAGATGGGTTTCACTTCATCCTTCACATTAGTTGATTTGGGTTTGAGTCCCAGGAAATATATATCTCTCTCTCCCTTTTTTTTTCTCTCCTTATGTACCTAGATTTTGATTTTGTATCTTTGTGTAAAACTCATCATTAATGCTTTGCTTCTCTTTGCCACACTTCTGGCCTTCAGGAAGGCACCAGGCACATCTGAGTGTGACAGTAATTATTGGTTTTCTGCACAATAAAAAAAGTTCAGAATGCTAATAATCTGTAACTACAGATTTAAGTCAAGTCGTCTAACATTCTCTATCTCCCCCTATTTCTTTTCTGCCTGCTTTGCATCTGCTATTGTTAAGCTGCTGGTGATGAGATAAGACTCAATGTTTATGGTTTAACTGAAATGTAAACTTTTAAAAAACTTGTTTAAAACTAAAGAAAAAAAGAGGTAAAAGAGAGTTTTAAAACTAAACTACCATACAGGCTACTTTATCCAAATTTGGTACACAGCTTTCCTTAGATTACTTATCAGGACAGGAAAAGTTTAGCCATATGAACAGGTTACAATTTTGTTAGAAAAATAATTTGAATCCAGCTATATTTTATAAAATGGTGAGTTCATATTGCTGTCTTTTATAAAATGACTAGAATTCCAAGGTAAAAGCTATTGAATCTTTGTTTATGTGTATGTCCACATGTTTAGATGTGTTTATGTACATATATTATGATATATGTTTTGTCTAGCAGAATACCAAATTGGCTTATAAGTAAATGAGTACTCGCAACTTAAATCCATTGCTCTTTCGTTTCATATGACTTCAACAATTGTTGATAAATACAGACAATTTTAAAGATTTTTGGTAAAATAAAATTTAAAACTTCTTCACTATTTAGCCTTGGTCTAAATTAAGCAGGTCAGAAACTTCGTTCACAAGGTGCTTTAAGGTCATAAACTGATTCTATGACATTTTTGATAATTGTTTCACTTGTCTGTTTTACAGCTATTAGAATCTAGGTAAGGCCTGGAGACATGTGAAGTTAGCTATGTGCCCTGGCTAGGCTGGGAAGACTCAGATACTGTCTGCAGCTCTGTCCTTGTTCTGGGCTCTGCAATCTGATACATGGTTAAAATTTTTACTAACCAAGTTTTTCACTAAAATTAAAAGTTGTTAAGAGATAATATTGTAACATTTCTAAGTGAGACTACTGGAAAAACAGTTTTACATGTAAAGTATGTAAAGTAAAAAGTGTTTTTTTAATAAAAGGTCACAAAAAGGTATTGAAATATGGCTTTTGTTATAGGAAAAATAATTTTCTTGAATTTAGAGGCTTATACAGATCATCCTAAATTCAAAGAATAATACTACAGAACTAAAGTTTTAGCAGGTTATAAAAGATGTATAAAAGTTTAATCTTATAAGGAAAGTTAGGTGTGGAAGAAAGCTAGCCAAAATTTGAAGGGGATTTTTTAGGTTATTTTTTTCTGTCTTTATTAGGTCTTGTTATTTGGAAAGCTGAGTCACCCTTGTATAAATAACTAAAGGATTTCACTTTTTTGAAATGTTTGAGTTAGCACTTTGGCTAAATAAATAACCTGAGATCCTATTTTGTGATGTTGAGTGTTTTAAACCTTTGATATTTGACAAAATTTCTAAAATCAAGTCAAAAAGAGACATTTGGCTTATATAACATATTAAAATTATACAAGAAACATTGTCAAGTGTAAAATAAATGTTTGGCTTTGATGGAGGAATGTTTGAATAAAAGTATTATTAATATGTGTTCCAGAATTCCACAGGACTCCGTTATTTTGGATATGTCTCAATTATAATATTTTCAGTAATATTTATGTTTACGTTAAATTGTTGTATATCATAAAATAACCAAATTTTATTTTCAGTTGTGTCATTAACCATGGTTGTTCTGAAATTTTTGTCATCTGCAATTGTTGTTTTACTTTTTGATCCTTCTCAGAAAGTGGTTTTATAATCAGCTGTAGGTCTCTGACAGTTGCTCTTGAATGCAGGTTTCTAATAACTAGAGATTGGGCCATTAGGATAGAGCAAAAAACTTCAAAGTCCCTCTTGAAGCACTAATATGTTTCTAAATATTGATTAAAACAAGAGTTACCTGCATGAACTAAACTAATAGAAGTTTTAAAAAAAACTTCTTATGACTGTGTTTTCTCTAATTGCTATTGCTTTTTTTGTTTTGTTTTTCAGAGCCAAAACACTTTTTTTTTAGTTTTTTTTTACAGCTTTCAACAATAGAGGAAAATATACTCCTAGAAGCAAAATTTAGAACATACTTCTTTATCTCTACCAAATTTCTCCAGAATATAAAAACTATTTTTGTGTATTCTTAACTTATGTCAATACAGTTTTTAGCATAAGTGAAATAAGAATCAATTTTCTTTTCTAACAAGACACATTTAGAGACTTGTGTTTTTACCAAAGCTTTAACTGCAATGGCATGCTTTATAAATTGAAGATGACTTATAGACCTGATAAAAACCCTTTGGAAAAACTGGCCTCATACCTTGAGTATATAGTCCTTGTACAGGATTTCCCACCTGTGGTAAGTAAAGAATGGCACTTTCTAACAGGTCTAGAAACCCCAAGTTATATTGGGATCTCAACAGGACAGGCATTCACCCAATTCATACAGGTATTTGCAGGCACAGATAAATCTGTGGCTTGGCTCAAGGCTTGAAAACATCTAATCTGAGATCCCTTATGAAAATGAGTTTCAGCAAAGTGAAGTTGAAAAAAAAAACAAACAAAACAAAACAAAACAGAATGACTATAAATCTATATGTCAAATATTTTTTCTTGGTACACTTTATGCAAAGAAGCAAGGCCACTATAATAACATTAAAACTTATTTTGCAAACAAATTGGTCCTATTAGTTTTGTCTAAAAATGGGAAACTGGAGAGAGAAAAATAATGTTTCAAAAAACACTATAATAAAACTGTTCTTAGATTTCAGCCTTTTCCATTGTTTTTGAGTTTTTTGAATTTTTTCTATAATTTAGACTACATCTCAAGTTATTTCTGGGCTACCAGTCTCCTAACTTACATTTCCAAGTTTTTCTGCAGACCAAAATAACACTAATGGCTGAAGCTTATTTCTTATAATAGAGGTGAGCCCATGGAGGACCTCAAGTACCTGTTCAAGAAGGCCAGTTTACAGACAAATATATTACCTGTCTCTAAGTCTGATGATTTTCCTGATGATATTGATTGCCTTGCGGATATTTTGTGACTTTTCTTAGCCCACTCCCCTGGACAAAAATTTCCTTTGTCCTTGTTGGGTATAGGGAAATAGACCATGCTGCTCAGCAAGGCTGTAATCCCTTTCCTTCCTTGACTGTTAGAAGGGAAAATGATAGCAGTTTAATGCCTTGATCCCAACAATACTGGCAGTGATTGGGCTGTGATATATATTGCACCACCCCACCAAAAAATCAAAGTATTCTCCAATAGCCTTGATAGTACGTATCGGCCAACAAGAAAGTCAAAGCAAGCAGTTGGTATTCTAATTAATGAAATAGTAACCTTAATTGATTCCTTGATAGGACTAGCCAGGGAAATAGTTTACAACAATACCGTCACACAAAATGTTACAGTCATTATATCCACAGTGGCAGCTGGAATGGGACAGAATGTTAAGCTCATACAAAAGTTGTTAGACTCCCTGGCTTCAATGATCCTAGACCATCAATTAACCTTTGATTACTTACTGACTAAAAAAAGAGAATTATGTGCTATTACAAATATATCCTATTATTTCTACATTAATGTTACTGGAGAAATAGAACAAAGGACAGGACTCATCCTCCAACAGGCTACATGGCTATTGTTATGGGTTGGCTGTGTCTCCACCCAAATCTCATCTTGAATGGTAGCTTCCATAATTCCTACATGTGTGGGAAGGACCCAGTGGGAGACAACTGAATCATGGGAACAGTTCCTTCCCTACTGTTCTCTTGGTAGTGAATAAGTCTCAGGAGATCTGAAGGTTTTATAAGGGGAAACCTCTTTCCCTTGGTTCTCCTTCTTTCTGGTCTGTCACCACGGAAGGCATGCCTTTACCTTCCACCATGATTTTGAGGCCTCCCCAGCCACGTGGAACTGTGAGTCCATTAAACTTTTTTGTTTATAAATTACCCAGTCTTGTGTATGTCTTTATCAGCATGTGAAAATGAACTAATACAGTAAATTGGTACCAATAGAGTAGAGCACTGCTGTTAAGATACCTGAAAATGTGGAAGTGGCTTTGGAACTGGGTAAAAGGCAGAGATTAGAGCAGTTTGGAGGGCTCAGAAGAAAACAGAAAAATGAGGGACAGTTTGGAATTTCCTAGAGACTTGTTGAATGCCTTTGACCAAAACACTGATAACAGTATGGACAATGAAAACACGTCCAAAGTAGTCTCAGATGGAGATGAGGAACTTGTTGGGAACGAGAATAAAGTTGACTCTTGTTATGTTTTAGCAAAGCGACTGGTGGCATTTTGCCCCTGCTCTAGAAATTTGTAGAACTTTGACTTGAGGGAGATGATTTATCTGGTTATCTGGCAGAAGAAATTACTAAATTTCTAAATTTCTAAGCAGCAAAACATTCAAGAGGTGTCTTTGGTGCTGTTAAAAGCATTCAGTTTTAAAACGCAAACAGCATAAAGGTTTGGAAAATTTGTAACCTGATGATGCCATTGAAAAGAAAAACCCATTTTCTGGGGAGAAACTGAAGCCGGCAACAGAAACGAGCAAAGTAATGAGGAGCCAAAAGTTAATCACCAAGACAATGGGAAAAAAATGTCCCCAGGACATGTCAGAGAGCTTTTTGGCAGCTCCTCCCATCACAGGCTAAGAGACCAAGGAGAAAAAATGGTTTCTTGGGCCAGGTCCAGGGCCTCACTGCTATGTGCAGCCTAGGGACTTGGTGCCCTGCATCCTAGCCACTCTAGCCATGGCTAAAAGGGGCCAAGGTACAGCTCGGTCTGTGGCTTCAGAGGGTGCAAGCCCCAAGCCTTGAAAGCTTCCACATGGTGTTGAGCCTGTGAGTGCATAGAAGTCAAGAACTGAGGTTTGGGATCATCCACTTAGATTTCAGAGGATGTGTGGAAATGCCTGGATGTCCAGGAAGAAGTTTGCTGCAGAGACAGGACCCTAATGGAGAACCTCTGACAGGCCAGTGCAGAGGGGAAATGTGGGGTTGGAGCCTCCATACAGAGTCCCAGCTGGGGCACTGCCTAGTGGAGCTGTCAGAAGAGGGCCACCATCCTCCAGATCCCAGAATGGTAGATCCACCTACAGGTTGCACTGTGCACCTGGAAAAGCCACAGACACTCAATGCCAGTGCAAGAAAGCAGCCAACATGGGGCTGTACCCTGCAAGCCACAGGGGCGGAGCTGCCTAAGACCATGGGAACCTACCTCTTGCATCAGCGTGAACTGGATATGAGACATGTAGTCAAAGGAGATCATTTTGGAGCTTTAAGATTTGACTGCCTGCTGGATTTTGGATTTGCATGGGGCCTGTAGCCCCTTTGTTTTGGCAAATTTCTCCCATTCAGAATGGCTGTATTTACCAAATGCCTGTATCTCCATTGTGTCTAGGAAGTAACTAACTTGTTTTTGACTTTACAGGCTCATAGGTAGAAGGGACTTGCCTTGTCTCAGATGAAACTTTGGACTGTGGACTTTTGAGTTAATGCTGAAATGAGTTAAGACTTTGGAGGACTGTTGGGAAGGCATGATTGGTTTTGAAATGTGAGGACATGAGATCTGGGAGGGGCCAGAGGTGGAATAACATGGTTTGGCTGTGTCCCTATCCAAATCTCATCTTGAATATCAGCTCCCGTAATTCCCACATGTAGTGGAAGAGACCCAACCCAGTGGGAGGTAATTGAATCATGGGGGCAGTTTTCTCCCTACTGTTCTCCTGGTAGTGAATAAGTCTTACGAGAGCTGATGGTTTTATAAGGAGAAACACTTTTCACTTGGTTCTCATTGTCTCTTGTCTGGCACTGTATGAGACATGGCTTTCACCTACCACCATGACTGTGAGGCCTCCCCAGCCATCTGGAACTGTGAGTCCATTAAACCTCTTTTTGTTCATAAATTACCCAATCTTGGGTATGTCTTTATCTGTGGTAAGAAAATGGACTAATACAGCTATATAATTTTAATAACCCCTCTGCTAAAACCATCTGGGACTCTATTAAAAAATCTACCAAGCATTAGTGGTTCCTGCCTTTTCTGGGACCAGTGATAATCATTTTATTATTATTTTTTTTGGCTCCTGTCTTTTTACCTTTTGGTAAAGTTTATATCTTCCAAGCTCCAATGGTTCCACATATAGCTGATGAAGTCACAAGCATTTCAACTCATACCATCCCAAGGGGAGTCTAGTCACTATAAATCAATAGATCAGTCAGTAAGGCATTTGCAGAACTTTCAAATTTAGTCAGGGTCGATAGCTTGGCTCACCAAGAAACAACTCCAGAAAATGAAACCTCTGATTCTTTTCCTTAAGAATAAGGAACATAAAATCTCTCAGGGGGAAATGAGACAGATGAGGCATGGGACTCATTCCCCAACCTTTTGCCTTACTGAAGACTTCTAATGCAAGCTGATGGTCGGGTGGGGCATGGGCAGCAGGCACCCCAACCAGATCATTCAGACCCTGCATCATAAATCTTAAGGCTCCTTACCCATTGATTGTAGGACCTTGAAGAGACCAAAATTGGCAGCTTCCATCATAAATCTTACTCAAGGGAGTAAAAGGCAGAGTCCTATCACAAATTTTACCCAAGGGGGATAACTCTATCTGCCATATGCACCCAAGACCAGAAGAATGATTGGTATTTCCCTGTTGTTCATTATAATACTAAAAATCACACCCAGGGGTGCAGACTTAACATACTAATGAGTTATGCTATGCATGAAGAAGTATGTTACCAGACTGTAAAATTGCCTGCTTTAGCCTCTTTAAAATTACTCTCTTCTCTTTAGGTAGCCAGTCAGAGAATTGTCTCATGTACTGCCTTCTTTATGTTTGGACATAAGCTCCAATAAAGCTTTGTCTGGGAAAACTCTTTTGGTCTTGAGTCAATTTCTATTGCATTGAAAGCCCAAGAACCTGTGTCCCCACCCAATTCTCATCTCAAATTGCAATCACGGGTTGAGGGAGGGACCCAGTGGGAAGTGATTGGATCATGGGGGTGGTTTTCCCCATGCTGTTCTTGTGATAGTGAGTTCTCAGGAGAGCTGATGGTTTTAAAGTGCAGCACTTCCTCATGTGCTCTCTCTCTCCCTCACCTGCCACTGTGTAAGACATGCTTTGCTTCCCCTCTCCCTTCCGCTATGATTGTAAATTTTCTAAGGCCTCCCCAGCCAGGCAGAATTGTGAGTCAATGAAACCTCTTTTATTTATAAGTTATCAAGTCTCAGGTAGTATTTTTATAGCAGTATGAGAACTAACTAATACAGTAACATTCCTGTCACACCACTTAAAGGCACAATAATGTAATCACCTTTGTTGGGCTTGCTGAATTCTGATGTAGGAAGACCATGAAGCAAACATGTTTGTTTCAGTATTCCAATTAAGATGATTACAGATCTAATTTAATTCAGAGCTCATTTAATAAAAAATAACAAATACATTTGAAATTAATCTAGGTGGTAAAAATTAATAGAAGTTAATGCCCTTTGGATAAGTATACTGCAATGCTGAAGAAGAGAAATTACCAAGAAAGATGAACCTGGTTGCCATAAACTTTGATTATAATGTGAGAAGGAGGAGGTATATGAATTGATAGTTTAGAACATCATACAGTTGATGTTCTTGTAGGTATTTATGGAAATGCCACTGGGTCATTGTAATTAAATGTTTGGGAAAGATAAGCAGCCTTTTAAATGCCAGTGGTGCATCCCTAATCAACTATTCCGGAAATTATCTCATTAAACAAGTTAGCTAGATCATAAATGTATTATGCCACACTAAAATCACTGTCTTTGAAAGGTATAGGCATATTTAGATAGATAGTATTTTAAAATTCTATCACTCATATATTATTATTTGATTTGGGTGTACATTTTGCAGTTAACTTAATCATGAACATGCTCTGGGACAGATAACTCCTCAGATTTGATTCAGTTGTAAGAATCATATAAAGGTAGAAAATTGTTTCGTGGTTGTTCATAACAGCATCTACATCAAGGTCATCTTTTTCATCTTTTGTGAGTTTTATCTCAAGAATTCAGTTAAGTAATTGTTGGAACACATGCATGAATAAAAATAAATTTTTAATATTTTAACACTTTGAGGGTATCTATGTTTCCACTATTTATGAAAAAATGAAACAGTTTTTAGAACATGTATAATTTAGAGTCCTTGATTTTCATAAGGAGACATTATTTAATTCTTCTACTTGCCTGATACTCATGGCATATCAACATTACTTTGATGAAAAACATTAAATCTCTTTGGATTAAATGCCTGCAGGTAATATCAAGTATGATTTACCTCTCACAAGCCTATTACACATGTTTAGGAAAGACGTTAAAAAAACAGTATTTCGAACAATTAATGCTGTAGTTGTGTTAACCTGTGTAACTGAATCAATCCATATCATCAATATGCTATGCTGCATAATTCTGTTATTTCAATGACTGTTTTAAAATTCTCCACCCTTGACATTCTAATCTGCCATTGTATTGGTTTTTATTAATAATAAAAATAGTAAATATTTATTGAAAATTCTTGATATGCCATGTGTTCAGCTTAATCTTGGTATTAATTAACTTGTGAGTCTCCAAAATAGGTTATTTCATCTCCAGAGGTACAGAAAGATTTCTTAAAAAATGTGTCTTGCATGTTGCAATATTTAATTTTAAATATTTCAATTTCCTTGTGAACAACTTTCAAATGTCACATTCCCTAAGACTGAGATTTCTTAAAACACCTATACTTGGCCAGGCACAGTGGCTCATGCCTGTAATTTCAGCACTTTGGGAGGCAGAGGCAGGCAGATAGCCTGAATCCAGGAGTTTAAGACCAGCCTGGACAACACGGTGAAACCCTGTCTCTTCCAAAAAAGAAAAATTAGCTCAGTAGGGTGGAGCATGCCTGTAGTCCCACGTATTTTTGGGAAGATTAAGTGGGAGGATCACCTGAGTCCAGGGACTTTGAAGATTGCACCATTGCACTCCAACCTGGGGAACAGAGTAAGACCTTGTCAAAACAAAACAAAACAAAAACAAAAACAAAAATCCCTATTACTTGCTCATTCCCCTATTCTCTTTCCCTTTTACAATAGTCTTTTTCCATATCTTGAAACTAAAGGTAGAATTTGTCACTTTCCACAAATCATAAAATGGTTCACAAAAAGAATATTTCAAAATATTTGTTATATATTAAAAGTAATAATATGCACATTAAATACCTTATTTAACAAATAATTTTCACAATTCAGATGGCTGACATTGTTTTCAAAAGTTTGTAAGGGAAGACTTGAATAATTGTCAGTTGATAGATATTAAAAGTAATATTTGAGAGGTGGCAAGAGGATTTCTCCAACCACACACACACACACACACACACATACACACACAGAGCTGAGTTTTCAACAAAATCATAACTTTTCTTTAACTCATTATAGAGTTAAAGTCACAGGAAATAATGTATCCTGAAATTGAAATACAAATCCTGTCAAGGAGAGATTGGATACAAGCGCTTACACATCTAATGCAGTGCATTGGAGAAAGGAATGCCAAGTGCACATAAAATATGGTAAGAACAATGCAGTTAAATTGTTAAGAAAATTACTAAATGCTGGCTTCAGGCTAGGATGAGAGTATAGAAAACTGAGCCACAGACAACAGGGAAATTTATACTCACTCGAAGACTCTTCTCCAAAAACCTCATGATTGGCTCACAAGAAACACTGGCTGACAGAGGGATAGAAAATCCCTCGTGCTGCAGACCTGGGAGAGGAAAGCATCAGGCCCTGGGAGAAAGAACAAACAAGCTCCACCCGTAGTCTTCACTACAGAAGACTTAAAACTACTAGGTAGCAAACTCTGTCACCCTAATGGCAGATGGAGAAAATCCACTGGGACAAAGAGAAGGGGAAATACAATGAAACACTTCTATTCCCAGGAAAGAGACAGGAAATACTTTTGGGGCCAGATTATTGGAGGTACCCAATCACTGTATAGGAGCAAGATCAATTAGAAAGTCCCATTTTCAAGATTCAGAGACATAGACCCTGAATATAGGTAGACACAAGCCCTGATTAAATTTAGGCTGAATGAAACAACAAAAAAACACTCTGCTATCTCCACCCTATTTTTAAAAAGCTAGCAAGTTCTAGGAAACACACCACAGCAGCCTATCACTGAGTTAGACACGAGAAGAAGAGCAAATCTTTCTGAAAAATCAGGCTCACAGGAACAGCTTAAAGCTAAGGGTGAAATGGGATCTTTATGTAGAACTCTTGAGTACCCAGCCCCTGAGCTATAGGTCAGGGTAAAGCCAGAGGATTTGAAGCAAGTAATGCACTGAGGTTAATCATAGGAAAACCTAAACCCACCCAGAAAATCTCAGATTGTGGTATTCTCCATTTAAAAAGTCACTTAATAGTTGACATTTTTTTTTCTTATCGCTTTTTCTGCATGCTTGCTACTCAGAGCAATGTTGATCAGTTATCTTTATCTGATGTTTCCTCTGAAAGACCAGACCTGCATTATAGGTCATTAAAGAATTTAATGTTCTAAGGAGAACATTGAGGAGAGTCTACCGGCATAGTCAAAAGGAAGATGGGGCACATTGTATGTGCCTATGTGGTACTATGTGGCCTTGTCTCCTTGTGATAATGTAAAGTCTAGATTCAGAGATGAATATTCCTAGTTGCATAGGCCAACATGTCACTACCTCAGAAGGGAAGATTTAAAGAATCTGAGAATGATTGGATCTCTTTGCCATTAAACCTCTAACTATAACATACTTAAACTAGAAATTATTCATAGAAAGATATTTAAAAGATATATATATTTAAATTAAACAACACATATTTCTAAGTAAATAATCAGTCAAAGAATATATGACAGGCATATTATATTTTAATTGAATAAAAATGAAAGCAAAATATATTAAAATTTATAGTGTGCAGTTAAATGATAGCACTAAATGCTTTTTTAGAAGACAGTCCTCACATAAATGATCTAAGTTTGTTAAATAATCTAGAAGAAAAGAAGAGCAAATAAAACCCTAAAAAGGGCAAGAAAAGAAATATCAAAGAACAATTTATCTGTGATATTAAAAATAAAGTCTAAAAGGAGAAGAAGAAAAATCAAAGAAAGCAAAAACTGGTTCTCTGAAAATATCACTAAAATTGAAAAAATTCTCACCAGAGTCACCACAAAAAATACAAGACAAAAACTACAAATACTAGGAAGAAAAGAAGATAAATTACCACACATCTTACCAATATTAAAAGGATAATAAAGCTGGGTGTGGTGGCTCATGCCTGTAATCCTAACAACATTTTGGGAGGTCAAAGGTGGGTAGATTGCTTGAGCTGAGGAGTTCAAGAACAGCCTGAACAACATGGTGAAATATCATATCATCAAAAAATATCCCCCCAAATTTAGCCGGGGGTGGTGGTGCATGCATGCAGTCCCAGCTGCTCAGGAAGCTGAAGTGAGAGGAACACTTGAGCCCAGGGAGGTCGAGGCTGCAGTGAGCAATGATAGCTCCACCACGCTCCAGCCTGGGCAACAGAGTGAGACCCCATCTAAAAAAAAAGGACAATAAGAAAATATAAACAAATTCATGCTTATTGACTAGAAAATTTCAAGGAGATGATATAATTCCTAAGAAGTTCAAAACTAGCAATTCTCATTCAAAAAGTAATAATCTGAATAGTTCTACATGAATAAAGACATTAAATCTTTGTTCAAAAGTATTCAAACTAAGGAAACTCCAGGCTATATGCCCTTCCTGCTGAATTCTATCAAAAATTTAAAGAAGGAAAAGTATCAATTCTATATAAACTCTTCCAGAAAATGAAAAAGGAGAAAATCTTTTCTAAATTATTTTAGGAGACTATTCCTTCCTTCATTCAAAATTTAGACAAAATCTAACAATAAAATTACAGACTGATGTCCCTCATGGACATGTATACAAAAATTTTAAATAAAATATAGCAATACATAAAATACAAAATTCAGTTACATGTGAAAAGGATAATATGATACATTGTAACCAAACTTGGCTTCTCCCAGAAAGGCAAAGCTGGTTCAATATTTGAAAATTAAACAACAGAATTCACCATTAACAGACAAAAGATAAAAACACATATAATAGATGTAGCAGAGTCCCCTAACAAGACTCAACATTCATTTATAATAAAAAGTCAAAGCAAACTGAGAATAGAGAGGAATATCTTCAATCTAGTCAACAGCATCAAAAGCAATAAACAAATAAACTACAGTTAACATCACTAAGACTGGTTTTTCCCAAAGTTTGGAACAAGGTAAGAATATGTACTCTCACTACTAAGTAAATACTTCTATTCAATATCATACTGGAGGTCCTAGCTAGTGCAATCAGACAAAAAATATAGATAAAAGGTGTATGTGCTGGAAGGGAAAAATTAAAATTGTCTCTTCACAGCTAACATTTTTTATGTAAAAAATTCCACAGGATTTACAAAAGAAAAGCTATTTGAATTATTAAGTAAATGTAAGGGTTTCACAACATGACAGCATGCAAAATCAATATGCAAAAATCAATTATACTTTTAAACACTAACAAGTTAATTGAAAATTAAAATTTTTAAGTACAACTTACATATTACCAAATATATGAAATAGTTATGTATATCAAGATATAAAAGATTGATGAAAGAAATCAAAAGAGTAATAGAGATACATACTAATTTTACATATTGGAAATCCCAATTGTGGCAATCTCCCCAGTCTGCATTATGAATATTTTACAATCTCAGTAAAAATGAAGGCTGAAATTGTTTTTATAGAAATCAACAAATTCCTTTGAAAGAAACTAGAATATCCAAAATAAATTGAGAAAGAACTAAGTTAGCCTTACACTGCACAATTTCTTGAGTTAATCTAACTCTATAGTTTACTAGATATAGTATGTATTGCCAAAAGAATAAACACATATCAACAGAACAAAATAAAAAGTCTGGAAATTGATCCATAGATGTAGTCAATTAATTTCAATTAATTTTTTCAAATTCTGTTATGGATGCAGAGCAACTAGAATTCTTATAGCTTGACAGTGGAAATCCAAAATAATACAGTCACTTTGGGAAACAATTTGACAGTTGATTATACAGGTAAACATCTACTTAACGTGTGTACCAACAGTTTACCTTCTAAATATTAGCCAAGTAATATGAAAATTTATGACCATTCAAAAACCTATATAGTAATGTTTACAGCAGCTTTAATAGCAATTATGGAAAACTGGAATCACTCCAAATGCCCTACAACTGC
Source organism: Homo sapiens (assembly GCF_000001405.40). Taxonomy (NCBI): domain Eukaryota; kingdom Metazoa; phylum Chordata; class Mammalia; order Primates; family Hominidae; genus Homo; species Homo sapiens. Next base: position 96,347,443 of record NC_000003.12, read on the forward strand.
TTAATGGATAAACCATTAAGGTACATCATAAAATGGAATTACTCAACAATAAAAACCACACACTACTGATATATACAACATAATTGAACCACAAATATATGATGCTAAATGACAGAAAGACTAAAAATGGTTGTACACAGTATGATCCATTTCCATGACATTTAGGAAAAGGAAAAACTTTAAGAAAATAGATGACTATTTGCCTGAGGCTGTGACTAAACAGCGGTTTTACCTACAAACGTCCACAGAAAGAGTGAAGGGCAGAGACAACGGAGCTGTCATAGATCTGGTCGTAGTTACATGACATTATATGTTTTGGAAAACTCACAAAATTGAACACAAAACCAGTGACATTTTACAGCCTGTAAATTGAATATCAATTAAAAATATAAAAAAATGATATTCATTGATAAACTAATCTGTGATTTTGGCTAAAATCTTGGAAGAAATTTAAAGAGTTTATGATGTTGTTATAATGAAATTCCTTTCATTTCTATATACTTATTTGAACAATATTTTCTAGTTGCTTGTATTATAAAACTGAACTACAGAAATAGAATTTTAACTAAATCTATCTTATTGCACCATTAAGTGAAAATTTGTCATGGATACACAAATTAATTGTGAAACAAAATTATAAATTTTTAAATGGCATTATAAATATTATTAATATTTATAATATAATTAATCTCATAATAGATGCATTTCCAAAAAAATTCATGTGTAATATTTGCCTATCACTAAATAATATATTGAAGATTTGTCAGTTAATATATTAATATCAATGATATAAAGTATATAATTTATATAACAAATTTGCTTAAAACAATAGGTTCTATATAATTAATATATGATCATAATATAGTTATATTTAAATAATATATGATATATAGATAAATATATAATATGGAAATATATAACTTTTAATTATATTTTCACCATATTATTTTCAAATGTGTATAATATATTAACATATAATACATAATATATTAATCTATAAATACTAATAATGTTTTTTATCATGAATTCATTAGAAAGGTATGCTACATTGATAAAAATATTAATCATAAAATTTACATTAAGATAAAATTTTACCAAAAAGTGAAATGAAAGAACAAGTTTAATTTCCTCTGTTTTATAGTTAAAACAAGAGGAAAAACAATCAAAACCACAGAATAATAGAGAAATTAGTTAATTGGATCATTGTTAGTTAGCAACAGGCAATACTAGGGCTAATTGAATCTAACACTTATACCCATGTTCTCATTTTCTTCTTCAATATACTGGAATATTTTTCACAAAGGATCTATGTAGGAAAAAAGTATGAAAGAAGGTGTTTTTGGCTTTTGTTGCTCATTTTTAGAAATCAATTATATACTTTGCATTGTCTTTCAATTCACCTTATATAAGAAAGATTTCTACTGCTAATTATTTTAGAATTATTGACATGGATAAAATCTGCTAATCTTAATCATGTGTTGCAACTTCTCAGCTTCTTTTTTTTTCCTTTGGATACAATTGAAGTTACATAACCTTTAATTTTCATTTTTGCCTTTTCTGGTAGAAAATTCAAAATAAAAGGTAAAGATAAATTGCTAAAGACTGCTTCAGCTTGAGTTGTACCTGTTTCTTCATGTATAGATATTCAACACAAGTGTGGGTATGTGTGAGTGTCAAAATTTGTCAAGAAGCATATATAGTGTCATATTTCTTATTTAAGATATTTTAATTAGTTATCACAATAATCCTTCAAGGAAGGTATTTTAACAATAAGTAAATCTCAAAACCTTTTTTGATGTTCTTCTTTATGAAATGGCCTTTTAAGTTACATTACTACGTTAGCCTTATACTGAAATTTAAGTATAGACCACCTCAGATTTAAAGAGTAAGTTGAAAACAAATAAACAAATAAAAAGGATCTTTCGGCAGACGCCATTATCCTCTGTTTCTCTGCTGCACCGACCTCGACGCCTTGCCTGTGGCCCACTTGTTCACTGACTATAGGCTACTGCAGCACTGGGGTGTCAGTTGTTGGTCCCACCCAGAACGCTTCAGTTCTGCTCTGCAAGGATATATAATAACTGATTGGTGTGCCCATTTAATAAAAGAATATGTAAACTGAACAGCCGGAAGAAACCTTCCCGAACACTGAAACCAATGGTGAATTTGGTAAACACCCTGCAGAAGATATGGAAGAGTAACAAGCATTTAAAAGATCTAGAAACACTGATGAGATGGTTGAATTACGCATTCTGCTTCAGACCAAGAATGCTGGGGCAGTGATTGGAAAAGGAGGCAAGAATATCAAGGCTCTCCGTACAGACTACAATGCCAGTGTTTCAGTCCCAGACAGCAGTGGCCCCGAGCACATATTGAGTATCAGTGCTGGTATTGACACAATTGGAGAAATTCTGAAGAAAATCATCCCTACCTTGGAAGAGGGCCTGCAGTTTCCATCACCCACTGCAACCAGCCAGCTGCCGCTCGAATCTGTTGCTGTGGAATGCTTAAGTTACCAACACTATAAAGGAAGTGACTTTGACTGCGAGTTGAGGCTGTTGATTCATCAGAGTCTAGCAGGAGGAATTATTGGGGTCGAAGGTGCTAAAATCAAAGAACTTCGAGAGAACACTCAAACCACCATCAAGCTTTTCCAGGAATGCTGTCCTTATTCCACTGACAAGAGTTGTTCTTATTGGAGGAAAACCCGATAGGGTTGTAGAGTGCATAAAGATCATCCTTGATCTTATATATGAGTCTCCCATCAAAGGACGTGCACAGCCTTATGATCCCAATTTTTATGATGAAACCTATGATTATGGTGGTTTTACAATTATGTTTGATGACCGCTGTGGACGCCCAGTGGGATTTCCCATGCGGGGAAGAGGTGGTTTTGACAGAATGCCTCCTGGTCAGGGTGGGCGTCCCATGCCTCCATCTAGAAGAGATTATGATGATATGAGCCCTCGTCAAGGACCACCTCCACCTCCTCCAGGACAAGGTGGTGAGGGTGGTAGCAGAGCTCGGAATCTTCCTCTTCCTCCTCCACCACCACCTAGAGGGGGAGACCTCATGGCCTATGACAGAAGAGGGAGACCTGGAGACTGTTACCATGGCATGGTTGGTTTCAGTGCTGATGAAACTTGGGACTCTGCAATAGATACATGGAGCCCATCAGAATGGCAGATGGCTTATGAACCACAGGGTGGCTCCAGATATGATTATTCCTATGCAGGGGGTCGTGGCTCATATGGTAATCTTGGTGGACTTATTATTACTACACAAGTAACGATTCCCAAAGATTTGGCTGGATCTATTATTGGCAAAGGTGGTCTGCAGATTAAACAAATCCGTCATGAGTCGGGAGCTTCGATCAAAATTGATGAGCCTTTAGAAGGATTGGAAGATTGGATCATTACCATTAGAGAAACACAGGACCAGATACAGAATGCACAGTATTTGCTGCAGAACAGTGTGAAGCAGTGTGCAGATGTTGAAGGAGTATAATGCAAGATATTTTTTTCTTTTTTATAGTGTGACGCAGTATTCTGGAAAGTTTTTCTAAGACTAGTGAAGAACTACGTCTTTTTTTTTTTTGTTATCTGCTTCTGTTTAAAAAGCCAACACGCCTCTGCTTCACAGGTGTTCTGCATTTGAGGTGTAGTGAAATCTTTGCTGTTCACCAGATGTAATGTTTTAGTTCCTTACAAACAGGGTTGGGCCAGGGAAGGGTGTGCAAAAACTAACACTGAAATTTTGAAACAGCAGCAGAGTGAGTGGATTTTATTTTTTGTTATTGTTGGTGGTTTAAAAAAATTCCCCCCATGTAATTATTGTGAACACCTTGCTTTGTGGTCACTGTAACACTTGGGGGTGGGACAGGGAGGAAAAGTAACAATAGTCCACATGTCCCTGGTATCTGTTCAGAGCAGTGTGCAGAATGTAATGCTCTTTTGTAAGAAACGTTTTATGATTTTTAAAATAAATTTAGTGAACCTATTTTTGGTGGTCATTTTTTTAAGACAGTCATTTTAAAATGGTGGCTGAATTTTCCAACCCACCCCCAAACTAAACACTAAGTTTAATTTTCAGCTCCTCTGTTGGACATGTAAGTGTGTCTCTTGTTGGACATAGGCAAAATAACTTGGCAAACTTAGTTCTGGTGATTTCTTGATAGTTTGGAAGTCTATTGCTGGGAAGAAATTCCATCATACATATTCATGCTTATAATAAGCTGGGGATTTTTTGTTTGTTTTTGCAAATGCTTGCCCCTACTTTTCAATAATTTTCTATGTTAGTAGCTGTGAAGAACTAAGGTGGGGAGCAGTACTACAAGTTGAGTAATGGTATGAGTATATACCAGAATTCTGATTGGCAGCAAGTTTTATTAGTCAGAATAACACTTGGTTATGGAAGTGACTAATGCTGAAAAAATTGATTATTTTTATTAGATAATTTCTCACCTATAGACTTAAACTGTGAACTTGCTCTAGTGTCTTATTAGTTAAACTTTGTAAAATATACATATATTTGTTTTTCCATTGTATGCAAATTGAAAGAAAAAGATGTACCATTTCTCTGTTGTATGTTGGATTATGTAGGAAATGTTTGTGTACAATTAAAAAAAAAAGATGAAAAAAGTTCCTGTAGATGTTTTGTGTAGTATCTTGGCATCTGTATTGATAGTTAAAATTCACTTCCAAATAAAACACCCATGATGCTAGATTTGATGTGTGCCCAATTTGAACAAGGGTTGATTGACACCTGTAAAATTTGTTGAAACGTTCCTCTTAAGGGAATACAGTAATCTTATATAGATATATATATATACAAATCTTATACATATATATAAATCTTATATATATATATATATATATATATATAAAAAGAATCTTTCACTCTTTAAACTATAATCAAGATTTGAAGACTTGAAAGTGAGATGAAGGGAAAATAAATGTTTTTCAACATTATTTTGTTTTGTTGTAAATACAATGCACAGATTAAAATATGCTATCATAAGAGGCTGAAATGAAATCTGCCTTTTCAGTTCAAACTTGAGTTTCAGAAACAGACTATTTTTTGAATGTTAGAAGTTGATATAAAACAAATGTCAAAAAGTCTCTCTAAATGTCATGCCTATTCTTTTCAAGGTAAAATTGAATTAATTTATCTCATCAATAAACTGATGTATTTTGAACTGCAATGATATGTATATATAAGATATCTAAATTTTCTTTTGTAGAAAGAAGTATAAAAAACATTTTCTGTCATCATAAAGTGAATAATTAGTATGTATATCAATTGTTTTTTAACTGCTAATTTGAATAATAAAAAAGTTCCTGATATGGTTTGGTTTGGCTCTGTGTCCCCACACAAATCTCATGTTGAATTGTAATCCCCAGTGTTGGGGGGAGGGACCTGGTGGAAGGTGATTGGTTCATGAGGGAGTGGGGGGGGCAGGCAGATATCCCCCTTGCTGTTCCCATGACAGTGAGTGAATTCTCATGAGATTTGGTTGTTTAAAAGTGTGTAGCACTTCTGCCTTCACTCTCTCTCCTGCTACATGTGAAGACATGCTTACTTTCCCTTTGCCCTTCTGCCATGATTATAAGTTTTCTCAGGCTTTCCCAGCCATGCCTCCTGTACAGCCTGTGGAATTGTGAGTGAATTAAACCTTTTTTCTTTATAAACTACCCAGTCTCATGCAGGTTTTTATAGCAGTGTGAGAACAAACTAATACAGTCCCCAAAGGCAATACGTTAATTGCCTTAAGGTTACATACTCCTGAACATAAAATTTGAGAGTAAATGATTATTTAAATGCAAAATTTTAAAAAGACTTTTAAATTTCTTGTTTTCATTTACTGTTTGAGATATTCTAGAATTAGCATTTTTATGTACTCAAAACATTCTAAATTAATACATTTTTAGTTTCTAACCATTTTAAAAATACATGTAAAGTAAAAGCTGTGTATATTAGTTAAATGCAGAGTAGCTTGTTTTCCCCTTTGCACAGTTTTAGTAAAAATTATATATCACAGGTGCCTTAATTGGAAAGCCGAACAATTTTGACATAAACATTGTGCAAAACATCCCTGGGACTTAACATAATTTTATTTATTTAATTCTTTTTTATAAAATAAAATTCAAATTTTAGACATTTCTTTCTAGTGAATTTATTATTCTGGGGGAGAAATATGTTATACCAATATAATTTACAGTGTTTAGAAAGAAACACTTTTTATGTCTCCATAATTCAATCTAAAATTTATTATTTCAAAAGCAGATATTTTTGTAAGCAAAGCATTTGTAGAATGTATCTAATTGCCAAGGTAAGATAATTACAATACAATAAAAAGTAAGAAAATGATTTAAAGGTCATCCAGAACATCTCAAAGGAGCTAAGAACTTTACAGGTTTTTCCCACTCCCAACTGAAATCAATCTCTAATTGATTCACACACTTGTGTGCAGTTGATAGGAAACAGTCATTCCTATCTCTATTTTGTAAATGACAATCCTGTCTTTTTTTTGCTTTTATCCTTCTGAACAAACTATATGAGAATCCACTATATAATTTAGACCATAACTTGCATCGTATTTTTATTTTAAATATGTACATTTACAGTGAGTAATTGTATTATTATCTGATTATGAATTTTCCTACAGATAATTCTAGCTGAATTTGGTTTTGTTATTTTTTTATGTCTTACATGCAACCTAAATGATTACCATATCCCACCTCAACTTAATAATTTTGGAAAGAGAGTCTCAAAGGGATGTGGGTTCTGTCTACTGGAAATGTGTATTCCAAACCTTCTGCTCTCTACAAGAGGTCACTGGTAACTCTATTGTTTATCATGGCACTGACACAGAGACTAAAGTCCCATTAGGCTCAATGTCGCTACTTACACAAGAGTAAGTTGAAGAAGAAAAGACAAAGCATGCTACATGTCCTTTTATGACTATGTTTCTTACTTCGAGCATATAAGCTCATTCAAGTATTCAAATTCTACATGTAACACTTAGTTCAAAGGAGAAAAATAATAAACAATATGTACTAAATGTAAGGTGTCATTGGGGAAAAATTGTGAGGTGTCCACCCTACCATTATAGTTTAAGGTAAACACCCTCAAAGAGTAAAAACCTTACAAAAGTTATTATACTGGGTCACTTCGTGGATTTTAACCTTCTAACCTGGTCCCAGACTCTGCAATTGTCTGCAAAGGTATGTTTTTCTTTAACCTAAGTGTTACATTCCATATTCATAAGCATTAGTCTTGATCTAGGATCTATCATCCGGAAAGGTAGAGAGTAATTATTCCCTAAAAATTTGATCCAAATCTTCCAGGTGGAGACCAAATATTCCACAAAAACAAGTTTGCCATCTTTAGAACAAATATCTCCAAAAACTGTTGGGAGAGCAAGGAAGAGTGAAGGAAACTATGGCACTGCATGTTTTGCAGAAAGGTTCCAACTGTGCCCTATGAGTCAGAGTGGATCCATAGTAACAGGAATTCCAAGATTTATTTCCTTTGGGTTCATTCCAGCAGGCTGATTTGTAGCTATATTTCATTATTTTTTATTGTTCAGCCAAGTAACTTTGCACACACATACACACAAACACACACTCACTTGTGCAGACATTCATGAGTCTCTCAGTAATATTACAGTTTAAACTATAAGGAAAGCCATAAATTTTTTTTATAAGTGGGTTATAACTTACCATACTCATGATGGAGTTAATTTTTCACATGGTATCCACACCAATAGATGTCTATGGATTAATTGTATGTCTTCCAACAACTGTTCAAAATCTTAGCATTTCTCTCTACCCATTTTTCTTCCTTCATACAACATAGTCATTACTAAAAATATAACTTGTGTTTAATGTTAATGTTAAAGTTGATATTGTAAATTTATTTTTAAAATTATAAATACTGGTTTGGTACAGTGGCTCACACCTGTAATCCCAGCACTTTGGGAGGCCGAGGCAGGCAGATCACAAGGTCAGGAGTTTGAGACCAGCCTGGCCAACATAGCGAAACCCCATCTCTACTAAAAATACAAAAATTAGCTGGGCGTGGTGGCTGGTACCTGCAGTCCCAGCTAATAAGGAGGCTAAGGCAGGAGAATAGCTTGAACCCGGGAGGTGGAGGTTGCAGCGAATCGATATTATGACACTGCACTCCAGCCTAGGTGACAGAGCAAGACTCCATCTTGAAAAAAAAAAAAAGAAAAAAATTATGTGTACTAACTGATGACAATAACTAAATTGAAAAATGAGAAAGGTTTTCTTAATTTATTCAATAGTTACCTTCTTTACCAACAGGAGGGATATTTGTTAATTCTAACACAATGCTAGCACGTCTTCAGAGGGAAGCCATTGAGACTGGGTGGAGGGAAGAAACAGAGACTAGGCTGAAGGGGGAAGAAGCTGGGGACCCTACATGGGGTTACCATGCACTGAGACTTGTTCCTGGATTCCAGTGACTCTCACAGAGGGCATGAGTTGAACAGAAAAGGAGCAACTCATTCTCACCACAGGCCTCTGGAATCCCAAAAGGAGGAGACCCTTCAACCACTATGGACACTTGAGTTGGCAGGGAAAGCTACTTAAGGAAGTGGTAGGGGCAGAACTCCAGCCAGGTCAGAGCCCAGAGAATTTGGTGTGGGAGTGTCTGTGGTGGAGCACAGACAGGGATGCCCATTCTTCTAGGCTTGATTTGCTCCCATAGGAGACTTTATCCCTAGGGAAACTCTCAGACCTGAACTCTTCAGGACAGTATTGCCCATCAGACAGGGACAATCTGACATGAGCACCCTTCAGTCTGCTGGTCTCTCTTGGGACCTCAGCCTGGCCATGTTAGCTTGCAGTGAAGCCCCCAGGTACGTCCTAGGGGCCTGCATCATAAATTAAAAGGCACAGAATGCCAAGCTGGATAAAGAACCAAGACCCAATGGTATTCTACCTTCAGGAGACCCATCTCATGTTCAATGACATGAAGAGGCTCAAAATAAATGAATGGAGAAAAATCTACCAATCAAATGGAAAATAGAAAAAAGCAAGGGTTTCAATTCTAATTTCACACTAAACAGACTTTAAACCAACAAAGGTAAAAAAAGACAAACAAGGGCATTATATAATGGTTAAGGGTTCAATTTAACAAGAAGACCAATGATTTTTAACATATATTCACTCAACATAGTGGCATTCAGATTTTACAAAGCAAGTTCTTAGAGACCTTCAAATAGACTTAGACTCCCACAAAATAATACCGGGAGACTTCAACACCCCACTGACAGCATCAGACAATCATCAAGGCAGAATATTAACAAAGATATTCAAGATCTAATCTCAACACTGGATCAAATGGATCTGATAGACATCTACAGAATACTCCACCCAAAAACAATAGAATGCACATTCTTCTCATCTGCACATGGTACATATTCTACAATCAACCACACGTTTAGACATAAAAAAATCCTCAGGAAATTTTAAAAATGAAATTATACCACCCACACTCTTGGACCACAGCACAATAAAAACAGAATTCAATATGAAGAAAATCCCTCAAAACCATGCATTTACATCAAAATTAAATGACCGTCTCCTGAATGACTTTCTGGGCAAATAATGGAATTAAGGCAGAAATAAAGAAGTTATTTGAAACTAATGAGAACAAAGATACAACATACCAAAATCACTGGGACACAGCTAAGGAGTGTTAAGAGGGAAATGTGTAGTACTAAACATCCACATCAAAAAGTTAGAAAGAACTCAAATTAGCAATCTAACATCACAACTAAAAGAACTGGAGAAGCATTATTATGTAATGCAAACCAACCCCAAAGCTAACAGAAGAAAAAGAGATAATAAAAATCAGAGCTGAACTGAAGGAGACTGAGACATGAAAAACCATTCAAAAGATCAATGAAGCCAGGAGCTGTTTTTTTTTAAATTAATGAAATAGACTGCTAGTTAGACTAATAAAGAAGAAAAGAGAAAAAAAACAAATAAACAAAATCAGAAATGACAAAGAGGGTATTTCTGACTGCACAGAAATAAAAATAATCATCACAGATTATAATGAACACCTAAGATTTTTGTCAGAGCTTTTGTTCAGAATGGTATTTTCTAGGTTATATTCCGGTGTTTTTATAATTTTAGGATTTACATTTAAGTCTTTAATCCATCTTAAGTTGATTTTTGTGTAGGGTGTAAGGAAGGGGTCCAGTTTCAATCTTCTGCACATGGCTAGCCAGTTATCCCAGCACATTCATTCAACAGGGAGTCCTTTCGCCATTGCTTGTTTTTGACAGCTTTGTCATAGATCAGATGGTTGTATGTGTGTGGCCTGACTTCTGGGCTCTCTATTATGTTCCATTGGTCTATGTGTGTGTTTTTGTACCAATACCATCCCGTTTTGGTTACTGTAGCCCTCTTGAAGTCAGGTAGCATGATGCCTCTAGCTTTATTCTTTTTGCTTAGGATTGCCTTCACTATTCCAGGTCTTTTTTTGTTCCATACAAATTTTAAAATAGTTTTTTACTAGCTCTGTAAAGAACATTATTGGTAATTTGATAGGAATAGCATTAAATCTATAAATTGCTTTGGGCAGTATGGCCATTTCAACAATATTGATTATTCCAACCCATGAGCATGGAATGTTTTTCCATTTGTTTGTGTCATCTCTGATTTCTTTGAGCAGTGTTTTGTAATTCTCATTGTAGATTTGATTATTTTTGTGGCATTTGTGAATGGAATTGCATTCCAGATTTGGCTTTTGGCTTGACTGTTGTTGGTGTATAGTAATGCTAGTGATTTTTATATGTTGATTTTGTATCCTGAAATTTGATGAAGTTGTTTATCAGTTGAAGAAGCTTTTGGACCAATACTATAGAGTTTCCTAGATATAGAATTCTGTTGTCTGCAAACAGGGATACTTTGACTTCCTCTTATCTTATTTAGATACCCCTTTATTTCTTTCTCTTGCCTAACTGTTGTGTCCAGAACTTCCAATACTATGTTGAATAGGAATGAGGTGGGAGGACATCCTTGTCTTGTGCCCATGTTCAAGCGGAATGCTTCCAGCTTTTGTCCATTTAGTATGATGTTGGATTTGTCAAAGATAGCTCTTATTATTTTGAGGTAGTTTCCCTCAAAACCTAGACTACCTGATCTTCAACAAACCTGATAAAAAACAAGCAATAAGGCAAGAATTCCCTATTCAATAAATGGTGCTGGGAGAACTGGCTAGCCATATGCAGAAGATTGAAACTGGATCCCTTCCTCACACTATAAGCAAAAATCAACTTAAGAAGGATTAAAGACTTAAATGTAAATCCTAAAATTATAAAAACATTGGAAGATAACCTAGGAAATATCATTCTTGACAAAAGCTCCAACAAAAATATTAGGATGATGATGCTAAAAGCAATTGCAATAAAAACAAAGATTGACAGATGGGCCCTAATTAAACTAAAGAGCTTCTGCACATCAAAAGCAACTATCAACAGAATAAACAGAAAACCTACAGAATGAGAGAAATAACTGCAAACTACGCATTTGACAAAGGTCTAATATCCAACATCTGTAAGGAATTTAAAGAAATTTACAAGAAAAAAAGCAAACAACCCCATTAAAAAGTGGGCGAGAGACATGAACAGACATTTTCCAAAGACACAAATGCAGCCAACCAAGCCTGTGAAAAAGTTCTCAATATCACTGATCATTAGAGAAATGCAAATAAAAACTGTGAGATACCATCCCACACTAGTCAAAATGGCTATTACCCAAAAGTCAAAAAATAACAGATGCTGGCAAGATTGTGGAGAAAAGGGAATGCTCATACATTTTTGGAAGGAGTGCAAATTAGTTCAGTCATTGTGGAAAGCAGTAAGGCAATTCGTCAAAGAGCCAAAAAAGGGACTAAGAATTGACAGCAAACTTGTTACTGTATATATGCCCAAAGTAATATAAATTGTTCTGTATAAAGACACACACATACGTGTATGTTCATTGCAGCACTGTTCAGAATAGCAATGACATGGAATCAACCTAAATGCCTATCAATGGTAGACTGGATAAATAAAATGTTGTACATATATACCATGGAATACTATGTAGCCATAAAAAGAATGAGATCATGTCCTTTGCAGGAACATGGATGGAGCTAGAGGCCATTATCCTGAGCAAATTAATGCAGGAACAGAAAACCAAATATCACATTTCTTATTTACAAGTAGGAGCTAAATAATGAGCATGAACACAAAGAGAGGAACAACAGAGACCTGCCAGAGGGTGGAAGGTGGGAGCAAGGAGAGGAACAGAGAAAATAACTATTGAGTACTAGGCTTCGTACCTGGTAATGAAATAATGTGTACAACAAACCCCTGTGACACAGTTTACCTATAAAACAAACCTGTATGGTACCCCTGAATCTAAAATAAAAGTTTGAAAAAGTAAAATAAAAGTAAAAATAAAAGCATAAGTGCATATAAATCAATATAGCATAGGTTTAAATCCTGTTTTTCCCACTTACTATTCTGGTCAGATATCCCATGAAGCAGTGGGTAGGAGGACAGGAAAAAGCTCATACGGCCACTAGAAATACATGTGTGACTAGGTAACCTCATATTCGAAATTCATAGTTTACCCGTGAGAATTTGATTACTGAAATGGAATAATGATAAATAATACAAAATAAATTAACTATGGAGATGTTACCTTAAAAAAATGTTGGGGCTAGGTGCGCAGATTATATACAATCATTGCTTCTTCCTCAGCTACTGGGCTTGAGGTTGGCAAAGCCAATGGTTGTGAAGGAATGGTGAACGTAAAGTGAGGCAGGGGGAGCAAAGAGAAATGGAACCTTCAAGGAGGAGCCGAAAATTGGGTCAGCCTCTCATTGCCTCCTTGCCTTCATCCCTATGTTGCAGATGAACTTCAGGAGAAGCTTTCCTCACAGAGATAAGCACAGACTTGAACCAGGATCCAAAGAAACTCAAGGAAGGGATGCAACAAAACACGGAGAAATTGAGAGCCTGGCTACTAATGCTGCAGTGTTGCATGCTCTGGCCAAGGACTTAGAAAAGCTGAAGGAGTATAATCAGTGAGAACTGGAAGAACTCTAAGGTGAGCTGCTTTTTCACAACAACCAATAAGCCAGCAGATCAGTGACAATGTGCACAAGCAGTAGAAGCTTCACAGCACCCTGTTCCAACATTCCCAGTATACAAAAATATGGCTGCCCTTTACATGCACATTTCAAATTATGCACACAATTTGTTCTGTGGCTAATACTGTATTGGAGCTATGCAGCAAAGCTTATGCCTAGAACATTTCACTACTAATTTAACTAAGTTGACTTTTTTTTTTTAATCTTTTGGTTTTTGGTCTGCTTTCAGACCACAGCAATCATCAACACAGAAGACTGCTGTTATAAAATGTAGGTGGGTGGGGTTCTCCTCACCACCAAGCAAGCAATAAATTCTGCAGCGGACATTAACTGGGTGTTCTACAATTCAGTTCCAACACTAGCTAGAGATAGGATCAGATCCCTCAGATTGAGAGTTCAGTCCTGATGTATGCCCCCCACTAGAGATCTATTACGAGTCCTAGACTCCAGAACTTCTGACCAACCGTCTTCAAGTCAAAGTTTCCATGACTCCATCTTTGGCTTTCATTAATTTTCTGAAGCAGTTCAAAGAACCCAGAAAAACTCTTACTTTTGTTTACCAGTTTATTTTAAAAGATATTACAAAAGATACAGGTGAAAAGATGCACAGGACAAAGTATGAGGGAAGGGGCACCTAGGTTCCCTAAACCTCCTTTGGCAAGTCATCCTCCAGGAACCTCCACTTGTTCAGCTCTCCAGAAGTTCTTCAAACCCTGTCCTTTGGGGGTTTTATGGAGGCTTAAATAGGTGTGACTGACAACCATGCAGCCTTTTTGTCCAATCACATATAGAGGTGTCCACATGTAGCTGTGTGATTGCATCAAAAGGGCACATGGCTATTACTATGATTTCATCCTATATGTATGGGGCAGGACTGCTCTGGAATAAGGATCTTTTAAACCAAAAAAAGATTAGAGTCCTATCTTGGCCAAATAAAAGGACAGGAGAATTTCAGAGAGAGAAATTTTGTTTCCTGCGGTCTGATCTTGAGGCCAAATCACACTGACATTATAATAAAGACTCTAACAAAGGCTGTGGGATTCCAGGAACAGTGGACAAAAACCAATGTATATACATTATCCTGACATTACATTGATGCATTCCAAGCCCGCCACAGTTCACACTCTTTCAACATGCCATCTACATACTTTTTAAAACATGGTTAACTTCCAAATAGACAACAATGAAATCACACTTCTTAATAACATGTTACAAATGATTTGTTGCATAACCCAAAACAAGGTAACTGTCTTCCCAAAAGAATATTTATAATTCCTTTAGATATCTTTGGTGGTGTTTATTAAACCAACCTCTCAAGAAAACTGAGCTTTTAAAACTTGCTGATAGTCTGGATCCACAAAAATTCAAGATTAGCTTGGAGAACAAGAAAGAAAGGAAGTGCTAAAAATTCAAAAGGACTATGGCATGTCAAAGGGACCCGGGAGCCACCAGGAAAGAGCTGTCAATGTCCAGAACCATGATATTTGAACAACACAATGAAAAATAAAGTATGGGATTATTACCCAAAGTATAAAAATAAATATGTATGTTTTCATACTGTTATAAATGATTGAATGAATAAAGAAATGAGAAAGAGGAAACTACTCTTTTTTAAAGAAGAATTCCTATTATAAGTAGATACTATTTCCTCTAGAAACTGAGCTTTAAACTCCCTCACTTTTTTTTTGTGGTGGACTAGACATAAAGTGAAATATGGAAAGGGTAAAATAGGAACTTTACAGTGGAGAAATATGGCAAATGCCACCTTAAATAAATGATTAAGGTTAACATCACCAGTGATGTTATACTAATATCATGTGCCCTCTGATAGGATGTAATGACAAGGGCATATCATTTCTGCATCATTCTTTATAAAAAAAAACCCATAATCCAGGTACAATCATGACAAAAACATCAGAGAAATTCAAATTGAGAGAAATTCTACAAAATAACTGACCAGTACTCCTATGAGTGTCAAAGTCATGAAACTTAAGAAAAACTCAGAAATTGTCACAGAACAAAAGAGACTAAGGAGACATGATAGCTAATTGCAGAATAGTATCATGTATTGGACACTGGAAGAGAAAGGGCATTAGGAGAAAAACTGATACAATCTCAATAAGGCCTAGAATTAATTAATAGTAATACTAATATTTGTTCCTTAGTTTTGACAAATGTACCATAGTAAAAAGATAACATTAACTAAATGCTATGTTAATTGAAACTGAAACTTAGTGAGAGATATATGAGAGTTTTCTGTATTATCTTTGAAACCTTTAAATCTAACATGTTCCCAATAAATATATTATTTTTTAAAAATAGCCACTTTGCAATTCTATTAGGCCAACTACTTTACAGTGACAGAGAACATAAGAAGACTAAATGAAACCAATAAGTAGAACCCCATTGCCACAGTGTGTTTGCTATAAAATATGTTCTGTGGTCAGAAGCAATAGTGTGTGAAACATCATGATTGTAAGAAAGACATTTTAGTGATTTACAGGTGGTGCTTTGGAAAGAAGCATTGTGTGTAAGAAAGGCAAATCTATTTACCTATGTGGAAGGTCAATTCCACGACCTTCAAAATGTTTCTATGTGATTAATTTGTCACTAGGTTGCACCAGGAATGTGCCATACTGATAGGTCACTGTTGGTCTTTCCTACTAACAGGTTTGACAATCAGCAGTGGATCTAACCATATAGGCCTTAGTGATTGCAGATCCATGCTGTTGAATCCAATGTGTACTATAACCCTGTTGAGTTGACAACTTTATTTCTAAACTTGTTGAGCATAAACATGGTTAACTGGGAAAAGAAGTCTTCTAATAACTATAGCACAGATTGTCCTATACACTTGATTATTAAGATCTTCATTGCTAAGATTTATATTCAATGAATACGAACATAAGACACAATTATCTGTGTATTTTGTCCTCATTAGAAGAGTTTCATCCACATATCTCTTTCCTCAATTTTCTAATAATATTCCTTCCACATTCCTGACCATTCAACCAAACTCATAATCACTGTATATGAGTCAGTGTAAATCTGTACCTCTGGAGGTGTCATCCACATGGCTGACCAGAGTCATCCAGCACTTGCCTTCTCCAAAAAGAAGGACCCAACAGCAAGTAAATAACTACACATTGAATAGAGTATCTAAGAGTGAACATTGGAATTCAGAAAAGAAGTGACAAAAGCCCTTTAAAACGTAGAAACTCCAGATGATAACATAGAGAGGGAAGCACACCAGTCAGCCAGGATTGGTTTGGAGCCAAGAAAGACACCCCACCGTGGAAAAAAAAGTAAAGAGAAAGCCCCAGTATTCTACACTTCCACCACAGATGCCTGAAATCCACATTATAGCAGAGTTTATCATCCTTCACAGGCCCTGAGTCCAGTATAAGGAGTTGCCTAGAGTCCATGAGACTGCAATGTTCTAAAGAAATAACTCACACTGAAACCCTCCAGACACACCCAAGTCCCCCAGCTGCTTCAGTACAGTGTCATTTTGAGAGTGAAGCTACCATCATACTACAGTCTGCCCTGACTTGGGGCCTAAGAGCCCCTGTATCTCCACATCCCTGAGGCTCTCCCCATATCCCCTTAGATCCATTCAGAGGGCTGCAGCAACATGACATCAGCTGGACACAAGGGTTTAACCATGTCCATGGCAATGAGGTTCCCTCATTGGCCTAGATCTCAAGCACATCATTGAGGCTGCCCCTAGGACATAGGAAGTCAAAGGGTGTACTCTGCAAAGTCTGAGAGCCATCTGGGCCTGCCACTCTTTGTGGCCACATCAGTTCTCTAGTGGTGGATCCAACATGCATCCACAGGTGCCATCTATAGGCCAGCAAACTGGCCCACACAGGTCTATGAGCACTGCCTGAGGACCTAAGGACTGGT
This sequence comes from Homo sapiens, assembly GCF_000001405.40. NCBI lineage: Eukaryota > Metazoa > Chordata > Mammalia > Primates > Hominidae > Homo > Homo sapiens. The sequence goes on from NC_000003.12 coordinate 96,364,534, forward strand.
CACATGGGGGCCCAAGAACCAGTTTGCCTGGGGCCTGCCACCACTGCCACCAAGATGCACGTGTATACATGCTATAGCCATCACTTGAGCCTGCACACACCTCCAAAGGACTGAAAAATTGCCTAGCCTTGGGCCCCACTGCTGCCAACACTAGTGCCCATGCATACCATCTGAGGGCCCTGAACTGGCTCACACATGACATTTGGGGGCTCAAGGACTGAAGGTTCCTGTGCATGGCACCCGTGAGCCCAAGAAATCACCTAACTGGGGACTACCACCACTATTGCCAGTGCCCACACATACCACCCAGGGGCCTGAGGACTACACCACCTGGCACTGGCTGCCATTACTGCTTTGCCAACCCTCCACATCCAGCAGCACAACAAATAGGAGCCCCAAAACTGGTCTCCATGGGGCTCGTTTTTACCACTGCTAGTGCCTGCACACACCCTGTAGAGGCCTGAGTATTATCCCACACAGTGTCCCTTTTCTCAGGAAAGCTACACCATGACCTTCACAAACAACCATAGCCTGAGCTACTGAGGAACTTGCATACACAGCCAATGTTGACTGTAGCCAAATAAATCATATGAAGACTACACTATTGTGCCCACCCAGACCAAAGCCACAGTACCCTACCCAACCAACACTAAAAATACATCAGCAGAAAAAAAAGTCTTTACAAAAACTACTCCATAAAAATGAAAGAATAAACTTATACCAGATGTGCAGACATCACTATAGGCACACAAGAAACATTAAAAAGCAAGGAAACATGACACCTACAAAGAAAGATAATATATTATCCAGTAACAGATTCCCTCAAAAAGGAAATCTACAAAATGTCTGAAAAGGAACTTAAAATAATAATCTTAAGGAAACTCAGTAAGTTAAAAGAGACCACACCCAGACAATGCAAATAATAGAAAACCAATTTTTGAAATGAGGACAAATTTTTAAGTAACTCATTCAGACAAAAAGATGAAGAAAAAATAATAAAAATGATGAAAAAAGACCACATGATATTGGAACACCATTAAGAGAACACATATTCAATTTTGGAAGTTCCATAAAGAGAAGAGTTGGGAAAAGTGATAGAAAACTTATAATGAAATAATAGTTGAAAAATTCCCAAGTATTTACAAGATACAGGAATTACAAGATCCAAGTATTTACAACCAACTGATTTTCAACAAAGGTACCAAGAATGTACATTGCAGAAAGGAGACCCTTTTCATTAATTGGTGCTTGGAAACTTGATATCCACATGCAGAAGAATGAAACTAATCACTTTGCTCTCATAAAAATCAACTCAAAAAGGGGTATAGTCTTAAATGTAAGACCAAAACTATAAAACTACTTGAGGAAACATAGGATGTATACTTCAGGACATTGGTCTAGGCAAATATTTTATGGGTAAGACTACAAAAGAATAAGCAACAACAGAAAAATAGACAAATGGGAATATAGCAAACTAAAATGCTTTTGCATAGTAAAGAATCAACAGAGCGAGTAGACAGCCACGAGGGTCTGAAATTTTATGTGTGTGAGGCATATTCTAAACATAAATTTAACTTCTTTAATAGAGAGGTATAGAGGTTATCACATTTTTCTCAAATAAATTTTAATAGTCTGTATTTTGAGGAATTTTTTCATTTAATCCAAATTGTTGAATTTATTTTAAGAATCAGCTAACCGCATTTTCTTATTATCATTTTAATATGTACAGAATTTGGAATGGTGTCTCCTCTTTCATTCCTAAGAGTGGAAATTTGTATTTCCCCTAATGCTTCAATTTGTTTGGTCCACCTCTTTATTGGTGACTCTTTCCATGGGTTTAGCTGTACATATGAGCCAATTTTTGCTTCCCTCTTCTACAATTTTCTAGAATTCTAGTCAATATGCAGCTGCATCATCTTCAATATTTTGCTTCACAAATTTTAGCTTTCCTGTTTTTTTCTGAACTCTGATGTATGTCTCTTCAACTCACCAAGCTTGCCAGACTCTGTTCCCTCTCCCTGTTCTGTGGCCTACGAGCAAATTAGAAAGAAACTCGTCTTATTTTTTTCCCTTATTTTGCACATCACTATTTTGTGCTATATATTGTCTTATGTATAAAAATATTGCTTTATGTATTTCCCTGTTTTTACATTATTTAAGGCAGTGGGGAGGGTCCAGTGCCTTATGGCTAAAGGTAGAAACAAAATACACTTCCTTAATCTGAATGACAGGTATCCAACAAAACTTACATTAAACTTACAAGAGATTAAAATGTATTGTATGTAAAATAAGCTGATTAAAAATGCTCATTACTTTCATTTACCTTTTAACTGGATGGCTCAGCAGTGTGGTGAGATAAGGAAAATAAACAATAGAATAAAGATGATAAAGAAATACAAATCTCTTTATTTTCAGATAAAAAGGTTGCTTACATACATGTCTCATAAATTTACAAAGAAATTAATCATAAATTGTAACTCAGTAGCCATGATGGATGCATCATCAATATGAAAGCCATCATATTTCTATGTACAAAGAACAGTTAGAATACATACTTCGGGAGCACGTAAAAAAAAAAAGTGGCTCATTCTACTTTTTCAGCTTTTTTTTAATTCTTATTTTTTTATTTCAACAAGTTTTTGGGGAACAGGTGCTGTTTGGTTACATGGATAAGTTCTTTAATGGTAATTTCTGAGATTTTGGTGCACCCAACACCCTAGCAGTGTACACTGTACTCACTGTGTAGTCTTTTATCCCTCAACCTCCTCCTACCCTTTCCTCCAAGTATCCAAAGTCCATTGAATCATTCTTATGCCTTTGTGTCCTCACAGCTTAGCTCCCACTAATGAATGAGAATATACGATGTTTGGTTTTCCATTCCTGTGTTAGTTCACTTAGAATAATGGTCTCCAATTCCATCCAGGTTGTTGCAAATGCCATTATTTTGTTTCTTTTTATGGCTGAGTAGTATTCCATGGTATATATATCACATTTTCTTTATCCACTTGTTGATTGATGGGCATTTGGGCTGGTTCCATATTTTTGCAATTGCGAATTATGCTGTGAAATGTGTAAGTATCATTTCATGTAATGACTTCTTTTCCTCTGGGTACATACCCAGGAGTAGGATTGCCAGATCAAATGGTAGATCTACTTTCAGTTCTTTAAGGAATCTCCACACTGTTTTCTACAGTGGTTATACTACTTTACATTCCCACCAGCAGTATGAAAGTATTCTCTTTTTACCACATCCACACCAACAACTAATATTTTTAAATTGTTTGATTATGGTCATCTTGCAGGAGTAAGGAGGTATTGCACTGTGGTTTTGATTTGCATTTTCCTGATCGTTAGTGATGTTGAGCACTTTTTCGTATGTTTGTTGGCCATCTGTATATCTTCATTTGAGAATTGTCTATTCATGTCCTTAGCCCAGTTTTTGATGAAATTGATAATTTTTCTCGTTTGAGTTCGTTGTAGATTCCAGATATTAGTCCTTTGTTGGATGCAAAATTTGCGAAGATTTTCTCCCACTCTATGGGTTGTCTGTTTACTCTGCTGATTATTTCTTTTACTGTGCAGAAAGTTTTTAGTTAATTTAAGTCCCATCTATTTATCTTTGTTTTTGTTGCATTTGCTTTGGGGTTCTTGGTCTTGGAGTCTTTGCCAAAACCAATAATCATAGATTCACTTACAGTTTTAATAAGTAATACAGACAGATTTACTCTATCCGTTACCCAGTTCCCCCAGTGATAACATTTTGCAAAACTGTAGCACATCAAAAACAGAAATTTGACATTGATATAAAAACCCATATTATTTATATTTTCACAGTTATACTCATACCTATGTGCATGCATGCATGTGTGTGTAGCTTTATGCAATTTTATCAAGTGTTTAGATTGAGTTATCCACCATTACAGTCAAGATACAGAACAGTTACATCACCACAAAGATTTCTCTTGGTGTTGGCTTAGTATGTACTTTTAGAAAGATAATTTCTAATATCAATAAAAGTCACTCTGGTAATATGTGGAATATATTTTATGAATAAGAATATAACAATATATTGAGCAGTATTAACGGAGACCTGAATAAAGGAAAGGATTCACCCTGAACCTGGCAATGAAGCTCACAATTTTAAAGATTACAATTATCCTCACATCAATCTAAGAATTCAGTGCAGGTCCAGCATTGTTTGTTTTGCACATAGAATGTGACAAAACTGATTCTATACTTAATATGGATAAATTTTAAAACTAAGAAAAATAGTATAATTTGGAAGAAATATAACAACTGTTCAGGGTTTGCATTACTAGATACCAAAATTATTGAAAACCTATACTTAATTACCTACAGTATTAAGATACAGTGAAAACCATGGAAAGACCAAAGGGGCAGAGGAGAGGTTACAGGGCTATATGTGGGCACAAACAGTCCAGTGATATTTAATTTTTCCTTGTAGGTTTGTAGATGGTTCTGCATCAATTGAGTATTCATATGGAAAAAATTAAATTGGACTGCTGTTATTCATGGTCTGAAATGGTTGCCAAATATATTAAAAACTAAATGTGAAAAAGCAAAACTCTACAATATTTAAGGAAAAACTGAGTTCTGCATATGGCTAGCCAATTATCCCAGCATCATTGATTGTATAGTGAGTCCTTTACCCTCATATCTAAAATAAAAGAAGAATTTAAAAATATACTGGATATGGGGGAGCTAGTGCCAGTATAAACAAGTTTGGTCACAAATTGATAATTATTGGAACTTGGTAATGGGTATATTGGGGTTCATTATAAAATTCTACTTATTTTTGTATATGTTTAAAATTTTCAGTAATAAAATGGTTTAAAAACTGCATTGACTTTATTATTAAACAATATATAAAAATGGAAACACTCAAGGAAAAGATTAGTAGATACAATTTTATAAATTTAAAGTACATGTTCTTCAAGACTATGCTGAAGTGAAACTAATGACACTATCAGGATATACTTACCATGCATAAATATGTATGGGGTATATTATTTGAATTGGTAATATTAACATATTAAGCTGAATTTTGATTACACAGATGTTTACTATGTGTTTTTTCTACATTTCTGTATCAAAAATATTTCATAAATTTATTTATTAGGAAATATGTCGGCTGTTAGTTTATAGTGTTTTCATTCCAATTTTTCTTAATGTCTTATAAATAGCAATAGATTATATCAAGTTCAGTTTTGACATCTATTAAAAAGGTCATCAGGCTTTCTAATTGGACTTAAACATGTGGAATATTATATTAATAAATTTTATAATCTTATACTTGCTTTGAATTCCTGAAATAAGTTTTATTTAATTATAGTGGGAATTATTTTTAATGTACCCCAACTGCAGCTTTTTATTTTAGTTAGGGTCTTTCTATAATAAGCAATATTTTTTTTTGCATCTGATGTTTTCTAACACCAGAGAAATTCTACATTCATAAACTCTATTCAGGAGCTTTCATTGTTTTATGTGATATAAAAAATAATATAACATGAAATATAATGCATCATTATTCTTTTATTACTCTTTTCTTATTAAATTAAATTTTGGACATTAATCTTTTTTCACAGGCATTCATTTCATCCTACACAATTTTTTAGTGATATGTATAATCAAGTTTATAAACTTTGTTGCTTGAGATAGGGTATTTTTTGGCATTAATAAGTTCTATAAGTATCTATAAATTCAACTATATAATAACACTCAACATTTCTATATATGAAGGTATTTGCTGTCTTTAATTTGTCAAGCTGATTTCATGTAATGTTAAAATTTCCAGCATTGTCTATTTAGTTTTTACTTTGTCTTGATTTCTATATTTTACTGTATTAGAGAGTGCTTAAGGAAAAAAATTTACATAATTGACTTTCATCTCAAAATAAATTGATCACATATTTGTTTTTAATGATTATTGCCCTGTATTCTGACCTTATCATAACATTATTTATTCATGTTGATGCATTTACCTGATAAATCTTTGTCCATGTTATTCTATTTGACCTTTCCTTTTATGATGTATTCTCTTGTAAAGTGCATGTAGATAAATTTTTTAACCAAGCTGACAGTCATTGATTTAACAGGTTATTAATTACATTAATTCCAGATATCATCTTGCCTTATGTGTTCAACAATCTTTCATATTGCTTCATACACTCAGATTTTTTGTCATCTTTGTTACCTGCTTAATATTAGAAGAAATTATTTCATCTCATGTGCTGACTAATTATTTGCTTGTGGTTCCATGGAATGTTATGTTGAGAAGGATTCTGAAGCAATTAATGGGTGACTGTCCTGAGATACTACATGAAGCAAATGAAGCAAACTATTTGACTCACTGGCTGAAGGGAGAAAAATTTAAAATGGGTGGGAAACAAAGAAAAGTATGAATATTAGTTAAGGCTATAGGACCAGTTGTAGTGTCTGGTAGATAAGGTAGCTTGGTTTGGTTATATTCTCTAATGTCTTTCAAGAGTTCCAACAGGTCACTCCTTTAAGTTTTGGGATTATACCTATGCTCTTGAGAAGAAAATGATGACAGCTGTTCTCATAGAGGATTCAGGTATCATAAGAAAGTACAAATAGATTCGAGTGCTATAGGGGTAGTCTATAACACCATCAATCTATGCACCTCCCAAAGTTGATCAGCCTTACTTGCCCCTGGGACTTGGCCATATGCTGTATGTCTTGGCTGATGAACAGCTGTACGTTGAAATCTTGGTCACCATTGCTATTGCCTCTTTGCCTAACATCACTACAACATACCTGTCCTAGTCTTTCAATGGCAAGAATCAGGCTTCAGTATAACTTTCACTTTTATAATTAAATCAGGTTACAAATACTCCAGCACCCATGTCTGACTCAACCTAATTCACAGAGAGTAGATCTTTACAGAAGTTCTGAATAACATAATCCTGAATCTGAGGAACTCTGTCTGCTAGGAAGGGCTGCTTGAGAGTCTAGGTGTATGGTGAAGTTAAATGCCATAGGGTGAACACTTAGCATTGAGAGAAAGGAGACTGGAAGAGGCCAGAAAATTATTTTCTCATTCTTTTGGACCAGATGAATGGTTCTTGAGTCTCCAGGGATTACTAATGTGACTAAGAAACCAAATAAGTTTCTCATGAGGCTGGGACAAGCTTAGTAATGTATCACCTTCTACTTTGTCTACCTCCTAGCTTATTGTACTTCCTTTTGTCTGTCATTCTTGCTTTAGTGGATTGGAAGCAACAAAAAGTAGTAAAGTACACCAGTGTTTAAGGAAGCCGTGTTGAGAAGAAAGTTTTCACTGTATTCTAAATTATAGTAATAACCATATATTTGACTACTAAATATAAGAGTAGTGCTATAACTTGCTATGCCTTATTAATGATATATATTTAGTGTTATTTTCCTCTGCACTATCAATATTTTAGTGTTTGCTTCAAATATCAATATTTTTATTAAATGGCATTACTTATTTTTTAAATTATTTTGAATTTTATTTTAAGTTCTGAGATACAAGTGCAGAATGTGTAGGTTTGTTACATAGATATACATGTGCCATAGTGATTTGCTGGACCTATCAACTCGTTATCTAAGTTTGAAGCCCCACATGCATTATCTATTTGTCCTAATGCTCTCCCTCCCTTTGCCCCCTAACCTCAGCTGGCTCTGATGTGTGTTGTTCCCCTCCCTATGTCCATGTGTTCTCATTGTTCAACTCCCACTTATGACTGGGAAGATGTGGTGTTTCATTTACTGTTGCTGTGTTACTTTGCTGAGGATGATGGTTTCCAGCTTAATCCGTGTCCCTGCAAAGGACATAATCTCATTAATTTTTATGTCTACATAGTATTCAATGGTGTATATGTATCACATTTTCTTTATCCAGTCTATCATTGATAGGCATTTGGGTTGATTCCATGTTTTTGCTATTGTAAATAGTGCTACAATAAACATATGTGTGCATGAGTCTTCATAGTAGAATGATTTATATTCCTTTGGGTATATATCCAGTAATGAGATTTCTGGGTCAAATTGAGGAATCACCACACTGTCTTCCACAATGGTTGAACTAATTTACATTCCCAGCAGCAGCATAAAAGCATTCTATTTCTCCACAGCCTCGCCAGCATCTATTTTTTCTTGATATTTTAATAACTGCCATTATGACGGGCATGAGATAGTATCTCATTGTGGTTTTGATTTGCATTTCTCTAATGATCGTGATGTGTAGCTTTTTTTCATATATTTCTTGGCCACATGTATGTCTTCTTTTAAGAAATGTCTGTTCACATCCTTTGTCCACTTTTTCATGGGGTTGTTTTTTTCTTGTAACTTTGTTTAAGTTCTTTGTAGATGCTGGATATTAGCCCTTTGTCAGATGAGTAGATTGCAAAAATTTTCTCCCATTCTGTAGGTTGCCTGCTCACTCTGATGATAGTTTGTTTTGCTGTGCAGAAGCTTTAGTTTAATTGGATCCCATTTGTCAATTTTGGCTTTTGTTGCAATTGCTTTTGGCATTTCTGTCATGAAGTCTTTGCTTATGCCTGTGTCCTGAATGGTATTGTCTAGGTTTTCTTCTAGGGTTTTTATGGTTTGGGATTTCACATTTAAGTGTTTAGTCCGTCTTGAGTTATCTTTTGTGTAAGGTATAAGGAAGGGATCCAGTTTCAGTTTTCTGCATATGGCTAGCCAGTTTTCCCAGCATCATTTATAAAATAGGGAATCCTTTCCCCATCACTTGTTTTTGTCAGGTGTGTTGAAGATAAGATGGTTGTAGATGTGTGGTGTTATTTCTGAGGTCTCTGTTCTGTTCTATTGGTCTATATCTCTGTTTTGGTACCAGTACCATGCTGTTTTGTTTACTGTAGCCTTGTAGTGTGGTGTAAAGTCAGGTAGCGTGATGCCTCCAGCTTTGTTCTTTTTGCTTCAGATTGTCCTGGTTATACAAACTCTTTTTTGGTTCCACATGAAATTTAAAGTAGTTTTTCTAATCCTGTGAAGAATATCAATGTTAGTTTGATGGGAATAGCATGGAATCTATAAATTACTTTGGGCAGTATGGCCCTTTTCACGATATTGATTCTTTCTATCCACAAGGATGGAATATTTTTCCATTTGTTTGTGTCCTCTCTTATTTCCTTGAGCAGTGGTTTGTAGTTCTCCTTGAAGAGGTCCTCCACATTCCTTGTTTACTGTATTCCTAGGTATTTTCTTCTTTTTGTAGCAATTGTGAATGGGAGTTCATTCATGATTTGGCTCTCTGCTTGTCTATTGTTGGTTTATAGGGATGCCTGTGATTTTTGCAAATTGATTTTGTATCCTAAGACTTTGCTGAAGTTGCTTACCAGCTTAAGGAGTTTTGGGGCTGAGATGATGAGGTTTTCTAAATATAGAATTATGTTATCTGCAAAAAGAGACAGTTTTACTTCCTCTCTTTTTAATTGAGTAACTGTTATTTCTTTCTCTTACCTGATTGCCCTGGCCAGAACTTCCAATACTATGTTGAATAGAAGTGGTGAGATAGGGCAGACTTGTCTTGTGCCAGTTTTCAAAGCGAAGGCTTCTGTCTTTACCCATTCAGTATAATATTGGCTGGGGGTTTGTCATAAATAGCTGTTATTATTTTGAGATATATTCCATCAATACCTAGTTTATTGGGAGTTTTTAACACGAAGGGATGTTGAATTTTATCAAAGGCCTTTTCTGCGTCTATTTAGGTAATCATGTGGTTATTGTCATTGGTTCTTTTGATGTGATGAATTATGTTTATCAATTGGCATATGTTGAACAAGCCTTGCATCCCAGGAATAAAGCCAACTTGATCGTGGTGGATAAGCTTTTGGACGTGCTGTTGGATTCGGTTTGCCACTGTGTTACTGACGATTTTCACAATGATGTTCATCAGGGATATCGGCCTGAAGTTTTCTTTTTTTGTTGTGTCTCTGCCAGGTTTTGGTATCAGGATGATGCTGGTCTCATAAAATGAGTTAGGGAGGCATCCCTGCTTTTCAATTGTATAGGATAGTTTCAGAAGACATGGTACAAGCTCATCTTTGTATCTCTGGTAGAATTCTGCTGTGAATCCATCTGGTCCTGGGCTTTTGTTTGTTGGTAGGCTATTAATTGCTGCCTCAATTTCAGAACTTGCTATTGGTCTACTCAGGGATTTGACTTCTTCCTGGTTTAGTCTTGGGAAGGTGTATGTGCCCAATAATGTATCCATTTCTTCTAGATGTTCTAGTTTATTTGTGCAGAGGTGTTTATAGTATTCTCTGATTGTAGTGTGTATTTCAGTGGGTTAATGATGATATCCCCTTTATCATTTTTTATTGTGTCTATTTGATTCTTCTCTCTTTTCTTCTTTCTTGGGCTAGCTAGCAGTCTACTTTGTTAATTTTTTGGAAAAAAAAAAACAGCTCCTAGATTCATTGATTTTTTTTTTTTTTTTTTTTTTTGAGATGGAGTCTCACTCTGTCACTAGGCTGGAGTGCAGTGGCGCAATCTCGGCTCACTGCAAGCTCCGTCTCCGGGGTTCATGCCATTCTCCTGCCTCAGTCTCCCGAGTAGCTGGGACTACAGGTGCCCGCCACCGTGCCCGGCTAATTTTTTTGTATTTTTAGTAGAGACGGGGTTTCACTGTAGTCTTGATCTCCTGACCTCGTCATACGCCCACCTCGGCTTCCGATTCACTGATTTTTTTTGAAGGGTTTCACATGTCTGTATCTCCTCCAGTTCTGCTCCGATCATAGTTATTTCTTGTCTTCTGCTAGCTTTTGGATTTGTTTGCTCTTACTTCTCTAGCTTGTTTAATTGTGTCAATTTGAGATCTTTATGGTTTTCTAATGTAGGCATTTGGTGCTTTAAATTTCCCTCTTAACACTGCTTTAACTGTGTGCCAGAGATTCTGGTACATTGTCTCTTTCCTTTCATTGGTTTCAAAGAGCTTCTTGATTTCTGCCTTAATTTCATTATATTTACCCCGGAGTCATTCAGCACCAAGTTTATAAAGACAGCTTTTTGTAGTTGCTGTTGTTTTTGTTGTTGTTGTTGCTTTGATATAGAGTGTTATTCTGTTGCTGCCAGGCTGGAGTGCAGTGGTGCGATCTCAGCTCACTACAACTTCTACTTCCCAGATTCAAGTAATTCTCATGCCTCAGCTTCCCAGGTAGCTGGGATTACAGGTGTGTGCCACCATGCCAGCTAATTTTTGGATTTTTAGTAGAGACAGAGTTTTGCCATGTTGGCCAGGCTAGTCTTGAACTCTTGGCCTCAAGTGATCCACCCACCTCTGCCTCCCAAAGTGCTTTGATTACAGGCATGAGCCACCGTGCCCAGACCTAAAGACATCTCTTCTTATTTTCTGATGTGCTTCTGTTGCATTTTGCTTGCATATGTAATTAAATCCCACTATTTTTTAAATAATTATTTTGCATTTATGTTTTAATATCAGCTATAATTATTGTGTTTCTTTTTTAATATTCTTTAAGTTCTAGGGTACATGTGCACAATGTGGAGGTTTGTTACATATGTATACATATGCCATGTTGGTGTGCTGCACCCTTTAACTAGTCATTTACGTTAGGTATATCTCCTAATGCTATCCCTCCTCCCTCCCCCAACCCCACGATAGGCCCCGGTGTGTGATGTTCCCCTTCCTGTGTCCAAGTGTTCTCACTGTTCAATTCCCACCTATGAGTGAGAACATGTGGTGTTTGGTTTTTTTGCCCTTGAGATAGTTTGCTGAGAATGATGGTTTCCAGCTTCATCCATGTCCCTACAAAGGACATGAACTCATCATTTTTTATGGCTGCATAGTATTCCATGGTGTATATGTGCCACATTTTCTTAATCCAGTCTATCATTGATGGACATTTGGGTTGGTTCCAAGTCTTTGCTATTGTGAATAGTGCCACAATAAACATACATGTTCATGTGTCTTTATAACAGCATGATTTATAATCCTTTGGGTGTATACTCAGTAATCGGATGGCTGGGTCAAATAGTATTTCTAGTTCTAGATCCTTGAGGAATTGCCACACTGTCTTCCACAATGGTTGAACTAGTTTAAAGACCCACCAACAGTATAAAAGTGTTCCTATTTCTCCACATCCTCTCCAGCACTTGTTGATTCCTGACTTTTTAATGATCGCCATTCTAACTAGTGTGAGATGATATCTCACTGTGGTTTTAATTTGCATTTCTCTGATGGCCAGTGGTGATGAGCATTTTTTCATGTGTCTGTTGCCTGCATAAATGTCTTCTTTTGAGAAGTATCTGTTCATATCCTTCGCCCACTCTGTGATGGAGTTGTTTCTTTTTTTCTTGTAAATTTATTTGAGTTCTTTGTAGATTCTAGATATTAGCCCTTTGTCAGATGAGTAGATTGCAAAAATTTTCTCCCATTCTGTAGGTTGCCTGTTCACTCTGATGATAGTTTCTTTTGCTGTGCAGAAGCTCTTTAGTTTAATTAGATCCCATTTGTCAATTTTGGCTTTTGTTGCCATCGCTTTTGGTTTTAGACATGAAGTCCTTGCCCATGCCTGTGTCCTGAATGGTATTGCCTAGGTTTTCTTCTAGGGTTTTTATGGTTTTAGGTGTAACATTTAAGTCTTTAATCCATCCTGAATTAATTTTTGTATAAGGTGTAAGGAAGGGATCCAGTTTCAGCTTTCTACATATGGCTAGCCAGTTTTCCCAGCACCATTTATTAAAGAGGGAATTCTTTCCCCATTTCTTGTTTTTGTCAGGTTTGTCAAAGATCAGATGGTTGTAGATGTGTGGTATTACTTCTGAGGACTCTTTTCTGATCCATTGGTCTATATCTCTGTTTTGGTACCAGTACCATGCTGTTTTGGTTACTGTAGACTTGTAGTATAGTTTGAAGTCAGGTAGTGTGATGCCTCCAGCTTTGTTCTTTTGGCTCAGGATTGACTTGGCAATGTGGGCTGTTTTTGGTTCCATATGAACTTTAAAGTAGTTTTTCCAATTCTGTGAAGAAAGTCATTAGTAGCTTGATGGGAATGGCATTGAATCTATAAATTACTTTCGGCAGTATGGCCATTTTCATGATATTGATTCTTCCTATCCATGAGCATGGAATGTTCTTCCATTTGTTTGTGTCCTCTTTTATTTCATTGAACAGTGCTTTGTAGTTCTCCTTAAAGAGGTCTTTCACATCCCTTGTAAGTTGGATTCCTAGGTATTTTATTCTCTTTGAAGCAATTGTGAATGGGAGTTCACTCATGATTTGGCTCTCTTCTTGTCTGTTATTGGTGTATAAGAACGCTTGTGATTTTTGCACATTGATTTTGTGTCCTGGGGCTTTCCTGAATTTGCTTATCAGCTTAAGGAGATTTTGGGCTGAGACAATGGGGTTTTCTAAATATACAATCATGTCATCTGCATACAGGGACAATTTGACTTCCTCTTTTCCTAATTGAATACCCTTTATTTCTTTCTCCTGCCTGATTGCCCTAGCCAAAACTTCCAACACTATGTTGAATAGGAGTGGTAAGAGAGGGTATCCCTGCCTTGTGCAAGTTTTCAAAGGGAATGCTTCCAGTTTTTACCCATTCACTAAATGCCCACAAGAGAAAGCAGGTAAGATCTAAAACTGACACCCTAACATCACAATTAAAAGAACTAGAGAAGCAAGAGCAAACACATTCAAAAGCTAGCAGAAGGCCAGAAATAACTAAGATCAGAGCAGAACTGAAGGAGATAGAGACACAAAAAACCATTCAAAAAATCAATGAGTCCAGGAGCTAGTTTTTTGAAAAGATCAACAAAATTGATAGACTACTAGCAAGACTAATAAAGAAGAAAAGAGAGAAGAATCAAATAGACCCAATAAAAAATGAATGATAAAAAAATGACCGTCAGAGAATACTATAAACACCTCTATGCAAATAAACTAGAAAATCTAGAAGAAATGGATAAATTCCTGGACACATTCACCCTCCCAAGACTAAACCAGGAAGAAGTTGATCCCTGAATAGACCAATAACAGGCTCTGAAAGTGAGGCAATAATTAGTAGCCTACCAACCAAAAAGAGTCCAGGACCAGATGGATTCACAGCCGAATTCTACCAGAGGTACAAGGAGGAGCTGGTACCATTCCTTCTGAAACTATTGCAATCGATAGAAAAAGAGGGAATCCTCCCTAACTCATTTTATGAGGCCGGCATCATCCAGATACCAAAGCCTGGCAGAGACACAACAAAAAAAGAAAATTTTAAACCAATATCCCTGATGAACATCGATGCAAAAATGCTCCATAAAATACTGGCAAACCGAATCCAGCAGCACATCAAAAAGCTTATCCACCATGATCTAGTAGGCTTCATCCCTGGGATGCAAGGGTGGTTCAACATACACAAATCAATAAACGTAATTCAGCATATAAACAGAACCAAAGACAAAAACCACATGATTATCTCAATAGATGCAGAAAAGGCCTTTGACAAAATTCAACAGCCCTTCATGTTAAAGACTCTCAATAAATTAGGTATTGATGTGGTGTATCTCAAAATAATAAGAGCTCTTTATGACAAACCCACAGCCAATATCATACTGAATGTACAAAATCCCACCATTTTTTAAAAACATTTCCAAATTTGGCTGTTGTGTCCCAGTGGACACACTGATTTCACTTGCCCTTATTTCTGAATTTGTAAGATGTTCTTATTGCTGTTCTAAAGTAATGATCCATAGAAAAATGCAATCTCATTGGGCTTGTATGAAATTAAATGAGATATTATGCTTAAGGAACTTCACACAATCATGGCACAATATTAGTGTTGTGGCCATGATGCTGCCACAGAAGTAAAGGAATGATGGCAGCCACAAGAAGTTGCGAGAGGTCAGGAACAAATTTTCTTTCAAGGCCTCCAAACGGAGGTGCTACTTAACACCTTGTTTTCAGCCTAGTGATACTGATTTCATACTTCAGGCTTCCAGAACAGCAAGAGAATAAATTGCTGGTCTTAAACCACTAACTGTGTTATAATTTGTTATAGCAGTCATAGAAAATTAATACGCCATTGCAGTTATTACTATTTCAGGTGATAGGAAGTACAGATATATCTCAGAGATATTGCAGGATCAATTCCAGACCCCCAAAATAAAGGAAATCACAACAAAGTGAGTCTCATGAATTTTGGTTTTGCATAACATATAAAAGTTATGTTTACATTATACTGTAGTCTCTTAAGTGCTTTCTCATGATTTTTGTGTTCACTGGAGAAACACTTTCCATTTCTTTCAGGAACTCTTCTTTTGCATTTACAACTCAGCTAATTTTAGTTCAAGAAGCTTTGCTTTCAGCTTATCTCAGCTTTCAACATGACTTCCTCTCTAAGCTTAATCATATCTAGCTTTTGATTTAAAGTGAGAGATGTGCAAATCTTCATTACACTTGAACACATAGGGGCTATTGTAAGACTGTTAATTGGCCTAATTTCATTTGTTGGGCTTCACGGAATAGGGAGACTCAAGGAAAGAGAGAAGAAGAGAATGGCTGATTGGTGGAGCAGTTGGGATGCACACATTTATTCATTGTTTGCCATTTTATATGGGTGCAATTTATGGTGCTCCCAAACAAGTAGAAGCGTAACATCATAGGTCACTGATAGCTGATCACCGTAATAGATATAATAATAACTAAAAAGTTTGAAATATTGAGAGAATTACCAAAAGGCTACACAGAGACATGAAATGAACTCATGTTGTTGAAAAGAATGGATTGTTAGGCTTCCTCAACAGAGGGTGGTCACAAATCTTTAATTTGTAAGAATAATGCAATATCTGTGAGGCACAATAAGCAAATTACAATGAAATAAAATATTCCCGTATCCAGTTTAAAATATATTTCTAATGGAGACTTTAAAATAGAATAATAGATGTACCATTTATAATTCAATATGCTAATATAAAAATTTTAAAACAGGACATTTTCCTTATTCTTTTACAACTAAAAGATATTAAATAGTAATTGCTATTTTTTGGATGTCTGTGGCTTATTTATATGGAATTAAAGAAGACTTGATATATTCAGTTTTAAAGCCATAGTTAGCTGTAGTGACAGAAATGAAAACATCCTAAATTCATCAAGGTAATATTACCTGAATAACCCAGATACAGTCTCAGAATCATTCTTAACATAACAATCAAGAAAACTACCACCATGTGATAAGATTTACCATATATATAAAACTAATGTACTACTTAACGCAAAAATTGTGAAATAAAAAAAAAAGAAGAAAGTAAAGTTGCCTTTTTTTTTTTTTTTTTTTTTTTGAGACGGAGTCTTCCTCTATTGCCCAGGCTGGAGTGCAGTGGCGTGATGTGGGCTCACTGCAAGCTCCGCCTCCTGGGTTCACGCCATTCTCCTGCCTCAGCCTCCCGAGTAGCTGGGACTACAGGTGCCTGCCACCACTCCCAGCTAATTTTTTTTTTTATATTTTTAGTAGAGACGGGGTCTCACTGTTTTAGCCGGGATGGTCTCGATTTCCTGACCTCCTCAGCCCGCCTCAGCCTCCCAAAGTGCTGGGATTACAGGCGTGAGCCACCACGCCCGGCCGCTTTTTTTTTTACCAAAGTTTTTATTTCAATTTTATTCTTCCTTTACTACTTTTAAACTCTGATTTTTATGTTTCTCTGAGTCATCAAGATTATAATTGTAAGAACTTTTTCCAGGAAAGATGTAGCATTGGTTCATTGTTTTGTTGAATATTTGGGATTGTCCTTCTGGTTTCTCATCAATGATGTGTTTCTGAATATGCACTTCTAAGAGAATGATAGTAAACCAAATACTCAGCTCATCACATAGATATATAAAGATATGAGTCTACATCTGAATTATCATGAGCTCTACAGTGTTTGCGGTTGTATAAAACTAAATATTAAACAATTAAGAACTTTTTTAGGTAAAATCTGATATATTTTTGTCAGAGAGCCATTGAGCCAAAACAGCATAGTGAGTAACAACTGGAGCTAGATTTTTGCTTTTGGGGCTGCTTTTCTGCACTAACAAAGTATTTCTCAATTTTTCAACATTTATTGTAATACCTAATACATACAAAACACCTATAATATTGTCTTAACATATAAGAAATACCCAATAACTTTTATTGGTTTTGTAATATTATATCAACCATGAATAGTAAAATAGATTTCACTAAGCATAGGGAAAAATATAATTCTTCTAATGTGTAGGTATTTGGTAACAGATCAATTTCTAATATAATGATATGAAGTACATATTTAATAAACATATGTATTACCATTTCAGCCTATTTTGAAATAGAATCTTGATGTCAGATTTGTAAAATGTCTACATTGTGAGCCTTCCTTTCTACAAGTAGGCAGATAATGCTTTTTTAGGGAATTTTCTAGGTAAACCATAGCATTGATTTGGTGATGAATATACAGTACAAAATAATTCCTGAACTTAATACCTACTCATTTCAATTCAGCAGAAATCTGTAGGGTCAGTGATTATCTAAAATAAATATACTGTGAAAACAAAATGGTTTCCCTGTATTGGGTCTTAACTGCCTTTAGGGTTTTACATGTTTTGCTAAATTGAAATTTCATACACTAAGAATAATTCTGATAGCTCTGTAGCTTCCTAATCCCATGCTTTTTTGATAACATCCTTTCTGGAATAGAAAAAAAATGAGAAGCTAATTGCTTACACTCTGAATAATGCTTTTCTTTGAACTCAGTGAAGCACAAAGATAAATAGTGTATTACTAAAGGGAATTTAGCTCTATTTATGACTGCTTGTAGTGTGAAATTGGTTGTTTGTGATCTTTAAAGGCTTGCTTTCTTTTCAAAACATTATATGCCAGCTATGACTACAGAAAGATGGGAATGTAAAATGAATTTAGATTAAGGAAAACTCCTTTACTTAAACAATTTTTAAGCCATTCTGTCTCATTTTTTTGGTGCTGTGAATTTTATGGAAACCTTAACTGATGATTTCTCAAATAATAAAATAGTGTAGTGTATTTACATCATGTCTTTTATTTATTTTTGCCATTCTATTTCATCCATCACACTCATTTTATTTAATATCCATATATTGTCTTATAAATATACCTTTACTGTTTTTTGTTTT
Source organism: Homo sapiens (assembly GCF_000001405.40). Taxonomy (NCBI): domain Eukaryota; kingdom Metazoa; phylum Chordata; class Mammalia; order Primates; family Hominidae; genus Homo; species Homo sapiens. The sequence goes on from NC_000003.12 coordinate 96,382,676, forward strand.
GTCTCTAATTTTTATTTCTAATTTTTCAACTAGGAATATGAAATGTTTGTTTCTAATGTTTATTTCTAATTTTTGACTACGAATATGAAAAATCTTTGAAATCAGTATTTGAGTTTAGCATGTCCTTTCAGCCTAAATATAGCTCTTGACACAACTTATAACATAAAGTGTATTTTTATATGTTTTTCATAATTCTCAAAAGTACATGTGTTTTACAAATAATATGGATATGTACACAAATGAAATGTTTTGAAATATTTCAATATAAAACAAGAATTATGTTATGAGAATACTGATGCAAATTTTATATGAATTTTAATATATTAGTAATACACCATGGAGACAAGAAGTGAAAAGACTACATGTTTTTGAACATTAGGATATTGGTATTCCATCAATAAAAGATTAAATGTAATTTCCACTAGGTTATGTTGCACTATTAACTATTTTGTAGTTATTTTTGTTTATCTCAAACTAATTATTGAAATAAATATAATTGTTCCACAAGGAGAAGAATTTGTCATGCTCCCTTGTTGCTCAACTTTTATTATGAGAAAAATTCAAATACATAAAACAGTTAAAGGATTTATACAAAGGTCAAATGACATGGATATACATACATACATACATATAATAAGTGTCAGATTTATATTTGTAGATAGGTAGGTTGAACCATTTGAAAGTAAACTTCAGATACCACACAACTTTGGCCATAAATATTGTATCATGTTAGTATTTATAACATATTCACATTTAATCCATTCTTCCCAAAAAAGGTCTTATAAATTTACCTTGAGGGCCAAGATTTAAACAATGTTTACATATTGCATTGGTTTTTTACATAATGCATCTATTTAAAACATTTCTAAACTTAAATATTTCTCTAAATATTTTTCCCTACTATGATGATAATGTATTTTACAAGGTATGTAAATTGTCTTATGGAATGCCTCATTCTCAAGTGTTTGATTGCTTCATCATGGTGTTGTTTAACTGTTCCACTATTGTTGTCATTTGAAGTAAATTGGAAGGTATTTCTATAGTCACGTCTAGATGCCATTTAAGTATTTTTGACAAGCATATTTTGTAGATGATGCCATATATATCATGTTGCATTACTTCAGGTAGTTACAATTCAAGGTTTCTCTGGTAAATACCAATGATCACAGAATGGTCATACTGTCCAAAGCAATTTACAGATTCAATGCTATTCCTATTAAACTAAAAATGACATCCTTCACAGAATTAGAAAAAAACTATTTTAAAATCCATATGGAACCAAAAAATAGCTTGAATAGCCAAGACTATCCTAAGCAAAAAAATAAAGCTGGAGGCATTACGTTACCCAACTTCAAACTATACTACAAGGCTACAGTAACCAAAACAGAATGGTACTGGTACAAAAACAGACATATAGACCAATGGAACAGAATAGAGAGTTCAGAAATAATGCCACACACCTACAACCATCTTCTCTTTGACAAAGTAGACAAAAACAAGCAATGGGGGAAGGACTCCCCACTGAATAAATAAAGCTATCCCCACACAGAAGTAAAGGCTTGGCCTGACTGGTAGGTGTATCTGCAGTTCTTTGAGAAATCTCCATTCTGTTTTCCACAGGGGTTGTACCAATTTACATTCCCACTAATGGTGTGTAAGCATTCCTTTTTCTCCACATTCTTGCCAATATCTGTTATTTTTTGACTTTTTAATAAAAGCCATTCTCACTCATCTGAGATGATATGTCATTGTGGTTTTAACTTACATTTCTCTGATAATTAAAGATGTTGAGCATTTTTTCCTATGTTTGTTGACCATTTGTGTGTCTTCTTTTGAGAATTGTCTATTCATGTCTTTAGCTCACTTTTTAGAGGGGCTTGTTTTTTGCTGTTGTTGAGTTGTTTGAGCTCCTTATAAATTCTGGATATCAGTTTCCTGTCAGATGCATAGTTTCCAAATATTTTCTCCCATTCTACAGGTTGTCTCTTCACTCTGGTGATTATTTTCTTTGCTTTGCAGAAGCTTTTAAGCTTAATTGAGTCTCATTGGTCTACTTTTATATTTGTTGCTTTTCCTTTTGAGGTCTTAGTCAAGATATCTTTGCCTAGATCAATGTTCAGGAGAGGTTTCTCTAGGTTTTCTTCTAATATTTTCATAGTTTCTGGTTTTAAATTTAAGTCTTTCATCAATCTTGAATTAATTATTGTATATAGTAAGAGATAGGGGTTTAGTTTCATTCTTCTGCATATGGAAATACAATTTTTCCAGCATCAGTTATTAAAAAGAGTGTCCTTACTCCAGTGTATGTTTTTGTCTACTTTGTCAAAGAGCAGTTGGCTGTAGATATGTGACTTTTTTTCTGTGTTCTAAACTCTGTTCCATTGATTTTTCTATCAGTACCATGTTGTTTTGGTTACTATAGTCCTTTTTTTTTTTTTAACAGGCTCTCTCTCTGTTGCCCAGACTGGAGTGCAGTGGCATGATCTTAGCTCACTGCAACCTCCACCTCCCAGGCTCAAGTGATCCTCTTACCTCAGCCTCCAGAGTAGCTGGGACTACAGGCACAAGTCACTGTGCCTGGCTAATTTTTTTTTTTTTTTTTTTCCGTAGAGGCAAGGTTTTGTCATGTTGCCCAGGCTGGTCTTGAACTACTGAGCTGAAGTGATCCACCTGCCTTTACCTCCCAAAGTCCTGGGATTAAAGACATGATCCACCAGGCCTGGCTGGGGACTAAAGTCCTACAGTATAACTTGAGGTCAAGTAATGTAAGGCTTACAGCTTTGTTATTTTTCCTTAGAATTGCTTTGGCTATTCAGTCTCATTTTTGTTCCATAAAAATTTTAGGATTGATTTTTCTAATTCTGTGAAAAGTAAGATGGGTATTTTGATAAGGATTGCACCGAATCTGTGGATGGCTTTGGGTAGTATAGTCATCTTAACAATAATAATTATTTTGATCCATGAACATGGGATGTTTTTCCATTTGTTTGTGTCATGTACAATTTCTTTCATCAGTGTTTCATAGTTTTCCTTGTAGAGATCTTTCACTTCCTTCCTTAAATATATTCTTAGGTATTTTAATTTGTAGCTACTGCAAATAGGACTGCCTTTTGGTTTGGTTCTCAATTTGATTGTTATTGGTGTGTAAAAAGGCTACTGTTTTTTTGTATGTTAACTTTTTGTATATTAAAACTTTATTGAATTTATTTACCAAATCTAAGAGGCTTTTGGAGCAATCTTTAGGTTTTTCTAGGTGTAAGATGATAAAAGCAAACATAGATAATTTGGCTTATTCTTTTCCAATTTGGATGTCTTTTAGTTATTTCTCTTGCCTGATTGGTCTAGCTAAGACTTCAAAAGCTATGTTGAATAGAAGTGGTGAAAGTGGGCAATCTTACCTTGTTCCAGTGATTTGTGGAATTGCTTTTAACTTTTCCTCTTTCAATAGGATATTGGCTGCAGGTTTGTTCTATATGGCCTTTATTACTTTGAGGTATGTTTCTTCTATGCAATTGTGTTAAAAGTTCTTATAATGAAGGGATGCTAAGTGTTTTCATATCCTTTTTCTGCATCTATTGTGATAATGACATGTTTTTATCATGAAAAGATATGCCCATCTCACCTTGTTCTTTCTCTGTCTCAGTCTAAGTGTGGTATTTTTCTCCAAAGGGCCACGGACATCATTTCGTGGCCCAGGTATTTAATAACTAAGATTTGTGCATTAAGTTGACATAATTTCACTGTTACCATTTTTAGGCCCTTTCTGTGGCTAGAGCTAAGAAATGCATTACATATACAATGAATTGACTTCTTTTCATAATTGAATAACTGGTATCGCCCATAAACAATATTTTATGTTAGGCAGAACACAAGAAAATTACTGAAAATGAGTGATAAAGAGAACATCCTGAAAGTATCCAAAGTGGACAGACACATTATATACAGTAAAAATTGATGTGAATAATGGATTATCACTTACAGAAGTCATAGTAACATAAAGACAATAAAACATCATCTTTAAAGAACTGCAAAAAAAACAATAAACCCATAATTTCATATTCAACAAAAACATCCTTCAAAATAAAAGTGAAATAGACATTTTCAGAAAAAGAAAAATTGAGACTATTGCCAACGAACCTACAAAGTCCTTTATAAGAAATCTTTGCCCTTCTCCCAATTATAAAGTGGTTCTTCTGTTGTATTCTAAAAGTTTCTTAATTTTAACTTTGATTTTAGGCTTACAATCCAACTCAAATTAAATTTTTGTAAGTGGCATGAGGAAGGGCTTGTGGGTCATTTTTTTCATTATGGATATGAAATTGTTCCAGCACTATAATTTGAAAGGATTTTCATTTGCTTTTTGTTTTCTTTGGTGACTTTTTAAAATTTCAGTTGACTATTTAAATCTGGATTTATACAATTTAATTCTGTTGTGGTCATAGAACATACTCTGTAAACATTTCTTTTTTTCCTTTACCAATCCTTCTTATAAATTTAACTTTTATTTTAAGTTCAGGAGTACATTGTCAGTTTTGTTATAAAGGTAATCTTGTGCCATGGGGGTATGTTGTACAGATTATTTCATCACACAGGCATTAGGCCTGATGCCTGTTAGTTATTTTTCCTGATCCTCTCCCTCCTCCTCACCTCCACCTTCTGATATGCCTCAGTGTGTGTCTTTCCCCTCTATGTGTCCAGGTATTCTCATCATTTAGCTCCCAATTATAATTGAGAACATGTGGTATTTGGTTTTCTGTTCCCTCATTAGTTTCCTAAGCATAATGGCCTCCAGGTCCATTCGTATTCCTGCAAAGAACATTATATGATTCTGTTTTATGGCTGCATAGCATTCCGTAGTGTATATGTATCACATTTTCTTTATCCAGTCTATCGTTGATGGGTATTTAGGTTCATTCCATATTTTAACTATTGTGAATAGTGCTGCAGTGAACATACGTGTGCATGTGTCTTTATAGTAGACTGATTTATATTTCTTTAGGTAAATATTCAATAATGGAATTGCTGGGTTGAATGATATTTCTGTTTTTAGGTCTTTGTGGAATCACCACAATAGTTGAACTAATTTACAATCCCTCCACCATTGTACAAGCTTTTTTTTTGCTGCACAATCTTACCAGCATCTTTATTTTTTGACTTTTTAATAATAACCATTCTGACTGGTGTTAGATGGTATCTCATTGTGGTTTTGACTTCTATTACTCTAATAATCACCATCTGTTCATGTTATTGGCCGAATTTTAATTTTTTTTTGTAAATTTGTTGAAGTTCCTTATAGAAGCTTGATACTAGACCTTTGTCAGATGCATAGTTTGCAAATATTTTCTCTCCTTCTGCAGGTTGCCTGTTCACTCTGTTGCTAGTTTCCTTTGCTGTGAAGAAGCTCTTTAGTTTAATTAAATCCCTTTTGTCAATGTTTACTTTTGTTGCAATTGCTTTTGGTGTCATCATTATAAAATATTTGCCCATGTCTATTTGCAGAATGGTATTGTCTAGGTTGTCTTCCAGGGTTTTTATAGTTTTATATTTTACACTTAAGTCTTTAATCCATTTTGAGTTATTTTAGTGTGCGGTATAAGAAAGAAGACTAGTTTCAATCTTCTGCATATGGCTAGCCAGTTATCTCAATGCCATTTATTGAATAGAAGATCCTTTCCCAATATCTTATTTTTGTCAGGTTTAGTCAAAGATCAGGTAGTTATATGTGTGTAGCTTTATTTCTGTGTGTTCTATTCTGTTCCACTGATCTAGGTGTCTGTTTTTGTACCAGTACCACTCAGTTTTGGCTACTGTAGCTCTGTAGTGTAGTTTAAAGTTGGGTAGCATGATGCCACCAGGTCGATTCTTTTTGTTTATAGATTGCCTTGGCCATACAAACCCTTTTTTGGCTCCATATCAATTTTTAAATGCTTTTTTTTTCTAGTTCTATGAAGAATCTCAATAGTAGTTTAACAGAAATAGAATTGAATCTGTATTGCTTTGAATTGAATCTATACCGTGTTTAGCAGTGTAGCTGTTTTAATGATATTGCTTCTTCCTATCCATGGCATGGAATGTTTTTCCATTTGTTTATGTCATCTGTGATTTCCTTGAGGAATGTTTTGTAGTTCTCCTTGTAGAGAACTTCTCCTCTCTAGTTAGTGGTATTCCTAAGTATTTTATTCTTTTTGTGGCAATTGTGAAAGGGATTGCATTTCTTACTTGGCTCTCAGCCTGACTCTTGGTGTATAGGAATGCTGGTAGTTTTTGTACATTGATTTTGTATCCTGCGACTTTGCTGAAGTTGTTTATTAGCTTAACTGCTTTTGGGTTGAAATCATGGAGTTTTCTAGATATAAGATCATGTCTTCTCTCAGCAGGGATAGTTTGACTTCCTCTCTTTTTATTTGGATGCATTTTATTTCTTTCTCTTGCCTGATTGCGCTGGCCAGGACTTCCAATACTATGTTGAATAGAAATAGTGAGAGAGGATGTTCTTGAGCTGGTTTTTAAAGGAGAATGCTTCCAGTTTTTGGTCATTCTGTATGATGTTGGCTGTGGGTGTGCTATAGGTGACTCATTATTTTGCGGTATGTTCCTTCAATAACTACTTTATTAAGTGTTTTTAACATGAAAGTGTGTTGAATTTTATTGAAAACCTTCTCTACATCTATTGAGATAATCATTGGGATGTGGTTTTGGTCTTTAGTTCTGTTTATGTGATGAATCACACTTATTGATTTGTGTATGTTGAATTGACCTTGCATTTCAGGGATGAAACCTACTTGATTGTGGTGGTTTAGCTTTCTGATGTGCTGCTGAATTCGGTTTGCCAGTATTGTTTTTGGGATTTTTGCATTAATTTTCATCAAAGATATTGACCTGAAGTTATCTTTTTGTGTGTGTGTGTCTCTGTCAGGTTCTTGTATCAGGATGATGCTGGACACATAGAATGATGTAGGGAGGAGTCCCTCCTCCTCAATTTTTTGGAATAGTTTCAGCAGGAATTGTACCCAATCTTATTTGTACAAATGGTTAGATTCATCTGTGAATCTGTCTGTCCTGGGCTTTTTTTGGTTGATAAGGTATTTATTATTGATTTAATTTCAGATCTCATTATTTGTCTGTTCAGGAATCCAATTATTTCCTGGTTCAGACTTGGGAGGGTGTATGTGTCCAGGAATGTATTGATTTTCCCTAGATTTTCTACTTCGTGTGCATGGGAGTGTTCACAATATTTTCTGGTGGTTATTGTTATTTTTTTAGGGTCAGTGGTAATATCACTTTTGTTGTTTTTGATTGTATTTATTTGAGTCCTCTTTCTTTTTTCTTTATTAGTATAGCTAGCAGTCTGTCCATTTTATTATTTTTTAAAAAGCTCCTGAATTTGTTGATCTGTTTAATTTTTTTGTTGTTGTTTTTCAAGCACCTTCTGTTCAGCTCTGATTTTGGTTATATCTTGTCTTCTGCTAGCTTTGGGATTGGTTTGCTCTTGGTTCTTTAGTTCTTTTAGTTGTGATGTTAGGTTGTTAAATTGAGATCTTTCTAACTTTTTGATGTGGGCATTTTGTGCTATAAATTTCCCTCTTAACTCTGCCTTAGCTGTGTCCCAGAGATTTTGGTATTTTGTATCTTTGTTCTCATTATTTTCAAAGAGCTTCTTGATTTGTGTCTTAATTTCATTATTTACCCAAAAGTCATCCGAAGACACATAATCTTCAGATTCTCCAAGGTCAAAATGAAAGAAGAAATATTAAAGGCAGCTAGAGAGAAAGGACAGGCCATATACAAAGGGAAACCCATTAGATTAACAGTATACCTCTCAGCTGAAACCCTACAAGTCAGAAGCAATTGTGGTCCAATATTCAACATCCTTAAAAAAAAGAAATTCCAATCAAGAATCTCATATGTTGCCAAATTAAGCTTCATAAGAGAAGAAGCAATAAGATCTCTTTCAGACAAGCAAATGCTGAGGGGATTTGTTACCACCAGACCTGACTTATAAAAGCTCTTGAAGAAAGCACTAGCTATGGAAAGGAAAGACCATTACCAGCCACTACAAAAACACATCGAAGTGCACAAAACAGTGACACTATAAAGCAACCATATAAACAAGTCTGCAGAATAAATAGCTAACATCAGGATGACGGGATCAAATCCACACATATCAATTTTAACCTTGAATGTAAACAGGCTAAATGTCCCAATTAAAAGACACAGAGTGGCAAACTGGATAAAGGACCAAGACCCATTGGTATGCTGTCTTCAAGAGACACTTTAGGGAGTGAAGAATATGTACATTAATTGTTGTGGTGATTATAAAATTGCTTATATTTGTCAAGACTCATTGAGCTGCAATCATAAAAATGATGAGTTATATGTATGTAAAACCACAGTGTATCTGACATAGAGTGGTGGTTAGCAGAGTCTGGGAAGGGTAGTGCCACATGCAATGACATACATAAGCTCAAAATAAAGAGATGGAGAGAAACCTACAAATCAAATGGAAAACAGAAAAAAGCAGGGGTTGTAATCCTACTTTCGGACAAAACAAACTTTCAACCAATAAAGATCAAAAAAGATGAAGAAGAGTATTACATAATGGTAAAGGGTTAAAGAAGATTTAACTATCCTAAATATATGCACCCAACAGGAGCACCCAGATTGATAAAGCAATTTCTTAGACACCCTCAAAGTAATTCAGACTCCTGCACAATAATGGTGGGAGACTTTAACACCTCACTAACAATATAGACAGATCATCAAGACAAAACATTAAAAACATTAACAAAGATATTTAGGACCTGGCCTCAGCACTGAATTAAATAGACCTGATAGACATCTACAAAACTCTCCATCCCAAAACATCAGAATACACATTCTTCTCATCACCACATGGCACTCTAAAGCTATTCACATAATAGGAAGTAAAACACTCCTCAGGAAATGCAAATGAATGAAAATCATAACAAACAATCTCTAGATCACAGCACAATCTAATTAGAAATCAAGACTAAGAAACTTACTCAAAACCACACAATTTCATAAAAATTGAATAACCTGTTCCTAAAGTTTCAATCTTTTGAAATTGATAGAAACTTGTTATAGCTTCAAACATATTGACAATATGCTTGTCTCTCTTGGTGAAATGTGACATGTAAACTTTTAAAAAAATACTTTTTTAAGAAGAATTTTTGTCTCATAGCAAAATTGAGAGAAAGAAACATAGATTTCCCATTTACCCACTGCCCTCATGCATGTTTAGCTCCCTCAGTACAAACTCCTGCACCATAGAGGCACATTTTTTACAACTGATTCACCTACATTGACAGACACATCATTATCACCCATTGGTTACACTAGCATTTACTTTTGTTGTTGTACATTCTGTTGGTTGGGGCAAATGTGTAACAACAGGTTTTTATCATTACAGTATTATATAGATTAGTTTCACTGCCTAGAAATATTTTCTGTCTGTTTATCCCTTTCTTTTCCTAACTCCTGGCCATGAGTTATCTTTTCATTGTCTCCATAGTTTTACCTTTGCCAAAAGTAATATAGTTTTAATCACACTTTAAGTATCTTTTTCAGATTGGCTTCTTTCACATAGTAATATAAATTTAAGGTTCCTCCTTTTCTATTCGTGGCTTGATAGTTCATTTATTTTTAATACTGAATAATGTTTTCTTGTCTGGCTGTACCACAGTTTATCCATTCACATACTATACCTTGGTTGTTTCCAAGTTTTGAAAGAACATTTTTTTTCTAAAACATTTTTAATGTAATTTTTTCATAAATGTCAATTAGGCAAGGTATTGACTGAGTTGTATTGATATTGGTCATTTTGTTTATTTATGGATATTGATATTGTCATTTTACTTTCTATATCTTACTAAATTACTTGTCAAATTGTTTGGGCTCCATGTAAATGGAATCTTTGTTATCCAATGTATATATAACAGCATTTTTATGTATGTCTGATGATTTTAACATTTTATAATCATATAATTTCCTTTATAATCTCTGTTTATAGTCAATGTCTTGAAATCTAATTTATCAATATTAACATAGCCACTTCATTTGTCTTCTGCTTATATTTTTTTATTTTTTAAATTTTTATGGATACTTAGTAGTTATATATGCTTACAGGGTACAGGTGATATTTTGATACAGCATACAAATGTGAAATAGTCTCATCAGGGTAACTGGGGTATCTATCAACTCATTGTTTATCATTTCTTTGTAGTAGGAACATTTCAGTTCCCATCTTTTAGTTATTTTAAAATGTACAATGGACTATATTGTATATGGTTGACTATAGCCACCCTGTTTTGCTATTGAAACAATAATCATATTTGTTCTTTTAAGTATATTCTTACACCCCTTAACTATCCCCACTTTTTTCCTCTCCTCCCAACTACCCTTCCCAGACCCTGCTAACCACCACTCTATGTCAGATACACTGTGGTTTTACATACATACAACTCAACATATTTATGATTGCAGCTCAATGAGTCTTGAGAAATATATGCAATTTTATAATCACCACACCAATTAATATACATATTCTTCACTCCCTAAAGATTTTATCATTCCTCTTTGCAGTCAATTACTTTCCCTCACCTCCAGTCAATGACAATAATCTGAATTGGATTTCTGTAGCATGGACTCTTCCAGAGTACTGTATATATGGAGTCATACCATGTGTAACTTTAGATTTACAAGTCTTTGTTTTGGACATATGATTTCCTTTCTCTCGGGTAAATAAGAGTGAAATAGCTGGATCATGTGGTATATGTGTGGTTTTAAGAAAGTAGCAACCGTTTTATATTTTATATTCTCAGCAGCTGTGCATGAGATTTCTAGTACCTATATTTATGTTTCCCTAATTACTCATCATGTCGAGCATTTTTTAATGTGTTTATTTACCATCCACATGTCTTTATAATGTCTGCTAAAATATTTTGCCTAATTTTTATTAGGCTGTTTGTTGTTATATTATTGAGTTCTGACTGTTCTTTTTATATAAATATATAAACAAGTTGGGTATCAAATATATATTTGTCCTTATTTATGAAAAGCCACCAGTAAGAGCCTTCTCATTTTCTTTGAAGTAACCTTTAAAGAATATAAAATTTTCATTATTTTTCTTATATAGTTTTTAATTTTGTATCCTCTCTAAGAAATAATTGCCTAACATAAGATGACAAAAATTTTTTTACCCAAGTTCTCTTCTATACGTTTTATAGTTTTGGCTGTAAGTTATCTATAATACATATTTAGCTAATTTACATATGATTTAGGGAAATACTGGAGGTTCTTTTAAACTTTTTTTAACCTCTATTTTTGCCATTGCTATCTCCAACATCTAGTTCATATTTAGCCTCTGTTAACATTTTCCTTTGTTAACAATGGATCAAATTTTTTTACTTTGTTTCTTGATTTTTGATTATATTCTAGATATTTTGCTGAAAATATGTAGACACAGAAATAAAAATCATTTTCTCAAGGAAAAGTCTTGCCCCTTTTGCCTTTCATCTAGCTAGTAAGAATGACAGTCAATTGAGTGTTTACTTGAGTGAATCTAGGCTTTGTTTTTGCCTCAGTTTGATTCAGCTCGCCACTAACTTCCAATATTTTGAAGGCATTATCAGGGCTTGTGTGTCATAAGAGCATTAGATCTAAGCACAGTGAAGATTCTGGCATTTACTATATAATCTGCATCCAAGACATCAACTCTCCTAAGAGTAGTAGAGCCCTCTGCTTTGCAATGTGGATACCAGATTTCATGGTTACTCCAGAGTTTTTGTTCTCTTCTCTCACTAATAGCCATTCTATTCCTCCGAAGATCATTAGCTTACTTCACTGCCCCCTCCAAAACCTGCCTTAAGCAGTGAGGGCCCTACTTTCTTGCAAGTTTGATTAGATTTTTTTTCTCTGACTACTTCTTTATCAGCCTATTGCCTTTCACTTGCAGAGAATGTGTTTAGACTCTGAGGAAGCTCCTTCTCAGCTTCCATGCCCTGATTCTAGTCATAGGCCTACTCTGTGCATTATCTCTGTTCCACCTAGAACATAGCAGTCATAATATTAAAAGTAAGAAGCAAATTTGCAGACTGTTCCAAAGATAATTAAGGATAAATATTTGGTTTAGGTCATTGCTTTCACAAGAATGTTTTTAACTTTTCATAAGGCCTAAAATCAATAGATGATATTGACCTAGTTTTCTAAGTCATAGTAACACTTTTTCCCCAAACACATTGTTAGTTAGCAGAACCCCTAAGCTACATATTGTAATTTTATAATCATTACTTCTATCCCAAAGAAGCGTCAAATAACTTTTTTATTAAACCTCTATTATTATGCTCTCTTTTAAAGATTGATTTATTTATTTCTTATTTATTTTTCCAGACAGAGTCTCACTCTGTCACCCAGGCTGCGGTGTAGTGGTGCAATTCTGGCTCACTGCAACCTCTGCTGCCTGGATTCAAGTGATTCTCCTGCCTCAGTCTCCCGAGTAGCTGGGATTACAGGCGCTTGCCAACACATCCGGCTAATTTTTTGTATTTTTAGAGGAGACAGGGTTTCACCATCTTGGTCGGGCTGGTATTGAACTCCTGACCTCGTGATCCACCCACCCTGGCCTCCCAAAGTTCTGGGATAACAGGAAAGATGTCCTTCTTATAATGAAACTAAATAAACAAGAGGGGCCAATGGTTGCTTCTACTGAGAAGAAGGCTGGTTCCTTCTTTCTGTTCTTTCTTCTCTATTTCCTTTCTTTCCAAGATACTTTAAATAATTGTATATGCTTTAGTTTGCTAGGATAACAAACTACCATACCAACAGACCACAGGCTGCATGGCTTAAACAACAAAAATGTATTTTCTTATAGTTTTGTAGGCTAAAAGTCCAGTATCAAGGCTGATTTCCTCTGATGCTTCTCTTTGGCTTGCAAACAGCAACCTTCTTGTTGCCACATCACATGGTCATCCCTCTGTGCATGCAGGCTCCTCATGTTTCTATGTTGTAATCTCCTGTTCTTATAAGGACACTAGTGACAGTTCACCCTAATGGCCTCATTTTAACTTAGTTACTTCTTTAAAGGACTTATCTCAAAAGTAAGGTTGAGATGGTACTCAACCTACAATAGGGTTACATCCTGCTAAATCCACTGTAAGTTGAAAACCTTGTAGGTAAAAAAATGGATTTATTTAATACCCCTATGTAGTGAACATCATAACTTAGCCTAAACTACCATAAATTTACTCAGAATACTTGCATTAGCCTACAGTTGGCAAAAATCATGTATAACTAAGCCTACTTTATACTAAAGTATTAAATTCCTCATGTAATTTATTGAATATTATACTGAAGGTGGTTACATAGGTAATTGAAGTACAGTTTTTATCAAATGCATATTTATTTTGTACCCTTGCAAAGCTGAAAAATTGTAAATCAAACCATTATAAGTAATGGGCTGTGTGTAGTAAACATTCTGAAGTACTGGGGGTTAGGACTTCAACATATGGGTTTTGGGAGGGCACAATTCCATCCATAACAACATTCTAACATGAGTTAAAATGTCCTCTCTAATAACATGAAGCTACTAATGAATAACAAAGTAAATAAAGGTAGAGTTAAATCTGTATATACATTGTTTTCAACTTTAGTCTTGCCAAAAGCTAGATTAAGTTTAAAGATATGAATTTAGTATTAAATGAACTTTTATCAAATATTTGATTATTATAATGCACACTTTCTCCAATGTGAGTTCCTGAAACTAAAAATAATTTCATTTATAAGGTGAGAAGAAAATATAGGCTATTGTAAATCGGAAGTAGTCTTTACAGCTTTATATTTTATAATGTCAAGATGAATACTCTATAATTCCAGGAGATGTCAATAAATTCATTATACAAAAGCTTTCTAGATAAATGAGTTTGGAACAAACTTACTGAATTAAGATACTTATGCTCTACTGTAGATTTTATTATATCTGAATGTTAACTTTGAATCTCAAACATGGAAGTTTTGTTATGACTATACTTTAGTATAGTATAAAGCGCATTTAGGAAGCAAGAAAAGGTTAGAATTTGTTCTAGCTTAGGCTATATGCAAAATTTAAAAATGTCACCTGAATAAAATAATTAAATAAGCAGTAAACATAAGCAAAAAAACACAAGGGTAATGCTAACAATAAAAGCAAATCTTTTATGAATTTTCAGCCGGGTTTACTTAAATCACACTATGTTTTTATACAACTTGTATTTATTTAATATTCATATATAGTATATAATTTAGGTCTCATCTAAAACCTATAAAGTGAGAAAAGTACATATTATAATTCACCTTTTAAAAAGCAACTTCCAATAAAATTCAGGATAAGATATAAAAAAACACACTGGGATCAGTTAGATGGGAAATCAAGCATTTGGAATTCAAATAAAGAATCATTTTATTACGATGTCATTTTGTGTAAATAAATTAAGATAGCCACACTTACAGTAGAGCTAATATGAACAATAGACATTGAATTATGCTTATAATATTTAAAATTGCATATATTATTAACAGAAAACATAGTAGAATATACTTTAGTCTTCAGATTTGAATAATTTAACATGAGAATTTTTTTCTTTCATGACATTTAATGTGAATTTTAGTTTTACATATTAAATTGGTAAATAACAAATGCATACATAATTCAAATTTTAATTCTGCCTTTGTGGGTATGACATATTTATAAATGAATAAGCACCTATTTATTATTTTTAACACTCTAAGCTATCATTTTGTACCTAATTAGTACCACCTTTTCATTAATTAAGTTGTAATGTTTGAATAAAACATTATATGATACATCTATAGGACTCTTTTTTCTTCTCTTTCTGTGTCATATATAGTTATTAGAGTTCATTAGCTTCATTTACTGAAGACGTATATTGAATAATTTTGTTTTGTTTTATAAATAATTGTTCACTTTGTGGTGGAAATGAAGTTCCAAAAATCAATTTATAAATTTTGGAGAAAATATGCAATAATACATACTTGTAGGCATTGAAATAAGACAAGTACATTGCTCCGCTATGCAAGTCATCAATTTGAGTATATTTCCAACTGCAAGGATTCATTATATTGGCATACAGAAGGAGCCATTCATATGTCAACTTCTCTTAAATTCAAAAGCTGAATAGCTCCTGAGAGATCTGACAGAAGCAGGTAAAAGAGAAAAACAAAATCAAACAAACGCACACTAAAAAGTCACAGTCAGATAGTTTAAAAATGTTGGAAAAAATCTAGGCCACTGAATAAGTATCTTTTCTTTAGGGATACTGAGAATTCTTTAGATTTATCAGTAATTGTCACAAATGACAGTGGTAAAGAATACATGCAATACGTACAGAGTACATTATTTTTCACAAATAGCAGACTAAGACATCAAATAAATTTTGATTAACGTGTAAATTACAGAAAAAATGACTTAAAAATTGTAATCTTGAATGAGGTTGTGAAATCTAACAAAAATTAAAAATAGCAATCTATCAAAAAGCAACCCCAATTGTATAATCAAGTATAATTCTATTCGTTATCCTGGCTCTGTTTGTTAGAAGAAAAATATTTACTCAAGAATAAACAGATGGGGATGTAGAAAGTCAATAACCTAGTGGGACCAGAAATACTTAAGTTTCAGTTACTACTATGCTGGCAATAATTCAAATAATTCCAAGGCATGTCTTATTTTTACCACAAACAGTTAATTTTCTGAATGATGACATTTTTAAAAAACAAACAAAAAAAAAGTCTTTCTCTGTCACGCAGGCCAGAGTGCAGTGGCATGATGATCATAGCTTACTGCAGCCTTGAACTCCTGGGCTCAAGTGATCCTGTCACCTCAGCTCCCCAAGTAACTGGGACTACAAGTGCACACTACCAAACCCAGCCAATTTTTTTATTCTTTTTGTTTATAGAGACAGGATCTGACTATGATGCCCAGACTGGTCTCGAACTCCTGGCCTCAAACAATCCACCTGCCTCAATCCTGCAAAGTGCTGGGATTGTAAGTGTGGGCCACTGTGCCCAGCCTGACTTCTTTATTCTCATTAACCAATTATTTCAACAATAAGATATGGAGGTTCCTTGAATGTAACTCAAATTTGTGAAAATATTTTAATGTCTATAGAAAAGAATGACATCTCTTTGGATTTTAAAAGATTAAAAAAAAAAACAAGCCAAAAGACATAAGCATGTCTGGTAGAAGTTCAGGAAATTTGTGCTATGAAAGAGCTAAGTTTAACTCAAGTAACCAATAAATGCATTTATACTTGCTATCACACTATGACACTGAGGGATGTGACTTAACTGGAAATTGAAATTAAGGAATGATAAATAGAGCCAAGCTGGATTTTGAATCTGAACTATGCCTTCTTCATTATTTTATCTCTAAAAGAGAAAAAAATTAAGTCATGTTAAGTTAAATATTAAATCCAAAATTGAGCTACTGAGGCAGAACATTTGTTCCTTAACAGAGTGCTGTGTTTTGCCTACTCTGGAGATTTGAGGGCTCTGTGTGTGTGTTTGTGTGTTGCATGTGCAAGTGTGGAAATCCAATGCCTGTGCTGCAAATGTAGGAATAGAAACCTATAGAAATTGAAGGAAGATGTAATTAACACATGTGCAGACAAAAAATAGTTGAAAGCAGAATAAAAAGAAAGTCAAAAATCAAAGCTCAAAATGGGAACTAGATATGGGGTAGAAAAATAGGCAAAAATTTTAACAGAAAAATAACTGAAACGTTTGATGTAGTGTTCCACTACATAGACATATCTGGGATTTTTTATTGTTTTCTACTGAGAGTCTCAAACTTGTAACATCCTAAGTGTTTCTACCACAAATTAATGGCATGCATTCTTTCTGTAACATTTCTGCTTTATATTTGAAAACCTCTAGTGATAAAACCTGTCACTCTTTCTCCATTTCCATTAGGATGGGAAACGACTGTCTTCATAGATTGTCAAAAATCAATTTGTTTTTTCACATTGGAAATTCACAACAATTGTACCAGCAGAAAGGTAGTGCCATCATGGGGAGAAATTTGAATCTTGAAGACAATTTTTGAAAATTACACATGGAAAAGTTTCCACCTCCATCAATATTCCAATATGTCTGTTTTTCACCTGTGCTGTTGCTCAATGTATTGGGGTTCTCCAGAGAAATAAAAACAATAAGATGTGAATGTCTCTTGGTAGATGATAGGTAGATGATAGATAGATAGATAGATAGATAGATAGATAGATAGATAGATAGATAGATAAGAATTAATCCAAAAGGTGAAGCACCTTTCAGAAACATCCAGAACAATGTTTGGCCAAATATTTGGGCACCATGGCCCAGACAAGTTGGCAGATAAAATTAGCCATCACACTCATTCCACTTCTTAACTTTCAGAATCAGCATCAGTTATATGCACATGGGAGCTTGCTTTGTTATTTCACAAAATTAGTATATAATTTTGAATTACTCTTCTAAGATACCTTTGTCCAAGTGCTCAAGCCCTCAAAGCACATAAAAGTGGAAAATCAAAAGTGGTGCCTTAGTACCTGGGATCCTATTTTCACAACGGAAAGGGAAAGTAAGTGGAACAGGACAATTCTGGCCATCTTATTTTCTCTGGATTACACTTTGACTTCCATTCGTCTTATCCTCCTCATGTAAGATAAACCAGGGAGATAAAGTAATGCATTTCCATTCATAGTTAACTTTTTCATAAAGTTAGATATTTATTTTTTTCTCTATGTTTTAATATTCTATTCATAATTCAATATTTTACCTCATAAACCAGCGGTGTCCAAGAGAGCAATTACAGTCATGGGTTCCTAGTTTCCGTTTCTGTTTTGGCCAATAAAGCCCCTTCTTCATCCTTCATACAAAATAGAGCAAACAACAAAATAAGGTGTGTTGTACAAGCTTGCCTTAAACTCTCTTATGTTGGTTTCCATTAAAACAAAATAATGTATGTTGTTTTTCCTTCATTTCAGATTAATTTTTAACATCATGTGAGCCCTGTCTTCTCTACCTAATTTGTAAAGACTAAAGTGCCTTGGAGTTCAATCCTGACCCTCTTCTCACATATCACTTCTTTCATAAGAAATCTCATTTATTGGCTGGGCATGGTGGCTCATTCCTGTAATCCCAGCACTTTGGGAGACCAAGGTGGGAAGATCACTTGAAGTCAGGAATTCAAGACCAGCCTGGCCAACATAATAAAATCCCGTCTCTACTAAAAATGCAAAAATTAGCCAGGCGTGGAGGTGGGCACCTGTAACCCCAGCTACCCAGAGGACAAGGCAGGAGAATCCCATGAACCTGGGAGGCGGAGCTTGCAGTGAGCCAAACTGGGAGACAGAGCGAGACTCCATCTCAAAAAAAAATGTAAAAAAAAATAAATAAATAAATCTCATTTATTGGCATAATTTAAATTCCATCTATGGAATAATAATCCCAACATTAATATACTCAGAATTATCTTTGCTTTTGTGTTCCAACCCACAAAGTCAGCAGTGTGCTTGATTTCACAATTGGTCATATCATTTATACCTCAGGTACCATGCCCACATGTTAAAAAATGCTTCTCTCAGTGTCCCATACCTCAAACAGATACTACTTGTATTTACTAGCCACTAAGACTTTTTCTTGACACTTCTCTCCTTCGTTCTCTATGTTTGAACCAACAGCAACTTCCTTTAAGTGTCTATATTCGTTTCCTATTGCCATGTTAACAAATTACTAAAACTTAATGGCTTAAAACAACACAAATTTATTCTCTTACAGTTCTGGATGCCAAAAGTCTAAAATCAAGGTGATGATAGGGTTACATTCCTTCTGAAGACTTTAAGATAGAACTTGTTTTCTTGCCCTTTTCAGCTACTAGAGTCTGCCTACATTCTTTGGTTTGTGATCCCTTTCTGCTTCTTCAAGACATGCAGTGTAGCCTTCTCTCTCTCTCTCTCTCTGTCTCTCTCTCCCCTACCCCCCACCCCGCTCCCTCTCTCGCCTGCTTCCTTCATCACATTTCTTCCTCTGTCTCTTCCTGCTTCCTTCTTTATAAGGACCCTGATGATTATATGGGGCCCAACTGGATAATACAAGATACTCTCCCTCTTTCAAGATCCTATGTTTAATCACATCTACAGAGTTTCTTTCACTAACCTATCATATTCACGGGTCCTGAGAAAGAGGATGCGAACATATTTGGAGGGAGAACTATAATTCAGCTTTCATAGTGTTCCTCTAAAACATTTTCTCAATCTCTTATTTTCTTTCCTTCTTACTTTCAGTTTTGAAGTCCAAGATACTATTATCCTTTCCTGGAATGACTAATTTCCTGACTGACTTTGATGACCCTTCTGCAGTTATCTTCCAGCACATTTGCCACTTAGTGACCACACTTCTCTTTAAAGTAAAAGTATAATTATGTCACTTCTCTGCTTAAAACACTTTAATAATTTTCCCTTGCATATAGGATAAAATTCAGAATTCTTACTGCGGATAATGTGCCTCCTACATGCAGTTACATGCTTCATCTAATGCTCCTGTTCGCTTAATCACTACACAACAGCTACCTGCTCTTCTATCTAGCCAAACTCATTATATGTCTCTGCAAATGTTTTTATTCTGTGATGATTTCCTCCAACTCTTTATAATATAATATAGTAGCACGAGGTCTATATTATAAAATAATATAAAATTACAAGGTCTGTATTATCCATGGAATTTATACGTAAAACTATCAAAATATAAAGTACTGTAAAAAGACTTCCAAATGCTATCAATGTTTCTTCTTCCTTTAAGCTCATGAATTTCAATGCAAACGTAAATCTTCTATATGAGTATTGTGTCTTACACCTTTTTTTTAAATTATACTTTAAGTTCTAGGGTACATGTGCACAATGTGCAGGTTTGTTACATAGGTACACATGTGCCATGTTGATGTGCTGCACCCATTAACTTGTCATTTACATTAGGTATATCTCCTAATGCTTTCCCTGCCCGCTACTCCCCCTCCACAACAGGCCCCAGTGTGTGATGTTCCCCTTCCTGTGTCCAAGTGTTCTCATTGTTCAGTTCCCACCTATGAGTGAGAACATGTGGTGTTTGGTTTTTTGTTCTTGTGATAGTTTGCTGAGAATGATGGTTTCCAGCTTCATCCATGTCCCTACAAAGGACATGAACTCATCCTTTTTTATGGCTGCATAGTATCCCATGGTGTATATGTGCCACATTTTCTTAATCCAGTCTATCATTGTTGGACATTTGGGTTGGTTCCAAGTCTTTGCTATTGTGAATAGTGCCACAATAAACATACGTGTGCATGTGCCTTTATAGCAGCATGATTTGTAATCCTTTGGTGTAGAGTTCATCTGCCTTTCCTTTGAGATTCATTCGCTTCCCTTTTCTGTCTGTGTTTTATGGAGCTAGGAAATAATTCTCCTGACTCCTTAGCAAACTAATTTCAGCTCTATTAAGACAGTGGAAAGTCTTGGTGGGTGATTGGAGGACAGGTGGAAGGGAGAAGCCAGGGTATACTTACTCCCTACACTGAGTAACATGTTTGGTAAAGACTGGTGCTTCTTCATGGCTCCAGTTTTCAATATTTAGAACCTCCATCATAGTCCCAAATTCTGCCAGCCAGGTTTCCAACATCAGCTGTGTAGTCCCAGCTCCTTATCTCTGTTAACCCTACTTGATCCCGTAAGCCCTTCTAGCCATAGGGATGAAGTGTGTGTGTGTGTGTGTGTGTGTGTGTGTGTGTAAAATAAACACTGGCTCATATGATTATGGAAACAGACAATTCCCAAAGTCTGCAGGATGAGTAGGCAAGTTGGATATTCAAGATGGCAATGGTATAATTCTAATCCAATGGCTGGAAAACTGGAGGCTCAGGAAGAGCTAATGTTTTAGTTCAAGTCTGAAGGCAGGAAAAGCTGATTCCCAAATTTGAAGGCTGTCAGGCAGGAGAAATCTTACTCAGAAGAGGGTCAGCCTTTATTGTTCTACTCAGGCCTTCAAAGGATTGGATGATATCCACCCACATTAGAGAGGGAAATCTGCTTTATTAAGTCTTCTACCAATTCAAATATTAACCTCCAAAAACACCCCCACAGAAACACTCAGAATAATGTTTGACCAGATACATGAGCACCCCTGGTCCAGCCAAGTTGACATGTAAAATTATGTGGGAGGCCGAGGTGTGAGAATCACTTGAACCTGGGAGGTCGAGGTTGCAGTTAGTCAAGATTGCACCATTGCACTCCAGCCTGGGTGACAGAGGGAGTCTCTCTCTTTCTCTCTCTCTCTCTTTCTCTCTCTCTCTCTCTCTCTCTATATATATATATACACACACACACACATACATATAGATTCTTTCTTGCTCCCAAAGGAACGCTGTGTGTATTTCGTTTTAAGACTTAAAAAACCTCATGGAACAATGTCTTCCCTTTTTTCCAAATGGTGTATTCCTCACTTTATAATTTTCTTATCAAGACAGTTATTTTATCAATGTAGAAATGTTGAGAAAGATAGCATACAATCGTTTAATAAATTTACAAGTTCACACATCATACAAAGGCTCATAAAATTTTGTGTTGTTCTATAATACTATTGTTTTATTTCAATGAAGCATCCATAGATACAATTGAAATATGGTAAAAGCTAGAATATATAAATAACCTGTTTTAAAATGATTCAGATATTGTTAAAATAGAAAAATGCTAATAATATGCTTTATGGAAAGAAAATTACAAACAAAAGCTGCTTACATGTTAACCACAGGTAGAGTTCAAGTTAGAAAAATTAATGAAGAAATGTAATAGAGTTTGGCTTCACTAGATAGCTTCCAATTTTTGATGACTGAAATCTTAGCTTTACTAGAATTTAACTTGTATCAAGAAGAAGTCACTCAAGGTTGAAGTTCAAAGGGGCAATTTTGCGAACAAAACTGCCTGAGTAGGATGGGAAGCAGAAGACAGATTTAACTGGAAGTTATCTGAAAACAATAAATATCTAGAGTCCTGACAGTTATCAGAGGAATCACCTGGAACTCTAATAGGAAAGCTCTTTGTAAATAAGATTCTATAGTAAGCCTAGTGATTCATAATTATCACAAAATTAACTCCCTTGGATCACAATATCATCTGCCAGGCTTTATGTTTTCCAGATGAAATTGTTCATTACAGATATCTAGGTCCAAATGGGCAGCATAATACTTCTAGTTCTAAATGCCTTCTCCTTATATAAAAGGCTGAAAGCCCCTCAAATGTGAAACTCTTATTATAGAAACCAGAGTGAAATCCCAAATCTATTAATATTTGAAAAGAAATAATTTTCTCCTTTTTCAGTTGATAGGCTTAAAAATATGCAATTTGCAAAATAATGTCATTTGAATGGATTTATTTTAATTCTAGGAAGAAATTTTCTTTCAACATTCTCCAGCCCTCTGATTGTGCTATATTGAAGCAGTCTCAAAATAACTTACAACTTCATTGATAAAATATTGATTTCTGTAATATTGGAAAATCTTTTCTTATTTCTAATTTGCAGATATAAGCAGCACAAATCTAAAATTGTCACTCTCTGGGTTAAAGACTTCAATAGCTCCCAATTATTTTAGAATATCTATTTATCCTATAAATAAATACATACATACATAAATAAAAATACACATATACATATATAATACATAAATATACCCAAGAAGTTTATATATGTTTTATTTATATATTAAATAATAAATCAGAGTATAGTATATATGATATGTGTCACTTAATGACAGGATATGTTCTGAGTAATGCATTTTTAAACAATTATTTGAATTCTGTGAACATTATATAGTGTACTTGTATAACCCTAGATGGTATAGCTTACTATACAACTAGGCTATATGGTATAGCCTACTACTCCTAGGCAACAAACCTTTACATTATCTTATTGTACTGACTACTGTAGGTAATTGTAACAAAATGGTATTTTGTATCTAAACATAGAAAAGTTACAATCAAAAATACTGTGTGAAGATAAAACTTGTTACATCTTTACCATGGGAACTCACCATGAATGAAGCTTGCAGAACTGGAAGTCGCTCCAGATGAGTCAATGAGTCATGAGTGAATGTGAAGGCCTAGAACAAGTTTGTCCAACCTGTGGACCGAGGGCTACATGAGGCCCAGGACGCCTTTGAATGTGGCCCAACACAAATTTGTAAATTTTGTTAAAACATAATAAGACTCTTTTGCGATTTTTTTTATCTCATCAGCTACTGTCAATGTATTTTATGTGTAGCCCAAGAAAATCCTTCTTCTTCCAATGTGGCCCAGGGAAGCCAAATAGTTATGGCAGCATTGAAATGTGAAAATCAGTAAAAGAGAGGCTTCTCATACTGTCCAAAGAAATCTGTAACTATGAGATGAGAAAATTGTCACATACATGAAAGTGATTTTAAAATAATAGCAATCTGACTGCAAGTGTGGTACTGTAACCTATATGTCCTCAAGAAGTTCAAAAGAATTCAAAGAAAAAGGCAACAATTATCTCCTTTTTTCTCCAAAAGTAACTCAAGATGTAGATTGACCAAGAGAACAAGTTCAGTTCTAAATAAGGAAGAAACTGTGTGTAGTGGAAGCGGGAAAAGCAGGAGGGAGGGGTGTACATTCAAATACACAGTGTTAAAATATAACTGGTAACAAGTTACCTATCTAATTACCTGCTTTTCTCCCAGGACACCCCTTGCCTAGAACATTAGCACTACTACAGACATTATAAACATTGTGCACTTAGGCTACACTAAATTTATACTTTTAAAAAGTAATATTGATGTTACAATGTTACAATGGTTATGATGTCATTAGGCAATAGGAGTTCTTCAGCTCCATTATAAACTTACGGGACTACCTTCGTATACATAGTCCATCACTGATCAAAAAGTCATTATGCAGTTACTGAGTATATATACCATGTATGCAAATTTTCTTCTTCCTCTGCCATCCCTGACACAGCAAGATCAACCCTTTTCTCCTCTTCCTCAGCCTACTCAATATGAACATCACAAGGATGAAGACGTTTATGATGATTCACTTCCACTTAATGAATAGTAAATATAGTTTATCTTCCTTATGATTGGCTGAATATTTTATTTTCTCTAGCTTACCTCATTATAATATTACATTATATAGTACACATAACATACAAAATATGTGTTAATTGACTTTATGTTTTTGATAATGCTTCCAGTCAATAGCAGACTGTTAGTAATTAAGTTTTTGGAAAGTCAAATGTTATATGCAAAGTTTTGGACTGTGGTAGGGTTGAGGGGCAGGTTTCATACACACACACACACACACACACACACACACACACACACACACATATATATTCAGAATGGCCTTCAACATTGTTCACTTTGTCATAATTTTACTATTATTATCCTCAAATTATTTTCCCCTTTTATCCTGAATTCCAGCCACCATGCACTTGTTTCTCATTGCATTAATTTTTTAATATGTAAACACTTCAAAATACTGCAAATAAAACATTTACCACTCACAAATATAAAGGCTGATTGGTATGGCACTGCTTCTTACTGTGGTTTGCCTGAGATAGTTCCCCTCCAGGAGTCTCTGCTTTTTGATGACTGCAGAAGCACAGTAGGGAAAGTTCCTTGCCACATGAATATTTCAAAATACTGCTTTATATCTCATTTACCAACATTCCATAGGCCAAAGTAAGTCACATAGTCAAGCTCAACTTTAGTGACATTAAAAAACATACTCTATGTCAATGATGGCATTTTTTTCCTACAAAAATGGTAAATACCTTAACTTACTGAAAATGCATAAAGTGTTCTTTATTTTTTCCTCATTTTCTGATCTCCTTGCAAGATGACAGGAGTTGTAATTGAGCTGACTGCATTCAGTGATGGATCTCCTTCTCTAGTTTTTTAAAATAAAGATGATGCCTTTTAAGTACAATTAAGTGTTATTAGACATAATATTTTATTTATGGGGATTGTAAAGGAAGAAAGTTTCAATGCTTTTAGGTAAATTAGATCTTCTTAGACACTCCTTTCAATTATTTTTATAAGATACTTTATGAGAGACTAACAAGTAATTGGAATATCTATTTTTCTGACTATTGACTACAATTATTTGATATTAGTAAATTTGATATAATTAAATATATTAATATTAATTAAATATTTTCATTTCTCAACTAAGAATGAGATATTTTTAATTAAGCTTTTCATTTCTTATTAAGGACTATTTTCCCAAGCACGTTTCCTGAGGTTTAAGTACTTGCCATTGTGGATGGATGCCTCTCTGAACTCTTGTTATTTCTTACAATCAAGTTTAACAGGGAATAATTTTGTTCCATAATTCCTGTACTCTAAATAATAATTTTTAGTGATCTTTACCTTAAAAACAATTCTTCCCATTCTATTGTTTTGTTTCATTCACAGCTTTGCTCATCCTTTATCTCTTTAACCTGTTTGGAGGAAGGGATCTTGAAAAGACATATAATCTCTCCATAATTTCCCTCCTGTATAGTACCCAATATCTGCTAACTGTATCATCCTCAGAACTCATATCTTAACTCAGTTATGGCTGCATTGAAATGTGAAAATTAGTAAATGAGAGCCTTCTCATACTGCCCAAAGAAATTTGCAACTAGGAGATGAGAAAATTACCATACACATGAAAGCTATTTTAAAATAATAAAAATGTGACTGCTAGTGTGGTACGCTAGCCTCTGTGTCCTCAAGAAGTTCAAAACAGTTCCAAGAAAAAGACAACAATTACCTCTTTTTTTTCTCCCAAAGAAAATCAACATGTAGATTAACCAAGGAAAGGAGTTCAGTTCGAAATACGGAAGAAACTGTGTGTAAGGGAGGAGGAAAGAGCAGAAGTGCGGGGTGTGCATTCAAATACACAGTGTTAAAATATAGCTGGTAACCACTTACCTATATAGTTACCACTTTTCTCCCAGTACCTAAATAGCTAAGTTGCATTTAACCAAACCTTGTTTTAGGTTTACATCTAGTACAAAAATCATTATCTAACAACTCACTTTGTGTAAAATATCCATACTATGAGTCTACTTTTGACTGGTTATTGAAGGCCAATTAAAAGATTCACTGTTGATATACAATATTATCAATGTTTTCAAATATGTAAAACAAAACTAGAGTTAATCTTGGGTTTGGTGATGATATGTTAGATAAAACACAAAAGACACAATCTATTAAATAAATAATAAACTGGGTTTCAATAAAATGATGAACTTCTGCTTTATAAAAGACACTCTCAACAGAAAAACAAGACAAGCCACAAAATGGATGAAAATATTTGCAAAAGATATATCTGATAAAGGGCTTTTAAATATACAAAATATACAAAGAACTGTAAAAATTCAACAATAATAAAGTGAGCAACTCAACTTTTTTTTGGGGGGACAGAATCTCACTCTGTCGCCTAGGCTGGAATGCAGTGGCATGATCTTGGCTCACTGGAGCAACTTAATTTTTAAAAATGGGCCAAAGATCTGAACAAACACCTCACCAAAAAAGATATGCAGATAATATGTACCTATAATTACATGTATATACATATAATCATATGAAAAGATGTTAAATATCAAATGTCAGTAGATAATTGCAAATTAAAACAATGAGATTCTACTATAAACCTATTTGAATGGCTAAATTTCAAAACATTCACAACATTAAATGTCAGCTAGACTGTGGAGAAACAGGAACTGTCATTCTTTGCTGGTGGAAAACACAAAATGGAATAGCCACCTTGGGAGACAGTTTGGCAGTTTCTTACAAAACTAAACATACTTATCATACATTTCAGTAATTGTGCATCATGGCATTTTTACTCAAGTCAGATGGAAAATTATGTCCATACATGCACCTGTAGGGTCAGGGGGTACAACAACTCTTTGTATTTTCCATGAATTTTGCCATGAATCTAGAACTTTTTAAAAAACAAAGTCTATTAAAAACAGACACCAACTAAGTGAATTACTATCTCACATGATTTTTCGAAATAATTGACCCTTAATAAAAAGTTCACAATAACTGAAGTATGTATGATTTCTACCCAATCAAATGATGTCTAATGTGCAATAGACATCATAAATGATGTCTAAAATGCAATATAAATGCATTTTTACATGCAAAAGGTCACTGTATTAGCCTGTCTTCACACTGTCATAAAGAAATAAAAGAGGTTGGGTAATTTATAAAGGAAAGAGTTTTAATATACTCACAGTTCTCCATGGCTGGGGAGGCCTTAGGATACTCACAATCATGGCAGAAGGGGAGGCAGGCACTTTCTTCTCAAGGCAGCAGGAGAGACAGCTTGTGAAGGAGGGAATGTCAAACACTCATAAACCCATCAGATCTCATGAGTGCTCACTCACAGCCTTGGGCATCTCCACCCCTGTGGCTTTGCAGAATACAGCCCCCATCCCAGCTGCTTTCACAGCTGGCATTGAGTGTTGGCAGCTTTTCCAGGTGCATGGTACAAGCTGTCAGTAGATCTACCATTCTGGGGTCTGGAGGAGGATGGCCCTCTTCTCAGAGTCCCACTATGCAGGGCCCCAGTGGGGACTTTGTGTGAGGGCTCTAACCTCATATTTCCCCTTTGAGCTACCTTAGGAGAGGATCTCCATGTGGGCTCCACCCCAGCAGCAGACTTCTGCCTGGTCATCCAGGCACTTCCATCCATCCTCTGAAATCTAGGTAGAGATTTCCAAAACTACATACTTGTCTTCTGTGTACCTGCAGGCCCAACACCACATGTAATCCACCAAGACTTGGGGCTTGCACCCTCTGATGCCACAGCCTGAGCTGTACCTTGGCCTTTATAACCCCTGCTGGACGCAGGGCACCAAGTCCTAAGGCTGCCTAGAGCAGTAGGGGCTCTTGGCCTGGCCCAGGAAACTAATTATTCCTCCTAGGTACCTGGGACTGAGGGTCTGCTGCAAAGATTTCTACATGCCCTTGAGACATTTCTTCATTGTCTCTGTGATTAACATTCAGCTCCTAGCTTACTTATGCAAATCTCTGCAGCAGGCTAGAATTTTTCCCCAGAAAATGCATTTTTTCTTTCTATCACATAATCAGGCTGCAAATTTTTCAAACTTTTGCAATCTTTCATCTCTTGAATGCTTTGCTGCTTGGAAATTTCCTCCACCAGATACTCTAAATCACCTTTCTCTGTCTTAAAGTTCCGCAGATCTGTAGGGCAGGGGCAAAATGCTGCCTGTCTCTTTGCTAAAGCATAGCAGGAGTTACCTTTGTTCTAGTTCCCAAGAAGCTCCTCATCTCCATCTGAGACCACCTCAGCCTGGACTTCATTGTCCATATCACTATCAGCATTTTGGTCAAAATCATTAAACAAATCTCTAGGAAGTTCCAAAATCCCAAATCTTTCTGTATTCTTCTGAGCCCTCCAAGGTGTCCCAACCCCCTGTCACCCAGTTCCAAAGTTGCTTCCACATTTTTGGGTATCTTTATAGTGACACCTCCCTCTACTGCTACAAATTTACTTTATTAGTCCATTCTCACACTGCTATAAAGATACTACCTGAGGCTGAGTAATTTATAAAGGAAAGAGGCTTAATTGACTCACAGTTATGCATGGCTGGGGAGGCCTCAGGAAACTTACTATCATGGTGGAAGGAGCAGCAGGCACTTTTTTCACAAGGTTGCAGGAGAGAGAAAGAATGTGTGTAGGAGAAAATGTCAAACACTTATAAAACCATCAGATCTTGTCCGAACTCACTCACTATCATGAGACATAGGTGAAACCACCACCATGATCCAGTCATCTCCCATCTAGTCCCTCCCTCGACACCTGAAGATTACAGTTCGAGATGATACTTGGGTGGGGACACTGAGCCTAATTATATCAGTCCCCAATAATTCTTCTCCATGAAAATAAAATGAAATAATAATACATAAAAGTCACATATTTTAAATTGTATAAGGATAAATAGAGAGCAAACATTTTTATGTATGAGAGTGTTTTTATAGATTGAAGAGAATTTTTTTAGCATATTAAGACACCTGCCTAGTTTGTATTTAGGTTATATTTAGATTAGGTTTATTTTAGTAACTTTTCTTTTACAATATGATTAATAATTTCTATAATATCTGAATTTATTGCTATTGGTTCATTATGCCAATAGAAAGCAAAACTAATTTTGACTCTCACTTTTACAAGTACTTATTATCATTTTGTCCTGTCTCATCATTTTCATCAGTCTTTTTCTCTGTAATCTCAATAAGCATATCTAAATTGTTCTGCAAACCTGTCTTTTCCTTCCTTCCTTTCTTCTTTTCTTTTTTCCCTTCCCTTTCATTCCCTCCCCTTCTCTTTTCTTCTTTACTTCCATTCTTTCTTTCTTTTTTCCTTCTGTCAATTCCCTATTACAATGGCGCAAGTACTTCTGTATTTCTGAATGAATTTATTATTCCCGTGTGGTTAATCTTTTTTTGTTAATTTTTAAACATTCATTAAAAATATAATTACTAAGTTTTATTCACAGATGTTGAAAATAAGTGTTAAAAATGTCATGCCTGTTTGATATCTGATCATTGGCATAGAAAAATCTTTCTTCTATTGTGGAAGAAAGTAGAATTTTCCCATGGCCTCCACAGGTGGGAGGGAGAAGTAGCCTCCTTACTACTGAGTAGTGGTGAGGACAAGTCCAATAGACTCTCTCAGACATGACCACAGAGGGAGAGGGAACTATACTTCATTATTACCAGATGTAGGTAGAAATTCAGGCTCCCCACATGGTTGTTGCTAGTACCTTGGGGCTTATTACAGCCTAGTGGGGATGAAAGTCCCAGCTCTCTACTCCACCTTCTAGCAAAATCTCTACAGTAGGGGGATTGGGCTTCTTTATTACAGCCTGGCAAGTGTGGAAGTCTCGGCTACGTCCTTGGTCTTTTCTAGCTCCCCACATGGTCATTAGAGTTCCAAACAGGAAGATAGGGTATTATTGAATATAAATATTTTTAAAATTTTTAAATTTGAAAATTATTATTGCAATTAGGCAGTATGTTATCTTGTACTTCATAAACAGTTAGGTGTTTGCCTATTAGTCAGAAATAATGCAAATTTGAATATTAAAAAGAAAGTGGATATGGTAAAAAAATTGCTATGAAATTTAATCATGGCAAGTTCAAAGTAAATAATTTAATGCTATTAAAATGGGATGGAGAATCAATTGCTATGCAGTTATTAAAAAAACAAAAATCTATCAGTCATAGATAAATGTTATTTCCTAAGCAAAGAAGAAACATAGGATTGTAGAACTTAGTTTATTTGGAGTTTGTAATTTCTCTGCAGAACCAAAAGTAATGGAAAAAACTTTAGTTTATATTGAAAAAGCCAAAAACCGTGCTTAGCATAAGAGGAACTGAACATAGTTGATAATTTACAGAGCAAATCCAGGCCAACAACATAGAATAAATGTACAAGTGTAAATGACAGAAGTGCATTCACTTAGCTTTTCCTATTTTAAATTTGCTGTTGCAATGATAATATTCATTTATTTTCTGGGGAAAATACATTCAGCAAGAGAATAGTGATGAACATAACTTGCTTAACATTGTTAAGATAATATAGCAAAATGAATGGAAAATATTTTTACTGTGATATTATCTACTTGCCTATTCCATTTCCTGATTTTCCATTCAAGAATACCTGGTATGGCTTTAAACACACACACACACACACACACACACACACACACACACACACATATACACATGTGCCAATAGACTCATTTATGAAACACTGTAACTGCAATGACATTTTTCTTTCCTTTCTTCTTCTCTTTCAGTGGAACAAAAGTGCAAAAAGAGGTCAATATTAATTTGTAGAAAATAAATAGTATATCTTTAAAGCAGAGTAATCTTGGAATAGTGATTTTGGTTATAAAAGGAAAACAGAGTAGTGACACTATTTTTGTGTTAATTATACAATATTCAGCAGGACATGCCCTATGGTTTCTTGTTTCACACTGTTTTTTACATCATTTTTCATGTCATGGTCAAGGGAATTGACTGGCATAACTCAGAACAGCAGAAATACAAGTTGAAAACAACATTGTGCTCATCCTAAATGTCAAGCTTGCTCAGGCAAGAAGATGTAAGGAGCCTCCTGAGAAGTAACTAACCAGAAGGAAAAAATAGAATCTTACAAATTTGATTCATGTTCATTCTGTCAGCATTGGAGAGAAGGGTGATTCTAAATGGTGGAATGTGTTTACTGTTCTCAAGGTTGTCCTCCAGGTAAGTTCTGATGGGCACAATGTAAAAAATATATATGAATAAAATAAAATATTCAATAAAATAAAAGGGGAGTGAAAACAAATATTTAGCACATTGAGTGTTGATGTATCAACACTATTGGTGTTGATGTATTCGCCACCTGTGAAAGACAATTTACTATTCTGTTTCAGGATTCTCAACATCAAGAGAAAACAGCTGCATTGATACTTAAGTGGATATTTATGGTCCTGCTGTCATTGTTAACTGAACATAAACAGCAGAAAATAATTATTATGCCCCAATGGCTTCAGACAGGAGAGAGAAAAAGTGACACATATAACATGGCAAGAAAGAAAACTAGATCATGAAGCACAGGTGAGTCATAGCCACTAGTTCTTGAAGCATTTGTTTTGTTTGATGCTGTTCTTAACTTTTATTTGGGGTTCAAGCGTACATGTCCGTGTTTGTTATATAGCTAAATTGAGTATCGGGGGTGTGGTATCAGATTATTTTATAACCCAGAAAATATGCATACCACCTGATAGTTTTTTGATGCTCTCTTTCCTCCCAACCTCCACCTTCAACCAGGGCCTGGTGTTTGTTGTTCTCTTTTTGGTGTCCATATATGACTCAATAGATAGCTCCCACTTACAAGTGAAAACACATGGCATTTGGTTTTCTGTTCCTATGTTAGTTCACTTAGGAAAATATCCTCCTGCTTCATCCATGTTTTTGCAAAGGACAAGATCTCATTCTTTTTATAGCTGCTTAGCATTCCATGGTATGTATATATATATATATCACATTTTCTTTATCCAGTCTACCATTGGCAGTTAGGTTGATTCCATATCTTTGCTATTGTGAATAGTACTGTGATGAACATACACATGCATGAGCCTTTATGGTGGAACAATTTAGATTCCTTTGGTTATATACTCAATAATGGAATTGCCTGGTCAAATGGTAGTTTCGTTTTAACTTATTTGAGAAATTGCCACACAACTTTTCAAAATGACTGAACTAATTTCTACCAGCAGTGTGTAAGCCATCTTTTTACTCTGCAACCTCACCAGCATCTGTTATTTTTTTACTTTTTAGAGTAGCCATTCTTAGTGGCACGAGAAGGTATCTCATTGAGAAATGCAAGTTTTGATTTGCATTCTTAGTGGCAGGAGAAGGTATCTCACTTGAGAAATTCAAGATTGGATTTGCATTTCTCTAATGATTAGTGATGTTGAGCATGTTTTCCTTGTTGACCACATGTATGTCTTCTTTTGAAAAGTATCTGCTGGGTGTGGTGGCTCATGCCTGTAATCCCAGCATTTTGAGAGGCTGAGGCGGGCTGATAACAAGGTCAGGAGATCAAGACCATCCTGGCTAACAAGGTGAAACCCCGTCTCTACTAAAAATACAAAAAATTAGCTGGGTGTGGTGGTACGTGCCTGTAATCCCAGCCACTCAGGAGGCTGAGGCAGGAGAATATCACTTGATCCTTGGAGGCGGAAGTTGCAGTGAGCTGAGTTAGTGCCATTGCGCTTCAGCCTGGGCTACAGAGCGAGACCCTGTCTCAAAAAAAAGAAAAAGAAAAAGAAAAAGAAAAGAAAAGTGTCTGTTCATGTCCTTTGCCCACTCTGTAATGGGCTTGTTTTTGTCTATTAAGTTCCTAATAGATTCTGAATATTAGACCTTTGTTGGATGCATGGTTTGCAAATATTGTCTCCCATTCTGTAGGTCATATATTTACTCTGTTGATAGTTGCTTTCGCTGTGCAGAAGCTCTTTAGTTTAATTAGGTTCCATTTGTCAATGTTTCTTTTTGTTGCAATTGCTTTTAGCATCAACATCATGAGATTTTTGCTACAGCCTCTGTCCAGAATGATATTTGTTAGGTTATCTTCCAGTGTTTTTATAAGTTTAGAATTTACATTTAAGTCTTAGTCCATCTTGAGTTGATCTTTGTTTATGGCATAAAAAGGCGACCAGCTTCAGTCTTTTGCATATAGCTAGTCAGTTACCTCAGCACTAATTATTGAATTGGGAGTCCTTTCTCCATTGCTTGCTTTTGTCTACTTTGTCAAATAGCAGATGGTTGTAGGTGTGTGGCATTACTTCTGAGCTCTCGATTCTGTTCCATTAGTCTAGATGTCTGTTTTTGTACCAGTACCTTCTTTTGTTGGGTGTTCTGGTTCACAGGGCTCCTTCAGGCAGAGGTCACAGTTGGAAGACAGCCATATCTTTGCCACGTCTGCCCTATTCCGTTGTCCGAATTCTTTCCAAAGGAACACAGGGTTGTGCCTGCCTGCAGAGTTCAGGCAGAAACAGGTTCACTGGGCTAGAAGCTCTAGTGGGTGTGGCCCATCTAGCTAAAAGAGGTGGGGTGATTGGAGCTTTCCACCCTGCCATCTGGGTGTTTCTAGGGAAATAGGAGGCTGCAGCCCTGGGCAGATTCAGATAGAAACAGGACCACTGGACTGGAAGCTCCACTAGGCATGGCTCACCTGTCTAGAGAGGCAGGGGTGGGTCAAGCCACCCACTCTGTCATCTATCTGATTCCTGGTACA
Source organism: Homo sapiens (assembly GCF_000001405.40). NCBI lineage: Eukaryota > Metazoa > Chordata > Mammalia > Primates > Hominidae > Homo > Homo sapiens. Next base: position 96,416,575 of record NC_000003.12, read on the forward strand.
ACAGGAGGCTGTTCCCACTTACTGCATTCACACTGAAGTAGGACCTCTGGGCAGAGGATCTAGCAGGTGTTGCCTGTCTGGCTACTAGTGGCGGGGGTTGGTGGGGTTGCCTGACCTACCATCTAGGTGCTTCCTGGGACACTAGGAGGCTGCAGCCACTGGTTGAGGTCACACAAAAGTGGAATCACTGGGCTGGAAGCTGGCACTGAGCTTTCTCCGGTGAGTAGGGGGTAGAGCAATCTTGCTGCTTTCAGGCACTGTAGCTGTGGCCTCTACTGGGGCTATGGCACCAACGACGGTTTGCTTTGGGGTCCGAGGCTTTTAGAGATCCCCTTGGACTTAAAATTTGCCCCTGCAAAATGTCCACATGGCTCTCTGCCTCAGCCTAGAGGCTAGGTGAGGAGGTGCAGGGGGAAGGGGGATTTCCCCATTCCCAGTCTTGCATAGGTCCCTGGGGAGACTAAGAATCCCCTAGAGGGCTCTCACTCACTCACCCCTTTCCATGTTGGAGAGCTTTTCCTGGCTCCCTGCTAAGCCCAGTCAGGCTGGTGCCCAGCTGTGCTCCTGTCTGTTCTCTGTGTCCCCATGGAAGAATTATTTGTATCAGTATCTCCTGATTGATATGTTCTGGGACAAAGGTTTCACTGTCATAATAAAAGAACATAGTAGTGAAAATTTAGAGAGATCATGGCTTACTACTCCCTCACACTGGAGAGATATTGTCAGGAGTGCACCTGGTGCATTTTTTTAGGAGAAACAAATAACAATTATAATTAGAAAAACAGTTTTATGTTTATTTTCTTGAGAAAGAAACAAAAATATGCTTATGCTCTCACAGTATATTCAACTATCAGAAGAAAAACAGAAACACATAGAAATTATAAAGTGGTCAAGTTAATCTTAGAAGGGCTTTTGCTCAAATAAAATAATAGTGATATTTTCACAATTGATGTTGTTAACCAGTTAAGAAGTGCTGTTATGTTTTTCCTCTTCTTTTCTCAAGGATAACAAATTGTGTGAGACAAAACATTTTAGAATCTTAGGGATATAATCACAGAATAAAATGCTGATAACAGAGCATATAGAGAGATATTTCCAACAATGTCCTCATGTGAAACATTGTTTGAAGGAGGAATTTTATTGTTGGGGGAGGAATTTCAAAATCTATTTAGTAGTGCACAGGTATAGACCTGATGTGTGTCATTGGTCTTCAAAATCTTTGAGTTATGATCATCAACTCTGTTTTCTTAACACAAGAAACAACCATGTTATGACTGTGATGTTTTAAGATTAAAACTAGCTTTCACCCTACTTCATCCTCAATTTAGAACATGTGTACAATAGAGTCTGTTCTTTGTTAAATATTCCCCTACAATGTTTATTGAGGAATTACAGTACTTTCCTTCCTTCTTTCCTTCCTGCTTTCCTGCCTTCCTGCCTTCCTGCTTTCCTTCTTTCCTTCCTTCTTCTTGATGATGTTTCACTCCGTTGCCCAGACTGGAATGCAGTGGCACAATCTTGGCTCACTATAGCCTCAAATTCCTTGGTTCAAGCAATCCTGCTACCCAAGCCTCCCAAGAAGCTAGGACTACAGGCCACTCACCACCATGCTCAGGTAATTTTTTTAATATATATACTTTTATAGAGACTGGGTGTCATTCTGTTGCCCAGGCTGGTCTCAAATTCCTTGCCTCAACACGCTGGGATTAGAGGTGTGAGCCACCATGCCCAGCCCCTACATATCTTTCTAAATGACTACTGATGAATTGATGAAGACAACAATAGGTTGAGCTACATATATTAGTACCATTCTTACTTGATCTTAATTATGTATCTCCTTTAGAAAGTTTTCTTTTCCCAATGTCTCTGCTAATCATGTTGTTGTTTATGTTATTACTTATGGATTTTCTTTATACTCTGTTGGTGAAATAACAAAATAACTGAGGAACACATGCATTTATTTATTTTTCTTCCAAAATGGAGTCATGGAGTTTGGAGTTATAAGAAGAAAATTGTTCTTTTCCCCTCAGGTATGTATAAACATATGTGACAAAGACACATCTATTAGTCTTACTATCATAAATATGCTCTTTGGAAAGGGATAAATTAGCAAGTATCTGTGGATATACTTTATAACTTATATACTGTGTCTCATGTGTGATCTTCTTACTTATATCATTATTTGCAAGTAAATTTGAGAAAATTTGCTCTTTAATTTGTACTTAATCTCCAAGATCAAATGCAGAAAAACCACCAAGAAATTTATCCAGCATTGGCAAAAATTTATTATTTTGGATAGAAATATCTCAAATTTCATCTGAAATTTAAACTATGTTATAATGATACTTGTACTTTTAAAAAATATATATCTAACAAAAATCTCATACCCCCTTTCTTTACCTAATCATATTATACCAATTGTTTTAAATGCCTGACTAAGTTACAATGAACCGCATGAGAACAAAAATGGCATTTTTTTGAATTCTAACCCCAAGGAAACGCCCTTAAAATGCGATTTTAGGGGTTTTTTCTCATTAATTTAATGAATGCTATGGCACTTTGTTTCATTTACTCTTCATAAATAACTCACACCCAGCTTAATCTTTCTTGGACTACCCTTCAATAATTTGCAGGCAGCAAGTGTTCTTAAGTCTGCTTTCTGTCACTGATAATTACTGTGTACTGCTGAGCTTAGCAGATTAAGCAGTGATATATTCATGAATTACTAATTTAAATAACAGCATATACTAAAGGATAACTTTATTTTTGTATAGACCTCATTAGGTCAAAAAGCAAAAGTAATATATTTTAATATTTGAATTTTGTGATTCATATATATAGCACATATATATAGAAAATATACATATTGCTATGTATATACAGCAGAAAGATGTCTGTTACTGTGTTTTTTAATATCTTATGGAAAAATAGACAAAGCAATTTCAAATGATTAATTTTAAAACTTTATCCTTATTTAAATCTATCAGTAACACTTATTGAGAAAACATATTGTATTTTTATAATGTCCAAATTAAATGTATTATATATGGTACTGGAAAAAGTCAAAATGTTCACACAATGCAAATATCATTTTTTAAAAAAATCTAAACGTTTTTGGAACAAAGCTTACAACAAATAGCCTTTGAATGCAATGACAGTTTTATATTTGTCATTTCTAATTTAATCAATAAGAGGATTAGAACCAACACTTTATGCACCTTTATTTTATGGAAATTGAATGTACAATAATAAATAGTACTGTCAGAAGATTTAAGGTGAGGTGACATGTGAAACAAAAATAAGGAACATCGAATTTAATAACCATGAGGAAGGAAAGGGTTTGGATGTTGAAAGAAAGGAAATATATTTAGCCAGAGACTGGTAAGCAAGGGAGAGAATAATAGATATGGGAGAGGCAGGTAGTTAAATCTAGTTGATAATGATAAGTAGTTTAGTTTTTCTTTTAGTTTAATAAGGTTCCATTGAACAGAATAGTGACATAAATTGATTTACTAAAATATAAATCATTGCATAATGATAAGTTAGGACATCTTTGAATATAGTCCTCTTTTCCTGTAATTCTAAATATTTTATTTTAAAAGCAATTATTCTGGGAAACAGCCCATAGTTTGAACCAGACTGCGAGAAAAATGTTAAGACTGCCTGGATAGATTAGGCAGTTGGAGGTAACAGCAGGCATGAGAAAAGCAAAGAAAAAGTGGGATGACTACTACTGTGCTTTAGAAAAGAAATAATGATAACTTGGACTACAATGGTGGCACTAAAAATGGATATAAATTGATATGTTTAAAATGTATTTTAGAAGTAATGCCAAAAGACTTGCTTGTGTGTTGAACATGGAGACGAGGGGGAAAAAATTCAAGGATGACTCATAGATTTTTGTTGTGAGCAATTTTTTCAGTGACACTTATGAAATGTTCTTTCCATACATTATGAGTTCTGCCTAACATTAACTCTAACTGTTAAAAAAAAGAAAAATGATGTTTTACTTGACATTTCTTTAAATAAAAAAAAACAGAACAGAGAAATAGAGTTTTGAGGAACCGATGAGTTTGGTTCATTTAACTTTTCTGAATTCTAAAATGATCAGAACTAGAACAATATGATCTAATACAGTGATACTCAGATTCGGGTTATCATCATATGGTTGGTTTAATCTGATCCAATTTTTATATTTGAATTAGCATATTTGAGTTCGCTAGAAAATACTTAAACATATTCACACACAACAGATATAAATCTGTCTAGTTATTTTAGTCATATATTAAATTATTTTATACATGGCATCAACAATCAAGTGGTACTTCCAGTTAGTTATTTGTATTTTTCTTAGAGATTTGCATTTACCTTTATTATTTTTTTCTTTTTTTAAATTGGAGAAATTACAGCTATCAAGAAGTATTTAATTGTAAGTAAGTAATCACAAGGGAGAAATGAGAGCTGCTAAGTTGGAAAAAGAATAGAAGTCAATTATAAAGTTAAATGTTAATGCAGTAAAGTGGAGGAGACACAGAGGAGAAATTAGAGGCCAAAATCAGAGATGAGGAAGAAAATACAAGGATATTTTCTTAAAGCATCGGAATGGGCAGTTAGTAGCAACCAAGTTTCACACTATAACAAAGATGTAGATTCCAATGATGTTGCGTCAAAATGACAGGTGTGACAGGCCCACATCAGTGATGGAGGTATTTACAGAGATGTGTTACAGCTGTAGGCAAAATTTTGAAATAGGCCGGGTTTGTTTTCAGTGCTCTCTCACCTCCCTTCCAGCATCCCTGGATCCAACTTGAAGTTCTCAGTGTCCTCGTCTTGACCCCTTGATGTGTATGCTCTCCATGCTCTAGTGTCCATGCAAGTCAGCAAGTCTCTGTCAATGCTTCATAACTGGTACAGTCCAGATAATTCTACCTGACTTGTATTAAATATGTTCAGACCTTGACTCCTCATGACCAACTAATTCAGGAATGTACAAGCATTGCTGCTGGTGGCTGAGCGTGTTAACCATCTAAATGTTGTATTTATATCTCATGTCACATATCCAGACACAAAACAATTGGATTTAAACAGTGATGATTAGAGCAGAAAATTGGGAAGGAATGCTAGTCTTGTGGGAGAGACTGGATGTAACAGGTTGGATTTTTGGAAATATAGAAATTAGATCAGATAGATGTTTGCTGAGTACATATATACATATGAATTATCAACAAAACATCATCATGCTCCTTTCTGTGTCTGTCCAATTAAGAGCAATTTGAGGGGAAAATGTGATTTACAGGTTCTGCTCTTTATCAGTGGTGAGATGAATTATATGAGAAACATAGCAAGAGAAAAGACAAGTAGAAATTTTCTTAGAGAAATAATAAGAGTAGGTACACATTTTTAAAAAAAGTTTCATTTATACTAAATCAAATATATGATTTTAGTAAAAAATGTATTTTACACTGAAAATTTTATTTAATGACATGTATTTATCAAGAATATAATTCCAAGATTTTTTCAAACTGTTAAACAAAATACACTTCCACCAAGACACATGCACATAATTGAAAAAAATAAAATTGTATATAGATGCTTTATAGAATAGCAACCTTATGTTGTGCTGAGAAGCATAATAAATATGATTACTATGCAAATCAAAATACGATTTAGCTCTACCTTTAAAATGCATTTTAGATGTAATTTAATATAGTATTGAAGAAAACAAATGTGATTTAAATAACTAAATAAAATTTTAATTAACTATAGCAAAATAGAATACATGTAAATAAAATAAATAAAATTATTACAAAATAAAAATTATCAAATAAAATATTTGATAAATTGTAACAATACCAGCATAGCCATTATATGAATTAGATCTATAGTTATCAATAGAATTCTTGTTTTCAAATCCTAATAGTTGGGTTTTGAAACTGAATTGTCCAAATAATTAACTTGAATTCTTTATTATTTCAGTGCTTCTACAAAATATAAAGCTATAGCACATACTTACTCTCATTCTTTTTGAAACTGTTTCTTATAAAATTTACCCTGTTCTCAGTCAGAAAAAGCATTTACATAAGTCTCAGTGATCTACTCATAATAAATGGCAAAATCTCTAGATGTTTGCCTCAAATCTCTAGAGGTGAACTGACATAAAATAATAGAACATTTTATATATGGCCTCTGAATGACATATTCTCAGGACTTTAGTGGTAATTGAAAGAGAGTGGTTCTTGGTTAAGTCCACACTTTATAAAATATGTCAAATATCTTTATTGTTATAAAATGTATTATAAAAATATTCACATACTTTATAATATAGTTTATTAAAATATATCATAATATATTTTATTATATTTTATAAAATATTAAAATATATTTATATAACAAATATAAATAGTAAATATATAAATAATTAAAATAAAATATGTATATATTTTATAGTATATATAATATATTAAGTATATATGGACTTATATATATATGTCCAGACTGTATATATATATATATGAAAAATTCAGTCTATAGCAGATAGTGTGTATGTGTATGTACATATATCACACACACACACACACACACATGCACACCATCTGCTATAGACTGAATGTTTATGTCCCCACTAAATTTATATGTTGAAACTTAATATCGAATGTAATGGTATTTGAAAGTGGGGCCTTTGAGATGTGATTAGGTCACAAAGGTAAATTCCTCGTAAATGGGATTGTACCCACATAAATGAGACATTAGAGAGCTCCCTTGGCCCTTCTGTTACGTGATGACTCATTGGGAAGATGGCTGTCTATGTGAATCAGGAAGTTAGCTCTCGCCAGATACCAAATCTTCCGGCCTCTTGATCTTAAACTTTTCAGCCTCCAGAACCGTAAGAAATAAATTTCTATTGTTTATAAGCCATGCAGTCTATGGCATTCAGTTACAACATCCCAAAGGGACTAAGATATTACCTCTTATGGTAACAATTAGTGTAGAATATTGTTCGGAAAGTATCATTCTGACTATGTTTTCTCAAGTTTTTGAAACACCACTGCTAATCTAACTGGTGGTCTCAAAGCCTCAGGTGATCTCCAAATAACCATCAGTAACCTTCACCTTTTAATATCCACATCAGTGTAGAATGCTCTCACCCTGAATAGGACTACTCTGTGAGACCAGCAGAATATCGTGGACACGGTAATGGTGATTTTGTAGTCATTGGAAATAAGAAAGCAGAGCTTGTGTAGTAGCAGAAAGTGTGTCTGTTACAATTTGGAAAGGAGAAAAAAATAATATACTGTGTAGTCTAGATAAGGATATTTCCAGGCAGAGTGTAAAAGGTGCCATGTGGTTTCTTCTTGATGCTTACTGTAAAATCAAGAGACTGATTTTTAAAAACGAATAATTGAATATAAAAAAGTAAAGACCCCCAGGGTTTGAAAATTCTCAGGTTCTTCAGGTTGTAAAATATGCTTAATGTTAAGTAATATATTTTGGTCAAAAATTAATTGAAGGCATATTAGGGAAAATGAAGTTTTATTAGTTTCCTATTGCTGCTGTAACAAATTGCTATGAATATGTAGATGTTAAGCTACACAGATTTATTATCTTAAAATTCTGGATGTCAGAAGTCCAAAATGGGACTTAAAGGGCTGAAACCAAGGTGTCAGCACAGCCATGTATTTCTGGAGGCTTTAATGGAAAATCTGTTTCCTGCGTTTTTCTGCGTCCAGAGGTTGTCCGCCTTCTGTGGGTCATGGCCACAGTACTCTGACCTCTGATGCTGTCATTACATCCCCTTCTCTGACTCTGACTCTCCTGGCTTTCTTATAAAGATCCTTGTATTTACATTTGGCCCACCCAGATAACCCAGGATAATCTCCCCTTTTTAAGACCTTTCAGTTACTTATATTTGCAAAACTTTCTTTTATCATACGTGGTAGCATATTCACAGGTTTCAGGGATTAGGACAAGGACAACTTTTTAGGTTAATATTCTGCCTCCCACAAGGGTCTAATAGTAAAATCAAGGTGTGACCATAAAATCCTTTATTAAAATCTCATGAATATCTAGGGCAATGCCTCAGAGATCTGATATGCCAATAACTTCTAAGAATACAAGGCAGTATAAGCAGCCTAAGCCCCAGAAACACACATAGGGAAGGATTTAGCTCAAAGCATTTGCAGGTGTGTCTTTTGTCTAGTGAAGCCCAGTCCATAACAGTCCTAGGATCCTCAAGAAGTGTTTTAAGAGAACTGTACTACACTGCCAACTTGAACCAAAAGGGACAATGACAGCACAAGATGAAAAAGATCTGATGTACGCTAACAATTCCATAGGCAGTAAGCAGGTTCAGAAAGCCATTACTGAGCAGCAAATATGGGCAACATGTCATTAAAAAGGAGAAATTACTCAGAGGACAGATCCAAGAGCCACAGTACATTATTCTCAGACTTTGAGCCCTAATCAAGGAACTTGCAACATGTGCCACTCCAGATTTCAGAAATGTTAGGGAATGGTGACGACTGTGTCTCTCATTTTTCCACATTATGAAAATGAAGGTCTGTGCCAGTTATTTTATGCCTGTTCCACGATTGTTTGCTGGGCCTGTGGGGACGACGGGAAGCAAGAACTTGTGTCTATTGTTTACAGGTCCTTATATTAAGAAGGCTTGCATTCTAAGTGCCACACTTGAGATGTCTTACCCCATCTGAACCTGATTTTGTAGCAAATATCCTGTAATTGAGCTGACATTGGAAATGAATGAGAATTTGGAGAGAAGATGTGGATTTTTTATGAAGGAGCAGGTTTGAAGGCATGAATCATCCAAGGTCAAAAGGTGGACTGAGCTAATCAGTTGTCTATTTGTATTTACATGTGTGTACTTTCCTTCCACAATGAATAAAGTTGATTTGTGGACCAGTTAGATATTGTGGACATGATGGTGTGTGACTTCAGAGGCTATGCCAAAAAACACATTGAACCTTCTGCCTTTGTCTCTCATATTACTTCTCTAGGAGAAACCAACCAACATGCCATATGGACATTGAAGCATCTCTGTACAGATGCCGACTTGGAAAGAAACTAGGACTTCACACCAACAATCAATACCAACTACCAGCCAGGCATATGACTAAACTTTGAAGTGGATCTTCTAGCCCCAGTAAGCCCTTCAGAAGACTGTGGCCCTGTGATGTCTGTTAGCAATGTCTCATGAGACTTAGTTCAAAACAGCCCAGCCAATATTTACAAATCACAAATTTTGAGATAATTTGTTATGCAGTGATAAATAATTGATACATGCAGTTTGTCTCCAGATGAAAAGGGATAATTTTATTTTCCATTATGGTTTTTGCTAAGGAGTCCTTGCATATGAACACAAGTAAGGAATTCCATCTTTTCCCCACGTAAAAGAAATATGACTTATACCAGAAAACTATCATATGCGACAGAACAATTTTTCCTGACTTCAGTGGTCCCATTTCAACAAGTCCTTTATTTCAGACATAAAAGGTGATATGATGGCAAGTTTCACTTCCTGGGTGTATTCAAAGCTTCAATCTCAGAAAACATTCATGCTTGCTTTGCATTCCATTTAAGTTCCATATTCCTCTACCCGAATAAAATATAACAATTCAAGTAGCCACATCCTTCACCATGTGATTCAATGAATTTTAATATGCGTACTTAGCCGAAAGATAACTAGCCTCCACCAATGCTGTAGTTAGATTTGTTAAGCTTGCACAAACGCATCAAGTATCTACAAAAGAAAAACAGAAAAAAGAAAGGCATTCAGCTGCAAACATGGATTACATTTCTGAAAAAGGTGTTATTACTCAGAAAGCAGATACAAGAGCCACAGCATATCATTCCCAGATTTTTACTCTAATCAAGGAATTAGCATTTTTCTCAATACCATTTTCAGAAAAGCCTTTTCATCTTTTCATTTTCATTGTTTTAAAATGCCTAAAATGAACTATACTATCTCATTTTAAAAATCTGAGCTTATGCTTTTAAACACATGATAGATGCTTCACTGATGATGCTAGTAAGAAATCTTTAACTTCTATTATTTCCAATTTTATCCATTGAATATATGCCTAGGAGAAGCTGGGGCAATACAAATGTTGCTGTAATGATGTAGGATTGATAGACATTTTGCTGTACATCAGATTTCAGGAAACTCCATATTATTTGCTTCAAGATATAACATTTTTTAAACATTTATAACATGTTCATATTATTTTCTTTGTAAGCAAATGCCAGGAATTAAAATGAGTACGTTGAATTTTAATTTACCAAAGCAGGATTTTTAAAGGTGGTGGTGAAATTTATATGGAAATTAATTTCTATTGTCTGCATATTGCACAAATGTCTATATAATATGCTATATAATACACAATAGTGGTTTTCAAGACAACAAACTATGAATATTGTCAATTTTCTTATCTTTTGGAGGCTCAACTATCTCATATAAGACATAAAGGAAAAAGTAGAATTTTCTTCTGCAGTTACTATGAAATGAAATAAACTGATGCTTGTAACCTAATACCTAAAGTAGAATTTTAAGTAAGAAAGGTAAAAACCAGATAGCCAGATTCTCAGAAGCCTGAAATCCATTAGTAAATATTTAGCAGTTCAAAATTTTGCCCCAAGTCTTTTAGAGGCGGACTTTTCACACACACAAAGAATATGTTTTGTTCCCTAGGGATTCATTCACTTAAAAATATTCTGCATTGGTGTTCAGTCATATGTCATATTCAAGAGCTGCAAAGTTATAACTTCAAAGGATATCAGGATGCAATTTTTCCTGCTAAAAAATTTCTCTTTTTAGGTATCTTACATTAGCAGACAATTGGCTAACAAGAATTTGTTTGAGGAGAATAGAATCAGATAGTAAAATAATCTGAAATTTTAATACTGACAAGCTTACAAATTCTGAGGCATCCATCTAGAAAATAGGAATGTATTTGCCACAGTGAGTGAAGAGGTCAATTTCTTAGGCCAGGACACAATCTTCTTGGCACCAATTATATTGCAAACTCGGTCTTTTTCTTCTGTGATGGCTGAGTATGCAGTTGCACTCATTTTGTGTACCCAATGTTGTATGTAGTTAACAACAAAAAATAAAATAAAATTTTTTAAACCTCTAAATATTGATTGACACTTTCCTGACATTTAGTCTTTTCAAGATGAAGTTGGAAAGCAATTTCGCATGCATTTGGGGGTTTTGTTTTGCAAGTAACCTGCGGTTTTGTATGGATACATGTTGATTCTTTTTTCCATTGCCACTGTAACTCAAAATATAATGCATGATTCTCTTTTCAGGAATTTTTTCTAGATTTAGTAAACAATTTGAGGATACCTATCCAGGTAATTTTTCCAATCTGGAAGATCTTCGTTTTGTATTATAAGTTTGATTATTTTTCCTTTCTTATATGTTAACAAACTAATAATATAAGTTTTTATCTTTGTTTCTTTATCCCTAATGTCAAACATCTCATTCTTAGAAAGTTTTTATTACCGGCCTTACACTTGTGATTCTAAAAGAACTTCTCAAAATGTCCTGAGAATAAGTGTTGTTATTTTCCTGAGTGTGCTTTTTATCCAGCCTGCAAAGTGAATGGATAATAATTTTGCTATTACATTTACAATTACCTTTTAGTTTCCCTACCTCCATTTGAGTGCTTGTAACTCAATAGGATGTTATGAATCTTGGGTCTGTGATCATTCTTTCAGATGTGGCTTTATAGTCTCTCACTTTCATTTCACAGAGGTGATATTGTCTTGTACATTATTAGGAGCATAAATCTAATCTTTCTAAATATTTTTCCTTAAGTTGGTCAATTTGAGGTAGCTTTTCCTACTAGTCTATAAGATATTTTTGTCTTATTTTTCAAAATATATTTCATATTTTAGATTTAAAATATTTTTTCTGCTTATTTACCTTTTTGTGAAATAGATGCCCAAACAGATGGAGTGTTTGCCGAGAAAGAAAATATGGGAGTATTTCTCTGCTGTTTCCACTGCTCATATGGGTGTTTGGAGCATCCTGCTTTCTAATCTACAGTCTGAAGTGGATGGATATCTCTCTTAACGTAAAGCCAGATGTCTGTGTTACCTTTACATGGTGAAACGTTCCTAGACTTGGGTACTCTTTTATTTATTTATTATTTATTTTTTGGAGGGGGGAAGGAGTCTTGCTCTGTCGCCTTGGCTGGAGTGCAGTGGCGCCATCTCGGCTCACTGCAAGCTCCGCCTCCCGGGTTCACGCCATTCTCCGGTCTCAGCCTCCGGAGTAGCTGGGACTAGGGGCGCCCGCCACCACGCCCGGCTAATTTTTTGTATTTTTAGTAGAGACAGAGTTTCACCGTGAGGCACCGCCCCAGGGCGACTTGGGTACTCTTACTTTACAATGGACTGCCTTTTAGGTATTTTAATTTGAAAATATATTCCCCTATGGCTCCTTCTGATTTTGCTTTTGCCCGTAAATGTTATGTGGTGGGGCTGTAACGTCCAGATGAAAACTGTGGCCACCGGTTCCTACCCAGCATTCTGATAAATTGAATGTGAGAGACGCAGTCTCAGAAAGTTTCTGGAAATATATAAACTGATAAAGATGAAGAGTATAATTTATTTTTAGTTGCCCAGTTTTTATGGTTGGTAAAAATAAAGTATCTCAAAACCAGCAAGCAGTAATCTGCTGGGAAGGCTTACACCTTCTTAGTTACTAAGAAGCAAAGCATGGTTTTCTGATGAATACAGTGCCGCATCCACAAGCCACCAATTATGTTTCTTGGTAAGCCTCCAGTTCTTTTAACCTAGAGAAAAATCTCACTTTTTAGAAATAGGTTGGTCATAACTCTTAGTTTTCAATTATTTAACTATATAATTTTTAATTTTGCTCTTTTTTCCTGTGTTTTATTTTATTGAATAAATAAATTTAATTTGACTGAATAAATAGATAAATACCCAAGAAAACAGGTATTTAATTGGGACTTTGAGAGAGAATATACTGGGAACTCAGAAGAAGACCATGCAATCCACTATTAAGCTTTATTGTCTGTGAATTTTACTATGACCAGATTCTTTACAGTATCTAAGACATTGTCCTTTTTCTTATTTTAGCTGACAAAATTTTGTTGATATTAACTCTCTAAAGGTAGGCAGCACCAGAACATATTTCTATGTTGATTACTGAATATTTCTAAAATAGTTAATTCAGTGAATACTTTCCAGAGTGGAATCAAAAGGTGAAACCCCTATTTAAACACATTTAATTCATCTAAAACTACGCATCTATAATGAACCAGCCATCCATTTTTTAAAGCTGCACTTAAAATTGAAGTAGTTATAGAAATCGATTTATTGGAAATCACATCTATAATATTTCTGATCAGCTTCTACTCAAATTTTATGTACCATGACTATTTATATATATTTAAGCACCATGGCTTCAAAAAGAGCATATTCTTCATGCTCTTTAAAAGACAGTAATGAATTGGACTCAATGTTTTTGTTCACTGATGTAGCCTCACAAACTAGAAAAGCACTCAATAAATATTTGGTGAAAGAATCATTCTATAGATAACATGGACTACATATCTAAATCATTAGGTCAGCGGTACACAAAGTGTTTGCTAACACCTAGGTGACTCCAAGTTTTTTTGATGAAACAGTGTAAAAACAGATCAGCTCACTGGGCTGAATTGCATGCAGTTTTTCTTACAGTAATGAAAGAATTGAACAGTAGTGGAAAGCCCCTGTGTTTGGGTTTTTCCTGACTCATGGTCAGTGACCAATGGCACGACCAGAGACTCAGGCAAAAGGACAATCAAAATCTGGCCTGTTAAAAGGATACTTCCTATGGAGCATGGTCCTATGAAAATTTGAAGGGTGCTTCAAAGTAGAACAAATCAATGACCATCAGAAGAACTCCCTTCCAGATTCAGAAGGTGACTGGAATCGACAAACAGATATCCTCTGTTCCCTTGAAGTGGCACATGGGTCCATGAAATGAGTGATATGGGGGTATTGCAGCAATGTAGAGATGAGTTCAATCTAGACATGTTTCTTTTGCACCCTCTTAGGCACAGAATGCCAGTATGAACTGTTCTGTTTGTCAACAGGAGAGTCAGAGACTGCCAGTTGCTATGTAGCAGATTCACTGGTGGGAAGGCCTTGAAGAAAGTTGGGAAGGCCTTGAAGAAAGTTGGAAAGGCAGACTGATGCTGGTAGCCCTGGAGGGCTACAATTGCGTCTTGACAGGAATAGACACTGGCTATGGATTGGGCCTTTGCCTATCCAGTGGAAGATGCAAATGCTCAGAGTGCCACACACACACAAAAAAAAAAACAAAAAAAAAAAACAGAACAGAAGCTATTGTATGGATTTGGACAACTGACTGCTGCTTTTTCAAACCGAGGAACACACTGTACAGCCCATATTCCCCAGCAATGGGAGGAAGGGTATCCTACAACAGTTTGATAGAGAAGTAGAATGGGCAATTAAAACATTGCTTGTCTAAAACATGGGGACATAAAAGCAGGAAGGACTGTGAGTGTGTGCTCACAGTCAGCATGAGTGGCACTAGAGTGTCCTTGCTAGATTTTTCTGGTTTTCTGGTTGATCTGAGGCAGAAGTGCAGGGCAGATGCTGGTATGACTATGCAATTCTTGCCGTGAGAAGAGTACAATGGTTTAATGATTATAACTTTTTCTTTCTTCCCCAGATCACCTTCAGAATTGCTTTTGTATTTTTCCTCCCCTACCTGGTATAGTGGTCCTAGTACCAGGTTACAACTATAAGTGCAAAAAGCAGGAATGATTTATAAACAAAAAACTGTAACTACATTTTTAAACCTTATGTCAGAACTTCGAAGGGCATGATGGAAGTGGGTTGTGCCATCACCCCATCTAGCAAAATTGAGTTTAAGAGTAAATGCAGCTGTATTGCCTGGTGGTTAAAATAGCTCACAACTCCTCGACCTGTGTAACTTTACCTTATCTGAATGGGAGTGAAATGAGGAGTTGGTAATTGCTAGACTAGTATTTCTGCCTGCAATCTAGACCAGCACAGTGGTAATTCTAATGTCCCTTCCAAAAATGAAAAAGTTTGGATATTTATGAATGGAAAGAGAAATAGTATCTGAGAGTAAAGAAATGAATAAATGGGTTATTAATTGAAAGAAATTCAGTATTACATTAACAACGCAAAAGAGTCTCAGAGCAGGAAATGATATCATCTCTTAGCTTAATTATCCCAGATGCCTGAAAGTATAAAGCTGTATATTTCCCAAGACCACTCCTGCTTCTGAAACCTGACAAGATTGAGAGAAAACCTGCAAACTGGAGTGGCCTCACCATGGGACACTTCCATATAATATCATGGACTGACATTTCAGTTTGGTCTCCTGAAAGACCAAGGCAGGATTAAAGGGTGGATACTTTCAGTCTCACTCCCCAATCTCCAGGGAGGGGAGAGGGGCTGAAAGTCAAGCTAATCACCAATGGTCAATGGTTTAATCAATCATGTTTATGTAATGAAGCCTCAATAAAAAACCCAAGAGGACGGGATTCAGAGAGTTTCCAGATGGCTAAACGCATGGAGGTTCCTGGTGGGTGGTGTGCCCAGGAAGGGCATGGAAGGTCTGAGCCCCTTCCCCTACACCTCCCCCTATACACCTATTCATCTGTATCCTTTGCAATATTCCGTATAATAAACCAGTAAACAATTTTAAAAATTGGCAATAATATCAACATGTGACAACAATTAGTGAAAATAAAAGAAAATCTAGGAAAATATCCCATTATAAAAAATAATATGGTATATGCTAAAAATGAAATGTTATAAAAATCTTGTTGAATATCTGGTAAACTAAGGAAAGTAGAATGTTACATATATTTTATACATGTCTGTATGAAATCAGAATGAGTACAGATTGAAATGCAGAATTTAGAAGTGGGCAAATTACATGCTTTTTTGTATATAGTACACAGGTGTCAGTCAATATAGCTTTTCTCTAAGACAATATAAAAATAAATATCTCAATCAAGGAATTGTGTTTTTCAAATTTGTCCTATACTAATAATCTGTGAAGTGTCAGAATACACATATGTAAAAAGCTATGTTAGGCTGTTCTTGCATTGCTATAAAGAAATACCTGAGACTGGATAATTAATAAGAAAAGACATTTAATTGACTCATAGTTCTGCAGGCTATACAGGTAGTATAATGCCAGCCTTTGCTTCTGGGGGAGGCCTCAGGAAGCTTTTACTCATGGCAGAAGGTGAAGCAGGAGCAGGCACATTATATGGCGAAAGCAGGATCAAGAGAGAGCAATAGTGGGTGTTGGGGGATGTCACACACTTTTAATGACCATATCTTTTGGAACTCATTATCACAAAGATATCACAAAGCCATGAGGTATCCAACCCCCACTAGGCATACACATATCCAGCATTGAGGACAATTCGACATGAGATTTGGGTGAGGAAACATATCCAAACAATATCAGAGGGCAATTGTAAATAGTTTTATAGTTACATAAATTGGGGAACAATAGAAGGTCAATTTAAGCAGATAATTCTGCATATCAAAATTGTGGAATATGAAGACTATTAAAATATACGCAGCCTTGAAAAATGGAAATGTAGTTATGTACTTCTTGATAAAGAAAGAATAATAAAAATATCTCATAGCAAGTGAAGATTATAAAACAGTGTGTTGTAATGACAGTAGTTTATCTATTAGGTTGGTACAAATGTAATTGGGATTTTGGCCATTTAAAAGGAATGGCCAAAACCACAATTACTTTTGCACCAACTTAATATATAAAGTCTGGGGGAAAAAAAACTAAAAGTTCACACAAAAATGTGAGTGCCTCACTTTTGTGATTGGATTTAGGGAGTTTTTTTAACATCTGTATTTTCTGAGTTATTTTTAATATATTGCATGACTATGTCTTGGATAATATGTATGTTTATAAGGTGAATAGAATAAATGTTAAAAGTCTCAGTGTTACATCTCCTCAGTCTTATGAATCCTAGACAGTTGAGGAGAGGGTGTAGAAACAAACATTTTAGAGATTTTTTTTTTTTTGGTAGATCCTGATGCACTCACTGACAAACTCAGGTGAACTCTGTTTGGGGTGGGAGTGGGGGCCTAATTTTAATTACACGACTAATGCCTTAAATGGTAGAAACAATTTTCCTTCATTTTTTAGGAGAGTAATCATCAAATATATTAAAGAATGAGAGAATAGCTTCATAATGGGCAGATCAGATAATAAAATGTTAAGAGTTTTCTGAATGCGTAGTAAGTGTTCATTACCTCAATGAAAACATTGGTCTTCTGAAATCCAAAAGGAAAAATGCCCTAAGGTTGCTGAAATGACTCGTGTTGCTAACTACTCAGCAGAACACAGTGTGAAAAGATGTCAAACTACTGCCCTTCCCTGATGAGCATTCTGTTTTAAAGGTAATGTGACCTGCAATGATTATTTTCCCCAAATTGTACATTGATGTATTAATACGTTAAATAATACAGTTTCTATCAATTGCTAAGGTAGTCTCTATGACATCAGGTGTTACCTAGGAAAATGCATTATTCTACAGGAAAACCATGTTGTTTAAGGAGCATTTACTTAGATATACTGTCTCCTTTCTCTTAGGTGATTATAACTATGTTCTGAAAAAAGAAAAAAAAATAATAAGGCAACCACTCAGCCAAGCATGTGAGTAGCAATTAAGGAGATAACTAGGTATTTATAGAAGAATATAATTATCAATTTAAACTCAATTTGCTTTTTCAATGCCACTAACCATATTCGTGTGACATATGCTTTATAGTCACATGATTACATTTCTCAAACAAAATGATAAGCAAGACGTTCAGATAGTGGAAAGCATAATTAAAATTGAGGCAGTCCCTTCACTGTATTTATGGCCAGCCATCCAAATCCAGCTAACCTGAAAAAATTTTTCATCCTAGCTATAGATACTTTTTCAATAGTGTTTGAATTATATGAAAAAAAAAAACGGTATGTGGAAAAGGGGAATGCTCCAATACCTCTCCTCTGTCCTTTATTCCTTTAAAAAATATATTTAGTATAGAGGTGTTCAAATTACAACATATGTTTTTGACTTCAACATAGAAACTGTGCACACAGTGACTGTAATCTAGCTTGGGCAATGATGAGTTAGCATGGGTCAGAAATGTTAAGAGAGATAAGCACCGTACATTTGTGGCAAGTTGTACATACTTTCTTAGCTAGAGGTTAGGAAAAGGCTGAATGACAAATAAAATGTTCAGGGATTCTGCGGACTATAACCTTCACATTCAGAAACTATTATGGCAGGCTTTCATATCCTGAGGGCTTGTTTTACTCAAGAAGAAGGTAGTGAGCAACAGATCAAAATTTGAGTTCAGTTAATTAGGTGGCAAACATTTTACTAATTAGGGAACATATCTCAAGGGCAACAGATAGAGAAATGGTAATAAAACAAAAGTGATTTTTCTATGCATAATAGAAAATTCATCATTTAAGAAAAATACATTCTTAAGAAACTTGAAACCAAAAAATTGTGGGGCAGATGCAATAGCAATGTTTAAGAAATGAGTAGACTTTGTAAATAGCAAGGCCAAACATTGGCTCTTCTTCAAATGATGAGGAGTTAGTACATGGTACAAGTTGACAAGGTATAGAATAAGACAATTTTTTAAATATGATTTTCTAACATAGTGAAGTCAAGAGAGGCAGTAGTGAAAAGTGCATAAATCTGAGAGTTAAAAATCCAGTGTGCCATTGTACTAAGCTGTGTTGCTAACTCATTCTGGGGATTCAGCCAGCAAATTTATCTTTTCAAGACCGATTCCTCCTCTATAGTACGAGATGACGGGATTAGATAACTTTTTTAACTTCAGGAATTATTTTCTTTATGGATGCTTGTTGTTGCACTAAAACAAAACATCATTTTCTCTAACCTGATGTTAAGTAAAATCACTCTTGAACTTAATAAATAAAAAGTACTTTTAAAGTTGAGTAATTATAAGATGGACTCAACATTTAATGTAATATAATCTTTAAAATTTATAGCACTGTATTATTCCATGTTCATGCTGCTAATAAAGACATACCCATGACTGAGTAATTTACACAGGAAAAGGATTTGTCAGACTTACAGTTCCATGTGTCTGGGGAAGCCTCACAGTCATGGTGGAAGGCAAGGAGGAGCAAGTCACATTTTACGTGGATGGCAGAAGGCAAAGAGAGCCAAGCAAAAGGAGTTTCTCCTTATAAAATCATCAGATCTCATGAGACTTATTCTCTACCACAAGAATAGTATGGGAGAAACCACCCCCATGATTCAATTATCTCCCACTGGGTCTCTCCCACAACATGTGGGAATTATGGGAGTACAATTCATGATGAAATTTGGGTGGGGACACAGTGCCAAAACATATCATTCTTCCCCAGCCCCTCCCAAATCTCATGTCCTAACATCTCAAAACCAATCATGCCTTCCCAACAGTCCTCCAAAGTCTTAACTAATTTCAACATTAACTCAAAAGTCCACAGTCTAAAGTCTCAACTGAGACAAGGCAAGTCCTTTCCATCTATGAGCCTGCAAAACCAAAAGCAAGTTAGTTACTTCCTAGGTACAATGTGGGTACAGGCATTGGGTAAAAACAGTCATTCTAAATGGGAGAAATTGGCCAAAATAAAGAAGCTACAGGCCCCATGCAAGTCCAAAATCAAGCAGGGCAGTCAAATCTTAAAGCTCCAAAATGATCTCCTTTGACTCCATGTCTCAAATCCAGGTCACACTGATGCAAGAGGTGGGTCCCCATGGCCTTGGGCAGCTCCACTGCTGTGGCTTTGCAGAGTATAGCCTTCCTCCTGGCGGCTTTCGTGGGCTGCCATTGAATGTCTGTGGCTTTTCCAGGCAAACGGTGCAAGCTGTTGGAGGATCCACCATTCTGGGGTCTGGAGGATGTTGGGGGCTCTCCTCTCACAGTTCCACTAGGCAGTGCCCAGGTAGGGACTCCATGTGGGGATTCCGACCCCATATTTCCCTTCTGCACTGCCCTATCAGAGGTTCTCCATGAGGACCCCACCCCTGCAGCAAACTTCTGCCTGGGAATCTAGGCATTTCCATACAATCTCTGAAATCTAGGCAGAGGTTCCCAAACCTCGATTCTTGACTTCCGTGGACATGCAGGCTTAACACCACATGCAAGCTGCCAAGGCTTGTGGCTTGCACCCTGTGGAGGTGCAAGCTGCACCACGGCCCGAGCTGTACATTGGCCCCTTTCAGCCATGGCTGGAGTGGCTGGGAGGCACTCTACCAAGTCCCTAGGCTGCTTACAGCAAGCAGACCCTGGGCCTGGCCCAGAAAACCATTTTTCTCCTGGGCCTCTGGGCCTGTGATGGGAGGAGTTGCTGTAAAGACCTCTGACACTCCCTGGAGACATTTTTCCCATTGTCTTAGGGATTAACATTCAACTCCTCATTGCTTATGCAAATTTTTCCAGCCACCTTGCTCAGAAAATGGAATTTTCTTCACATTGATGTTGTTGCAAATGTACTGAACTTTTATCCTCTGCTTCCCTTATAAAACTGAATGCTTTTAACAGCACCCAAGCCATCTCTTGAATGCGTTGCTGCTTATAAATTTCTTCTACCAGATACTCCAAATCATTTGTCTCAAGTCCAAAGTTCCACAAATCTCTAGGCCACAGGCAAAATGCCTCTAGTTTCCCTGCTAAAACATAACAAAAGTCACCTTTGCTCCAGTTCCCAACAAGTCCCCATTATCCATCAGAGACCACCTCAGTCTGAATTTCATTGTCCATATCATTATCATCATTTTGGGCAAAGCCGTTCAACAAGTCTTTAGGGAGTTCCCAATTTTCCTGCATTTTCCTGTCTTCTTCTGAGCCCTCCAAACTGTTCCAACCTCTGCCTGTTACCCAGTTCCAAAGTTGCTTCCACATTTTCAGGTATCTTTTTAGCAGCACCCCACTCTACTAGTAACAATTTACTGTATTAGTCTGTTTTCATGCTACTGATAAAGACATACCCGAGACTGGGTAATTTATACAGGAAAAAAGGATTTATTGGACTTATAGTTCCATGTGGCTGGGGAAGCCTCACAATCATGGTGGAAGGCAAGGAGGAGCAAGTCACATCTTATGTGGATGGCAGCAGGCAAAGAGAGCCAAGCAAAAGAGGTTTCTCCTTATAAAACCACCAGATCTCATGAGACTTATTCACTACCCCAGAACAGTATGGGAGACACTGCCCCCATCCTTCAATTATCTCCCACCACATCCTTCCCGCAACACGAGGGAATTATGGGAGTACAACTCAAGATGAGATTTGGGTGGGGACATAGAGCCAAACCATATCAGCACAGAACTACAGTATAAGATATTACTGATTAAAACAGCTCAGAAAACAAGCAAATTTTGTAAAAGATCACTGTCCTGTCCCCTTAAACTTTTAAATTTGGTTTAGCTCCTTACTCTTAACAACTGCTACAGATGGAAAGATGTGTTTTGTGCTTAAACTTTTAACAATCATAAAAGTGTAGGGCTAAAAGTAAATTACAAATACATTTACTTGGCATATCACATTTCTATATGTTATATTAAAGAACAGTTGGGCAATTGTACTATATTGGGAGATAAAAAGCTAAACATTAACTTTCTTTTAAATTTCAGAGTTAGTCAAATATCTTTAAAAATACATTAATTGAAAAGTGACCAACTACTCATTATTAAAAGTATCTGACATTCAATTAATGACTAAAGAGTGTAACCTGAATAATTTTCTAAACAAAATTTACTTATAATATACTCTTTCATAACATGTTAAAATCATAACTACAAAGATTATTATTAATTTCAAATAATAAATATTTCATAGTTTATTTGAAGCTTAATTTATCATTTTGTATACAAAGTTTACAAATTCAAATTTACAAATATTTTCATAAATATTTTAATTGTTATAAGAATCTGTTTTATGTGCACCAGATAATAAACAGAGAAGCAGAAGTTATTTCATTACGGTTGAGAGACACCTTAATGAGGCAGTTTCACATCATTGTTAAGTGTTTATTCTCTGGAGTCAGATTGTTAGGTTTAACCTCAGCTTTAATATTTACTGTTATGTGACCTTAGATTATGTAACCTGTTTGCCACCATTTCTTCAAGATGATCATAATATATAGCTCTGTATTAGTTTGCTAGGGCTGTCATAGCAAAGTGGATGGCTTAGAACAACATTAATTTATTGTTGTGACAAATTTATTGGCATAGTTCTGGAGACTGGAAGATCAAAATCAAGGTGTCATGAAGGCCGTGCTTTCTCTGAAGGCACTGGAGAAGAATTTGTTCCTGGCCTCTCTTCTAGAGCTTCACCTTGTGTCAGCATAGCTCCAGTCTTCACCTGGTGTTCTTCCTGTGTGCATGTCTGTCTCCGAATTTCCCCTTTTATATAAGGACACTGGTCATACATAGGGCTCACTGTATTCCAGTATGACCTCATCTTGAATAATTACAACTGTAATGACCTTATGTTAAAATAAGGTCACACTCTGAGGTACTGGGGATTAGGACTTCAACCTGTGAAATTGAAAGGATAGTACAATTCAATCCATAACAAACAAATAGGAATTTTATAAAGTAGTTCTATGTAAATATATATATACTTAAATACAAGAACACTGTCTTGTGGTAAGCACCCAGCCATGAAAATATGAACAGACCTATGCTTTCCATAGAGAATCAGAAATGAAATTTTACTAAATCAAAGCAATGAAATGTAAGCCTAATTAAATATATTCTCGGAGGTATTCAACTATAACTGCTTACTTTCTTTGACATAAGGGAAGATATAATGAATCTAATAGAAGTGTATTTTATAATTTTCTATAATTTTATTAATGTTACTAAATAGCTTTGAATTGAGATGCTGCAAAATAATAGACAATATACAATTGAAGAAAGTTTATTTATTCAGATAAAATTTGTTTAAAGAACATATGGAGAAGCATAAAATATCAATTAAATATATGATTAATTAAAAATAAAAATCAAATGGTATTTTAAAAAAACAGGATGTTTGCCTATTTATCAGTCCATTTCCCTATTTTTCCATCGATCTATTTTTCTACTTACCTATTCTTCTGTAGGCTATGTAATTAATATTCCATCTTTACTTCATGTCTGAAATTATGAAATTTTAATCTACTTCAAAATGTCACAGACTAATACAAAGATTTATTTGTAAGAATGACAGTAACACTGTAGTTTTAGCTAATAAAATGTTGGAAACAAATTAAATACCCAAAACATAAGGCAGAAAAATATAGTTTATCCATACAGCATAAAATGTTGTCGAATTTTTTAAACGGAACCCCAGGACAAAATTAAATACAAAAAACGATTCATTTTAAGGAAAGATGTAGAGTCATCTTTATAGTATAACATTAGGGGGAAATGAAGAAATTAGAGGAAATAAAGCACAGGTCTGCGTGTGTATGCATGTGCATGCATGTGTTTGCATGTGTGTGTGCGTGTGTGCATGCATGCATGTGTGCGTGCGTGCGTGAGTGCGTGTGTATTAAATGAACCACATGCACATTTTTATCCAATACTTAATAAGACTTCTTTATTGACAGTGAAAATAGTAAGTCATTTTTATTTTCCCCGTGTTCTTTTTAAAAATATAACTGAAGAACTACTAAGTGCCACCCAGACTACCCACCTTAATATTGGGATTTGCAGGAGGATCATGAAATCTTTTACAGCCTTACATCATGTTTTCGTGTATAGCAATATGATTTGACATAGGTACATAATAATGTAAGTTAAACAAGCAATAAATATTCTATATCAACACTCACATAACAGTAATATTAATTTCGGGAGATCTCAATCTTCCAAAATTTAGTACTCAGCCAAAAGCTTGTATCACAGATGGAAATCTCAGGAAATGTCCACATAACTTGTGTTAGTGAAACAAGCAGGCTTGTGCAAAATCTTACCTTTACAATCTAGAAATTATAAGTTTCTTCCCTAAAACTAATTAACAAAAATAACTTTGAGGACCAAAAATTATCCCACTCACATATCTTTTCTATCAGAACTGTTGAATTTATCTTCATAATTCATTTCTATCATGTTTCTCTTAATCTCCATGAAAACTTATCCTAATCTGCGTCATCATTATTTTTTATCTACACTACACATATTGTTGCCTTTGTATTTTGACTCTTATTCATGTACAGTTCCCTATACAAAAAGCAATGAGAGTAATATTTTTAAAAACCTAAATCAAATCATGACTATTCCAGGATTTAAACTTATGCAATGCCTTCTGGCTACACAAGGAAGAATCAGGTTTCCTCTCATGTTCTATAGGGCCTTTATGAACTGGCCCTTATATTACACTTCCAACTTTTCAGTTTTACTAAAGCAATATTGGCTTCATCTCTGTGACTTAAAAGTTTTCTTCATTTAATTTCAACTTTGCTTAAAAACTTTTGTCCAGTTTTCATGTGCCTGGCTCAACTCATATCTCAGCTCAAATGTTAAATCTAGAAAGCACTGTTCTTAAAATCATATGGACTAGTAATTAATAAAACAATATATAATTAATAAAACAACATTGGCAATAGATGGAATTTATTGATCATTACTCTAGGAACCCTTCATGTTCTATTTTAATTAAATCTCAGCACAACACTTTAGGTTACATTATATTGCACCATTTTACTGATGATGAAATTGAGATTTTATTCATTACTAACCGCCAATTTCTATGGTACACTCTGCACACAAACCCATATTTGTATGAAGCCAAGCTTGTGTTGTATTAATGACTAGTGAATACTAATCACAGCTATAAGAAAGAAGACAGTTTGGCATTCTGTCATTTACAAAGATGGTATAAATTCTAAAAAACTGATATAGAATTTGCAAATTATAAAAATTTAGGGCATTTAAATATAGGAGTAAATAATTTTATAGACTTTAGCAGTTTTAAAGTTATTTTATATAAAAGAATACAATGACATCTATAATTATAATCCTTGAGCATCAAGAAAATGTTTACATTAGGAAATTATTTCCATAAATAAGTGCAATCAGTTTTAGAAGAATGCCTATGTTATGACCAATACTAAATTTGGTGCTTAAAGGAAGTGCTTCGGACTCTTGATGGTTACTCTATTCCCCGATGACAAAAGGACTGATGAAACACTTGCCAATTCGCCATCTAATTTGCTTTCTTAAATGTGTTTTTCTCTAAAATGAATTGTTCACATATCATAGCTCAGATAATAGCATCTTGTTAGAAATGTGGATGTCAAAGAGAAAACCTATACCCAGACTTAGTGTTGGTAATTCAAAGTAAAGCAAGTAAAAAAGGCATACTTGTAATTAACATTCAATTCTATTTATTGTTTATAAAAGAATACATATCAAGATAACAATTTTTCTGAAATCTATAGTAAAGATAGATAGCTAATTATAATTGATATAGAAATACAATTTTAAAGTACTAATCAACCCAACTGTAGAAAATATAGTGAAGGACATATTCTATGTTAGTGCAGTAACTACTTATTTCAACACTTTCCAAAAGACTATGCTTGCATTCCAGGAGGCAGAACTGATCTCACAATATGTATTTTAACTACACCAAGGGCCTTTAAAATTTGTAGCTAGAGTCATATTGACATAACTGGTTAACATTCCATAAACCTAACTCAACAATTTCATGAGAATATAAGGTAAGCGAGGAAGAATTCATTTATATTTGTTTTCCTTCTGATAAAATTATATTAATTAATTTCAGAGCTTATTTTGTTATTCTTTAAAATATTAATTATTAAAGTATATTCATATTTTATTTTGCAGTATTTGTAAGCCACTGTCAAAATATGACCCTGTCTAATGAATATAATTATTAGAAGGGAGATTTGGTTCTATTGCAATTTTAGTGTAACTTTCCCACTAGACAAAATTATAGCTTTGGTTTTTCTGAAATATAGATTTATTTTATTTTTGTTATTGCCATTTGATAGTTTTGGGGAAAGCTACAAAGCTCTTCTTGCCAATTAGGTGCTGACAATGCAAAGACAGATCTAAACTAATTCAGATTTCTTCTGTTATTGGCACAGTTGAAACAGAAATATGCTAGGTTCTCAATTGAAAGAATAGGGTTTTATGAATATATTTATGACCAGAAATTTTACTGCCAATTTTATTTTCCCTTTATGCTTCTCCGAAACCTTATTGTAATAGTGTAATTGTGGCCTTTATTTAACTTTGTCACAGAATTGAAGCTTGTGACAATTATTCTAATCGTTTAAAATGGGAATTTTCCCTTTTTGTTGAAAAGCTCCATGGGAAAATCATGAAAAACAAATGAAGTTTTGAAAACTATTTCAGGAATGGGTTTTTAATGATAATGTCTGATGTCTATTTGAAGGTAGTAAATCAACATATCTACTCTGACTGTGAAAGTGGAAGGGAAAGAGCAGTGCAAGAGATACCCCCTATGGCACATGGTTCAGCTTCCACTTCCAGAGGACATAAGGGGCTCAAAGAATGAGGTTGTGCGTATAACACTATCAAAATGGAAAATAAAATGACTTCCCCTTCATGGCACATAATGCCATCCTTAGTGTTCTGAATGGGCAATAGTTGGGTTATAAAACAAACTAAATTCTGAGAGGTCTAAACTAAAATTTTGCATTAAATAATCATGTATCAATCACATTTAAACATCTCAGATAGGTAACAGAATTCAGTTACTTCTCGTAGACATTTCAAGGAAAACTATCAAATGATAGTCCACCCATTCAGAACTAGAGTACAGCTTTTTTCGCATTCATTTCTTTTTTATACCTGGAATTTAAGGAGGGAAATTTAGCTTCATAGTTCAATTTGATACATTTTATAATTAAAATTAATCAGTACCCCTTCTCACCATGATGGCAAGATAAAGTCAATCAGAATATAGTTGTTGTCACAAAAGTGATTTACTGTGGAAAATCTGCAACATAGGTGTTACAGTGGCATATGCAAATTGCTTTAAACATTACTGCATGATGTTGGCTATGTTTAGACAAAAAGTAGAATTTATTAAATGCAAAATCATTCATAGTTTTCTGTCAATGTCTTTGTTATCAATGTGTACTTTAGAAAAGAAGAAAGACCTAGTTTATTGTCAAGTGGCAGCTTTATTTTCTGAGGCAACTCACTTTACCTCTTCAAACTCAAACATCCTTGTTTATAAAATGCAAGAGTTGTCTAGTTGCACTCTGTTCAGGTTGCTAAGGACTAAAAGACAAGTAAATCAGATTTTGCCTTTACAATGTTCATAGACTGGGGAATGGCAGAGACATAAACTAAAAATTGCAGTCCAGTATATAGTCTAAGCTAAAAAGAGTAAGCAAAGCGTCATGAGAGCAAAAAGGAAAAAGCCTTCTAACTCTGATGATTTGCAAAAGAATGGACAGAGAGGAGCGCCAGTGCTTCCAAATTACAAAAAGTACTGGTGATATTTTCACCTCTAATGACAAATTTAATTGCAAATTGGCTACACATTACAAAACATATGAAATGAAAATTTGAAATAACTCTTTTCAGCAATGGTCATCTCAAATATACACTCTTCCTATTCTATATATGACTCTATTGCTATATCTTTACAGGTATAGTATATATCATAGTACTATTTATTGAAGATTTGTTTAGTTCTGTCTTAGTAAGTGGTTATTACGACAGGGAGAATTAAACGACTATACAACTCGTTCATTGAAATAACTTCATTATTATGATAAAGTTATCAAGAATCATGGTTTTGTCAAGTACTTCAGTTTTTAAAACGATGTAGAATTTATTCATACTTTACAATTTACAAACTGTCAAAAAGGGAATGAAAATTAAGCAAATTTTTTAAAATGGGCCTGATTTAAACTTGTAGAGAGGAAGTAAAATGTGATCCAAATGGGAATTGTGATGTGAGACTGGCAACAATGCAGATGGATGTAGAAAAGCATGGATATTGTACTGGACCAACGACGCTCAAGGAATTATAAGTGAATCTTTGAAAGCTAGGCATGATCTCCCAAAGAAATAATCTACCAAGCTATAATTAATCCAGGGCATATATTATAGTTCTAATTTAAAGTTATAAACAAAACAAAAATATACAAACATATATCAAATATTTTATTTCATGGCCTCATTGACTCGATAGCTTCTATTAAAAGGTAGTTCTTCCTAGCATCACCAGCTTCAAAAACAAATTTGAATGTAAATAATTAATATTGTGGTAGGCCTTAGTTCGCTGTAGGAAAAAAATAGTAGAAAATATCAACATTGAGTGCTAGTGTAAGCAGTAGATTTTTAAAGTAACATTAATTTTTACCTGTTTGGAAATACTATAGACTATCATCCCAATGGCTATACTGTTAATCTGATACATAATTTTGTTTGTGGGTTTTTGTTTGTTTGTTTGTTTGTTTTGTTTTTGAGACGAAGTCTTGCTCTGTCGCCAGTCTGGAGTGCAGTGGTGTTATCTCTGCTCACTGCAACCTCTGCCTCCTGGGTTCAAGCGATTCTCCTGCCTCAGCCTCCTGAGTAGCTGGGACTACAGGTGTGCACCACCATGCCCGGCTAATTTTTGTATTTTTAGTAGAGACATTTTCCACTATGTTGGCCAGCATGATCTCAATCTCTTGACCTCGTGATCCGCCCGCCTCAGCCTCCCAAAGTGCTAGGATTACAGGTGTGAGCTACCATGCCTGGCCTCTGATGTATATTTTAAGAGGTGCCTACTCCTGTCTAGATGGAAAAATGTTGTAAGTTAGACCCGAAGAACTAAGGATCTTCATCGGGAATACATTGTTGAGAATGCAAGGGCAAGCATTCTCACTCTGATTAATTATTTTATCTCTTCATCCTCATTTAGTACTTCTCATTAAATGTGCTTTTAAAATAATATTTGATGAAACAATGAAAAGATTTCCTTGAGAATAATCCCTGAAGGATTCTATTTAACATGCAATGTGGTGTGCCACTGGGAACAGGGGCCGTATATATTTGGCAAAGGAAGTCACATAGGTCATAGGATCCCAAATAAAAGTCCAAAGACAGAAAGTGTTTTGCAATTGGTTGCAGAGGTAAAACAGCAGAAAGGACAGGTACTTCAGAAAATAGAGGAGTCTGCAAAGCAGCAATCAAGCCAGAATATGATAACCTCTTTCGGGGAGAGGGGTGGGTGTAAAAGTTGAGAAAGCACCCTTTAGTTCCAATCAAGGCAGAAGAACCTGCTAACAACTGCAGAATGGTATAATTTGACAAGTGTTTGGTGTCCTGCACAGATTTATTCAGCAGAACTTAGAAAAGAAAAACAGTAAATAGAAGAGCAGAGAATGGTGTGTACTGGTGCCATGATTTTAGGACTGATCATTGCAAATTAGAGACAGAGGGATAAAACACTTTTTGAAATACACATACCAGAAAGTGCTTAATCCAGTCTGAGACCTGGAAGTAAATAACTCAAATAAGTATCAGTTTAATTCAAAATTAGGACAATTAAATGTAAGCCAGGGGCCTGCCATGGTGGCTCACACCTGTAATCCCAGCACTTTGGGAGGCCAAGGCAGGCAGATAACTTGAGGCCAGGAGTTTGAGACCGGCCTGGCTAACATGGTGAGACCCTGTCTCTACTAAAAATGCAAAAAGTTAGCCGGATGCGGTGGTGTGTGCCTGTAGTCCCAGCTACTTGGGAGGCTGAGGCAGGAGACTCGCTTGAATCTGGGAGGTGGAGGTTGCAGTGAGCTGAGATGGTGCCACTGCACTCCAGCCTGGGCCACAGAGAGAAACTCTGTCTCAAAACAGCAGCAACAACAACAACAACAACAACAAAAAGGTGAACCAGGACAAATAAACAACTATTTACTTTAAATCTATATCCTATAGGCCAGGCATTCTAATAATCTCTCTATCTCCATATTCATCCATATATTATACATATGTGACCATATGTGTATGCATGTGTATGTGCATATATATGCACACACAAATACACATACAATGACAATTGACAAATGCAATAATTTTGTGACATGCACCCCCCCACACACACATACACACTATACACACCAACTTCCATGTGTATGTGTTCATGGTAGCTGTAGTTATTTAGGATCAGAGAACCCAAAATACATATTTAAATACAGTCAACTTTTTTCTCAGATTCTCAAAACTGAAAAAATATTTTCTCTCATCTCTTAGCTTCGTTGTCCCCTCTCATTTAGCAAACTTTGCTTGTCACTGTGATTTGCAATTGCCTATGTGCTTCTTCTATTTCTCATAGGAAACTGTACGTTCCTCAGGTATCACTTAATCTTATTCACCTCTGTATCCCACACTCCTTGCTTAGTTCTCTGGGGATCGTGGACTTTTGCAAATTATTCTTTTAGCCGAAGTTGTCCATAGTGTTGAAATACAAAAAGAACTTCCATGTTGTATTAGTTTCCTAGGACTGGCCATAATAAAGTACCACAAAATAGTTGACTTAAGACAACAGAAATGTATTATCCCTGGAGGCCAGAAGTCTGAAATCAAGGTGTCAGCAGGTCAGTGCTCCCTCTGAGGGTTCCAGGGACGAATTCTTCCTTGCCTCTTCCAGCTTCTGTTGGCCCAGACATTCCTTGGTTTGCGGCAGCATAACTCCAATCTCTGCTTCCATCTTCACATGCCTTCTTCTTCTTGTATCTGTTTCTTTCCTCTTAGAAAGACACCAGTTGTTGGATTTTATGCCCACCCTAAACCCAGGATGATTTAATCTCCAGATCCTTAACTAATTACATCTGCAAAGTCTTTATTTCCAAATAAGATTTCACTCTGAATTTCCAGGCAGATATAACTTTGGGGAGAACACTCGACCCACTATACCTGTACATCAGACATTCCGATAAGACAGTCAGTAAGTGCATCAGCTTTTCATCCAATCAATATTTATTGAACTTACTATGAATTATGCAAAGGGAAATACCAGTGAACCAATTAGGTAAATTCAAGGTGTTCACGTTTTTATTAGAGGAGGGGTAAGAATAGCAAAATAAGTGCATGGATAATAAGTAGAAGGATGGATAAATAGATGTGTAGATAGAGATATA
Organism: Homo sapiens; assembly: GCF_000001405.40. Classification (NCBI taxonomy): domain Eukaryota; kingdom Metazoa; phylum Chordata; class Mammalia; order Primates; family Hominidae; genus Homo; species Homo sapiens. Next base: position 96,447,780 of record NC_000003.12, read on the forward strand.
TATACAAATAGAGATAGAGATACAGCTAGACAGAGAGAGATAAGGAAAGCAGTGTAGAAATACAGAGCAAGATAAGGTAGTGAGAGTGATATTATTAAATTTCTACTTCTTTGGTGTCAGCAAAGTCTATATAAACCTCCAAGTTATACTTGTAATAAGAATCTCTTTTACCTAGTATTATTATAACTTAAATAGGCCCTCAAAGAATACTTCACATTCAGAGAGTACTATTTTGTGCAATGAGTTAAGGTAAATGTTTATAGAGTTTTAACTTTTAATATTTATTGTTGACAAAACAAAGAATTCAGCATACTGTGAAAACAAACGTGTCCTCCATGAAAACAAACAAAACTTTTTTTTTTTTCTTAAAAAAAAAAAAGGTAATTCGGGCAGGCACTGTGTCTCAGGCCTGTAATCACAGCACTTTGGGAAGCCAAGGTGGGCAGATCACCTGAGGTCAGGAGTTTGAGACCAGCCTGACCAACATGGAGAAACCTCATCTCTACTAAAAATACAAAATTAGCCGGGCGTGGTGGTGTATGCTTGTCACCCCAGCTACTCGGGGGTCTAAGGCAGGAGGATCGCTTGAACCCGGGAGGTGGAGGTTGCTGCGAGCCAAGATCGCACCATTTGCACTCCAGCCTGGGCAACAAGAGCGAAACTCTGTCTCAAAAAAAAATAAAAAAAGGTAATTCAAAAAGAAAACAGTCACTAAATGTAGTTGAGAAAATTCACAGATTTGCCATTTAATAATTATGTGATGATGTTGAGATTTAATTTCTTCCTTTTAAAATGGGAAGAGAATGCATCCTTTAGTGGATAGTTGTGAGGAGTAAATGAGATAATATATGTGGGAAGTGGTAACCCAGCATGTTATCTGGAACATACTAGATTGGAAGAAAATGTTAATTGAGTCTGAATGCCCCTTTAATTATGCTTTCACCTGAAATTCATCAGAAAAATGTAATATTGTCCTTGTTATCATAGTATGCATATTGACTCCTTTATTTTAATTGCATTGATGGTCTCACCTTAGGCCATAATGAGTTTTTATTAAGAAAACCAAGAAAATGTTAAAGTAAACTGGCATTCATTGTTAAGGAGTACTTAGCTGCCCCACTTTTTAATTATTTTAACCTATGGATATAAATGCTTCTTTTAACTGTCAAATTATATTTTTTAAGTTAAAGGTATTACAAGGTAAATGATTTTAATGCAGCAGACATGCTTTTATCATACATCCAGGAAATTAATTTACCATACAAGGGTCAAGGGTTTCCTCCTCTGATAGTTGCAAGCAAATGGATGTTGAGTAAGATCCTCTGTAGTACCCCCATGCTAAGATAAGTAGTTTGCTTACAAATAATATGGATAATCAAAAAGGCAATTGCATTAATTTGAGGATGGGGGATGGTGTCACTCTACCTTGAAAATTGTGTCAGTATTATACATGGAAAAATGCTTTTGATTAAGTGTGCATATTTCTTTCTCGTCTCATCTGCTCTTGCTCTAATCAAACCAATGCCAATCCTTTTACTTTTAATTCAAGTCTAGGTATTTCTCTACTTACTATCAAGAGATTTAGATGAAGTATCTGTTCCTTTTGACAGAACAAACCTGTAAGAGTACTTGCCATAGTTTGTCATGCAGTATTTAATAATTCTCTCCTTGAATTTAGAATTTCTTGAAATGGGCTGAAATCTAAAAATATTTCTGGCAGAAGCAGTTATACGAGACATCTTAATTATTATGTTTCCAAGGAAATGACAGGCTGTGTAAGGGAAGCTGACAAGTCTCCCTGCAGCTATGTGCTTTTTATATTGGAACTTTAGGTTATTATAAATTACCTAGGCCTGAGACTGGCATGAGCACAATGCCTCAGATTTAAACCAGCTGCCACATAATGAAGCTGGAGATTAACCCTTTAGATTTCCCCTTTTTGCCTTGTGGCTCACTTCCCAAATATAACACTGCTAGGGCCTGCCTAAATGGGCAGTAAAAATATCTAGCTGTCTCATTCTCTTTATTGTCTCGAACCTTTGCTGTTTATTCCCTACTGTTGGGATTATGCCTAAAGATCAAATTGAACAGGAAGATGGTGTAAGCTGGAGGTGAAGAGGTCTGAGGAGTACAGGAAGCTGGCAGATTTTCTGTAGGGCTGATGCTCTTGACAACCATTGTTTGATTTGAGCCCCTGCCTACTCTGCTGAATGCCGTGTTTCCACATCAGGAAAGGAACTTGATCTTTGCACCTGCTGCCTCCTCCTTAGAGGGGCGGGAGAAGCACTAGGTGATCTTTGAGTTAAGCAGCACCACACAGTCAACTGTACAGAGCAAACAAGTTAAACTGTTTCCTGCCGGGAAGGTATTTTGAATTGTGTTGCCATTCTCTTTAGTTTGCTTCCTGAATTCAGACCACTTTACTAAGTATTATTCCATTGCTAAAATCCTCAGCCATATCTAAGTCCTGCTGCTACCAACTGAAAAGGCAGTAATTAGTAAAACTGTCATTATTCAAATACAGGGAAGTATCAAGTGGGGCCTTCTTAACTTTGTATTATTAAACTTCTAGCATTATGCGACTGACATATTTCATTCATAAAAAGAAACTAATGTAAGGTATTTTTACAGACATATATTTTAAAATACTTTGTTATCTGTTAAGAAAAAACACTGTAATATTATAAATGTTAGAAGACCTTGGGGCTATCTGGAAATGGGCTAGAGTCTGGTTTTGGATCAAGCACTTCCTTTCTACCTTACCTTGGATATGTTTGAATGTCTGTTTTCCATAAAAACATGAAACAAGGAAACAAAAAAGAAATCCATACATGGTATGCCTTGCCAACTTCATAGTGCAGTTGCAAAGTTTAAATGAGAGGGAAAATGTGACAATGGTTGAAAGACTATACAGTGCTATAAGATATAAATTTGCATCACCATTTCATGGGCTTCCTTTTATTGTTAGAAATTTCTCATCCTCTTCCGAAAACACAAATGAGCAGTGTGCAGATGAAATAATGAGTAGTGTGATTTTGGTAAGTAGCCTACTTGATAAATCTAGTGAAGAAAAAGGACCAACAATAGAGCATTTCATCTGTCTTCTCGTTACAAATAAAATCCAGTGAAATCCCTCAGGATACTGACAGAAGCTGTTAGTAGGGCCTCCTGTTTATAGACAGCTGAGCCTGATTGATGAATATGTAAAAGCTCAACCCCTGCACAACTTCTTCATTAGCCATTCCAGAAGATTTTCTGAAGAATGCATATTGAACCACAATTATATATATCTATAGTGTGTTATAGATAGTTTATATTAGCATAAACCTCAGACAATTTTCAAAGAATATTATTAACAAAGAATATAAATATGACATTATAATAAAAATATTCTTTCCTTGCATTCATATTAATTTTTTTAATTCTGTAGATATTTGGTTTTGTACCCAAGATAGAAGATTTCAAGTGGTGGTATCACCAATGATTTAGCCACTTGATAGTATTAAGTAAACATTATCTTATTACTAATTACAAAGGATGTAATAAATGATCTTGGATTATAAAAATAAGATTATTATGTAATACCATTTTAAAACATCTGTACTTCACTAGTCAGTTATTAAGAGAAAATAAAACATTCAGTATAGATATTTTTGTCTTTCTTTGATAAAATGAAATAACTACTTTGGTAAGTTGAAAGTTATGAAATTACATGTTAATTTCAAAATTTTATTGTTCACTTTGTCATAACTCACTTGTAGCAGGATTGCAAATCCTCTTTTCTGGGCCAGTACACCCAATCCCCAGCTGTTCTGAGTGTTGACTGCTAATGGCTGATAGATTCCTCCTTCTTTGAAGAATTGCCCTTAGGGAAACAGGAGCGGCCTCCTCCGAGAGGTTTTCTCCACCCAGGGGTAGCCTACAGCTGATGACTGACTAAAAAGGAAACAGAAAATTCTGGTCCCTTTGCCTCAAGATAGGATCAACTTTGTGTCGCTATTCATACAATTTAGACTCCAGTTGACACCACGTCTTTATGTTGCTCCTCCACTGGACTTTTCTGTGTTTTCTGTTTGGTTGGTTGGTTGATTGGTTGTTTCGTTGGTTTTTTAAGGAAACTGTTTCTCCTCACAGAAAATCCTCAATAGATCTTGTGTGCCCAGATTCTTGTCTCAGTCTTTGTTTCTTGGAAACCTAATCTAAGGCAGATGGTCCCAGAAATGGCCTTAAGAAGCAGATTCTAAGGATATTTGCATTTGATCACTAACTAGTGAGTGAGAAATGAGAATCCCATATCTAATAGTGGGGTATCAATGCTTGTTAACATCTGTAGAATGTAACTACTAAGATTTTTAGGTGGTGAACTTGGAGAGTAGAAGGAGACAAACTGGCTTGTCTCTGACATTAGAGAGGTAACTGGCAAATAATAATTATAAGGACTGTTAATCGGGTGCCTATTGTTGCACACTATTGATGCTTTGAAGAGAAAATATTACTATTTTAAGTAAGTAAATGCCAATTAAAAGACAGCAGATGGCCTGTAAAGGAAGCAATCTTCATATACTATAGCCTAAGTGCTACCAATGTGTGAACCAGACTCAGGACCCGATCCTAAGAGTGGCAGAAATTGAGAAAATAATGAAGTCTCATTTTTAGCAATTGTCCAATATCAGAACCCTGAAAAGGAAGGAATGGGAACCTTGCAATAGGGATATCTGGGTAATGTCTCTTGAGATTCTCCTGAAACTTTTGGGATCAAATGGCCAAATCCTCCTAATTAGAAAAAAAAAAGGATCCCCCCATTATGTAGATTATTTTAAACTGTTAAATGAGGCAGATGTCCTGTGGAATGCTTGCCTGTGCAGGGTTTGGTTCCAGCTTCCCTCCCCTCCTGAGTAGGGAAGAGCTGGGCCTGGTATGCAAGGACAGGTATTGTAAACTCTGAAAACTTCAGGTATGGCTAGTGTGTACTGCTAGCAATTAGGAGTGATGCCTAGGAGTGGATCATCAGGCCTCTGGATCAAGAGTGGCATATTTTAAAACTGTATATATGAGAGTTTGTCAGTATGGCTTTCTTCTATAACACAGAATTTAACATTCCGGAAAGTGCCACAGAATTTAAATTCCTGGAATGCTCAAGTCTTTATTTTTGAGAATGTCACCCTGTATTTTCTTATCTACAATTTGAATCCATGCAACCCTCTAATACTTTAGAGTTATTTCTTTGCTTTGATCCTCCTTAACTTTAATATGACATCTCTGTGGCCTGTTTTGCCTTCTACATATAAGTAGAAGCTTTCTACGTATGTAGCAGCTTTCTGGACTGAATAACTCTTCTATTAGAAGGTATGTGTTCAAGAAAGCTGTCTTTAATGTGGTAAGAATTAATACAATGTTCATACATATGAGCCAGGTATTCTAATATCAGCCCATAAGGGGCTGCCAATGGTTTAATGTCCACAGCTTGTATAAGTTTCCCAAATTTGCTTTAGAAACTGCTTGACAGATCCCATAGTTTCAGGGACCATTCCTGATGCTATCACTCCCATGTAGTCTGTTTATTACCCTCTGCTGAAGAAAGATTATTTCCTTATATTCTGAGCATGTGCCACGTCTTAACCATCTGATGATGTCTCTGGTTCTTAACTATAAACAATATTTTTAGTGGAGAGTTGCTTTCTTATTTGGACACTGACAATAGCTCTCTAAGCTAAGGCTTAGCTAATATCATGAGCCTGAAGGGTTTTTGCAGTTTTGAGGTTATTTAATTCTCAGTTTCACCCCCGGCACGCTACGCTCAGAGCCAAGTACCTGAGAGAATATGTGTCAAAAGAAAAAACAGTAAAAAAAAAAACAAAAAAAATGTAAAATTTAAAAATGAGATATGAAGAACTATATGTAGATGTTCTGGGGAGGCTAATAATTAAGTTTATATTGAAATAGAAATAATTTTTCCAATATTATATGGAATATTTTTAAGAATAAGAATAACAATATCTATAAGTAAAAATTAAACAGAGAAACGAATTTAATTATGAACTAACTTCTGATGAATTTATAGGCAATGTAAAGAAGTAATAAAACACTTCATACTTTTCTGTAATATCCGATTATTCCCTGTTTTATGTATCTGAATATGTATGTATTTATTGCAGCTGAAGTATTTTCAATTTATCTTTTTCTAGTTAAATAAATAATTACTTTTGAGCCAATCACATAGCTCACTCCTGTGGTCCCTACACTTTGGGAGGCAAAAGTGGGCAGATCGCTTGAGTTCAGAAGTTCCAGACGAGCCTGTGCAACATGGTGAAACCTCATCTCTACAAAAAATAGGAAAATTATCTGGGCATGGTGGTGTGCACCTGGGGGGCTAAGACAGGAGGATCACTTGAGTCTGGGAGGTTGAGGCTGCAGTGAGCCATGTACATACCACTGCACTCCTGCTTGGGGACAGAGTGAGACCCTCTCTCAAAAAAAAAAGAAAAAAAGACTTCTAAATCATCTATATTTAAATGGTACTATATTTTAATACATTCCCTTGATTTTTTTAGAAATTCATATATATAGTCACCTTAGGCAGATACATAGATATTCTACACAAACAGTAAGCTCTGGATTAACTGGCAGAGAAATTATATAAAAGGGAATGGAAAACCCTGAGGCAATATTTATTTAATCCACAGTTCTTTATGTGTCCAACTCAATTCTTTATTATAAACTTTTCACATTATTAAATATTTTATCAGAAAAGTGTGATTTATTTCAAAAATAAAGATTACCCAAAAGTTCATTACTGATTTAGGAAATACACTTTTATTTACATATACAAAAAAGCATACACAGTAAATAAGAACTTAAGAAATCAGCATAAATGACCTAAGATGGAAGCATATCCATGTTGTTGTGTGTAGTAGTTTATTCATATTTGTTGCTGTATCACATTCTACTAATCTGCAGAATTTATGTATCTATTCCATGGTAGATAAACATTTGGATGGTTTTAATTTTGTCTATTACAAAAGTTTGCATCTATGAATCTTCCTCTACATAATTTTGACAGACTTTTATATGTATTATGATCATGCAAATATATAAAACTACAACATAATTTAGAGAAAAAGAGTATACCAAGTTAAAATACATCCATCTATTGCATTTCTATGTACTAGCAATAGAAAACTGAATTGTGAATATATTTAACAATCCATTCACAATAGCCTCAAAACCAGAATAATCAGGAATAAATTTTCTTAAAGATGTTCAACGTCTCTACACTAAACTAAAAAAGTATTACAAGGGGAAATTAAAGAAGTCCTAAAATATGGAGAAATATGCCTATTCATACATTCAATATCATTAAACAGTCAATTCTCTGCAAATGTATGTATGTATATTAAAAGCAATCCAAAATATAATCCCTGCAGGATTTTTTGTTGGAAATTTAAAATTGTGTTCTAAAATGTATGTAGACTACAAACAGAATAGACTATTAATAGGATTTTTGAAAAAGAACATATTTTTAGGTCTTACAATACCTGACATCAAGGCATAATACAAAGCTACCATAATCAAGACAGTTACCAGCATAGGATCAACCAAAAAAGAACCCAGAATTGAACTCAGGTTTATACAATCATTTTATTTTTGACAAAGGTATAAAATTATTTGATTAGATAAGGAAAGACTTATTGGCAAAAGTCCCAGAATAACTGATGAAAAAAGAGAAAATACACTAGAGCAAATCATAATCAAATTTCTGAGCACCAGTGATGAAAAAAAATCCAACAGCAGCCAGAATAAAGACATATATTACATACAGAAAACGAGAAATTGAAAAGACACTAAAATCTTTATCAGAAATTAAAAATAGATGAAAACGAAACATCACCCTTAAAGTACCAAAGAACAAATATTAAGGTGAAACTAAAATGTTATATACAGTTGAGAAATAAAATCAACTGGTAAATTTCAAAATATCTCTAAGCAAACATAACCAATACAAACTAAAGCAAAGCAGATAGAGAGGACTTAAATAAATAACTAATCCTTCAATGCAAAGACTGTGATGTACATCCACTAGAAATGACAGCAAACAGAAAACTATGACCTCCACAAATGGACAAAACAAGGAACCAGTGACTGACCCTAACAAGATGGCAATACGTTATCTTTCTGATCAATAATTCAAAATAGTAGTTTTAAGGAAACTCAGTGATCTCCATAATAACACAAAAGCAACACAGAAATTTGGCAAAGAGATTGAAATAATGATAATAAAAAACCAGAAATCTTGAAACTGAGAAACACATTTGGTGAACTGAAGAATGCATTAGAGGCTCTAACAGCAGAATGAATCAAGTAGAAGAAATAATCAGTGTACTTGATGATTGGCTATTTGAAAATGACCAGAGGAGAAAAAATTAAGAAAAAATGGGTAGAAACACCCAAAAGATACAGAAAATTACCTCGAGAGACCAAAACTAAGAATTACTATTGTTCAAGAGGGAGTTGAGAAAAATCAAAGGGTAGAATGCTTATTCAAAGAAATAATCACAGAGAACTTTCCAAAATTTGAGAAAGAAATAAATATCCAGGTACAGAAAGGTTAGAGAACAACAAATAGATTCAACTCAAATAAGACTACCCCAAGGCATGTAATAATTACATTTTCAAAAGTCAAGAACAAAAAGAGAAACCTAAAAGCATCAAGAAAAATGAAGCAAATAATATATAAAAGAGTTCCAATTCATTGGGCAACAGACTTCTCAATGTAAACTATACAAGCCAGGGGAAATGTGATCACATTTTTAAAGTACTGAAAACAAAACAAAACAATTGCCACCCAACAATACTGTATCCAGCTCATTTATCTAAGATAAAGTCTTTCTAAGCAAACAAAAGCTGAGAGAATTAACCATCATCAGTCCATATGCATCTTATAAAAAGGGCTAAAAGGGAGTTCTTCAATCTGAGAGAAAAGCAAAAATATTAACATATGAAAAGAAATCATTTGATGGTGTACAACCCACTGGTAAAAATAAGTGCATAGACAAACCCAGAATACTCTAATACTGTAATTGTGGTGTGTAATCCACTCATAACTCTAGTATGAAGACTAAAATAAAAATCTATCAAAAACAATCATATTTACAGCAACCTGTTAAGAGATAGACAATATAAAAATATTAAAATCGAGGCAACATAAAGTTAAAATGCGGGGAGAGTTTGTTAAAATGTAGGGGTTTGTTTTTTCATTTTTAATTGATTAAAATTTTTTTTCTTTGTGATCTAAGATAAGTTGTTCTCTTTGAAATAACTTGTTATGAGAGTTGTGTAAGCCTTAGGTAAGCCCAGTGCAAAAACCTATCATAGATTCTCTAAAAATAAAAAGCAACAGATAGAACATACAGCAAGAAAAAATCATGTAACAGCAAAGGAAGACAGGAAGAAGGGCAAAGAGGAGATACAAAACAACCAGAAAATAAGCAGCAAAATACAAAACAACCAGAAAATAAGCAGCCAAAAATGGCAGTAGTAAGTCTTTACCTATCAACAATAAAATGAAATGTAAACAAACTCGGTTTTCCAGTTAAAGGGCATAAACTGGCTGAACGGATAAATAAAACTACACCCAACTATATGCTGCCTACAAGAAACCTACTTCATCTATCATGGTACATATAGACTGAAAGTGAATGGATAGAAAGGTATACCATGCAAATGGCAACCAAAAAGAGCAGGAGTTGCTATACGTATATATCAGATAAAATAGACTAAAAGTCAAAGACTAAAAAGAGACAAAGTGAGTCACTATATACGTATAAAGTGGTCAATTCAGCAAGAAAATATAATAATTATAAACATATATGCACCCAACACTGTAGCTTCCAAGTATATAAAACAAACATTAATAGTTTTAAAGGGAGAGATAAGACTGCAAGATAGAAATAGTAGAGGATTTCAACACTCTACACTCAGTAATGCACAGATCATCCAGACTGAAAATCAACAAAGAAATATCAGAGTTGAACTACACACTAGACCAAATAGGCCTAACTGCCATTTACAGAACATTTCACTCAACTGCTGCAGAATGTATATTCTTTTTATTAGCACATGGAATATCCTACAGAATAGACCATATCTTACACAACAAAGCAAGTCTCAACAAATCCAAAATACCAGAAATCATAGCAGCTATCTTCTCTGACAATGATTGAATAAAACTAGAAATCAAAAACAAGAAGAACACTGAAAATCACACAAACATGGAAATAAAAGAACATACTCCTGAATGACCAATGAGTCAATGAGGAAATTAAGAAGGAAATTAAAAAAAAAATTTTGAAACAAATGAAAATGAAAAACAGCATACCAAAATCTATGAGATACAGCTGGGTGTGGTGGCTCACACCTGTATTCCCAGCATTTTGGGGGGCTGAGGTGGGCAGATCACCTGAGGTCAGGAGTTTGAGACCAGCCTGATCAACACGAAGAAACCCAACCTTTACTAAAAATACAAAAAAATTAGCTGGACATGGTGGTGCATGCCTGTAATCCCAGCTACTTGGGAGGCTGAGGCAGCAAAATCACTTGAACCTGGGAGGCAGAGGTTGCGTTGAACCAAGATCATGCCATTGCACTCTAGCCTGGGCAACAAGAGTGAAACTCCATCTCAAAATATATATGAGATAGACAAAACCACTACTAAGAGAGAAGATGTTTGCAATAAATGCCTGTGTGAAAAAAGTAAAGTCTGGGTGTAGTTCTTCATGCCTGTAATCACAACATTTTGGGAGGCTGATGCATGAGGATTGCTTGAGGTTAGGAGTCCTAGACTAGTCTGAGCAACAGCAAGACGCCACCTCTAAAAAAATAAAAATAAAATAGCCTGGCATGATGGTATATGGCTACAGCCCCAGCTAATTAGGACACTGAGCTGGGAGGATCACTTGAGCCCAGGAGATTGAAGCAACAGTGACCCATCATAGCGCCACTGCACTCCAGTCTGGGTGACAGAATGAGAACTTGTCTCAAAAAAAAAAAAAAAAAAAGTAGAGAGGCTTTAAATAAACAATCTAATGATGCACCTAACAGGACTAGAAAAGCAAGAAAAAAAAAGCCCAAAATTAGTAGAAGAAAAGAAATAATAAATATCACAATAGAAATAAATGAAATTGAGACACAAAGTACAGAAGATCAAAGAAAGGATTTTTTGAAAGATAAATAAAATTGACAAACTTTAGTTAGACTAAGAAAAAGAGAGAGAAGATCTTGGTAAATCAGGAGCAAAATGAGGACATAACAACTGACACCACACAAATCCAAATAATCATTAGAAACTGTTACAACAATTATATGCCAACAATTTGGAAACCTGAAAAGAAATAGATAAATTAGTGGACATATACAACATTCTAAGATTGAACCATGAAGGAATAGGCAACCTCAACAAACCAATAACAAGCAATGAGATCAAAGCCGTAATAAAAAGGCTTTCACCAAAGAAAAGCTTGATACCTGATAGCTTCATTGCTGAATTCTATCAAACATTTAAACAAGAAATAATACGATTCTATCCAAATTATAAAGAAAGTTAAAGACAAGAGAACACTTCCAAACACATTATCCAAGGCCAGCATTACCCTGATACCGAAACCAGACAAGGACACAACAAAAAAAGAAAACTACAGTTTAATATTTTCTACGAACATGAATGCAAAAATTCCCAACAAAATAATGGCAAATTGAACACATTAAAAAGATTATTCACCACGATCAAGTGGAATTCATGCCAGAAATGCAAGAATGTTTCAACATATGCAAATCAATAAATGTGACACATCATATAAACAGAACCAAGAACAAAAACTATTTGATAATTTCAATAGACGCTGGAAAAGCATTTAATTCAACATCCCTTTATGGCAAAATTCCTCAACCAAGTGTAGGAGGAACATATCTCAAAATAACAAAAGCCCTATATGAAAAGCTCACAGCTAACATCTTGCCAAACAGAAAAAAATTAAAAGTCTTTCCTCTAAGATCTGGAACAAGACAAGGGTGTCCACCTTTGAAAAGTGAAAGACCACTTTTATTCCACAGAATTCTGTAAGTCCTGACCATAGCAATTAGGCAAGACAAAAAAAATGAAGCACATCAAAATTGAAAAAGAAATCACAATAACCTTCTTTACAGATGGCATGATCTTTTAAACTTAGAAAAACCTAAAGACCACCAGCTGGGCGCAGTGGCTCACGCCTGTAATCCCAACACTTTGGGAGGCCTAGGAAGGCAGATCACGAGGTCAGGAGATCAAGACCATCCTGGCTAAAATGGTGAAACCCTGTATCTGTTAAAAATACAAAAAATTAGCCGGCCTGGTGGCAGGCACCTGTGGTCCCAGCTACTCAGGAGGCTGAGGCAGGAGAATGGCGTGAATCCAGGAGGTGGAGTTTGCAGTGAGCCGAGATCGTGCCACTGCACTCCAGCCTGGGTGACAGAGTGAGACTCCATCTCAAAAAACAAAGAAACAAACAAACAGAAAAACCTAAAGCCCACCAAAAAACTGTTAGAATGACTAAATAAATTCAAGAAACAAAATTAACACACAAAAAAACCACTAGAATTTATATGCATCAACAGCGAACATTCTGAAGAAGAAATCAAGAAAGGAATCCCATTTGCAATAGCTGGAAAGAATATAAAATAACTAGAAAGCAACTTAACCAAAGAAGTGAAAGGTCTATACAAAGAAAAAATAAAAGTCTGAGGAAATAAATTGAAAAGAACACACACACACACACACACACACACACACACAAATTGAAAGGTATTACTTGCACATTGGTTGGAAGAATAAATATTATTAAAATGCCAATACTCCTAAAGCAACTCACAGATTCAATACAATCCCTATCAAAATACCAATTTCATTCTTTACAGAGATAGAAAAAAATCTTAAAGTTGATATGAAATCACAAATGACCCTGAGTAGCCAAAGCAATCCTGAGCAAATAGAACAAAGCTGGAGGCATCATACTACCTGACTTCAAAAATATGCTACGAAGCTTTAGTAACCAAATCAGCATGGTACTGGCATAAAAACAGACACATAGTCTAAATGAAATATAATATAATAGCGAATCCAGATAAATATCAATGCATTTACAGCCAACTCATTTTTGACATAGGTGCCAAGAACATACAATGGGGAAAGGATGGTCTCTTTAATAAATATTTCTGGGAAAACCAGACAACCATACGCAGAAGAATGAAACTAGACCACAGTTTCTCACCATATATAAAAATAAAATAAAAAACATTAAAGACTTAAATCTAAGCCCTAAAACCATGAAACTAATAGAATAAAACATCACCAAAATCCTCGAGGGCACTGATCTGGGCAAACATTTTTTTTTGGGACCTCAAAACCATAGGCAACAAAAGCAAAAATAGACAAATGAGATAACATCAAGCTAAAAAGCTTCTTCATAGCAAAGAAAACAATCAGAAAAGTTAAAAGACAACCCAAAAAATGGGAGAAAGTATTTGCAAACTGTCCATCTGATAAGGAATTAATAATCAAAATATGTAAGGAGTTCAAATGACTTTATAAAAAAATAATAATCTGGTTAAAAATAGGCAAAAGGTCTGAATAGATATTTTCAAAAGAAAACGCAAAAATAGCCAACAGATATATAAAAAATGCTCAGCATCATCAATCATTAGAGAAATGAAAATCAAAATCACAATGAGATATCATCTCAGCCAGCTTAAAATGTCTTTTATCGAGAAGACAGGGAATAACAAACACTGATGAGGAAGTGGAGAAAAGGTAAACCTCGTACACTGTTAGTGGGAAAGTAAATTAGTAAAGAAACTGTGGAAAACTATATGGAAATTCCTCAAAAATCAAAAATTGGACTACTATATGATATAACAACTTCACTACTCGGTATATATCCAAAAGAAAAAAAAGCAGTATTTCACAAGGATGCCTAAACTCCCATGTTCATTGCAGCACTATTCACAATGGCCAAAATGTTGAATCAACCTAAATTCCCATTCAATGGATAAGTAGATAAAGAAAATGTGATATATAAACACAATGAAATACTATTCAGCTGTAAAAAATAATGAAACGCACTTCATTTGCAGGCACATAGATAAAACTAAAGGTCATTATGTTAAGTAAAATAAGCCAAGCATAGACAGACAAATATCACATGTTCCCACTCATGTGGAGAAACTAAAAAAGTGGATTTCATGAAGATAGAGAATAGATTGGTGCTTATTAAAAAGAGTAGGAGAAAACAGAGAATAAAGACAACTTGACTAATGGGTGCAAACATAGTTTGATAGAAGAAATAAGACTTAGTCTTTCACAGGTCAGTAAGGTGACTATAGTTAACAGTAATCTAGTGCAAATTTCAAAATATCTAGAAGAGAATAATTTGAATGTTTCTAGTGTAAAGAAAAGATAAATATTTAAGGTGATGGATATCCAAATTATACAGATTTGATATTTAAAAATTATATGAATATATTAAATTATCGTATGTACCCCCAAATATGTAAATCTATTATATATTTAAAAATAAAATTTTAAAAGTGAATCAGCAAGAAATGTGATGAATATTATAAACATTCTAAGCAAACAATGTTAGTTTATATCAAACAAATTTTTGTACCACAAAACCAACTCATTCTTAAAATATTTTTGTTTTAATTTTTAGTGTTTTAAGAATACTTTACATAAACTTTGAGATAAATTTCCATAAAACTGTGATGAAAAAATAACAATCATTAAAGGGTAAATCTAATGACGTGTTGTTATCAATCATGTCATTATTTTGGTTATGCTTTTGGGAGGGAAGATTGCTATTGCCTATGAATCAATTCATATCATTTCCTTCTATTTGAGGTTCTGCAATGACTGATTCTAACTTACCTATTTGATTACATTTTCTAATTATACAACACAAACCTTCTCTGTGAGTTGAATAAATCTCCATAGTGCTATCCATGTTTATCAAGGTCATTTCAGGCATATCTATGCTCTTTTTGCACCTAAATATCTTCTTATTTCTTCTCTGCCAATAAAAATTCATCATTTCTTAAAAATTCAATTTCCACTTCCTCAATGTAGCATCTTCTTCCATCTGCAGAAAAAAATATTTTTTTCTTTCTCTGAATTCCTAGGAAATGTACAATTTATTTTATAACTTGCTTGGGTCCTATGTTTTAATTTTTAATGGAAAATTCCTTTATGAATGCTCATTGGTAAAGCAGAACTAAACCTCCCCTAGGATTTCCAAACCCTAGCACTCTATATATCTCACAGTGGAAAGAGCAGATACGAAATACCTCATATCATATACATCACCGTGGACAGAGCAGCGATTCTATGCAAAAAATAGGTGTATGGCCAGAAAATGTATTTATGAAACTTTGAATGGTAGATCGTATTACTGTCCTTAATTATTGACTCTTTCTCTACAGGCAGATTATACAATTCTGCCCCATACTTTCAATTATTAATTCTCTTTGATTTTGAAGGACTATCTTGCTTCGGCCAACACAATGTGAATGAAAGGAATCTACACCACATCCAAACACACATTTTAGATGCACTGCAAGTTTTCATGGCCTTTTCTGTTCCTGTGCCCTGTGCCTATGAGAAGGATACGTCCCACAAAGTTCTGCACATTGGGGTAACAAAATCTGAAAACATACTATGCAGACCTAAACCTGGACTGCATCCTAAAGCAAAGTCACAGCAGACAAAGGTGACGTGACAGAGAAATAACAATTTGATGTCTAAGTCACCAAAAATTTTAGGTTGTTTATTTTGTAGCATTTCCTAGCAATATCTGATAGATCCAACTCCAGCATTTAGTACTGCAAGTCCTTGGTGAAAACATGTAACTTTTTAAACCACACTCTAGTCATCTGTACCTGTGGTAAAGTGAGCTCTACCATGACACAGACACTTAAGAGTTATAATGGAAGGCATCAAATGCAATTTTTAAAAGTAGAGGAAAGCTTTTGGTTTAGTTTTGAAATAATGATTTAGTTTTGAAATATGTAAACTCACATAGAGTGGTGTGCTGTTTGGAATGAAGTAAATGTTTAATATGTTTTAAAAAGTAAATCTCATTAATTGTGGAATACTATGTGTGTTTTATTTATTATTTAGATTGTATTGAGAACCCTATAACATTATGTTAATTTGACTTAAATTTCTGTTTGAAGGGTGAAGGAAACTTTGGATGGTAAATTCAATCTGATTTCTGATTTATTCATTTAAGTAATTGACCTTGTCTCTTCTATAGTGAAAAACTTGAAGTAGCCATATTAAATTGTTAGTGAGAGGCAACCTTGGTTATTGTGAATGACATCCTTGATCACTTCTCTCCAACAGTCTGCCTGAGTTTCCTATAGAAAGATGTCCCAAATAATACAAATAAATATTAAGAGGATTTCAGATTTAATCATGCACTTATCAATATACTTAGCTTTTTAATATATTCTTTAACAGAACTTTTATAAATTATTTTACAGCTAACAGCAAACTATGATGAAGAAAATTACAAAGTTTATTAAATTCTATACCATAAATACTGTAGTATAGTAGCAAATGAGAAATCTGTATAGTCAAAATTAAAATATTTTCTTAATGACAGAAATTTTTGAAGGTATGGTGGTGAACATATTGGTAACTTATTAATTTTTAGAGGTTCTTTCTTTTTTCAAGATTTAGATTTTTAATTACATTTTAAATATGATTCGCAAGTTGTTAGCTGAGATTACACTAATGTCTTTGGTGCTATTTTCAAGAGATGACATATTATACATTTTGGTAAATAACTAGTTGATCCCTGTGATTTTTTTTAATCTTAAACAGCTTAGAAATCTAAGGCCAAGAGGAAAGGGAAAGCATTATTAAAAAATTTTCACCTACAAAATAAGGATATCCAATATTTTAATAAAAGAGAGGCTGTGCCACATTTTTCATCACGAGTTTGAGAGACCAATGATCTGTAAGCAGTATAATAAAATCAATATATCGATTTATGTAACATTTAAAATTTTCTGAGGAAGGGGATTATATCTAATGCAGCTATTCGTATTTATTCTTGTCAGCAAGAAATATATAACCCACTAAGTATATATTAAGTACAGATATTGCACTACAATGTAGAAAGAGTGAGCAATAAATATGCTTCCATCACTATAGAAACAATTTAATTGGCCCTCTATTAATGAATGAAATTTTATTTTGAATCTCTTATAAATTATCAAAGTTTTAGCAGTCTTAATCATTCAGTAAGACTGGTACGTAACCTTTTAGTTTATTTTACTTGCATTTAGTTTCCTTTCTATGACAACTAGATGAAACAAAATTTAATGTTCCTTTATACTTATATATATATGAAGTATATGAAGTGTGTGTTTATTTAGAAAGAATTAATTTCACATTAAAAATTCAAAATAACATTGTCTTGCCCATTCCAAAAGAGAATAGATCTAAGTGATTCATCAAGTCAATGACAAATATCACTTAGGCCCTTTCTACAGTGAGGTACTCCTCTAAGTATGTTACCTAGGAGCCGTCAATTAATGCAACTAATGAAAAGCTATTTGAAATAATATTCCTCATGTAATTTTATTACTGGTAATTCTTTGTAAAAGTATGGATTAAACTCACATCTTACACCTAGTATATCCTTATTTAATTTCAGGTCCCAAGAATTTAGATGATTCAAAGGTATACTAAAGGTTCAGAAACATTTTTGGCAATTCCTAATACTCAGAAATGCCCCTTAAGAAAGTGGGAGAAAGAACCTAGACATCTACTTTTCGAATGACATCCTGGTTATATTACTACTGATAATAATGGAATGCAGTGCGTTTATGAGGGTGACAGTGTATGTTTATGAGGCTGACTTAGTGCAATAAAGATTTCTGTAAACTCCAAAAAGGATTGAATACCTCCTATCCTCTTTATCTTTCTCTATCAACTTTGCCCTTGCTATTACCATATCTTAACAAAATTCTAATAATTTGAAGTTGAAGAACCTAATACAAATATTTAAGAGCTAGAGTCTTATTTTATTAGCAGAAAAGTAGAAGTAATGCAGAACTATTGTGACCATAAATTTTGGTACAACACTTCAGTTACATTCTAGATAGAGAGCTGAGGCGCAGAATCACTGCTCCTTTTTCAATACTTTCTTGCTTATGGGCTGTGACTTAGAAGTTCATCATAAAAGTCAATATCTATGGTGACTTTGCTGCCATAAACTGCCATGGAATATTAGAGACGATAATGATAATCTTACTTCAACTTCTTTATTTTAAAGCTGATAAAAATATGTATAGAGATTGTAAATTATTCAAAGAGAAATAGCCTTACTCTTACATAATAAACATCCTACAATCTACTCAGAAAAAAAATATTTTTAATTTGGAAATAACTTTTGTCTTCTCCAAACCAGATTTTCTTCTTTTTCTATTATAATAATGATTCTAGATGTATCCGCAGTAACTATTCCTAATTACTGTATCAGTTAACTTTGGTTGTATAAATTACTCTAAAAGTTAGTGGCTTTACACATCAATGGTTATTTATTACCTAGTCATTCTGTGGATTAGCAGTGACCTGGGCTCAAATGGACCACTGTACTGCTGGTCTGTACCAGGCTCACACAAATGTTCTCAGATAGGCTCACAGTTATATATTTAATCTGTTTCTAGTTAATCTAGGGGCTGGATGACCGCTCTTTCTGTTCTTTACCATGGGGCCTCCTCTCTCCAGCAGGCTAGGTCGGGCTCATTGACATATGTTTACAAGAGTTCCCAAGACCGGAAAAGAGCAAACCTCAGAGTACTGTGCTTTTAAAGGCTTTGCTCATATCATATTTGTCAATGTCCTTTTGCCCAAAATAAGTCTCAAGGCCAGATTCAAGGATCGAGAAAGTAGACTCCACTTCTTGATGAGAAGATCTGCAATTTTACTTTGCAGGGGTGCAAATTCCAGGTAGTGAGATATTTTGGCGATTTTCACAAAGTACCACAACTAGATTAACTCACTTACGTTGCTATTTATATGTTCAAGTATTTAACTGAGCATCTTTCCAGCAACCTGTATTCAGTAATGTGTATGAATCTTTTTTTTAACAGATTGCTCACTTGTTAGTTTTTTTTCTGTATGTTAATCTTAGTTTTTTTCAACTGGATGATTTAGTCCATAAACATTTAGTCTAATTACTTGTATATTTGTATTTGTTTGCTGTTTGACCGGTTTTTTTGTTATCTTTACTTTTTCTTACCTTATTTTATTTTAATTATTCTCGCTATTCTGTTTCCATTTCTAGGTAGAAATTTTTATCAATCAGTATCTTAGAAGAAAATCAGGTTTTTAATTTTGAAAATACTGTAATTAAGGGATTTATTTTATTGTGTACCAGTTTCAGGGAACCAGAGAAGAACAACGGATTGCATGTAGCAGGAGAGGAATTAGAGCTGCTGGATCCTGCAGTCACTAAATAGGGCTGCCCAATGTGTAGCCTTAGAAGGATGTAACAACTGGCAGGAATAATGGGAACAGGGGGTACATACTCATATTATATTCTCTTCACCTCAGACCTGTTGCCAGTGTCCTCCATTTAACAAAACCAACAAGAACGTAGAGGGCAAGAATGTCCATGTAAGGTCAGCTCTTTTGAGTAAAAAAACAAGACAAAGAACGATAGAAAATTGATCTATCTTGAATATGACAGAGAATAAACAGCACAGAACTTATAAACTCATAAGCCATTTTCTTATTTTTATTTTTATTTTACTTCAAGTTCTGGGGTATGTACGCAGAACATGCAGGTTTGTTACATAGGTATACATGTGCCATGGTGGTTTGCTGCACCTATCAACCCGTCTTCTAAGTTTTAAGACCACATGCATTAGGTGTTTTTCCTAATGCATTCTCTCCCCTTGCCCCGCCCCACCCGCCAACAGGCTGCGGTGTGTGATGTTCCCCTCCCTGTGTCCACGTGTTCTCATTGTTCAGCTTCCACTTATGAGTGAGAAGATGCGGTTTTGGTTTTCTGTTCCTGTGTTAGTTTGCTGAGAACGAAGGCATAAGCCATTGTTTTAATGGTTAATGTAGAGGTAAAACCATGAATTTTTAATTTTGGTTTAATGTTATCCACAACTATTCTTCAAGGATAGTTGAAATAGCTACTTCCCTAAGTATGAAACTTCAGATACCTTTCCCAAGTTCTGTGCGCTGTTCTCATGTATTTTAATTTGTTTTTGTCCTACTTCTAATCCAACCCAATTTCAACTATCATCAACCAGTCTATCTTTTATTGTTTTTATTTCCCTGATATTGTTTTCTTTTTCTTGTGGGACTTGCATACTAATTGCAGTATCCCAGACTTGAACCCTGGTGTTTCCTAGGCTTTTGTTTCAGTGGGTTTTTAAAATTCCATTCCTGGTCTACATGGGCGCTTCCACTCAAACTTGCTGAATTCAAACATTGGCATAAGCCAGTTTATTCAGTCGTCAAGCACTACCACATCGCTCCCCACAGCCCTCACTCTATAAAGGAAGATATAGACGGTAGGTAGAGATAAGGCAAAGAAAGAAACCTGAGCAAATTTAAGTCAAACTATTTGCAAGCCATATGTAACTGGCACACACACAAAAAAAGCACTATATTTATACTTTAGGGGCTAGGTGAGAAGTAAATGGAAAAAAAAAAAAAAAACAGTAATCAAATCATTTAGCACAGTGCCTGGCACATGATAAGTACTCAATAAACATTAATTTTCCCTGTCTGTGGAATGATGCCTTGTGCTGGGGAAGAATTCCCACTCATATTGGTTTGTTTATGCTGAGGTGTTCCCCTGACCAGCAATGGTATACTTTAGAAACTCTAAAATTGACCTAAAGCAATGAATATACTTTGAGATTCATCCAGGCAAATCTGTTTTAATAACTTTCATTTTAGTTATTAAGATAACCTCAAATGAAGCAGAATCAAAGTAATTATCTGGCACAAAAGACAATGCATAAATATGAATACATGTATAGCGTATGTGTATATACTAGCATACATGGATAACATTAACTTTCTCTTACTTTTGTCCACTTATAAGCTCGTGCTTCACACATATTATTATGCTGATATTCCTCATGCTTTTTAAGCTACTGAGAATTCCCTTGGCCACTGTCAGGTTGTATCATGATTGAACTTTTAATAGATATTTAATTTGGATTTCTAATAATAAGTCTTTAAAAATGTAAAATATCATGTGTATGAAGACTTACAAGGTATAAAATAGGTATGCCATTCAGATTTTATAATAACCTCTACTGAGGATAAGGAAGTTCAGAAAAATTTTAATAATCAGTTTTTTGTCTTTAAAATTGACTTTTATTTCAAAGTATGTGAAGCACCCATTGTTTCTTTCACTTTATTACAGAACATAGAATACAGAAATATAACAGAGTACAAAGGAAATAGGGTCTGGTTTGTTTTATATATATATATATATATATATATATATATATATATATATATAACATATATATGTAACATATATATATATGAGTTGACTCTTCTATCATACTAACATACAAAGTCCACCTTCATTTTGATTTTTCTGTCCTGAAAATTAAACAATTCATTTCAAATTACTTCACCTATTTCAGATTGTGAGCTGTAATTCACAATTACCAACTCACTCAATGAATGTAAAAAGTTGACTTGTAAAGTAAATACTAATTTATGCATGAATACTGTCATGTATTAGAAAATAGCCCAAAATTCCTAAGTTGTCTATATAACAAATTAATTTCAGAGTATGAAACTGGAAAAATACACGAACATATTTCTTCACTAATATAAAAGTAATAAGAGAAGGATTATCTTTAGTTACACTGTCATTGATTCTTTGTAATTGATCACTCGTGGAAACTTCTTGACAATGCTTAGACATTTTGCTGTTTTACTGTCTTTATGTAGCGAGAATTATTTTGCTAAGAATTATTTTCCCAAAACTCAAATATTATTCCAACTTAAGGCATATTTTGATGGAATCAATAAAATGGGAAAATAATACCTGGGTTTTTGTCCTAACTCTGTCACTCAATATGTTTGTCATTCTAGTCAAGTTATTTATGAGTTTCAGTTTTTTTGACTTGTGAAATTATGTAATTATTTTTACATTACTAATTAACCTCATAAGCTTTGTTTACTTATAAAATGAAATAATGTATGCAAAATTACTGTGTATATAATGAAGTTATGTAATAAATTAGCTATTACTATTATGTCAGTATTATAAAGTTACAGTAGATCAGTTTTTAAAACAAGGTAATCATTCTTAATTCAATACAGTTATAAAAATATTATCATCAATAAATGAATTGGTTTCTGCCTATTGAGGAAATCTATGACTAGTACTTACCTATTATTTCTCAGGCCTTTTTAGTTATCCTCTAAATCAGTGTTTAGAAAACTTGTTTGTTAGGAAAGTCCATATTACTATATATTTTGAGATGAAAGACATTGAGACTCCGAGAACAAGTAATTTGCCCAAAGGGTACAACTAATAAGATCCAGTCTAGATTTAAATTCCTGTCTCTTTGATTTTGAACTAAAAAGTCTTGAGACACACGCTTTTGTCTCACGAACTTATTAATCAATGTGAAATAAACAGTGAGAGAACCTACCAAAGATAAATATTGTAATTCTGAAATTTATTCATGAACCAGGCATCATTCATATTTTAGGAAAGTCCATGTGTGTGCATTCTGCATACACGAAGAATTGTCATCTGTTTGCAAATATATCCTCTTCAACATGGAATTACCATTTTCAAGGAATGGTGTTGTTTGCCTGAATATAAAATCAGTATGCATAAATTTACTTGGGGAAAGCTACCATAGTTCAAGAAACCCCAATAATAATTAATATTCACTCATTTCATAGTGGCAATAATAACTTATTAATGCCAACTAGCCTATACCTACTAGCCTCTGTGTCAACAGCTTTCAACCCAACTGCTAAATATATATGTATAATTATTAGGACATTTTGATATGTCCAATAAGTACGATCAAACTTAAGAATACTGCTTTTGCACTCCTGTAATCCCAGCACTTTGGGAGGCCGAGGCAGGCTGATCACGAGGTCAGGAGATGGAGACCATCCCGGCTAACATGGTGAGACCCCGTCTCTACTAAAAATAAAAAAAATTAGCCGGGCGTGGTGGCGGGCGCCTGTAGTCCCAGTTACTCGGGAAGCTGAGGCAGGAGAATGGCGTGAACCCAGGAGGCGGAGCTTGCGTGAGCCGAGATCGCGCCACTGCACTCCAGCGTGGGCGACGGAGCGAGACTCCGTCTCAAAAAAAAAAAAAGAATGCTGCTTTTGGTTATTTTGCTTGCTTTCAAATCATGTAATGTATGCATAACACATGTTCTAATTCTCCCCTTTACCCCAACCTAAAACTATGCCTCACATAATTCAGACTCATTCTATCCTGAGTCAAAGCCCATTTCTTTTTTTTTTTTTTTTTTTTTTTTTTTTTTTAGCTACACATAGAGAATGGGTAAGGATACATTGTGACCAGGTTTATGGATGTATTAAGAGATCGGTAAATGTGGGATGTACTTTGAAGAAATAATGAAATTGCATCAGATGGCACACAAGCCCCAGGAGAGGATTATGGTAAAGATTGAGGTGAAGATGTAGTAATGCTAATGATACTGCAGGATTACAAGATGCAATAAAGGTGCTGCTGAGTAACCTTCATGTAAATAAAAAATATTTCCTTTTAAGGAGTAAAAATGCCCTAGTGCTTATTTTAAAGCATGCATGTCAAGAATGATTCAAAATTCCCTATTTATAAAACAATAATATACTTTTTTCATGATTAGCTAACAGTTTAAGACTCACCTAACACTGAGTTTCCTCAAATATACCAGCCATTTTCACATTTAATTAGTTAATTCCTCATAATGACTTTAGTAAGCTAGTTAATAATCCCACTTTGCAGACGACAAAGTAACATCAGTAGTTTAAAGTAATGCATTTTTAAAAGTGCCTGAACCAAGACTCATTACTCAATATCCAATATTTCCTTGTGTTCCAGCTCTGAGGACATTTTCTATTAGTGAAATGTTCTGACTAATTTTAGTGGAAATTTGGATTTCAGAGATGTAATACAGAATGCAGATAATTTCTGAAGTTCTTTTACTCTATCTGACAAGCAGCATCTCCCTGATATTACCAGCTTTCCAATGCCTCATATTCATGTTGCTGGGATAAATCATAAAATCACATAAAAGCATTCATACAAGCTAAATTCTGTTATCTTTCTACTCAAACTCCAAAATCCAGTCTAGTAATGCTTTAGTTACCTGGTTTTGAATGACCCACCTTGTAAATTTTCTGTTACGTGGTTACATCTCTGACTGGCTACAGTAATATCCTCTTCTCTTGGTGGGTTCAGTGTTCTATGTTAAAAATCTTACTGTAATGTTACTTTCATTATTTACCTACCACATTTCCTTTATTGAAGGTAACCCAGAGCAAGTTATATAGCAAACATGCACATAAATTGAAAATAAATCATGTCAGAGACACGAGTAACGGCCAGAAAATAACATTAATTCAGAGAAACTTAGGGCAGCAAGGGATATTAAGGGTTATGTATTCTAAAACAAAAATCCTCTTCATGACCTCTCTGACAAGGAACCATTATAGGTTTTCCCTTTGAAGGATATCTCGTTTGTTCCACAGTAGGATAAGGCATTTTCAAATGCAACAATCTATTAACTGAGCTAGAGAGCTTGACTTCTAAAAGATACAATCCCAGCTCTCTAAATTCTATGCCACTCCTGGCAGAAATGTGGCAAATACGGCTTTGTAGATTTCTGTGGGCAGCTTCCATTGAAGAGATTAAACCATTGTTCAACCATGACTATATATCCTCTGAAAATGAACACATGCTTCTGAATTGATCTGCAGTCAGTCATGTGCCTCTAGTTTCTTCTACCTAAAAAAAAGCACAAGCTTTCCAGCATACAGTAATGTATATTTCACATACCTAGTTATGTATTATAAGAAAAGTACGCATTCAGAATAGGCTTTTAAATGTTTGAGAACTAAATCGCTTATTCTTGTAAACTCTCTTTTCATTTTTAACTTTCACAAATTAGTGTATATTTTATTTGCATTCAGATATGGATTGGAGAGTAACATGAAATTTTTGAGATTATATAAGATACTGTACTTTTGATACTTAATTTTATACTGTAATATAAACCATTAATAACATAATTTCCAGTTGAGAATACAGTAGAAATTCAGCCACATTGTCCCCTGAGATGTAGATATGACTATGTTTTATAAACTGATGGACCCAGCAGCCGAAAGCCTCTTGATAAGCATTTGAAAGGTATAGAGGAGTTACAACACCCTCAGCATTAAAAAGAAGGAGTTTCTGAGAGGAGCAGAGCTCGGCCTCTCTCATCTGTTCCCTGTTGAACTTCTCATGGACTAATGTGTTTTCTAGAGAGAGGTCTTTTAATAAAAGCTTAATATATTATATTTTCAGAGGGAAATGCTGAACAATTTATCCATATAAAAATACTATTTTTTCAATAAAATAAGACAAAACAAGAAATACAGCATTTCTCCACTTGTCATATTTGGTGGACACCTTGATCAGTGGCATCTACAGAGGCTGTTATGTTTCATGGGGGTTGGCAGATCAGTTTCATAGATTAACAGGGGTTACTCATAAAGAATACTCAGCAGTATTGGAGGAAATGTTGTGAAGTGTTACGTTGGTAAGGTCCTAAAGTAATAGGCAGGGACTAGATCCAGAGAAATATGTTACTTATGCTACAGGAAGTCAAGTTTTGCTAGAGTCTGCTGTGGTCTATGTTGACATACAAATATTTCAAAGAGCAATACTCCTTAAAATTTGTTCTTCTCCCAAAGACAGATATTTTCATATAATCTTGTAATTATTTTCTTATAATTGGTAATTTTATAAGATTATGCTATGTTCTTTGAATTGGTCTTATATTTATAGACTTAATAAACAGTAGCTGCTAATATAGAATATAAGGAACTTGCATGTCATTTTAAGGACTTTAAGCAATAGAATCTTGATATAGTTGAACTTTTAAAAATGAACACCATTACAACAATGAAGAAGTTGGACTGAGGAAAACAAGACAAGCGATAGGAAATCAGGTATGAAGGTATTATAGTATTCAGGTAGAAAATAATAATGAAATATGTAGGATTGTAGGACAATTAGGAAATTTAATCACTAGGACTTGTGGACAGTTATCATATTGAACACCATAGGCCAAGGATTATCATATGTAATTTTCTCTCAGATTTTCCAGTCTAGCATGGAAAATATAATATCAATAGTTATAAATATGTGACATTATCCGAAGTATCTTGGGGCAGTATAGCAGATACTGTTAATGTCATGATCTGTATCAGCTCATCCCACCTGAATTCACCTGCACTTATGATCCAAAGTAATCAGTAGGCTGTTAGCTTCATTGGAAACCCCTTGCCTGCACATTTTTCAGCACTTTGCAACTTTATTCCACCTACCACTATAGACTCAAGGTGGAAACTAAGGAAATTAACATACCCACATGAGAAGACGCCCTCAACTACTAGGTGCTGGTATTTATAGAAAATTTCCCCAGCTTTCTGTTTTCTGGTGGTATAATCGTGATGTGTGTTCCATGCAGTTTCTCAGAGTGTTCCCATATAATTGAGTCCCAGTTTCCCACAGTGGTGAAATGTTCATTGGTGCACCCTTTTCCTTATTTCAATGCCTCACTTTCCCCACTCACTGATGCTTCCTGGGATTGCCTCTCAAATGAACAAACTGCATATAAGTTTGTGTCTCACCATTCTCTTTCCATGGGAGGTTTGGCAGTCTGGAGGAGTGAATGGATTGCAAGTTGAGAGAGTTACCAACAGTGGCATTAGAGAACAGTCCTTCAGAATGAGCTTTAAAAATTGTGTCAGATGTCAACAAGGATCATATTGTTGGTATAAATAGGATGGTGACAACTGCTGGCATGGTGCTGATCTCTGGCATGATGTAGCTTCCCAATTATTAAGATGCTTGCCTGTGGTAGATAAATGGGAAAGGAACACAGGTACAAAGACTCTGGTTTATACAAATGCCCCCCACACTTGAAAGACACGAGACAATAATAATTAAAATAATTGTGTAGGCTGGCATTTGCTGCAAGAGACTTAACTCAGAAATAACAGACAGGCTATAAGCTAACCTCCTGTTGGGGAAAGAGATCCATGAAGTTTTCTTGAAGAAATGAATGTGTATTAAGCTGTTAAATGGAGCTGACAAAAATGTTGCATGTAGTAAAAGTGAGACATCAGTGCATGTGGAGAAAGCTGTAAGCTAGAAAACTGTAGGCTAGAGTCAGGAGCTGCTGACAAATCTAGGCAAGGTGTCCAAGGCCAGGTCAGTGAGGCTTTTATATGCCACTTTAAGAAGCTTGGACTTACTTATCCTATGGATAACATGGACTGATTCTTGCAGACTTGCTCAATTATACTGAATAAGAAAATGATTTGACTATTTTCTCAACTTTTAAAGGATAGTACATAAGTTGTATCATTCTAGATGCATAGAGAAGCAGTAAATTTATTATGTTTAGTGCATGTCTAAGAACATTAGGGCTTACTTCTCTGTAAGAATTGTATTTGAGAAAGGATGAAGGGTTTTATAAGAGTACCACAGCCTTAGTTTTAAAATTGCCACTCTTTAGTTACACTTGTAGTCCATGAAATGAAAATCAAATTGAATAGGACAATATACTTCCCCTTCCCTCACATTCACAAAGTAAATCAAACCAGATTACCTGAAACAAAATATTAAACTTCTTGACAAAAATATCTTAAACATCTTAAGAATGACTACTGTACTGCATAAAATAATGAAAGTTCCTCTCTGCTATTCTCTTTAAATTATGCATGTAATCTTCAAAGCAACAACTCATACAAAAAATATGGTTTCATAAAATATGTTTAAATTCAGTACTGTAAAATCAAATATTTGGTTCTGAATTGAAAAATTGATAATTGTTTTCCTTATAGTCTATGCAACATGTCTTAGTCTACTCAGGTTACTATAACAGAATACCATAGACCTGGTGACTTAAAAACAACTTAATTCTAATTCTTACATTTCTGGAGGCTGAGAAGTCCAAGAGTAAGGTACCAACAGATTCCATGTCTAGTGAGGGCCTGCTTCCTGGCTCATAGACTGTTATTTTCTCCCTGTGTCCTCACATAGCAGAAAGGAAGAACTTTAGTCCCTTCAGTTCCTTGTAAGGGCACTAATCCCCTTCAAGAAGTCTCCCCTGTCAAGACCTGACCACTTCCCAGAAGCTTTACCTCCAAATACCATCACATTGAGCTTTATATTTCAAATATAAATTTGAGGGGGAAACAAATATTCAGTTGATAGCACAATGTGAGAAATTTGGGTTTTGTTTCGTTTCTGCTTTTGAAAATGTCTATGCAAATTGGTTAGCAAGAAACCTTGAATGAGAAACAGGATGCCATTATTATTGCTAAAAGAGTTTTTATTTTAAACGTGAATGCTGAAGAGCCTATGACTGAATTTATAACCTATTACAGTAAGTCAACAAGTGAATGCTTTTTCTCTGTCACCCTCGTTCTATAATAGTTATTTCAACATTATGCCAAAATAATACATGAAATAAATTTGTAGCTACATGTAAAAGAAAATATATAAGCAACACATAGTTATTTATAATTCAAAATTTAATTACATTTTCACAAACTAATAATAATAAGGAATTTTTCTGATTCACACCAGAAATAAATTGCATATCATACAATATTTACATTAATATTATATGGTAAACATTTTTTCTGTGATTGCAGAAATTAAATAAAAAGAAAACATAGAGCTCTAATTATTCCAAGTTGTGTTGATTATAATATGCTAGTTTTGCTGTCAGAAATATATAGTAATCCAAAACTTCAATGTCTTAAATCAGGAAAGGTTTTTTTTTTTTTTTTCCTCATCTACACTAAATGTTTAATGCAAAAGAGATGGGCAACGGTAAGGAACAATGCTCCAAGTAGTTATTCATAAATTTAGGTTCGCTGGGGCTCAACAATATTATTGCCATTTGCTGCAACTCAGGAAGAGAATATGGTTAAACCTCACCTATTGTTCTATAATTCCTCCTACAAATGACACCTACTAATTTTTTCCACAGTCTACTGGCTTGAAATAGTCACACATTCAAACCATGCTGCAAGAAAGCTTAGAATTTTAATATTCCATGTGTTCAGGAAGAAGAGAAATTCTGGAGAGCCTAAGTATTAGTAACATTGAATACATATTCTCAGTTCCTAAGGACTGTAATTCAATTATCCAATTTTAAGGCGGAAACAATAAATATCATGTCATTTTTGCGATAATGAATTAAAGCAATGTATTTAAATCTTATGCCTTGAAGAACTGTTATATAATAAATCTATTTTCTTATCTACTGTTCACAGACTTCTTTCACAGAGGTGCTATTGGAACAAGCTGATCTTGTCACTAGCACCTTGAATTTATGCAAGCAGTTACTCTCAAGAAGCTGCAAAATACATTTCTTCAGACTGGTGAGTAACACATGGACTCAGATTTGCTTGAGATTTAGCAAAATATTCTGAATTAAAATACATAAGTCAAATCATTTTTACTAACTATAAAGTAATGAAATGCTTGGATTTTCAGAATAAATTTAGTCTTTATAACTCAGCACCACTGGTCCAACTACTTTTCTCTCCACTTCATCTATATTTAGTATTCTCTAATTTTATATTTCACATTTATTATCTATTTAAGAAATACAATAAGTAGAGCATGTTGAGAGGTCTGCATACATAATAATATGTGCTGTAAATTCATTTACTAATGCAGGTACAATTTAGAAGTATGACTTGATTGTGTAAGAATTTTAATTTCTCCATACTCCTGATAGACAGAGTACACAAAGAAACAAATAAACAGATTAAGTGAATGCACCAAAAGTCAATAGCAGGTGTCATTTCTGACTGGCAAGATTAAGGTATTTCTTATATTTTGGGAGGTTTTTCTGTATTTCCTTTATTTGTTTATTTATTTATTGTGTTTTGAGACCGGGCCTCGCTCTGTCACTCAGGCTGGAGTGCAGTGGCGCCATGTCACTTCACTGCAGCCTTCACCTTCCGGGTTCAAGGGATCCTCCTGGCCCAGCCCCCCAATAGCTGGGACTAAAATTGTGCACTACCGCACCTGCTTAATTTTTGTATTTTTTGTAGAGACAGGGTTTTTCCATGTTGTCCAGGCTGGTGTCAAACTCCTGAGCTCAAGCAATTCACTCGCCTTGGTCGCCCAAAGTTCTGGACTACAGGTGTGAGCCACCACACCTGGCCTCACTTATTTTTTGACAATTAATGTATTTTTCTCAGCATAATTCTGAAAAACATATAGACACATTGTGTAAAAACCAATGTGAAGTTATCAGAAATTCTAAATTTTAAAAAAAGTAATGAAAAACTGTCTGCAGACAAACTTGCTGTCTGTATGTGCTCCACCATTTATTAATTGTTTTAACTTTGAGAAATTTGAGTACATTCTCTTGAAATATATTTATAGACATGCTAGTTTTCCATCAATATCCAGATACTCCTTTCTCAGAAAGGATTTTTGGATGTATAATCTTTCAAAATGAAGACAATATTTTCTGTTTTTCCTTCCCTTATGTATGACTAATGCTGACAAATCAAGCTGTCATGAGTCTGTATCTGGAAAGCTGCTTTTTTTTTCTTCCTCATTCTTTTCTTCACATCCTTCCTTCTCAACCTCAACCACACTATCCATCAGGAACTCAGTTCCTCACTGTGAAGCAGACAATTTGAAAGAGCCTCAGCCTATGAGGATTTTATAGAACAGAATGATCACATAAATTCTTGAATTATTTTTGAGAGAAATAAGCACCTGTCTGCATTAAGCTACTGTTACTTTAAGTTTTCTGTGAATGTGGGCTAAACATAATCTTAACTTGATGTATAATACCTCAAACAATTATTGTTGAAATTAAATAAGATAATATTTATTATGTGTTTAGCATGGTGACTCTTTATTTGATAAATATTTTGTACATTTTGTCTATTATTTCTTTTTTCATGGTTATTCAAAACTATTTCTATATGTTCAAGAAAAAGAAGTCAATTCAGTTCAATTCAGTAAGCATTTATTGACTAACCTCTTTTTCCATGGCTTTGAAACAAAGATCAGAAAGCCAAACTTCTGTTGGGCTGGAGGTAAATACTGAAATAATTAGAAGAAAATGAAAACATATGCAACTTTGCACAAATCTGTTACAAAACTATGTATAATATCAATTAAAAAGCGACTTCGGAAGTCATTATTTCATAGAAAATGTATATGTAGGTTAAAGTCTAGATCACCCATTTTACAATGAAGTACTTCTTCAGATTTATATGCCCACTTGGATTGATTCTAGAACTTGACATTTGGAAATATTTACTTCTAAACCTCAATTTCATTTTAATTACAAACTTTTAAATTACCGGTAGCTTTCAGATTCAAATTCAATTATTAAAAATTCTTCTTAAAAAAAAACTTTATAACAATAAATTTACACAAGTATTTTTCTTCTAAAAGATTGATTTCAAATGATTAAAACTATTGCTCATATAAATGTCCCAGTTCTGTTTGTAAAAGCATATTGATCCTCAAAGTTCAAAGTTGTAAATTTTAAGTGATATTTGCTGAATGTTATTATATAATTGGTCTTTTATGGTCTTGTACTTTTAGAGCTCCTATTGCCTGCAAAAGTCAGAGAATGTAGTTTGAACAGTGGTTTCATTTCTATTTAGCATCATGCTTTATTTATAGTAAATGCACAATAAATATTTATTTATTATAGGACCACCAGTTGTTGTTTTTCTTTAATTATGCAAACTGGGCCATGACTTGGTCCTCATTAAAATTCCAAATTTATGATATTCAAGTCAATGAACATATTTATTCCATTTAAAATTATGCATTTGTAAACAAATCTTTTAAAGTAATTGCCCAAGCAAAAGAAATTATCGGGTTAGATGGGACATTATACCTTTCTATTAACCCATAACTAAACGCATTGTAGTTAGTATTAACTGATATTTCAGACTACTTTTCAGCTTTTCAATTCAAATTTGAATACCAAAGATTATTTTCCAACTAAACTCTTTTAATGAAGTTATTAAAATTCATAAGGTGATAGATGTGTGAGCTTTGTAATAATAAAAATATACAATGATAAAATATAATATGTATATTTTGACCTAAAAGATACTAAAAGTATTTGAGCTCTTATTGTTTTCTGCTAAGAATACTCATGTGCAAAGCAACAAAAAAATTCTATGATACATATCCAAATAATGAAATATTCAGTAATCATAAATCAGTTTGTTCCAGTTCGTTTGGTGATTTTTATGAGCAAATTGAATTAGATCTTTGTTAATTACGTATCCAGCAAAGCACTTTGAAAGTTTATGAATCTTTCAAGGTTCTTCAGGCAATATTTAAGGATTAACATATTTTTTAAGTCTTGGAAAGAAGCATTATATCATTTCCCCTCAGAATTCTGAGACTGAAAAAATGCAAATACTAAAAGAAACACCAATATGCATACTGATTATATATGTGCATAATAAAAATCAGCAAACTATATAGATATATATTCTTGTCAATTGCATCAGAAATTGTTATATCATATCTTCAACAAAATAAAAAATATCACTACTTTTTACTACTGATCCCTCTGACTCATATTCTGAGAGGGTTCAGAGACCAATTAAAAGGCTACTTCAGTTTTTAGCTGGATTCTATACAACAGTGTATCAGTCACCTCAAGTTTTTTTTTTTTTTTTTTTTTTTTTTTTTTATGAGATGGAGCCTCGCTCTGTTGCTAGGCTGGAGTGCAGTGGAACAATCTTGGCTCACTGCAACCTCCGTCTCCTGAGTTCAAGCGATTCTCCTGCCTCAGCCTTCCGAGTAGCTGGGACTACGGGTGTCCGCCACCACACCCAGCTAATCTGCGTACTTTTCGTAGAGAGGGAATTTCACCATGTTGTCCAGAATGGTCTCCTTCTCTTGACCTCGTGATCCGCCCGCCTCGGCCACCGAAGTGCTGGGATTACGGGTGTGAGCCACCGCGCCCGGCCGTCACCACAAGCTTTACCTGTTTACTGAACGAAAGATATGCTTCTTTCTTCCAAAATTCATAGGTTGCTGAGAATAAAGGTAAATTTGGCACCATATGATATTTAGAAAAGTCCTATTACAATGAAGAGAAAAAATATTAAATGAAAAGGGACTATGTTTCTATCTTAGACCATTTTATGCTGTCAGAATGCCGAGGACTGGTTAAGTTATTTAAAAACAGAGGTTTATTTCTTACCGTTCTGGATGCTGGGAAGTCCAAGATCTAGGAGCCTGTGTCTGGCAAGAGGTTTCTTCCTGTATCATCCCGTGAGGGAAGGTGGAAGGGCAAGAGAGCATGTGCAACACAGAGAGGGAGTGGAGCTGAACTCATTCTTTTATCAGGAACCCACTCAGGATAACTAACCAACTTCCACCATGACAGCATTAATCCATTCATGAGGGCAGAGCTCTCATGAGCCAATCACCTCTTAAATCTCACCTCTCAACACGGTTGCAGTGGGGATTAAGTTTCTAACACATAAACTTTGTGGGATGCATTTAAACAGCAACAATTTCCAACTGCTTCTTTGAAAATATATTTAAAATCGCTACAGGGAATAATTGTGAGATGTAAAGAAAAAGATGAGCAATAATATATAGGTAACAAGAATATTTCTTCTAATCAAATAGAATAAAAAGAATGATTAATAAATATATTTTAATTTCATAGATATATATCCCCATTTTAAGATTATTTAAAAACTATTATAAGATTAATTAAATGGAAGGAGGAAGAAAGTCTCATTTATTGGATCCTATTCTAAGAAATGCATATATTATCCCTTCTATTCTTTTATAATAACCTCACATATAAGGAAAATGGGACTACTAGGGTTTAGTGTCCCAAAAAGTTCATGCATTGAAAACGTAATCACCAATGAAACAATGTTGAGAGGTGGAACCTTAAGAGGTGATTAGGTCATGAGGGCTCCTCCCTCAGGAATAGATGAATGTAATTATATTGGGTGATTATATATATCACTGTGAGAGTGGGTTGGTTATAACAGCAAGTTCTGCCTCCTCTTGCTCTCTCGTGCTCTCTCTCACCCATGTGATGCCTTCTGCCATCTTATAAGCACAGCAAAATCACCTTCATCAAATGCCAACACCATGCTCTTGGACTCCCTAGGCTCCAGAACAGTAAGCCAAATAAATTTCTATTCATTATAAATAAATTATTATGGTCCATTACCCAGTGTCAGGTACTCTGTTATAGCAGCAAATAATGAACTAAGACAGGGGCCAAGATAAATAGCTTGCTCAAAGTGACTTGGTGAGGTCTTTGTAACTCTAGAAGAGTTAGAAACTGATCACAATCCCAATTCTATCTTGTTTTAAGCATACTATTGTATTTGTATGACACTGTGCAGAGTTCACTATGTGAATAATAACTCTCTGAACTAAAAAGAAAGCATTATTATTGCATACTTTTTTAAAAAAAATTACTTTAAATTCCGGGATACATGTGCAGAATGTGCAGGTTTGTTAGATAGGTATACATGTGCCATGGTGGTTTGCTGCACCTATCAACCCATCATCTAGGTTTTAAGCCCTGCATGCATTAAGCATTTGTCCTAATGCTCTCCTTCCCCTTTTCCCCACCCCCCAACAGGACCCAGTGTATGATGTTCCCCTCTCTATGTCCATGTGTTCTCGTTGTTCAGCTCCCACTTATGAGTGAGAACATGCAGTGTTTGGTTTTCTGGTCCTGTGTTACTTTGCTGAGAATGATGGCTCTCAGCTTCATCCATGTCCCTGCAAAGGACATGATCTCATTCTTTTTCATGGCTGCATAGTATTCCATGGTATATATGTGTCACATTTTCTTTATGTAATGTATCATTGATGGGCACTTGGGTTGGTTCCAAGTTTTTGCTATTGTAAATACTGCTGCAATAATCATATGTGTGCATGTGTCTTTATAGTTGAATGACATATAATCTTTTGGGTATATACCCAGTAACGGGATTGCTGGGTCAAATGGTATTTCTGGTTCTAGATCCTTGAGGAATCACCATACTGTCTTCCACAATGGTTGAACTAATTTACACTCCCACCAGCAGTGTAAAATGTTCCTATTTCTCCACAGCCTCACCAGCATCTATTGTTTCTTGACTTTTTAATAATCACCATTCTGACTGGCATGAGATGGTATCTCACTGTGGTTTTGATTTGCGTTTCTCTAATGACTAGTGATGATGCATCAAATTTTTAAAAGATGAAACAGTCCTAAAGGGGCTAACTGACTCATATAAGTTTGTTAAGGTAAATAGTTGAGGAATTTTAAACCCTTTAGCCACACTTCTCCCCTCTAGCTGTGAGATTTTTCTTTTTGAGATATAATTTAAATTGGAAGTAAACAAAAGTATTTTTATATATCTTATTTCAGTATGTTTGCAAATAAAATGATTTTAAATATGTTTTTGCTAGAGGGCATTATCTTTTATTAGCCTCCAGTTGTGAAAAGGTCATGCATATTGATAAAATTATTACTAATGAAAACATGACATTCAAACTTTTCTTCCAATAAAATTGTCTTCTGTTTATTGTAGTTCAAAAATAATAATAAAATTTATTTCTTACAGATATTATTATAGATATCTTAGAAAAATATAAGCCATTTGTTTTATAGGATAATTTTTACTGTTCCCTAATAAAAATTGAAAAAGCTGGAATTTGGAGCATAAATCCTTCAGAGTAACTCTTGATTCTTATTCACATCTATTTGAACTTTTTTATGTCAACTTTCCCTGTTTGTTTTATTTTATATGTTACCTTAAATAGACTCTCAGTGTGTGATGAGAACTTTATTATCTATTTAAACTGGAAAGAAAAATGTTCCTTTATATAATAAATGAGATCTACTGTTAAGCTATGTTTGCTATAATCTCTGGTATGACTAGAGCTTATCAGTTGATTGATGGCCTGGCTTGACTGATATATCATAGCCTAACTGTTAGAACACAGGTGAGGGAGAAATTATAAAAAATTACTTAGCTATGTTTTTATATGGGGCTAGTTTATTTTAGATAAAATTCTCCTCCCTTCCAAATTAAACTGTACAATTTAAAATTTAATCTTTAAGACTACAGGCAGCTCTTATAAGTAACAATATAAAATGATTCCCTCAGCATTAAG
Source organism: Homo sapiens (assembly GCF_000001405.40). Lineage (NCBI taxonomy): Eukaryota > Metazoa > Chordata > Mammalia > Primates > Hominidae > Homo > Homo sapiens. The sequence continues at coordinate 96,484,286 of NC_000003.12, forward strand.
AATTAATTTTTATGTGTTCCCTTTAATTCTACTTATTCTTTTTGTAGGGATTTCTCTTATTCCTCTTCAATGGCTCATTCACCTATGTAACCAAGGAAATTTCACATAGTCACCTCAGCTCCACAGTGATCAAATTTACTTATTATATTTTCTTTACCTTTGAAATGAATAGCTTTTTTTTGTTTTTTTTTTACTAATTTTTCACCTATACCTGTTTATATTAAGTTAGCTCATGGAATACAAAAAGTTTAAGAAAGAAAGTTAACAAGTCTGTAATGCTACTGTACTAAGAAATCTACAACTAATATTTCAGGGACAAACAATTCATATATATATAAAATACATATATAATATATATATATAACATACATATATATAATATATATAATACATATATTATATATAATACATATATATATAATAAATATATAAAATACATATATATATATAGTGTGTGTGTGAGACAGAGTTTCGCTCTTGTTGCCCAGGCTGGAGTGCACCGGTATGATCGCGGCTCACTGCAACCCCAGCTGCCCAGGTTCAAGAGATTTTCCTGCCTCAGCCTCCCGAGTAGCTGAGATTACAGGCGCTGGCCACCACACTGGGCTAATTTTTTGTATTTTTAGTAGACACGGGGTTTCACCACATTGGCCAGGCTGGTCTCAAACTCCTGACCTCAGACGATCCACCCTCCTTGGCCTCCCAAGTGCTGGGATTACACTGCACCTGGCCCATATATTTTTAATGTATGTGAGCATGAGCATGTGCATGGTTGTGTGTTTAAATATTTAAATCTGAAGCAACTCTACTTATAATATTGTAGTAATATGTATATGCCTCTATGCATTTTCTTCACTTTACAAAAATAAGGTCATGTTTGCATTTTGGCACTATGCAGCCATTAGTGGCTGTATAATATTTTACTAAGTGGAAGAATCAGAATTTATTCAAGCATCTGTCAATGGGTAAGCATTCACTGTGTTTCCAGATTTTGCCTTGATCAATAAAACTGCAAGACTCATTGTTTTGTATGCATTATTATGATTTGTTGTTTATGAATGAATGAAAGAGCTCATAAGTGTACTTTTTGGATCAAAATTTTAAGGATTTATAAATTAATATATATTGTGCTAATAATGTATAAATCTATTATTTTTTGTTATTCCATTCAGCATTAAGTAATTTAATTTTATTTATTTTTTGCACCAAAGTTCTTAATTTATTTATAATTTTTGCTAATCTATTAAGTGAAAAATAGCATCTCATTTTTTTCTTTAATGTGCAATTCCTTGAATATTGTTGATTTTACTGAGATGCTTATTGATATATTTTCCCATGTTCTACTACTTATTATCTTTTTCTAATTAATTTTTGTGGGTTTGTTGTAAAGCATAGGTATTATCCCTTTTTTTTTATATTTGCTGAAAATATTTTACATATTTTCTGAATAACTTCACACCATATTTGTAAATAATTTAAATTTTTATCAAATTTTTCTTTCTTAATCATATGTATTAATTAAATTATCACTGCTAAAATGTTAAGATGTTTATTTTATACTAAATCATTTAATTAAATTTGAAAATTAAAAGTGTTTATGTAAAATTTTAATTTTATTTGTGGTTGATTGTAGAAGTAATATCTTTCCCTGTAACTAATCAGTAATTATGGCCCCATTTATTGCTAAACATACTTTACCCCACTCAGTTGAAATGCCAATTTGTTCATGTATTAAATTCCTATTTATAAACAGACCAAATAGTGGGCTCTTTGTAGTATTTCTAGCTTATTTTTCTCTCCATAAGGCAATACATTCTTGTTTTCATTACGGCATATTTCATGTAATATATAATATTTGTAAACCTCCTACACTTCAACTTTTTCTTTAGGTTATTAGATATTAGGTATTTCTCCTTCCATGTAAAATATAATATTTTATTAAAATGTAAAAGAAGTCATTTATTACTTTTGAAATAAAATATAATTATTACATGTAATTTAGAAGTATTCACAATTTGCTTGTCATTCCATCTAAAAATATTTATAGACCTTATTTATTTGGAAGTTCTATACAGAAAGTATATGGCTATTGCTACTATAAGTGAAGTGTTTTTTTTTTTTTTTTTTGAGACAGAGCCTCGTTCTGTCGCCCAGGCTGGAGTGCAGTGGCGTGATCTCAGCTCACTGCAAGCTCCGCCTCCCGGGTTCACGCCATTCTCCTGCCTCAGCCTCAAGAGTAGCTGGGACTACAGGCACCCGCAACCTCGCCCGGCTAATTTTTTGTATTTTTAGTAGAGACAGGGGTTTCACTGTGTTAGCCAGGATGGTCTTGATCTCCTGACCTCGTGATCCGCCCGCCTCTGCCTCCCAAAGTGCTGGGATTACAGGCGTGAACCACCTCGCCCGACCTATAAGTGAAGTTTTTAGAATATATACTCCTGAGTTCTATTGTGCAACTTCACATTGATACAACTTCTGAAAGCATCCAAGGTTATGAGTCAGTTCAGCCCTATGCAATGTGAATCACCAAGTTTCAAATGTCACATGTTAGAAATATTCTAAAGATGGAAGAAACTGTTCCTCAAGAAACTGTGGGTCTGAAATGTGATAATGAATGATTCACTAATGGTAAAATAAAAATCATCCCGTGTGCTCATGAATACATAGGTTGGCATCTATATAGAGTATTCTGAACATTTGTAGTACCTAAATAAGCATTTCACTGGTAACTCAGAATTTCCATAAGAAAGCAGTTACTTTCTCAAATATTTTGTGGGGATTATACTAAATTTATTTTAGTGGGTAGAATAAGAGATCTCATTCATGGTTTCTGCTGTATAATTAGTCCAATATTTGTTGGATCTTTGGAGCAAACTCAGATCAGGATTGACTAAAAAGACTTTATATATTTTTAAGTTTTCTCTGTGTCTCATTTGGATAAAAAAATTAGAATAGTTATTCATTAACTAATTTTTGACACTTTGATAATCTGTATTCATAGAAATATTCCATTGATTCCCTACCCTAATATATAAATATATTGGTAAGGTTTTAATTTTTTTTCATTTCCTCCTCACTAAAAAACTGGTGAAAATCTTAAAATTTCACAAGGCTTGTGAAGAGTCACTGGTCTAATCAAATCGAGATTTTTCTTCACTTTCATAATCCACGTTTTGGAAAATATCTGTTTTTGTGTCCCAGAAAATATTTATTACTTGACTTTAAATTAAAATGGTCTGTAATTTTTTTATAAAGAAGAACATTTCTGGATTAGTGAATGTTCCATTCCATTGTGGTTTAAGTTTATATGAACAAGCTAGTTTCTGAGGTGTAAAAGATATTTTTAAAATTTTTAATTTTTGGCTCAGGGGTACAAGTGCAGGTTTCTTATATAGGTAAATTGTATGTCACAGGGTTCTGGTGTACAGATTACTTTGTCCTCCAGGTAATAAGCATAGTGGCCAATGGGTAGTTTTTTGATCCACACACTTCCACCCTCCACCGTCCACTAGGCCCTGATGTCTGTTGTTCCCTTTCATTGTGTCCATGTGTATCCAGTGTTTAGCTCCCACTTATAAGTGAGGGCGTCTGGTATTTGGTTTTCTGTTCCTGTATTAGTTCGGTTATTTAATGGACTCCAGCTCCACCCATGTTACAGAAAATGATATGATCTTATTATTTTTCATGGCTGTGTAATATCCCATGGTGCATATGTACTGCATTTTATTTATCCAGTGTATTATTGATGGGCATTTAAGGTGATTCCATATCTTTGCTGTTGTAAATAGTACTGTGATGAACATACATGTGTATCTGTCTTTATGACAGACTAATTTATATTCCTTTTGGTATATACCCAATAACAGGATTGCTGGGTTGAATGGTAGTTTTAAGTTCTTTGAGAAATTGCCACACTGCTTTCCACAATAGCTGAACTAATGTATATTCCTACTTGCATCATATAAGTATTTCTTTTTCTCCACACTCTCACCAGCCCCTGTTATTTTTTGACTATTAATAATAGCCACTCCGACTGGTGTGAGATGTATCTTATTGTGGTTCTGATTTGTATTTCTCTAATGTTTATTGATGTTGAGCTTTTTAAAATGTTTGTTGGCCATATGCATGTTTTCTTTTGAAAAGTGTCTGTTCATGTCCTTTCCCATTTTGTAATGAGCTTGTTTGTTTTTTCCCTGTTCATTTGTTTAAGGTCTGTATAGATTCTGGAAGTTAGATCTTTGTTGGATGTTTAAATTGCAAATATTTTCTCCCATTCTGTAGGTTGTCTGTTTACTCTGTTGATAGTTTCTTTTACTGTGCAGAAGCTCTTTAGTTTAATTAGATCTCATTTGTCAATTTTTTATTGCATTGCAACTACTTTTGGCATCATTGTCACAAAATCTTTGCCAGGGCCTATGTTCAGAATGGAATTTCCTAGATTTTCTTCCAGGATATTTTAAATGGTTTTAGATTTTACATTTAAGTCTTTAATCCATCTTGAGTTGATTTGTATATGGTGTAAGGAAGGCATTCAGTTTCAGTCTTCTGTATATGGCTAGCCAGTTATCTCAGCACCGTATATTGAATAAGGAATCCTTTCCCCATTGTTTGTTTTTGCTGACGTTGTCAAAGATCAGATGGTTGTAGACGTGTGGCTTTATTTCTTGGCTCTCTATTCTGTTTCATTGGATTATGTGTCTGTTTTTGTACTAGCACCATGATGGTTTGATTACTGTAGCCTTGTAATGTAGTTCGAAGTAGGGTACTGTGATGCCTCCAGCTCTGTTCCTTTTAAGATTGCTTTGGTGATTTAGACTCTTTTTCGGCTTCATATTAATTTTACGATAGTTTTTTTCTAGTTCTATGAAGAATATCATTGGTAGTTTGATAGGAATAGCATTGAATCTGTAAATTGCTTTGGGCAGTATGACCATTTTAATCGTGTTGATTCTTCCTATCCATAAGCATGGAATGTTTTTCCATTTACTTGTGTTATCTCTGATTTCTTTGAGCGATGTTTGGTAATTTTCATTGTAAACATCTTTCACCCCCATGGTTAGCTATATTTCTAGGTATTGTATTCCCTTTGTTGTCATTGTGAATAGGATTGTGTTCTTAATTTGGCTCTTGGCTTGGATGTTATTGGTGTATAGAAACACTACTGATTTTGTATATTTATTTTGTATCCTGAAGCTTTGCTGAAGTTGTTTATCATATCTAGCAGCTTTAGGGCAGAGACTGGGGGATTTTCTAGGTATATAATTATATCATCTGCAAACAGGGATGGTTTGACTTCCTCTCCTTCTATTTGTATGCCTTTTATTTCTTTCTTTTCCTTGATTTCTCTGGCTAGGGCTTTGAGTACTATTTTGAATAGGAGTGGTGAAAGTGGGAATCCTTTTCTTGTTCCACTTGTCAGGTGGAATGCTTCCACCTTTCACCTATTCAGTATGATGTTGCATGTGGTTTTGTCAAAGATAGCTCCTTGAATGCCTGGATTGTTGAGGGATTTTAACATGAAATAATACTGAATTTTATCAAAAGCATTTCATGCATCTATTGAGATTATCATGTGGTTTCTGTTTATGTGATTAATCACATATATATTGATTTGTATATGTTTAACCAACTTTGCCTCTCAGGTATAAAGCCTGCTAGATTGTGGTGGATTAACTTTTTCTGTGCTGCTGGATTCTGTGTGCTAGTATTTTGTTGATAATTTTACCTCTGTGTTCATCAAGGATATTGGCCTAAAGTTTTCCTTTTTTGTTCTGTCTCTGCCGGGTTTGGGATCAGAATGATGCTGGCCTCTTACAATGAGTTAGGAAGGAGTCTCTCCTCATTTTTTTGGAATAGTGTCAGTAGGAATGATACCAGCTATTTTATATACATCTTGCAGAATTTAATTGTGAGTCCATCTGGGCCAGTGCTTACTCTGATTCATAAGCTTTTTTTTTTTTTTTTTTTTTTTTTTTTTTGAGACGGAGTCTCGCTCTGTCGCCCAGGCTGGAGTGCAGTGGTGCGATCTCGGCTCACTGCAAGCTCCGCCTCCCGGGTTCACGCCATTCTCCTGCCTCAGCCTCCCGAGTAGCTGGGACTACAGGCGCCCGCTACCACGCCCGGCTAATTTTTTGTATTTTTAGTAGAGACGGGGTTTCACCGTGTTAGCCAGGATGGTCTCGATCTCCTGACCTCGTGATCTGCCCGCCTCGGCCTCCCAAAGTGCTGGGATTACAGGCGTGAGCCACCGCGCTCGGCCATAAGCTTTTTATTACTGATTCAATTTCAGAACTTGTTATTGGTCTGTTCAGAGCTTCAATTTCTTCCTGGTTCAATCTCAGGAGGTTGTATGTTTCCAGGAATCTATTCATTTCTCATAAGTTTTCTAGTTTGTGTGCGTGGGGTGTTCACAATAGTCTCTGAGGATTTTTGTATCACTGTGGGGTCAATGGTAATGTCCCCTTAGTCATTTCTAATTGTGTTTATTTTGATCTTCTTTCTTTTTCTTTCCTAGTCTACTTGGTGGTTTATCAATCTTATTTATTCTTTCCAGAAAACCCACTTCTGGTTTTATTCATCTTTTGTATGATTTTTATGTCTCAATTTATTTCAGTTAAGCCTAATTTTGGTTATTTATTGTCTTTTGTTAGCTTTGGGGTTGATTTGGTCTTGTTTTTCTAGTTCCCCTTGGTGCGATGTTAAGTTGTTAACTTGAAACCTTTTTAGATTTTTGATGTAGGTGTTCAGCACTATATACTTTCCTCTTAACACCATTTTAGCTGTTTCCCAGGGATCCTTCTATTTTGTATTAGTTTCAAAGAATTTCATATTTTATGCTTTGATTTCATTGTTTACCCAAAAGTCATTCAGTACCAGGTTGTATAATTTTCATGTAATCATACAGTTTTGAGTGATATTCTTAGTACTGGTTTCTATTTTTAATGCACTGTGGTCTGACAGTGTGGTTGGTATGGTTTTGCTTTTTTTTAATTTGCTGAGAATTTTTTATGGCTGATTGTGTGGTCAAATTTAAAGTAGGTGCCTTGTGTAGATGAGAAGAATGTATATTCTATTGTTTTTGGGTGGAGAGTTCTGGAAATACCTGTTAGGTTAATTTGGTCAAGTGCCAAGTTCAGGTCCCAAATATCTTTGTTAGTTTTTACCTTGATGATCTGTCTAATACTCTCAGTGGGGTGTTGAAATCTCTCAATACTATTGTGTGGTTATCTAAATCTCTTCTTAGGTCTCTAAGAATTTGTTTTATGAATATGGGTGCTCCTGTGTTGGGCGCATATATATTTAGAATAGTTACATGTTCTTTATGAATTGAACCCTTTACCATTATGTAATGCCCTTCTTTGTCTTTTGATCATTGTTTAAAGTCTGTTTTGTCTGAAATTGGAATAGCAACCTCTGCTTTTTTTTCTGTTTTCCATTTGCTTGGTAGATTTTTCTCCATCCCTTTATTTTGAGTCTATGCATGATATTGCATGTGAGATGGGTCTATTGAAGACAGTATAGCATTGGATCTGGCTCCTTTATCCAACTTTCCACTCTGTGCCTTTTAATTGGAATCACTTAATTGGGAAGACTTGTTTATCTTTTTGCTTTATATTGATATGTACAGATTTGAGTCTGTCATTGTACTTTTAGCTAGTTATTATGCAGACTTGATGGTGTATCACTTGCTTTATAGTGTAAGTGATCTATATATTTAAGTGTGTTTTTGTGGTGGCCAGTAGCAGTCTTTCATTTCCATATTTAGCACTTCCTTAAAGACTTCTTGTAAGGCAGGTCTGGTGGTAACAAATTCAGTCAGCATTTGTGTGTCTAAAAGGGATCTTACTCTCCTTTGCTTGTAAGCTTAGTTTGGCTGGATATAAAGTTTTGTTTGGAATTCCTTTTCTTTAAGAATGCTGAATATAGGCCCTCCAATCTCTTCTGGCTTATACTGCTTCTGCCAAAGGTTCATCATTGGCCTGATGGGGTTCCTTGTGTTGGTAACCAACCCCTTCTCTCTAACTGCCTTTAATATTTTTATCTCCTTTCAAACTTGGAGAATTCAATGACTGTGTGTTGGGGATAGTCATCTTGTATAGTATCTTCGCATTTTCTCTGAGGGGTTCTTCACATTTTCTGTGAAGGGGTTCTTCACATTTTCTGTGAAGGGGTTCTTCACATTTTCTGTGAAGGGGTTCTTCACATTTTCTGAATTTGAATGTTGGCCTTTCTAGTGAGGCTTGAGAAATTTTCATGGACAATATCCTCAAATATTTTCCAAGTTGCTTGCTTGTTTTCCCTCTCTTTCAGGGATGCCAATGAGTCATAGCTTTGATCTCTTTCCATAATTCTATATTTCTCAGATTTTGTTTATTTTTTTCTCTATATTTACCTGACTGAGTTAACTCAGAGAATTGGTTTTCAAACTCTGAGATTGCTTCCTCAGCTTTGCTATTCTGCTGTTAATACTTACAATTGTATTATGAAATTCTTCTAGTGAGTTTTTCAGCTTTATCAGATCAGTTTGATTCTTTCTTAAAATAGCCATTTTGTCTTTTAGCTCCTGTATCATTTTATTGTATTTTTTATATCTTTGTATTAGATTTTGACTCTTTCCTGAGTTTAGACAATGTTTGTTCCTACTCACATTCCAAACTCTACTGTCATTTCAGCCATTTTAGGCTGGTTACGAAGCATTGCTGGGGAAGTAGTGCAGTCCTTTGGATGTAAGAAGACACTCTGGCTTTTTGTGTTGCCAGAGGTCTTGCACTGGTTCTTTCTCATCTGTGCGGGCTGAAGTTCCTTTCTTCTTTGAAATTGTTGTCCTTTGGATGAGTTGTTTTGCTTTTATTTTCTTTGATGCCCTTGGGTGTTTGATTGTTGTTTTGGTCGACTGACTTCATTTTTTTTAGGATTTTATGGGGCCAGTGCTCAGCTAAGCTTTCTTGGGCTGCATGCTCTATCTCTGAGGGGCTGGTACTGGGCCCCCAGCTTTATTCCCTAATCCTCGAGGTCAGGAACTTGCTGCACTGGAGGGCCAAGGTGTTTCCAGGCCACTGTCCATGACTGTCTGATGGGGGGTGCCAATTGAAGCACTTCTTTGGAGTGATGGCAGCAGGATCAGTGTTCATTTGTGCATGTCAGCAGCTGTAGTAGCACTACAAAGTGCATGCATGTTAGCCAGGGTGACACACCCACAGGAGCAGGCTGCAGCATTTCTGCATGGACTTCTGCAAGCAGTGTTCCTATTTATGGCTGTACCAATGGCAGTGTCACAGCAAGGTCAGGGTGCTGGCAGGGGCAAGATTACTAGTGACCATGCTCACACTCACACCAGCAGCATCAGCACGACGTGGCAATCATGTGTCAACAAGGGCAGGGTACACTCATGCTGGCAGCGATGGAATGGTGGGCTGCATGTGGGTGCACACAAACACACACACACACACACCCTGAAAAGGAAGGGGAGGCAAGGGCCCCCCTCGCCCATCTGTGCTCCAGCAAGGCGTGGCTGGTGCCATGGGCAAGAGCATGCTGGTACAGCAGCAGGGTGGCAGGGAGGATACTGTGGTGGGGGAGGCTACAAGTGGGCTGGTGCACATTGGCGGGGCCAATCTGCTGGAACTCTAACAGTCAGGCATGGTCGGCCAGCAAAGAAGCTATGAAGAGGTCCCCCAGGAATTACTCTGATAGGGCACTGGAGGTGGCATTGCAAGTGGGTGCAGCCAGGCTGGGGCCCAGGAGTATCTGGAAGACAGGGGGCTCTCAGAGCCAACTGGCGCTGTATCATAGTCAAGACTGCCCTCCTCCATCCAGGTCTGTCAGTCACCCAAATGCTAAAACCTTTTGGAGGAGCATGGCAAAGCTTTGGGGCATAGGTGTGTCTGGCTGTGCTCCACTACAGCCATTTCCGCGTTAAATCCTCTGGGCTCTGCAGTGTGGAGTTCAGTCCCTGCTCTAAGCAGCTCTCCTTGCCAGCTCAAGTGCCTATGGGAATCTGGAGTCTCAGGCTTCTAGGATTCTGGAGGTCCCTGGTAAGAGCAGGCCCCCACTCCTCACTTTTTAAACTCACCCCTTTTCTAGTAGTCACTGGGGACCAGAATCCATTCTTGTGCTCAGCAGCCCCCATGCAGGGCTCCCAGCTCCCTCCTCCTTCAGCCCTGCCTCTGTGTCCTCCCTCTGTTTATTCTCTTTTTTTTTTTTTTTTTTTTTTTTTTTGAGACGGAGTCTCGCTCTGTCGCCCAGGCTGGAGTGCAGTGGTGCGACCTCGGCTCACTGCAAGCTCCGCCTCCCGGGTTCACGCCATTCTCCTGCCTCAGCTTCCCGAGTAGCTGGGACTACAGGCGCCCGCCACCACGCCCGGCTAATTTTTTTGTATTTTTAGTAGAGGCGGGGTTTCACTGTGTTAGCCAGGATGGTCTCGATCTCCTGACCTCATGATCTGCCCGCCTCTGCCTCCCAAAGTGCTGGGATTACAGGCGTGAACCACCGCGCCCGGCCCTTCTGTTTATTCTCAATGCCTTCCTTCCAAAGATCTGCTCAGAGTGTACCAGTCTTCCTGATATCCCAGTCCCTCCATGAGAGCTCTTCCTCTTGGCTGAGTCTAGTCGGCCATATTGACTCAGAATCCTGAGATGTAAGTTTTAAAGCCACAATTAAATAAAATCCAAAAACTGTCCATTTGTGAGAGATTGTGCTCTGAAGCTAGACTGGGTTCTAGTTCATGCTCCTCAGGTTGCAAGCCATTTGCCAGCAGGCAAATTAATTACACTTACACTTGGAACCTTTGGTTTTCTATCAAACTCACTATGTTGTTCTGATGATTAAATGAATTAACACAGACAAATTCCTTATAAGAGTGTCAAGTGAATGCTCAAAATGTCAGTTATTATTTTTTATGACTTGGCAATTTCTAATAGTTAATTTTGGGTTGTACTTACAAATACGCTTATATATAGGCACAGCGATACATATCCATTCAGTCATTTTATATTATCAAACCAGTTTTTCTTGTTTTTTTTTTCCATTTCAATTTCACCCACTGCTACAGACAAGTTTTGTTTGTTTATATGATATATTTAACATACAAAAGGAAAAAGTTCAAGCTCTTAAGAATATGAGGTTGGGGGTGTAGCTATGAGTTGTAATAAAAAAATACAATTTCATCCTGATTTAACTTACTTTCCTCTGGTTCTCTACCTGTACCCACATATTTGAAAATCGCTGGGAAAATATGATCATGTTGACACATCACACTTTAAAGCTATGACGTAAACTTCAAGCAGACCTTAAATGATACTGGGCCATTGGACTACATTAGTCTAATTTATCTACCCACCTCCTGTCTTGCAACATTACCTATTACTGTATACACTCCTTTCTCTTCAAACTTCAACCATCTCCTCCCCATACTCAATCTATGGAGGCAGGACCTTGTATGCTATTTTCTTTTGATTTGATTTTCTCGGTAAAATCTAACAATTCGACTGAGGCTGGGCACGGTGGCTCACGCCTGTAATCCCAGCACTTTGGGAGGCTGCGGAGGGTGGATCATGAGGTCAGGAGATCGAGACCATCCTGTTCAACATGATGAAACTCTGTCTCTACTAAAAATACAAAAATTAGGCAGGCATGGTGGCACGTGCCTGTATCCCAGCTACTCAGGAGGCTGAGGCAGGAGAATCGCTTGAACCAGGGAGTCAGAGGTTGCAGTGAGCCAGGATTGTGTCACAGCACTCCAGTCTGGTGACAGAGCGAGACTCCGTCTCAAAAAAAAAAAAAAAAAGAAATTCAACTGAGATTGTTCTTAATGTCACCAATAACCTTTTTTCATAAATACAATGTCCAAATCTCAATCATCGTCTTATTTCAAGTACCAACAGTGTTTAAGAAAACTGGTCACTTTTTCTTCCTCGAAATACTTTCTTCACTTGGATTCTCCCACAGAGACTTCTTTTTCATATTCCTTGTTAATCTTCACCTTATTCCTAAACTCTTAAAGCACTTATACCCTAGAACTTTTCTCTTCTCTTTTAGACCCACTTCATTACAGACCTCATTAATTTAAAATATCTCTATAGTCTGATAGCTCTCAAATATTTACCCCAACCCTGGTTCTTTGGACTCACACATGCAAATGCCTTCTCTACTGCTACACTGGGATGCCTAAATAGAAATCCCTTACTCAATACTGTTAAATTTTAGCATGAAATCCCTTCACAAAACTGCTACATCATCAGTCTTCCTATTCTTCGATAAAAAGAGCTCCATCTTCCAATGATTCAAGATAAACATCTCCGAATCATCCTTGACTTGTTTCTTTCTCCTATATTCTGCAAAACATCCATTAAGCTACTGTATTAGGTCAAACTTCAAAAAATATTAAGAATTCAATTGCTCACATCTGTTCTACTGCTATCCCCTTAATCAAATCTCTTGCTTGGATTACAGCAATACCTGATCTCCTATTCGTTCTCCTTTTTTTCACTGCCTTCTCCTTACAATTTATTCTCAATATAGCTTCCAGACTGTTCCTTATAAATGAAATTTGGATCAAGTGCTGATGTGCTTAAACCCCCAAATAATTTTCATTTTTTTCATTCACAGTAAAAGCCATGAAAAGCCTCATCCCTATAGATCCCCATGATTTGGACTTTGTTGCATCTTTGACCTTGTTTCATATGACTTACTTCTTTTCTCACTCCACTCTTGTTACACTGACCTTGGCTCTGCTGTTTGAACAAGTCAGTTATCCTTCCATTTATAGGCATTTGCATTTAATGTATCATCTACCTGTAATTATCTGGCCTCAGATATAAGTCTGGTATGCTTTCTAACCTACTTCATTTCCTAAATGTCACCTTTTCATTGAGACCGAGCTCATAGTTCTAATTAAAATTTTACCCCTTAGGCCTATTCTTTTCTTCACCCAGCTTTAAAATTCTTCGTGGAACTTATAAATTACTGCTATATGATACAATAACAAAAACTGTTATCATTTACTGCCTTTCTTCTTCAAATTGAATTTATTTTTCAACCTCTGTTACTTCCATATCATTAAGCCTGAAACATAATAATGCTTAAATGACTTATTGGATTAATTAATAATTGCTATTTGTTAACAATGTATCCATTGTAAATATATTGTGAATAATTATCATGCTTGCTGCTCTCTGAGCCTCCTGGATCTATATTTTAGTGTCTGCCATTTACGTTGGAAAGTTCTTAGCCATTATTTCTTCAAATTTTTTTTTGCTTATTGTTCATTTCTTCTATGTAATTTCAGTTACACATAGATTGTACCTTATGAAACAGCATCACAGTTCTTGTATATTCTATTCCTTTTTTAAATTCATATTTCTCTATGCTTTCAGTTGGGGAAGTATCTACTATTTACTTACACATCTTCAAGTTCACTGATTCTTTCCTTGGCCGTGTCTAGTCTACTGGTAAGCAAATATGTTCTTCATTTCTTTCTCAGTGCTTTTAGTTGTAGTATCTTTTTAAAAATACTTTATTAGAGTTTCTCTCTGTTTGCATTACCTATCAATTATTATGTCTATTTTTTCCTTTTAGACCCCTTAACACCATATTATAGTCATTTTAGAATTTCCTGATAATTCCAGTGCTTGCATTATATCTGAGTCTGGTTTTATGCTTGCTTCATCTGCTTAAAATCTATCTATCTATCTATAGCCTTTTAGCACACCTTGTAACTTTTTGTTTGTAACTTTTTGTAGTTGCCTTGTAACTTTTTGTTGAAAGTTAGATGTGTTGTACCAGGTAATAGGAACTGAGGTCAATAGGCATTTAGTGTGAGGTTTGATATCATTCTGGCTAGGAGTTGGGCTGTGTTTAATGTTTGTTGTAGCAGTAGAGAGCAGAGGCTTCAAATTCTTCTTATGTTCTTGTTTTTATCATCCCCATGTTTGGAGGCTCCTGTAGGATCTCCTCCCAAGAGACAGTCTGTGTCTTACAGCTCTGTCAGCTGTAGTGCTGTTATACTGGAAAACTCTTGTAGTGGGAAGGTATGTAAAATAAAGTTTCTTTTATAGCTTTCTGATGAAATCTCAATCATTCAAGGGGCCTGTATCACAGGGCTGTGATTTTTACAAGTGTTTCTCCAGTAGTAGTGATTCCCTGTGTAACTTTACATGTTACAGAAATATTAAAGTATATGAATGTGAGGCATGCCCTTCTTCATCTGGGATAAAGGTCTGGTAAAATCTTATTTCCTAGAGAATGGACCTTTATTTTGAATACTCTGGGCTTACTTCAAAGCAATTACATTTTGTTTACCATCACAAGAGCCATGAAAGAATCTTCCTTGCATACTCACTATGAGAATATGATGAGTGTCAGAAAGTGAAATCCATGGAAGTTTGGGCTTCCCTTGAGAGTATTTTCCCCAGGATTTTTTCACTCTCAAGCTAGTCCATCTTCAGCCTCCAGAAATTCACCAAAATTACAGGTTTATAGATCCAGCGGCTTCTGTTCCAGGTAACCAAATATTGGCTGTGACCCTCTCAATGTGCCTCTCTCTGCAGATTTTGGGGGAGGAGAGTTGGAGGAAGAAATGTTTGCGCTGAAATTTCAGTTCTCTGATAAATCCAAGAAAAGTCATTGATTTTCAGGTTTTCCAGCTTTCTGTTGTTGTAAGAATGGACATGACAACATCCAAGTTTTTTTTTTTCATGTTGGAATGGAAACCAGAAGCAACACAATTGATCCTTATCACTTAATTACTACCTCTCTTTTCCACCTCATGGCCCAGTCAAGTCAATACATAAAATTAGTCATCTCAATGTTCTTGGTGAAAAATTATGTAATGACAAATGCATAATTGGAGATTATTTTATCTACCTTTAGCTAAAATAGCATTTAAAAGTTATATCTATGTATTTTTGTATTTTTATTAGCGCTTGCCAAAAGTCTGGAGGTAATTCTAAATGAGCAGGGGAAAAAAGTGTCTTTTCTGAACTGAATAGGTCAATATTGTATGATATAGAAAGACCAGGAGATCATAGCCCATTTATTTATTATATTTTGAAATATTCATATACAATAATAATTTTTTTATTAAAGTCGCAATCCATAGTCTCAAAATTGAGTAAATTTATACTTCCTATAAAAAGTTTTTGGCCGGG
Source organism: Homo sapiens (assembly GCF_000001405.40). Taxonomy (NCBI): domain Eukaryota; kingdom Metazoa; phylum Chordata; class Mammalia; order Primates; family Hominidae; genus Homo; species Homo sapiens. The sequence goes on from NC_000003.12 coordinate 96,499,432, forward strand.
CACAGTGGCTCACACCTATAATTGCAGAACTTTGAGAGGCTGAGACAGACAGATCACTTGAGGCCAAGAGTTTGAGACCAGCCTGATCATGATGGTGAAACTCCTTCTCTACTAAAAATACAAAAATTAACTGGGTGTGGTGGTGGGCTCCTCTAATCCCAGCTACTCAGGAGTCTAAGGTGGGAGAATCACTTGAACCCGGCAGCCAAAGGCTGCAGTGAGCCAAGATGGCACCACTGCACTCCAGCCTGGGTGACAGAATGAGACTCTGTGTCAAAAAAAAAAAAAGAAAAAGAAAAAAAAAAGTTGTTATGAGTTTGATTAGTTGCTGAGGTCTTTCTCACATCTGCTCACCCTTGAATCTGGGTTACCAGTGGAAGTGATTGTTTAGCCATAATACTGTATGAAATGTTCCCAAAGTGCTTTGAAAAGAAAATTTATTTTGTTGCCTTTAAACCTGATTTAGAATCTTGGCCCCTGGCTTTTTGAGTAACTGCAAACAAATTTTGATTATACCTACACATTTTAATTTTCTGCACTAGTAGAAGGAATACAGGTTGAATAACTCTAATCAGAAAATCTGAAATTCAAAATGCATCAATGTCTGAAACTTTTTGAACACTGACATGGCACCACAAGTAGAAATTTTCCACAGGTGACCTTCATATGATGGGTTATGTTCAAGACACAGGTGCACAACATATAGTTAATTCAGTGTCCCCAAGAGAAAAAGGGCCTTCCCGCCCCAGTTCATCTGTGATATATCTTTTCCATGCACACTCATATTCCCCCATGCTAGTATATCCACAAAGGGTAATAGAATGGCTTGTGTCCAGGCTGAATAAACCAACAGCAGTTTCCTCACCATGCTCCACCTGGGACCAAGAACAATGTGCATTATTCTCTGTGGTTTTTGCTTATTCTCTGCTTTGTGGTTCAAAGATTTTACTGAAAAATGTCCAAAAAAGCCTGCAGATTCCCCTATGGATAACAGTGATAAGAAAAAAGTAAGCACTTAACATTTATCTGTAGCACAGAAAGTCAACTTGGAGAAAATGGACAGCAATGTAAATGTGAAATGTCTTATGTAAGTGTAAGACGTTTGGAGTAAAATAAGATGGTTGAAATTACCACCACGTATCATCTGAAGAAACAGAAGGATAAACTGTTGAAGCACTATGCTGGAAGTGATTAACAGAAGTTAGTGAAAATTTTTTAAATAGTGTGTAAAACTAAAAATGAAGATTCCATTATGTACTGAAAGAGTTGATCCATCAACATCACAAGTGAATATATGCTACTTAATGGTATGCTGATTATGAAACAAGCAAAGATCTATCATGATGAACTGAAAATGGAAGGGAACTGTGAATATTCAACAGACTTGTTGTAGAAATGTAAGAAAACACCCATGACATTACATTTTTAAAGATTTGTGGTGACAAAGCATCGGCTGATTATGAAGCAGTGGAGAAGTTCTTTGATGAGTTTGCCAAGGTCATCGCTAATGAAAATCGGATGCCAGGACAAATCTATAATTTCAATGCATGAAATGTCACTGTTTTGGCATTGTTGTCCCAGCAAGACACTCATGAGATAGCGCTTACAGGAATTAAGGATGTCAAGGACAGGATAAGTGTGCTGAGATGTGCTAATGCAGCAGACAGACATAAGTGTAAAGTTTTTGTGATAAGCAAAAGCTTGAGTCCTCACTTTTTTCAGAGGGAATTTCTTACCAGTTAATTATTATGTTAACAAAAAGATATGGCTCATCAGGGACATCTTTTCCTGATTTGTCTCTTAAACATTTTGTCCCAACAGATCTTGCTCGCTGCAGGGAAGCTGGACTGGATGCCAACTGCAAGATTTTCTTATTCCTTGACAACTGTTCTGCTCCTTCTCCAGCTGAAATTCTCATCAAAAATAATGTTTATGCCATGTACTTTTCCCTAAATGTGACTTCATTAATTCAGCATGTGACCAGAGTATCCTTAGGTAAATGAAGAGTAAATATAGAGATACTTTTTTGAACATCATGCTAGCAGCAGGGAACAGAGGCATGAGTATGGAAGTTTTTCAAAAGGAGTTTAGTATGAAGGATGTCATATATTCTGTTGCCAACTGTTGGAAAACAATGACTAAAGACACAGTTGTGCATGCCTGGACCCAACATCTGGCCTACAACTATGTTCAGTGATTATGATGAACAAGGTGCTGGCTTTGAAGGATGTCAATTGTGTGATGGGCTTCTTGGAGGGCTACACCAGTGTTCATTCACAACAGAACAAGAAATCAGGTAAGTTTATAAAGTCAAAAAGACTTCTAAGAAAGAAAAAAGCACATTGTTGATTAGGCAGATGCCTCTAGGAGCAACATTTTTAAAAACCATCCAGTGGAATGCTTCCTCTTCCCTAGAGGACTCACTTCCTGGTCCTTCAACTGCCTGTGATGTTTCAACTCACCTAAAAAAAATGTTAACCAAAGCACAGCCTTTTAGGAGAAGACTGAAAGCCTGCTGTTGCTCGTTATTGCTATTGTTTAACAGCTGATATAGGTATTCTGTTGATGCTATTGTACTTAATTACCCTGAACACATTATTTTTCTTTCACTGTATTTACTATATTATAATATTTTTTCCTGTTATGTACTTATGTGTGAATAAGTGTAAGAAAATGATTGTTTATCAGTAGCGTATAAATTCAGAGTCAGAAATAAGGGTGATGTCAAACAACTAGATTGTCTACATGGGGACCTTAGATTGTGACAACAACACCTTTGCTCTCTGATATCTCAGTTACACAATCTGTGTTTTATTAACAAAATTATTTGAAATATTGTGTAAAATTTCATTGAGTCTATGTGTATAAGCTATATATGGAACACAAATGAATTTTGTATTTTTACTTGGGTTCTATCCCCAAGATATCTCATTATCTTGGAATATTTGCATTATGTATATGCAAATATTCCAAAATAAAAATAAATCTGAAATCCAAAACACCTCTAGTCCCAGTCATTTCAGATAAGGATACTAAATTTGTAGCAATATTTGCCTTACGTGTTGGTTGCGAGTAATGTCTGGTACACAGTAGGTGCTCGATACTATATGGTATTTATACAATTTTTCCTCTTGACGGCAGCACATGATGCTTATGTACATCTTAGCCAGCTGTGTTTTGGAGAGGTGGGTTTTGTTTTGTTTTGTTTTGTTTGTTTTGTTTTGTTTTGTTTTTGTGGGGAGAAAAACTGTTTACTCTGTCTTGGCTTTAAAGAGGGTTTGCTGAAATTCCATAAATTTGACATTAATCTCGTATCCAGTTCCCAAATGTAATTTTATTAAATGATTCTGTTTCATCATTGAATACTAGGCTCAAGAGATAAAACAGAATTATAGAAAAGTCTACTCTTAAACAAAATTGTAAATTACTAGTTTACTATGACAAACCAAAATGGGTTACCCTATAACTAAAGAAAAGTGTTCAAGGATGGAAAGTAAAGTCATAATCAGAAGGTTTATTGTTAATCTTAGAATAAATTTGAAAAGGTTGATTATGTCTCTATCTCTATTTCAGCTATAAATGTGGACTACCTTCCTAGATGCTCTAGCTCCTTGAGTAGAGCTTGGGAAAGCTTTTTATGTTACTCTTTTTCTTGACTCTAAGCTAACTAGCTACATTTAGAAAACTTATTTTGTTTTTCAAATATTGCTCACTAAAGTTTAGAGGATTATTTATTTTTTTTCTTTTTTCAGATACAGGTCTCACTCTGTTGCCCAGGCTGGAGTGCCCTAGTGTGATCATGGTCTTGACCTCCTGGGTTCAAGAAATCCTCCTGCCTCGGCCACCCGAGTAGCTAGGACTGCAGACCTGTGCCACCACAGCTGGCTAATTTTGTTTTATTTTTGGTAGAGATAGGGTCTTGCTATGTCACTGTGTTACCCAGGCTGGTCTAAAACTCCTGGTCTCAAGTAATCCTCCTGCCTCAGCCTACCAAAGTACCAAAAGTGGGAAGCCACCACTTGCAGCTGGTTGTCATTTTTAAGTTCATTGTCATTTAGAGGAAATACAAAGCTACAATATTGCAAATCATCACTTTAGGGTCAGTTATGCATACAAATGAGGAGCTTTTTTATCATATGCAGTTTAAAATAACTTCACAAGCAATGCAAATCACAACTCCAATATCTAGAAATGAACCATGGACACGCTAGGTCTTCATTTGATTATGTGTACTTATGCATACTACAATGATTAATTTAAGAAACTGGTCATTGGGAGACATGCTGGTACCAATAATTTAGGCAATGACTATTCTTTATAGAAAAGATTTTTTAAAAATTTAAATCCATTGTATATTATATATTATTTCATGTTAAGCGTTGTTTCTGTGTATACATTTCAAGTGTGCAGTTTTGGTCCCTTACCCTCCTGTATTTACTCCCAATTCTTTCCAGGCACTCACTGTTTGATTCCATCCAATTAGTAGCCTCATAATTATTCCTGTTACCATTCTCTGGTCCTTAGCTTCACTCTCCTGCCTTCATTCAATCTTACATTAATCTTTCATAAGGGCAATTTTAATATCATCCTAATTAATTTATTTTACTCATTTTCATAATAATTTATTCACAAACTATTGGAGTCATCATCTTGAAACCCCAAAATCTCCATTATTCATTTCAAGCTACCATTTGGCTGATTTGCAGCTCCAAGTAAGAACCATGCATTTTCTTTTTTTTTTTTTTTTACATTTTTTTTTATTATTATATTTTAAGTTTTAGGTTACATGTGCACAACGTGCAGGTTTGTTACATATGTATACATGTGCCATGTTGGTGTGCTGCACCCATTAACTCGTCATTTAGCATTAGGTACATCTCCTAACGCTATCCCTCCCCACCCCACAACAGTCCCCGGTGTGTGATGTTCCCCTTCCAATCATGTAACATTCTTCCGCCTAGTATTCTTCCATTTTAATCTTAAATAATGTAAGGTCCAGTTCAAGTGTTACTTCCAAATACAAGCGTTCTCTGATTCTCAGGGAGACTTTTTTTCCACTGTCATAGAGTGTAGTGATTTGACTGAACTTAGTCAATTTACTTAAACTCTTGACTTGAGTTCCTCTCTCTGAAGAAAAATTTGTAGTATATGCAGATATGTTACAAAGTGTCCGAAACTTAGTAAGAACTATATAAGACTAGCTATTATTATTATTATTACTCTAACATAGTTTTGTTAATATGTATTTCCCGCTGAACTGAAATATTCCTAACATCAGGGAAATCATATAAGAAATCTTTTTCATCTGCAAAACCAATCATAATACCTGCATTCATTCAGTAGGTGTCCATAAATATATGAACATTAATAAAGAAAAACATAATGGGCTAACACCTACTAAGAACTTACACAGGGAGGAACTTGGAGAAACCTGAGTGAAGGATTTCAATCAGTGACTTGGTTTCATACTTCAAAACTTGGAGAAATTGCTTAAAGGAAGAGGAAGTGCTGAAAGGAGGACTGTGATTTTGAATATGGACTCAGTATAATCGGATGAATTCACATTGGGTACTGCACAGTCTAGCTATCACCAAAAGAATTGCTCTTGCTAAGGAAGTAAACCCTCGAGTTCTCCTTTGTGCAATTCAATGCCACACTTATGTTCAATGCTTACTATAATGGTAGCATTGTTGATAGACAGTTAATGGAATATACTAGAATTATTGTTGGCAAAATCTCTCAAGTCTTTTTCCCATTGGTCAAATAGAATTCTCAGGATCTGAGTAGAAAGCACATGGGAGAAGCATAGACTAACAGTAATAATATATTGACTTAATGTAACTAATCTATTCAGCCTGTTTTGCCTTAAAGCCAAATGATTATGGTGTCGAGGAAATCCATGGTGTAGAGGAAATCCACTAGAGTAATGGGTCTTAGTAGTTAGAAAGTAACTTTCAGTTAAGGAAGGCCTGTATGTACCTGTAGCTTCAGCATAATACAAAACACAGATTTTGAGAGCAGAAGAAAGGAAAATTAGGAGAGAAAATCAGCGAGGTAACATGATTTCATATTTTTGTCACAGAAATACAGAATTCTGTAGGTCATTTAAAACAAGCAGAATGTATAATTGTATGGCAACTAGACAGCATAGAAAATCAAGGAAATAGGCAGAAACAAGGAACAAGTGTCCTAAACACAATGCTCATTTAAAAGTAAATAATAATTATTAAATCCTAGGTCTCTAATGTAACAGTAATGTAATCGAAATATCCTATATAGGTTGCACTACAACCAATGTATAACCGAATATTTCCAGAAGACAATGAGAGTGCCAAAAGCTGTCCATTTCAAATAGATCTTTTAGCATACACCTTGAATAGCCTTTATTTTCCTAGGTGACTTTGAAACTGGGCTTGCATTTGCTTATAAAAACATTTTTTAAAGCTTTAAAAGCCAAATACTTTATTGTTCCTATTTTGTCATCATTATCATCTGCCAAGCACCAGTGACTTCCAATCTTTCTTCCACACCCCTTTCTAGTACTCCATCTAAAGTTTTAAACTTTTTCTAAAAATTCAAGCTATCTCATTTGAACAAATCATTTTTCTTTCTGTTCTCTCATTTAAAAACAAGATGAAATGGTGAGAAGGTCACAGGCTTTATAATAAGAGAGAAATAGCTTTGAATCCTTAACTACATACTGTTATTTAATGTATTATTCTAGTTCTATGATATTCTGTTTTTCGGGTGTAGGTACAAAAAACCCTCAATCCCCAATTTCACCCAGTGTTTCAAAGATATAATTAGATCCTTTATGTATTCAAACTGCAGAAAATTCAGGCCTCTCTCCCTCTTCAGGATATTACTTCTTTATTTGGCGAAAGTCATCCAGGTGTTTATCTAAATGACAAATGCCATTTATTTCTGTCTCATTATTTGAGCCAGATTTTTGAAAAACCACTCCTGAAAATTTGCAAGTTCGTAACTACTTCTGGAAGTAGGTGGCTTCGAGTATCACGCTGCATTGCTTGATATAGTCACAAAGCTGGAGGTATCCAGAATGTTCACTATCTAGAGAAATTCTTCCCAAGTGCTGCCATTGTCATTACTCTAGTGGAATGAGGTCATCCAGAATGCTCCTGCCCAAGAGCCAGCACTGGTTGCGTCTGCTATAACATAGGAGTGAGAACTTAGCTCTGCCCCTTTTCTGTTGGTAGACTCCTCAACTACAAACAAATTCTTTATGCTGCTGTGGCTGTTACAAAAGGCAATAATGCTGAAAATGGGGTATTTAGATGAGATTTTTCATTTTACACTGATGGTTTTGAGCAATGAATAAGTTGCCTTCACTGTTATCAGTTTCCTATACAGACCTCATTATAGCTCAAAATAAATAAGTGTTCCATAATAAAATTTACTTAGACTTTCAGAGTTTTAATTCTTTGTCCTCACTTTGAATTATTTCCCCAAAGCATATTCCTACTCAGAGAAGAGGCTGCTCAGGCAAAGCTTGGAGGTCTGCTTAATTTCCGAGTGAATTTGTCTGGTGGTCATTTGGTTTCACATATATAGTTTTGTTCCACTGCCTTTGCCCTAACTGAAAGGTTTCTATAACTATAAATTTCAGAAAGTAATGATTATATACTAAGACCATTCCTGCTCATAGATTACTTGCAGGTTTTACAGAAATTTTATTATTTTTCTCCAAAAAGCTTGACAATTTGTATGCTTAAAGTTTCTTGAAAATTTTTTGCTTCATCAACAATCTTTCTAATTATCATCTTTAGATTTTTCATCATCACCTTCATCAATAGCAGCCACAGTAGCAGCTCTCAACTATGTCCGCAAGTGGCTAAAATGGATATGTTTATGATCGCTTTTAACTCTAACAGTCTACAAACTTTGTTCAAGACTTCAGTATTATTATATTCATCAAAGAATGGACTTTCTAATATGAAATTACTATTTCCTAATTAAAGAATATTTTAAAGAATAAAAATGAATTAAATAGTAATAATTACTAATGAATCATAAATTATTTTATTTTTTACCTGTGTTTTAATTCATTTAACATTCACTTTTAATGCATGCTTTCAATATTATTTCCCTTCTAATTGTTTCATTTATAGAGTTTTCTTAATTTTTATTTTTAGTTCTGGGTACACGTGTAGGATGTGCAAGTTTCTTACATAGGTAAACATGTGCCATCATGGTTTGCCTCCACCTGTCAACCCATCACCTAGGTAGTGGTTTATTCTTTATAGTAGTCATGGTTCAACAACTCATATTTTGATATAATAATAATATTATGCCAATAAATAAGATATAAGGCCTTTTACTCATGTAGCAGAGTACCATACCGATCTGTTACGTGTATATGTGTATGTGTATGTAAAGGGGATAAAATTTTGTATAAACTTCCTGTGCATTTTAAAAATTATTTTAGTAATCATTATTCAAGATTTTAAAATGTTTCTTTTTGTTGATCTTGTATAATTTCTAGAACAAAATAGTTTTTCCCCCAATATGTCACTGGTGACTAATCATTTCAAGTGCTCTAATGTAATAGACAATGGAATTACTTAGAAGCATAAAGAATAAATGTTTGGGGTTTCTGGCTTTTATTTTCTCTTCACACCAAATGGCTTTTGGAAGTCAAGACCTTTAAAACTAAATGAAAATATTCTGTTAGAACAAAATATGATAGTAACCTGTTTCTCCTTCTAACAATATAATGTATATAAAAAGACACTATCAACTGTCATTTTATGATACAAAACTATAAAAAAAATTGTAGGTAAGCCATCTATAAATGCTAACATGGCAGGAAATTCAAACAGTTTTCTCTCTACAAATATTTTAGTTCATTTCTTGTATTTAAAAATACCTAGTCTTGCATAAATACACCTTGTGCATATCACAAAATTAACTTATATTGGTTGCGATTTATCTAATTGTGTGAAAGAAAGCTCTGCTTTTAAGTGAGGCTTTCCATTTTAGAGAGGACACATATGAATTTTGGAAAAACACTAAATACACTAAATTGTACCTGTGCACATTTTACAAAACAAAGGAGATGCATTCTGTAATGAGTAAATGTGTGCTCCAGCTGCTATGAAAATATGAGGAAGAAAAATTCTTGTGATTTTTTTCGTATCGATGTATAGTGTAAATAATTCATTCTCAATATGCAGAAATGCTTCAGTCCCATAAACAGTGTCATTTTTCTGGGTTAAGTGTTTTAAAAGAAGAATATACATTCTATTTTATTTTTGAAGTCTTGTTTAGATTTCTGAAATCCCCTCTCATAAGCTCAGTAATACACAGTAAGAGGAAACAGTAAGAAAGTAAACTTCTCACGAAAGCACTTAAATTTTGATACATGAATTTTTTTAAGATTCCAGAGTTTTTGAGAATATGATTAAAAATCTATGAACATCTCTACAAAAAAAATGCACTTAATTCCACAAGTTTAATATTCTACATGTTTGACTGAAGTATACATAGTGTTTATTTATTTGGGTGAAACATATATTTTAAACACACATTATCTCCCACAATAATTTTATTGTGTGAAAAGTCAAGGTCAAGTATCTGAAAATGAATTAAAAAGAATATAAGTTTGGCAAAAAAGTCTTTTTTTTCCAATGTTAATTCAACTTGAAGACTACTTTGGATATGAATTGAAAACTAGAATGCTCAAGGAGATCTTTGACATGTAAATACACATAATATATTTCACATGTAATTAATTTTTAACATTTTTAGTAATACTTTAAATTCACATTAGGAGTATAAATTATATCAAAGTTCCCAAATCACCATATGACAGTTGTCATAGGAATGGCCTATAATGATAAAGACAAGATTTTTCCAAAGCTAAGTTAAATTCATATAACTTTGCTTCATTTTGCTTGTGTAGATTAAATTATCTTTAGGAAAATATGCATTACTGACCCTGATTATGTCAGCAAGGAAAGGATTTTCAAACAACATTTAAATAATGCCATATGTAGAAACCTATTCATTTCTCATTGTTTCCAAGACTGTGCAGTTATTCTTGCAAATAAATTGACCAGAATTCCTTATTCCTAACTCATTGCTCCAGAAATGATTCTTCTATCGGTGTTACATCTACATTCAGATTCTTTTGCCAAAATCATGACTTGGCTAAAGAATACAGAGTTTTTAAACCATGTCAGAAACAGTCATTGCAAGACTCTTAGTTAAAAGCTTTGTCTCATTGATGTCTTAAAAATACCTGAAAATTAAACAAAGTTATAAATATCTTTGTTTTCAAATGATGTGTGATTCTTTTGTTGTTCAAAAACAAAACTCTTTATAATATAATCAAATAAATCAAAACCAAAGATCTAGAAAGCCAGTACATATATAGGTTTTATGGAATAATAGTCCAGTTAGCCTCCATTTCATGACAAATGTTCTTGAAAAAGCAGTGATGATTTTGAAATTATGGAAAAGGAGATGAAATAAGTAAAAATGCAAGATTTTGTTGAGAATTTTTGTATTATTTTGTTGTCAACCCCAATTTAGAAAGCATTGCAATATTATGGCATAGGAAGCTCCTTTCAATACCAAAGGGGGAAAATAAAATGTATCTATTGTCCAAAATAAAAAAAAAGTCTCCCCCCTGCAGAGAAACCCAGGGTATTTTATTCTATATTTTTTGTTTGTTTTACTAACAGGTAAACTTTATTTCTTGTCGCCATTTCAAAGATTTTAAGTTGCTAAATTTTTAAAAAATCCTAAAACCACCAAGCGATCTATCTTTTCTGTGTTACAAACAGAACAGCTCAGAAAATTGTAAACAACAAATTGAATTAAATCAAGAAATAATGAAAAAGTTAAAATGTGATTACTGGTTGATATGGTCTGGCTCTGTGTCCTCAGTGAAATCTTATCTTGAATTGTAATCCGAATTGCAATCCCCGTGTGCTGGGGGGGAAATCTTGTGGGGGTGATTTGATCATGGGGGTGATTCACCTATGTTGTTCTTGTGATAGTGAGTGAGTTCTCACAATATCTGATGGTTTCATAAGGGACTTTCCCGCTTTGCTCTGCACTCATTCTCTCTCCTGCCACCCTCTGAAGAGATACCTTCCGCCCTAATTGTAAGTTTCCTGAGGCCGCCTCCCCAGCCATGCAAAACTGAGTCAATTAAATATCTTTAGAAATTACCCGGTCTCAGGTATTTTTTCACAGCAGCATGAGGGCAGAGTAATACACTGTTCATATGAAACTACCTATTTAAAGAATAACTATTTTAGGCTGAGCGTGGTGGCTCATGCCTGTAATCCCAGCACTTTGGGAGGCCAAGGCGGGCCGATCACCTGAGGTCAGGAGTTGAAGACCAGCCTAGCCAACATGGCAAAACCCCATCTCTACAAAATACAAAATAAATTTTGTATTTTTATACAAAAATTAGCAAGGCATGGTGGCATATGCCTATAGTCCCAGCTACTTAGGAGGCTGAGGCACAAGAATTGCTTGAACCTGGGAGGCAGAGGTTGCAGTGAGCAGAGATTTTTTCTGCTGCACTCTAGCCTGGGTGACAAAGCGAGACTCCATCTAAAAAAAAAAAAAAAAAAAAAAAAAAAAGATTAAAAATGAAAGAATTCTTTAGATTTTTACTTTTTCACATTGCAAACATATTGTATAGAATCTTATAAAATTTATTTTTAAATTTAATGTTAAAACTCCCAATAAAAAATAGATTACTATTATAAGTATTTGCCTGCACAATATTTCTTTATTGATCAAGCTCCATGCAAGATACAAGCAGTCAGTTTTAGTAACCTAGCCAAACCTGTGGCCTGTTCAGTTTGGCAAATAAGATCAATATTTGGGACCACAGGTACCCCTAAAACAAGAAAGTAAATTTGGCTAAAATTGTTCTGATCCACGTTGACTGTTCCCCGACTTATTAAATGTCCTCCCTCTTTCACCAAAACCATACAAGTTCTTACACTTACAACAATCTTAAACATGGTATAAATAACCTGCCAAGCATGCATTGACTGGCTCTGTATTAACTAGGATTAGACTTGACTTTCAGTATCAAGATCTCAAAATAACAAAATCTCCTTTAAAAAGCTGGAAATGTATTTAACTCTCACATTCATGTAGGCACTCTAGAGTCTGCATGTAAAGTTCTGTACTGTCAGGTACATAGGCTTTTTCTGACTTGGTTCTCTATATTCATATCCTATTCATCCACCAATTCCAAAATGATCCTTCAGTTCTAGCTATTATTACATTGGCATTCCAGACAATGGGAAAATCATAAACAAGACTAGGGCACAACCCATCACTTTATAGATAACATTATAGAATTGGCACACACCACCTCTGTTTATATACCACACACTCGAAGTTAGTTACTGTGATGGTTAATATTGAGTGTCAACTTGATTGTATTGAAGCATCCAATGTATTGTTCCTGGGTGTGTCTGTGAGGGTGTTTGCCAAAGGTGATTAACATTTGCATCAGTGGACTAGGAAAGGCAGACTCACCCTCAATCTGGGTGGGCACAATTTAGTCAACTGCCAGCAAGGCCAGAATAAAAGCAGGCAGAAGAAAATGAAAAGAGTAGACTGGTGTAGTCTTCCAGCCTACATCTTTCTCCCATGATGGATGGTTTCTGCCCTCCAACATCAGTCTCCAAGTTCTTCAGTTTTGGGACTCGGACTGGCTTCCTTGCTCCTCAACTTGCAGACGGCCTATTGTAAGACCTCACCTTGTGATTGTGTGAGACAATACTTCTCAATAAATTCCTTTTTATATATACATCTATCCTATTAGTTCTGTCCCTCCAGAGAGCCCTAATAGTCACTGAGCTACAACTATGCATGAAGGACATTAAGAAATGTAGTCTTTAGTCAAGAAGGCCAAGTATAAATATAAATTCAAAGATCCTACTAGATTAATTCTTTTACTATGATTTTCCATTCATTTCCCAATTGAATAAACTTCATCTTCTGCAAGATTCCTCTGTATGAGTTGGAGAATATAATAATTCTTGTGCTCTTGCTTGTGAAAAAACTAATCTTCTGAGGATTTGCTGATTGAGGATATCTTACATGGCTAGTAAATTGTTGACTTACATTTTGTCTCCTTGAGTTTCTTGAAAATGCATCTCCAGTTTGTCCAGTCTTATATGTTGCTTTCAAAGTTCTGATGCCATCCTAATTTACTTTACCATTAAAGTTTCTAAAACTTTGTGCTTTGAAACCCACAGGATTAAAGTTTTACCTTTAAGTCCCAAAGGTTTTACTTCTATATCTTGAAGTAGACTATCTCAGGTCAAATTTCCCAGGTACAAGAAGGGTTGTTATAAAAAGCTAGATTCAGATCTTCTATTGTTTCTGAAAATTTTTCTTATATCTTACCTAGAAAATTGAAATCTTTAAACTCTTGTTTTACTTCTTCACAAACTCCAAGATACACATGTTGAATATTCTTATGTTGTCACTACATCTACAATTTTCTCTGAGTCTTTTTACCTCCCAAGTTTTTTAAAATTTCTACTCTGTTAGCTATTTTTATTAATTTTCTCAATTCTTCTAATTAATTTTTCAATAAAGTCTATTATCATTTGGTCATATTGAAATTTAGTATTCAATTTTAAATGATTTTGTCTTTTTCATCCATTCAGTTCTCTAAGTTCAGTCAACTATCGTTTCATATCTTCCTGCTTTTGTTAAATTTGTGGTGAATTTTTCACGTGAGATTTGTTTAGGCTTTTGATTTAAGTATGAATGCTTGTTTGAGGTTATTTGATTCATGTTTCGAAATTGTTGTTTTGTTTTAAAAAGAAGAGTTTTTCTCTATTTTGAGTATTTTTTGGAATTTTAGTTGCCAAAGTGTTTTGATTCTTTTTTTCTAAGTAGAGGGGTTTGGGATAAGTGGGATGTGGGTGAAAATAATCAATAAACTTCCTGGTGAGGCTTTTAAAATTATTTTGTTTCCTCCTCCTTTCTAACTTCCTTCTCTTATCTTCTAGCAAAATCAAAGGATTCTTCTGAGATCCAGAAACCCAGGGATGGTAAAGCCTCCAGATTCAAGGACTGAAGTGAATATACGGTGGAAAAAAAAACACAATGACAACAACAACAACAACAAAAAAAAAACGCACACACACACTTCTTCCACCTGCTGCTTACCTTTTTACTGTGTTGTAAATTAATAGTAAACCTGATTTAAAACCTGATTCCCAATCTCTTTCTTACTCCCTAACTCTTCCCTGGTTTTTAAATTTAACAAACATAGATATAGTGTTTACTATGCACTGGCAGATTCTTTGAAAGCTCAAATAACAACTAATTAAAAAACACAGTTGGTTAAATATATATCATGTAGCTGGAAGTGTTGGCACCAGTCAAGTTTGGCCATACTGATTTGCTTTCAAACATGATAGTTACACTCTCTCTCCATTGAACTCTTTTCTCCAGAGTTTCTATATCATTTATATTATTTTATTATATTGCATATTAATACGTGTGAGGAAACAGAATTTTAATTTTGCACTGTAAATTTTCAATCAAAAAAGACTTTTAATATTACTTTGAGAATTTATGATGCTTCCTTCAATTTTAATAACGCATTTCCATCTTTTATTCACGTATAAACGTACTAAGATCTATCACTTATCTGTGATTTTGTATATAATTTTAATAGAATGCATAATGTGTGCTTGAACAATGTAGGTAACTAATGAGAAATAATTTGAATCCCTATAAAGTATAATTATAACCTTATTTGAAACATTATAAAAATAGTCTGTAGGTAAGAAGTAACTGAAATAAGCTGTACTGTGTAAAATATATTTTTATTTCCTGGTAAAAAATCTTTACCTTTTCGAGTTTTTTGTTTTGTTTCATTGGGGCTTTCTGTTTTTGTTTGTTTGTTTGATTTGAGGGGAGGTGAGACATTTTGATCTTCAAAGTTGAGTGTGGAGCAAGATAGAGAAATAGAAAGCTCCACCAATTGTCCCGCTGGCAAGGACATGAAGTTAATAACTATCTATACAGAAAAACACTTTCAAAAGAACAAAAAATTAGGTGAGCACTCACAGTACCTGGCTTTAATTTTATGCCTCTGAGAGAGGCACTGAAGAGATAAGGAAAAGAGTCCTGAATCTCAGATACCACCACTCCCCTATCCCCAGCTGCAACTGCCTAGTACAGAGAGTTTCTCTGAGTACTGCAGGAGGAAGAGCACAGCAATTGTGAGGCACTGAACTCAGCGCTGTTCTGTTAAATCAGAATAGAAAACCAGGCTAAACTCAGCTCATGTCCACCCATGGAGGGAGCATTTAAACGATCCCTAGCCAGAAGGGAATTGCCAATCCCAGTTGTTAGAGTGCTTGCAAACCTCACCACCGATGGGCACAGCACTCTGCATCTCCAAGCAAACTTGAAAAGCAGTCTAGGCCATAAGGACTGTAACTCTTAGGAAAGTCCTAGTGCTGAACTAGGCCCAAGGGTAGTGGATTGAGGGGGCACTGAACATACAGCTGGGGCAACCAAGAAAGTGCTGGCATCACCCTTCCCCTAATACCAGGCTGCACAGCTCAAGGATCCAAAAGAGACTCTTTCCTTCTGCTTGAGGAGAGGGAAGAGTGGGGGAAGACTTTGTCTTGTGTCTAGGATACCAGTTCAGCCACGGCAGAATAGGGCACATGTCGGAGTCATCAGATGCCTGTTCCAGGCCCTAGCTCCCAGATGATATTTCTAGACACACCCTGGTCCAGAAAGGAACCCACTGCCTTAAAGGAAAGGACCCAGTCCTGACAGCATTCATTAACTGCTAACTGAAGAGCTTTTGGGGCAGGAATAACCAGCAGTAATACCCAGTTACTACCTGAGGGCCCTGATTGAGCCTCTGGAACTCTCTGGCTTCAGGTGAGACTCAGCGCACCATCAGCTGTTGTGGTCATGGGTCAAAACTCCTTTTGCTTGAGAAAAGTGGGGAAAAGTCAAAGGGGCTTTGTGTTGCACCTTAAGTACCAGCACAGCCACAAGGGGGTAGAGTACCAAGTGGGTTCTTGGGGTCCCCAATTCCAGGACTTGAATCTTGGATGGCATTTCTGGACCTGCCCTGTGCCAGAGGGGGAGTTTATTGCCCTGAAGGGTGAGTCCCAGGCCAGGCAGCTTTCATGACAAGCTGACTTAAGAGACCTTGGGCCTTAATGGAAGATCAGAGGTAGCCTGGCAGGAGGCTATAGGGTGAGGCTCCTCTGCCTGTGAAAAGGGGAGGGAAGAGTGGGAAGTTGTGTGTTTAGTTTATGTGTTTGAGTGACAGGTTATTTGCTAGATCCTGCAGGTGTGCTATGTTTTTTTGTTTTTCTTTTGTCTCTTTTGACTGTGTATTTTCAAGTAATCTGTCTCCAAGCTCACTAATTCTTTCTTCTGCTCAATCCATTCTGCTATTAAGGGCTCTGATGCATTTTTCAGTATGCCAATTGCATTTTTCAGCTCCAGAATTTCTACTTGTTTCTTTTTAATTCTTTCAATCTTTTTATTAAATTTCAGTGGCAGAATTTTGAATTCCTTTTATGTGTTATCTTGAATTTCTTTGAGTTTCCTCAACACAGTATGGATCAAACAGAAGAAAGAATTAGTGAGCTTGAAGACAGGTTATTTGAAAATACACAGTCAGAGGAGAAAAAAAGAAAAAAGAATAAAAAAATGGAGCACACCTACAGGATCTAACCAATAACATCAAAAAGGAAAATCTAAGAGTTATTGGCCTTAACGAGGAGGTAGAGAAAGAGATAGGGGTAGAAAGTTTATTCAAAATGATAACAACAGAGAACATCCCAAACTTAGAGAAAGAAATTAATATCTAAGTTCAAGAAAATTAGAAAACACCAAGCATATTTAACTCAAAGAAGACTACCTCTAGGCATTTAATGATCAACCTCCCAAAGGTCCAGGATGAAGAAAAGATCCTAAAAGTAGCAAGAGAGAAAACAAAACAAATGACATATATTGGAACTACCATACATTTGGCAGCAGACTTTTCAGTGGAAACCTTACAGGCCAGGAGAGAGTGGCACGACATATTTAAAGTACTAAAGAAAAATAACTTTTACCCTAGAATAGTGTATCCAGAGACAATATCCTTCACACATTAGGAGAAATAAGGATGTCTCCAGTAAACAAAAGCTGAAGGATTTCATCAATGCCAAGACTGTCCTACAAGAAATGCTAAAGAGAGGACTTCAATCAGAAACAAAAGCATATTAATGGGCAATAAATAATAACTTGAAGGTACAAAACTCACTGGTAGTAGTAAGTACACAAGAAAGCACAGAATATTGTAACACTGTAACTGTGGTGTGTAAACTACTCTTATCATAAGTAGAAAGAGTAAACCAATCAAAATAATAACTACAACAACTTTTACCTAAACAGTAAACCATTCAAAAATAATAACTACAACTACTTTTCAAGACATAGTCAGTACAATAAGATATAAATAGAAACAACAGAAAGTTAAAAATCAAGGGGATTAATTTAAGGTGTAGAGTTTTTATTAGTTTGCTTTTTGCTTGTTAGTTTATGCAAATATTGTTGTTATCAGATTAAAATAATCGGTTATACGATAGTATTTGCAAGTCTCATGGTAACTTCAAAGCAAAAAAACATACAATAGACCCACAAAAAACAAAAAGCAACAGAATAAATCATATCATTAGATAAAATCATCTTAACCAGAGGAAGCTGGGAAGGAAAGAAAGAAGGAAGAGAAAAACGGAAAACAACCATATAACAAATAACAAAATGGCAGAATTAAGCCCTTATTTATCAGTAAAAACACTAAATGCAAATGCACTAAACTCATAGGCTGGCTGAATGGTTGAAAAAACAAGATCCATTGATCTATTGCCTATAAGAAACCCACCTCACCTATAAAGACACACATAGACTGAAAAGAAAAGGATGGAAAAAGATATTCCATGCCAATGAAAATAGAAAAAAAAGTCATTATAACTATATAAAAAAATAGGTTTCAAGACAATAACTAAAAGAAGAGACAAAGAAGGTCACTATATAATGATAAAGAGACCAATTCAGCAAGAGGACATAATAGTCGTAAATATATATGTACCCACCATTGGAGGACCTAGATATATAGAGGAAATATTATTAGAGCTAAAGAGAGAGATATGCCCCAATACAATATTAGATGGAAACTTCCATACCTCCTTTCATCACTGGACAGATATCCCAGACAAAAAATCAACAAAGAAACATCAGACTTAATTTGCATTATAGATCAAATGGATATAGTAGATATTTATAGAAAATTTCATCCACAAGCTGCAGAATACACTTTCTTTTCCTCAGCCCACAGATCATTCTCAAGAACAGACCTTATGTTAGGTCACAAAACAAGTGTTAAAACATTCAAAAAATTGAAGTAATATCAAGCATGTTCTCCAACCACAATGGAATAAAACTAGAAATTAATACAAGGGGAATTTTAGGAACTATACAAATACATGGAACTTAAACAATATGCTTCTGAATGGCCAGTGGGTAAATGAAGAAATTAATAAGGAAATTGAAAATTTTTTGAAACAAATGATAACGGAAACACAATGTACCAAAACCTAAGGGATACAGCGAAAGCAGTACTAAGAAGAAAGCTTATAGCTGTAAGTGCCTACATCAAAAAAAGAGAAAATACTTCAAGTAGACAATCTAATGATGCATCTTAAAGAACTAGAAAAGCAAGAGCAAACCAAACCCAAAATTAGAGGAAGAAAAGAGATAACAAAGCTCAGAAAATAAATAAATAAAATTGAATTTAAAAATATATAAAAGATCAACAAAACAAAAAGTTGGTGTTTTGAAAAGTTAAGCAAAATTGACAAACATTAGCCAGACTAATTAAGGGAAGATTCTAATAATTATAATCAGAAATGAAAAAGGAGACATTATAACTGATACTGCAGAAATTAAAAGAATCATTAGTGGCTAGTATGAACTATTAAAGGCCAATAAGTTCAAAAGTCTAGAAAAGAAATGGACAAATTCCTAGATATATACAACCTACCTACCAAGATTGAACCACAACGAAATCCAAAACCGGAACAGACTAATAACAAGTAATGAGATCAAAGCCATAATAAAAAGTCTCCCACTAAATAAAAGCGCAGCACCTGATGGTTTCACTGCTGAATTTTGCCAAACATTTAAAGAAGAATTAACACCAATTCTCCTCAAACTATTCTGAAAAATAGAGGAGGAGGAAATACTTCCAAAGTCATTCTACACGGCCAATATTATCCTGATACAAAAACACAACAAGAAAGAGAGAAAACTACAGGCTAATATCTCTAATGAATATTCATGTAAAAATCCTCAGTGAAATACTAGAAAATAGAATTCAACAATACATTAGAAAGATCATCCATCATGACCAAGTGGGATTTACCCTTGGGATGCAAAAATGGTTCAACATGCACAAATCAATCAATGTGATAGATCATATAAACAAAATTAAGGATAAAAACTATATATTCATTTCAATTGAGGTGAAATGCATTTGATAACATTCAACATCCCTTCATGATAAAAATTCTCAAAACCTAGGGATAGGAGGAACATACTTTAACATAATAAAAGCCATATATGATGATAAAGCCACAGCTAGTATCATACTGAATGGGGAAAAACCTGAAAGCCTTTTCTCTAAGATCTAGAACACAACAAGGATGCCCACTGTCACCACTGTTCTTCACCATAATACTGGAAGTCCTAGATAAAAGCATCAGAAAAGAAAAAGATATAAAGGGCATACAGTTTGAAAAGGAAGAAGTCAAAGTATCCTTATTTGCAGATGATATGAGATTACATTTGTAAAAACCTAAAGACTCCACAGGAAATCTATTAGAACCGATAAACAAATTCAGTAAAGTTGCAGGATGCAATATCAACATACAAAAATCAGCAGCATTTTTTTATGCCAACAGTGAATAATTTGAAAAATAAATTTAAAAAGTAATCCCATTTATGAAAGCCACACATGAAATTCAATACCTCAGAATTAACTTAACCAGAGAAATGATATAATGAAAACTATAAAATACTGATGAAAGCAATTTAAAAGGACACCAAAACATGGAAAAATAATCCATGTTCATGAATTAGAAGAATCAATATTGTTAAAATGTCCATACTACCCAAAGCAATCTACTGACTCAGTGCAACCTCTATCACAATACCAATGATATTCTGCATAGAAATAGAAAAAAAATCCTAAAATATATCCGGAACCACAAAAAAACTCAGAATAGCCAAAGCTACCCTAAATGAAAATAACAAAACTAGAGGAGTCACATTACTTGACTTTATACAACAGAGCTATAGTAACTAAAACAGTATGGTACTGGCATAAAAACAGACACATAGGCTAATGAAACATAGAAAAAAAAAACAGAAACAAATGTGCACACATACAGTGAATTCTTTTTTTACAAAGATGGCAAGAACATACATTGGGGAAAGCACCATCTCTTGAAGAAATGGTGCTGAGAAAACTGGATATCCATATGCAGAAAAATGAAACTAGACCCCTATCACTCACCATATATAAAAATCAAATTGAATTGGATTAAAGGCAAATCTAAGACCTCAAGCTATTAAACTACTACAAAAACCACTGGGGAAAAACTCCAGGATATTTGTCTGAGCAAAAATTTATTGAGTGATACCCCACAAGCACAGGCAACCAAAGCTTGTTCGCTTTGGTGCTTGTTCGCACAAACGGGACCACATCAAGTTAAAACACTTCTACACAGCAAAGGACACAATCAACAAATGAACAGACAAATCACAGAATAGGAGAAAATATCTGCAAACTACCCATCTGACAAGGGATTAGTAACCAGAATATATAAGGAGCTCAAACAACTCTATAGGAACACGTTTAATAATCTGAACCAAAAATAGGCAAAGTATTTAAATAGATATTTCTCAAAAGAAGACGTACAAATAACAACCAGGCATATGAAAAGGTGCTCAACATCACTGATCATCAGAGAAATGCAAATTAAAATTATAATGAGATATCATCTCACCCCAGTTAAAATGACTTTTATATAAAGACAGGCAATAACAAATGCTGCTGAGGAGGTGGAGTAAAGGGAACTCTTGTACACTGTTGGTTGAAACTTAAATTAGTAAAACCACTATGGAGAACAATTTGGAGGTTCGTCAAACACTTAAAGTTGAGCTACAACATGATCCATCAATTGTACTACTGGATATATACCCAAATGAAAGGAAATCAGTATATTGAAGAGATATCTACACTCCTATGTTTGTTGCTGCCCTGTTTGCAATAGCTAAGATTTGCCATCAACAGATGAATGAAGAAAATGTGGTACATATACATAATGTACTATTCAGCCATAAAAATAATGAGATCCAATCATTTGTAGCAACATGGTTAGAACTGGAGATCATTATGTTTATTACAGAAAGACAAACATTTGTATCTTCTCACTTATTTCTGGGATCTAACAATCAAAACAATTGAACTCATGGACACAGAGAGTAGAATGGTTACCAGAGAATGGAAAAGTTAGTGTGGGCCTGGGATTTTGGTAGGGATGGTGAATGGGTACAAAAGACAAATTAGGAAGAATGAGTAAGGCCTGCAATTTGGTAGTGCAGTAGGGTGGTTAGAGTCAATAATAACTTGATTGTGCATTTTAGAATAACTTAGGAGGTGTAATTGGATTGTTTGTAACTTAACAGATAAATGCTTGAAGGAATGGGTACCTCATTTCCATGATGTACTTATTTTGCATTACATACCTGTATTAAAACATCTCATGTACTCCATAAATACATACACTTACTATGTACTCAGAAAAAATAAAATATTAAAGAAACAATTAAAAACTAAAAAACATTTTGATCTTCTTTTCTGTTTGTTTGTTTGCTTGACACAGGGTCTGGCCTGGGCCACTGCACCTGACCTGATCTATTTTTAATGTGAGTTGTATTAATTTTCATATAATTTTATTTTATAGAATTTATAAATGATGATGTTTTGTCATTTTTTGTAATTTATTCCGCACTGTATGTCTATTTTGTTATAGAAATCTGCACAGATTGACATGACCCTGAAACATGCTCAACTATCCAAAAATTGAAGTATTGCTTTGATTCTTTTTCAAAAAGCCTTCTTCAACCTAACACAGAATACTGTGTGTTAAATAAATATGAAATCATCATTTATATATTAAGAATAATGTTATTATTTACAGTCTTACAGAGGTATGCCTCTTGTGGAAATGTCTTTGATGAATTTCTTTAAATGAGTCTATCTCAACTTTAAAGCATACCAACATACCACATGGATCCCTGCTTAACCTTTTGATCTGCTGCAGTCATGTTCTTGAGAGGCTTTAATTTATTGGACTGACCAAAATATCTCTAGACTGCATTTAAATATCTACTTGGCATAGATATTACGAATGATATATATGCCAGTTCAGCTGTAATGTGTGTCTGTCAAGTTGTCTAGATTTCTTGCAACAAATATGTTTATTTAAATTTAGATATTTTTCCAAAATGACTAGTAATACTAATAGAACATGAGAAGAAATTTATACATGTTCTTGGCATTTCCCATAATTATTTTTTCTTTCCCTCTTCTCTTAGCACCCAGACATGTATAGGATCCATTGAAGGACTTTGAAGAGTTTCAAATGGAAAGGGCCAGGACAATTTAGCCACTACCAGGTGAAGACGCCAGGAGAACTTATGCAATGAATTGTGCATGAATGAAAATCAGCTTTTATTCTTTTTTAAATTTCAACTTTTATTATATATTAAAGGGTACATGTCATGCAGGTTTGTTACATGGGTAAATTGTGTGACACTGAGGCTTGGGATCCCAACAATCCCATCACCCATGACATAAGCATAGTGCGCATCTGGTGGTTACTCAGCCCGTGCCCCACTCCCTGCCTCCCCTGTCTAGTGATCCCCAGTGTCTATCGTTCCCCTCTTTACACTCATGTGTACTTAATGTTTGTCTCCCACTCATAAGTGAGAGCCAACATGCAGTATTTGGTATTCTGTTCCTGTGTAAGGTCACTTAAGATAATGGCCTCCAGTTCCACCCACATTGCTGCTAAAGGCATGATTTCATTTTTTGATGCCTGCATAGTATTCCATGGTGTATATGTATGATATTTTCTTTATCCAATCCACTGTTGACAGGCATTTACATTGATTTCATGTCCTTGTGGTTGTGAATAGAACTGTAATGAACATACAGGTGCATGTGTCTTTATAATTGAATGAATTATTTTCCTTTGGGTTTATACTCAGTATATACTCAGTAGTAGGAGTATTAGTTGAAATGTCTTTGGATTAATTTATTTAAATGAGTCCATCTCAACTTTAGTTCTATTTTAAGTTATTTGAGAAATCTCCAAACTGTGTTCCACAGGGGCTAAACTAGTTTACATTTCCTCCAACAGAATATAACTATTCCCTTTTCTCCTCAGTTTCACCAACATCTGTCGTTTTTTGTCTTTTGAATAATAGCCATTCTTACTGGTGTGAGATGGTATCTTATTGTGGTTTTGATTTGCATTTCTCTGATAATTAATGATGTTGAGCATTTTTTCATATGTTTGTGCCCACTTGTATGTCTTCTTTTGAAAAGTGCCTCTTCATGTCCTTTGCCCATTTTTTAATCAAATTGTTGGTTTTTTGCTTGTTGATTTGTTCAAATTACTTGTAGATTCGGGATATTAGACCTTAGTCAGATGAGATGCATAGTATGCAAGCATTTTCTCCCATTCTGTAGATTGATAACTCTGTTGGTAATTTATTTTGCTGTGCAGAAGCTCTTTAAATTAATTATGTCTCACTTGATAATTTTTGTTTTTGTTGCAATTAATTTTGGAGACTTAGCCATAAATTCTTGGCCACGGTCTTTGTTCAGAAGGGTATTTCTAGGTTTTCTTCTAGGATTTTTAGAGTTTGAGGCCTTACTTTTAAATCTATTATTCACCTTTAGTTAATTTACAAATATGGTGAGAGGTCTAGATTCATTATTCTACATATGGATAGCTAGTTATCCCAACACCATTTATTGAATACAGAGTTCTTTCCCTGATCCATTGCATATTTTTGTTGATTTTGCTGAATATCATAGGGTTGTAGATGAGCAGATTTATTTCTGGTTTCTCTCTTCTGTTGCACTGAGCTATGTGTCTGTTTTTATACAAGTACCATGCTGTTTTGATTACTGTAGCCTTAGAGTATAGTTTAAAGTCAGACAGTGTGAAGCCTCTGATTTTGTACTTTTTGCTTAGAATACTTTTGCTGCGTGGGCTCAGTTTTGGTTCCAAATAAATTTTAAAATATATGTTTGTAATTCTGTAAAACATGACATTGATATTTTGATAGGAATAATGTTGAATCTATAATTGCTTTTGGAAGTATAACCATTTTATCCATATTGATTCTTTCAATCCATGAGCATAGAATATTTTTCCATTTGTTTTGTCATCTCTAATTTTTTTCAGCAGTGCTTTGTAGATTTCCTTGTAGAAATATTCCCTTCCTTGTGTAGATTGATTTCCAGGTATTTCATTTTCTTTGTGGCTATTATAAATAATATTGTGTTCTTAATTTGGTGCTCAGCTAGAACATGATTGGTATGTAAACATGCCTTAGTTCAGAGGTGTGGGTGGGGGATGTCAGGGGCATTCTCCCATTCTCTCACTTGTCCAGGTCTCTATGGAGAGTGTGAATCCTCGAAGGGGCTCTCATGAACTCACCCTTTCCCTGTGTTAGGGAGCATCTTCTGCCTTCACTTTTTTCCCAGATGAGCTGCTGCCCAGCTTTGCTCCTATGCTATTTGTGTGCTCTTACTGCCTTGATGAATTTGACATGATTGCTTAAATAATTGGCTTGCAGAGTCAGTGCTCACTGGCCATTTTGTTTTGTCTCTATGAAAGTGGCATACATGAGTTGCTTCTAGTCTGCCATTTTGACCCAACCTCATCCAATTGTTTTCTTAAGCTATTACAAAAAATAGAAAGAAGAAGAAAAGAAAAACAAAAATGTCAGAGAAAGCCTTCAGAAGATGGGCAAAGCTCCCTAATTGTACAGGTATATAGGTGTAGTTACCTCTTGATACTCTTGCGATCACTCTTGTGATCAAAACCACTGTACGACCCTGCACAAAAGAAAAGGTAAGCAAATCTTCTTTTATTCTTTTAGCACACTATATTTGAGTTTAATTTTATTAAGGATATATTAACCTATCTTGACTCATACCAAAATTGACTATCATTCCTCAATGTCATGGGGGATTTGTTCTAAGACCTCTTGTGGATGCCAAAATCTTCAGATATTCAAGTGTATGGTATAAAAATCAAGTAATTGCACAAGACCTGTGTATATCCTCCTGTATATCTTAAATCATCTTTAGATTACTTATAATAGCTAATAAAATGTAAAAGCTATGCAAATAGTTGTTATACTGTACTGTTAGGAAATAATGACAAAAAAGTCTTTACATGTTCAGTGCAACTTTTTAAATGTTTTAAATAAAGTTTGGTTGAACCCATGGATGTGGAACCCACGGATATGGAGGGCCAAGCATAAATTGATATCAGAAACTGAATATATAATAAATCATCTGAAGCGTCAACATAATCAACAAAACAATACAGAATAAGAAAACTACAGCTAAGTATCCTTCATGAAAAATAGATGTAAAAATCCTTAATGATAAATTTCACTTAGATCCAACAGCATATAGAAAGATACTAACTTTCAATAGGTGGGAATTCCTCTCACATGAAAAGTTGATTGGACATCAAAAATATCAACAGATAAAATCCATCATATTATTAAGAAAATAAAGAGAAAGATTTATGATAATATCAACAGACAGAAAAAAAGCATTGAACTAAATATTCATTTAAGTGAAAAAACTTTCAGCATACTAGGAGAAGAAAGAAATTTCTCAATCTGAGGAAATATATGTATAAAAGCCTACAGGTAACAACACCCTTGAGTATGAAAGACTGAGCCTTTCCCCTAAGATCAGGACCAAAGAAAGATATTGATCACTCACAGAAGTATATTTGACATTGTTTATATGTCCTGGTCAGTGTCATTCAGAAAAAAATTAAAAACCCACAGAATTAGAAATAAAGAAAGTAACATCATCTTTATCCATAAATGGCATGATTGTATCCATAGAAAATCCTAAAGGCTAAGGACTTGTAGAATGGAGGAGTAAGGAGCTTAGCAAAATGTCTCCCCAGAGGAATATCTACTCAATTGGTAAAAATAATAAATATAAACTCTCCAGAATTTTTTAAAGGAAATATGGCAAATGAAGAAACTTGTATTCATGAAAATAAACTAAATCTCAGAAGAATGTGAGTCAGGGGTACTTGAGCTACAACACATTCCTATGTACTAACCCCCACATATTCCTTTGCAGCCCAGTGTGATGGAAGCTTTATCTTAGGTGGGTGCAGCCAAGAAGACAGAGTTTCCTCTTTTTTGAGCTCACAATAAAGAGCTATGGTGTACCCTGTAAAGAATGACAGCTAGTACTTCTCAGTCCTCTCTCAGCTCTGAGATGTGGAATCTCTATTACAGACATGAGCAGGCAAAAGACTGGGGTTCCCTTCATCTACCCAACTTCCATTCATAGGGCAGGAACTATATACCAAGAAGAATGACAGTATGGGCTCTAACCATCTCCACTTCAAGTTGCTTGTAAGACAGAGTTTCCTCACTAAAGAAGCAAACCAAGACGAGGAGAGTGAGCCAGACTGTAGAGTCTCTTTTACCCAGATTGTAGAGTCTTGTTAGCAGGGGAATCATGACACAAAGATTCTCCCAATGGAAAAAGCAGGAATTAAGAACATGGAGTTTCATGGCCCCATTTAAGAGTTCTGAATTTATTCAGCTTAGTGAAGTTTATGTCCTAAGCGCATTGCTAAAAACAGTGAAAATACACAGGTGAGAAATTGAGAGGATACTAGTAGTTCCAATATATTAATAACAACAAGAAAAACGATAGACCAGCTAGAAATTTAACAAAGAAAACCAGGAGTGAGACAACCAAGAAGTAAAGTCTTGGTGGTGGTGAGAGAAAGCTTCAAACTGGCAACACCTTGTCTCTGAAAAAGGGTCTAATGGTTCCGTTCCAAGATGGCCAAATAGGAACAGCTCCAGTCTGCAGCTCCCAGTGTTATAGACGCAGAAGATGGGTGATTTCTGCATTTCCAACTGAGGTACCTGGTTCATCTCATTGGGACTGGTTGGACAGCAGGTGCAGCCCATGGAGGGTGAGCTGAAGCAGGGTGGGGAGTTGCCTCACCCAGGAAGGGCAAGGGGTCAGGGGATTTCCCTTTCCTAGCCAAGGGAAGCTGTGACAGACTGTACCTGTAAAAACGGGACACTCCTGCCCAAATACTGCAATTTTCCAACATCATAGCAACCGGCAGACAAGGAAATTCTCTCCCGTGCCTGGCTTGGTGGGTCATACCCCCACAGAGACTTGCTTACTGCTAGTGCAGCAATTGATCAAACTGTAAGGCAACAGCTTGGCTGGGGGAGGGGCGTCCACCATTGCTGAGGCTTGAGTAGGTAAACAAAGCAGCTGGGAAGATCAAACTGGGTGGAGCCCACTGCACCTCAGAAAGGCCTACTGCCTCTATAGACTCCACCTCTGTGGGCAAGACATAGCTGAACAAAAGGCAGCAGATAACTTCTGCAGAATTTAACATCCCTGTCTGACAGCACTGAAGAGAGCAGTGGTTCTCCCAGCACGGCGTTTGAGCTCTGAGAATGAACAGACTGCATCCTCAAGTGGGTCCCTGACTCCCGTGTAGCTGAACTGGGAGACACTTCCCAGTAGGGGCTGACAAACACCTCATACAGGTGAGTGCCCCTCTGGGATGAAACTTTCAGAGGAAGGATCAAGCAGCAATATTTGCTGTTATGCAATATTTGCTGTTCTGCAGCCTCTGCTGGTGATACCCAGCAAACAGGGTCTGGAGTGGACCTCTGGCAAACTCCAACAGACCTGCAGCTGAGGGACCTGACTGTTAGAAGGAAAACTAACAATCAGAAAGGAATAGCATCAACATCAACAAAAAGGGCATCTACACCAAAACCCCATCTGTAGGTCACCAACATCAAAGATTAAAGGTAGATAAAACCACAAAGAAGGGGAGAAACCAGAGCAGAAAAGCTGAAAATTCTAAAAACCAGAGCACCTCTTCTCCTCCAAAGGATCACAGCTCTTCACCAGCAATGGAACAAAGCTGGGCAGAGAATGACCTTGACAAGTTCACAGAAGTAGGCTTCAGAAGGTCAGTAATAACAAACTTCTCCGAGCTAAAGGAGGATGTTTGAACCCATCGCAAGGAAACTAAAAACCTTGAGAAAAGGTTAGAGGAATGGCTAACTAGAATAAACAGTGTAGAGAAGATGTTAAATGACCTAAAGGAGCTGAAAACTGTGGCACAAGAACTTTGTGATGCAAGCCCAAGCTTCAATAGCTGATTTGATCAAGTGGAAGAAAGAGTATCAGGATTGAAGATCAAATGAATGAAATAAAGCGAGAAGACAAGGTTAGAGAAAAAAGAGTAAAAAGAAATAAACAAAGTCTCCAAGAAATATGGAACTGTATGAAAAGACCAAATCTATGTTTGATTGGTGTACCTGAAAGTGACGAGGAGAATGGAATCAAGTTGGAAAACACTCTTTAGGATATTATCCAGAGAACTTCCCCAACCTAGCAAAGCAGGTCAACATTCAAATTGTGGAAATACAGAGAACACCACAAAGATACTCCTGGAGAAGAGCAACCCCAAGACACATAATTGTCAGATTCACCAAGGTTGAAATGAAGGAAAAAATGTTAAGGGCAGCCAGAGAGAAAGGTCGGTTACCCAAAAAGGGCAGCCCATCAGACTAACAGAGGATCTCTCAGCAGAAACCCTACAAGCCAGAAGAGAGTGGGGGCCTATATTCAGCATTCTTAAAGAAAAGAATTTTCAACCCAGAATTTCATATCCAGCCAAACTAAGCTTCATAAGCAAAGGAGAAATAAAATCCTTTACCGACAAGAAAATGCTGAGAGATTTTGTCACCACCAGGCCTGCCTTACAAGAGTTCCTGAAGGAAGCACTAAACATAGAAAGAAACAACTGGTACCAGCCACTGCAAAAACATGACAAATTGTAAAGACCATCGATGCTATAAAGAAACTGCATCAGGCCGGGCGTGGTGGTTCATGCCTGTAATCCCAGCACTTTGGGAGGCTGAGGAGGATGGATCACGAGGTCAGGAGATCAAGACCATCCTGGCTAACACGGTGAAACCCCATCTCTACTAAAAATACAAAAAAAAATTAGCCAGGCATGGTGGTGGGCACCTGTAGTCCCAGCTACTCGAGAGGCTGAGGCAGGAGGATGGTGTGCACCCAGGAGGTGGAGCTTGCAGTGAGCCGAGATCATTCCACTGCACTCCAGCCTGGGTGACAGAGAAAGACTCTGTCTCAAAAAATAAAAATAAAAAAAAAAGAAAAGAGACTGCATCAATTAATGGGCAAAATAACAAGCTAACATCATAATGACAGAATCAAATTCACACATAACAATATTATCCTTAAATATAAATGGGCTAAATGCCCCAATTAAAAGACACTGACTGGCAAATTGGATAAAGAATGAAGACCCATCAGTGAAGACCCATCAGGAGACCCATCTCATGGCAGAGACACACATAGGTTCAAAATAAAGGGATGGAGGAAGATCTAACAGGCAATGGGAAAGCAAAAAAAAAAAAAAAAAAAAAAAAGCAGGGGTTTCAATCCTAGTCTCTGGTAAAACAGTCTTTAAACCAACAAAGATCAAAAGAGACAAAGAAGGCCATTACAGAATGGTAAACTGATCAATTCAACAAGAAGAGCTAACTATCCTAAATATATATGCATCCAATACAGGAGCACCCAGATTCATAAAGCAAGTCCTTAGAGACCTACAAAGAGACTTAGAATCCCACACAATAATAATAGGAGACTTTAACACCCCACTGTCAATATTAGACAGATCAACAAGACAGAATGCTAACAAGGATATCCAGGACTTGAACTCAGCTCTGCACCATACAGACCTAATAGATTTCTACAGAACTCTCCACCCCAAATCAACAGAATATATATTCTTCTCAGCACCACATTGCACTTATTCTAAAATGGACCACATAATTGGAAGTGAAGCACACCTCAGCAAATGTAAAAGAACAGAAATCACAACAAACTGTCTCTCAGAACACAGTGCAATCAAACTAGAACTCAGGATTAATAAACTCACTCAAAACCTCACAACATGGAAACTGAACAACCTATTCCTGAATGACTACTGGGTAAATAATGAAATGAAGGCAGAAATAAAGATGTTATTTGAAACCAATGAGAATGAAGACACCACATACCAGAATCTCTGGGACACATTTAAAGCAGTGTGTAGAGGGAAATTTATAGCACTAAATGCCCACAAGAGAAAGCAGAAAAAATCTAAATTTGATACCCTAACATCACAATTAAAAAAAACTAGAGAACCAAGAGCAAACACATTCAAAAGCTAGCAGAAGGCAAGAAATAACTAAGAACAGAGCAGAACTGAAAGTGATAGAGACACAAAAAAACCGTCAAAAAAAATCGATGAATCCAGGAACTGTTTTTTTAAAAATATCAACAAAATTGATAGACCACTAGCAGGACCAATAAAGAAGAAAAGAGAGAAGAATCCAATAGATGCCATAAAAGATGATAAAGGAGATATCACCATTGATCCCATAGAAATACAAACTACCATCAGAGAATACTATAAATACCTCTACAGAAATAAACTAGAAAATCTGGAAGAAAATGGATAAATTCCTGGACACATACACTCTCCCAAGACTAAACCAGGAAAAAGTTGAATATCTGAATAGACCAATAATAAGTTCTGAAATTGAGGCAATAATTAATAGCCTACCAAACAAAAAAAGTCCAGGACCAGATGGATTCACAGCCGAATTCTACCAGAAGTACAAAGAGGAGCTGGTACCATTCCTTCTGAAACTATTTCAATCAATAGAAAATGAGAGAGTCCTCCATAACTGATTTTATGAGGCCAGCATCATCCTGATACCAAAGCCTGGCAAAGACACAACACAAAAGCGAATTTTAGAGCAATATCCCTGATGAACATTGATGTGAAAATCCTCAATAAAATAGGATTCAGACGAACTGAATCCAGCAGCACATCAAAAAGCTTATCCACCACAATCAAGTCGGCTTCATCCCTGGGATGCAAGGCTGGTTCAATACATGCAAATCAATAAACGTAATCCATCACATAAACAGAACCAAAGACAAAAACCACATGATTATCTCAATAGATGCAGAAAAGGCCTTCAACAAAATTCAACAGCCCTTCATGCTAAAAACTCTCAATAAACTAGGTATTGATAGAATGTATCTCAAAATAATCAGAGCTATTTATGACAAACCCACAGCCAATATCATACTGAATGGCCAAAAACTGAAAACATTCCCTTTGAAAACTGGCACAAGACAAAGATGCCCTCTCTCACCACTCCTACTCAACATAGTGTTGGAAGTTCTGGCCAGGGCAATCAGGCAGGAGAAGGAAATAAAGGGCATTCAATTAGGAAAAGAGGAAGTCAAATTGTCCCTGTTTGCAGATGACATGATTGTATATTTAGAAAATCCCATCATCTCAGCCCCAAATGTCCTTAAGCTGATAAGAAACTTCAGCAAAGTCTCAGGATACAAAAGCAGTGTGCAAAAATCACAAGCATTCCTATACACTAATAACAGACAAACAGAGAGCCAAATCATGAATGAACTCACATTCACAATTGCTACAAACAGAATAAGATACCTAGGAATCCAAATTACAAGGGATGCAAAGGACCTCTTCAAGGAGAAATACAAACCATTGCTCAATGAAATAAAGAGTAGATAAACAAATGGAAGAACATTCCCTGCTCATGGATAGGAAGAATCAATATCATGAAAATGGCCATACTGCCCAAGGTAATTTATAGATTCAATGCCATCCCCATCAAGCTACCACTGACTTTCTACACAGAATTGGAAAAAACTACTTTAAAGTTCATATGGAACCAAAAAACAGCCCACATTGCCAAGACAATCCTAATCAAAAAGAACAAAGCTGGAGGCATCACGCTACCTGAATTCAAACTCTACTACAAGGCTACAGTAACCAAAACAGCATGGTACTGGTACCAAAACAGATATATAGACCAATAGAACAGAACAGAGGCCTCAGAAATAACACCATACATCTACAACCATCTGATCTTTGACACACCTGAAAAAAAACAAGAAATGGGGAAAGGATTCCATATTTAATAAATGGTACTAGGAAAACTGGCTAGCCATATGTAGAAAGCTGAAACTGGATCTCTTCCTTACACCTTATACAAAAATTAATTCAAGGTGGATTTAAAGAGTTAAATTTTAGACCTAAAACCGTAAAAACCCTAGAAGAAAACCTAGGCAAGACCATTCAGGACATAGGCATAGGCAAGGACTTCATGACTAAAACACCAAAAGCAATGGCAACAAAAGCCAAAATAGACAAATGGGATCTAATTAAACTAAAGAGCTTCTGCACAGCAAAAGGAACTACCATCAGAGTGAATAGGCAACCTACAGAATGGGAAACAATTTTGCAATCTACCCATCTGATAAAGGGCTAATATCCAGAATCTACAAAGAACTTAAACACATTTACAAGAAAAAAACGAACAACCCCATCAAAAAGTGGCCAAAGGATATGAAAAGACACTTCTCAGAAGAAGACATTTATGCAGCCAACAGACACATGAAAAAATGCTCATCATCACTGGTCATTAGAGAAATGCAAATCAAAACCACAATGAGATACCATCGCTCACCAGTTAGAATGGTGATCATTAAGAAGTCAGGAAACAGCAGATGCTACAGAGGATGTGGAGAAATATGAATGCTTTTACACTGTTGGTGGGAGTGTGAATTAGTTCAACCATTGTGGAAGACAGTGTGGTGATTCCTCAAGGATCTGGAACTAGAAATACCATTTGACCCAGCGATCCCATCCCTGGGTATATACCCAAAGGATTATAAATCATGCTACTATAAAGATACATGCACATGTATGTTTACAGCGGCACTATTCACAATAGCAAAGACTTGGAACCAACCCAAATGTCCATCAATGATAGACTGGATAAAGAAAATGTGGCACATATACACCATGGAATACTATGCAGCCATAAAAATGGATGAGTTCATGTCCTTTGGAGGGACATGGATGAAGATGGAAACTATCATTTTCGGGAAACTCTCACAAGGACAGAAAACCAAACACTGCATGTTCTCACTCATAGGTGGGAATTGAACAATGAGAACACTTGGACACAGGAAGGGGAACATCACACACCAGGGCCTGTGGTGGGGGTGGGAGATTGGGGGAGGGATTGCATTAGGAGAAATACCTAAGGTAAATGATGAGTTGATGGATGCAGCAAACCAACATGGCACATGTATACATATGTAACAAACCTGCACATTGTGTACATGCACCCTAGAACTTAAAGTATAACAAAAAAATAAAAAGAAGAAAAGGGGTCTAACATTAATTTAATCAGACTGTGTAGCAATTAATGCACAAGGCATTTTCAGAAACATGTATCAATTAGCTAGCAATTAGTGGAGGCTAACAGCTGAGTGTGATACCAGTCAAGGTAGATTATGTAAAAACTTATTGGGGAGATCACGGAAAGGCAGTCAAAGAGAGCACGGCCACAACCACACTGATGCTGGTATTCAACAACAGTGTGTGTTGCCTGATGCTATACCATCTACAGAGAGACATCAGGCTGCACTCTGCAGAAAAAAAAAATCAACTTTATTGAAGTAGTTAAGCCAAATTATAAAGAAAAATAATAAGTATACATTATCAATGATAACAAGTCCTAGACTGGGGCTGGGGTTAAGTCTCCTCAATTTCTAAAATATATTGTGAAATGTCCAGTTTTCAACAATAACAGAAACAATCTCATGAGACATACGAGGCAAAAGAAAGTTTGACCCATTCACAGAAAAGCAAGTAGACAATAGAAACTGCCTTTAGCCGGGCGTGGGGGCTCACGCCTGTAATCCCAGCACTTTGGGAGACCGAGGCGGGCAGATCACAAGGTCAGGAGATCGAGACCTTCCTGGCTAACAAAGTGAAACCCCGTCTCTACTAAAAATACAAAAAATTAGCCGGGCGTAGTGGCGGGCGCCTGTAGTCCCAGATACTCCGGAGGCTGAGGCAGGAGAATGGCGTGAACCCAGGAGGCGGAGCTTGTAGTGAGCCGAGGTCGCGCCACTGCACTCCAGCCTGGGCGACTGATCAAGACTCCGTCTCAAAAAAATAAAAGAAACTGCCTTTGAAGGAGCCCTGATATTGGACTTAGAAAAGACTTCAAAGCATCTGTGATAAATATGTTCAAAGAACTAAAACTACCATGTTTAAAGACCTAGAGGAAAGTGTGATGACAATAACTTGTCAAATAAGTAATATCAATAAAATGATAGGTGGAGGGGGAAAGGACAAAAAGAAAATCCTGGAGTTGCAAAGTAAATTTATCAAAATTTATATAACAATAACAACCGCAAGGGAATGAAGCAGAAGTAGAAAAAAATTGAAAACCTAGGTTTAGAAAACCTTTGCCCAACCACTTTCGGTATAATAGTCTGATGCATATTTGGAGCGGATGAACATATTTGAGGTACACAGAGTAGCTGCACTGCTATGTGGGCACATCTTTACATACAAGGGAAGGGAGGTGGATTTTTTTGTTTACTCATGCATACATGTATATGCATATTTGTTTGTTGTGTGTATAAAAAAGATAGAAAAACAGGGTCAGGCGTAGTGGCTCACGCCTATAATCCCAACGCTTTGGGAGGCCGAGGCAGGTGGATCACTTGAGGTCAAGAGTTCAAGACCAGCCTGACGAACAGGGTGAAACACCGTCTCTACTAAAGATACAAAATTAGCCGGATGTGGTGGCGCACGTTTGTAATCCCAGCTACTGGGGAAGCTGAGGCAAGAGAATCGCTTGAACCTGGGAGACAGAGGTTGCAGTGAGCCCAGATCTCGCCATTGCACTCCAGCCTGGGCAACAAGAAGGAAACTCCGTCCAGAAGGAAGGGAAAGGGAGGGGAGGGGAGGGGAGGGGAAGGGAGGGAAGGGAAAGGAGAAGGAAAAGAAAGGCCAAGCAAGTTAGAATGGGTTTTTAGACCACAATATTTCTAAATTTGTTAAAGATATTATATCAATATTAATTAATTTCCAAAAAAGTAAGCCTCATACCCAGAGGGTTTAACTGATGAATTCTACCAAATATTTAAGAAAGGAATGATACCAGTCCTCCACAACATTTTCTACAAAACAGAAGTAGAAGGAAAATTTCCAAATAATTCGATGAGAGTGACATATCATACTGCCAAGATAAATAAAGATATTATAAGAAAAGAATGCTGAAATCCAATATCTCCCATGAATTCTGATGCAAAATCCACAGCAAAATATTAGTAAATCTCATCTGAATATGTATATAAAGTATTATATACCACAAATATAAAATTTACTCAACATATACAAGATGGTTGAACATTCAAAAGTCAATTAATGTAATCCACTACATTAATAGTCTAAAGAAAAAGCATATGGTCATATCAATTAATTCAGGCAAAATTATTTGACAATATCTAACATCCATTCATGATAAGACTGTAAGCAAATCAGGATTTGAGGAAAAGTTCAACAACTTGATAAAGAACATCTATGATAAACCTAGGGCTAATATATTTAATCATAAGAAACTCAACACTGTCTCATTGAGATCCAGAACAAGGTGAGAATTTCATTTCTCAACCTTACTTTTCACCATTGCAATGGAAGTCTGAGCTACTGTAATAAAAGAAGAAAAGGATATAAAAATATACAAATTTGGAAGGAGAAAATAAAATTGTCCCTGTTTGTCTGATGACATAATTATCTATGTAGAAAACCCCCCAAAATTGATGATAAAGCTTCTGGAAATAAAAGATGATAACACCAACATGTTAGTATGCAAAGATAATATACAAGTATCAATTGCATCTTATATACAACCAGTGGAATCAAATTTTGAGAAAGTTGAAAAAACACTGCCATTTATAAGAGTAACTCCAAAAATGAAATTCTTAAGGATAGATTGCACAAAATATGTACAGAACCTATATTCAAAGAATTACAAAATTTTGATGAAAGAATTCAAATATGTAACTAGATATTCCATGATCATAGATTGGAAGATTCAATACTGTTAAGATTACCATTCTTGCCCACTCGATCAATAGATTTAATGTAATCCCAATCAAAATACATCAAATTATTTTATAGATATTGAAAAATTGATTCTAAAATGTATGCAGAAAAGCAAAAGACTAAGGATAGCCAAAATAATACTAAAGAATAACAGTATTGTAGGTCTCACACTATTTGACCTCCACACCTATTATAAGCCTAATCAATACAGATGGCATTCGTGAAGGATGGACACATAGATCACTTGATCAGAATAGAGATCCCAGAAATAAACCAACATAAATATAGTCAAGTGATCTTTAACAAAGGAACAAAAGCAATTCAACAGAGAAAGGATAGTTCTTTCAACGAATGATGCTGGAAAAAAATTGCTTAGCCATGCTGTATGCAAAAAACAAATCTAAACACAGACTTTATCCTTTTAATAAAATTCACTCAAAATAATTAATGGCCTCAATGTAAGATGCAAAATATATTCTCCCAGAATATGTAGAAAATAGAGGACCTTAGTTTTGATAATGAGTTTTTTTATTCAGCATCAAAAACACAAGCCATTTTTAAAAGTTTGAAAGTTTGACTTTATTAAAAGTAAAACATTTCCTCGGCTAAACATACTGGAGTTGCAAAGTACATTTATCAAAATTTATATAACAATAACAACCATGAAGGAACGAAGCAGAAGTAGAAAAAAACATTGAAAACCTAGGTTTAGAAAACATCGGCCCAACCACTTTGGGTTAAGAGAATGAAAAGACAAGCTAATGACTTGGGAAAAATGTTTGTAAAACACATCTTCCATAAATATATATAAAATATAAAAATAACTCATTAAACTCAACAGTAAGAAGATGATCCAATTTTTTAAATGGGCAGACGATTTTAATGGTTGCAAAAAAATAATTTATGGCAAATGAGAATATGGAAAGACACAACAGTATTTGTCATTAGGTAGTTACAAACTGAAACAATGTGATAGCACTACACTACTATTGGAAGAACTGAAACAAATGTTTTAAAGCCTGAAAATTAAAAAAAAAAGTTTCTTAGAATGACAGGAACTCTTATTCATTGCTCATAAAATAGTACAGCCAGTTTGGAAGACAGTTTCGAAGTTTCTCCTAAAGCTCAACTTAGTTTTACTAAAATGATCCATCTATAGCCCTCCTCGGTATTTATCCCATTGAGTTGAAAACTTATGTCCACACAAACGTAAATGTGACTGTTCATGTTTATAGCAACATTATTTGTAATTGCCAATGGGTGGAATCAGCTAAGTTGTCTTTCAGTAAGTGAATGAATAAATAAATAATAGTCTATTCATATAATGAAATTTTATTCAGCAATAAAAACAAATGAGCTACCAAGCCATGAAAAACATGGGTAAATCTTAAATGCACATTCTACCTAAAAAGAGCCAGCCAGAAAAGACAACATACCATATGATTCCAATTATGTTAAGTTATGGGAAATGCAAAAATGTAGACAGAATAAAAAGTCAGTAGTTGCCAGGGTGCTCAATAGGTGAAATACAGGGAAATTTAGGGTGCAAAACTACTCTATATAATATTGTAATAGTGGATGCATGACACTATGCATTTGTCAAAACCCATAGAACTTTACCACACAAAAAATAAAACTTCAGTTCTACAATAATTTAGGGAATTGAGGGATCCCAGGATGGAATGTAGACTGTGACATACCAATCTAAGGATAATACAAATACATAAAATAACCTCATTGAAGAGGTATAGAAAGTAGGGGAATGAGCTAACCTAAACAACTTTCAAAACTAGTGTAAAGGCTAAAAACTAAAGGGAAAGGAACTGTAAATAAGCACGCACTCTAGTTAATGAGATTATTCCCATAGGGAAACAATCCTTGTACTCATGCATTTGCATTGCAATTGAACAAATAAGTAAATGTATGGGAAATAGAATAAACCATATTTGCACTGTTAAAGTGGGAATTTATAGACAAGTAAGTGGAGGAGATTAGAATGATCAAGTGGTAATTGATTGTACTTGTAGCCATCAGTATGAACTTATTTTTAGATTAATATAGATGATAGAAACATTCACAGGTATGTATACACACATTATTATACACACATATATTTTCTTGTTTTATCAGTTGAGATCAATGGCTTATTCTAAGCTTAAGAAATATAGACAATGAGACTGGAGCATCTTATTGAGCTAGGATAAAGAGACCAATAGTAAATAAATAAACCCTACCTTTACGTGGCATGCAAAAGACACATCTGCCAATAGAAAGATATCCTGATGGCCAAAAGGTGGAACTAATAGTGACAGGAGACAGATAAATTCCCAGGCAGAAAGGGATTAAAAAAGGCACTAGGTGCCACTCCCTCTCGCTAGCAGAGCTATGGGTGGTAGGAGTAAAAAAGCTGTAACCCTCCCTCCCACTTGCTGAACAGGAGAGAAGAAGCCACTGAGTGCCACTCCCTCACCTAGTTGAGCTAAGGGAGTAAAGAAGTGAAGTCTCTGCCTCCAGGGGCCACTCCCTCCTGCTCCTCAAACTACAGGAACAAAAAGGCTGCAACAGAACCATTTGAGAAACAAAATAAATGTTAGACAGGGAGGTGGGTGTAACTACACAGTGGAGAAATCTGACAAACACTACCTCAACCAGGTCATCAAGTTCAGCATGTACTTAAATCATGTTGATAGTGTGCACACTTGATATGGTGTGATGAAAATCTTACTTCTGTGATGAAATTTTACTTCTGTCATCTTTTTCTCCAAGCCTCCTAACCCTAATATAAACATGAAAAAAAGCACAAAAGAAATTCCAATAGAGAGTCATATTACAAAATATTCAACCAGTACGCCTCAAAATTGTCAAAGTCATTAAAAAACAAGGATGTTCCCTTTCCCTCATTCTTGCAAATAAATAGAAAAAGGAAAGTCTGAGAAACTGTCATAGCCCAGAGGACTCTAAAGAAATGTGATAACTATATGTAATGTAATATCCTGAACGTGACCCTGGAACAGAAAAAGGAACATTAGGTAAAAACTAAGATAATCTGAAAAAAGTATCAATTTTCATTAATGATAATGTATCAAAATTTTTCATTTATTGTAATAAAATACCATATGAATGTAAAATAATAATATCAAAAACTAGGTTCAGGATATATAGAAACTCTGTGTACTATCTTCTCACTTTTTCTGTAAATCTAAAAGTGTTATAAAATCTGTTTAAAGTAAATTTAAAAATGAGAAAAAGATTCCTTGCAAACATTAATTTTTAAAAAGCAAGAGTGACTATACTATATTACATAAAGTCAAATTTAATTTCTTTGCATCATTAACATTTATGTATAAAGCTCAAGAAACCTAAAACATAAGAATATTACAATTTGAGTTTCATGGTATCTATTCACTAGGATTTCTTTTATACATACTGACTTGAAATAAACAAATTATCTCTATGTTACTGTATTATGTTGAAATTCTAAAGGTTAAATTTTATGATGAAATATGCATTTCTCCATGTATTTATCTTTTATGTTCTTGCAAATTTGTTAAGAAAACTGCCTAAGGCTCACTCATTTAGAGAAAATAAGAAGAAAAATATTGGGCATTTGGATCAAAATTGGTTATTATATTTGAAAAGATAAAAATTAAATTTTCCATTTGCAACAAGATATTTCTTATATTCAGACTCAAGAAAAGGGAAATATCTGAATTTAGAAGGCATAGAAAATAATAAAGTCAAAAATTTCTTTTAAATGTAACCTATTCACATATAAAACTACTATTTTACAATACTTCTCACATTAAATATCAGTGTGCTAAAGGTTATTTCCACTGCCAGTCAAGAATTAATTCATATCAGTATATTATGTTCTTGTGCCTATTTTAACATTACTGTACATTTCCTTTTACAAATTACTGGAAAAATTATTTCACCATCATTTTGTTTAATGATTAGTAGTTATTGAAAGGTCTCTATTCCATAAAATAAGTAGAAACAAAAGTAAAATAAATTGTCTATACTTTACTAGATTTAACATTTCCATCAACAAAGAATGCTTTTAGAAATCAGTATCAATGTCATCAAGCTTAAGTCAACACAATTTGTATAATATCATTCAAAATATCATTGCTTCACAAATTGTTGATATTTAATCAATGAAATTTGAATATCCCTAAAAAGTGGAAATTCTTTTTACATTACCTTCTAGTTCATTTGATTTCTTTTTATATTTAGGAACTTAGTATAAAAGAAGCCAACTATATCCATAGTTTTGAGAATTAGGTTGATGTATAAAATTTATGTTAATCATATTCTTTAGAAATATAACATATTACACATTTACGTTTCTAGGAACTTTTCAAATTTCTATTAACCTATATATCTGTGGAAACACAGACTACTTAAAAATTACATACATGAAATACCTTAAAAATTAACTCAAAATTTATAAGATGCCCTTGATCTCCGCACTACCTCTATGAACTCCAAGATTTCCTATCTTTAATTTGATGGCAACAGAGGGCAAAGAACACAATGTAAAATTATGAGAACCTAATTTATTTGCAGAAGCTTAAAACACATCAATGAGAAGAACAAGAGTTCTCCTGCACCCCTAAATATTCAAACTCACAAAGTTAATATGATCCCAATTATCTATAACTCACATCTGTTTCCACTAGATCCCATCATTTTTTTCAATGAAAAACAAGGAAAAATCTCACTCATCCAAAATCTGCCCAATGTAGGGTCAACCACCACCAATTCCTGCTTAATTTTTTTTTGAGTAAGAAGTTTTGCCCATTCTAATATCACTAATATGAGGAGAAAACTTATGATGAGTCTATTTTGGTTGAATCTTTCATTCTACTTTGCAAACTATAACAATATCCTTGTTTAATCACTCATGAGCTCTCAACTATGTAAAGACTGAAGCCTCCCAACCACTTACTCTCACCCGTTTTCACATATCCTCTAACAAATCCTAGTTTTCCTAAATGCAACCATTTAATAAATAAATAGTGTGTTTTATTTATAATAACACCACTATGAAAAGAGGTAAGAATGAAATAAACTAAAAGTGTGAATATGTACATGGAAGAAGATTATAAAAATCCACTGGGATACATAAATGAGGTTTAAAGAGGTTTGTAAGTTATCTCAAAAGTGGAAATGCATAAATCCCTAAGAAATTAATGTTGAAATCCACTGTGATTTTCATCAGATATTGCTTTGTTTCTTTTCTTCTTTTGCTTACTTTACTCTAAATTTTGTTATTGTTTTTGTTGATTTTGGAAACTTAACAAATGAGTATAAATTTGATCTAGTAAAACAAATATTTGTAAATAGCTGGCAAATTGTTTTTTAAAATGTTGTGAAGGTGATCATACTATAGCAGATACTAAAAAGTGATATAAAATTACAGTAATTAAAACTGAATGGTAATGGTTTATGATGAGACAGATTCAACTGAAATAACAATCAGTAATTAATCTAAAGTATAAATATGTACCTGTTACATACTAAATACTATGTCAGTGAGCTACTTTACAGTTCCAAATGGCTGGAACCAAAATGACTTAAGTACAATGGAAAAAGGATTCACTATTCAATAAATGGTACTGGGATAGCTGGCCAGCACTATGCAGAAGAATGAAACTGGACTACTACTTTTCACCATATATAAAAATTAACTCAAGATGGATTAGAGATTTCAATGTAAGATTTCAAACTATAAGAAAGCTAGAAGAAAACCTAGGAAATACCAGTCTGGATATGTGCTTTGGGAAAGAATTTTTGACTAACACCTGAAAAGCAATTGCAACAAAAACAAAAATTTACAAGTAGGACATAATTAAAGTAAGCATTTGCACAGCAAAAGACACTTATCATCAGAGTAAACACACAACCCACAAAATGGGAGAAAATATTCACACACTGGGCATCCAATAAAAGTCTAATAGCCAGAGTCTATAAGGAACTTACACAATTGAACAAGCAAAAAAAATTGCCTCATTTTAAAAAATGAGCAAAATACATGAACAGACACTTCTAAAAAGAAGACATACAAGCTACCAACGAACATATGAAAAAATGTTCAGCATCACTAATCATCAGAGAAATGCCAATCAAAACCGCAATGAGATATTATCTTACACCAGTCAGACTGGTTATTATTAAAAAGTCAAAAAACAACAGATGTTGGTGAGGCTGTGGAAGAATGGGAA
This sequence comes from Homo sapiens, assembly GCF_000001405.40. Lineage (NCBI taxonomy): Eukaryota > Metazoa > Chordata > Mammalia > Primates > Hominidae > Homo > Homo sapiens. Next base: position 96,542,147 of record NC_000003.12, read on the forward strand.
TGCTTATACATTGACAGTGGGAATGTAAATTAGTTCATCCCCTGTGGAAAGCAGTTTGGAAATTTCTCAAAGACCTTAAAACATAACTACAATTCAACCCAGCAATTCCATTACTGGATACATATCAAAAGAAAACAAATTGTTCTACCAAAATAATACATGTGGCCAAACACAGTGGCTCATGCCTGTAATCCCAGCACTTTGGGAGGCCAAGGTGGGTGGATCACCTGAGATCAGGAGTTCAAGACCAGCCTGGCCTGGTGAAACCCTGTCTCTAATAAAAATACAAAAAAAAATTAGCCAGGGGTGGTGGTGCATGCTTTTAATCCCAGCTACTCGGGAGGCTGAGGTAGGAGAATCACTTGAACCCGGGAGGCAGAGGTTGCAATGAGCCAAGACCATTCTACTCCAGCCTGGGCAACAAGAACCAAACTTTGTCTCAAAAAAAAAAAAAAAAAAAAAAAAGACACATGCACTTGCATGTTCATCACAACACTATTCACAATAGAAAAGTCATGCCATCAACCTAGGCTTCCATCAGCAGTGGATTGAATAAAGAAATGTGGTACTTATATGCCATGGAATACTATATAGCCAAAAAAAGAATGAAATCATGTCCTTTGCAGCAATATGGATGCAGCTGGAGGCCATTATCCTAAGTGAATTAATGCAGGAACAGGAAACCAAATACTGCATGTTCTCACCTATAGGTGAGAGTTAAACATTGAGTACTTATGGACATTAAGATGGCAATAATAGATGCTGGGGACTACTAGATGGGGGAGGAAAGGAGAAGGAAAAGGGTTAAAAAAAAAACTAACTGTTGCATACTGTGCTCAGTACCTGGATAAAGGGATTATTCATACCTTAAACCTCAGCATCACACAATATACCCATGTAACAAACCTGCACATATAACCCATGAGTCTAAAATAAAAGTTGAAAGAAAAAAAAAAGACTTAAGCAAAAGATTTTGGTTGACTTAGAGGGTTTAAAAGGTGCTCAAATTATGTCTATGTCATCGGATTTTCTCTTTCTCATCTCCTTTCTCCTCCCCAAAGTTTTTATTTTCAGCCAGATTTCCACTCCAGCTTTCAAAATAGACATACAGCATAAGGTCCTACCTACATCCTCTCTCATTTAAGTTTTGTTGGAAAATCACAAAAACACTTTTCAAAAGTCCTAGTTTTTTTGGTGTGTCTGAAATGGCAAAATGGCAATACTGAAACTAATCGATGTGCTAATTGACTGAAGCCTGAGTCATTTTCTCTATAGATACAGTTTGGAGATAGAGATTCACTCATTAGTTATATATATATATATATATATATATATATATATATATATATATATATTAATAGAGCTTCACTCACAAGTTATATATATATATATATATTATAAGTATTCCCTATAATGCTGTTGTCTAAAGGAATTTGTATATCTGCAAATGATACATGTCTGGCCTTCAATTTTACGTGTTCTAATTTTCAAGTTTTATTTTATTATTTAAGGGTTAAATATTAAAAATCTGAATATCTATGAAAGAGAGAATGTTGCAGAACCATGTGATGTAAATCAAGAAGAAATGACATCCCAAATGGAGGTGAATATATTTGTTTTGAATAAAGGAAAGAAACTTTTCTTCTATTGATAATAGGGCAATCGGTAAATATGAAGTAAAGCTGGTGGATGGTAGCAGAAGGGAATATTGCCTAATGACCTAAACAGCAAGAAGGTTTACATAAAGGAAGTAAAGAGGAAATTATGAGGTAAAAACCTTAATGAAAAAGTAAAAAGTATTGAGAAACTAGGGCAATAGGAGATGGAGTTAATAGTCCACTTAAAATTAGAGAACAAAAATTTTAGTTGCATAAAAGTAAAGACACACAGTTGTATTGTTTTATCCAAAAGTGACTTAAAGGTACTACCTTGGAATAAAGATGCATCATATTTGTTTGACTGGGGATTGCACAACAGCTGCAACACAAAGGACAGAAAGTGCAATAAAACTGAGTATAACCATAAGAGATTGATTGATGATGAGATCTGGGCTGGATAGAAAAGAAAAAGAAAACTGCGGCATAATAAGAAATAGAAAAGAAATTGGAGATCTTGATGAAACGGAAAAGATGTCTATTGACATTGGAGAGTCATAGAGCAGCAAAAATCTGAGCATGTATCCCAAGAGTGCAAGACTAATTTAAAAGCTGAAGAGATTTTAGAAAATGAGTTCTGGGTTGTGATCCTGGGAATGAGATTACTGAAGTGGCAGATGAATAAAGGTTATTCATATTTAGCTGAGATTCATGCAAGTTTTAATGTGTCTTCTAGACTAATCCAAGTTTAACCCAATGTTGTGATAGAATGGTTCTGTGAGTGGTCAGAAGAATCTGATTTAGTTCTAGATTCTGCACACTCTGTTTTCCAAAATAGATATAGAAATATGGAAGTTACCATTGATGACAAAAAGATCCCTAAATAGTGTTTAAAGTTTCATTTATGTGTGTGATAATTCACCTGTTCCTTCTTCAAAAAAATGTTATAAGGGGCTCAATTTGTCAAACATAGCTATATACTTGAGGGATATAAAGAATAATATAACATGATCTCTGCTTCAAAAAAACAAAATGTATGCTAGGCATATTAACATGGAAGAAGACAAAGAATACAGTGCAGAAAAAAAAAGGAAGAGTAGAAGCCAAGAAAGAAATAATAGAGGAGAGTTTCTTATTATCTAAAGTAACTAGAGGAAAGGAGAGGAAGGAAGGAAAATAGATGTTTTACTCCAGAGAAATTATTTAAGGATAGATTACTAAACTACCAATTAAGATTAAACCCATAATCCTCTTCATCAAAGACAAAAAGAATGCTTGGATTATCTAAAAACTACCCTAATCAGAAAAATTACTAGAACTTGTTTCATTAATGTCATATTCGAATGATTATTAGCAAGAAGCAATGCAGCGTATTAATACAAAATTTTAAAATATTAAATTCAATATATTCTCAGATTCTTAAAAATGAATAAGGAAAATTATAAGGCTTAAATCTGGGAACATAAAATTTACTCAAACTGAAATGCTAACACATACTATAAAAACTACTAGTAAAATAATTCTAAGACATATATGTCATACTTCGTTTGCAGTACTTTCCATCTCGTGTTATTCACAGAATGATGGAAAAATGTTTTAGGTTATACCAGCCAAGAAAGTGTGTATACTTTAAATTACAATTTCTAATTTCACATGGGCTAAGAAGACCTTCAAAATCTAATTTACAATGTATTGACATATTTCATTTACCAATGTTCATAACTGTAAATCAGCTTTTCTTTGTGATGCTAAGATGAAAACTGGCACCCAGGCTCTGTTTGCTGCTGAGATACAGAGACTTTGGGCACATCTACATAACTCCTAGGACGAATCTATATATTCAGGAATGTCGGGTAGGAGGAGACAGGCATAACAAACTTGACCTAATATTGAGTCTTATTTTTCTGAGTTAAAGAAAAATGTGTGCAATACAACAACTATCATACAGATTTAACTTTTGGTTTAAACCTCAATGTATTAATCTCTCAGTCCTATGGTAGACAGGAAACAGGAATTAAAAGCTGTAAAAGGTATGGTACTAAATTTATTAAAACCTTTGGGCACCCAGATAATTCTTTTGAGATCTTTATAGGGATGTAATATAAAAGAAAAAGAATTCTTTTCCATGTATTTGTCAAGATAAATTAAGCTATGCTATGTAATGGATAAACACAGAAATCAATCTGATGTGAGTTGGCAAGTATTTCTCCAACTAGTCTTTCTCTAGCTAGAATATTTCAATCACATCATCTCTCTAAGGTCACAATATTAAAGGAAAAGAAGAAAGCTAAGGAAGGCACCCTAGCTCTTACCTGCCGTGGCCCAGAAGTGCCTTATGGCATTTCCACTCATAATTCAATCCATTATTCACTCACAGTGTTTCACCTAACTGCAGGAAAGTTTGCAAAATCAAGTGTTCCCAAGAGTTCAGAAAAAAAAAAAAATGCAAGCCAGCAGGATTTGGTGCAACCTAGCATTTTATCTTTCTCACGCCAGCCTGTCACTTGGATGCTGATCAATGTCTACTCAGGGTGCGAACAGTGTTTCTCAGAGGGCAATGGGTATTAGATTAGCAGGGGGTAACTTGGGAAGGCAGTGGGAAAGATTAAAGCACAAAGTTGAACTCCTTTAGAGTAACAGCTGATCCATATAACAGGAGCAGCCATATTTACAGGAGGAAAGGAAACTTCCCTATGATAAGCACCTAGCACAAGTTAGTTATGAAACTTGATAATGGAAAGAAAATGCTGATGAGGAATGAAGAAACTAAAGTTGCTCATGTTTATTTCATGCTTTCTCTAATTTCTTCTTTTGTTCAATTTGTTAAGGGGACTACTTTTGAATGTCAGTCTTGTGCAATTAAATAAAATTATTGGTGCCCTGAGGTGTTTATGGGTGAACTCAAGGTGAATTGGATTTAAGTAGTATGTCTTTGAATTTCCATCTTAGAATGCTCTTATTCTATTCTATTCTGGAAATATCTGTTGCTTCTTTTACATGTAAAACATTACTAGAGGCACTAAGGGAAATAGAGAGTTGAGTAAATGTCTCTTCTCCCAACAAACATTCAGAAAAAGAGAATAGTGAGTTACATTCAAAAATAATTATGGGGCAAAACAAACAATGGTATGTCTAGTAAATGTGGTACAAAATAATGTAGGATATCAACAAAAGGCAACAGGTCTAGTTAACAAATAAAGAAAAACTGAAAAAATATACTTTCTGAAAAAAAATCTTCTCTTTAAATTTATACCCAAAAATTCTCATGAATTTAAACATAGGCTTTGATGGAATTGACAGATAATTCCTGATTTGCCCAAACCCCAGAATATAATTTCCATCTTCCTGTTGAACATATCTAATATATTAATAGCCCCTTCTTCCTGACTGCTACTGGTTCCACTGTTTTTCCAGCCAAACTGACTTAGAATAAATATGTTAACTTTCCTTTATGAATCATTTTCTATATTTGATCAGTTAAGATTCATTTTCCCCCTATTCACACTCTACTTTATCAAAACTGGATATTATTTCTCTGTTATATCTTATAATATTTCTCCCCATATGCTCTATCTATACTTTACTTATTTAATATCAATCTATTGATGCATTCCTACATCAGTGCATTCTGCTGTCTGCCTTTCAAAGCCCTGTCCTAACACAAATACCACACTAGAAAATTAGTCCTAGTCCTCTTAGACAAACGGAATGATAAATTATTCAGAATTTATTTGGTGAATAACTCTTTATTTTAGTCTATATTACACAGTTTTGCTTGCTTGTTTTATTATTAGCCCCCTCCCCAACCCCCCAGTATTCACCTGCTTGAAGACAGGAAGCATGAATGACTATATTTTGAGCTTATTATGTTCTTAATACTACATATTTTGAGTTACAGTGAACTCTGTACCACTTGAAATTGAAGGAGAAGCCACAAATCCAGCAGCAAGAGACAGTAAAATACTTTTAAAATAGTCTCTTCAATATTCTATAGTGTATAATTTAAACCATGATAATTAGAGAATTGATTGTATAATAGTATATGTTCAATTTTTAAATACAGGTATTTATTATTTATAGTCCTTTGTAATACTACAATTTACTAAAATAATGACAGTTTTACTTTCCCAAAACAAGAACACTGTCTACTTACAGCCAATATTTTCTTCTGGCCCCAACAAATATAAAAGTTTTAGACAGAAAAAAAAGTGCTCCTATTTACCACTTTCCAACAATGAAAAGTTGCAACATAATTAACCCTAGTACAGCTTGCCAAGTCCCACTGAACCTGGCAGGAAAAGGTCAAAATATTTATACATTATTTTATGTTCCAATATTAGTAATAGGTTAAGAGAAAGCGACAATTTAAGAAAAAAAAATGGACCTTTTAAAGATCTGAAGTAGAAGTACTGTCACGGAAAAAAATTATGGGATCATACAACTCTAGTAAAAATGTCAACTTGCCTGTTTCAGTGTTTTATACATTGGTTAGTAATAGTGCCAAGATATCATCTCACAATGGAAAATAATAAATTCTGCCACCATTATCTGAAATATATGGGCCCCCACAGAGACTGCTTTTCTTTATAGATCCTGGTGCAGTGTGGCCTCACTTCAGCTCATAAAACATGGGCCTGTCAAAACGTCTTATGATTAGTAGAGAAGTATATTTTGAGTGTTTCACAGGGAGGAGTTGGTTTATCCTTCAGAATACAGATTATATTTCAAGAGAAAATGTCTCACACTAGAAACAATAAAATTATGATTATATGATGTTTCTGCCATTGTCTTTTGGCAGAAAATGAGCTCATTCATTAAAGTAAGATACTTAATTCTTTTCAAACATATTTAAAAATTTTATAAGACTATTATAACAATAGAAAACATACAAGTCTAAATTACCAAAATTTTCAGTTGGTAAAACAATAAAATCTGTTCATATCCTTGGCTGAATTTTTGAGGGGATTGTTTGTTTTTCCTTGTAAATTTGTTTAAGTTCTTGGTAGATTCTGGATATTAGCCCTTTGTCAAATGGATTGACTGTAAAAATGTTCTTCCATTCTGTAGGTTGCCTGTTCCCTCTAATGATAGTTTGTTTGGCTGTGCAGAAGCTCTTTAGTTTAATTAGATCCCATTTGTCAATTTTGGCTTTTGATGTCAATTTTGGTGTTTTAGTCATGAAGTCTTTGTCCATGCTTATTTCCTTAATGGTATTGCTGAGGTTTTTGTCTATAGGTTTTATGGTTTGAGGTCTTACATTTAAATCTTTAATCCATCTCGAGTTAATTTTTGTAGAAGGTGTAAGGAAGGTGTTCAGTTTCAGTTTTTTGCATATGGCAGGCCAGTTTTCCCAACACCATTTATTAAATAGGGAATCCTTTTCCTATTGCTTGTTCTTGTCAGGTCTGCCAAAGATTAGATGGTTGTAGATGGGTGGCATTATTTCTGAGGCCTCTATTCTGTTCCATTGGTCTACATATCTGTTTTGGTACCAGTACCATGCTGTTTTGGTTACTGTAGCCTTGTAATATAGTTTGAATTCAGGTAGTGTGATGCCTCTAGCTTTGTTCTTTTTGCTTAGGATTGTTCTTTTTGCTTTGTTCTTTTTGCTTAGGGCTCTTTTTGGGTTCCATATGAAATTTAAAGTAGCTTTTCCCAATTTTGTGAAGAAAGTCAAGGGTAGCTTGATTGGGATAGCATTGAATCTATAAATTTTCAGAAGAAGACATTTATATGGCCAAAAAACATATGATAAAAAAGCTCATCATCACTGGTCATTAGAGAATTAGAGAAATGCAAATCAAAACCACAATGAGATACCATCTCACACCAGTTAGAATGGCGATCTTTAAGAAGTCAGGAAACAACAGATGCTGGAGAGGATGTGGAGAAATAGGAATGCTTTTAAACTGTTGGTGGGAGTGTAAATTAGTTTAACCATTGTGGAAGACAGTATGGCGATTCCTCAAGGATCCAGAACCAGAAATACCATTTAACCCAGCAATCCCATTACTGGGTATATACCCAAAGGATTATAAATCATTCTACTATAAATATTCATGCACATGTATGTTTATTGCAGCACTATTCACAGTAGCAAAAACTTGGAACCAACCCAAATGCCCATCAATGATAGATTGGATAAAGAAAATGTGGCACATATACAACATGGAATACCATGCAGCCATAAAAAAGGATGAGTTCATGTCCTTTGCAGGGACTTGGATGAAGGTGGAAACCATCATTCTCAGCAAACTGACACAGGAACAGAAAACCAAACACCACATGTTCTCACTTATAAGTAGGAGTTGAACAATGAGAACACATCAGTGCAGGGAGGAGAACATCACACACCAGGGACTATCAGGGGGTGGGGGACAAGGGGAGGGATAGCATTAGGAGAAATACCTAATGTAGATGACGGGTTGGTGGGTGCAGCAAACCACCATGGCACATGTATACCTATGTAACAAACCTGCACGTTCGGCACATGTATCCCAGAACTTAAAGTATAATAAATAAATAAATAAAATCTAGAAAATTTCTTTTTTCTGTATTCATGATCTTAGCTATTTCAAGACACTATAAGAATATCATAATAGTTCATATATGCATAAAAATTCATTATTCAGTCTTTGGTGTTTTTTTTTTTTTTTTTTGAGGCAAGGTTTTATTCTCGTTGCCTAAGCTGGAGTGCAATGGTGCAATCTTGGCTCACTGCAACCTCTGCCTCCCTGGCTCAAGCAATCTTCCCACCTCAGCCTCTTGAGTAGTTGGGACCACATGTGCCTGCCACCACACCTGGCTAATTTTATATTTATTGTAGAGACTGGGTTTCATCCTGTTGGTCAGGCTGGTCTCAAAGTCCTGGGCTCAAGCAATCAGCCTGCCTCAGCCTCCCAAAAGTGCTGGGATTACAGGCTTGAGCCACTATGCCTGGCCTATTCAGTTATTCTTACACAGGTATCTTAGGTAAAATGGTGGGAGGCTGAGTAGGAATTAACATGTACCTAAAAATGAGATAGAAGATAATTTTATCATCCCTTATGGAAAAAGATAGTGTATGTAGCAGAAACTCACTTGCAGGTAGAAATCTATATAGGTGAGAACTCTATCCTGAACAATGGACAGAATCCCAGCATAATGAACTGACATGAAAGAGATCCATGGGTCCCATACATTCCTTAATCTGGAGGTATTTATTGACTGGAGGTATTTATTGACATTTCACTTTTCAAATTAGTAGGGAAGGAATAGTGAATAAAACAAAGAAACAAACAAAATTATTTTTTCATGGGGCTTACATGATACTGAAGAAAAAGTAGATAAAATTATGAATATATAATTATCTGACAAAAATAAATAAATAAATAAATAAATAAAATTGGCTAAGGTAATAGCTGGCTTCTCTTAGGCTGTATGAATTGGCAATGCTGGAGAGGACTGGAAAGCTAGAGAAGGAAGCATTGATGCTGTTTCCTTCCCGTTTCTGACAGAGTCATCTTAGCAATGGGTTTTCCTCCTGATGGTGACAGTTGAAACCAGCAATAGTAGTTGATCCCAATTTGTTGTCTTTCCAACAATCCCAGAAGTAGTCTCACTGAGTCCCCTCAGAGAAAACATAACCAACTTCTAGCATCTTCTACATGCTCCTATCCCCACATAACTCCCTCCTTCCTACCCCCAACTTCAGAACACTAGGAAGGGCCAAGCAGTGTTCTCTCTTCATGTCTGTGACTCAGCTCCAAGGTGTCCTCTCCCAAGTTTTTACTTTTTAGTAATTCAACTTTTTCTTTTAGTTCCACAAGACATAGGAGAGATAGCCGACAGTCACTACTTCTATGATGCATCGACATTCTCTTTTTATTATTTTGTTCAGTTCTTCAATTCCTAGTTAATAATTCTTCATATTACATTCTTGGTGTTAAAATAACTTGTATTATTTCTGTTTCCTAACACAACCCCTCATTGATGCACTCCTAGAATACAAAACTGTAATTCCTTTCCTCAGTCATTACTCCCATGCATGTACACACACACACACACACACACACACACACACACACACACACTCACATAAAGCTGCCTCTTCCAGCACCCTGTATCTCAGTTCATACTACCATCACGCACGTAACTTTACAAGACAGAAACCCAAAAAAATGTTCTCGAAAACTGTACCACTTCCCCACATTCCAATTACGTCACAAAAATTCAGTTAATTTTTCTTCTTAAATATCTCTCAAACTCATCCTCTTGTCTTGTATTTCTCTGCCACTTCCCTGATGAATGCCTCCCATTATATATCCTCCTCATTGTCTTTTCCTGGTCTGTAGGTAAAATGATGGTGAACTACTGAGATGATAGACAGATAGATAGATAGATAGATAGATAGATAGATAGATAGTTGTTTTTGTTTGTTTGTTTGTTTTGAGACGGAGTCTCGCTCTGTTGCCCAGGCTGGAGTGCACTGGTGCGATCTCGGCTCACTGCAAGCTCTGCCTCCTGGGTTCACGCTGTTCTCCTGCCTCGGCCTCCCCAGTAGCTGGGACTACAGGCGCCTGCCACCATGCCTGGGTAATTTTTTTGTATTTTTAGTAGAGACGGGGTTTCACCGTGTTAACCAGGATAGTCTCGATCTCCTGACCTCGTGATCTGCCTGCCTCGGCCTCCCAAAGTGCTGGGATGAGATATTTTTATTCATTGCACTTCTATTCTTTAGTATACTGAAACCATTTAAATATTTAAAATGGGTTATCTCCCCCTCCTCAACCCTCAGCCCCTTCCTTAAAGTACAAACCAAAATCTTTGCCATCTCCCATAAAGTCTTCCAGCATCTGTCCCTTGTGTGTTACTGCTGGTTCATCTTTCATTGTGTGCCACCTACATTTTGTACTTCACCACACATTTGTGTAGCTCTTTGGTTGTTGCAGGTATCTTTGAAGACTTTTGTATATGCTGATTCTTCTGTCTGAAATGTACTTCTATCTACAAACTCCCAACTAGTTATCCAAGACATAACCTGCAAAGCTCAGCTCAAATGTCCCTTTCACAGTGAAGCCTTTCCTCATTGCCCATATTACATTCAGCCTTTCCTTTTTTACAGCTCTCATAGCATCAGTATATTTCTTCAGAATCCACCTCATTGCTCTGTAATAACCACTCATGCAATATGTGTAAACAAGAATAAATTCCATTTAGTGTCAATCAAATATGAAGGTTTAAAATACAAATTAAATTTTATATTGCGAGACTCTCTGACCAGTGGTTAACACATGGCTTTATCTGCCCCTAAGTCAAAACTTTCAAAGAAATGTTCAAGGTTTACAATTAACATGTTCACTGGATTAACGTTGTTTAAAATGATTTATTAAAATATCATTCTGATTTTAATAATGTAAGATTCATTCAGTTAAACAAAATTAATGTTTGGACTTCTCAAAATATTTCGTCTTTTAATAATGATTCCAAAGATGATATATTAGTAAATTTTATACATATAAAATAACATTCATTATTTTTAAAATACCTTTTGTAGGGCAGTAGGATTTCTGCTAGTATTTAGGATATATTTCTTAGAAAACACACATACAGTCCTAGGTGTACATCTGCCTTTTATGGCTTTTTGTAAGTACTGTAATTTTGAAAAATAATGATTCATATATTCTAATGTTGTGTAAAAACTGTATGTCATACTAAATAAAATAACTCGAGTTTCTAAATTATATGAAAAATCTGGGGTTTAATTTTAAACTTTTAATAAATCACTCCGAAAAATTTATTAATTTAAACCAGTTGGGTGAATGAATGCAATTCTAATCAGCTCTTGATATTTCTTAATTTTTTTGATTCTGGCACCATTCTTTCTCTTTTTGGGTTTTATTGCAATATAGGTTTTTTATTCCATTATCATCACAATCAGTTTTTAATCAGGTACTTATATTAGGTAATAGGTGAAGTGTTTATAAAATATTTAATAAAATGTGGGAAATTAATTTTGTTTTTTTCTATTAATATTTTCAGAGTTCCTTATAATTCAATTAAAAGTTTTATTCTATTATGTAAAAATACTTGAATAGTAAATATATCAAATTTAGCAGTAATGGCTAGAAAAAATTTAAATTAATATATCTTTAAATATTTTCTTTTACTTTTTACTGAAACAATATATTCTTGAAAGTAAAATAGTTATAAAAAATATAATACTAACAATATTACAAAGGAAAAATTACTAATATTTAATACATTTCTTCTTATTCATTTCTCAAGAGGAAGATAATTTTTAATAGCTTAGCTGTTTCTCCTAATATTTATTTACATATTTCTAAATTATATGCTAGAATGATGTCTGGATATTTCAATTGTATTCATGGACATTGTATTAGATTAAAATTTTGTTACCTTACACTATTATTTTATCTACTCCATTCTTCTAATTCTAATGTCAATAACAATTCAATCAATACAATGATTACGTAAAGATTATTCACTGCTAATGTAATTAATACTGTCTGATCATTTACCTTGTCATGTACAGTCTGCAGTCTCTTGGAGATTATTTTCTCAATTTTACATGCATACCTTTTAAAATTTTTCTTTCAATTTTTCCAATTTTTCCATCAAGTCCGTCATTTGCCTATTCTCATTTGAAATTTCTAAATATATGAAATATTCTATGAAGTCCTCCTTCTCTTTTAATTTGCTACTGTCTTTCTCCCAGATCTTCTGCTATTCTAATGCAAAGCAAATGATCTCTAGGTGGCTGAAATACTGTCATACTTCAACTTGTCTCCGCAGCATTTCTGAGTTTAATACACTATTTAATTCATCCCATATGTTTCTATTTCTGGTTTTACTACACTGTTCTACTGGCAAATAACAATGGATAAAAGATGATGATTTAATATATAGGTCATAAATTCTTGAGTCATATCAGATTTAAACAAATCTTCACTCTCACCTTCCATGTAATACATAATTTGATTAGGCATGGCATTCAAGATTTAAAATAATTTTTTCCGGTATTTAAAAAAGAATTTACCATGCATCCTAATATCAAGTATCACTGTTGATCTTTTCAATATCATTTTGATCTCCCTTTCTTTGTGTTTGACTTAATTTTTTCTTATTAACTTAATTATCTTTTTATTTTCTAAAAGTACTGTTAGATTTTGATCATACTGGTTTTGTCTCAAACATTTTTTTTAATCTCTCATGGGTTTAAAACACTCACTTGTTCTATTCTCTGAAATAATTTTTAAATTTTTATTTAAATAATCCTCTTTTGTAATATATCAGCAGTAATAATTTATTTGTAAAACAAATTGTTCTTGTCTTCTGAGTTTCCCATAGCACCATATATCTTTCTGAGAATATCAAGTAGAGAATTTTGAAGTTATTTATATCTTCTAATTTCTCTCTTTTTTCAGTCCTCCTCACCCCCCTTTTTTGGTAGTTTATTTTGGTGACTCTACCAATAGAACCCTGCCCATATCCTCTCCACATTCACTGTACTCTTCTTCTCCAGTAGGTTCTGGTTGTAAACACTTGCAAGTGTCTTTCTTGTCAACAATCTCTGGACCTGAGTCCTGACTTTACGAATGGGGCAGTTTTAGCTGAAATGCCAGGAAATTAATGCCTCAGCAAACATCCCCAACAATAACTGATGGGAGTAAATTATAAATATGTAGCTCTTTTGCTCTAGGTTAGGACAATTCATATTTTTAAACCTCCCAGAAATCCTCAGCAAAAATGAATAAAAATTGCCCATAATTAGAACCTGTTCTGTTACCCAACTGTTATAGTCTTCTTTCCATTCTTTTTCTTACTCCTCCATTCAAATATCAGAATTTCCTGTGATCACTTCCCAAATAAACTGCTTGTATTCACATCTTTTTCTCAAATTTGCTTCAGGGAGAACCCAAGTTAAGATATTATTTATTGTGTGGTCTTTGCTCAAATGTCAGGTGATTGTTGGTAGATAATTCATATTAAAATTAATCATACAAAAATTAACAGAAATTTATATGTGTATGAAGACTTACATGAAGAAGAAGTGGTCAATTGGGGATGATTTTGTCTCTGCCTCCCAGGGACACTTGGCAATATTTGGCAACAATTTGTATTGTTACCACAAGATGAAGAGCTACTGACATTTACTGAGTAGAAGTGAGGGATGCTGCCAAACATCTTATATTGCATAAGTTTGCCCCCCTACACAAAACAAAGACATCCTGTTCAAAAATCAATACTGTTGAGAATCCCTGATTTCAAGTAATATGGCTGGGAGTCAGTAGCATTACTGTGGTGTTTATAATTGTACAGCTTTAAAATTATTGTATTACTAGGAATGCAGCTAACAAGGGAAATAAAGGACCTCATCAAGGAAAACTGCAAACCACTGCTCAGTGAAATCAGAGAAGACACAACAAATGGAAAAACATTCCATTCTCATGGATAGGAAGAATCAATATTGTAAAAATGGTCATACTGCCCAAAGTAATATATGGATTCAATGCTATTCCCATTTAAACTGTTTTTGGACATTCTTCACAGAATTAGAAAAAAAAACTATCTTAAAATTCATATGGAACCCAAAAAGAGTCCAAACAGCCAAGACAATCTTAAGCAAAAAGAACAAAGCTGGAGGCATCACCCTACACGACTTCAAAATATACTATAAGGCTACAGTAACGGAAACAGCATGGTCCTGGTACAAGAACAGACACATGAATCAGGGGAACAGAATAGAGAACTCAGAAATAAGACCGCACACCTACAACTGTCTGATCTTCAACAAACCTGACAAAAACAAGAAATAGGGAAAGGACTCCCTGTTTAATTAATGGTGCTGGTAGAACAGACTAGCCATATGCAGAAAATTGAAAATGGACTCTTTCCTTACATCATATAACAAAATTAACTCAAGATGGCTCAAAGGCTTAAATGAAAAATCAAAACTTATATAAACCCTATAAGAAAATATAGGCAATACCATTTAGGATATAGGACCAGGCAAATATTTCTGCACAAAAATGCCAAAAGCAATTGCAACAAAAGCAAAACTTTACAAATGAGATCTAATTAAACTAAAGAGCTTCTGCACAGCAAAAGAAACTGTCATCAGAATGAACAGACAACATACAGAAGGGAAGAAAAGTTTTGCAATCTATCCATCTGACAAAGGTCTAATATCCAGCAACCATTTATAACTTAAACAAATTCACAAGAAAAAAAACAGACAACCCTGTTAAACAGTGGGCAAAGGACATAAACAGACTCTCTTGAAAGAAGAAATACATGTGGCCAACAAACATGAAAAATGTTCAACATTATTGATCATTAGAGAAATGCAAATCAAAACCACAATGAGATACCATCTCACACCAGTCCAAATGGCTATTAAAACATCAAGAAACAACAGATGCTGGCAAGGTTGTGGAGAAAAAAAGAACACCTTTACACAGTTTTTGGAAGTGTAAATTAAGTCAATCATTGTGGAAGACAGTGTGTCAATTCCTCAAGGACATGGAGGCAGAAATATCGTTTGAACCAGCAATCCCATTACTAGGTATGTACCCGAAGGAATATAAATCATTCTGTTATGAGGATACATGCATATGTATGTTCATTGCAGCACTATTCACAACAGCAAAGACATGGAATCAACCTAAGTGCTCATCAATGATAGACTGGATAAAGGAAATATGGTACCATGGAATACTATGCAGCCATAAAAAGTAAGGAGATTACATCCTTCGAAGGGACATGGATGGAGCTGGAAGCCATTAACTTCAGCAAACTAACACAAGAACAGAAAACCAAACACCACATGTTCTCACCTATAAGTGGGAGCTGAATGATGAAACACACGGACACATGGTGAGGAACAACACATACTGGGGCCTGTCATTTCAGGGATTGGGGGAGAGAGAGCATCAGGAAGAATCGCCAATGAATTTTGGGTTTAATACCTAGGTGATGGGATGATCTGTGCAGCAAACCACCATGGTGCACGTTTACCTATGTAACAAACCTGATGGCACACGTACCCCTGAACTTAAAATAAAAGATGAAGGAATAAAATAAATAAATAAAATAAAATTATTGTGTTAGAGAAGAAGAAAGGTCTATAATCAAATACCTGAATCTCTTCTTAAGAAGAGATTTTGTTAAATAATTAAGACAAAAGTATATTTGAAATTCATAGAACAAAGAAAATAATTAAAAAATTAAAATGATTGAAACAGAAACAGACATATAATAGCTGACATTAAAGCCAAAATTTATTTTTTAAGAAGTATCAACAAAATCGATAACTATCTATACTGATTAAGAGAAAAAGAGAGACACCACAAGTTAGCAATATCAAGAATAAAATCTGGAAAATGGCTACATATCCTTTTGATATTAGAAAGATAAGAAGTGAATATTATTTAAAAAACTGGATTCACCCAAGGGGTGTGACTACTTAAATCAAATAGAAAATATTCTTACAGATGTAACTTATAAAAACTGACACATGATGAAATATAAAATCTGAGTATCCCAGTCTATTCAAGAAATTGAATTTGCTATAAAGCATAGTCACATAAAGAAAACTTCATGCCCACATGATTTCACTGGTGAATTCTAACAAACATGATGTGAATATTGCGTTAGTCTGTTCTCATGCTGCTAATAAAACATATGTGAGACTGGATAATTTATAAAGAAAAAAAGTTTTAATGGACTCACAGTTCCACGTGGCTGGAGAGGCCTCACAGTCATGACTGAAGGTGAATGAGGAGTCATGTCTTACATGGCGTCAGGCAAGAGAGCTTGTGCAGGGGAATTCCCATATATAAAACCATCAGATCTTGTGAGAGTTATTCACTACCATGAGAACAGTATGAGGGAATTCACACCCATGATTCAATTTTCTCCACTTGGCCCCACCCTTGGCATGTGGGATTATTACAATTCAAGGTGATATTTGGGTGGGGACACCTCCAAACCATATCAAATATATATCAATAGTAGTACAGAGATTCTTCTGAGGATGTTAAAGGAACACCTCCAAATGCATTATATGAGACTGACATAACTTGAAACCAAAATCTAACAGATATTAAAATAAAAGAAAATTTCAGATCAATATCCCTTATGAATGTAGATGAAAAAATACTTACCACATGTTAGCCAATATATCCAATAAAAAATTGAAAAGACAATAAACTATTAAGACAAAATTGGTTTAAAATTGGAAAATCTGCTCTCATAAGGCACACTATTAACAGAATTAAAAGAAAAAAAGCTTAAGGCCATTTTAATAAATCTAGAAAAAGAATTTGTTAAGATGCAATCCATACCTACAATAACTCAGCCAGTTGCAAATATATAAAAGCTTCCTTCAACTAATAAAGGTATGCATGAAAAATGTATAGCCAACATCATAATTAATAGATACCTCATAAAGGAAACATAAAAGTTGTCAATAAACATTAGAAAAATGTTCAACATTATTTGTTATGAGGAAAATAAAAAATAAACCCACAATGAGAGCTCAGATCCATCAGAAAGACAGAAAAGAAAAACAGACTAACATCACCAAATATTGTCAAGGGTGTGCAGCAATTGGGACTCTCACATCATTGGTGAGATTATAAAGTAGTAAACCATGTTTGGCAAATGTGTGGCAGTTTCTTGTAAAACTTGAAAACTAACTAAAGCAAAACAAATAAACAAAATTTTTTATTCTACATCACAGTCATTCCACCTGTAGGTATTTAAACAATAGAATTTGAAATATCTACCCTCAAAAAAATTTTTACAAGACTGTTCCTAACAACTTTACTCAATATATAAACAAACCTGGAGACACTTCAGGTGGCCATCAATAGAAAAATGGCTAAACAACTGTGAAATATTCTTACGTTGGAATACTATCAGGAATAGAAAAGAACTATTGACATATGCAACAAACAAGATCAATTTGAAAAGCTGTTGGGATAAGTGCTCTATTAATAAACTAAAACTATGAGATGCTGGCATATGAATAGGCAAGTAGATCACTGGAATAGAATAAACATCCAGAAGTAGACCCAAGTATATACAGAAATTTATCATATAGTGCATGATAAAGGTGGCACTTCAAATTACCAAGGCAACAAAGGACATTTTAATAAATGGTTCAGGGACAATTGGTTAACCATTTGGAAAAAGATAAAATTAGATCCATACTTCACTATCATACTCAAGAACTTAACTCCAAATGGATTATAGATCTAAATGTAGAAAAAATTGTAGCCATACAAGTTGTGGAAGAAAACACCTGTGAATTCCTTTTTAATCTCAGTGTAAAAAAAAAAAAGACTTTCTAGTTAAATTTCAAAAATCATATAAATAAAATATCAGTAACTTTACCTAAAAAATGACGGCAAATTTTATGGCTAAAAAACACCATATACTCAAAAGACCACTGCAACACTTGAGATGAATATTTGCAATATATACTACAAACGAAGGGCTAATGCTCCTAATAATATAAAGAACTTTTAAAAATTAGTGACACTAAGAAAAAATTGAAAATTAAGCGAAAGACATACACAGAAAACAAATTAAAGGTATGTAACTGGGCTCTTAAACATGTGTAACAATATTTATCCTCATTTATAATTAGAGAAGTGCAAATTAAAACATCATTAAGATAATACTTCTCATCTATCATGCTGGTGAAAATGAAAAAGAATGACCTCACATTCTTCTGGAAAGGCTATGAGGAACCTGACACTAGAATACATTGCTACTGGCAAGACAAAGCTGGAACTATTCTGGAGGAAACATTTTCAATGAATTAATTCAATTAATTTATTATTTATTTATAATACCAAATTGTGTTGGCTCTTATATCTAATATATCAATTATATTCAGTCAAGTTTTTAAAAGTGCATTTGGCCGAATGTTTGATGATGATAATTTTCAAAGATGTTTAAATTTTACTTCCTATTTGATCAAGTTTTTAAAAAGTTATATTTTTAGCATAAGAAGAATCAACTCGAAGAGATTACAATTTGCATGCATATTTATTTCATAAATTCCTTCATTCTTAGGTCAATAATAAACTCCACTTGGGAAACGACATGCCCATTCTTAGTAAATAACCTGGCTTTGCACGCATGCTATAAGAACATGTACTTAAAATATTTATTTAAATACTTTAACTTGGTTTTAAATCCTCTCCCGTGAATAAAAACCCCTTTCGTACGTGAGCAGTCACTTGACAACTAAGATTACTTTTATGGACATTTCATTTTTAACTAAGCCTTACACATCTGTTCTACACACAAATTGCAATTTCAAAATGATCATAATTCAGAATTTGGCCATAAAAAAGTAAGATTGAGTGATTTAAATGCATCAGTATAATCTTTGCTCAATGCAGCATATATTTATAAGGCTTCCTCAGGTTTAAGTTGTAAATTATAAAATGTATTCTCCTTATTTGTAAATTAGCTTCACAAGAAAAGAGTTTTATGATTACTACATATTTATGACCATCCAGACATCAATGTAAGATTAAATTTAAATTCAAATTTATTAAAAGTGAACTACTAAAAAAATGCAGAAAAATGAAGCATTTCATAATCTATCTTTCTGTAACATCGTAAGAAAGGAATAATTCACATCTCCAAAGGGAAAAATACAATTGAGATGACAATGATGCTTTAGCCAATAGGACTTCAGTCTTTGATGGCACTTACACAAGTTGAAGTGTACTAAAATTTAATTTGTAATGTAATGATTGCTGAGAGATGAATACTTCATTTAAGCTATATTAATTGACTACAGAATTTTGCTGGTAAGCAACTGAATGAATGAGTTTTAAAGAAATTAGTATTTTTTTCATGTATAAAGCTGTTTCTACAAACTTCTAAAGGTATATATTTCTCAATATTTTCTGCACCCTAGAAAGAACGTAATCCAATATTATAGCACAAACCACTTGAATAACTTAGAATTTTGTATTGTTCAGTCTTCACCTGTAAGAACCATCTGTTCAATTAAAATTTCACTCACATATGTACTAGATGTTTTTCTCACAAGTAGAAAGTTAGCAAAATACCATTTAATATTTGCAGTTAGTATAACAAAGCATGCAGTATATTAAAAGTATTAAAATGCATTACATGGATTTCATATCTAGGGATAAGCCATGACATATATGATCAGTTCAACTACATTTTAAATATCAGGTAATCTTACTCAAATAATTATGTGTGTGTGTGTGTGTATGTGTGTATTTTTAATTAATAGCTCTAAAATGTTTAAAAACTTAATTTTTGTGGAGGGTTTTATTGATGGGTAGGTGGGTAGATATCCAGACTTAATTTAGTTAATCTTTGCACATGGAAAACAGTCATTTCATGCACATATGACTTTAGAAATATAGGAATAGGAAGATGAATTAAATAGCCATTTCTGAGCTGTAGAAGGAAACTCCAGAACATCTGATGTAATTCCCAATTTAAAGTTTCCACCCACTCCAGAATATCTCCAACTAGTGTTTAAGAAGTCTGTTTATGAACTTCCATTATTAATCCCTATCTTTCTAGCCAGTCAGAGCAGTATTATTGCATAAAATTGAATTTTTAAAGCACTGATATAGAATTACAAATCTTAGTCATACAATATGTAAATGCAAGCTGAATTGACTGAATATGTTTTATTCTAAAGTGGTGAATATATTTAACACTATGGTTATTATTCAGAATCCTAGTAAATATGACAGGTCCAAATAACTACAGAAATAATTGGATACAGTCCACTTACAGTTATAAGCCATTGAATGAATAATTCATTCTGAAAATGGATATTCAAGGTGTCATTTTATTTCATAACAATAACAACAATAATAATAATATGACTCTGAGGTAGAGCTATATACTATTATGGGCAGAATTATGTTCCCCCCAAATTCATAGGCTGAAGCTCTAATCCCCACTACCTCAGAATATGATTGTATTTGGAGATAGAGACTTCAGAGAGGTAATTAGTTAAAATGAGGTCATTAGGGTGGGGTCTAATCAAATATGACTGGTGTCTTTATAAGAAGAGTAAATTTGGACACAGATAGAGAAGATGACATGAAGACACAGAAGACAGTTATTTACAAGTGAAGGAGAGAGGCCTCAGAAGAAATCAACACTGCCAACATCTTGATCTCAGATTTTAGCCTCCAGAATTGTGAGAAAATAAATTTATATTGTTTCAGACACCCAGTCTGTAATACTTTGTTATGGCAACTCTAGAAAACAAACACAGTAGTCCCGGAAATCCTCTCTCAGGAGGTAATATTTTAGTCGAAATCAGCAAAGTTCAATGGCTTTGTAACGGTACAATTAGAGACCTTTATAGCTGAATTAATTTGAGCAGAAGAGTAGGAGGAAATTAGATCTAGAATATAGGCTGAGGACAAATAACATTAGTGCCTACAAGTCACTTCTCCAGGGTCAGTGATGAAAGGAATGCACATTTATTATTCATAATTTCCTATCTCCTTTTGCAGAGCACTAATCTGAAAAACAAAATTTAACAACTGAAAACTAACATTCCAGAATTTCTAGGCTCTGAAATCTAATTACAACCAGTGCAGTAGAGATTGAAGTCCCAGTCATTGTTGGTTAGAATTTGATCAAGTAGTCAATTTGACACAGTAGTCCCATCTTTAAGCATCTTCTCCAAAAATAAAGACATAAATATTGAAGGATACAATATTTGTTATACCACTAGTTATACCACTAGTTACAGGATATAATATTTGTTACACCACTAGTTACAGGAAAGAAAATTTGAAAAATATTGACTAAAAATAAAACACATTACAATACAAAATTTGCAAGAACATATACAAGCTAACTATCTAACAGAAAGAACACCTACTGAGAAATAATTTTTTTCTTTCTCCTCAGAGTATATTTAAATTCTGCTGTATATGATATATTATAAATTGGAATGTGACCCTTTATAGCTTTTCAAACTTTTTTCCACATAATTTTATATTTTGATGACACTGAGAAATAGATATTATCTCTGTTGTAAAAACAACAAAATACAGTAAGATTGAGAATGGTAAAATATGTGATTTCAAAACTAGTGAGGAGCTTTTAAAATCACCAGTTCCCAGGTAAGTTGGAAGATGGAAGGAGGAGTTCTCAGATGATCACCGTATGAAGAGTTCACTAACATCTGTTGAGCAAGAAATAAACGACTGTTGGATGCAAGCATGAAGTTTTGGCTTCTCTATTTATAGCACTTTTGCCTTCTCTAGTATGAATAGTACGAAGAGAGTTTTATGGTTTAAAATTTAAAACTACACTGCTGATCTGCTCCTTTTGAATCATTGAAACATTCAAAAGTTACAGATAACATCATAATGTAAAGCATTAAATATTCAGTTCCAAATGAAAAGGAAATTCTACAAAAATTTGAGATATGAAGCAAGAGATACTTAGAGTATAATAACTGTAATACTCACATTAGAAAAAAAAAGGAAAGACCTAAAGTTCATAAGCTAAGTATTCAATTCATGAACAACATAAAATCCAAGAAAGAAGGAGGAAAATGTAAACATAAAAGCAGAAACAGATGAAATGGAAAGCGAAGAAATAATAGATCTTATCAACAAAATCATATGCTAGTTCCTTGAGAAGACTAATAACTTGAATATGGAACACTAGTAAGGAATGTAGTCACAAAAATAACACCACGACCACATGATATAGTTTACAGTTGATATATATTGGGATTTTTAAGAAATGGATAAATTCTGTCATATGTAAAATGTTGGTTAAATATTTTGAAAGACAAAAAATTACAGGTATTTTTACATATCTAGTTGAATGTAATAGTAATAATAGAGAAGGGCATTTGTGATGGTTACTTTTATAACTTGAGTGGGCCATAAGTTGCCCAGGTATTTGGTCAAACATTATTCTGGGTGTTTCTGTGAGGATGAGTTTTAAGTAAAATTGATATTTAAATTGGTAGAATGAATAAATCAGATTACCCAACCTAGTATCAATGGTTCAGTATTGAAAGCAAAGAAAATTGTGGGGCAATTGCTTTTGTAAAGATAAATACAAAACCATAAATAAAATAATAGCATACCAGTGATATAAATGCATATATGTTTATGTACACACACACGTACACACACCATGATCAGGTGGAATTATTCCTAGGAATGCAAAGAGATCTAATTAATTTTGATACATGAATCATTTAAAGTGATTTTAGTGGTAGTTAAAATAAAAGAATTTGGTAAAATTTAAAGCTCATGTATGAAACACATACAGAATTATAAGAAAAACTATGTTATTGAACAAAAGCTACTTATCAAAAAATCTGTAGCAAACATCAGTGTGATAAAATAACTATAAAAATATTATCTAAAAGTAAGAAACAAAACAAAATTACCCACTAACATGGATTCTATTCAACAGGATATTTACTAGAAGTCCTATGTAGCCCAATAAAAGTAGAAAAAGGAATAAATCATACAGGAATAGCAAAGGAATTACTTTAAATATTTTCATAATTTTCTACAATTATTGTCAATACAGAAAACTCAATAGAATATAAAGATAAAATAAAGCCAAATAAACAAAATTAAAATGTATAAAATCAATGTAAAAATCAATATTTTAATATTTAGCAAAACTGATTTCAAAATAAAAATTTAAAAAACCGAACTCACAGAAACAGCATCCCAAGTGTCATATAGGAATAAATCAAATTAAATATATTCAAGATCTTTATAGATAAAATTATTTTTCAAAAATAACTAATGCATGTGTAAAAAAGACCTAATAAATAAATGGAGTGATAAACCAGATTAATATATAGGAAGACTCAAATATCAAAAAGATAATAATATATTTTGTGATGAGTTTCAAAAACTTGATAAATACAAATTAGCACAGTAAAGAAACATAAATGGCATAGAGTCCTCTCCTTTATTCACATGTTTATTTACTGCTTTAATTATTTTTCTTTTTGGAGGAATGGCATAACCTTTTGAAATGTCTAGGTTAAGGTTTGTTGTGACAAGAATTCTTTAAATGTGGAGGATGTCTGAAATTATTCAGAAGTTTTTAAAGCATATTTCATAACTAATTGCTTAAAGATAAATGTGTAGTTTTATTTAAGTTGGATTATGGCTAGGAATGCTCTATTCCAAAGCTAAATATTCACTTAGATAAATGTAGTGAAATTAGTAAAAATGTAGGGCAGTATAAGCTGGCACATCTTCCATTATAAAAAGTAACCAAACATATATATTTAATAAAGGAAATTTAGTATTAGCCTATTCAATGTAATGTCTTTTTATTTTTAATTTAACTTACAAAGAAATCTAGTGTGATTCCTAGGACTCTATTTACAATGATGGAAATTTTCTGCTTTAATGCCTTATTAAATAGTTGGATATTTTAAGCTTCTATTTCTCTTGCTACTAGCACCAATTAAGAGTTGCGAATATAATTTATACATCCGTATTAACATTTATATATAATCCGCAGCCTCTCTTCCCATCCCACAATGCTCAACTCCAGGATTTCCCTGGCTCACCTGCCTGCCATGACCAACAAGGAAGCAGCCTTTGACAACGCAGTGGAAGAACATGTGATCAAGGAGGAGTACAAAATATGGAAAAATAACACCTCTTTTCCTTATGATTTGGTGATGACACAGGCTCTGGAGTGGCCCAGCCTAACTGCACAGTGGCTTCCAGATGTAACCAGACCAGAAGGGAAAGATTTCAGCAGTCATCGACTTGTCCCGGGTACACACACATCAGTTGAACAAAACCACCTTGTGCAGCTTCCTAGTGATGATGCTCAGCTTGACGCATCACACTACAACAGCAAGAAAGGAGAATGTGGAGGTTGAGGTTCGGTTAGTGGAAAAATTGAAAGAGAAATCAACACCAAGCTGAAGAAGTAAACAGGGCCTGATATATTACCCAACACCCTTGTAGCATCACAACAAAGACTCCATCCAGTGATGTTTTTGTCTTTGACTATACAAAACATCCTTCTAAACCAGACCCTCTGAAGAGTGCATTCCAGATTTGCATCTCTGTGGACATCAGAAGGCAGGCTGTGGGCTTTTAAGGAACCCAAATCTCAGTGGACACTTACTTATTACTTCAGATAACCATACCATCTGCCTATGGGACATCAGTGCTGTTTCAAATGAAGAAAAAGTGTTGAATGTAAAGACCATCTTTACAGGGCATACAGCAGTATTTGGAGATAGAGATGCTTCCAGTCATCTTTACCATAGTAATCTTCCATTTAGATCTTTACTATGGTAAAGATGCTTCCAGTCATCTCTTCCATGAGTCTCTGTTTGGAAGTATTGTTTGAATGAATATCCCTCTATAATAGATACCACTAGTCATGCTACTAGCCCAACCAGTGGGTGTTTTCTAAATATTAATGGGTGGACTTGATTCAGAAAAGCCATAGTCTTACACTGAAATTTTCTTCAGGAATTTTCTAGTAGAAAACCCACGACTAAAGGAGCTATAGAAAGGGAAATATTATTTGTGATTATTTTTCTTCTTATGCTATATCCACAAGTTTTTCAGGCTCAAGTTGAGAAGAGTGAGTCAATAACTTGTATTTGCTTTTAAAATTAAATTAATCCTTGACAAGAGTGACTTTTTTTTTTAGAAGTTAGTCCTTGACCACTAGTTTGATGCTGTCTCCATTTTGGGTGACCTGTTTCACCAGCAGGCCTGTTACTGTCCATGACTAACTGTGTAAATGCTTAAAATAGAATAAACTGCTTTTTCCATTGAAAAAACAAAAACCATATATATATGTATATATGTATTTATTTATGTGAGTGTGTGTGTGTGTGTGTGTGGTGTGTGCATAACTTATTGAATGTCTGGTTGTTAATGCTGCAGAGGGCCTTCTGTAGTTAAGAAAGTTTCTGAATCATTGTGTACACACTTTGAGAATGTCTGAGAAACATCATCAAAGAAGAACTTTGATGCTTCTGACTTTATGTTGTTTCCAAAAGATTTTTTTAAATCTCACAGCATTGCAGTATAATTTAGTGTGTTTCTTCCAAAGTTATGACTTCTGAATATTTCAAATTAAATTAGGATGCAAAAAGGTTTTTAAGTCATCTGGCTTACGGTGAGCAAGAAGGAGCCCATTACAGTGCTCCATTTGACACAGCAAACCTTCTGGATCATCAAGCATCCTGCATGAAATACTGCAATTATATTAAAATATAATGATTCTCAGCTTCATAAATAAGCTTAGAAAACAAATCCCCAAATCCACAGATACAATAAATAACACAAACACTTTAGAGCCTGACTTTCTTTATCCATTTGCACATTTGGAATGTGCAAATGCTATTTCCAAGATGTCTTTGGAAATACGTTATTAACTGATGAAAAATTATTTTTTATCTCAGAATCCATGGATACAATACCACAAAAACTTTAGAACCTGAATTTCTTTATCCTGTGCAATTGTTATTTCTAAGATGTCTCTGAAAAGAATATCTTATTATTAACTGATGATAAATTGTCTTTTCAAATAAGCAAAATGGAAGACTCTGAGGTATTAATAGAAGTATTTAACTAACCTGAGAAATCTAAGTATTCCTCTTTTCTCAGTTAAAGTTTCATACTCTTATTTGAACTAAAAGTTCAAGTGTTTCACTTTTCTTGTCAATGCATAGCTTCCTGTTTTACATTAGAGCAAAAATTTTAACATTCTATTGTAAATACTGATTTCTGTTCAGGAAGCATGTGTCTGAGATACAGGATAGAGGACAGGAGGGACCAGGAGGAATCATTTAACTATTTTTCTATTCATTCAAAATATTAATAGAATTCTTCTGTGATCTTGTCACTATGATTGCTACAGTGGTTTTAGGAAGGTATGAAAAAAACAGTTGGATATACCTAAATGAGTTTCTTAGTGTCACTCACATAGAGCTGGGTACCATCATTAAAAAGCAAAATCTGAATTTTTAATAATTTAGATCTTTACTATGGTCTTCATTGTATAGGAAAGTATGAATTTACACAGCTGATTACATATTAAATGTTTCTAAAAATCATTTTTTAATCTTTTTCTCTTCCCAGTATTTCCAATATAGCAACTATTAAAATTGCTCTCTCTCTTCTACTAGTGTAGTCCATGCATCGTGACATTGCTATAAATCCAGGCTTTCCTTCCTCCTGTCTCTTGGCATATATATCCAAACCTGACAAATACTTCCTGTCATGTATAGCTCCCAAACCCACCTCTCCCAAACTTCCCTTTCCTGCCATTCTTCCTTCTGCAACTGCAATCCTTCATCACTCAGAATCAACTCCATTCTCAACTGCTTTGATATTATCTTCACCCTCCTCTTACTTTCAGCCAAGAACTGGCTCTGTCTTATGAATCCCTGGGAAACTTTCAAGTTAAATTATCTTGAAAGAAGAGTCATACCTATACCTCATTACTATATCCAAATCATTCTCACTGTCTCCTCCCCAAAACTTAAAATTCTTTTTCTTATTACTATACATTAAATTTTGGGGTACATGTGCAGAACATGCAGTTTTGTTACATAGGTATACACGTGCCATGGTGGTTTGCTGTACCCATCAACCTGGCACCTACATTAGGTATTTCTCCTAATGTAATCACTCCCCTAGCCCCCCACCCCCCAACAAGCCCCAGTGTGTGATGTTCCCCTCCCTATGTCCATGTGTTCTCATTGTTTAATTCCCACTTATGAGTGAGAACATGCGGTCTTTGGTTTATTGTTCTTGTGACAGTTTGCTGAGAATGATAGTTTCCAGCTTCATTCATATCCCTGCAAAGGACATTAACTCATCCCTTTTTTATGGCTGCATAGTATTCCATGGTGTATATGTGCCACATTTTCTTTATCCAGTCTATCATTGATGGACATTTGGGTTGGTTCTAAGTCTTTGCTATTGTGAATAGTGCTGCAATAAACATACATGTGCAGGTGTCTTTATAGTACAGTGATTTATAATCCTTTGGGTATATATCCAGGAATGGAATTGTTGGGTCAAATAGTATTTCTAGTTCTAGATCCTTGAGGAATCACCGCACTGTCTTCCACAAAGGTTGAACTAATCTACACTCCCACCAACAGTATAAAAGCATTCCTATTTCTCCACATCCTCTCCAGCATCGGTTGTTCCCTGATTTTTTAATGATCGCCATTCTAACTGGCATGAGATGGTATTTCATTGTGGTTTTGATTTGCATTTCTCTAATGACCAATGATGATAAGCATTTTTTCATATGTCTGTTGGCTGCATAAATGTCTTCTTTTGAGAAGTGTCTGTCCATATACTTTGCACATTTTTTGATGGAGTTTTTTTTTCTTGTAAATTTGTTTAAGTTCTTTGTAGATTCTGGATATTAGCCCTTTGTCAGATAGATTACAAAAATTTTATCCCATTCTGTAGGTTGCCTGTTCACTCTGATGATAGATTCTTTTGCTGTACAGAAGATCTTTAGTTTAATTAGATCCCATTTGTCAATTTTGGCTTTTGTTGCCATTGCTTTTAGTGTTTTAGTCATGAAGTCTTTGCCCATGCCTACGTCCTGAATGGTATGGCCCAGGTTTTCTTCTAGAATTTTTATGGTCCTAGGTCTTATATTTAAGTCTTTGATCCATCTTGAGTTGATTTTTGTATAAGGTGTAAGGAAGGGGTTCCGTTTCAGTTTTCTGCATATGGCTAGCCAGTTTTCCCAACATTTATTAAATAGGGAATATTTTCCCCATTGCTTATGTCAGGTTTGTCAAAGATCAGATGGTTGTAGAGGTGTGGTGTCATTTCTGAGGCCTCTGTTCTATTCCTTTGGTCTATATATCTGTTTTGGTACCAGTACCACACTGTTTTGGTTACTGTAGCCTTGAAGTATAGTTTGAAGTCAGGTAGCATGATGCTTCCAGCTTTGTTCTTCTTGCCCAGGATTGTCTTGCCTATGCAAGCACTTTTTGGCTCCATACGTAGTTTAAAGTAGTTTTTTCCATTTCTGTGAAGAAAGTCAGTGGTAGCTTGATGGGGGTAGCACTGAATCTATAAATTACTTTGGACAGTATTGCCATTTTCATGATATTGATTCTTCCTATCCATGAGCATGGAATGTTTTACGATTTGGTTGTGTCCTCTCTTATTTCCTTGTAGTTCTCCTTGAGGGGGGTCCTTTATATCCCTTGTAAGTTGGATTCCCAGTTATTTTATTCTCTTTGAAGCAATTGTGAATGGGAGTTCACTCATGATTTGGCTCTCTGTTTGTCTGTTATTGGTGTATAGGAATGCTTCTGATTTTTGCATATTGGTTTTGTAACCTGAGAGTTTGCTGAAATTACTTATCAGCTTAAGGAGATTTGGGGCTGAGACAATGGGGTTTTGTAATATACAATCATGTCATCTGCAAACAGAGATAATTTGACTTCCTCTCTTCCTATGTGAATAACCTTTATTTATTACTCTTGCCTGATTGCCCTGGCCAGAACTTCCAACACTATGTTGAATAGGAGTGGTGAGAGAGGGCATCCGTGTCTTGTGCCAGTTTTCAAAGGGAATGCTTCCAGTTTTTGACCATTCAATATGATATTGGCTGTGAGTTTGTCATAAATAGCTCTTATTATTTTGAGATATGTTCCATTGATACGATACCCACTTTATTGAGAGTTTTTATCATGAAAGAGTGTTGAATTTTGTCAAAGGCCTTTTCTGCATCTATTGAGATAATCATGTGGTTTTTGTGATTGGTTCTGTTTATGTGACGGATTACATTTATTGATTTGTGTATGTTGAACCAGCCTTGCATCCCAGGGATTAAGCCAACTTGATCATGGTGGATAAGCTTTTTGATGTGCTGCTGGATTCAGTTTGCCAGTATTTTACTGGGGATTTTCCCATTGATCTTCATCAAGGATATTGGCCTGAAATTTTCTTTTTTTGTTGTGTCTTTTCCTGGTTTTGGCATCAGGAAGATGCTGGCCTCATAAAATGAGTTAGGGAGGATTCCCTCTTTTTCTATTGTTTGGAATAGTTTCAGAAGGAATGGTACCAGCTCCTCTTTGTACCTCTTGTAGAATTCAGCTGTGAATCCATCTGGTCCTGGACTTTGGTTGGTTTGTAGGCTATTAATTACTGTCTCAATTTCAGAACTTGTTATTGATTTATTCAGGTGTTTGACTTCTTCCTGGTTTAGACTTTGGAGGGTGTATATATCCAGGAATTTATTCTTTGTTTCTAGATTTTCTAGTTTATTTGCATACAGATGCTTATAGTATTACCTGTTGGTAGTTTGTATTTCTGTGGGATTAGTGGTGATATCCCCTATATCCTTTTTTATTGAATCTATTTGATTCTTCTCTCATTTCTTTTTTATTATTCTGGCTAATGGTCTATCTAGTTTGCTGATCTTGTCAAAAAACCAATTCCTGGGTTCATTGATTTTTTGAAGGGTTTTTTGTGTCTCTATCTCCATCAGTTCGGTTCTGATCTTAGTTATTTCTTGTCTTCTGCTAGCTTTTGAATTTGTTTGCCATTGCTTCTCTAGTTCTTTTAATTTTGATGTTAGGGTGTCAATTTTAGATCTTTCCTGCTTTCTTTTGTGGGCATTTAGTGCTATAAATTTCCCTGTACACACTGCTTTATATGTGTCCCAAAGATTCTGGTACATTGTGTCTTCATTCTCATTGGTTTCAAATAACATCTTTATTTCTGCCTTCATTTCATTATTTACCCAGTAGTCATTCAGCAGCAGGTTGTTCAGTTTCCATGTATTTGTGTGGTTTTGAGTGAGTTTATTAATCCTGAGTTCTAGTTTGATTGCACTGTGGTCTGAGAGACTGTTATGATGATTTTCATTCTTTTGCATTTGCTGAGGAGTGTTTTACTTCCATTTATGTGGTCAATTTTAGAATAAGTGTGATGAGTTATCGGGGGAACCCTCTCCCAATATTCAACGTATGTTCTTTCTATTTTCCATAAGTGTCAGCTGGCTGAGAAATAAAGAGAAAGAGTACAAAGAGAGGAATTTTACAGCTGTGCCTCTGGGGGTGACATCACATATCAGTAGGACTGTGATGCCCACCTGAGCCACAAAACCAGCAGGTTTTTATTAAGGGTTTCAAAAGGGCGGGGGTGTATGATCAGGGAGTAGGTCACAAAGATCACATACTTCAAAGGGCAAAAAGGAGAACAGAGATCACATGCTTCTGAGGAAACAGGACAAAAGGCAAAACAGAACTACTGATAAGGGTCTATGCTCAGCTGTGCACATGTTGTCCTGATAAACATCTTAAACAACAGAAAACAGGGTCAGAGAGCAGAGAACCGGTCTGACCTCAAATTTACCAGGGTGGGGTTTTTTCCCCACCCTAATAAGCCTGAGGGTACTGCAGGAGACCAGGGCATATTTCAGTCCTTATCTCAACCGCATAAGACAGACACTCCCAGAGCGGCCATTTATAGACCTCCCCCCAGGAATGCACTCCTTCCCCAAGGTATTAATTATTAATATTCCTTGCTAGGAAAGGAATTTAGCAATAGTTTCTCTACTTGCACGTCTGTTTATAGGCTCTCTGCAATAAGAAAAATATGGCTCTATTCTGCCCGACCCCGCAGGCAGTCAGATCTTATGGTTGTCTTCCCTTGTTCCCTAAAATCACTGTTACTCTGTTCTTTTTCAAGATGCATTGATTTCATATTGTTCAAACACACATGTTTTACAATCAATTTGTACAGTTAACACAACAGTGGTCCTGAGGTGATGTACATCCTCAGCTTATGAAGATAACAGGATTAAGAGATTAAAGTAAGACAGGCATAAGAAATTATAAGAGTATTATTTAGGAACTGATAAATGTCCATGAAATCATAATTTATGTTCCTCTGCCGTGGCTCCAGCCGGTGCCTCTGTTCAGGGTCCCTGACTTCCTGCAACAATGAGGTGCTGAGAAGAATGTATATTCTGTTGAATTGGGGTGGAGAATTCTGTAGATGTCTATTAGGTCCTCTTGGTCCAGAGCTGAGTTCAAGTCCTGAATATCCTTGTTAATTTTCTGTCTCATTGACCTAATATTGACAGTGGGGTGTTAAAGTCTCCCATTATTATTGTGTGGGAGTATAAGTCTCTTTGTAGGTCTCTAAGAACTTGCTTTATGAATCTGGGTGCTCCTGTATTGGGCAGATATATATTTAGGACAGTTAGCTCTTCCTGCTGCATTGAACCCTTTACCATTATGTAATGCCCTTTTTAATCTCTTTTGATCTTTGTTGGTAGTCTGTTTTATCAGAGATTAAGATTGCAACTCCTGCTTCTTTTTTTTTTTTTTTTTTTTTTTGCTTTCCATTTGCTTGGTAAATATTCACCATTTTGCTCGTGAGATGGGTCTCCTGAATACAGCACACTGATGGGTCTTGACTCTTTATCCAATTTGCCAGTCTGTATCTTTTAATTGGCCCATTTAGTCTGTTTACATTTAAGATTAATACTGCTATGTGTGAATTTGATCCTGTCATTATGATCCTAGCTGGTTGTTTTGCCCTTTAGTTGATGCAGTATCTTGATAGTGTTGATGTTCTTTACAATTTGGTATGTTTTTGCAGTGGCTGGTACCAGTTGTTCCTTTTCACGTTTTGTGTTTCCTTCAGGAGCTCTTGTTAGGCAGGGCTGGTGGTGACAAAATCTCTCAGCATTTGCTTGTCTGTAAAGGATTTTATTTCTCCTTTGCTTATGAAGCTTAGCTTGACTGGATTTAAAATTCTGGGTTGAAAATTCCTTTCTTTAAGAATGTTGAATATTGGCCCCTACTCTCTTCTGGCTTTTAGGGTTTCTGCCAAGAGATCCGCTGTTAGTCTGATGGGCTTTCCTTTGTGGGTAACTCGACCTTTCTCTCTGGCCATTCTTAACATTTTTTCCTTCATTTCAACCTTGGTGAATCTGGCAATTATTTGTCTTCGGGTCACTCTTCTTGAGGAGTAACTGTGGTGTTCTCTGTATTTCCTGAATTTGAATTTGGACTGCCTTGCTAGGTTGGGGAAGTTCTCCTGGATAATATCCTAAAGAGTGTTTTCCAACTTGGTTCCATTCTCCTCGTTACTTTCACATACACTAATCAAACATAGATTTGGTCTTTTCACATAGTCCCATATTTCTTGGAAGCTTTGTTCATTCGTTTTTATTCTTTTTTCTCTAATC
The DNA here is from genome assembly GCF_000001405.40 of Homo sapiens. NCBI lineage: Eukaryota > Metazoa > Chordata > Mammalia > Primates > Hominidae > Homo > Homo sapiens. The sequence goes on from NC_000003.12 coordinate 96,575,005, forward strand.
TTGTCTTCTCTCTTTATTCCATTAAGTTGATCTTCAATCACTGATATCCTTTTTTTCTTCTTGATCAATTCATCTATTGAAACTTGTGTATGCTTCATGAAGTTCTTGTGCTGTGTTTTTCAGCTCCATCAGGTCATATATGTTCTTCTCTACACTGGTTATTCTAGTTAGCAATTCCTTTAACTTTTTTTTCAAGGTTCTTAGCTTCCTTGCATTGGGTTAGAACATGCTCCTTTAGCTCAGAGGAGGTTGTTATGACCCACCTTCTGAAGCCTACTTCTGTCAGTTCATCAAATTTATTCTCTGTCCAGTTTTGTTCCCTTGCTGGTGAGGAGTTGTGATTCTTTGGAGGAGAAGATGCTTTCTGGTTTTTGGAATTTTCAGCCTTTTTGTGCTGGTTTCTCCCCATCTGTGTGGATTTATCTGCCTTTGGTCTTGGATGTTGGTGACATTCGGATGGGGTCTTTGAGAGGACATGCTATTCCTTTCTGATTGTTAGTTTTCCTTCTGACAGTCTGGCCCCTCTGCTACCTGTCTGCTAGAGTTTGCTGGAGGTCCACTCCAGACCCTGTTTGCCTGGGTATCACCAGCAGAGGCTGCAGAACAGCAAAGATTGTTGCCTGTTCTGTCCTCTGGAAGCTTTGTCCCAGAGCGACACCTGCCAGATGCCAGCCAGAGCTCTCCTGTATGAGGTGTCTGTCAGCCCCTACTGGGAGGTGTCTCCCAGTCAGGACACACAGGGGTCAGGGACCCATTTGAGGAGACAGTCTGACCCTTAGCAGAGCTCAAACTCTGTGCTGGGAAGTCCGCTGCTCTATTCAGAGCCCTCAGGCAGGGACGTTTTAGTCTGCTGAAGCTGCACCCACAGCTGCCCCTCTCCCCAGGTGCTCTGTCGCAGAGAGATGGGGTTTTATCTATAAGTCCCTGACTGGGGCTGCTGCCTTTTTTCAGAGACACCTGCCCAGAGAAGAGAAATCTGGCAGTCTGGCCACAGCAGCCTTGCTGAGCTGCAGTGGGCTCCACCCAGTTGGAACTTCCCAGAGACTTTGTTTACACTGTGAAGGTAAAACTGCCTACTCAATCCTCAACAATGGCGGATTCCTCTCCCTCCATCAAGCTGGAGAGTCCCAGGTCAATCTCAGACTTCTGCTTGCAGCTAGAATTTCAGGCTAGAGGATCTTAGTTTGCTGGGCTCTGTGGGGGTGGGACCCGCCGAGCCAGACCACTTGGCTCCCTGTCTTCAATACCGCTTACCAGGGGAGTGAACGGTTCTGTCTCACTGGCATTCCAGGCGCCACTGGGGTATGGAAAAAAAAAAAAAAAAAAAAAACTCCTGCAGCTAGTTCAGTGTCTGCCCAAATGGCTGCCTAGTTTTGTGCTTGAAACCCAGGGCCCAGTGGGGTAGGCACCGGATGGAATCTCCTGGTTTGTGTGTGGTGAAGACCATGGGAAAATCACAGTATCTGTGCCAGAGTTCCTCAGGCTCAGTCCTTCACAGCTTCCCTTGGGTAGGGGAGAAAATTCCCTGACCTCTTGCACTTGCTGGGTGAGACGATGCCCCACCCTGTTCAGCTCGCCTTCCATGGGCTGCACCCCTGTCCAACCAGTCCTGGTGAGATGAACTGAGTACCTCAGCACCTTAGTTGGAAACGCAGAAATCACCCGCCTTCTGCATCGATCTTGCTGGGAGCTGCAGACCGGATCTGTTCCTATTCAGCCATCTTGCCAACAATCTCTCAAAACTTAAATTTCAAATTCAATGTCAAAATGCTTACCTGAGTCATAACATTTAGTTATAATATTATCTACATAGATGACTCTTTCAATACTCTGGCACATTTCCAAGAACATTTAATACTCATAAAAACCCTATGAGGTAAATATTATTAATAACCTATTACAGCAAAATTGCTTGAAAGCACTGTCTCTATTCTGAATTTTCAATTACTCTCCTTCTCTTCATTAAATCAATTCCAAGAGATCTTCCTCTCCTGCCATGACATTATGTTGACAAATGTGTATCTCTAACTAGACTCTTAACTCTCAAATGTAATGACTATGTACAAGTGATTATCTAACACCCTTATGGACATCTAAAGTTCACCACGACTAAAATTCTCACACCCTCCTGCTCTTCATGTGACGTCACGTCTCTAATAAATGGGAAATTTATACATTCAGTTTCTCAGGAAAAAATCCAGAGGTTATTTTTCACCCATTTCTCCCTCTCACAGTCTTTACTCAAAGCATCAGCTAATTCTTTTGGTATCAGCTTCTGAATAGATACAGATTACAACCAGTTCTTACCACTTCCAACACCACCATCCTACTATATATAAGGCCACCATAAAGTCATCCCCAGTGACACATTTTCAGGAATGCTACATAAGCAATTATTTGCCAGATAAACAGCTTCAAACTGAGACTCCAGGCAGAGCAAAACTTGGGGTCACCCTAGATCAAACTACCATCAAATTCTAGCTATGGCCTTCTAAATGATAATCTATGCTACCCCTGCATTTAGTTAGCAACTAACACTCACAGTGATCACATCTCTGTACAAACTTCATACAATCCAATGGTTCCCCATGTTCACCAGATTTTAATCCAAAATTTTCATAATTACCTAAAGATCCAGTTGAAGGTAGTCACCACTACCTTCCCCACCCCCATTACCTCTTTGGCCTCACCTTCTTTGCTTGTTTTATACGATTGTAGCCATCCTTTCACCTAGCTAATGATAAAACATGCCAGGTCGTTGTACTTACTGCTCTGACTGCCTGAAATGCTTTCTTCAGATAGTCCCTGACTTCCTCCATCACTCTTGTACATTCTCTGTACAAATGTTACCTTAATGCAACTACTTAAAATAGCAACTCAACACTCACTATTCCTGTTCTCTGATTTATATTCTCCTTAGCACTTAGGACTATGTGGCATACTATATTATAATTAAATATTTGTTTTCTGTAATACCCACTATTATGTAAATTCTATGCGTGAGCATTTATAAAAATAATAGATTTATAAATTCTTGAAGATCATCTAGCAAATATTAGAGATTCAATAAATATTTGTTAAATAATTGAATAGATAAATGAGACTCAGTGAAAATTTGATTCAAGAAAAATGGTAGATATTTCTTCAAATATTTTTATATTTAGTATGTTTGGTATTCACAAAGTCAGATGCATCACTTATAAATGCCCAGATTCTAGCAGGTAATTCCTTCTCAAGGAACTATAAGTGCAAAAAAATTAAAATTCATGTTTTTAATTTTATTTAGAAGAAGTTAACTCATTATCATAATATAGACAAATCTCCATCCAGAATGATTATTAATAATTTCGGTAGATACTGTTTTCAAGGAGGTAGAACATACTTCTTCACTTCTCAAGTGTAGGCTATGCATAGTAACTTCTTTTCAAAGAGCACCAAAAGGAAAAGGGGAAAAAGGTGAGTTTTTCAGTAGAGAAACTTGACCCACATTACCTCAACCAGGTGACCAAGATTAACCTCAACAGTAATAGAAAATTTTAGAGGAATGTATCCTTAAGATAGCCTAACATAGAAAATGATATCACTTATTTCTTAACTGATACAAAAGTGATGATTAAGTCTAAAAATTCTTCTATATTCTACAGTGTTACATACCTAATCAATGTAAAACTTACAAAAGAAAAAATCAAATAAATATCAAATTTTGCTTTCACCAAGCAAGAGGAATAAATAAGAATCAAACTTATTAATATGTATGTGAAGGTCATTTAATATTTCCAGCACCACATAGTTGAATAAAAATTAGCGATGAACAGGGCAATTGCTTACTGAAAAAAACTTCAAATTATAAGAAGGACATATTTGAAATTAGGGAGCACATATATTTATTAGGGGGCAGAGAGAGGGAGAAATAGGGAGAAAAAATTCTTGTAAAATACATAACCCTGGAAGCTATATAACCCTGGAAAAAATAAATACTATAAGAGTGAAATAACAGGACTACACAATAAAATTATATAAAATTACTTCACAACAGGAACACAGACAGTGTTTCCAATAGCTATGATTGTTATTGCAATTCTAATGTAGGGTTATTTATTTAAAAGTTCACAGCATTTTCAAAGATATAACAAATTATAGAAGGGTGATCATTCTTTACATCTCTCTTCCAGTGCATACTTAAATTTTTAGTGGTCCATACTGGAAAACAGATAGAATGCAATGGTGCTTTCTATGGTTGTATCTACATTAGGAAAAGGTTACTATTATAGTCAAACAAAAGTCATCACTTCTTTTCATAAGGAATTTGAATAAACGAGCCCTGAAGAATGGTTTCTGAGTGAACTTTATTGAAGATTAGTTTTCTAGTGATTCTTCCTTATTACCGGATCTCTCTAGTGTTTGCTCTTCTGACAGCTTTCCGTGTCTGAAATTTTGGAGAAAAAACTAATATATTCTCATTTCAAAATATCATAACTTTCTAACTCTCTCCTGTGGTTAAAACATATTATTCACTTAAGGTCAGCATTATGAATATAATCAAAAATATGAGATCTGGGGAGGATAATGTGAACCAACTATAAAAATACATCAAAGCAAAAATATGCATGTTTATCTCCTAGTAAATTCAGTTTTTATGACAAGATTGCCTCCAGAAATACCAGTATATTTTTCTTCCTTTAAGAAATCACTACTGTTTCCATTATTTGTGGACATTCTATCATTTAACAAAAGCAATCACTAGGTATTTTTGCCTGGGAACAAATCTAATTTTAATGAATCGATGTTTTTGCCATTAACTTCAATAAAGTGGATATTTATACTTAAACAAGAATCATTCCAACAATAAGGTTACAGTGATCCTCTTATAACTCACCAGTATTTTATAGGCACAAAAGTGTAAGCATAATTTAAACACACATTTTGCTAGTTATTATTGATAGATTTTCAATTAATATGGAGCATAAGACAATTTCACTGTACAATTATTAATTCAATAAAGTTTAAACTGTATTTCATATGCATTTGCTCTAATTCAAATTATAGCATTCCAGGATAGCAGGTTAAAAATGAGGCTAAATCACGGTAATTATGTTTTCATCTTTACTAATTTAAATTGACATTTAGTATGATGAATCTAAAAAGCAAAACATCAATAATAGAAACATTACAATTAAAAGAAATAAGCAACATGCAAATTATTCCACTCAAAGACAAAAACTGAATGTATTGCATTCTGCATACCAACCTTGCTATCACTTTTAAACTCAAAATAATGTTCTGTGGCAAAGAAATTTACTTAAAATTGGCCAGATTACATCTACTCCATCAATGATAGATTCAAACTAACGTCTCTCCAAATTAGGATAACTTAGAGAAGTTTGCCAAAATCATCCCCAGAAATCTCCTGGGGTATTGAATTCAGGAGATAATAAACAAACAACATAAATAACAAACAACATAATTACTGACCAAAAAAAAAAAAAAAAAAAAAAAATCAAGACAAGCCACAGAGCTAGAACAGAGTCTTAGAGGTTGCTGAAATTAACCATTTAATTGCTGAATAAAAGGGAGGCCCTCTCACAGAGGGACAACATGGCTTGGAGTCAGTATTGAAATACTTCAATATTTTAACAATTAATGCAATGTTTAATGTTTTGTCAACTTGATTGGATTGAAGGATGCAAAGTATCATTCCTGGGTGTGTCTGTGAGGGTGTTGCCAAAGGAGATTAACATTTGATTCAGTGGACTGGGAGAGGCAGACTCACTATCAGTCTGGGTGGGCACCATCTAATCAGTTGCCAGCACAGCTAGAATAAAGCAGGCAGAAGTTGGAACGACTAGACTCACTGAATCTTCCAGCCTCCATCTTTCTCCCATAGCGGATGCTTCTTGCCCTCGAACATCAGACTCTAAATTCTTCAGATTTTGGACTCTTGGACTTACACCAGTGATTTTCCAGTGGCTCTCGGGCCTTCAGTCACAGACCGAAGGCTGCACTGTCATCTTCTCTACTTTTGAGGTTTGGGGACTTGGACTGGCTTTCTTGCTCCTCAGCTTGCAGATGGCCTATTGTGGGACTTCATTTGGTGATCATGTGGGTCAATACTCCTTAATAAACTCCCCTTCATACATACATCTATTCTATTAGTTCTGTCCCTCTAGAGAACCCTGACTAATACAATTACTAAGGCTGAATAAGTGCATACAACCTGAATGTAAGTTCTGTCTCTAACACACCTTTGCTTTAAGGATGTGACTTCTCCAAACCTGAATCTATCAAATGTCTCCCCTCCCAGCGGTCTGTAGTGACAGATGCTAAAGAACATGAGTATTGCAGTTGAAAACTCCCAAGTTGTATCTCTGTAATATTCATGGGGTCTCTGGACAAGGGCTTTTTGCACTGCCCATTTTTAATTTCCTTCAGGACAGTGGTTTGTAGAGATTCTTCTTAAATTACTATATCTTGTATGTAACTTTATTTAATTCTCCAAAGTTTACATACTTCAATTAAGTATTGAGCTTATTTTCTCCACTATTACAGGAATTTGTGTCCTGTGTTTTGAATGTGTTCATACCACTGCATGGATCTTCTGGAATGTGAATGACTTACCTAGACTATGAACAGTTTAGGGCTTCTTTTCTACCCCTATTCCCTTCCAAGAGTTTATTGATATCCTTCTTCCTTCTGTCAGGAAATACAGTTAAAGTGGTGAGAGGATAAAAACCAACTTCCTGACCATTCCATACTATATTATGGTGGTAATCTAATGAATTTGAATACTCTTAAGGAAGTACTGTAGGTAAAATAAATAAATAAATAAAATGCAGTTGACTTACTCTATTAGACAAATAGAGATAAAAGGCATTGGTCAAATAAATCTCCCAATGTAACTGAGACTCTTATTCTACTATAATCATTGTTTCAAATGATCATTAATGGAGGAATGGTACTCTTGGAGAGATCATATGACATGAAATGACAATAATCATTTCAAAGACACAGCAATCGGAGAAACCACCTTTTGTAAATATCTATAACTCACTGCCTATATTCAAGATCTCCTTAAGATACTTCAGAGTGCACTGTGAGAAAAACTGTGTTTTGTAAGAGTATTTTGTGTTTACCAGGACATAATTCTCACATCTTCATGAATAGCAAAAAGATCTTTTTATCACATCCTCTTAAATGTAGTATTTTTCTGGAACTAGGGAACCGCTAGTGAATTCCAATATAGTCTTTCCTCCAATGTTTATCTAACCTTTAAATTTATGGCCCTTATCCATAACATTCTTTACTCCTCCAACTGTGAAACCACAGTCATTGTAGTCCAAATTTGATTTCTATTCTACTTCATGCCACTGTGTAAAATCACCACTAAATCCTCCTGACTTGATGTACTATGGTGATGTTACTGAAAGCTACAAAGGTCAGTTATAATTTGGCTCCTATTTTCTAATAGTCCCTGAAACATTGTTTCCTAACCCAGTCTCAAAACTTTGAAGCTAGATACACGTTTTAAGACAGTGCACATGGGCCTGTCTTTTATTCCCTCAGTTTTTATTAGCTTTTCTTAATTAGAGCTTATATGGCTCATTATTCCGTGTTTGAACAACCAAAACCGTTGGTCCTTTTTACTAAAAACTTCTGTTTTCTTTTTATTATGAGCTGTATTTCCTACTAATAATTTAATAATTCAAGCTTTTTCCTCTCCTTTATAAACCTACATATTATTATTCCTTCCTAATCCTAAAAATGTCTTACTAGTCTCCCCTTTTGCAAGCCTTGCTATTTCAGTTACCTATTGCTGTGTAACAAAGAATTTCGTTACTTTACACATTAATGGCTTAAAACAACAATCATTTTATTATGGTTTGTAATACTTGGGGTCCAGGAATTTAAGCATATAGTGACTGGATTATTCCACAGATTTACATGGTATTGACTAGTTAGTTACCTGATGTATTAAGATGAGCTGGTGTTTGATGGGGATGGCTAAAACACTGGTATCAAGTGGGCCTGTGTCCATCCACATGTAGTCTCAGACCCCTTCCAAGTTGTCTCTCCATCTGGGCAGCAGGACTTCTTAGGTGGTGGCTCAGAACTTCAGGAGGAAGTGTTAAGAAGACACAGGAAGTGTGGAAGCTGTCCATCTCTCATGACTTGGGACCAGAAACTGACAGATCATCACTTCCAGCATGTTCAAAGCAGTGTCAAAGCCTGCCAGCTTAAAGGAAAGAAAATATTCATCCAACCTCTTCACTGGAGTAGTATATTAAAAAAAATTATAGCCATCTAGAATCTACCACACAGGTATTGTTTCTGAATGAATACCTACTCAGTCATTACTCAGGTAATATTCGGTGTTTGTAAAATCAGGCCAAAATTGGAGCACCAGGAAGCAAGATCGCCAGACCTAGTACTTTCAAAAGTGATGCCTAGTCCTTTCATAAGTTTTTCACCACCATCCCCACACCCTAAGTAAAATATTACTGGATTTTTAAGGGCATCATTAATGGTTCATATTTGGCATATGTAAGTCAAGGAGATTCCAAGAAAATCATGTTGACACATGACAAAATATAATCGATTTTATAGCAGCAATGTGTTAGAGTGTCTTAAAGAGCATATCTCCTATGAGGGGTACTTTCTCAATCCCATTTTTCCATCTTTTTATAGACCACATAGAAAGAGACTTGCAGAACTGGTATGGCTTTTTCTAGAGGCCATTCCATAACTTATTAGTGATAGCAACAACCTGGCCCACAAATCTAAGACCTGCATTTTGATCACTAGGTCTCTCAAAAATAGCCACCAATTGAGGAAGAGTAAGTCACCATCCTTGAAGACCCAAAAGAGGGATATACTCCTCCCACTTTGAAGATGTAAGTAAATATCACTCCCATAGGGGAAAAAGAAAACAAATTTCTTCTTTCCCTGAGCTTTCCAATATTTTGTCCTCCTTTCCCCAAAACATCTGCCTGAATGGCTCCCACCTGCATCTATCTGAAGGGAGCAGTAGAAAAGGTTCTTAACCTATCATGCTCATTGACTGTTCTTTTGGCATCTCTATTCCTTGAAAATTAGGCTGTTGTTCATTTCCTTCTGTAAACTGTCTAAAATGAGATAGGCAAAATCCAGAAAACTTTGCCATGTGTCTTTATCTTCCTATCCTTTCCCTTTACTTTCTTTTCATTCCTACAAGCTGTTCCTCAACAGTTCATCTGGGCAATTATAGTTCATCCATGGAACTTCTATATGCAACCACAGCTCTTGTGCCAAAGAATATTTCAGTGGTTTAACACATACAGATTTGTTTATCACTTAAAGTGTCTTTCCCAATCTGTCACTCAGTGATCCAAGCTAAAACAAACTCTACAACTTTATAGCTCTAGAATTTGAAATAGGTAGATTCCTTGGTTGTTGCAATGGAGGAAAGGTACTCTTGGAGATATTACACTTTGTGTGGGCCAGATGTGATATTTTTAACTTCCACTACAGTCCATAGTCTAGAACGAGTTCATGGCCCTGATTCCTGATGACTGAAGGGTGAGTAGAAAATGCAGTTTCTCTGAGTCAAGAAGAAAAGGAAAACTGGATACAGTTGAGCATTCACAATACCAACCACGAGTTATGTGACAAAAAATTTATTCTTTTAATCTTGACAGCAAATTTGGAGATAAAGTCAAAATTTGAGGCAGTCTATGAATACAAGGATTCATATAGCTTCCTTGGCTATAATTTTAGGCCCTAGGAACTGGTGACAAAAATGAAAAATTCTGTTATTGATTCAATGATTGTGCACCCACTGAAAATGTACATATTGAAACCGAATCCCCAATGTGATGGTAAGGCCTTTGAAGAGGGCCTTTGGAAGGTGATTAGGTTATGAGGGTGGAGCCCTCATTATCAGAATTAGTGCCCTCATAAAAAGCACCCCAAAGAACTTCTTTTCCCTTTCTGCAATGTGAGGACCCAAAAACAAGACAGCCATCTATGAATCAAGAAGCAAACCCTCACCCAAACCCCACATCTGCGTACCTTAATTTTGAACTTCCTAGCCTCCAGAACTGTGAGAAATAAACTTCTGTTATGTGTGAGCCACACATTCCATGGTAACTTGTAATAGCAGCCCAACTGGACTAAGACAAATGGATTATTTTTAAGCAATGTAAAAATAAATAACTTCTATCTGTATAACATTTCATTTAGGGATTTTTTTTAATCAAAGCATCAGAAATTTATTAAATAATTATAAAAAAACTAGATGTCATTGTTTTAAAACATCTTTATCATAATACCACAATGACTTCCCTATTTTATTTAGAGCATTGCTTAAATGTCACCTCCTTAGAAGCTAAACTTTTTGTGATAAATCTTTTGAAAGCTACATTTGTATTGCACTTCTTTATCTATTCCTTATGCCTTCACACTACGTTGTGTAATGTGGTCATATTATATATTGATGATACTTTCCAAAGAAACAGTACATTATACATATGTGCTATACCTGCTTACTGTTTGTCTTTTTACCCAGAATGTAAGTTCACTGAGGGAAGACACTTCTCTTTCATTCTAATCAACTAGAACAATATCTGAGAAATAGGCAACCAAAATATATTTTGTTGAGTGAAAACAACTTCAGAAGAATCAGTCTACTACAAAATAGCTTCCATGCCAGCCTTTCATTAAAACTATATTCTCAATGATATATGGCAATCTGCTTTATAAATCAGGAGACAACCAATCATCAAAAGAAGAGAGACTTCCTCTTGGTTCTACGCCTACTTCTTGTCTTTGCAAAAAAATAAACCACTTTCTTCTTTAAATCTCTTATCTCTTTGATCCTGTGATGTAATTTCTCTCCCTTTAAATTATTTTTACTCTCTTCTTGAGAATTTTTAATGTCTTCTCTTCCTCTTCTTGGTAAGTCATAAACAATCAGCTAAATTGTCTTTCATTAATAATCTCCTCAATAATTATGCTTCATTTAATTTATTTGGCTTGCATTACTCTAAGATCCAAGATTGATGGGTCTAAACTGATGATCATTCCAAAACTACTTATTATACTTATGGATTTAAAGGCCTTTCATTTAAACTCAATATATCCAACTTAAAATTTGGGGACTTCCAGATCAAATGGCAGACTGAGAAGACATGAGAAATAGTACTACGAGCACACATATCAAACACATACACTACATATTTACCTGCTTCACACACACACATTCCAGTACTATAAATCTTATAAATTAGCAGGTAGAAGAATTTTAATAATACCTGCTTGAGTTTGAAAGCAAAAAAAAAAAAATCTACCCATCTCAGGAATGAATGAAGATATTCCTTACCCAATGCAACTGGAAGCTGAAGCTGTATAGCTCAAAGGTATACCAGAATAGGAAATATGCTTCAAAGCCTAGAGTCTCAATGTATTGTTTAATGTAGTGAAAATGTAGTTCTCCATGTAAAACCAAGAACCTGGGTAATCCTATTATACCTCTGAAAATCTTCATGCCTATGGTCTTAGTACTAAAAGGAACGTGAGACCAAAAAAAAAAAAAAAAAAAAGAAAGAAAATCATTGAGGCATATAGAGCGAAAGCACAAAATCAGAAACCTGAGGAAACACCAGGTTCAAAGATATTTAAAAAAAGACAGCATACATCAAATAATTGAATATCATTACAGAAAACAAAACGTGTCAGATAAAATTTATAGGTTGTCCACTAATAAAAGACATCATTTAAGAGGGAAGTACAAATAGTTACTAACCATGAGGAAAGCAACACAGGAATAGGAGCAATAGATGAGAAGAAACTCTGGAAGCTAGACATAAGACTCATAGATTTTTCAGAGGAAAAGAATAGAAGGGGTAAATGGAAGTAAAAGTTTTCAAAAATGATAACAGAGCTTTCCAGAATAAAAAATACATGGTTCTCATACAGAAAAAGCACTAACATTCAAAATAGGATAAAACAATCTAAAATTTACTTTAATAGTTGAGTGTGGTAACAAAAATATTATTTTTTTCATTAATAGGAAGAAATACATTTTCAAATTTAATGTTATTAGTGGTCAAAATTCTACATAGTATTATTAAGAACTATATAAAACTAATAATTATATTTGATTAGCCTATCTAATAGTTTAGCTCTCCACTTCTGGTGTCTACAATGGATTCACATCTCCACTCCATCATTTACCAATTGTGTAACTGTGAGATTACCATTTAAACTTTCACAGCCTCGGTTATATCAACTGTAAAATGGGGATATTCATAGTATCTGCCTAATAAAGATACTATACAGATAAAATTATATGATATAAAATTAAATTATGTAATATCTACAGCATAGTATCATGGATAAGATAGGTTCATAAGAAATATTAACTCATATTAAGATGAGATATTGAATTTTATCTATAAGAAATAAAGTATATTTTTCACCAGCCAATAACCTATGAATTATGTATAAAATATAGTATTTATAGCTGTTTCAAATTGGCTTTTTAATAATCAGGGTGGCTAGGTAATGCATCATCCAATAATAAGTATATAAAGTATTCAAATTGGGACCTTTTGAGAACAAAGGGAAGCTTTATTAATGATTATACCAGTTCAATCTTAACATAATCCTGCACTTTCCAAAGTAAAGCAAGTTGTGTGATCATTCAATCCATAATGTAATTGTTTTTCACTCATGAATTTTGCACAGCTAAATTGAATCATGTAATCACATAGAAATTGGTACCTCTGAAACATATGAGCACACAGGTACCGTATATGAATCTTCCACTAAATTGAAGTCAATAAAGAGATAAAAATTTATATTCTTTTTGCATCCAAAATATATAATGCTATGGCTGCATATTTCCAGTCTTGCTAAAATTATAGGATTCTTTAACATAATGAAAATACTTTTCACAAATGCATAGTGTTATTATTTATCATTTGAGAACCATCCCTATATCTCAGACTCATTCATTGTTTAGTGTTAATTTGGAAGAAATATCAGATGCAGCAGAGGGTGAATTGAAAACTTCTTGAAAAAAAGTTACCATCTAATTGAAATGGAACCACTCAACATCTTTTTCAATAGAAGTAATCACTGAGAATGTGCCTTTTTAAATGATATCAAACTCCTCAAACTTGAAATGTTAAACAAAATCCTGATATTTTATGGTGATGAGTTTTTAAAGAAATTTTGGACAATAACTGCTAAATGGATTCATTTTCTCACAATAAAGATATGACATTTATTTTCAAAAAATTCTAAGTGAAACAAATTTAACAATGTATTTTGCTCCTTAATAATACAAATAAAGATTTGTAAACCTTGGCAAATCAATGAAAACAATTTAACTGGATTAGTTTTACTAAAAATCAACTTTGGCTCTAGACACTGACTTTTACTATAATCAAGTTAATTAAATTGATATATTGTTGCTTTTTGCTTTCTTAATAATTAGCAAAGCACAGCATTAGGGAATGCATTTTAAAAATTATTTTAATATTTATAAGTGTTAAAGCAATCATATAATAATTGAATTATCTAATTTATTTGACAAATATGCAGTTATCTTCTAAAACTTAAAGAAATTGCAATATGATGCATGCCTTTCTTCTACATTGAAGCAAATGAGTTTTTAACAGTATGGGATTAATGGAATTACTTGTCCATAGAAGAGTGGGTCAGAATGAACTCATATGACACTAAAATTTCAAATGTATACATATGTATATGGAAGGACAACTGTTTTTCTCTATCAGAAAGTACTAATACTAAAATGTACTAAATGAATTAATCTGTCAGCATGTCAAGCATCAAAATTTTTATATGTAAACTGATAGAATGAAGGGGGTTGGGTAAAGTAGGTCTCTTAGAAGCAAGGCTAATATTGTGTGTTAATCTAATATTAGAGAGGCTAATGTGCTATCAGTCCGAAAGTACCAGGTTTTGAGAATAAAGTTGCTTCATGCCCATTTAGTGGCTAGTGAGTAGAACTTAATAGTGCAGAAGAGCCCCTTGTGAATCCCTCAATCAACGCAAACTGTATATGATAACTTGAAATTAAAATCAACTTTTATTTTGCAAAACATATTACTTTCTGTATAACTAGTCAGCTGGCATTAATAGTTTTAGTTGTTCTTTATAATGGAATGTTCTTCCTTGCTATTCAATGTTAGAGGCATAATAAGAGGTTCCTCAGGTCATTTACAGTTAGGATCCCATTTGAAATACTCATACTTAATTAGGGAATTCAAAAATTAAGGAAGGGGATGGAAGAAAGAAAATGCTGGAAAGGACAATCTTAATGCAACAGGAACTGGGCACATGCTTATCAAATGCATTTTGTATTCTTTCTGGACGCAACTAGAGTGCATTTCACACCCTCCTTTGCAATTAAATGTAGCTAAAGGCTAAGTTCTAATCAAGAAAATACGAGTGGAAGTAATGGATACCACTTACACACAGTATTCTGTGTGCTTTGCATTTCCAGCAGCTTTATACAGGTTAGCAGTGACCTTGTATCCATGCATTGAAAATGACATAACCACAAGATAGAAAATGACTGAGTTCTTGGGTCATGACTTGAAAGAGAGCCACAGCCCAAGTAAGAACACTCATTTTGGACTTCACAAGAATAATAAATTAACTTCCACTATGATCTTCAAACCATTGTGTAGATTCAGGTTTGTTTAGTACTGCAGCAAGTGGTGCCCTAACTTATACAAAGGTTGTTTATAGAAGTTGAGTACTTTATTCAATTTTTTTTAGTCTTCCTCCTCTTTGAAAATAGGTTATTGGGTCTGATCATTAGGTAGTTATGCATGAACTGTAAGAAAGAAATTTTAGCAAAGTATTAAGGATGAATCATAAAAAAGCGTTGAGGAATTAAATGTTGGTGTCAAGTGGTGGGGGGCTTTCTTCCAAAGCGTTCTGTAGCCTAGAAACATAACTGAGATCTGAAGCAGACAGCAAGGCAAAAATAAAAAGTTTATCTTAGCTTTTAAGATTCAAAGTAGCTTAAAAGTCTATATAAATATAGACTATGGAAATAGAGAAATATATAGATAAAGTAAATATTATAGTTTTACTAAAACTGTAACTGATTAACTTGGGATATATGATATATGGGAAAGAAGGACAAAATGGATGAAACAATGAGTCGGATAATGAAAAAGTGGTAGATTTCAGATAATTAGTAGCAGTATCAAATATGGAAAAGACAAACAAAGGAAGTAAAGGTGAATAGATATATATGCACATATGTACATACAAATACATATACTATATATATTCACACCTACATATAATGTAGGAAGTAATGTGCTGTGAGTTATATTCTTGAAGATATATGAAGACTAGACAATAAGGACTATAGAAGAAATAGAATAGGGAAGCCTCAATATATTTGATGACCTAAATGATATCATGAAACAATTTTGCAATGGATATTTCCAGGTTAAAAAAAGTAGCTAAGTTATCAAGGTTTTCTTTTTAAAAAATACATTCTTGAGTATATGATTAGTCTTCTGCCAAATACTATACACATTATATCATCAGAAGAAAACAGCCATCAAAAATGGCAGATTATATAGTATAGAATTTATGTCAAATTTATCTCACTGTATTCTAACTCTAAAAATTCATGATGTAAGTATGTATTGTACTGTCTCTCTAAGATGACCAAAATAATTCCAATTTTCTATTCTATGTAAACAAGATTTTAACTCTGTATTAAAATGCAGAACGACGTGATTCAATAGCCTATGAAAATGACAATTATTTTAGAACAAGCTTGAGAAACTTAGAATTGCCTCAAGGACTTTAAAATTGTAGACATATTCTGGGAAACCCACTTGAAAATCCTTCATTTAAAATTGTTCATGTCTTTAAGATCAAGACTAATTCACCTAGACAGTAAAATTGAATGGATAGCTTTCAAGAATTAGATCAAATACCTTAAAGTTTACACCATAACTTAAGGCCAATATTTTCATTAAAATGTTCATAAACTCACATTTTGTTGTTTCCTATTTTTTTGTCTATATAATTGTTTGGGAAATTGGGCTTTTCTTACATAAAACCTCTATAACCATGCCATTAATCATTATGTATGCCCTCCACAAAATATTCATATAGTTTATTTTTACTAGAATTTTTCACTAACTTCGTAAACCTCTCAAAATAATCTAGAAACTCAGTTACCTCATTAGAGTATAAAATACATATATGGAACAAAATATAGAATTTGTCATGCAGATTATGTTTTATCACACAAGTTCTTTTACTAAGAAAGTGCAATTCCTTTCTAGTTATTTTTCTCAAACTTCAGGGAAATAGAAAATTTTTCCTCAGCTATCTCTGAGGCATATAGCCTCTTATTCATCTACATAAAAATGACGTTATAAAGATATTAAATAATAATCCCAATTTCTTAGATATGAATATGGTTTTTGAGTGTCTGGATTTTTATTCAGTTATAGCTGCATATTGGAAAATGTTTTAAAAGGGAACACATTTTGAATGCGTATATGAATCTGAGCAGCAGTATCTCAGAATGGAATGTTTTTCCCTAGAGAAATATGTTAGGAATACGCTTCTTCCAAATTTTTCTCTTTGATTATATAGAGTTTTTCTCTCCAAAATATTGGTTTTCTCTTATCTAACCAATAGAATGGTCTGCCTTTTTTCTCAAACGAATGGCACAGAGATGTGAAAAATGAGAGATAGTATGTGGTATAGTTATATTAGAAGGCGACCCAGGAAACGCCTTAGCAACTGTCCTAAACACATTCCAAACAAAGCCTCATAACCCACCATTAATTGCAATAAAAGTAGTTGCCCTCTATCCTAAACAGTGAAGAGACTATTGAAATATAGCCTAAGTGGTTGAATAGGAATATTTTCTAGGCTAATATGCCAGAGGGGAAAAGTAAAGAATTCTTAATGGTTTTACATAGAGCTCTGTGTGAATACAGCTACCACATTATCCTGTTTAGCACAGACAAGACAGATGGGAAAACTTCTTTACAAAAATCTTACATCACTGAGACTATTTTCTGCTCTTTGTGCACATTTTATACATATAAACTATTATGTAAATTTAACATCGACAACCTTATATGTTATCACAAAACAGGCAAAGTTTATTATGAACAGTTCCTAGCTTTTAGAATAAGCAGACATAAATCCTGTTTTTTGGCACTTGATAATTATGTAACTTATCTTCAGTTTCTTTACTGATAAGTTGCAATATTCATATAAATAAGATTTAAATGAAACATTTAATTTGATAAAATATGTTAGTTGCAGGTATTTTCAAAGGTTCCACATATTAGACAATTTACTCCAATTCCTTCACTGGATGAAGAAGAAAGAAATTACTAATAACATTGTGTAAGTGTCTTTATTTGAATGACAAGAACCTTTAAGAAGGTAAGAACTTCTTATATTATAACTTAATTTACTATTAATTCTAATTTATTCTCTTACATGAGCTAAGCAGATAGCTAGAAAATGCATGTGTCTGTGTATACGAAAACATTTTCCTTTACCAAAGACCCCTACTATTTTTATTTAATGATTTCCAGGAAGATTTTCAAAATGCATTCTAAAACTTCTAACACGTTTTGTATTTATTTTCTTCAACATTAATTAATCTAACATTCATTAGAGTCAATAATGGGACTGATAGTTTCTCCTTTCCATTTATCCAATTGAATGTCTAGTGTACTTAAATCAACATCTATTCCTAAAAAGGAAGAGAAACATAAAAGTGCTTATCTGGATACTTCAGTCCCAGAAGAATTTGACTAAAATATTCAATGCTGTGTCCTATTTGTTGTTGTTGTTGTTTGGTTTTCTTTTCTGTCTTTTCTGTCTTCTTAGCAGTCAGTGTCCACATGGAGCACACACCTGTGGATACAGCAATATCCAGTATTCAGACAACTCTGTTTAAGTAGGATGGTAAAGGCAGCCTTATACGCATCAACCTCGTGGTTTATAATTTAAGTATGTAAGTACAATTTAAATTAAGTATTTAAGTACAATTTAAGTACATTCGCTAGAACCAAGAGCTATGAAGTTAGCTATGAGTCCAAAACTCCTGGGTGGCTGCCAAAATCGACCTCCATGCCACCCTGTGGATTCATCTCTAGCCATATCCACTACGTGTTTTGTTCAAAGTGAGCTCTAGCCCCTAGCTCGGCATCCCAACAGCAGCACTCCCAACTCTCTTTATCATATCATTCATCTTATGAATTATAATGTTATCCTGCTTCCCTACCCTATTGACAATCTGGTTATTCCAGATCACTTTCCAAATAGAGGGTCAAGGTACTCACAACTATTTGCCATTAGTCTTCCTCCCTAGGTGTTTCTGTTTTGTCTTTAAATCCCGCCTTCTGCCTAAAAGTCTATCCGAAATCACTTTCTCTCCATACATTGATTCGAGTGATGATCAACAGAGGACTTGCCTCCACTCTTCTCTGCCTCATTTTAGGTTATCCATTCCATTTCTAGGGATAGCTCTTTGTATTCCGTGCCTTAGGTGTTCTGCTTCATCTGTCATGCCTGTACTTCTGCTGTTGGCTTTTTATCTCCTTATTTTCTAATGCTGCTAATGATCTACCATAGCTGTGCCACCTTCTTTTGCTTTAACTCCAAGAAAAATTCTGTCTGATTTGCAATATGTGTTTGCATTTATCTTGATTTATGTTTACATTGCAATCAAGTCTTTACTTAACATTCTGAATTATGTTCCTGAAGAATGTATATCAGAATAAAATACATAGCCCTAAAAAATATTGTAACCCAGTTTCCTACATTTATAGAAAGGGTAATACTATCTTTAACAGGGTTAGATTCATGGGCATGCAACCTGTGCAGTCACACGAGGCCCCATGCTGAGAAAGGTTCCATGCCTGGTTTATTCTCTCCTGTCATCATCTTGACATTCTTAATAATTTCCTCTTTTATCTTGTGTTTTGAAGAGAATTCCAATGAGACAACGGAGCATGTGCATGAGTGGAGAAGTTTGTTTATAATATATGTGTCTGCTGTTTCTTGCCACCCTATTCATGTATAGTATCCAAAGTCCCTATAGCACAAAATTCCAGTGGAACCCACGATGGATGGGAGTTTAGTGATATTCAAAGGGAGAATGAGATTTGCTTTTTTTGTTACAGCTGAGTAAGCAGAGGTCTCAACAATCCAGAGAGGCCGAACTTTCCATTAGAATGAGAATTTGCTTCAAATGTAGAAAAACAATGACATTATCAGAAGCATGAATAATAAAGGAAGCTTTTTCATATTTTTTATTTCTGTTACTTCCCTGTATTAACCCACCCCTTATGCTGAAAATGATGAAATAGAAGGAAAGGAAAAGATAGGGCAACCCCACAGCTGTTTTTTATTTCAGTTCTTCCTTACTTATCAGTAAGCTAAAGATAAAGGTTTTTAGTAAAATGTGTGTGTATCAAGTGAAAACAAGCAAAAGCAAAAACAAAACAGGTCAGTTAGACTTTCTACTATTGTGTGGCACTTTCGCTGTTGTGCTAAGAAAGAAATACATACGCATGTACAAGCTATGAAATATAAATTGTGTAATTTCAGTAATTCTTTGTGTGAGTTAAATGGTATAATATTTGCATTTGAAATTGGCATTGCCACTATAATGGTAAAAGAAATGCTAATAATGTGTGTAGATTTTTAATTTAGAAATTAAATAGGAAATTAAAATGCCAATACAGGTTGAGAGAGAGATGGTGGAAGTACATGTAATGACACATTTTCCTGCTTTTAAAACAAGGGGCCCTGCACTTTCATTTTATACACCGACCCTCAAATTATGTAGCCAGCCTTAATCTTTAATAACATATTTGAGTGGGCTACTCAGACTGTGGCTGATAACCTTCTTTCATTTTTAGTGGTCACAATGTATTGATTAAAAGAGAAAATTTATTTTGTTTCTTCTCTCGGGATGGCTATGGTTGACAAAAACATACTTTTTGGCTTCTGTCCTATCTTTTATTTTTATTTCTCCTTTGGTAAAGTACTATATAAAAACTTAGCAGTGTTTCTCCTTGATCAATGAGATGTCTCCCTTTTCCAACAACAGCTTCTATATCAGACTCAGTACTCCAGGGACTTAAGCACATTGATGCTTCTATTCTGCTATTTTTCTTCATTTAGTATCTCATCCTTAGAGAGCACAAGAGGATAAATAGATTGTTTACCCAGGTGTGGTATTAGTGTTGTACACACACAAAATGCTGACTCTCTGTACCCTTCTGACACTCAATAGGATAACATTAAAAGTATCCCAATGTATATTTTTCTGCTGTTTCTCTCCAAAGTGCTTTATTGTTGTCTTTTCCTCTACCTGTATGAAAAACCTCACAGATATCCCAATGTTTAGAGTACAAATTAGGATCTGGAATGGACTCCTTATCTGGTGGCCTCCATTTTGCCTTCCTGATCCTGATCCTGGGAAGGCCCACCACAGATAATAAGTCACGCCGTTGAAATATAATTTTTAAAATAAAATTAATTTGCCCTAATATTCACCAGTTTGATTTCAGCATTTGAAATGACAATAACTAGGTCTTTTGCAAAGTTTTTTGAAAGACATATCATGTGCTCTTTGTAGGTTATGTTTTTGCACTTATATTAAAGCAACATTTATATTAAAGCAACATTTATAACATCTGTTTAAAAATCAATTTAACATGTACATTTATAATATGTAAAATTAAAAAGAAAGAATATTAAATGGAAAATAAAATTTCTACACTATGGCTTACTTATTACTTTAAAAATAAAATTAGTATATGAAATTTATATATTCCTCAATTTTATTAAATTTTAGAGTGACCTCTAGAGTATCCAGTAGATAATGCAGTTAGCCCTAAAGAAGCAGTGAAATAAACTTCTGGAATGTTTTTAAATTTAAAAAGTAAATCAAGGCAGGGTGCAGTGGCTCACGCCTGTAATCCCAGCACTTTGGGAGGCCGAGGCGGGCGGATCACAAGGTCAGGAGATCGAGACCATCCTGGCTAACACGGTGAAACCCCGTCTCTACTAAAAGTACAAAAAATTAGCCAGGTGTGGTGGCGGGCGCCTGTAGTCCCAGCTACTCGGGAGGCTGAGGCAGGAGAATGACCTGAACCCAGGAGGTGGAGCTTGCAGTGAGCCGAGGTCGTGCCACTGCACTTCAGCCTTCAAAAAAAAGTAAATCAATATATTACTGCGTAAAACAAATTCTACAGTATTTCTTCAGAATGTATGAACTATTTGGAAAATAATGTAAACTGTCAAATTTTCCAGTATAACATACAAGACAGTATTATGTGGTAGGATGTAAGATGCAGATCCTAGATAATTTACCTGGCTAGGTTGTAATCTAAGCACCAGCACTTTCCCGCTATGCAAATTAACTATTTAATTATCTGTGCCTCAGCTTTCTCATCAGAAAATGAGGATACTAGAACTGACTTTATACAGGTTACAATAGTTATCTAAGTTGATGTTTGTTTAAGGCTTAGAACAATTACAAGCATATTATAATTGCTATATATCTTTGCATATATGAAACTTAAGATTAATATGCTTTTATGGTGTTGATACTACTTATGATGCCTAAATGTACAATCATGTACATTTGTACAAAAATGTACAAAAACTGGCAAGCTTTCAAGAAAATGGTATTCAGTACTATGTCGGGTGATGTCAAAATTTTATATTTGTAAATATGTTACAAATATATTCAATAATCTATTGGCTTGCTTTTTAAATTCCAAAACATTCCAGTTTATTTCACTGATTCTGTGGGGCGAGCTGCACTAAAAGTATTGCATTGAAACGTACTCTGCAGAATTGTAGCTAATATCTAAATGTGCAGTTTAGGTTGCAACATATGTGAACTAAATACGTTTTCTTAGATCAACAAAAACATTAAATTCAAGTGTAATTCAATTACCTACACATGAGCTACAGACAATCATAATGCCAAAGAGGCCTATGGGAATCTTAGCTGAGCCATAATAATCATATGACTGACGCATTGCGGGTAATGATATTAAAATATAAACCAGTCAAATCTTGACATAGCTAATTATTTTTTGTCTAATTATTCTGATTTCTAAATAATTTAAGATTTATCATATCAAGTATTGACTCAGTCGGTATAACACTCATATACTCATTTCAACAGCAGAAAACATCACTGAAGATATTAATTTCAGGGTTTTGAGTACCTCTCTTCAATCCTCTGTCAAATTTAATTGCTGAAAGAAATAATATTTTGTCACCTCCATACCAAAAGCTAAAAGTGAGCAGGATTGAGATAACCAGGAAAGGAGCAAGAACAGATGAAATCAAATTAAATCTGGTGCTTTTTCTTAAATCTGCCATGTCTGAATTCAGGGTAAATCAGAGCTCTTTATATCCAAGACTGTGGCAATAGCTTTCTAGCAATGGCTGAAGAGAAACTATCCATTCTAAAAATTAAGATAAATGGAATATTCTGGAATGGAGCTGATTACCAAAGCTACATAGAACCGTATACCACCTGATTGCTTTTGTTTTTATTTGTTTTCAATTTTTTGCACTACTCTCTAAGTCTACAGTCTAAATGAATGGATCCGTTTTAGAATGAATGACTTGTATTACTGAGTAGTATTACTAAGATTAATTGAAAATATATAATTTTTAAATTATTACTAGAGAAATCAGAGGGGAATTGAATGGAATTTCCTCCACTACTAAAACCCTAACAAATAAATTTCTCCTGGGCATTTTCAACTCCAGCCATTCTCGATAATTTTCAAAACTGGATATACACAAAATGTCACTCATTCATTCTTTTACTTAAATTGTTATGGAATATCTTCTATTCAAAATCAAAATTAAAGCTTAATAGAGATTATGTCTCTTGTCTAACATCATCACTTACCTACTTCTCAAAATGAAGCGTTCTCTAAGTTATATTGCCTCTTCAATTTTTCAATTTTTAAACAAATATTTTTGTCTCATGTAAGAGCTTTTCCGTCATAGAGATCAGAACCTAGTCTTCATTCTTTGAAGTTATAGACCAAAATCTAAATCTCCTAAATATATTCTAAACTTTCCCTCAAATACTTCAGAGTTTTTTTAAAACTAGGTTTTAATATTTGTTGCAATTGAGATATAATTTTAATTTTTCTTTTAATGGGTTGTCCGATTTTACTTATTAAATACATCATATCTCTCAATCTGGAAGTCACTCATTATATATTGTTAATCTAATAGTGTTTGTTTCTCGATTTTTCATAAGCTGCACTGCTTGATTTTTCCATTAGTTCAGGTATTATATTATTTTCATTACAGCCATTTAAAAACATTTTGATAGCTGGGAAGACCAAGCCCTACCTCTCCATTTTCCTAGCCTTGCATTTTCTTTCCTCTAAAATATATATGGCCCTGACTTGCAGAATTACACTCCTACAAATGTAAGACATATTCAAGTCTTCCTTCAATTAAAAAAAATATATATTGGAAATTTGATTGGGAGAGTAAGAAATCTCTTGATTAACTTGGAAGATAACTGGTATCTTTAAAATATAAAGTTTTATATCTACAAATGTAGATTATGATTCCATTCACCTATGACAGCTTTTACTCCTTTAGTAATGTTTTATAAATTTTTCCAATAAAACCTTATATATTTCTTATTAGGCACATGAGTAGGCACTTTATAATTTTTTTCAAAATTGTTTTGGGATCTCTAGTATATTTTCTAATTGGATACTCTTTTTGTCTAAGGATATTATTGATTTTCTTATTTTGCCCTTGTTTCTGGCCACTCTGCTGACCTATCCTGTCACATTGTTAGTTCATATTATTGAGTTTTCTATGAAGAGAAGCACATTGTAGAACAAAATGAGAATATTAACTCTCTCCAATGTTTATACTTCACATATCTTTTCTTTTTCTAAATACATTGATTAGGAGCTCCTGTATCATCAATATTGGTAAAAATTGTGACTTTTTTTCTCATCTCTTACTTTAACTGGAATGATTCTAATATTTGACTACTAAATATACTATTTGATGTTAATTTCTGCTGAATACCTTTTCTCCAAATTGAGTCTCTTCATTCTCATTTCTTGTTTCTTAGAGCACTTGCTATCAATGCATGTTTAGATTTGTTAATACTTTGGATGCAGCTTATCACATATTTATTCTTTTAATAAATGTAGTAGATTATACACGTAAGACTTTCTAATGTTGATTAATCTTGCATTTCCAGATCAAATCATACTTCTGGATATAGTCTTCTTTTAGAGAATACCTGAGGTGAATCTGAGGACATTTTATTTGGGAATATTGAATCTATGTACATAAATTAATTTGGCCAACAATTTATCTTGTGTTATCTTTGTAGTCTTTTGATTTGAATTATTCTAGCTTGTACTTATCCCCGCCTATATCCTAATTTATACCCAAAGGAATATAAATTATTCTATTAAAAAGACATATGCATGTGTATGTTCATTGCAGCACTATTCACAATAGCAAGGCATGGAATCAACCTAAATGCCCATCAGTGATAGGCTGGATAAGGAAAATGGGGTTCATATACATTATGGAATATTATGTAGCCATAAAAAAGAATGAAATCACATCCTTTGCAAGGGCATGGATAGAGCTGGAGGCCATTAACCTAAGCAAACTAATGCAGAAACATAAAACCAAATACAGCATGTCATGTTCTCACTTATAAATGACAGCTAAATGATGAGAACTCGTGGACACATAGAGGGGAGCAGCACCCAATGGGGCCTACTGAAGGGTGGAGGATAGGAGGAGGGAGAAGGTCAGGAAAAATAAATAATGGGTACTAAATTTAATATCTGGATGATAAAATTATCTGTACAACACATCCCCATGACACAAGTTTACTTATGAAACAAACCTTCACCTGTACCCTGAACTTAAAAGTTAAAAGTAAAAATAAAAAATAAAAGCAGCAAGATCAGCTTTTAGAAAAGAAAAATAGTTGATTAATTTTTCAGTGTTTCCATGTTTTGAAATACTTTTACACAATGAAATATCTTTCTTTAAAAGTAATCCGAACATTTACATGTTTATGTCTTATTTTTAGAGTATGTTTTTATTATATATTTTTTGTTTCCTCCTATGTTCATATATCCTTATATATATATTGATTTATTTCTGTCTCACAGTTCACTGATAGTGCCATTCCAGGGTACTAATTTGAATTTAGACTTGGCAGTGCTACAGAATTTAAATATATGTATGTATAGTCCAACACCAATATGACATCCAAGACTTCACTTTCTGGTTTGAATTACTCACAAGTGATGTTTAGTTCTTTACAATTGAATGAAGCACAAAGTAAGCATTTGGTGGTTTACTTTATTTCAAATTCAGCTGCAGTTTCTATGTACAAATCCCCTTGACCTCATCTCATTTCCTGATACTAAAATCCCTTAATCAGTGCCTTCTTTTCACCATCATAGGTGTCTTTTCTGCTCTCACACAGGGTCAAGAAACTGCTCTGTACAATGTGATGAGGGGTGTGGGCTTGTAGTGTTAGCCTCACATGGTGGTAGAGTTCTGGGTGTGAAGAACCCTGCCAGGGCCATTAGTTCTGTTTTTTTGTTTTTTTGGTTTTTTTTCCTAAGGGTTCCACTGCTACTTGCTTGTTGCTACACATAGGATTTTCTTCCCTGGGCACACTCTAGTATGTATCATACACAGGAAATCTGACTTTCCTAAGTATGTGCCTGCTGCTAAGGGTGAAAAGACAATGACAAAAAGTTTCCCTTTTTTGACCTGTTCCTTTTTATCCAATTTAATCAAAAAATTGGATAAGGGACCTGCAGGGCCTATAGTGATGAGATTTATAAACCATGTAAAAGACATTCTGTATGGCTATGGATGATCCTGAGAGTAAAGCACATAATCTTCATCTTTCTCTCTGTTGTTTCTCTCTTTCTTTTCTCTCTCTCTCCCTTTCTCTCTCTCCCTGTGCTTGTGAGTCTAGATAGACAAAAGTAGTATATCTGCATATATATTTCTTTACATATTTGTATATAT
This sequence comes from Homo sapiens, assembly GCF_000001405.40. Lineage (NCBI taxonomy): Eukaryota > Metazoa > Chordata > Mammalia > Primates > Hominidae > Homo > Homo sapiens. The sequence continues at coordinate 96,601,120 of NC_000003.12, forward strand.
ATATTTTACAACTCACATTTCATTGGTGGTTCTATCATAGGTTATTGATGTCAATTCATCTGTATGCAGGCTAAAGGAATATAAAAGTAGATAGTTGGACACACATGTAATTCTAAACTTACTTTTTGGATCAAACAGCTACAGTTACTCTATAATGTACTATCTGGTTGATATTTAAATATTCATGTGTATATCACAAATTCAAACTAGGTGTATCTTTTTTAATTATTATTATACTTTAAGTTCTAAGGTACATGTGCACAATCTGCAGGTTTGTTATAGATGTATACATGTGCCATGTTGGTGTGCTGCACCCATTAACTCGTCATTTACATTAGGTATATCTCCTAATGCTATCCCTCCCCTCTCCCCCCACCCCACAACAGGCCCCAGGGTATGATGTTCCCCTTCCTGTGTCCAAGTGTTCTCATTGTTCAATACCCACCTACGAATGAGAACATGTGGTGTTTGGTTTTTTGTCCTTGGGATAGTTTGCTGAGAATGATGGTTTCCAGCTTCATCCATGTCCCTACAAAGGACATGAACTCATCCTTTTTTATGGCTGCATAGTATTCCATGGTGTATATGTGCCACATTTTCTTAATCCAGTCTATCACTAATGGACATTTGGGTTGGTTTCAAGTCTTTTCTATTGTGAATAGTGCCGCAATAAATGTATGTGTGCATGTGTCTTTATAGCAGCATGATTTATAATCCTTTGGGTATATACCCAGTAATAGGATGGCTGGGTCAAACGGTATTTCTAGTTCCAGATCCTTGAGGAATTGCCACACTGTCTTCCACAATGGTTGAACTAGTTTACACTCCCACCAACAGTGTAAAAGTGTTCCTATTTCTCCACATCCTCTCCAGCACCTGTTGTTTCCTGACTTTTCAATCATCCCCATTCTAACTGGTATGAGATGGTATCTCATTGTGGTTTTGATTTGCATTTCTCTGATGGCCAGTGATGATGAGCATTTTTTCATGTGCCTGTTGGCTGCATAACTGTCTTCTTTTGAGAAGTGTCTGTTCATATCCTTCGCCCACTTTGTGATGGGGTTGTTTCTTTTTTTCTTGTAAATTTATTTGAGTTCTTTGCAGATTCTAGATATTAGCCCTTTGTCAGATGAGTAGATTGCAAAAATTTTCTCCCATTCTGTAGGTTGCCTGTTCACTCTAATGGTAGTTTCTTTTGCTGTGGAGAAGCTCTTTACTTTAATTAGAACCAGTTTGTCAATTTTGACTTTTGTTGCCATTGCTTTTGGTGTTTTAGACATGAAGTCCTTGCCCGTGCCTATGTCCTGAATGGTATTGCCTAGGTTTTCTCCTAGGGTTTTTATGGTTTTAGGTCTAACATTTAAGTCTTTAATCCATCTTGAATTAATTTTTGTTTAAAGTGTAAGGAAGGGATCCAGTTTCAGCTTTCTACATATGGCTAGCCAGTTTTCCCAGCACCATTTATTAAATAGGGAATCCTTTCCCCATTTCTTGTTTTTGTCAGGATTGTCAAAAATCAGATAGTTGTAGATGTGTGGTATTATTTCTGAGGGCTCTGTTCTGTTCCATTGGTCTATATCTCTGTTTTGGTACCAGTACCATGCTGTTTTGGTTACTGTAACCTTGTAGTATAGTTTGAAGTCAGGTAGCGTGATGCCTCCAGGTTTGTTCTTTTGGCTTAGGATTGTCTTGGCAATGTGGGCTCTTTTTTGGTTCCATATGAACTTTAAAGTAGTTTTTTCCAATTCTGTGAAGAAAGTCATTTGTACCTTGATGGGTGTGGCATTGAATCTATCAATTACCTTGGGCAGTATGGCCATTTTCATATTGATTCTTCCTATCCATGAGCATGGAATGTTCTTCCATTTATTTGTATCCTCTTTTATTTCGTTGAGCAGTGGTTTGTAGTTCTCCTTAAAGAGGTCCTTCACATCCCTTGTAAGTTGGATTCCCAGTTATTTTATTCTCTTTGAAGCAATTGTGAATGGGAGTTCACTCATGATTTGGCTCTCTGTTTGTCTGTTATTGGTGTATAGGAATGCTTGTGATTTTTGCACATTGATTTTGTATCCTGAGACTTTGCTGAAGTTGCTTAACAGCTTAAGGAGATTTTGGGCTGAGACGATGGGGTTTTCTAGATATACAATCATGTCATCTGCAAACAGGGACAATTTGACTTCCTCTTTTCCTAATTGAATACCCTTTATTTCTTTCTCCTGCCTGATTGCCCTGGCCAGAACTTCCAACACTATGTTGAATAAGAGTGGTGAGGGAGGGCATCCCTGTCTTGTGCCAGTTTTCAAAGGGAATGCTTCCATTTTTTTGCCCATTCAGTATGATATTTGCTGTGGCTTTGTCATAGACAGCTCTTATTATTTTGAGATACATCCCATCAATACCTAGTTTATTGAGAGTTTTTAGCAGGAAGGGCTGTTGAATTTTTTTGAAGGCCTTTTCTGCATCTATTGAGATAATCATGTGGTTTTTGTCTTTGGTTCTGTTTATATGCTGGATTATGTTTATTGATTTGTGTATGTTGAACCAGCCTTGCATCCCAGGGATGAAGCCCACTTGATCATGGTGGATAAGCTTTTTGATGTGCTGCTGGATTTGGTTTGCCAGTATTTTACTGAGGATTTTTGCATTGATGTTCATCAGGGATATTGGTCTACAGTTCTCTTTTTTTGTTGTGTCTTTGCCAGGCTTTGGTATCAGGATGATGCTGGCCACATAAAATGAGTTAGGGAAGATTCCCTCGTTTTCTATTGAATGAATAGTTTCAGAAGGAATGGTACCAGCTCCTCCTTGACCTCTGGTAGAATTCGGATGACAATCTGTCTGGTTCTGGACTTTTTTTGGTTGGTAAGCTATTAATTATTGCCTCAATCTCACAGCCTGTTATTGGTCTATTCAGAGATTCATCTTCTTCCTGGTTTAGTCTTGGGAGTGTGTAAGTGTCCAGGAGTTTATCCATTTCTTCTAGATTTTCTGGTTTCTTTGCAAAGAGGTGTTTATAGTATTCTCTGATGGTAGTTTGTATTTCTGTGGGATCTGTAGTGATATCACCTTTATCATTTTTTATTGCATCTATTTGATTCTTCTCTCTTTTCTTCTTTATTAGTCTTGCTAGTGGTCTATCAGTTTTGTTGATCTTTTCAAAAAAACAGCTCCTGGGTTCATTGATTTTTTGAAGGGTTTTTTGTGTCTCTATCTCCTTCAGATCTGCTCTGATCTTAGTTATTTCTCACCTTCTGCTAGCTTTTGAATGTGTTTGCTCTTGTTTCTCTAGTTCTTTTCATTGTGATGTTAGGGTGTCAATTTTAGATCTTTCCTGCTTTCTCTTGTGGGCATTTAGCACTATAAATTTTCCTCTACACACTGCTTTAAATGTGTCCCAGAGATGCTGGTATGTTGTGTCTTTGTTCTTGTTGGTTTCAAAGAACATCTTTGTTTCTGCCTTCATTTTGTTATGTACCCAGTAGTCATTCAGGAGCAGGTTGGTCAGTTTCCATGTAGCTGAGCGGTTTTGAGTGAGTTTCTTAATCCTGAGTTCTAGTTTGATTGCACTGTGGTCTGAGAGATAGTTTGTTATGATTTCTCTTCTTTTACATTTGCTGAGGAGTGCTTTACTTCCAACTATGTGGTCAATTTTGGAATGGAAAGTGTGATGTGGCACTGAGCAGAATGTATATTCTGTTGATTTAGGGTGGAGAGTTCTGTAGATGTCTGTTAGCTCTGCTTGGTGCAGAGCTGAGTTCAAGTCCTGGATATCCTTGTTAGCTATCTGTCTTGTTGATCTGTCTAATGCTGACAGTGGGATGTTAAAGTCTCCTATTATTATTGTGTGGGAGTCTAAGGCTCTTTATAGGTCTCTAAGGATTTGCTTTATGAATCTGGGTGCTCCTGTATTGGGTGCATATATGTTTAGGATAGTTAGCTCTTCTTGTTGAATGGATCCCTTTACCATTATGTAATGGCCTTCTTTGTCTCTTTTGATCTTTGTTGGTTTAAAGTCTGTTTTATCAGAGACTAGGATTGCAACCCCTGCCTTTTTTTGTTTTACATTTGCTTGGTAGATCTTCCAACATCCCTTTATTTTGAGCCTATATGTGTCTCTGCAGGTGAGATGGGTTTCCTGAATACAGCACACTGATGGGTCTTGACTCTTTATCCAATTTGCCAGTCTGTGTCTTTTAATTGGAACATTTAGCGCATTTGCACTTAAGGTTAATATTGTTATGTGTGAATTTGATCCTGTCATTATGATGTTAGCTGGTTATTTTGCTCGTTAGTTGATGCAGTTTCTTCCTGGCATCAATGGTCTTTACAATTTGGCATGTTTTTGCAATGGCTGGTACCAGTTGTTCCTTTCCATGTTTAGTGCTTCCTTCAGGAGCTCTTGTAGGGCAGGCCTGGTGGTAACAAAATCTCTCAGCATTTGCTGGTCTGTAAAGTATTTTATTTCTCCTTCACTTATGAAGCTTAGTTTGGCTTGATATGAAATTCCGTGTTGAAGATTCTTTTCTTTAAGAATGTTGAATATTGGCCCCCACTCTCTTCTGGCTTGTAAAGTTTCTGCCGAGAGATCCACTGTTAGTCCAATGGGCTTCCTTTTGTGGGTAACCTGACCTTTCTCTCTGGCTGCCCTTTACATTTTTTCCTTCATTTCAACTTTGGTGAATCTGACAATTGTATGTCTTGGAGTTGCTCTTCTTGAGGAGTATCTCTGTGGCATTCTCTGTATTTCCTGAATTTGAATGTTGGCCTGCCTTGCTAGATTGGGGAAGTTCTCCTGGATAATATGCTGAAGAGTGTTTTCCAGCTTGTTTCCATTCTCCCCATCACTTTCAGGTACACCAATCAGACATAGATTTGATCTTTTCACATAGTCCTATATTTCTTGGAGGATTTGTTCATTTCTTTTTATTCTTTTTTCTCTAAACTTCTCTTCTCGCTTCATTTCATTCATTTGATATTCAATCACTGATACCCTTTCTTCCAGTTGATCAAATCAGCTACTGAAGCTTGTGCATTCGTCACATAGTTCTCATGCCTTGGTTTTCAGCTCCATCAGGTCATTTAAGGACTTCTCTACATTGGTTATCCTAGTTTGCCATTCGTTTAATCTTTTTTTAAGGTTTTTAACTTCTTTGCGATGGGTTTGAACTTCCTTCTTTAGCTCGGAGAAGTTTGGTCGTCTGAAGCCTTCTTCTCTCAACTCATCAAAGTCATTCTCCGTCCAGCTTTGTTCCATTGCTGGTAAGGAGCTGTGTTCCTTTGGAGGAGGAGAGGTGCTCTGATTTTAGAATTTTCAGTTTTTCTGCTCTGTTTTTTTCCCCATCTTTGTGGTTTTATCTACCTTTGGTCTTTGATGATGGCAACGTACAGATGGGGTTTTGGTGATGATGTCCTTTATGTTTGCTAGTTTTCCTTCTAACAGTCAGGACCCTCAGCTGCAGATCTGTTGGAGTTTGCTGGAGGTCCACTCCAGACCCTCTTTGCCTGGGTATCAGCAGCAGAGGCTGCAGAACAGTGAATATTGCTAAACAGCAAATGTTGCTGCCTGATCATTCCTCTGGAAGTTTCACCTCAGAGGGGTCCCTGGCCGTGTGAGGTGTCAGAGTGCCCCTACTGGGGGGTGCCTCCCAGCTAGGCTACTCGGGGGTCAGGGACCCACTTGAGGCAGTCTGTCCATTCTCAGATCTCAAACTTTGTGCTGGGAGAACCACTACTCTCTTTAAAGCTGTCAGACAGGGACATTTAAGTCTGAAGAGGTTTCTGCTGCCTTTTATTCAGTTATTCCCTGCCCCCAGAGGTGGAGTCTACAGAGGCAGGCAGGCATGCCTCCTTGAGCTGCGGTGGGCTCCACCCAGTTCAAGCTTCCAGGCCACTTTGCTTACCTACTCAAGCCTCAGCAATGGTGGGCGCCCCTCCCCCAGCCTCGCTGCATCCTTGCAGTTCGAACTTGGACTGCTGTGCTAGCAATGAGTGAGGCTCTGTGGGCATGGGACCCTCCAAGCCAGGAGCGGGATATAATCTCCTGTTGTGCCGCTTGCTAAGACCATTGGAAAAGCACAGTATTAGGGTGGGAGTGACCCAATTTTCCAGGTGCCCTCTGTCACAGCTTTGCTTGGCTAGGAAAGGGAATTCCCTGACCCTTTGCGCTTCCTGGGTGAGGTGATGCCTCACCCTGCTTCAGCCCATGCTCACTGTGCTGCACCCACTGTCCTGCACCCACTGTCTGATAAGCCCCAGTGAGATGAACCCGGTACCTCAGTTGGAAATGCAGATATCACCCGTCTTCTGTGTCACTCATGCTGGGAGCTGTAGACTGGAGCTATTCCTATTTGGCCATCTTGGAACCTCCCTTTATTATATTTTTATTTTTTTTTCTGAATTATTAATTTATAGCTTGATCACTTCTAAAAATTCTGGATTGTATATTTTCTCATAAAGGTATTTTGCTTTTGTCTTATTTAATTCAAAATTTGTACAAATGAGAAACTGTCTAAATTTTAACTTCTGTCTACTTGTTTTTTGTTTTAATAATTTCATTGAATGGTACTTTTTCTCTGCTTTTCTTTCTCAATAATATTTGTCAAAAATTTGTCTGTGCTATATTTTCCCAGATCTTTTTTAAACATTTCCCACCAGGGTAGTATATTTGTTACAATTGATGAGCCTACATTGACACATCATAATCACCCAAAGTTCATAGTATACATAAGGGTTAATTCTTAATGTTGCCTATTTTTGGGTTTGAAACAAGTTATGATGACATGTACCCAAAATTATAGTTATCATATAGAGTAGTTTCACTGTCCTAAAAATCATCTGTGCTCTCCCTATTACCCCTCACTCCCCACTAAACTCTGACAACCACTAAGCTTTTTACTGTCTCCATGGTTTTGCCTTTTCCAGAATGTCATGTAGCTGGCATTACACAGTATGGAGCTGTCTCAGATTGGCTTCTTTCATCTAGTAATGGACATTTAAGTTTCCCTCATGTCTTTTCATGGCTTGATAGCTCATATTTTTTAACATTTAATAATATTTCTTTGTCACTGGATGACAAGGATGTGCCACAGTTTATCCATTCACCTACTGAAGGACATGTTGGTTGCTTCCAAGTTTTGATAATCTTTAGTAAAGCTGTTACAAACATCAACATTTTTGTGTGGATGTATATTTTCAACTACTTTGGGTAAACAGCAAGGTGCAAGATTGCTAGATCATATGCTAGGAGTATGTTTAATTTCATGCTTTATTGATTATTTGTTTATATTTATATTTTCTTAACTATTTGAAAATATTATAATCCTTTCAATTGATACTAATTAAAAATAGTTCATATTGCTAAAATTTATGGAAATTTACAGTAAAGTTAATAAATAAGCAGATCTTTTTAAAAAACAAGATGCAGTGCTATTTCTCCAATAGCTGATAAGTAACCATGGCAGGTTTCCAAACATCTATTAGATTTTCCAAGAAAATAAGTTACCATAGCAACTCTAAAAGCATATTATATGGTTTTAGACCATTACTACTCACTGATATTTCTTCAAATATGAATAGAAGTGTAAATATATCAACTCATAAACACATTGATTCATAATAAATTAGTTTGCAGCATTTGCAACATTGCTGCATTTTAAAATAAATATCATACAACGATCCAAATACTTTCATTTATTTTTTTAATGGAACACTTCACGAATTTGCATGTCATCCTTGCACAGGGGCCATGCTAATCTCTGTATTATTCCAATTTTAGTATATGTGCTGCCGAAGCGAGCACTGATCAAAAATACTTTTGATCATTTCAACTGCAGGAACAAGTATCTAGAAAGCTAGCTGTGCAATGGATCTCAGAGCCCTAACACTATATAACTCCACTGATCATACTATTTCCATGTCAGATATTGAAAGAAGTTCTGGAAGGCCAAGAAAGAGATCAAATGGGATCTCCTTAATAAGTATATGAGAACACTGGACTCAGTTCCCACCTCTCAATCATTAATGGAAAAGAAGAGTTGCAACAAGTACAGATGCAGGCAAAGAAGCAAACCCAATACCTTAATTCTAAGCATACTTTTCCTTAATAAAGAGGAGTTGAAAGATGGGTGGCTTAGAATCCTCATGTCTAGACTTAGTGATTTCAAAATTATCCTGGAAATCTCTTAGCTGAACAAAAGGCCTTCAGGAGGTTTAAAATTGCATACTGGAACTATTGAGACTGTCTCTCAGCCATTTTTCTTGTTGGCAACAGGCCCCAACCAGTCCACTCTCACATTGTCATCAGGGTTGTTAGCCTGAAAATTTCATCATGCCACTCCCACGTTTCCAAATCACTTATACTTGCCCACTGTCTACATCATGATGTCTGTACTGCTCTTACCATGGTGAGGAGTCCAGCTTCCAGTGAAAAACTTTGGGTAATTTTCCAGATCCAGTCTGGTGATTATAAACCCTTCACCTGGGAGGCTTAGGAAAAAGCTGCCTTCCCCACCGCAGATGCGGTGAACAGTCACAGCACTGCAGTGTCTGAAGGCAGCAGCAGGCAATGACTCTGGCCCCACCTGGCCAGTCAAGCTCTTTGCATCTTTGCATGTACAGCCCCAGTAGGATACCTCCATTCATAGGTCATTTCATCTGAGTCCCCCTGGGCTGAGGTCCCTCTCAGGTACCCCTGCCAAATGTTCCTTGGAGCGGTGGCAGGCTGGGTAGGGGAGGTTGGGGAGACTCTCACTCAATGCCCAATACATTTCCATGTTTAGAACTTCTCCCTCATCCTCTCCACTACTTGAAGGTCCGTAAAACTGCGAGACCTTTTGTTTGGGACTCCCTCAGTAGTAAGATGACTCTCACATCTGTTCTGACCTGTGCTCTGTTTTATAGGGCAAAATGCAAGAGAGGGTCCATGCTTTCTCTAATTTTAGCCTTTTGCTTATATCATCATAAAAGAGTAAAGCCTAACTTCTTGCACATTTTTGGCTTCTTGCTTTAATTGGCTATTCAGGCACCTCAGAGCTCAGCTTTCTCACTCCCAGTTTACTGAACTCCTGTCATATGACACTCAGGCCCTGTTAAAGTTTGCAGAAATGTGTCTTCAGGGCCTCTTCTCACCGTAGCTTTCTGAGTAACCCTGTACTTGCATCAGTCTCGACACTCCTCCTTTTATTTACTCAGTGATTTTGAGCAATTCTTTGTCTAGAACGCTCCCTTTCTCCTTGACAATGAATAATAGAAAATAAAATCACTAAAGAACAACATAGACATGATTTCTCTCAAAGATCTTCTCATTTTACTTATGCAGGGTCATTCCTATGTTCCCCAAATCTTTTAAGTTCTTTACCACAGTTTTGTACATACAAAATTACATTGCAATTTTTATGTCTACATTTTTTTTTCTTTTTGATAACAATTGAGCTTGTGGAAATCCAGAACTTTACATCATTTTTATCTACATCCCTCGTCCCTAACCCAGGCCTTAGCTCACAAAAGATGCTTCATAAAAAAGCCTGGATCCCTAGAGAAGATTCTTAGATTTTAGCATAAAAGTAAATTAAATGTTTTGTTTAATAATACGTTAAATAAAAACATTATATAAAGGAGAAACACTTGATTTTGACCATTTAAAACATTTGTGTGAAACATATCTGATATTGAATTTAGTTTTGCTCAAAATCGCTACGTAAAATTATAATTTTAACATTCTTATGAATGTATATAATTAAACAGCTACACAATGAAAAATTCTTCCTCTATACCCTAAAGAATGTCTGTAATGTATATAACACCCAATGGTAAACGAGTAAATGTTTGAGTTTTACACATTAATGTTATGAATATTGCTAAAATAAAGCATGCTATTCATAAGACTTGATCTTTCCATAAAACAATAATACTTTTATTATTTTGTGCATAGAAAAATTAAAATTGTTACTTTTTTCTTAAAAATAAACTTTTAGTTTTATGTAAAACCAAAAATTATGTTAATAGAAATGTAATCAGCTCACTTTACATTTTATTTTTAAATAGGAGAAATATAGACAGGTTTGTTTGTTTGTTTGTTTTGTTTTGTTTTTGAGATGAAGTCTCACTCTGTCAACCAGACTGTAGTGCAGTGGCATGATCTCGGCTCACTGCAAGCTCCACCTCCCAGGTTCACGCCATTCTCCTGCCTCAGCCTCCAGAGTAGCTGGGACTACAGGCGCCCACCACCACACCCGGCTAATTTTTTGTATGTTTAGTAGAGACAGGTTTCACCGTGTTAGCCAGGATGGTTTTGATCTCCTGACCTTGTGATCTACCTGCCTCGGCTTCCCAAAGTGCTGGGATTACAGGTGTGAGCCACCACACCTGGGCAGACTTTTTTTTTTTAATTCTCCCGCAAAGAATGATTGTCATACTCCCTTTATGTCAAACCTTATCCACTTGGTTCTTGGTTCCAAGACCCATAATTTGTTTTCTTTCATTTTAATATTTCCATGAATTCTAAATCTTTACCCTTTGTTTCTGCCTACTTATTCTGCTGTTTGGGTTTTTTTCTTCTTCTTCTTCTTTTGCGCTCAATATACACTCAGTCACTTTCTGGAAAGTCACATGTGGTCATAGAAAGTGATATTTTTATGTAAACATGCTTGTTATTGTAATTGCTTTTTAAGGCAGCCTGATAACAAATTTCCTGTCACAATCTGAAATATATTCTCTTTCACATTTGCCACTGCATGTGACTCCAACATTTATTCCTTCACTTAGGTAATTTTTACTCATCATTCAGTGTGAAGCAAGAATGTTGTTCAAAAAACAAAAACAAAACACTGTTTCAAAAAGTTTCAAGTTTAGGAATTTAAATCAATGTCTGAAAATATTTGCTACAACCATAATAATCAGAATACAAAACAGAAGGACTTCAGCACCCAAGTCACCCCAAGGCCTCACCAAATATTAATCACCTACCAGGTCCCAGCCCCTGAACTAAGTGTTAAGGATCCAGTGGTGAACAGAACCAACAACGGCTCCACAGGTTGACAGAAAAGACTCAGCTGGTGGGATGGCAGATAAAAGGGGAAAGAAATAAGGTGGAGGGAAGGAAATGTTCAAAGTTGTGTAGCTGTGAGAAAGTATGGTGTATATTGAAAACAGGAAGGTCTGGGTTTTGTGTGTGTGTTTCAGTTTGTTTTATGCTGGCTTCTTTTCTGGCAGGGGGGCACTCAGAATAGGGTGGAAACACTGGGTGCTGGGTGAAAAAAAAAATTACTAGAGTATCATTCACTAGACTGTCCTTAAAGAGGTTTCTATAGACTGAAGGGAATAATTTATTTTATTACAGGTAGAGTCTAAGATTTGGATTCCTGTGCAAATTCAGTAAGCAAGGTTAAAGAGGGAAGGGATCAGCAGGCAATATTGGACAGTTAGGGTGTTACAGAAGCACATTTCATAGCTACTATGTGTTTCCCTGGTCCATATCAACTTTAGCAGCAGTATGATAGTCAACAATGACAAGAAAGTGTTAAAAAGTACTTTAAATAATAGAATTAAACAACCAATCTGATTTTTTGCCTGAATGGGTAAAACTGGTATTTTCAAATTGATTTGCAATATTTTGTCCTAGAGTATGTCAGCTCGGTTCAGTGTTTTGTCCATCTGATGATTCATGGTTCATTCTTTCTGTTTTTTTCTTTTTTTCTTTTTCTTTTTTGTTTTTTTTGAGACAAAGACTCACTCTTGTCCCTCAGGCTGGAGTGCAATGGCGTGATCTCGGCTCACTGCAACCTCTGCCTCCCGGGTTCAAGCAATTCTCCTGCCTCAGCTTCCCGAGTAGCTGGGATTACAGGAGCCTGCCACCACACCTGGCTAATTTTTGTATTTTTAGTAGAGAAGGGGTTTCACCATGTTGGCCAGGCTGGTCTCAAACTCCTGACCTCAGGCGATATGCCCGCCTTGCCCTCCCAAAGTGCTAGGATTACAGGCGTGAGTCACCACACCTGGCCAATGGCTCATTCTTTGGATCTTTCAACAAATAAATATTTATTGAGTTCTTTCTATATGACAATTTTTGTTTTCCATGTCTAGTCTACAGCTACCAAAAAAAAACATATTATGCATAAGAAATGAGAAATAAAAATAAAATCCTAAGCTGCCAACTAAATGAATGGGCCCCCTGTTAGCCAAGAGGACCCAGACAAACCTTGCAAACTGAGTTCCCGGCCATGACCAGATGGGAAGCTGGACATGTCTCTTTATACCTCCTCCCCTGCTAACCACCATTAGACTTTATTTTTTCCTAAAGGGTTAGACAGAAACTAACCCTTTGGAAAGACTTCCTCCACCACTGATTTGAACCATCTTTGTGACTGCCCCTCCCTTTTGTAGTTGTGATAAAACAACCAACCAGCATTCCTTCCTGTCAACAGACCACCAAGCACGGAGTGGTTCTGTCCAATGTACAGAGGATGCTCAGTGAGGGTTTTCATGTCCTCAGTTTCACCTTTGGATGTCAAAGGGCAGAAAACTCCACCCTTGAATCATGCTAGCACTGCCGTTTTTTGAAGAAGGACCCTTGGGAAAGCATGAAGATCATCTGCAAATGCACATGTTTCACCTCTCATAAATGTTCATAACTCCTCTTATAGCTTATTAAATATATATGTATGTATGTATGTGTATATATATATATATATTCACCTTCTCTGTTCAGCATAAATTCCTATATTATTCTTCCCACCCTAGAAGTACCTGTTTCTGGCTTCTAGCCTGATGGCCACCCTGCAGGCTGCAACCCTTTCTGAGAAATAAAGCTCTCCTTTCCAAATTTATGAACCTCATCATTCTTCAGTTGACAGGAAGCAAGATACATAAGAAGTATATACTGTACCAGACATTGATGTTTTCTAAGAATAAAAAGTGAACCAGGAAGAGCAATGGAAACTCTACTCAGGTAGAGATGGCCAGGGAAGGCATCACTGATGATACTTTAAAACTTGAAGGAAAAGAGGGAATTGAGATATGTGGATACTGGAGAGAAGCACATCCCAGGCAGCTGAAAGGGCAAAGAGCAAATATCCTATAGTGTGATCATGCTTGGCATGTATGAAGGAACAGTAAGGAGGCCAACCAGAAGGAGGATAGCAGAAGAGGAACAGGGTAGAGAGGAGGGGGCCAATTTTACCCTAAGTGACATGCAAACTCACTGTGGAGTTTTGAACAGGAATGACATTATCTTCCTTGACAGGATTAGTTTAGCAATGGTGTTGCACATAGTCTAAAACAGAACTGGGAGGAAGTAGGAAGAAGTAGGAGGCTATTACAATATGAATACAGGCAAATATCGGGCAAAATTCACCCCTGATAATTCACGTAGTTTCTTTTCTATTTTCCCTAAGTGTCGGCCGGTCTGAGAAATAAAGGGACAGAGTACAAAAGAGAGAAATTTTAAAACTGGGTGTCCAGGGGAGACATCACACATCGGCAGGTTCCGTGATGCCCCTTGAGCCATAAAACGAGCAAGTTTTTATTAGTGATTTTCAAAAGGGGAGGGAGTGTACAAATAGGGTGTGGGTCACAGAGATCACATGCTTCACAAGATGATAAGATATCACAAGGTAGATGGAGGCAGGGTGAGACCACAGGACCACAAGACCAGGGTGAAATTAAAATTGCTAATGAAGTTTTGGGCAGGCATTGTCATTGATAACGTCTTATCAGCAGACAGGGGTTGAGAGCAGACAACCAGTCTGACCAAAATTTATTAGGCAGAAATTTCCTCATCCTAATAAGCCTGGGAGCGCTACTGGAGACCGGGGCTTATTTCATCCCACAGCTGCGACTGTAAAAGACAGCCGCCCCACCAAAGCGGCCATTTTAGAGGCCTCCCCTCAGGGATGCATTCTCTTTCTCAGGGATGTTCCTTGCTGAGAAAAAGAATTCAGCGACATTTCTCCCATTTGCTTTTGATAGAAGAGAAATATGGCTCTGTTCCACCTGGCTCACCGGCAGTCAGAGTTTAAGGTTATCTCTCTTGTTCCCTGAACGTTGCTGTTATCCTGTTCTTTTTTCAAGGTGCCCAGATTTCATATTGTTCAAACATACATGCTCTACAAACAATTTGTGCAGTTAACGCAATCATCACAGGGCCCTGAGGAGACATACATCCTCCTCAGCTTGCGAAGATGATGGGATTAAGAGATTAAAGTAAAGACAGGCATAGGAAATCACAAGGGTATTAATTGGGGAAGTGATAAGTGTCCATGAAATCATCACAATTTATGTTCAGAGATTGCAGTAAAGACAGGAGTAAGAAATTATAAAAGTATTAATTTGGGGAACTAATAAATGTCCATGAAATCTTCACAATTTATGTTCTTCTGCCATGGCTTCAGCCTGTCCCCCTGTTCGGGGTCCCTGACTTCCTGCAACAGGAAAAAAATGATTGTGGTTTAGACTAAAGTTAAAGATGTGAAAATAGTGCGATAGGATTACATTTTATTTTTATAGGTAGCCAACATGAATAATAAAGTCCAAAAATCCACTTGTGCCAACACTGACACATTTCAAGAAATAACCACCACTTCCATGTCCCCTTTCATGAACACATAGTCTACAATATTTACCCGCTCATTCAGAAATTATATAGGAGGAGTTATGCTGCAGTTGGTGAAAAGATGGCAACTCTTCTCTGTTGTTTGTTTCACTACCAAATACAAATGGAAAGTTGACTTATGAAAATATTTGTTTCAGTTCCAAAGTTGTAAGCAAGGAAGTTACCCCAGGATCATAGAAATATCTTTGTGGTAGGTCACAGGCTGTGCAGTGCAGAGACTCTAGGCTCCATCATTCATTAGCTGTATGGCTTTAGGAAAGTTACATAACATGTTCTTTAAGATGGGGGGTGACTATGACCCACAGCGTAGGACTTTATTTTAAAGTTTATTTAAAAGTTTATTTTAAAGTTACTATTATAGCAATGTCTAGCATATGGAAACAGCTTTTAATAGTTAAATGTTAGAAATTTATCTTTCCTGAGGCTAAAGAGAAAAGGACTGTCCCCGTTGTTTAATGCACTATTTTCTTCCAGAATTCAGCCTATATTAGACCTCAGAATGACAGTGCTATCGTTAAAGCAGAAGTTGATGGAGCAAGGGAGGAATATAGGATTAGAAGTCAAATATTGCTTGAACTCAAGGACCTCATTAGACCAAACTATAACACAGAATTCATAAAATTTCCAAAGTATATGAAAATGAGAGTAACTAATAAATAAATGCATTTTAGACTAGTATGCGACACATAATAGATACTCCATAAGTACTTGTACAGTGAATTATATATTTTTCAATTTATGTATTTTATTTTTTACATACCTACCATAGACCATTAGACACTGACTTAAACTCATTCTGCTCTCTTGGATTCTCAAATGATCTACTATAGTTTTTCTTCTCTTAAAAGTTGTAACTATGGAAAATGATTTTATCAAGTTTCAAAAAACTGCTAATTTAATACAGTCTCACTAAGTGTGACTGACATCATACTTCTACTGGGTTTCAAATGAAATATTCTTAATGTGCTTATTGATTCTGAATGAAAAATGAGGTTTTAATATTAGAAAAGTTGAAAATAATATCCGTTATTAGCTGTCAAACACATTTGGTTCATGCTGACTTATTGTTGACTGTATATTGACAATTGTTTAGGACTTAAGTGGAAAAATATTTGTTTAAATTCTGTGTAGTTTGTATTTTTATCTTAACTGTTATGTATTTTTTTTCCATTTCTTAGCAATAAAGCAACATGTTGGTTCTTTGTTTAGAAGATAGAATGCAAATCGAAAAACTATTTGGTACTTGTATGTGTGTATACACACACACATTTAAAATAAAATTATTTGATACTTGTACATGTGTATATAAAATATATTTTTCATGTATATCTATACCTTCCAGTTTGCTAATAGCTCCTTTTAAGGGTGAAATGTATTATTTTAATTATTTTTCTATAATCCTAGCATTCTACTTTTTTGAGAAAAACTTGCTCAGTAACATGTTAGTTGTATGTAGTAACATAGTCTTGCTATGTTATGCCCGCCTCTTCACGGGTAGGTCAATTTCACTGGTTGAAAGTAAGAGACAGCTGAACCCTCGTGGAGCCATTCATACAAGTCCCTATTTAAGGAACAAGTGATTATGCTACCTTTGCACGGTTAGGGTACCGCGGCCGTTAAACATATGTCACCGGGCAGGCGGTGCCTCTAATACTGATAATGCTAGAGGTGATGTTTTTGGTAAACAGGCGGGGTAAGATTTGCCGAGTTCCTTTTACTTTTTTTAACCTTTCCTTGTGGGCATGCCTGTGTTGGGTTAACAGTGAGGGTAATAATGGCTTGTTGGTTGATTGTAGATATTGGGCTGTTAATTGTCAGTTTAATATTTTGGTCTGATGTAGGCTTATGCGGAGGAGAATGTTTTCATGTTACTTATACTAACATTAGTTCTTCTATAAGGTAATAGATTGGTCCAATTGAGTGTAAGGAGCTCAGTTGTATGTTTGGGATTTTTTAGACGATGGGTGTTGAGCTTGAACGCTTTCTTAATTGGTGGCTGCTTTTAGGCCTACTATGGGTATTAAATTTTTTACTCTCTTTACAAGGTTTTTTCCTAGTGTCCAAAGAGCTGTTCCTCTTTGGACTAACAGTTAAATTTACAAGGGGATTTAGAAGGTTCTGTAGGTAAATTTAAAGTTGAACTAAGATTCTATCTTGGACAACCAGCTATCACCAGGCTCGATAGGTTTGTCGCCTCTACCTATAAATCTTCCCACTATTTTGCTACATAGACGGGTGTGCTCTTTTAGCTGTTCTTAGGTAGCTCGTCTGGTTTCGGGGGCCTTAGCTTTGGTTCTCTTTGCAAAGTTATTTCTAGTTAATTCATTATGCAAAAGGTACAGGGGTTAGTCCTTGCTGTATTATGCTTGGTTATAATTTTTCATCTTTCCCTTGCGGTACTATATCTATTGCGCCGGTTTACAATTTCTATCGCCTATACTTTATTTGGGTAAATGGTTTGGTTAAGGTTATTTGATAGTAAGGTGGAACGGGTTTAGGGCTAGGTTTGGCTCAGAGTGGTCAAGTTGAGTTGAAATCTCCTAAGTGTAAGTTGGGTGCTTTATGTTAAGCTACACTCTGGTTCGTCCAAGTGCACTTTCCACTACACTTACCATGTTACGACTTGTTTCCTCTATATAAATGCGTAGGGGTTTTAGTTAAATATCCTTTGAAGTATACTTGAGGAGGGTGACGGGCGGTGTGTATGCGCTTCAGGGCCCTGTTCAACTAAGCACTCTACACTTAGTTTACTGCTAAATCCACCTTCGACCCTTAAATTTCATAAGCTCCCTCATGGGGAGCTAAATTTTTTTAAGTATTTCATAATAATGTCACTAAGGTAATTATTGGTAAACTTAAATGAGATTATATAAATAAGACGCCTTATGTATAAACTGTAAAATCTATATGCTCTTTTATTTTGAATACGAATTTCTTATGCAGTAGTCATTTGGTTTTCAAATGAACATTAAGTAGAATAGAAAAATTATTTTTTCAGTTTACTCTTAGAATTGTGTATTACATGTTTATGTTAGCTGTGTAAACATGGCTGGCCGGCACAGTGGCTCACGCCTATAATCCCAGCACTTCGGGAGGCCAAGGCAGGCAGATCACTTGAGATTAGGAGTTGGAGACAAGCCTGGTCAACATGGTGAAACACCATCTCTACTAAAAATATAAAAATTAGCCAGGTTTGTGGCGGGTGCTTATAGTCCCAGCTACCCCGGAGGCTAAGGCACGAGAATCTCCTGAACCTGGGAGGTGGAGGTGGCAGTGAGCGGAGATTGAGCCACTGCACTCCAGCCTGGGCGACAGTGCGAGATTTTGTCTCAAAATAATAATAATAAAATTAAATAAAAGATGGCTAAGACACTGAATTATTAGAATAAATTTATAACTAGAAAACTGTAAGAAAATCAGATCATATTGTTCTCTTGAATTTTTTTTAGAAATTACTCAGTTTTCATTTTTTTTATTCAAAAGAGAAGTCTCTTTTGACATTTAACAGACTAGATTTAACATCTATATAAAAATATATTTTTCACTTTTGCGAGTGGCAGCGAGCACAGACGGGACACCACAAAGGCCTTGGGCACACTAGGAGAGTACAAGGTGGTGGGTCACTGTCTGTCTGCCCCCAAATGCCACAGACCACCCATCTACCGCATGCGAATCTTTGCGCCTAATCATGTCGTTGCCAAGTCTCCCTTCCGGTACTTTGCATATCAGTTAAAGAAGATGAAGTCTTTAGGGGAGATTGTCTACTGTTGGCAGGTTTTGAGACGTCCTTCCTGCGGGTGAAGAACTTCGGCATCTGGCTGGGCTATGACTCCCAGAGCGGCACCCACAACCTGTACCGGGAATACCGGGACCTGACCCCCGTGGGCGCTGTCACCCAGTGCTACCGAAACACGGGCGCCCAGCACCGTGCCCTGGCCCAATCCATCCAGATCATGAAGGTGGAGGAGATCGCAGCCAGCAGGTGCCCGCCGGCCTGCCGTCAAGCGGTTCCAGGACTCCAAGATCCAGTTCCCACTGCCCCACTGGGTCCTGCGCCATCAGCACAAGCCACACTTCACCACCAAGAGATCCAACACCTTCTTCTAGAGGCAGAGCTCTCGCCCGGGTGTGCCCCAAATAAAATCAGGAAAATGTATGTATATATATTTATACATAAACAAAACATATTTAATATATATAAATAAAATATATAAATAAATATATATAATATATATATTTCTACATATAAATAAAATATACACTTTTTGTATATAAATTAAAAATATATTTTATAAATAAAATATATATTCCTAATATATAAATTAAATATATAATTTATACATAAATAATATATAATATATTAATAATATATAATATATAAATGAAATACATATCTTTTATATAAATAATGTATAATATACATAAATATATATTTTTCCATATAAATAAAATACATATTTTTTATATTTTATATATAAATTATAGATATAAATAAATTTTTTTATATATTACATATAAATTTTAGATACATAAAATATATATTTTATATATAATGTGTAATACATATTATAAATAATATATAATATATATTTTATATTATATATTATATATTTTATATAATATATATTTTATATGATATTTTATATATTTTATATATAATATATATTATATAATTATAAATATAATATAATATGTATAATATATAATTATATAAATTATATAATATATAATATATATTAAATAATTAATTAATATATTAATTAATTTATATATAATATATAATATATTTTATATATATAATATATAATATATTTTATATATATAATATATAATATATTTTATATATATAATATATAATATATTATATATATAATATATAATATATTTTATATATATAATATATAATATATTTTATATATATAATATATAATATATTTTATATATATAATATATAATATATTTTATATATATAATATATAATATATTTTATATATAATATATAATATATTTTATATATAATATATAATATATTTTATATATATAATATATAATATATTTTATATATATAATATATAATATATTTTATATATATAATATATAATATATTTTATATATATAATATATAATATATTTTATATATATAATATATAATATATTTTATATATATAATATACAATATATTTTATATATAATATACAATATATATTATATATAATATATAATATATATTATATATTATATATTATATAGAATATATAATATATTTTATATATTATATATTATATAGAATATATATTTTATATATTATGTTTTATATATAATATATAATATATGTTTTCTAATATATAAATGTTTTATGAAATTTATAAAATATGTTACATATTAAATATATTTTATATAAAATATAAATTATATATAATATATATTTTATATAAAATATATTATAATATATAATTTATATTTTATATAAAATATATGAAAGATGTATATATTATATTATATAAATATTAGATATATAAATATATAATATATAATTATATATTTATACATATTAGATATATAAATACATATCTAATATATATAAAAGATATATATTAGATATGTATAAAGATATATATTTATATATAAATATATTATATAAATATATAAATATATATTTTTATATATTTATATATTTTATATATTTATAAATTTATATATATATTTATATTTATATATTTATATATAATATATATCTTTTATATATTATATATAATAATTATATATAAAATATGTATATATAAAACATACTTATATATAAATTATATACACATATTTGAAACATATATATTTTATATACACGTATATATAAAACATATACTTATATATTTTATATACACGTGTATATTAAAACATATACTTATATATATTTTATATACACATGTATATAAGACATACTTATATATATTTTATATACACGTGTATATAAAACATACTAATATATATTTTATATACACGTGTATATAAAACATACTTATATATATTTTATATACACGTGTATATAAAACATACTTATATATATTTTATATACACGTGTATATAATATCGTGTATATAAAATATATACTTATATATTATATACACGTGTATATAATATATACTTATATATTATATACACGTGTATATAAAATATATACTTATATATATACTTATATATATACTTATATATACTTATATATATACTTATATATACTTATATATATACTTATATATACTTATATATATACTTATATATACTTATATATATTTTATATACCCGTGTATATAAAATATATATACTTATATATATTTTATATACACGTGTATATAAAATATATACTTATATATATTTTATATACACGTGTATATAAAATATATACTTATATATATTTTATATATATATTTCTCCCCCCCCCAAATTCTCAATCTGACTTTAAATAATTTCTTCTGGTGATTGTACTTCAGTATTGTAGGTATCACAGTTAAAGATAAAAAGTTGGCAGAAGTTTAGAGAAAAATATCAAATTTATACATAATACACTTGTTTTACGTATCTATTATCATTTAAGATAAATTTTTATTTGAAATTGATTGATTCTACCTTAGTCATTATTTGTCAAAAATATTACAGGATATTTCAACTTCCACAAATAGGTTGAAATTTGCATACTTATATTTATAATCGGATATTCCAGCTCTATTTATATTTTCATGTATTTTCACTTGCACTGAGAGCATAAAAGTATATCTAAGTTAACAAATTACATCATTCACACCACAAATATATGCAAAACTCTAGTTCAGTAGAGTGCTTTTATTTTAACCTCTAATCAAATTATTATTTCTCATTTCACTTTAGCCCTACCTATAAATAAACAGAAAGAAGGAACCAGCTTCTTGCTTAATAGTGTGAGGAGCTCTGTTGGTTGATTTGCTCCCTAGTGAAAGTGAAGAAACAACAACAACAACAACATTACAACTACTTAAAGCAACTGGAAATGGTCTTAGGGGCAGTCAGCAAATGAAGCAACATCTATTTAATAACATCCACAAAAATTTTAAGGAAAGGCAGGAGTTTGTGGTATTTGAACCAAGAGCATTCACTTTCCCACCTCTCCCAACTTCGTGAGCCAAAGACCCCACTTCAGACTGCTGCAACCAAGAACACAGGTTTCCTCTATTCCCAGTGCCCAGATAGAGGACTTTCTTACTGGGAGAAGCTGGATGCCAGGATTTCTTATCCTGCCCCCAGCTATCTGTTGCTGAGACTAGGTCCTAGGCAAGTGGGATTGTGAAGTGGAACACTTGTATAG
Source organism: Homo sapiens (assembly GCF_000001405.40). Taxonomy (NCBI): domain Eukaryota; kingdom Metazoa; phylum Chordata; class Mammalia; order Primates; family Hominidae; genus Homo; species Homo sapiens. The sequence goes on from NC_000003.12 coordinate 96,623,055, forward strand.
AACAGGCGGTCTCATTTATTTGTGTGTAGCATGGTAAAAATACTGGGGCCATACCATCTGTGCTACGCTCATGGTGTGCTTGTTTCATGCCAGAGAAGCAAGACAAAGGAACCTAGGCTCTTATTCCTTCCAATCCCATTGCTAAGCTTCTAGAGCAGCTGTGTCACTCAGAGAGAAGCTTCCCATTGTTCCCTAGTTCCAGAGCTGTAGCTCAGAGATTTTTACCTGTTGGGAGAAACAGAACACAAAACAGACTGCTCTTGTCATAAATAGCTCTTATTATTTTGAGATACGTCCCATCAATACCTAACTTATTGAGAGTTTTTAGCATAAAGGGCTGTTGAATTTTGTCAAAGGCCTCTTCTGCATCTATTGAGATAATCATGTGGTTTTTGTCTTTGGTTCTGTTTATATGCTGGATTACGTTTACTGATTTGCATATGTTGAACCACCCTTGCATCCCAGGGATGAAGCCCACTTAATCATGGTGGATAAGCTTTTTGATGTGCTGCTGGATTCAGTTTGCCAGTATTTTATGGAGGATTTTTGCATCAATGTTCATCAGGGATATTGGTCTAAAATTCTCTTTTTTTGTTGTGTCTCTGCCAGGCTTTGGTATCAGGATGATGCTGGCCTCATAAAATGAGTTAGGGAGGGTTCCCTCTTTTTCTATTGATTGGAATAGTTTCAGAAGGAATGGTACCAGCTCCTCCTTGTACCTCTGGTAGAATTCGGCTGTGAATCCATCTGGTCCTGGACTTTTTTTGGTTGGTAGGCTATTAATTATTGCCTCAATTTCAGATCCTGTTATTGGTCTATTCAGAGATTCAACTTCTTCCTGGTTTAGTCTTGAGAGGGTGTATGTGTCCAGGAATTTATCCATTTCTCCTAGATTTTCTCGTTTATTTGCATAGAGGTGTTTATAGTATTCTCTGATGGTAGTTTGTATTTCTGTGGGATCAGTGGTGATATACCCTTTATCATTTTTTATGGTGTCTATTCAATTCTTCTCTCTTGTCTTCTTTATTAATCTTGCTAGCAGTCTATCAATTTTGTTGATCTTTTCAAAAAACCATCTCCTGGATTCACTGATTTTTTGAAGGGTTTTTTGTGTCTCTATCTCCTTCAGATCTGCTCTGATCTTAATTATTTCTTGCCTTCTGCTAGCTTTTGAATTTCTTTGCTTTTGTTTCTCTAGTTCTTTTAATTGTGATGTTAGGGTATCAATTTTAGATCTTTCCTACTTTCTCTTGTGGGCATTTAGTGCTATAAATTTCCCTCTACACACTGCTTTAAAAGTGTCCCAGAGATTCTGGTATGTTGTGTCTTTGTTCTCATTGGTTTCAAAGAACATCTTTATTTCTGCCTTCATTTCGTTACGTACCCAGTAGTCATTCAGGAGCAGATTGTTCAGTTTCCATGTAGTTGAGCGGTTTTGAGTGAGTTTTTTTTTTTTTTTTTTTTTTTTTTTGTTGTTGTTGTTGTTGTTGTTTTTTTTTTTTGAGACGGAGTCTCGCTCTGTCACCCAGGCTGGAGTGCAGTGGCGCTATCTCAGCTCACTGCAAGCTCTGCCTCCCGGGTTCACGCCATTCTCCTGCCTCAGCCTCCCGAGTAGCTGGGACTACAGGCGCCCGCCACTACGCCCGGCTAACTTTTTGTATTTTTAGTAGAGACGGGGTTTCACCTTGGTCTCGATCTCATGACCTCGTGATCCGCCAGCCTCAGCCTCCCAAAGTGCTGGGATTACAGGCGTGAGCCACCACGCATGGCCTGATTGAGTTTCTTAATCCTGAGTTCTAGTTTGATTGCACTGTTGTCTGAGAGACAGTTAGTTATAATATCTGTTCTTTTACATTTGCTGAGGAGTGCTTTACTTCCAACTATGTGGTCAATTTTGGAATAAGTGTGATGTGTGGATGAGAAGAATGTGTATTCTGTTGATTTGGGGTGGAGAGTTCTGTAGATGTCTATTAGGTCTGCTTGGTGCAGAGCTGAGTTCAAGTCCTGGATATCCTTGTTAGCTTTCTGTCTAGTTGATCTGTCTAATGCTGACAGTGGAATGTTAAAGTCTTCTATTATTATTGTGTGGGAGTCTAAGTCTCTTTATAGGTCTCTAACGATTTGCTTTATGAATCTGGGTGCTGCTGTATTGGGTGCATATATGTTTAGGATAGTTAGCTCTTCTTGTTGAATGGATCCCTTTACCATTATGTAATGGCCTTCTTTGTCTCTTTTGATCTTTGTTGGTTTAAAGTCTGTTTTATCAGAGACTAGGATTGCAACCCCTAAACCCACAGCCAATATCATACTGAATGGGTGAAAACTGGAAGCATTCCCTTTGAAAACATCCCTTTGAAGACAGGGATGACCTCTCTCACCACTCCTATTCAACATACTGTTGGAAGTTCTGGCCAGGGCAATCAGGCAAGAGAAAGAAATAAAGGGTATTCAATTAGGAAAAAAGGAAGTCAAATTGTCCCTCTTTGCAGATGACATGATTGTATATTTAGAAAACACCATCATCTCAGCCCAAAATTTCCTTAAGCTGTTAAGCAACTTCAGCAATGTCTCAGGATACAAAATCAATGTGCAATAATCACAATCATTCTTATACACCAATAACAAACAAACAGACAGCCAAATCATGAGTGAACTCCCATTCACAATTGCTTCAAAGAGAATAAAATACTTAGGAATCCAACTTACAAGGGATGTGAAGGACCTCTTTTAAGGAGAACTACAAACCACTGCTCAATGAAATAAAAGAGGACACAAACAAATGGAAGAAGACTCCATGCTCATGGATAGGAAGAATCAATATCATGAAAATGGCCATACTGCCCAAGGTAATTGATAGATTCAATGCCACCCCCATCAAGCTACCAATGACTTTCTTCACAGAATTGGAAAAAACTGCTTTAAAGTTCATATGGAACCAAACAAGAGCCCGCATTGCCTAGACAATCCTAAGCCAAAAGAACAAAGCTGGAGGCATCACACTACCTGACTTCAAACTATACTACAAGGCTGTAGTAAACAAAACAGCATGGTGCTGGTACCAAAACAGAGATATAGACCAATGGAACAGAACAGAGCCCTCAGAAATAATACCACACATCTACAACCATCTGATCTTTGCAAACCTGACAAAAACAAGAAATGGGGAAAGGATTCCCTATTTAATAAATGGTGCTGGGAAAACTGGCTAGCCATATCTAGAAAGCTGAAACTGGATCCCTTCCTTACACCTTATACAAAAATTAATTCAAGATGGATTAAAGACTTAAATGTTAGACCTAAAACCATAAAAACCCTAGAAGAAAACCTAAGCATTACCATTCAGGACATAGGCACAGGCAAGGACTTCATGTCTGAAACACCAAAAGCAATGGCAACAAAAGCCAAAATTGACAAGTGGGATCTAATTAAATTAAAGAGCTTCTGCACAGCAAAAGAAACTACCATCAGAGTGAACAGGCAACCTACAAAATGGGAGAAAAATTTTGCAATCTACTCATCTGACAAAGGGATAATATCCAAAATCTACAAAGAACTCAAACAAATTTACAAGAAAAAAACAAACAACCCCATCACAAAGTGGGCAAAGGATATGAATAGGCACTTCTCAAAAGAAGACATTTATACAGCCAAGAGACACATGAAAAAATACTCATCATCACTGGCCATCAGAGACATGCAAATCACAACCACACTGAGATACCATCTCACACCTGTTAGAATGGTGATCATTAAAAAGTCAGGAAACAACAGGTGCTGGAGAGGATGTGGAGAAATAGGAACAGTTTTACACTGTTGGTGGGACTGTAAACTAGTTCAACCATTGTGGAAGACAGTGTGGCGATTTCTCAGGGATCTAGAAGTAGAAATACCATTTGACCCAGTGATCCCATTACTAGGTATATACCCAAAGGATTATAAATCATGCTGCTATAAAGACACATGCACACGTATGCTTATTGCGGCACTATTCACAATAGCAAAGACTTGGAACCAACCCAAATGTCCATCAACAATAGACTGGATGAAGAAATGTGGCACATATACACCATGGAATACTATGCAGACATAAGAAAGGATGAGTTCATGTCCTTTTAGGGACATGGATGAAGCTGGAAACTATTATTCTCAGCAAACTATTGCAAGGACAAAAAACCAAGCACTGCATGTTCTCACTCATAGGTGGGAATTGAACAATGAGAACACTTGGACACAGGAAGGGGAACATCACACACTGAGGCCTGTCCTAGATTAGGGGGAGCAGGGAGGGATAGCATTAGGAGATACACCTAATGTAGATGATGAGTTAATGGGTGCAGCACACCAACATGGCACATGTATACATATGTAACAAACCTGCACATTGTGCACATGTACCCTACAACTTAAAGTATAATAAAAATAAATAAGTAAATAAACAGATAAATAAAAAACAGACTGCTCTTAATCTCCTCCCCAGGAAAATTTTTTTAAAAAGTGACTGTATTTGCAACAGAGAATGGAGAAGTTCAAGCCTGAAGGTACTCTGAAGAACAGCAGAGTCCCGGCATGTTGGCTTACACCTGTAATCCCACCACTTCAGGAGGCTAAGATTGGAGGATTGCTTGAACTCAAGATTTCGAATCAATTTCCATAATTGCACCAGTGCATACCAACCTGGGCAAAAGAGTGAGACCTCGTCTCTAAAAACAAACAACAACAACAAAAACCGAGGGTTGTAGAGTTGTTGAAAAAGGCAATTTTGAGGAGATTCAAAATACAGTCTAAACTCTAGGTAAGTTGTAGGAGAGAGCCACGTAATGACATCTGAGAGGAGTCCTCCCTGAGTCAGACCAAAAATCAAACACTGACTTCAGAAACTATTTCTTCAAAGGAGCCAGAATTAAATGAATTAGTGTGCAGAGCAATTTATGCCCAAGAACATTGTCAAAAACAATGTAGCAATCAGCCAGCAATTAGTGGAGTTTAATGGCTTGGTATGTTCAGAGAAAAATTCAGACCTGCCAATGGCACTGTCCTTCCTGTGTGCATCTTCCTGAGAAACAACGGCAGAAGCTGAACACCGGAGTGGGATGTGGGGAAGTTAGGATGAATTTCATGAAAATAATCCATTCAGTCACTAAACAAATAGATAAGCAAACCATAATAGCCCAGAGGAGGAGGGGGATACCAGTACCCAGAGTTGCTGTAATGTACTGTCTAAAATGTCCAGTTCCCCCAAAAAAATTCTAAGACATGTAAAGATAATAAGACCCATACACTGAAAAAAAAATGCAGCCAACAAAACTGCCTGTGAGAAATACCAGATGTCAATTTTATCAGGAAAAGACTTTAAAGTAGCCATTACAAACATGTTCACAGAACTAAAATGAAGAAAAGAAAGATATGAGAACAATGTGGCATCCAATAAAGACTATCAATAAAGAGTTAAGAATTATAGAAGACTAACAAATGAAAATTATGGAGTTAAAAAGTTATAACAATGAAAATTAAAAATGCACTAGAGGGGCTTTTCAGTAAATTTGAATTTACAGAAGAAAAAAATAAGCAAATTTAAAGATAGAGCAATAGAGATTTGGCAACCCAAGGAAGAAGCGAGAGCCCCAGAGTAATGTGAGACACAATTAAGCACAACAACAAACTCATAATGGGACCACTAGAAGGAGAGAAAGAGAAGAAAAAATAATCTCAAAAAAATAATGGCTGAGAAATCCCCAACTTTAGTGAAAAACCATTAAGTTCACATATAGGAAGCTTGAAAAACTTCAAACAGGGTAAACATTAGGAGTCCCACAAACCAATATGCCACAGTAAAAATGCTGAAAGTCAAAGACAAAAAGAAAATCTGAAATGCTACAGATAATTTATTCATAAAATGATTTTTGCTTTGGAAATGATCAAAAGAGCCTGGGAGTCAAAAGTTCTAAATTCAAGTCTAGGTCTGCCATTTATTAATTAGATGAACTTCAGCAACTTTTTGGCATCTCTAAATTCTAATTTCCTAACCTGAAAAATAAAGTTAATATTTCAAACAAACATGAAATATTACATCTTCTTACACTCAATGTGGTAATATATGTAAAAGCCTTCAGAAAAAAATAGATGTCCTAAAGAAATACAAAATGCTTTTAAAATTTTTAAGTTAAAATGTTTGGGGAGCTCAAACTAAGAACCCAGATTTTTCCAGTTTATCCTTTGCTTTGCTATAAAGCCAGCCTAATCCAGACAAGTGGCAGGAATAAAGGAGGCTGTTTTCTGTATCATAAACAATAGTATTCTTTTTAAAAAGACACAATTTGTACATCACTACAGGCAAAGAAAATATTTGAAGAAGCACTAGATCAATACGCTCTAAATCAAGTATTTGTGGATTGACTCAGTATTTTAATATAACTAATGCAATTATATATTATGCCGGGGCAACTAAAAAGTAGTGCTTATATTCATGTAGATCAATTTCTCTAGAAGAGAAATGCATATCTATTTTAGTCTATAAAACTAGTAAGAAAAAATAGTATTTTCAACGAATATAATTTATATTGATATTTTAATATTAACTCTCTATTATCTATGTAATATGACTATTACTTATATATTACATACATTATATATATATGAAAATTTGCGATAAAACTGAAATCCCCAAGGAAGACACTGATTCATGGAAATCAAACTATTTACATTTCTTAGAAATTAGTGAAAATCATGATTCTGTTTCAGCAAAATAGCCAAATGCTTACAGAGAGAATTTTAATTTTGATTGTTCCAGAGAACAGTGTACGCAATACCAATGTTTGTGGATAAAAGTAACAGAGGTTTAAACAAGGTGGGAGGAGATGTATTTTTTCTCACTTGAAAAGCAAGTCAGAGGTAGGCTTTACTGAGCATTCATTCAGCTATTAAAAATATCAACAGGAGTCCAGATTTTTCTCTGTCTTCATTTCCAAAGTGTTCATTCAGTGGTTGCAAGTAGACTTCAGATCCTACCATCGTGACTAATGAAGACATTCAGAGGCAGCAGTAAACAGTGGCCAGAAGTAAACAGGGCTTCTTCTCCAGAAATGTTATTTTTATGAATAAGAGAGAAAAATAACCATAAACTCTCAAGCAGACTTCTTAATTTATCTAGTCGGCTATGGCCAATCTTAGGTGCGACTCAGATAGAAATATGTTTCATCTATTATCTTTTATTAATATTTGAAGATTAGCAATTAAGAAGATATTGGGAATAGCTCACTCTTGGATCAACTAACCAATGATGTCTGTCACAAGTACTATGAAAGAAGAAAATATTGCATAATTTCAAAGCTTATATAACTGCAAATATATAAAAAAGATCCATTAATGATTAATAAGTTTTAATATTTCAACAAATGAGATAAGCTTTGGACACACTTTTCAATCCACAATTAATTGTATGAAACTCCTAAGTTATTATATTTCCTGATGATTTTAAATAGTCATACTGCCACAAAAAATTAAAGTACAAATTTGGTGCTAATCTATAAAACTATGTGACTTAAATTCTTTTCTAAGGTAGGATTTTTTCTAAACAACAATTGCAACTATTGTTTTTAACAAAAAGTTTAAGCTGCCAACTCAAATACTATATAATAATTTTTGGTTTGTTCGAAATGTCCAGTTCTCTTATTCCAAGGATATATTATGATTGTACTTTTCTACTTACTTGGTTTCAAAGCATAAATGTGTATTTTAGCCCATTTTCTGTTGCTATAACAGAATACCTGAGACTGAGTAGTTTATAAAGAACAGAAGTTTATCTAGCTTACAGTTCTAGACACTAGTAAGTTCAAGATTGTGCAGTAGTCACCTCTGGAAAGGACCATGACATGCTGTGTCATATGGCAGATGGCATCACATGGGTGGCAGCACTTGCAAGAGCAGCAAATGAGTGCCTGCAAAAGAGATAGGGGCAAAGGAGGCCAACTCACTTTAAAAGAACCTGATCTCACAAAAGTCTCAAGCGTACTAACCCAGTCTCATGAGAAAGACATCAATCAATCTTAACAAGCTGATCACCTCTTAAAGGCCTCACCTCCCAACACCATTAGATTGGAAACTAAATTTCTACATGAGTTTTGGTAGGGACAAACCATATGCAAACCATAGCACCATGAGAGACTTTTTTGGCTTGTAATGGTAGAATTATTTGTAGACACAGTGAATAAGGCCTGACTCAACACATGATCAAAAGTTGTAAGAGTCATTACATAATCTGGTTTATTTCTCTTTCTATTTATGTGAATAAATACATGAAACACAAATTAGCCTACATACTAAATACCAGCAAAAAAATTAGACTACCTTTTCAAATATTAAATAAACAAATGCTTAAGACTACATGTGATCATTATACAGTCACTAATTGTCACAGGACTATGCTGTGCTCTGTGGTGTCATCTCCATCCAGTTGAGCCTGTGAAATAGACATCTACACATTTCTTACAGTCAGAACATGTAATACTGATGGCCAGCAAGACCACGTAGCCATCCATCCCAGATCCCTCTCTCAGGCTGGACAAAGTCTTCTAAGTTTGGTGGGGGGAGAAAATGGTGAAGGAGAGTCATTGAGTCCTGTGCCTGAACCCTCTGTAAGATGATGATTCTGGGATATTCAGGCATTTGAAGTATTTATCTAGCCCATCATCATGGGTCTGAATTAAGTCTTATTTCAACTGGTAATTTGGCCTCACACTGGCCATAATTGAGGCAGAGAGTGAACTAAGTGAAGTAAGTAATTCTAGGAAACAGCATATCTTATTACACTCAGAGGCTCATGATCCTAATTGAGGTGCTGGCAGAAATCCTAGGATTAAAAAAAGTAGTACAAATAATTAACTGTGTTATTTGAATGCAGGCCTGTTTAGAGGCATTGGGATATATCAGATGACCACCTAAATTAACTAAATACTGTAAACTATTTGATTTACTGGAGTCAGTACCTCAAAATCTGCTCATATTCTCAATGCTTAGCTCTGTAACATTTAAGAATTCCTGAAATGATGGGCTTCTAAATTATTATGAAGGTATTACTGGTTTCCCCAGGAATATATGTGTATCTTCCTTAGGAAATTATATTTCTGTTTTTTGTTTTGTTTTGTTTTGTTTTTAGATGGAGTTTCACTCTTGTCACTCAGGCTGGAGTGGAATGGCATGATCTCGACTCACTGCAACCTCCACCTCCCGTGTTCAAGCGATTCTCCTGCCTCAGCTTCCTGAGTAGCTGGGATTAGAAGCGTGAACCACCATGCCCCGCTAATTTTTGTATTTTTAGTAGACATGGGGTTTCACCATGTTGGCCAGGCTGGTCTCAAACTCCTGACTTCAGGTGATTCACCTGCCTCGGCCTCCCAAAATTCTGGGATTACAGGCATGAGCCACCATCTCGGCTGGGAAATTATATTTCAATAGGTCTTAGGAAATTCTATTAATTCACTTGTGAATGTTGATTAATACCAAGATTAAGATATATATGTGTGTATATTTTTTTAAAAAGCAGTTGCAATATATATATATTTTTAAAAAGCAGTTGCAAACATTTTAAAATATATATAAATATTTATAAGAATATTAAAAGTAAAAAGGAAACTAATGAACATAAATTCAAAAGTAACAATAACCACAAAACCTTTTTTTAGATTTTGATGAGTTGATCAGATGTATATAATATGCTTAAATGAACTACACATAATTTGACAAAGATATGCTTTGTAAAGTCTTGGCTAACTAAAACTAAGTCTGCATAGCAAGTATAGTTGTAGAAAGGTTGAGTAAAAATGATCTATCCAGAGTAGATCATTATGGAAATCATACGTGTCAAGAAGTAATAGCCAACTTTTTTTCTATTACAAGGGCATTTTCCCTTTCAAGTTACTCAATCACAATACATGTGAAGTAATATATATAAAACTGCATGGTTTATTTAAAGCAATGTCTTTTATTTTGTGGGAAAATAATTGTCTGTGAGGTTTGATGAAACTTCAAGAATACTGATCACTGTGATAGTCTTATTCACCCCATATTCTATGGTCGAAATGTTCGTGTCCCCATAAAATGTATGTTTTGAAACCCAGTCCCCAATGTGATGACATTAGGAGGTGGTGCCTTTGAGAGTTGATTAGGTGATAAGAGGGGAGACTTTGTGAATGGGATTACTTCCCATATAAATGATGCCCAGAGGACTGCCTTGCCCCTTCTACCACAGGAGGAAAGACATAGACAGTGATTAACAAAGAAGCAGGCTCTCACCTAGACACCACATCTGCTGGATCCTTGACCTTGGACTTCCTAGCCTCCAGAATTGTGAGAAATAAATTTTTTTTTGTTTATAAGGCAGTCAGCTTATGGTGTTTTGTTATAGTCCAAACATACTAAGACAGTGTGCCTCTTTTGTTTCACATTTACATTTAAATATGCAACATCTTAGACTGTTCTCTTAGTTCTCATTGAATTAGAGAATTTTGCCTATGGAATCATAAAGATGATTATAAAAGTAACTATTATAACACATGTCTAACCTCAGAATTAAGTTTAATGAGATGCTTCTAACTTGTATCATTTCTTTACTTGTCTTTAAAAAATAAAGGGTTTTTTTGTTAGTTTTGATGAGTTACAAATTTTTAGCATTTTATTATTAAAAAAACCTTTGCTTCACATATAGTTCATTATATTCTAAAATTTGTCTAGGGAACAATAGATTGAAGATTAAGAATATAATATATAGGTTTGGGGAAGAGAGGAAGATCAAAATAAGTCTCATTTAAAACAAAAGAAAATAATGTATGAAAGTTTGCTGAAATCAATAACTAATTGTAATGTATTCATCCTATAATGAAGTAAATATAATACCTTACTATAGCAATAAGTCACCTGTGTACCATTATAAATTAGCTAGAACCATAAATCCAGTAATTTCATGGTTCTTATTGATTTAACTTACTGATAGATTTACAACCTGACTATAATCTATTTAGTTGTAGGCACAGATTCAGTATTCAAGTAAAACTACTTATTTAATGAAAATGTTGTTTTATTATCTAAAACTTGAAAATAGAGAGAAATTTTTGTTACCTTCATAGAAAATTCAATAGAATAAAATGATGTAAACATAACGAATAATCTTAAAATATTTCATCTACTCCTTAGTGCCAGTACTGCTAATGAGAGTCTCTGGAAGCTTGGTTACTTTTTAAAAAAACACTTTCATGTGAGTGTGGAGTTTTTGAGTCATGAGGCTAAATTATGTCTTAAAATAATAAAATAAAACCCACTGTACATAAGTACGTAGCATACTAATTTAATAGTGTTTTTCTTTCATTAATATAACTAGCTATTCACCTTAATTATAGGCCAGGTTGATTATCTCACTGAGAAATGTAATTGCACCACATCTCACTTTCATCTCTTATCTCCAGTATCATAGATGAAATCGTCTTCCCAAAGGAAACCAATAAAGTCCAGTTCTCTGTTTTAACAGATGTGTGATAAAATTTCTAAATATCATAATGTTTCACAGCTTCTCTCTGAGTTTGTCTGGTTGTTTTTGCATTTTATTTTGAATGTCAAATTCATGTGATTGTTTTCTGGCCATCTTAGCCTTAATAAAGTTTAGAGATAAGTAAGAAGAGTTGGAATTATCTTATTAAGTAATGAATTTCAGGATGTAGTTTCAAGGTCAGCTTCAGCAATTATCTCTCTCTCTGTATTTTAACATGTGTTTCTGTTCAGTAGCCTATCTCTATCTGGACAGCTTATATAATTACAAAACTTCTCTTTTTGCATTTGTACAAAGTGCCCTCTTCTTAGAGATTGATCTATCAATTTGAAGACAAGCTTCAGCTACTAGTATACACTTTTTAAAAAAAATAAATTTTATTGTGTATATTTGAAGTTTACAACACAATGTTATAGAATATATAGGGATAGTAAAATAGTTACTATAGTGAAGCAAATTAAAATAATTTATCATCTCATATAGCTACTATTTTGTGTGTATGACAAGAATAGCTAAAATCTACATATTTAACAAGAAAAAAATTCCCTAATAAAATAAAATCGTGTCACCTATAGTCTTCATGTGGTATATTGGATTTCTAGACTTGTTCATTCTTTATGACGGCCACTTTGTATCTTTTGACATTCCTCTCCCTCCCCATTTCCTCACCACCCCTGATGACTAACTAATGTTTTATTATCCATTTCTGTATATTCTCTATCTCTGTATATTTGGCCTTTTCTTTCCTTAAAAGTCATACAGAATGATATGATTAATTTGAGTCTTACAGTAGAAAAAATAAAAAATAGTTCCTTTCTATTTTTCCTGTTACCTCCTTATACATAGTGATTTTGATATCTCACAGATCTGACCAGAAATCCATCCATCCAAACAGATGGAGTTAAATTTTCCTAGTATTTCAGCACTTTTTGATGGATACATACCATGGGTTCAACAAAGGGACTATCTAGTCCCTAACCTAAAGGATCCCCTGTTTTCTCTGTGAATGAGTCAGGTACATGGATAATAAAAGCTTTTCTACATTTAAAATGATTTACTAAAACATCTGTCAAAGAAGAATGTATAAAGTGCTATCTGTGGTAGCACAGTAAAAGGAGAAACTTAGTCTGCCTACTTGAAAAGAGTAGTTTCACAGATGTTATTTAACTGCATATTGAATGATGATTGCAAAGGTAGCAATGAAACATTATTGGGGCAAATGAAACAGCAAATGCAAAGAAACAGAGGTATAAAAGTGCATGGAATTTGGGATAGATGGAAACATTGACCAGATTCTTCATCCCTCCCTGATGTATATGCTTGCTATGGTCCCATCTTTGGCAGCAGGTGCTTCTCTAATCTGTGACTATGGGCATAAACATGCAACTTGATTTAACTAACAAAATACAGGATAAAACAATAATGCTTATGGCAAAAGATGACTCATATATTTTTTATCACTGTCATAAGCTTCTACCCTTTCCATGAGAAGAATGTACTCTGGCTAGCCCATTGCTTGAAAGAAGATGGAGAGAGGCAGAGCAGACCCAGATTTAAAAAGGTATAACCTAGGGTAGAGATGCCAAGTCAACCCACAAATTCATATGTTAGAAATAAATATTTACAGTTATAGTTTACTGAAGGTTCAGTTTTATTTTATGCAACAAAACAGTATTATTAAAGTGCAAAGAAACATTGGAAAGCAGCTCAGAAAACAATAAATAAATAAAGCTGCAACGCCAGGTTTCTGTTTGTCAGAGAGCATATGTACAAGATGAACTCACAGTTACAGTTACATAATAATCAAATTACAAAAGCTTTTGAATGGCCATATTAGGTCTTACTTTTCAAGCATTGGGAAGCAGTAGAAGACTTTTATTGTAGTAAAAATCCAATCAAACTTAAAACATTACTCTGGCAGAATAGTAGTAAATAAATTAAGTTTAATGAGTAGTAGAATAGTAGTATATAAATTAAGGAGTGTAAAATCTAGGGACGAAGATTGGGAATGTCGTTGTTGAGACTGTTCATTGAAAGAGTTTGAGATAAGAACTAAAGCATGAGGATGTGGGAAGAGATAAGTTTAGATGAATAAATGGAGAAGATTTCACAGAATAATTGAATAAATAGATGTGGTTATATGAGAAAACACCTGCCCAGTCAGAAATCCAATTACTACATTTTCTGTTTTTACTTTCTAATTTTTATTGTATAGTTCAAGGAACACATGTGCAGGTTTGTTAAAGGGGAGTTTGATGTGCAGATAATTTTGTCACCCAGGTAAACAGCATAATGCCCACTAGGTATTTTTTCAGTCCTCACCCTCCTCTCACCTTCCACCATCCTATAGGTCCTGGTGTCTATTGTTCTCTTCTTTGTGGTGCCCATGTGCACTCAATGTTTATATTCCACTTATAATAGAGAACATGTAGCATTTGATTTTCTGTTCCTGTTTTAATGTACTTAGGATATTGACCTTCAGCTTCATCTCAGTTGCCACAAGGGACATGATCTTGTTCTTTCTTATGACTGCATACTGTTCCATAAAATAAAAGGCAAGCAAATACAAAGAGAGGAATTCAAACTATCTAGCTTCACAGACTATATGATTCTATAACTAGAAAACCCCATAGTCTCTGCCCAGTAGCTCACAGATCTGATAAACAACTTTAGCAAAGTTTCAGGAGACAAAATCAATGTACAAAAAGCAGTAGCATTTCTATATATCAATAATATCCAAGCTAAAAGCCAAATCAAGAATGCAATCTCATTCACAACAGCCACAAAAAAGAAGAAAATACCTAGGAATATAGCTAACCAGAGAGGTGAAAGATCTCTACAATGAGAATTACAAAACACTGCTGATAGAAATTAGAGATGACACAAAAAAAATAGAAAAACATTCCATGCTCTTGGATAGGTAGAATCAGTGTTGTTAAAATGGCCATACTACCCAAAACAATATACATATCCATGCTATTCTGATCAAACTACCAATGACATTTTTCAAAGAATTAGAAAAAAAATTCCAAAATTCTTTAGAGCCAAAAAAGAGCCTGAATAGCCAAAGCAATCCTGAGCAAAAAGAACAACGCTGAAGGCAGCATGCTATTTGATGTCAAAATACACTACAAGGCTACAGTAACTAAAACAGCATGGTACTGGTAAAAAACCAGAAACATAGACCAATGGAACAGGTTACATAACCCAGAAATAAAGTTCCACACCTTCAACTATGTGATCTTCCATAAAGCCAACAATAGCAAACAATGGGGAAATGAATGCCTATTCAATAAATGGTGCTGGGATAACTGGTTAGTCATATGCAGAAAACTGAACCCTTACCTTTCACCATATGTAAAAATCAACTCAAGATAGATTAAAGATTTAAATTTAAAAATCTAAAACAATAAAAAACCTCGAAGAAAAACTAGCAAATTCCATTCTGGACATTGGCCCTGGCAAAGATTTCATGACAAAAACCCCAAAAGCAATTGCACCAAAAGCAAAACTTTACAAGTGAAACCTAATTAAAGTAAAGGCTTCTGCACAGCACAAGAAACAATCAACAGAGTAAATAGACAACCTACAGAATGGGAAAAATGATTGCAAACTATGCATCTGACAACAGTCTGATATTCTGAATCTATAAGGAACTTAAACAAATTAACAAGCAAAAAGCAAAGACTCCATTGGAAAATGGGGAAAGGACATGAATAGACACTTTTCAAAAGAAGATATACACGCAGCCAGCAAACATATTTTACAAATGTTCAATATCACTAATCATTCAAGAAATGTAAATCAAAACCACAACGTGATACCATTTCACACCAGTCACAATGGATATTATTTAAAAAAAATTAAAAAAAAACAGGTACTGGCAAGGTAGCAAAGAAAACAAAACACTTATACACTGATGGTAGGAATGTAAAATAGTTTAGCCACTGTGGAAACCAGTCTGGAGATTTCTCAAATGACTTAAAATGGAACTATGTCCTGTCTCTACCCAGGAATTTCATTATTTGTGTATACCCGAAGGAAAATAAATCACTTTTACCAAAAAGACACATACAAGCATATGTTCATTGCAGCACTACTCACAATAGAAAATACATGAAATCAACCTAAATGCCCATCAACAGTGAGTTAGATAAAGCAAATATGCTACATACACACCATGAAATATATATACACCATAAAATTGTTACATGTTTGGTTTATGTTGACACATAACAACTGTGTTATTGGCATTCCATTAGACCAGGCAAAGATTGAGGTGGAGAGCTAACTGTCAAATCACTTAATGAATGCAAAGAAGTGATTTTGAAATTAGGAGGTAGAGAGAGAGAGGTATGATGATAACTTGTTAACCTGCAAATTGGAGGTATTTTATAAAGGAAAAATGGAAGAGGTGGGAAAGTGTTGTGAAAGACCAGAAGGTTAGTTTTAATATATTTCATTCAGGATATGGGGACACAGAGCAGAATTCTCCATTCTAGGGAGTAGCAAGATCTTCAAATATGACCATAGCTGGAGAGTATACATAATATAGGAAAAGTTGAAGTTGGGATATTTATTGACATCTGAATAGATTTGTTAAATGTATAAGTTAAAGAAAAAGACACTAATTCAGAAGGTGGGTAAAAGTTTATAGCAGTGGCTCTCAAGTGGGTTGATTTTGCCAAATGTCTCATTAGTCCATTTGGAAATATCTGAAGGAAATTTGGATTGTCACAGCTCAGGCAAAGTATAGGAGACATACTGCAGGCATCCAGCAGGTAGACACCAGGGATGTTGATAAACATCCTATGATACGTGGGGCATTCCCCAACAACAAACCATTATATAGCATATTCAAAGTATGCATACTGCTAAAATTGAGAAAACTTGGGTTAAGGACTAGTCTGAAGGTTGTTGATGAAAATGGAGATAGGAAGATGTGATCCAAGAAACTGAAGCAAAGACAAAATAAAATTAAAATCTTTTTTTTATTATTTTTATTATACTTTAAGTGTTAGGGTACATGTGCACAATGTGCCAGTTAGTTACATGTGTATACATGTGTCATGCTGATGTGCTGCACCCTTTAACTCTTCATTTAGCATTAGGTATATCTCCTAATGCTATCCCTCCCCCCTCCCCCCACCCCACAACAGTCCCCAGAGTGTGATGTTCCCCTTCCTGTGTCCATGTGTTCTCATTGTTCAATTCCCATCTATGAGTGAGAACATGTGGTGTTTGGTTTTTTGTCCTTCAGATAGTTTACTGAGAGTGATGATTTCCAATTTCATCCATGTCCCTACAAAGGACATGAACTCATCATTTTTTATGGCTGCATAGTATTCCATGGTGTATATGTGCCACATTTTCTTAATCCAGTCTATTGTTGTTGGACATTTGGGTTGGTTCCAAGTCTTTGCTATTGTGAATACTGCCACAATAAACATACGTGTGCATGTGTCTTTGTAGCAGCATGATTTATAGTCCTTTGGGTATATACCCAGTAATGGGATGGCTGGGTCAAATGGTATTTCTAGTTCTAGATCCCTGAGGAATCGCCACACTGACTTCCACAATGATTGAACTAGTTTACAGTCCCACCAACAGTGTAAAAGTGTTCCTATTTCTCCACATCCTCTCCAGCACCTGTCATTTCCTGACTTTTTAATGATCGCCAGTCTAACTGGTGTGAGATGGTATCTCATTGTGGTTTTGATTTGCATTTCTCTGATGGCCAGTGATGATGAGCATTTTTTCATGTGACTGTTGGCTGCGTAAATGTCTTATTTTGAGAAGTGTCTGTTCATATCCTTCACCCACTTTTTGATGGGGTTGTTTGGTTTTTTCTTGTAAATTTGTTTGAGTTCATTGTAGATTCTGCATATTAGCCATTTGTCAGATGAGTGGGTTGTGAAAATTTTCTCCCATTTTGTAGGCTGCTTGTTCACTCTGATGGTAGTTTCTTTTGCTGTGCAGAAGCTCTTTAGTTTAATTAGATCCCATTTGTCAATTTTGGCTTTTGTTGCCATTGCTTTTGGTGTTTTAGACATGAAGTCCTTGCCCATGCCTATGTCCTGAATGGTAATGCCTAGGTTTTCTTCTAGGGTTTTTATGGTTTTAGGTGTAACATTTAAGTCTTTAATCCATCTTGAATTAATTTTTGTGTAAGGTGTAAGGAAGGGATCCAGTTTCAGCTTTCTAGATATGGCTAGCCAGTTTTCCCAGCACCATTTATTAAATAGGGAATCTTTCCCCATTGCTTGTTTTTGTCAGGTTTGTCAAAGATCAGATAGTTGTACATATGTGGCGTTATTTCTGAGGGCTCTGTTCTGTTTCATTGATCTATATCTCTGTTTTGGTACCAGTACCATGCTGTTTTGGTTACTGTAGACTTGTAGTAGAGTTAGAAGTCAGGTAGCGTGATGCCTCCAACTTTGTTCTTTTGGCTTGGGATTGACTTGGTGATGCGGGCTCTTTTTTGGTTCCATATGAACTTTAAAGTAGTTTTTTCCAATTCTGTGAAGAAAGTCATTGGTAGCTTGGTGGGGATGGCATTGAATCTATAAATTACCTTGGGCAGTATGGCCATTTTCAGGATATTGATTCTTCCTACCCATGAGCATGGAATGTTCTTCCACTTGTTTGTATCCTCTTTTATTTCATTGAGCAGTGCTTTGTAGTTCTCCTTGAAGAGGTCCTTCACATCCCTTGTAAGTTGGATTCCTAAGTATTTTATTCTCTTTGAAGCAATTGTGAATGGGAGTTCACTCATGATTTGGCTCTCTGTTTGTCTGTTATTGGTGTATAAGAATGCTTGTGATTTTTGTACATTGATTTTGTATCCTGAGACTTTGCTGAAGTTGCTTATCAGCTTAAGGAGATTTTGGGCTGAGACAGTGGGATTTTCTAGATACACAATCATGTCGTCTGCAAACAGGGACAATTTGACTTCTTCTTTTCCTAATTGAATACCCTTTATTTCCTTCTCCTGCCTAATTGCCCTGGCCAGAACTTCCAACAGTATGTTGAATAGGAGTGGTGAGAGAAGGCATCCCTCTCTTGTGCCAGTTTTCAAAAGGAATGCTTCTAGTTTTTGCACATTCAGTGTGATATTGGCTGTGGGTTTGTCATAGATAGCTCTTATTATTGTGAGATATGTCCCATCAATACCTAATTTATTGAGAGTTTTTAGCATGAAGGGTTGTTGAATTTTGTCAAAGGCCTTTTCTGCATCTATTGAGATAGTCATGTGGTTTTTGTCTTTGGTTCTGTTTATATGCTGGATTACATTTATTGATTTGCATATATTGAACCAGCCTTGCATCCCAGGGATGAAGCCCACTTGATCATGGTGGATAAGCTTTTTGATGTGCTGCTGGATTCTGTTTGCCAGTATTTTATTGAGGATTTTTACATCAATGTTCATCAAGGATATTTGTCTAAAATTCCCTTTTTTGGTTGTGTCTCTGTCCGGCTTTGGTATCAGGATGATGCTGGCCTGATTGGAATAGTTTCAGAAGGAATGGTACCAGTTCCTCCTTGTACCTGTGGTAGAATTCGGCTGTGAATCCATCTGGTCCTGGACTCTTTTTGGTTGGTAAGCTATTGATTATTGCCACAATTTCAGATCCTGTTATTAGTCTATTCAGAGATTCAACTCCTTCCTGGTTTAGTCTTCGGAGAGTGTATGTGTCGAGGAATTTATCCGTTTCTTCTAGATTTTCTAGTTTATTTGCGTAGAGATGTTTGTAGTATTCTCTGATGGTAGTTTGTATTTCTGTGGGATCGGTGGTGATATCCCCTTTATCATTTTTTATGGTGTCTATTTGATTCTTCTCTCTTTTTTTCTTTATTAGTCTTGCTAGCGGTCTATCAATTTTGTTGATCCTTAGGTTTTTTGAAAATTAAAATCCTTAAAAGAACTGTTGTTTCTTTGGCCCTTGTTTACTTCACCTTAAGTGATATTTATATTGTTTTTCTGAAACACATGTAAAAACTTTATGTGTTGTAAGTTTCTAATAAGTGCTTTAAAAATAAAAATGATTCCATTCTAATGGAGAGTGAGCACAACTCCCCACTCCATGTGTGTTGTCCATAGTAACTTCCTTCCAAAGAGGAAGTACAGTACTGAGAGAAGTAACATAGAGTCACTGTAGAGTGAAACCTGACAAACACTACTTCAAGCGCGTGGTCAAGGTTAACATGGACAGTGATAAATCGTGTTGATAGTATGTACCATTGATGATGTGATGAAAATGACAATGTATTAAATATCTCTGTGCTCTTCCTCCCACCAACCAATAACCCCGGTCTAATCATAAGAAAAACATAAAATAAATTCCAATGGAAGGACATGTTATAATATACCTCTACTCTCAAAACTGTCAGCGTTATTAAAAACCAGGAAAGTTAGAGAAATTGTCATAGCCAAGAGGCGCCTAAGGACATATGACAATTAAATTCAATATGGTAACCTGAATAAAATCCTGGATTAGAAAAAGAACATTAAATAAGGCAATCTGAATAAATGATATATGTTAGCTAATGTTATTAATAAATCAATACTGGTTTATTATTTGTAACAAATAACTTGTTACAAATAAATTTTTCATAACAAACATTACGTAAGATGTTAATCATGGAGAGAACTGCAGGGGGAGGGGAATATAGGAACTCTGTATCAGTTGTTTCATTTTTCCATAAATCTAAAACTTATAAAAATGAAGAGTTTTTATCTGCTAATAAAAATCTTTTGAATAAATGAAGAGTTTTTACCAAAAACATGATAATGATAAATGTAGTCTATGCTAACATTTGATAAATTAAAAACTGATAAACGTTCTTTGCAGTTTTTTGGGAACTTACTTACAAAGTAACAGTAAAACATTAGATAATTTACTTTTATCACTTTTCCATATGTTCTTTAGATAAAAACAGCTTGCAGCTAACTAGCAAAAATATACTAAAGATATTTATATGATACCAATCTAATTTCTTGAGGTGTTGAAGTATGACACATTAGTCTACTAGACTGTAATCTATAAAATTTTTTTGCTTAGATGATAACTTTAAACCAACACAAGAAAATAAAAGGTTAAATTCAAAAGATGAGTTATCATTGACCTTGAGAAAGTCTTTGTAATTGCTGTTTTCCACTAAGATATTCATAAGAATTTTAATTTTTACCACATCATAACTTGGAATATACAAAATGCTAGCTACAACTTTATTTAATTTTTTTAAAAAAATAATGGTAGACCAGGCCCTGTGGATCATGCCTGTAATCCCAGCATTTTGAGAGGCTGAGGTGGGAGGATCACCTGAGGTCAGGAGCTCAAGACCAGCCTGATCAACTTGGAGCAACCCCGTCTGTACTAAAAATACAAAAAAATTAGCTGGGTGGCCAGGCGCAGTGGCTCATGCCTGTAATCCTAGCACTTTGGGAGGCCGAGGCGGGTGGATCACGAGGTCAGGAGATTGAGACCATCCTGGCTAACATGGTGAAAGCCCGTCTCTACTAAAAATACAAGAAATTAGCCAGGCGTGGTGGCGGGCGCCTGTAGTCCCAGCTACTCAGGAGGCTGAGGCAGAATGGCGTGAACCCGGGAGGTGGAGCTTGCAGTGAGCCGAGATCACGCCACTGCACTCCAGCCTGGGTGTCAAAGCGAGTCTCTGTCTCAAAAAAAAAAAAAAATTGCCTGGGCATGGTGGTGCGCACCTATAATCCCAGCTACTTGGGAGACGGAGGCAGGAGAATTGCTTGAATCCGGGAGGTTGTGGTGAGCCAAGTTCACACCATTGCACTCCAGCTTGGGCAACAAGAGTGAAACTCTGTCTCAAAATAAATAAATAAATAAACAAATAAATAAATAAATGTAACTAGACCATTCCATTTGAGGATAAAGGGCAAGAATTAACATTTATTGTGGTTTGCAACCTTAACATGTACCTTCCCGTTTATTTGCACAGAATTTGACAGAAAATAAAACAGGCTGAGAAAGCTTAAGTCTTATTATTTCTTCCATGAAGTTAGTAAAGGTTGGGGTGCTGAAATGTTGACTCAAATCCAACTAAGACACCTATGCTCTTTTACACTGCAACCTTTAAGTGTGTCAACATATTTATCCAAACATAAAAAGCAGATTGATAAGTTAAAATGATGGCAATCCTTGTATAGCTATTGAATGATATAGATTTGAAAGGGCAAATACATCCTTGAGCAAACAGGTTTCATCTTAAGGGCTAATATAGCTTTGGAAAATATTCTGTATAAAGAGTTTAGCTTAATAAAAAATGGTGTTTCCATATGGTAAAGTGAAAGAGCCACTGAACAAAAGTACATTGTTTCCTTTCCCATTGTATTTGTCTTTGCAGCCCTCAAGTAATCAATTTTATTTATGTTGAACATCTCAAAGCATAAAATTGATCTGAAGTTCTGAAGAGCCTTACATTTAGCATTAACACCAAAAAAGATTCTGCAACTCCATAAATACCCATATGCACATACACATGTGCATGCACACACACATGTGCATGCACACACTCATACATTGCTTCCCAGAGAATCTCATTTTTTCTACTTTCCCCTACCTATTATTTATAGTTATTTATTTATTTGTTTTTGTCATATCCCAGTCTCAGTCCTTCCTTTCTCCACCTAAGCAAAAACTCTCATAGTTTAATATGTATCTTCTGGCTTGCAGGTGTTTTCACAAAATATGTGTTGTATTTTGAGCATAAAATTGAACCTACATAAATAATTTTGTGTTATGCATCTAATTCTTTTTCTTGCTGTTTTAATTAAAGCCTATGTGTCTTTCTGTACTATCAATATAACACTTAATTGGTTGTTTTAAACCTCTGAATAATACTCTGAGTCTTGAAAACAGCACATTTTTCCACTCAGAGTCATGCAGGTTGCCTTTTAACTTGCTAAAACAACAAATAATAGAACCTTGAACATCCTCACATGTGCCCACTGACAGTGCTGTGTTAGAATTTCCATTGCATAATACCTAGAACTGTTAAGTCCTAATGAGGATAGGCATAAGTCAATTTTACTTGGTTTACCAGAGTTTGCTTCAGAATGGGATGCAACTTGCAGTACCAGGGAATATTTATAATGCCATATCCCCACACATTTGGAATTCTCTAACATTTTTGTTTTTCAGACTTAGTAAAGTTATATCTCATGACTGTTTTAATGATCATTTCCCTTATTGTGTCTGGAATTTGTGGGTTCTTGATCTCGCTGACTTCAAGAATGAAGCCACAGACCCTTGTGGTGAGTGTTACAGTTCTTAAAGATGGTGTGTCCAGAGTTGTTCATTTCTCCTGTCCAGAGTTGTTTGTTCCTCCCGGTGGGTTTGTGGTCTTGCTGTCTTCAAGAGTGAAGCTGCACCCTTCCCAGTGAGTGTTACAGCTCTTAAAGGTGGAACAGAGTTGTTCATTCCTTGCAGTGGGTTCGTGGTCTCACTGGCCTCTGGAGTGAAGTTGCAGACCTTTGCTGTGTGGGTTACAGCTCTTAAATGCAGTGCAGACCCAAAGGGTGAGCAGCAGCAAGATTTATTGTGAAGAGTGAAAGAACAAAGCTTCCACAGCATGGAAGGCGACCAGAGCTGGTTGCACTGCTGGCTCAGGTGGCCTGCTTTTATTCCCTTATTTGGCCCCACCCACATCCTGCTGATTGGTCCATTTTGACAGAATGCTGATTGGTGCATTTACAAGCCTTTAGCTAGACACCAAGTGCTGATTGGTGCATTTACAATCCTTTAGCTAGACACAAAAGTTCTCCAAGTTCCCTACCCCATTAGCTAGACACAGAGCGCTGATTGGTGTGTTTACAAACCTTTAGCTAGATGCAGAGTGCTGACTGGTGCATTTACAAACCTTTAGCTAGACACCAAGTGCTGATTGGTGCGTTTACAATCCTTTCAGTAGACAGAAAACTTCTCCACGTCCCCATCCATCCTAGAAGCCCAGCCAGCTTCACTTCGCACTGGCACTCACTGTGGGACTTTGGGGCACCTAGCCCGGGCATTCCGGCAGCCCAGAGCTCGTCCCCCCATCAAGCCTAGCAGGCGATGGCTAGCGCCTGCGAGTGCAGGGTCTGTGGAGCCCGTGCCCACCTGGAACCCATACACGCCCGCGAGCACCATCCGCAGCCCCGGTGCCCGCCTGTGCCTCTTCCTCCATACCTCCCCGCAAGCAGAGGGAGCCGGCCTCTGCCAGCCCCAGAGAGGGGCCCCCACAGTGCAGCAGGGGGCTGAAGGGCTCCTCAAGCATGGCCAGAGCGAACGCCGAGGCTGAGGAGGTGCCGAGAGTCAGCGAGGGCTGCTAGCACATTGTCACCTCTCAATTGTCACCTCTCATTATTACACTCAAAAGTTTGAGATCCCACTTTTATGTATTCTGCATATAACTGTTGGCAATTTTTCTATTGTAGCTGCTGACGTTTCTAATTTGTAAGAATTTCATTTACATTACAGATATTAATCCCTTGACAGTTTGGGGCAATATAAATATCTACTTTTCATCATCTATTAACATTTTCCATGATGAGCATGATGCACTTTGTTAAATAAAAATTTGTAACTTTAAATAAATCAATTCCAATTTGCTTACGGTTTGAACTGCTTTTTAGGAAATCCATTGAAGTATAAAATGCATACAGATGAAACAATAATATTATCAATAAATGATGCTGGGAAGAATGGAAGTCGATATGGAAAAAAATGAACCTCATATCTAACACAAAAGTTAAATTAATATGTATCATTTACCTAAATGTTAAATGTAAACTACAAAACATCAAGGAGAATATATAGGAGAAAATCTGTGTGGCCTTGTGTTTAGTGATGACTATATAGACACAACACAGAAAGCAATAATCTATGAAATTGAAAATTGGTAAATTAGACTTTATTAAAATTAAAAATATTTACTCTGGAAAAGGCATCATTAAGAGAATAAAACAACAAGACACAGACTTCTAGAAAATATTTGCAAACTGCATACCTGAAAATAAAAAACTGTATTCAAAATAAACAAATAACTTTTAAAAATCAACAATAAGAAAACAACCCAATTAAAAATTGGGCAAAAGATCAGAATAAATATGTAATTTAAGAAGCTATACAAGTGCCAAATAAGCAACATAAAAAGGTGCTGAATATCATTTGTCATTAGGGAAATTTAAATTAAAACAACAGCATACCACTACAAACCTATTTGAATAGCTAAAATTTCAAAAGTGATGATACCAATTGCTGGTGAGAATTAGAAGCAACAAAACTGTTCCTCATTGCTGGTGAAATGCAAATGGCATAGCCACATTGGAAGATAATTTGGTGGTTCTTATAAACTTAAACATAATCTTATATGATCCAGCAATTGCACTCCTGGGTAAGTCTCTAACTGGTTTGAAGGTTTATGTCCACACCAAAACCTGCAATTGAATGAAGCTTTATTCATAACCACCAAAATCTGTAAACAACAAAAATATCTTTCAACAGGTAAATTGATAAACACACTTGTTATATCCATACACTGTACTACTATTCAGAAATAAAAAGAATTATCTATCAATCCATGCAACATAATAGATTAATCTTAAATTTATATTGCTAAGTGTAAGATCCCAATCTGAAAGGGCTATATATTGTATGATTCCAATTATCTGACATTCTGAAAAGGCAAAATTATAGAGACTGCAAATAGATCAGTGATTTCAGGAGTGCAGGGGAGAGGGTGCTTACAGTGGTGAAACAATTTTGTATGACACTGTAATCGTGGATACATGACCCTATGCATTTGTCAAAATCCATAGGACTTCACAGCACAAAGAGTGAACCTTAATGTATGCTATGAAATAAAAAGCAAAATAAGACCTCAACCTTTCCAGATGAGATAGACTCCCTGTGGCTAATAGAAATGCTCTAAATTTAAAAGCACAACCGGGCAGCCATAGCAGGGTGAGAAACAGCAGTTACATCCTGGGTTCTTGGGAAAAGCAGGTCTTGACAAGCATCCTGCTTTACATCTCTGCACTAGAACACTTCCTATGAACAGAATCCAGATAAACTGCAGCGGGAACCCCCAACCCACCACCAGCCATTGGAAAGTAACATCTGAGGGAGACCTCTGGTTTTGAGCTTGGAAACCACCCAAGCAAGGCTTGACTATTTTGACCCATCAGAACTGAACAAGTTTGAATCTTTCATTTGCAGAAATGAATCTGATTGAGAACCTGGGTGACAACTGTCCTTGTTTAATTAAGGCAGACGTTCCCTTTGTTCTTCAGAGTGCACTTTTGTTTTGCACCCAGGGCTGCAGCTCCCTAATCTGCAGATTCCTTTTTTAGAAAATAAAGTTCTCCTTTGCCTCTGCAGAGCTCACTGATCTTTGGTTAGCAATGCAAATTATTTTAAAAATCATTTAAGAGATCAAGAAATCCCAAGACCACCACAAGAACTCACCTTGTGCCTCATTTTTGTCAATATTTCTAAATCCTTTAGAATATTCACTGTTCTGCTTCGTAATTCCATATTTTATTTCTGAGATTTACATTACTGTTAGTAGTTGTAAATCATTTATTTTCATCTTAGTACAATATTTCATAGTGGTATATACCACAATCTATTTATTCACACTATTTTAAATGGGTATGTGTTGAATTCCATTATAATATCATAGAGAATATTGCTGCTATAAACATTCTAAAACATGAAAGATAGTCGACATAAGGACACATTTCTGTTGTGTATCTGTCTGTGCTAATTGTATATACATACAAACAGCTTTAGTGAATAATGCCAAATATATTTCCAAAATAGATATACCAATTTTTACTCCTATCTGCAGTGTATGAGATTTTCAGTTGCTCCATGTCCTCTCCAACACTTGGAATCTGCCTCCATTATTTTAGCCATTATGCTGAATGTACAGTCCTATCTCAATGTGGTATGCCTGGCACTTCCCTGATGACTAATGAAATTAAGTACATTTTAATATGTTGAATAGCCATTTGTATATTCTTTTGTGTATCGTTTTGTTTAAGATTCTAGCTCCCATTTTTATCATTCAGTTTTTGTTTTCTTGTTGATTTGTAGGAATTCTTTATATATTCTATTAAAAGACTTTTATCAGATACTGGTGTTAGGAATGTTTTATCCCATGTGGGTGTTAATTTTTTAATTTTTGTTTTTCAAAGATGGCTAGAAGAGATGGGGTCTGGATACTCGTTTTCTCTTTCTGTATTTCCGCATTTTATGCAGCCTCTCCATGTGGATAGTTTGCTCTTTGAATGTTTGCCTCAGGGAATTTGCAGTACCTATGCAGTTGCTGTCTTCTCCCAGAGCACATGTCCTCCACGTGATGTGGAGGTTGCTAGTTCTCTTAAAAGCTATGCTTGGACTAGGCAGAGCATCTCTTCTGACATAGTCTACTTGATACAAAGTTCCAAGATGAGCCCATTTTCAAGGAGCGGAATGAAAAACTTTACAATGCAATAAGGTGAGTGAAAAAGAATTGTCAGTTGTCTTTAACCCACCACATACACTGGTTTCATTGTTCTGTTGTAAAGTCATCATTTTTTTTTAATTGATCATCACTTAACCACAATCAAAAGTAAAAAATGTGATGTTTTGACATATGCATGCACCAATGAAAATATCACAATAAAATAGTGACAATATCTACTACTCCCAAGTTTTCTTTGTGGCCCTTTGTACCTTTCTCCAGTCAATCATCTATGCATCTTTGTCAAAACCAGTCATTTATAAGTGTGTGTGTCTATTTCTGGAATCTCTATTCTGTTCCATTAATCTATTTGGCTATCCTGATTTCTTGATTAGGGTAGCTTTATAATAGATATAGAAGCTGTTACTGGTTGTAAGGTGTCCAGGTTCTTAGCGTCTTGAACAAAGAAGCAGACAAATCACACAAACAAAGCAAGGAAAGAATGAAGCAACAGAAGCAGAGATTTATTGAAAATGAAAGTACACTCCACTGGGTGGGAGGCGGACCCAAGCATAGAGGCTTAGGAGCCCCGTTACAGAATTTTCTGGGGGTTAAATACCCTCTAGAGGATTCCATTGGTTACCTGGTCTATGCCATATGTAAATGAAAAGGATGGAGTGAAATTACAAAGTCATTTACTTGTTGTATGCCCTATGTAAATGGAGAGGGTATTTCCTGTCATACTTGAAGTGTTTCCATTTGATTTAGTTCTAGGAAGTCAGCATGAATGAGACTTATGTTCTCTGCCTCCAGACCCTATTCTCCTGCCTCAAAGTCAGAGGTGTTAATCCTTCATAATAGTCCTTTTTAAAAAATAAAAGTAGTTTTGGCATTGTAGCTTTTTTGCATTTCCATACAAATTTTTTAATCACTTTTCAATTTCTCAACATATTTTTTAAACAAAAGCCTCCTGGGATTTTGATTGAGATTGTATTGAATCTAGAGATCAGTATAGGAAGAACTGGTATCTTAACAATATTGAAACTTTTAAACCCTTTAAGTCTGATTTTCTCTTAGAAATGTTTTATAGGTTTGAATGTGCAGGACTTCCACATTCTTTGTCAGATTTATCCCTAAGTACTTCATCTTTTATGCTAAGTATCACTGTGGTGAAAGCTCACAAATTTTGATATGCTGTGTTTTCATTTTCATTGATTTAAAATTACTTACTGTCCTTTTGAGTTTCCTTTGGCCCTTGGTTGTTTACAAGTGTATTACTTGAATTCTAAATATTTGAGAATTTACAGATATCTGATAGTGATTTCTAATTTAATTCCGTAATATTCAGAGAACATACTTTGTATGACTTGGATACATTTAAATGTATTGATACTTGATTTATGGACAAGAAATTATATGGCAAGAAGTTGTAATATTCACTTCAAGCATTTCTATTATTAAGTGCATGTTTAGAATTATTATGTCCTCTTGATGGCTCTGTTATGAAAGCTCTTTTAAATCCCTGATAATATCTTTTGTGTTAAAATCTACTCTGTCTATTATCACAATCCTTCCAACTTATTTTTCTTTAGTGTTTGGGTGGTATGCCTTTATCCCTCCATTTACATCTAATGTGTTTGTATCATTATATTTAAAGTGCATGTCTTATAATTGGGATCTTTAGAACATTTATATTTTATTTGTTTTCTATTTGTCCCATCTGTTTCCATTTTTTTAAAATTTTTTTAATGATCACATTTTATCTCCTTTGTTGGTTTATTAGCTATATGTCACTGTTTTGTCATTTTATTGGCTGCTTTAGGGTTTATTGCATTTATCTTTTACTTACTATGGTCTATATCAATGTACTATTACACTATTTTACATATAGTATGAAAACCTTATAAAATTTAATTTCCACTTTTCCCTATCAGTCTTTATGATGTTGATATCATGCATTATGCATGTTATAAGCCCCATAATACATTTTTATTGCTGTTGATTATCTTTTAAAATACTTATGTAATTTGAAAAATTCTTATATATTCTCCCACGTAGTTACCATAGGCAGTGCACTTCAATTGTTTTTATACAGCCATATTTCCATCTGAGATTATTTTCCTTCTGCCTGAGGGATTTTCTCAACATTTATTATAGGGCAATCTATTGGTGATGAATTTTTTCAGTTTTTGTGGTCTTTATTTCACCTTTGTTTTTGAAAAATATTTTTGCTATACAGAATATGTGGCTGTTAGTTTTTTTCTTTCAGCATTTTAAATAAGTATCTTCTGACTTGCATTTTTATGAGAAATCACTGCCATTTTTATTCTCTTTGTATAACATGCCTCTTTAGCTACTTTTAAGTTTCTGGGTTTTTTTAATCATGGGTTTTAAGCAATTTGATTAAGATATGTCTTGTGTAGTTTGATTCCATGTTCTTGTGCTTCACTTCATTAGTTTCTTAGCTCAATGGATTTATGGTTCTCACCAATTTGGAAATATTTAAGTATTATTTATTTAAACATTTTTTCTATTCCCTCCTATCACTCTCTTCTCTCCCAATTACACAAATATTAGGTCAGTCAAAGCTCACTAAAGATCTTCATTTTAAATAATTCTGCTTTTCTCTATGTATTTAATCTCGGATAGTTTCTGTTACTATGTCTTCAACTCTACTAAACTTTTATGGTATGGTATCATATCTGTCATTAATTCTATCCAGTGTATTTTTATCTCACGCATTGATTTTTCATCTCTAGAGGATGGAGTTTTGTTTCAGTCTTCCCTAGATCTACTTAACTTTGTGAATATATGGAATACAATTATGTTAAGTTTAAATGTCCTTGTCTGCTACTTCTAATATCTTCAGTTCTGCATTGGTTTCAACTGATTTAGGGCTGATTATGTGTGGTTTTTTACTGCTGCGTTGTATTTCTGGTAATTTTCATTGGATACAATAGAGAGAATCTTACCTTGTTGTCTATAGCATATTTTTGTACTCCTTTAAATATCCTTGAGATTTTTTCTGTATTGTAGATAAGTTCTTTGAAATCATTTTTATCTATTTGGGTCTTGCTTTTAAGATTTGTTAATCAGGACCCAAACAGGATGTACGTGAGTGCTAGTTATTCTCCACTACTGAAGCCAGATTATTCTAAATGATACAGGAGTTAAAAGGAAATTCTTTAGGCAGTTAGTGAGGGTAAGAGAGTCCTCAATAAAGCTTCCCTTTTAGCAAAAAGCAGCCTCCAAATTATTTCTTTTCTAACAAAGACCAGCTTGTAAAATCGAGCTACAGACATAAATAAGCAAGCTGGAAGCTTGCATAGGTAAATGCTGGCAGCTGTGCCACTAGGAAAAGGCTAGCTGGGGGCCAGGTATGTTCAACAAGGAGGGAATCCCTCTTCTCTTTTTATTGTTGCTATGTGTGCATTAAAAAAGCAGGCAACATGGCGCCAGCCAGATAGAGATGCCATCTGCATAATAAAAGATTAGGGTGGGATGGCCAGCCTCTTCCTGCACTATGTAAGTAACACACCTGGCCCAACCAATCTTCTGAGCCATATGTAAATCACATACCACTTCCTCAAGCTCATCTGTAAAAACTCTTCCACTTCACCAGGGACCAGAAGACCCACTCAGGAGCCCCTCTCTCTCTGCAGGAAAGAGAATTTTCTCGTTTCTCTCACCTGTTAAACCTTTGCTCTTAAACTCATTCCTTGTGTGTCTGCGTCCTTGATTTCCTTGGCCTGAAGCAACAATCCTCGAGTATTACCCCAGATAAATGATGCCGCTTCATAAACACTTGACTAAATTCCCTGTAACTTATGAGGTTTCAATATTGGTAGTATTTCTTGCTGAAATATTAGGGACAATTCATAGGCGAATCTATCTAGGCCCGTATTTTATTCTTGCATTAGTTTATTCATAGTTTTAATTATGGATTTAATCAAATGGATTTAATTATTAATTTATTTAAAACATACAGGACTATTCAGATTTTCTAGGTTTCTTACATATAAATTTTAGCCAGTTCTGATTTCACAATAAAAAATTCCATAACATACAAGAAAGCATAAGCCACTATAAGCAGAAGATACCAGAAAAAAATAAAAAGCAGAAATAGGTTTGTGTTAACATCAAAGACTGACTAGTCAAAGGAGACTACACTAATCATAGATTTTACCCAGTACCTAACTTTACAAAAAACTCAGTACAGGTAAGAACCAGGTACAGCCAGAACTCCTTTTTGAAGGAACATTAAACTGTTAGTTGCAGCTTCCAAAAGTGTACTCTTCCTCCTGCATTAGATTGTATTTTGATTTTAGATTAATTCAGTTTTGAATAATGTATCTGAAAAATTGTCTCAAATGAAGCCATTTTGGTTTGGAGGCTCCTTTGTTATACTCTTTGATGTACAATTAATAATTTGACTATTCATAACCCCAAAATCCATACATCTTTATTTTATTTATAATAAAAAATACAGAATGCATATATACTGCTAATATAATCTATTAGATAGCAACTCCCCGTATATTTCAGCTAATAAATATTATTAAATTGCTTTTAAAATTTTCTGGTCAAAATCATGGGCAATTTGTAAGATCGTTTGGTCAATGCCATTCATTCCCCTATGTACACCCAAGTAGGGAAGGACTGAATTTGGTCTGCTATGAATGCTTTCCTTCTAAAACAAATACAGATTTTAGATTTGGAATATAAAATATAACCACACAGGAAAAAACTTAACAACAATGTCTCAAATTAAATATATGTTGTACAATTTAATATATACTTCACAATCCTGACAATTTCACTCCATAAATGAAACTACCTTTGCAAAATTATAACTGAGACAATGAAAGAGATCTGACCTAACCAACTCCATCTTGCTTCTAACCTCCAAGCTGTCCTTGTTCATTCCTGGGCAGAGATCAAACGAACTTTGGGAGGAATTTAGTTTATAGTCTAAAACAAAAATGATAACAGCCCTTTCCCAAAACAAACCCCCTTCTTCCCTGGGGACTAGACTTCCTTTGTAGAACTAACAAATTAGCCAAAAGATGAGAACATATGATTTAGGAGTCATGCAGCTCAAGGCTACAAGATTCTGACCCTCCCCAAATTGCTCTTGGGGAAAACATCATTATTGTAAAACCTAAGATGAGTGTTACAGATATTTTGCAGACCCTGCACTTAATGGATCAGCTGGCACCACCCAGATCAATAAACTGGCTCATCTGATTTGATAAACTAACTCATCTCATCTGGATTGCCAGCCATTATTCCAGAAGTCGCAAGATGTGCAACTTCCCCAATTTCTCCTGCAAATAGGATCACCATTGTAGAACCTAAGATTGGCCTTTTGAGATGTCTTTTCAGGCTTTTGCCTTTGTGAAGACCAGATGGCCCCACCTAGACCAGTGACTCCCCTGTGGTCCCCACCCAGGAACTGACTCAGCGCAAGAGGACAGATTGATTTCCCTATGATTTCATCTCCAATCCAACCAATCAGCACTCTGACTCACTGGCACCACACCCACCAAATTATCTTTAGAAACTCTGTCCCCAAATTCTCAGGGAGACTGATTTGAGTAATAGTAAAACTCCAGTCTCCCACACAGCCAGCTTTGCATGAATTACTCTTTCTCTATTGCAATTCTGCTGTCTTGTAAATTGGCACTGTCTAGGCAGCAGGCAAGATGAACTTGTTGAGTGGTTACATAAACAAGAGAACCCATAAATGCATACAAGAAGATATGTGCAAGAGTATTAGAGCAGCACTGTTCATAAATAGCAAAAGAATATATGTATACACAAATAAAAAAATGAAAGGACAAAGAAGCTTAAAGTTACAGTTTATCAAGAGGAGTTAAACACATTTTAGCATATGTATGCTACTTAATGCTATATAATAGTGAAAGCCAACGAACTAGAACTATACATAAAAACAAATAAACCTCACAAGCATAATATTGTGCTAACAGCAAATGGAAGAAAAATGCATCAGTATATTCTATTCATATAAAATAAATTTAATTTTGCATAATGATTAAGAAATCCATACCTATACAGAAAACTATTGAAACCATCTTTGCAAAAATCCTAACAGTGAGAAGATTATGACAGTGTAAGGGAGATCCAACCAACTCTATCTTGCCTTTAACCTCCAAACTACTTTTCATCATTCCTGGATGCAGGTCAAGCTAATTTTAAGAGGAATTTATTGTAAAACTAATGAAAGACCACAAGTTTAGGAGGATGAGAGGAACCGGAATACATAGTTAAATGATTGCCAGCCATTATTCTAGAAGTCACAAGATTTGTAACTTCCCCAGTTACTCCTGTAGATAACATCACTATTGTAGAACTTAAGATTGGCCTTTTGAACGCCACTACACTCCAGCCTGGGGGACAGAGCGAGACTCCGTCTAAGAAAAAAATATATATATATTGGCCTTTTGAGATGTCTTTTCTGACTTTTGCATGCATTTCTGAAAACCAGATGACCCCACCTAGACCAGCGACTCCTCAGTGGTCTCCACCCAGAAGCCGACTAAGCACAGGAGGACCATTTTGCACATCCCTATGACAGCATCCCCAACCAATCAGCAGCTCCCATACCCTAATCCCCTGCCCGCCAAACTGTCTTTGAAAAATCCTAGCCTCCACATTTTTCAGGAGGCTGATTTAAGTCATAATAAAACTCCAGATCTCCCCTTTAGCCAGTTCTATGTGTATTAAGCTCTTTCTCTATTGTAATTTCCCAGTCTTAATAAATCAGTTCTATCTGTGCAGTGAGCAAGTATAACCTACTGGGCAGTTACACTATGAAGAAGTGAATATGAATTATAAACAGCAAATCTATGATCTTAGCTATCTCTGGGTGAGAGAGAAGCAAATGTGTTCAGGAATGGATACAGAAGCACTAAACTGTGATTGAAAATTGTATTATTAAGAAAAAAGATGAACATATTCTTCTATAATATAAACAATCCACACTTAAATTTAAAATGCAAATATTATAATATTGTATATAAACTGAAAAAGTAATAACGTGTCTATTGGAAGGCATAACCATCAAAAAGCAAACATTGTGATGCATCCCACTAAATTATTATGAGTTGTATGGAAAACAAAAGTCCTGTAATTGTTTAATTAAAGAATAAAATAATTTATAATCCAGTCAGAACAGAGGAATTGTGTGGTAGTAGTTATTAAGAAATTATTTTAGAGGCTGGGCGTGGTGGCTCAAGCCTGTAATCCCAACACTTTGGGAGATGGAGGCGGGCAGATCACGAGGTCAGGAGATTGAGACCATCCTGGCTAACACGGTGAAACCCCGTGTTTACTAAAAATACAAAAAATTGGCCAGGCATGGTGGCAGGTGCGCTGGTGGGCGCCTGTAGTCCCAGTTATTCAGGAGGCTGAGGCAGGAGAATGGCGAGAACCCAGGAGGCGGAGCTTGCAGTGAGCTAAGATTGCGCCACTGCACTCCAGCCTGGGCGACAGAGCCAGACCCCTTCTCAAAAAAAAGAAAAAAAAAATTATTTTAGATAGAGAGGAAAAGAGGTCCTTGAAAGGTTTTTTTTGCAGCTCCAAAAATATTTCTTGTCTAGCATGAAAGCCCTGGCTCTTAGACCCAGACTGGCAACCTGTGATACGCAAAAGCTGACCATTAGAAACTGGGTCCACCCAACATGGCGATTCCCACCCTTGTCCTCTTGCCCTTGCCCCAGCATGTGCCTGACAACATGGCCACGCCCACATATCCCCAAGTGTGTGTAGAACATTATGGCGCCCTGCATTTGCATATTAAAGGACTGTGGGAGGGCCAGTTTTTTCACAGCCAACGTGAATGACATGCCAGGTCAAACCAATCCCCTGAACCATGGAACTTGAAATCAGACACCGCCTCTTCCAGCCATCACGTAAAACTGGCTGGTATCCTCCAAATGCAGAGTCTCCTCTTTCCTCTTTGGAGCCCCCTCTCTCTGTGTCTGTACCGGGAGCTTCTTCCTTTTGTCTTTTTCCTTCTTTCTTGGCTGTTAAACTCTCAGCTACTTAAAACCACTCCCCGCATGTCCATGTTGTTTTATCTAATTCAACGTGAGACAAGAGCTCTGGTGTTCCTCCACTCATCGGAGGCATATTATTTGTAAATTCACAAAAGTAAATAAAGAATATATGATAAATGCTTTTATTAAGTACAGATTATTACAATTACAAAAATGAGGGATTTTTCATCTAACTTGATAGAGCAAAGAAATCAAAAGGGAAGCAAATGCCTGTGTTAGACAATTGCTTGCACATTGCTGGTCAAATAGCCTAAAGACTAGAAAGAAAAACAAAAATAGACTGCATATAGCAAAAATAATTCACTTACTTGTAGCTATAGATTTCATTAATTTCTTACTAAGGCTTGTTTTTAATTTGACTGCAGGCTTAGTACCTTGGCACAGTATAATATTGACAAAACAAAAATTAGACATTGTTCTCCATCTACTTTGAATCACCAATCATTCTTAACTATTTTTTAATGTAGAAATTTCCAATTAAAACAATATATTCAAATAGTATGTTTATATTTCTGAACTCGTTGATTAGAACTGACAACTGAAGTCAAAATACTGGTACCTAGAGTGGGCACACCAAATAATGAAGTAAGCTTTGATAGTTAAAGCAGCATTTCCCAGAGTGTAATGGATGCCTCTCCAATTGCTAATTGCTATGCATATCTTTAAAAATGTTTTCTGGTCACATGCATTTTGGAATCTTGGGTTAAACAATTTAGATAGGCTTAAGGTCCATAGGAATTCTCAAAGCCTTTTACATACTCATGTGCCTTATTAAGCATTGGGTGGAGGGCACATTGACAAGATTATGTTTATTTCCCAAACTTATTTGATAATGGAGACTTTACTTTCATTAACATTTGAATTATGTCTCAACTATGTTTTCATTAACATCTGAATTATGTCTCAACAAAGCTTACTTCTAATTGGGTATGGACATGCATAAACATGCCTAATATTTTAAAAGTTTAAGAAATTATGAAGTAATTGACCTTCATAGCCATTAAGGTACTTCAGCTTTCATTCAATTTAATATTTCAGCTTTCATTCAATCTAATATTTTAAAAGAAAGGGAATACTTATATCATTCAACCAACCTAACATTATTATCTATCTGACTTTTGCTTAACTAAAACTTATAAAGAAATGTGAGAAGGTAAAGAACTTTCTAAAAACTAGAACCAAGAAAGGGAGCTCTCTGTTCCTGAGCATTTTTCTAACAGTGTTCTTACATTAAGTAACCCCTAGGTACATCCAATGTCTTGTTTGCCATAGGTAACAAGGGATCATAGAGAATTTGATATCCACTTCCTTAATAGGTGTCTAAGTTAGGAAATGATTGGAAGCAATACAGCTAGATGATCATCGAATCTTTTCTTAACATGAATGTTTCTGCCAAAATCTACCTCAGTATTTGCACTACATAGTAATAATATGAATCTGACGTGGCTACAGGCTTTGGGATGCTTTAAATGTATTAGAATTCTAGATATAGATGTTTTACTGTTAGATAAATAAATGTCAAATATGGCTAAATCATTCATTCTGAAATAGCTTAAGAAATGCTTAGACCTTCATACTGTATTCATATTATATTCAGTGTTTTATATGATCTTTGAGAAATACCCTTACATTTCTGGAAAGACAATGGAATTTAAGAAATATACTATACAGACTTTAGGAGCAAATATTTTAATCTATTCTATGTCTGGAAGTATTAATGACTTAAAGGATTAAGTCTATAAGTGTGTTACCCTTAAAGATAGTCTCATGGAACTGAAAGCTGCACTTGCGTCCACCACTAAACCAAGGTAAGTTGTTACTGTGGTAATGGTACACTGCAGCTCAATCTTTGCAGAAGTGTTTGCCATAGTTCTTTATTCCCAAATCTGCTTAGCTCACTAACCCCACTCTAAAAGAAACAGACATATAGAAATAATATAGGCTTCTTTTGAATCTTATTTACTAGAAAAATCTTGTTAACCACATCATACTCACCTCATTTTGCTTTATTATATTAAAGCTTCAGTAGTATTCCTATCAAAATTTCTATTACATTTCTATTAATTAAACTTTTTACAATTTTTCTTCCAATACAAATAGATTACTTCTGAATAGTATTACTCTACACAGTGGACTATCCACAGAGCCTGAGGCATGGTGTTTAAGCAGGGATTTTGAAAGCAAACAGTCTAACTTCTCTACTTACCCACCTCACTGAATTATTGTGAGACTTCAACCCAGTAAAATGCTTAAAATAATGGCATATTGTAAATACTCAATAAATGTTGTTGTTTCATTACTAACAAAGAGGATTAGTTAGGGCTAACTATATCAGACAGTTCACAGTTCTCCAATGATTCACCATAATTTAATAATATTGTTACTTGATGCCAAAACTCCAGATGGTAACAAAATACTAATTTTACTTTCATGTTATTTTCTAGTAATTTCCATATGCATATATTTATCCATTCAATGTATGTCTTCTTTCAATATAATGCACATTTTATAAGAGCAGAGACTTTTGATCATTGTTATATCTCCAATATTTCTGACCATTTCTGCATTTATTAAATTGTTGATAGACATTTCATTAAATAACAAATAATAATTTTCCTCAGGACATTTGCCTGTAAAATGGGTGGAAAGGCCAAGAAGAAATTAAGGGAATTCTTGAATATTTAAAAGGAAATGGGCATTCCTAATTTTTCCTTACAAAATTGTATTACAAAATAATAATATTCCAATCACAACCTGATGGCCAGACAGGTAGAGAGATCTAAATATTTTCTAAAATTTAACCAAGATTAATATTGGAAAGTAGAGGTATGTGTCACATTTTTTTGTCTTCTGGTGCAGTGATACTTTTATAGTTTCTACAAGGGGCAAATATTACCTTTACAATAAGAAAAAATGTGCTCTAATAAATTAAAAGACAAAAAAGGATGATTTAACTCTCTAATACAATCTAAAATTTTTTAAATGAAATAATGGATACCATAAAAATGTGTTACTATATTTTTTGTTTGTCAAACATCTGAAATTGAGATGAATTGAGATAATATCTGGTACCCAGGATACTTAGACATTCAATTAGTCCACAATTACAGGTGGAAAAGTCTATGCCCAAACGGCAATGTATCATAGCCTAGCAAAGGGTATTTTTCCCCCAAAGTCATTGATATTATTTCTAGAATATTTGTGGAACATCTTTTGCCAAGGCAGAACATGACTGATTATAACCTACACTTTCTACCCAGGTCCACATTCATTACTTCACAAATGACAAAGTTATATGAGAGAAAGGAAAAGCAATGTGAGGGAAATTAAAGCAAATGTGCCACAAAGAATATTTCTCTAAAACTTAGTGCATAAGTGGCCAAATGTGCACAATCACTTCTTTCTACATCAAGAGAATCCTGTGAACTGACATAAACCATGATTATCTAAACCCTTCTTGTATGCAAAGATAAAAGAATCCCAAAATGGGTTTAACTCAAAGAGAGGGATACCAAGGCACTGATCCTAAAATATGCTGCCATTAACCCACCTACATCATGTCTTCCCTTTCTTAAAAAAAGGGAAAATCAGAAATTAGAAGAGACCCAACTCTCCAATCCATTGTCTTTTATATTTCCCTTAAAGCACTGAAATAATTCCATGTATTTTTGTTTGCTTGTGTATTAACTCTTCTCTCACTAAAATATAAGCACTATGAAGGCAGAATATGAATTAGAATATAGTTCTACTGGATAATTATGTATTGAATAAACTCAAATTAATTAACAATATGAACATGTGTTTGTAAGTATATGGAATTCCTTATATATACACTTTTACATGTGAGAGTGTGTGTATGTGTGTATAAAAGATGACCCCCATAATTATGATAATGGACTGCATGAGCATTCTGTTTGCATTCTCCTGTACTGATACTGAAGCTGTACCCCCACTAGAATTCTGTAATCTAAAGACTCTACTACTAAACTCAAAATGTCACAGCCATGTGCTGGTTTATATTACTTCATGTAATAGTCATGGTCATATTATCGCAGGTTGAAGATGAATGTGTATCTTGTATGTGTTCAATGTAAACCTCTCTTTTCTTTCTCTCCATCTCCTCCTGCTTTTGACTTAATCGAAAACAGGAAGGTACCATAAATCTGTGAAGGTTTTTTTCTTTGATCAATCTACACTCTTTTACTGTAGTGCCTATTATATTGTAATAAAGTAGACTTTTATGCCTTATTTTAAAATGTTGTTAAAATAGTAATTCCCTTATTTTAGATTTCATTCAAATGAATATAATAAACAAAATATTCCCTTTCTTACATTATGCTCACTGTTATAATCTTCTTAACCTTGATTTAAAAAACCATTTCAAGAACTATATATAAACAGTATTGCAATGAATATCATTGTTTATATTATATTTGTTCCACAATAATAAAGGAAATCCTGTTTTAAGAGAGCTTACATAAAAGCAGTAGGAAAACTTCAATGCATTATAAATCATAAGCATAAAAACATCAACTTACACAGTGTCATACCTGATCTGCTGCATGACGAAATCTAGTCCAGGAAAGCACTGTGTGGACCAACATACCTCACACCAATAATTATCTCTGGGCATCTAAGTAACTTGGATATATCAGCTATACAATGAAAATACATCAAGCTGAATGCTTTCTCAGATAAAACAATGATATATTTTAGTATTTAGAAATGTTAACTAATTATAGTTACTTGAATTTCAAAGCTTTAAAAAGTATAATTTCAAATGACTTACTAAGCACTTTAAATTCAATTTATGTCAGTTATTTTTCTACCATTTTGCCAAGACTACTTCTTCAAATGTCTTAAGTTAAAAACTCTAATACTAGACTATTTATAGGCATAGTAAGATTTTTCAGAGATAGCATGTAAAAATCTATACAATTGAATTAGTGATTTAATAATAAAAATAAGAAAAAATGAACTTTTTGAAGAGATGTTTGTTTAAATATTCTAATTGGATTAATAAGCATAGTAATATGATTATATACAGGCATTTATATAGTAATTTGATACAAATGAAAATTATTTATATTATTATTTAATAGTTCAATGTGTTGACTTTAAAATTCAGGTCAATCTATGTTTTCTATTATCCATTTTCATTCAAAATAGAAAAAATAAATGAGTTTGGCATTTTGGTATGTTTACTAATAGAAAACAATAACGGCAATACAATCAATGAATGATTCAGTTAAATGTAGGATTTGTTATGATTTTTTGAAGATATTAGACACATCAGATTTAAATTCAATCTAAAAGTGTATATAAATCTTAGATGAGTTATTATATAGGCATTTTATAATTGCTTTTGAGCAACCTATAACCAAAGGTGTTTGCAGACTAGGCCTTAGATTTACACAGTCCCAGCTGCATTTTCATTCTTTAATAATATTAGTAGAACAAAATATTATTTAGAGTAATATTAAACAGTAATACCAAACTAAATGCCTTAGCAAAATATAGACTTTTATTTTTTGCAAAAACAAGTAGCATTGAATTCTGGTTTTAGCTCCAACATGTAAAGATATTGGTAGTCATCATTCCCTTCTTACATCAAGTAAAAGGCTAAAAAACAAAATCAGCCACTTAAATTGGACTCATCAGGGAACTGAGGTCACAGTGTAAACCCCAACCCAACACCTTTAGAGATAGACAAATACAGTGAATTACAGCTTATAAGCAACGGCTTATAAGAACCAGAAGCCATCAGAACCATAAATTGGTAGAAACACTTAAACAGTAACTTTGACAAATTGCTAGAGGTATGTGGAGACTTACGTGAGAATGAGAATCCCCTGGGGTTCACATCCTTAGGGAGCCCTCACATTTTAATAATTTTAAAATTCAGTAACCCCACTGCATTCTTATAATAAAGAGGCAAAAAAACCCTTTTTTGTTGGGGCAAGGATGAGAAAATGCCCAGAGTATATCAGTCATAACAAAGGCTTTCCCAGTAAGACGAAAAATTTACCAGAGCCTTAGCTGACATGGGGGAAAGGAAATTAGCCAACTATAGCCACTCTAGAATGTCCTGTATTACCTAAGGGGAGGGGAAATCAAGCTGTGAAACAGTTGTAAGGTCACAGACCCACTAAAATAACGAGTCTTAATCAGAGAATTCTAGACTTCTTCTCCCCCTACACCTTATCACCACAACACGGACCCAGTATAATATCAGTAGATTACAGCTGAAAAAGCCAGAAGGCTCAGACTCCAAGAGAATCTCAAAAAAATTACAAGAGAAATTAAGAAAACAAAAAAGTCACTAGAGGAAACTGAGACCTCTGATACCTAAAACTACAGGAACCGTTAAAACAGCCCAACTTCTAGCATAAAACCTGACACTAAACACCTACTTGCCACAGTTCCTATTACCTGATACATCATAACTGGCTTTCAACAAAAAACTGCAGAGCATGCTAAAGGCAAGAAAAAAAAAATGTGAAGGGGCAAAGCAAAAATCAAAAGTAGATTTATATATGGCAAAGATATTGGCTCTATCAAATCTGACATTTAAAATAAGTATGAGTGGCCGGGCGCAGTGGCTCACGCCTGTAATCCCAGCACTTTGGGAGGCCGAGGCGGGTGGATCACGAGGTCAGGAGATCCAGACCACCCTGGCTAACACGGTGAAACCCCGTCTCTATTAAAAATACAAAAAATTAGCCGGTCGTGGTGGCGGGCATGTGTAGTCCCAGCTGCTCTGGAGGCTGAGGCTGGAGACTGGCGTGAACCCAGGAGGCGGAGCTTGCAGTGAGCCGAGATCGCGCTACTGCACTCCAGCCTGGGCGACAGAGCGAGACTGCGTCTCAAAAAAAATAAATAAATAAGTATGATTAAATGCTAAGGACTCTAATGGAAAAATCAGACAACTTGCAAGAACAGATGAGTTACAAAGGCTGAGAAAGGAAAATACTAAGAAAGAATCAAAAGTAAAACTAGAAATAAAAAACATAGTAACAAATGAAGAGTGCTTTTGATGGGTTCACCGGAGAAGTACCACTGAGCTTGAAGATAGATGAATAGAAACTTCCCAAACTGAAATATAAAGGAAAAATATACAAGAACTGTAGAACAATTTCAAAATGTGTAACTACCAAATTATTGGAGTACCAGAAGACAGAAACAATGAAAATGAAAAAAAATATATTTGAAGTAACAGCTTTTCCACCTGTGCTCATCTTGCTCTGCTCATATCCATGGCCCAGGCAGGAGCCGGTTTAATCGACAATGTGTTCTTCCTAAACTTGTACAGAGCCTGAAGTTGTTC
The DNA here is from genome assembly GCF_000001405.40 of Homo sapiens. Taxonomy (NCBI): domain Eukaryota; kingdom Metazoa; phylum Chordata; class Mammalia; order Primates; family Hominidae; genus Homo; species Homo sapiens. The sequence continues at coordinate 96,665,458 of NC_000003.12, forward strand.
TGTGCCTGACTCAGGTTCAGTTCCGCTCTAGACCAAGGCTCACTACTGAACCGTTTTACAGCCTCTGCAACGGAGTCACCTCACTCTTTGCCCTGGAATGCCTAAAGAACAGCTTGCAGGCATCTAAGTCTACTCCCTTCTCACACTTAACAATACTCCAGAGAAATTTGGTAACATTACACTCCTTTTTCCTCCCTGCCTACCCATGGTTCAAAGCCAAAAAATTTGGTGCAGACACTCCTTCGGTTGAATTGGGGTAAGAGGTATTGGCAGGGACACTCAAAATGCCATGTCTTCCAAGAGTCTGAAATGTGAATAGGGTAAAGGTCACCTGCCACGTTCCCCTCAAATTACTTATTACATATGTCTGAAGGCTTCATTTCTTTTCGGTGACATCTTTCTTCTCCCCACAATGTATTAGAATAAAAGGAGTAAGTTTTTCTCCTTGACTTCAGCTTCATACCTAAAGTTTAATGGCAGGAAAACATGGAAGAGAAAGAGCAGCACAAGCTTATCTATAAAGGTGCCCAAAGTCAGTGGGTTTTTTTTAGTATTATCAATTATCATTAATGCTAATATTATTAATATTGATTATTAATATAATTAAGATTCATTTGGTTCAGATATCTATGTTTATGATTTAAATCTGAGTCTAAGGCCTAATAAATGATCTCATGCCCCTTAGTTCACCTGCTGACCTCATTCTCCCCTATTCCAAGAGTTATTACCCAGGATTACTATTGGGTTGGTGCAAAAGTAATTGTGATTTTCGCCACTGAATGCAATGGCAAAAACCGCAATTACTTTTGCACCAACCTAATATTCATAGTAAAACACATGCACACACATACCCCACTACAATGTTACATTCTTTCAGAAATAATTGTGAGTTTTTGAATGCATGGAGTAGAGGTGGTTTTCATGTACCTAAATGCCAAAAATAATTCTCACTGATGAATCAAAGCTGCCAAAGTGTAAATAATAGCACATGTCATTGTTACCGGGGCAGTGGGGGGTGGGGGTTGGTCCTTGCACCCAGAGCTCCCAAGATGGTGGTGGGCCGCTTCCAGGATGGTGATAAGCCTCATGTTCTCTGACCTGGGGTTCTTGACCTCATGGATTCCAAGGAATGGAATCTTTGGCCATGCGGTGAGTGTTATAGCTCTATTAGAAGCCGTGGGTCATGGAAGAGAACCGTGGAACCCAGTGACTAGTGTTCAGCTTGATTAGGATGAACCCAGGCACTTAGCCATGCAGGAACAATGGCAAGCCTTTAGCCCAATTGGGAGTGGCAATGGGTGCCTCACTGGATCAGGAGCACAGCGGACACCCTGCCGGATCCAGAGGGATGGTAGTCAGCAGCGGGTCTGCGATGGCAGCAAACAGCAGTGGTGGACAGCGATCAAAAGCTCAGCTCAAACCATAACAAACACAGACCAGAAAAGAGTGCAGTTGCAAGAGTGAAAACAGAGCTCCTATACAAAGGGAGGGGACCCAAAGAGGGTAGCCATTGCCAGCTCGAATGCCTGGGTTTATATCCTGATCATTGTCCCTCCCACTGTGCTCTCAGGCGATAGATGATTGTCTATTTCTTTACCTCCTGTTTTTGCCTAATGAGCATTTTTAGTGAGCTCTCTTTACTCCCTGATTGGTCAGGTGTGAGCTAAGGAAATCCAGCTAGTCCTGTCTCTCAGTCCCCCCTCTCAACAGGAAACCCCAAGTGCTGTTGGGGAGATTGGCTGATGACCGCTCTAACTGCTTCCTGCTGAATTGGGGCATAGTAGGGGTTGTGCAGTTGAGATTTCCTCGGGAGGGGTGCCTTCAATGTCATTAACATTGGAGCATGGGCTAGCAGGCCAGTCCAGGGATCCGCAGTAGATTTTAGTCATGGGCTGCATCTGGGGCTCCATTTGAGGAACTATTTGTAGCTTTACAGCTTCAATTCTGGAAGAGACAAACTTAACAAGGAGGTTAAATATACAGGATCCAAAGAGTTGTAACAATATTATAGCTGCTAGAGGTTCTAAGAAGGGGAGAATCCAGGGCATCCATTGGCTGAGGAGGCCCCAGGGTCCAGTGTTTTGAAGCTCCTCTGCTCTATGTTGTATTCAATCTTGAATTTCTTTAACTTTCTCGGTGACAATTCCAGATTGATTAACATAATAACAGCATTCTTCCCCTAAAAATAAACAGGTTCCCCCTCTTTCAGCAGTTAGCAAGTCTAAAGCGCTTTGATTTTGAAGGACTACTGCTGCTAGGGAGTTAAGTTGATCTTGCAAGGTGACGAGGGAGTTGGCAACCTGTTCCATGTCACCATTTAGTTCTTGAGATAGTTTGTAGTAGGACTGAGTAGAGGTTGTGATACCACCAATGCCAGAACCTAGTCCGCCTAGCACTCTTGCTCCGATAACAAAAGGAAGAATGGGTACTCTTTTGTTGTGGGGCTTAGGTATGACATAATTGTATAAATCTTGTTCAGTGTAGATGGTCATAGGGGGCATGAAGAATGAGAGGAAGCACATAGATTCTGAAGAGCCATTCAAACGATAGGCTGAGGTACCACAGACAAAAAGTACTCCTGAGGGCAGGCAGACTATTTGTGTGGGAGGAGTTACCCACCTGATGCATTGGGAGTTGGTTGTGTCTATTGCTAAATTTTACACAGGTGAGGTTTTGAGGTATGGGTTATTTCCAGATTGGAAACAAGAGGTCCTACTAAAACGGAAGTGATGTTTATTTCTGTGCTGAAGTTGTTCCATTGTTCAGGTACAGGGATTGAAATGTATGGCCTGAATTGCAGGGGGAGGCACATCCAACAGTTAGTAGGGTTTTGGGCCGAGACCTCATGGAGCCCAGTGAGGGTGGTATTAAATAAGCTTACCAGGAGAGTATGGATACTGAGGGTTTCATGTAGTTTTGAGAGATCTAGTCCTTTGTAGGGTCTAGGGGTGCTATGTACCAGGGTCAGTTGGGAGATTACTTCCTTTACGTGTTTTTCTCTTGCCTGATCTTGAACTCCACCCCCATCAGACATACTGGTAGGGGTGAAGTAAGTCCAACAGACAGTGGCTCCAAGTCCTCCAGGACAACAAGGATTAATCATTTTCCATGAACAATAATTAGTATTTGCATGCATGCAAAGAGTGGTAGCGTTATAGCAGTTGTAGGGCATATGGGTGTGGGCAGTGAAGGTGTGATTTCCCTTAGATAAACTCCTATATGATGGGGAATCAATATTTCCAGGAAGCTGCATTCTCCAAGAAACTCGTGGTAAGGGGAGCTACTGGTCATACAGCAGCATGGAGTGAGTGAAGTGAGAGTGAAAGCAGGTAAGAGAATGGTAAAGAGAAAAATATGATAAGGGAGGGCTATGGGGATTTACGATTTTAGTTACTTTCCTCACGGTTCTCTGACACAAGTCTCCTTTAGCAGTAAGTATGCCATTCACGTCGTGAGATGTCCACACAGTAAGATCTCTTCCCTGTAATATTTTAACTGCTTCAGATACTAAGACTGCTACTGCCACCACTACCCATAAACAATGAGGCCAACCCTTTGCCACTACATCAATTTCCTTACTCAGGTATGCCATGGGTTGCAAGCTCGTCCCTTGGACCTGTGTAAGGACTCTTAGAGCTATTCCTGTTCTTTTCTGTGACATATAAAGAAAACTCTTGCCCTGTTGGCAAGTTTAACACTGGGGCTTAGGTTAGGGCCTTCTTTAGGGCCTGGAAATCTGCTTCTGCTTCAGATGTCCATCTTACTAAGTGGGTATTGGCTTTCTGAGTTTCCTTAATTAGTGTATATAATAGGCTGGCTATTTCACTGTACCTAGGAATCCATATTCATCAGAAACCTGTTATGCCAAGGAACCCTCTTAGTTGCTTTAGGGTTTGGGGATGAGGATAAGCCAGTATAGGCTGGATACATTCCTCACTGAGGTCCCTGGTGCCTTTGGATAATTTTAGCCCTAAGTATTTAACCTGCTGTGAGCAGAGCTCAGCCTTTGGTTTAGAAACCTTGTAGCCATGGGTAGCGAGGAAATTCAAGAATGCTTGGGTGGCTTCATGGCACAAGGTTTCTGAATGGGTGGCTAAAGGTAAATCATCCACATACTGAAGGACAAGAGTATCCAGGTATGAGAACTGGCTCAAGTCTTGGGCTAATGCCTGGCCAAATAGATGGGGGCTATCCCTGAACCCTTGGGGTAAAATAGTCCAGGTGATTTGAGATGTTTCAACTCACCTGGGTTCCAAGGATCTTCAAAGGCAAACAAGAATTGAGATTCAGGGTGTACAGGGATGCAGAAAAAGCATCCTTAAGGTCCAGGACTGTAAACCACTCTGCTTCCTATGGTATTTGGAAAAGCAGACTATAAGGGTTAGGTAGAGCTGGGTATAGAGGGACAATCGCCTCATTGATAATCCTGAGATCTTGCACCAATCTCCACTGTCTGTTGGGTTTCTGTACTCCTAAAATTGGAGTATTGCAGGGGCTATTGCATGGTTTTACTAGGCCTTGGGCTTTTAGGTCCTTAACAATCTTTTGGAGTCCTTGTTGGGCCTCAGGGCTAAGGGGGTACTGCCTTTGGTAGGGAAAGGAGGTGGAATCCTTTAGTTTAACTTGAACAGGATGAGCATTCTTTGCTCATCCATATTGTCCTTCTGTTGCCCAGACTTCAGGATTAATTCCTTCCTCAAGCAGGGGACAACAAACGGGTGTTCCTTCTCCTGTGTTCAGGTGTATAATGGCCCCTGCTTTTACTAGAATGTCTCTCCCTAACAAGGGAATGGGGCTTTCAGGCATAATTAGAAAAGCATGTGAAAAGAGTAAAGTTCCCCAGTCACAACTTAGTGGCTGGGAGAAGTATCTAGTGACTGGCTGTCCTAGGACCCCTCAGATAGTGACAGATCTGGAGGACAGTTGTCCAGGACAGGAGAGTAAGACTGAGAAGGCTGCACCAGTGTCCCGGAGACAATTAACCTCCTGGCCCTCAATGGTCAAGCATACATGAGGATCTGTGAGGGTGTTGGCATGGGCTGGTGCTTGCCCCAGGCACCCTCAGTCCTGCTGCTGGATCATCTGATTAGTGGCTTCTGACTCAGGGGACCTTCATCCCCTAGGTAAATGGGTCTTCCAGTGATTCCCTTGACATAAGGGGCATGGATGAGGGGGCAACTTATTTCCACTTGGACAATCTTTTTTAAAGTGTCCTTGTAGACCACACTGGAAGCAAGCCCTATTAGGCATTCAACTTGCCCAGCTTTTCCCTTTTCCAGAGCCTCCAAAGTCCGCTTCCCTGAGGGCCATGATTAAAGCAGTGGCTTTTTTTTTTATCCTGTTTGTCTCATTCCACCTGCTCCTCTTGATCTCTATTATAAAAAACCAAGGTTGCCAAATTCAATAGGGTTTCTAAGTTTTGCTCCAGGACTAAGGTGGACTTTTGAAGTTTTTTTCTAATGTCTGCAGCTGACTGAGTGATAAACTTATCCTTTAAGATTAGTTGGCCTTCAGTAGAGTCAGGTGACAGGGAGGTATGTTTCCTCAATGCCTCCCTTAGTCTCTCCAGAAAGGCAGTAAGATTTTCTTCCTTTCCCTGTGTTATACTGGACATCACTGAATAATTCATAGGCTTCTTCCTAGTTTTCCTTAGTCCTTCTAGCATGCAAGTTAGCAAATGTCTGCAGCACCTATCTCCATGTTCTGATTCTGTGTCCCAGTGAGGGTCTACACTGGGAACTGCCTGCTGGCCTTTGAGGAATCATTCTTTCCTCTGTTGTCATCCTACCATTGACCTGACTGAGATACCAGAGATCACCAAACTCTTGGGCTGCAGTTATGGCGGCACTTATTTGGTGTTAGTGTCTGATTTACCAGTAACATTATATCTCTCCATGTCAGATCAAAGGATTATCCTAACCCTTGTAAAATATCAATATAGCCATCAGGGTTATCTAAGAATTTACCTAGGTCTATTTTAATTTGCTTTAAGTCTGAGAGAGAAAAAGGTGCATGTACTCTGGCTGGGCCAAATTCTCCTCCTCCCATTGCTTGGAGGGGGCATAATCGGGGAAAATTGGCATTCTTTGTTTCACTGTTTATGCCTTTGTCTATCTCCTTTTGGACCGTTTGGGTTGAAGGGGGGTCCTTATTAGTGGGGTAAGGATTGGGGAGACACCAGGGTAGGGAGGTATACTCTGAGGGCTTCCTGTAGGGCATAAATCACAACTTTTACATAATTGAGAGTTGTCTCTTAATGAAAAGAAAGTTTGTACATATGGCACTTCACTCCATTTGCCTTCTTTTACAAAAGAGGTCTAGCTGTAAGATGGTGTTATAATTTATACTTCCCTCAGGAGGCCAGGTTTCTCCCCCTCGAAGAGAATATCATGGCCAGGCGGTACTGCAGAAGTATATTAGTCATTTTTTTCTTAGCGTCTGAGGGTCAAATTGGTCCCAATTCTCCAGAATACATCTTAGGGGCACTTTTGCCTTGGGGGGAACATTTCTCATCTGAAAAAAGAACATAGGGATGCCAGCACCCCTAGTCATTTTCCGATGAGCATTAGTCATACAGCGTCCTCTATGGCCCTAATGCTTATTCCTTTCCAGGGTGTGTAAACACCCATGGACCTCTGCTTATCGGATTAGTCATGCTCACCAATGTAGCAGTCCTGCACCCCTTTTCCCGCCTTTCTTTACCACAAAGAAAGGGGTCTGGGCTGCTGGATTCTAGTGGTCCTTTACCAGCATGCCCAATATTGCCTTTGTGCTCAGGGGTGAGTCCTAGAGCTGGGCTGGGTTCCTGAGTATTTCATAACAACCCCAGCTGCCCCATCAAGATGCATTCCCATAAACAACAGTTCTCATGCAAATTCATTTCAGAGAGGCTGTAGGTAACCTTTTGAGTCAGGATTGAGATAGTCTTTTTTGATTCTGTAAGTATTTTAGGCTTGGCTGAGTGCAAACAGCTCGCTCCTTTGAGGAGACCAATTAGGCAATTTTTCTAACTCTGCTTCCGCAAGAGTCTCCCTATCAATTACTGAATACCCATTGTGGTTTTTTCCTCAGTCACCTAGGAGGAACCATCTATCTCCTGTCCTGAAGGGAGTTCCTCCTAGGTCTGGTTGGGGCTTTGTATGGTAATTAAGATTTAAGTTCCCTGTAAGGAAATCTGCTGGGTTAAGAGAATTATCAGTGGTTAGCATTAAATTACCTTTTTCTAACAGAATAGCCCCATACTTTAAGATTTTTGAGTTTGTAAGCTACCTTTTTGCTTTTTTGACTTAGAATAATTCTGAACTGGTGAGGTGTGCTCACAATGAGGTTTCCTCTAAAAGTTACTTTTCTACTTTCTTCTTTTACCAAAGCAGTTGCTGCTACAGATTGAATGCATTTGGGACATCCCTGGGTTACTGGGTTAAGGATTTTTGATAGGAAGGCTACAGGTTGTCAGTGGTCTCAGTATTTTCAGGCTACGCCCTTGTTTACACTGACAACAAGGTAGTATTGGAGTGTTATAGGGTCATGCAGAAGATCTTCTATTATCAATTACAGGTTTTAAATTTACCCTGGCTTTTAAAGGAATAGGGCACACTCTTTTGTTTTGTTTTGTTTTTTTCTATTTCTTTCTCATTCTTTTTCTCTTTGACTCCCTCTTTGTCTCTCTCTCTCTCCTCCATCTCTCTCTCTCTCCCCTCCATCTCTCTCTCTCCCCTCCATCTCTCTCTCTCTCCTTCATCTCTCTCTCTCCTCCATCTCTCTGTCCTCCATCTCTCTCCTCCACCTCTCTCTCTCCTCCATCTCTCTCTCTCTTCCATTCTCTCTCTCTCCTCCATCTCTCTCTCTCTCCTCCATCTCTCTCTCCTCCATCTCTCTGTCCTCCATCTCTCTCCTCCATCTCTCTCTCTCCTCCATTCTCTCTCTCCTCCATCTCTCTCTCTCCTCCATCTCTCTCTCTGTCTCCTCCATCTCTCTCTCTCTTCTACCTCTCTCTGTCACCTCCATCTCTCTCTCCTCCATCTCTCTCTCTCCTCCATTCTCTCTCTCCTCCATCTCTCTCTCCTCCATTCTCTCTCTCTCCTCCATCTCTCTCTCTCCTCCGTCTCTCTCTCCTCCATCTCTCTCTCTCTGTCTCCTCCATCTTTCTCTCTCTTCTATCTCTCTCTGTCACCTCCATCTCTCTCTCCTCCATCTCTCTCTCTCCTCCATTCTCTCTCTCTCCTCCATCTCTCTCTCTCCTCCATCTCTCTCTCTCCTCCATCTCTCTCTCTCTGTCTCCTCCATCTCTCTCTCTCTTCTACCTCTCTCTGTCACCTCCATCTCTCTCTCTCCTCCATCTCTCTCTCTCCTCCATCTCTCTATCTCTCTTCCATCTCTCTCCCATCTCTCTCTCTCCTCCATCTCTCTATCTCTCTCCTCCATCTCTCTCTCTCTCTCCTCTGTCTCTCTGTCTCTGTCCTCCATCTCTCTCCTCCCTCTCTCTTTCTCTCCTCTGTCTCTCTCTCTCTTTCTCTTAGCCATTACAAACTTGGGGCCCTGGCAAGGGTGGTGGGGAACGGGTCCCACATAACTGCCCATGTCGAGAGCTGTATACCTAAATCAGGAGGGACACCAGGGATAAGACTCTCTGGGTTTAGAGCCTAGATGCCTAAGGATTCAGCATAGAGCTTCCTTAGATCCCTTTGGAGATACAACTTGCTGGAGGAAATGAAAGTCTGAACCATTAGTACCTAGGAGGCAGGGATCACAGAAGCAGATTCAGAGGTAAGGAGAATTTTGGGGCTACACTTTCAAGAAAGTCGTGGTCGGAACCCAGGAGGTATGGGTCAGAAGGAAAGGTAGGGGTGCACGCATGGGCGACTGTTGAGTAGAGACTTCTGGCTGCTCCATGATCTCAACTGGCTAATGCCGGGAGTTCAGGACGACAGCTCTCTGCCTCTAGTCAGCCCTCGGCTTCCCCAAGAAAATTGAAAGTGGAAGCTGGCTTCAGGCAGACCAACATCCCCAACCCAGAAGGGTTGGGAGTTGTTAGAAAGCCCTTCCACAGATAGCCACACACCTGAGTCTTAAGTCTGGCAGCCACTCTAATTGTTTATAATGGGCCAACAGGAGCCCAGTATTTTCCTCCAATTCCAAGGAAGGTTAGGACAGAATAGCAAGCAAAAGTGGTCCAACATTACTCACTGCTTTGGAGGTTGCTTCGTGGTTGCCAAAATGTTACCAGCAGCGGGGGAGGGGGGGCGTCCTTGCTCCCAGAGGTCCCAAGATGGTGGCGGGCTGCTTCCAAGATGGCGGCAAGCCTAGTGTTCTCTGACCTGGGGTTCTTGGCCTCATGGATTCCAAGGAATGGAATCTTGGCCATGCAGTGAGTGTTATACCTCTATTAGAAGCTGTGGGTCACAGAAGAGAACCGAGGAACCCAGTGACTAGTGTTCAGCTCGATTAGGACAAACCCGGGCACTTAGCCATGCAGGAACAATGGCAAGCCTTTAGCCCGACAGGGAGTGGCAATGGGCACCTCACTGGATCAGGAGCACAGCGGACACCCTGCCAGATCCGGAGGGATGTAAGTCAGCAGCGGGTCTGCAATGGTGGCAAACAGCAGTGGTAGACAGCAATCGAAAGCTCAGCTCAAACCATAACAAGCACAGACCAGAAGAGAGTGCAGTTGCAAGATTTAATAGAGTGAAAACAGAGCTCCCATACAAAGGGAGGGGACCCAAAGAGGGTAGCTGTTGCTGGCTCGAATGTCTGGTTTTATATCCCCATCATTATCCCACTGTGTTCTCAGGCAATAGATGATTGGCTATTTCTTTACCTCCTGTTTTTGCCTAATTAGCATTTTAGTGAGCTCTCTTTACTCCCTGATTGGTCAGGTGTGAGCTAAGTTGCAAGCCCCGTGTTTAAAGGTGGATGCGGTCACCTCCCCAGCTAGGCTTTGGGATTCTTAGTCGGCCTAGGAAATCCAGCTAGTCCTGTCCCTCATCATGGTTAAAGCAATCAGTAGAGGAAATATCAAAATTTGCAAAAACAATTTTTTCTCAAAAATTGCCAATTAGCTGGTAATGAACTCCACTCCTGGTTATATCATTAACAGAAATTAAAAGAATGTTATTTTCTTTACTTCATTCATTTCCTCCTACCATTGAGAGGCTCCAGAATATATTTCATGACTGAAATTATGGGAAATAACAGTTAAAGTAGCATATGTTATCTATTTGTCCCAGTGAATTCCACAAACTTGCCATTTCATTCTCCTTCATAAGGAATGGCTTTAGTCAAGAGGAGTTTTCAAAATGTGGCCTTTCAGAAGTGATTCAGTGGGTGTCATAGGACATTTTGAGCCTCCTCAATCTGAAAACAGCCCTCTCTTTTCCTTTTCAACCCAAACCAGTATAATTTTACCTGTTTTTAAATGTGATCTTCTCCCTAGAAAGAGAAAAAAAGTTTGAAAGCTTCTGGTATAGAAGAGTAGGTCCTGGAAAAAGCCAGGAGTGCTGGCATTTAGTAACAGTTTTGTCATTACATTCAGAGGAATTTCTCAACAAGTCCTACTGGGTGTTTCAGATCATGCTAGATAACATACTCTCAAAAGTCACTAGCAGACATCACTTTTAGTATTTTCAGTATTCTGCTGAAATCCATTTCTTATTAACCTCATTAGAATAATGTAGTTATAGCATCTACTTGTAACTGAATTAAAATTCTGCTTTGAATAAATCAGAAGACACTACAATGGAAAGGACAAGACATATGCCCAATTGATATTTGTGTATTCTCAAGTGTCTAATAGTGTTTTTAATGGAGTTTAGTTAAAGATTTAATACATTTTCATCTAGTGAGGGAAACAGTACACACATATAATCCTAATATGTAAATGTTTTAACATCAAACTGAAACTCAGAGAGAGTTGTAAATTAATGCAGCATAAACTAATAGCAGGTTATCTGTTTTTCCCTCTTTTTCCAATTAAAAAATAAACCTTTTCCTTTTTACCTTATATGAAAAAAAAATCTGTCCTAGTCATTGTTCTTAAACAAATGCTCATAAGCTCTGTTGATATTAACATCCAATTTTTAGTCTTGAGAGCTAACTTTGGTAGTTTTTTGCTCATTTAACATGTATTTTGCATCTTCAAATTGCCAGACCTGGGTGTAAGATTCTGAGGTCCAAAGGTAAATAAATTAAACCTTCCTATGTTTGTAAGGTTAAAAGTTTGATAGAGGAAGCAGAAATCTACAAAACTAATTACTGTGCACACTAAGTGTACATAGTGTGGTTGTGAAGAGTAAGTAAGGGAACAAATGCAGTAGCACAGTGCCTTGCACACAGGAATCACTAGGCACCAGATCTTTTTAGAAGCACTTATTGCTTTATTCCTAACAATTCCCCATTCACCATTCATGCTGTGGTAAATATTGTCCTAAGGAAAACTTGGTGTAGTTGACCAAGCAAAGACATCACATTATTGGACTACAAAGTGAACTAATAAAATCACAACCTGATATCAGACAGACAGGTTTGGAAGAATGCTTACTGTACCAGTGTATCTCACCTGAGAGACTGTTTCTTACATTGAGATTGAGGAGGCAAAGAATTTAGAGGGCAAGGAAAGTGTCAGTGGTCAATCAAAGTCTTTAGAAACCTGAGATTAAAGGGAATGAGTGCCTGCTTCACCTCTGGACGTTTGGGAAGCAGCAGTTTCACTGTGGTCCCAGTGTTATTATCACAGGAAGCAGTAAAGCAAAGTGCCTCCTGGAAAAGCTGTTTGAAACGCTGAGGACAGGAGGAGGAGGGGTTGTCCCACTGAATACCCTGGGAGCACAGAGTAGTTTTAGAGAACAATCAAACTTCCCCAATTTTTGGAGGAAAGTATAGGAAGTAATTTAAAAGGAAGAAAGTGCTTATAGCCTAGAGGCATCTCACAATTATGGCAAGGGAAACAACCAAGTCCATCTGGGCCATATACCCAGAGGCTGATAGTGAACAGAAGTATCTCAATGCATGCTAACTGGAGTTGTATGAATGGCTAATAATTAAACTTCTTGCCAGCATAATGCCATAAAGCTATCTTAGACCAACAGACCTTAAAAACCTATCTGGGTGTAGGAACTAAAGGAAAATACACTAAGGTGACACAATATAAATCTGAAATGACTAGGTTTACCCAGAACTGACTAAAATTAGGTAGTTTTCCTAAAAACACTAAGTCACTATTTTACATGCCTGACATTTTTGGCCTGTGATTTTGAATCTAGGACACCAAGTTATAGTTATTATTCTTCTTATTAATTAATTGTCATGTCGGGAGTCCAATAAAGCTTGTTTTTAAAGCAGAAGCAGAAATTTTTACAAGGATCCTATTTAGATACAACAGCATGGCTATTAAGAAAGCAATCTAACATCATATTTAGCACTTGTGATTAAGTAACAAAGAACTGATTGGTCCCTGCAATAATATACAGGCATAGGTTGTGTCAGGATTAAAAAATTATATTTTCAATCATGTTACAGCAAAGGTAAGATGACTTACACCAAACTATAGCAACAGCTTCTTATAACATAAAATTAATTAACTTGAAAAGATCTGTGATTAGAGTTGACACATTTAAATTATTTTGTTTCCCTTTATGTAAATCTTGCAACTGGAAAAATATTTTTAATTAAAAAAAACCTAAGAAAATACATAAAATGCTAAAATAAATAAGCCCCATAATTAATTACCTCATTTGCCTTTGGCAATTATGCTAACTATAAGCACAGGTTGAGTATTTCTTATATAAAATATTTGAGATCAGATTCTAGATTTTGGATTTTTTTCAGATTTTGAAATATTTGCATATATAGTCCATAATGTGATATCTTGGGGATGAAATCCAAGTCCAAAAACAAAACCCTTTTATTTATCATATATACTTTAGATATAATACATCACCTGAAGATAATTTTATATGATATTTTAAATAATTTTGTTCCTGAAACAAACTTTTGACTGCATTTTGACAGTGACAGTCACGTAAGGTCAGGTATGAATTTTTCCACTTGTGACGTCATATCAATGTTCAAAAAGTTTCAGACTTGAAGAGGCTGAATTTCAGATTTTCTGATTTAGAGATGCTCACCTGTACTACATTCAAATTCTATGTTAATGATTTGCGAGTTACACAAATTTATCATCAGTTAAAAAGTTGGAAGCAGAAGTGTATGATAAGGAATGTATAATACCTGCAATACATTTCAAGGGTTCACTCTGCTCAGACTTGAACTCAATCTACTAAATATTAATGAAAAATACTATGTTGCTTCAATGACTGAATAACTAGTAACACATCAAATTATATCATAAAAATTATGTACTAGTTGCCATATAGCGATTAGACAACGGGAAAAACTAATTTATTTCCAATTATTAATTTTTTCTAATAATAAATTATACTTAACAATGTATGTCTGTAACCAGCTGACATTTTGTTAACTTTCTCCAAAAATTTTTGTGGGTACATAGTGGGAGTATATATTTATGGGGTACCTGAGATGTTGTGATATAGGTATACAATGTGAAATAAGCACATCATGGAGAATGGGGTATCCATCCACTCAAGCATTTATGCTTTGAGTTATAAACAATCCAATTTATCTTTAAGTTATTTTAAAATGTACAATTAAGTTATGATTGACTATAGTCACCCTATTGTGCTATCAAATAGCAGATCTTATTCATTCTTTCTAACTACCAATATGTTTGTGTACCCATTAGCCATCCCCACCACCACTGTAGGCCTCCCCACCTACTGTCCTTCCCAGGCTCTGGTAAGCATAACTTCTACTCTCCATGTTCATGAGTACAGTTCTTTTGATTTTTAGATCTCACAAATAAGTGAGAACAGATGTTTGTCTTTCTGTGCCTGGCTTATTTCACTTAACATAATGATCTCCAGTTCCATCCATGTTGTTGCAAATAACAGAGTCTTACACATTTTATTGCTGAATAGTAGTCTATTGTGTATATGTACCACATTTTCTTTATCCGTTCATCTGTTGATGGACACTGAGGTTGCTTCCAAATCTTAGTTGTTGAAAACAGTGCTGCAACAAACATAAGAGTGCAGATATCTCTTCGATATACTGATTTCCTTTCTTTTGGGTATATACCCAGCAGTGAGATTGCTAAATCACATGGTAGCTCGATTTTTAGTTTTCTGAGGAACCTCCAAACTCTTCTCCATATTGGTTTTACTAATTTATGTTCCCAAAAACAGTGAACACATCCACATCCTCACCAGCATTTTTATTGCCTGCCTTTTGGATACAAGCCATTTTCACTGGGATGAGATGATATTTCATTATAGTTTTGATTTGGATTTCTCTGGCGATCAATGACATTGAACACCTTTTTATATGCCCGTTTGTAATTTGTATGTCTTCTCTTAAAAATTATTAAAATATTTTGCCTATTTTTTGATGGGATTATTAGATTTTTTTCCTAGGGAGTTATTTCAGTTCCTCATATACTCTGGTTACTAATCCCTTGTCAGATGGGTAGTTTGCAAATATTTTGTCCCATTCTATGGGTTGCCTCTTCAATTTGTTGATTGTATTATTTGCTGTGCAGAAGTATTATGACTTGATGTGATCCCATTTGTCCATTTTGCTTTGGTTGCCTATGTTTTTGGTACATCGTTTAAGAAATTTTTGCCAAGACCAATATCCTGTAGATTTTCCCAAAAGTTTTTCTGTAGTAGTTTCATAGTTTGATGTCCTTAATTCATTTTGATTTGATTTTTGTATATGATGAGACATGGGGTCTAATTTCATCATTCTGCACATGGATATCCATTTTTTCCAGCACCACTTATTGAAGAGACCATCCTTCACCCAGTGTATGTTCTTGACATCATTGTAGAAAATGAGTTCACTATAGGTGTATGGATTTGTTTCTAGGTTCCCTAGCCTGTTCTATTGGTTTATGTGTTTGTTTAAATTCCAGTACCATGCTGTTTTGGTTACTATAGATCTGTAGTATAATTTGAAGTCACATAATGTGATTCCTCCAGTTTTTTATTGTTGTTGTTGTTGTTCATTTTGCTTAGGATAGCTTTGGTTATTCTGAATCTTTTGCAATTCCACATAAATTTAAAGATTTTTTCTATTTATATAAAGAATATCATTGATATTTTAAAAAGGATTACATTGAATCTGTAGATTGCTTTGTGTAGTGTGAGCATTTTCCTAATATTGATTCTTTCAATCCATGAACATGGAATATTTTTCCATTTTTTTACTGTCCTCAATTTCTTTCATCAATGTTTTATAATTTTCATTATAGAGATCTTTCAATTTCTTTGATTAAGTTAATTCCTAGGTATTTAATTTTATGTATGGTTATTGTAAATGGGATTACCTTTTTATTTCTTGTTCAGATTGTTCATTGATGGCATATGGAAATGCCACTGATTTTTGTGTGTTGATTTTGTATCCTACAACTTTACTGAATTTATTTATTAGCTTTAATAATTTTCTTGTGGGGTCTTTTTTTCCAAACATAAGATCATATCTACAAACAAGGATAATTTGACTTCTTCCATTCCAATTTGGATATTCTGTATATCTTTCTCTTGTCTAATTGTTCTAGCTGAGACTTCCAGTACTATGTTGAATAACAGTGGTGAGAGAGGGCATCTTTGTTGTGTTCCAGATCTTAGAGGAAAGGCTTTCAGTTTTTCCCCATTCAGTATGATACTAGTTGTGAGTCTGTTGCATAAGGTTTTTATTATGTTGAGGTATGTTCCTTCTATCTCCAATTTTTTTTAGGGTTTTTATCATGAAGGAAAGTCAAATTACATCAAATGCTTTTTCAGCATCAATTGAAATTATCATATGATTTCTATTCTTCATTTTGTTGATATTATGTATCACATTTATTTACATATGTTGAGCCATCCTTGCATCCCAGGGATAAATACCATTAGGTCATGATGAATGATCTTCCTAATGTATTGTTGTATTTGGTTTGATAGTATTTTGTTAAGGATTTTTGCATCAATATTCATCAGAGATATTGGCCTGTAGATTTTTGTTTTGCTATGTTTTGAGACAGAGTCTTGCTCTGTTGTCCAGGCTGAAGTGCAGCAGTGAGAGCTCTGCTCATTGCAACCCCAGCCTCCTGGGTTCAAGTGACTCTCCTGCCTCAGTCTCCCAAGTAGGTGGGATTACAGGCACCTGCCACCATGCCTGGCTAATATTTTTTGTATTTTTAGTAGAGATGAGTTTTTGCTGTGTTGGCCAGGCTGCTCTCGAAAGCCTGGCTTCAAGTGATCCCCCCATCTCAACCTTCTAAAGTGCTGGGATTACAGGCATGAGCCACTGCACCCAACCTAGCCTGTAGTTTTCTTTCACTGATGTGTCTTTGTCTGGGTTTGGTGCCCAGCGTGGCCTGTAGTTTTCTTCTGTTGCTATGTCTTTGTCTGGTTTTGGTATCAGGGTAATACTATCCTTGTAGAATAGGTTGGAAGTATTCCTGCCTCAATTTTTCAGAATAGTTTGAGGAGGATTGGTATTAATTCCTCTTTAAATATTTGGTAGAATTCATCAGTGAATCCATCAGGTATGACTTTGATCTTATTACTTGTTCATGGTCTGTTCAGGATTAGATTTCTTTGTGGTTCAATCTTGGTAGGTTGTATGTATCCAGGAATTTGTCCATTTCTTCTAGATTTTCTAATTTATTGGAAATAGTAGCTTATAATAGCCACAAATGATCCTTTTAATTTCTGCAGTATCAGTTGTCATGCCTTCTTTTTTCTGATTTCATTTTTTCTGGTTTATTTTTATTTGGATCTTCTCTCTTTTTTGTTAGTGTGGCTAAAGTTTTGTCAATTTTGTTTAACTTTTCAAAAAACCAAATATTTGTTTCATTGATCTTTTGTATTTTTTCATTTAAATTTAATTTATTTCTGCTCTAATCTTTATTATTTCTTTGTTCTACTAATTTTGAGTTTGACTTGCCTTGCTTTTCTAGTTCCCTAAGATGCATCATTAGATTGTTCATTTAAAGGTTTTTCTCTTTTTTGAAGTAGGCATTTATAGCTATAAACTTCCCTTAGTACTGCTTTGCCATATCCCATAGGTTTTAATATTTTGTTTTCCATTATTATTTATTTCAATAAATTTTTCAATTTCCATCTTAATTTCTTCATTGACCCACTGGTCATTCCGGAGCATATTGTTTTATTTCCATGTATTAGTATAGCTTCCAAAATTACTCATGATATTAACTAGTTTTATTCCATTGTGGTTGGAGAAGATACTTGATATTATTTCAAGTTTTTAAAAAATGTTTTAAAACTTGCTTTGTGAACTAACATATGGTCTATCCTTGAGAATTCTCCATGTGCTGAAGAAGAGTGTGTATTCTGTAGCTCTTGGATGAAAAGTTCTGTAAATAAATGTTAGACCCAGTCAGTCTATAGTGCAGATTAAGTCTGATGTTTTTGTTGATTTTCTGTCTGGGATATCTGTCCAATACTGTATGTGGAATTTGAAATCTAGAGCTATTATTGTATTGGGTCTTATCTCTCTCTTTAGCTCTAATTATATTTGATTTATATATCTAGGTGTTCTAGTGTTGGGTGCATATATATTTAAAATTGTTAAATTATCTTGCTAAATCAACCCTTTTATCATTCTATAGTGACCTTCTTTGTCTCTTATAGCTTTTGCTTTGAAATCTATTTTGTCTGATGTAAGTATAGTGACTCCTGCTCTTTTTTGGTTTCCACTGGCT
Organism: Homo sapiens; assembly: GCF_000001405.40. Classification (NCBI taxonomy): domain Eukaryota; kingdom Metazoa; phylum Chordata; class Mammalia; order Primates; family Hominidae; genus Homo; species Homo sapiens. Next base: position 96,683,243 of record NC_000003.12, read on the forward strand.
TGAAATACCTTTTTTCATCCCTTTATTTTCAGTCTATATATGTTTTTATATGTGAAATGTTTCTTGTATGCAACAGGTCAGTGGTTTTCTTCATCTATTCATCAAGTCTGTGTCTTTTGACTGAAGAGTTACTCCATTAACATTTAATATTAGTATTGATAGGTAAGGATTTATTCCTGCCATTTTGTTACTTGTTTTCTGGTTGTTTTGTGGTCTTCTCTTCCTTTTGTCTTTCCTTCCTGTCTTCTTCTAGTGAAGGTGATTTTCTCTGGTGCTATGATCTAGTTTCTTGCTTTTTATTTTTTGTGTCTCCATGATTTTGGTTTGAGGCTACCATAAGGCTTGCAAATATTACCTTATAACTCATTAATTTAACCTGGTTACAGCTTAACACTGCTTGCATAAACAAACAAACCATAAACAAGCAAAAACAAAGCAAATAAAAATTTTATACCTTAACTTCATCCCCCTGCTTTTAATCTTTTTGTTCTTTTATTTAATTTTATTGTAGTTACTATGTCTTGAAAAGTTGTTGAAGTTATTATTTTTGATTGGTTTATTGTTTAGTCTTTCTATTTAGGATAAGAGTAGTTTACACACCACATTTAGAGTGTTCTAATATTCTGTGCTTTTCAGTGTACCTACTATTGACAGTGCATTTTGTACCTTCAGGTGATTACATATGGCTCATGAACATCCTTTGCTTTCTGATTGAAGCACTCCCTTTAGCATTTCTTGTAGGATACGTCTGGTGTTGAAAAAACCCCTCAGCTTTTGTTAGTCTGGGAGTGTCTTTACTTTTTCTTCATGTTTGAAGGATATTTTCACCAGATATATTATTTTAGGGTAAAAGATATTTTTCTTTCAGCACTTTAAATATGTCATGTCACTCTCTCCTGGCAGGTAAGGTTTCTGATGATACATCTGCTGCCAGATGTATTAGAGCTCCATCGAATATTATTTTTATCTTGTCTCATAGTACTTTTAGGACCCTTTCTTTATCCTTGACCCTTGGTAATTTAATTATTAAATTCCTTGAGGTTAGTCTTCTTTGGGTTAAATCTTCTTGGTGTTCTATAACCTTGTATTTGGATATCCATATCTTTCTTTCGGTTTGGGAAGTCCTCTAATATTATCCCTTTGAATAAACTTTCTACCCCATGTCTTTCTCTACCCTCTTGAAGGCCAATAACTCTTAGATTTCCCCTTTTAAACTATTTTCTAGATCCTGTTGGCATGCTTACTTTTTTTTAATTCTTTCTTTTGTCTTCTTTGACTGCATATTTTTGAATAGCCTGTCTTCAAGCTCACTAATTCTTTCTTCTACTTCATCAACTCTGTAATTAAAAGACTCTGATGCATTGTTTCATATGCCAATTGTATTTTTCAGCCCCAGAATTTCTTTTTGAGTTTTTAAAAGTATTTCAATCTCTTTGATAAGTTTATCTGACAGAATTCTGAATTTCTTTTCTGTATTATCTTGAATTTCTTTGAGTTTCCTCAATACAGTTGTTTTAAATTATCCATCTGAAAGATGACAAATCTCTGATTTTCCCAAATTGGTCTCTAGTGTCTTATTTAGTTCACTGATGAGGTCATATTTTCCTGGATGGTGTTGATGCTAGTATATGTTCTTTGCTGTCTGGGCATTGAAGTTTTCACCTTTCACAGTCTGAGCTTATTTGTACTCATTCTTGGGAATGCTTTTCCAGTATTTGAAAGGAATTGGGTGTTGTGATCTAATCTGTGTCTGTTCTAGAGGACACCCCAAGCCCAATCATGCTGTGGTTTTTGCACCTTTGTAGAGGTATTGCCTTTACGGTCTTGGACAAAGTCCAGGAGAATTCTCTGGATTACCATGCAGAGACTCTTATTCTCTTCCCTTACTTTCTCCCAAGCAAAGTCTCTCTCTCTCTCTCTCTTTGTTCTGAGCCACATAAAGCTGGGATGGAGTGACACAAGTACATTTGTGGGCACCACCAGTATAACTGAGCTGAGTAAGACCTAAAGGTAGCACAGCACTAGTTCTCACCCGAGGTCCGATGTAACCATTACCTGGTTACTGCCTATGTTTTCTCAGGGCCCTGGGGCTCTACAATCAACCAGTGACAAAGCCTGCCAGGGCTGTGTCAATGCCTTCAGGGCAGTGAGGTGCCCCAGGCTCCAGGTGGGTCCAGAAATTCTGTATGGGAGTTAGTGACTAGGGCCAAAAATCTCAGGAGTCTACCTGGTGTTCTATCGTGCTGCATCTGAGCTGGCACTCAAACCACAAGAAACAATCCTTCACAACCTTCCCTCCTTTTTCCAAAGGCAGAGGAGCCTTACTCCATAGCCACTGCCAGTACAGGTCATGAGGAGTACTACCAGACTACTGTCAATGTTTCCTTGAGGCCTGAAGACCCAACGGCTCTTAAATCAGCTTGTAGTGAATGCTGCCTGGCTTGGGACCCACTCTTCAGAGCAGTGAACTCCCCTCTGGCCCAGAGCAGCTCCAGAAATGCTAACCAAAAGTCAAGTCCTGGAATCAGGGACCCTAGGAGCCTGCTTGGTGTTCAATCCCTCTGTGGCTGTGCTGGTACCTAAGGTGCAAGACAAAGTCTCCTTTACCTTACCCTGGGCTTTTCTCAAGCAGAAGGACTTTTGCCCCATGACCACCATAGCTGGTAATGTGCTGAGTCTCAGAGGCTCACCCAAGGCACTCAGCATAGTATTTGCATATAGCTGCTAGCTATTCATACGCACAAGACTCTTCAGTTAGTAGGTGATGAATGCTGCCAGGACTGAGTTTTTTTCTTTAAGGCAGTGGATTCCCTTCTGGCCCAGGGTGTGTCTAGGAATGTCATCTGGGGGCTAGGGCCTGGAATGGGGGCATCACAACTTTTGCCACTGCCGTATTCTGCTGTGGCTGAGCGGGGATCCAAGATGCAAGAAAGAGTCCACCCCACTCTTCCTTCTCCTCTCCTCAAGTGGGAGGAAGGGGTCTTTTTTGGAGCTGTGAGCTGTACAGCCTTAGGTTAGGGGAGAGGTGATGCCAGCACTCTCTTAGCTGCCCTGGTTGGTGTCTCATTATGTCACCTGCCCCTACAGTCCACTGTCTTTCAGCCTAGTTCAGCACTGGGACTCATTTAAGAGTTAGAGTCCTTATGACCTAGACTGCCTTTAAAGTTCCTTCAGGGACACAGAGCACTGTAGCCCACAGTGATGAGATTTGCAGCAAGTTCAGATCACTGGGATTGGAAATTCCCCTCTGTCTGGGGCTGGTTTAAATTCTCCCTCCATGGACAGGCATCAGCTGAGTTTGATCCAGTGTTCCTTTCTGCTCTAACAGGATACACTGAATTCATTGCCTCACAATTGCTGTGTTCTCAGTGTCCAGAGACACTTTCTGCACCATGTGGCCACTGCCAGGGGTGGAGAAGGGATGGTGTCAGTGATTCAAGCCTGTTTTTTATATCTCTTCAGAGCCGTTTTGAGCAATACAAAGATAAATCAGGTACTATTAGGCCTCACCTGGTTTTTGGTTCTTATAAAGGGATATGTGTGTGTGTGTGTGTGTGTGTGTGTGTGTGTTCTGTGTAGATAGTTGTAAATTGGTGTTCTTGTGGCAGAGAGGTGGGGGACTATTGGTGGAGTATTCTGTTCTGTCATCTTGCTCTGCCTCTCCTCCCAGCTGCCAAGTGGCCCTGATTTATGACTCAGTAGAGAGTCTGCCTCATGTATAATGGAGATATAAGGTCTCTACAAACCTTCTCTGATATTTCTCCATGCCTCACAATTATTGGTCACCTGATGTGTGACTGAATTTGCTATTCACTTCTTCTTTCCATATCAACATCTCATCACAATTTACTAACATTGCTCAGAGGCTACATCTCTCAGGACACAAATAAACATATTATGTAGTCAGCTTTTCACTTGAGATTTTAGCCTATCCATGAATTTAAAACATAGTGTTGGACTTTCTTTCTGTATTTCATGTGACTATCCACTGCACATTATTTTTTCTTCCTCTTGGTATTGTTTCTACAGTGCCTTGATGTACTGGACTACTTCACAAATAGAAACAATTTTATTTTTATAACTCATAAAACATAAGTATTTATTTTTAATCATATTTGTCTGGGTACTGTTTTGAGTTGTTTTGAAATACAAATAAATTTTTAAAATACCTTAAACAATAAAAGGTATATACTGATTTTTCTAACTAAAAAGACCTGGTAAAGGTCAGGTTTCAGACAAAGTTTGATCTGAGGTCCACGTTCAATTCTCTCTGATGATGTTGACTTTGTGTTCTTCCCATATTAACATTTTCTTCATCTGGGGTTTCTGAAACAATCTGGATGTAAATGTTTTCTCATCTGCTACCAGGAAAAGAATGTACCTCTACCCATAACCTTTGAACAAGACTCCTAAATGTGGTCATAGACCACATAGATTAAACAACTATTCTGAATTTAGCAATGAGATAAAGTGGGTTGCAATTAACCTAATTGATATAGACCAATAAGGATCCAATCCTGAAATTGACAGTGGTGTTAACTCTACTCAGATCATGGAACTAATGTATTAGGATAGAATGGATGTCACTGAGAGAGCTATACTCAACTCTGTAAGTCGACATCTTACAGACCTCATAAACATATGAAAGCTTGTGAAGTTACTAAGGTATGCAGAATCCACTGGAAGATATACTAGCCCTTAGAAGTACCTGAGCTATTATAAAACCAAGCTATTTCTCCCAAAAAGGAGACAATTCAAAATTTTAAACATCTATATCTATATGCTCATGTCTAAAGTGCTCAGAAATACTCAGTTTTCTTTGTCAAACTTCTTCCTGAGCCTCTTCATGGCCTAGTGGTATTTGGTTAAATGTACATTCATCTTCTTACAATTTTTACACTATTCCATGGTAATAATCATGTCAGTAATAGCTCACATTGGGGAAATAGGAAGGAATGAACAGAATACATAAAGCCCATTGACCACAGCACACATTAATGGACAGAAATGCAGAGACTCTTTGACCTGGTGGTATAGTGAATTATTTGGTCAGTCAATCTGGAAACTTCCACCTTTGCTGTCTGGAAGAATAGCCCTTGTTCACTGTCTTCCATGGCCATCCATAGCTGGCATAGACATAGGCAAGATGTCTTTCTGGAACAGGATCAATTTAGTAATTCTATTGAGAGAGTTCTGGAGTCCAAGGGACTGAATTATCATCCAGTTTCTATCATTTCTACTTGAAGATATGTTAGCAATGTAGTCTTCTATGTTAGACAAAATTATTTTTCCCATTTATTTACCTCATTCTTTCTCTATGCCCTGTGTCATTTTATTTTGCATTTCCTCCTACAAGAGGTAACATATTTGGTATTGTCATATGACTTGCTTGGCCAATGGCATGACAGTAGACAGGATTTGGCAGAGGACTGAAATGTGCACATGTATTTGAGCTTGTGTTCAGTGCATGTGCCACTATCATGAAAGGATCATGCCCCAGAAAGTCCATTGGTCACCGAAGAATGATTAAGTCAGAAACCCACAGCCTAGAGCCAACCAAGCTGAGCTTAACTTTCACATTTATATCCTAACCAAACCGCAGAGATGTAAGTGAGAAATAAAAGCCTCTTATTGCATGCTACTGAGCTTTGTAGTGTTTTTTTTACAATGCATTATTAGGAATACAGATGTCAGTGACAACATTAATATCCAGAAGTGGGATAATTTCACAGCAAAAATTTAAAATGTGTAGCATTGAGTGTAAGGTTAGTAGGGGACAAAGTAACTGTTATAAAAGACCAAAAATTTAGATTAAACCTTATTAAAGGATATTGAAAAAAGCAGAGACATGTCTTATGTAATGGTCAAACATTTGTTAAAAGTATCACCTATAATAAACTGGGAAATATGAAATATGGCTAATGATCTTGTTGAACGCATCAGCTGGCTCCTACTAGCTGCATTTGAGAAAGAATAATTTTTTAATAATTTTTTAAAAAGAACAAACTCAGAGGAAAACAGAAAATTTGTTTTGAAAACAAAAATTGGAAGATAATATAGAAAGCTCAGAAAAATCTAGAACTTGGTTGGAAAATAAAAGTGCTCTCTAACTTCAATAAAAGATTCAATTTAATACAAGTACTGGGGGCCAAACAAGTCAAGGTCATGTCCAATAAATGCAATTGGAAGCATAGATCAAATCAAAGGTGGTGTGGCCATCACCTCTAAAAGAATCAAGGTGATGCTTCTTGGATCTTGTTCTCCCAGAAGCAGACTATGAGTCAAGCATTTAGGTATAAGTGATTTATGAAGGAAGTACTTCTGGGAGGGAACAGCAAGGGAATGTAGGAAGTAGGATAAGAAAATAGACAAAACTGAGCACAGTGCAATTTTAAACCTGAGAATCAGCCTGAAGCCATGGGGAACTTTTTGTGTATAAATCAGCATTTCAAAGTTTGTCTTCTTCAGGCAAGAAATTGGGTGGATTTTTGTGTGCCACATAAATTTGGGGCAGTCTGTGACACCATATTATTTTAGATAAAGCTGATTGATATATTTACTTCAAAATTTGGTAGCATTAGGTATCAATTCTGTCTCATTATGCCCTAACCAAATTCAAAGCTCATATGATATATAGTTTCTAAATATCCTAGTAGCAAATTTCCACATTTTGACAATCTCTCTTACACTCATTTTAACCTGTGTTGAAAATTTTAAGGAAAGTACAATCATTTGGATAGGTGTAGAAGATTGTACCCTAATCCAAGTTATAACTTTGGCCACTTCTATGCCTCCATGCTTTCACTTCAATTTATCTGTGTGGGGCAGAGACTTAAGCTGGTCCAACTCTATACTCAACTCTGGAGTTCCAGGCTTGCAACCACTGGTGATTGCAGTCCTCAGAGAATACTCTCTTAGTGATGTTACAAAATACTGCTTTTTGTGTGAAGCTAAATATATCTCTTCATTTAGCACTTCACTGAAGTCTGAATACAGTTGCTTTGAACCCTAATATTCTGATTCTGAGAGTCCTGCTCAATATAGGATTATATGATTTATAAAACACACTGATCATGTTTTTCACATCCTACTAATAACCACTGTTATATATATACATAACCCCATCAAAGATAGTATTCAAAATAGCTTTTAAACATGTTTGGTCTTTTATTTGTGCAACATCAAGATTTTTTAAGCCACATGGAAATTTTCAAATAACAATTCAAACAATAAATGCCAGTGAAAAGTAGTAGAACTGTAGGAGTGTTAGTGCTGAATGGTGTGATAGTGGATTTATTTTGAACAGAATGTAGACCGGGTATGCTACCTTTAGCATACCTTTATTAAACCATTAAACCATTAAACCATACCCTTTAATGGTTAGGTATGAAAGAAAAGGAGCCAAGGATGTATATAAGTGTTTTTCTCCCTTTGCCAACTGGAAGAAGGGAGTTTCCATATACTGAGATGAGAAAGATTACAGGAGGAACAGGTTTGGTGGGGAAAATAAGTAGTTTGGTTCTGGACATGTTCTGTTTGAGAAATTTGGCACACTTAGTAAAATACAAGTAAAGATGATGAGCACATAGCTGGATCTGAAGAGACAGTTCCTAGTGAAAACAACAATTTTGAGATAATATGCTTTTAGATGATACTTAACATTATGGAGCTAAACATGATAATATTTGCAATTATTTTGGAGTTTAAGCCTTATCCTCCTGGGTGAATATTTATACTTGTAATCCTGAAGCATTCTGAGATTTCACCCCAGTTATGGGTCAAATGACCATAAAAGGTGGTTGATTTTAAGAAAAATATGCATTCTCCTTTCTAAGATACTGCCTGAGTTGAAGTTACTATAAAGTCTTCAACAAGGGAGAGTTAATATCCTCAAAGCATTGCTATAAACAGTATCTGGTGAATTTATAAAGTATCTCTCAAATAAAATAAAATCAGTACCTGTGAAATAGCAGGTCTACCAAAATTGATAGCTGTGAGATCTCATTAATACATAATATCATTTATAAACTGAGCTTCAAGAAATCATTGATTTTACCCTAAAATGTTTTTATGTCCTATTTATAAATTCTAAGCTCAGCAACTGTTTTTTTGAGTAGACAAAATATTAATAATTTATGTTGTTACATTATCACAACTTCTGTATTTTAATGATTTGACATTTTACATTCTGAAAAGTGCAATCCTTCTATGATTTTTTAAACTTGATTCAAATACCTCACATTTTACTATATTTTCATATAGTGAAGAGTAAAAATCAACCTTAAAATTATATTATTAAAACTCAAAATCATGATTCTAACCAGATCAGGTACTTAGCATATCAATAATATTAAAGTCCATTTATGATAACAATATATCCCTGGTAACAAACATCTGAACCAGAATTCTCTGTGGATTCCATAAGCTATTTCTTGTGAAACTCTGAAATAGTATTTAGATGAAAAATGGTTGAAAATTAAGGGATAGATGATTTCTTTTTTGCAGCAGTTCTCAATGTCTTCAACATGGTAATGTTCTTTTTGAACCTGACATTTTTTTGCTATTTATTTGCATGTGATTTTTAGCACACACTTCAGGGGAAAAAAACCTCTAGATATATACTGTTGTTTACATGTATTGTGTAAGCATATTACTAAAGGAAAATTGCAATAACCAATGAACAAGAGGAAGTTAATGTATCAAAATATTTACCTATAGACCATACTAATACTCAACTATAAACAATTACAAAATCAAAGTATAGAGAGATTAGATAGCTAGAGATATATAGATATAGATGATATTGATATAAACACATAGATATGCTGATTTTTAAAACAATTTTGAACAGATGATACGTTGATAATACCATGGAGTTCATGTTAATGAAAGATAAACATATATTAATAAAACTTGTAATATAACATGTATTCTGTAAATTTATATTTTGAAAATAATGCATAACTTGATCTATAGTATGAATGAAACTCTATATAAATTGGGTTGTGAACATTAAAACATAATTTTGGGAAAACGTTTTGAAATGCAGCAATGATCCTTATGATATACCTAACATATGATTAAACATACTCTTTATCATAGAAATAAATTATATTAAGCATATATCAATATACTTAAGTGCATTTTTAATAAACAGATCTAAGCTTAAATTTCATATACATTATGGAACTATCAGTTTCCTTAGTCAAATATAAATAATAGTATCTAACTTATAGGTTTTTTTTAGGAGTAAAGGGCTAATGACAGAAGGTTCAGAATTTTACACAAAGGTTTACATAAATTTAATATTATTAGGACTGGTATTCACATTTCTAAAAAATGTTAGGGCTGTATATATATAGTTTTTGACAATCTGCCCAAATCTCTAAAATTAGATTCAAAAAACAGTTTACAATGAATACATAAAAACAGAAGTAGCTAACATCATTCATTTATAGTTTTATGTCATATCCAAAGGGGTTTGTACATGTTAACCCATTTAATTATTATGTAATGTATGTATTATTGTTACCCCACTTATCCATGAGAAAACTAAGGCACAGAGATACTGCCAAATTTCAAACAGCTAGTAAATGGCAGTCCTGGGAATTGAACCAGAAGAAATTAGGCTCCAAGATATCTGATCTTTATTTCCTTTTTTGTTTCAAGTTTTGTGGTTACATACTAGGTGTATATGTTTATTGGGTATAGGAGATATTTTGATACAGGCATGCAATGTGTAATAATCCCAACATGGAAAATTGAGTATCAACTCCTGCAAGCATTTATTCTTTATGTTACAAGCAATACAATTATACTCTTTATTTTTAATGTAAGATTAAACTATTATTGACTGTAGTCCCCCTATTATGCTATCAAATACTAGGTCTTATTCATTCTTTCTAACTATGTTTTTGTATCCATTAACCATTCCCACCTTCCCCCATACTCCACACTACCCTTCTCAGCCTCTGGTAACCATACTTCTATTGTCTATCTTCATGAGTTCAATTGTTTTGATATTTATATCTCACAAATAAGGAAGAACATGTAATATTTGTTTGTCTTTCTGTGCCTGGCTTATTCAATTTAACATAAAGATATGCAGTTCTATTTATATTGTTGCAGATGACAGAATCTTATTTTTTTAGGGCTGAATAGTACTCCATAGTGTATACGTACCACATTTTCTTTATCCATTTATCTGTTGATGGACACTTAGGTTGCTTCCAAATCTTGGATATTGCAGTGCTGCAACAAAGACGGGAGTGCAGATATCTCCTAGATATACCGATTTCCATTCTTTTGGGTATGTACGCAGCCATGTGATTGCTGGATCATATGATAGCTCTATTTTCAGTGTGCTGAGGAACCTTCAAACTGTTCTCCATAGTACTTGTATGAATTTACATTCCCATCAACAGTGTAGGAGTGTTCTCTTTTCTCCACTTCCTCGCCAGCATTTGTTATTGCCTAACTTTTGAATAAAAGCCATTTTACATGGGATAAGATGACATCTCACTGTAGTTTTGATTTGCATTTCTCTGGTGATCAATAATGTTAAGCACTTTTTTATATGTCTGTTTGCAATTTGTATATCTTCTTTTGAGAAATGTATATTTAAATTTTTGCCCTCTTTAAATTGGATTATTATTATTTTTTTCCTATGGAGTTTTTTGTTTGAACTTCTTATATATTCTGGTTATTAATCTCTTGTCAGAGGGATAGTTTGCAAATATTTTCTCCCATCCTGTGGGTTGTCTCTTCACTTTGTTAACTGTTTTGTTTTCTGAGCAGAAGCTTTATAACTTAATTTGATCCCATTTGTCTATTTCTGCTCTGGTTACCTGTGCTTGTGGGGTATTATTCAAGAAATTTTTTGCCCAGACCAATGCCCTAGAGAATTTCCTACTTTTTTTTGCAGTAATTTTATAGTTTGAGTTCTTAAATTTAAGTCTTAAATTAATTTTGATTTGATTTTTGTATATGATAAAGAGAGTGATCAAGTTTCATTCTTCTGTATATGGAAATCCAGTTTTCTCAGCACCATTTATTGAAGGGACTATCCTTTCCTCAACGTATTTTCTTGGCATCTTTGATGAGAATGAGTTCACTGTAGGTGTTCAGATTTGTTTCTGGGTTCTGTATTCCGTTCCAATGGTCTATGTGTCCTTTTTAATGCCAGTACCATGCTGTTTTGGTGATTATAGCTCTATAGTATAATTTAAAGTCAGGTAATGTGATTCCTTTAGTTTTGTTCATTTTTTTCAGGATGTCTTTGGTTATTCTGGGTCTTTTGTAATTCCATAGAAATTTTAAAATTATTTCTTTTGTTTCTGCAGAATATGTCATTGATATTTTGATAAGGATTGCATTGAATCTGTAGATTGCTTTTGATACTGTGGGCATTTTAACAATATTGATTTTCCAATCAATCAACATGAAATATCTTTCCTTTTTTTGGTGTCCTCTTCAATTTCTTTCATCAGTCTTTCATAGTTTTCATTGCAGAGGTCTTTTTCTTCTTTGGTTAATTCCTAGGAAATTAATTTTATCTGTGGCTATTGTAAATGCGATTACTTTCTTGATTTCATTTTCAGATTGGTTGTTCTTGACATAGAGAAATGTTACTGATTTTTGTATATTGATTTTGTATCCTACAACTTTACAGAATTTGTTTATTAGTTCTAATAGTTTTTTCGTGGAGTCTTTAGGTTTTTTCAAATAAAAGATCATATCACCTACAGGCAAGGATAATTTAACTTCTTCTTTTCCATTTTGGATGTCCTTTATTTTCTTCTCTTGTATGATTGCTCTAGCTAAGACTACTAGTACTATGTCGAATAACAGCAGTGAAAGGGGGGGATCCTAGTCATATTCCAAATCTTAGAGGAAAGGCCTTCAGTTTTTCCCCATTCAGTGTTATATTATCTGTGTCTCTGTCATATATGACTTTTATTATGTTTAAATATATTCCTTCTATACCCAGTTTTTTGAGAGTTTCTATCATGAAGAGATATTGAACTTCACCATATACTTTTTCTGAATCACTTGAAATGATCATATGGTTTTTGTCCATCATTATGTTGATATGATATATCATATTGTTTGATTTGCATATGTTGTACCATCCTTGCATCACTGGGCTAAATCCCATTTGGATATAATAAATAATCTTTTTTATGTATTGTTAAATTCAGTTGGCTACTGTTTTATTGAGGATCTTTGCATCAGTATTCATCAGAGATATGGGCCTGGAGTTTTCTTTTTTTTTTTTTTTTGGTATGTCTTCATCTGGTTTTGGTGTCAGGGTAATACTGGCCTTAATAGAATGAGTTTGGAAGTATTCCCTCATCTCTATTTTTTCAAAATGTGAGTAGGATTGGTATTGTTTTTCTTAAATGTTTAGTAGAAATTGAGCAGTGAAGCCATTGGGTTCAGGGCTTTTCATTACCGGGAGACTTTTTATTACAGTGTCAATCTCATTACTTGTTATTGGTCTGTTCAGATTTTGGATTTCATCATTATTCAAACTTGATAGGTTGTTTGTGTCTAGGAATTTACTCATTTCTTTTAGATTTTCCAATTTATTGGCATATATTTGTTCATAGCAGACACTAATGATCCTTTTAACTTCCGTGGTATTATTTGTCTCTTTTAATCTCTGATTTTATTTATTTTGGTCTTCCATCTTTTTTCTCTGTTAGTCTGGCTAAAAGGTTTGTCAATTTTGTTTATCATTTCAAAAAACAAACTTTTTGTTTCATTGATCTTTTGTATTTTTTAATTTCAATTTTGCTTATTTCTTCTCTGATCTTTATTTCTTTTCTTCTACTAATTTTGGATACAGTTTGCTCTTGCTTTTCTAATTCTTTAAGATGCATTGTTAGGTTGTTTATGTGAAGTTTTTCTTCTTTTTTGAAGTAGGCAGTTACAGCTGTAAGTTTCCCTCTGAATACTGCTTTTGCTGTATCTCATAGGTTTTGGTATGTTGTGTTTCCATTGTCATTTTTTTCAAAACATTTTTCAGTATCCTTCTTAATTTCTTCATTGACTCACTGGTCATTTAGGAGCATATTGTTTAATTTCTATATATTTGTATAGTTCTGAAAATCCCTCTTTTATTAATTTCTAGTTTTATTGTGGTGTATTCAGAGAAGACACTTGATATTATTTCAATTTTTTTCAATATTTTAGGACTTGTTTTGTGACCAAACATATGGTCTATGCTTGAGAATGATTCATGCACTGAGGAAGAAAATGTGTATTCTGCAGCCATTGGATGAAATGTTCTGTAAATAGTTAATTGGTCCATTTGTTCTATCGTGTAGATTAAGTCCAATGTTTCTTTGTTTATTTTCTGTCTGGGAGGTCTGTCCAATGCTGAAAGTGGGGTGTTGAAATCTGCAGCTATTATTTTATTGGGGTTCCCCTCTCTCTAGCTCTAATAATATTTGCTTATATATCTGATTGCTCCAGTGTTGAATGTATATATATTTACAATTGTTATGTCCTTTATATGGTCTGGCTGTGTCCTCACCCAAATCTCACCTTAAATTGTAATCCGAATTGTAATCTCCATGTGTTGGGGGAGGGACCTCATGGGAGGTAATTAGATCATGGAGGCAGTTCCCCCATGATGTGTCCCATGTTAGTGAGTTATCACAAGATACGATGGTTTTATAAGGGGCTTCCGCCTTTTGCTTGGCACTTTTCCTTCCTGCCACCATGTGAAGAAGGCCATGTTTGCTTTCCCTTCCACCATGATTGTAAGTTTCCTAAGGCCTCACCAGCCATGCTGAACTATGAGTCAATTAAACACCCCTTTCCTTTATAAATCACCCAGTCTTGGGTATGTCTTTATTAGCAGTGCGAGAGCAGACTAATACAATCCTCTTGCTAAATTGACCCTTTTATTATTAGATAATGACCTTATTTTTCTTTTATTAGAGTTTTTGCCTTGAAATCAATTTTGTCTAATATAAGTGTAGCAACCCTTGCTCTTTTTGGTTTCCATTGGCATGGAATATCTTTTTTCATGTCTTTATTTTCAGTCTATACGTATATTACAGGTGATGTGTGATGTGTGCTTCTCTTTTTTTTTTTTTGGAGGCAGATTTTCATTCTGTAGCCCAGGCTGGAGTACAGTGATGTGATCTCCACTCACTGCAAGCTCCGCCTCCTGGGTTCACGCCATTCTTCTGCCTCAGCCTCCAGAGTAGCTGGTATTACAAGCGCCTGCCACCATGCCCAGCTATTTTGTTTGTATTTTTAGTAGAAACGGGGTTTCACCATGTTAGCCAGGATGGTCTCGATCTCCTGACCTCGTGATCCACCCACCTGGGCCTTCCAAAGTGCTGGGATTACAGATGTGAGCCACTGTGCCCAGATGTGTGTTTCTTGTACACAACAAATCATTGGGTTTTGTTTTGATCCATTCAGACACTATGTCTTGGAGAGTTTTATGGATAAGTAGGGACTTACTCTGGTCACTTTCTTATTTGTTTTCTGGTTGCTTTTCAGTCTTTTTTCCCTTCTTTCTTTATTTCCTGTCTTTCTTTTAGTGACGGTGATTTTCATTGGTGGTATGCTTTAATTTCTTGCATCTTATTTTTTGTGTATTCATTGTATCTTTCTTGATTTGAGGTTATCATGAGACTTTCCAATACCATCTTATAAGCCATTATTTTAAAGAGATTACAACTTAAAACTGATTGCATAACATCACAATTATAGTACTACAGTATTCTGTGTTTTTCTGTGTACTTACTATTATCAGTGAGTTTTGCACCTTCAGATGATTGCTTTTATCTCATTAACATCCTTCTCATTCAAATTGAAGAACTCCTTTTAGCATTTCTTGTTGGACAGATGTGGTATGGATGAAATCTTTCAGCTTTCATTTGTCTGGGAAAGTCTTTATTTCTCCTTCATACTTAAAAGATGTTTTCAGTGGATATGCTATTCAAGGGTAATTTTATTCCAGCCCTTTACACATGTCATGCCACTCTCTTCTGGTGTGTAAAGTTCCCACTGAAAAATCTGATGCCAGACATATTGAGCTCCATTATATGCTATTTGCTTTTTTTCTCTTGCTTCTTTTAGGTTTCTTTCTTTATCCTTGACCTTTGGGAGTTTAGTTATTACATGTCTTGAGGTAGTCTTCTTTGGGTTAATAACTGCTTGGTGCTCTATAACCTCCTTGTACTTGAATGTGGATATCTTTCTCTACATTTGGGAAGTTCTCTGATTTTATCCATTTGAATAAAGTTTTTACCCCTCTCTCTTTCTCTACCTCCTCTGGAAGGCCAATAGCTCTTAGAATTTCCCCTTTGAGTCTATATTCTAGATCTTCTAGGTATGCTTCATTGTTGTTAATTCTTGTTTCTTTTGACTCCTCTGCTTGTGTGTTTTCAAGTAAGCTGTCTTCAAGCTCAATAGTTCTTTCTTCTGCTTGATATGTTCTGCTATTAAGGGCCCCTTAAGCATTCTGCAGCATGTCAGTTGCATCTCTCAATTCTACAATTTTTTAGTTATTTCGTTCTCTTTGTTAAATTTATCTGGTAGATAAATTTATCTGAATTCTTTCTCTGTTATCTTGAATTTCTTTGAGTTAACACAACATAGCTGTTTTGAATTATTTGTTTCTCCAGGATTAATCCCTGGTGTTGTATATAGTTCATTTGGTTAGATTACGTTTTCTTGGAGGATGTTGATGCTTATAGATGTTTGTCAGTATCTGAGCATTGAAGACTTAGGTATTTATTGTAGTCTTTACAGTTTGGGTTTGTTTGTGCCTGTCCTTCTTGGGAAGGCTTTCCAGGTGTTCAAAGGGACTTGGGCCCCAACCTTAATAATGCAGTGATTTTTGCAGACTCATTGGTGGTCTTGGATAAGATCCAGAAGAATTCTCTATATTACCAGGCAGAAACTTTTGTTCTTTTCCCTTTCTTTCTCCCAAATGTAGAGTGTCTCTCTCTATTCTGACACGCCTCAAAGTGGGGGGGTGTGGTGATGCAAGCACCCCTTGGGCCACCACCAATGAGACTGCACTGGGCCAGACTTGAAGCTTGCACAGCACTGAGACTTGGCCAAGGCCCTTTCTCTCATGGTAATGAGTTCCCTCAGGCCCTGGACATATCCAGAGATGCTATCTGGGATCCACGGCTTGAAATAAAAAAATAAAATAAATAAATAAATAGCAATTTAACCTGATGTTCTATTCTACTGAGGCTAACTAAGATGGCACTTGTGCCACAATACAAAGTCCCTACCAATCTTCCCTCCTCTTTCCATAGGCAGAGAAGCTTTTCCCTGTAGCCACTACCACCAATGGTCCATGGGGTATTCTGTCAAACTGATACAGGAGTAGGGCAGGGAAGTACTGGGTAGAGAAAGGTGTGGTCTCTTGCTAGGGCTCCACTCCTATAGATCTAGATGAGGACAGGTACTCCTGCCTTTGCACCCAAATGTTGCATTTTCCAAGACCACCCTGGCCCACCAGAACATCGTCTTGGGCCTACAAAAACCCAAGACCCTAGTGGGCAGACACACAGTTGGCCAGATGTTGAGAGGACCACATCAGCGGAAGAAGACACAAGCGGCTGAACAGCGAGAGGACATCAAGGGAGCACACTGGTAGAAAAGCACACCAACAGACGTTGGCACACCAGCAGTTCATCAACCCGCAGGATGAGGCAGAATTTGGCCAGGGCACTCAGAGGAGAGCTGGGGCCACCGAGCTGCCCAACGCCAGCAGAAAACCCTATCCCTTCTGACTCCCCATCTGCTGAGAGCTACTGCCACTCAATAAAACTTTGCACTCATTCTCCAAGCCCACGTGTGAACTGATCCTTCTGGTACAACAAGGCAAGAACCTGAGATACAGAAAGCCCTTTGTCCTTGTGACAAGGTAGAGGGTCTAATTGAGCTGGTTAACACAAGCTGCCTATAGACAGCAAACTAAGAGAGCACCCTGTAGCACATGTCCACTGGGGCTTCAGGAGCTGTAAACATTCCCCCTAGACACTGCTGTGGAGTTGGAGCCCCACAGCCTGCCTGTCTTTATGCTCCCCTAGAGGTTTAAGCATCAGGGCACTGAAGATGCAAGTCACACCCCCATAGCATGCCCTGCAAGGGGGACAAGGGAACTTAACCCATTTCAACTGGGGGCTCATCAGGGATCCTGGAAGGTGAATGTGAACAAATGTGAAACTGTCGGGTCTGTCTCTCTTCTGAAACCCTGCCACCTCTTTCTCTTTCCTGCGGGTAAGAGCTTCTGTTTCCCTTCAAAAGCTCTGTCTTAACCTGCCAGTAAAAACCCCCAGACTGTCTCTTTTCTCTCTCACACACAGTTCAAAATGGCTCTTATCTCTTCCTTCATAATGTTAAGAGTTTTGCTACAGGCTGTGGCAATGTTACTAAGTAAAATGAGCATTAGGCTCAGCTGCCAAAGGTGCAAATCAGACCAATTGTTCCTAGAGGTGCCCCTCCCAGCCCGGGCACCTGGGTGTGTCTGAGCAGGCAAAGGCCAAGCCCAACAGCCATAAGTGGGGGCAGCAGAAAGTTGCAGTTGTATCCACGACCCCACAGGGCCAAAGGATGGGCACTTCTTGCCTGTGCACCAATGAACGTTTTCATTCCCAGGCTGAGGAATTCAGTCTGGTCTGAACTGGGGAAAAGATATAAGGATTAGAAAGGCCCAGTTGCACTAAGCAAGGGATTCTTCCTCCAGAATCTTCCCCTTTTCCCCTTAAACTGTTTTTCTCTTTTTTCCTTTTCCAAGTGAGAGGGCTCCCCCTGCCCACTCTGTTTCTGATAGGGAAGTTAACAGAGGAGTGGCCCCTGCTGGCTGATAACTGCAAATTCCACAGGGCACATTTGAAACACTCTAAACAGATACAAACAGCCTCTAAAAGGCCTTTTAAGTCCCAAACTTGATTCCAAGCTTCAGACAGAGGCCTTAAAAGGAAAAACCAAGTTTGAGGGATCCAAAGCCAGGCAACAGGCCCAATGTAAATAACCAAAACCAATTCCTGCTGACTAAACCTCCCACCTCACAGAAAGAGGCCATGCTGCAAGGCATAAACTGGCCAAGAGAACTCAAAGTTTGCCAACAATAGGGAGAAATGGAGATGTAGCTGAGGGCGGTTAATTACTATTCTCCAGGTTTTCCTTGCTGCATGGGTACATACCGCACCAGTACCCATGGCCAGCACCTGCCAAGGTCACCAGGGCTCAGGGATAAGGGGTGGAGAGTGAAAGGAGGATGCCTGCTTTCTCTCTACATCACACCCTGAGTTTTCATTGAAAGAAGGAAGGGAATGAGGGACACCTCTACTCCCTGTCTTTCAGAATAGGCAACCAGTTATCTTTACCCGCCCCCCTCCCCACCCAGCGTATACTCTTTTGGAGCATATCCTGAATCACTGGGACTACTTTGACCCTCAGAATCTGGAGGAAAAATGCCTCATAGCCCTCTGCACAAAGGTTTGGCCAAATTATGATTTGCATGAGGGACTGAGTTGGCCCCAGGAAGGAACCATTCATTTTGATACCATCCGGCTGTTGGAACTTTTCTGTAGATGAGAGGACAGATGGTCTGAGGCCCCATATGTGCAGTCTTTCTATACCTTGCAAGGCAATCCAGACCTTTGCCGACAATGTAGAATTGATCCAGCCCTTCTGTTTGCCATCTCAGGGAAGGCTACAAGGGGAAAGTCCAAGGAATTAAAGATATGAGTCCCAGAGACACCCTCAGCAGAGAAGATAGCTCCCTCCAGCCCTGATCCTCTGGGTCAACCCTGACCTCCCTGTCCAGCTTCAGCCTCTTACTTCCCCCTCCTAGAAATCCTCACTCCAAATAAGCCCCAGTCTCGCTCTTCCCCCTCCAACAGATGCCTAGTGAATTTGGGCCCAGTAAGGTCCAGGTCGCCTTCTCCCTAAAGGACTTAAAACAAATTAAGGGGGACCTTGGCAAGTTCTCAGATGACCCTGATAGATATATAGACTTTCCAGAATTTCTCCCAAATATTTGAACTCTCCTTGAGAGACATTATGTTACTTTTGAATCAGACCCTGACAGACAATGAGAAACAGTCTGCTCTGCAAGCAGCACAGAGATATGGGGTTGAGGATTGTATCACATATAGCATCAGGTATGGGGACAAATATTATCCAACCAGAAGAGAAGCAGTACCAATGCATGGCCCTAAATGGGGTCCCAATGATGAAGTGGAAGACTGGAAAAGGAGACACTTTTAGTTGTTCATAATGGAGGGCTTACACAGGACTAAGACCAAGCCAAGCCTCTCAATTATACTAAGTTGTCCATCATGGACCAGGGATTTGATGAAAATCCCACTGCCTTCCTTGAAAGGCTGAGAGGACTTGGTAAAGCACAACTCTCTATCTCCTGATTCAGTCGAGGGACCACTAATCCTAAAGGATAAATTTATTACTCAGTCTTCTGCTGATATCAGGAGGAAGTTGCAGAAATGGGCCCTGGGACAAGAAAGTACATTAGAGGACTTCTTGAAAGTGGCTACCTCGGACTTTTATAATAGAGACAGGGAGGACTGGGAAAGAGAGAGGAAATACAGGTATTCCCAGTGGGCTATTAACTGTTAAAGATATGGCAAGAACAGTTATCTCTCTTCTACAGTTTATCCGCTCCCATACAAAGTTTAATTTCTTTCACCAGGGTGAAACAGCTTGGGGTACAATGTTGTCATTAGTATATTTCACTTCTTATCTCTGTAATCTTTGGCACTAAATTCTTTTTGTTGTTGTTGTTGTTTTGTTTCGATATGGAGTCTGGCTCTGTCACCTGGGCTGGAGTGCAGTGGCGCGATCTCGGCTCACTGCAAGCTCCGCCTCCCGGGTTCACACCATTCTCCTGCCTCAGCCTCTGAGTAGCTGGGACTACAGGCGCCCGCCACCATGCCTGGCTAATTTTTTGTATTTTTGGTAGAGACGGAGTTTCACCGTGTTAGTCACGATGGTCTTGATCTCCTGACCTCATGATCCCCTCGCCTCGGCCTCCCAAAGTGCTGGGGTTACAGGCGTGAGCCACCGCGCCCGGCTTTTTTTTTTTTTTTTTTTTTTTTTTTTTTTTTGTATAATACACGTTTAACTCATGCAATCTTAACCTTATAAAACTTTTTTTCTCTCACGGCCTAGAAGCCACCAAACTCCAAATGGCCAGGCCACCAGAGCTTCAGAGATGGTACCCCTTTGCTAAGAACATTTAGACGGACCTCTGAGAGGAGTCTGACTGCTGTTTTCCCCAGAACAACGACCCTTCTCAGCAGGAAGCAGCTAAGACCAGTCATCGTTCATATTCTAATGGCAGTTAGATATACCTCTTCAGAGTGGGGAATGATAGGGGAGGGCTCAGGGAATTGCTGGGTAGAGAAAGGGATAGTCCCTTGCGAGGGCTTCACCTCCATGGACCTATAAAACCCCGAGATCCTAGTGGGCAAACACAGAGGCGCCCAGACATGGAGAGGAGCACATCAGTGGAAGAAGACACAAGTGGCTAGAGGCGAGGACGTAGAGGGAGCACGCTGGTGAAAGAGCACACTTACCGCTGATGCACAGCGGCAGCCCAACAACCAGCGGTACAAGGCGGAGTTTGGCCAGGGTAGTCAGAGAAGAGCCAGAGCCACCAAGGGGCCCAACTCCAGGGGAAAACCATCTCCCTTCAGGCTCCCCCATTGTCGGAGAGCGACTTCCACTTCACTTCATAAAACTTTGCACTCATTCTCGAAGCCCATGTGTGATCCAATTCTTCCAGTACACCAAGCCAAGAACCTGGGATACATAAAGCCCTCTGTCCTTGTGACAAGGTAGAGGGTCTAATTGACTTGGTTAACACAAGCTACCTATAAACAGCAAACTAAGAGAGCACCCTGTGACACACCCCCACTGGGGCTTCAGGGGCTGTCAACATTCACCCCTAGACACTGCAGTGGGGTCACTGCCCCACAGCCTGCCCGTCTGTGTATGCTCAGCAACAGGGCACTGAAAAAGCGAGGCACACCCCCATCACATGCCCTGCGAGGCAGACAAGGGAACCTTTCCTGTTCCAAAACCACCTCTGATGTTTGCTTAAAGCCCAAGGCTCTTCCATCTGCTTTTGGTGAATCCTGCCAGGCCTTGTACAAACCCTTCAGTCCAGTGGGCTCCCCTCTGGCCCAGGGCAGCTTCCATAAATGCTGTTCAAGGGCCTTGACCTGGACTTGGGGATCCCAAGAGCCTACCTGTTGCTCTACCCACTGTGGCTGAGATTGTTCCTGATTTTTGGTTCTTGCAACAGTGTTTTTCTGTGTGCAGATAGATGTTAAAATTTGGTGCTCCAGCCATGGGGACGAATGGTATCAGCTTCTATTCTGCCATCTTGCCCCAACTGTGCTCTTTACTTCTATCACATGCTGCCCATCTAACTATAGCTCAATAACATATAGATTCAATAGATTATTTAAAAATAGATGAAAAAGAGAGTCAGCTGAAATAGATGACAGAAAGACAGACACAGAAAGAGGTGCTTGTTCAAAAATATGTGTGTGTGAAACTAGTCTAGTATAAAGCCATAATAACTTTAAACAAAGATTTTATCAACAGAAGGGGAAATTGGTAAATAAGGAAGGAGTAGAGGGTGAGGACATAGTCAGAGGAAAGATTTATAATTAGTTCTCAGAATTTCACAGTGGGGCAGATTTCATGGCTTTTAGACTCTACCTGCCATATGGCTCTTTAATGGAGCATAACACTGGGTTGTCACAAGATATTAATAAATATTTGAATTATGTAATTCCTTCTCTTAGCTCCACTTCCATTAATTCATTTATTCATTAATTTAATATTCAATGCCTATTAAGCCAGGTGCTGCTGTATGTGCTTGAAACATAGTGAAGACCTAAGCAGACAAATTGATTCTCCAAAATATTCTATTGTTCATGGAATGATTGGAAAAACTCTGTCCGTCTGCACTTGAACTCATGGCAGACATCAAATAAAAAACTTAAACATATTCATCCAGATAAAAAAGACACACTTCTGATCACATTTCTGAATCTGAGTTAAGTAGTGAGTAAGAAGCTGAGGGGTAGTACTAGAAATCATGGAAGTGTACTGAAAGCTCAAAAGAGACTGAGCTCTTACTCATACTCCCTTTGTAAATAAGGGATTATACCATAAAAGATTCTCATATTTCTCTGATGACTATTGACAAAGGGCCGATTCCCACAGAGTGGTATGAGACCAGCAAAGAGGAAATAAATGAAAGCCATCCTACAACAAACTCATTTATAATGCCCAGATATTTCTGGGGAAGGTTTTAGATACACACACACACACACACACACACACACACACACACACGCACACACAAACACGACTCATCCCATATTAAAGAGATAGTATACATCTTCTGTTAAAAGACTATTCAACTGCATATTATTCTCCAAAAGATTTGCTATATATTCTGAAGAAAATATTTTAAACCTGCAAAGAGTTTATAACAGAGCAAGAGTATAATCTTTATATGGATAAAGTTTGAACTGTTTCCTTGATTGATGCAGACACAAATCGAAAAGAAGTAAGAACAGTGGATCGGCATAAAACTCTTTGGGTTTTCACTTTAATGACAGAAAAAAAAACTAGGTGTGGTCACAATCCTGCACTGAGACTACTAACTAGGGAAAAAGAAATGAGTAGTTATGATGCCCATTTCACATCTGGCACAAGAGTAAAAACAACTTATACCCAGTGTAATTGACACTAAGCAGGCAGAAACTATACAGTGAAGCTTCTGATCTTGGAGTAGTGTGATATGAGTTTAGCCAAAATCAAAACACCAATGTTGATGGCAGCAGCATGACAGATAGTGTCCAGACCACAACTATAATCATCTCTAGTATAAATCTCTAAGGCTAGTGCTGTGGAATCATCCGGTAAGTATTTATTAAAATATTCTGGTAAGGGACACTTCAGTGACATTTTTATAGCACTCATGTAGCTAAAAAATAAAGCCGGTAATGTTTACCTAGTGCAATTTATAAATACAATTTTTATTATCTCAGAAGTTGAGAAGCCTGGCATCTAGTAAGCACAATTTGAGAAAGACCATTTTTCTAAGGAATACTTTTAATCATTGAAAATGCATACAATTTCATAAATTTGGACTGCTTATCTAAATCATCTGAACATTTTGCAAGGGAGTATCAGTTTCCTTGAGCATAAAATATTCTTCACAATGCTTCTTCACCTTCTCTTACTATAGTAACTAGAGAAGTTTTATTTTATAAGAACACTCACTTTATCTGTACCATCTCCATAAAATTATCTTGAATTGATTCCTGTCTGAGTTTATAATATGTTTTGCATTCCATGTATTTTACAGAGATTTAACAATCATAACCCCCATTCATATTTTGCACTCAATAGAACTTGCATAAACAGAATTAAAAGTTTTGCAATCTTGTTAGGTCTCAGAATCTAGATGACAGATGTTGATTTTAAAGTGAGCTTGGCTAATCTCAAAAGTAGAAATGCCTTAAACAAGATAAGTGGGTTTAGCTGCTATCACTGTTGAAATATGACCAAATATCTAACAATGATTTTAAAAACAATTTTAAAATCTGGAATAAATGATTCATTCTTATTTACGCACAACATATTTATCATTCATCTATGCATTCAAGTTTTCATGCATACATTCAATTAAAACATTTATTGAGTAAAGTACTAGGTATTTCACTATGCTCTGGGTTTAAAAAAAAAGAAAGAGGTGAATGATAGACAGCAATTGTTCTTCTGAACTTGATGTGGAAGACAAATAAACACAACACTTGGTTTAAAATCCTGTGGTGTATCATTTCATACTAACCTGGAATCACTGGAGCAAGAACAACTTGTGTTCAAATCCTGACCTAGCCATTTCTTAATTATGTAGTTAAGTTACTTGAACATCTAAACTCTAGCTCTCTCTTCCAATAAATGAGCATCCTCTGGGCCAGGCTTGGTGGCTGACGCCTGTAATCCCAATACTTCAGGAGGCTGAGGTGGGCGGATCATCTGAAGTCAGGAGTTCGAGACCAGGCTGACCAACATGGTGAAACTCCGCCTCTACTAAAAATACAAAATTAGCAGGACGTGGTGGCGCATGTCTGTAATCCCAGCTACTCAGGGGGCTGAGGCAGGAGAATTGCTTGGACCATTGCACTCCAGCCTGGGCAACAGAGTAAAAACTCTGTCTCAAAAAAAAAAAAATATATTAGCATCCTTTGCTTTTAAATAGCTATGATATCATTTAACATACAGGGTTTGAGGATTAGATGAAATATATATAGATTACAAAGACACTAGTCTAATACTTTTATGTTTTTAATAATTCATACAAAATAAGAATCCAGAAATACAGTGGCCAATTCCAATATAATGATTACTCTGATCCTCCATACTGCCATTAATTTGGAATAAAATATACAGATTTACTGCTACTTTATTGTTTTAAATTTCCATACTACAAAAAGGTAAAAGATTGGTAAGCATTTAAACTAAAATTAAAGTAGGAGCTAACCAAAAAAGTAATATATTTTATATGTGAACCATTAGACAATATGAAATAGGAAGCCCTTTTCTTATCTGAGATAGCACAAAGTATTTTTGACTAATGTTGCTCATTACTGCATATGGCTTTGGAATCTTTTCACATCACATCCCTTTTAATTTATTCTAATCTTATAATAATGCTCAAACATAGCAAGTCCCATAATTGAAAGAAAAATTAAATATGAACCCACAAAATATTTTTCCATCCTTTTATTATAAGAATAATATTAAAAATAGTCCCACTTGTATGACAGGTATTTCATTTCTTTTTTAAAAAATTGTCAACGTAAGAGGATTATATTTGAGTTTATTTCTATTTCTTCACACGTTCATTTTACACATGCTAGTTTATCATCTAAGATTTAAAATATGTTAAATCCGATGTCATGAAACTTATTCTGAAAGTTGAAAATATCTCTTATTTCAAACTATTTTTCAATGAAATTTCAATGTCTACTTTTTAAAATCATGTAAGATATATAAAATAGAAGACTCCTATAAGGGAAGTGAGATGGGAACAAGGAGATCAAGTACAGCACAGTCACCTTTCTGAGAAGAAATATAGCAGAATGTAAAGGTACATGGATACTTGTCTAGAAAGCCCTTCTGTCTCAGGAGATGGTATCTGAGAGCACATTAGAGGAGCATCACCACTGTTAAAGGAAACACACATAGTGCAAAGAGGGCTAAGATTTCCTACACATCACAAAACATTGAATTTGGTCTTAATGCGTTCATTCTGATTTAGTTGTAAGTCACCAAAACCAAGTAATTAGTGGGAGATGACAATGGAAACTCACCAATCCAAGGAAATAATGCACAAACCCAACTTCAACACCTTTCTTTTTTAGATACTCTGTTCAAAGTTTCTAATTTCCAGGGAAGAATCTGCAGGAGGTTGTAGCAGGAGTTATCTACTGGGTCATTTTGTTATAAATCAGGGGCTGGGTCACATTAACACATGTATCTGCAGGAGGAACTATGAACGTTTATCAAGGGAAGAAAAAGCAAACCCCAATAAGTTATCCTAAATGGCAGTGAAAATTGTGGTGGCCAATTAACTGACCAATTTTTCCATATTCAGACCAAAAGCAAGAATTTAAAAAGATAGTGTTTACAGAAAAAGAATATCCTTCCTATTGACCTCAGATCTGATGAATTCCAAGAAGGTATGCCTATGAGGTTCTACCTAAGTGCTGAAGTAAAGTTATAGTCAAATATTTGGTACATATATTAGGATACTGGTTAAGCTGCTTTAAACAGAGGTG
Organism: Homo sapiens; assembly: GCF_000001405.40. Classification (NCBI taxonomy): domain Eukaryota; kingdom Metazoa; phylum Chordata; class Mammalia; order Primates; family Hominidae; genus Homo; species Homo sapiens. The sequence goes on from NC_000003.12 coordinate 96,709,126, forward strand.
ATATACTAATTGTTTAAACTAAATAGAAGTTTATTTCTTTCTTATGTTAAAGCCTAGCAATAAGTGGCCCAGGCATAGTAGAGTGGTACTGTCATGCTTGAACACATAATTTCCTTTTTGGGGTCCAAGCAAACTATGCCTTTTAATATCACCTGCCAGACAGGGAGAAGAAAGAAAGGAATTAAGAAGCACATGCTCATTCCTTTTAAAGAAAGGACCTAATGATGGCTCAAAGCACTTCTGTTGCTTTCTAGTGATAATAACTTAATCAAATATCCATATCCAGATGCATGGGAGATTAAGAAATGAAGTGTTTAGTTTAAGCAACCATGTGGCAATTACAAGTGTTATTATGGAAAAAAAGAAGACTGAATATTGATGGACTACAAGCAATCTGTCACAAGGCTTTTCAGAAGGTGAGAAATGAGGCCAGCAAAATAAAGAATGGGAAATTTAACAGGGACATAGAAAAACCAGAAGTATGAATACCGCTAATTCTCAAATAATCAAAAAGGCATAAAATTTTTCAAAAACAGAGCAAGAAATCAAATGCTTGTTGTAGTCCCAAGTCCTAAAGTGAATTTCAAATGGTCTCAACTTTCTTTTGACTCTGAAAAATAGTAGAAGTACAATTTTGACCTGGCTGTCATAATCATGGCAAAAGCAATTAAAAATTTGAATTCAAAAGTTGCAAATATAGATCCAGTTTTCTAAAATTACTTTTCTCAAATTTTGATTTTAAATGAGAATATTTCCTAAAGCTTATTTCATACTAAGCTTCAATCATAAAGCTTATGATTATAGGGTTTAATTTATTTTTAAAGTATGAGATAATTATGCATTTAAACTTTATTTGTTTTTTAAGTGAATGCCTCATTTATTTTCTTTTTTTATTTTATTATTATTATACTTTAAGTTTTAGGGTACATGTGCACAATGTTCAGGTTAGTTACATATGTATACATGTGCCATGCTGGTGTGCTGCACCCATTAACTTGTCATTTAGCATTAGGTATATCTCCTAAAGCTATCCCTCCCCCCTCCCCCCACTCCACAACAGTCCCCAGAGTGTGATCTTCCCCTTCCTGTGTCCATGTGTTCTCATTGTTCAATTCCCACCTATGAGTGAGAATATGTGGTGTTTGGTTTTTTTGCTCTTGCGATAGTTTACTGAGAATGATGATTTCCAATTTCATCCGTGTCCCTACAAAAGACACGAACTCATCATTTTTTATGGATGCATAATATTCCATGGTGTATATGTGCCACATTTTCTTAATCCAGTCTATTGTTGTTGGACATTTGGGTTGGTTCCAAGTCTTTGCTATTGTGAATACTGTCACAATAAACATACGTGTGCATGTGTCTTTGTAGCAGCATGATTTATAGTCCTTTGGGTATATACCCAGTAATGGGATGGCTGGGTCAAATGGTATTTCTAGTTCTAGATCCCTGAGGAATCGCCACACTGTCTTCCACAATGGTTGAACTAGTTTACAGTCCCACCAACAGTGTAGAAGTGTTCCTATTTCTCCACATCCTCTCCAGCACTTGTTGTTTCCTGACTTTTTAATGATCACCATTCTAACTGGTGTGAGATGGTATCTCATTGTGGTTTTGATTTGCATTTCTCTGATGGCCAGTGATGGTGAGCATTTTTTCATGTGTTTTTTGGCTGCATAAATGTCTTCTTTTGAGAAGTGTCTGTTCATGTCCTTTGCCCACTTTTTGATGGGGTTGTTTGTTTTTTTCTTGTAAATTTGTTTGAGTTCATTGTAGATTCTGGATATTAGCCCTTTTTCAGATGAGTAGGTTGCGAAAATTTTCTCCCATTTTGTAAGTTGCCTGTTCACTCTGATGGTAGTTTCTTTTGTTGTGCAGAAGCTCTTTAGTTTAATTAGATCCCATTTGTCAATTTTGGCTTTTGTTGCCATTGCTTTTGGTGTTTTAGACATGAAGTCCTTGCCCATGCCTATGTCCTGAATGGTATTGCCTAGGTTTTCTTCTAGGGTTTTTATGGTTTTAGGTCTAACATTTAAGTCTTTAATCCATCTTGAATTAATTTTTGTATAAGGTGTAAGGAAGGGATCCAGTTTCAGCTTTCTACGTATGGCTAGCCAGTTTTCCCAACAGCATTTATTAAATAGAGAATCCTTTCCCCATTGCTTGTTTTTCTCAGGTTTGTCAAAGATCAGATAGTTGTAGATACGCGGTGTTATTTCTGAGGGCTCTGTTCTGTTCCATTGATCTATATCTCTGTTTTGGTACCAGTACCATGCTGTTTTGGTTACTGTAGGCTTGTAGCATTTATTTTCAATTCAGTAAACTTAATTTAAATTAATTAAAGTGAACTTGAAAATGAAAAGTTCAACTATTTTAAATTTTTTTGGAAGTAACATGATGCATTTTTAGAAATAAATATTAAATACAATGTTCACTTGCTTACATTTTAAGACTATACTTTTAGTTTTTATATAATATATATTTTGTAATATGCATTATATATGTATTATGTATATGTATATATATATAGAGAGAGACCTTATACATTTATTGCATCTCAAGTTCACCATCCATTGTTTGACTGTGTTTTCAAATGAGCAAGTGAAAGAATTAGTATAAGTTGATTAGAGAATGTATTTCTGTTTTACTCAAATAATCTAGTAATCTAGGGCATGGTAAAAAGAAACCTGAAGCCTGTATACAAATATGTCCCAGATATTTAACAAAATATAATATGTCCCAGATATTTAACAAAATATGCTTATATTGAAAATTTAAATTCAGTTTTCTTTTATAACTGTAAACCCATAAATACCTTAAAGTTTCACCATAGCTCCCGACAAAGATGTGTGGAAACTTCACTGAAGGGCTCCCATTACTGTTTACAAGCTGTATAAGATGGGGCCCAAAGTCCAGAGACAATTACATAGCAAGAAACCAATTCCGCTTCTGCAGAGAGGTTGCTCTAGTTGACTACAGAATTATTACCCTAATTCTAGGTTTTTGTGTTTTTCCATCTTGGGAATCAAGCTTAGAATTAGGGAGAATGAAAAGAATTGCCTAATGCTGATAAACAGGGGGTTACATTGCTGATCTCAGTCCCTTTCCTCCGTAGAAAAAAGGGGAACTCAGGATTTCAATGTGAATGAAGTTTGAGACTTAGTCCTTGCTTCATTGACCATCCAAACAAATCTAAAAAATACTAAACAGAATCCAAATGTGTGCTGTTGAAGAAGATTTGCTCTGCTTTTTTTTTCTGTTTGGTGGTTGTTTCAGTATGCCTGTCAGAATCATATTTATAGAAAGAGAGAGAGAAAGAGCAACTAAAGAAATGGTCTAGAGAACAGTGGTATCAGTAAAAGTGGTAGAACAGGATGATTTTCAGAGGGCAGCAAAAATTGTTATCTTTTGTATTCATCCCTTAATTATATTTTGCCACTAAAGCTTGTGTTACAGAACACATGGAAAAATATTACCAATTGCATACATTTGTTGCCCTTGTTTATGAAAGCTCATCAGTGTTTTCAAACTGTGCATAAGTAAAAGCAAATTATTCAACCAAAATATGTCGGGAAACAGCGAGGATAAAAAGAACATAATTATGTTTTGTTTAATGTATTCTACAAGGTAAAGCCTAGTAATTTGTTTCACTACTTGTAATACATAGGGGCATTAATAATAGGTTTTCTTCAAGATATTTATCTGCCAATCTCCAACTCATTAACATCAGCTATTAATATTTGATTTGAAAGCAAAAGCCTTAATTTGTAATATAATATAAACTTGACATTAGCCAATATTTATAGATTTTAAAAGTACAGGCAGTCATCACTGTAAACAGTAATGCAGTATCGTAAAAATGACTGTGTAAGTAAACAGTGCCAAGTGATCTTACTAAAACGTGGTAAACATTATAAATGAGACATGGCCCATGAAAATATTTGTCAAAATATTAAAACTCTCTTACTCTTATCTACAGATATAAAAAGAAATGGAAAAAAAAGTAAAGTTAATATTTATTTTATACTCTAATTTAAAACATTAGAAACTTTAAGAATAAAAGTAGGTTTTTTCATAAAACATGTAAAGAATAGTGTAAACAGGGTTTGCCTTCTCATGGTATAACTGACAATATGGAGTATTTCTCTATGTTTTGGAAAATTGTTATACTCCTAAGTTTTGATCAACTTCCAACATTTTATCCTTTTCACTTTCAATGTCAGGAAATCTCTCCAAAGTTCCTTTAAAGTGAAGGTTTTTTGCCAGCATCAATTCTTCTGAGATATTTTCATCCTTTCACCGCAACCACCGTACTAATTTAGGTCAATACGTTTGCCTTGACTCAGCTCCTCCAGAGTCCCTTAAGCTATTTCTTCTAGAACTCAATTTACATAAGATTCTAATTCTATATCCAGCATGATCGCTTTTTGTTTCTTTGCTGCATTTTCATCTTTATTGGTCAATTCCCTCTTTTGACTATCTATCTTTGTAAAATAGCTCCTGAATTTATCAGGGGAGAGAAGGAGGCAATACAACGGCAGCATTGCTTTTTGAGTGTGAAGTGAATAACAAATGCATGGTGGCCAGTCACCAACAGATCTTGAAAGAAGTGACAAGATTCATCACTGATCATGATGTGTGTCTGTTTTTTACATAGCGATGTATGGACTGAAGAAGTAGCAAGTTTGTACATTATGCAATTTCTCAGTGTAAATATAAGGGGGTATTGAAATTTGAACTGTGGTTGTAGAGGGCTAGGGTAAGTTAAATAAATCATGGTAAATAAAATCTGTTCATATCAGAACCATGCAAATAAAGGACTGTCTTGTATGTTGTAACAAGAATTAGGCTAGATGTTAAATTTAGTTGGCAGTAAATGTTTTCTTCATTGACCAATCAGGTACCTCAGCATGGTTAACAAGGAAGGGTAACCTACTGAAGATTTAGCTTCTGCGATAGGCTTCATAAGAACCCCCAAAACACATACCAGCATCCAAACAAATATAGACAATAAATAAAAGTAGCATGCTTCATGTAAACTGAGCTTCAAGACCAGTGTGCCACTTGTCCCAACCAGGTTGATACACATAAGCCTATTTTATACAGAAATTCTGAATTCCCCACTACTTTTTAAATGCTATATTATATTAGATTTTGCCATCAGCAAGAGAGCCCAACACAGAAAAAAATAACTTTATAGAGACCAGCATTCAACTGGAAATTTGAGTTAATTAAATTCTCAATAAATATTAGCCAAACAGTGCTTCTACCTTCCCCCTACAAAACAGCTAGACTATGACTCTACCACTTCATGTCCATTAATATTGTCAATATCCATAATTACTGATCATGACAAATGTCTATTCCATCATACCACCTTGCACTTTTAGTCCTATAGAAATCACACTCATTCCTCCTACACAAAAAGTCTTTCTTACCTAATACCTTTCCACTCTGTCATATGGGTTCTCTATTTTAAAATTCTAATGATTTTCTCAAATTTTATGTGAGAATTATGTTCACATTATATGCAACCACACTTCATGTGCATTTCATTTCTCAATTCATTTTCCTTCCAAGGAGAAAAATATAAATGATTTGAGAGAACTTAAAATGTTCACATTAAAACAATACATTAAAAGAATCGTTCACCATGATCAAGTGGGATTTGTCTCTGGGATGCAAGAATAGTTCAAAATATGCAAATCAATAAGTATGATACACTACATTAACAAAATGAACATAATTCAACATTGCTTCCTGATGAGAATTCTCAACAGATTAAATATAGAGGGAATGTTTCTTGACACAATAAAGGATATATATGACAAACCTGTAGCCAGCATCAGCTTCAAAGATGAAAAGTTGAAAGCTTTTCCTCTAATATCAGGGACAAAACAAGAATGCCCACTCTCACAGCTTCTTTTTAACATAGTGCCAGAAGTCCTGGCCAGAGTAATTAGGCAAGAAAAAGAAATAAAATACATTTTAGTAGGAAAGGAAGAAGTTAAATTGTCTCCATTTGGTGACAACATGAGCTTATATGCAGAAAACCTAAAGACTCTACCAAAAAAACTGCTGGAACTGATAAATGAATTCGGTGAAGTCCTAGGGTATAAAATCAATGTACAAAATAAGTGGTGTTTCTATATTCTAATAAATTATTCAAAAGGGAAATTAAGAAATCAATCCCATTTTCAATAGCAACAACAAAAAAAATGACAATGCCAAAGTATAAATTTAACCAAGAAGCTACAAGAGTCTGGGCGCAGTGGCTTATGCCTGTAATCCCAGCACTTTGGGAGGCCGAGGCGGGTGGATCATGAGGTCAGGAGATGGAGACCATCCTGGCTAACATGGTGAAACCCCATCTCTACTAAAAAAAAATAATAATAATAATAATAATAATAATAATTAGCCGGGCGTGGTGGTAGGCATCTGTAGTCCCAGCTACTCGGGAGGCTGAGGTAGGAGAATGGCATGAACCTGGGAGGTGGAGCTTGCAGTGAGCAGAGATCACACCCCTGCACTCCAGCCTGGGTGACAGGGCGAGACTCCGTCTCAAAAAAAAAAAAAAAAAAAGTGTAACAGAGTTGCATACTGAAAACTATAAAATTCTGATGAAAGAAAATGAAGCAACAAATAATTAATATAATAAAAAAGTCCATACTATCCAAAATGATCTACAAATTCAATGCAATCCCTATCAAAATTCCAATTTTTTTCATAAAAATAAAAAAAAATCCTTAAGTTAGTATGAAATTACAAAAGACTCCAAATAGTCAAAACATCTTGTGGAAAAAGAAAAAAAGTAGAGGCATCACACTCCCTGATTTCAAAACACATTCAAAAGTGATTATAATAAAAACAGTATGTTACTGGCATAAACAGACACATTAGCCAATAGAACAGGACAGATAACCCAAAAATAAGCCCACACATTTATAGTCAATTGAGTTTTGACAAGGGTAAGAGCACACAATGAGAAAAGGACAGTCTTTCAATAAATCCTGTTGGGAAAACTGGCTATCCACATACAGAAGACATAAATTGGATCCTTATCTCACACCATACACAAAATAAAATCAAAATGGTTTAAAGACTTATACATAAAACCTGAAACCATAAAACCACTGAAACAAAATATACAGAAAAGTGCCAGAATATGGGTCTGAGAAAAAAATTTTGGATATGACCCCAAAAGCACAGGCAACAAAAGCAAAAACAGACTAATGGAATGACATTAAACTGAAACATTTCTGCACAGCAAAAGAAGCAATTAACAAAGTGAAAAGACAACACACAGAATGGAAGAAAATGTTTGCATATCATATATTTGATAAGGGTTAATATCTGAGTTATATAAGACATTCAAACAACTCAATATCAAGGAAACAAGCTGATTTAAGAACAGGCAAAGAACTTGAGCAGACATTTCTCAAAAGAAAACATACAAATGACTAATAGGTATATAAAAAGAAAGCTCACCATCAGTAATCATTAGAGAAATGCAAATTAAAACCATAATAAGGTATTATCTTACACCTGTTAGAATGGCTTTTTTCGAAAAAAGATGAAAGACTCATGTTGGCAAGGATGCAGAGAAAATGGAACACTTGTACATTGTTAATGAGAATGTAAATTGGTATAGTCATTATGGAAAACAATATTCAGATGCTCAAAAAACTATAAATAGAACAACCATATGATTCAGTAATCCCACTTCTGGGTATATATCCATAGGAATTGAAATCAATATATTCAAGTGATACCTATACTCCCATATTTATGACAGCATTATTCACAATATTCAAGCTATGGAATCAACCTAACTGTCCATCAAAGGATAAAGAGATAAAGAAAATTTAATAAAAATACACAATGGAATACTGTTCAGTCTTAAAAAAGAAAGATATCCTGTCATTTGTTACAAAATAGATGAACCTGGAGGACATGATGCAAGTGAAAGAATCCAAGCACAGAAAAAGAAATACCATATGATCTCACTTTTATGTGGAATCTAAAACATTTGAACTCATAAAAGTAGCAAGTAAAATGATGGCTTGCAGAAGAGAGAGGAAATGGGAAATTGTTGATCAAAGGGTACAAAGTTTCAGATAGACAAGAGGAATAACTTTTGAGATATATTGTACTGAAGGGTGACTATAGTCAAACAACAGTGTACTGTGTACTTCAAAATAAGAGAATAAGAGAGTGAATTTTAAATGTCTCCCCATAAAATAATGATAGGTAAGCAAGGGGGTGGATATGTTAATTAGCTTGATTTAATCATTCTACATTGTATTCACATTTTGAAATATCACATTGTATCCCATTAATATATAAAATTGTTTTCAATTTAAAATAATATTAATAAAAGTACTTGAATAAAGCAATTCTTCAAACAAAGAAAACACTATCAAAATTAATTCAGTGTTGTATGTGTCTGATTGCACATTAAAAGCATGAGTAAAAGCCACCTAAAATATATATATATATGTATAATTGAATGTATATGCTGAATTTACAAAGGATAAGAGAATGTTCTTAAGAAGAAATAAAACTTTTAATGGGAGAAAAACAAGATATCCCCAAAACCTTGGATATCTTCAGTGTCCCTTTTTTCTTAAAAACAAGATACCAAAATTTTGTAGTGATGCTCTATGAGAAAAGAAAGCCCTAAAATACTTAATCTCAGTAGTTGGAATCTAATGCTAAATTCTTTTATCTGACATTACCAGAGTTCAAAGATTTTTGTAAATGTCAGCAATCAAATCTACAAAAGATATCTCTGAGGATAGGATTACGAAGCAAACACATTCTGAAGTCAACAGTTAACATCAAATTATATCTTTCTATACATTGGGAAAACATCAAGGAGATTAGAACTGAGAAAAAAAAAACTCTAAAAGTGTACCTCATTTTATTGCACTTCCCTTTATTGTCCTTTGCAGATATTGTGATTTTTACAAATGGAGGATTTGTGGCAACCCTGCATTGAGCAAGTATATCAGCGCCCTTTTTCCAACAGCATGTCCTCACTCATGTCTGTGTGTCACTTTGTGGTAATTCTCACAATATTTCTAAACATTTTCGTTATGATCACCATATATGTTATGGTGATATGTGATATGTGATCATTGATGTTACTATTGTAATTGTTTTGGGGCACAATGTACTGTGCCTATATGAGACAGTAAACTTAATCTATAAATGTTGAATGTGTTCTGACTGCTGCAATAACAGGCCATTCCGCTGTTTCTCCCTCTCCTCAGGCCTTCTTATTCCCAGAGATACGTTATTGAAATCAGGCCAATTACAACCTCACAGTGGCCAATAAGTGTTCAAGTAAATGGAAGAGTCACTCATCTCTCATTTAAAGCCCAAAGCTAGAAAGGTTTAACCTTACTGAGGCAGGCATTTCAAAAGCCGAGACAGGTTGAAAGTTAAGTCTTTCATGCCAAATAGTTAGCCAAGATGTGCATGCGAAGGAAAAGCTATTGAAGAAAATTAAAAGTGATACTCCAGTGAACACACAATGATAAAAATGCAAACCAGCCTTATTGCTTACGTGAACTAAATTGGAGTGGTCTGGATAGAAGGCCAAATCAGCCACAACATCCCCATAAGCCAAAGCCTAATCCTGGATGAGGACCCAAGATGAGAGAGGTGAGGAAGATGCAGAAGAAATGTCTGAAGCTAGCAGAGGTTGGTTCCTGAGGTTTAAGGAGAGAGGTCGTCTCTATAACATAAAAGTGCAAGATGAAGCAGCAAGTGCTGATGTAGAAGCTGAAGCAAGTTGTACAGAGGATCAAGATAAGATCATTGATGATGGTGGCTACACTAAACAACAGTATAGACAAAACACAGCCTTATATTGGAAGAAGATGCCATTTGAGACTTTCACAGCTAGATATAAAAAATCATTGCCTGGCTTCAAGGCATCAAACTACAGACTGACTCTCTTGTTAGGGTCAAATGCAGTTAGTGACATTAAGTTGAAACCAATGCTCATTTACCATTCCAAAAATTTTAGGGTTCTTAAGTATTGTGTTAAATCTACTGTGCCTATGCTCCAGTGGCAAAACAAAGCATGGATGACAGCACATCTGTTTTAGTATGGTTTATTGAATATTTTAAGCCCACTGTTGAGAACTTCTCCTCAGAATATCACCCCTCACTGACAATACATCTGGTCACCCAGGAGCTCTGATGAAGATATGCAAGGAGAATAATGTTTTCATGGCTGCTAATGCAGTATTCATTTTACAGCTCAGAGTTAAAGGAGTATTTTAACTTTCAAGTCTTATTATTTAAGAAATACTTATGATAAGGCTATAGCTGCCATGGATAGAGATTCCTCCAATGGATCTGGGCAAAATAAATTGAAAATCTTCTGTAAAAGATTTACCATTCTAGATAACATTAAGAACATTTGTGATTTTTGAAAGGAGGTCAAAATATCAACATTAACAGGAGTTTGAAAGAAGTTGATTCCAACTCTCGACCTTTGAGACTTTGAAGTGTTCAAGACTTCAGTGGAGGAAGTTGTGGAAATATCAAAATTAGAATTAGAAGTGGAGCCTGAAGATATGACTGAAGACTGCTGCTATCTCAGGATAAACCTTTAATGGATGAGGAATTGCTTCTTATGGATGGGCAAAGAAAGTGGTTTCTTGAGATGGAAAATACCCATGGTGCAGATACAGTGAACATCACTGAAATCATAAATAGGATTTAGAATATAACATGAACTTAGTTCAAAAAGCAGTGGCAGAGTTTGAAAGGATTGACTTCAATTTTGAAAGGAGTTCAACCCTGCATAAAATGCTATCCAACGCATCACATGCTGCAGAGAAATATTTTGTGAAAGGACAATCAATGTGGCAAACTTTACTGTTGTTACCAGGTGTTTCCTTTACTAAAGGAGTTTAAACTATTGTGTGAGCTTTATTTTAAGGTTTATGAGAGTTTCATCTGTGCTGAGATGGTCTTGTCTCCAGGAAAACCCCGGACCAAGTTGCATCATACTGCTAAGTGACACGTAGTGTCAGCCCTGCAAGATACTTGTGTGGGCCTTATGGCTATCATTAATCCTATAGCCATGTATGCCTCTTATAATATACTTAAAGATATGAAGTTGGGAGAGAAGCAACTAGGTAATAAAAGACAGGAATCAGAAAGTGAATCAGAGCATCACTTTCAAGATAAGATCAGAGTGAGAAATTATATCTCAGTTCACAATCAGATGGAAACAGGCAAAGTTTAGAACAACGTGATTCAACTGGAGTGAATAACTTTCAGTTCAAGTGCAAAACCATACAATCCTAGGACAAGAAAGCAAAGCATCTTGACCAAAGCTTAGGTACTGAGCAATTAGACCAAGCTACAATGTTAGAAGTCCTAGAGTTTGTATATTTCCATGGCAAGACTCTTCTGAAGGCTTAGGCTTTATACCATTTGGCTTACTCTCTCTTAAGTTAAAAACATATCATAAAATATGGCATATAAAAATAAAAGTATGCTATGGTTACTAACTACTTTGGTAACACTTTGACCTAGAGAGGTGCAATATTTGATGTTCAAGGACAATGTTTCTATAGTTTGGAGATTCTGAAGTGGACATTTGGATCTAAAAATTTTCTAAATTCTTGAGCATTAGGAATTTAACAAGGCCTAAATAGTTTATTCTATTGGCCATAGTGAGTTTACACTTCATGTAAGTGATACAGATGTTTGTCTTACCTTCACTCCTCTATTAAAAGACAATTATTGATGACCTACAACGTGACAAGAGCTTTATCTTCTATTTATTAGGAATGCAAGTATGAGTAAGAAAGAGTTCCTGGCTTTAAGAGCTTAGATTCTATGAAATCTTCAGAGATGGAGAAAGGTAGGAGCAGAAGATTCTACCATCAATTTTTTAGTGTACTGAGATACAGGCTTAAGCATTTAATTGTCTTTCTATCATTGGTCAATGTGCCTAACCTTGTACCAGCAGATGTGTTTTGCAAATTATGTCAATCAGCATGTAAGAATACTAGGGATGGGGCTAATAGAAGATAATGGTCAAAATATTATAGATCAGACAAAATGTAGGTAGATATCTACATTCACCATGGCAGTAAATGGTAATGATATTGTGTAGTATCTGGGGTGATACATAACCTTGTATTTGTGTTTATTTTCTTTTTTATTTTGTACTTATTTATTATATATATTTGTGTACTTATATGTATAAATGTTTTTATATTTGTGCGTATTATCTTTATATTTTTATAATGTGTTTTATTCATCTAATTTATATTTCTTATAATCAATTTGTGTAGTGGGTATAAGTTTTTCAATGTCATATAGAGCACAGGAATGGTCTCTATTTTTTTTTAAATTATACTTTAAGTTCTAGGGTACATGTGCACAACGTGCAGGTTTTTTACATATGTATACATGTGCCATGTTGGTATGCTGCACCCATTAACTCGTCATTTACATTAGGTATATCTCCTAATGCTAGTTTTATCTTTTGCTGTCTATATTCCTATTGATAGAACAGTGCCTGCAACATAATAGGTGCGTAATAACTATTTGTTGACTCTTGTGTCATATGAAGGCAGAAGTAGGGCTCTATTATCAGATTAGTCTTAACCTCCCTGACTACAATGGACTGAGTGTTTATGTCCCTTCAAAATTCATATGTTGATATCTTAACCCCCAAGGCAATGGTATCCAGAGATGCAAACTTTGGAGGTATTCTTTTTCTAATTATGACAGAAATCTTTATTAAAATGTGTCTCTTGGTAATATGTTTAGCATTCAATATACACACATACATATGTACACTCTTTGTCACACCTCATGGATTGCCACCATCAGTTTAACCAATAAATTAAAACTAAAAAGAGGGAGGGGAGGGGAGTGGGACTAACGGCAAACTTTTCATGTTTTATCTGGTAATAAATTGTGGATTTCTCAGAATTTCCCTGGGGAAAACTTGTGGCTAGAGAATCTTTGAAATAAAATACATAAATCCCTACCCCTTGCAAAAAAAAAAAAAGATTCCAAAAGATGCAATTACAACAAGCGTGCTTCCCAGAACAGGAACATTCATTCCATTTCATACTCTGGCTTCTTCACCTTCTACACCTTCACCTAGCTGCGGGGAGAGAGACTCATATGGGCACTTGGGCTCAGTGCATCCTGGGATCTGCCCTATGAATGGGATTTGTGCCATTATAAAAGAGATCCCAGAGAACTTGTTTTCCCCTTCCATGTGAAGACACAGGGAGACAGTGCCATCTGTGAGGAAATAGTCTCTCAACAAACTGAATCTACAAGCCTTTTGACCTTGCACTTCCCAGCTTCTAGAAGTTGGAGAAATAAATTTTCTGGTTTATAAGCTACCCACTTCATGGTATTTTGCTATACTAGCCTGAATGTACTGAAACACTGGCAATGCTGTGTTCATTGAAATGGATCATTGAAGTATAAAATCAAAATTAATATCTGTGATTTAACACCACTTATTTTGTTGGCCCATGGAAAATTACATCTCTAGCAGCCTGTGGGCTAAAAGCATGAAAGGAAATACACCATTTTAGGTTAAGGTTAAAATCTCACCATGTCATTATTGCCTGGTAATTAAGGTTACCTGTTAAAGTGTTTTCTGCAAGGAGGGACATGGGCATACAATTGACATGCATGAAATAACACTAAAACACACAGTCAAAAATTATTCAAGCACATTCAAATCTTCTGATTAAATCAAAGATAATGTCAATGTGCTGTTATTATGCCTTTTACATGCCACTAATACCTACTAATCTGATTTAGTGAAAGACAAAGCAGGCTTTGTTATTGGCACCTTTGTTAGAAAACAGTATTTAGCTCAAATTTTAAAACCTTACCTTGTTTTAATTTATGCACAGTTATTGTCTATTTATTGTGATAGTGTTCTTTAATGCAAAATTTTCAAAATAATATATATCTTAAAATTTTGATTTAATCAAAGCTGAACAGTCTTATAGGAAATGCCTGGACGTGTACAAAACTGTAAAAGTGGTATGAAAGAGAATAAAATTTGAGAAATTCCATTGAAAATCCAAGGAGACAAAGTTGTTCATTATTTGTCATGACATATAATGCAGATATCAAACCTAGAGCTTGGCAAGACTCCCTTAGGATCAAGGGCTTATTCATAATAGTATATGAAGACCACAAAGAGAGATTATCCTAGAAGAAATTTCTGTCCTCTTCCTCATCTTCACAGCTCCATACTGCTTATCCAAATAACAAATTCATTGTCTTCACGTTTTTTTTTTTTTTTTAAGATTTTCTAATCCTGATTGGCAGTCCAGTTTCACCTACCTGTCGCCTTTTTGCTTTCGGTTGTCACACTGGTTTTTAATCCTCTTTCAGTACTGACCCTGGGACCAGTAGACTCTAATTTGCTACTGAGCTTTAGCCTTACCGTAATTTGTCTATGTCTTCATTTTCCTTGGATTAATTTTCTCACAAGACTAACACAGGTCTGGTTTTTCCAGACATACCTCATTCTCCCCAGATGAGGCTCCTGACTCTACATCTGTGAAGTTGCAACCCAGGGGGACAATTCTAATTGTTGTATTCTAATATAATTCTACTCTAAAATGAATTTACCCTGACAGTAATAGAGTATTATTGAAAAAGGAATTGTTCAAAGCCATGTACCTAATTATATTCCATAATTTCATATTCCTTTTCTATAAGAGAGCTCACAAAATTATATAACTTTGGGCCCCATAGTATGAGGTCAAAGCCAGCTTCAACTATAACAATAATCAAGTCATAGCAAGAAAATAACGAAATGTTTGTAAATAAATCGTAGGTACAATTATAGCTTGAGCACTGAGGATTTAAACCATCTGCTCTTTCAAATAGTTATTTTCTAAATAAAATAATTTTATTTCATTGCCTTCATTAACATAACTTTACTATTCTGAAAACCTCTTGCCCAAGCAAACAAACTTGTAATTTATTTTAAAAACTTCATGAAAGACGCAGATGCATCACCTCTTCAGTATAAAGCATCAACAGTTTACATCCTAAGAGTCTTTGATCCCCTAGCCCCAAAGCCTTGCTTTGCTGTTTCTAACAGTCCCCAAGTGCTCCATCATGATTATTACCCAACTCTAATTGATCTTCCTCACTTCCAACAATGAAATACCCACATTATATCAAACTGCCACTTCTCAATAAAAACAAATCCTGCCCATCCCCTAGGAGACACTTCCAAAGTTCTGTTGTGGTGGTCTTCTCTCTTACTGTGATAAATAATAAACTCAAATCTGTCTTATGGACAGATTATGTTAGTGATATATTGGGAGCCAGAATTCAACACTTTACAAGACCTTTTATGTATTCATATACCTTCAAGGAATTATTTTAGCAGAAAAATAATCTATAGCCATGCCCAGTGGTTAAGAGGATATAACTTGCTAGTATATGAACAGATGAGACCAACCAGCTGATATCCATGGTTTCCTTCATTAATTTTTTCACCTTCTTTGGAAAGATAAAAATCAGAATTTTAATGTTTCAACACTGAGTCTGAATCTTCCTCAATTTTTCATTTCTTCTGAATATATGCAGACTTTTAAAAAGTAGTGCCTTGTTGTTTATTATGGGGAAAAAATAGAACAGACCAAATTTTTGGAACTGATTAAATGTGATATAATGTAAGAGTCTCTTTGCTTCCTTCAAATTTCAATGGTAAGAATATTAAACCACTAAGTTTTAATTTCAGAGATAAGAAAAACAGAGACTCAAGTAAAGAATGCCCTGGTCCCCATTTTCAATGTATTCAATCCAGTTCATAAATATTTGGAGCACTTCTCCTTGTTTCCCTATCAAATGCAATGCTGGAACAAGAAGCAAGAGGAACAGCGACTCAAGCCTGCATTAAAAGGAAAGAAGACAGTATGATGATACTAAAAAAATAATTATTGACTATTTTTAAATATGTACCCATCTTCATTGCCACAGAGGCAAAGCAGACTGCCTCTACACCTTTTCATCCCTGCAGCCACAATATCCTGCTTTTTCTTTCTCCAGTCTTGTTAGTTCTGATATTCATTCAAAATGATTACATTCATGAAACAAAGTGTGTGATAATAAACTGAGGAGATAAAAAAGAGGATGAATGAAAATCAAGAACTCACAGAATAGGGACCCTGCATTCCTCTGTAATAGCCAGTGATCGTAGTAAGTTTGGTAAGAACACATATCTGTGGCGTTTGCTTTCAAGATTAGATGTAATGTATTGCCTGAGAGGTAGAAAGACAAAGATAATGGGTAAGGATTAATTTGTTGGGGGAAAAATGAGGGATATGAAGGTCTTCAGGTCAGGTCAAGAAACCTATCCTCAATCTTTTATCAGCAGCTGTTTTTGACATAACCATTTAATTTTGACCCTTCCTAAAAAGAGAAATATAATCTTTGTTTAAAGAAACTGTTGCTATCAAAATTCCAAAATAAAACAAAACCAAAAATAAAACAGATTTATATTGCCAAATAAGGAAAAAGTATAGAGAAAAATGATTTTTCTAGATTATTTTCAAAGGAAGTGAGAAGGTATTCACTCTCATATTAGTATTCTGATATTAAACAGTTAAAAATAATTACCGTGAAACACCAACTGAAAGTGGCATAAATAGAAACCTTATAGTCTGCTAATACATTAATATTTTCATAATTCTAAAACCTAAACTCTTTATCTATTTATGCTATCTTAGTTGTCTGATTAAGATTGTAAATTCTAAGAAGTCAAGATCTTTGATTTTGAGTCCCTTAAATTTTCAGTCTGTTCAAAGCATATTATAATTTCGAAAACCTGTGACAGTTGTGTGAGTTAACAAATTCATTCTCAGTTAAAGATATCCATGCCCAAATTTGCACTTAGAGAAAGTTGTGTCCCACAAATACAGTGTCTTTACCTCTATATGTGCTTCATGTTGAGTTAGACATTTAAAGTTCCAAATTTACTTCTTTACCTCATTTTATTGCCAAAATTAAGAGACATTTATTAGTATGATTGCCAGTCCAACATAAGGAAAAAACGTTTTTTAGAGCAAGTGGATTTCTTGGAGTGATCTATAAGTCATATTCCAAATGCTTAAAACTCTTTCCCCACTTACACAGAGCATCATTGCATGGCATTGTCACCCTGCTATTTACCCTACTAAGGAAAAAAACCCCTGGTTTACGGTGACAAAATAGACACTTGTTAGCTATCCCAACAAAAGGTGAAATCATGAAATAATTGTTTTCTAAGACTGTTTTTCCTCATAGTGTTTATCTCCAAGAACTCTGTCTACTATCAACCTCTTCCTTCTTCTGGAAGATTGGCCCACAGATGATTTCATCACTGCTCCACTCTTGGCTTGTTAACAAGTAGAGGATAAAATATAACTCATTTGGAAAATCATCTGGGTGGTAGACTTTCTATTTGCAAAGAAATTGTTGGCGCTACCAGTGTCTGAGACTATAGACTTGGGTTTCAACTTACAATTAGAGAGTGATTTATCTCCTGATTCTACTATAGAGGCCAGATTTCAGACCACAGAAAGCCGTGCAACGGTGCTGAAAAAGGAAGAACTCCATAGGACTGGTCTGCAGAGGCCAAAAAAAAAACATGATATATTTATTGACATGTAAAGTTATTTTTGCTGAAGCAAGATCTTTTCCATTAAAAAAATAACAATTCTCTCTTTTTTAAGTGACAAGTTTAGAATCCATACTTTGATTTTAGGAAATCCATGAAAGGGGAAAAAATGTCCCTATGTCCTGGAGCAGAGGCAAGGAGTCAAATAAAAAATAACACTCTAGGGAAAACATAAATGTTTTCATTTACATAAATCAATATCATTCTATCAGTGTCTCATTTGGAAAGGATCAACTGCAGGAGGACTCTTGCTAAATGTCAGTGGAGTCACTTAGGATAAAATTTTTAACCTGGATTTTCTGCCAAACCTCCACACTATGCATACAAGGAACAAATCCTGACACACCGATTTGTCCAGCCACAACACAAATGGAACAATGTGCACACTGGAAAGGGGCTAAAGTTATTAGTCCACCACTGATATATACAAGACCCTGGAATGACTTCAACACTGCCCCTCCGACCACCGCCTCTTGTTAAAAGTAGTTGAATGTTCCCCAGAGGGACATGGCTTGGTGAGCAGTGGGGATAGATGTCAGCCTTTGCTAGTTCCCTCAGCAAGGTTCCTTTGTGCTATGAACAAACTGCACAACCATATGTGATAGCCTTGGGCTCCACCAACAGCTTGTACACCACCTGTGCTGATGGAAGTATTGCCGTATGTGTTTGATCTCAGCCCACTGTATCACAGGATTGTGCAAAATTTATGCTTATTAATTAGGTGCAGAATAAATGGCTTATATTTCTATATAGACAAACTTTAAATATCATGGTAACTTGTTACTTTTGTAATTCTCTCTATAAACAATTTTATTAACGTAAATCTAGATGTAAATCATCACTGTAATACCTATCTCTTATTAAGAAGTATATATAGGCTAATAATTTAATATTGACTCATAAGATTTAAATATCCACAAGAGTATTATTAGTTATTAAGTCAAAACCAATAGTGCTTATAAAAACAGAAAATATAATTAAGTGGTAAACCGTTATGCTTACTTATAAAGGTATGCCTTATAAGTAAGCATATAATATAATTTTATAAGTGAGCATACCTGGTTATACCTTATAAAGGTGTGCTTTATAAGTAACCATACCTTTATAAGTATAACCAGGTATGCTCACTTATAAAATTATATTATTATTATAAATTATCACTGCTTTTTGTTTCAATATCCAGATAAGTAATCAGACCTCATGAACATAACCAGCTGTTGTGTGCCACAACACAAATGGTATTTAGTGTAAAGAAGACACTTCTAGACATATATAAAATGGTGGCATTCAGAACGCAACATAAGTAATCTTGAATTATTTAGGTTGTACAATCCTCTTTTATAAGTATCCTCAGATACATTGGAAATCAAGGGAACCTCTGTTATTTGCATGCCATCTCAGCCCAGGCTTTGAAAAGATTTGATGGTGCTAAAATTCTTCTAGCCAGGTATTCCATCTTCCCACTCTGTGACAGCCAAAGCATGATGAGGCCATTTAGATAAACCTCCCTGGAATTTACATACTGAAGAAATAATGTAAAGGCAAAATATATGGTTAAAGAATGACTCAATGTGGTGGTCATGGCAGGAGTCTGGCTGTAGTGTAGTCGAGAGTTCAGCAGTATTGGCTGACCAGCTAAGCATCCAAAACACAGGTTTCCTTGGCTGGTTGTAAAGACTAGATTCTTAGATCCTGGTGGTTTTCAGAGCCTAATTCTTTTGACTTTCCATTGATTACTTGAACTACTTGATATCCTTTCAATAAATTTATTTTTGTTTAATTGAGACAGAATTGGTTTCTATTGTTCTCAACTAAGAACTCTGAATGAAACAAGCACATTGAAGGAATGATCGTTATATTAGCAAGAGATTTTTATTTACTGGGACATATTTGCAGCGTGGCTCTAATAACTATATAGCTTTATAACAATGTCTTGAATAGTCATAATAAAATTTTAGAGGGGGAAAATATGCTAATGGTCAATATTTGCTGAAATGCTGAAAGATTTCTCCAAGGGATGCTTCTGCCTCTACTATCCTAAAAGCCTAATTGCATTTCTATTTTGAATTCACTATCTGACAACTACACAGAAGTATGGCATGTTTAAGGTATACCATGCCCCCATGTATTATTTTGCATAATTTTATTCAAAAAGTTGTTATTCATTTTATGTCTGTAACTTAACCAGGTTCAATTGGTTAAGTTACATGGACGAATGACAAATGGTGCATTTTTTCCAACCATATAACAAATAACATTATTTACCAGTAATTTATAACATCTGGCTTAAGTAAAATAATAATGCACATATTCGTATAGGTTAAATGTGAATTCAAATCAATATAAATAATTATCATGAAGAGTGTTTTACCTTGAGTGATGTCCAAAATTCTACACTATATTAAAACACTTACTAGATCAAAGGTCCACATTATCTATGTGAGTAATGTTAACGCTGAACATTATGCAGAAGAAAGTAAAACATCAATCCAAACCTTGCAGAGCATGCAGATTGCCTGGCAACCTAACTCCTAGAAAAAAAATACCTGTGGGTCATTAGAAGGAGAGGAGAGCACAGACAGGCTAAAAAAATATGGTATTTTGTTGGAATTGCTTCATCCTAGAATACAGATATGTCTGTAAAATATGGCCACAATGACTTTTTAATGATTTTATATTGACCCATTAGGAGGGTAAAGATATTTAATTATAATCATGTAGATGTAGTCATGATATAGCTACTGTATTTTAAAGAAATATGATATGACACAACCCACAGTGAGAAGTAATTTACACATTTTTTAAAAAGCTGAACACTTTGAGTTAAATATCCCAAATCTACAGCAACAGCACTGGAATTTTATAAAACATACTACCATCCCCCTTTTAAAAATTATTTCAATATAATTTAATAAAGTAAAGGCACTATTGCTCAAAAATAGTAATAATGACAATAGATTCATACATGCATGGAGAGACAAAATATACAAACTGCTGCCATAGGGTGGGCACGGTGCTAAGTATTTTACAGGCATTTAATTCTGAAAATAATCACACATGAATTAGAGCTATTTCCTTCCTTTCTTGAAAAAAGGAAACTGAGACGTAGAAATAATAAGTAACTTGCCCTGGCAAGATAGCACAGCTGTTAAGGGAGCAATACTCAATATCATTTACCCTGCTTCCTCCACTTCTGAAGTTCTGTATCTCAGGTGATGCCATTGTTACCATATCTTTTAGTTATTACTAGTACATAATTCTTATTATCATTATTATTAATAGCCACCATCAATGGTTCATTGCTCATATTTTGATCTAGAGCAACTAGCCTTCCACATAGATGTGAATAAAATTATGTTCTAGCCTACTTAATAGGCTGAGCCACATATTCTAAGCATTTATTGTAGAGCCTTGCTTCTTTTTTTTTCCTCCCCCAGGAACAAGGCAGAGCAGTAGTTTCAAATTCTAGCTATCAGGAACATAACACTATATAATGGCTGTTAATTCAAAGTATATACTACATGTTGAAAACTTGCACTCTAAATTCATAGGAAGCCAGGCCCAAACTGGCACCAGGGTGACACCTTTAAAAGTGCCATTTCAACTTTTTTATCAGGCTGGCAGTTTCTGGGTGATGATGTGGTACACTATAAGGCTACTGGAGCCCACTTTTATGTGCCCTTCATCATATAATGGGTTTCCTGTTTTGAAGTGATGTTGTACAAGATCCCATTACTTAAATAAGACATTCTGTGAACTCTCAGATAGTGGTCCAGGCTGAGGCAGTAGGCAGAAAAGGGAAACTCTTATCAGAAATATGTATCAATTACAGCAAGGGTGAAATGCTGTCCTTTAGGGTAAAGGGGATGTAAAGTATTCAACTTTGCCAATCTATGGTTTATTGATCTTTCCAGGGTTTGTATCATATTGAGGAATCAGCTTCTGTCTTTGCTACTGTCAGTTTAAACATCTGTCATTGGCAATAGCTAAACCATGCTTGGTGAGAAGGATCTCACATAATTATATCCATTTATATCCTCTACATCTGCCACCATGATGTGGGTCATTTTGCAAGCATCGGGTGGCCAAGGACAGAGACTGGCTGATGTACACTGGACAAATTACCCTATTCATCAGTCAGTTTGGTTTATTTCCTTCATTGAATGTGCTCTACAGGATGTTGACTGGAGACACAAATACTTAAACTCTTCCTGTTCTCTCCCATAGGTTCAATCATATGCTTCTTCTTAAGACCTTCTTTCTTTGATCTTCCCATCATAATCATTCCAGGCTCCTGACCAACCAATAAATCAATCACCACTGCCCAATAATCTGAAAATGCTTATCTACAAACAATTCTCTGTTCTTGCACAATTGATGGCTAAGTAAACTGCTCAAAGGTCTGTATACCTTGCATAATTGATGGCCAAGTATATTGCTCAAAATTCTTTTCTCTCACTACCATATCTCATAACTAATTCTGATTGAAGTGTAGTGCAGCAGAAATCCATGTTTATCTTTCAATAGCAGATAGCATTGACACACCTAGGAATCAACTTGATTTTGTTTGTTTTCACCTATACCATGTGGTCATAGGGAAAGTCTTATAATGCCTGTGGTAGACACTGAGAAAAATGCATTCATGCAATAAATTTGTGTGATATTGGGTGCAGTTCATCTGTTACTGTATCTTCTTTTAAACCCTGTACTTACTGATGTCCCAACTTAATGTACCATTGCAGAAAATGTATTGCTGTTGTGCCACAAAACCATATGACTTGGTGGAGCTGACAATACTTCTGAATGCACAGCTCTGATAACACGCCACTTCATATCCCATATTCAGGCATCCAATCTCTACTAGGCAATATAATGAAACAAAAGCTGATTTGTTAATTTGTTATTTGTGAATAATTCTCTGCTACAGATGGTACTGTCTTACTCCACAACCCAAAGTATCTGCATTGCTATTCTCCTATTGGAGCTTGCTAGAGATTTCATGTGGCATCTTTACCTACATTATATTTGGCAGGTCTTCTGACTCAGGCGCTGCTTAAACCTACCACAGATTTCTTTCATGTTCTGGGCCCCAATGAAAAACTGCTAACTTTCTAAAATACTCAATAAAAGAAGCAAAGCAGTATTTTCAATTATGGCATATGCTATGCCCCCATGCACACAGATATATAGAAGTAAAAGATACCTTTGTTTTCCTTAAGTAGAATACCAAAGATACCTTTTGTTAAGTAGTAGAAGGTATGTGATGCCATAATTTCTTTACTTTGGAGAATGTGGTATAAATTGTTTAGCAAATACTTATTTCCTCTCTTCAACTTCCACTGGAGGTGTAGACCCCAGCACCCCTTCCTCTACCCCAGTGATAATGGGCTTATCCATATGACTTGCTTTGGTCAATGGAATATAGGTGGAGATTACAGTGTGCCATATCAAAGACTTAAATGGCATAGGTTATTTCTGCTCACCTCATTGGGAACCTCCAAACTCTGTAAAGAAAAGAAAATACCCAGATACTACTTTTTCCTTCAACTTTGGACACACCAAGTAAGACAAAAAGAGTAAAATAAGGCCAGTAGTCAAACCCAGACAAATAATAGCATGAAGTAGAACTTCCCCAGCTAGGACAAATAGAATATTCTCTCATGTCCAGATAATTGAACTATAAAGCTTTTCTAATATGTCAAGCCCTGGAATCTGCTTAGGGATTACACCTCTACTCTGGCCTGCCTGTAACGTATCAGGCCACCTGAAGTATTTGCCATTTCCTGCTCTATAGGTCCGATTAAAGTGCTGTCGCCAATATGGTATACCTGCATGATGCTCTCTGGAGAGTCAAGATAATCATATTTATCTTAATTAAGATGCTGTCCTTTTAGAGTGTAAGGGATATAAAGTATTCAACTTTACATAAAGTAAATAATCTATTCTACCTGTTTGCCTGTTATGCTGAGAAATAAGGGCAGAGCGTAGTCTTAGAGGGTATGTGTTGACTGTGCATTGCTATCTTTCTAAAGTAAATATAAATGCTTTGGTTCTTCCTTGACTGAAATCAAAAGGAACACATTATGCAGATCAACAGAGCAAACCAAGTACCAGTGTTTGTGTTGGTCTGCTCTAATAAAGATACTACATTCACACAGAAGCTGTGACTGGGCTGCACGTGGTTCAGTTTCTGATAGTCCATTAGCAGCAGCCATAGTCTTTCTGGTTTTTACAAGAGTCATAACAATGAATTGGAATTTTTAAAGACTCTACATTTTTAAATAATAGAGGGAAGCATCTGAATTTTTCAAATATTTGAGTGTGTCATATATTTTTCTGCTTCTACTTGGGTTGGAGTGTTGTTTATTGTTTACTAACCTGTCCAGTGGTGATAGTTTCATATGCTCCCTCTCAGACTTTTCTTCTATAATGGCTCAAACTCCATACGGCAGGCAGCCAAAATGAATATCTTTCCAGCCAATAATTATATTCATCCTGATTTTGTACTCATGAACTAGGAAAATGACCACAATATAAACCTATGGGCCTACTAAACCCACCATAAGATGAATGGAGGCCATGTTGCCATTTACTATTGTACGAACTCACTTTTAACAAGGGGCTATGATGGCATTTTGTGTTCTCTGGTGTCAACATCAGCTAACAGCCAGTATCCAAAGGCTGTGAAATGACACTGGTATTTCTCTTTCCCCTATTGTGTAGTTTTTGGAAATATATTTGGTCCATTTAGCAAAACATTGGATGAATAGTTATTGAATGTGTTTGTATTGCATGTCAGGCTTCTCCCACAATGGTCACAGTTTCCCTTTCAATTAGTGGTTTTTGTGTCTGTCAATTGAATTAGGTCTGAAAACTAAGAAGGGCTTATTATCCACTGTGATGTCTGACATCAGCTTTCTGCTTGCATGCTCTTGATTATTTCGGGTTATATAAGTCAAGCAATATAATTCTTGGCAGCTCATCTGTTTTGTCCTTAGGAACACTGTAGTCTATTAGTTATTGACATAGGTCTATTAGCTACTGTCAAAGTCTTTCTAACCTTATGGTCTATTATACAGTTATGTTCACCTTGCCACTGAATTAAATGCTGCCATCTACCCTCTGCTATTTTGGAAACTTATAATCCACAATGACAATAGAGAGACTAATTTCATAACAGCATTCCCTATCATTGGAATTGGCCCACAGAAGAAATCACTGACCTACACAATGATGCAAGTGTTTCCCCTTTGATTAGCACATTCTTTATCATTTCAGCCATAGGAGTGTTCTCTGGGTAGACTCAGGAAACAAACTGAATCAACTGGCTTATTCTTTGGTCATATGTAATCAATCAATTCTAACAAATCTACCTTTCTGACTTTTTGAGCTCTTCTTTGATATTGTTCCAAAACAGTTCTGGCAAGTCTACCTCTTTTACCATAGGCCTTCATTTTTTCACTTCAAATTTTGAATTGCCTCACTTCAATAGCTTATAAACAGTTTCCTTTAACAGAGTTATAAGAGAGTACTCAAATTTGCAAAATATCTTTCTTATCCAGTCATATATTCACTCCTCCCTGGTCAAGCATCCATAAGCCATATTCCCAAACATGGTATGTTAGTTATTGCCGTTGTGTGTTAGCCAGAGGCAACAGCTCTTTCACTGAACAATCACTTTCTTTCTGCAGCAAGGATAGGCATTTCCTCTTTAGGCCTTACAAAGATTTAATCTGCTTATTGTACTGAAAGCAGTGAAGACAGTTTGAAGGAAATTATGAGGAGTGCACGCATCATCACATAAGGCATCAATTTCTTGTGAAGATTTTGATTGATATTTAATCAATGAGCACCATATTTTCTCTAACAAGCAAAGATTTGTGATCCCACACCTTAGGCAGCATTAAACTTCCATTCATTCCTCTCATACATATCCCAAGTTATATTGGTCTCAGAGGAATTAGACACACATGGGACAGACATGAGGCCAACTGACAGCTTGGAGCTGAGCTAGTCAAGCCTAGATAATAACAGTTGAAACCAACTCACAGAGTCCTGTGTGTAAAATTAAATGTTTATTATTCAAATCCTCTGAGTTTTTGAATAGCTAGTCATGCAGGAATATTGTTACAAGAGCTGACTGCTACAGAATAGTATTCATTTTAGAAAATGAACCATAAAATTAGCATATATAATTTCATAATTTTTTCCCGAGAGTCTTCTGATATTCTTTTCTAATATTTGTCAAACTAATGCATCTGTACATCCTGAACACAATATGTGTATTCATTGTTTACAAGTATTAGTAACATAAAAATTAATTTTAGCTCAACTACCATATATTTCAAAGGAATGAGAGTTCAGTAATTCTCTTTCCTAACTTTCTTTAGATTATGTTCAAATAACAAAGCAAATAACCAAACAGTTAACAAGCATACAAATAGATGGCTAGCTAAACATATAAACTGCCTTGAAAAGAACTTCGGTTTTCTACAGACTTGCTTTTAGATGTTTGATCTACAACTGTCCAGTTTTGTTCATTTTGGCAGGCAGTGTAACTCTCTAAGACATATCAACTTCCGAAGACCTCGTGTGAAGATATAATTAAATAATATATGTGAATTTGCCCATCATATTACATAGTGCAGGTTCTGAAAGACAGCAGATATTCAATCAATGTTACTATTCTGTTATTTTTTCTCCCTTACTCCCTAATCACTACGTTTAAAGACACATAACACTGGAAATTGATATTTGTATCATAACTACCTCTATAAACTGTGTTCTTATGAGAAGAGAGAACAAACCTAGTTGTTTTGATACCTGTAGCTTAATTTTTGTTACACTTGTCCAGATTTATTTTAGGCATGGTTATGCTGGATTGTTTTATATGTTTGAATAATTTGGGAAATAAAGATCCTTAAAATACAAGAACACCATCCTTGTATTTAAATGCCAACATGACAGCATTGTAGAAATTCATATATGGGTGTTTATTTTGAAGTTCTGCAATTTTTCTGGCACTTTAAATTGTGAAATATTCATTCATTTTTAATGTTTTAAAATACATTTTGAGTAAACGATGAATATAAAATTGAAGTGGAAATTCTAGCTAGGGGTCTAGAAGTGCACTAAAAAAGTGGTTATCCATTAATTTCACTTTTTTTAGTGTTGAAAAATAAAATTTTAAATACAAGCAAGATACTGGGATGGACAATTGTTAGTTCTTCCCTGATATCAGCTTCTCTCCTGTCCCATCCTTGATATTCAAATTTCCTGTTGACAAGTTCACTCTTCTTCAGTTCTCACCCAGAAAGTTTGAATGAGATCATCTCCACCCTCAGCTCTAGAGACTGGTGGGAAGGAAGGGCTTAAGCCTATTAGCAGATCACAGTACAACTGCAACAAAGGACATCCTTAGTGTTGCTTCCAGGAGAGAAAAATTTCCTTCCTCTTCTGAGAAAGCCATTGGAATAGACATTCATTTCATAGGAAACAGCATGGGGCCTGGAGTATCACTTTTTGATCCCAGGAAAAACCTGCCTGAAAATGGAACTGAGAGACAACAGAGTCAAGAACTGAACAGAGAACATCTGAGGCCCAGTCATACTTCTTCAGTTTGAATTTAAAAGCTTTACCTAAAGTCAGACGTCTTCCTAGATTTTTAAGTAACGTGAATCAATAAATCTGAGTCTTGTTTCCCATACCTTGACATACAAAGCATACTAACTGATTTTTAAAATACAGGTAAGAAGCTACTTAGATATTTCTCACATAATTAAGCTTTTAGTAGTTATCTTTAGAGACTTAACATAGCACATAAGATCTTAGTCTCTGGAATTTGGGTGGAAATTCTGCTTTTGCTGTTTAGTGGTTGACCTTGGGTAAATAAAGTAATATGTGTGTGCCTCGGCTTTCCCATGTATATGATCAGGGTAATGGTACCTACCTCACAGGGTATAGTTAAATGGGATAGTATGTGTAAAGTATTAATAGGGTCCAGCATATAGCATACTCAATAAATTTTACCCATTATGATTTTTATTGTTTTTGATTAATCAGAAATAAAATTTTGACATCAGGTTTATATTAGAAACTTTTATTTGTACCTCTATACTTCAGGAGCATAAGATATTTCTTTTATTCATTCAATTAAAAAATGCTAAAATAGGTGTCAATTCAAATATTCCGAAATTTCAACTACAATAAACAAAATTTAATAAACCACTAAAGAAATGTAATACAGTAAAGTTTTCCTTAGCTTGACTGCCATATCATCAATAATACAATGATATATTAATAAAAATTAGAAGAAGTGGTGTACTTCACATAACAGTCTCAATATAAGGAAAAAAATGAACTCTCAAAAAGTTATTAGTTATTCTGTACTTGCATTGACTTACATGTTAGGGCAGGATGGGGTATATTGTAGCTTGAAACAATCTCAAAATCTCATTAGTTAAAATAAGCAAAAATTAAATTCTTGAATTTTCAACAAGTTTTTACTAGTCCAGACAACTCTCTAGATCAGTTGCACTCTATGACTCCAAGACTTCGTTTGTTTTTATTTAATAGCTGCAGCATTTCAACATGAGACTGGCACACTAATTAGAGTGAGGAAAGAGAAAAATTGGAGAAGTGTCACTTCAGCTTTTATTCCTTTGCCCATAATTAGGCATATGATCCTGTCTAATAGCAAGGTACTGAGGAAATATAGGCTCCCAACATGCCAGGGAAAGGAAGGATAACGGGCTGGTTTCAAGCACTAGTAACACTGTGTTAGGCCATTCTTGTACTGTTATAAAGAAATACCTGAGGCTGGGTAATTTATAAAGAAAAGAGGTTTAAGTGGCTAGTGGTTCTGCAGGCTCTACCAGCATAGCTCCAGCATCTGCTTCTGGGGAGGGCTTCAGGAATCTTACAATCATGGGGGAAGGCAAGGGGATGTGCCATGTGCTTCATGTGGCAAGAGTGAGAGCAAAAGAGAGAGGGGCGGTGCCACACACGTTTAAACAATCAGATCTCATGAAAACTCACTTCCTATCACAAGAACAGCACTAAGGCATTCATGAGGGATCAGCCCTCATAACACAAACACCTCCCACTAGGTCCCACCTCCTACATTGGGGATTACATTTCAACATGAGATTTGGAGGGGACAGGCATCCAAACTATATAAAGCAGCTATCATAATTTTAAAAATGCAAAGGCAATTGTTTGTAATTTCAAATGAAAATGCAACATTGTACATTAAAATAAAAAGCTTATAGTTTAAAAATTATATATCAAATGTGATTAAAATAAATATGAATAAATAATACTTTATCTGAAAATATCATAATTTGCCATGAAGGAGGTCTGAGCTTAGTTATCTAGATTATAATCTCTATTATTTAGAAATTTGCTAATATTTCTTTTCCCTTGAAAGCTTTCTGATTACATTTTTAAAATTGCTTTATAGTCTCTCAATTCTCCTATTTCCTGCACAAACAGGTTTCCTTCATGAGTGAACTCCCATTCACAATTGCTTCAAAGAGAATAAAATACTTAGGAATCCAACTTACAAGGGATGTGAAGGACCTCTTCAAGGAGAACTACAAACCACTGCTCGATGAAATAAAAGAGGATACAAACAAATGGAAGAAGATTCTATGCTCACGGGTAAGAAGAATCAATATCATGAAAATGGTCATACTGCCCAAGGTAATTGACAGGTTCAATGCCAACCCCATCAAGCTACCAATGACTTTCTTCACAGAACTGGAAAAAACTACTTTTAAAGTTCATATGGAACCAAAAAAGAGCCTGCATCGCCAAGTCAATCCTAAGCCAAAAGAACAAAGCTGGAGGCAGCACGCTACCTGACTTCAAACTATACTTCAAGGCTACAGTAACCAAAACAGCATGGTACTGGTACCAAAACAGAGATATAGACCAATGGAACAGAACAGAACCCTCAGAAATAATGCTGCATATCTACAACTATCTGATCTTTGACAAATCTGACAAAAACAAGCAATGGAGAAAGGATTCCCTATTTAATAAATGGTGCTGGGAAAACTGGCTAGCCATAGGTAGAAAGCTGAAACTGGATCCCTTCCTTACACCTTATACAAAAATTAATTAAAGATGGATTAAAGACTTAAATGTTAGACCTAAAACCATAAAAACCCTAGAAGAAAACCTAGGCAATACCATTCAGGACATAGGCATGGGCAAGGACTTCATGTGTAAAACACCAAAAGCAATGGCAACAAAAGCCAAAATTGACAAATGGGATCTAATTTAACTAGAGAGCTTCTGCACAGCAAAAGAAACTACCATCAGAGTGAACAGGCAACCTACAGAATGGGAGAAAATTTTTGCAACCTACTCATCTGACAGAGGGCTAATATCCAGAATCTACAATGAACTCAAACAAATTTACAAGAAAAAAACAAACAACCCCATCAAAAAGTGGGTGAAGGATATGAACAGACACTTCTCAAAAGAAGACATTTATGCAGCCAAAAAACACATGAAAAAATGCTCATCATCACTGGCCAGCAGAGAAATGCAAATCAAAACCACAATGAGATACCATCTCACACCAGTTAGAATGGCGATCATTAAAAACTCAGGAAACGACAGGTGCTGGAGAGGATGTGGAGAAATAGCAACACTTTTACACTGTTGGTGGGACTGTAAACTAGTTCAACCATTGTGGAAGTCAGTGTGGCGATTCCTCAGGGATCTAGAACTAGAAATACCATTTGACCCAGCCATCCCATTACTGGGTATATACCCAAAGGATTATAAATCATGCTGTTACAAAGACACATGCACACGTATGTTTATTGAGGCACTATTCATAATAGCAAAGACTTGGAACCAACCCAAATGTCCAACAAGCATAGACTGGATTAAGAAAATGTGGCACATATACACCATGGAATACTATGCAGCCATAAAAAATGATGAGTTCATATCCTTTGTAGGGACATGGATGAAGCTGGAAACCATCATTCTCATCAAACTATCGCAAGGACAAAAAACCAAACACCACATGTTCTCACTCATAGGTGGGAATTGAACAATGAGAACACATGGACACAGGAAGGGGAACATCACACACCGGGGACTGTTGTGGGGTGGGGGGGAGGGGGGAGGGATAGCATTAGCAGATGTACCTAATGCTAAATGACGAGTTAATGGGTGCAGCACACCAACATGGCACATGTATACATATGTAACAAACCTGCACGTTGTGCACATGTACCCTAAAACTTAAAGTATAATAATAATAAAATTAAAAAAAAACTCTAAGCTTATAATATGTGATAAAATTTTATCTTTTATTAGAAAATCTCTGGGAAGTGATCAACACCACAAATTAAATCAGTTAAGTCCAAGATATGGTAAGGATGCTTGGTATATATTATAACTGAGATACAGGAATAAGCAGTACTTGAAAAGGCCAGGAGAAAAAGTCCTTGGCATCTCCTTGGCATCTAAGTCCTTAGCGGATAATTAGTAACTCTTCTATCTGTTGATCTCAAATGTGCACTTAGCAACAACCATGATTGAGGAAGTATTTCTTCTGAGGACAGTTCCAACTTTAATTGTTCTGCAGCAGTAGATAAGAAGGCTAAAGACTCAAGAATTTCAACATAAACATTGAAATTCCATTTCAATGTTACATTCATTGTTTATTGAGAATATCTTTTAAAAGTTTTCCAAGTCCCAAAGTGATCTGGGGACAGAGTTACCAAAAAATTCCTTTAACCTCAGTTGTAGGCAACACATTTAACATTTACTTTTCCATTTACATGTTTAACAATAATGCTACGCATGTTATTTTATAATAGTTACATAATTAATGCCACTTTAAGAAATAAAAATTACACTAGAATAATATCATTGATTTTCAAGACCCAAAGAAAAAAATATTTTTGTATCACATGCTTCTGAAACAGACAATTATGACATAATTGTTTCTTTTTAATTTCTTATTTAGAAAACAGAATTAGTATATAGTCTAAATTTATTTCTAATCAAAGACAGGACAGGATCAATGTGTGACTGATGAAACAAGCCCACTTCATCAATTGACCATGTAACTCTGCAACTTGATTAATTACTTTGGGTTAAGAACTAAAATAAAAATAAGTACATAAACTCTATATATTTACTTTAACTTTGGAATGAGAGAAAAGTATTAGATACAGTGAATATGTGTGTGCGTGTGTATGTGTATTTGAGTTAGTGTTTATATGTGTATATTTGATACACACATCTGTGTGTGTATATATACACATATACGTATACTTGTGTATATTGTTTAAATATTATGTATATACATGTGTGTATATATATATATATATGTATGTATTCTCTATGCTTATATTGAAAAGAATAGAGTACTTCAATTTTCCCAAAAAGGTAGAGGTTTGAGTTTAACATAAATGAGCTATCTTCCCTCTCAATTTCCTCTGTAACATAAATTAACAGCCAGGGCAAGAAAGCTAATAAAACAGGAAGGCTTTTAATAAAAAAAAAAAATGATTACAAGTGACAGAAAACTGAACATTTTAAAAGTCTGTAATGAAAATACCAGTGTTGGCAAATATGTGGAAGAAATAGAACTCTCATGTATTGCTGATAAGAGTGGATTATTATAAATGTTATGGAAAATTGTCAGCATACTCTAAAGCTGAAAATATGCCT
Organism: Homo sapiens; assembly: GCF_000001405.40. NCBI lineage: Eukaryota > Metazoa > Chordata > Mammalia > Primates > Hominidae > Homo > Homo sapiens. The sequence goes on from NC_000003.12 coordinate 96,741,533, forward strand.
ACCCTTTGACCTGGTAGTTACATGCTCAGGTATACACCAACAGCAATGCATACATATGTTCACTAAAAAAAAGCTTATCAGCAGAAAAATGGATAAATTGTGTTATATTTACAAATAGAATCCATTATATCAATAAGAAAAAACAAGCTGTAACCACAGGACAACATTAATGGATTGCAAAAACAAGATGTTGAACTAAAGAATTCAGAACAAAAAGGTCATATATTCCATTCATATATAATATCAAAATGGCAAAACTAATGTATACTGTTAGACAACAGGATAGTGGTTTCCCTTGAATGTCACCGATTGACTGGAAGGGAGCATGAAAGGAGCTTCTGAGGTGATGGTAATGTTCTCTTTCTTGATCTACAGTTGAGTTATGCAAGTTTATTCAGATTATAAAAATTCACTATTTGTGATATTTCAAAAATTACTTTTTAAACTTCTTAGCAAAGAGATACATTTATTTTTTCACATAATTGAAAAATTCAGATTACGTACAAGGCTGGAGACAACCTGCTTCTCAGGAACACAAACTCTGCCTGTGTTTTCGCCCTTTTCTCCTCTGTGCTGATTTACAAAGCTATGTGTAGTGCAAAGAGTACTTCCAGGCATTGTAGATCTTTCCTTTCAAATATAAATTCAAAAGAGACTAAATTTCTCCTTCTATAAATGTCTTCTTCCTCAACAGACTATATTCAGCTTGGTAATCATTATTTGAGTCCATCAATAGAGTCACCTAGAAGAGAATGTGCAGAGGACTATGGATTCAGTCAAACACCCTCACATGAAAGTTGGTGTGGGGGCATTTTCTTCCAGACCACATAGACTCAAAAGTGGAAAGAAGATTTTCTATTTTTTTTTAAAAGAGAGAGACAGCAAACAAGCAAAAGAACATGGGTTCTTACGAGAAATAGGGTGAATGCTATCTATCACAGGTCAAGATATCTCTCAAATCTAGAATAGGTTTGATTTGACCTTTAGGGCCTGCACTTTTCTTATATGATTAAACTAATGGAGAATTTTGAGTGTCACAAGGGAAAGTTTCCAACTGACTTGCTATCATGAGTGAGATGCTTAAAAATCCTGGAGAGCCATTAATGTTATCTGCCATGCTGGGCTGAGTTACTCCCAGTTCCTGTAGTGTCTAATGTGTCCTAGCAGGAATTATTATTGCTTGGATATCATTGTGTTCGAAAGCAAGAGCGATCAAAGAAAACCAGAAGATGCAAAAAACAGAGAAGAAAACAAAGAAGAGCAATTTCACAAGAAGTAGAACTTATGGAAATGCCGGATGAGATAAATAAACAAAGAAATATGATCTGTCAAGTATATCAGGTATAAAACAATTTGTGGAACAAAAACAAGAAAAAAACTTTTCAACTTAAGTGTTTCCATAAACTAAAAATAATAGTTATGATTAAAAGTTGACCAGGAAGATCGATTGAAAGAATTCCAAAACATGTAGAAACAGCATAAATGACGGCAATCGCTAGTGAAGAGATGAGCTATTGAAAGCAGACAGGAGAATTTTAATGTGTATAAAAGGAAATCCTGAAATAAAATTAAAAAGTGATAGAGAGAGGTAATATTTAAACAAATAAAGAAAATTTCTTTTGTTTGAAGAAAGATGTATGCCTGAAGATTGAAAAGGTTCCCTGAGTCCCAGAGACGATTAATAAAAAAGGTCATTTATTGAGACATATCCTTGTGAACACTTTGAATTCCAACAGTAAATAGAAAGTCTTATAAGCTTCTATAAGGAAGTAATTTTCAAAGGAAAGTAAATCTGGCTCATATCTGTCTTCTTTATAATATTAAACTTAGCCAGTTAATGAAATATTATCTACTGAGACAAAAGGAGAGATATCCAAGTTACTATTCACCCATCAGAGTAAAGGAATGACATTTTCAGAAATACATGGATTCAGAAACTCTATCAGCAATGTGTTCTGAGGAGAATAATCATGAAAATACAATAACCAAACAACAATTAAATCAGAACTGAGACATCGTAAAAGATTAAAATCATAGTGGAGAAATGGTGGTAATGTCTCTGCAATTTATGTAATTGACTCTAAATGGATAATGCTATTATGATTGGGAAATTGTAACAGTGCTTTAAAATAAAGTTTCTTTAAAAATTAGACACACTCAGGAAAAGCTTAAAAATAGGTTTCAGTGAAATCCAGGGCCTTGAAACTATGAGGAATGGAAAAGGAGTAAAAGCATTTAGCTTTCACATCTAGGATAAGTAATATTAAATTTTACAAAAGCTATTTTAATTTCATAGAAAAGTAATTACACATGACAAAACATTTCAACAACATATATAGCCCCAAAATGGTTCAATGTGTAAGACATCAATATTAAGTTAAATATTTCATTTGTCTTGATAACACCACGTATTTAGAAAATTACTATCCATAATATCCATGATATATTATTATGTGGGGAAAGTAGTTTACAGAATTATATTAGGGAAGTAACTAGTTTACTTCATTTTGTTTTTTAATATCAAATAGCAATACTATGCTTAATAATAGAAATATTGGGTTTTCATTACATTCATTACATTTAATTTCACTGTAATTTCATTAGATTGAATCCAAACCATGGGCAAGAGATCTAGGGATAAAATACAGACATCAAGGAACAACACGTAAGATGCTACTGTATTAGTTTTCTATTGCTACAGTGACAAAGCACTATAAAGTTATTGTTTTAAAACAATAGAAATGTTTTCTTTTACATTACTGGAGATCAGAAGTCTAAAATCAAAGTTACATTCCTTCTGGAGTCTTCAGGCTATTTTCTGCTTCTAGAGGCCCCTTGCATCCTTTGGCTCATAGGCCCTTCCTCCATTTTGAAAGTGTATCACTCCAACCTCTGGTTCTGAGTGATACAACATCATACTTTAATCCTCCTGTCTCACTTTAATAACCCTTGTGATTACATTGGGACCACCCATATAATCCAGAATAATCTCCACATCTCAAGGTCCTTAACTAAATCACAACTGCAAAGTACTTTTTGCTACAGAAGTTAATATATTCAAAGGATCCAAACATAAGGATGCAAACATCTTTGGAGGGCTAGTGGCTATTTACTACAGTTATTAACCACCACATTGCATCAATACTATAATGTCCATTGGCTGAAAAATCTTAATAAATCTACTAACATTTTCCTACTAGGCCATAAATATGAATACTTTGTACTCAAGATACAGATGAGTCAAGATATAGAGTTAGGGCAATGTTTTCAGCTCTAAAACAACAACAAAAGAGCTATCTAGTAGCAATTTTAAAAAACTAATATATTTATACAATTTCAAAAAATGAAGAGGAAAAGAAACTAGTTCAGAATATTTTCTGATTATTGTATGTAATAAAAGAAAAAGATAATAAACTATGACACATGTAAATTAAGTATAAAATCTCCACTCTTAAATTATGAATAACACTGAAAGCCACCTTAATCATGTGAATTACATGCCTAAGTATAATTTGATTGAATATATTATAAATCATACAACTTTAAATGTGCCTAAGACTTTTCATTTTGGGGAAATAAAGAGATTCATTTTTACTTAACACATCAATTAAAATTTGTAATTGCCATTATATGTTAGAATTCCATTAATGGCTAAGCAAATAAATATTTTAATCATAAAATTTAAAATCATAATTAAACTGTGATAAAATATAAAGTTAACTATAGAAGGTTTGAATAAAACAAAAAAAAATCTCATCAAGCACTTTGCTTTTGATTATCCTGCTATTGATCTCTTCTATCGGTAAGTACAGTACCTAGAATTTCAGAGTTTTGTTATTGGAAAGAGATTGGCAGTTGTTCAAGTAAATGGGTTCCCTTTACAAATCAGCAGAATAAAGTAGAATAATTCAGTGATTTATACAAGGTCATAACACTAATTAATGTTAAATAATATCTCTAAATATATAGTCTTATAAAGCAGACTTTTTCTGAACACATTGTGAAAACTCATTTTAACACATTAGTGCTATTTTGTGTCTAAGGGGTTTGAGTAGAGAATTATTTTACTCTGTTATTTTTTTCAAGAGGTTTTACTCTTACATAATAGTTGACTTATATCCTAAAAAATGCTAACATGGCAAGCTTAGTTCACTATCTTTCAGTTCAAAAAAAGTCTATTTACATGCTAAGAAATATTAAATTTTACAAGTTATTTTAATTTCATAGAAAATTAAGTATAGATGACAAAACATTTAAACAACATATATATCCCAAAATTGGTTCAATGTGTAATATCAATGTTAAGTAAAATATTGCATTTGTCTTGATAACATCATGTATTTAGAAAATGATTATTCATGAGTAAATGTATATTCCATATAAAATGTCTATAGCACTTATTAATTCTTTATGCTTAATGAAATGTCTTATTTCCTAGATTAAAATGTTGTTTCATCGACTTGTTTTATATTTCACTATGGCAGAATAAAAATGTAAACATTTCAATAACAAATGCTTTTGAAGGAATGCTAAACCCATTGGAAGATAATTGCTGTAAGTAATTAAATATCCTCATAACGGGTACCTTCAGCATTATATTTATAATATTTTTGGAATGTCAAAATATATATATATTTAATAAGTATAGCTGAAAGTTAAATTTGGTGGTCAATTTTAAATTAAATAATATAAAGTTGATTCTGAAACTTTTGTGCAAACCTTAAAGCATCTGGACCATTAAAAAATTTAATCTTTCAAAATGACATCTCCCAAAAGTGATGAATATTGGAGTTTGTTTTAACTTCATGTTATTTTATTGGCTACATTGGTATAGTCAGAAATGTCCAAATATTTGAATTGGTTTTACCTTTGTGTTATTTTATTGGCTACATTGTTTAGTATAGTCAGTATGTCCTGAGACATCATTAAAGAGATTCTTTATTAGAAATAAATGTATATGCTAAAGCCTAAATAAGCATATTACTTTTTATAATACAGTATACTTTGAAAAATTTTAGAAATAAATTTAAACAATTAATTACATAATGCCTTACTACTGAGTATTACATTTGGAGTTAGATACATGCTGAGACTCCATCTATAGAATATAAGGACCAAACAACAAAACCGATCTGAGAGAAGAAGAGGAAGAATAAGGAAGAGGAAAGAGGAGTGCTATGGACTCAATGTTTGTGTTACCCAAAATTTGTGTGTTGAAGCCCTAATCTCTAATGTGATTGTATTTGGAGGTGGGGCCTCTGGGTGGGTAATTAGCCCTAGATGAAGTTATGAGGGTGGAGCCTCCATGATAAGACTAGTGTTGTTATGAGAAGAGGAAGAAACCAGTGCTCTCTCTCCCTCTATGCCATATGAGGACACAGAGATAAGGCAGCCATCTACAAGCCAGGTAAGAGACTCCGGCAGACACTGACTCTGCCATCTGCCAATGTCTTGATCTTAGGATTCCTGACATCTAGAACTGTGAGAAATAAATATTTGTTATTTTAGCCACCCAGTCTACAGCATTTTGCTATAGCGGCCCAAGAAGACTAAAACACAAAGGGAAAGGGGAAGGGCAAAAGAGGAGGAAGAAGAGGAGGAAAAGAAAGAAAATCTTGGTAAAATTTACTGTTAGATTGCAGGTTGAGATAACCTGATTAACTGATACTTTTGCTTTTCAACTGATGATATCAGTATTGTGTCAAGAAAGCCAAAATAAGTTTCCATCAAATCATCTGTACATAAAATACTGCTGTTTAATAGATAATAATGTTTATATAATATAAAGCACACTATTTGTTCATTTATAATTCAGTACATTATGTACTTATATATCTTATTCTACAGGTATAATGCACAATAAGATGAATGAACAATGATGTAGCCACACATCTCTGTCAATGACAGAATGCATACACTGAAATGTATTTGTCAAAAGTCTGCCCCCGAGGTAAATGCACATGTAACTGTAATTCTTATAAACATCCTTATGATCTGAGAAGTGACTCTATACTGTCTTGCCTTAGGGACCCCTCACAGATTCCTACTGTGAATCAATGATTCCTGATTACTGTGATCCCCAAAACTGCAACTTCCTTTACCTCTAAAAGAGGGTTAATAATAGTCACTGTTTCACAGGAGTTTTAAGGATTAAATACGTCTTGCATATAAGGCACTTAGCATGATGTCTAACACCAAGTAAACACTTTCTATATGACAGAAATTTATTATTTATCTATCTATTTCCATATTTAATGTCTAAAATGGATTTAGCTGTACATTTTCTAAGGTATTAGATATTTGAAATCTCATTAGCCAGTGTAATGGAGCGAAAAACATAACCAATGAAAACAATGGATAAGCATATTTTAAACCCATAGCTAGATGTTTGATGGATAGAGTTGTACTTTGTTTAATACACTGTTATGTTTCTTGTGAATCTTAGAGATGCTCTATCAAACATAGAAATAGTATCAGGAACTCAGCATTCATTGATGAATTATAACTCCTCTAAAAATTTATAGTGAAATGTTTATTTTGCTTTATTATCCTAATTCAGCCTTTTAAGTGAACAATTTTTAATTTCCCTAGAGTAAAATTTTATAATGAACTCTGTAAGACAGGAGAGTATATACAGAAAATTCATTTACACTTAGCTTGTTAACAGTTCAAGTATTAAAGAGGGATTCATATATTTGAATTTATTTTCTAAGGGAATCTCTTTAAATTCAAGTATATTTCCATAAATCTGTTATGTTAGTCCTCTCATAAGAATGTCTTCCAAAACTATAATGTCAGCATAATTTTAATCACTGGTATTGACTTTCTTCTAGTAAGGCAATGGTAAAATGATACTCTACTAATTTTCTCAGATTCTGGACAATTCAATACAATGAAATTGTAACTTATCTTGTAGAACTCTAAATCCTAAAAGACTAAACCCAATTTCCAAAAGTTTTTAACTTAATATCACAGTAAATATTGGAGGAAAAAGTTGTATTATTGAAGTTTCAAAGCTGGTCAATTCGTTTTTCATATTTTCAAATTTTAGAACAGTTTTGGATTTAAAAAAAAATTGTAACAGCTTTCCCTATTATAAACAACTTATATTAGTGTAGTACATTTATTAAAATTAAGAAACCAATATTGTTACATTATTATTAAAGTCTATGCATTATTCAGGTATTCTTAGTTTTTACCTATTGTCTTTTTTCTATCCCAGGATCCCATCCAGGATGCCTTCACTACATTTCGTTGTCTTTTCTCTTCAGGTTCCTTTTGGCTGTAACAGTTCATATTTAATATTTTTGACTGATTTTCCAGTAGTTTTGTTTTTTTAAATTTATTCCTTAAATTAGTCTTTCCTTTGGAATATTAAAGTTTATAGTAGTAGACATACATTAGTATTCTTAGGAGGACTGGTGGACTCGGATCTATATTGATCTTGTCTTTGAAGATCAAACCTATTAAATCTCAAATTTGTTTTGTACTAGAGCATTCTTCACACAAACACTTGTGTCACTGAGAATTAATTGATCTTCTTACTATTAAATGCAAGTTAGCTCAGCTATTGTGCATGCAAATAATTTTTTCTTGTAACTTTTGCTGTCTCTGGCAAAGAAATAAATAGAATTTATTTCTAAATTATCCATAAGTATAGATACAACATCTTCTTACAATGCACTGGTACTCGTATTCGAATCTTAATATGACTAAACATATAATAACATCCTATTGAATCTGTTGCAGTTCTTAGTGGTGAAAACTGAGGAATGAAAACATTTAATTTTTTTAAAGGCCAGTCAAGAATATGCCCTTTCATTGAATTTGTTCTGCAGAGCAGATATCAGAAAGAGGGCTTAAATTTAAGTGAGGGGCATAAAAATTCACTATGAAAACATTTTTGCAAACATGTGCATCAATAGAAAACCACAAATCTGTTAAAAATCATTTTATATGGAACTTTCTAATAAAATATGAGGGTATATAACAAAAAAAGTCTCTAATGGCTGAAAGAATAGAGGAAGTACTCAAAACTGCCTAAATTATTCCCTTAATTAAGATAGTACACTGAAAATTTTAGCCTAAAGTTTGATAGAAAAATAAAATCAGAAATTACTGTGAAACAGCATCACACTCAAGAAGGTCCAGCATCCAGAGGAGAAAAAAAATTCATTAGGATCATTCCAAATATAATGGCAATAAAATAAAACTGTTGAAAAGATAGAGACACTTGAACAAAAATTTAACAGTAATTCTTAAGAAGATTCAAGTACAAAACACACACAGACAGAAATTCAAACTTCTTTTTGAAAAAGAAAGTTTGAATTGTTGATATCTCTCTAAACTTCTAAAACAAATATCTCTATGTTATTTTAAATACTGATGGCAGTGATGGCTCCAGATGGCCTGCCACTGCCATCACAGCAGCTGCAGCAGGGAGGCCAGGGCTGCACGCTCCATGGAACCAGTGGGAGCTGGGGACAAGCAGAAGCCCCACCTCTTCCAATCTGAGGTGGAAGCAGCTCCCCAGGTGATGGGTGCTGCTGCAGACCCAAACCCTGGCTACATACCCAGGCCTCGCACTCCACAGAGCAGGCAGGACCCCCATCCCTCTGGGCAGGGCTACAGCCACCCAAGTTGTGGCTGCAGATTCAAACCTCCCTGTGCTACTGGGGGACCAAGAGCAGGCAGAACCCTGCCCTCATTGGCCCAGCTGCAGCTGCCCAAACCATGGCTGCAGACTTGAGCCTCCTGCTCCACAGAGCAGACAGGAGCCAGGACTGCCTCCCTCACTCTGCCTTTGCAGGCTGAGAAGTGCTTGCTCAAGGGCATACTCTAATCTGGGAGCAAAGTCTGGTGAACCTTGGCACCATAAAGGCAGCAGGAAGCAGATTCCTGGGCAGAAGGGGGAGGGTCCCTGGTGAGGCCCCACTTTCAGGCCAAGGAGGGCCTGAAGGCTGGGGGCAGACTGCCAGTCCCACAACCAGAGTGGGATCTTGTGGTGCGTTTGCCACCAGCCCATTGCCTCCCATGGACCAATTGACATGCACTTCCTCCCATCTGAGGCCCATAAAGGCCCCAGGCTCAGCCAGAGCTCAGCAGATGACAGGAGGACCAGCTGCAGAGAGGAGCTACCCTCCCTGCTGAGAGCTTCAGAGACCTGCAGAGATGTCAGGACTACCAGCTACAGAGAAGAGCAACCCACTCCAGGGCCTCCTCTCTGCTAGAAGCTGGGAAGACATTGGAATGATCAGCAGCAGAGAGGAGCCACCCTCTCCAGGGCTTCCTCTCTGCTGAGAGCTGCAAACATCTGGACAACCTGCCTACAGAGAGGAGCCACCCTCTCCAGGCCTCCTCTCTGCTGAAAGCTGCAGACGTCAGGATGACCTACCTACAGAGAAGAGCTAACTACAGTGGGTCTCCTCCTAGCACTCCTAACACTCAATAAATCTCCTCTTCATTTTGCTCACCCTCCACTTGTCTGCATACCTCATTCTTCCTGGATGCAGGACAAGAACTTGGGCAGAGGTGCCACTGGCCACAGAGGTTTGTGGCCAGAAAAGTGACACCCAAAGATTCCGTGATAATATCACTTTTTTTTTTTTTTTTTAAAGACAGAGTCTCACTCTGTCATCCAGGAGGCTGGAGTGCAATGGCAGAATCTCGGCTCACTGCAACCTCTGCGTCCTAGGTTCAAGTGATTCTCCTGCCTCAGCTTCCCAAATAGCTGAGATTACAGGTGCCCACCACCATGCCCAGCTAATTTTTGTATTTTTAGTAGAGACGGGGTTTCACTATGTTGGCCAGGCTGGTCTCAAACTCCTGAGCTCAGTTGATCCGCCCACCTCAGCCTCCCAAAGTGCTGGGATTACATGCATGAGAACAATACTTTCACTTTAACAAGCCCATATTACTTTAATTCCAAACTAGTATGACTCCAATTCCAAAACTAGATTATAATGGTATAAAAATAAAACTACTAATCTCATCTGTTAGTCAAAAAATATCAAGTAAAATATCAGTAAACTGAATATAGTAATTTATGAAAATAATATCATTCTAAAACTCTCACAGACAATTGTCATAGCAGTAGCAGCCAACACCTTTGGCACACTTGTCTTCTATCCTGGTAACTTCGCACAGTCAATAGCTCAAATCTCCATTTAGAAAGCAGAGCTTACCTACCAGCCTCCCTGGCTTCCACCTATAGGAATCTTTGATTCATAAGAGAAGGCGTAAGCATACAAATTTCACTTTGTTGTGGGAGAAGGAGAAAGAGACTTCAAGTTATAAAATCTAAAGTAGCTAAACTCCTGAAAGAAAGTCCCTTTGTTCAGCATCATCAGAATATTGTTTATTTTCTTCCATATCTGTGCCCAGCTTAATTGGACCCACACCTGCAAGCAGAATGTTGATGAAATTTGTGCATTTTTCAATCTGAAAGGCTCTGAACTCTACTGGAGACTTACTGAATTGCTAATACACTACAATAAATTTATTTTCTTTCTGCTTAAACTTTTCAGAAGTGGATCTGCTATTTGCAAGGAAGAATTGTGACTGAGATGAGCTGTTTAAAATAGTAATTCAAATATCTTTAAATGGTGGGCAATTTATCAATAGATTTATTTCATCAACAAATTAAGAGAAAACACATATGATTACATTGACAATGCCAAAATGACAGTTGATTATGCTGAAAATATGTGTAGTAAACACCTAAACAAGATAGCAGTAGACTTTTTCACCAAAAGGTTAATGACAATCTTGTTCAAACTCTATATATATTATATAAATGTAAACCACTATTTAGCTATAAAACCAGCAGTACATCTGGATATATATGTAAAGACATAGAGAGTAGAAATTTTCATACTGACAAAAATTGCAAAGTGAATGTCCTTCAATAAGAGAATGGTTAAATAAACAACGACTTATCTCAAAAATGCAACATTATTAAGCCATTTAAAAGAATGATTATTCCAAATGATTTAAAGTAATTCCATCAGGTGTTATTGAGTGAAAATAGAAAGATACAGGTTAAAGTGTGAAATATTATCTTCATGTTTTAAAAAAATCAAAACACGACCAAAACATTCCACATATATATATACCATATAAACACATACAAACATGTAGAGAGTTACATAACTCAAAAGAAGAAAAGGAAGGAACAAACCTTCGTTCTTTAGCATGGATTAGAGCTTGGTCATGGGATGGGGAGAAGTTAAGGAGGGAAGGACAGGGGTTTTTATTGGAGTAGGTGGAAGATGTTAGGGGTGGTAAAAAAAAATTTAAGGGGAAAAAAGAAATAGAGATACAGAAAATACAAAAATAAAAGAAAGATGACATCAAAACATAAAGCAGCATGTATATAATTCCCTTCATGTAATTTGCAAGCATTGAACATAAAAGATATAGTTTCTTCATAGCATAAGTATATGTAGGTAAATATTGTGAGAAGTTTCCTAAGTGATGACTATGTGCTTTTGGGATGGAACATGATAGAGCATGATCAGATCATTGCTGTTTGTTTTTACTCTTATTTTCATTGTCAGCCTTTAGTGTTATTTGACATTTTAAATTACATGTATTCTTTTGAGAAAATTAATACAAAATAGTTTAGATTTCTCCCTCCAGCCATGACCATATCCAGGAAGAAGGCGGGGGCTGCCGTCTGTCAGAAGCCTCCCTAGGGCAACGGCTCTGCCTTGCTGGGCCCAGGAAATGAAGCAGGCACTTCCAGCAAGAGGCACACGCGGCGGAAGCACTGCAACAGCAGCAGCGGCAAGGACAGCAGCAACGACCTTGAGGACGGTCTGGAGCTCCACTGGGCCCCCAGTGGAGACGGGATCAGGCATGCAGCAGCAGGCAAGGGCGGGCAGCGTGGCTGTGGTCATCACTCAGCCTAAGTACACCAAGGAACACATCAAACTTGAAGGGTCGAAGTACAATGGGCAACTTTTGATTTGAAGGGCAGTCAACTGGGACTTGACTGGTTGAAAGGAAGTGCCTAAACAGCAAAAGCTGCTTACGGCAATCTCAGTCAGAATTTGTGAGGGGCCTCAGATATGTGGGTACCTGGTAGTGCCCAGGTGTGGGCAGTGGTTTCTGGTTAGTGTGCTGCTCACAGCCTCCTCATCACCATAGAAGGGAAGCTGTGGAGCTGCTGTGGACAAGAGAAGGGGCATCTGGGACATGACAACACCAAGAGAGAGGAAGCTCCCAGACTCATCAAAGGTCTTAGCCATGAAGTGATCCTGCCGGCAGCATGTGGGCAGAACCACACACTGACCTTGACAGAAACCAGCTCCTTGTTCACATTTGGGGAGAACAAGATGGCATAGCTGGGTCGTGGTAACCAGACAGATGCTGTCCACAGCTTGGCACAGACAAGGTATAAAGGCCAGCCCATTACCAAAATGACCTGTGGAGTTGAATTCAGTGTGATAATGGACTGCAAAGGAAACCTCTTTTCCTTTGGGTGCCCTGAATATGGTCAGCTGGGAAACAATTGGATGGGAAGTTCATCACCCCGATGCAGCCATTAGAATATTACTGAAAACTGGTGCCCCTGCGATTGGCTGTCTTCATCCAGAAAACAAAAGATGGACAGATTCTGCCTGTACCAAATGGTTGAATGAGACACAGCCTGTGGCACTAACTACACGCTGGTTTTGGACTCCCAGAAGCAAGTCTTCTCAGGGCTTCATTGGCTATGGCTGGCTGGGCCACGTGGAGCAGAAAGTTGAGACTGTTCCCCCTCGCCAGGTGAAGCTGTTTGACTTCCCTGGGCGTGGGGTGCCCCCAGATCTATGCTGGTTATGATGGTTACACGTGCTCTTTGCTGGCAGTGAAGTGGGTGGTCTGTTTATCTGAGGGGCCACCAACACCTCCTGTGAGTCTACCATGTACCCCAAAGCAGGGCAGAACCTCTGTGGCTGGAGAATCTGGAGCCTGGCTTGTGAGAAGAGCAACATCATTGCATAAGAGCATCACCAGCTGGGGCCCCGTTGCCAACATTCAGGCAACTGGCCTGCAGGGACCAGAAACCAAACTCTTTATAGTTCCCTGTCCAGCCAGAGCCTTGTCACAGCAGTTGCCAGTTAGAGATTTGCCAGCTGTCAAGTGCATTCTCTGGTCCTTACAAGAAGGATCAGCACTTTATGCATCAGTCTTTATTGCCTTTAGGCTTCAGTCTCTCTTTCCCGCAACCCAGACACTGACTAGTACTGGCCGTCCTGTTTCTGAAACTGGGAGTAGTGCTCTTCACTCAGCTCTCTTTGGTCTCCTTTGCTTGGCTCTGGTACCAAATAGTTGGGATTACTGAAGAGTCCCTTTCCTCACTTGTCAGCACTGATGCTGTGACCACTACCTGTATCCCAGTCAAGTGCCCTGTGCTGGAGCTTGGCACAGTGCATGCTGTGCAGCATTAGTTACAAGGTGCCCTTCCCGGAACCCTCCACTCACTTGAGCTCAAGAGAGGAAACACCTCTGGCTGGAGGGTCCTTGTTTCCAGAGAATTTGGGTTGCTTTGGTTGCTTTAAGGTAATTAATTCAGTGGTGCTTTTGGGGGAGATGAGAATAGAACTTAAGTGTGAGACTTGGGTGGATGGGCAAGTTAAATATTGGTCTTTTCAAGTTATTTATTGCTTTTTTGTTACCACTTGTCATTGTCTTCATGTTAAAATACCAAAAATGACTTGGCTGTTGCTTTTTTCTCTATTTTCCACCCAGTCCCTCCTTATGGTGACTTCTTCCCTTGCAGGGGACTTAGCAGTATCTGTCTGGGCCAGTCCCAAGGCCTTGTGGCAGGAAACCAGCCTGCATCTCTCTAAGACTTAATCTGACTATGTACTCATCTCTACTGTCCTATGTTCAATCAGGAGTCATGGGAGAAGCTTCTGCAACTTCAGAGCTTTGCTAAACTAACCTAATTTGTCCAAATCACCACAAAAGCACCATCTCCGACTCAAGCTTCCATGTGAAGGCCTAATTGGCTTCCCCGAACATATCTCTTTCCTGGAACGTGGCTCAGGGATCTGTGTTTCTTGTACCCTGGAGGTCTCCTTTGTTGTGTAGTCACCAAGAAGGTTGAGAAGGCAGCACCAAGCACCCTGCCTTTGCAGGAGATGCCCTGGGCGGGGCTGGGCTTAGAGCTTCCAGTGGACTCATGGAAAGCTGGCAGCTAGCCTTTTCTATAACCCTTGCCAAGGACTGGAGCAGGAAAAGGATCTTTCAAGTGAAGACTGGCTCGCCCCTGCCCCATTCCTTTTGGCTGATATTTCAAAACAACTTCCTGATGTGTTAAATCCTTTAGAACAAGGAGTTGGGGTAGGGGGAGGGGTGGCATGCACTCTTAAAGAAAGGTATACAGTGGCTCTGCTGGGAATATGGCATGGTGCTGACCCCACGAGCATTTGACTGATCTTCTAGTCAGGAAAGAGAATTTGAAAGAGGCTTAGAGTGAAGGGGAATTGAAGACAGGGTTGTGATTTGGTCTAAGGTGCCAGGTTTAATGCTGTAATTTTCATATATATTTTTTTTTTCTTGGAGTAAACTTTTGAATAAACATTGTTTAAAAAAACAAAAATAGTTTAAAAGGAAAATCAAATACTCTTCATGTGGGCCCTATGTCGTATTTTAACGTCCTTTCTCTTTTTGTGTGTCTGTGACTACACAAAAACACAAACTGAAAAAGAAATTAACAAAAAAATTAAGTTCATGAGAGTAAGATTATTTGTTTTTCCCTTTTTAATTACATTGAAAAGTAAAATACTTACACACATATTTTCGTAGAAAACATGTAATAAGCCCAGCTCTTTTCTCACTCCAAAATATTTTCCCAACAACAAACAAAACTACACTTTTTACATCACTTCTGTTTATTCTGAACAATTTATACCTTACCACTCAGCTGTCTCACATGCCATGCCATTTCCTCCTTCAAGTTTTCTTAGCTCTTCCAAATACATAATAAATTGATTTTCTTAAAAATCTAAACTCTCATATAAAGTTACTTACACCTATGCTTAGAATTCAAAATATTGTTTTGTACAACAGTTTGGTCTTTATTTCCTTGCCTAACACTTTCTCTTTGTCCCTGTGGTTTCATTGATCTCTGGACTGAAACTTTCCATCAGCGATCTCCCTCATGGGGAGTGCTGGCAGATAAGGAAAGAAAAGAAAGCAAAGTAAGGTATTTATCCTCCTAGTTTCTGCCCTGTGAGGTCATCTCAGGCTGGCTGTCTTCTCTGACCTGAGGTCACTGCTGCTGTCCAGACAGGCCCCTCCATAAGCCTCTACCAAAACTTACTGTAGTTGCTTCCTTTATTCCTCATTGTAATCTTGAGCTACTCACTCTGAGATTCCCCTATATTAGCCCACTACTTTCTAATAAGCAGCTTTGTGAATTAAACATTAGTTTATCCTAATTTGAGTGTGCCATCTCCTTCTTGTATCCCAAGTGATATGCTTATGTAGGAAATTGTCATTTTTATAATAACACAGACCATATCTTGTGCCTCTCCTCATCTTTGTATCTAGAGCGGAGTCCCTTCAATGTAGTAGATGCTTAATCAATATGTAAACAATTGCATTGGATAACAACTTGAGATCAAAGTATTACTGGGAATGCCATGCATTAAATGTAATTTTAAGAGAGCTACTGATTTAGTCTTCATTTAAGCAACTGTGCAAACATGTGAAGAGTTTATTTTGACAATGCAATGCCACAAAACTGACAAAATAAGGCAAAGCTACCTGACACTTTAAAGAGTTCCTTTCGTAACAATACAAACACAAACTATTGAAATATTGTTTCTTAATACATTATCTTTTCCAGCTTTTTAGAGGTATAATTAACAAATAATTATATAAATTTAAGGTGTAAAATGTGATGTTTTGAAATGTATATACATTATGAAATGATTACCACCAGAAAGCCAATTAACACATCCTTCACCTCACATTGTTAACTCCATGTGTGTATGATGAGAATACTTGACATCTATTATCTTTGTAAATTCCAAGTACACATTATTAACTAAAGGCACCATGCTATATATTAGGTCTCCAGAACTTATTTTATGACCAAAAGTTTGTTCCCTTTGAATAACATCTTCCCATTCTACCACCCCCACCTCCAACCCAAAACCCCCAGCCCCTTATATTCACCCTTCTACTCTCTGTTTCTATTAAGATGACTTTTTTAGACTCCACATATAAGTGATTTCAGGTGGTATTTGTCTTTCTGTGTCTGGCTTTTTTCACTTAGCATAACATCTTCCAGCTTCATTCATATAATCCCAAGTGGTAGGATTTTCTTCTTTTTGAAGGCTGCAGAATATTCCATTGTGTGTATATACCATTTTTTCTTTATCCACTTATCCACTGATGAACACTTAGATTGATTCCACACCTTGGCCACTGTGAATAATGCTGCAATGAACATGGGAGTGAAATCATCTCTTAACATACTGATTTCATATCCTTTTGATATGTACCCCATAGTGGGATTGCTTAGATCATATATATGGTGTTTCTATTTTTAGTTTTTTGAAGGACCTCCATGATACTTTCCATAATGGCTGTATTAATTTACATTCCCACCAACATGTATAAGCGTTCCCTTTTCTCCTCATCCTCACCAACACTTATTTTTCATTGCACTGATAATAGCCATCCTTACATATGTCAGCTGATATCTCATTGTGATTTTAATTTGTACTTCAATGATAATTAGTGATGTTGAGTAGCTTTTCATATGCCTACTGGTCCTCTGTATGTTTTCATTAGAAAAATTTCTTTTGGAGTCATTTGCACATTATTTAATTGGGTTTTTTAGGTATTTGCTGTTGAGTTGTATGAGTTTCCTACATATTTTGATGAACCTTTATGAGATAAATTATTTGAAAATATTTCATCCCATTCCATAGACTGCCTTTTCATTTTCTTAAGTTGTTTCTTTTATTGGGCAGAAAATTTTTAGTTTGATATAGTTTCATTGGTTTTAGTTTTGTTGCTTGTGCTTTTGGTGTCATGTCCAAAAAATCATTATTTTAAATGGCTTAAATTAAGTGAAAAATATTTTACTCAATAATACAGAAAATATTATTTATTCTGAAATAAAGTATTTAAAAGTGAAATGAATTAATGCAGAAAATAGTTTCATTTTTCATAACATGTTGAAATCTTAAATATAGAAATCACTATCTGGCATTTCCACTTTACTAAATTTTCCTCTACATTTTCAATTGATGCTTCTGAAAGACACTTTTGATAATACAAGTCCCTCTAGTGGCATCTGATATGAACATTGTAATACATATAAAAAGTGTTTTTTTTTTAGTGCTTAGAAAACATGTTAAGACAGTTACAAATTTATTAAATTTAGAAATGATAGTACCATCAGTCATTAATTTGTTGTAATATTTATTCACTATGATATGTAACATATATTTATTGTCTTAAATTAATTTTAAAATTGATAAATAAGAATATTGCATTTTCTTACTTAAAAGGGATAGTTCGATAGAGGGAAATGTACTTATTGAGCACCTAGTCTGTGCTATGTGCTATATCTATTAACTCATTAAATTTGATCAACAACCAGGTTATAGAGCAGATTTTGTCACTTCCACTTTAAAGAAAATAAAACTCAGAAAACAATAAAACTCTATAAGTCATCTGTCTAATTAGTGACAGAGCAAAGAGCTCATGTGCAGATTTGTCTAAGCCATTTTTTACTCCACATTTCACTTAAAATATAACTGTTTAAAAATGAAAAGAAAGACTGGCATATAACCAGAAAAATTTGACAGCTAATTCTAAACTGACAAGTAGAAGGGCAATACTAAGCTGTAAGAAGGTGAATCGTTCAAAAAGAGGTTTTTAAATCTCAGGAATTTTGATGTACCTAAATTAGCTCTCTCTCACTCTCTCACACATTTTTCTTCTTAACCAAACTATATCTTACTGAAAGGTAAATGGATAAGTATTTTGTTTCATTTTAAATGAAATTTTGAATTTGATCAGCTAGTTTACTGTACTTATATTATTCACACTCTGATTTCAGTTGAAATGATATAAGTGATACCTCATGGTAAGCAATATCACTCCATGTCCAGATGCAAATACAATATACAAAATTTGTTTAATAGGACATTTCTTATCACAATCTTGATTTTTAGTTTAAGAAGCCAACAAAAAGAAGTATCGTTGCATGGGAGATGTGAAATACCAATTTTGAAAATTTTCCCCCAATTTTCCTAAAACGAAGTACAAAATATCAAATTGTTTACAATTCTGCTTTATATTTTATTTAAGGTGTAACCTCTGAATTATTATTTATTATTCACATTACTAGGTCTGAGTAATATTTTAGTATCATGTCCTTTTAAAAGTAGATTTATCCTGGCTAACGTGGTGAAACCCCGTCTGTACTAAAAATACAAAAAAATTAGCCGGGCATGGTGGCAGGCGCCTGTAGTCCCAGCTACTCCGGAGGCTGAGGCAGGAGAATGGTGTGAACCTGGGAGGCGGAGCTTGCAGTGAGCCAAGATCGCGCCACTGCACTCCAGCCTGGGCGACAGAGCGAGACTCTGTCTCAAAAAAAAAAAAAAAAAAGGGTAGATTTAACATTTGCTCATTAACAATGTGCCCCAAAACTGACAGTCCTTGAAGCAATGAAAAAATAATATATTCATAGTATTGCTTATTTTTAACATTTTCATAGTATCACTTATTTTAAAACTATCCTTGTGATGCCAGATCTTTCTCTGTGCTGGGAAGTAAAATCTCTGTAAAGCAAAAATAAAATTCTAAACCCTCAATTCACTAAATGGACCCTCTTATCAGCCAAGGGAGCCCAACTAAACCTGAGAAAGCACTTCTGACCATGAGGTGAAGGAGGTATCAGACATGCTCATAAACTCTCCTCCCTTTGGGAGTTTGGGCGCATAACTAACCAGCATTAACTTTAAAACAGAGATCCTACGACTGGTAGAACAGACTCTTTGTAGCAATAAGATACTAAATTCCAACCTGGCTATAGAATAGCATCAAATGACAGACAGCAGGGCCCTTAAGGAATTCAAAATATTTTACCACAAAATATGTTTCTTTGACATATTTTAAAATGATTCTGCAAAGTTGACTCTTGTGGGGGAAATTTACATTCTACAGAATCCCTTTCCTTTCCAGGTCTCTTTCTGATCCTGAAAAGATTGGCTGAGAGTCTAGCACATTTTAAAGTCTTAATAGGAAACATTTGCTATCTATTGCCCCTGGGGGTGACCATCTATGAGACTTCATCAAAATAATAAGAACTTTGGTCTCCACAACCCCTTATCTTAACCTAGACACTCCTTTCTATTGATTCCAGGTCTTTAGGTAATAACTTAACTTTTTCATCCAATTGCCAACCACAAAAGCTTTGAATCCACTTAAGACCTCTAAGCCTCTATTTGGAGTTGTCCTGCCTTTCTGGACCAAACCAATGTATACTTCACATGTACTGATTGATGTTTTATGTCTCGCTAAAACATATAAAAGCAAGCTATAATCCAACCACGTTGGGCACATGTTCTCAGAACCTCCTGAGGCTGTGCCACAGGTTATGATTCATAACCCTGGCAAAACACAATTCTAAACTGATTGAGACTTGTCTCAGACACTTTTTGGTTTACATCACAAATAAGATCTGGAGTTAGCTGCCGCTCACAGAAACATTCTCAGTCTATGGGAATAGGTCTGGGGTACATTGTCCCTGGATGTGGCAGATGTTTAAAGCTGACCATTTTCCTTTTATTTATACGACTACTACATATGAAGTGTGCTTGATCTGGTATACATCTTCGCTGGCTGTTTGCAAACAATCCCTTTGGACTTTGAGCTGATAACTCCAACTTGTTTCAGCAGTCATTTCTCAGACCATCCAGGTGGTCATTTTAAATAAAATCTAAGACAAAATCTGGTTGTTTTTGTCTCCTTAGCCCATATTTGATCTATGGAAAATACTCATAGTTAGCCACTAAGAGTACAGAAATTTTTCAATCTCAGCCTGGATTGTAATGACTCTGGATGCTTCAGTAAACCTCCCAGCCTAAAGACACAAGGGTATTGTTTCCAACAAGATCATCAAATTTCCCCATTTTTGAAGCCAATTCTAATTTGCTTGAAAGAGAGAGAAAGTATACATTCAACAGAATGCAATAATGAAAACCCTTACTATTTTCTCCTTTTATTCCCCAAACTGCATGTGTTAAAAGCCCTTACTTATATTTGCTGGTAATGGCTAGGGACTATAGAAACTGAATAAGTAAAAACTATCTCTCTCTAACCTCAGCCCAAGCTAGGGGAAAAAAAGAACATTAGATAAACTTCAAAGATTTTGAATATCATTCGGAGCTTATCATTCACACATATATCTTCTTAGAAACATTTGTTCAAATGTTTTTTCACATTTTATTATTGTATTGTCTTCTTATTACTGAGTTCTTCATATATTATGAATGCAGTTCCTTTGACATATACATGATTTCAAATATGATTGCAAATATTTTATCTCACTTTTTGATTTGCCTTGACATTTCTTGAGGATGGATTTCAAAGAACAGTGGGTTCTTTGAAGCCTTTTTTTTTTTTTTTTTTACCATTAGGCTTCCTTTATTTATATTGTTTTCTTCTTCCTTTTCTTTATTCTCTTACTCTCCCTTTCATTTGATTTTTTTCATTGAGGGAACTTTTCCCCTGGGAAGATACAATTTATGATTGATATGGTTTGACTGTATCCCAACCCAAATCTCATCTTGAATTGTAGTTCCCATAATTTCCATGTGTCATGGGAGAGGATCCTTTGGGAGGTAATTGAATCATGTAGGCAGATACCTCTAGGCTGGTCTCGTGATAGTGAGTGAGTTCTCATGAGATCTGATGGTTTCATAAAGGGCTTTTCCCCCTTTTCTCAGCACTTCTCTTTCTTGATGCCATGTGAAGAAGGATGTGTTTTCTTCCCCTCCCACCATGATTGTAAGTTTACTGAGGCCTCCCCAGACATGCTAAACTGTGAGTCGACTAAACCTCTCTCCTTTAAAAATTACCCAGTCTCAGAAACGTCTTTATTAGCAGCATGAGAATGGACTGATACAGTAAATTGGTACCAAGGGAAAGAGGAACTACTATAAGGATACCTGAAAATGTGAAAGTGACTTTGGAACTGAGTAACAGGCAGAGGTTGGAACAGTTTGCAGGGTTCGAAAGACAGGAAAATGTGGGAAAGTTTGGAACTTCCTAGAGACTTGTTGAATGGCTTTGACCAAAATGCTGATAGTGACCTGGACAATAAAGTCCAGGCTGAGGTGGTCTCAGATGGAGAAGAGGAACTTCTTGGGAACTGGAGCAAAGGTGACTCTTGCTATGCTTTAGCAAAGAGACTGGCATTTTGCCCCTGCCTTAGAGATCTGTGGAACTTTGACCTCAAGAGGGATAATTTAGAGTATCAGATGGAAGAAATTTCTAAGTAATAAATCATTCAAGAGGTGACAGAGCATAAAAAGTTTGGCAAATTTGCAGCGTGACAATGCAGTAGAAAAGAAAAACACATTTTCTGGCTGTAGAAATTTGCATAAGTAATGAGGAGCCAAATGTTAATCACCAAGACAATGGGGAAAATGTCTCTAGGACATGTCAGAGAACTTCATGGCAGCCCTTCCTATCACAGGCCAGGAAAAATGGTTTCTCGGACCATGCCCCAGGCCCTCCTGTTCTGTACAACCTTGAGACCTAGTGACCTGAGTCCCAATTGTTTTAGCTCTAGCCATAGCTAAAAGGGGCCAAGGTACAGCTCAGGCCATTGCCTCAGAAGGTGCAAGCCCCAAGCCTTGGCATCTTCCATGTGGTGTTGAGCCTGTGAATACACAGAAGTCAATAATTGAGGTTGGAAAAACTCCACCTACATTTCAGAGGAGTATGGAAATGCCTGACTGTCCAGGCAGAAGTTTGCTATGGGGTTGAGCCCTCATGGAGAGCTGCTGCTAGAGGAGTGCAGAAGGGAAATGTGGGGTTGGAACCCCCACACAGACTCCCCACTAGGGCACTACTAGTGTAGCTGTGAGAAGAGGGCCACCATCCTCCAGACCCCAGAATGGTAGATCCACCAACAGCTTGCAGCACGAGCCTTGAAAAGTTGCAGACACTCAACGTGAGCCAATGAAAGCAGTGGGAGGGGAGCTGTACCTCTGTAGAGGTTCTGCTGTACCCTGCAGAGCCACAGGACTGGAGCTACCCAAGGCCATGGGAGCCTACCTCTTGTATCAGCATTACTTGGATGTGAGACATGGAGTCAAAGGAGATCATTTTAGAACTTTAAGTTTTAATGACTGCCCTACTGGATTTCAGACTAGCATGGGGCCTGTAACCCCTTTGTTTTGGCCAATTTCTCCCATTTGGAATAGCTGTATTTACCCAATGTCTGTACCACCATTGTATCTAGAAAGTAACTAACTTGCTGTTGATTTTACAGGCTCGTAGACGGAAGGGACTTGCCTTGCCTCAGGTGAGACTTTGGACTTAAGACTTTTGGGTTAATGCTGGAATGAGCTAAGACTTTGAGGGACTATTGGAAAGGCATGATTGTGTTTTCAAATGTGACGACGTGAGGTTTGAGAGGGCCCAGGGTTAGAATGATACAGTTTGGCTGTGTCCCCACAAATCTCATCTGGAATTGTAGTTCCCATAATCCCCATGTGTCATGGGAGGGACCCAGTGAGAGGTAACTGAATCATGGGATGTTTACCCCCATGCTGTTCTTACGATAGTGAATCTGTTCTCATGAGATCTGATGGTTTTATAAGAAGCTTTCTCCCCTTTGCTCAGCACTTCTCCTTACAGCCACCATGTGAAGAAGGACGTGTTTGCTTCCCCTTCTTCCATGATTGTAAGTTTCCCGAGGCTTCCCCAGCCATGCAGAACTGTGAGTCAATTAAACTTATTTCCTTCATAAATTACCCAGTCACGGAGGTGTCTTTATTAGCAGTGTGAGAACAAACTAATACAATGATCAATATCAACTTGTTTCTAATTTTCATTTCAAATTTATTTCAGGGACATCACTTCATAAGTGAGTTTTGTAATGATATCCAACTTATCAGTTTTTTTCTCTTTTATACTATTGCTTGTTGTGCCCACAATAAAAATATTTAACTTTTAAAATCATTATGGTGTCCCCAGACATCTAATCTTTATGATATCTAGAAGTTTTATAGATTTAGATTTTATTTTTACAATTATAACCTTTTGAGTTAATTTTTATATATAAAGGACAAGGTTTATTTATTTTCATATAAGTATTCTCCCATTGTTCAGCACTATTATTTTTGAAAAGAACAAAGCTATCTTTTCTCATTAATTTACCTTGATACCTTTATCAAAATTCAATTGACCATGTGGTTATGAGTCTATTTCTGTTCTCTATATTTTGCTCCATTGATCTTTGTCTATATATATATGTCAATATTCCACTCTTTTGATTTATAGTATGTCTTAAAAATCACTCTTTAAGAAGTGAGCCACTGCCTCTGTCCAAAGCTCCAGAGCAGTGGCATGTATGTTACGATGTGGGAAATTATCCCGAAGCCCAGTAGGATGAGGATATAGACTTCGGGGTGACCGAAGAATCAAAATAGGTGTTGGTACAGGATAGGGTCTCCCCCTCCAGCTGGATCAAAGAAGGTGGTATTAAGGTTGCGGTCTGAGAAAGGCTAACCATAATAATGGGAGCTTAAATGTCTCCCCAAGGGAACTGACTTTATTTGGAACAAACTGTGGGGGAAATTCAAGCCTAATGGCACTGTAGAAATCAAAGAATATTGTGGTAGTAACCAATAAAGAAGAGGCTACTAGCTCCGTGAGAGCAACAAGCTATACTGTAGGCCAGCTACGTTTTAAGAAAGAATCAGAGATTTCTCCCGATGTCAAAACAAACCCCAAAATTTTGTGTTCAGAACTACCCCCAATAAAGTGTCCCATATTTAATTGGATCACACTTCAGAAAATTATATGCACCAGGACATTGTTGAAAATGATAAATCAATCAAAACCAATTAATTCACCTAACAGTGAATACCAACTGAGGCAGACAGCTTAACAGAGAGATCAGAGAAAGGAACAAAGAGAGCACTGCTAAAACCACTGTCATCTCAGTGTGACTTGCTACATACTCAAGGATGGGACTCTATGATAAGTAATATCAGAAATTTCACACTGAACAAAAAAATACTTCAATGAATATTGCAGCCAAGTTACTAGAAAAAAAGCCATGAAGTAGGGGAATCAGTAACTGGAGCTGCTAAAATATATTATCTAAAATGTTCATGTTTTAGCAAATTTGTTATGAAATAAGAAAAGACATAGACAAGCATGTGGCTCATATACAGGAAAAACACAGGCAAAACAAACTGCCTGAGAAAGGAAGAAAGATAAAGTTAGGTGACAAAATTTCAAAACAGCTAATAAAATTAAGTTAAAAAATTAAAGAAAACCATGCTTACAGAATAAAGGATATGATGACACTGTCTAATTAAATAGAGAATAAACATACGAAACAGACATTTTAAAAAGGAATCAAATTAAAATTCCACCATTGAAAAGTAAAAGAATTTAAGTAAAATTTACTAGAAAGGTCAACAATAGATTTGAATTCTAAGAAAAGAATCACCGATGTGCAAAAAGATTCGTTACCAGAGACAGCAGGTGTCCCAGTTCCTGTCTTAACTTGGAAGAAAGATTTCAACCAACAGACAGAACAAAGATAGCTTTATTGAAAGGAAATATAGTGTAAAGTGCCTATAATAAAAATAAGTATGCCTCAAGGGAGGATCAGGCTGATCCTATAGGAAAACTGCCCCAAGGGTGTCTGCACAAGGAGTTTTATCGTGTTCTTTAAATTCCTGACTCATCTCAAGTCTCTGCCTTATTTCTTTGTCTAGTTTTTCCAGTTCCTGTCTTAAGTCCCTACTTTTGCCCCCACCTAGGCTTGTGGGACCCTCCTTTACTGTTGGTTAATGCACATGCAAGGGCCAGTGATCAAGATGAATTCTACCTGATGGTGACCCTGCTCATTATCGCCACCCCAGGAAGGTTGTATAGTGGTTAAATCTATACCTATTGCACCTGCAGATCTCTTTAGAATTTCCATCTCTGACTTAATCTGTACTTATGGTGCCAGGTTTTTCTTAGGAATGTTCCTTTTGTCCTTCTTATCAGCAAAAGCATGTAGCTGGCAATATTCTGACATCTTAACTGCAGAGTGAATGAGGTGTTTTGGGTCATTTCTTTCTGCATAGGTACCTCCTCTCCTTCCTACCCACATTTGACTAAGTCCCCACCCACTCCAGCATTAGAGATGCTAGTAATATGCAAATTTTGGGTGGTCCCTTGGGCGTGAGCCTTCCCAGACTTTTCCTTTCTCAGGGACATTTTTCTCCTGCTCGTGTCTGGCTATCTGCCTACTTGAACAGATTGACAGAGATTAAGAAAAGGAAAAAAAAAAAAAGAATGAAGAAAAATGAACAGAACCATAGAGATATGTAGAAAACCATTAACTGTGCCAACACACCCCTAATGAAAGCATCAGAGGAGAAAAGAGAGAAAAGTGAGCAGAAAAGAGCTGAAAAAAAATTCAAAGACATAATGACCAATACTTCCTAAATTTTATGAAAATCATTAATGTATATATCCAGGAAAAACAATGAACTCCAAGTAGAATCAACACCCAAAACTACAAATAGAGCCACATCCAGAAACATTGTAGTAAAAATGTTGGAAGACAAAGAGTAAAACCTTGAAAGTGGCAAGAGAAAAACAGTTCAATACAGACAAGAGAATCACAATAAGATCAACCGTTGACTTCTTATCACAAATAATGGCAGCCAGAGGCAGTAGGATGACATGAAAATGCTAGAGGAAAAACAGTCAACTAAAATTCTTACATAGAGCAAAAGTATTTTTCAAAAAATGGAGGTAAAATAAGACATTTAGATCAATAAAAGCTTAGACTTTATTACTAGAAAACATTCTTTTCAAGAAACATTAAAGGAAATTCTTCACAAAGTGAGTGATGCCAGACAGAATTTGAATCCACACACCAAATAACAAAGAACACCTCTAAAAGTAATTATGTAATTATATAGGTGATATTAATGCATATTTCTTCTCCTTTCTTCACTCTATTGATTTAAAGTGCAATTATATAAATCATTATGAGCATTTTTGGGCCTATAACACATAGAAATGTGATAAATTTTACAATAATAACACAAAGGAGGCAGGTGAAAGTAAAGCTATAACAGGGTGAGGAAATGATATCAGATTATAATTTGAATGCACAGGAACAAATGAAGAGACCCAGAATAATTAGACTAGTAAATTAACAAATTCTATAAATAAATATTTTTTATCCTATTATCCTCAGCTATTTTTTAAAATGGTACAATGTAATAGTTATAGCAATGTATTATGGATTTTTAACATACATGGGTATAATATTTATAAAATAATAGCATATTTATAAAATAATAGCATAAAACGTATAAAAGGAAGAAGTATATATGACAATAATGATTCTGTATTTAATTGAATTAAGTTATAAATCTAGTAGATTCTAGTAAGTTAATACATATATTGTAAGCTCTACAGTAACAACTAAAGAAAACTTTAAAACATTTCAAAAAATTATTAAGAAATACAAATGTTACACCAGAATACATTCAATTCATGCCAAAGAAGGCAGTAAAAGAACAACAGAGAAACAAAAAAAGACATAAGATATACAGAAATCATTAAGTAAAATAAATGTTTGATGTAAAGCCAACAATATCAATAACTTTAAATGTGAAGGAATTAAACAATCCAATAAAATTCAGAGATTGTCAAACTGGATTATAAAAAGAAAGTTCCAACTAATGCTGTCTACAAGAGAGACATTTTAGATTTAAAGCTAAAAATAGTTGTAAGTAAAAAGTTGGGAAAGATGTATCATGCAAACAATAATCACAACAAAGCCAAAATGGCTATACTAATATCAGACAAAATAGACTTTAAGTCAAAAAGTGTCACTAGAAATAAAAAAAAAATGACATCTCACAATGTCAACAGTATCAATCTATCAGGAATCCATAACAATGATAAACATATATGTACCTAATAACAGAGCCCCAAAATACATGAAGCAAGAATCAAAAACTGACAGTAATGTAGGAGGATATAGATGATCCAACAATGACTGTTGGAGACTCCAGTGCCCCACTTTAAATAATGAACAGTAAAACTGCATCTGGTCAAGAAGAAAATAGAATATTTGAAAAACTCTATAAGCTAACTAGACCTAACAGACATCTAATAACAACCAAAGCTGACTACATATTATTCTCAAGTAAAAAGAACATTTTCCAGGCTAGACAATATTCTAGGCCATAAAATATGCCTCAATAAGTGTAAAAGAATTGAAGGCACATAAAATATGCTGTCTAACCACAATGTGGCTAAGTAAAAAAAAAATCAATAA
The DNA here is from genome assembly GCF_000001405.40 of Homo sapiens. Classification (NCBI taxonomy): domain Eukaryota; kingdom Metazoa; phylum Chordata; class Mammalia; order Primates; family Hominidae; genus Homo; species Homo sapiens. Next base: position 96,769,095 of record NC_000003.12, read on the forward strand.
CAGACAAGTATTTGAGAAATTTTAAATATCTCAAAATTAAACACACTCAAAATAACCAATGTGTCCAAGATGAATTCAAAAGGGTCTTCAGAAAAAGCACTGAGATGATGGCTGGGCATGGTGGCTCACGCCTGTAATCCCAGCACTTTGGGAGGCCGAGGTGGGCAGATGACCTGAGGTCAGGAGCTTGAGACCAGCCTGGCAAACATGGCAAAACCCCATCTTTACTAAAAATACAAAAATTAGCCGGGCATGGTGGCAGAGGCCAGTAATCCCAGCTACTCAGGAGGCTGAGGCAGGAGAATCGCTTGAACCTGGGAGGCAGAGGTTGCAGTGAGCCAAGATCATGCCACTGCACTCCAGCCTGGGTGACAGAGTGAGACTCTGTCTCAAAAAAAAAAATAAAAATAAAGAAAAAAGAAAATGCACTGAGATGAATAAAAATCTATACAACACATCAAAATTTATGAAACATGGATAACACAGTGCTTAGAGAGGAAAATTACAGCTGAAACACTTCTATTAAATAAGAACAACAAAAAATTTTCCATTAAACGCACTGAAAAAATAAGAGCAAACTAAATCTGAAACAATAAGGTAGAAGGAAATTATAAAAATTAGAGCAGATATTAATGAAATCGAGAATAGAAAACTGCATATAAAAAGTATAAAAACAAAAGTTTGTTATTTTCAAAGATCAACATAATTAACAAATCTTTATCTAGATTGGGCAAGAAAAAAGAAATAATATTGAAATTTTTAAGGCAGGGATGGACATTGGGATCAAGCTTATAGAAATGCAATACATGATAAGGAAATAATATAAACTACTGTATGCCAACAAATTATCATAGATGAAATGAGCAAGTTACTAGAAAGACACAAACTACATAAACTGACACAGAAAGAAATAAACAATCTGAATAGGCTATAATAAAAGAAGGGTTAAAATAAGTAGCTTAATAGGCTATATCAAAAGAAGAGATGAAATAAATGACTTTAAAACTTCCCAGGAAGAGAAGCCCAAGTACAGATGACTTTGCTGGTGAACTCTACCAAACATTTAAAGAAGAATTAAAAACATTTCTGAAATGAAATCATCAAGATTTTGGAATAGAAGATTCTCTGGCATCATTTTCCCCACAAAAACACAACTAGAAATGATTCAACGACAAGAATACTACTCTGAATTCAGATGAACCCAGGAGAGTAATGGAGAAATCTTCTGGGCTCAGAATCAAGAGAAGCAATGACCCTTAAGAGAAACTGTACTTTCAGGCTGTGTTACTTCCTCCCTCAAGTTGGCATATGCCATTAACAGAATTTCGCTAGATCTATTGTTTCTGAGGTGAAACAAGAGAATTGGAGGTGGAGGTTTATCTTCCTACTAGTATGAGAATTTTCACAGGAATACCACACTAGTTGCATCCCATGGGAATCATTGGAAGCGATAGAAGGGCTGAACTACCTGAAGTATATTGGGGACACGGTGACTGGCATGTGGATCTTGGCAGCTGCTCTGCACTTCAATCAGCAGGGACACCATGTGGAAGAGACCACAGGAAAGCTCAAATCCCTGGCCAAATTTTCCACAAAACCCAAGGGTTTGTATGGAGTGTTCCTTTGGTCTGCAGAAAACTAAATAGTTGGGATAAAGTTCAAGTGCCCACTTAAGTCTTCCTCAGACCAGAAAACAATCCGAAGGGCAGTAATTTAGTTTTAATACGGCATTTATTTTCCAGTGTTCATTATAAGTCTTTTGGATGCTGGAGAAAAAAATGGCAGGGCAGTGATGTAGCTCCAGAGCAGTGTTGAAGTTCCAAAATTCACTGTAAGTGATGGGGAAACAATGGCAAGGCAGATGAGGAAACAATGACAAGACAATTAGCTCTAGTGCAGGGTTTTACCTCCAGAACTCATTCTAAGTGTCCCCCACTTCACCCCCTGAATGAGCTATGACAACAGGCTAGCATTTAAGTTGCAACACTAAGTAATAAAGTTCTAGGATGACCAAAAAATGCCTACAAAACCTGAAAGATGTGGCTGTTTTCTCAAATGTAGTGGCATAAATGTAAAAACACAAGGATTGTGAAAACTCTGGAAAATATGACACCACCAATAGAAATTGATAAAACTCCAGCAATAGGCCCAGAAGAGTTGAAGACCCATACAATTTCTGACAGAGTTCAGAGTAATTCTCTTTTAAAAATTCAGAGAAACACAAGAAAATACAAATAAAAATCTAAAAATGTGGAGAATAACCCAGGAACAAAATGACAAATTTGATAAATAACTGAATTTTTTAAAGACATAAATTGCATTAATAAACAATGCAATTACCAAACTGAACAAAACTCATTAGAAAACTTTGACAGAAGACATAATCAAACAGAGAAAAGAAATAGCCAGCTTGAAAACAGAACAAATGAAATTAACCAATCAGAGGATCAAAAAGAAAAAAGAATTAAAAAGGATGAAAAAGATCTGTAAGAATTACGGAACACCATCAAGCAAACTAACCTCAGCATAATAGAGATCCCCAAAGGAGACAAGAGAGTAAAAGACCTAGAGAGCATATTTTAAAAAATTATGTTGGATAATTTCTAAAAACTGGAGAAAGATAACAGCATCCAGATACAGGAAGCTCAGAGATCACCAATCAAATTCAACTCAAAGAGGGATTTTCTAAAGCGTATCATAATTCAATTAGCAAAAATCAAAGACAAAAAAGAATACTTAAAGCAGAGAGAGAAAGAAACATAACACATTCAAAAGAGCCTCAAGATGGCTTTCAGCAGATTTCTCAGCAGAAACATTGCACGTTAGGATGCTATGTTCAAAATGCTGAAGAAAAAAAAAAGCTGTCTACCAAAAATACTGTATCTAGCAAAGTTTTCTTTCAAACAGGAGAGACGAAGACTTGTTCAAATTTTTTTTTTTAATGAGGGAAAACATTGTGAACCCAGAAAATCTGAGACAAGTCTCAGTTAATTTAGAAAGTTTGTTTTACCAAGGTTGAGGACATGCCTGTGACACAGCCACAGGAAGTCCTGATGACATGTGCCCAAGGTGGTCAGGGCACAACTTGGTTTTGTATATTTTAGGGAGACATGCGACATTAATCAATATATGGAAGAAGTACATTGGTTGGGTCTGGAAAGGTAGCACAACTTGAATCAAAGGCAGGAAGACTCGAAGTGGGAGGGAGCTTCCAGGTCACAGATTGGTGAGATACAAACAGTTGCATTCTTTTGAGTTTCCGGTTAGTCTTTCCAAGGAGGCAATCAGATATGCATCTATCCCAGTGAGCAGAGGGATAAATTTGAATAGAATGGAAGGCAGGTTTGCCTTAAGCAGTTTCCAACTTGAGTTTTTCTCAGTGATTTTGGGCCCCAAGATATTTTCCTTTCACAACATCAACATCAAACCTGTATTATAAAAAATGCCAAAGGTAATTCTTCAACCCCCTCACAAAAAAAGAAGGCTAACATGTAACAACAAGGACAAAATCTAGAGAAATTAAATTTACAGGTAAAAGAAAGAAAATAGACAAATTTAGAATACTTTAATAATGTAAATAGGGTAAGTAAACCACTTACATCTTAAATATTAAGAGTAAAATACAAAACTATTGAAACAAAAATAATTACAAAAATTGAATAAGAAGAGATAGGCAAAATAAAAAGACACAAATGAAAACATCAAAAAGTCAAAGTGGGGAGATGGTGTCAATGTATATAGTTTGTATTTTTACTTTTTTTCTTTACAATTAAAGTTGAGTTATTATCTGTTTAACTTGATAAAACAATGAGATGATAATGTAAACCTCATGATACGTGCAAAGCAAAAACCTAAAACAGATACGCTAAAAATAAATAGTGGAAAATCAAATCATACCAGAAGAGAAAAGTACCTAACCACAAAGGAAAACAGTAAGACAGAAAGAAAGGATCTGCAAAATAACCAAAAAACATGTAACAAATAGCAGTAGTAAACATTCACCTATTAATAATAATCTTGAATGTAAATATATTAAATTTTCTCATTTAATGACATGGAGTGGCTGAATTGATTAAAAAAGACTTAGCTATATGCAGTCAACAAGAAACCCACTTCACCTATAAGGATATGCACAGACTAAAACAGAAGAGATTAAAAAAGATTTATCATGCAAATAGAAATTTTAAAAACAACAGGAGTAGCTACACTTATATCAGATAAAATGGACTTTAATAAGGAATGGTAATTAGAACAAAGAGGCCATTATATAATGAAAAAGGAAACAATGGTGTAAGAGGGTATAACAATTGTAAATAAATTAGCATCTAACACTGGGGCATCCAAATATATAAAATAAATACTGATAGACCTAAGGAGATAGACTGGCTGCAATATAATAATATTAGAGGACTTCAACACCCCACTTTCAGCAATGAACAGATCACCTAGGCAGAAAATCAACAAATTTTGGAGTTAAACTGCACTCTAGACCAAATGAATATAACCGAAATTTATAGAATATTTCATCCAACAGCTCCAGAATACACATTTTTCTCATCAGCACATGGAATATTCTCCAAAACAAGCCATATGTTATGTTACAAAACAAGTCAACAATTTTTTAAAAGACTAAATCATGTCAAGTATCTTTTCTGACCACAATGGAATAGAACTAGAAATCAATAATAAAATGAACATTGGAAACTGTACAAATTTATGGAAATTAAGCAACATGTTCCTGAACAGTAAATGGATCAATGAAGAAATTACATGGGGAATTTAAAAATACCTTGAGACAAATGAAAAGGAAATTGCAATATACCAAACCTATGGGATACAGCAAAAACAGTTCTAAGAGGGAAATTTATAGCAATAAATGCCTACATAAAAAGTAGAAAGACTTCAAATGAACAACCTATCCATACACCTCAAGGAACTAGAAAAACAAGAACAAACTAAGCCTAAATTGGCATAAGGAAAGAATTAATAAAAATAAGAGCAGGACTACATGAAATTGAAACTTAAATAATAACACAAAATAACAAACCAAAGAGTTAGTTTTTTGAAAAGATAACAAAATGACAATTCTTGATCTCAACATAAAAAAGGAGAGAGAAGAACCAACTAAATAAAATTGAAGACAAGAAAGGAGACATTAAAAATGAAATACAAATGATCATTAGAAACTAATGTGCAGAACTATACCCCAACAAATTGGAAAACCTAGAAGATAAATTTCTGGACACAAAATTTAACCATAAAGAAACAGAAAATATGAACAAATCATAAACGAGTATAAGACTGAAATAGGGGTCTGGTGTGGTGGCTTATGCCTGTAATCCTGACACTTGGGAGGCCAAGGCAAGAAGATGGCTTCAGGTCAACAGTTCAAGACCAGCATGGGCAATATAGCAAAGCCCTGTCTCTACAAAAAATAAAAGATTAGCTGTGCATGGTGGCACATGCCTGTAATCCCAGCAACTCCAAAGGCTGAGGAAGACTTTGTAATCCCAGGAATTCAAGGCTGCAGTGAACTATGATTATGCCACTGTACTCCAGCATGGGCAATAGAGCAAGATCCTGTCTAAAAAAATGAAAATAAAAATAATAATGATGATGAAAGACTGAAACAGGAATAAAAGGCCTCCAATCAAAGCAAATCCTAGGACCTGACGGCTTTACTGCTGGATGATACTAAAAACTTATAGAAGAGATATTATCAATTCTACTCAAACTCTTCCAAAAATTGAAGAGGAGTTAATACTTCCAAACTCATTCTACAAGACCAGCATGACTGCGATATCAAAAGCAGACAAGTAAACAACATCAACAACAAAATAACACTACAGGTCCTAATAGCCTGATGAACACAGGTGCAAAAAAATTATCAGCAAACTACTAGCAAATTAAATTCACCAATACATTTTTAAAAAATCATTCACCATGAACAAGTGGGATTCATCCCAGGGATGCAATGATAGTTGAATATATGCATACCAATAAACATACATTTCATTAACAGAACTGATATGGTTTGGCTGTGTCCCCACCTGTATTAGTCCATTTTCATAAAGACATACTGCCAGCTGGGCAATTTACAAAAGAAAGAGGTTTAATTGGACTTACAGTTCCACGTGGCTGGGGAAGCCTCACAATCATGGTGGAAGGCAAGGAGGAGCAAGTCACGTCTTACACAGATGGCAGCAGGCAAAGAGATAGAGCTTGTGCAGAGGAACTCCTATTTTTTTTTTCATACATTTACTTTTTATTGAATTTATTAATGTTACAGAGTTCTTGCACTGCCAAACCATGCCTGAGAATTCAAACAAATGGTACAATGGACAGCCTCATCCACTTATCATACAGGATATTAAAACTCAATTCATGTACATTTTGATATTTTCACAATCTTTTAAAAAGTTATACCAAGAGTTGAAGTTGCTGCAAGTTAAATCTGCTGCAAGTCTTCAGATTTCGAGTACAGTATTGCCTTTACATAAGACCTCCACTTATTCATCTCTGTTCATTCTTCAGTAACATAACTGCCAACAAAATTTTGCTGGGAAAAAAATGCATACTTTTCATGGAAAATACGCAGTTCAACAATGAAGAGACTATTTTTTAAGGTTTTTGGCTCCCAAATAAAGTCTTCAGTTAACCAAGAATCCCATTTCTGATTTAATCATTCAACCTCCCCTTGGCTGGCTCAGCTACTCACCCAAACACATTAGAAAGCAGGCATTGTGCCGGCCACCTCAAATATCAACATTATTGCCCAGAAGTGGGCGGCAGGTCCCGTCAGGAGATACTGTAACCCTCCTTGGAGTCCAATTCCTACACGGACACTTTCATCAAGACTAAACTCCTATCCAAAAATGCTCCCACATCAAAATAGTTTTACTCACCCACTTGCTTCACTCTTGCCAGTAGCAAGTCTGCAACTCATGCATTTGGCAAAGGGATTTATTATAGAGAAACACGTACTCTACATCAAGTGGTCACGTTACCACTTTCAGATATTTCTATTGAACCAAAGATACAAAACTAGGAAACTGCCAGACTATCTCACTAGGTGGACACTCTTTTGTAATCCTGCGTAGCTTCTTCAACTCCCTTTAAAGGACCAAAAACTACTATTAATAGGTATTTTAAACTGTAATCATTAAAAACAGAAGTGCTACATCACCTTTCGCCCTGACTCTCGAAGTGAACATAAAGACACACCAAAAGGTTGAAAACAAAGCTAGCTGGGACAATCACTGCATCTATAGAACAGCCAACACCTTGAAAATTTGGGCAGAAGTATATAAGGAATTCTTAAACATCATGCACAATCCATGACACTTAAATGGGTTTCAGCTGAGGGTCTGTTCATGTTGCTCTGAATTTGTAAGGCTAAGTGAACCCCTTAGCCTCACCAGAAAGCATATTCTTCCGGCTGCAGTTTACTATACAATTTAGACCTAATTAGATGAGGCATTAGCAGCACCTGATGTAGAACCTCCAGCATCCACTGTCCTTTACATCAAAGGCTTTTTGGTTCCACCTTCAGGATTGGCATACTCAAGAGACATTTCACAATCCTAACGCATACTTCAAGTTACTTAACCAGGCAACATACTCTGTCAAAGAACTTCTTTCAAGTTAAAGTAAAAAAGGCCTTAATGTAGAACAAAAATCGCTAGCCAGAACGCAGGGGGGGCCCCCTGCCCCGCCGCGCACGCCGCGGAGACCCCGCGCGGCTGAGGCGTCGCCAGAGCCGGCCTCGACCCCGAGCTGGGAGCCCCGCGGGCCGCGCCCGCCGCCGGCTCCACCCACCCGGGTCCGGGAGGCCGAGGCCATGGCCGCGACAGAGGAGCGGAGCCTGCACAACTTCTTTGCCAATCGGGACAAGAAGAAGAAGGAGCAGAGCAACCGGGCGGCGAGTTCCGCGGGCGCAGCAGGCAGCGCGGCGGGAGCAGTGGAGCTCCGCATTCTAGAGGGCGGCGGGGCGGGCGCAGGGACCTGGCTGGGCGAAGGCAGGACCGCGAGTGCGGAGGCTGCGGGCCCAGGGGCCACCACCAAGGCTGTGAAGAATGGAAAGGCTTGGAGTAAAAAGAGGTTGATTACAGAGGCCTGGGGGTTCAGGCAATGCAAATAAGTGAAAAGGAAGAAGATATTGAAGAGACAAGATCCAGGTGATAACTGGGAAGAAGGCGGAGGTGGTGGTGATACAGAAAAATCTTCAGGTCCCTGGAATAAAACAGCTCTGGTACAAGCACCTCTTGCTCCAGTAATTGTTACAGAAACCCCAGAACTGGCAATGACTAGTGGTGTGTGTGTGTGTAGGCCTCCTGGGGCCAGGTTAACCACAACAAGGAAAACACCACAAGGACCACCAGAAATCTACAGCAATACACAGTTCCCATCCCTGCAGTCAACTGCCAAGCACATAGAAAGCTGGAAGGATAAAGAAATGGAGAAGAGCTTTCAAGTAATAAGACACAAAAATAGAGGTAGGGATGAAGTTTCAAAAAACCAGGCCCTTAAACTTCAGCTAGACAACCAGTATGCTGTGCTTGAAAATCAGAAAAGGAGTCACTCACAATACAATGAAGGAATGGGCTTTGCTAAACCTTCTGAGATAAATAGACTACAGCTAACCACCACGAACAGCCATTCATGATCTGATCTCTGCTGGATCTGTGTACACCGATGCAGATCAGTCGATTTCATGACCAGCCCTATTTCACTGTGGAAGTTAAAGTGTCATGACTGCTTTATGCATATTGGATTTAGGGGAATTTTCATTGTTATATAAATGTGTGAACTAGTTTCAACAGTGTTCCTTCATATTTGCTCTGCAAATACAAAACCAAACCTGTAGCCAGTGATCATTTCAAAATCATTTTATGTGCAGATACTGAGCCTTCGTAAGGGTTGACTACCTCAGATTTGCTGCACTCATTGTGGACTTCATGTGGATCACAACTTCTTGATAAGAAGGTTACAGTTATTAAGTGTCGATGTGAATCTTGAAACCAACTCTTCTGGATTCTTATCAGAGATCCTACATAAAAAATCAGCCATCTGGGCTCTGATGCGCTGTAAAAGATGAAGACTTAAGTGCCCTTGATTAACCTGTCCTGTCCCCTACCCTTATGGAATACTGTCTGTAGTAGGCTGTGGCTATATTAGACTTCCTGGAACACACCGCTGAAAAGAACTGATGTGTTCAGATCATCTGTGTAGGGCTGTGATTTGTAATTTAAACTTTTAGTTGTATTCTGAGGTAACCACAAAATAAATTCAACCATAAACTGGGGTCCACCAAGTGGGGGAAGGGGTGAGGGAGAGAATAATCTTGTTTTTTGTTGTTGTTGTTGTTAACTTTTTATTTGAATAGTGCTTTTTTGTTGTTTTTGGAACTCCTCTTTTTAAATCATCAGATCTCATGAGACTCAGTCACCATCATGAGAACAGCATGGGAAAGACTTGCCCCCATATGATTCAGTTACCTCCCACTGGGTCCCTCCCACAACATGTGGGAATTTAACATGAGATTTGGGTGGGGACACAGTCAAACCGTATCACTACTGAAATCTCATCTTGAATTGTAACTCCCACAATTCCCATGGGTCATGGGGGGAACCTGGTGGGAGGTGATTGAATCATGGGGGTGGGTCTTTCCTGTACTTTTCTCATGGTAGTGAGTAAGTCTCATGAGATCTGATGGTTTTTAAAACAGGAGTTTCCCTGCACAAGTTCTCTTCTTTGGTCTGCCACCATGTAAGAGGTGCCTTTCACATTCTGCCATGATTGTGAGGCCTCCCCAGCCACATGGAACTGTAAGTCCATTAAATCTCTTTATTCTGTAAATTGCCAAGTTGCAGGTACGTCTTTATCAGCAGCATGAAAATGGACTAATACAGTAAATTGGTACCAGCTGAATGGGATGCTACTGTAAATACCGAAAAATGTGGAAGTGATTTTGGAAGTAGGTAACAGTCAGGGGTTGGAACAGTTTGGAGGCCTCAAAGAAGACTGGAAAATATGGGAAAGTTTGGAACTTCCTAGAGACTTATTGAATAGCTTTGCCCAAAATGCTGATAGCGATATGGACAATAAAGTCCAGGCTGAGGTGGTGTCAGATGGAAATGAGAAATTTGTTGGGAACTGGAGCAAAGGTGACTCTTGATATGTTTTAGCAAAGAGACTGGCAGCATTTTGCCCCTGCACTAGACATTTGTGGAACTTTGAACTTCACAGAGATGATTGAAGGTATCTATCTGGCATAAGAAATTTCTAAGCAGCAGTACTCAAGAGGGGACATGGGTGCTGTTAAAGGCATTCAGTTTTATAAGGGAAGCAGAGCATAACAGTTCAGAACACTTGCAGCCTGAAATGTGATAGAAAAGAAAATCCCATTTTCTGAGGAGAAATTCAAGCCAGCTGCAGAAATTTGCATAACTAACGAGGAACTGAATGTTAATCCCCAAAACAATGGGGAAAATGTCTCCAGGGCATGTCAGAGGTCTTCATGGCAGCCCCTCCTATCCCAGGCCTGGAGGCATAGGGGAAAAAAGTGGCTGGGCCCATATCTCCATGCTCTGTGCAGTCTAGGAACTTGGTGCCTGTTTCCCAGCCGCTCCACCTGTGGCTGAAAGGGGCCAACATAGAGTTTGGGCTGTGACTTCAGAGCCTTGGCAGCTTCCACATGGTGTTGAGCCTGTGTGTGCACAGACATCAAGAATTGAGGTTTGGGAACCTCCACCTAGATTTCAGAGGATGTATGGAAACACCTGGATGTCCAGCCAGAAGTTTGCTGCAGGTTGGGGGAGCTCTCATGGAGAACCTCTGCTAGGACAGTGCAGAAGGGAAATGTGAGATTGGAGCCCCCCAACAGAGTCCCTACTGGGGCGCCCCCTAGTGGAGCTGTGAGAAGAGAGCCACTGTCCTCCAAACCCCAGAATTGTAGATCCACTGACAGCTTGCAGGGCGCACCTGAGTCGCAGACACTCAATGACAGCCGTTGAAAGCAGCCGGCTGCAAAGTCACAGAGCAGAGCAGCTCAAGACTGTGGGAACCCACCTCTTGCATCAACGTGACCTAAATGTGAGACATGGAGTCAAAGAAGATCATTCTGAAGCTTTAAGATTAGACTGTCCCACTGGATTTCAGACTTGCATGGGGCCTGTAGCCCATTTGTTTTGGCCAATTTCTCTCATTTGGAATGGTTGTTATTTACCCAATGCCTGTACCCACATTGTATCGTGGAAGTAACTAATTTGCTTTTGATTTTACAGGCTCATAGGTGGAAGGGACTTACTTTGTCTGAGATGAGACTTTGGACTGTGGACTTTTGACTTAAGGCTGAAATGAGTTAAGACTTTGGGGGACTGTTGGGAAGGCATGATTGGTTTTGAAATTTGAGGACATGACATTTGGAAGGGGCTATGGGCAAAAAGATTGGTTTGGCTGTGTCACCACCCAAATCTCATTTTTAATTTTAACTCCCGCAATTCCCATGTGTCTTGGGAAGAACCTGGTTAGAGGTGATTGAATCATGGGGGCAGGTCTTTCCTGTGCTGTTCTAGTGACAGTGAATAAGTCTCACAAAATCTGATGGTTTAAAACACAGGCATTTCCCTGCAAAATATCTCTTCTCTTGTCTGCCACCATATGAGATGCACCTTTCACCTTCCATCATGGTTGCAAAGCCTCCCCAGCCACATCGAACTGCAGGTCCATTAAATCTCTTTCTTCTGTAAATTGCCCAGTCTCAGGTGTATCTTTATCGGCAGCATGAAAACGGACTAATACAAGAACCAAGAACAAAAGCCATATGATCGGCTGGATGCAGTGGCTTATGCCTGTAATCCCAGCACTTTGGGAGGGCGAGGTGGGCAGATCATGAGTTCAGGAGTTTGAGACCAGCCTGCCCAACATGGCAAAACCCCCGCCTCTACTGATAATACAAAAATTAGCTGGGCATGGTGGCACGCACCTGTAATCCCAGCTACTCGGGAGGCTGAGGCAAGAGAGTTGCTTGAACCTGGGAGGCGGAGGTTGCAGTGAGCCGAGATCACACCACTGCACTCTGGCATGGGCAAGACTCTGTCTCAGAAACAAAACAAAACAAAACAACATTATTTTAAGAGATGCTGAAAAAGCATTTGATAAAAGTTAACATTGCCTTATGAGAAAAACCCTCAGCAAACTGAGCATAGAAGAAACATACCTCAACATCATAAAGACCATATAAGACAAACGCATAGCAAGCATTGTACTGAACAGGGAGAATTCCAAAGCTTTTCCTCTAAGATCTGAAATAAGACAAGGATGCCCCACTTCCACCACTTTTATTCAACATAACACTTAAAGTCCTGGCCAGAGCAATTAAGCAAGAGAAAGAAATAAAAGGCATCCAAATTGGAAAGGAAGAAGTCAGATTAGCCTCAATCACAGATATCATGATCTTTTGCTAAGAAAAACCTAGACTAACAAAAAAACTGTCCGAATTGATAAATGAATTCAGTATGCTGTAAAATACAAATTTAATGTATAAATATCAGTAGTATTTCTACACATGAACAGTGAATAATCTGAAAAAGAAGTCAAGATAAAAGTATTTTGTGACAAAGCTGTAGTAACCAAGATGACATGATACTGGTAAAAACAAAACAAAAAAGACAGATATACCAATGCCAGACATAAATCCACACATTTATAACCAACCCAACTCATTTCAACAAAGGTACAAATAACATACATTGGGAAAAGGACTGTCTCTTCCATAAAGAAAACCTGGATATCTATACACAGAATAGATATCCCTATCCATTTTATATAGTGGGAGATAGGAGATACCCCTATCTCCCACTATATAAAAAAATCAAATCAAAATTGATTAATGATTTAAATATAAGACCTGAACCTATGAAAGTCCTAGAAGAAAACACTGAGGAAATGCTTGACGACATTGGCCTGGGCAAATATATTTTGAATGATACCTCAAAAGCACAGACAATAAAAGCAAAACTAGAAAAACTGGATTATATCGAGCTAAAACGCTTCTGTAAAGCAAAAGACATGATCAACAAAGTGAGGAGATGACCTGCAGAATGAGCGAAAATATTTCAAAGTATTCATCCAACAAAGAATCAATAACCAGAACATGCAAGAAATTCAAACAACTCAGTAGCAAAACAAACAAACAAACAAAATTCACAAATGGGCAAAAGCCTTGAATAGGTATTTCTCAAAACAAGGCAATAGAGTTTTCCATGAAGACTTAATATAGTTGAACTCAAAATTCTTGATGATACATATAATTTCACCTTTAGAATTCAATAATGGTAGTTCTTTAGTACTATTTTAAAGAAAGTGATGAGCTGGAGGAATTTTCTTTGTGATCATATTTTTTCATTTGCAATAAATGTCCCTCGCTTACAAAATTTAAAATACTATATTAGGAGCTTATAATAAAAAAGCAATATATTTCACTGTTTCCTATGCTTGTCTTTTATCAGACATTTTAAACTGTTTCTCTTCTTGGTTCTTCTATTGTTTATTTCCACATCTCTGAAACATATGCTTATAATGCTATTTTTTATCATGAACTTATGCTTTTATCTATTTTCTCCTTGATCTGAAAGGTGGTGGTATATCTTCTTTCATTTAAACTATGCATTTCTTACCCTCTTCTCCCACTCATGTTTCATTTTCCATATTTTAAACATAATTAGATTAATATTTTATTTCCTTTGATGCATAATTCTCTATGATATACTTAAATAATATAGTAAGATTATTTTAATTCCATCAACTAGAAAATATATCTTGATCCTTGACATTTTCTTTCACATTTTATCTCTGCCTTTTCAACCTTACATTCTCTCTTATCTGTAATTTTACATTTTCAAGTATGACAAAATTTACATTCTACTTCAGTCACAATTAAGACTTCTATATTTGTATATAGTGTGTACATATATATATATGTTCTTTTTTTTTTTTTTTGAGATGGAGTCTCACTCTGTTGCCAAGGCTGGTGTGCGGTGGTGCAATCTCGGCTCACTGCAACCTCCGTCTCCTGGGCTCAAGCGATTCTCCTGCCTCAGCCTCCCAAGCAGCTGGGATTACAGTTGTGCACCACTGTGCCCAGCTAATTTTTGTATTTTCAGTAGACATGGGCTTCCAGCATGTTGGCCAGGCTAGTCTCAAACTCCTGACCTCAGGTGATCCGCCCACTTCGGCCTCCCAAAGTGCTGGGATTACAGGCGTGAGCCACCGTGTCTGGCTGTATATAGTACAATTTTAAAAGTGCAAAATAAAAAAAAACTGTATTTTCATGACATAAATGTAACCAATGTTAAATAAATTCTTCTCATGCAATGCAAACTCAATTTTTTCTTTCATCATCATATAATTTTTTTACATATATACATTTTTTATTTTTATATTACAGTTTTATTGAAATAAAACACATCATACAATGTATCCACTTATATTATGCAATTCAGTAGTTTTCCATATATACTCAGAGCTCTACAACCATTACCACAATCAGTTTTAAAACATTTTTATTAAAATTTTTTTATTGATATAAAATACCTGTACATATTTTGGGAGTACATGTGACATTTTGATGTATGTATATAATGTATAATGATCAAACCAGCATAACTGGGATACCCATTGCTTCAAACATTGATCTTTTCTTAGTGTTGGGAACATTAAAATTCTTCTAGTTATTTTGAAATATACAATAAATTACTGTTAACTATAATTTTCCTACTTTACCATTGGAATACTACAACTTACCCATTTTAACTATATTTTTGTACCCATTTACCAACTTCTTTTCAGCCCCTCTCCTCCCTTTCCTTCCCAGCCCCTGGTAATTCTACTGTCTACCTCCGTAAGTTCCACATTTCTAGCTTCCACACATTAGTGAGAATATGTGACATTTGTCTTTCTGTACCTGTCTTATTTCATTTAACATAATGACTTCCTGTTCCTTCCACATTGCTGGAAATGACAATAATTCATTCTTTTATGAAGGAATTATATTTTATTGTGTATCTATACCACATTTTAAAATCACTCATTCACTAATGGATACTTAGGTTGATTTTATATATTGACTACAGTGAATAGTGCTGCAATAAACATGTAGATATACTAATGCTAATTTCTTTTATTTTGGATATATACCCAGGAGTGGGATTGCTGGATCATATGGTAGTTCTATTTTTAGTTATTTTTTTTCCATATGGCTTTACTACTTTACATTTCCACCAATTGATTTGGGGTACAAGCATTCCCCTTTCTCTACATCCATGCCAACATTTGTTATTTTCAGTCTTTTGGATAATAACCATTTTAACTGTAATGAGATGATATCTCAATGTGGTTTTCATTTGCATTTCCTTGATGATTAATGATGTTGAACATTTTTTATATGCCTATTGGCCTTCTTGTTCAGCAACATACATGTATTCTCAATAAGGAAGGTCTTAGGAACCGCACAACCCAAGTTCTTTTCTTATGAAAAGTTAAGTTTACTAAGATCTACTTTATATGAATGTTCGCCATAAGATTATTGGTGAATAAAAATTAAGAACTTATACAAATGTTCTTCAAAAGGCAAAGGGTTAATTAAATGAGTTTATATCCGTGTCTTAGAATAATGTGAAATCATTAAAGATGCTATTTCCCAGTATCTCCTGACCTAAATATGTGCCCGTGTTATATTAAGAGAAAAAATACAGGCCATAAAATATACATTCTGAATTTTGAAATAAAATACAGGCAAGGCCAGACACGGTGGCTCAGGCCTGTAATCTCAGCACTTAGGGAGACCAAGGCAGGCGGAGCACTTGAGCCCAGGAATTCAAGACCAGCCCAGGCAACATGGTAAATAAAACCCCATCTCTACAAAAAAGCAAAAAGTAACCATGTGTGGTTGTTTATGCCTGTAGTTCTACTAATCGGGAGATTGACGTGGGAGGAACACCTGCGTTTGAAAAGTCAATGTGCAGAGAGTTGTGATCACATCATTACTCTCCAGCCCTCCAGTTTGGGAGACAGAGTGAGACCTCATCTCTAATAAGAAAATAAATAATGCATATATATATATAGAGAGAGAGAGAGAGAGAGAGATACACACATATTTATTTATGAGAATGTAATATATGAAATATTTATACTGAAAAAGCAACCCAGGGAGAGCCCATTGAGTCTCCAAAACAACCAGGTAACAGTGTATTTACTTTTATAGTAAGAAAATATGTTAGAATACTTGTATAAACTGTTGATTCCTTTGTTTAATTCTTTGTTGACTATGTGTATACCAACTCCACCCCTCATACATTACCCTATCTCTACTTACTTCTGTGGAAATTAATATGACATAAAAATAAAAATGAGCCTGGTTTTGGTTTTGTGTCTCAAACCTCATGGAGAAAATGTCCTCAGATCCTAGAGATTTATACCCATATATAATAAATAGTAGGAGTATAAAATGTTATATCTATTATTTTTCTTACTTTTCCAGAAAAAATAGTCTCTTAGAATGTGGCAAAAATAACATGGGGAAAACGATAAGCTTCTAAAAGCAAATAGGGTCCTGAAAAGAGCCCAGTTTTGTGGATAGCTCCCAAGGCTTAGTAATAGGGTTAAAGGATGGGAAGCATCAAGTCTCTCAGATGGTTTGAGTTGCAAGGGCAAAGGAAACCTGAATGCAGGGCCACTGCTACCACATGTCAACTTCGTGTGAATTAGAAAACTGCTTTCTCTAGGAATATGAAGGCAGCTATCTTAGGGTAAACACAATGCTTTTCTACAAAGTAAAAGGAACATCTTCCCCTGTGCCAGAAAGGCTTGGCAAGCAGACTGCTCAGGGTGAATTTCAGCATCCATCCACTCTCTTAACTGAGCACTTTTGGATAATGCAAAAGCTACGCAAAGCTATGCAGCTATCTCACCTGTAGTCTGACTGGAGACCTAGCCGAATTGAAAGGACCCAGCAGATGCAACAGATACATTTTCTTAGACATTCATAAAGTTTTTCATGTCCCAGAGTGGACTTGGAGTAGCCAAATGAGTTCCATGCAACTAGGAGTAATAGGGACATAGCTTAGAGAGTCATCATACCTTTATAAAGAATAAAGGATGGATTGGTTGCGATGCGAATGAATAGACAATTGAACACAAGATGAAATATGTCGCTGCTGAAGCTAGTGTTAACAGACAACATTGAGACCAGATCTCTCTGATCACAACACTGAGATTAAATATCCCTAACATCACCTCCACCATCACCAACAATAACAAAATCTTATTACAAGCAGAGCCATAACCCTGGAGAAGAGTGAGGACATTGTTGAAATTAAAAAGAAGATAATATTTCTGACAAAATAGAAACCTGAAATCAAAATTGAGTTTTAAAAAATATTATATGTCCTGCACCTAAGTTTGTGGAATGAAAGATATATATTTGCTGACTTTGAATAGCAAATATCATTGTCACCTTTAATAATAACCATGCCCTGACGAGAATTCTATAATCTCCTGGAAATCACTCTGCTTATTTTACATTTCTACCTCATAACAAAGGAATACCTGAAGTATGAAATATAGTTAAGCACAATATTTAAGACTATATGGTATAGCTTTGTAAGGATAAACAGCATAGCACTGGTATTAACCTGGACAAATTTTGAAAAAAAGAATACTGAGTGACGTGATAGATTTTAATTTTAGTCCAAAGCATTTTGAAATTTATTGACAATTTAACCTTCAAGACTTCACAATTTGCAGGACCATTCTGTTCAACTTTTGCTTGATTATCCAACGATCAATGTTTACTTTTCTCTATGAACATTAAAGAACTAACATTGACAGTAGTCACTTTCCTAACTCAGTGAGGTTTATTTTAATACCTTCTGCCTCATGCATCCCAATGCCTCCTAATGCAGTCTGTTGTTAATCCTCACCTCATCTGATCCTAATGTCACCATTCATGAATCATCATCGTTTTCTTCATCTCTGAGGCATCCAATCTTGTGGTACAGAATTTTTCAAGTGTATTATAAAGGCTCCATTTTTTTTAACCTCTATTAGAAGAACAGCTAATCACAATCATTATCTTTATAAGTTAAGCTTGCCCTACCCCAGCAATATTAATAAGAAATCACTGTTAGACCACACAACCTAAAGAATCAAGAGAAACTATTGTATTTTATGATTCTGAGGGGTTTATTTTTTACTAAACTTATCAAAGTCAAGCTCCTTTCCTAGAACTCAGAACAATGGTAAACCCAGAGTAAAAAAATCACCCAAGCTTCTAAAATTCCATTAATGCTTTCACAAGCTCTGTCTATATAACTAATTCTTTATAATATTAACTTTTCTATGTGTTAATATATTAGAGTTACTATATTAGAGCTAATATATAGAGAGTTAATATATTATTTATATCCCACTTTTAGAAATCAGGGCCAAATATAAAGGTAATTATACTAATTTTAGTTGTTATTAAAAGTCAAATTCTAAAATATTTGGCTTAAATAATGAAGACATATATTTCTGAAGCATTAAGAAACTTGCTGAAAAATCTTCCTGGTTATATATTCTATACGATTAATCTATAAGAGAGTTGTTTATTCCACTAATGAGCACAGAAAGTCAGCAGATGTCTAGAACCAATTTGGCAGCTGCTGAACTTTATATCCATAATCCAAGAAGCCATTAGTTGAAAATAACTTTTAGAAACTCAAATGTCACAATTCTGCCAATGCTTCATCCATAGGAAACCTAGAATTGGAAGATCATATTGCCGTACAATGTTTCTCCCTAAAAATCAGCTTAAAATATTGGTTAAGCACTACCTGAAATATTCACATAGAATCATCAGTATCATAGTTAAACATATTTAAATTTTGCCAACATTCTTAAACTTAATATATCAAATTTTAAATGTGTGTATCAGCTCTTTTAGAGACTGGAGCTGTGAGAGGCAGAGAATAAATATTGCAGATTACAGCTTTGTAGGCCTTATCATAATCAGGTTTTCTATGGAATCCACAGTTTATCAAGCTATGGCCAATTGATGCCATCGACCCTGAATTTTCTGCTTCTGATCCAAACTTAACCTGTAATTTGTTTTACTGCTTTGGAAGACTTTTTTGTTGTTTTAATACATAATATTTTACATATTTATGGGTTATGTGGTAGTATTTACAAGCATAGAATGTGTGATGATCAAGTTAGGGTATTTGTAGTATCCCTCACTATGAGTATTTATTATTTAAGTATGTTGGTTACATTTTAAGTCCTCTCTTTTACCTGCTTTGAAATATACAATATATTGTTACTAACTATAGCCACTCTAGCCTGCCATCAATTTTTAGAACTTATTTCTTCTCTCTAACTGTATGTTGTACTCATTAAACAATCTCTCTTCATCCCCCTCTTATCCACACCACCTTTCCAGCCTCTGGTATCTATCATTCTATTCTCCATCTCCATGAGATCAAGTACTTTATCTCCTACTAAAAGTGATAACATGCAGTATTTTATTTTTCTTGCCTTTTTGTGCCTGGCTTATTTAACTTAATATAATGACGTCCAGTTCCATCCACGTTGCTGCAAATGACATAATTTTATTCTTTTTTATGGCCAAATAGTATTCCATGGTGTATATATTCTACATTTTCTTTATTCATTCTTGCATTGATGGACATAATGGTTGATTTCATCATTGCCATTGTGAATAGTGCTGCTAATGATAAACCAATAATAAACATGGTAGTGCATTTATCCTTTGATATACTGATTTATTTTCCTTTGGGTAAATTCCAGTAGTGGGATTGCTGGATTGTATGATAATTCTATTTTACATTTTTGGGGAAATCTCCATAGTGTTTTACATAATGGTTGGACCAGTTTATATTCCCACCCATAGTATACAAGAGAGACATTTTTTCCACATCCTCATCAGTGTCTGTTATTTTTGTCTTTTTAATAATAGCCATTCTAACTGCAGTAAGATTATATTTCATCAAGATTTTGATTTGTTTCTCTGATGATTAGTAATATTGAGCATTTTTTCATATATCTGTTGCCCATTTATACAACTTTTTTGGAGAAATGTCTGTTTATATCCTTTGCCTACTTTTAAATGAGATTATTTGTTTTTTTACTGTTAAGTTTCACGTATTTTTTTATATTAGTACATTGTTGGAAGAATGGTATGCAAATGCTTTCTCCCATTTGACAGATTGTCTTCTCACTCTGTTGATTATTTCCTTTGCTAAGCAGAAGCTTTTTAGCTTAATGCAGGCCTTATATGTAGGTCTTATTCATGAAATCTTTGTCCAAACCAATATCCTGGATTGTTTTATTGTTTTTCCTATGTTTTCTTCTAGTAGTTTTATACTTACAGGTCTTATGTTTAAGTCTTTATCTTAGGTTGATGTTTATAAATGGTGAGAGATAGGGGTCAAATTTCATTCTTCTGCATGTGGAAATATAATTTTTCCAGCACTATTTATTTAAAACTGTGTCATTTCCGCAGTGCATTTTTTTTTTTTGGTGTCTTTGCAAAAATCAGTTTGGTATAAATACATGAATTTATTTCTATTTTTTTTCCATTTGTCTATATATCTATTTTTATGTTAATATCATGCTGTTGGCCGGGCACAATGGCTCACGCCTGTAATCCCAGCACTTTGGGAGGCAAAGCAGGCGGATCACGAGGTCAGGAGTTCGAGACCAGGCTGGCCAATGTGGTAAAACCTCATCTCTACTAAAAGTACAATAATTAGCCGGGAGTGGTGGCAGGCAACTGTAATTCCAGCTACTTAGGAGGCTGAGATAGGAGAATCACTTGAACCCGGGAGACGGAGGTTGCAGTGAGCTGAGATTGTGCCATTGCATTCCAGCCTGGGTGACAAGAGCGAGACTCTGTCTCGAAAAAAAAAAATCTATCTATCTATATCTATCTATCTCTATGGATATCTATCTAGATATCCATAGAGATAGATAGATATAGATAGATAGATATAGATAGATAGATATACCATGCTGTTTTGGTTGCTATAGCCATTTAACATATTTTGGAGTCAGATAGTGTGGTATTTCCAGTTTAGTTTTATTTGCTCAAAATTGCTTTGGCTATTTGGGCTCATTTTGGTTCCATTTACATTTGGGGATTGATTTTTCTCATTCCATGAAAAATGACATGGTATTTTGATAGGGGTTGCATTGAATCTGAAAATTGGTTTGAGCAGTATGGTCATTTTAACAATATTAATTCTTTTGATTCATGTGCATGAGATGTCTTTCCCACGCTCATGGATCAAAAAAATGAATGTCAAAATGGGATGTCTTTCCGTTTGTTTCAGTCCTCTTCAATTTCTTCCATTAGTATTTGTAGTTTTCTTTGCAGAAATCTTTTATGTCCATGGTTAAATTTATTCCTAGGCATTTTTTTTTGGTGGCTATTGTAAATGTGATTACCTTCTTGATTTCTTTCTCAACCAGTTCATTGTTGGTGTATAAAAATGCTACTGAATTTATCAGATCTAACTTTTTTTTTTTTGGTGGAGTCCTTAGGTGAGTCTAAAAGAATATTATATAATCAGCAAAGAGTGACCATTTGACTTCCTGTTTTCCAATTTGGATGCCTTTTATTTCTTTCTCTTGCCTGACTGCTCTGGCTAGGACTCCTAGTACTATGATATATCATGTTTATTGATTTACATATGTTGAACGGTACTTGTATCCCTGGGATTAATCCCACTTAATCATGCTGTATGTTTTTTAAATATGCTGTTGGATTTGGTTTGCTATTATTTTGTTGAGAATTTTTGTGAATTTTTTTGTCTAGGTTTATCAGAGATATTGGTATGCCGTTTTCTTT
Source organism: Homo sapiens (assembly GCF_000001405.40). Classification (NCBI taxonomy): domain Eukaryota; kingdom Metazoa; phylum Chordata; class Mammalia; order Primates; family Hominidae; genus Homo; species Homo sapiens. The sequence goes on from NC_000003.12 coordinate 96,791,005, forward strand.
GTGTGTTGTATCCTTGTCTGGTTTTGATATTAGTCTAATGCTGGGCTCACAGAATGTCTGAGGAAACTCTCTCTTCTATTTTTTTTAGAATAATTTGAGGAAAACTGATGTTAGTTATTCTTTGAAAGTTTGGTAGTATTTGGCAGTAAAGTCATCCAGTCCCCTTTTCTCTGTCAGGAATTTTTTTTTAATTTCTTTGATCTCATTATTTGTTCTTGGTCTTTTCAGGCTTTCTATTTCTTCCTGATTCAATCTAGGTAGTTGTATAGAAATAGAAAAATGTTCAGAAATTTATCTGTTTCTTCTAGGTTTTCCAATTAGTTGATGCGTACTTACTCACAATAGTCTTTAGTGATCTTTTTTTAATTCTGTGGTACCAGTTATAATGTCAAACCTAGAAGTTGATGCATAGTTTAGTTACTCACAATAGTCTTTAGTGATCTTTTTTTAATTCTGTGGTACCAGTTATAATGTCTTATTTCTTGTCTTTGATTTTATTTATTTGATTCTTTTCTATTTTTTTCTTAGTCTAGCTCAAAGATTGTCAGTTTTGTTTGTTTTCTCAAAAACACAACTTTTTATCTTTTTGATCTCTTGTATTTTTTCAGTCTCAATTTCATTTAGTTCTACACTGATCTTTAGCATTTACTTCCTTCTGTTAATTTTTGGTTTGGTTTTTTCTTGCTATTCTAGTCCCTTAATGTATTGTTAGATTTTGTCCATCATGTTTTTTTTTTTTTTTTTTTAGACACCGTGTCACCCAGGCTGGAGTGCAGTGGTACGATCTTGGCTCACTGCAACCTCTGCCTCCTGGGTTCAAGCGATTCTTGTGCCTCCGCCACCCTAGTAGCTGGGATTACAGGCACACAGCACCATGCCTGGCTAATTTTTGTAATTTTAGTAGAGACATGGTTTCACCATGTTGGCCAGGCTGGTCTCAAACTCCTGGCCTCATGTGATCTGCCCACCCCAGCTGGCCTCCCAAAGTGCTGGGATTTACAGGCATGAGCCACTGCTCCCAGGGGTATGTTATGTTTTGATTTTCATTTGTTTCAAGAACTTTTGTGATTTCCTTCTTAATATCTTCCTTGACCCAAAGGTCACTTAGAAGCATGTTTAATTTTCATGTATTTCTACAGTTTCTAAAGTGTCTCTTATTATTTATTTCTAGTTTTATTTCACCATGGCCCAAGAAGATACTTGATATAATTTTGATTTTTTAAAATTTTTTGAGATTTATGTGTCCTGACATATAGTCTATCCTGGAGAATGTTCCATGTGCCAATGAAAAAATTGTGTATTCTGTAGCTATTGGATGAAATGTTATATAAATGCCTGTTTGGTCCATTTGATCTAAATATATAAATCCAATGTTTCTTTTTTAATTTTCGGTCTCAATGATATATCTAATGCTGAGATTGGAGTGTTGAAGTCCCCAGCTATTATTGTATGGAATCCTATTTCTCCCTTTAAATCTAATAACATTTTCTTTATATATCTGAGTACTCTGGTGTTGGATGCATATATGTTTAGGATTGTTAAATCCTCTTGTTGAATTGATCCCTTTATCATCACATAATGATCTTGTCTTTTTTTTTTTACTGTTTTTGATAGAAGTTGTATATTTTTTTCTGATATAAATATAGCTGCTTCTGCTCCCTTTGGGGTTTTGTTTTGTTTTGTTTTTTGTTTGTTTGTATTTTTGGACTATCTTGTTCCATTCCTCTACTTTCAGTCTATGTGTGTCTTTACAGGTGAGATGAGATTCTTATAGGCATTCTATAGTTGGTCCATTTTTCTCATACATTATTCAGTCAGCATATATCTTTCAAGTGCAAAATTTAACCCATTTACATTAACGGTTACTATTGATATGTGAAGATTTATTCCTGTCATTTTATTAAATTATTTTTTATTGGTTTGCATGTCCTCTGTTCCTTCATTTCTCTCTTATTGTTTATCATTGTTGTTTGGTGGTTTTCTGTCATGGTAACACTTGCATCTTTACACTTTCTTGCTTGTGTGTTTTCTCTAGCAGTGGTTTTTATATTTTCCTTTGTTTTAATGGTACTAAATATCATTCTTTCACTTTCAGGTATGGCACTCCCTTAAGTATGGCTGATCAGAATGATGACTTCCCTTGGCTATTGCTTGTCTAGGAAATACTTTATTTGTCTTTCATTTATGAATGATAATTTTGCTGGATATAGTACCCTTGGTTAATAGGGTTTTGTTTATATTTTATCGCTTCGAATGTGTCATTCCATTCTCTCCTGGCCTGTAAGGTTTCTGCTGAAAAGTCTGTTGTTAGTGTGATGAGGGATCCTTTATAGGTGACTAGATGCTTTTCTCTTGATGTTTTACATAATTTCTTTTTGTGTCTAACTTTTGGCAGTTTAAGTATAATGTACTATAGGGAGCCCTTTTTGTATTGAATCTGTTTGGGGATCACTGAGGCTCTTGTATATGGATTTCTAAATCTCTTACTAGACATGGAAAGTTTTAACTTATCATTTTGTTCAATAGGTTTTCCAAATCTTTCATTTTCTCTTTGCCTCCTGGGATACTGAAAATTTGAATGTTTGGTCACTTTATGGTATCCAATATGTCATTTAGACTTTGGTCATTTTTTTTTCATTTTTCTCTATTTTTGTCTGACTAAGTTATTTCAAAAGAACTGTCTTCAAGTACGGAGATTCTTCTGCTTGATCCAGTCTATTGTTGAAGCTTTCAAATGTGTTTTGCATTTCATTTAAATTATTAATTTCCTGAAGTGTGTTTGGTTCTTTGTTGTGATAGCTGTTTGGCAAATTTCTCATTCATATGCTGAATTGTTTTTCTGATTTCTTTGTATTGTTGTTCAGTATTCTCTTGTATTTTGCTGAGTTTATTTAAAATTAGCATTTTGAATTCTTTTTCTGGGATTTTACAAATTTGTTTTTGATTGAGATCTGTTGCTAGAGAATTAATGCATTCCTTTGTAGGTGTCATATATTTTCTTGCTTTTTGATGTTTCCCTTATACTTATGTTGATATCTGCACATCTGCTGTAATAATCACTTCTATTTTTTTTGAGTTTGCTTTCATAAGAAAGGATTTTCTCCTGAAGATGTATCTATGTTACTGGTTGGGTAGGGCACTTTGGCTTTGAAACTGAGTGCATGTAGGGGGGCAATGTCTGTGTGATTTCTTTGGCTATAAACAGTGTCCGTGGTGTCTGTGATTTCCTAGGTGGCTTAGGGTTTGGTTATTAATGGATGCTGTGGTGAAGTGTTCCTGGGTACTGGGATGCTGGATGACTCAGTTTTAAGGCTCCAGTGATGGTGGAAGTGGGTTGAGAGTGTGGCTATTCTTGGGCTCCAGCATGGTATACACTTGCACTAGTGTTAGCAGGTCCAGGCAGGCTGATTCTTGGGCCTCTACATAGCTTGCTTGAATGCCAGTAGTGGCAAAGTTGGGCTTAGCAAGTAGATAGGTTCTCCATCCCCTGTACAGCCAACATGGTATAGGCAATGGCAATAGCATTAGCAGGACAACCCTCTGTGTCCTGAGAAGTGTGTGCTGGTATTGGTAGTGGCTGTGATGGACTGGATGGGCCAGTTTCCAGACTCACAGGTGGCATGTGCAAGTAGGTGCCAGTCATGGTGGTGGTGGCAGGGTGGGTAGGCCCAACCTCAGGCCTCTGGGAGAAGTGCTCAGGTGTCAACAGTGGTAGACTGCACTGGCCAATCCCCAGTTCACCAAACTGTATGCTCTGGCACAACAGCAGTGAGGGACAAAGCTGGGATGGTAGGCTTGTCCTCAGGCCCCCCTAAGATAGGCAGGTGCCAGCCACGGTAGGCAGGGGCCAAGCAATCAATCCACAGGCCTGCAGTGGAATGTTTGGGTAAGGGCTGTAGTAGCCTTGCTACAACCCTGCCATGGGGGAGGGTAGGCCTATCATCAGTGGTGGCTGCATAGGCCAGCAGGTGGGGAGCGCTTGCCATACTTGTGCCTCAGCACAGCAAGGGTAGCCTGTGCCTTGCTAAGACTCATGTCTTAGTCCTGGCACAGCTGGACCCCATGACAGTGAGCATCTGTTTGGGGCTGGGCTCTAAAATGGTGCCTTGCTGTAGCTGCTTAGGTCTTAGGGAATGTGTTGGACCACACACAAGCTCTTTCCTTCGAGCAGTGCCATCACACGGTTTCCTAGTAACTCCCTATGTTAGTTTCAGGGCCCCTGAGGGTTGATGGGCTCTCCTATGGCTAGGATTATGGGAGTCTATAGAGGGAATGAGGACTGCTGGGGATCTCTCCCTTACCCTTTGTCTGCACTTGGGAGTTGCTCCCAGCTCCCATCCAAAAAGGCTGCCTCACTTCCCTGTCCTTCCTTGCCTCAGAAGTTCCCTGTCACTTTTCTCTTAAATTCCAGTGTTCTCTCTTGGATGATATGTTCAAGATGCACTTATCTATTCATTACTTTTGTTCTTCTTAGTGGAGGAGGTAAAGAACAGATGCGTCTAGTCAGCCATGTTGAAGCCCATCCCTTTGAATAATTCTTAGGAAAGGTTTAAACAATTTTCTGAGAAAAAAATCTTGCTTCAAGAATCCTTTTGATCCAACCTGATAAAGAATAAGACAAGCCTCCACTTGAGAGATAACATATGTCAGAATTGTAAATTGCCATGGAAGATGTTACCTCTACCATCTAATTTTAAATCATAGCAATAGTCAACAATGTAAAACATGGGACTACAGTTACTACTGTCAATTATAATATTGAATCTACTGAAAACTGAAAACTGGTACTTGTCATAAACTCAAATGAGATATTTATCATTGGGAAAATGCTCTTTAAGGGTCTTTTTTTTTCTTTTTTTTTGCATTTTGTTAGAATTTTTGTACATATACTTAAGGCAACACAAAGCTGCTTACCTGACTGTATTAGAGTTATACAGCCATATCTTTTCTAAATTACAAAGTAACTATATGTCTTTGTTATCATTTAAGTAACTATATCAGAAATATCCATTTGAAGATGTATTCTGTACTTTTTTTTTTTTTTTAACCTTGATCTCACTCTGTCATCCAGGCTTTGAGTGCAGTGATGTGATCACAACTGCTAGCTACAGCCTCGACCTCCTGGACTAACGTGATCCTTCGACCTCCGCCTCCTGTATAACTAAGACTACAGGCACATGTCATTATGCCTGGCTAATTTTTCAACTGCTTGTAGAGACAGGGTCTCGCTATGTTGACCAGGCTTGTCTATAACTTCTTGTCTCAAGCCATCCTCCCACCTTGGCCTCCCAAAGTGCTGACATTACAGAACTGAGCCACCATGCCAGCTATGCCTCTTCATTCTGAAAAAGTTAATGAGGGCCTATTGAGTAGTCCACACACTGTGGAGGTGCTAGGAATAAAAAAATGAAAAAGACAAGGTCAGTTACCCCTATACAGCTTCAATATATGCTATAAATATACATATACATTTTAAAATATATAAATATATATTCTGGTATATTCATAATTGTGGAATGTCTGTCCCTGATACTATGGAAGTACAAAGAAGGTTTACTTTTAATACCATAACTGAATACAGTTTCAATTATGTTACCCAATATTCCTTATATGTACATGGGAATTACGTTTATTTCTCCTAGGAGTCATTGAATAGAAATTTATTTCATAGAGAAACTTTATGCTTTCTTTTACTGTATTATGAGAACGATGTAGCCTAAAGTAATTTATCTTTTTATTCTGATGTTAGTTCATTGGGGTAGCTCATAATAAGTGCTTGATACATTGTTATATCATCTCCAAATTAGTTTGTGGTGTTTACCTTGTAACTGCCTTGTTTTCCACATGTTTTTGAAATTGTGTAATTTTAAAGTAGCAAGAGCTAGAAAAATTAATCTATTTTAATCCTCTAAAGTTTTAGAGGAATTAATTTAGGGCTCAAGATTGTAAGTGATCTGACCAAGATATAGTTACTTACAGAATTTAGATTTGAAATCAGGTCATCTGACTCTCAATACTGTGCTTTACTTACCCCACCTTACTAAAAGATGAAATGGAAAGAGTGACAAATCAGAAAAACAAATGAAGAAATGGAGGCAAAAAGGAAACAAAAAGAAGGGGAAATAAACAAGGTAGAAAATTAGGAAGGGTTCCAAATTTTACTTTTCCAAAACTTAGATATAAATTTTTAAGGAATGCAATGGTAAAATCCTCACCTTAAAGTGAAAATACTATTCTCTTGGCAATTGGGGAAGTAAATAAACATAACCCCAAATGCATATAAAATGTTAAAATGCAACAGAACATGTATCTTTCTTCAGGATATTGGCAATAATTTTGTTTTAAGTTGTAAACATGAACAAGTCTGTTCGTTCAGACACTTGGAAAATAATGAAAATAATTGTTGCCTCTTTTGTTATGTTTCCTGTATTAGTCCGTTCTCATGCTGTTATAAAGCACTGCCTAAGATTGGGTAATTTATAAATGAAAGAGGTTTAATTAGCTTATAGTGCTGCATGGCTGGAGAGGCCTCAGGAAACTTACAATCACGGCAGAAGGCACCTCTTCACGGGGATGCAGGAGAGAGAATGAGTGCAAACAGGAGAAATGCCAGATGCTTATAAAACCATCAGACCTCATGAGACTCACTCATTACCACAAGAACAGCATGTGAGAAACTGCCCACCTGATCCAGTTATCTCCACCTGGTCCCACCCTTGACACATGGGGATCATGGGGATTCCAATTCAAGGTGAGATTTGGGTGGGGACACAGAACCAAACCATATCATTTCCTAAAACAGACTGATGTTTTAAGATGTAAATGCTAACCTTACAGCTGAGGCCTATACACTAGTAGCCCTGTTAACATCTAGCTCAGGATGGGTTCTTAATTTATGAGGAGAAAAATTTATTAATAAATATAATTTTAATTTCTCCCTAAAATATGTATAAACTTGTAAACATATTATTGTATTTTTGTGCCTATGATTTGTAAAGTTAGGGAAGCAGCATCATTGGCTTAAAATTAACTAATGTTAAACCTGCTACATATGTCATATTTGTTTGACCAACATAGACTGTCTCAATGTTATATCTGTCAGTGTTTGGAGGAAAAATTCTATGTGTTGGATACCAAACTATGCTCATTGAGAATTGTTGCAGTTTTCTAATGCTGAACAGCAAACCATTAAGAAATTAGAAACTTGAAACAGCAGTTTATTATTCTTTCAAATTATTGAAACAACAGTTTGTTTTTACCTATGGTTCTATGGGTTGAGTGGGCTCTATTGGCTAATTTGTTCTAGGGCCTCTCATGTGGCTGAGGCTGGAATCAGATCAACTGACTGATCAACTAATATGGCTCACTCACATGGCTGTTGGTTGATGCTGTTAGTTCAGAGCTCACCTGGAGCTGTCAACCAGCATACCTACAATGGCCTCCCCATGTGGCTTGACCTTCTTGTAGCATGGTGACCATGTCCCAACAGGCAGAATCCTAATCATTCCAAGAGACCCAGGAAGAACTTGAAAGACTTCTTATGACCTTAGGTTTTGATGTCCTGGAATATCCTTTCCACAGAATTCTGATAGTCCGAACAAGTGCTAATGCCAGTCTAGATTCAAGGGGATGAGGAATTAAACTCCACTTTGTGATATGAGGAAAAGCATGTGTATTCCAGGAAGAAGAAATTAATGGCATATCTCAGTAGATACTATGTTCTGAAAGGTCTACCCAAATTCTCACAAAGATAAAAACTAATCCCACAACTGCATGGATATGGGCTAAGGGGGAAACATCAATCCAAAACATTCTTAAATAAGTAGTTTTGGGTCTGTTGAAGTTTGCAAATAAAATTGTAACTTAGATTAATCACCACTAATAAGTTTCTTTCTATCGAATGCAGTAACGATGCATTTACCCTTTATATTTTGAAAATGAATTGTTACAATCTGTTTACTTTCACTTTAAAGAACCTTAATATTGTTTTTATTTATAGAAGTGAAAAAATCAATCTATTACGTTTTTTTTAAATTTCCAACTTTTATGTTAAGTTCAAGGGTACATGTGTAGGATGTGCAGGTTTGTTACACAGGTAAACGTGTGCCACGGTGGTTTGCTGCACAGATCATCCCATCTCCCAGGTATTAAGCCCAGCATCCAGTAGCTATTCTTCCTGACGATCTCCCTCCTTCCACCCTCCAACAGGCCCCAGTGTGTGTTGTTTTCCCCCATGTGTCTGTGTGCTCTCATCATTCACCTCCCACTTATAAATGAGAAAATGTGGTATTTGCTTTTCTGTTCCTGCATTCATTTCCTAAGGATAATGGCCTCCAGCTCCATCCATGTCCCTGCAAAGGACCTGATGTGGCTCTGTTTTATGGCTGCCTAGTATTCTGTGTATATGTACCATATTTTCTTTATCCAGTCTGCCACTGATGGGCATTTAGGTTGATTCCAAGTTTTTACTATTGTAAACAGTGCTGTAATTAACATATGTATGCAGGTGTATTTATAGTACAATTATTTATATTCCTTTAGTCATATATTCAGTAATGGGATTGCTGGGTCTAATGGTATTTCTGTTTATAGGTTTTTGAGGACTTGCCACACTATCTTCCACAATGGTTGAACTAATTTTCACTCTCACCAGCAGTGTCTAAGCATTCTCTTTTCTCTACAACCTCATCAGCATCTGTTATTTTTTGACTTTTTAGCAATAGCCATTCTGAATGATGTGAGATGTTATCTCATTGTGGTTTTAATTTGCATACATCTAATAATCAGTGATGTAGTGCTTTTTATCATATCTTTGTTGACTGCATGCATGTTTTCTTTTGAGAAGTGTCTATTCATGTCCTTTGCCCACTTTTTAATGGGGTTGTTTGTTTGTTTTTTTATACATTTGTTTAAGTTCCTTATGAATGCTGGATATTAGACCTTTGTGAGATGAAGAGATTGCAAAATTTTTCTCCTGTTCTGTAGGTTGTCTGTTTACTCTTGTTGATTGCTTCTTTTGCTTTGCAGAAGCTCTTTAGTTTAATTAGATCCCATTTGTCCATTTTTGCTTTTGTTGCAATTCCTATTGATGTCTTCATCATGAAATCTTTGCCCATGCCTATGTCCTGAATGGTATTGCCTAGGTTTTCTTCTAGGGCTTTCATAGTTTTGGGTTTTCATTTAAGTATTTAATCCATATTGAGTTGATTTTTGTTTATGGTATAAGAAAGTGGTGCAGTTTCAATGTTCTGCATATGGATAGCCAGTTATTCCAGCACCATTTATTAAACAGGGAATTCTTTCCTTTGCTGGAGAGATGTCACGATCATTTGGAGGAAAAGAGGCACCCTGGCTTTTTGAATTTTCAGCATTTTTGCACTCATTCATTCTCATCTTTGTGGGCTTATCTACCTTCAATATTTAAGGTTGCTCCTATTTGGATGGGTTTCTTGTGGGTTTTGTTGTTGTTTTCTGATTGTGTGTTTTTCTTTTAATAGTCTGGCCTTTTTTTTGTAGGGCTGCTGCATTTTGCTGGGAGTTCACTCCAGACCCTAGTTGCCTTGGTTTTTCCCATACATGGAGGTATCACCAGTGAAGTCTGCAAAACTGCAAAGATGGCAGCCTTGTCCGACCTCTGGAAGCTCCATTCTAGGTGGGTACTGACCTGTTGCTGGCCTGAATGCACCTGCAGGAGGTGGTTGGAGACACCAGTTTGCAGCTCTCACCCATTCAGGAAGAATGGAACCAGGGACCTGCTTTAAGAAGCACTGTGGCTGCTTTCTGGTAGAGCAGCTGTGCTGCTTGGAGATCCCTTCAGCCCTTTATCGGTTCGGGCTCTCCAAGGCTCACAGATTGAACTGGCTGAGGCACCTAAACAGCCAAGAAGGCAGCCTGTCCCGCGTCCTGGGCACTCCATTCCAGGGAGAAATTAGAACTCTGCTGTCTGTAGAACGGGGGCAGGAGTGGCTGGAGGCCTAGGCTGGGAGGTCCTGCCCAGTGAGGAAGAATGGATCGGGGTCCCACTTAAAGAAGCAGTCTAGTCACATTCTGGCAAAGCAGCTGTGCTGTGCTGGGGAACCCCTTCCTCGTCCCAACCATTTGGACTCTCCAGATTCCAAGGAAGTGGGTCTTATCTTTTGAGGTGTCATCGGAGTGAGACCCACAGACTGATGCTGCTCAGCTCTCTGGATTCGGTCCCCTACCTGTGGGTATGCACAGCCCTCCTGCCTTGCCTAAGCTGCAGACACCCTTGCTGGGGATCCCGGGACGGAGTAAGTAAAACTCCTGGGTCTCTGTGCCTGCCTTAGCAGCTGCTCTGCCAAGATTCCACACAGCTCTGTGTGTTTCACCCAAGGCTCTAGGGAGTGGACCCATGAGGGGACTTCCCGATCTGCAGGTTGCAAAGATCCATGGGAGAAGCATGGTTTCCCCGAGTTGCACACTCACTCACTGCTTCCCTTAGCTGGGAGTGGGGTTTCCCTTGGCTCCATGTTGCTCCCAGGAGGGCCATCATCCCACCCTGCTTTTCTGCATTCTCTGTGGGTCGAGTTGTTTCCTTGATCAGTCCCAGCGCGAGTACCTGGATATTTCAGTTGAAGGTGGTGTATTCACTCACCCCTTTCATTCCTCTCTGTGAGTGCCTCAGACAGTAGCTGTTTCTAATCGGCCATCTTGGCCCAATTCCCATTATGATTTTCTTTGTCATATTTTTCTCAACTACCTTATTACTTTAACCATTGACCAATTACTTTCAATTAAAACAGGATTATCAAGATAATTATTAGTTAACATAAAATTTTCATAAAATAAACATGTTTTAAGCATTTATTCTACACATATAGATGCTAAAAACATAGATGAATATCCCTTTCTGCATATATGGTTTTTATTCACCATATTCTGATAAGTTTATTTCAGTGCTTTCTCTTGTAGAAAGCTAAAAATAACATGAAAAATAGTTGTGTTGTTTTATTTCAGAGAATTTTTGTTCCATTAGTATTTTAAGAACAACTCCATCACATTTCATACAGCTCCCCAGCACGCAGCAATACCCTCAGTTATATCAATACTTCCTTTGCCTAGTTATCTTGAAGATCTGCTGTTCATATTAATGTTTTTATCTTTCAAACACTGATAGAAAATCACAATAACTTATGGCTCACATTATTTCAGTCCAAAGGTCTTATCAGTTACTATTAAGAATAGTGAAAATCTCTCTATGTGAAAAATTTTTTTAAATAAGCAATCCTATTAAAGTTCCTTTTCAAGCATATTTTCAACATGCTTACTATGTCCCATACCTACAAATATTCTCTTATTCATCCTAATATCTTTCCTCTTGCTAAATATCAACAAATTTATCTACCCTTAAAATGCAAATTAGCACTGCAATTACAATTTGTTCATAGGATTATTAAGTTAATATTTTATCTTATTATTTTGTTGGTATAATATTAATAGAGTTTTTGTTTTTTAACTATTAAATGCAAAGCATTCCCACAATGCTAGACAGCTCACTTCAGCAGTTAGAAAGTTTCATTTGTCAAACCAGTTGACTGACTCTCCAGAAAGTGATAACTTTTAGATTGCTTTGTATATGCTTCTAATGCTTCTATTGTTGTCAAGTTATCACCTGATGAATACTGTTCCAGTTCTTCAGGATAAGGTCAGACCTGTGAACCTGTAATTTGAACAGCAGTGCATAGGTCAAATAGCCTCAGTTGAAGTGACAGGAGCTTATTGTTTTGTATTGCTGGGATTCCTTAGCCCATAGTTCATTCCATAATTCCTAAATCAACTCTAGTATAAAGTGATATCTTCAATACATGTGAACCAGTTATCACATAGAATGAGTTACTTTTGTCCTAAAAAGAATTACCTTTCTTGAAAGGAGATGGGCAAGGCAAAAATTTCAACAGAAAATCAGCAGGATGGTAACAGAAATCTTATTTTTAAAAAAGAAATTATAACAACTTGAGATAAAAATGGTTGGCAAATCTGGTGCTCAATTTCAATACCAGACTTACTATAGATTTTCTTTTGTCTGGGATTTAGATTCAATGGAAAATTCCTGTTTTCTCTCCTTGCTAGTAATAAAGCATAAAAGTGTGCAATTTAACAGCAGTACCAGAGTCAGGCCATTTGCTAGATAGGAATGTGGATGGATTTCTGGAAGACGAATGCATAGACCAGAACAAACTAAGCCACACATTACTGGTGTCTTAAACATATGACTTAAGGAATATCATCTAAACAAAAAATCTATTTTGATTTCCTCCTACCCCTTTAGGAATCAAATCTTCCCCAGCACTAAGTATAAATTTGTACATATCCTGCCGGGCACAATGGCTCACACCTGTAATCCCAGCACTTTGGGAGCCTGAGCAGGGCAGATCATGAGGTCAGGAGTTTGAGACCAGCCTGAGCCAACATGGTGAAACCCTGTCTCTACTAAAAGAAAAAAAAAATTAGCCGGGCGTGGTGGTGCACTCATAATCCCAGCTACTCAGGAGGCTAAGGCAGAAGAATCACTTGAACCCAGGAGGTTGACGTTGCAGTGAGCCGAGATCACACCACTGCACTCTAGACTGGGTGACAGAGCAAGACTCAATTTAAAAAAAAAAACAAAACAAAACAAAAAAAAAAACCTGTGCATATCCCATGAGTACACTGTTTTAGACAATGGATAGTCACTTAACCTAATAGTCACAGACTCAATTTAGAATAAATAATATCCATCAAATATTAATTAAGCATTAATTATTTCAAAGGTATGGGTTCCTAAATATTTATTTCCTCCTCCAACTCAACTTTCATGGTTAACCCTGAAAAAAAGAAAATTTTACATGGATGTTGGTTTCTCCATTTCTAGTTCTGGGGTTTATCAATTACCTTTTTCTTTCTCATAAGCTCTTATTGTAACTTTTCAGAGATTTTCATCTCTGTCAGTCTTTCTCATGCAGTTATTTCCTTTGAGCTGAGAAGATACATTTTCATTTCAATCGGACCTTTGTAACTTATTCCACATTCCCTACAGACTGATGTTTTTGTCCTGTTTTGCATTGCTGGGATTCCTTAGCCCATGAGTATCCCTATGAAACTGAAACTGAATTCTAGATGACCTGGTGGAATATTCTCTTTGATGTGTCTCTCTCATTTCTTGCCCAACAAATGGAGGTTCTGGCTGCTTTCATTACAGACACACCTATCTTATTTTCACAGACTTAGGCTTTCTCAGGCATGATAGGTTATATTTTCCAAAATTGCCATGAAAAGATCTTCCATCACATTTACTCTTCTTACAACATGATATTTATATTCCTCCCATTGAGATGTGGGCCATATGTTCTCCAAGGAAACCCAGACCACATGGAGAAATCTGGTATGGAAGTTCTGACTGGAATTCCTAGCTGAGGTCATAGCCAGTATCAATTTACAAACATCTAAGTGAAGATCCTTGAGTTTTCCACAGCCCTTGAGTTTTCTAAGCAGACATTGTAGATGAGAGACAAGCTTTGTTTTCTTCTGTGCCCTATCAGAATTTCTACCCCACAGATACCTTGATTATGATGAAATTCTGGTTTTATGCCACTACATTACAGGCAATTTAAAAAAACCCACATGAATGGGTAATGATAAATAAAATTATTTAGAAAGTATTTGTTGTCAGCCCAAAATCAGATTAAATGCGAAGAGTATAAGCAAATGCTGAGACATTTACTGCCCATGTGATTTTCGGCAGTTTATTCTTCGAGCTTCACATTTTCAAATGTATATTGTTACTATTATTCTATTGTAAGCCATTGATGAAACAGTGCTGTCTAAGATGGCATGGCTTCAATTGCTTTCATTTCATATATCATTAGATAATTCCTTTACATTTTTTCTTTTTATAAGGAAAACAGATAAAATTGGATTATCAGATTGTGTAACTAAAAGGAGGAATGGTACACAAAGGAAATATTTAAAGACATAGTAAAAGAAATGCACTGGCTTAAATTATTTTGCAATTTTGTCTAGAATATACAATTCAGGGAATCATCCTCTTATTCTTGTTGTAGTAGCACGTTAAGACTCTTTCTTTAAGAAAAGCATTGCATTGTCTTTTCCCCACACGAGATAATATTGTAAAAACTTTTTGTAAAAAAATAGCAACAACAGCAAAACTCATTTCAACACTTTGAAATTCTGAATTGATGCTATCATATGTTTATAGTCTCAAATAGTTTTCTGAAAATTATAAGAATTATAAAAATCCTACTTAATTTATCAAATTTGCATCATCATCCTCACATAGCAATGCCTGTCTTTACTAGTTGTTTTTGTATCATTTTACCAAATTTATATCATAAGGGCATCTCTATATAAATAAACCCACAATGCTTTAAAGTCAAGTAGTTAGTGGAGAAATAGAAATGCAATATATATCTGAATGCATGATATAGTTTCAAGCACCTAGACTATATATTAGGGAGGGGCAGGTTATGATGTCTGAAATAAAATACACTAAAACAGTAAGAGTAATCATATTAGAGTAGCAAAATAAAAAGGTGTTATTTTTCTTTTCAATTTTACACATTATTTTATGATATTTTTACATGACTTTTACAATGTAAACAAGTAATTTAAAGAGAAAAATATATTCTCAATTTGCAACAAAGGATATCAACCTACTCAAACATTCTTTAGATTTTTGGTATGAATGTGTTATCATTTTCATAATGGCAAGGAAGTAAAATACGGATAGGTGCTATAGCCTCAAGGTTTTCTTTTCTTAAAAGCTTCTCTGTCACATATAGTATATTTGAGAAATAGCCTTTATCCTCATGAACAGAAAGTCAGCATCCCAATAAATTCCAATAATCTCTCTGATTATACCCTTACCTGTATTACAAAGAGAAGACAGAGACTTTTTTAAACCTAAGAATAACTGCTTTTCTTCTAATTAGTATATACTGTATATACTTTGGCTTCATGATTTGTAAAATGGGTACAATAACAGTATCTATCTTATAGGGCTGTAACTATTAAATGCGCTAGGATGTTTAATGCACATAGAACAATGTGAGATGCATGGTAAGCACTGAATTAACCCTAGAATGTAGATTCTGTGCGAGCAAGCCTTTATCTGTTTTATTCATCACTTTAATACTCAATGCCTTGCAAAGACGCTCCAGATGGAGCACAAAACATAATAGCTGAATAAATACAAGCTAGTAGCTTTGGAGACAGGTGTCATTTAAGAGAAAGATTTTTAAGAAAAAAGGGAAAGTGGATCTTGCAAGAGTCAGAAGTGTGCAAAATGTTGGGCAGTGAGAAAAAAGAATGTGGTCATTCAGGAACTTCGTCACAATTGGGAAGGAGATTCACTGAAAATATTTTGTGATTTGAGCTTAATTTTAAGGAATTAGATAAAATTTATATGAATGAATACACAGATACATGCAAACTATAAATGTGCATGCTTGTGTATATTTGGGTGAACATTCAGGGATACAAGTGAAGCAGCATAGTGATAAAAAGCACAGCTTCTGGAGCCAGACTGCCTGGGCTCCCATCCATCCCTGTTTTACCACTTTACTGGCTGGGAGACAGTGGGAAAGTTCTGTGCTTCAGCTTTCTAATCTATAAAATGAAGATAATAATAGCACCTACTTTAGAGTGTTGTTTTGAGGATTAATTGAATCCATGTTTGTAATTAGTATTTGTAATTATTAGCTGAAGTTAATATTGGTAATTGGGATAGTGTAAACACCATGTAAGTGTTTGCTAAGTAGTATAAATATTAAAATTTTTTCTTTAATCATATTTCAAGATTTCTGTAGGAGATAATATATTTATTAGATTTGTTTTTTACTTTAGCATTTGTGATAAACTAAATCTATAGAAAGATACCATCAAGTGACAATTTAAGATAATATAAATGGAACAGTGGTGAATAGGTTCTCTGGCTTTCATGTGCATCCTTATATTAAAAAAAAATCTATAGACATGAAAAAGGGTTCCTAACAATGTTTTTACATGTAAATCAAAAAGTCAAAAAGGGGAAAAACAAAACAACACAAGAAAGGGAACAAAATACAAATGCAAATGCTAGCATCTAAATGGAAAAATCCTACTGCCTCTTTGTCGAGTCTCTAGGAAACGGTATTAATTTTGGAACCTCCGCTACCGTTATTGAGCTCCTTATGTCACTATAATTTTGTGAGACCCAGGACAGTGTAGCAGACATAGTGGGCAGAACTAAGATGACAAATGGCTCCAAACCATTTTTTAAATAGTAGCATCCAAAATTAGGCACATTAGGTAAGTCTATTGATAATTAATTCTTAAAGATATGTGAGTTTCTATCAGTGCCTGTTTAATGCCTTCTGACAAACTCAGTGTAATATGCAAAAAACATGTCAAATCAAGTTAGTTTTGAAAACAGTGTAAACACATGTCATAACAGAGTTATTGTCCAAGGTGAGCTTCATTTTTGCTGATGATAAACAAGACTGCTAAACATGACTGTGTAAGGTAAAATTTCTATATTATCAATGTGAAGGTATTGAAAAGTGGTGATATGCGCTCACCAGTGCGGTAGTCACTGCCAAATATGGCTATTTAAATGTAAATTTATTAAAATTAACTCAAACTAAAAATTCAGTTTCTCAGCTATGCTAGATACATTCAAACCCTCAAAAGTTACATATAGCTAGTGGCTACTGTATCAGACAGCAGAGATACAGGCTATGTCTAACATTGCAAAAAGTTCTATTAGGCAGTGTTCATATATCAGTAGCATTTATTTTAGATAAATAATTTGAAATATTTTTAAAAATTCTACATATTTTCAATGAGTAAGGAACTTTCTTATTTTTTCACATTGGATAAAATTCAAAAATAAGCATGGGTACACTTCCCATTACTTACATATTTTAAGTCATGATGCAAAATAACTCAGGAGCAATTAAATGTAAATTAGGATGATCATAAATTAATACCAATCTAAGTCAACCTAGTGTTTGCTTTCCTGCTTTTTTCATTAATTTAGAATTTTTTAACCCATAAAAATAGCAAAGATATCACAATCTAATTCCAAGTACTATGAATTTCAGTATACTTCTAATACTATAGACCATATATCGAATTTAACACTGAAATATCAACAGAGTGTCGCATGGACTCTACAGCAGGTTTAGTTCCCATGTAGCTAAAAGACCATTTTCATAACAACTCCGCATAGGCTCAATATGCATGCAACATACATACATGTAATAATATATATTATTCACATATAATATTTATAAAATTATATTGACTCAAATATTAGCAATATAAATATTTAATGATCTTAAACAAAAGGAGAAATTAGGTACTTTTTACAGCTGATTATGTAGGTATTCAATTATTCTTTATGAAAAAAATTAATGATGATGGCAAATTTTGACCAAAAATTTAAAGATAAATATTAAATACATAATTATTCAGTAAATGCTTTTTGTAGAGATGTAAAGGATACATTCTCTGTTCTTTGAAGACTTTTCAGGATCGTCGAAAAGATTAGATATGTGTATCAAAGTTAGGCAAGTAGATGAATAACCATATGCTAATTGTCAAATGATTGGTGTCAGTTCCATATACTTATTAATCATTATTAAATTAGAAGATAATATTAAACATATTTATATTCCATGAAAACATTTTAATAGGCACAGCAGAAAAAAAAAATCCACTATGAGTATGATGATATAGAACTCCTTACATAAAATGTAAACATTGGGCATATTAAGTTTTTATTCAGTTGTCATTCTCTCAAAACTTGTCCTTTAACTTTTTTTAATTTAAAAACACAAAACCTAGAATTTCAAAAATGTCAACGTGGTATGTGCTTGCAAACTGAACTGAAATAATGTAAAAAACATTTTTATGAAAAAACTTTACCCATAAAGTCCAGCTTAAGTGATGCATTAAGTAGTCACTTATCTTCATCTGATACTTTTAATTTACCCCAGTTTGAATGCAGTAAAAAAAGCATGTTTTGTATTATTGGTATCAAATAATTGAAATGTTTAGTGCATAATTGTTATTCATATGGATATTATTATTAGTAAATTTAACATTTAAGTATTTGACATGCCCAAGTGTCCTCTTGTTTTGCATATTTGTGAAACAAGGCACAAAGTATCATGATGCAGGAATAGTTCAAGATAAAATACCAAATATATTTGGACTAGATTTTTATTTTGAATATTTGAATAAAATTAATAGCAATATTCCTGTGGTATTTGTTATGATGGACATAATCACACATATTTCAATATTTATAGGGGTTTTTAGAGGCAGTTTTACTTCTATTATCAGTTGTTACCTACTTGATATTTAGAATATGCTCTTTAATGGTATTTATTATAAATCAATGAAAGCAGTTGTTTTGACCCAGTTGGTCACTTTGAGGAATGAAAGATAAACTAATATACAACTTGTAAAACTGAAATAAATTTAAATTTATAACTTTAAAAGTCTCTACATAATTTAGTAAAATTACTTTTTGTGGATACCTGATGCCACACAGACTGTTAAGTCAACTTTATTATATTGCAAGTTATTTGAATCTAGTTAAATTATTAGGTCATTGTGCATAACCTTTAGTATTGTTTTTAATGTTAGTAAAAGTTCTTGTACTAGCCTTTAGAAGATGGACCAATGCATACCAAGAGTGAGTTTAACTCAAGAAAATAACTAAGAAATCCATGCCTTAGAAGGTGACGGTATGATTCTTTCCCTCTTACATAAGTATAATAATTTGGAACTCCACTGTAGGAACACAGAGATTGATTTTAATTGGAATAGTTTTTTTTTGTTTTTTGTACTGTAATGTAATATAAACTTCTGAGAGGTAAGAACTAAATCCAAGTAATCTTTGTACTTTCTTTACGATGCTCAGCACAAATGGATGTGAAAATCTTGCTTGGCAAACGGTTACTGAATTAGAAAAGTACTAGAGAGAATGTTTTTATTGAATTTCATGCACACACATAGGTAATATGATATGTATATGACATATGTGCATATATTTTTCTTTCACTGAATGTAACACAAGAACCAAAATTCAATTATCACAGCAGAATCAACAATAGTACATTTTATGTAACTTCAAGTTGCATTTTTTTCTGTAAGGTTTCTAAGATATGATATGCTTAGAATTCACTGCTTTGAATGTTCTTTTCCAGAAAATTATTATCTACTTCCTAACACCAAAGCAAAATTTCTGAAGTAAACAATGTGTATGTTTTCCCCTAATTACATACTTCCTAAACGCAAAGAGACTCAAATTAACTATATTTGACATTGTGGATTTTATTTTTATTTTAGCGGTTTCAATGCTGAAACACATAGAATACAATCTTGTAACTAACATATTTTAAAGTTGATGGCATGAATATGATAATATTATTGCCTACAGCATGTCTTTACATTTTATATTATCAAAAAAGATTTATGCAATTTGTTCTTTTCAAAGTACATACCTAATCTTTTAAGACCTGATATTTTGTCATATTTGAGGATCAACATTCTTTTTATTTATGTTTTTTCTACCTTGACCTTAGAGAATGCAAATTGCTGCTGTGAATGGATTAATTTACTCTTTTACCAGAATAATATACTTAAGACTTTCTCAAGTCTTGAAACATGCTGAGTATTAAACATTATAATCCTTCTTTTTTTCTCAAAGGAAGTAATTGCAGGTTAAGTCTCTCCTCTTTTAATCATTTTAAAAAGCAAATAATATTTATGAATACTATTATTTCTACTATAAATAAAAGCACACCAGTTTTTAATGTCATATATCCTTTATTTAATAAAAAATTTCATCATTTCTTACCTGAATCCAGACCACATATATCGTGAAGAACAATAGTCTGAGAGAATACAGAAGAATTCTGAACAATATAGTTCTGAAAAATGAGACATGAATGCTTTTCTGAGTATGGGTATGATTCAAACAGACAAGTGCAGATAAATCTACATGAATATTGCATCTGGTTCATTGAGTAGCTTATAATTTTGAAACTGTCACATGTCAGCAAATATATCAACACTGCTAGAAAATCAAAAAGGAAGTACATTTCTAAGTGTAATTGCATCTAGCTTACATAGATAACCATGATTATATTTTAAATAAAATGTTAGCTTAATAAAAGAAATTATTGTTACACAAAGTAGTTTACCATTAACTCTTCCCTGAGTGAAGAGAATTTAGCACATAAAAAGAACTAAACAAATATTTTAGAGAGACATGCACATATATATTTGTGCATCTTTGTGTGTGTATATATATATATATATCACATATATATATAAACATATAAATGGTCAAACGGTCATGGTAATTCTTTTTTACAATCATGTTTTAACATTAATAATCATGTCAAACTCATGGAATCTTGCTATTGTCAAAGGCAATGATAATCATATTTTAACTCATTTTTTAGATGAGTTTTTACTTAAGATGTCATTATCTTCTAGGCATGCAATAGATAGCATCCAAACATACGTAAACATGTGAAGTATGTTTTAATATTGAGAAAAATCTTGTAATATTTTTTTCTTAAAAGCCAAGACAAGAATATGACTATCAATTATCTAACCAGATATATATGTCAAGCTTGACTTTGGCTCATTTAAACAAATACAAATTATGAACTGTAGCTGAATTGTAAGTACAGTGCATGGGGGGACTAGAAATTCAGGTTAATTAAGCGGATTATTGTTACTTTGAAGTAACAGGTTATGTTTCAGGCACTGTGCTATGATTTCTAACTAAGCGTGAATCCTAGAAATGAATCTAAGTTTTCCTCTCTATTTCTTTCTCCTTTTTTTTTTCTGCCTTTTCCCCTTCCTTCCACTAAAAGTACTGCCTTCTAGTCTAATTTTAAGTGAAACTTCTTGGTGTTTTATAACATATTCTCTAAAATGCAACACTCAAGTAAAACATCAGAACTTGATTTTAAACTTTGATTTTAAAATATTTTATGTTAGGAATTATACTGAAATAACTTCTTTTTGGTGATGTTCCATTAAAAATGTTTCCCTTGCAAGTCTAGTTAATTTCAAAAGTAAAAGTATAGAAATAGATTCACATGGTTTATATTTTTAAAATAATAATATTATACATTCCTTCAATTTATAAGGACTTTCTTGAACGATTTTTCTTTTAGTGAATTATTAATGAAGTTTATAGATTTACTGTAAGCCAACATTTAAAAATGAAAATTTAATTATAAAAGGTCATGGAAACATATTTTTGACAGTATATAAAAAGAGATTTTGAATAAAATTATCAGATAATGAATCATTAGAAATTTCTAAGAACATTATTTAGACACAATGATTTATATTATAATGGTGATAATGTAGTCTTTTTATTTTGTAACTGAGTTTATAAACTCTAAAATGAGTTTGCAAATGCTCATGTGGTCAATCAATATCAGTAAGAGTGGCAAAATGAGTATCAAAGTCAGATTTTACTCTTAAGTGCCGATATATAAACTCCACACATGGTATCTTTTTAGAAATGATTTGCATACATTTAAGTTGGTGTGGACACACCTTCAAAGAGAGGCAGAGGTGTATGAATTCCTAATGAGAATGAGAGTATAGTCACCAATCAGAACCCTTCCTCACATTCTCCAAATCGCTTGTATTTCACCATTTCTCTCCACGCAGCAGAATTTTTGACATGGGACATTTCTTGCTCTCATTCTTTCTTTCCTTCCAATTTACTGTAAGGCATTAAGTGAAACTTCTTCAGCTATGGTGTGTGGCACAAAAACATCGCAGCGCAGGAATGCATGGAATAGAAGGGTCCTTTCCCTTCCAGAACTCTGTAAGCGTCAAACGCCGACCCTTGGCTCCATCTCCCGCTCCCCTGACCTCTTGTCACTGTGCCATTTCCCTCCTGTGCTTTCTGCCCACTTGGAAAATATCGTATATCCTTTACAAGACCGCTACTTTCTCTCCTCTGTTCACATTTCTCCATTACCATCCACATTTTCTCAAAACATTCCGACGGGTTTTGAAGTGGGGTTTTCAACCTCCCTCGACTGTGATAGCCGAAGTCCCTTCAAGAAAGAAAAATGATGTTGGAAATACTAGTAACAAATAAAGTATCACGGAAATCCCCACCCAAGCGATACGGTTTCCTTGACGCGCCCTTAACCAAGGCGTTAAGTTTAGCCTGACAGCATCCCTCCCTCCTTTCGGTTCCTGGCCTGATGAGCCGCCTCCACCTGCGAGCGGTGCAGGCATTTTTGTTGTCGACTAACCCCCTCTAGCGCCGAACTGGCGGCATCCGAGCCGCGGCTGCCAGGCCGGGAGAAGGCTGGGCTTGGCCGGGCTCTGCAGCGCTCCGGGCTCCGTCCCTGCCCTGGGCGCCCGCCTCCGCCGCGGGGCGAGGTGGTGGAGACCGCGGACGCCGAGGGTCCTCCCAGTCAGCACGCCGCGTTGCCCCGGCCCTGGGGCGGGGGCCGCGGAGTCCCACCAAGTGGCCCGCGCCTCGGCTTCCGGGAGACCCGAGCGCGGGGAGGGAGTGGGTGCCGCGAGGGGGCGGCTCGCGCGGGGAGAGCCGTCAGCCCACGGCGCCCCTGCGCTGCTGTGGATGTGGCCACGCGCCACTCGGCCCTTGGACTGCTAGGAGAGCGCGGCCCGACGCCACCACGCCGTGGACGCTCGGGGACCCCTGAATCCCAGCGTCAAGGCTGCGACGATGCTCGTGACCTCCACCGCGAAGTCACCTCCGCAAGGCGACGCAAGGACCTCGGCGATCCCGGGCGCCGTACACCCGCCACTTTCCAGCCTCATGTAACCCCCCCTCTGCTGCTTCCTCCCGGCGCTTTGCTTTTCTACAACTGGAAGCCGCGAAGGCGGCTACTGCGCTGAGCCGCTCGCTCTGCTGGTCAAGTTTGGGCGACCCGCGCGGAGGAGGGTCGGGCTGACTGCCGCCGCTGAGCTGTCCCCGGACGGGAGCGCCTGTCCACGGCACTCACCCCCTCCAGCGGTGGAAATGTGGAGAAGTAAGTGGGAGGCGGTGTCGGGAACTGACTCCTCTTAAAACGGTCGGCGCCGCTGCTCTGAAATGGGCGGCTAAGTGCTTGTGGGACTAAGGGCGGCCTCAGAGATGCCCGGAAAATCGCTGCCACGGCCAGAGTGCGGCGCAGACGCGGCAGAGTTGGAGGTGTCCGCGGTGCAGGCTGCTGCCCACGCCGCTCAGGCCAGGTGCTGAGGGCTCAGCCCGCGCCTCGGCCGAACCACTCTCAGCCCCGTTGAGCCACCTCGTCCGCCCGGCTTTCATCGCACCGGCCAGAGGAAAGTTCCCGCGGCCCCCACGCCTCTTCACAGCTGCAGCGCCTCCCCTGCTTTTGGCTCCGCAAGTGCCCACTTGAGTCGGGAGAGGTCCTCGGGCCGCCCCAACTGCCCGCCCCACCTGGCAGTCCGTCCCCGCCCCCGTCCTCGCGGTGAGGCGCTCCCCGCCCCCTCGCTCCCCTCCCCCAAACCACAGCCCGAGCTCGCTCTTGCGCGCGCGCGCTCTCTCCGGCCCAAGTGAATAGTCCTCGCGCAAGCGGGACACTGTGGTGGATGCAATTCCCCTCGCCTCCAGCCGCGAGGAGCTCCCCGGCGCCGCAGGCAGCGTCCTCCTCCGAAGCAGCTGCACCTGCAACTGGGCAGCCTGGACCCTCGTGCCCTGTTCCCGGGACCTCGCGCAGGGGGCGCCCCGGGACACCCCCTGCGGGCCGGGTGGAGGAGGAAGAGGAGGAGGAGGAAGAAGACGTGGACAAGGACCCCCATCCTACCCAGAACACCTGCCTGCGCTGCCGCCACTTCTCTTTAAGGGAGAGGAAAAGAGAGCCTAGGAGAACCATGGGGGGCTGCGAAGTCCGGGAATTTCTTTTGCAATTTGGTTTCTTCTTGCCTCTGCTGACAGCGTGGCCAGGCGACTGCAGTCACGTCTCCAACAACCAAGGTAAGGGACGGGGCGGAGGAGCGGGAGTGGGTGGGAGGAGGAGGGTGCTTGGAGAACCAGGGTACTGGTTGCCTCCTGCAGGTAACTTTGTACAGGGGTCAGAGTCTCCTGGCTCGCCACACGAGGGGATCGAGGATGTCCCCTTACCCTAGCGCCCTGTTTACACCGCCCGGGACGGTGACTCCACAGGCTAGGATCCGTTGTGTTTCTAAATGTCTTTAAACGGTAGCGTGAGCATCAGCTGCAGTTGGGTCCCACCGCTAGCGGCCGTGGGACCGCTCCCCGCTGCGCTGTCTCCACTGGAAGTCAGGCTCCGTGGCACAGACTTAATGGAGACTTCTGGCTCTTTGGTGGTCGCTCTTCTCAGGGGAACGTGTGGTTCTCCCACATGCCTTCTTGAAAGGCAGGGTGCTCCCGCTGTACCCCGTGACCAGTTATCAGTCTTTCCCCACCCCTCCGGTGACTGCCGCCCTCGCCCAGCCTCAGTCCCCATGCTTCATCTACCATCCAGGCCACCGAAGTAGACTTACTCGAAATTCTTCCTAGACCAGATGCTCCAGATCTGTGTAGGGGTTTCATATTCTTGCGGGCAGGGAGTAGAAAAGGGTTTAGGGTGAATTTCCAAGTTGTGAATACCCTATTCATGAAGTCAAGTCACTGACAGATTGCTTGGAGGACTTTGTTTCGGTGGGTAAAGTGGTAAAGTGAAGGTAAATAGTGGTTAAAAAGTGATGGAAAGCCCTTGGAATATTTGAGCATTTTCCCTTTTTCTATTCATACAATCTTCATGAAATATATCTCCTTGTATTTCTGCTGTGCATAAAGATCTATAAAAAGTACCACCTGCATATTCTAAGTCCTTTCAGACTAAGCATGAAACAACCATAAAAGTTTCCCAGCATGTATCTGGCTAGATATTCTCTCACTCGTGCTGTAATGACCAACCGATATGTCCCTTCAAATATTATGTGTGGTAGTCAGTTATAGTTATCATTTAACACATAAGGCATATGTTTCAGAGTCTCGAAGTAATTTGCAGGTATAAAAATGGAGGTCAGATGGCTTGAAAGTGTTCACTTTTTGTGTGAGGAGAAGGTTAAGGGAGAAGATAAACAACACAGCATTCTTCTTTGTCATCAACATATATGGCCATTTTACTTAGAAATGTTCAGAATCAGAATAAAATATAATTATTAAATTGTTCTCATTTATACAGTGGTACTTTGGCATATTTTCCTAATTATTACAGTTATTTTAAACTGACAGAATGCAATCACAAATGTGTAGGTGAATTTGGAAACCATACATAACCTTCATGGCTTTGAAGATAGATCACATAATAGATATCAGTTACAGTGTCCTGTTTTGCTGTGGTGGTATATACCATCACACTACATCCCTCATTTATTTTCAAAGACTGTGGGTATAAAATATTGAATAGGTAGTTAACTTCATTTCTGTGAAGGTAGAAGATTGTTAAAAAACGTGTAACGATTACCCTTTTTTATTATGACAAAACAATTTTTAATAATTGGAAAGTCAGACATTGATACTGTACTTTATAATAGTAAGTAAGGATACTAGAGATGAATACTTTGAGAGTCAAGTGTACTAGAAGTTTGTAACAGTTGTTCCCATGCAATAATTTCCCCAAACAATGTTTATTTATTTAAATACCTATGATGCATCAGTAACTACCCTAGGCCCAGGGGATACTAACATAAATAAAACAGATATCTGAATCTACAAATGACCCTAAAGTGCCATTCTGCCAAAATATGTCCTGTTAAAGCATGACCTTTCAGACATTCATAGTAAATTTAAAAGCATCGAGATGTTATTTATTAACCTCTTCCAGTAATTTTTATTTGCTTATCTATTTTAATGACTTTCTCATAGTATTTACAGATGTTTGACCTAGAATATATGCCAAACATATGTAATTTATTTATTTTTATTAATTAGCTAAACTTAGTGAATGAGTATTATCCAATTTTCCCATCAGTTAAATAGAAGCATTAAAGATTGTCTACTTAAACTCTTAATTTGAATTTGTATTGATATACCGATAACACAGGCTGTGCATAAGAGTACAGTGGGCAAAATAGTACCTGAAGGTTAAATTGGATAAAATTTAGGTGACTTCTTCAAAAGAACATTATAATCAGAATTTTTATCAGACACAAATTATTACTTATAAAATGATGCTTTTTACAGCCTAAAGTCATAGTGAGTAGAAATTTTTCCTGATAATAAGTTGAGATAACTTTCAAATATTGAAATCATCACACTAATGGTTAATAAAATGCTAGGTTTCTAAATGTTATTCTTAATAACATTTTAGGGATATTTTCCTTACTCGTAGTTTCATAATGGATAAAATAAAGCATCTATTTTTAAACATGGAAAATGGGACATTATAGAATTATCATATGTATTCAACATGGAAAGATAAATGTAAAATATAAATTTGATTTATTATACACATAAAAATAAACAGTAATATAATTCATATTTAGTATTGAGAAGATAGTTTTAATTGTCCAATAATTTTCACTTTAAAGGCTAATGGAATTAATGTTTTAATTTTGAAATTTGTTATTTTATAGAGGGTAAAATTACATTTATATGTAACTTCTTCCTGATTAAAGATATTCACAAAATAAAATTTTAATGTTATATATCTGTTTTACCAAATTATATGACATCCTTCATGGCTGAAAAGAATGGATTCACCTTTCCCACAACCCCCACCCCAATCCCCATTTTTCCATACATAAGCAAGGTAAAATGATGATGATAATGACAAAAAAGTAAACTACCTCATTCTTTTAACGTGGTGCAAACAGTAACTTGACTATAGAAAGGATCTCTTCTCTTGTCTTTTAACTGAGTGTGAAGCTGACTGTAAAGATGAAATAAATCAATTTGACTCTCTCTTCCTATGAACCAAACCTCCTTGAATCGATCAGAAAGTAAAGGTTCTTCCTAGATCACTTCATCTGATTAAGTAAGTGGAAACATGAATTGTGTTTAAATCTCTCTCATAGTCAATTAATTTTCCCTGTATTTAAAACCACAGTATTAATTAAGTGTTGGAAATTTTTATTTTAAAAACATTTCATCTTTTCAAGGAATATAGCCTTTCATTTCTGTACTATACACTTATATGAATATAAAACACAATCTTGCTTCATGTATAAGTTAACCATTTACCGTGTATCACAGTGGCCAGTAGACACCAGGGATCCATTCATTCAAAGATTATTCTGCAGCAAATACTACTTTATAGCCTAAATGAGTTGATGCATATCTAAGGGTGTGGCTCATGCTTTTACAAATAATCAATTGCATACTCAAATAATTCAATTAAGTCAAAGTATGGTATGGGTAAGTTAGTCTAGTGAACTTATTTTATTAGCAATACTTTGTGAATCGATTTTCCCCCCAGGCAATTCAGTGACAAACAAAATAAGCAAAACAATAGTGTGGCTGGTTGATTTCATTAAATTTATTAATTTGAGCGAATCAACTGCATAATCCACTGAGTTGTATATAAATACAAATAAATATATCTAAGCAGAAAAACATCTGCTTAACAAAATTCATGGCCTAAAATTAGTTTTATCCATATGTTTTATTCACAAACTCTGATTGAATATTGTTCTTATATTTATAGAAATGGAGACATTGAGGAAATTTTTAAAGATTTTTCAAAAGTAAACATTAAAATGCTGAAAATATTAAAAATTTTGTTAAATTAGGAACACTGGATTACTTAGAATGTTTCTGAAAGACCATTCATTTAGAAGAAATTAGTTTTTGAGGATAAACTATTTATAGTTGTAAGGGTTCCAGAGATTGTTATCACATCACTTCTTGTTAGACATAAGTATAAATACAACTTAGAATATAATTTTATTATACATTTACAATATAAAATAAGTAATTGTATAATTAGTCATTATTGATTAGCATCCAAAGTACAAAGATAAAATGTTTTTATGCAGTTCCAGCAGTGATCATCTAATTGTTGTTTGTTCTGGTCTTGGGATAATACTATATCTAAAAGAAAATTTCTTGCACAAAAATTATACATAATCCTTAAGGAACTCTTCTTCAAACAAAAAATAACTTAAATGAATATAGTTGAAGTTAATTTAGTATTCATGACTATAGCACTTTTATATGAATTTCCTAAGGGAAAAGTATATATCTATTGGTACAGGGGAAATTAATGATTAAATTACATCCTTTTACTTTTTTGTTACTTTTACATCACAAAATAAGTATTAAAAAATATTAGAGTAGAAAGCCTTTTGCTTCTTTGTTTCTTCACTAATCATTGTTAGTATAAATGACTTAAGTACAAAAGATATAAATTTCCCTCTACCAACCCTTTTTCCCTATCACAATTTCAGTAACTCTCTCTCTTTCTCTCTCCCACCTCACATACACAAATGCTTCTGACTGCATGCTCCATTTGTTCTAAATGGTGAAAGAATAGATCCCACTTCACACTGTTCATCAACCAAATCCCAACAGTAATAGAAATTTTTTCATTGTACCCTTGACTCACCATTTTGGGTTTACAAACATGCTGGAAATCAATATATATAGTTAGGTGATCAAAATAGTTTGACTTTGTCCAACATACATTGTAATCAAACTAATTTAATACAGGATCAAATTGCGTATCTCTACAGTGTTCTGTTCAACTTGTAATTTAATCAGACTGACATTTAAACAAACTGAAGATACATTCTGTTCTTGCATTATTTTATTGAGTATTGTGTTTTGTAAACTAAAATTTGGATTATGGATTTAAAAAGAAAGATAAGGCATGTGAACTCATGATATTTGGGTAAGTAAATAAAACAATAAAGATTGTAAAAATTATATATGGATGAAGCAACAAAGACACTGAGAAAGTAACAGGAGAGATGTGCTATTTGAAATGGGACAGTTGGAAAGACTTGTCTTTGAAGGTGACATTGAAACCTCATTCTCAGGGAAGAGAAAGAGCTCATTCTGCAGAGTGGGAAGAAGTGCGTAACATATAGTGGAAACTGACTGAGCAAGGGTCTCGAAGAGAAATGAGCTTGACACATTTGAAAAACTGAGTCCAGGGTGGACTGGAACTTACTTTGCAAGGAAGAGAGTTGCAGAAAGTGAAGTCTGAAAGATAGTCGGGAACCAGAGTCCTCAGAGTAGAATAAGATTCATGTTAAGAAACTGAATTTTTATATTATCCTAGATAAAGCATGAATCTATAGGGAGGTTTTGACCAGTTGAGTAAAATAAACCAATTTACATTTTAGTAGCACCATGACTAGTGAGCAAAAACTTAATTGGGAGATGACAAGAGTAGAATTGGGAGTCAGTTGCAGTTGTCCGGGCAAGATGTATGGTGGCCTGGCATAGAGTGATGTCGGTGGAGCTGGAGAGAAGAAGATGGGTTTGAAATATGTTTTGTAAATAGAATTTATGGGAACATCTTGTCTTTATAGAAAAATAAATGCAAGAAGCCCAGATTAATTTTTCATTATTCTTCATTGAAATTACCTTACTAAATATTGATAATTGCAAGGGATAAGGAAGATGGAGTAGAACAAAAATATGTAGCAAGGCTGAGATGTGTATTTTCCACTTGATTCAGTTCAAACAATAATTTAAAATATAATTTTAATAGAACAGTTTTGTTATTTCAAACCATTGTACATAAGGTAAACTCATTTGGATCAACAAATGCAATTTGATTCATTTCTGACATGGTAACTTTTTATATGTAGTTATTTTTTGTCAGCGAACGACTGTACAAGTATGTAGGGACATCTTCATATGGCAACATAGTAAGCCAGCAGAGTCTAGGTTTTGGCTAATAAGGAGCAATATTTGAGGATTTGACATATGTACCAGTTTTATTCATCTCTATTATGATCAAATTACTGTTATTGAAAACACAAATTCTAAGTGATACTAGATATAAAATAATGTGTTTTCAGATACTTTCAATTATACTTATCTGTTCTGTTTAAATGAAGAAATGTTCAGCAAGACCTAGAAAATGAGATTTCAGGATATGTGATATTTTTGGGGATGGAGTGAGGGAAGAAACTGTTATACTTTTAAGTAAACAACGGTAAATTTTATGCAATTAAAAATTTTATATGACCAGTCAATTACTGATTATTTTGAGTTACCTTTTAATACTACTACATGAAAATAATTATTAAATGTAGAGAACATAAAAATTCTTAACACTCTTACACACTGTTTTTTAGAAAATTCATATTCTGGAGATACTTCATTTAAATGTTTCTAAATGTATTTAAACATATATCCAAATGCAGTAAATCTTACATTTTACTTTAGTGCTTTAGAATGTTCTGGAAAATACTATTTTTATAGTTATTTCATTTAAATAAACTATATAACTTCTTATGGGCTATACAGTTTCAGTTTTCAATTATAAATTCTCTAAAACAAAATGATTATTTAAGCAGATATTTATTGCCTGCTATATGACTAGGCAGTGTATTTGCCATACATAAAGGTTCAAAGAGAACTTTTTTCTCCCAGAATATATGATCCAGTAAAGAGTTTACAGTCTGTTTCCAGATCTGATAGGAAAAATTTGTTTTCTCAAAATCAAATTAATAATCAAGTATAAAAGCTTTAAAAATGTATTTGTTATATGACAGTGTATACCAATTAACCCCAATAAAGAAGATTTATGTAAAGATTTATTTAAAAATATCTATTATTTTATTACATTTTATTTTAAAGTTAAGATAATAAGTCACTCAGCAACCATAGATTTAATATCAGGCATTATGCTAAGTATTGAGGTTACAAAAAGATTATCTTCATATTCTGTTCTCTTGAATCTCAGTTTGCTTACTGGCATTTTATATTTTGAGTAATTGATATTTATTTTTCAATTACTTGGTGGTTTCTATAAGATGAAGAATTTTACAGTAAATGATGTTGCATGGAAGAAAGGGAAGAGAGTAAAGAATTGCTGTGTACCATATGTGTTTTATTTGTAAATTGCTTCACAAGACTCTTCTGATGTTAGTTGTATGGATTGGCAGATATTCTACTTAATTACATAAAAATGTATAAATATGCATTTTACAAACATGTTCATATGTACAAAAAATAAATATTTCACACATTTAATGACATCGTGGATGGATGTGTGAGTTGAGCTTTTGTTCAAAATATGTTAGACTGGCCTATTCTGGTGTGCTTATTTTTGGTGGGTTAGTTATTAAAAACTAATTCATGTTGAAGATGCTAAGTTTCCAATTTCAAATCGTAGCAATTGTATGTTTTAACTGAGCTTTGTGAGAATTGGGATGAAAGTGTGTATTTTCACTCCAGTTCCTGAAAAATATATTGAGCTAGTTTCCCGGGATTCTGAGTCCTCCAGCTTTTGGCCTATTTGGTGACCTGTGCTTGATAGATGTAATTGACAACTCATTATGCTTCCTGCTATTTTACTTCGTAACTTCAAATGTAAAAGACGTACTTTTTGATCAGAGGAAATATGAAATAACATTGCCTTAGAAAATGGTTGTTAAGGAGATAGAAATATTTAATTTATTATTTTACTCTTGTAATGTTAGGTATCTATGTGGATATCTGGATAAAAAGTAAGATACTTTATATATAATTTAAAAGTATATTTTAAATAATTTTATATATAATTTATTATGTTAATTCACTAATAACAGTAAATTATGTGTTCTTTCAGGTGACTGTACTATAATATACTTGTATTTTGAGCTACATGAGTGTTGCAAAGAGAATCACATTCTTAGGTAGTGTATAGAGTATAACACCTAGAAATAGGAAAAGCACTAACTTTTAATGTTAAAAAAGATCCATAACTTTTTAAAAAGTATAGAAACTTGCCTACTTGTGGTAATTATATTTAGATGTATTTAAAGCAAGTTAATAAAGATAAATGTTGTGTACTAGGAAATAAAAAAGTTTCATTAATATATATTCTAAGTAAGAATTATCTAAGAAAAATTGATATGATTGCCCCCAAATTTGAGTGGAATTAGTCTTGGTAGCACCTTAATTTTTATTTTTAAAGAGAGGCATAGTGTTCCATATGTTGATATAAAATGACACTAATATTGCAAAACATAATTGAAATTAAATGAGTAAATAGAGAATTTAAGTATGTAGAGGCCAATAAATTAGTTATTCTGAGAATTGATATCTCACACAAGTAAAATTGATTTTTAAATACAATGCAGTAGCTAAGTAGCTATAAACATACCAATGATTAAAGAAAAACAGAGTCAGGAGAAAAGCTGATCCATGGCAGTATTGTTTAAATGATTCTATTTGTTAAGGATTCTCTCTGGCTGTATATATTCAACCATACTCTGGCCTAGGTCCCTTGATTTATTCCAGTATATAAGTGTCCATTGCTGACAAACAATCTTAGCTAAAACTTTTTTTAATATTAAAAATCTCTTCTTTTCTTTCTCTTGAGTTAAAGCATACTTAAATAGTATTTATCTTGTGAAGGCAAGTGAAAATAATTAGTAGTTGCCATGAAGTGTGATAAGAAATAGTCGAGCAGCAGATTCCATTGTACAAAGTCATAAAAGAATTGTATCAATTTTTGAAATAAAATGAAATCTATGTATTGGTCCACTTGCTAGCAATCAGCATTAATGCCTCATCAAAAAATAAAGACTGGAATATCTTGGAAAATTGTAGAATACTAGAACATTTAATGAGAGAAGTTCATTGTCACCTAGGCTATTTCATGTGTTCAATTTAATGAGGGAGCAGTCAGAAAGAGATCTTCATTTTCATCTGAAAAAGAAACAGAACAACTTTGGAAATGTGTACTGTTGGTGTAGCACATTGCTTAACATGGTTAGAAAATTAGTGGAAATTAGCATACTCCAATTTTATTGTTATTTTTACGATACCATAGTAGAGCAAAAAGGTACTTATAGTATGATAACTTATTGTCTTACTGTGTTATGGTATAATAACTTCATTTTATAGGTTAGAAAAAATGTAGTTCACCTAGGTTATTAAAATAACAGCTTGCTAGTTTGTTTAATAAAAATTACACATATAAGAACCTGTATAATATTGACTACTTTACGACCAGCAATCTATTTGTTTTCTTAGATTTTTCAAGAACCCTATTAACCAGAAATGTGGAATTAAATTTAATAATTTATTTTAAGGTTAGTAATCTAAAGTTTTAATAGGTTTATTAAAGCTAAATGGTATATATATATTTTAAATGCTACCAAGCCTTAAAATCAGATAAAATTTTAAACATATTTCTATTGTAAATTTCTCAAATATTTTGTCATTGCAATATATCTGTAGTTATCTTTGGGTTTTTAAAGTTTATTCATTTTAATTTTTTTCCTTTTATATAAACATTTAGGTTCTTAATCTCATAGGTTTTATATATAATATACATTTTTTCTGGAATTCTCAAACTAGTTCTGCAATAAGCAAATATTCATCCAATTTTTAAATGAAATATTTTGACACCTATTATGTTTGGTGTGTTGAGAAACAGGAAACACAAAGGCAGGCCACTGCCCCAACTTGTGAGAGCTTACAGTTTAGCTAATGACATCAGTAAATAATTAAAACAATTTTTAAATATCAAAGTTACATGTATTCAGCTGTACAGTTGGTAAGTTACCATCTACAAACTATTGTTTACAGAAATGAAAAGTACTGTTCTTAAGGATATAGGAATTAATATACAGAGACGTTGAGAATAAATATTCATTTAGTATATTGGTCATGACCATATGTTAGCCACGATTTGTGTGACTCCTTAAAATGAAATAAGATCTGCCAGCTCCCCCGCCCCTGCCCTCCCGCAAAGGACAGTGTTATAAAATTGAAGAGGTATAGCTGAAATTAAAATACAATATAAGATGGATAAAATGAAGAGAAATGATATAAACTTTACATACAAATAAGCCTGAGAACTTGAGAAGCTTGAGTTATACATGGGAAATGAAAATGAGTCTCACATTTATCAGGATTTATCATCATGAATATATGAAAATAATTAGAGAATTAAGATGAATGACTACTCCAGAGACCTCCATTTTAAAGTAACTGAATTAGTTTTTATGCGTTTAAAGATTAAAACTTATGCATTTAAGGATAAAAAATTAATATCCAAGTGAATAATGTTAGATTGAGCATAGAACTTTTAAATAAGTGATGTGACTTGGCTTTTTTTTTTAAAGCTTTATCTTACCCTTTAAAAATGTTATATTTAGTGATGAGAGCTTTCTTTAAAATATAACAACACAAAATCTAAATTTTACTAGATTCTGTATGCTTTTGTTTATTGATTATTTTACCTTTAGATGAACATAAAATTGACAGTACATGTATGGTTTACGATATATCCAATTTAAAATATTTCTTCAAATACCTATAGTTACTTGTCATCCCCTATCATGTTAAATATTTTTATTGTTATTTTCTCTTTCCTAACTGTATTAAATATTTGTTTTTAGTAGTATTGCAGAACTTTGGAATTGCTGGTGTTCTTTAATATTTATCTTTAGAAATTAGGTAAATTGCTGTTTGATAGAGCCTTTATTTTTATATTTGAGAAGCACATAGAATTAGAAATTGCTGCCAGAACTTGGTGTTTTTAAACAGAGAAAAATCAATAGCAGATTACCCGTGATTAGCTGTTGACATTTAGATTTGTACTTTTAGAATGTCAAAAGGCAGTGAAAACTATCAATCTAGTTTCTGTATTATAATTATACTCTATTTTTAAATTAAACATTTTATGGTCCTTCTTCCCATATATGTGATATAGCCTTTTGGAAAAAATTAATTATAATAATTAAAGATATTTTGGTAAAAATGATGACCTTTAATAATTATTTAGTCAAAAATTAGAGGTCTACTGATAACGCTAATAGATTATCCCTCACTTTGAATACATCTAGGTTTTTTTGTTATAATTGCAACACCCTATTGCAGGCATCATTTTTAAATTGTGAAAATAAATATTTTTATAAGGTTAGATTAATATATTTCTTCTATAATCTTTATACAGTATCTAGCATATAGTTATTTATTGCTGTCATAAAAGTTATTTTAATTCTATGCCAGATTATATATCATAAGTCTTTGATGTGTTTTCTCTGATAGTAGATTATTTACTTAGGCTGTCAGAATCTGACTTATAACCAGACTTTACTGAATTGGACATATTTTCAAAGTTTTGATACCTTAATTCTAAAACATTTTAGATAGACTGTACTACACACATAAGACACTTGTGATATAGATCCCATTTTTTCAAATGCATCTCTAGCTTGGGTGGAAATTCCACTCTAGATATGGCACTAGAATATTAAGAGGCTTAAATGGTACCTGTAAAACTAAGGGAAAACCACCAGTTTCCTCTTTAGTATATTAGTAAATGATTTATTTACTCTCCAAGTCTAAGATTATCCTGTTCAGTGCAGTTTCTCTCAACTTCTGGTTTAAAATATGAACTTGCTCTATTCCAGTGCTAAGGTAGGGGATATTTTATGTGCATTGGCTATTTTCCATGTCTTTCTATTAGCTGTTCTTAAATTGGAAAGATTGTGGTTTATGCTTTTATGTCTAAGTTCTTTATATAGTCCTTATATATCTCACGTTATTTCCAAATATTTTTCCCAAGCTGTCTTTTAATTGTGTTTATTACAGTTTCAAAAACAAAATTTGCTTCAGCCCTCAAGTTTTTTCACTTTTCTTTTCCTTTTGAGATTTGCTTCTGAAGACTCATGCACACATTGGTCGGTAGGCAATTGTGAAATAAAATACCCATTTACCAACAGCTGAATAAGTACTTCATATACTAGTGATAAGCTCCTTGATAATAGGTCAGTTGTACAATTATGACTAATGGAACTTATTCCTAAGTGGGGTTCCTTATCTTCCAATTT
Source organism: Homo sapiens (assembly GCF_000001405.40). Lineage (NCBI taxonomy): Eukaryota > Metazoa > Chordata > Mammalia > Primates > Hominidae > Homo > Homo sapiens. The sequence goes on from NC_000003.12 coordinate 96,826,993, forward strand.
AAAACGGCCTAAATTCAGTCACCTAATATACATATGAAGAAGAGTGTTTGACACCTACCTGGGTGTAGTTTGATGCCAGAGAGTGGGGAAGGTAAAGTCAGGCTTAGGAGGAGCATTTACATGGATGGAGGCTGACACAAAAGAATGGGCATCTGGCTTTACTGCATGTGTGCACTGATCCTAAAGCCTCACACACGTTATAGTCTTCTCATTTGTCCAGCTCTGAGAAAGTTTTTCTTGAGTGGGAAAAGCTAGAAAGCAGTTGAAAGAAAGTTGAGAAGTTGAGTAAGAACTGGGATGACTCTCCATGTGAAAGCAAAGAAGTTTTCTTTTCCAGCCCTCATTCCTTAACATTGAATATTTTTGGAGGAGTTTATGATTTTTATGGAACAATGTGTATTATTCTTTTTTGTTAATTTTTTGAGTTAAAAAAATGTGTAGAGAACACTTGCCCATCCTATTTAACTTCATTTTCTAGATATGTTATGGCTTCAGGTTAATATATCATGCCTCAGAGGATGTTATGATGGCAAGTATTTCTTCTGAAGATATGAAGTGTGCTAGAAAGCAATTAAACAGAATAGTGAAAACTGTTCATATACTCGGATCAATTAATTCCACTTTTATGAATTTAAATTCAAGACAAATGACAAGGAAAAGGCAGGCCAATAATTATATCCAAGGATTTTCATCTCAGCCTTATTTATAAAATGGGAGAATTGGAATCAAATGTCCCGAAATAGGAAAATATTTTTACAGAGATAACTTTCTTTATTTGAAAAAAAGATTCTTCAACAAGGGCATGTGCATCAACAGGGGTCCCAAATTCCTTTGCATGAATTAAATGGATAGACTTGTTTGGCTGCTAAGAGAGAATATAAGAGAATTGACAGAAGAATAAGGAAAGAAGGCTTGCAAGAACAGTCTAATGGAGATTCAGGGGTTGCTTTAGAGTGGCTAAGAAGACAGTTAAAAATTCGTGATTATTGTTCTATTTCGGGTTGTCTTTGTGGCTAGGATGTTAACTCCCTCTTCATCCCAACATCTTTACTTTGAAACTTTCGCCAGTCTGTTATACTCTGGAAAAATAAGCATATAGAAGAGAGAAATAAAAGTTCTCTGAGAAAAGAAAATCAGTTGCCCCCATCCCTGCAAAAAGAAAAAAGAAAAAAAGATCTCCTAAACATATCAGAGTTTAGTTAATTGGGGTTCTACTAAACTTTTGCCCTATCCTTTTAGGCTGTTCAGAACAGCAGCTGGGTCAGGAATTTTATTCCCATCTGATACTAAAATGAGTTCCTAATTCCTTCAGAGGAGATAACGTGGACCTATCTAACATGACAGCATTCCCACAGAATTTACAAAGAGCAAAGGAATGAAAGAAAATTTAAAAAACTACCTATGTGTCCACGATGTGTGCTCTTTCTCTTATCAGGAAACTCATGTCAAGAGTATGAGAGGTGGTGTTTAGAGATGGAAAAGAAATCTTAAAGTAACCTTAAGGATATGGAATCCACTTTCATATGCTTTAGACACACCAGCTCCACCTTTGTTTTTATGAGTGCTTAGGAATGGCTTGTCCACCTGTCCTTTGTTCCTGGAAATAAACCCCGGAATCAGATATTCGACCATGGTTTCTGGCCAGATTAAAATGGGGAAGTATTTTAGCAAAAGTGAAAGAGATAGGCTGTGTCTTTCTCCATCTCCATTTTCCTGGATGATCAACACTGTTCCATTCCCAACACCTCCACAGCTCCATCATTCTGAGCTTCCTAATACGTTTTGGTGGTTTTGCACAGCCACCAGTCTAGACTGTCCTTGCTGCCTGATATCCAGCCAAGAGCTGACTACACATCCTCTTGATTTTTAGCAACCAGATAATTAATTTTATCACATGCTGTTACTGACAAATGAATTTCCATTTTTGAATGGCAATACTTGCAGATCTAGAGATAATGTAAAAATAATGACTTATACAAAGTTGGGGTGCCTAGGGTCAGGAACAAGATTTCTACATATGGACTAAGTTCCAGACTCATATTTATTGACTTTGTTTTGGAGGTTGGAAGCTGTCTCAGCCCAACTTTATAATGGTTGTGAAAGGGCACACTGAGGTATGAAGAACAAGCACTTCATACTTTATCTTAGACTGATAAAGATCATCTGTTTATCAAGAACTTTTGCTTAAAATATATGAAAGTTCCTTTTTAAAAAGAAATTTGATGGGAGTAGAGGAGAATCATTCGTTTTATGTTTGGAAACTTAAAAGGGAAAAAAATTACCCCACATAGTCCAGAAGGTAAGGAGTACAGTTAAATACATAATCATCTCATTTTACAGATGAGGAAACTGAAGCCTAGGGAGAATAAATAATTACTGTGGGGTCACATAACCAGAAGCAGACCCAGGATTTGAACTCCAGACAGTTTAGTTCCTGTCAAAAAATATGTGCTCTCCCTCACTACAGGATGCTCCTTTTCCAATAAGATTGTATAGAAATCGCTGGATTAGGAGGAATATGTGCCCTTCATAAGTACCCAGAGGAAAAGAGGTGTGGTCATTTCCTTGCCCTCCTCTTCTTGGGAATTACTGATTATTTTAAAACATTTTGGTATTCAACAATTAGTGCTTCTTTATATATGCAGCAATTTATGGCAGTATAGGAGCTCTCTTTCAGTCCCAAGTGGAAATAGATTTAGCATTAGATGTAGCGTCTGCTGCCTATCACCTTGTTCTTTTCAACATTCTGACTTGAAGACTGAAATTCTGTATTAAATGCTGATGAGTATCTTATTAATACATAGGAAATGGAAATATATTGAGTTACTGAATTTTGCTTAAAATTTCAAAATAGCTTACCTAGCTATTACTGTAGTTCTTATAAACTTTCAGGCAGTTGTTTATATGCTGAGCTAATACTGTCTGTATACACATGCACGTGCATGTGCGCGCGCGCGCACACACACACACACACACACACACACACACACACACACAGAAATGGTATGCTATTTGCTCCATAAACTTAAGTTCTTTTTCACTAGAGTGCAGTGGTTCACATAATCCTAAGTATCGCATTTTAGTGCTATAATGAAAAGAACTATAAATTTAAAGTATGTGTACATTTTTATTTTTTCTACTATAATTCAGGTCATATTACATTAAGTATTCTGAATATAACTTGCTTGAGACTGTAGTTATTAGGAATATCAATTCTAATTTAGGTTCAAAACAAATGGATAACATCAGGTCTTTGTGCTTACAGAGGATATTTCCCTGAAAAACTCGAACATGTTTTATATTCAGTAGTCTTTCTCACTAATGCGCATATAAAAATGTATCTCCAGTTGATGGAGGATTTGACATACCAGAAAAAAAGAAAATACCAAATACTTTTCAACTGTGTATATTAATTCTACCACTTTTTCATTTTTATTCCACCTCTCTAAGGTAAGTAAGTAGCATAAATTACTGTACTTATTTTACTAATGGAATTTATATGGACGTTAAGTTACTTGGCAAAGCTGATAGGGCAAATTGGTAACCACAAAGGAAAAAGAAAGCAGATTTTAAGCCTGTTTGATCCATGTACTTTCTATTAACAAATGGGAAAGAGAATTTCAGGAAAACTTCTAGAATATTAAAATGTAAATATATTACATTTAAATATTATTTATCTTTAAGTCTTGAAAATATGTAAGCACATTGAATCTATATCTTTTATAAATAATCTGTTTTAAAAATAATAGAAAGATTATTTGGAGAACAATTCTTAGGGGTAAGGGGAAATGGGGGGGACATTGATCACAGGGTATATAGTTACAGTTAGACAAGTAAAGAAAGTTCAAGAGATCTGCTGTACAGCATGGTGAGCATAGTTAATGATAATAAAGTAGATGTTAAGTGTTCTCACTGCACAAGTGATAACTATGGAAGGTAATGCATTTGTTAATTAGCTACATTTAACCATTCCATTTTATATGTATATATATACACACACACACATATATGCTTCAAAAAATAATGTTGTACATGATAAATACAATTTTATTTGCTGATTTAAGAAAAATAATTGCTTTCCCTGTATTTTATATTCCTTCGATATTTTTAAAATCAGAAGCTAATAGTTATGATTTTAAGTAATATTGTCATTTTTACTCTCATTTTATTTATGTATATTATTTTTGTGGGTATAAAACCATTTACTATGTGATTTTGCTTCTTCATTTATCACCTGTTTATTAATTTGTCCTGTATGTTTAAACTGTGTGCTAAACACCATATAAGCTGTCTTGATTAATGAGCAGTAATGAAAACTTAAGTACCTACTGAGAAGCCACACAGTTTGAGTCATCAGCCCCTGATCCTCCTCCACGTGGGCTACTTTTGATTTTCTTCCAATTCGCATCTATTACAGCACCTGTCAAGTCTTAGTGTCTGTAAGAATTGTTGCAGAACTTGTTCTGCTGAGCCCACTCCAATGAGTTGGATTTAGTGTCTATGAGACAGTGTTTGTGATTGTTCATTTTTTTTTTTGCCAATTGACACTTTTATTAAGAATAAAGATGATCCATTCCTGTATTTTATTATTATTATTATAGTTTAAGTTCTAGGATACATGTGCACAATATGCAGGCTTGTCACATAGGTATATTCATTTTTAATAGGCATTCTTATATGATTTATTTGCAGGTGGTTTGAGAAACCCTGACTTGGACATCCTTATCTGTATCATTCAAGTTCTTTGCAAGCAATAGGAATTGAAGCTAGCTAACATAAACAGAAAATAAATTACTTATAAGATATTAGATAGTCCACAGAATTGAAGAATATCTTAGAAAACAACTTTAGAAAATGATTGCCATCAACCAGTGCAACACCTGGAATGTAGGCATCCGGAATTATTCATCAGTCCCCTTGGGTTTAATTGATTTCAACTCTGCTTCTTCTCCTTGTATAACTCAGCTGAAAACTCTCAATGCTGCAAGAGGAAATCTGATTGGCCTTGAGTGGGTCAAGCCCCTGCATCATAGAAAGGGTAGAGTCTTTTTATTGACAACCTTACCATGACTCGACGCTATGTGGGAAAAGTAATTCCTTAAAAATGCTGTCACTAAAACAAGTGGAATGGGTAATGGATGGCCAAAACTCAGCGTATATCTAATCACTTCACTGCTCATGTAATTATCGAAATAACTTCTTTCAGATTTTAGCCCTTATTTTAAAAACTCGATTTAGAAGTGAATATGACTTTATCTAACTAAGAGTCTATAGAGTTTAACAGTTCAGCCTAGGATGGTTAGGTGTAATTTTACTACTACCATCGATAGAATATTAACAATATAGAATGCATATTATAATAAAATCATGAAGCTAAAGTCCCAATAGAATAGCATATATTTTCTTTTCCCCAAGTGTAATTTGTAACATCCTTTGTCCTGATAAAACTCTTATTCTGCAGTATAGACAGTAAGGAAATATGTAGGTGGCCTGAACTTCTAACCTTTCTTGTAAAAGAAATTTGACTTTTAGCAAATGGCTTATGCTAAATCCACAATTTCAGTACATTCAAAATACTGTATAATATTTTGGTTATTGCCATTGGCCTGGTTAAAAGAGAAAACTTGTGCCACACAATATTGTGCCCAATATTGGTTTGGCTTCCATACACAATTATTATGCTTTTAAAAATAAATTGATTCTTAAACTCTGTAACAAAATCAATATACTTCTAAGTCTAATATTTTTTAAATAACCAGTAACTGACATTTTAAGCAACTTGGATTTTAAGACTGCCAATGTTTCATCTAAGAAAAATTTAAGGAGAAAATTACTTTTCCATGGGCTACCTTCCCACATGCAGTAGTATAAACTATGAGTTTTTGAGTGCTTACTCTTTGTTGGATACTATACCAAGTAGTTTAGTATATTTATGTAATCCTCACAACCCTTTAAAGTTATATTATCATTATTATATTCATTTTAGAGGTGTGAAAATTGGAACACAGAATAAGTAACTTGGCCCAGTGTTAAAGATTATTAGTTACAGTATCTTCTGCGTTGAATTATGTCCTCTCAAAATTCGTATGTTGAAGCCTTAACTCCTAGTGCCTCAGAATGTGACCTTCTTTGTAAATAGTGTTATTGCAGATGTACATGGTTAAGATGAGGTCTTACTGTTTTAGGGTGGACCCCTAATCTAGTATGACTGGTGTCTTTATAAAAGGGGAAATTTGTTCACAGACATGTACACAAGTGGAATGACCTGTGAAGATGAAGACAGGTATTGGTGTTATGCATTTACAAGCTAAGGAATACACAAATTGCCAGAAAGCCACACAAAAAACTAGGAAGGAGGCATGGAATGGATTCTCCCTCATAGCCTTCAGAAGAAACTAACTCTGTGAAACCTCAGCCTCAGACTTCTCACCTTTAGAACTGTAAGACAATAAATGTCTGTGTTCTGTGTCACCCAGTTTGTGGTACTTTGCCATAGCAGCTCTAGCAAACTAGTTTACAGAGTAAGGATTTATAGCTAGGCATTGTGGCTCCAAAGCTTGCATTCTTAAGGAGTAAACTATGGTGTCTGTGTAATGGTAAGAGATGGAGTGGATATATCATCTCTTAGAATATAAAAGAGATCTAGCTGAAGAAAGTTAAACCAGAGTAAGAGAGCTAATAACATTTTCCTGAAGCTTGAAGTGCCTCATTGTAAGAGTGTTGTGTGAGAAAGGAGCCTAAGGTACTGCTTTCCTTCAAAACTAACTGCATTTATCATTTTGTTGCATTAAGAACATTGCAATTCCACTGTTAGTTATTTTAAAATATGCAATAAGTTATTGTTAACTGTAGTCATCCTATTGTGCTACAAATTACTAGACCTTATTCATTCCAATTCATAAATATATACAAGTATTATGTACCCCTAATAAAATTAAAAATTAAAAAAATTTCCCAAAGCTAACTGACAACAACAAAAGAAACAGTAATAACTATGACTAAATATGCTTGGAAAAATAATCTAAGATTTTAACTATCAATTATACATTTGTATAAATTAATCTGAGTTGATTTAAATGTCAAAAAAAGCATCTCCCTTGATAAATTTCTGGAGGAAGACTAAAAGAAAACCATAAGGAAGATCTTGGTAGCTCCTTTGTGGATGATGACCATTTACATATACCTCAGTTTACAGAGTATGTAACGTTTGCATAAACCCAGACTTTGAGTACCAGTGCATTACACAGGAAAAAATGAAAGAAAAATGTGATTCTCAATGCATAGTGACCATAATGGGGAATCTGCATGGTCTGCCCATGCCTTTTCTCATTAAAATAGGTAGCTGGAGAATTAAGGAAAAGTCATGTGTAACCTAGGTTTTCCTGTTAAAAAAGAAGAATGGAATAAAAGGCAAAAAGTGAAAGAAGAATTAGAAGTAAGTAGGAAGTATTTTGAAGGTGTATTGATACCACAGCTCTGAAATATTAGCAGTAATGAAAAGCTCAAGACGTCGGAGTTGCTCTGAATTGCTAAGGGTGGATAGATAAAAGCCTGGAAGCCCTGTTGTTGTTTTTTTTCCTTCCAACTCTAAGAAGTGATTAAAAATGAGTTAAGGGGAGTTTTCTGGGATTCAATAGAGGAGATGGTGATTTTTAAAGCAGAGATAGCTTACTGTTAAAGTTTGGTCAGTAAGGTACTTGATTTGTGTCTCCTTATATTTTTCTTTAATTTTTTACTCATTCAAAGCTGCATAATCAAATAGGTCTGGAACTGAATATCAGTTCCATCCCTTATTAACAATGAATTTATTGGAAAATGGCGTAATATCTAGGCTTTCCTTTAATTATCTATCGAATAGCAAAAAAGACACTATTTTTGTTTTGAAGATTTATAGATGGGGTTTATGAGCAGGTGTCCGGCCATACAACAATTATAATAATAATGGTGTAATACCCAACCTTAATCAAATTATTACCATGTTTTAAGCAATTTAGTCTTTATTTCATTCAGTCATCACATCTGAACTAAGAAATAGTTCATGTTAATTCAACAACACTTCAAAAACTGACATAATGAGTTTGAGTAATTTGCTCAAGGTCAAAAGATAGTAAGTTGTAGATTTGGAAATCAAACCTAGTTCCCTACCTTTGGAATTCACGAACACAATCAGCATTTATTAAATATATAACTATTGGCCCTGCATTGGAGATACAAATATGAGTAAATTTAGTCTTAGTCGTCTGTGAATTTACTGTTTAATACAAAGAGACAGTTGAATGTGTAGAGAAAAGTGTTATAGATGTGGTGATGAAAGTATGTACAGCTTATCAAAGGCTTCAAAGGAAGTGGTGGTCACATCTACTTTCAAGTTTCAAGAAAGACTTTGTATAGGACGTGAAGCTTGAGATACAGGTTGAAACATGAGTGGGTGCTCATCAGATAATTAGTAGTACAAATCATTCCAGGCAGAGGGAGTATCAAGTGCAAGGGGATGGAAAATTCATATGGGGCAGGGTGAGAGGTGACTGGCAAATAGTTGGGAATAGATAAAGACTGTGAGGGGTAATGAGGCAAATAATGAAGGAAAATACACATGCATCGTTGAGGATAAGAAGAGCCTTGAATGCTATGCTAAGTGGTTTTTGCTTTATCAAGAAGCCAAAAGTTCTTGACCCCGGCTGCATATCAAAATCATTATAGGGATTTTTGAAAAAACACCCATATTTGAGTCCCACCCAGATTTATCTCTGTAAACAAGACTTGCAATGAATTTTGGATACCTTTCTTCTTACTCTTGTGAAGACTCTTAATTATTAAGTATGTAGTAGACCCACATAAGTATTGTTTATTTCCTTAACAAATGTGGTGGAATGAATCTCGTCATTTCTGAATGGAGATGCATAGTAAACTTTGGCAAGAAAAATTATGCAAAAATATTGCCAAGAATGTCACAGTATTAAGGGGAAATAAGCATCAATGATGATTATTTTTCACATTACTTGTATAAAATTCATCTTAGGTTCTATTTGGTTTATGTAGGAAGAAACTCTGAAATATAATCTAGAGATAATACTTGGCTACTACATGAGGTATGCAGCACTTGACAAGTAGCTTTCATCTCTGTGAATTTTTTCATAAACAGTATTCTCTTTTCTCCTTCCTTCAAATCACAAAATCACTTTTCTTGGCATCATACTAGTGCATGAATAACTATCTGGCAAAATTATTTAGTCCATTAATATTTAACCTGAAGTTTGCTAATTTATTGCTACCATGGGGAAACATATGAAGAAGCTTAAAAAATAATAACCTTTTTCCTAGGTTGGCACCAGACAGATTAACTAGGTTGGCTAACACTGGTCTTTTTGTGGCCTTGGGCAGATATTTTAATCTCTTTCAGTCACAGTTTCCTCCTTGGTAAAGTGCTGATAATCCTTGAAGGTTCTATTTTACAAGGTTGTTGTAGCAATGGAATACTGTTTGTCAAAACGTTTTGAAAATTGTGAAGTGTTCAACAATTGTATTCTTTCACATACTGTTTTACAGCAATGCTGACATCTGTAAACATTGCCAATCAAGTCATTTAATCATTCATTCCACATTTACTGAACAAACATTAATTGAATTCCAAAAACTGTGATTCATGTTGGCATTAAACAGATGAGCCGTTCTACCTCCCTTTTGAGTCAAAAAGAAGAGAACAGTAAAAGGAAGGGCAGATAAGCCAGTTGTATCCAAGTGTCACCATTATTGTGCCTGTGCACACTTCAGTCCTGCAGCAGCATCTGACAGTGCACCTTATTCTGTGCTGCCAACACACATAGTCTTGTCTTGGGTTATTAGATTGAAATAGGGCAAAAAGGGGAAAGTAAGTCTACCATTCTGCATAGATAAACACACTTAATCCTCCTTTCACCCCCTATGAGGTAGATACCATTATTATTCCCCTTTTTATAAATCAGCAAAGTGAGACACCCAGAGATTAAGTAACTTACCCGAAAACACTCAGATAGGATGAGAACTTAAAAAGAAAATGGCACTATGTGAGGGCATCTAGACTGAGTGATAAGATAGGGAGGCCAAGAGGAATTCCTTGATACAAAGGTCAGGAGGTGGAGGTGACTTTTCATATTGGCTATTGTAGAGCAAATAGAAGTGTGCCCTGCATTCTCAAGTTATATCCTAGAAACAGATGGACATAGCTTCTGTAACTGAAAAGCTTAGATGTCACGAGCACAGAGTACAGAAATACATAAACTAGTTATCATAATTCTGTGTGGTAATTGCTCTCTGGTAGTAATGTGCACAGGATTTCCTGGGAGATGAGGAAGTGTGGTGTGACTTACTCTGCATAGAGGGGTCAGCAAGGCTTCTCACAGGACATAATGTTTGTTCAGAGTATTGAACAACATTGTTTATGATGAGGGAGAATCAGCAGTAAAGGGCATTTTTAAAACATGGGAGAGATCATTCAAAGACAAGGAACGAATTTTGTATGTCTATGAAAGTGCAACTAATTTGGTACAGGTGTCATTTAGAGGGCCAGGACAGATTGGAGACAGGGGAGCAATTGAAAAATGAGGCAGTCCTAAACTGTTTACCAGGTCAACATGTTTCAATAATATCTTACTTTTGGACCATTTTCAGTACGATGTCTTTAATACCTTTAAATAATAGCTCATTTAATCATTTTTGGTGTATTATGACAACTTTAGGCAGAGACATTTTGATTATATTATTAATACGTATAACAAAATCAAAATTAAAACAAAATATAAGGCAGTATTTCATCTTTTTATTTGAGAATTAATGCATACTTTAAAGAATAATCTTTCAAGTTTTTTTTAACTTAATGTATCTTGGAGTTTTTTATTTAAATTTCCAAATTTTACTTTAAGTTCAAGGGTAAATATGCAGGATGTGCAGGTTTGTTACACAGGTAAACATGTACCATGGTGTTTTGCTTCACAGATCATCCCATCACCCAGGTGTTAAGCCCAGCATCCATTAGCTATTCTTCCTAGTCCTTTACCTCCTTCCACCTATGGCCCTCCGACAGGCCCCAGTGTGTGTTGTTCTGCGCCCCCCTGCCCCCCACCCAATGTGTCCATATGTTTACATCATTCAGCTCCCACTTATAAGTGAGAGCATGCAGTGTTGGACTTTCTTTTCCTGTGTTTGTTTGCTGAGGATAATGGTTTCCTCCTCCATCCATGTCCATGCAAAGTACATTATCTCCTTCCTTTTTATGGTTGCATAGTATTCCATGGTGTATATGTGCAACATTTTCTTTATCCAGTCTATCATTGATGGACATTTAGGTTGATTCCCTGTCTTTGCCATTGTGAATAGTGCTTCAGTGAACGTACACAGGCATGTGTCTTTATAATAGAATGATTTATATTCCTTTGGGCATTTACCCAGTAATGGGATTGCTGGGTTGAATAGTATTTCTGCCTCTAGGTGTTTGAGGAATCACCACATTGTCTTCCAGAATGGTTGAACTAATTTACTTTCCCACCAACAGTGTAAAAGTGTTTCTTTTTCTCTATAACATCAGCAGCATCTGTGTTTTTTGACTTTTTAGTGGTACCCAGAATAATTATAATTTTCTATAATTCAAATGTATATTTTAATATATCAATTAAAAGGTCTCTGCTTAATATGACATAAAAACTTCTTAGTATTTCAATATTTGAAATTTAACAAATTTGCACTAAAATTCTTAGTGGTTCATTTATACAGTGATCATACCCTAGTTCTAAATAACAACATAAAGAAGAGGTCACACTGCAGTTTCAAGTACTTATATGTGAATGGTACATTTTGTGTTGAAAGCCCCTCCCCCAATAAATATAATGTTTACTATATTTTATATTTTTATTGTAGCTCTACATCAGTATTTTTCATGCTTTTCACTTTAACTAGTGGTCATTTCTTGGTAGATATTTAATACTATGTGACTTAGAATGAACAGTTTTACCTAGCAAGTGGTTCCCAGCTGAGAAAGAGGCTACACTGACATTAGTCTGTATCTTTATGGCTTCCATTTTAAAGCAAAACTATTTGAGTTTTTATGTAGTGATTTAAAAACTATAAATTGGAAATCCAAAGGTAAAAGTTTTTTTATTTGTACATTTAAACTTAGTATCCCCTACAGCAGAGGTCCCCAGCCCTGGGCTGCAGACTGGTACTAGTTCATGGCTTTCTAGGAACCGGGCTGCATAGCAGGAGGTGAGCATTGGGCAAGCAAGCATTACCGCCTAGTGTCACCTCCCGTTAGATCAGTGGTGGCACTAGATTCTCATAGGAGCGTGAACCCTATTGTGAACTACACATGTGAGGGATCTAGGTTGTGTGCTCCGTATGAGAATCCAACTAATGCCTGATGATCTGAGGTGGAACAGTTTCATCCTGGAACCATTCCCCTGCTTCCAGCCCCACATCTGTCATCCATGGGAAAATTGTCTTCCATGAAACTGGTCCCTGGTGCCAAAAAGTTTGAGGACCGCTGCCCTAAAGACCTAAGGGTTTTGGAAGACTTTAGTTGGGAACTATTATTGTAGTTGATTACAACCCATTAATAGGTATTAAGAAATGAGAAATAATATTAATATTAATAAGAATTAATATTTTAGAATGCTTACCCTGGAAATGAGGAATGCTATGGAGACTAGAGTCAGAGGTGTTAGTTAAAAAATAGTTATGATAGACTAGGAATGTGAAAAAAAGATTTCTGAGAAACCTTATAAGCTTTCTTAAAATTTGGTAGTTTGGTCCTTATTGTTGGGCAGGTTGTTGATGTTGTAGATACTTACTAGGCATTTGTTAGCACAGCAGTAAATCTATTATATTATTAGTATGTTTTAGGGGAAGGATGATTAAGTAATCCAGTTAAAAAAATAATAATTCTGGCCCCAGGATGAATGGTGGTTAGAGAGGGCAGGAATTGGTAATGGGAGACCATTTAGAACACTATTGTTATTGTTCAGGGAAGAAATTATTGCAATTTAGACTAGAGTAGTGCCAAAGAGTATTGAAAGAGTTGATGGATTTCAGAGGAACATGTGCTGGCTGATAAGTGCTCCAGTTCACAGGTAATGAGTGACACTTAGCTCACAACTCACTGGCTACAGCTAATAATATGTCTGGTCCCAATCATCAGGGCCCAAGAAGTGCAGTTGTACCATGTACCTGAAAGTTGGAGATTTTGTGAACAATAATAGTGATTTTCTCAGTTTGCTCTTCTGGTAACCAGATACCCAACTAATTCTGCCTTTTGTTGGCAAAATATATACACCTCTTGGGGGTGGATTTGGGATATCTGTTATTTATCTGTAATCTTGATTTACTCAGAATTATTTATTTTTCTCTTGACTCTTGATTTCTATGAAGTCAAGAGAGATTTCACACAGGTGCCGTTGTTTTCATCTTTATTGGCTCAGCAAGTCTGTCAGTAGTCCAAACCACTCTCACAGGAAGTTTAAAATGCCTTCGTTATTCTGGACCTTGGGCCTGTAGTCGTGAGCAAGAGTGATAGCAGCAGTTTTAGAGATCTGAGCAAAAGATGAGGAGATGAATGACTTGCTGTCTGACCACTACCTATGTATAGGATGTCAGTGTGATTTCTCTGCCTAACTCAGAGCTGACACACTGGGTGAAGGTACAATTCTGGAGTGGGCAAGAACACTGCCAATTCAAACCAAAGAAAGTACTGAGTCCTGATTACCGGCCGGTGTCTTGAGGTGGGACAGAAATCTGAATTTAGTAAAGTTGAGTCATTACAGTGACTGCTTAGAGAAAAAAGATGGAGATGTACTTCCTTTGGCCTTACTGTGGCAATGGAGTTGACAAAACTGAATTTAAAAAAATCTATTCATTTTTGTTTTAAAGTTTCAAGGGAACCTACCAGAGCTTTAAAAGTAAAAACAAAAATTATGGTAGTAATTAATATTGTTTTGTGAACCCCCAAAATCTGAGACAGGTCTCAGTTAATTTTGCCAAGGTTGAGGACATGTGCCCGTGATAGTCTCAGGAGGTCCCGATGATGTGTGCCCAAGGTGGTAGGCGAACGTTTGGTTTTATACATTCCAAGGAGATGTGAGACATCAATCAATATGTGTAAGATGTACATTGGCTCAGTCCAGAAAGGTGGAACAACTCGAGGTGAAGGCTGGTCAACTTGAAGTGGAGAGGGGACTTCCAGGTAATAGGTAGAAAGAGACAAATGGTTGTACTCTTTTAAGTTTCTGATTAACCTTTCCAAATGAGGCAATCAGATATGCATTTATCTCAGTGCATTAGAGGGGTGACTTTGAACAGAATGCGGGCGGGTTTGCCCTAAGCAGTTTCCCGCTTGACTTCTCCCTTTAACTTAGTGGTATTGGGGCCCCATGATTAATTTTCCTTTCACAGTTTGTATAAGCTTTCCATCTTTCGATTTCCAAACACGTGTTAGGATCAAATTTTCTAGCCGGCTTTGTGGTTGGGAAAGGCCATGTGACTAGTTTGTCCAATGAATGTAGATCAGAAGAAATGGGTGTGTTACATTAAGTGCCAGTGTGACCCTCTCTAAAGGCTCACTTTCCCACTCCCATGATGACCAGCAGCAGTCAGATTGGTGGCTCCTCATTCAGCTTTGGTTTCTGAGTCACTACCTGTCAGCCCATAACGGAGATACAGTTTGAGAGAGAAATCAAGATCTATTGTTTTAAGCATGTTGAACTTTTGTCATTTTTTTCTATAACATACCTAGCCTATTTTTATGTATTTAACAAAAGTATACATAAAAATTTTTATCTTTCTAAAATGTTGAGTAAAAGTGATTTAAGCATCATAGTGTATTAATTTGCATTTCTTTTGAGGAAGGTTTAGTACCAGATTCTGGCAACACTGCCATGAAAACAGTAAAGCTGCTGCTCTTGCCACCACTGTTGAAATTAATTCTGTCTATTCTTCTTACCATCATCCACTCCAGATTAAAAGTCCCGGGATGGAACATTGTATTGAGTACTCTTATATCATGCACCTGTGTTGCAGCTGCCACGAAGCCAGGAGAGGAAATACCTACCCTTCTTCAGATTCCCTGGTGAGAGGCAGCCTCCCATCCATCTTGAGATTTCTTCCTAAAAGGAAGATCTGATTCAGGCAAGAGCAGTACTCTAGGTCTGAGTTCGCCGGTATGAAAATGTCATATCTGAAAATCTTAGTCAAATCATGACAGAACTAGAAATGCTTTCAATTTCATACAATAACATGGAAAATCTCATCCTAGTCCTCAGCATGAATTAATAAGGTTTATACTTGCAAGAACCAAGATTGTTTCTACTAAAACAAGGATAACTGTTAACTGCCCTTTACCTGGTCTTTTAAATTCTCTAATTGGTGTGGGAGGGCAAGGGTTAGAGCTGTATTCTATGATGAGAGAAAAAAATACAAAGTGATGTTCCTCTCCAGATTATATCCGAGAGGTTAGGTTCCTGCAAAGTATCGCTTCCCTCCGTAACCTCTAATTATTTCTTTAGCACTACATTCAAACTCTAATCTTATAAACAGGCTCAGATTGAATTTAGATTAAAATAGAGGTACACCCTAAATTTCAGCTTTATGCTGACATTCTCCCAGTAATTAATCTATTACATATAGTGATGGGTATTAATACCTTTAAGGGTTAATTACACTTTAACTGGTTTTAATTTCTTCCCTTAAGAACTCTTTAATTTTATTCAAGATCTACCTTCCTACTCTATTCATTTTCCATATAAGCAGAGAAAATTCCCCCAGAAAAATAAAATCAGCAGCATCATTTTGTCCAGATCAGAATGTTACAGCTCTAAAATCTATTAACACCTTGGATAGAAGGTATTTTGGTTTGCATGTGATGGCTGTTTACTCTTGATGTATATTTTTAAATATCTATGCCAGCTTTTCTCCCAGCTGCAGTTTTCAACTCAGTGTCTTTAAAATTTGGTACAGTCAGAAAATTTAAAGTGGTACTCTATGATAACCATAATTTAAAAAAACAGATAATGTCTTTTCTTCATAGCAGAATTCATACTTAATTTCTAATGTGCATCTGTGTCTATGTGTAGGATTTCCTTTCTGCAAGTTGAAAACGTCATCTCTTGTTTTCAGCTTGTCCAAGTAAAGATATTTGTACATGGGGTTATTACTGCTCTTATATATTTGTTAATAAAAATACAGTGTGAAGAGGTTGACTTGGATAGAATATTCTTGATCAAGCTGTTACTGTTACTTTACCTATTAACTAAAGAGGTGTTTGCTTTGTTTTAATGTTGTAAGAGTAAGGACTCAGGGTTTGGTTTTTGGCTAGAAATGAAAATTAATGAAATTATTTTGGGACTTGATAGTTAAGGGAGTATGGAGTATCTGTATGATATATGTTGTTTTAAATACATGTTTACTTAAATAAGACTCTTAAAATATAGATTTGGAACATTTACAGAACCCTTTCTTTAAGGAAGTGATATTTAGCTTAGGTTAGTTAGGAAGAGCATGTTTGTCAATTTTGTGAGGGAATTCAGTCAGCGAGGTGGCGGTGAACAGGTAGCAATAGGAGTAATGAAGTTGGATGTGAGCCTGCAGAATTCGTTTTCCTAGCAAGAGAAATTTGGCTCCAGATATACAGAATAAAAGGATCGTGTTGGAGCGAGGAGCAAGGAATGTTGTAAGTAAAATTATCACTTGAATTGGCAGCCAGCCAAAAATGAGCTAACTTGAGGGTATATGGATTATCACTGTGAGTATATCATGGAACAGCCTTTGTTTATATGACGCCTTAAAGAAAAGTATGCCTTAACAATGACAATAGTTAACAATAATAAGAAATATTCTTTTTTTAACTCTCCCCTTCTCTAACTTGTACTTTTTATTATTTGAAAAAAACCCAATATTACTCAGTAGATATACTTTATTTGAATATATTTACATTTATGTAAAATGTACAAAGCATATTGGTACCATGCAGTTATTTCCCACTAAATCTTTCTTTCTTTGAACCTAGGCCCATTTTGAGTCCCTTGTCTTAACACAGTTCCCATCTAGGCTGGAGGAGAGGAGTAGGTTTACTTAGTAGAAAAGATTCTGGGGTGTATACTTTAAAACTGCCACAAGGAGTATCAGCTCACCTGTAGTTCTGGTGTTAGGTTCATCTTAAATGTTCATTCTAATCTTTAAGTGTCTTTGTCTTTTTCCTAAGAACAAAATCTAGTGATTTCCTCAAACTATGTGTCTGTCTATAAACATGAACCTCAGTCACCTGCCCTGTTGAAGTTATTGTGTACCTCAAGTTTCAGTGATTGTGGTTTTCCCTGTGTACTATTAGTTAAACTTCCCCTGACTGACTCTGTGACAACATACAAAAATGTATGTCATGCATTCTTTCTTTGCCCTTCTAAGTTAGTCACATTTAAAATAAAAATAGCCTGTGGACATATGTTACTTTTTCTAATAATTATGCTCTTTCACTGCTTCCACCTCTCAAAAATAAAGGTCTTGCTGTATCTCTTTTGTCTTATAGAGATGTTAAATATGATAAGAGGGTTAATATGGAATATCTGAGTTATGATGAGGTAGTATAGACGTGTAGCATGGTTTTGATCAGAAAACAGTGAAATTATGATGAAATATAATCGTGCCAGAACATCTCATGAGGACTAAAGATGAATACTTTCTGTAATCAATGGTTGGGTATACATGATGATAATTCCAACTGAACTTGACTTTTGAAAGAATTAGAGAAAAATATATGATAGTACTGGGAGGGAAGAGGTAGAAAGTGTGTGATCAAGACAGATGTCAAGAAGGGAAATACAGCTGAAATAAAAAGTCAACCAGGATGATCCCAGCAGGCATAATTGTATTCTAAAAGAAGCTGATCCTCAATTCATGTAGTCTTTGTGAGAACAAATGATTAAATTATATATAAATTGTAAAATTATTTAGACCAAGTTTGAACATGTGTAGATAAAAGAAATAAAAATAAGATATCCTGTACATCCCATGAAAGTGTATTTATTTTGTCATGTTCACTACTATTTTCCAAGTACATAGATATTAGTCCAAAGATAAGATAAATATTTTTTGATTAATGAGTTCTTTTTTTAAACGAGGAAAGAATGACTTTAGGAAAGCAGGTTTTATGATCAAAGAAGAAAATTAATTTCCAGATTTTAATGGATTTCTTCTCTTTAGTTAGTATAATTAAGTGGCAGCATGTAAAAAAATGTAAGTTGCATTTCTTCAAATACAATCAGTCTGTAAGAATTCAAGGTGGAGCCTTAAAGGAGACTTATTTATTTGGTGAGCAGTTGTGCTGGGGCTAGTCTCATGCTGTGCCCAATTAACTTTTATTCAGCAGTGTGGCTCATATGCTGTCATACAAAGACTTACTATCCTATCCAGCTAGAAATGCAATAAAGTCCTCACATCAGTAACTCTGATGATGCCTCGCTGCTGATGTTGGTCTCCATGTTTCGGTAATTGCTCTCCATGGATTACTGAGGTTTTTTGGTTGGTTGGTTGGTTTTGTCTTAGTTCCTTGTTTGTTCTGCCTGTCTTAACTTCCTGACACCCATCAATGAATTTAAATGATGTATTTTTAATCTTTACTTGCTAGGAAAACTAATGTGTTAATTATATTATCACTTTATCAGGTTTTTCTTGATTTGATTGCTGAAAGAGGGGAACCTAGCACATTTCTGTATATCCTTGAAGGAATTTGTTGATATGAAGGGTAAGATTCCACTGGATTCATTGAATTGTGGAGCATCTGTTTCCCTGATTCAGAACTGGCTCAACTTTGCAATTATAGGTCCGGGATATATTGTGAAATCTAGGAATGGTTAGCTAATCTTGTCATGAGTAGTGACGATGTATTAGAACATCTATTTGAAATATGGGGGATGAATCCACCCATATTTAGAATATGATGAGTCCACTCATATTTTAGAATAGAATTATAGAAAGTTACAGATTTATGAATACTTGAAGAATACAAAATCACAATGCTTACATCTGTTAAACAGTGTTTTTCAATATGCCTGTTGTGAGCCAAATGGGTTAATGAATAAGATAAACACAAAAATAAAACGAGGGAATAGAAAATATAAAATTAAATCAAAGGCAAGTATTTTGTGAAATTTTGCTTCTTTTCTGTATATCCTTGTCCCTAATGTAAACTGTATTTTGATTGTGAGTAGCCAGGAAGATTGAAAGCCACTGTCCCATAGCGGTAATTCTCAAAATGTAGTAAATTAAGAATTCACCACACAGTGCATAATAATTTCCTGAGAAGCTTGTTTATAAATAAATAGATAAATAAGATAAAATGTATGAAACATGCAGATTACGTGTTTCCACCGTGTAAGATTCTGACCCACTCGGATTGAGGTGAGTCCAGTGAATATGCTTTATTAACAGATATCCCAAATAACACTAAAGAAGGTAATCTTTATGTTACATTTTGAAAATCCATGTGCTTGTGAAAATAGTGGAGAATCTCTATTCTAATTGTTATAATAAGCCAAACATACTTGGAAAAATAAGATAGAATTAAATCATTAAGTAATTTTGTATATTTGATATGTAGAATAGATGCGCAATAGCTTTTTTAATAGCTTGAGAAATTCCAATTAACTAATCCATCTAGACTTCCCATTTGGTTCAGTGAAAAAAATGAACTTAGAATAAACTAAGAGAGGACTATTTACTGGGTGTATTTACTATTTGCCGGAAACCCATGGTTTCCTATGAAAGAAACTATGGAGTAGCTCCAGTCACCCTTTACTCTATCTTGTCTTGAGAGAGATTTATTGTTCCTTACCATTACTGTAGCTGGAAAGGAAAATAATCTTGGTAACTTTTCTTAGACCATGTCCAGACTGCTGCTGGAGTCTCATGTTTGGTTGTTTGACTTTTAGTTATCAAGGTGTCAGTGGGAGTATATTGGGTTTTACTTCGCATCTTTATGGTAGCAATAGTAACAGTCTGTCTTCCTGGATGCTGGTTGAGCTCTATTAGGGTGGACCCCAGCCTTGGCGCCTGTCCATCAGAAAATGCTAACTGGTATCTTTTAGAAACCTGGTTTATTTCTCATTTTTCTTCTAAATCCAGTAGAGTGAAAGTCTATTTATTTTTGCTTCAATTTTTTTTATATTTAATAAGACAACAGCATTTGCTACTGTATATAAATCAAAAATATAATTATAACTAGGTCCCATTAATAAAATATTATGTGTAATTGTTGGTAAAATTTAATGCTCATGAATTAACCCTAAGTAGTCAGTAATTTCTTACATTTCTCAGCCCTGCTCCTGAAGGAAGATATAATTGTTAAATAATTTTGGATATTTATCAAAACATAGACTGACACGTTCATTTTTTTTTCTATTCCAAAATGGTAGGATGATCCAAAGAGAACTCTAAGGAATCCCCTACATTCAAGCCATATTTTAATGTTTCTTCATTGCTGTTGTCAAAATAAAGTAATGTTTCTCTTAAGAAGAAAGAAAATGTATTATTATAGAATCGATAGGTCATGCTATGCTTAAATAAACAGGTATATCAGTATGAATTATAATTTATGAAACGAAACATTTAAAAAGATTCTTTAGATTCTAGGGTTGTAATCTTTAAGAAGAGAATTATACAAGAAGTTATTTTTGCTAACTAGGGAATAAATTGTATGAAAAAATATTTATGTATTTTTGCATACTTTGGAACGGTACAATTTTATAGGAAGCCAAAATTCAGTTTCCCCTATGAAGGTATGAAGTAAAGTTATTGCAGGTCACTCACAATTTGGGCAAGTAATCTAGGGGTAGGTAGAGTAGAAAGGATCATGTTCATTCATTCAGTACACATTATCAGTAGCTTATTAGATAGTCATTGTATCAAAAGCCAATGTTAAGATGGAAAAGTTTGTTGGGACATGTTTTATAACGTTCACAGTTTTGTTGGACATAGCAAGTAATAGTCACTTGCAGTACTGTTAGCTGTAGGAAATGTGTTCATTCATTCTACATAGGCTTGAAATTAAAGTTTCAAAATCATTTAATGTTTGCATGGGTATAAGTTGACAGTCTTATTTATACATATATTTCATTAAATGTATCTTACAAATTAGATTTTACTATTAATTTTAATATGCTTGTTTTACTTAGTGAAATTATACCAATGTATATTAAAGTTCTAAATGTGATAACAACCCTAGACTAAGTTTTCAGTTATTTTTAATATTTCTACTTTAATAAAAATTTGGTCCAGTCCAAGTCTAAGAAAATGCAAGAAAATATGTTGAAATAAAGATTTGTGAAAATTATTAGTTACCAAATCAATTGTTATAAAAATATTTACTGTAATCCTAGCACTTTGGGAGGCTGAGGCGGGCGGATCACTTGAGGTCAGGAGTTTGAGACCAGCCAGACCAACATGGTGAAACTCCGTCTATACTAAAAATACGAAAATTAGCTGGGTGTGTTAGTGTGCCTGTAATCCTAGCTACTTGAGAGACTGAAGCAAGAGAATTTCTTGAACCCAGGAGATGGAGGTTATAGTGGGCTGAGATCTCACCACTGCACCCCAGCTTGGGTCACAGAGTGAGACTCCGTCTATTTAAAAAAAATTAAATCTTCATATTTTAAACGTTTATTTGAAAATTTGATTATATACTTTGCTATAAAATGCTAAATAATTTAGGAGTGTTTTGGAATCCTTTGAGACAGGGTAAATGTGTCATGTTTATATGCTTAAAAAATAAGATGTTTTTCATTCCAGACTAGAGTTTACTCATTTTCCTTATTCTTAGGTCATCTGAATAGCTTTATGCTTATATTTTGTATAAAATTTTCTGAGGTTTGTAATCCTGTTTAAACACATATGAAAACATCGAGGTTCAGTCATACAAAATTACAGTCATAGATGTAATTTGGCTTTTTGGTCTATGTAACTTAACACAGTAACTGCTTTTTTTCCAGTACAATTTGAAAAAAGTGGAAATTTCCTAGGGGAAAATATATGCTTATCAAAAGTTAGAGCTGTCTTCTGGAGCAGCCTTCAAAGCTGAAGTAAATAAGACATGAAGTTTAGCTTCCAAGCAGGCTTTAATTTAGAAATTGCTGACCAAATAAAAATGTCCATAGCCTTTTGTCATAAGGTTTGTTGATTACTTTGGTCCAGTTGAGCTGATTAGGTCTTAAATATTATAAAACTCAAAGGTAATAGCATAAAAAGTGCCAGTTTAAATATTTTATTGATCAGTAGTAATGTGGATGATTCTGACTTGGTATTTATTCATTAACACTGTGGGAGTTTGGGCAGTAAGATGGGACTCTTATAAAATCAATTTAATTTAAAATCAAGTTTTACAGTATTTTATTTCTAGAATTCTAAATAAATATATAGAGAATTATTTTTGGGCTTTGTGTCAGGAAAACTTCCATATAACGTCATGTTAACTTTTAAGTCTTGCTGTGTTAATTTTTTATAGTTGCTTGGTAGAATCCTTCAGTGGGAAACCAGGAGAATGCAGGATCCCTTCAAAATGTCAAATCTTAGAAATTACTTTTCTTTCACTCTTCTAGCACTATAAGCTGCTCTTATTTCTCTTATTCTTAAACTTTCCTATTCTTTTGTCATTCACAAGATCAGAGAGGCCTTAGGCATAGTGGTTAGGAACTTGGGCTTTAAGGCCCAGCTGGCTGGACTTAAATTTAAATGGTCCTGCCTCTCACTAGCTGTGCTGACTGGAGGTTCTTTACCTCTTCAGGACTTTGATTTCTCAACTGGTAAGGTGGGATTTGTAATAAGGCCGTTAAAAAAATAAATTTGAAATAAATAATAAATGAGGTAATGCACTTAGAGCATGCTTAGCAGAGTGCCTGACATACAGGAATCATTCAAGAATTGCCAGCTAAAATAATTATATTACGTTACAGGATTTTAGAATGAGATTCATAAACTGAGATGAAATTCCAAGCTCAAGAACAATATATGGGTGCCAGTACTTACAAATTTTAAAGTGAGTCACTAGACTGTTCCTGTATAGCTCATAGTTAAAAGTTTTTAAAAACCTATCTTTCCAGCATTAGAGATGTCCAGTTTCAACTATTGTAAGTGATTTATTTTGGGGAGATTGGAAGGAGCTGTGGTTTGGAGTGGAGAAGGGCTACTTTAGTGCAGGGGACATTAAGGGGATGAATTCAGAGTTTAATTCATGTTTGCTGTAATTTGGGGAGCATGAGGATGTGAGAGTTTGTAGCTAGGTGGCCTGAGACAGGAGAGCAGAGTCAGAAGCTGGACTGCACCAGGAGATAGCCCAATAATTAGCGCTTAGGGGTCGGAGGTACATATTTCATCGCCTGGAAGTGCGCCATGAAGAAAGGAACTGTCCTAGAAGCCTTTAGAAAGGGTACTGTCTCAAATGCTCAGATGGCTTCCTGGTGGCATGATGTGATCTTAAGACGTGAGGAAGAAGTTGAAAATGACTAATTGGAAGAGGCACAAAACTGGAATTTTCCAGCAGAATTTTCTTAAGGTGGTCACGTAAGAGAGAGTCAGCTTTGACCATCTTCCAGTTCACCCATCTCACTGGCTTGACTTTGGTGAGTGGCAGATTATGAACAGAATCTGAAGACATATTCTTTCACACTGCAAGGTTTCAGGTTTTAAGCAAAAGCAAATTAGTGGAGAAAAGAACAGAGTTGTATGAATTTAGAATTTTGTTTTATTCTAGAGCTAAATAGTCTAAATTTTTGAAAGAGGACATTTTATGACTAAGAAGGCATGGAAAATTAATGTTACTATCAGATTTCATTGGAAGATGGGATAAAACTAGCTCACAGAGATTTTTGTAAGTAAAAGTGGCAGAAAATAAAATTACATAAAAATATACATAAATAAAACAAATGAAAATGCAAAACATATATTAAAATAATATTAAAATTCAAGTATTTTAAAAATAATTATCACTTAGTATAATCAAATATGCCATTAACAACTATGTGATGTAGTTAGAGGAGATATATTCTATGTCTTGTTTCCCCCTACCAGCATGAGTGCTAATTAAGAATATGGAATTATTATGCCATGGTGGGAAAGGCAGTGTGTCTGGGGACAATTTAGTGGATTTTAAACTGGTGCTAATGCTAATTATCTGAGTGATCTTAAGTAAGTTTCCTAATCTTTCCAGGGTTCCCTATTCCTCATCTTTAAAAGAAGGTTATTTTATATTATTCAGAAAGTAACAGTATGGATCTGAGTGACTATAAACTCCAATAATAAAGAAATGTAAAGGGAATATAAACAAATGTATGCAAAGTTTCCAATTAGAAGCAAAACTGGACTTAAACAGGTTAAATATATTTAGAGGATGAGAATTTACTGTGGCCTTGATCAGTTAGTATAATTTTTTACGCCAAGGCTACCATCATTTCTCATCTGGACTCTTAGAATAGCTTTCTGATAGGATACTGTGCTAGGTTCTAGAAAAATTGGTGAACCAGGTGACTAAGGTCCCTAAACATATGAAACAGTCTTTCCTGGGAGATAAATCAATAGTTACAATAAAGTCATGCCTTTTGATTGTGGAATGTGCATTAGTTTAAGGAGACCCGTTAAACTTGCCACTTCCCCACCTGGTGAAAGATATCAGAAGATGCTTCTAACAGGCACTGTCATTTAAGCTGAGCCCAAGGGTGAGTAGGTAGTCACTGAGATGAGAAGATACTAGCTTATGGAAAGGCCCAAAGAATTTGATGTTTTTCATAACTTGAAATAAATTTAGTACGGCCTGGAGTGCTGCGCTTGAGGGATGGAATGGTGAGAAAAAAAAACGCTTGCAGGATGAAAACCAAGATCTTGCAGGGACGCAGAAGCGTCATGTTGGTCCCTTGAGAGTTGCTCAGAGTAGTTGTTGATTTTAGGTAATACTGGAGAAATATCGTCTTTAAGAGAAATGTAGGGAAAGTCTTAATGAATAAATACAGTACATATTTGCAAATTGTGTTTTGTTTTTTTGAATTGACCAGATGTTTTAGCTCAGTTTCATCATTATTAATGGTGATATGGTAGGACCATTTCAGTACAATGTGTGATATTTTGGAGTTGATCTGGAGCAACTGGAGTTTTAAATTTCTAAGAAAAGAATGGAAATGCCTCTTTTTCTTAAGGTGAGTCCAGTGCTACATCAAGAGGGTGTTTGGGCCAGGTGCAGTGGCTCATGTCTATATTCCCAGCACTTTGGGAGGCTGACCTGGGCGGATCACTTAAGGCCAGGAGTTCAAGACTGGCCTGGCCAACATGGTAAAACCCCAGAGGCTGAGGCATGAGAATAACTTGAGCCCAGAAGGCAGGGGTTGCAGTGAGCTGAGATGGCACCATTGCACTCCAGCCTGGGTGACAAAAGCGAGACTCTGTCCCAGAAAATAATAATAAAAAAAGTGAAGTTTAATCTTCTGGACAGGATAAGGTCAAAATTGTCTCCATAAGTTCCTTTATAAGTTTAGATCCGTTTGCTAGGTGTTCTCAGTTACCTTGGTTTTCAGAATTGTACATAGTACAGTATCTTACTAAGTTTTTGAAGTATCTTATCCAAAAAAAAAAAAAAAAAAACTTCCTGGTGTAAAAATGGCTTGCTCCCCTTCAACCTGTTGCCCTCCACTCCATATTTATTTGAGTGTCCCCTGCAGTTATTGGGTGTAGAGTACTTAACAGATGATTGACAAAGGTGATGAGGAGATGCAGATGCAGATAATAACTGCATCTGTTGGTGTTTCTCACATAAATAGCTTCCTCACCTGGGATTGGGACCTTGGACAGAAGTATTCAGCTAATAAGATATTCTTATAGTTGCTTTATACATTTTCTTTGAGGTCCCAAACTTTTTAAAGATAATATCATCCATTTCTTTGTAAATAAGGTGACTAGGATATAACTGTCCTTATATCAGAGGATATACCAGATAATTGCTACTTACCCCGTGGTCAGAGTAACCTATGTCTTGTTCATGTCATTTTGACTTCCGCATTCAGAAAAGAGAGGACTCTTCAGCCAGCAGTAATGTGCAGTCTTGGCCTATAGAGGCTTCCATACCTCCATATATTCACAGTTTGCTCCTCTAAGGCATAAAGGCATATTATCAAAATGTATAATTACAGCTTGAGAGCAATAATAGGTGTAAAGGTTTTTCAATATTTTGTTTTATTTTCTGAGGTTTCAATAGATCTAGTATCTAATAGAACAGAAACTTTACAGAAATATTGAATTTATATGAAAACCCAACCAAATAGGAGGTCTGTAGAAGGTATCGTTCTAGCCACTTCAAGATGGAAGTGTCTAATCAGTGGGATCCCTATATTTAACTTCAAAGATGTTATAGCCACAACTATAGCTCTTTTTAAATGCTTTTAAATGCCATTTGATGTTTTTTTTTCCCCTCATTCTCCAAACTCAGTGGCCATAATGCATTGACTGTTTCTGTGTGGAGAGCACCATCTGATTTGTTTTATTCTGAATAGATAGTGCTTCTTTTTCATAGGTTTTTAAAAAATAATTGAAATAGTCTTGAGTGGATTCTTTCAGATTAGTTATATGTAGGTATATATACATATATATAAAGAAAACTAATATGAATACATTAAATTCTAAAATTAATAAAATTTATTTTGCTTTAGTTGTTTAAACTCCTGAATCATTATAATTTCCTTTTAATCATTTTTTTTTCCTGCTCTTTTTCCTTCCCTTTATGATCAGGATTTCAAGTTTATTATTGTGGCTTTGTCAGTGCTTTGACCCTACTCTAGTAACTTCCTTTGACACAATGTGATACAAACGCATGAAGTTGATGTTACTATTTATTGTTTTTAGAACATTGGATTTATAAAATCACAGGGACTTAGCTATTCCCTCTCCAATGTACTCTTCTCAGTATTTTGCAACTACTTAAAGATTTTCTTATAGTTGCTTTATAAGAACTCTTCAGAGCCAGAATACTTAAAGTATTCTGTGTTTTTTGTTTGTGTTCTCTCAGTTATGTGTATCTAGTTATTATAAATTCCTCACCTACTCATAATTGTGATATTTTATATATTTTCCAATTCATTATTATATAATTTACATCATGGATCTAAAAAAAGATATATAGAATACTTCAACTCTGTTTAATCATGACTTTTTTTTTTTTTTTTTTGAGATGGAGTCTCGCTCTATCTCCCAGGCTGGAGTGCAGTGGCACAATCTCAGCTCACTGCAACCTCTGCCTCCTGGATTCAAGTGATTATCCTGCCTCAGCCTCCCAAGTAGCTGGGACTACAGGTGCACGCCACCACACCCAGCTAATTTTTGTATTTTTAGTAAAGTCGAGATTTCACCATGCTGGCCAGGATGGTCTCAATCCGTTGACTTTATTAAGAGATTTTTCTATAAGCCTGAAATCTAAATTAGATTTATAGCACTTATCATAATATATAATTATATATTTACTTTATACTTTCTGTTTTCTGTTTTTCACATGAGATTGTAATCACCCTGAAGGCAAAGCCTATGTTTATTTTGATCCAACTTTATACATAGAACCTAGTGGATTGTTTTTATATATGTATATGTGTGTGTGTAAAAAAAGAAATATACATTCATAGCAAATATTTTTGGAGTTTTGTAAATGAGAAGAAGAAATTTGAAGAGAAAATGAGTTTTGAACAGAAAATGGAGAAATCAGATTTTCATTTCAGACAGACCACTGAGGCTGCATTGAATTCAATGAAAGGAACAAGATGAAGAGACCCTAGTTGAGTTAAATGGAATTGGTAGGGGTTAGAAAGTCATATATTTGAAGGTGATTTAAAAACCTTACTGTATTTGTTCTCTATTACTGCTGTAACAAATTACTACATATTCAGTGGTTTAAATAACACACGTTTATTTGCACAGTTTTGTAGGCTAGAGGTCTGACATGGATATCCCTAGGCTAAAACCAAGGTGTTAGTGCAACTGCGTTCCATTCTGGAGGTTCTAGGAGGTAATCCATTTTCTTGCCCTTTTTAATGTCTGGAGACCACCCATGTTCCTCGGCTGCCTTCCTCTCTCTTCAGAGCCAGCAATATTGCATTTCTGCCTTTCTTCTGGAGTCACATCTTCCACTAGTTCTCTGTCTCTCTCTTCTACTTTTAAGGACCTTTGTTATTACATCAGGCCCACATAAATAATATAAAATATCCCCCTATTTTAAGGGCGATTAGAAACCTTAGTGGATTAGCAACGTTAATTCCATCTGCAACCTTAATTTTCCTTCTCCGTGTAACAGCATATACATAGGTTCCTAGGATCAGGATATGGACAACCTGGGAGACAGACATATTATTCTGCTTACGACATCCAGTTTGCAAACTGATAGATTTGTAGTTAATATTGAGGGATGAGTTAAGGATAGGATATTGGTTCACAATTTGTGTACTTGGGCAGATGCTGGGTAACAGTTACTGAAACAGAGAAATCAGGAGGTGGTGCCCATTTAATGGGAAAACAGTGAGTTCAGATGTGAACATGTTACATTTGAGAGGCCTCCGAATTGTATCTGAAGCATAGAGGGAAATTTATGCTGGAGATACTATTTTGGAGGTTGACAGCATTAAAATAATAGTTGAAATCCCTAAACTGATAAATTTTCTTTGAAAATGAAAAAAAAAAACAGAGAAAATACAGAAGAGATTCCTGAAGAACATAAAATTTTGCATTTTTCAAAATATGGCAGTTTTATGGAATATGAAATATGAGCAACTGAAGTAGAATAAAAATATTAAGATAATTTACACAGAAACTAATTTTCATTGATAAATCAATGGTTGTAAGTCTATACAACTCTTATTATTCTTCATCAGTAAAAATTAGAACTGCAGTATATTTACCTCTGTAAAAGGTAACTTAAGACTTGGCCTGGGTGGCTTTCACCTGTAATCACAGCACTTTGGGAGGCCAGGGTTGCATAAGGTCAAGGCTAAGGTGGCTCAGGATCACTTGAGCCTAGGAATTCAAGATTAGCCTGTGTAACATGGGCAAACCCCATCTCTAGAAAAAAGTGCAAACATTAGCCGGGCATGATGGTGCACATCTGTAGTCCCAGCTACTTGGGAAGCTGGGGCAGGAGAATCACTTGAGCAGGGGAGGTGGAGGTTGCAGTGAGCGGAGATCGCGCCACTGCACATCAGCCTGGGTGACAGAGGAGACCCTGTCTCATAAATTAAAAAAAAAAATGGGCAGTTTATGACAGAAGCAACCTGGCCACCTAATATTGGACTCTATGCCTAAAATTTTAGCTTCTTCCTCAAATCATGGGTCATGGTCAGCAAATGTCATTGTCCTTATTTGAAAATAAAATCAATCTATAGAATCAGAATTTTACTCACATGTAAGAAACCTTGGAAAAAAAATATTGGTTTATAAATCAAGTGAATCTACAGATAGAACTATTTTTCTTTCCAAAAAATTAAGACTAGGCCTTCTAAAATTTAGCCAATAAAGGATAGGCAATAACTATGGGAACTATAACATATTTTGCAAATAGTGTCTTAAATACTAGTGTTATAGTTGGCAATACCTATATTCGAAAATTAATTCCTGTAAATAGAAAATTTATCTGTGTTTCTTCAGTGCTGTTCAAATTTAAGAGCTTTAAAATGGGTAGATACAATCATTCATTTATTAAGTGGAAATAGATCTAGAGGATTTTTAAAAAGTAAAACAGGGTCACTCCTTTCTAGTAATTTAGTACTCTTTAAGAAATCTTTATCTGTAATTTGGTCTTTTGAATGGATTTACCTGCAGGGAAGGAGGTTCCCTGGGGAGACAAATCATCA
This sequence comes from Homo sapiens, assembly GCF_000001405.40. Lineage (NCBI taxonomy): Eukaryota > Metazoa > Chordata > Mammalia > Primates > Hominidae > Homo > Homo sapiens. The sequence continues at coordinate 96,856,860 of NC_000003.12, forward strand.
GTGAATAAGTCAATCTCATTTATAAATGAGTCTCCTGTATGCCTGATTAACAAGAACCAGTCTCCTAAAATATGATTATGCCTCTTTGGAAGGATAAATATTAATCTTCTCAGTCACAAAAGCTAAGGATTGAATTTTGAACCTGATTATTTCACTTTGTCATCAAAATATTAATAGTTTCGGAACATTATAGATTTCATTGCCATAATCTGTATCTTGGGTAATCAATAAGTTAAGAAAACTGATCAATGTCTTATCAAACCTACATTTGCTGTCTTATGCTTAATTATACTTAGGGAACCCATGTTGAATGAAATATTTTCCATTTGCCTAGATGTTAAAATGTCTTTATCCTTTCTTTTGCATTTACTTTATTGCAGAAAGTTCTGATGATAAACAATTTGACAATAGTACTTAATGATTTGCTTCCCTACAGGGTAATGATAATAATGCATTTATTGTATTTTATATTTTATGCCAACCATAAAGCTTCCATCTGTCATTCTTTTCTCTATATTGAAGCCATGCTGCTCTTGGCATGGGTCACATTTGTAAATGTTTCATTTATGAACCATTCCTCCTCCTAACTCCTCTGCAATAGAGAAATATGCCAAAAAAGATTAATTGCCTTATAGTTCATGTGTCTCTAAATTTGGCATCACATTCACTGTGACATTTCCTCAGTAGTTTCCAGTAGGAATTTGTCCTACATAATTCTCATGATTTTATTTATCAAATAATTGTGCTAAGAGCTGTTTAATGTGTAAATGATATGACAACTGGTTGTCTTAATATTTTTTTTAAGTCTTCACATTTTTCCTGCCCATTTCTCTCATTATAGACTACTCTGTTCTACAGGCAGTATTACTTACTAAACTACTACAATCCAATTTAGCTATACAGAAGACAACACATAATTTTTAGGCAGTCAAAGATGTTGAAAATGTGGGAAAATGATTAGAAAATAAGATTTTCATTTAAATTATTTTTGTAGCATCTCCTCAGAATGTATATTATTGTGTCCGGTTTAATGACCCAATAACCATGTTTTGTGAGCAGGTGACTGTGAAATCTGAATGTTCAGGAATAGAATTTAGTTGGCTGCTTGAAGAATATTGGCAGTTCAGCTCTACCTTTTTTAGCGTCTAAAGGAACTAGAGTATAGGTAATATTTCAGAAATCAGCTGGAGAAAGGGGGTGGGGGAATCAAAGGAAAAAAACACCATTGTTCTTAGATCTCTCTTGAATACTCGTCAAGTGGATTAATTAACAAGAGAGACTCAAAAGTTGAAGAAGAGGCAATCATGACCCATGACACAGCAAGCAAATTTTTTTGTGTTACTCTTCTTGTCATATATAGGGTAGCCATGCTACCCTAGTAGGGTGGCTAAGAAGATCAGAGTCTATTGAGAGCTAAGTTAGGGTTGATACTACGCTTAGAGAATTACATGGTTTAGGGTAGAGCAACACCCAGCAATTAGTAGAATAAGAAATATGACTTGACCAAGCATACAGTATTAAAGCAAAGTATAGAACCCAGGAAGCAGATAGGAAAAGATGTAATCTAAACAGTGGGAAGTTTCTTGGGACATGATAGAAGTTGGAGATTTAGGAAGTCTCTTTCAATATATTTCTGTGAAAAATTGCTTGTGTGTCGTGATATTAGGTATGCCATGAAAAAGTCCCAAGTCAGTGTTACCTGAAAGGCGCTGTTATCAATTCAAATTTAACTTGGATAAATAAATAATGCAAAAGGGAAGAGAAGAAATGATTATTCATAAGCATATTTGTATGCTATTTCAGTTAAATTGTTTTCTTCGTATGATGGATGTTGGTTATCAGATAGTAGGGGGGATAATTTGAACACTGTACACAGTCAGAAATGGGGATAGATGTCCAGGGTTTGGACTGAGAGTGAGCAGTCTGAGGGCAGTCAGTGCTTCAGGGGTTGGGGCCAAGCTGGAGCAGAGAAGACGACTCCAAAAGATACAAATGTGTGTTTTGTCATAACCCATTCTGTGCTCAAAACAAATGTCCACTTCGATTTTATTTTTTCTAGAGACCACTTTGCCTCTTAACTACATCTCAGAAGATCATATGTAAATAGGCCTTGACTTTTTCCATCGCAAACCAAGTACAGTAGCCGTTTAAATTTTATCCAGCACCTGCCTTCCTGCTTACACTATACTGCTTTTCCAATAGTTGGTTAAGAATGTTCTTTTCTAAGACATACATTTCTTGCTCATGATCCCTTTTGATTACCTCATTCATTCATTTTCTTCAACAGATACCCACAAACACCCCCCCAACACACACTCACACACATGTTAAAGTAATAGTTATAATTGTGCTGTCTTGATTTGGCTGTAATGTCAATGGACAAAAGAATTCTTTAATTTTAAGTTGTTTAATATGTATTTGTTTCAAAATTATGGCAGCACAATTAAAATTTTTATCTGATAATTTCTTATTTCTGATGACTAAAGGTTAGATTACTAAAGTGTTTACCTCTGATAATGGTTAATTTTTTTTTTTTTTTTGAGACAGGGTCTTGTTCTGTCACTCAGACTGGAGTGTAGTGGTGCAATCATGGCTTGCTGCAGCCTAGAACTCCTGGGCTCAAGCGATACTCTCATCTCAGCCTCCTGAGTAACTGGGATTACAGGCACACACAACCACACCTGGCTAATTTTAATTTTTTAATTTTTAATTTGTAGAGATAGGGTCTTGGTATGTTGCTTAGGCTTGTTTAATTCATTTTTAAAACATCTCCCACTCTATGTAAAACAATATCTCTTTGGACAAATTTAGCAGACATTTCCTGTATTTGGGATTGTTTTGGAGAGTATCCTACAGGTAGGAAATTATTTCCCTTTCTGTTGTCTACTGGGATGCATTTAGTCCTTGGCACATTTATGAAAAGTGTGATAAGTGGTACAATTACTGACAATTTTGATGGTGATTTTGAAGATGTGATATGGGATGTCTGCCCTTTTAGAAGAGCAATTTAAACTACACAGTCTACTAAATAGCTGCAGTCATTTTTTGTCTGCACCTTCTAAATGAGGGCATTTTAATCTGTTCTGCTATATATGCTATAAACTATGGCATGTGAGTTGACACAAAAATCCTAGTAGTGAAAGTTAAAGTAGAAAACTGGTATACCTTGAAGGTAGGCATTGTAACTTACAGACTTTCTATATCCTATAGCGTCCAATATATAGAGTTTAAATATAACAGAGACTTAAGAAATGTTTGTTGAAATAACATCAAAATGTATGATGTAAAATCAGGTAACATTTCTTGACTGCTTAGGTCCTAGTTAGGGAAGTTAACATCTATTTTCATTATGTCCATGTAAATGTAATGGAGGGAACAAACAAAACTGCAGGAAGAAAAATTTTCCCATCTTCAAGAAAAAAGACTAAACTTTCATTCTCATAATTTTTTTCACAGACTCAAAGTTATTTTTTTCCTTTCCAATATAAAGCCACTGTTATTTTTTTTTAAAGTAACGGTTTCAGTAGTTTCTTTTAGACCTTTCTTCCATTATATAGAAATGGTTTTGGATTGAGATGGCCATTATATTGTAGATATAACTTACAAGTAAGTAGTTATAATCTCTTTTATCAGGACCATTAAACCAATGATTTAAGTGTATTTCAGACCTTAAGTTTCATAATATTCTTCAAAAAATTGGAAAATGTCCAAAGCCCATAAAAGACTAGTGGGAACATAAGAAAGGTTAGAACTAGAAAGGCAAGACACATGTTTGATGCTGTGTAAGCAATGGGGAACATGTTCAATGGTTTGAGCTAAATGGGGCACTTCTTTGTGAGAGATGAGAGACTCGCAACATTTATTAAATATAAGACTAGAAAATCTAAGACTATAGCCAAATAGTCTTTTCTACCTATTTAATCCCTGAGTAATTGAGACAAATGTAAATAATATAGGTCTCAACTGAATTTGCTTACGAAGTGCTGAAGATGTCAAAATAGAGGAAGCATCTAATTGCTATTAATTAGGGACATGCCAAATTTTCTTTTACTCATTTTTAACCACACAGATAACAGAACAATTTTATAGGAAAGCACAACTTTTGAGGTAACTCATTAATAAATATCAATGACCTTGCTCAGGAGCCCAGGAGGGAACCTGTAGTTTGGTGACCTTGTGATAGATCACATCCACACCCGAGTTATCCTTTGGTCTCTGTGGTAAGTGCTGGTAATAGCAGGTTTTAGGAATGATTATAAGGCTGAAGCAAATATAGCTCTGTCAGTCAGGATAAGGATCTGGAGGTTCTTGGAATGAGTGAAATAAGAAGGTATGAAAGTCAAGATGAACATTTCTAGTAATATTTTAATCAACTATTAACCATTCATTATTTGGATAAGGTTTTCAGTGATAGTTCTTGCTCTAGAGTATAACTTGCTTTCTAAGTAATAGCAAACTGCTTCACTTGATTTATCCTGAAAGTAATTTAGTTAGGTAGAAAATTATATAGCTTGAGTGTTTTGCCCTTTTTTTTCTATTTAAGATAACAGTGAAGAAAAGTAATTTTTTATTTTTATACCTTATTTTAGTAACTAAGGGAATCATCTATTTTTAAGAAGGGACAGAGATATTTGAATGTTTTCTGAAAAAGATACTCTCTAGCAGAGTAGAAAACTGAAAGGTGTAATTTCAAAAGTTCTAGACTTGATTTTATTCTCTAATTAGAAAAAGCTAACATCACTATGTTCATATTACCTTATACTTACAAATAGAATTTCCAATCTCAGATGTAACTGAAGGGATAGATAAAATTAAAATAATGAACACCCTCTATGTTAAAAACATGGAAACAAGCAAAAACCACAAAAAATAAGAATAACCACCACAACAAAACAAAATGCTGTAAGTACACCTACTAAACAAATAATTGATCTCAGGTTCTAGATAAAAGTAGCTTTGTTGTTTTTAAGAAAGTATGATCCTCTTTAGAAGATTTTATCTTAAAATATTCCAAGTACAGAGAGGACCATACCAGGAGTCAACATAATTCAGTGTTGATTTAAAGCAATCTATGTTAGATTTTTTTCAGAATTAAATATGGTTGCAACTCCGTGTGAGGGTAGTTACCCATATTATATATATCTGAAAGTAAAAATTTTTGGTTCTTACCTTTCAGAAATATACAGTGATGTTAAAACTGGATTAATTTGATAATCTAAATGTCAGTTTAAAGCATTTAAACAGTATTATATTTAAATGGACTGCTTCTAAAATGTAACGTATAAAGATACATGTTTGTTTATATATCTATAATTCGAAGTATTCTCTGATTGTATCTGGTCATGATGTTAGAAGTATTGTCTTTGTTTATTGGTGTTTTTTAAGAGCTATTGGAGGTAGTAGAGTGTTACAGTTAGTGGAACATAGAACCATCATAAACCTCTACTGATGTGCTGTTACTGAGTGACTTAGTAACTTTACTTAGTAACTCAGAACCTTAAGCTGGGCCTTAAAGCTTCTAAATTGAATGATTCTAGGAAGAAACCCCTTACTTTTTTTTCATAAGGTTTGTTAGAGAAAGTTCTCAAACATGTATTTATGATTGTCTGAACTTTAAAACATATTGATAAATCTTTGGACTCAATTTACATGACATTGACTTAAATTTTTACAACAAAATTATCCTAAAAGAATAGCTACTTTCTTAGTGGCTTGATTTATCTCTTCCTTGTGTAATTTTTCAAAGTGATATATGAATAAAATCTCATCCTTTTCTTACTGTGCTATCTGAATAAAGATGATCTTCTATTATATACTATAAATCAATATGCTAATTGTTTTTAAACTAATACCTTTTAGATTTACTGAAATGATGTAGATAAAGACTTGATAAAATATTTAAAGGCAAGAAGTTAATATTTAGCTTTTTATTCTTAGGTAATCATAACTTTCAGATTTAATCCAGTACTATTAAATTTGTGTTTATCATTTGATATTGTCTTTTAAAACATTATGAAATTTTCTTATAATTTCCAAAAGCATGAATAAAGGCAACTCTAATACACTAAAAGACATGTTCAGAAAGAAATATAATATGCTGAAAATTTTTTTCTAAAAGTTAATAGGAAAATTGTATGCAGTTACACAGACACATTCTATGCATTATGTTGCTTACAAAACAAAATGTGTATTTTTAGAACTTTATTTTATTGCCCCCAGGCTATTTTTTTTGTTTTATTCAATTTCTCAATTTATGCTATGAATAAATAATTGTATTTTCATTTGTACTCTTTACATAAATAATAGGTGTTAATCTTCCTATTTAAACATTGCTATTATATTAAAAATGGAAAAGTATTGGCTTTTTTACTGATGTTAATGCTGATGTAATTTTTTTTCTTCCTACTGAGTTTACAGTGTTTTTGCTGTCTGGTAGGGACTAGGTAACTTTTGTTTGGAGCCAGCAGGAGGAGCTCTCACCTTGCTGTGTTCAACGTAATTAGTGTGCCTGAAAAACCTGAATTTGTGGGGGTTTTGTATGTGAAACAAATGATAAAATTAAAATATTTACTACATATCTCTAAAATTCTAAATTTTATTTTAATATTGAAATATAATTCACCTGTCTGAAATGCAAATTTGGAATCTTATTTTTTTAAAGAATTTTTAAGAGGTATCATTGCAATTTAATCAAATAAAGCAGTTAGGTCAATCTTGTTTCTGGAAGATACTAAGAAACAACAAAAAATGTTTTCTAAGCATTTGCACTATAATAGGTACATACATATTTTCCTTTTTTACTTGTTTTGAAGTGAATATACTTCACAGTTTACAACTATGAATACTGAGAACAAAGCAGGCTTAATATGTTTTAGAAACAATAATTAAATGAATTAATGAATTAACTTATTGGTCATAATTCCTATATAAAACTTATAAAAAGGAAATAGCTGTTGATAGATTTCAATACGCATTAGAGATTTTAGACACTTAGCTCTAATGAAAGCCTTGATTTGAATGTTGTGATTTGTAGGTTGTACCAGTGAATTTTCTGCAGAAATCTTTGATGAGAAAATTAGAATAAAACTTATGAACATTTAAAAATCACCATAAGAAATACTGATGTTTCTCTCCATTAAGTGAAGTACATATTAAAACAATAATGAGTTACTGTTGCACACCTGATAGAATGACTTTAAAAAACTGGACAAAACCAAGTCCTGGTTTGTACAGGAATGGGAAAACCATACATTTCCCTATTGTGAATCTAAAATTTCACAGCAGTCAGTTTTGGAATCCAGATGGATAGTTTATTTAAAAAACAAACATTTTCTGTATAACCCACTAATCTTACTCCTTGTTATTAACCCTGGAGAAATAAAAGCATAGGTTCATATAAAAAATCTGTATAGGAAAGCTTAGGGTGGCCTATGTATAATGTTCTTAACTGGAAATAGCCCAGATGTCCATCAACTAGGGAATTCCATACAGTGGAATAGGTTTCAGCAACAAAAAGGAACAGTTGAAACATGCAGTGACATAGATGGATCTCAAATGCATATGTGAAGTAAGGAAACCAGGCTCAAAAGGCTACATGCTATATGATTTCATTTATTTGACACTCTGGAAAAGACAAAGCTACAGGGAAAGAAATCAGATTAGTGGTTACCAGAGGATGGGGTAGGAAAGGGATTTCTTATAAAGGGCCACAAGAAATTTTGGGAGGGTAATGGACGTATTCTCTAGCTTGATTGTAGCCATGGTTCCATGGATGTAGGAGTTTGTCATGATTTACAAAAATGTACATTTAAAGAGGGTGGATTTGTTGTGAGTCAAACAAATTTTAATAAATCTAACTGATAAGACATGGGGAAACTTATAGATTTAAAAAAAACACTTAAACAGGAATGCCAACTAACTTATTAGCATTTATTTGAATCTCGGCTTCTTTTCAAATGAGACAATAAAGAATATTGAACACTGTCTGGATATGTCATTGCATTAAGGAATTTTTATATTAATGAATTAAGATATTGTAAGTATATTAAAAGAGTATTTTGGAAATACATGTTGAATTTTTATACAGGTGAAATGATAAGATTCCTGAAATTTACTTCAAATGAAATCTTATAGTGGGGAAGTAGGTAAAAATGTATACAAGAAACAAGATTGGACATTAATTGGTAATTATTGAACCTGAGTGATGAGTATGTGAGGGTTCATTGTACTGTTTTTTACTACTTCAAAAAGTATTTGAAAATTTCTCACAATAAAAATTGATTAAAATTTATGACTTAGTTTTACAAATGTATGTTTAGTGAATAGATTTTAACAATACTAAAGGAATATTCTGCAATGAGTAAGTAGAGTTTAACCCAGGAATTTAAGGATACTTTCATATCTGAAAAATGTATCAATAAAATTTATCACAGTGGTTCACCTAAGTAAAACCTCAGAATCTTTAGAGTAGACACCAAACAGCAGGTGCCAAATAACATACTCACAATTGCATTTTAAAAAATTATAGATGAGAAACCCCCAGCCAGGTGCCTTGGCTCACACCTGTAATCCCAGCACTTTGGGAGGTCAAGGTGGGAGGGTCACTTGAGGCCAGGAGTTCAAGACCTGTCTGCATAGCATAGTAAGACCTTGTCTCTACAATAAATGAAAAAATTAGCTGGGCACAGTGGTGCGTGCCTGTAGTCCCAGCTACTCAGAAGGCTGAGGCAGGGGGATCGCCTTGAGTCTAGGAGTTCAAAGCTTCAGTGAGTATGATTGTGCCAGTGAACTCCAACCTGGGCAACAGAGCAAGACCTGTCTCTTTAAAAAACAAACAAAAAAAAAAAAAAAAAAAAAGGAAAAAGAAATCTCACTTCCTTAACAAGATGAAAAACCAAAATTAATGATGTGGTACCAAAGCATTGTTTCTCAGAGTGAGGTTCATGGCCTACTGACATCTGGAGGCCTAGGAGGTAGTAGTTAAAAATAAATATCTGCTGAATCATGAGCTGTCCACATTTACCTGCCAGAAACGCTACAAAAACCCTCCTTAGTTGATCTCCATCTGTCTTTCCCAATCGTTTCTATCATCTAACTTTCCCCAAGTAGTCTCCACCCCTACAACTGAGAACTGATTTAGTCATATTTCAGTTAGTTTATAGAAAGTATTCTAAAATAAAAAAAAATCTTATCATATCTGATTGAAACCCCCTCATCCTAGACCAGTTCAAATTGGATCCCGTTTGTGAAGTTCTCCCAGAACTGCCAACCCAACTTTAGCTTAACTTAATTGCTAAGATGTTAATATAATCTTCACTTTTATAACTTAACAGAAAATGTTGTTATGTGTTTACATGTCTGCTTTTTTGACAAGATTATGAATTACTTTTGGTCAGGAAAAGAGATAGATGGTTTTTACGTTTGGTTTCGCATCTTATAGCCATAAGTAAACTACCTAGTGTATATAATAATAATGTAGTCAGTGCTTTAAAGATTATAAGATTTTTCAAAATGAGTTTTTTTAATACTTGGCTGATAATATATAAGGACATTTAATAGCACAAAAAGAGAATCAAGAAATCTGCTTTAATACAGGATTTTCTTCCTGAATGTGGTCTAAAAATACTGTAAATGAAAGTGGGGGAAAAGCAAAGGTAGTTATTTTATCAGTTTTAAACATCTGCTATTAAAAAGACTTAATTCTGTTTAATAATTTCATTTAGCATTGTTTAACAAAAATATACATACTTTAATTTCTAAATACTTTATGCATTTTATCATTACTTAATACTATTTTATATTAATATTTAATATGTAAATTTCTGAAGATAACTCATTAAACTTAATTCAGTGAATAATAGTAAGTGTAATTGACATTAATGATTTTTATTATAACTTTAATAATTTAATATATTTTTGCATTAGTTGAGAAATTCATGGAATTTTTATTTTCTATTTAATTCCAGTTGTGTTGCTTGATACAACAACTGTACTGGGAGAGCTAGGATGGAAAACATATCCATTAAATGGGGTAAGTTTAAATATCTGAAAAATTGCTGTCTTTTTTAGATTTTTAAGATCTCCTAATAGTTGATGGAACAGTGAATTTTGGGCCCTACTTGTTATGAATTTTGACATATAACTTACATCCCATAGAAAAGGTTAAAATACAATTAGAACTGGTAATCAGTGGGAATGATATGTAAAGCTCCTTCCTCTCTCCTAAATTAGTAATTATTCTTTAATACTGTGTTTATACATAGTGACATTAGAATATCTCCCATATAAATATTTTCCTTAAATATAAATTTCTGTGTGTAAGTTTATATATGTTACATTTATGTTAAATTTGATAACCTCGATGAGTATTTGTGCATAAATAAACTTTAAACTACTGTAGTATAAATGGATTGTGCAAATATTAACAATTTGGTTTTTAATACAGAATACAAGTCTACTAAAATATTATGCATTTTTGAACTTGGTGAAAATATACAAGGTGATTAGGTTTTTGTTAACTGAAATAGTTGTATTTAAAGGCTTGTTAAGGATGTGTAATTTGCAAAATATAGTTTTTCATGGACCAACATTTTAGCTATGGTTGTACTTGACTTTTTATATATTTTTATATATTTTGCATCATTTTCATATTACAATATATGTCTACTTCTCATTTTCACACTGAGCTAAAATAAAAGGGTGGTTTCTAAAGCATTTTGCTTTGATTTTTGTCTAGTTAATCAAAATATTGAATAATAGAGGCAGTCACATGTTTTCAGATACACTTGGGTTAGCTTTCCTTTTTTTCCTTAGAAATGGTAATTTTCTTATTAATCACATTCTTAGTTGACATTTTCACATTGCTTCTTCTATTATATCTTCAAATTTAAACCTCAAAGGAGAAATTGATCCAAATATGTTTTATTCTTTTAGAATCTTTCACATATTGCTGTTTGAATTTGACATTTTACAACAACAGTTATTCACTAAGTGTGTATTTTCAACTAAAATATCCTATGAAGAGTGAAATCTTCCTCTCTTTAACAGCCCATTTGCTTCTTTAAATTTGTAAGTTTTATATACTGCGAGTTTATTTTTCTGAAATTTTTGTTTATTCTACTAGAGCTCTTATCAAACTGTTTCTGAGGTATATATCTTAAACTAGGATTATGCTTTTATCTTCATTGTCTTATTTCCATTAAAATGAATAAACATTCGTATTGTTGAGTATATTAAGTGGGTCATGTTTTTACTTTTAAGAAATGAATGAAACTTTTCTAAAATACCTTTTGTGTGTGTGCGTGTGTGTGTGTGTGTGAGAGAGAGAGAGACAGAGTGTGTGTGTGTGTGTGTGTGTCTAATCTTATGAACAGTAGAATGGATAGGTGGTATAAATAAGATTTTAAAAATATGCAATTTATTTATTTTTTCTTTTTTAGTGAAGAGGATAGATTACTGGTACTAATGGAGCTTTACTTAATGCTATTTATAGGTTAAAATAAGGAACTATTCAGTAAGGATGAAGAACTTGGGAAAGAGGCTACTGAAAATGCCAAGAATGAAAATAATCTAGGTATCAATATAGGTTACAGTACTTAAAATCCACCAGAACCATTAATCAGTTTATAACATGTAAACCAGCATTTATATCGAAACATTAAAATTGTAATTATATCCAGTTGAAATCATATAAATTTTTCAGGTACTCAGTTTCACTGAGGCATGCTCATTTGATTGACCATTTTAACAATTACACTTTTACATAGACACTAATTCAATTGATTTTACAAATATGTCATGGGTGGAAGAGACATGTAGACAATATAATTGGCAATATATGAGGTAAAGTATGTTTGGTATTATAAATAATGTATTTCTCAGGAATAACTTTTTAATTGAAAAAAACTCTTCCTATAAAGAATTGACATTTTTGAAATTGTATAATGTGCTACATAAAATATAGGTAATTTAATCATTGATTCCATAGATTTTTCTTTTTACTTAAATTCATCATTCCACTAGTAATATCATGCTGATATAGTTACAGAATTAGGCATTCAGAGTGTGCCTGTGAACAGACTGATAAATAGTCATTTCAGTGGAAAATTGAGCATCTCTGGTGGTTAGTAATTATGGAAAAAGGATGAATAGTCTGAACAAATAACGTTTTAGGCTTACAGAAATGAAAAGAGAATTATGAATTTTCTAAAACACTTGCTTATCAATTCATTTGTGCCAACATTTAAAATATACTTTTTCTTTTAAGCATTGTCCTGAATTCAATTTAACAAACTTCTGTTTTATGCTGCTCTATGCCAAATACCCTGTTATTGTGCCTAAGACAGATTTTTCTACCCTCAAGGGGTATTGAAGCACAGCGATAATTATACAGAATCACTAGGCCAAAGAATGTGTCTTCAGGTTGTTCTGAGTAATGTTTTGTGAAAGAATAATAAAAGGAGAGGTTAATTCTGGTCAAGGAAAATTGGGAATAAGAAGTTGCATGTCAGCTCTTTCAAAAAAAAAAAAAACGTGAAGGAATTGGCCTTGAAAAAAAAGGGAGAAGGCAACTTCTAGGCGAAAGGAGTGGCTTGAGCAAAGGCACAGAATTATTTCATGTATGTATCAGGTTTTAGGAATGCTGAGAATCATTTGGCCTGTAGGGTTGCAGTGGAAATAATCATTTGGCTGGAGTGGAGGTATACAGTGAGAAATAGGACCTGTAATCATAGGCTAAACCACATTTTGCAAGACTTAGAATTTCACTAAGTTGAGGTAGATAGTGCATATCTCTGCATCAGTAAGTTAACTTTTAAAACCTATGTTTAATGTGTACATAGTGGATGAGATCTTTGTTACATAGTTGTATTGGACTTAGATATAGCCACTATAGTATATAAAATCAGATATCATTTTCAACAGTGGAGTACCTGTTAATTAAACATTAAGACAAAATTGATGTTAGGAAAACAAAAGTGCTGTTGGATGTTACATCACATTTTATTTTAATGGCAATTGGAGATTAGAAATCTTTGTGTTTCTCTAATACTGAATATTGGTTTTGAATATCATATTTTATAGATAATTTTTGTGTGCTCTGACTTAGATGATCACTAGGGCTTCAGCAATGCAATATAGTACAAGATATGTGATCTTATCTGTTGGACATAGTGAATTGGTATTAGGAAACTTACCCTGAAATACTTCATGTATTGGTCATGGTTCTTTAGAGAAAAAGAACTAATAGGAAATATATCTGTATCTGTTACACATATCTATATCTGTTTTTCTACCTAATGAGAGAGAGATTTAGATTTATTTTGGGAATTGGCTCACATGATTATGGAGGACATGAAATCCCATGATCTACAAACTGAAGAACGAGGAAAGTTGGTGGTGTAATTTAGTCCTAGTCCAAAGGCCCGGGGAGTGGGTACTGACATCAGTTCCCAAGTCTGAAGACCCAAGAACGAGGAGCTCTGATTTCTAAAGGCGGGAGAAGACAGATGTCGCAGCTTAAGAAGAAGGAGCAAATTTGTCCTTTCTACATCTTTCTCATTCTATCTCCACTTCAGTGGATTGGATGAGGTCAAGTTACATTAGTGAGGAAGGGCAGATATTCTTTAATTTATCTATTGATTCAAATACTAAGCTCTTCCAGAAACATCCTTACACACACACCTGGAAATAATGTTTTAGCAGTTATCTGGAAATAATGTTTTAGCAGTTATCTTTAGCCTAGTCATGTTGATACATAAAATTAACCATCACAGTTAGGAAAATAAACATGTCATTCATGTGTAAATAAAAGCTGTAAGTAAACCTAACAACTAATGATTTTTATTTTTATAATAAAAGAAGCAGAGATTACAATCAACCTCTGTAGAAAGATACTTTATTCCATTAATCGGAGCCCATCATTTCCTAATATAATTTTTCCAAAGGTGAAAATCAAAGGTTGGATGTACTATGATAGAGAATGGAGTAACTACCAATAAACATTTGTTTTTATAATGCAATTTATATATTTCATATAGTAAGAAGTAATTCATCATAGTAGAAGATTTCAGTATTACATTTTGATTCATCCTAAAATTGAAATTATCCAAAACTATACCATGTGCATATTCAAGTTCTGAAAATGTAAATTTTGGTGATAATTTCTGTTGGTGAATATGGAGTGCTATAGTTACTGTTTTCAAACTGATATTTAAATATTTTTTCTTCTTAGAAACTTCACAACATATATGGTAATGTTCTAAACACCCGTCATGTTAATTTCAATTATATTGTTCCATATTTCAAAGAAATGCATTAGGTTTTGTTAATTAATCAATTCTATCAGTGTACATTTCTTTAATATCCATGTTTGTAAGACATTTTATAGCTGTGAGGTGTTAATTGCCATCCACATAAGGGAAAGGACTTGATAATAGTACTCATATCATTAGATTATTAGAAGGATGAAATTATGTAATATATGTAAAGAAGTTAAAACAATGTCTGGTTCATAATAAACATTACATAAATATTATCATTAGGAGTAGTGCAAGAACCCCAAATATTTTAAAGAAATGAAAAATCCAGACTTCTATATAGACCATTTGTTTCTTTGCTTTTTCCAGAATCATGTTTTATCATGTATCAAATATTTTTTTTTCTGAACCACAATTATATTTTTGTGCCTTTGTTTACTTAACTAATAAGGCAAAAATGTAGAATGAGTACTTTTTTCATTTAAATATAAATAAAATATACATGTACACTCATTTATTTAATCTTTCACCGCACATTATGTGAAAAATGCTATTTTGTGTACTGGAAGTGGTGGTGGACATGGTCAGTCATTACAAAAATATATGAACCCTCTTAGGATCTAGTACTAGTTATGATCTTTAGCTGTGAATACTATATCCAGGTTTGCTTGATATATAATCAAAACATATGTTATATTTTATTAAGTTAGCTTCATAACCAAGAATTGCCAAAGCAAATATGGGCAGTAATAATAGAAAGACTCATTGACCCTAGATGTGAGATTTCAGTGTGGTAACGGCCTCTTAAAAGATGCTGAATCGAATTAACCAGGAGATAGAATTTGAAGGCCAGTGTGTTAAGTTCCTTGAAAGCATTTCCCTAGAAAAGAAAAGTAAACCTGGATACTCACTTGGAAGCGATAGATAAGCGAGACATAATTCTTACATTTCTTCATTTGGTTTGATGAGTCAAATATTTTAAAAGATCAGCCTGCAAATGAACAGCCTCCTGCACAAAATCTTATGTGATAGCTGAGCATATTTGAAGATGGTCATGTTAAGTACCCAAACTTTCTCTTATAATCATTTGCAGTAGGAGGAACACAATCTGCAAAGCCAGCGTTTGTTTCTTGAGACCATTCCTTTCAGGGGCTTGTCCCTGTTGAAGCACATGTCAGCACAGGTGAGCTCATGATTGCCTGGAGATCTCCTTGTGGCTCCTGTGACAAGCAGAAAGGAACACATTGTAGGATAGAAGCCTCCTGTGTTTATGGAGGGTGGCTTCCAAAGTTGCTGTCTCCTCTCCTCTTCCTTGCTTTATGTAGATTTAAATTTCTGACCTATTTCATTTTTCTTCTCTCCAAAGAATGTTTTTTAACATTTCTTGTTCTTGCAAGGTAAGTCTGCTGGCAACACATTCTCTGAATTTTGTTTGAGAAAGTCTTTATATCTTCTTCACTTTTCAGGGAAAATTTTACAAAGTACAGAATTCCAGGTTGGTGGGCTTTAACAAATCTCTAAATACTTTAAATATTTCACTCCACTGTTATTGCTTGCATGGTTTCTGAGGATGAATTGTATGTAATTCTTATCCTTGCTCCTCTATTCTTAAGGTGTTTGAGTCTTCTGGATTCTTTCAAGGTTCTTTATATTTGCTTTTTTTTTAAATTTGATGTGAAAATATTTTTTGAAGTTTGAATACAGTATATGTAGGTATAGTTTTTCTGGCATTTATCCTGCCTAGTGTTCTTTGAGCTTCCCGAATCTGTGGTTTGGAGCCTGACAATAATTTGGAGCAATGTCTGTGTCATTATTGCTTTAAATATTGCTCTCTTCCTTTCTCTTTTTTTCCCCATTTGATATTCCCATTACACATAAACTGTTGGGTTTCTGCTTCCTTAAATTATGATTCTCAGGCCGAGGTGGGTGGATCACCTGAGGTCAGGAGTTCGAGACCAACCTGGCCAACATGGTGAAACCCCGTCTTCACTCAAAATACAAAAATTAGCTGGGCATGGTGGGTACCTGTAATCCTAGCTACTCAGGAGGCTGAGGCTGGAGAATCACTTGAATTGGGAGGTGGAGGTTGCAGTGAGCCAAGATCATGCCCCTGCAGTTCAGCCTGGAAGACAGAGAAAGATTTCATCTCAGAAAAAAAAAAAAAGTTATGATTCTGTGTATCCACCAGTCCATCTCTCCAATTCTGGGGCAGTGCTTTACCCGCTGATCTAAGTGGAGTTGTTCATTTTTCAGTTTGTTCAGCTTTTTACTTGTTACAATGGAGAAGCTAATTCTAAACTACTTATTTGCTGGACCAGGCAAAATAATACGTTTTCAACTGTCACAAACATTATGTAATGGGTTGCAACATTTGCTTAAACAGTTTTACAAATTATGATTCTACTTAATTTTCCTTAGCCTTCTGTTTTCTTGCAATGAACGGTCCTGAAATATTTACTTTCTCTTTGTATCAATCACTATCTGTAGCAATTGGCTTTATTTTCTTCATTCAATCTAAACAATAAATCAAGCTTTTATCCCTTTACATGACATTGTTGCTATTTTTCCTTACAAATCGGTAAAGGAAGATTTCAGAGCTTTCTTGTGGTATGTATGTTGAGCAGTAGATGATGAAACTCCCAGGTGCTCTTAGAGATTTAATTCTGTATGTCTTGACTTCATAAGAATAACCATGTACATTTCTGTCCCTGAATATTCAGATTATTAATGTGTCATGAGTCTGTAAAAGAACTGCAATTCAGCATTTCAGCATTTTACATACTTTTCGTGATCTCAATAATATTTATGTGAAGTAAATATTTTTATTACCACGTTATATATGAAAAAACTGGACCTGAGAAGAGTTTCAGAACCTACCCATGGTTGTGATGACCAAAGAAGCTGGTATTAAAACAGGTCATGTCAATCCCAAAGCCAAGACTTTAGTCATTACGGTATAGCTATAACCACAAATTGATTTTCAACATTGTGATGACTGCAGTGAAGGGTGAAAGGACTCTCTTAAGGCTGACCAAGAGCAGACTTAATCTAGTTACAGTGTTGTTAGAAAGACCGATTTTGTTTAAAAGGATACATAGTTATTGAAAAGTACTGTAAAGATTAATTTTCCTTTGAAGCTTAATAATCAAACTAAGGATGCTTAATTATTCACAAATGTTTAGTTAAAAGCCTAGGAATATCTGGTGCATGTTTTAGATTGTTTTTATATTTAATTATCTTAGAAAGGAACTAAAGAAATATTCCTTTAGTGTGTCTCTTTTAGAGACATTGTTTTCATTTATTTGTGCCTCAATAATTGTGTCTTTTACATGTCTGTTATTGACTGTAGGCTAATTAAGTGTAAAATATGGACTAGTCTAGTCCAAAAAACTTATAGAAATAATTACATTTGAAATGATAGAGTACTTGTCATTCTCAAAATGTCTTCTAAAGTAAATTGTCCAGGCAAGGGGCTTGCTAAGGGATACCAGTTATAGTTAGTGACACGGTGCCCTACTCCCTTGCCCATATGTTATTGAGACAAAGATGGACACATAATCTAAAGACAACTAGTTCAATGACTGACCAGCTCCTGTCACCTCTCATGGGGATTTCCATAAATGACTAAGCCAATCAGACTCCTCTTTTAGGAATTTAGGATTTCTATGTTAAGAGTTCAGGAGAAATAGCAGCCAGAAACATCTGCCGTAAAGACACATTGAAAGATACATGCAGAAGGGTTAGAGTAGGGGGACTTGATGACCTGAAGTCATGTGCAAGTAACAGTTCTAGGAGAGCAGGAAAAAAATCCAATAACTAAAGGGAGGCCATTCAGTAGTAGGAGGAGAACATAGAAGATGCAGAGGAAAAGCCATGAAGAAAGGAAAGATTAAGGTAGTTAGCACCTGTAGAGATGACCAAGTTTCTGCTGAATCTTCAGGTCCAATTCTTAGTTTTTCTTAAATTCCTTTTATCTGGGCTGCCAGATTGTAAATACAGATTGTACTTATAATAATAATAATAATAACAGTGAAACACCAGCACCATTTTGAGACAGAACAGGAAACATGAAAGATCGTGGAAGGTAGAATTTCCTTGAGGAGAACTCAGGCACATGAATCATCCAAAGCTGATGGCTTTCTTTTATCAGCTCATGCATGGGTAAATGACCTCCCCTACATCCAGGTAGTGCAGAGAAACAGGTGAAGGAATATGCATAGTTTATTATAGAGTCCCTAAATTTTTAAATATTTAATACTCGAGCAACTATGATTTGTGTCACTTCTTTCTCCACTATCTCAGAATATTCCTTCCTGTACAGCAACCTCTGCAAAAGAAAATGTATTGCTGCCTCATTTTTCACTAGTTGAAAGAGCATGTTTTGTAGAATGATGAAATTCTATGGTGAGGAAGAAAAGTAACAGAAAAGCAGGTAACAATGATTTAATAAATCAGATGTGAAGTATTTATTGATGTTCCTGAATATGTAATCACCCTTGTATTCTCTGGGCAGCTGAAAAATAAGTATGTATGGAATTCATTTTTCAGTATCCCCACTGTTCTTTAATGAATAGCCATGATGATGTCTTTCTGTAAAAATATGTAGATGTATAATACACATTACACACACACACATACACAAACACACACATCTTTAAAAGGTATGGGTCTCATTAAGTCAAATCTTCTTGACTTACATAAAACAGTCTTTTATTTATTTTTATTTTTATTCATTTTATCTTTATTTTTTTCATTGTTACTTACAAACCTTTAACTTCAGTCTTTACTTCCAAGAGAAGTTTCTGGTTATTTCTTTTAAAATAAATTCCTATATTGTAAAATATAAACTAAGATTCTGATTTTATCAGCAAGTTCTAATTGTTTTACTTAGAGTCATTAAAATATTTATAAACTATTTTATTTATAAATAAAATAATCTGTATCTAAATCCAGAGCAAGCACATACAAATGCTAAATTATCTTAGGAAACCCTAACATATTATTAATAAAATACATATATTTTTTTTTTTTTTGTAGAGATGGGGAGGTCTTGCTATGTTGTGCAGACTGGTCTCAAACTCCTGGGCTCAAGTGATCCTCCATGAGCCACCATGCCTGGCCTAGACATTTTTATAAATTTAATTATTTTCTATTTTAAGTGATAAATTTACTCTTATTTTCTACAGACAACTACCAAATCCTATTGATTCAACCTTCAAAAGCTCTTTCAAATCAGCCTATATCATCAGCTTCATCTGTCACTCCATCATCAGTTTGACTCTTCATCATTTCCTCTCCAAGTTACCATAGTTGCATCCTAGATTGTTTACCTGCTTTGGGTCTTTCTCCAGCCCCTTCTTCTGACCTTTCCAACCCATCCCTCATCCTGTTGCCAGAACTGATTTTCTAAGCTGAAGATCAATTTATGTCCATGTCACTACTCTACTAAACCCCTCCTCTCCTTTCCTACCGTTTAACCTGTGGCCAACAGCTGCCTCTTCTGATCTTCATCTTTAACATTCCCTGATCTTCAGCCACCTCCACTTTCCAGCTTTTTCAAAAAAGACCTTTTTGGTAGTTTCTTCCATATGACTTGCTTTCTCTTGTCTCTGGATATAGGACCATGCTTATGTCTATCTGGAATGTTCCCTTTTATCTCTCTTCACTCCAACCCCCACTTTCTCTATCTCACTTTTTCCTATTGGTCTCTTAAGACAGAAATTTTCTGCCTTTTCTGGAAGACTTATATTGCCAAAGGTTGAATTAGGAAACTCCTTTTCTGGGACCACCTGAAACTCAGTGCATATCATAGCATTTATCTCACAATACTTAAATGTCTATCTTTTACCAGATTGTAAACTCTTGCAGTAATGGATTGGGTGTTGTGTCTCTGGGTCAGGTAGATGGCATAGTAAGTGCTATATGAGGGATGCTCAATAAAAGTTGGCTGGATAGCTAAGTAGATGTACATGTAACAAATTATTTTAAATAAGATATTGTTTAAAGGCTATATTTTGCAACTCTCATTGGAGCTGGAATAATTTGATACTAACTTTGGGCAGAATCAGTTGTGGAAAAAAGACTAAATGGTTGTGAAAATTGAACTGTGTTCTTGTTCATCGTTAGTCTTAAGTACAGGTAGAAAGTGTATACATTTGCTCTCATTTTTTGTATTTTAGACAATCCATTTTCTCACTATTCTCTCACTAAAATAGAAGTTTAAAGGTGGAATGGAAAGATATTGACCTACAAAATAAAAAGACTACAAAATAGCCTATAAGCCATTTAAGTAATACCTATCAAGACTTAATAATATACTTTCAAAGAATTAATGACCGGTTTAGAACAGTTGATGATCTGAATCACATCTGGGAATTATTCACCCCAGGTGGTTATTAATCCTGCACCTTGTAATTAAGATGAGAATAAAAAATAGAACATATGGATTTTTAATGAGTGATAGATGGACCGCAAATTTTAGAGAATTAATACTAACCAGTGAAACTTTCAAAAAACACAGGTTGGCGTTAAATGTTAAATAGGTTTTTGTAATCTGTATCCATGCCATTAGTATTTTGAATTAATGTACCATAGTCAGCAAAATCGATTCTTAAAATGAATTGACTTGGTTTTATTTTAGCAAAGCAAAACCTGTTGTGCTAATAAATATAATGCTTAACTTAGTCTTCTTCTTCCCCATAATTAGCAATGTATATGCAAATACTTCAATGAAATTAAAGAAGTCTTTCATCAAAAGCATGGAGTTAGGATTTGCGTGTGTATATAGTATGTGTGTGTGTATATATATATATATATTTTTTTTTTTTCCTTTGGATGTTCATGCATCCTAAAGGCCATGTTTGGGAGGATAAAATGAAATTTGTCCTCTTAATTTAGAGAGTTTGATTTAATAATGTGATTAATTAAACAAATTATAGGCTTACCTTAAATGCAATGCTTTCTGGTGCACATTAGAAGGAATTTTATTTATGGTTACCAGTGAAAATAAGAAATTCTCATATTCATTATAAATATCATAGTAAATAAATATGTACAGCCACCATATTATAGTTAATTTGTATTCTTTCTGTTGATAAGCATTATACTAATCGTTTGGATGACCATAAGCCCTAGTGGGAACAGAATTGGCAAGGCACATTAGAAGACATGAATGGAGGCCCATATGCCTGGAAAATAGAGAGAGAGAGGGGGAGACAGAAAGATTGAGAGAGAGAGAAAGAGAGAGCAAGCAAGAGAAGGAAAGAGAGGTGTCAAGGAAAAACAGATAAAAGGGCCTTGTAAGTGATGCTAAGGCATGCCATTATTATCCTAATTTCAGTGTAATTTATTAGAGAGTAGTAAGCAAATTAACATTTTGAAAAGATTACTGTAATTGAATGCAGATAGAATAGTTAGAAAAATTCAACCCAAGCACAAGGAACTTAATAGTCTAGATGCAGACTATTAAGTTGAATATTTGAATGTAATATTGTACATTTGACAACAAAAGCTATTATGAGCTAATGTCATTAAATATTATCACACAGCCCCCAGCTATGTTATGTCTATCTAGATATACAATCTGTATCATTCCAACAAGGCCGTCTTCCTTACAAATTACTATTTATATGATGGTTTTGAATAGGTTTTTAAGATTTGAAATCTCTAAGCCTCCAATTTTAATTCTTTTGTCATAGAGAAGGAATAAAAGTTGAATGGTGAAAAACATATAAAGTGAATATTCACAAATATTGTCTATACTTTTACTGATTTATCCTCAATATTTAACATTAGTTGATAGCACTAAGTTTGCCATCAATAAATATCACTTAAGTGAAAACTGAATAAATTGATTATTATTTTGAGTATTAGAATTATTGTAGAAAGATATATTTCACGCAATATACAGAACACTTAATATGGTGTCCACATTCTGCCTAATTTAATTGAAATATTGTCTATTATTAGGTTTAAGACTTTGTAGGATTATGTTTTCATTATTTCACTGAAAATCTTAAAAGAAGATAAAACACTTCAGAGGGAAACTATGAATGTTACTGTATTTCTTTATTTCACTAAAGATCCATTTCTAGCATTTTGCCTTTGTTTATAAACGTAATTTGGATAACATTTATGAACATAATGCTGGATACAAGATCAATATATGAATTCAAATTTATTTCTATCTACCATAAACAAACAAAAAATAAAAATGTATAACATATCATTTTCAACACATCAAAAACACACACTTTTACTGCATGAACTCATGTGCAGAGTCTAGAGAATTTGATCTCATAGAATTAGTGAGTAGAATAGCAGTTAGTGGGGGATAGGGAAGGTACAGGGGAGGGAAAAAGAGACATTGGTCAATGTGGACAAAGTTAGAGTTAGGAGGAAAGAGTTTTGGTGTCCTATTACACAGTGGAGTGACTATGGTTACAATAATATTGCATATTTCAAAAGAACTAGAATTGCTTTTGGCAGTATGATTATTTTTATGATACTGGTTCTTCCCATCCATGAGCATGGAATGATTTCCGTTTGTGTCATCTGTGATTTCTTTCATCAGCATTTCGTAGTTCTTCTCGTAGAGGTCTTTCACCTCCTTTGTTAAGTATATTCCTAGGAATTTTGTTTCATTGTTGTAGCTATTATAAAAGGGATTGGGTTCTTGATTTGATTCTCAGCTTGGTCATTGTTGGTGCATAGAGTGCTACCAATTTGTGTACTCGATTTTGTAACCTGAGACTTTACTGAATTCATTTATCAAATACAAGAGTCTTTTGGAGGAGTCTTTAGGGTTTTCTAGGTATAAGATGATATCATCAGAAGCGAGGAGGATAGGAGGGGGCAGTGAAGGATGAAAAACTACCTATTGGGTACAATGTACGCTATTTGGGTGACCTCTACACTAAAAGCCCAGACTTCACCACTATACAGTTCATCCATGTAACCAATAACCACCTATACTCCGAAAGCTATTATAATAAAAAATTTAAAAAAATAACTATAAGAGAGAATTTTGAATGTTCTCACCTCAAAGAAAAGATAAATGTTTGAAGTATTGGATTTGCTAAATACCTTGATTTGATTATTACATAATGTATACATGTATCAAAACATCACACTGTACCCCACAAATAATGTATAATTATGTGTCAATTTAAAACAAAATAAAGTTAATTAAAAAACCCACAAATACTTAAAGTATCACAAATCTAAGAAAAGATGTGCGAGAACATTGCATTGAAAACTACAAATAACCTTTGAAGAAAATAAAGACATATAGAAATTGAAAGATATACCTGTTCATGTATTGGAAGAATCAGTTTAAAATACAAGTCAAATTTCTCAGTACCCTGTAAATGTAATGAAAGGAAACACCTCAGCTAATATTTTCCCCCCTTTTAAAAAAAATTGAGTTGAAATGAACATATCACAAAATTGACCATTTTAAAGTGAACAACTCAGTATCATTTAGCACATTCACAATATTGTACAACCACTGCCTCTATTTAGAGTGAAAATATTTCATCACCCCATATCCATTAATCTGTTGCACCCCATTCTTCCTCCCCCCACCTCACGCGCTGGCAAACACTAATCTGTTTTTTATCTCTGTGGATTCACCTATTCTGTGTATTTCATATAAATTGAATCGAACAATATATGACCTTTTTGTGTCTGGCTTCTTTTACTTAGCGTGGTTTTGTTTCATTTGCATTGTATAATGTGTCAGTACTTCCTTTTTATAGTTGAATAATATTACATTGTATGTATATATCAGTTCGTTTATCCATTTATATATTAATGAACATTTGGGCTTTGTGCACATTTTGGTTACTGTTAATTGTATTGCTGTGAACATGTGTGTACATTATTTGAGTTCCTGCTTTCAGTTATTTTGGATATATACTTAGGAGAGGAATTTCTGGGTCATATCCCAATTCTGTGTTTAGCTTTACATGGAACCACCAAACTGTTTTCCATAGTGGCTGAACTATTTTTGTGTTCTCATCAGCAATGTGTGAGGGTTCCAGTTCCTCCCTATCCTCACCAATGCTTGTTATTTTCCCTTTGGTTATTCTTTTTTTAATGTATGTAGAAATTGATAAATCATTGTATTAGTCTGCTTTCACACTGCTGTTAAAGACATACCCAAGACTAGGAAGAAAAATAGGTTTATTGTAGTCAAAGTTCCACTTGGCTGGGGAAGCCTCACATTCATGGTGGAAGATGAAAGGCTCTTCTTACATGGTGGTGGCAACAGAGAATGAGAGAGAAGCCAAAGCAGAAACCACTTAAAAAACTATCAGGTCTCCTGAGACTTATTCACTACCATGAGAACCGTATGGGGGAAACTGACTCCGTGATTCAGTTATCTCCCACAAGGTCCCTCCCACAACAGGTGGGAATTATGTGAGTACAATTCAGTGAGATTTGGGTTGGGACAAAGAGCCAAACCATATTATTCTGCCCCTGGCCCCTGTCAAATCTCATGTCTTCACACTTCAAAACCAATCATGCCTTCCCAAAAGTCTTCCAGAGTCTTAACTCATTTCAGCATTAACTCAAAAGTGCAGAGTCCAAAGTCTCATCCAAGACAAGGCAAATTTCTGCCTATGTGCCTGTAAAATAAAAAACAAGTTAATTACTTCCTGGGTACAGGCATTGGGTAAATACAGGCATTCCAAATGGGAGAAATTGGCCAAAACAAAGGGGCTACGGGCCCCATGCAAATCCAAAATCCAGCAGGGCAGTCAAATCTTAAAGCTCCGAAATCATCTCCTTTGACTCCATGTCTCACATCCAGGTCATGTTTATGTAAGAGGTGGGTTCCTGTGGTCTTGGGCAGCTCTGCCCCTGTGGCTTTGCGGGGTACAGCCTCCCTCTTGGCTGCTTTCATGGGCTGCCATTGAGTGTCTACAGCTTTTCCAGGTGTATGGTCTTTCTACTGTGGATCTGCCATTCTGGAATCTGGAGGATGGTGGCCCTCTTCTTACAGCTCCATTAGGCAGTGCCCCTGTAGGAACTCTGTGTGGAGGCTCTGACCCCACATTTCCCTTCCGCACTTTAAGATTTGACTGCCCTGCTGGATTCCCTTCCACACTGCCTTAGCAGAGGTTCTCCATGAGAGCCCTGCCCCTGCAGCAAACTTCTGCCTGGACATCCAGGTGTTTCCATACATCTTCTGAAATCTAGGCAGAGGTTCCTAAGTCCTAATTCTGTTTTTTATTTTATTTTTCCGTAAGTTATTGGGGTACAGGTGGTATTTGGTTACATGCATGAGTAAGTTCTTTAGTGGTGATTTGTGAGATTTTGGTGCACCTATCACCTGAGCAGTATACACTACACCATATTTGTAGTCTTTTATCCCTTTCCCACCTCTCACCACTCCCACCATTCCCCCCAAGTCCCCAAAATCCATTGTGTCATTCTTATGCCTTTGTGTCCTCATAGCTTTGCTCCCATGTATCAGTGAGAACATACGATGTTTGGTTTCCCATTCCTGCATTACTTCACTTAGAATAATAGTCTCCAGTCTCATCCAGGTCACTGATAATGCTGTTAATTCATTCCTTTTTAAGGATTCGTAGTATTCCATTGTGTGTCTGTGTGTGTGTGTGTGTGTGTGTGTGTGTGTGTGTGTGTATAGTCAATCATCAATCTATGTGATATATATCTCACAGTTTCTTTATCCACTCATTGATTGATGGGTATTTGGGTTGGTTCTATGAGTTTGCAGCTGTGAATTGTGCTGCTATAAACATGCGTGTGCGAGTATGTTTTTTGAATAATGACTTATTTTCCTCTGGGTAGATACCCAGTAGTGGGATTGCTGGATCAAATGATAGTTCTACTTTTAGTTCTTAAAGAATCTCCACACTGTTTTCCATAGCAATTGTACTAGTTTGTATTCCCACCAGCAGTGTAGAAGTGTTCCCTGTTCACTGCATCCATGGCAACATCTATTGTTTTTTGATTTTTTGATTATGACCATACTTGCAGGAGTAAGGTGGTATCACATTGTGGTTTTGGTTTAAATTTCCCTGATCATTAGTAATTTTGAGCATTTTTTCATATGTTTGTTGGCCATTTGTATATCTTCTTTTGAGAATTGTCTATTCATGTCCTTAGCCCACTTTTTGATGGGATTGTTTATCTTACAGATTTAAGTTTGTTGTAGATTCTGGATATTAGTCCTTTGTTAGATGTATAGATTGTGAAGATTTTCTTCCAGTCTGTAGGTTGTTTACTCTGCTGACTGTTCCCTTTTCCATACAAAAGCTCTTTAGTTTAATTAGGTCCCAGCTATTTATCTTTGTTTTTATTGCATTTGCTTTTGGGTTCATGGTCATGAAATCCTTGCTTAAGCCAATGTCTAGAAGGGTTTTTCCAATGTTATCTTCTAGAATTTTTATAGTTTCAGGTCTTAGGTTTAAGTCCTTAATGCATCTTGAGTTGATTTTTGTATAAGGTGAGAGATGAGGATGTAGTTTCATTCTCCTACATGTGGCTAGCCAGTTATCTCAACACCATTTTGTTTGGTTTGGTTTTGTATTTTTGAGACAGAGTCTCACTCTGTCACCAAGGCTGGAGTAAAGTGGCATGATCTTGGCTGACTGCAACCTCCCACCTCCTGGGTTGAAGTAATTCTCCCTGCCTCAGCCTCCCAAGCAGCTGAGATTACAGGTACCCGCCACCACACCTGGCTAATTTTTTTGTATTTTTTTGGTAGAGACAGGGTTTCACCATGTTGGCCAGGCTGGTCTTGAACTCCTGACTTCAGATGATTCACCTGCCTTGTCCTCCCCAAAGTGCTAGGATTACAGGCCCAGTACCATTTGTGAAAATGGTGTCCTTTCCCCATTTTATGTTTTTGTTTGCTTTTCGAAGATCAGTTGGCTTTTAAGTATTTGGATTTATTTCTGGATTCTCTATTCTGTTCCATTGGTCTATGTGCCTGTTTTTGTGCCAGTACTATGCTGTTTTGGTGACTATGGCCTTACAGTGTAGTTTGAAATTAGGTAGTGTGATGCCTCTAGATTTGTTCTTTTTGCTTAGTCTTGCTTTGGCTATGTGCGCTCTTTTTTGGTTCCATATGAATTTTAGAAATGTTTTTTCTAATTTTTTGAAGAATGATGGTGGTTTTTTGATGGGGATTGCATTGATTTGTAGATTGCTTTTGGCAACATGGTCATTTTCACAATATTGATTCTACCCATCCATGAGCACGGGATGTGTTTCCATTCATTTGTGTCATCTGTGATGTTTTTCAGCATCATTTTATAGCTTTCCTTGCAGAAGTCTTTTGACTCCTTGGTTAGGTATATTCCTGAGTATTTTATTATTATTATTTTTTGCAGCTATTGTACAAGGAGTTGAGTTCTTGATTTGATTCTGTTTAGTCGCTGTTGGTATATGGAAGAGCTACTGACTTGTGTACATTAATCTTGTATCCAGGAACTTTGCTGATTCTTTTATCAGTTCTAGGAGCTTTCTGGAGGAGTCCTTAGGGTTTTCAAGGTAAACGATCATATTGTCAGCAAACAGTGACAGTTTCACTTCTTCTTTACCGATTTGGATGCCCTTTATTTCTTCCTTCTTGTCTGATTGCTCTAGCTAGGAGTTCCAGTACTATGTTGAAGAGGAGTGGTGAGAGTGGGCATCCTTATCTTGTTCCAGTTCTCAGAGGGAATGCTTTCAACTTTTCTCCATTCAGTATTATGTTGGCTGTGGGTTTGTCATAGATGGCTTTTATTATGTTAAGGTATATTGCATGTATGCCAATTTTGCTGAAAGTTTTAATCATAAAGGGATGCTGGATTTTATCTAATGCTTGGTCTGCATCTATTGAAATGATCATGCGATTTTTGTTTTTAATTCTGTTTATGTGGTGTATCACATTTATTGACTTGTGTATGTTAAACCATCCCTCCACCACTGGTATGAAACCCACATGATCATGGTGGATTATCTTTTTGATATGTTGTTGGATTTGGTTAGCTAGTAGTTTGTTAAGGACTTTAGGATGTATGTTCATCAAGGATATCGGTCTGTAGTTTTTGTTTTTGGTTATGTCCTTTCCTGGTTTTGGTATTAGGGTGATGCTGGCTTCATCGAATGAATTAGGGAGGGTGGCTTCTTTCTCTATCTTGTCAAAGATAGTGTCGAAAGGATTGGTACCAATTCTTCTTTGAATGTCTGGTGGAATTCTGCTGTAAATCCCTCTTGTCCTGAACTTTTTTTGGTTGGTATTTTTTAAATTACCATTTCAATCTCGCTGCTTGTTATTGGTCTGTTTGTGGTATCTAATTCTTCCTGATTTAAGCTAGGAGGGTTGTATTTTTCCAGGAATTTATCCATCTCTTCTAGGTTTTCAGTTTATGTGTGTAATGGTGTTCATAATAGCCTTGAATGATCTTTTGTATTTCTGTGGTGTCAGTTGTGATATCTCCTGTTTCATTTGTTAGTGAGGTTATTTGGATTTTCTCTCTTCTTTTCTTGGTTAATCTTGCCAGTGCTCTATCAATTTTATTTATCTTTAAAAAGAACCAGGGTTTTTTTTCATTATCTTTTGTAATTTTTTTAATTTCAATTTCATTTAGTTTTGCCCTGATCTTTGTTACGTCCCTTTTTCCACTGGGTTTGGGTTTGGTTTGTTCTTGTTTCTCTAGTTCCTAGAGGTGTAACCTTAGAGTGTCAGTTTGTGCTCCTTCAGTCTTTTTGTTACAGGCATTTAGGGCTATGAACTTTCCTCTTAGCACCACCTTGCTGTATCCCAGAGGTGTTGATAGGTTGTGTCATTATTGTTGTTCAGTTTGAAGAATTTTTAAATTTCCATCTTGATTTCTTGTTTGACCCAATGATCATTCAGGAGCAGGTTATTTAATTTCTGTGTATTTGCATGTTTTTGATGGTTCCTCTTGGAGTTGATTTCCAGTTTTATTCCACTGTGGTTTGAGAGAGTGCTTGATATAGTCTGTTTTGGAGAAAGTTCCATGTGCTGTTGAATAGAATGTGTATTCTTCAGCTGTTGGGTGAAATATTCTGTATGTATCTGCTAAATCCATTTGTTCCAAGGTGTAGTTTAAGTCCGTTGTTTCTTTGTTGACTTTCTGTTTTGATGACCTGTCTAGCACTGTCAGTGGAGTATTGAAGTCTCCCACTATTATTGTGTTGCTATCTGTCTCATTTCTTAGGTCTATGAGTAATTGTTTTATAAATTTGGGAGCTCTAGTGTTAGGTGTGTATATGTTTACGATTGTGATATTTTCCTCTTGGACAAGGCCTTTTACCATTATATAATGTCCCTCTTTGTCTCTTTTAACTGCTGTTGCTTTAAAGTTTGTTTTGTCTGATACAAAAATAACTACCCTTACTTGCTTCTGGTGGCTATTTGTATGAAATTCCTTTTTCCACTCCTTATACTTTAAGTTTGTGTGAGTTCTTACATGCTAGGTGAGTCTCCTGAAGGCAGCAGATAGTTGGTTGGTGAGTTCTTATCCATTCTGTGGTTCTGTATCTTATAAATGGAGCATTTAGGCCATTTACATTCCATGTTAGTATTGAGATGTGAGGATCCATTGCATTCATGCTGTTTGCTGTTTTTTTGTTTGTTTTTTGTTTTTGCTTTTTAACTTGTATTTTTGTTTTGTAGGTCCTATGTGATCTATGCTTTAAAAATGTTCTGTTTTGATGTGTTTTTGGGATTTGTTTCAAGATTTAGAGCTCCTTTTACCAGTTCTTGGTAAAAGAGCTGAGACTTTCCAGAGCATTTTGCATTTCTAAAAGTGTGTCCAAAGTTTCCTGAATTTTTGTTTTTTCTTTAAACTATCTATTTTCTTGAATATTTCTACCTTAACTTCTTGTATCATATTTTGGATTTCATTGCATTGGGGTTCGCCTTCCTCTGGTCCCTCCCTGATTAGCTTATTGACTAACGTCCTGAATTCTTTTTGAGGTAAATCAGGGATTTCTTCTTGGTTTGGATCCCTTGCTGCTGAACTAGTGTGATTTGGTTGGGGGGGCGAGGTTGAAGAGCCTTGTTTCTTCATATTACTAGGGTTGGTTTTCTGGTTCCTTCTCATTTGGGTAGGCTCTGTCAGAGGGAGGTTCTAAGGCTGAAGGCTGTTGTTCAGATTCTTTTGTCCCATGGGGTGTTCCCTTGATGTAGTGCTCTCCCCCTTTTCTATGGATGTGGTTTCCTGTGAGCCGATCTGCAGTGATTGTCTTCTCTCTTCTGGGTCTAGCCACTCAGTGAGTCTACCCGGCTCCAGGCTGGTAGTGGTGTTGCCTGTACAGGGTCCTGTGATGTGAACCATTTATGGGTCTCAGCTGTGAATACCAGTGCCTGTTCCAGTGGAGGTGGCCAGGGAGCAGGGGTGCAACAGGACTCCTTGAAGGTTCCTAGCTTTGGTGGTTTAATGCTCTATTTTTGTGCTGGTTGGCCTCCTGCCGGGAGGTTATGCTCTCCAGAGAGCACCAGCTGTGGTGGTATCAGGAGGAACCAGGGTGGGCAGGGCCCTAGAACTCCCAGGATTATATGCCCTTTGTTTTCTGCTACCAGGGTAGGTAGGGAAGGACCATCAGGTCAGGGCGGGGCTAGGTGTATTGAGCTCAGACTCTCCTTGGGCAAGTCTTGCTGTGGCTACTGTTGGGGATGGGGGTGAGATTCCCAGGTCCCTGGAGTTGTTTACCTATGAGGATCATGGCTCCCTCTGCTGAGTCATGCAGGTTATCAGGGAAGTGGGGGAAAGCCAGCAGTCACAAGCCTCACCCAGCTCCCACGCAAACCAAAGGGCCCCTGTCTCACTCCCACTGTGCCCCCACAACAACTCCCAGTCTGTTTCTAGGTGGAGAGTGATGTGGGCTTGAAAACCTGCCCCAGGCTACCCACCTCCCAGCTGTGAAAGAAAAGGGTTTGACTCTTCCCCCACCTGTGGAGTCTGCACACCGGATTTGCACCCTCCCCCAAGTTCTGGCCAGGAAGCTTCTCACCCCATTTAGATTGCTAGAAGGTTCAGCTAGCGTTTTCCTTCTCCCTGTGGAATTTTACCCCCTGCTCCTCTCCCATTGAATCCCTGTGGTGCCAGGCAGGAATGGCCTGCTTGGCGACCCAGCGAGCTCACAGGGCCTTTCTACTGCTTCCCCTACCACTGTATTTCGCTCGGCTCTCCAAATTGACTCAGCTCCAGAAAAAGTCAGAAACTTCTCCCACAAACAGACCTTCAGCTTCACCAGTTGGGGTGTATGTTGGGGAGAGGAGGGTCTCCCTTTTCCACTTCCACAGTTGGGGGTCACCTGGGTCCTGCAGGAGCAGTCTGCTTCCCTCAGAGGGTCTGTGGGTCCTCTCGGGGTTGCTGGCCAAACCCGGATTCTTGACTTCTGTGCACTGGCAGGCTCAACACCACGTGGAAGCTGCCAAGGCTCGGTGCTTGCATCCTCTGAAGCCACAGCCTGAGCTCTATGTTGAACTCTTTCAGCCATGCCTG
This sequence comes from Homo sapiens, assembly GCF_000001405.40. Lineage (NCBI taxonomy): Eukaryota > Metazoa > Chordata > Mammalia > Primates > Hominidae > Homo > Homo sapiens. Next base: position 96,888,613 of record NC_000003.12, read on the forward strand.
GAGTGGCTGGGATGCAGGGCACCAGGTCCATAGGCTGCACACAGCACCAGGGACCCTGGGCCTGGCCCAGGAAACCACTTTTTCTTTCTAGGCCTCTGGGCCTGTGATGGGAGGAGCTGCTGTAAAGACCCCTGACATGGTCTGGAGACATTTTCCCTGTTGTCTTGGTGATTAATATTCAGCTCCTTGTTACTTATGCAAATTTCTACAGCTGGCTTGGATTTCTCCTCAGAAAACAGGATTTTCTTTTCTATCACATTGTCAGGCTAAAAATTTTTTGAACTTTTATGCTCTGCTTCCCACATAAAACTGAATGCCTTTAACAGCACCCAAGTCACATCTTGAATGCTTTGCTGCTTGGAAATTTCTTCCGCCAGATACCCTAAATCATCTCTCTCATGTTCAAAGTTCCACAAATCCGGGGCAAAATGCGGCCAGTCTCTTTGCTAAAACATAACAAGAATCACCTTTGCTCTAGTTCCCAACAAGTTCCTCATTTGCATCTGAGACCATATCAGCCTGGACTTTACTGTACATATCACTGTCAACATTTTGGACAAAGCCTTTCAACAAGTCTCTAGGAAGTTCCAAAGTTTCTCACATTTTCCTGTCTTCTGAGCCCTCCAAACTGTTCCAACCTGTGCCTGTTACCCAATTCCGAAGTTGCTTCCACATTTTTGGGTATCTTTTCAGCAACACCCCACTCTACAGGTATCAATTTACTGTATTAGTGCATTTTCCGACTGCTAATAAAGACGTATCCGAGACTGGGAAGAAAAAGAGGTTTATTGGAGTCACAGTTCTGTGTGGCTAAGGAGGCCTCACAGTCAGGGCGGAACGTGAAAGGCACTTCTTACATGGTGGTGGCAAGAGAGAATAAGAAATCAAAGCAGAAACCCCTTATAAAACCATCAAATCTTGTGAGTCTTATTCACTACCATGAGAACAGTATGGGGGAAACCACCTCAATGATTCAATTATCTCCCACCAGGTTCCTCCCACAACATGTAGGAATTATGTGAGTACAATTCAAGATGAGATTTGGGTGAGGACTCAGAGGCAAACAATATCAGTCACTTCCAAAATTGTATGCAAATTCAAAGAATAGCTAAGGAAATCTGAAAGAAGAAGAATACTGAGGCATTTACACCACAAAATACGAAAACTTATTATAATGCTATAGTATATACCCCAGTACAATATTGGTGCAGGGATAGACAAATTTACTAGCAGGAAATACTAGAAAATTTAAAAGCAGACCCACCATTTATTAAGTGACCTGATTTACAAGATGGTATTGCAATAATATGAGAAAAACATTTTTCAATAAATCTGGGGCTTGCAGGATATCCACATTGGAATACATATATATATTGACCTCTTATACCTTATACACAAAAGTCAATGCCAAATGAACTAGAGCTCTAAATCTGAAAGATGCAATTATAAAGCTAAAAATATTTCATGAGTTTTGAATGGTAGATATTTATTAAACCGAACCCCCAAAATAAAAAAAAAAACATAAAAATATAAACGATATTACATATTGAACTACATTAATATTAAAGGCTTTTATTCATTAAAAGAAACCAGTAAGAACAGCAAAAGGCAACACACAGGTTGGAAGACTATATTTGCAGTACAGTTATTTTAAAAAGGATTTATATTCAGAATATTTAAAGAACTCCCACAAACCAACAAGAAGACAGATGAAGATGACACGGTAGAAAAAATGGACCCAAAGTCTTATGTGAGTATTTGAGAAGTGAGAATGGCCAAATAGTCAATAGACATATGAAAAGGAACTTAATCTTTAAAATGCATTAAAACTTGAAGATTAGAAGGATTGATAGATATGTTATTTAAAAATGTATACTAGAATAGTATCATATTTATGTGGTACATATAATATTTATGTGGAACATATAAGGTTGTCATTGTAAAATTCTTTATTCTTTTTTTGGTTCCAAAATTGTTATCATGAATATATTGGAATAATATTTAGAACAGAATGAATTTTCAATATGCACATAAAAAAATGACTAAACTGAAAACAAAATAAAATGTCAATTTTCGAAGAGGATATGGGGCAAGTAGAGCTCTCATACACCACTAGTGAGTGTGAAAATTGGTATAACTACTTTGGGAAACTATTTGGCAATATCTATTAAATCTTAATACACACATTCCCAGTCAGATGTGGTGGCTCATGCCTGTAATCCCAGCACTTTGGGAAGCCAAGGCAGGTGGATCACTTGAGGTCAGGAGTGCAAGGCCAGCCTGGCCAACATGGTGAAACCCTGTCTCTACAAAAAATAGAAAAAATCAGCGAGGCATGGTGGCACATGCCTGTAATCCCAGCTACTTGAGAGGTTGAGGCAGGAGAATTATTCCTGGGATGTGGAGGTTGCAGTGAGCTGAGAACTTGTGCCACTGCACTCCAGCCTGGGTGACAGAGTGAAAGAGACTCCATCTCAAACAAGCAAACAAACAATAGCTACAACCTGGCTATTCTACCTCTAGATATATGCACAGTAGAAATGTGTATACATCTTTACAAAGAAACGTGGACATAACTGCCAATCAGCAGTAAAATATATAAATAAATGGTTGTCTAGGCATAAAAATACTATAAAGCAAAGAAACTGAAAAAAAATCTGTTTTTATACAGCACTATAGATGAATGCCACAAATATTGTTGAACAAAAGAAACTGGAAACCAAAGAGCACATACAGTGTGATTCCACGTATGTAAAATTCAAAACAGGCAAAATTAATCTATAGTCTTTGAGGTCACGATAAAGGTGACTGGAAGGGGCCAGAAATCAGGCTTTTAAAATGCTGGTAAAACACTCTGGGAGACCGAGATGGGCAGATCACTTGAGGTCAGGAGTTCGAGACCAGCCTTCAACATGGTGAAACCCTGTCTCTACTAAAAATACAAAAATTATCTGGGTATGGTGACGGGTTCCTGTAATCCCAGCTACTTGGGAGGCTGAGGCAAGAGAATTGCTTGAACCCGGGAGGCGGAGGTTTCAATGAGCCAAGATCGCACCACTGCACTCCAGCATGGGCAACAAGAGTGGAACTGTCTCAAAATAAATAAATAAAAATAAAAATAAATGCTGGTGATATGCTGTTTTGACATAGATGATAGCTACATGGGTCTGTTCCATTTGAGAAAAATTTATCGATCTGTACATTTAGCCATATACTTTGTTCTGTTCCCTGGGAGAAACTCCCTTTTGAATTGTGTCTGTGTTTTCTGGTTATGCTTTTGAGAAAATATTTTTCTCATCCATAAACACAGCTGAAGTGGTCCTTGGAGAGTTATTCTTGTCAGTTGAACAGGTTACATTGCCTATTGGTGCAGTTTTGGAGGCCCACAGACAGCTTTAGAGTTGGAAAGACTTACTCATTGCAGATATATGATTTATTTGTAAATAACATTTTCTTTAAAAGCTTGGTAGGCTTTGGTCAGTTTCATGTTTGACTTGAGAAACTACAGCCATTGACTTCATATAGAGAGATACCACATCATAGGAGGCAGAGAATACACACACACCTCTCTGTGCTTGGGCCCAGTTATGAAACATTATTTGGTTTTTTGTTCGTTTGTTTGTTTTGAGACAGAGTCTTGCTCTGTCGCCCAGGCTGGAGTACAGTGGTGTGATCTCGGCTCACTGCAACCTCTGCCTCCTGGGTTCAAGAGATCCTCCTGCCTCAGCCTCCTGAGTCGCTGGGACTACAGGTGTCTACCACCACTCCTGGTTAATTTTTTTGTACTTTTTATAGAGATAGAGTTTCGCCGTATTGGCCAGGCTGGTCTCAAACTCATGACTTCAAGTGATCCACCTGCCTCAGCCCCCAAAGTGCTGGGATTACAGGCATGAATCACTGCGCCTGGCCAAAAGATCACTTCTTATTGTTGCATTGACCAGAACTAGTGATATCATCGGGACTCAGATATGGAGGGAAATTCAAGGAATAATTGGTGAGTATTATTGTCTGTGTAATGACTGCCCAAATCTCGGAATCTACTTTTAATTTTAGAACTCATGAGGTTTTCTTGGTGGTTGCTTTTTTTCTCTTCAAGAAAATTCATAAATATTTTCTGCTCATGCATTCCATTCTCTCATGGGATGAGATAAAGTTTGAAACCTTTTAACCTGTTCCTTGAATTTCTTAACAAGTCTTTCATAATTTTTAATTATTTTGTTTCTTGTAGGTAAATAAGGATAAATTATCAGTAACATATGTCTATGTATATTCCAGTTTATTAGTCACTTTTTATCTAGTCTAGTGTTTAGCCTAGCCTGATTCCAACTTATATATATATATATGTGTGTGTGTGTGTGTGTGTGTGTGTTCGTGTGTGTGTGTGTGCGCGCGCAAAGTCATGTGCCACAAAACCACATACATGTGATGATGGTCCCGTAAGATTATAATCGAGCTGAAAAATTCCTCTTGCCTGTGACGTTGTAGCTATCATAACATCATAGCACAATGCATTACTCCTGTATTTGTGGTGATGCTGATGTAAACAAACCTACTGCGCTGCTAGTCATATAAAAGTATAGTGCATATTATTATGTACAGTACATAATACTTGAACATTATAAATGACTGTGTTACTGGTTTATGTATTTACTATACTACCCTCTTCATCATTATTTCTACTTATAAAAAAGTTTACTGTAAAACAGTGTATCATGTTATGTGGACAGATGCCTTGCATCTCATGTTTATTGTGTCTCTTGATTACATCATTTTATCTTGCATCGATTTAATTTTGTGTTGTTTTATTCATTATGACCCCAACCATATAAAATCCATACCTAATATTCTCAGTAAGAGGCCATGTGGAGTGACCAACCTGGAAACAAAGTCAAAAGTGATTAAGGATTATTTAGGTGGGAAATTAATGATGATTATTGCACACCAGTCAGGCGTGTCCCATTCCACCATAGCTATGATCTTGAATGACAAGAACAAAGTAATAGGAGTTGTTAAAGTATCTGCTCATTGAAAGCAGCAAAACTAACAAGAATTGGAGAAGGGCCTGTATCAGATACGGAGAAACTTGCAGTGATCTAGCATGAAGACCAGACACAGAAGTCTAGCCTTCTCAGCACCATGACAGTTATGACTAAAGCAAAAAGATTGTTTGCTATGTTGAAAGCAAAGGTTTGACCTGTCTATGATGCTGAATTTACTGCTAGCTCTGGGTTGTTTAAATGATTCAAGAATTGATGTTCATTACATGATGGAAAAGTGATGGTAAGTCTATGAATGCTGATGTGAAGACAGCTGAAGAATTTTTAGAAACTCTAGATAAGCTGATTGTGGAGGAAAATTACTTGTCATAGAAAATCTCCAATATGGATGAAACGTCTCTATTCTGGAAACAGATGCCTGGAAGGACTTTCATCCAAAATGAGGTCAAGTCAATGCTAAGTTTCAAGACTTTTAAGGACAGAACAACAGTCTTGCTTAGGGGCAGTGTTATGGGCTACATATTGAATTCATTTGTGATCTGGCACAGAAAACACCTCAGGGTCTTCAAGTATGTCAGTAAGAACACACTGCCAATGTGTTACAAGAACAATAAGAACTCATCGATGACCCACCTTCTCTTTCAAGATGCCCTTCTGAGTTGCTGCTATGCCAGTGAAATGGAGAGATACTGTTTGAAGAATAACATACTTTTAAATTTTTTGCTTATTATTGATAATGCTCCTGCATATCCTCCTTTTATTGGTGATCTTCATTTCAATAACAAAATCATGTGTCTCTCTCCAGACAACTCTCTGATCCAACCAATGGATCATGGATTACAGCAGCTTTTAAGGCCTGCAATTTAGGAGGATCTTTGTCCATGCTATTGCTACAACCAAGGAATACACCGAGAAAACACTGTTTCAATTCTGGAAGGATGACTGCATGAAGAACCTTGCTTGGGCTTGAGATAATGTCAGCAAAGAAGGTATGAATGGCATAGGGAAGAAGACAATCGAGTTTGTCCGTGATTTCAGAAGACATACCGAGAATGTATATGATGCAAACATCAACAAGGTTGTGGTTGAGATGGCAAACAACTTTAATGTGGACGTGGATGAGGATGACATTGAGGACCTCTTATAGGTGGTTCCTGAGAAATTGCTTAAGGATGAGTGGAATAGGAATGCATAGATGAACAAGAAACAAAAGCAAAGGAAAGTGCAGGAAAAGAAAAAGGAGAACCCCCAGAAAATTCACAAGTGTTTAGTAGAAGCTTTTGCAGACCTCAACAAGCTTCCTAAAAATTTGGAAACATGGACCCCCAACACCAAAAGGTTTTCATTAATAGAGAAGAATGTTCATGGTGTATTATCTACTTACAAGCAAATCTGTGATGAATAGAAGAAACAAACCAAGCAAACCACCATGGACAATTTCTGAAAAGTGTGACACCTCCTCTGGAAGAGCCTCAGGCAGGTTCTTCAGAAAGTATTCCAGAAGGCATTGCCATCATACGAAATGGCAGTTTCATGCCTGCTTTTGCCCCTGAAGACCTTTCAGTGGGACAGGATAAGGAGGTGGAAGACAGTGATATTGATGATCTTGAATCTGTGCAGACTTAAGCTAATCTTGTTTTTTTTTCTTAGTTTTTCACAAAAAATTAAAAAAATAAAAAATAATAAAGGTTGTAGAATAAAGATGTAAAGAAAAAAGTATTTTTGAACAGCTATCCCATGTTTGTATTTTAAGTAATATTTTTATAAAAGGGCCAACATTTAAAAAATTAAAAGTCTGTAAATCAAAAAATGTTACAGTAAGCTAAAGTTAATTTATTATTGGAGAAAGAAAAAAATTAAAATAAATTTAGTGTAGCCTAAGTGTACAGAGTTTATAAAGTCTATAGTACCTTACAGGAATGTCTTAGGCCTTCACATTCACTCACCACGCAGTCACTGACTCACTCAGAGCAACTTGCAGCTCTGCAAGCTCCCTTCATGGTAATTGACCTATACAGGTGTGCTACTTTTTATCTTTTATACTGTTTTTTGTTGTTGTTGTTGTACCATTTCTATGTTTAGGCACAAAAATATTTACTGTTGTGTTACAATAGCCCAGAGTATTAAAGCTTCTAGTGTTTGCCTGTAATCCTGGGCATCCCCTGGTTTATAGGTGCATCGCTCTACTTTGATCTGCCATCTTTACATGTCCATCTTTCCTCCGTGTATATCTGTGTCTTCACACAGGCTTCTTATAGGGACACCAATCATTGAATTTGAGGAGTAACCTAATTCATTATGATCTTATCTTACAGTAAGACCACGTACCTATTTTTAGCCTGGGTGCAATAAGCTGTACCATGTAGCCTATGTGTGAAGTAGGCTTTATCATCCAGGTTTGTGTAAGTATACTCTTATGATGTTTGCACAATGATGAAATCACCTATCAATGCATTTCTCAGAATGTATCCCCGTTGTTAAGCAATGCATGACAGTGACAGTATATATACATTTCTAGTATTTTTTGCTATCCTCTCCTTTTTGCCTTTTTTACTCTGTCCTCCGCCTTTATTTTATTCTTCTCATCAATGAGGTTTTCCTTTCATTTATAACATTAACATCTTAAATACACTTGTGAATCCTTTTAGACTACATAGGGATGTAATTTTCATTTATGCTTACTTTATGTTTCTGATGTTGGTTTTATCTGCTTACTTTCCTCACCTGGATTTCTTCAGCCTGTTTGATTCCTTATTGCCAAACTAAGTTTGCAGACTGCACAGCACTTTCTTTGTTTACTTGTTTTTTAACTTCATTTCTTCTGTTAAAGTGGGCAATGAAATGGTGTAAAAAGTCTGGATTCAAGCAGTAAGCCTGGTCCCTGTCTTCAGTCTCACATTAATGATTTTTAGTTCTTTGCCCTGCCGTAAGAGTTAAAACCACCAGCCACAAGTCTCAGCAAGCCTGTGGCATCAGGTCTCCATCACGTTGCATTGGTGTTACTTTTCTTCTAAGGAGCTCTTATGTTGTTTTTATCCTGGCTATGTAATTTTGATTTTTGAGTTCTACTACATTTTATCATTTTCCTATCTTGGGAAGGAAGGGCCATCAAAGCAAGGAATTATGATATCACCTTAATGGGAAATTCAACATAACAAAAAGCAAGACTCTTCACTTACCTATTGGTTAGAGGGCCTTTTACATGCCTGTTAGGTTTTGCAAATTTTTCATTTATCCATTCAAGTTGAATAGTGTAAGCCATCTGTTTAAATTTTTAGAAACTTCTGCCCTTAATTCTTAAAAAAGTTACCACAAAATTAAAACAGCTATTTTCCCAAATATTATTATAGTATTTCAGGAAAAATTGTTATGAAAACATAGTTTGGTGTTATTGTAATAAAAATAGTATGATCTTTAGAAATATATTTTATTAGAATTCACTGTTAAGGACTCTATACATGCTAATACATCTTTAACAAAGTGTTTGTACAAACATCAATTGGAATTTCATGCCAATTATATTTTTATTTTATGTATTTTATACTACTTTTCAGGTAAACATACATATGCACATATATATCTATATATCTGTGTATATACAAACACACACACACACACACACACACACACACATACTGTTTATCAAGGCTGTTCATGCTATATAGTGATCTTGCCATGTGTCTATTAGCAAACCAAATTTCTTCTTATGACAAGTATAACCCATTTTCTTATTTATTTGCAAGCAAATCTTGGTAGGTGCTAACACCTGACCATAGTGGATAAAGTCAAGAAGCAAGCTATACTTTTCTTCTGGCTTTTCAGGTTTACATTTAGGAAGAAGAGAGGTTGTTATTGAATCATAAATGTATCTTTATGTATTCTCATTCCTAGGCTGAGTCGTCTGTTCAGAGATTCACTCTCTGTTTAGAAATGCAGTCTTCATTTAATGTCCTCAAAATATGCTCTTTTGCAGCCTCTTCCTTCTGTATAAAACTAAATGTGTCATTTGTCCCTGAGCAGATGTTAACAAGTATAAACAGAAAGTCGAATGCAGCTACATATATAGAGAAAACAGCAAAATAAAAAGGGAGAGGTGCTAACTAAAATTAAAGTGCAATTTAGTGACTTTATGTAAAATTTTTTTCTAGATGCATTGCAAAATTCTAAATATCTGTGAGTATGTTGATTGACAATGTGAATGATGTAACAGACATTTTCAGCACATCTTGGCCTATCAGAATATATGAATTTGGCAATTCCTTCCTTTGATTATGGAAAGTATAATATAAGGGAATGAAGTAGTCCTCATTGGTGAACTAGTTAACGCTGCTATTTAGTGCCAGAGAGTTATCAAGGCAAAATATTTTATCCCTCATTGCGTAATTTTAAATCTTAAATATTTTAAAACCTAAAAATGAAAAAAGAAAATATTGATTTTATAATATTTGCTTCAGTTTTAAGAAATCAATGTTGTTGAAGTTGTCTGTTTTGTTGCAAATATTACTGAACATGGAAAACACCTATTAAAACTGTGATGCATAGTTGAAAGTTAACCCTTAACTGAGACAATGTCTGGTAATGAAAGGCAACATTTACATATGTTGTCTCATTATCCAAACTATTTGAAAAATATTAAAGCAGTGAACTCTACCTATATAATTACTTTCTAGTATTTGCAGTGTGACTTAAATATTATTATGAGGAACCATGCTAAGGATCAGAAATAGATTTTCATTGAAATGGGGAAAACATAGCGAATAGAAGAAATATGTCTTAGCGTAAACAATGGAGGATAGTTTTACGACCTCAGCAATACCTTCCTGCCCCGATTTCCTTATTCCAGCTACCACTTGTCTGACCTGGGAGTCAAAATTATCATTCAAAATTGTAAAAGATGCTTTTATTCTCAGTGCTTACCCATTCATAAATTACTTAAATAATATATATGACTAATACATCTTTGTGTATATATGCAAGAAATATAATTTGTAGATAATTTCAGTAACCCATTATGACTAGTTAAAAGTATAACCCAATCAGGAATTCTTATATATCATATATATTTTGTTATGTATTAGTATCCTAGGGCTGTCGTGACAAATAATCACAGACTGATTGGCTTAAAATAACAGGAATTTGGCCGGGCGCGGTGGCTCACGGCTGTAATCCCAGCACTTTGGGAGGCCGAGACGGGCGGATCACGAGGTCAGGAGATCGAGACCATCCTGGCTAACACGGTGAAACCCCGTCTCTACTAAAAATACAAAAATTAGCCGGGCATGGTGGCGCGCGCCTGTAGTCCCAGCTACACGGGAGGCTGAGGCAGGAGAATGGCGTGAACCCGGGAGGCGGAGCTTGCAGTGAGTTGAGATCGCGCCACTGCACTCCAGCCTGGGCGACAGAGCGAAACTCCATCTCAAAAAAAAAAACAAAAACAAACAAACAAAAAAAAAACAGGAATTTATTGCCTCACAGTTCTAGAGGCCAAGAGTCTGAAACGAAGGTATTGGCAAGACCAAGCTCCCTTTGAAGGTTTAGGAAAAAAATTTTTCTTGCCCCTTTTAAGCTTCTAGTGTTTGCCTGTAATCCTTGGCATCCCTTGGTTTATAGGTGTATCACTCTACCTTCTGCCTCCATCTTTACATGTCCATCTTCCCCCTATGTATATCTGTGTCTTCATACAGCCTTCTTATAAGGACATCAGTCATTGGACTTGGGGAGTTCCCTAATTCATTATTATCTTAATTACATATGCAAAGACTTTATTTCAAAATAAGATAATATATTTTTACCAGTTCTAGGGGGAACATGAAGTTTTGGGAAAAACTACTACAAGTCAGCATATTAATTTTTATAATGATATAAAATTTCTACTTTTGATTTAAAGCAGAGCCATGTGACAATCAAATATGTAGACTAATTCAATATGAAGTCATTAATTTTGATCAGTGTGTGTCCCTTTCTTCAAGGTTAACACCTGACATCTGGGTGAACTCATTCTCATCAAGAAGTATTTGGAGATCTAAGTAGATTTAAATACATAGCACTAGTAAAAAATATGTGATAGTTATATATTGGTAAAACAATTAACTGTTTTGTTTTCTGTTTTTAGTATTTTATTTATAAGCAGTAGTCCTGTTGCATGGAGGGTGCTGTCTTTAGTGAAATCTGAGGAATACTGTTAAATACAACACAGAGAAGAATAAAAACATAGGGATTTTGGAAATCTGCACACTTTTTTTTTCCAATTTCAGGAAATAATCTTAATTCACACTTTAGATGTGACCTCTAACAGCCTTATATAGATCTTGGAAAGTTTGTGAAGTGATGAAAACATGTAATGATTTTCTGTGAATTTCTGTTGATCTTACAGGTGCTCCCTACTGGGAGGCTTTGATTTATTCTGTACTGTGAACCATGGGAAAGTAAAGTATTACACAGGCCGTTTCCTTTTAAGGTTGAAATGGGAATTATTATTAATTACCCTGGGACAATAGGTATAAAGAGGACACTTGAGCCTCCTAGCTATTTAGAAACCTACTGATCTTTTTATTGCTAATTTGAATAATTGTTTCTCTCACATGCCTCATCACAGAATAAAGTAATGATCAGACATGACTTCTCTTAGTCATGGTTAATGTTTCATAGCCATTGAACTAGTGAGAAGAAAGGTACTAAGGCAGTGGGATGACTATGCAAAATGGTATTACCTGTTTTGTGAAATCCCATAGAGGGAAGAAACTACATATGTAATTTGGAAGAAAATGTAAAAGCTACTGTCTTTAATTTAAAATTCACATATAATGAATTAAACATTATTCTTGCATACATATCTTTTTTCCCAATTGCATGGATTACTGAAAATAAAATTAAGTGGTACTGAAAATCATCAGAATATCATTGAAAATACTCTGACACCCATGGATAGGGAGGGCCAATTATATAGGAAATACTAAAGGCAACAGAGGGAGCTTTTGAGGAACAGAGAATACGGCTGTGACAGCAAGCATGGAAAGAGACGTTTGATTTTGGAAATCCCTTATTATCTACAGAGTGTTACTGAATAAGAAGATTCACATGGATTGTTTTTGCCACAGAAATAGGTTCTGGCATGTGCCAATGCGATTAAGCACCCTATTCATCTCTGTCAGTCATGGCCCTTCAAAGACTGTTTTCAAAGAATTGCTTGTTATGAGGAGGAGGACAGGAGGAAACATTTGAAGAACAAATGATTAATGGCATCGTTACTGAGTCTTGTAGTTCTTATGCAAAACCTACAGTGTTTGTATGAAAACATGGGAACAACTGGAATATCCATGGATTTCCTCATTCTGAATCTTTGACCTGAAAATACATTAACCTAACAAGCCACATATTGAAACTAAACTTGATTTCATGGCTAGATAGGAAGTGGTGATCAGTGTTGGTTCTATCTACACATTTTGCTGGGAATAGAAAAGAGCTAATATTATTTCTATTGTATAAATTATGACATTTGGTCTTTGGGGGCAACCTGTTAATAGAGACTAAAATTCATGGAGAATGAGGCATTCAGTAATATACAATAGTTTTTATTAACTTATGAGACTCTCATTAGCCAACAGATTTTGAAGCTCTATGCCATGGGTACCTTAAATTAACATGGATAAATGAAAAAAAATCTTATGTTGGACTATATGTATAAAATAACCTGATTTTTGTAACAACAATACCTACAAAGTTTTGGGGACTATACATGTATGTATAATATACATACAATCAAAGAAATATATTTTGTCATTGCCTTCCAACTGGTTATACTGTAGTAATCTGTGACTTATTGGATTCAGGACTGGATTGAGAAAAGATGGGAAAATCTGGGAAAAGATTTTTTTTTTTTACTTGATATTCTGTAGAAGATGTTTGAACTTCCAGAAAGGGACAGAATTATTAAAATCTTACTTGTCATAACAGATATGATAAAAAATAAAATTACATAATGTATAACATTCAAAATGAAGGAAGAACAGTCTTCTTTGTTGCCAAAAGGCTGAGAGTGGTGTGTTGGTCCTTAGGTTAAAAAAAGGAAAGAGGGATGTGTAACAAAATTACTGTTGCCAAGGAGAACAAAGAGGATCCCTGCTTCATTTTCTGGGCAAGACCCTGCAAGTATAATTATGTTTCTTAAGACTTTTCAGGTTGCCACTACTCTCCTTCAAACAAGTCACAGAAATGATGTTATTATCAACTATTTGGATATGATTGATATTATGCATTAATGTGCCAATTCTGCCAAACATCTATTAAATATGTGAGATATATAGTACCAGTAGAAAGGTTAAATATTTTCCTGAAGGTACTTTTTAACTATTGTGCTTACAAATAAGTCACAGGAACTTAAATATATCATTCTGGCTTACTACAGAGGATGGGGGTAATTACACCAATTTCACAAAACTTATTACTAATTTACAGTGTCAGCCTATTATGTTGCTAATAAGAAAGATAAGGGAAAGGTGAGACAAGGCCATGGAAAGGACAAGGACGATGGAGACTGCTGGCATTATTTAACATCTTATGAAATTGCTGCATTGTGAAGAGCAGGTATACTTGTTAAAAAGAGCAGATATTTGGCAGAAAATTAATTTTAAAGCAATGTATCATCAGTCTTATCTAGTCAGGACAACAGAAACATCCTAGTTAATTCAAACAGAAAGTATTTAAAACATGAAATTTTTTCCCAAAGTATTAGAATGATGGAGGAGTAAAAGGGGGAGAGACTATATGTAATTATCACTTACCACTGGAAACTACTATTACCTCTTTGGCTGGAGGGGCAAAAGGGAAAGCAGTGACCCAGAGCCCTATTATGGCATGCTGCTGTGGCCACTTCGGCTCTTCAAATTACTGACTTTCCATATTTCAGCAACCCTTGAGTCACACACCTCCTGATGCTACAGGAACCTTGGAACCCATAGGCTGAATGAAGCTCCTGGACTCATCTAGGCTATTGATGGAGTCCACATTTCAGTTGTTACTACTGCATTGTCTGTTGTTGGAGTCAGAGCCAGTGAGCACTGTGCTGCTGAGTCTGCTGAACTAGCTCTGCTTCTGTTGCCAGAGCCAGAAGCAGAAGAGGGGAAAAATGCCTTTTCTCCCCTTCCTTTTAATTTCCTACCGGGATCTTTTATTGACAAGATCTACTGGAGATCACACAGCATTGGATTCTGCAGAATTCCAGCTACAAATTGTATTAATTTATTCAACAAGCATATATTGAGTATTTACAGTGTGCTAGATATATTTTTAAGCATTGGAGACTCCAAAGTAAATAGACGAGAGAGAAGTCTGCCTCTGTGGTGCTCACACTTTAGCAATGAGCAAGAAAATAATCACATATATAAATAACTGTAATGTAATATGATGATAAGGACCAAGAAGAAACAAATAAATAAAATACTGATATAAAAGTTATAGACTTATGGTGAAGTGGTGCCAGAGTTGAGGGAGTCTACCTGATAAAGTAGTATTTGAGCAAACTTCTAAAGAAAATGGATTCTGAGCCATCTGGGTATCTGCAGAAGAGTGTTCTTGGGAGAGGTGTAATATAGTACAAAGCCCTTCAAGCTCAGATGATTGGCAAGTATGAGACCAAAACATGGAAGCCAGCATGGCTGGTGCAGAGGGGCAAAGGCAAGAGTTGTAGGAGTTGAGGACAAAGAGGTGTCATTCTCCTTCCCCTGCTCTGGGAAGTAATTTGAATTTCTTATGTGCGATTTTGTCTACAGATCAGGGTTCATATGTTATATTTTCTTGGAAAATCACCCTTAAAATGTGTAATTTTTATATTAACAAACAAAATGGGGAATGGGGTAGTTGATGTTAATTTAAATGTCAGAAGATTATTTGTATTTTTATGGGACAGTTGAGTTTCTGTTACTTTAAACTTTACTATAAAGTTTGTTACTATAAACTTTAAAAATGCTCATTAAGAAGTTTTTACCCCAAATTATCATCATAACTTCATAATATTTTAATAATTTTTTAAACAATTTTAGAGAAATAGTTTTGCAATCTAGGCAACCTACGGAATGGGAGAAAATTTTTGCAACCTACTCATCTGACAGAGGGCTAATATCCAGAATCTACAATGAACTCAAACAAATTTACAAGAAAAAACAAACAACCCCATCAAAAAGTGGGCAAAGGAAATGAATAGACACTTCTCAAAAGAAGACATTTATGCAGCCAAAAGACACATGAAAAAATGCTCATCATCACTGGCCATCAGAGAAATGCAAATCAAAACCACAATGAGATACCATCTCACACTAGTTAGAATGGCAATCATTAAAAAGTCAGGAAACAACAGGTGCTGGAGAGGACCTGGAGAAATAGAAACACTTTTACAGTGTTGGTGGGACTGTAAACTAGTTCAACCATTGTGGAAGTCAGTGTGGCGATTCCTCAGGGATCTAGAACTAGAAATACCATTTGACCCAGCCATCCCGTTACTGGGTATATACCCAAAGGATTATAAATCATGCTGCTATGAAGACACATGCACACGTATGTTTATTGTGGCAGTATTCACAATAGCAAAGACTTGGAACCAACCCAAATGTCCAACAATGATAGACTGGATTAAGAAAATGTGGCACATATACACCATGGAATACTATGCAGTGATAAAAAATGATGAGTTCATGTCCTTTATAGGGACATGGATGAAGCTGGAAACCATCATTCTCAGCAAACTACTGCAAGGACAAAAAACCAAACACCGCGTGTTGTCACTCATAGGTGGGAATTGAACAATGAGAACACATGGACACAGGAAGGGGAACATCACACACTGGGGTCTGTTGTGGGGTGGGGGGAGGGGGGAGGGATAGAATTTGGAGATATACCTAATGCTAAATGACGAGTTACTGGGTGCAGCACACCAACATGGCACATGTATACATATGTAACTAACCTGCACATTGTGCACATGTACCCTAAAACTTAAAGTATAATTAAAAAAAAAAAACTCTTCACAATAAATGTTTTTGTTGAAGTTTATTTTATTGAAAATTCTCAGGGAGACTGCATTAACAACTCTTTTGATGTAGGTAGTCTATGGACTTCTCTTTGAAAAACATTGTTCAAAATGTACAGCAGATATGTATAGATATTCGTCACAATTTTGACAATGGTAATATTTCTAAATTTGATGTACAGGATGATGACATGCATAAGCTTCTGGTAAATAAGAAAATTAGCTATCAAATAAATTAAAACTATATTTCACCTGTCAAATTAAAATTGTAAACGGACAACACTGGTAAAGGACCTTGAAGCTAGCACCCTTGTTTATGCTGATACCCATCGTATGCATTGAAAAGCAAATATATTCCTGAAACCGTAAATCCAACAATGGTAGCCATATATTCTTTACTGGTATTAACTATTTATGAGAGTTTTGCCAAAGGAATGCAAAAAGAGTACATGTGACATGTGTTTTAAAATGTTAATTGCCTAGTTATTTAAAATTTTTAAGAGAACTAAGAAAAATGGCTTTAGAATTCAAAGTGCATTCTTCAGTGAATATACTTATGCTACTGCAAATAGAATTTCATCAAATTATAGATATTTTGTGATGACTTGGGTCTGTTAAAAACCGAGTTCTTAAGATCTTTCTTCTCTATAAAAAAGGTCTGAAATTATAGAAATATTTTGTTTTAAAATTCTTTTTAATAGGATATAAAATGTTACCTTTTTCTTTTTTCTTATAATTTTAATATTCAGAATTATTAGTCTTATTATGGAATTTTTCACTCCGTGGCACTTGGCTTGATCATCTAGCATCCTGAATTCCTCTGATTATGAAAATACAGATTTTAAAAAATCATGTGAAATATTATTATGTCTTTATGCAAAGACAATTGATATGAAATTAAGCTAAAATTATAAATCTTATCTAGACCAAATTAAGTATCTCACAATTCTATAGCACTGGATTCTAGAATAGTAAATGTGCCTGAACTGAAATAGCTCATGTGTTTTTTTCACTTGTGGAAAAGCTTGTAACTTTAAGAAGACTGAAACTTGTGGAGACTATTAATTATTCTCATTAGGTTTTTTTTTTAACTATTTTAGGAATCACCAAGAGTGACAATATCTGCAGATGCAAGAGAAATCGGTGTTAATATACCGTTTGTAGATGTTTTAACTATAGTAAACTTGTTGGCTATAAGAATAATGAATTTTAGCCTAGATTACCTACACTTTGCAGAATCTCATAATTTAAGATTCTTAAATTGAAATAACATTGTAAGTACATACATAAACAATGCAGGTATATGTATGTGCATGTGCTCATGTGTACTCATGTATATGGATTTGTACATCAAATCTCAAAACTATGGCAACAACTTTTTCTCTAAAAATTGTGTTAAACCTGTTAAATCTGAATATGCTAAGTCTGCTGAGTACAGATAATATTGAGAAATCAGTGAGAAACCTAGTAAATTACCAAATATGTTCTTTTTCTTTTCCTGTTTTAAAAAACTGAATTATCCATATTCTTTTATCAAGAAATTGCTAAGCAGATTGCAAGAGAGAGAAGTAGGAGACAAGGTAACTTCCATTCCCCCTACTTTCTCTCTCTGTCTCTTTGTTTTTACTTTTCTTCCTGCAGATCCTGCAGTCTCAGATTTCCACTCTGTTCTGAGACCAACACTGTTATGTGAAATGGGTCAAGTGTCATCCGTCTTTGGTAAGTTCACTTAAGTTCAGGCTTTTGTCTTCCCTGGTTCTCAATTTCTTTGCTCTTGGAACCCTATTCTTCATGCTCTAACACCTACTCCGCAATGCATCAAGACCTCTTGTGTCACTTATTTACCAGTTGAACGTCTTGAACACTCTTCCAACAAGTGAACTCATTGTATTACAGATAAGGCAGATTCAGACATCCTGACATGTCACGTGCCCTTGTGCTCTGTTGTATCTTATTTAGAATATATTTGTGTCTCTGCACCTTTGTCCACAATTTTCAACCACATCATTTGTTCTTTGTCATATTTTTCTGTGTTGCTCGTTGTGGTCAATGAGACTACATAGCAGCTGCAGAATCCCATAGTAGGTGGCTTAGGACAGCCATTGGGTTAATAGGTGGAGTTTTTAAGATCACCTTTTCTCTAGAAAAGGCCTAGAATTTGGGAAGGCAGTACAGAATTTGGTCCCTAGAGGTATAGGAGAAACCAGACCAAGGGAAGAGGGGAAGGATGAAGAGAGGACAAAGGTTTCTGTAAGGATATGCTTATTGGGTTTAGGTTTGTAAAACACTAATTTCGAGATAAATGATCTCTGGAATTTCGGTGGGAGTGGAGAATAATGAAGGAGAATGGAATGGGGTTCTAAGGAGATATTAATGGACAAAAGTAGAGCCCCTAAATTGACATTTATAAAAGAGGACTTCTGCCACTTGTCCTACTCTCCTGATGAACTATTATGGAACGTTATAATGAAAGGATCTGCAGAAATTAAAAAAACATATATACAATGGGCATGTCTTTGATTTCTATTATATCATTTTTAAGTTGTGTTTAGCACTTTCTTGAAGATTTTACTTAAACACAAGTAAATTATTTCCTTAAATCTAAGTATTTTAAGAGTAGTCATTTATTTTCTTATTTATTTATTAATATTTATTGTGTTCAAGGGGCTGTTAAAGGTGTCATTTATTATATACCCCACTGAAAAGAATGTTCACTTTTATTTCTTTTGATTATTCTGATTATCTGTTCATTATGATTATAGAAAACTTAAAAACTAGGATTTATTACCTTCTGATGTCTTGCAACTATTTCTAGACTTTTTCTTATTGTCGTTTACTAGGAAAAAAAATTCATTTTGATATTTCTCTCCTGTTATTATTTATAATTGCCTTAGTTTTATTTACATTGATATTGCATCTTTTGTATGCATCTTATGTTTGCATTGGTACTTTTAATTTCAAATATTTTTAATATTTAGTAAGAGATGTCAATTTTTAGAAAAGATATAGGTGTATTTCATGTTTTTAAGTCAACGTTTAGTACTTAATTATTATTTTATTATGGAACTTAAGCTATTTAGTAGCATCTCCCCAAAATCATATATATATTTTGTGTAATATGAAAAAATAATTTACAACATACCTTGAGTTATACAACCTTGGGAAATTGTCAAAAGTTCATAGTACCCTTCAAATACATAGGTTAAGATTAGCTTTTCTGTTCTTTCTGTATGAGTTCATATATATGTTTATAATAAACATTCATGCATTGCTTAGTGACGGGATATGTTTTGAGAAATTTATCGTTAGCAATTTTGTTATTGTGCGAAGACCATGGAGTGTACTTACACAAACCTAGATGGTATACCTGGTACACATCTAGGCTATATGATATATCTTTTTGCTTGTAGGCTGCAAACCTGTGTAGCATGTTCCTGTATGGAATATTATAGGCAGTTGTAACACAATGGTAAGTATTTGTGTATCTAAACATAGAAAGGGTACACTAAGCCATGTGATATGCACAATGTAAAATGGTATACCTGCACAGGGAAGCTCCTTTATACTAGTATGGGACCACCTCTATATATGCAGTCAGTCATTAACTGAAACATTATGCGGAGCATGACTGCAATTTCGTTCCAAGGTCCATTTAGACTTACTTATTTATTTAACTAACTACTAATTTTTTCTATATATATTATAGGAATAAAGCTGAATAACCACAGAGCTTTGCAAAATGTTTTATATATTTTACCAGAGATTTGCCATGCCCTCTCACCAGTGATAGAATATGACAAAGTACTGATCTGTATAGCTTCTTTATAAGCTTGAATTTTATGTCATATACTTCTCATCTTTTTTTGTGCTTGGATAGCTTATTATTAGTTCTCGTTTGAGGTCAGTAGGGTAAACTTATATGTTTTCATATGTTCCCGTGCCGATTTCAGTGGTTTCCATTTTATCTTCCAGGATATGCTCTATGTGCTGAACAATACCTAGCCATTGTTAACTGAGTGGGTTCATTAATTGCAATGGAATTTGGAGGCAACTGAGTGGGGGAGTTGTTGGATGAGAGGATTTTTTTAAAGAAGGGAAAGTAGGTATTTGCATTCCTCTTAAACTGTTTCAATAAAGAAAACAATTTTCTCTGTGTTCCTATTAGTGTAAACTGTTGATGAGTTTGAAAGCCAAAGCTATCTGGACTTATTCGGAGGCACTGTAAGATGAAAGGATCAGCCTAATCTGGTTTTAAGGGAATAGCTTCATTGGAGTTAATCTGCTATGAGCCAGAAATACAGTTTTCAGAGATTTGTAAAGTAATTGAAGCAGTTGTGAAGGTTAGAGAACAGGAGCCAAAGGTTTCTTTTGCTTTATATTGATTCAATTAGTGAGAAATATAATCTTTAGGGTTTTAATGATAGATATAAAGAGATGTAGACAAATAGATCCATATGATATTTTTCATGTTAATATAACTAGTTATTTTGGCTTTCTCCTTATATTAAAAATCATATAGTTTGGAAAGATTTTTTAAAGATGAGCTAAGAGTCATATTAACTTCCTAGAGAATTTGTTTTTAAACTATATACTAATTAGTGTAGATGAAGATTATTTGGGCATACCTCTTAGATAAGTAAGCAAACAACAATTGTGTTTTAATTTCTTAAGCTAGTCCAGTAGATCTATAATCTTTGAAATAGTGTTCAAAAATAAATACCAGCAAAAAATTCTGGCATAAATAAAGAAAAATATGTGAGTTACTTTTCATAGAAATCTTCAAATACTAGTTTGATTTTTTTTAATTTTCTAGTAATTCCTTATCATTGGCATTTGGGAATGACAATATGCATGTATGAGATTTTAAATTGACTATACAATGTATGTATGATTATAATAAAAATAAAAGTATATGTCTGGAGTTCACTTACTGAATTTATTTATACTTTACCTTTTTCCAAAAGGATATGGCTCAACTGATCATTACACTGTGCTTTCTGTGTAAATATATTTATAACTTTGAAACTAAAGATATTCAAAATAGTACATCTTATGAGGAACCCTTATAGTGCCTTAAGGTGTTCAGTATATATTGTTATATAAATGAGTGAGTGAAGCCAAAAGACATATTAAGTGAGCAAGTGGAACATCTTGGTCTAAAACCTCAACTTTCTTGACCAGAAACTCTGGACCAGAATTATAAATGTTGGCTCGGCATCTGACTTTATGCTTGACCTTAAGCAAGGTTCTGTGTATCTCTGAGCATATATTTCTTCAATTATACAATGTGGGAGTTGGCCTAGATGTAATCTAAGCTTCCGCCTTTCTGTTTGGTGCTGTGACTGGCCATTTGTGCTTGCATAGTCGCATAAATAGCTTGTTAATTACTGAGGATGCCCATTCTCTGGAAAACTCTGAATGCCAATAAAGTCTTTCTTATATTTAGCTAAAATTCTGTCTAAGTTGTACATCGTTCATAAATGTACTAGGTGTGCCTTCAACATATTCATAGAAATTATTGATGGAAATAATTATATAAGACAAGACAGGGCATTGTGTTATGGTTAAATTTTTTAACAGCAACAACAAAAATAATCCATCCAATTTCTGAGGCAGCAAATGTAGGAGTCAGTCTTGATCCCTTTCTACCATCAAATTTTGCTTCAATTTGACCACTTCCTAACAACCTAACCACAACTATGTTAGTCCTTGCCTGGCAGTTGCCTGATAATTGATCTCTCTTCTATTTCTTACCCATTACTCCCAGTAGTAGCCATAATGATGCCTTAAAATTAGATTATATCACTGTTTTGCTCAAAACCTGCAATAGCTTTATTTATCTCTTGGATCAAAATTCAAAGGACTTACTATTTCTTGGAAGGTTCCAAGTGGCTAAGCCCAGCTTACCTCTCTAACCCAGTCATCAGTTAAACCTTCTGTTTTTCTCTTGGCTCCCAACTGTTCTGGCTTTTTTCCTATTCCTTGAACTTGGCCTTTAAACTTGTTCTTCTCTTTTCTTTTCTTAAATCTTTTCTCAAATGCCATTTGAGCAAAGGGTTGAATGGTGAGCAAAGGATTGAGTAGTATGGGAAGAGGGCTTTACTCAACCTGTCCAAAATAGTCTTCCCAATTCATCATGTTATATCCCCTTAACCTCCATTCTTTTCTTACTAGCATTAGTTAGTTGTATGTTTCCCCATAACAGTGTGGGTTCCATGAAGTCTATCTTGTTTACCACTGTATGTATAATTTCTGTCCCATAGTTAGGAGTACAATAATTATTACCAACTGAAAGACCATTGTTTTTCTCATAAATAATCTTTTATTCCTGTTGCATTTCTATTTTGTGCTTCTGAATGCCTTATGAAATTGTTTACTTTGATATATTTGCTTGAAATATATTGGTGACATTTTGACTTTTATATGAAAAGCTGTATTTAGGGGGAAAATGCTGATGGCTATTATAGTAAAATATTAGCCTTATAAACATTCAACACACATAGTTGGAATTAATAATTATTTAGCTACAGTTTTACAAGTTTTCTGTTTAATCTGATGAGCATATATTATCATCAGAAAAATTAAGACATCAGGAATAAGTTAAATATTTTATTGAAAACATATTTTGTGAGTATAGTCAGAAAGTTGATTCTATTTCTATTCATTCAAATTAATTTTTTAATATTCAAGAACAATAATGCCCCATCTTAAACTTTATCAAGTTAATCTCACTTTAATGTAAGAATACGGTTATGTTTTTATTGTGGAAAGCTTTAACTTCTTAAGAACAACTTATTTTAATACTAAAAGTTTAGGTAGATATAGTAAAATATGAAAAATGCAGACAAGCTTTAAGATAGCAGTTACATTTGAGCATGCCCATGGAATACAGTAGGGAATGTGACCTTTACTGGTATTTGTAAAACTGTAATTTTAAAGCAAAAAAAATGAAATTAATAAAATCAAAGTTTAACATTTGTTCATACATGGTGCTGGGCAAATTCTTGTCTGTCTCATATTATTACTTATAACTTTCGATATGTTTTAAATATTTTTAATACAATGGAATATTTTTTAAAGATAATTGGTAATACTTTGTCATTTAAATTAATCTATAGCCTAGTAATGATTGGCTCTCTGTATAACTTGAATAAGCTTTCCGTTAAAGATAGTACATTTTTAAAAAACTTTAAATATATTTTAATCTACCTATTTCAGTATATGTATTTAAGTACTTTTCACACATTTTTGATACTATTTTTCTAAAATTGTTTGCTTTTTTTTACCTTCTATTACCTTTTCACAACTGAATACAGAATGTCTCAATTTAAGTGTCTAAGAACTAGAAAAAACATCAAATCTGAAACAGAAAATATGCATCTTAAATAAATTCAAATTGTTTTGATTGGGATGGGGCATAAATAAATGAAATACACGTAAAGAGAAAAAAGACAAGATTCACTTTTCAAAGTTTCTGTTCGTTTTAAATTTGCCCTTACTGTCTGTCAGTTTACAGCATTACAAAATGGTTACATTATATATTTATTTATTTATTGACCAATTGAATAGGATTATAAATATATAATGTAACCATTTTGTAATGCTGTAAATGTGGTCGAATTTCAGTAGCCAACGTAGAAAGTCCTGTCATGTTGAAGTGAATAAAATGACTGGGGTGAACATTCTGAGTAAGTCAGGAACTAATTGCCAATCAATAGTGAAACAACAAGTATGCCATCATGAAATTTATACTCTAGCAGGAGATATTGAAAACAGGAGATTTCAATATTGTGAGATAAATGCAGTGCTGTGAAAAATACTGAGACCGTGAAATAATAGAGGAGGTGCCTATCTCAAACATACAGTTTAAGAAAGCTTTCTTAGGATAATTAGCATCTAACTGGGGACCTAAAGGAAAGGTAGGATTTAGTCAGGCAAAAAGTGGAAAGGCACAGATGTTTTATTTTCTTTGTTTTGAAAAGGGGGTTCACTCTGTCGTTCAGGCTGGAATAGAGTGTCATGATCATAGATCACCCTAATCTTGAACTCCTGGGTTTAAGCAGTCTTCCTGCCTTAGCCTTCCAAGTAGCTAGGACTACAGGTGTGTGCCACCATGCCCAGCTAATTTTTTCAAAAAAATTTTATAGTGATGAGGTCTCACTATGTTGCACAGGCTGGTTTTCAACTTCTGAACTCAAGTGATCCTCCTGCCTTGGCCTTCCAAAATGTTGGGATTCCAGGCATGAGCCACTGTACCTGGCCTTCTGTAGACATATTCTCAAGTCCATAAGCAAGAGAGAGAACATAGTAACTTAAAAAAATGTAATATTGTTTAATATGCTAGTGGCATGGTTTTTGAGGGAGAAGCAGTGTAAGGTAGAATTAGAAGAGTCTCCATTAAAGAATGTGGATTTTAAGGCAGGGTGTGGTGACTCATACCTGTAATCACAGTACTTTGGGAGGCTAAGGCAAGAGGATCACTTGAGGCCAGGAGTTCAAGACCAGGCTGGGCAACATAGTGAGACCCCGTCTACACACACACACACACACACACACACACACACACACACACACACACACACACCACACACACGGGCATGGTGACACATACCTGTAGTCCTAACTAGCTACTCAAGAGGCTAAGGTGGGAGGATTGCTCGAGCTTGGAAGGTGAAGAATGCAGCGAACTATGATTGTGCCACTGTACTCCAGCTTGGGTGACAGAGTGAGACCCTCTCTCAAAAAAAAAAATAATGTGGATTTAATTCTAAGAGAATGACATAATCCAATCACATTTAAGAAAGATGTCTGTGGCTGCAAATGCTGCTTCATCTTACTTTGTGTTATTTACTTGAATTTTTTTTCATAGAGAAGCTCTCTAATTTTCTAAACCCAGTCATATCCGCCTTATATAGTTTTCCTAGCACTTTGACTCAACCTTCGGAGCACATTTTTAATTACAATGAAATAATAAATTGTGAGCTGAGATGCTCAGTGTCTGATTCTACCACCTGCATCATAAGATAGTAAGATCAAAGTGTCTGGTTTATTGCTGTACTCTCCGTGTCTTTTATGTACTAGTACTCAATAAGTATGTAATGAATAAGTAATCTATAGGGATCTAAGCACCATGAATAAGACAGTTTTCCAGATTAATAATTTAGCTAAAGATAACAAAAAAATCACTATTGATTTTAACCTCTTTTCTTCTCATTGTTTCCTTTCTGAATGCATTTAAAAAACATTTATTGAGGGCCTATCTGTGCCAAGAATTATAACTGAACCTAAGGAAGATAAGTGATGTGGTATGTGACTAATAGATAATTCAAAAAATAATGTCTATATTTCAAGCAAAGTTTGTAGTGGAGATATGATCAACAATGTTAAATATGCGCCTAACGATATGAATTTCTCTTATTACAACTTAAAAATATTTTTCATCGTATATGGATCTCTTGTACTCCAGAAGCTGCATTTCAACTTTCAAATTATTTTCATGCCGGCACAAAAGAATGCATAAATACAGTTTTTTTAAAGTATAGTTGCAGACCTGCTGTTTATAATTTGTTAACAATGATAAAACACTATCCAAAATATCAGGGGATATTGATGAATTGTAGATATCTATCTTTTTGCTTTTCTTAAATATCTACTTAATTGTCTTGATTAATGACAAGTGAATGCTTATTTGGTAAAGTTTTAAGTCATGTAAAAATATTTTTAAGTAAAAAATATGATTTTAGACAACCGTTAGTAAATATTATCATTGTTAAAAATACCATTCCTTTGTAAATAGCACCCACAAATGTACTTATAAAAGCACCTGCATTCAAATGGAATCTACTTAGTATTTTGGTTTTCAAAAAGGCAAAATTAATTCCAGCTCTTGAAGTTATAGTTTGTGTTTAATAGAGACGAAGCGTTCCGAATAGCCCAACTTAGTTAAATTTCACATAGGGTTTGAGGATACCGCTTCATAATGTTTGGCAAAGGCCAATGACAACATGGCAGAGTTTAGTAGAGAAAATCCTGTTAAAGGAAATAAGGTATTATTAAGAAATAAAAGAAAACTGAGAGAATCTTCTTGTTTGCTAGCAAAATTTGAAAATACATACATAATCTAGAGTAAAGTTGTATATTTTGATTTTTTTCATACTCTTTCTGTTGCTGAGACAGAAATTAAAAGTGTGTTGAAGAAAATAATCTACATTATTTTGTGAGAAAAGGAGAAAACTGTGAGGTAATAAAATAAAAATTTACTTTAGCAAAATGACATTCAGATTAGTTATTAAAATATGGAGAAAATGTTAGTGATAAAAAAACTTTTATGCAGGTAAGTTAATTAAATCTTTTGTCAGTAGTAATTAAATATTAAATACTACTGTGATATTATTATTTAATATTATTATTAAATAGTACCATGATTGAATCTACTAGTTTATTAAAATTATGGGCATATCAAGGGATGGATTTTTAAAGCTAAAATGGTGATGAAATAAGGATATGTCATTTTAAAGGGAAACATGGGAAAAGAAAGTTAAAGTAAATGGCAAAGAACATTTAAAATCCAATGTAAGGAAAATGTCACAAATATTCAAATGTCTGTTTCTTTACTCTTAAGTTGTGCATTTCTTTATATGTATTAACTATTTGTATTTTAATGTTAATAAGAGGGTTCATTTCTGTAAGTGGTACATAAAGTAATTTAGGCTATTTTTCTATACCTAAAGTAAACCATTGTTCCCTAGTGGGAATTATGGAATTACTGGCATAGTGCACAGGAATGATTACAGACTGCTATTATTTGGCTTGAATGGGAGGTGATGAGCAGAATAAATTCAAGGAACACATATTGTTTACCTACTATTTTACCTATATTTTCAAATTGAATTTTAAGAACTCTGACAGTTATTTATTGTTATTCTCCGTTTACAGATAAGGAAACTGAAGCTCATAAAGTGTAGGACAGTATCTTCCATAACATCAATATCTGTCAGTGAGTCAGGGTTTAAATAAAAATATGCGTCATTCTAATACATGCCTTTCCCTTTATGCTATAGACCTCTCACAAGAGGTTGATAATCATAGCAATTGCAGCAGCAGTAGTAATAATTATAGAGATAGCACATACTTACTGTGCTCATTGTTCCAGGCATTGTTCTTAGCACTTTGTATAAATTCATTCTATTTAGTTTGAAAAATAACCCTATGAAATAGGTACTGTTTTATGCCAGTTTTATACATGAGAAAAAAACATCTGGGAAATAGGAATAACCATCATTGAATGTGTCGTATAGGTTTGTGTGATTCTAGAGATGCAAAGTGGTAAAATGCAGGTCTTTGATAAACTAAAATGTTAAAGATGCTTTCTATTTCAATATGGTTTTAAATATATATCATCCTTTAACTAATTTATTATTTAAAATGCTGTTCATCAAGTGCTAAAAAGATTATGAAGTATTTAAGTCCTAAATAAAGAGAAGATGGAGGATAGACCAATCCATATTTATGGATGATTAAAGAATGTTGTGGAAATATTTGAGCTTCTTGGTTCCAGGGACACATAAAAGGAGTAATTAAATTTACCTTTTGATTTAGGATTTTGGGACAGAGCCTTTGGAAAGTGATCAACGTTGTAAATACATGTCTAACTGGAGATACTGATCTATGTAAAACAGAAAGGAGTAATAGCATAATTGACAGTTCTCGTAATTATCTTCTTTGGGGAATCTCCTTTTTTTTGGTAACATCTTTACTATTTTTGTTAATATAGTACTATTGTTAGCATTAGCTGGCAGGTTAATAAAGATCCTAATGTACTTACTGAACATCTGGGGAAAAATACATGTAATATAGGTTGGTGCAGAAATTATTTTGGTTTTTGCCATTGAAAGTAATGGCAAATCCACAATTACTTTTGTACCAGTCTAATAGTTTTGAAGAGACTCATAGAAAAAAACAAGGAGCTGGGGGAGAG
The DNA here is from genome assembly GCF_000001405.40 of Homo sapiens. Lineage (NCBI taxonomy): Eukaryota > Metazoa > Chordata > Mammalia > Primates > Hominidae > Homo > Homo sapiens. The sequence goes on from NC_000003.12 coordinate 96,916,607, forward strand.
AAACAGAAGAGACAGGGCCCAGTGTGGAGTGAGTAATGAGTAGATTGAAAGAGTTGTCCTCAAAGGGTAGGAAGTAAGTTGGGCCTAATATCATAGATTACGTCAAAGGTTATTCTTTTGATTAAAATGACTTATTAGCGCTTGAGAATATCATTTTTATAGGTCTTCAGAACGGAGTGCCAATGAGTTCAAAATACTAGTTAATCAGGAAATATAAGAATCCCAAGCAAATGGCAAAGACCTAATTTGAATAACCAATACAATTTGCAAAATGAGAAATCAAATTAAGTGTTTTATTCATTGACTTAAGTAGTCTAATGCCTGGTAATGTCCAAAGTGTGAAAGATTTACTATTTGTGAATCATTGCTGTGCTTTCAGTGGGCTGTAGTTTTCTAATTGCAGCTAAAGAATTTGCTTTCCTACAGATCTCCATTAATTTTCCTACGTCGTATCTTCTAACAGTTTTTTTCCATAGCCAGAATATTGTTCATATTGCAACCCAGTTTACACACAAACAAACACACATTTTTTGGCCGGGTGTGGTGGCTCGCACCTGTAATCCCAGCACTTTGAGAGGCCGAGGCAGATGGATCAACTGAGGTTAAGAGTTTGAGACCAGCCTGACCAACAAGGTGAAACCCCATCTCTACTAAAAATGCAAAAATTAGTCAGGCATGGTGCCAGGCACCTTTAGTCCCAGCTACTCAGGAGGCTGGGACAGGAATTGCTTGAACCCAGCAGGCAGAGGTTGCAGTGAGCCAATATCGTGCCGCTACACTCCAGCCTGGGTGATGGAGTAAGACTCCATCTCAAAAAAAAAAAAAAAAAAAAAGAATTTTTTTTCATTATAGTTTTTATTTCTCTCTCCAGTACAATTCCTAATAGAAGTGCACAATGCTGTGGAAAAAAAATAAGCTTCCTGAGTACCTCCACTTTCCCATCTTTGCAGGAGGCAGTGAGCCTGCTCCCATGCACAGTACACCACTGCTACTACCTACAAACAACCACCATTTGAGAAAAACCACTGCGCTAAGGCTGTCTATAACCAAGGAATTCATACAGAGACTTGGACCCCTAAAAGCACCCAGAAGCAAAGGCAAAGAATCCACCCAACATTCATTACACTCACACCCTGAAAGGGAAAAAAAAAATGTCTCACCAAACAAAAGTAAATTCAAAAATAAAAATGACAGCCTCCCCGGGTGAGAAGGAACCAGTGTAAGAACTCTGGCTTCATGAAAAAATAGTGTTATGACACCCCCAAAGGATAATAGAAGCTCCATAGCAATGGATCCTAACCAAAATGAAAATTCTGAAGTGACAGATAAGGAATTTGAAAGATGGACTCTAAGGAAGCTCAGTAAAATCCAAGAGAAAGTTGAAAACCAGCAACAAAACTTACGTCTAAAAAATCATGAAAAATTACTTATCCTTACTACTTTATATGTTTTTAGCACCCTCCCTCTACCCCCATCCCACCTTTACAATCATGATGAACTAAATTATTTTGTTAACCTAATCATGATTGAGATTTTCCTTGCATAGAGATTGGAACACAAAAAAGGATTATAAATCATAGATAGTAATAACTGTATGTTAGAGATTTACTCAGATGCTAGAGATTGAAGTAAATTTTTGAAGGGAAAAGGCAACTAATGGCATATTTTCCAAATGGATAAAATTATATTCTAAGTTTACATGTTAAACTTTTATAGTCTAATGTTATTAACACATGAAAATGTATACTTTTAAAACCGTTGCTTTATGATTTAAATAGTTGTGTTATATTAAGAGAAGTTGTACTGTTAGTGACAGTTAATATATAAAGGCATTACGTATTGGATACAATTTCTTTATATTATAGAATTCCTTGACCATTCAGTGATGGTAGGCAATGTGCAAGGCAGCAAAGAGATAGGAGTAGGGAATGCATTAGAAATCAAATACAGTGCAATTTTATACTTTGGGAACTTACTTTTATAAGGCTTTTTGAAATTGAGTTTTAATAATATTTTATTTAAGGTAATTTATAGTTGGTTTTAATGTTATTTTATGGGAAAAATATGTATTTCAAACTTGGGCTTTAAGTATGTACAAAACATATAGGAAGGTATAACTATTTTTTTTAAATGCTTGAGGTATGTGCTAGAAACTCTTTGCAAAGGGATTTTGATACACAGCATTTTGTACAGGCTCTCATAAAGAAAATTAATGTTTGCGCTTAAAAGTAAATAAGTGATCAGAAAAACACAATTTCAGTTCTAACCTACTAGAAAAATGTTTGTAGCTATAAAACTTAAATTACTTATGATATCACTGACACTGTAATATTTTATACAGTCGATAGCAGAGAAATTAGAAAGTTCATTATTTTGAAATCTTAAATCATAATTGAGTATTTTATAGTTAAGCATATGCTGTCACAATTTCTTTAAGACAAATTTTGTTGTTAACATAAAATCAAATGTTACTCCTTATTGACTCTACTGTATTATTCATAAATAAAATATGGGCAACTGTGGAACGTAGCCGCTTTTAATAAGTGTGTAATGGAAAAAAGCCTACTCTTTGCTATGTTGAATGATATGTTGTATTTTTATGTTAATATCAAGAGTAATAATTAGATCATCTGTTAGTATACTACACTGAAAACCAAGGAAAATATAAAGTATCATGAACTTCAAAATTAGAAAAACTTTTCAAGAATGACAAAATCACATAGATTTAAGTTTGAGAGCATGGATTAAATGTACACACATATACATAAAATGTAAAATAAAAGAAGTTTTAGAATTCAATTAAAGTTTGTGACAGGACAGTAGATTCCATAGAAATTCATAAAAGTACATTAATATTATCTACAAAGGAGTGTTGTCTCTTGCTTAAAAATGACTCATTTAGTTACTTCATTTAATTTAGCTTTAGGGAATATTTTTTATATTTATGTCTATTTCAATAGGAGAAACCATCTTTTTTAAGTCTATTGAGGCAGGGGTTATAATTGACTGTAATAACTTGTAGGTATCGGATACTATTTAAAGTTTCATAGATATAGAAATCTATGCCTTTGGCCAAAGTAGAAATGTGTGTCCATCTCCAATAATACTTTTCTTAATATTTCTTCATTTGACAAATCACTTTGCTGCAAGCCTTTTGTGCTATTAAGTACAGCTGTATTTTTTTCTTTATTTTTCATTCTGTTAGTTCCAAGTGTTATTTAACTTTACAGGAGGAGAAAAGGAGTGCATAAAAGTCATAGTACATTTTTTAGAGCATATCTCAAAAGATCGAAGTTCTCCTTTGCTAATTACCCAGTTATTTTATTCAAATAATCAATTTAAAATAATTGTAAGTATTAATAAAACCTAAAACCATATGCTTCTAGGACAAACAACAGGCAAGTAAATGACTTTGGAGCAGGCCGAGATTTCTTAAAGACTACTGAAAATACTTGCATTACAAATCATGTTAGGGAGATAAGGGAAAAGGCAACAGAAGTCAATTTTATGTTTTTCTTTTAATCATAATAAATGATTGGTAAAGGAAAACATTAATAACCTTTAGTGAAGCTATTTTGTGCTTCTGTGAACTTTCATTTTTAGTGACCTCTCTTCCTACAGCCAAAGATGATTGAATTTAAACTTAAGTAAGATCAAATTAATTGATAGAAAAAGGGACTATTTATGGAAAAAGAAAAGGTACAGCAGATTTAAGGGCATAACATTCATCTGTCTATTAGAAAAATGCCCTTATATTATACTACAGTTTAGGGAAAGTAGCAAAAAATATTAAACAAAATGAAAACCTGCATTAATTTATTCAGTGCACAATGTATTTACTGAATGTTTACTTTAGTGCCAAAGACCCAATCTTCAGGGGTTCTTAAAAGGTGATGTCAAAATTCTCTTGGTCAATTAAGTTCTATTTACAAAAACAAATCAACCAGTAAACATATTTCTATTTAGATCCTTTTATTGATATGTAGCTCTTTCTTTCATCACTTAATTACCCGTATTACAGAAACCTGTAAGGATTGTGTGTGTGTGTATGTATACCTATAACTCATTATATTTTAATATGTATATACATTTTAGGATGTATATATGTCAATCGGTATATTTGTGTGTTTTAGAGAATTCCCCCACTTATTTAAATAACTCCATTAAATGGCTTGAACTTAAATAAAATTTCTTGTTCTCTGCAATGAAAATTTAAATAATTGGAATTCACAGACATTATAGAATAGAAATAATTTGTTCTAGTTTTAAATAGAATTTGAAACAGTAGTTTATATAGCCTTTAAGGGGAACAAAATTTTATTTAATCCAAAATTGTATGGATTATCAGAGAACCCTACAAGTTATCTTTGCCCAGAATTCTTTAAGACTGTTAATTACCTGTGTAAGAAAAGAGTTAATTCTCATGCAGATATCTAATAATACTGTCTTTGTTTAGACCAATTACATTATACTTTAAGACTAAGGACTATGCGTATAACTATATCTCAAAAAATATTTAGGAAAATACACGTAGCAAAAACTCAATTATGGTAGTGGTATATGTGATTTTAATTTTCCTTCATGATAGGCAGTATAGTGTAACTTTCTGAAAGTCACTAAATGAAAATCAGTAAGTACTTTTTTTTCAGATCATACATAAATAGAAGAGCATATTAGCTACATAAATCCTTTTATATTTTTAATTATGATATTAATATTTTTCAAATATGTTTGATAAAACATTTTTTAAAACTTTAAAAGTATCCAGAAAACTTAAACATAAACATTTAAATCATGCATTTTAAAGATGATTGCTTTTCTCCTAAAGTGTGTTGTTAAAATATTCCTGATTGTCATAAATTGGGAATGGGTAATCTCTCAGTGCCTTCATAAAACTCTATTCAACTTAAATGACTGAAGATTATGACATAAATTAATTTTCAGAGATAGTTTTGAATTATTTTAAATACACAACTTTTTTTTTTTTTTCAAGACTCTGTCATCCAGGCTGGAGTGCAGTTGTGTGATTCCAGCTCACTGCAACCTCCGCCTCTGGATTCAAGCAATCCTCCTGCCTCAGCCTCCCAACTAGCTGGTACTACAGGCACGTGCCACCATGCCTGGCTAATTTTTGTATTTTTAGTAGAGATGGGGTTTCACCATGTTGGCCAGGCTGGTCTTGAACTCTTAACCTCAGGTGACCTGCCCACCTTGGCCTCCCAAAATGCTGTGATGTCAAGCATGAGCCACTGCGCCCAGCCTAAAAAACCTAACTTTTGATGCACGGTTTGTGTATTTGTGATAACACAGAAGCCAGCTTGATGGGGCTGATGTGACAATTTAAATATCTAGAAGAATAATGTGAATCAACTGAAGTTGATTGAAACACATTAATTATATTAAAATAAATGAGTCTACCTTAATGTCTAGAGAGAGAGAGAGAGAGAAAAAGAGAATGCCAAAACAGAAAGCCTTTTTAAGAAAAGCCTTTTAAGAAAAATATTAGCTATTGTACCAAAAATTTGTAATTAAGGAAAGAATTAAAAACATCTATGTTCATTTTCTGGTAGGAACTCTATTTCTGGTTAGCCAGATGGTTCCAGTTGATGAGAGACAGCATTCATTACAAAAAATGCCTCCTGCTAAATAAAGAAGTAATGATAGAATTAGAAACCACTGTTTTTCAGAACTTAAAAGAATAATTAATTCAGCAAAGATTGTCAAAGAATGGTAAAATCACTAAGTGAAATGATTGAGGGAAAGAACTGTTCAGATGAAAAAGGAAGAAACGTTACCAAATGTGGGATGTAGACCTTGACTGGATAGGTAAATTTGAAAATAGACTACATTTTTCAGATAGCATTAAAAAATTGTCAGTTTTATTACATGTGAAAATTTATATAAGAAACTGTATTTTTCAGAGTCTGATTAAAGAATTTAGAATTAAAATGTTATGATATCTAAAATTTACTTTAACAAATGATAAAAATGTATGATATTTGTAATCATTAAATCAAAGCAATGCAATTCATTCCACTTTTTTTTTTCCGACTTTGAAGTTCAGGGCTATGTGTGCAGGATGTGTGGGTTTGTTACATAGATAAACATGTGCCATGGGGTTTACTGCACAGATTATCCCATCACCTATGTATTAAGCCCAGCATCCATTAGCTATTCTTCCTGATGCTCTCTATCCCACCAAGCCCTGTCCCACAGGCCCCAGTATGTGTTGTTTCACCGCAAGTTTCCATGTGTTCCCATCATTCGTGTCTCACTGTTAAGTAAGAACATGCAGTATTTGGTTTTCTGTTTGTGTGTTAGTTTGCTTCCAATTCCATTCATGTCTTTGCAAAGGACATGATTTCATTCTTTTTTATGGCTGCATAGTATTCCATTGTGAATATATGTCAAATTTTCTTTATCCCATCTATCATTGATGAGCATTTAGGTTGATTCCATGTCTTTGCTCTTGTGAATAGTGCTGCAGTGAACATACGCATGCATGTATCTTTATAATAGATTGACTTATATTCCTTTGGGTGTATACCCAGTAATGGGATTGCTGGATCAAATGGTATTTCTGCCTCTAGATCTTTGAGGAATTGCTACACTGTCTTCCACAATGGTTGAACTAATTTACACTCCCACCAACAATGAAAAAAACATTTTTCCTCCACAACCTAACCAGCATCTGCTATTTTTAAATTTTTTAAATAATTGCCATTCTGACTGGCGTGAGTGGTATGTCATTGTGGTTTTGATTTGCATTTCCCTAATGATCATTGATGTTGAAAAGTTTTTTACATATAGTTGTTGACTGCATGCATGTCTTCTTTTGAGAAGTGTCTGTTCATGTCCTTTGCCTACTATTTAAGGTTTTTTTTTTTCCTTTAGTTTCTTTAAATACCTTGTAGATGCTGGATGTTAGACCTTTGTCAGATGGATAGATTGTGAAATTTTTATCCTATCTTGTAGGTTGTGTGTTCACACTGCTGATAGTTTCTTTTGCCATGCAGAAGCTCTTAAGTTTAATTAGAGCTCAATTTTTTCTTCTTTTGCAGTTACTTTTGGCATCTTCATCATGAAATATTTGCTTGAGCCTGTGTCCTGAATGGTATTCCCTAGATTTTCTTCTAGAGATTTTATAGTTTTGGGTTTCACATTTAAGCCTTTAATCCATCTTGAGTTGATTTTTGTGTATGGTTTGTAAGGAAGGAGTCCAGTTTCAGTTTTCTGTATATGGCTAGCCAGTTCCCCCAATACCATTTATTAAATAAGGAATCTTTCCCCATTGCTTGTTTTAGTCGGGTTTGTTGAAGATTCGATGGCTTAGTTGTGTGATCTTATGTCTGGTTTCTCTATTCTGTGGGTTCTTTACTTGGTTACATTGGTCTATGTGTCTGTTCTTGTACCAGTACCATGCTGTTTTTGTTACTCTAGCCTAGTAGTATAGTTTGAAGCCAGATAGTGTGATACCTCTAGATTTTTTCTTTTTCCTTGGGATTGTTTGGCCATTTGGGCTCTTTTTAAAGTAGTTTTAAAAAATAGTTTTTAAATAGTTTTTCTAAATCTGTGAAGAATGTCAGTGGTAGTCTAATGGAAATAGCCTTGAATCTATAAATTGCTTTGGGAGATATGGCCATTTTCACAATGTTGTTTCTTCTTCTCTATGAGCATGGAATGTTTTCCATTTGTTTGTGTCGTCTCTGATTTCTTTGAGCAGTATTTTGTAGTTCTCCCTGAAGAGGTCCTTCACTTCCCTTATTAGCTGCATTCCTAGTTTTATTCTTATTTTGGCAGTTGTGAATGGGAGTTCATTCATGATTTGGCTCTCTGCTTGCCTGTTGTTGGTGTATAGGAATGCTAGTGATTTTTGCATATTGATTTTGGATCCTGAGATTTTACCGAAGTTGCTTATCAGCTTAAGAAGCTTTTTGGCTGACCAATGGGATTTTCTGGATAAGGGATCATACCATCTGCAAACAAAGATAGTTCGACTTCCTCTCTGAATACCCTTTATTTTTTTCTCTTGCTTGATTGCCCTGGCCAGAACTTCCAGTACTATGTAGAATAGGAGTGGTGAGAGAGGGCATCCTTGTCTTGTGATGGTATTCAAGGGAAATGCTTCCAGCTTTTGCACATTCAGTATGATATTGGCTGTGGGCTTGTCATATATGGCTCTTATTATTTGCAATATGTTCGTTTAATACCTAGTTTATTGAGAGATTTTAACATGAAGGAATATTGAATTTTATTGAAGGCCTTTTCTGCATCTATTGAGATAATCGTGGTTTTTGTCTTTAGTTATGTTTATGTAACTATGCAACATATGCAAATCACCTTTACTGATTTGCATATGTTGAAACAACCTCCTGAAGCCAACTTAATTGTGGTGGATAATTGTTTTGATGTGCTGGTTTGGATTCGGTTTGCCAATATTTTACTGAGGATTTTTGCATCAATGTTCATCAAGGATATTGGCCTGAAGTTTTCTTTTTTTGTTGTGTCTCTGATAGGTATATATGTTTTGGTATCAAGATGATGCTGGCCTCATAGAATGAGTCAGGGAGGAGTCCCTCCTTTTTAATTTTTTGGAATAGTTTCATTAGAAATGTTACAGCTCTTTTTTGTGCCTCTCATTAAATTCAGCTGTGATTCTATCTGACACTGGGCTTTTTTTGTTTGGTAGGCCATTTATTACTCTCTCAATTTTGAAACTCGTTATCAGTCTATTGAGAGATTCAATTTCTTCCTGGTTCAGTCTTGGGACAGTGTATGTGTCCAGAATTTATCCATTTCTTCTAGATTTTCTAGTTTATTTGCATAGAGATGTTTATAGTATTTTCTGATGGTTGTTTGCATTTCTGTGGGGTCAGTGGTGTTATTTCCTTTATCATTTCTGACTATTTGAATCTTCTCTTTAGTCTTCTTTATTAGTCTAGCTGGTGGTCATTCAATTTTATCATTTTTTTTCAAAAAACAAGCTCCTTGATTTGCTGTTTTTTTTTTTTTTCCCAAGACAGAGTTTTGCTCTCATTGCCCAAGCTGGAGTGCAGTGACGTGATCTTGGCTCACTGCAACTTCTGCCTCCTGAGTTCAAGTGATTCTCCTGCCTCAGTCTTCTGAGTAGCTGGGATTACGAGCGCCTGCCACCATGCCTGGCTAATTTTTGTAATTTTAGTAGAGGTGGGGTTTCACCATGTTGTCCAGGTTGGTCTCAAACTTCCGACCTCAGGTGATCCACCTGCCTTGGCCTCCCAAAGTGCTGAGATTACAGGTGTGAGCCATCGTGCCCAGCCAATTTCTTGATTATTTGGAAGGGTTTTTCACATCTCTGTCTCCTTCATTTCAGCTCTGACCTTGGTTATTTCTTGTTTTCTACCAGCTTTGGGGTTCGTTTGCTCTTGGGTCTTGTAGTAGTTCATTTTCACACTGCTATAAAAATACTTCTTGAGACTAGGTAATTTATAAACAAAAGAGATTTAATTGACTCACAGTTCCACATGGGTAGGGAGGCCTCAGGAAACTTATAGTCATGGCAGAAGGGGAAGCAAGCATGTCTTACATGGCAGCAGGCGAGAGAGTGATTGTGTGAAAGGGGAACTGTCAAACACTTATAAAACCATCAGATCTTGTGAAAGTCACTATTACAAGAACAGCGTGGTGAAACCAACCCCATGATCCAGTCACCTCCCACCAGGCCCCTTCCTCGACACATGGGGATTACAATTAGAGATATATTTGGGTGGGGACACAGAACCAGATCATATCATTCCATCCCTGCCCCCCTGCCCCCCAACAAATCTCATATCTTCTTGCATTTCAAAACCAATCATGCATTCCCAACAGTCTTCCAAAGTCTTAACTCATTTCAGCATTAACCTAAATGTCCAATTCCAAAGTCTCATCTGAGACAAGACAAGTTCCTTCTGCCTAGGAGCTTGTAAAATAACAGTTACTTTCAAGATACAGTGGGGGCACAGGTATTGGATAAATGCTCTTACTCTAAATGGGAGAAATTGGCCAAAACAAAGGGGCTACAGGCCCCATGCAAGTCCAAACATTAGCATGGCAGTTCTTAAATCTTAAAGCTCTGAAATGATCTTCTTTGACTTTATGTCTCACATCCAGGACATGCTGATGCAAGGGGTGGGCTCCCATGGCCTTGGCTTTGCAGGGTACAGCCCCCCAGCTGGTTTTATGGCTGACCCTGTATGTCTGCAGCTTTTCTGGGTGCACTGTGCAAACTGTCAGTGGATCTACCATTCTGGGGTCTAAAGAACAGTGGCCCTATTGTCACAGCTGCACTAGGCAGTGCCCCAGTAGGGACTCTGTGTGGGGGCGTCAACCCCACATTTTCCTACTGTACTACCCTAGCAAAGGTTCTCCATGAAGGCTCAGCCCCTGCAGCAGACTTTATACTGGACATCTGAGCATTTCCATACATTCTCTGAAATGCAGGCAGAGGTTCCCGAACCTTAATTCTTGACTTTTGTGCACCCGTAGGCCTAACACCACATGTAAGCCGGCAAGGCTTGGGGCTTGCACCCACTGAAGCAACAGCCGGAGCTGTACCTTGGCCTCTTTTAGCCACGACTGGAGCAGTTAGGATGCAGGGCTCCAAGTCCCATAGCTGCACAAAGCAGCTGAGCCCTGGGCCTGGCCCAGGAAACCATTTTTCCCTTCTAGGCCTTAGAGCCTATGATGGGAAGGACTGCTGTGAAGGTCTCTGGCATGCCCTGGAAACATTTTCTCCATTGTCTCAGATATTAACATTCAGCTCCTTGTTACTTATGCACATTTCTGCAGAAAATGGGTTTTTCTTTTCTATCACATTGTCAGGCTGCAAATTTTCTAAATGTTTTTACTCTTTTCTTTTAAACATAAGTTCCAGTTTCAGATAATCTCTCTCCAGTTCAAAGTTCCACTTATCTCTAGGGTGGGGGCAAAATGCTGCCAGTGTCTTTGCTAAAGCATAGTAAGAGTGACCTTTGCTCCAGTTCCCAATAATTTTCTCATCTCCATCTGAGACCACCTCAGCCTGGACTTCATTGTCCATGTCATTATCAGCATTTTGGTCAAAACCATTCAGTAAGTCTCTAGGAGGTTCCAAATTTTCCCTCATCTCCCTGTTACCCTGTTCCAAAGTCACTTCCACATTTTCAGGTTGTCTTTATAGAAGTGCCCCACTCCGGGTACCAATTTCCTGTATTCGTCCATTTTCACACTGCTATAAAGATACTACCTGAGATCAGGTAATGTATAAACCAAGGAAGTTTAATTTACTCACAGTTCTGCAGGGCTGGGCAGGCCTCAGAAACATTTAACTCATGGCAGAAGGGGAAACAGTTACGTCTTACAGGGTGGCAGGCAAGAAAGCGAGTGTGTGAAGGAGGAACTATGAAACTTTTGCAAAACTATCAGATCCCATGAGAACTCAGTCACTGTCAGGAGAACAGCATAGGGTGAACCACCCCCATGACATGATCACCTCTCGCCAGGTCCTTCCCTGGACATGTGGAGATTATACAGATTATAATTCAGATGAGATTTGTGTGGGGACACAGAGCCAGACCATATCAGTTCTCAAGTTCTTTTAGTTGTGATGTTAGGTTGTTAGCTTGAGATCCTTCTAGCTTTTTGATATGAGCATTTAGTGCTATAAATTTACCTCTTAACACTGCTTTAGCTGCATCCCAGAGATTCTGGTATATTAGCTGTTTGTTATCATTAGTTTCAAATAACTTGATTTTTGCGTTAATTTCATTATTTACGCGAAAGTCATTCAGGAGCAGGTTGTTCAATTTGCATGTAGTTGTGTGGTTTTGAGTGAGTTTAATCTTTAGTTCTAATTTGATTACACTGTGGCCTGAGAGACAGTTTGTTATGATTTTAGTTATTTTGCATTTGCTTTGGAGTATTTTACTTCTGATTGTGTGTCAATTTGAGAGTAAGTGCCGTGCGGTGATGAGAAGAATGTATATTCTGTTATTTTTGGGTGGAGAGTTCTGTAGGTATCTAACAGGTCCACTTGACTCAGAGCTGAGTTCAGGTCCTGAATATTTTTGTTAATTTCCTCTCTTGATGACTTGTTTAATATTGTCAGTGGGGTGGTAAAGTCTCCCACTATTATTGTGTGGGAGTCTAAGTCTCTTTGAAGGTCTCTAAGATCTTGCTTTATGAATCTGGGTGCTCCTCTATTGGGTGCATATATATTTAGAATAATTAGCATTTCTTATTGGATTGAACTCTTTACCATTATGTAATACCCTTCTTTGTCTTTTTTTATCTTTGTTGGTTTAAAGTCTTTTGTCAAAAACTAGGATTATAACCCCTGCTTTTTTCTGTTTTCCATTTGCTTGGTTAATTATCCTCAGTCTCAATATTTTGAGCCTTTGTGTGTCTTTGCATGTGAGATGAGTCTCTTGAAGACAACATATCAATGGGTCTTGGCTTTTTATCCAGCTTGAAGATGACATACCAATGGGTCTTGGCCTTATATCCAACAGCCTGAGCTGTACCTTGGCCTCCTTTAGCCACAACTGGAGCTCAAGTGGTTAGAGTTTAGGGCACCAAGTCCCACAGCCATTCTGTGTCTTTTAATCGGGACATTTAGCCCATTTTCTTTTAAGATTAGTATTGTTATACATGGATTCAATACTGCCATCATGATGCTAGCTAGTTATTTTGCAGACTTGTTTACATGGTTGCTTCAGAGTGTTGCTGCTTTGTGTACCTCAGTGTGTTTTAATATTGGCTGCTAATGGTTTTTCCTTTCCGTATTTAGTGCTTCCTTCAGGAGCCCTTGCAAGGCAGGTCACATGATGACGAATTCCCTCAGCATTTGCTTATCTGAAAAGGATTGTATTTCTCCTTCACTTATGAAGCTTAGTTTGGACTGATATGAAATTCTGGGTTGGCAGTTTTCTTTTTTAAATATTGGCCCCCAGTCTCTTCTGGCTTGTAGAGTTTCTCCTGAGAGGTCTGCCGTTCGTCTGTTGGGCTTCCCTTTGTAGGTGACCTGGCCTTTCTTTCTGGCTGCTCTTAACATTTTTTCTTTCATTTCAACCTTGAAGACTGTGATGATTATATGTGTTGGGGTCGATCTTCTTGTGGAGTATTTTACTGGGGTTCTCTTCATTTCCTGAATTTGAATGTTGGCCTCTCTTATTAGGCTGGGGAAGTTCTCCTGGATGATATTCTGAAGTGTGTTTTCCAAGTTGATTCCATTCTCCTTGTCTCTTTCAGGTACCCCAAGCAGTCATAGGTTTGGTCTCTTTACATAATCCCGTATGTCTCAGAGGTTTTATTTATTCATTCTTTTTTGTCTTTTCTTGGCTGCTTCTCTTATTTTAGAAAGATATTCTCAGGCTGAGATTCTTTCCACAGCTTAGCCAATTCTGCTTTTAATACTTGTGATTGCGTTGTGAAGTTCTTATAGTGTGTTTTTCAGGTCTAACAGGTTAATTGTACTTCTCTCTAAATTGGCTATTTTGGTTGTCAGCTCCTGTATTGTTTCATCATAATTCTTAGCTGCTTTGCATTGGGTTACAATATGTTACTTTAGCTCAGCAAAGTTTGTTATTACCTACCTTCTGAAGGCTATTTCTGTCATTTCAGCCATCTCAGCCTCAGCTCAGTTCTGAGCCCTTACTGGAGAGGTGTTGCAGTCATTTGGAGAAGGGGCACTCTATATTTTTGAGTTTTACTATTTTTGTGTTGATTTTTTCCATCTTTATGGGGTCTTTAAGGTTGCTGACCTTTGAATGGGGTTTTTGTGGGGTCTTTTGTGTTGATGTTGTTTTCTGTTTATTTGTTTTTCTTTTAACAGTCAGAACACCCTTCTATAGGGCTGCTGCAGGTTGCTGTGGGTCCCCTCTATACCAAGGTTGCCTTAGATTTTCCAGTACCTGCAGGTATCATAATTGAAGGCTGTGAAACAGCAAACATTGTAGCCTCCTCCTTCTGGAAGCTCCATCCCAGGGGAGTACTAATTCATTTCCAGCCTGAACATGCCTGTAGGAGGTGGCCGGAGACCCGAACTGGGAGGCCTCACCCAGTCAAGGGGAACAGGGTCAGTAACCTGCTTAAAATAAGCTGTCTAGCTGGGCCTGGTGGCTCATGCCTGTAATCCCGGAACTTTGGGAGGCTGAGGTGGGCAGATCACCTAAGGTCAGGCATTCTAGACCAGCCTGGACAACATGGTGAAAACCCATCTCTACTAAAAATACAAAAATTAGCCAGGCATGGTGGCATGCGCCTGTAATCCCAGCTATTCAGTGGACCGAGACAGGAGAATCACTTGAACCTGGGAGGCGGAGGTTGTGGTGAGCCAAGGTCACAACATTGCACTACAGCCTGGGTGACAGAGTGAGACTCTGTCTCCAAAAAAAAAAAAAAAAAAAAAAAAAAAAAGAAAAGCTTTCTGGCTGCTTTTTGGTAGAGCAAGTGTGCCATTTTGGGGATCCCTTCAGCCCTGATTGTTATGGGTTTTCCAGGGCCCACAGGCTGGACTGACTGAGGTACCTGAACAACCAAGGTGGTGGCCTGCCCCACCTCCCAGCCATTTTGTCTTAGATGGAAATTAGAGCTCTGTTCATAGAAAACTGTCTGAGTCCCAGCTGAAGCCCTGGCTGGGAGGTCCCACCCAGTGAGGAGGAATGGATCAGGGTCCTGCTTTAAGAAGCAGCTGCCATCTGGCAAAGCAGCTGTGCTGCACTGGGGGAACCCTTTCTTGTCTGGACTGTTTGGACTCTCAAAAGCCAGCAGGCTGAGATGGCTGAGTCCACCTAACCACAGAGATGGTGGCCTCACCTCCCCCCAGGGACTCCATTTTAGGTAGAGGTCAGAGCTCTGTCTGTAGAAAACTGGCTGGGGTGGCTGAAGCCTGGCTGGGAGCCCCCATTTAGTGAGGAGGAATAGATCAGGGTCCCACTTAAAGAAGCAGTCTGGCCATGGTGTAGCAAAGCAGCTATGCTGCACTAAGGGGACCCTTTCATCCAGACTGTTTGCACTCTCCAAAGACAGCAGGCTGGAATGGCTGAGTCAACAGAACTGCACAGATAGTAGCTGCCTTTTCCCCTGGGAGCTCCTTCCCCTCTCAGACAGGCTCCACCCTGTCGCCATTGGCTGGCTGGAATTTCAAACCAGTGAGTCTTATCTTGTGAGGTATCATGGAAGTGGGGCCCTCAGAATACCGCTGCTTGGCTCCCTGGATTCAGCCCGCTTCCTAGGGATATGCATGGACCTCTTGCCTTACCAGAGTTGCACACACCCTTGTTGAGGATCCTAGAGCCAGAGTAGGGTCTCTGTGTGTGCCTGAGCAGCTGCTCTGCTGGCCCTCCACACAGCTACAGAGCTGTGTGGGTCCATTGGACCCTAGGCCCTCATGCCGTGGGCTCATGAGGGGATATCCTGATCTATGTTGCAAAGATCCATGGGAGGAGATTGGTTTCCTGGCAGGGTCACACAGTCATTCACTGCCTCCCTTGGTTGGGGGTGGGGGTTCCTTGGCTGTATTCCAGGGTGGGCCATCACTCTACCCTGCTTTTCTTCATTCTCTGTGGATTGAGTTGTTTGCCTAATCAGTCCCAATGTGAGAACCTGGATATTACGGTTAAAGGTACTATATTCATTCACCCCTTTCATTCCTCTATGTGAGTAGTGTGGACTGCAGCTGCTTTTAATTGGCCATCTTGGCCCCTCCATGCAATTCATTCAACTTTTTATCCTTTGTTTATCCTTTACTCTTTTGGGAGAAAATTTTCAAAATAAATATTTTAAAAACACAGAATGTACTTCAATTATTCAGCTTACCTTTTACATTTACTTTACCAAAATCCTTTAAAAAGAGAGAACTGGTTTTCTATTATTTAACATATATTCACATTACTTAAACCATACAAATTAGAAATAATGAAAAATAATTATGAATGTTCAGTAGAATTTATCTGCAGGATTTAGAAGACATTAAATTGCTTTAGTATGTCCTCCTGTAACCAAACCCAGGTTCAGCTCCCCACTGCTTGAAAGCCAGACAGGAGAGACAGTGGTTAGTAGGAAGGAAAGCAGGTTTATTTGGAAAGCCGGAGAGTTAGCAAACTGAGCAGATGGTGGACTATAATCACAGATTAGTTCACCACCATCTCTAAAATGCGTAATTGTAAAAAATAGTGTGTTTTTGTTTTTTGGCTGTTTTTAAAGTTTTAAAAATATTTTAAACATATATGTATTTTAAAAATATTAATGTCATAATAAAACATGCAAAACGATTTATCTGGTTAACATATGCTTCTCTATGTATGATCTGAAAAATTTTTTTTAATTTACTATAGGATTTTTAAAGGGAAACTTGGTATGGGAAAGATACAGGAGTGGTACAGGGTGCAGAGTCTATGTGTCTTTGTTCCAATGGCTTATCTTGGGTAATCATCCATCTGGACGTCAAGATGGCATTATTTTGACTTCAGCCCCTTGGTGGTAGACTAATTCTTCGCAACCCCCCTTAAGCAGGAGGATTCCTCAATCAGGGCTCCATTCCTGGTTTGTTTCGAAATTAGCCTCTGGAATTTCCTAAGCAAGGACATAACTGTTAAGTACATATTGCCAGAGGGAAGTGTCTAGCGAGGGGCAAAGGAAGAAGGGGTAAAATGGGAGGGAAAGAAGAAGAAAGTAGGTGATTAAAATATATTTTTAAAAATGAGGTCCTGGTTACATTCCTCTGACTAACAATATATTTAATTATTGTATTTCCAAGTTTCTAAAATTGCAGGTTTTTGTTACTTACCTAATTAATTTTTTAGCTAAATATGTTTATAAAAACTTTAGTTTAACTATTTTCATGATTTTGGAATGTAGACTTTGACACAGGCAAATATATGGACAGCAAATAGTTAAGTTTCTTAGAATTTTCCTAACTCTACTTTGATTTCCAAAATTCTACAAGTGAAATTAGTTATAACAGAATTCTCTTGTAATTGTACAGTTTTGTTAACACCTTGTAAGAAGTGGGAAAGTAAGAAAGATTCATGATCAAATTGCAAATCGCTATGAAAGTACAAAACAGTTTAGGATTTGAGAGTTTCTTAGAAGAAGAATTTAGTTATGAATTTTAAGGACACAGAGTAAGTTTATTATTATAAATTTTAAAGTGAAATAGGAAGGTTAAATATGTGACACAAATAGTTGTGAACTGAGGAATCAGAGAAGAGAGAGAGTATGGATATTTAATATGTTTTGGGTAACATAAAGAACATGATGATTATCCTGTTGTGTAACAGGAAATGACCAGATGATAGTTGTCATTATTTGGAAGAAATGGCTTGGTATTTTATGACTCAATTTTTATAACAATTGATGAAAAAGGCTCTGAAGTGATTTGAGGTGATATTATTATTTTATGTACCAAATAAATTTGATATTTATTACAACCAAAATAATTGGTTCATATTGTTCATGCTAAAATAAGCTATTTGTTAATAGCTTCATTTTAAAAATATGAAATACCTTTTTCTATTTTAATGGGTTCTATTCACAGGGGCAAGTAAATTTACACATACTTAAGCCACAAAGAAGGGTGTTTATAAATAGAATACTTCACTTTGATTGAGTAGGCCATTTTATTTTAACTTAAATGTCCTGGGAGGTAGTAACAATTTCTATCAGATTTTTTTCCTTGCAGATCTAATCTTCATTTCTGTTTTTAGAGTTTATTCTTTATGATCCATTTTTTATTTTATCTTATACCATTATTATTAAATATATTAGCACATTTGGTATTTCTAATTTTAGTTGTAAATTACCACTTCTATAAGTGATCATTTGTTTCCAGAACTATTTTTTCTGCATACCTTATTATTTTATTAACCATGGTTTTAAAATAATCAAATACAAATTTCTAGAATTATTAGACAAAATATAGTAAGCAGAACTAGCTACTTTACTGGTTTTTTGTTGTGTTAAACTACCTATTGAGTATAATTTTACCCTGTGTATAACTATGTTATAATAATATGGTGATTGGGTACAGGAATATTTGTAAAAATTACTTTATATTGTTTACATTATTTACATTATTTTCAAATATTAATGGTTTATATAAAATTATAAACTAAGGGGAATAATTAGAAAGGCCAATGAAATTTAAATAAAATTCACAAATTAAGTACCATAAAATAATCACATAATTCAAATGTCCTTTTCCTGAAGGACAATCAATCCTAAATATGAAAATAGAGGTTAGAAAAAACATCCTTTAAGTATAATAGCTTTAAATATTATCTTTGCTCCTAGCATTATAAAATTATCTTCTCCATTACTTGTTTTTAATATACTAACATCATAAAGAAATGGGGATATGATATCATTTATTTTTTATATTAACTTTCAATCATAATATAAAGATTCAAATATTGGTTCTCTAATGTCTACCCAACGCTTGTACAATTTTAAATGATCCAGTAACACTAAGAGCATTTAGATTAATGGTTACTGTTTTAGCAACCTCTCTTCTTCAAATACTTACCATGTTCGTTTTCACTAAACCTGAAGACAATACTCACATTAACAACATTTTTATGTATTTTAGAAATAAACTATAACTAAATTATCAGTAGGTTAACTACCTGAGGAATAGTTCATACTGGGGAAAAATAAAATCAAAATATGTTTTTATTTTCCGATTAACTACTCTGATTATTTGAACAAATTAAGAATGATATATTATTCCAGGATACAATATTATCTTTTCCATTCAAGGTTAAAAATATAACTTGTGATATTTAATTTTGGTTAAACATTTACACATATTTTAACTATTATATGAATATATGTATATGACATATATAAAACTATTATAGGTATTCTACATGGACATACTTTCTCTTACATAATTCATTTCATATATTCTAGATTTTAAAAGACCATATTATATTTAAACATTTTTGAAAATATAATATATAAAGATAGCATATAAAAATTTCCAGATTGTTGTGAAGCATCATATTTCATTTTATATAAAGGTTTCCATCCTAAATATTATATATATTTATAACAGTTCAACTTGCCTTAAACATTATATATACACACATTATGTATATTATATATACATTATATATACATTATATATATATAATATATATGCACACATTATATATATGTGTGTGTGTGTGTAGTCCTAAGGATGTTTCTGATCTAATTTACACATGCCTATTTTCAAATATGTCCTAAGTTGAGTTAATTCAATGTATTTATATTGAGGATATTATTAATATGACACGAGAGGACTCATTAGTGAAAATGAATATTTAGTGTCATACCATATAGCACCTTCATTGTGCAGAGCTGCTAAAACAGTATGGAACAAACCTCCTAAGGAAAATTTGATATAGCTTTCCTATGCTTTTCCAGACCTATTTTCAACACTGCTAAAAGGGGGGAAAATTCAAGAAGGCACTGAAGAGACCACCTCACCAGAACCTGATGTTACTTCTCCTCTGGATGTACATGCTGCAGCTCCATAGGAGCCAGGTTGGAAAAGTTTCTAGGAAAACAACATCTATTTTTTTAAATGGAAAGATATTTTTGTATGGCAATACGTCATTTTAGGCCCCAGAGTTAAGTACATTAAAGTTCACATTTTAGTTTCCACTTAACATTTATTTCTTAAATGTTTTTTAAAACTCAATAAAAAACATTTGGCTTTTCAAAAATATGTTTGAAATGTAATGGTTTTAAAGCATGCAAAATTAGGTAATTAAAAAAGTCATGTATCTGCTTTACATAAACCTAAAAAAAAATCAAGCTGTTATGAATCCATTATAATGATAGAGTATGAAGTTAAATTATAAAATTTATATCAAACTTTTCAAGCTCTTTTGTGTATATTATATAACTGGCAGTGGATAATTTCTGTAATTCTTTTTGTTCTGTACTTCAAGCTCAAGGAAATGTATAATATTGCTCTTGGGTTTTTTTTTGTTGATGTTCTTTTTTTAATTTAATTTAATTTTATTATTATTATACTTTAAGTTTTAGGGTACATGTGCACAATGTGCAGGTTTGTTACATACGTACACATGTGCCATGTTGGTGTGCTGCACCCATTAACTTGTCATTTAGCTTTAGGTATATCTCCTAATGCTATCCCTCACCACTCCTCCGACCCCACAACAGTCCCTGGAGTGTGATATTCCCCTTCCTGTGTCCATGTGTTCTCACTGTTCAATTCCCACCTATGAGTGAGAACATGTGGTGTTTGGTATTTTGTCCTTGCGATAGTTTGCTGAGAATGATGGTTTCCACTTTCATCCATGTCCCTACAAAGGCCATGAACTACTCCTTTTTTATGGCTGCATAGTATTCCATGGTGTATATGTGCCACATTTTCTTAATCAAGTCTATCCTTGTTGGATATTTGGCTTGGTTCCAAGTCTTTGCTATTGTGAATACTGCCACAATAAACATACGTGTGCATGTGTCTTTATAGCAGCACGATTTATAATCCTTTGGGTATATACCCAGTAATGGGATTGCTGGGTCAAATGGTATTTCTAGTTCTAGATCCCTGAGGAATCGCCACACTGACTTCCACAATGGTTGAACTAGTTTATAGTCCCAACAGTGTAAAAGTGTTCCTATTTCTCCACATCCTCTTCAGCACCTGTTGTTTCCTGACTTTTTAATGATCGCCATTCTAATTGGTGTGAGATGGTATCTCATTGTGGTTTTGATTTGCATTTCTCTGATGGCCAGTGATGATGAGCATTTTTTCATGTGTTTTTTGGCTGCATAAATGTCTTCTTTTGAGAAGTGTCTGTTCATATCCTTCGCCCACTTTTTGATGGGGTTGTTTGTTTTTTCTTGTGAATTTGTTGGAGTTCATTGTAGATTCTGGATATTAGCCCTCTGTCAAATGAGTAGTTTGTGAAAATTTTCTCCTATTTTGTAGGTTGCCTGTTCACTCTGATGGTAGTTTCTTTTGCTGTGCAGAAGCTCTTTAGTTTAATTAGATCCATTTTTGTCAATTTTGACTTTTGTTGTCATTGCTTGTGGTGTTTTAGACATGAAGTCCTTGCCCATGCCTATGTCCTGAATGGTATTGCCTAGGTTTTCTTCTAGGGTTTTTATGGTTTTAGGTCTAACATTGAAGTCTTTAATCCATCTTGAATTAATTTTTGTATAAGGTGTAAGGAAGGGATCCAGTTTCAGCTTTCTACATATGGCTAGCCAGTTTTCCCAGCACCATTTATTAAATAGGGAATCCTTTCCCCATTGCTTATTTTTGTCAGGTTTGTCAAAGATCAGATAGTTGTAGATACGCGGCATTATTTCTGAGGGCTCTGTTCTGTTCCATTGGTCTATATCTCTGTTTTAGTAGCAGTACCATGCTGTTTTGGTTACTGTAGCCTTGTAGTATAGTTTGAAGTCAGGTAGTGTGATGCCTCCAGCTTTGTTCTTTTGGCTTAGGATTGACTTGGTGATGCGGG
The DNA here is from genome assembly GCF_000001405.40 of Homo sapiens. Classification (NCBI taxonomy): domain Eukaryota; kingdom Metazoa; phylum Chordata; class Mammalia; order Primates; family Hominidae; genus Homo; species Homo sapiens. Next base: position 96,938,092 of record NC_000003.12, read on the forward strand.
CTCTTTTTTGGTTCCATATGAACTTTAAAGTAGTTTTTTCCAATTCTGTGAAGAAAGTCATTGGTAGCTTGATGGGGATGGCATTGAATCTATAAATTACCTTGGGCAGTATGGCCATTTTCACGATATTGATTCTTCCAACCCATGAGCATGGAATGTTTTTCCATTTCTTTGTATCCTCTTTTATTTCCTTGAGCAGTGGTTTCTAGTTCTCCTTGAAGAGGTCCTTCACATCCCTTGTAAGTTGGATTCCTAGGTATTTTATTCTCTTTGAAGCAATTGTGAATGGGAGTTCACTCATGATTTGGCTCTCTGTTTGTCTGTTGTTGGTGTATAAGAATGCTTGTGATTTTTGTACATTGATTTTGTATCCTGAGACTTTGCTGATGTTGCTTGTCAGCTTAAGGAGATTTTGTGCTGAGACAATGGGATTTTCTAGATATACAATCATGTCATCTGCAAACAGGGACAATTTGACTTCCTCTTTTCCTAATTGAATACTCTTTATTTCCTTTTCCTGCCTAATTGCCCTGGCCAGAACTTCCAACACTATGTTGAATAGGAGTGGTGAGAGAGGGCATCCCTGTCTTGTGCCAGTTTTCAAAGGGAATGCTTCCAGTTTTTGCCCATTCAGTGTGATATTGGCTGTGGGTTTGTCATAGATAGCTCTTATTATTTTGAGATACGTCCCATCAATACCTAATTTATTGAGAGTTTTTAGCATGAAGGGCTGTTGAATTTTGTCAAAGACCTTTTCTGCATCTATTGAGATAATGTGGTTTTTGTCTTTGGTTCTGTTTACATGCTGGATTACATTTATTGATTTGTATGTGTTGAACCAGCCTTGCATCCCAGGGATGAAGCCCACTTGATCATGGTGGATAAGCTTTTTGATGTGCTGCTGGATTTGGTTTGCCAGTATTTTATTGAGGATTTTTGCATCAATGTTCATCAAGGATATTGGTCTAAAATTCTCTTTTTTGGTTGTGTCTCTGCCAGGCTTTGGTATCAGGATGATGCTGGCCTCATAAAGTAAGTGAGGGAGGATTCCCTCTTTTTCTGTTGATTGGAATAGTTTCAGAAGGAATGGTACCAGCTCCTCCTTGTACCTCTGGTAGAATTCGGCTGTGAATCCATCTGGTCCTGGAATCTTTTTCGTTGGTAAGCTATTGATTATTGCCACAATTTCAGAGCCAGTTATTGGTCTATTCAGACATTCAGCTTCTTCCTGTTTTAGTCTTGGGAGGGTGTATGTGTCGAGGAATTTATCCACTTCTTCTAGATTTTCTAGTTTATTTGCGTAGAGATGTTTGTAGTATTCTCTGATGGTAGTTTGTATTTCTGTGGGATCGGTGGTAATATCCCCTTTATCATTTTTATTGCATCTATTGATTCTTCTCTCTTTTCTTCTTTATTAGTCTTGCTAGCAGTCTATCAATTTTGTTGATCTTTTCAAAAAACCAGCTCCTGGATTCATTAACTTTTTGAAGGGTTTTTGTGTCTCTATATCCTTCAGTTCTGCTCTGATGTTAGTTATTTCTTGCCTTGTGCTAGCTTTTGAATGTGTTTGCTCTTGCTTTTCTAGTTCTTTTAATTGTGATGTTAGGGTGTCAATTTAGGATCTTTCTTGTTTCTCTTGTGGGCATTTAGTGCTATAAATTTCCCTCTACACATTGCTTTGAATGCGTCCCAGAGATTCTGGTATGTTGTGTCTTTGTTCCCGTTGGTTTCAAAGAACATCTTTATTTCTGCCTTCATTTTGTTATGTACCCAGTAGTCATTCAGGAGCAGGTTGTTCAGTTTCCATGTAGTTGAGCGGTTTTGAGTGAGTTTCTTAATCCTGAGTTCTAGTTTGATTGCACTGTGGTCTGAGAGACAGTTTGTTATAATTTGTGTTGTTTTACATTTGCTGAGGAGTGCTTTACTTCCAACTATGTGGTTAATTTTGGAATACGTGTGGTGTGGTGCTGAAAAAAAATGTATATTCTGTTGATCTGGGGTGGAGAGTTCTGTAGATGTCTATTAGGTCCACTTGGTGCAGAGCTGAGTTCAATTCCTGGGTATCCTTGTTTACTTTCTGTCTCGATCTGTCTAATGTTGACAGTGTGGTGTTAAAGTCTTCCATTATTATTGTGTGGGAGTCTAAGTATCTTTGTAGATCTCAAAGGACTTGCTTTATGAATCTGGGTGCTCCTGTATTGGGTGCATATATATTTAAGATAGTTAGCTCTTGTTGAATTGATCCCTTTACCATTATGTAATGGCCTTATTTGTCTCTTTTTATCTTTGTTAGTTTAAAGTCTGTTTTATCAGAGACTAGGATTGCAACCCCTGCCTTTTTTTGTTTTCCATTTGCTTGGTAGATCTTCCTCCATCCCTTTCTTTTGAGCCTGTGTGTTTCTCTGCACGTGAGATGGGTTTCCTGAATACAGCACACTGATGGGTCTTGACTCTTTACCCAATTTTCCAGTCTGTGTCTTTTAGTTGGAGCATTTAGTCCATTTACATTTAAGGTTAATATTGTTATGTGTGAATTTGATCCTGTCATTATGATGTTAGCTGGTTATTTTGTTCGTTAGTTGATGCAGTTTCTTCCTAGCCTTGATGGTCTTTACAATTTGGCATGTTTTTGTAGTGGCTGGTACCGGTTGTTCCTTTCCATGTTTAGTGCTTCCTTCAGGAGCTCTTTTAGGGCAGGCCTGGTGGTGACAAAATCTCTCGGCATTTGCTTGTCTGTAAAGGATTTTATTTCTCCTCCACTTATGAAGCTTAGTTTGGCTGGATATGAAATTCTGGGTTGAAAATTCTTTTCTTTAAGAATGTTGGATATTAGTCCCCACTCTCTTCTGGCTTGTAGAGTTTCTGCCGAGAGATCAGCTGTTAGTCTGATGGGCTTCCCTTTGTGGGTAACCCGACCTTTCTCTCTGGCTGCCCTTAACATTTTTTCCTTCATTTCAACTTTGGTGAATCTGACAATTATGTGTCTTGGAGTTGCTCTTCTCGAGGAGTATCTTTGTGGCATTCTCTTTATTTCCTGAATCTAAATGTTGGCCTGCCTTGCTATATTTGGGAAGTTCTCCTGGATAATATCCTGCAGAGTGTTTTCCAACTTGGTTCCATTCTCCCCGTCACTTTCAGATACACCAATCAGTCGTAGATTTGTTCTTTTCACATAGTCCCATATTTCCTGGAGGCTTTGTTCGTTTCTTTTTATTCTTTTTTCTCTAAACTTCCCTTCTCGCTTCATTTCATTCATTTCATCTTCTATCACTGATACCCTTTCTTCCAGTTGATCGCATCGGCTCCTGAGGCTTCTGCATTCTTCACGTAGTTCTCGAGCCTTGGCTTTCAGCTCCATCAGCTCCTTTAAGCACTTCTGTGCATTGGTTATTCTAGTTATACATTCGTCTAATTTTTTTGAAAGTTTTTAACTTCTTTGCCATTGGTTTGAATTTCTTCCTGTAGCTCGGAGTAGTTTGATCGTCTGAAGCCTTCTTCTCTCAACTCGTCAAAGTCATTCTCCGTCCAGCTTTGTTCCATTGCTGGTGAGGAACTGCGTTCCTTTGGAGGAGGAGAGGTGCTCTGCTTTTTAGAGTTTCCAGTTTTTCTGCTCTGTTTTTTCCCCATCTTTGTGGTTTTATCTTGTTTTGGTCTTTGATGATGGTGACGTACAGATGGGTTTTTGGTGTGGATGTCCTTTCTGTTTGTTAGTTTTCCTTCCAACAGACTGGACCCTCAGCTACAGGTCTGTTCGAGTTTGCTAGAGGTCCACTCCAGACCCTGTTTGCCTGGGTACCAGCAGCGGTGGCTGTAGAACAGCGGTGGCTGTAGAACAGCGGATTTTCATGAACGCAAATGCTGCTGCCTGATCGTTGCTCTGGAAGTTTTGTCTCAGAGGAGTATGCAGTCGTGTGAGGTGTCAGTCTGCCCCTACTGGGGGGTGCCTCCCAGTCAGGCTGCTCGGGGGTCAGGGACCCACTTGAGGAGGCAGTCTGCCCATTCTCAGATCTCCAGCTGCGTGCTGGGAGAACCACTACTCTCCTCAAAGCTGTCAGACAGGGGCATTCAAGTCTGCAGAGGTTACTGCTGTCTTTTTGTTTGTCTGTGCCCTGCCCCCAGAGGTGGAGCCTACAGAGGCAGGCAGGCCTCCTTTAGCTGTGGTGGGCTCCACCCAGTTCCAGCTTCCCAGCTGCTTTGTTTACCTAAGCAAGCCTTAGCAATGGCAGGCACCCCTCCCCCAGCCTTGCTGCAGCCTTGCAGTTTGATCTCAGACTGCTGTGCTAGCAATCAGCGTGACTCCGTGGGCCTAGGACCCTCCGAGCTAGGTGTGGGATATAATCTCCTGCTGTGCTGTTATTTTAAGCCCGTTGGAAAAGCGCAGTATTAGGGTGGGAGTGACCCGATTTTCCAGGTGCCGTCTGTCACCCCTTTCTTTGACTAGGAAAGGGAACTCCCTGACTCCTTGCGCTTCCCGAGTGAGGCAATGCCTTGCCCTGCTTAGGCTAGCACACGGTGCGCTGCACCCACTGTCCTGCGCCCACTGTCTGGCACTCCCTAGTGAGATGAACCCGGTACCTTAGATGGAAATGCAGAAATCACCGGTCTTCTGCTTTGCTCATGCTGGGAGCTGTAGACCGGAGCTGTTCCTATTCGGCCATCTTGGCTCCCGCTGCTCTTGGTTTTAAGTTCAAGTTTAAAAGTAATAAGTATTCATATGTTCATTTCCTAAGCCTAGGAGAACTCTGGGATACAAACCAGGGTATTCCAAAATGACCTTGAAGGGACTTTTTTTTTTTAACTGAAACTAATTTCGAGACCTAAATTTCATAGTCAACTTACTGTGCAATTGCACACCAGAACTTATTCCTCCTATCTAACTCTAACTTTGTATCCATTGACCAGTCTCTCATTATCCACCACCAGCCTCTGGTAACTACTATTCTCTTTTCTACTTTTATAAGATCAACTCTTTTAGATGCCACATATGTGTGAGATCATGCAATATTTGTCTTTCTGTTCCTCACTTATTTCACGTCCTCCAGGTTCATCCGTGTTGCAGCAAATGACAGGATTTCATTCTTTTTATGTCTGAATAATATTCTTTTTTGTATATATATATTTTTTTCTTTATCCATTCATCTGCTACCTATTGTATTCTATATTTCAAAATATCTAGAAGGGAGGATTTTGTATGTTCTCACCAAAAAGAAATGATAAATTTTTGAAGTAATGTATATGCTAAATACTCTGATTTGATTATTATACAGTGTATACATATATCAAAACATTATACTGTGCCCCAAAATATATACAATTATGTGTCAATTAAAAACAAACAAAAACACAAAGATTTTTAATATCCTGAATTTCAGATTTTATATATTAAATGCTTTTGAAAGTGTAGTGACTCTGTTCAGAATATTGAAATGCACTGGGGTGATAGCTGTTCTGTGAATAGAAGATGCACATAATGATTACAAGTGCAAATGATGTATTTAAAAACATAAGCAGTTAACAGTGAGACTAAACTGTCTAGTTATCAAAACTTATTCAAACATAAAGTAAATAATAATGTAGCGTTCTTTCACTTTTATAATGAAAGCAAAGTTGACTGTTGTATGATAGAGTATGGTGTTGATTACTGTAGTCCCAGCTACTCAGTAGGCTGAGGCAGGAGGATTGCTCGAGCCTGGGAGGTTGAGGATGCAGTGAGGCTAGCAGCATATGTTATGCTGAAAAATAAATTGAAAAAAGTATCTGTAAAATGAAATTTAAGGAGATAAGAAAGGAATGAATTTGAGATGTTGGAAATTATTGAAATGTAAGATGAGTTTTGCAATTTATGATATATATGATATATCAATAATGTTGTTCTAATAGATCATAAATTGTATTATATCCATCAGTGAATAAACATGCTTAATATATTTATCCCTTTTTAGCTATTACACATTTTTCTATAAAATTCCTTGCAAAGTTATCTATATGTTGTCTCAGTTAACTCTCCATGAAAGAATGGTATGTACTCACCATCTTCTCTCACAAAACCATGCTAGTTAGACTTTTGTCCCACCACTCCACCAAAACAACTCAACTCCAGATCATTTATAACACTCACATTGTCTACTTTAAAACTTAATGTTAAACCCTCATCTTACATGATTTATCAGCAGCTTTTATCATACATAATAGCCACCTCTTTTTTTAAACAATTGTATCACTTATATATTTCCCTTTTTTTTTTTCTTTTAAATTTCTCTGGCTCGTTTCTCTTCCATTGATCAGAACTTTGATTCAAGTATTATCATATATGGTCCATATGATCTTATTTAGTTTCAAGGCTTTAAATATGTTAATGAATCCTGAATTTGTATTTCAAGGCTTGACTTCTACTCTGAACTCCTACTTGGTTATTTAATGCTGTACCTATTCAGCTGGCATGTATATCAGGCATCTTATCCAACATATCTAAAACTGAACACCTTGGCCGTGCACAGTGGCTCACGCCTGTAATCCCAGCACTTTGGGTGGCCAAGGCGGGTGGATCAAGAGATATGCAGTTTTCTCATCTGTAAAATAACTCGATATTACCTATCTTTCTAGGTTTTTGGTAAGTAAAATGGTAAGATCAAGAGATCAAGAGATTGAGACCATCCTGGCCAACATGGTGAAACCCCGTCTCTACTAAAAATACAAAAATTAGCTGAGCGTGGTGGCGCATGTCTGTAGTCCCAGCTACTCAGGAGGCTGAGGCAGGAGAATTGCTTGAACCCGGGAGGCAGAGGTTGCAGTGAGCCAATATCGTGCCACTGCACTCCAGCCTAGGCGACAGAGCGAGACTCTGTCTCAAAAACAAACAAACAACAAAAACAAAAACTGAACACTTTATCTCCCCACCTCGGTCTGTGTTTCTTCTACAGTTTTCATTGTTTTATAATTTCAGCATTTCAGTTATTCTAAATAAAAATTTGGAGTTCTACTTAATTTTACTTTTTCTGAAACTGTATTTTCAATTGAGAAACAGATATCTGTGATTTTATCTTAAAAATATATCCAGAATTTGATTGACTTTTACCACCAGTATTGCAACCGGTCTGGTCCATGATACCATCATCTTTCCCCTAGATTAATAAAATCATATTCTAAGTGCATTTTCTGATTCCATATTCACCTCCATGCCCAATAGTCTGTTTTCCTGTATAGACCTGTGCTGTTCAAAACGGAACTCCAGAGTTGATGGATTCCTTGAAATGAAGTAGTCTGCACTCACTCTGTGTTGTCTGAACTGCAAAGCCAGGCAAATTCCATTATCAGCTGACTCATACATGATCAAGGCTAACGAAAGTTGTGTAAGCCATGCATTCGAGTTATAATTGATTACCAGCTTACTCAAATATGTTGCATGTGTTACTAACCCTACAAAATAAAATCATAGACCTGTGTTACTTTGGTCAGGTCACTTAACAATTCCATATGTAGTTTTCTCATCTGTAAAATAACTCGATATTACCTATTTTTCTAGGTTTTTTGGAGGGTTAAGTAAAATGATAATTTTAAAGCATTTAGTGCGGCACATTAATTACAGATTTACATTATAATTAAATGATGAAAAAAATATATATATATCTGTGAATACCAATAAAATTAGTAGATTAAAGTTGTAAAATTTATCTTAAAGGCTAAAGACAGGTGAAAAAGAATAAATGCATGATCTTGTTACAGTCGATGAGCCTACATTGATACATTGTTATCAACCAGAGTTCATCATTTACATTAGGATTCACACTTTTTGTTGTACATGCTATGGATTGAGATAAATTTAAAATACCATGTGTCTACCATTATAGTATCATACACAGTATATTCCTTGCCCTAAAAATTCTCCATGCTCTGCTTGTTCATCCCTCACTACTGCCTAACCCTTGGCAACCACTGATCTTTTTCTGTACCACAGTTTTTCATTTTCTAGAATATTATGTAGTTTCAATCATACAAAATGTAGCCTCTTAAGATTGGCTTCTTTCATTTAGTTATATGATTTTAAGTTTCTTCCATGTCTTTTCCCTATATGATAGCTCATTTCTTTTTTTTTATTATTATACTTTAAGTTTTAGGGTACATGTGCACAACATGCAGGTTTGTTACGTAAGTATACGTGTGCCATATTGGTGTGCTGCACCGAGTAACTCGTCATTTACATTAGGCATATCTCCTAATGCTATCCCTCCCCCCCTTCCCCCACCCCACGACAGGCCCCGGTGTGTGATGTTACTCTTCCTGTGTCCAAGTGTTCTCATTGTTCAATTCCCACTTATGAGTGAGAACATGCGGTGTTTCGTTTTTTGTTCTTGTGATAGTTTGCTGAGAATGATGGTTTCCAGCTTCATCCATGTCCCTACAAAGGACATGAACTCATCCTTTTTTATGGCTGCATAGTATTCCATGGTGTATATGTGCCACATTTTCTTAATCCAGTCTATCACTAATGGACATTTGGGTTGGTTCCAAGTCTTTACTATTGTGAATAGTGCCGCAATAAACATACGTGTGCATGTGTCTTTATAGCAGAATGATTTATAATCCTTTGGGTATATACCCAGTAACGGGATGGCTGGGTCAAAGGGTATTTCTAGTTCTAGATCCTTGAGGAATCGCCACACTGACTTCCACAATGGTTGAACTAGTTTACAGACCCACCAACAGTGTAAAAGTGTTCCTATTTCTCCACATCCTCTCAAGCACCTGTTGTTTCCTGACTTTTTAATGATCACCATTCCAATTGGTGTGAAGTGATATCTCACTGTGGTTTTGCTTTGCATTTCTCTGATGGCCAGTGATGATGAGCATTTTTTCATGTGTCTGTTGGCTGCATAAATGTCTTCTTTTGAGAAGTGTCTGTTCATATCCTTCGCCCACTTTTTGATGGGGCTGTTTGTTTGTTTTTTTTTTTGTAGATTTGTTTGAGTTCTTTGTAGATTCTGGATATTAGGCCTTTGTCAGATGAGTAGATTGTGAAAATTTTCTCCCATTCTGTGGGTTGCCTGTTCACTCTGATGGTAGTTTCTTTTGCTGTGCAGAACCTCTTGAGTTTAATTAGATCCCATTTGTCAGTTTTGGCTTTTGTTGCCATTGCTTTTGGTGTTTTAGACATGAAGTCCTTGCCTATGCCTATGTCTTGAATGGTATTGCCTAGGTTTTCTTCTAGGGTTTTTATGGTTTTAGGTCTAACATTTAAGTCATTAATCCATCTTGAATTAATTTTTGTATAAGGCATAAGGAAGGGATCCAGTTTCAGCTTTCTACATATGGCTAGCCAGTTTTCCCAGCACCATTTATTAAATAGGGAATCCTTTCCCCATTTCTTGTTTTTGTCAGGTTTGTCAAAGATCAGATGGTTGTAGATGTGTGGTATTATTTCTGAGGGCTCTGTTCTGTTCCATTGGTCTATATCTCTGTTTTGGTACCAGAACCATGCAATGTGCAGAAATCACAAGCATTCTTATACACCAACAAGAGACAAACAGAGAGCCAAATCATGAGTGAACTCCCATTCACAATTGCTTCAAAGAGAATAAAATACCTGGGAATCTAACTTACAAGGGATGTGAAGGAGCTCTTCAAGGAGAACTACAAACCACTGCTCAATGAAATAAAAGAGGATACAAACAAATGGAAGAACATTCCATGCTCATGGATAGGAAGAATCAATATCATGAAAATGGCCATACTGCCCAAGGTAACTTATAGATTCAATGCCATCCCCATCAAGCTACCAATGACTTTCTTCACAGAATTGGAAAAAACTACTTTAAAGTTCATATAGACCCGAAAGAGAGCCTGCATTGCCAAGACAGTCCTAAGCCAAAAGAACAAAGCTGGAGGCATCACGCTACCTGACTTGAAACTACACTACAGGGCTACGATAGCTCATTTCTTTTTAGTACTGAATAATATTCTGTTGTGGATGTACCTGGGATTTTTGAAAATGGTATCCTGTACGTATTTTGGATATTTTCCCCAACTATTTTTAAATAAGTATGAAGGCAAAAACTGTTTTTTTAATTGCACTTTGGCAAAGTTTATCTTTGCAAGACTCTTAAAATGGATATAGTCATCTAAAACTTGGAGTGTCTTATAGATCAGTTGTTTTCATATATACTTTATTTGCTTCTGTATGTTCTATGTGTCATTGAGGAAAATTTCTATCATTTCTTGTCAACTACCACATAAAGTTGATTGTGATTCCTCCACCCATATTCCTTTACAGTTCATATGTAACCTTGGCATAATTTTGGCTGTTTTGAAACTTAGGAATCAGTGCATTGTTTAAGCTGTAGGAAGATATCTTAGTAATTCTTATTGATGTTACTTTTTATTTCCCTGAAAGTCAGGAGAAGGAATATTAGATATGTTTTTGAATAAGCCAGCTTTATGGAAAAAAAATGCTAAGTATTTAAAATGTAATTACACTTTGATTAAAATAAATGAATAAAATCTTATTATATAGATTCGTGGTAAAAGGAAAGTCTTTATATTTGATTAGTGGTGTTTCCTCTATCTTCAGGTATGCCTCCTTTCACCACAAGCTCAAGACTCAAGAAATTTGTACGTATATAGCAGATCTAAGATAAATGAAAATCTGGTCGCAGTTCTATTTATCAAACAAAACACCTATACCTAATTGTCAAGATTGTTTGCTAAGTAAAAATTAATCTGTATTGATGTACCAGAGAATTGGAATAAGGTACAAAAGACTAAAGGGCACCAGAAAAGATGGATTGCTTGAACTGAGATTGGCTTTACTCACACTGCAATGTGTCTTTTGACTGTGTGCATCCTAAGTTGTGAGTGACTGGGACATTTGGAGGTTATGCCGTGGAGTCCTGCTATGCTGTTGACCATCACCATGTATGGTGTTTTGTTGTATGCCGTATATCCCTTTTCATAATGCTCAATAAAATTGGTGTTGGATGAATCCTATTGTCTGTTGCACTTGATTGCTAAATCAAACCCAAGAACATTGCTACAGTTTTACAAGTGTACATCAGGTCGAAAATAAATGAGAATCTGGCCCAGTTACTGATTGATAGACGGAGAAAAAATTGTAAGTTTTTTTTCACTTGTTTTGAATTTAATTCTAATACAAAATTTAACTTAAATCTTAAAAACAAAAAATATTACATGAAACAAAAATAGCTATTAGTAGCAAAAGGTGTGCAGCATATAAAAAGGCAGTATAAATCTAGCTGTTGAAAGATGGGCTGGGAATTCAAAATTTTGCAGTATTACTTATTAGCTGTGTGATTTGGGCCATGTTACCTAACCACTCTATGCCTCAGTTTCTTTATTTGTAAAGTTAGGTTAATAATAATTAATGACATGATGGGACTTTTTGAGAATAAAGTGAGATTTTTATAAAAAGTATATATATAACATTGCTGTGTAAAGTTATCTATTAGCACATGAAATTAAACCTCTCTAAATAATAAGGATTGTAAGCAGGTGATGTAGGATTACAATGGGTAATAAATGACTAATATTAAAAGGTAGGCAATGTGTGTGGGGAATTTATTTTATTCCTTAAATACTTGACTAAATGCAAATACATTTTAAAATCATATTTATTTCTCTAACTTCTATTTAAATGTCAGTATTTTTACCACTTTCTTCTCTGCTTTTCCTCTACTGCTTAAACTTACTCTCTCTAGGACATCTCATTTATGGCTACCATGACCTTAGAAGGTTAAATACTTATCAAAATATGTTCTGTAGCCCAGACTTTTTCCTGAGGACCAGCACCATTTTCCTAATTGACTACCGAAAATTAAAGTCTTAACATTAAACCTTTTGTGTTCACAAGTTCAACATTCATAGCTTTGAAGTCTTTGTGTCCTTACTTTTCCTTAAAATTTATCCTTCTGTGCAGTGTCTTCTAACAAATAAAGTTCTATTCAGGGAGACCTTACTTTTAAAACTTCCATTAACTTGTCATTATCTCAAATTACTGTGTTTAGCAGACATTAAAGGATCTTGGAAACATGGTGTGTGTCACTTTCCCAGCTTCATATTTCATCTTTCCCCATTAGTCTAATGTTCCAACCACAATGCCCGTCTTAGCATCTCGTAATTTCTCATGTGCTTCTGTATACCTATTAGAGGTTCTCTCATTCTCTAGTTCTTGGATTGTCCAAGACTACTCATGCCCTAGTTCAAATACTAATGCCATGCCCTCACCTATAAAGTGTAGGACCTCTTAGGCAGAGACTGTGCCCCTGTAACACCCTTTGCACAATACTGGTATACTGGTGTAAGCCTCTTTGCCCTTGATGTTCTGAAAGATACTGAGTTGCATTTCTCTCTCTCATGAGGTTGCAGCTTTGTGAAGTCAGGAACTGTGTCTTTTTCTCAGTTATAATATATTAGTTCATGGAAAAATCACTGTATTGGATTTTTAAAGTTGAACCAATGAAACAATTAAGCAATGGAAGTTGAAGAGAAATAAATCATCATTATTCATGGGTGGTAATCTTCCAAAGATACTCTTTTGCTTAATATCTAATTATTTGTTAACTCTTGAGCCTCCTGATTCTATAAAATTATTTTTGAGTGTTGCTATTGTAGTGTATATGTCCAAGTTCAACTTCATCCACTTTTTATTACTGTTTGTATTTATATTGCTATATACACATCATAATTGCCTTTTCCATGTTGATATGCCAGTTTTTTACTAGTGTCTATTATGTCTACCTAGATCTTCATTATTGAACATTTAAATGTTTTTTATTGGAATTTGTTATCTAAGAGAATTAGTGATGGCTAATCATAATTTTCTTCTCATTTAACCCAGCTTTTTCTTTTATTCTTTTTCTGTTTATTGTTTATGAATTATATTTAGTGTTGACTTCTTTGCTTTTTTTTTACTTAGTTAAGAACTGATATTCAGCGTTGGCAGTGGAATTATGATAGTAAAAATAATTCTTATTCCTTAGTTGCTTCACTGTTACAGATTTTATTTTCAAGAAAAGAATAATTGAGAAACTGTCTAGTAGAAAGTAGGTTTTCTCCAGCATGGTCAGTAATATTCTGCCAACCAGAGACTAGCCCATAGTCTATACTTTTTTATACTGTATTACTTTTTACCTATCACTTGATTTAATTCTTTGTTCTAACATACTTTATACCATATTAGTGACATAAAGAAATCAAAATATGCCTTTGTTAAGTTTTTTATTTTTGTATTGAAGATAAAGTTATTTAATCAATCAGTAGCATTTATAAAGTAATCATTACTAACAACTCAGTTATTATTGCCTCCTAACTAAAAAGGCACGTAACTCTTTGCTAAGAGAATTCAAGTATTTGAGAGACAATCTTTGACATCAAGATGCTGATGATATATTTTCTATTAAGAATATAAACTCTATAAATCATCATCATCATCATAATTCTGGTTTACTAGTATCTTATTTTATAGTTTATTAATTATCTTCACTTGTGGAGATATGTCATAACATCTTCATAATAACTCGAGGGAGCCATATTATGTCCTTTATGGTCCAATATAGACCTGAAAATCAGATAAATTTAAGCAACTAATCTGATTTTTATACAAATCAGAGTGCCGAGGCTGTGGATTAAATCATATCTTTTGATTGAAATGTCCAAGTTATATTATGCAGTTTCTTCTTTATTTATAAAACCAGAGGACAATACACTATAGAGTATGTTATTTATGCAAACTGAATATCTTAGGTCATATATTATAGCAGTTGAGAGAAAGAAGCTATCTCTGTGGCCTGCAGTAGTCATGAAAATTAGCATGGTCTCCAGGAAGGAAGAAAGATAGGAGTTAAGGAGTTGACTTACTGTTTCTCAGCAACCTAGGAAACTATGGTGTACTTGGTTTGATATAAGGACAGACTAGGTGGGTATACTTAATCTTGACAGTCAAGGTTCTTGGAAAATTTAATTATTTCTCATCACTCAGCCTGGGTACTTGTCCTCTTGTTCTCCATTGTACTAGGAAGAGACCATCATCATTCAGCATTCCTCACTACACCCATCCAGACAAGAAGGTGAGCTACTTGTGGTCTGACGCGTGTTAAATAGCTTGATAAGCACTGCCTAGTACAGTGCCTAGCACCGAATAGCTGTTTTCTAAACTTACTTTCTGCTATAGTTTGGATGTGTCTTGTTCCCACTGAAACTCATGTTGCAATGTAATTGCCAATGTAATGGTATTGTGAGGTGGTAGGGCCTTTAAGAGGTGTTTGGATCGTGAAGGCTTTACCCTCATGAAGGGTTTAGTGCAGTTCTCACAGGGCTAGGTTAGTTCTTGTGGTGCTGAGTTAGTTCTTGTGAGAGTAGGTTATTATAAAGAGGTTTGGCCCTCTTCGTTTCTCTTTTGCTTGTGCTTCTTGCCTTTCTGCCATGTTATAACTCAGTATGAAAGATTTTACCAGATGTTGCTTCCATGCTCCAAAATTGTGAGCAAAATAAAGTTATTTTCTTATAAATTATCCTGTCTCAATATTGTTATAGCAACTGAAAATGGACTTTCTGTTACCCAGTGTTAACATTATTTGACCTTTGCCAGATGCATAGTTTGCAAAAGTTTTCTCCCATTTTGTAGGTTGTCTATTTACTCGGTTGATAGTTTCTTTTGACGGGAAATCAAATACTGCATGTTGTCACTTACAATTGGGAGCAAAATGATAAGAACACATGGACACATAGAGGGGAACAACACTGTAGTATGCCACAGTGTCTGTCTGTGGAGGGTGGGAGGAGGGAGAGGATTAGGAAAAACAACTAAAGGGTATTAGGCTTAATACCTGGGTGATGAAATAATCTGTTCAACAAACCCCCGTGACACGAGTTTACCTGTGTAACAAACCTGCACAAGTACCCCTAAATTTAAAGTAAAAGTTTTTAAAAAATTAAAACATTTAACACAAAGAAATAACCAAAAAAGAACAATATTTGAATTCAAGATTTCCTGGGTTTTTTATAGCCTATGTTTTTCTCATATATCATGATGCTAAGTTAGGTTTTCCATCCTGTATAGTATGCTAACCAAGGAGTTTATTTTTTTAATGAGAAGTTAATTTGGTAATTCAATTTAGTATTTATATTGTTAAAAATAAAGATGAAAAATGTATATTTCTAATTATGTGATCACTGTCTTTTGAGATGTTTTATTTGGAAATTCACTTAGTGTTTGTATTATTGAAAGTGGCAAGTCAATTGCCAGAATTGTATTTGTTTCTAGTTTAAAAACCCAATATACATATTATCACCGTTCCTTTTTCCAGCCGTTTAAAATTGCCTGGAATTTTAAAATTACACAAATAGTACATTGTAGCACAAAAATACTCCAATAATACAAAACTCCATGAAGTAAAGTGTTAAAGTTTATGGCTCCTGCATACATTTATAGAAGAAACTTGACTTTTCTCTTTCCAAGTCTTCTTTTTAAACAAAAGCCAATTCTACACTCTTTTCTGGTGTTAAAGTTTGGTATCTGTCTTTCAGACCCTTTTTAAAAGATAAAAATGGGCCAGTTCTACACATTTTTCTGCATATTGCTTTTATCTCACCTGAGAGACAACCATCTATATCACCATATGCTGATCTATCCATGTTTGACATTCCTTCTTTCTCTTATACCCCATATTCAAACCATTAGCAAATCCTGTCCAGTGAATCTTAAAATGGAATTGTTATCTGTACTGCTGCTCTTCAAATCCAGGCTTTGTCTCCTTTCCCCTGGACTATTTCAATAACTTTTTTTTTTTTTGAGACATGGTCTGACTCTGTCACTCAGGCTGGAGTGCAGTGGCGCAATCTCAGCTCACTGCAACCTCTGCCTGCTGCACTTAAGGGATACTCCCACCTCAGCCTCCTGTGTAGCTGGGACTACAGGCATGTGCCACCACACCTGGCTTATTTTTTTTGTTTTTTGTAAAGATGAAGTCTTGCTGTGTTGCCTAGGCTGGTCTCAAACTCCTGGGCTCAAGTAATCCACCTGCCTCTACGTCCCAAAGTGCTGGGATTACGGGTGTGAGCCACCACACCCAGCCTTCAGTAGCATCTTAACCGCTGTCCCTTCCTCACTTGCCTCAAGACAGCCAGCGGAATGACCCACCTAAATTGTAAGCCAGATCTTGCCATTCCTCATGGCAAAAACTCTACAGTGGTTCAACGTCTTATTAAGAATAAAAGCCAAAATATTCTCAAAAGCCTGCCACAGCTTTGGTGATTTTCCCCAATATCTCTTTGAACTCAGTTCTTAACCACTTCCTCTCTTGCACACTGAGCCCTTGTCACACTGGCCCCTTGCTGTTTATCATATAAGCTGTGCTTGCTCCCAAGTTATGTTTTTTGATCCTACTCTTTCCTCTTCTTTTCATGCTCTTACCCCAGATTTTTCTGTGGCTTGCACCTCAGTCAGGTTTCAAATATCACTACACAGGGAGAAGTGCTTCCTGATTATCTCACATAAAGAACAACTCCCTCATTCACTCATGGCTGTTTACCTAACCTCACTTTATATTTCTTTAGAGCACTTTTCACCAATGATAGTTTTATAAGTTTTAAAAATCCTTTTCTTTCCAAACAAGCTATAACCAAATACAAGTTTGTGAAAACAGGAATTAGTCTTAAATTTTTACTGGTGTGCCTTTTTTTTTTTTTTTTTTTTTTTTTTTTTTTGAGACGGAGTCTCGCTCTGTCGCCCAGGCCGGACTGCGGACTGCAGTGGCGCAATCTCGGCTCACTGCAAGCTCCGCTTCCCGGGTTCACGCCATTCTCCTGCCTCAGCCTCCCGAGTAGCTGGACTGGTGTGCCTTCTACATCTAGAATGCTATCTGGCACATAACAGGTTCTTAATATTTATTAAGTAAATTATTGAATGATTTGATTAATGAGCTACATTAACATCTGTAATATATTTCAAAGTATAGATAAAACATAATTTATCTATTTACTTCTTGGAGATCTTTGTCTCTAATATTTCACTGAGCTTTACAGAGCTAGAACAGTGCTCAGTGAACATTCTTGTGATGTATTTATGTAGAACATGTTTCTAATAGTAGAAATGCTGTATCAAAGAATATGAAAATTTTAAATTTGATATGTGCTGACATGGTGCCCTCCAAAAAGACACATCACATGTGTCTTTACATTAATGGTGTTTTTTGTCTATGGACATATTATATCTCTTTTCATTTATTTGGATTTCCATATAGTTTAACATGAATTTTATTTGTATATGTGCATAGACTTGATATTTACTCATGCTATAGCTTTTCAGTATCCATGCAAGGGATATTTATGGTTTTCATTAATGGATATCTTCTAAGGAAGCAGAGGGAAACAGTTTTTGGTATATGAAGAATTTCCACTAAAGTTACAGAAATTAGGTTTGTTTCTGTTTAATATTTGTACTCTTAGTGTTTTCTTAATTCATTTTTGGTAAATTTCAAGACTAATGGCAAAAAATATGTTATAAAAAAAGATACTGTGCTGATGCATTTGCAAAAGCAGACAGAAATTTAAACATAAAGGTTGAGGTTGGTACTGTTTATTGAATGATCTTTATTTTAACCTTCACGGATGGAATTCAATGATTTAAAAATATATATAATGAACAAAAACTCATTATCCATGTCAGTAAGCCTAATATTTCCTACCTTCTAACACATTATGCTAATAACTTTTCAGATGAATGCATTTTAATTAAAAACAGTTGTCAGTTGAAAAGCATTACTCACAAGTAGGAACAAATACAAACTATGTTTTTTGTGATATGAAAAATGCTTTGAAGAAATCAACTGAGAAATCATTTGTTGGTAGCTCTGAGGGATAAAAAATGTTTGGAACACATCCTTTTTTATACTTATGTGAATTTATATTCAGTACGAAATGGAATAAACATGCTCTCTGAATTCCTGAGTAAATATTTCAGCAGATCAGTGTCAAAAGGTTGCTTAATTGAAAAATGTTGCAGTGTAAAAAGAACATGAGACGAAATTTTAGAGCATCATTTAGTAAGTATGAATCTCTTCATAAGTATATTCCTAAGCTTTCTGAAAAAGTAACAATCCATACACATAGAGATTGGTAATTAAAAGAAAATTCTCCCTTCATATTCTCCCCTCTTCCAGTAAGTTGTAGAGAAGGCACTCATAAGGGATACATAGGTCATATTAACTAATCCTGATGGATGAATTAGAAAGTTTAAGTGTGCCCAGATAGCTATGATCCATTGAATTGACTAAGATAATGTTAGTCCAGCAGAATTCAAATGGAAACAATAGCACACTTACCCCAAAGCTGGAATACAACTGTCAGGTTTTTGAGCTTTTGTGTGGAGAACTGATGGACTCAGCTGGTATTTTCATTACATCTAATTAAAGGTTATGACTTTGGAATAAAAAGACGATATGTGAAGTGAACAGCATGCTATAGAGCTTCAAATTCCTTAAAGACAGGCTCCTGTCAAGCTAGGAGAGACATTTTACAAAGATCAGGAAGCGTTTATTTGGCAAGAGAAGTTGATCAGAAAGGCATTAAAATAAAATTTAATAAAAAGAGAAAAAGTTGTCCCAATACACAAACCCTGAGACAGAAGAGAAAAATAAAATGTATAAAAAATGTAGGCTGGGTGCAGTGGTTCAGGCCTGTAATCCCAGGACTTTGTGGGGCTGAGGCGGGTGGATCACGAGGTCCGGAGTTCGAGACCAGCCTGGCCAAGATGGTGAAACCCTGTCTCTACTTAAAATACAAAAATTAGTTGGGTGTGGTGATACGTGCCTGTAGTCCCAGATACTCGGGAGGCTGAGGCAGGAGAATCGCTTGAACCCAGGAGGCAGAGGTTGCAGTGAGCCAAGATTGCACCACTGCACTCCAGCCTGGGTGACAAGAGTGAAACTTGTCTCAAAAAAAAAAAAAAAAATCTGAACCACAGTGATGAGAAAAATTAAAATTGGATGAGCTAAAATATTTACAGACTTAACTGAAAGTATATTGAACAAAGCAGGAATGTGCTGAGTGATTCAGAGACTTTTAAAATAAGTGTTTACAAGGAATCATTGAAGAAAATTTGGATAAGAGTAATGGCATTAGTGAATCAAAATATGAGATCCAAAGAAGAGGGATATCTACAAAGTTGCTGAGAATTTGAAGATAAAAAGGAGAAAATAAGTGTTGACAGTGTTGCATGGCTAAAGATATAACTATGGTAGACAGACGTTCTCAATTTAATTTTTAAAATTTGGACAAAATAAAGATACAAAATGGGACTTCTCATATCTGGAAACCTTTTTATATATGCAGAAGCAAGCTTTACTTAGTTTTAATAAAACTTTTCAATTTCACAATGTAGATAATTTGTAACTGGGAATATATCAGAGACTCAGAGAATCTTGTAACTGACAAGTATACTAGAAGTTATTAAATTTCAATCAGCTGTTAATTTCTGTCAACTTAGCCCTGATTGGTGTTGTGAAAATAATAGAATCCTTGAGAGTACATAATCAACTCACATTGGAGTTCTCAGAAGTTAAGAAAACAAGTGGGCTAGGAAAAGTAATAATTTAATTCTGTTAATTTTTAGTTAGCTTGAATAAAGAGAGAGATTCTAATGACCCATGACCCACATGTATTGAAAACATGTTGTTATATGTTTGTTTTTACTTATTTGGCATTCCTTTTTTATTGCCAAATACTATTCAATTATATGACTGTATTACATTTTATTTATGCATTCATCAGGTGATCATATTGGGTTGTTTTCACTACATGTGGAAACTGAAATATTTGACCAAAAGACGTAGAGAAAATGTGGTAAAGTTGCACCTCATAGCAACTAGCTTAAAAGAGTTCCTGAAATCTCAGCAGTGGGAGTTTGTTGGGCTGTACTTTGTATTTTCCAAAAACGTGACTCAACTACTCATTGAATATTAGATTCTTTCTCCATGCTCTACTGTTGTGTCTTGACCAGCCTGGTTGACATGGTGAAACCCCATCTCTACTAAAAATACAAAATTAGCCAGGCGTGGCGGGGCATGCCTGTATTCCCAGCTACTTGGGTGGCTGAGGCAGTAGAATCACTTGAACCCGGGAGGCGGAGGTTGCAGTGAGCCGGTACCCCGCCATTGCACTCCAGCCTGGATGACAAAAGCGAAACTCTGTCCCTAAAGAAAAAAAAAAAAAAGAACTTGACTTTCAGTTCTGCCATTTGCTAATTCTCTGACTTTGGGATGTTAGCTCAACTTTCGTAAAACTCAGTCTCCTTATATGTAAAATGTGAATAATAATATTACCTACCTCATAGGATTTTTGTGAGAGCTAAAGGTTATATTGCATGTAAATCTCTAGTACAGTGGTTTTATTCATTCAATAAATACTATTAATAATATTGATTACAATAATAGTCAATGATTTTCATTTACTTGCACTGGTTATTTGCATGGTGTTCTTATTGTTAGAGCTTTTATATCACCCCACAGAACCTCTGTACCCATTAACAGTCCTTCATTCCTCCCATCTCAAGAACTAGACAAACGGTAATCTACTTTCTGTTTTTATAGATTTACCTATAGTTGGCATTTTGTATAAATGGAATCATGCAATATATGTGGTCTTTTGAGTCTGGCTCTTCCACTTAGCGTGGAACTCACCCATGTTGATGAGAGATTCTTTCTACTTAGGACTCACTCATGTTATTGAGTGATTCTTTTTATTGTTTAGTATTCCTTTTTATTCCCGAATACTATTCAATTGTATGAATATATCACATTTTATTTATGCATTCATCAGTTGATGACATTGAGTTGTTTTCACTTTTTTCTAGTATGAGTAATGCCGCTGTGAACATTCATGTACAAGTTTTTGTAAAGCGTATGTTTTAAATTCTCTTGAGTATATACCTAAGAATGGAATGCTGGGTCATTTGGTAACTCTATGTTCAACATTTGAAAAAATTTCCTCTGTTTTCTAAAGTGACTGTGCCAGTTTACATTCCCACCAGAAATGCTTGAGTGTTCCAATTGCTCCACATTTTCACCAATACTTGTTTATTGTCTGGTGTTTGTTTGTAGGCATCCTAGTAAGCGTGGAGTGGTTTTATATTTTGGTTTTGATTTGTGTTTCCCTAATGGCTAATGGTGTTGATAGCTTTTCATATGTTTATTAGCCATTTGTCTATTTTCTTTAGAGAAATAGCTATTCAAATTATTTGCCCATGTTAAAATTGGGTTATTTTTATTTTTGTTGTCTAGTTGGCAGAATACTTATATATTCTGGATACAAGTCCTTTATCAAATATATGAATAACAATTTTTTTTTCTATTCTGTAGGTTGTTACTTTCTTCATGGTATAATTTGAAGCACAGATATTTTTACTTTTAAAGTGTAATTAATCTATTTTTATTATAGTGTTTTCCTTTTGATGTCATATCTAAGAAATCAATGACTAATTCCAAGTGACAAAGATTTACTCCCATAAATTCTTTTAAGATTTTTATAGTTTAGCTTTTATATTTAAGTCTATGAACCATTTTTCATTAATTTTTGTGTATTGTGTAAGGAAGGGGTCTGACTCATTTTTGTGCATGTGGATATCCAGCTGTCTTGTTTTGTTTTTCAGTAATAAATACATTGCTCATGAAACAGAAAAACAAAAAAAATCAAAACGAAACATAGAAAAAGACAAAAAGGGAACCACTTCTGCTTGGAGAGAATAGAGAAAATTTACTTAATATGTAATATTTGAAGTATTTGAAAGTTTCCCAAAATGTGAATAGAATTGGGATGAGTAGAGAAAAATATGAGGGCAAGAAAATTATAGGCATAGCTGGAAAAGAGAAAGTGCCAAAAAGTTAAAATAACTATTTCATTTTGGCAATAATATACTTTACAGAGAACCTGGAACCTAACCATAAACACACCCTGAGAAAGTGATGCAAGTACGAGTAATGTCTTTGAGGAGTGCCTCAGAGTTATTTTACCCTGGAGGCAAATGAGCTGGTGTATTTGTGAACCAGTTCTTTAGAGTACTTTGGTAAGGACTATTTTGAGGTATGTGGCCTACATTTAGTTGATGTGCTCAGGGTCTGAGATCTCATGCAGAGTGGAAAGTGGTCTTGGAGAATGATTTTTTCTTTATTGGAGGTGAGAGCCATTAATGGGTTTGAAGTCAGTATCCTCATCTTTCTCTCTTATTTCTGGGCATGTCATGATCTGTTAGCCGGTTCCAGAGATCTCTGTGCCTTAGTACTCCCTGGTTGCCACTCAAACTTGGCTTCCCGTTTTGCCACTTTTGGCAATTGCATCAACCTTCCCTCTTATAGTTAAGTGTTGCCATCTGGCCTCTGCTATTCTTAAACCTCATCATTTCTACTGAAACTAGGGAACGATTTTATAAGCAGATCCTACCCCAATCTTCAAATATAGTCTACAAAGTACAAAAAAGACTGAGTTTTCATGATGGAGTGTTCTCATTAGCACATTTATCTTTTGCTTTAAGGAAGAGTTTGTCTTTAGGACCATCACAGGAACATAGCCAGCTGGTGGATTCTCTAGTGTTGTTTAATAAATCCATGTCACTATGTCTTTGAATCTTTTGACACCTTCATCAAAACTTTATACAGGTATTTTTTAACTCTTTTATTCTAGGTTGTTATTTTATCTACATACTTCCAAGAAGCATGCTTATAGTATATCATAGCTGATTTCAGCTGCTGTTAAATTCTGAGTCATAGGTGAATAATCTCATATCAATCGACTCTGTTTTACCTACCTTCTATCCTTCTCTCCCTTTCCACTAGTCTTGAGATCCATTCCCAAGCATGGTTTCACAGTTCTTGCCAGTTCATATTAGCCAGGCCTTGCAGGTCTTTTGATGAATAATCCCTTCCCTTACAATGAAGGGAGAAAACTTGTATAGCTGGATTAAACTGAGAATTGACTGTAATGGTTGACCTAGAAGTATTAAGAAGAGAGGGAAGGAAGAGCTTGAAGAGGGCAGGTTTCATCTTGCCAGACATCTGAGGTAAGGCCTCTGAATGCCCCTCAGGCAAAGGGAGGCTACTGTCCTTTAGCAAGAGTGATTGAGCCACTTTTGTAGGCCCACAGACAGGTTTTAGGGAAATCTGGGGCTCAAGTTCTCAAATGTATCTATTCATCTCTATTCTATAACTTAGAACCTTATCCATCTGTCACTTACTTAAGAGATACAGTGATACTGCAAATTCATTCTTCTTTACAGTTTGGTTCATTGCACAGTCAGATCCTGGTCTTGGTTTGCATTCCTGTTTGTCTTTTGGGTGCAGGAGAAAAGTGTCTTTATAGATGCTATTATGAAAGCTTTGTATTTCACACCATACTCTGAGTTGGAGGTTGGCTAAATTGAGTGTGTCATTTTTTACTTCGCTTAATAAATTGATGGCACTTAACAATAACCACTGTCTTTATAATTTCCTTTGCTATAGAAGAATAACTTTCTCCAATCCTAGATATTTTGCATAAACTAGCACAGCCCTTCTACCTGTGTGATACACTTCAGTTTACTACAGGTAAGAATGTTGGCAATTGAGATACTTCAGGATGTTAGCCTATCCACAATCCTACTTACCACCAGCAGTGGAGTCCTTGTTATCATTTGGCCAGTGAGTAATACAAGCACTAGGATGTCTGCTTCCTAGAATAATTTTCATACCAATTGTTTTAGTTGCAGTTTCCCCATAGCTGATTTTGAGATAGGAATTTTAAGTGCAGGTAGTTTATTTGGGAGATTCAGGGAGCATGGGTTGGGGAGGGGAAGTGATACAGAAAAAGGATGACTGCAGTAAAGGGTGCTTTATTAAGCTACTTAACACCATTGATAAGTGGAGCCTAATCCTACCAGGACATTTGAGGAAATCACATAAAACACGTCTCATGTACTAAATTCCAGGAATTATTTGCTGAGGGCTTTTCCTCTAGGGATGTTGATTCCTCAGCACTTTCTGACCTGATGTGTACACAGACAGAGAAACCTTCTGCAGTTTTGTTGGAGACAAAACCCAGCCTTCACACACAGAGCTGATGTTAGAGCATCCTGAAAGGTCTAAGGAAATGGGCAGAGCTTTGATGGCATCTCCCACAGAACAGTGAAATGAAAGTTAATTGGTGTCAGACCATGGAGAGCATTGAATGCCATTCAAGGAAGTATTTAGACCTGATATTCTCTAAAGCAGAAATGTAACATGATAAGAATTGTGCTTTAGGATAGTTACCCCAAAGTATTGTGTAGAATGGATTAGAGAACAGAAGCTAGAGTTGAGAGTGTCATGGAGGAGGAATAACAATGATGATCTTCATCCTGTTTCCAGTTCTCACTGGGAATTGCTCCCAGTTCTAATACTAAACCCACTTTTAGACGGCCTAACTAGATAACATTCTGAGCCCACTCCATCAAGAGAATTTCAGATAAAGAGATTCCATTTTCAAAAGAATTGAGAATTTAGTCAGTCAGAAAATTTGCACTGTCCCTTTTAAGCTTAATTTTTTTTTTTAGCTAAAACAAATTAGCCTTATTTGCTCAGAAACAGCCTTATATAAAGAGAACCAACATTGACCTTGCCTGTGCTTGCTAATTTACCATACTTGTTTATTCACCTCTAAGTGCCCTTTGAATCCCATTTAGTAATTCATCATTCTTGATAGTAGTTTACCAAAGACAAAGGAATAGAAATTAGCTGAGTAAGAGAAAAACAAATGAAAAGGAGGGAGCATTTCAGGCACGGTGGCTCAACACCTGTAATCTCAGCACCTTGGGAGTCTGAGGCTTGCGGATCGCTTGAGCCCAGGAGTTTGAGACCAGCATGGGAAACATGGTGAAACCCTGTCTCTACAAAAAATACAAAAATTAGCTGGGCATAGTGGCATGTGCCTGTAGTCCCAGCTACTTGGGAGACTGAGACAGGGGGATTGGAGAATCGCTTGAGCTCAGGATGCGGAGGTTGCAGTGAGCTGTGATAGTGCCATTGCACTCCAGCCTGGATGACAGAGTGAAACTGCATCCAAAAAAAAAAAAAAAAAAGAGGGGCACTAAAGAGAGCACTTTTCTGAATAATCCCAAACCAACTTAAAAGGGTAAAAACTAGGCAAAGAAAACGTTTTCATTTGCTCAGCACTAATCTAGTAATAATGCGTTAGTTTGTCATTTTCACATAGAACACCAATAAACCAAAACAAATTAGGCTAACTTGGATTTCCATCCCCTCATGCACAAATTTAATCCCCTACAGATCTTTAGCCATATTTCTGGGACTTATAGTCAAAACCCCTCTTCTTTTCACCTTTCCAATATTGAGGACTTTGTTACTGGGTCAACTGTCAATAGCCTTTCTTTTTTATTTTGGAGAAATTCTCTATAAATGTATGCTTTTTATTGTTACATAATTCAATGCAAAGACTTCTGTAGGGTTTAGCAGTTTACAATATATGGCTGGGTATTTCCATATCTACAGTGGAGGCAACTTGAGTCCATTTCCAGAAAACTCATCATCTGTCATGCAGTGGAGCTCTGTTGTCTCCTGCTAATTAAACAAAAGTGAACAGATATGCCAGAATACAAAGTGGTGGGAATAAATACTGTGGTTTCAGTTGTGATCTCTGCTACACATGTTTATATAAAGTAAATAACATTTGCGGTAATCAGTTTTTATAAAACTCTGGCTTTGAGTAAAATAATAATTATATTTCAAAGATGCTATAAACCTATTCTTCAATTTGCCACAATGAGAAGGAAGTTCAGTCTTTTCATGTGCCTTTATTCCAGACATCCAAATCTCTAGAATGGTTTATTTATGTATAAGAAGTAAGATCCAGTAGTCTTTTTAAAATTAAAAATACACATTTTAAAATTAAAAATAATATATTTTTAATATTTGTGGGTCCTAATAGGTTTATATATTATGGGTACATGAGATACTTTGACATGGGTATGTAATGCATAGTAATCACATCATGGTAGATGGGGTATCCATCCACCCCCTCAGGCGTTTGTCTTTTGTGTTTCAAGCAATCCAAGTATGCTCATTCGTTATTTTAAGATGTACAATTATTATTGAAGATCCAGTAGTCTTGCCATTCTGCAGAAAAGAGGTGGCCCCTGAGGCTGGAAGGCCCAATCACAGCAGCCTGTTAAAACTGGTTGATTATTTCAGTGCCACATTATTATCATCGGTCTATGCAAGTCCTCTCTTGCCTTTATTTATTATTTAATACTATTTCCTACTCACATTCTTCTTTGTTCATCTTAGACAACTGTTCTATTTTGTTTGAGGGGGAAACTTTAATTTGTATGTATTATTAAACAATGTGAATTGTTTTGTGACTGTGTTGTTTTGGTTTTTATAGATAACATTGTATCATAGATCTGATTTTGATCCTTACTATTTTTTTCATCATCTCTTTGTTATACGATCTGTGTTTGTTGCTAGGAGTACATTGACTGTTTTAGCACTGATTGATGCATACGTTTCACTGTTTAGATCCACTATATTTTATTTATCCCTAATGATTATCTCCAATTTCCAGTTACTACAAAACATGCTCTGATGAATGTACTTATCCGTTTCCAGTTATAGACTTGCTAATTATTTCCCTGGGATATATGTATTTGTGAGTGTGTGTATGCATGTGCACATTGTAGAGTATATGCATACTCAAGTGCTAGCAAATTACTCTCTGTAATGGCTGCAAAAGTCTACTGTCTTCATCAATAGTATTGTCAAAAGAAAAACTTCAGCTGAATTAAATTTAAAGCAGTTTAATTGAGCAATGAACAATTCACGAATCGGGCAGCCCCCAGAATCACAGAAAATTCAGAGAGACTCCAGGGATGCCTTGTGGTCAGAAAAAAATATAGACAAGTAAGAGAAATGATGTACAGAAATCGGAAGTGAGTTTCAGAAACAGCTAGATTGGTTGCAGGTTGGCATTTGCCTTATTTGAACACAGTTTGAACACTTAGCAGCCTCTGAGTGGTTGAAATATGGCCTCTGGGATTGGCCTAGACTCAGTTACTGTTACAGGAGCATATTCCTAAGTTAGTTTTCAATCTTGTCTGCCTATTAAGCTAGGTTACAGTTCATCTACAAGGACTCAAATATAGAAGTAAGGTGTTTTTCTCAGGCCATATTTAGTTTGCTTTAACACCGTATAAGGCTTCTTACTTACCTACCTCCCTAACAATACTTGAAAAAAATTGGTTTTTCATTTTTACCTATCTAATGGGCCTAAAATGTTACTCTAGTGCTGTTTCAGTATCTTTATATTTTAATGAGTGTGTGAATCTTCTCATATACTTGTTATTTCAACTTACTTCTGGAAAATGTCCTTATAACATCTGAGTATTTTAAAAAATTGGAGAAGCTATCTTGTTATTATCCATTTGCAAGAATTCTTTATGTAGTTTATATTTTTTCTTACAGATATTAATGCTGCAAATAACATATATAAACCTGTCATCTACCAGTTTTATGTATGATGTTGAGTAGAAATCCTTACTTTTTACATAATCAAATTTACCAATTTTTCTCTTTATATTTTGTACTTCAGATTTTTATTTAAGGAGTTTTATCCAGCCCTCGTTCAGCAACATTTGTTTATACTATGTATTAATGTATAATTTTACCTTTCGTATTTAAATCAGTATTCTTTGAGGATCAAACTTCTTATAAAGGGTTTATGTAGAGAGGCAGTTTTATTTTTCTTCATATAGTAAGCCAGTTTGCTACTGAACAGCCAGAATAGTTGCACTGTGATTTTGTATGTACAATTTATTTGATACTTACTTCTCATGTAAACATGGTCTTGTTTGAGCTCTGTATTCTGTTCCATGATCTATTTCTCTGTTATTGTGTTAGTGAACAAAATTTTATTACTGTGGAATTATAGTATATTATATATCAGTAAGACAATTATTAATTTAGGATATTTTTATTGAATAAATTAGGTATTCTTGAAATGTTATTCTTTCTGTGAGTTTTAAAATAAGTTTACTGAGTTTTTAAAAAATGTTAAACTGGTATTTTGATTAGAATTGAATTGAATTTATAGATAAAACTGGGGGAAATTGTTATTTACAGCATTAAAGTATCCCATCATTAATACGGATTACAGTAACCCATCCAAGGGCATCAAATGTGCTTTCATTTATTTAGGAAGTCTTGTGAGACCCTTACAGGGAGCCAGCTGGCAAAGCAGAAATGTGGGTTGACAGGGTTCAGTCCTAGTGCCATAGAGCAGAGTACAGAAAAATGCCTCTGAAGCCAAGAGACGATGACTTAATGATTACTCAGATAGGAATTTACTGTTTCTTAAAAATTTGGTTGAATTTATTTAAATTAACTTGCCTAGAGATTTGGCGTAATTACGTATCTGCTCCCAAATTAGTTTAAGCAATGTTTTTGTTGTTACTGTTATTACTTTTTAGGGGGAGAGATTTGTGGATTTTTTGTAGTAAATAAGGTTGTTATGTATTTATTATCACAATTATAGGAATTTTCCAGAATTGATTAAGGATATTTTAGTTTTCTATGCTTGGAAACTGTTTTTGTGATGAGATTTATGCTGACACAAGGAAAATGACATATTTTTATGCTCACACAAGGAAAGTAACATTCTCTTTTACAATGTGATTTTTCTTCTTTCTCAGGCGTATATAATTATTCATTTTTCTATTAACTTATAAACTATTGCATTTACTTTAAATTTTGTCCTAATATTTACTGTGTTAAGTATATGTTAGATCCTTTAAGTATACTGACTTCTAACGTAAGCTTCTTGCCTGTGGGAACCATATTTAATTATGTGTAGCATTTAGCTTAATTCTGTGTCATTTTAATTTTTAACCACTTAGGAAAATAACATTTTCCTTGTGTAAGCATAAAACTTATGAAAAATCTAAACATTCATAAGTCATGAAGAAGAAAGAAAATTCATTGATAATCCCCTCTTTGAAAAATAATTACTCTTGTTTCAGGTTTTGAAGAGAACTTTCCTCAGCTTTGTGAGTGTGCTTCAATGCTATGAATACACACACACACACACACACACACACTTTATGTAACATAGGTTATATAATAAGAAATTATTATATAATTTTAGATGATATATATTATATACAACTTAATGTATTACATTATATAATATATGATATATTACTGTATGTTTTAAAAATTATTATAGTTTACTTTTTGTTTTATAATTAAATTTTTCATTTACTAGTATATTATGAATACTTTTCCAAGTCATTGAATGTCTTTTTCACGCTGAATTTTACT
Source organism: Homo sapiens (assembly GCF_000001405.40). Lineage (NCBI taxonomy): Eukaryota > Metazoa > Chordata > Mammalia > Primates > Hominidae > Homo > Homo sapiens. The sequence continues at coordinate 96,967,431 of NC_000003.12, forward strand.
GACTGTATGATATTCTGTCATTTCACTTTGCCACAATTATTTTTCAAACTTTATTATCTCATGATAAAATTCTAGAAGCAGAATTACTAGATCAGTGTCTTAAATAACTTCTTAGAATGTTTACATATGTTGCCAAGTTTTTCATGATTGATTATCGTGTACCAATATCTTTTTCTAGAAATCCATTTTAACTGTTTTGGATTATTTTGTTTTAGTTGTTATCTTTTTAACAACATAGAATTGAGTAACAGTTGTGTGTGTGTGTGTGTGTGTGTTTTAATTATTGGAAGTTCCTTTGTTAAGCACTTCGATTGATTTTTGTGATCAAGTTTGGACACAGGAGACTGAGTGCTACCAAGTACTCTGATTAGTAAAGATGAACTTGATGTTCTTGAAGGAACTTTGGAAGGAGAATGGATCTGCAGCTAACATGTAGACGGCAGTTGGATTTTGTTTATTATAAGATCTGGGAGTCTTTATCTTTTAAAAGTGGATATTTAGCAATTATTGTTTGACAATTGACATGTATCCTTTGTCTTCTGTATCCTTTGTCTTCTGTTATGAGCTATTGTATACCTTTTATTTATATGCTTACTATTTTTTTCTCTTCTCTTTATGACTCATTCTGTAATATTTTCTGTAGTTTACAATGTAGTTTTTCTATTTTATCGGGTGTATATAATTATTTATTTTCTATTAACTTATAAACTATTACACTTAATTTTTGTTCTAATATTGACTGTGTTAGGTATATGTTAGATCATTTAAGTGTACTGACTTTGGATGTAAACTTCTTCCCTGTGGTAACCATATCTAATTATGTGTAGCTTTTAGCTTAGTTCTGTGTCCTTTTAATGTTTGACCACCTAGGAAATGTGTATTGCTTTGCTTATTGGATTTAACTGTAAACTTTAAATTGGATTTAAATTGTAAACTACCATAGAGAAAATGGTAAAAGCACACACACACACACACACACACACACATTCTATGTATTTTGAGAGTAGCTTCAAAAAATATTTCATAAATATTTTTTGATAAAATTCTCATTTCTGTCTCTTAAGAATATTGGATTAATTAGAAGTATATATGAGAATTAACATTTAATCATTTTTGTCAAGTACTTAGGTACTTACAATGAACCTAAGTACAAAAGTACCTAAGTACATTGGATCCATATAATGTATTTCAGAGCTGAAAGATTTATATTCCCAATGTGACCTTAAAACTCTGTGTGATGCATCATAAGGTTCTTTACTGCTATGCTAACAGCAATTTTAGTTTACTATTCTGTGCAATATAATGTGCAATATTCAGGGATAGATTTTTTCCTTGAAGTTTGCTAAGCGAATGACTATTAAGCATTGTTATTTAGTTAGCCTCAAATATTCTTTTTCTTTCTTTTCCTTAAGAAAAGATTAATGAAACTTTTTCTAAAGGTTGTTTGAAATAGTAGGGTAAGTTTATTATGCTGTCTTTGGCATATTACACAGTAGTGATTGCACCAAATCTACATAAATGCATATGGTTCTTTATAAGCAGTTTTACAGAAATAATATAGTAAATCTAAATTACACTCTGGGTAATTAATAATTTGTGAAATTAAAAAATAGAATGTAGAAGAAATTCTCAACCTGGTTCAGCAGTTTAAAACAACTCTTCTAACTTCTACTAATTTGATATACTAAGATAATTTTTAACAATTGGAAATCAGCACCATGGAATTATCATAAAAGAATAATACCTCCACTTTGAGAATTTTCCCATTATATATGTACTTACATGTTGTGTTTAAGAATCACTAAATAGAAATATGCTATACAAAATTAAATAATATAACCAATTGTAATTTTATTCAAGTCAGATTTTCATATCTGGCACCCTATAATTTCTACTGTTAAGTCAATTAATGCAGATAAACCTCATTTGAAGCCATTGGAATGGCCGATGATCGTGGATATAATTTCTCATGTAGGATTCTGATGTCAAGCAAGCTTTGACCTTCCAAGAACCATCCCTATACAACTGAAATCCTAAATAGAGCTATAATTTTAATTGAAATATGAAGGTCTAATATATTTTGAAAAACCAGGTCAAAACATATATCATTGTGAAGTGTTAAAGCAACATTAGTGGTCCAAAATATAACCTAATAAGGTATGTACAGAATCATAATCTTAACTTAAATGGTTCTCTGCAAATTTTATTTCCATGTTGCATATCTTTAATAAGAAATAACTCTTCTCCAGATTTCTGTGTGAAGATTGTGCTTCTGAACAAACCAACACTCCACCAAATATTTTCTTGTCATGGTCACTGATAAATTTTCTATTAAAAATCTAGTATACATTGAGTGGTTTTTATCTTAGTGGATCTTTCAGCATCATTTAATATGCTAAATACTTTCTCCTTCATTAATAATTTCCTATTGTAATGTGTACAGGACATCACACTCTCAGGAGATTTGTCTATCAATGTACATTAACATGTCCAGTTTGAATATTCATTTCATTTATTTCATATGTGATGTTTATAAGAATTATCAATTCAAAAGTTAATACACTTAAATATTATACCTTTTAGTTAAATAGAATGTTACTCAGAGTCAGGGCTATAGACTTTATTAGTAATTACAGCAAAGATAAGTGATTTTATTGAATCTGTAAATAGTCTCTTTTTATTAAAGTGCTTCTCCATTAAAGGATACTTCCTAAGCAGCCTGAATATTACTTCACCTGTTCAGTTCACTCTCTCTCCTGACACAGACACATAGTCTAAATACCGTTTTCCTCTTCTCTGCCTCTTCATACACACACACACACACACACACACACACAAACACACACACACACAGAGCGAGAGAGAGAGAGAGAAAGTGCCTCTTAGTTATAAACCTGAGTTTTCATCCTAACTTATAATTGTGTGCACTAGCATGATGTCCAGTGAGTCATGTGATGTTTGCAAGCTTCAGCTAAGTCATATGTTATGTTTCTGTTCACCTGAGTCATCCTGGTGTCTTTAAAATGCTATGGCTAGGTTAGGAGATTGCTAAAAGTTTACATATTTTCCATCTCATGTCATATATAGAATCATTACTTGAGCAGGAGTAGCTCTCCCATTAGTGGAAGCATTCACAGTTGTTTTAGTTATAATTTAAGCTTTCTTATTATTAATTTGTATATTTAACAACTATTAAGAACCAACTGCAATCCCTGTTGTGGGAACATCCTATGGGAGGCTTGTGTGGGAAGCTCTATGATGAAAAGACAACGTCCTTGTCCTAACAGAGCTTACGGTCTACGTAAATTTATCTTGATTCAAAGCCTTCATGTGGTCCAACATAACTTTTCACATACTTTTGGTGTTAATTCTTCTGTTTTCTTTGTAAACTCAGATGAGTCAATTCCCTCCTTTAAATCAGCTTCCTCATCCATAAATCAGGATAATATGCTTCATTCTCTATAACTTACAAGAATCAAATTAAATGTGGTTTGTGAGATTATTTTTCTGTGCTTGCTATATTTGGAGGTCCTATGTAACTAGCATAGTATTCATATATTGTTGAACATAAGACAGGGTAATTAAGATAAATATTTGCAATCCCTTTATTTAGAAATCCTATAAATCTTCAAAGATAATATTTGCAATATTTTATTTATCGTTAAGTAAGAATCTCAACTTCGTAAGCCATTTAAGGCCTTTTGGACATACAGAAGATGAACTGTTTAATAAATTTAATCTTCAGAATATGACAGTTTTATGGGATAATCTATTCCTTCTTAGTAGAAGTTATCTTTATTGCTATAATATTTTAATCTTGTTAATAGGACAAATCTACCAAAAGTAAAACATTTAATTGTAAAACTTAATTAGACTCAGCAGTTGTCTTCCAGATACACCACTGAATTCTTACCTTTGTTATTAAATATCTTTGTAGTGTTAATAAAAAAGTTTTAAGTTTGCCCAAAGTGAAATAGAAATGTATCTGCACATGATGCATTTTGCTTCTTGTTTTATTCTCCAAAGCTGGTTATCATTTAAATGCAGAGCCTTCACTTTTCTGCTGCAAAAACAGATTTATGTTATTAACTACATGCCTAGCAGCAGAATTCAGGGCACTAATTTTCTAAGTTTATGTCAGTATATTGATACAAAGTGACTAAGTAGTTCTGAGGAAAATGTAATATTAGAATAAGAAGACTTCTTTAACAAGCTTTACTTTGATACAGAATATTAGATACGTATGTTTAAAAATTAAGCCACTGCAGAATTACAGAATGAGATACCCGTGTACATTCAACAACCTTAGTTTATTTGGCTTATGCAAGGTAAGATGAAGAATGTTTGGAACAAATCACATATGGGCCATTTTGCAACTTTTCATTCTCAGCCATTCTGCATTCTTAATCTTAGAATGAAGTTGAAGATTTTATTTCCCTTTTTGGCTCTCTTTCCCATTTAAATTTAGTTGATTTGGAGGAATAATTAATTATTGGCATATACTACAAAACATTGAGAACATATTATACAAAAAACCTGGCTAGAAATTATAGATTTATTATGATTTTGTTGTTGTATATTGTTTTAATCTATCTTTAAATTGTCTTTTACTTTTGGGAAAAAATAATAATATGCTGTATCATTTGTGTATTAATCATCTACCAGTGTAATGCTAGCTAATTTAAAAACGCATTTAGTCTTTTGGATTCTATATCTTTCAAATGGTCACTTGTTATATTCTATTTTCCATGACTATTCCCCCTTTATATATTTACTATAAATACATTTTGAAGAAAAACAATAAAGAAAAATATTATCTCCAAGTATTTATGTCCTTTTTAGTCTATAACTGGGATCTGTTAGAAATTGAGGAGGAAATAAATTTATGCCTTAATAGTTTTAGTATTAGAGGATATGGTCTTACAGCATGTAATTAACAAAAATCAATACAGAAAAGGGAAGAGAGGAAAGAGATTTCAGAAACACACACACAAACACACACACACACACACACACACACACACACACACACGTATTTAGGAAGCACAGGTAAAGACGAAAATATGTTTCTCCAACAGTCCCAGTCTTCCGTGTTATTAGAATATTTCCTTTTCTGTTACCTACTGTCAGCATATTTAAGATTGGTTTTAACTGATATTTCATTTCCTTAAATCAGACCAGCCTTGCAGCTGTTTAAGGTCCTAAGGCATCTAGGGTGTGACTTCCCTCTCCCTTTTCTCTCTGGGATACATACGCAAGCACACTGGTCTGAAGGTAAATGCTCTTTTCTTTTGCTATGTTTTGAGTATTTTATCAGGACTTATCCTTGCCATTTGAAAATATAATTAGCTTTCCAATAGTCCGTTCTGTGCTAAGAAACAAACTATCTGCTCCTATTTTAAAATTTCAAAATTGATTTTGGAAATAAAAGTTTATATTTCTTTGAATTCTAAAGATTTTCAGAGGGAAGAAGATATAAATTTGAGAGATTTATGTAAGAACTTTGGATGTATGTGTCCATTTGCCAGCATATTATCTGAATATTCTTTGCCTAGAAAGGCTGTTTGATTGCCTTATTTTGTTCTCCAAGAAAAGAAAGCCATCTGATTCCTCAATGACTGCCAGTTGCTTTAAGAATTAATTTCCTTGTTCTGACTTTCTATACCCAAAAGGAATCTGGTTTTTTGGCCTAGTTTATTTAGCTTGCTATAGAAACAAAAATTCATATGTGGATGTAGAAGGGTTTTTAGAGAATCCTCAGGCATAAATATTAAATAGATTAATTATTACTCATAGCTATTCACATTTCCTATCACTTCTAACAAATATTCACTTCAGATGATACAGCCCCCAAACCACTAAGCTATATGCACACACTATTGGCAATTTTAATCCTGTACCATGTATATCCAGGAAGTAAAACTTCTTACCCTTTTTAAAACAAATATACATATAACTTATTCTTTAGCTGCGAAATGTTTAGATGTACGTAAGTTTGGTAATTGTAGCTATTACAGGTTTAAAATAATTCAATCTGTAATTATTATAAATATCTATATCATTATAAATAAATCTGTCATTAAATCTGTACTATTAAGAATCTCTATATTGCTGGGCACAGTGGCTCATGCCTATAATCCCAGCACTTTGGGAGGCTGAGGGGGGCGGATTGCCTGAGGGTTCAGGAGTTCGAGACCAGTTTGGCCAACATGGTGAAACCCTGTCTCTACTAAAAATACAAAAAAATTAGCCAGGCATGGTGGCATGTACCTGTAATCCCAGCTACTTGGGAGGCTGAGGCAGGGAAATTGCCTGAACCCGGGCGTGGGGGCTGCAGTGAGCCGAGATCATGCCACTGGTCTCCAGCCTGGGCGACAGAGCGAGACTCCATATCAAAAAAAAAAAAAAAAGAAAAAGAACCTCTATATTATATAATATATAATATGATAGATTCTGTATATTATATAATATATGATATAATAGATTCTGTATATTATATAATATATAATATAGTGTATACATAATAAATATACATATTATAACAGAATCTTTATTATATATAATATACTGTGTATATTTAATAAAATATATAAAATATGTTATTAATACAATAAATATATATAATAAAATTATATATTTGTAGTATGATTAATAATTATAAATAATATAATGAAATTGTATTTATAATATAAAGCTTTATTATACTTATAATTATAAATAATGTATTAAAATTGTATTACACTTATAATAATTACAAATAATATATTAAAATTATATTATTAATTATTGATATATTATTAAATTATTATTATAACATAAAATTTTAAAACCTGGCTTTTTGGCCTAGTTTATTTAGCTTGCTATGGAAATGAAAATTTATATGTTGATGGGGAAGGGTTTTTAGAGAACTCTGATATATAAGAATCTGTAAATTATATATGTCATTATAAATACTTTTGTTATTAAATCTGTACTAAGTTGGTCAGTTTGGTCAGGTGCTTGCTTTTACATAATAGGCACTGAACTAAAATATCCCAGTTCCTCTGTCTCTTTTTTTTTTTAATTTATGTTTTTTATGTAATATTTAAAATATCAATATATAAAATAACTCACCAATATAGAAAGTAGAAAAGAGCTCAGTAAAGCAAAAATCGAATTATACATGCTTCTACAGAATAGAATATCTTGCAAACTACATCTATTCTTATGTCCTGGATAAATAGAACAGAGAGACTCATTTTGTCTTATGTTCATTTTATGAATCCTTTTTTTTGGATCAAGGAATGACTATATGAGGAAATTTTGCCAGAGTCTCTTGTTCAATGAAAGCTTTTGGTTAAGCAAGAATCAGCTGTCCTTTGACAGGATGCCAGGAGGAATGTCTTAAGATCCATATAACAATTTATTCATTCTAAGACATACATGTTGAATACAGTGTGATAAAGTCAGTGTGGTCATAGGAGGAAATGAGAACAAGGCCCGGAAAGAAGTTTATTATACTCATAAGTCCCAGAGAGGGGGTCAGTGCATGCCATTCAGGGCCACACAGGAAGCACTATGTTTTGGTCAGGTGGTAGAAGACAGGAGTGAGGGGCAATCTAGGCTAGAGCCTTTACTAGGGTTTCTGAGGGAAAGACAGGGCGGAGCAAAGCAAACACTTTGGTGTTTGCTTAGTTTGAATAATTCCTGTGGAATTTGGGCAATAGGGGTGGTCTATAAGTACCAGATACCTGCCCTATGATCGATCATCTAGGGTAGGGGAAATATTGCCTTGATGTGTGAGAGTAACACATCATAAGGAAGAGTTTGGGGCTGTAGACTTGGGAGGGGCAGACTTGCATATGAAGCTCCAGGCCCAGCCCTTTGCTATATCTAATAATTGGCTAGCAATGAGAAGTGCAGTTTCTCCACCCATACCATCTCCTCTCAGCAAGCTTTTTAAGAGGTCTTAACGTCATAGAATACGTAAAATAAAGTTAGAAGACCTAGTTCTAATTCTAGTCCATGAAACACTGGGTAATTGATTTTATTCTTGGGTATTGGATTCCTTATTGTTATTATGAAAATAAAAATACCTGTCTTGCTTTATTGGACCAATGAAGACCAAATGAGTTAACATTTGTGAAAAAGTTTTGATGAATATAAGTTCAGTATATAAATAGTGGCCTTAAGGATCATTACATCCAAGGTAACCTTGTAGTACATGAAAGAAAGAATTCCTTGGAGTACAAATCATTCTTGCTTAACCAAAACTTCTCATTGAGCAGGACACTTAGTTACAAAACTTTTCCATCCATCTCTTTGTCATCCATCTGTCCACTCCTTGATCCAAAAAAGAGCTCACAAAATGACCATAGACAGAAGTTCCTTGTTCTACTCATATAGGTCATGAAAACAGAAATTATTTGCAAGATTTTCTTCCCTGCAGAAACATGTATTATTTAATTTGATTTATTTAACTCTTTTCTACATTATATATTAGTATTTTATTGTAAGTTCTACATAAAATTTTTCTTAAAAAGCATACATGTGATTGAGGAGTTGTAATGTTTTGTATTCATTACCTATTATATAAAAGCTAGCACCTGACAGAAGTGCAAAATTAATAGCAAAATTAATGACAGGTTTGATAATATACTTTATCCTGTAATTTGTACATTTACCAGGTTTATGCATGTCTAAGTATTTCACAGTTGGATAATAAGTTATATGTTTGTTTTAAATAGGGGTAGGAACTTTAAGTGGGACAGAACTAAAGTTGTCTAAAAGTGTATGCATATAGCTTAGTTTTATAAATTAATTTCTATTCACTTTCCTCCCTCTGGCTTATTGAATTTTATAATTCTTTATTGTTCAAGTCCAGTGCATGCTTCTTGTCTGAGCCTTCCAAACAACTCCAGTTCATGAGTGTTGCTGTCCTTTGAACACTTACTATATTTTACTATATAAACTATTAGATTGTTACACTTAAACCTGCACTAAAATGTTGTTAATTAACAATTAACATTTTAATTAATGCTTATTAACACATGATGTGTAGAGGTGACAAAGTACTTTATGACGTTAAAAAAAGGCTTTTAAAGTAAATGTTTACACTAACTACCTAATAATGAAGTAAAACATAGGTTTTTAACTCTCTTTGCTATTAAAAAATAATTCCAGTAATCTTACAGTCCAAATTGGATTTTAAAAAGAATTATGATCATCTTTAGACCCAGGAAGGGAAGCCTCTACTCCATGCTAGAGCTTTAGATGGTCTTGCCCGTTCACTCCTCTGGCTACATTACCCTTCATGAAGATATGACCTTGAGGGATAAGAAGATATGCCACTTAGATCTTATGGTTTATTTCTATACCATAGCACAGGTATTCAAGACCCTAGACTTTCTTGCTCAAATGGCCTTAAGTCTACTTTTAGGAGCTTCACAGATTCTTCCTGGGATTCATCCTCCAAAGGATGTACTGTGACACTGGTGTGCTCAGCCTAAGTTCACTGGAGGACTAAAGTTGGCAGCTTTTTGAAACAGGGAAAAGACACAGCTTGTGTATGAGATGCTCATATATGTGCATATGTGAAGTCTGTCAGGGTGTGAGATAGAGCTAGAGTCAGGTAAGGGCAAAGAAGTGGGATTAACTGAGGTTAAGAGCTGGCTCTCTATAGGCCACTACATGCTGCCTAGGGTCTTAGGAGTCCAAGTATTTTAAATATGAACCTGGATTGTCAGGTTGTTATGAAAGTATCTTTACAAAGTAGACTGGTACTGTATATTTTAAGTTTGGTCTAATTTAAAGAATGGAACTGCAGGCTATTATCTTAAATGAAACAACTGACACATAGAAAGACAAATACTGCATGTTCTCATTTATAAGTGGGAGCTAAATAATGTGCACACATAGATGTACACTGTGGAATGATAGACAATGGAGACTTGGAAAGGTGAAAGGGTAAAAGGGGGGTGGATGATGAGAAATTACTTAATGGTGCAATGTACATTATTCCGGTGATGAGTACACTAAAGCCCTGACTTCACCAATATGCAATATATTAGTGTAATAAAATTATACTTGTATTCTATACATTTATACAAGTAACAAAAGATTTATCATTTAAAAATATTAAGGCATGTGGTATGTGAGCTGCCATACTCATATTCTTGCCTTGGGACCCCTACTTTTTAGAGACCCTATTTAATTTAATACTTGAAATTATAACTAAAAGGTTAAAATTGACCCCTTGAACAGCATGGAGATTGACCTCTGTGTTATTGAAAATCCATGTATAACATTTGACTGTCCAGAAAAGTTAACTACTAATAGCCTACTGTTTATCAGAAGCCTTGTTGATAACATAAACAGTTGATTAACACATAGTTTCTATGTTATATATTACACATACTGTATTCTTACAGTAAAGTAAGCTAGAGAAAAGAAAATGTTATTAATCATAGCTGGGCATGCTGCCTCATGCCTGTAATCCCAGAAGTTTGAGAGGCCAAGGCAGGTGTATCACCTGAGCTCAGGAGTTTGAGACCAGCCTGGGCAACATGGCAAAATCCCATCTCTACCCAAAATACAAAAAATTAGCTGGGCATGGTGGTGCATGCCTGTAGTCCCAGCTACTTTGGAAGCTGAGGTGGAAGGATTTCTTGAGCCTGGGACATGGAGGTTGCAGTGACCAAAAATTGCGCCACTTTGCTCCAACCTGGGTAACAGAGTGAGACCCTATCTCAGAAAAAGAAAAGAAAATCATAAGGAAGAGAAAATATATTGACTATTCATTAAATGGAACTGGACGATCATGAAGTGGCCTTCATCCTTGTTGTCTTTATGTTGAGTAGGCTGAAGAGAAGGGTAAAGTGGAAGCATTGGTCTTGCTGTTTCAGAGGTGGCAGAGGCTGAAGAAAATTCATTGTAAGTGGACCTGCATAGCTTAAACCTGTGTTCAGGTTTCATCTTTATATATAAATGCAGTATTTCCAAAAGGAAAAGTATGCCTGAAATGTGATATAATTTTTATACCTACTAATGTTATATTTTATGGCAAATTCCATAGGCTTTTAGATCTATATCAATCTTGAATCTATCTTCTTGTTTTAGGGAATCAGATCCAAATTTGTATATCAATATATATTACTTTCTATATTCTTGAATAAGATGAAATTTACCAATTATGTCTGTTTTGAGTGTTTTGGTACCTAAGTCTAATTCTAATTTATTTTAAGTAGAAGAAGAAACATTATTTTTCATCAAACATCACAAACTCAGTGTAAAAAAAAATGCATCATTTTGTTATGTATCCTTATGCACTGTATTTGAGAAGAATAACATTTCCGATTACCTGTGTGTATTTTGTACTTCTATATTTCTTGGTTTATATCGGTTCTGATTAGAGAATACATATATTTTTTCACTTCAGACCCTTCTCTCATTCTGAACATCTCCGCAACTGAATGTATTTGTAAATAAGGAAATATTATAATTTCATAAATGATATTTTCAAACACTTCTTCATATTTGAGTTAAAGTTAATCTCATATTTTCAGAGAATTAATTTTTTGTTGAACATGGTTAATGCTTTTTGTTAATATGAAGTGATGAAGATACTAAAACAGAATTTACAGGGAATATAATTCTTTTTTTTTATACTTTAAAATTTCTAGGGTACATGTGCACAACGTGCAGGTTTGTTACATATGTATATATGTGCCATGTTTGTGTGCTGCACCCATTAACTCATCATTTACATTGGGTATATCTCCTAATGCTTTCTCTCTCCCCTCCCCCCACCCCACCACAGGCCCCGGTGTGTGATGTTCCCCTTCCTGTGTTATCATTGTTCAATTCCCACCTATGAGTGAGAACATGCGGTGTTTGGTTTTTTGTCCTTGCAATACTTTGCTGAGAATGATGGTTTCCAGCTTCATCCATGTCCCTACAAAGGACATGAACTCATCCTTTTTTGTGGCTGCATAGTATTCCATGGTGTATATGTGCCACATTTTCTTAATCCAGTCTATCATTGATGGACATTTGGGTTGGTTCTAAGTCTTTGCTATTGTGAATAGTGCCACAATAAACATATGTGTGCATGTGCCTTTATAGCAGCATGATTTATAATCCTTTGGGTATATACCCAGTAATGGGATGGCTGGGTTAAATGGTATTTCTATTTCTAGATCCTTGAGGGATCGCCACACTGTCTTCCACAATGGTTGAACTAGTTTACAGACCCACCAACAGTGTAAAAGTGTTCCTATTTCTCCACATCCTCTCCAGCACCTGTTGTTTCCTGACTTTTTAATGATTGCCATTCTAACTGGTGTGAGATGGTATCTCATTGTGGTTTTGATTTGCATTTCTCTGATGGCCAGTGATGATGAGCATTTTTTCATGTGCCTTTTGGCTGCATAAATATCTTCTTTTGAGAAGTGTCTGTTCATATCCTTCACCCACTTTTTGATGGGGTTGTTTGCTTTTTTCTTGTAAATTTGTTTGAGTTCATTGTAGATGCTTGATATTAGCCCTTTGTCAGATGAGTAGATTGCAAAAATGTTCTCCCATTCTGTAGGTTGCCTGTTCACTCTGATGGTGGTTTCTTTTGCTGTGCAGAAGCTCTTGAGTTTAATTAGATCCCATTTGTCAATTTTGGCTTTTGTGGCCATTGCTTTTGGTGTTTTAGACATGAAGTCCTTGCCCATGCCTATGTCCTGAACGGTATTACCTAGGTTTTCTTCTAGGGTTTTTATGGCTTTAGGTCAAACATTTAAGTCTTTAATCCATCTTGAATTGATTTTTGTATAAGGTGTAAGGAAGGGATCCAGTTTCAGCTTTCTACCTATGGCTAGCCAGTTTTCCCAGCACCATTTATTAAATAGGGAATCCTTTCCCCATTTCTTGTTTATGTCAGGTTTGTCAAAGATCAGATGGTTGTAGATGTGTGGTATTATTTCTGAGGGGTCTGTTCTGTTCCATTGGTCTATATCTCTGTTTTGGTACCAGTACCATGCTGTTTTGGTTACTGTAGCCTTGTAGTATAGTTTGAAGTCAGGTAGCATGATGCCTCCAGCTTTGTTCTTTTGGCTTAGGATTGTCTTGGCAATGCGGGCTCTTTTTTGGTTCCATATGAACTTTAAAGTAGTTTTTTCCAATTCTGTGAAGAAAGTCATTGGTAGCTTGATGGGGATGGCATTGAATCTATAAATTACCTTGGGCAGTATGGCCATTTTCATGATATTGATTCTTCCTACCCATGAGCATGGAATGTTCTTCCATTTCTTTGTATCCTGTTATTTCATTGAGCAGTGGTTTGTATTTCTTTTTGAAGAGGTTCTTCACATCCCTGGTAAGTTGGATTCCTAGGTATTTTATTCTCTTTGAAGCAATTGTGAATGAGAGTTCACTCATGATTTGGCTCTGTGTTTTTCTGTTATTGGTGTATAAGAATGCTTGTGATTTTTGCACATTGATTTTGTATCCTGAGACTTTGCTGAAGTTGCTTATCAGCTTAAGGAGATTTTGGGCTGAGACGATGGGGTTTTCTAAATATACAAGCATGTCATCTGCAAACAGGGACAATTTGACTTCCTCTTTTCCTAATTGAATACCCTTTATTTCTTTCTTCTGCCTAATTGCCCTGGCCAGAACTTCCAACACTATGTTGAATAGGAGTGGTGAGAGAGGGCGTCCCTGTCTTGTGCCAGTTTTCAAAGGGAATGCTTCCAGTTTTGCCCATTCAGTATGATATTGGCTATGGGTTTGTCATAAATAGCTCTTATTATTTTGAGATACGTCCCATCAGTACCTAATTTATTGAGAGTTTTTAGCATGAAGGGCTGTTGAATTTTGTCAAAGGCCTTTTCTGCATCTATTGAGATAATCATGTGGTTTTTGTCTTTGTTTCTGTTTATGTGCTGGATTTCATTTATTGATTTGTTTATGTTGAACCAGCCTTACATCCCAGGGATGAAGCCCACTTGATCATGGTGGATAAGCTTTTTGATGTGCTGCTAGATTTGTTTTGCCAGGATTTTATTGAGGATTTTTGCATCGATGTTCATCAGGGATATTGGTCTAAAATTCTCTTTTTTTTTTGTTGTGTCTCTGCGAGGCTTTAGTATCAAGATGATGCTCGCCTCATAAAATAAGTGAGGGAGGATTCTCTCTTTTTCTATTGATTGGAATAATTTCAGAAGGAATGGTACCAGCTCCTCCTTGTACCTCTGACAGAATTCTGCTGTGAATCCTTCTGGTCCTGGACTTTTTTTTGTTTCCTAGGCTATTAATTATTGCCTCAATTTCAGAGCTTGTTGTTGGTCCATTCAGAGATTCAACTTCTTCCTGGTTTAGTCTTGGTAGGGTGTATGTGTCAAGAAATTTATCCATTTCTTCTAGATTTTCTAGTTTATTTGCATAGAGGTGTTTATAGTATTCTCTGATGGTAGTTTGCATTTCTGTGGGATCAGTGGTGATATCCCCTTTATCATTTTTTATTACATCTATTTGATTCTTCTCTCTTTTCTTCTTTATTAGTCCTGCTAGCGGTCTATCAATTTTGTTGATCTTTTCAAAAAACCATCCACTGGACTCATTGAGTTTTTGAAGGGTTTTTTGTGTCTCTATCTCCTTCAGTTCTTCTCTAATCTTAGTTATTTCTTGCCTTCTGCTAGCTTTTGAATGTGTTTGCTCTTGCTTTTCTAGTTCTTTTAATTGTGATGTTAGGGTGTCAATTTTAGATCTTTCCTGCTTTCTCTTGTGGGTATTTAGTGCTATAAATTTCCCTCTGCACACTGCTTTGAATGTGTCCCAGAGATTCTGGTATGTTGTGTCTTTGTTCTTGTTGGTTTCAAAGAACATCTTTATTTCTGCCTTCATTTTGTTATGTACTCAGTAGTCATTCAGGAGCAGGTTGTTGAGTTTCCATGTAGTTGAGTGGTTTTGAGTGAGTTTCTTAATCCTGAGTTCTAGTTTGATTGCACTGTGGTCTGAGAGACAGTTTGTTATAATTTCTGTTCTTTTACATTTGCTGAGGAGTGCTTTACTTCCAACTATGTGGTCAATTTTGGAATAAGTGTGATGTGGTGCTGAGAAGAATGTATATTCTGTTGATTTGGGATGGAGAGTTCTGTAGATGTCTATTAGGTCCGCTTGGTGCAGAGCTGAGTTCAATTCCTGGATATCCTTGTTAACTTTCTGTCTCATTGATCTGTCTAATGTTGACAGTGGGGTGTTAAAGTCTCCCATTATTGTTGTGTGGGGTCTAAGTATCTTTGTAGATCTCAAAGGACTTGCTTTATGAATCTGTGTGCTTCTGTATTGAATGCATATATATTTAAGACAGTTAGCTCTTCTTGTTGAATTGATCCCTTTACCATTATGTAATGGCCTTCTTTGTGTCTTTTGATCTTTGTTTGTTTAAAGTCTGTTTTATCAGAGACTAGGATTGCAACCCCTGCCTTTTTTTGTTTTCCATTTGCTTGGTAGATCTTCCTCCATCCTTTTATTTTGAGCCTATGTGTGTCTCTGCATATGTGATGGGTTTCCTGAATACAGCACACTGATGGGTCTTGACTTTATCCAATTTTCCAGTCTGTGTCTTTTAATTGGAGCATTTAGCCCATTTACATTTAAGGTTAATATTGTTATGTGTGAATTTGATCCTGTCATTATGATGTTAACTGGTTATTTTGCTCGTTAGTTGATGCAGTTTCTTCCTAGCCTCGATGGTCTTTACAATCTGGCATGTTTTTGCAGTGGCTGGTACCGGTTGTTCCTTTCTATGTTTAGTGCTTCCTTCAGGAGCTCTTGTAGGGCAGGCCTGCTGGTGACAAAAACTAGCAGCATTTGTTTGTCTGTAAAGTATTTTATTTCTCCTTCACTTATGAAGCTTAGTTTGGCTGGATATGAAATTCTGGGTTGTAAATTCTTTTCTTTTAGAATGTTGAATATTGGCCCCCACTCTCTTCTGGCTTGTAGAGTTTCTGCGGAGAGATCAGCTGTTAGTCTGATGGGTTTCCCTTTGTGGGTAATGTGACCTTTCTCTCTGGCTGCCCTTAACATTTTTTCCTCCATTTCAACTTTGGTGAATCTGACAATTATGTGTCTTGGAGTTGCTCTTCTCGAGGAATATCTTTGTGGCATTCTCTGTATTTCCTGAATTTGAATGTTGGCCTGCCTTGCTAGGTTGGGGAGGTTCTTCTGGATAATGTCCTGCAGAGTGTTTTCCAACTTGGTTCCATTCTCCCCATCACTTTCAGGTACACCAATCAGATGTAGATTTTGTCTTTTCACATAGTCCCATATTTCTTGGAGGCTTTGTTCATTTCTTTTTATTCTGTTTTCTCTAAACTTCTCTTCTGACTTCTTTTCATTCATTTGATCTTCAATCACTGATACCCTTTTTTCCAGTTGATTGAATCAGCTACTGAAGCTTGTGAATTCATCACATAGTTCTCATGCCATGGTTTTCCACTCCATCAGGTCATTCAAGGACTTCTCTGCACTGGTTATTCTAGTTAGCCATTCATTTCATCTGTTTTCAAGGTTTTTAGCTTCTTTGCGATGGGTTCTAACTTCCTTCTTTAGCTCGGAGAAGTTTGATTATCTGAAGCCTTCTTCTCTCAACTCGTCAACGTCATTCTCCGTCCAGCTTTTTTCC
The DNA here is from genome assembly GCF_000001405.40 of Homo sapiens. Classification (NCBI taxonomy): domain Eukaryota; kingdom Metazoa; phylum Chordata; class Mammalia; order Primates; family Hominidae; genus Homo; species Homo sapiens. The sequence goes on from NC_000003.12 coordinate 96,984,085, forward strand.
GTTGCTGGCGAGGAACTGCATTCCTTTGGAGGGGGAGAGGTGCTCTGGTTTTTAGAATTTTCAGCTTTTCTCCTCTGTTTTTTTCCCATCTTTGTGGTTTTATCTACCTTTGGTCTTTGATGATGGTGACGTGCAGATGGGGTTTTGGTGTGGATGTCCTTTCTGTTTGTTAGTTTTCCTTCTAACAGTCAGGACCCTCAGCTGCAGGTCTGTTGGAGTTTGCTGGAGGTCCACTCCAGACCCTGTTTGCCTGGGTATCTGCAGTGGAGGCTGCAGAACACCGAATATTGCTGAACAGCAAATGTTGCTGCCTGATTGTTCCTCTGGAAGCTTCATCTCTGAGGGGTACCTGGCCGTGTGAGGTGTCAGTCTGCCCCTACTGGGGGGTGCCTCCCAGTTAGGCTACTTGGGGGTGTGGGACCCACTTGAGGAGGCAGTCTGTCCATTCTCAGATCTCAAAATCCATGCTGGGAGAACCACTGCTCTCTTCAAAGCTGTCAGACAGGGACATTTAAGTCTGCAGAGGTTTCTGCTGTCTTTTGTTTGTCTATGCCCTGCCCCCAGAGGTGGCGTCTACAGAGGCAGGCAGGCCTCCTTGAGCTGGGGTGTGCTCTACCCAGTTCCAGCTTCCCCACTGCTTTGTTTACCTACTCAAGCCTCAGCAATGGTGGGCGTCCCTCCCCCAGCCCTGCTGCCTTGCAGTTTGATCTCAGACTGCTGTGCTAGCAATGAGCAAGGCTCCGTGGGCATGGCACCCTCTAAGCCAGGTGTGGGATATAATCTCCTGGTGTGCCATTTGCTAAAACTGTTGGAAAAGCACAGTATTAGGGTGGGAGTGACCCAATTTTCCAGATGCCATCTGTCACAGCTTTGCTTGGCTATGAAAGGGAATTCCCTGACCCCTTGCGCTTCCTGGGTGAGGCGATGCTTCGCCCTGCTTTGGCTCACACTCAGTGGGCTGCACCCACTGTCCTGCCCCCACTGTCTGACGAGCCCCATTGAGATGAACCCGGTACCTCAGTTGGAAATGTAGAAATCACCCGTCTTCTGTGTCGCTCATGCTAGGAGCTGTAGACTGGAGCTGTTCCTATTCAGCCATCTTGGAAACACCCCCCGGAATATAATTCTTTACTCCTATATGGGAGAGTAAAGGATGTAGTATAGACATTAATAATAATGTATATGCATTCCCTGAGAAGTGAAATCAATTGTAATTATAAATATATTCAAAATAAAAATCATCATTGGATGAGTACTTTAGATTCTTTCCTATGAGTAAAATACCTAGATTTTTAGACATTGATTTTGACAGTTTAAAATTATATCATATTTTTTACTATTATCTTGGTTCACAGTTATATTTAGAATGATTATATTGTGGTTCCAATGAGCTGTGATAGTGCTGGTTTGCCTTTAAGTGTCCTCAGAGTAACATAAGACCCATTATACATTAGGATGAAAGGCATTTAGATGGGAAATATCATGTATATTCCCATGAGATTTTTGAATCACCCCTGGTAAAAAATGTGTGTATTTTGTAAAATTAAATATACAATTCAAAGGAACTCATTGTTTTCTCTGGAAAATGCCCTCTGGATTTCAAGCAAGAAATTTGCAGAAAATATTTTTTGGATAAAGATTGTGTTAAGTTTGCATGATGGATAATATAAATTATTCTGGAAATTTACTGTAGATAATTAAAAGTACTTTGTGTCATAATAGTGCTGTATACTGAGGAAAATAGGCATTCTGTTAGAAACTATACTATACTAGTGAAACTCAACCAGCCTTGATTTAGTAACTCTCTATAGCCAGTTAAAATAAGAAACTGCAAACAGAATGTGTTAAATAATCTTATTATAAATAACTGAAGTATGTTATCAACCAATAGAACCCTTATTCACTATAGCAAACCATTTGTTGTTTTCAGTATACTCTAATAGAAATGATAAACTATGATGCCTAGCATGTTTTCCCAAAAATGCCATAAGGTTACCTGAATGTTTTTCTTGTATTGAAAATGATCAGTTATAGCTATACAAATAAAATGGAGTTATAATCTAAATTTACAGTATAGAAGTATGCAATATTAAATGAATAAATATTGATAATATAAACTGCTTTCAGGGTACCCAAATATTTTTATTAAATCCCTTAAAAATGGACAAAGTCTTTCTATGCAATCAAGTGGCAAACTGCTTGTACATAAACATACAGAAGTGAAAATAATCCAGTGATCTAGCTCAGAGTAAAAGCCAAAGGGCTTAAAATGCTTAATAAAGACTTTTGGTTTGGCTGCTCTCTGACTGTCTGTTCTTATTACCTAATGTGCTTTCAGTGCCCACTTATGCTCTTCCTCAAATATACCTGTACAGTCTTGCCTCAGGTTATTTGTATTTACTGCTTCCTCTTTGCAAGTTTCACTATCTCATCTCTAAGGCAATGCGTAAATGTCACTACCTCAGTAAGGCCTTTTCTAGCCACCCACTTAAAATTATAACCCTCTTCTTAATCTCCTTGACCTGTTTTTCCCCATTGTACTTTCTACCATATTATTTAGTTTTATTCATTTCTACTTTTTAATTGTCTCTCTTCCCTCCAAAGTAAGCTTTATAAAGGCAGAGAGTTTTTGTTCAGCTTGTTAACTGCTGTATTTCCAGTGTCCAGGGTATGGGAATGCCTGATAAATATTTATCGAATAAGCCTAAGGCCTTATCCATGTCTGTTTGCTATTGAAGTAGTCATATAAATATTTAATTGACTATTGGCAAAGAAAACACACCACAATTTGTGGCAAATTGGATATAAGGAAAGATGGGAAACCCTAAGTGCGTTTTTTATATATTTAGTTGTTCTGATAAGATAATGGATGCTATTTAATGTTCTTATAGTATGCCAGGAACTATCTGAAGTGCTGTACATGTATTTATCTAATTTACACCTTACAACAACCCTGTGAAACAGGTACTATTATCAGCTCCTTTACAGTTGAGGAAACTAGTGATCAAATAAAGTTGTCATGCAATTAATGTGTAGGAAGGCAAGACAGGACAGCTGATTCTAGAACCTGTACTTTTAACTAAAGGCTCATGGTTAAAATGCTGTTCCATTGATACTTTGAGTAGCTTCATTTGTATCCTTTTAATTCATTTTTATTTTGGTAAAACAAAAAAAATTGTAAGTAATCATTTCTGTTTAATCACTGTGGTTTAAAATCACTTAATTACTTTTTTCCCTTTTTGCAGTGGGATGCCATCACTGAAATGGATGAACATAATAGGCCCATTCACACATACCAGGTATGTAATGTAATGGAACCAAACCAAAACAACTGGCTTCGTACAAACTGGATCTCCCGTGATGCAGCTCAGAAAATTTATGTGGAAATGAAATTCACACTAAGGGATTGTAACAGCATCCCATGGGTCTTGGGGACTTGCAAAGAAACATTTAATCTGTTTTATATGGAATCAGATGAGTCCCACGGAATTAAATTCAAGCCAAACCAGTATACAAAGATCGACACAATTGCTGCTGATGAGAGTTTTACCCAGATGGATTTGGGTGATCGCATCCTCAAACTCAACACTGAAATTCGTGAGGTGGGGCCTATAGAAAGGAAAGGATTTTATCTGGCTTTTCAAGACATTGGGGCGTGCATTGCCCTGGTTTCAGTCCGTGTTTTCTACAAGAAATGCCCCTTCACTGTTCGTAACTTGGCCATGTTTCCTGATACCATTCCAAGGGTTGATTCCTCCTCTTTGGTTGAAGTACGGGGTTCTTGTGTGAAGAGTGCTGAAGAGCGTGACACTCCTAAACTGTATTGTGGAGCTGATGGAGATTGGCTGGTTCCTCTTGGAAGGTGCATCTGCAGTACAGGATATGAAGAAATTGAGGGTTCTTGCCATGGTAAGAAACAAACATTTAAATAATTTATCTTGCATTTAAATGATTTTAAAAAAGTTTTATTTTTTAAATTAACAAATAGTAATTGTGCATATTCATGGGTGTGTAGTAATGTTTTGATACATATAATGTATACTGATCAGATCAAAGTAGTTAATATATCCATCATCTCAAACACTGATCTTTTCAAAATGACGATTTATTAAAAGTAAATATTATACATTTATTTCAAATAATACATTTTTGAGTGGTATACTTGATAATTAATTGTGAAAGCAATTGATTCATATTAACCATAAGAAAATTTCTGTCATTTTTCTCCTGGGAAAGGTGTATGAAATTGTGCCAAAGTGCTTTCAGTAAAGTCGTTAAACAATATGAATTGCTGTATCCGCCTAATTTTTATAAAGGAAAGCAGCATCAACAACAGCAACAAAAAGCAATGAGATTCAAAATAGTGATTTCCCTGGTGTTCACATTTTTACAGTTTATAGAAATATGACATTTAAAGACAGCAATAATTATTTCTATCATATTGAATTATAATACTTGAATTGTACTTAAATAGAATTATATTTAAATAAATGAGGGATTCATGTATATTTTATTTCAAAAATGTATAAGCTAGTTTATATGGGTGTTATGTATGATGTTTGGTGGTTGAATATTGACCTGATCAGAGCTTAATTAATCTTTTGCTATTATTACATAGAATTTTTCACCATATAACACATTAGCTTTTCATTTTAATAGTAGTATTTATGTGACATCTAATTGTCAGGAAATGTTAACATCGCAAAATGCTAGTTAAGTTTAGAACTATACCTTTCACATTGTTTTAACAATGAAATACCTATAATTTTCGTGATGAAACATTTTTCACTTTTTATGTAATTCATTTTATGAAGGCTTATTTACCTAATAAGTATATACATTCAAAAATTTTATATACCCCCTAATAAAGAGCATACGTTTGATTATAATTAGATTTAGGACTCATAATCAAAACACAAATATAGAAAAAAAATTATTTCATGGTAAATAGTAATATACCGGAGATATTTCCCTCTCAATGATAACTTCTTAAGAGGGTGTTTTCTACAGCACCAGCTTGAGTTTATTGATTTCTTTGTTGATGTTATATTCACATTCATTAAAAAGGATGAGAATAAATAAGAAAAACATCTGTATGCATATAATGGTCATGGATAATATATGTGAAGTTTTAAAGGTTTTTTCTGTTTATAAAACACTTGGGTTCTTGACTCTTTAGAAGTTCGCTCAAGCTGCCAGTGATGATTATGTTTTGTAACTGGAGAATACTAATATTTGCATGAGAAGTCGGTAGTATATATTTTACAAAGCATGAATCAGCTTTCCTGTGCTTTTAATCATTAAAGTATGTTTCATTCAAGTTTAGTAATATAGGTTATCAATATAGTTTATCAAAATTTTTATTCACTTATAACAAGGATTTATAATGGAGAAAAACCATAAATTATCCTGGAGTTAGGATCTAAAGATATTTTACATTGGAAAGTGCATGTATTAGTTTGTTCTCATACTGCTATAAGAACTTCCTGAGACTGGGTAATTTATGAAGGAAAGAGTTTTAAATGGCTCACACTTCCACAGGCTTAACAGGAAGCACTACTGGAACACCTCAGGAAACTTACAATCATGGCAGAAGGCGAAGGGGAAGCATGTATGCCTTACCCTGGCAGCAGAGGAGAGAGAGAGTGAAAGGGGAAAGTGCCACACACTTTCAAACAACCAGATCTCATGAGAACTCACTATCATGAGAACAGCAAAAAGGAAGTCCACCCCCATGATTCAATCACTTCCCACCAGGCCCCTCCTCCAGAATTTCAAGATGAGATTTGGGTGGGGACATAGACACACCATATCAGTGCACTAAAGAAAAATTTATACATATGAATAATTATCCAGTTAAGTGGAGAAGACAATAAGATCTAAGGATAAAATGTATTACACAGAGTAACCATGTAGTGTTTTTGGTACAGACATGTAATATGTGTAATAATCACATCAGTTTTACCATATTTTAAATTAGGTAGAAAGCCATTACTTGGTAAAAAAAATACAGTTTTTTAAATATTTGAAGAATTATTTAATCTAAGAATTTATGTGATTTGCTATTACTAAATATTTGTATTTCTTTATGGCATTTACCACAGAATTAAAGTAACCAACCGTGATGTCTAGATTTTTTTTTACTTAATATGCTTGCTGTGAAATTTTATTCTTATTTATATGCCTGCAAATTTCTTCTATGATTTGGCAAAGATAGTTTTGGACAAATGATAAGCAGCATCTGTTTATCTAGAGCTTCTACTTGTGTGTTTTTATGGCTTGTTATCTTTATTATCCTTTATCTGATTGCAGAAACATGAGGGAGTCAGTACAGAACAATTGTTCATCACCTTGTAGTGGATGGCAGAAATTGGAAGATTTAAGTTTGAATTCTATATCTATGGCTTACAAACCTCAAAATCAGGTGTTTTTTTTAAATTTATAAAGTAGTGGTTATAATCACCTAAAGATGAAATACATGTAAAACTATTAACAACAAGCAAACATGCCTGATTCTAATTAAATATAATGAATTGCTATTTATAAACAAAAGAAATGTCAGAGTGGATGTGGAGACTACATTATTTTAAAGATATATATAGTGCACTACCACCAGTGTTCATTTTAGAGTACTTACTTTTATGTGTGTTCTTGATGTTGTGTGTTGCCCCTTTCTTTCCTCTGATGAGAATTTTATCATTGCTTTTATTGCCATCTATTCATAACTTTTCTCACAAAAAAAATCTCTGAATTACATATAATCAAAAGGTCAAACTAATTCAAACTTATATGAAAAAACTGTAGTACAAGTAGAAAAGTGACCACATATATAATAGGAAAAGAAAAAATGAGTATATCACTATTTTTCTTCTTGTCTATTCTGTGTAAACAATTAATTAATCTACAGTATTGATTTTTTTTTAGAGACAGGGTCTTATTCTGTCACCCAGGCTGGAGTGCACTGGTGCGACCATAGCTCATTCCAATCTTGAACTCCTAGGTTCAAGCGATCCTCCTGCCTTAGCCTCCCAAAGTGCTGTGATTGCAGGGGTGAGCCACTGCTTCCAGCCCCAAACTATTGATATTTTTGAGCATTTACTATTTCTTAATCACTTTCTTAAGTGGTAGAGATAAACATAAATAAGGCATATGTTTCTGTTATTCATTGCTATGAGACAAAACAGCCCAAAATGTATTGGCTTAAAACCACAATGATTTATTATTTTTCAGGGCTCAGCTAGTAGTTCTGCTTAATGTACAATAAACAGCCATCACTTATGTAGCTGAATTCCACTGGGAGCTTGACTTGAGTTGGAATGTCCAAGATAGCCCCTCATCTTCCAGGGCCTTTCTCTATGTGGCCTCTCATCATTTAGTATCTATCCCAAGCTTTCCTGGAGCGTAGTTGCTGGCTTAAGAGGGAGTTTATTCACATAACCATCTGTAAAATGAGTATCCGAGGAGATAGCACAAGAGTGAATACCTGAAAGTTTATTTATAGGGGACTGCCACCATGACAATACATTATTTTACAGTCTTCTCTCTGGATTCTCCTGATTAATGTCCCTTCGTCATGCACAAAATCCCACACCCTCCCAAAGGTTTATCACATTAGGACATCATGTTGAAGTCCAATATAGCATGTTGAAATCAGTTCCAGATTCAAATGAAGTTTCGTTGCTAAAATCCCTGTTGATCTGCAGAACTAAGAACCTAAAAATAAGTTATGGTTCCTTACACACACAACACACATGGAACAGGGGCAGGATAATTGGAAAATTTTCTCCCATTCCGAAAGGCAGGGAACACAACAGTCACTGGTCCATTGTGATTGTGAAGTGCAACTGGTGTTTTCAAGGTCCCTGACTGCAGGGGCAGAGAATGTTTTCTGATTAGAGCCCAGTTCTGCTCCCTGTGATTGGTTCCCTGTGTCTTTTGGCTTTCTTACTAGTATCTTGCCGCTGCACTCTTAGTCATTCACTCTGTTTATAAGAATTGCAACTAGCAACATGCTAGTTGCTAGTTTCAACAGCTGTCTGGAAACCTCTTTAATTTGATCAACAACGTTATGAAGTGGTTTTTCTCTCTTCCAAGCTATCACAGGCAGGATTATTGCCAATTGCTCAGTACATAACATGTGTTGACCTTTTAGTATCCCCATTAACAATTTCTTTACTGATCTTCCAGCCTCTACTCACAATCTCCATGCTATTCTTCAGCTTCTACCATCTGTTCAATCCCAAAGCAAATATCACAAGTTTTAACTTTTTGTTACGGCAACACCCAGTTATTTGCTTACAGTTTCTACAATCTGGAAATCTGGATGAGGTTCACTGGGTCATTCTTTTCCTGTCTTATCTGAGGTCACTCATGCAACTGCAGTTATTTGGAGGTTTAACAGAGCTGCATGTCTAAGATGGCTTCACTCATGTATAATGCTTCATCTGTTGTGTCTGAGGTAACGTTGTGTACTGTCTAAATCCTGGTAACAATTTTAGTATGTTTTATTTCAGGAAATTATTCTAGTTTTTTTTTTCTTTCTGATATATTGATTCTAAGGGGTTACTCACCTTAGCATTCAAGGAATTGTACATTTTGACCTTGTCCTGTTCTTTTGTAACCTCAGCAAATTCTGTCCACTATTCTGGTTTTTATAATTTTTGAACAATCCATGCGTTTTTGTATCTCTTACCTTTTTTCATATTTTACCTAGCTGCTTTTGTACCCTTTTCTTCTTTTTCTGTGATGAAATTGTATTTATTCTTCAAGACCTAACACCAATGTCATGCCTCTGGGTCTTCACAAAGTTATTATCACTCTCCTCTGTGCTACAATTTGTGCTAATTATTTGTGTATCTGTTTCACTAGGGCTGTCAGATAAAAGAGGTGTACTTAAAAAATCACATGATGTGAATGATCACAAAGCACTGAGTAGTTAAAAGTGCAGCCTGTTGGTGCTCCTGTGGAATGCTCTGTTTCTTCTCATTTCTGTGAAATAAGTAAATTTTCTTGAGGGAGAGTTGTAGTATTTTAGATCTGGAAGGCCTTAGAAAATATTTTTATCCATCATTTTATGAATCAGGACACTAAATTACTGAGAACAGAATTTAATTTCCTGGGGCCACACAGTCGTAACTAATGTTAGATTGAGAACAAAGCCCAAATATGTCTTAATCTGGCCTTTATATGTTTCCCTTCCACCTATCCCCCATTCTTTTTTTTTTTTTTAATGAGACAGAGTCTCTCTCTGTCACCAGGCTAGAGTACAGTGGCGCGATCTTGCCGCACTGCAACTTCCGCCTCCTGGGTTCAAGCGATTCTCAAGCCTCAGCCTCCTGAGTAACTGAGATTTGTTGGACAGGATAGTCTCAATCTCCTGACCTCCTGATCTGCCTGCCTCGGCCTCCCAAACTGCTGGGATTACAGGCATGAGCCACTGCTCCTGGCCCCCACTATTCTTTCTCACTCTTTCATTTCCTCATTCCAGACATCTATGCCCTCACTTTGAAATGCTTCAATGTTTGCTGCCTGCCAGACCCAAAGCACAGGAGCCCTAAGTTTCTCATTATTAATTAGGCCTGCTCTGCCTTCTATTTCTCTTCAGGAGTCTAATGTGGACACTGCTGGAGCAAGATTTAAGCATCACTTTTGAAATTCATGCTGCTGAGGATGATGAAAATATATATAGATATGGATTCATCTGGAACTTTGCTTTTAGAGATGATAAACAGGAAAAATTACAGTGAGGCTTTAGGGATTTTTGTAATTTGCTTGAATGAATTTGAGACCTCTTGGTCAGCTATGCAACTAAGACACAATAAGCTGATTTAAAATAGAATAAATCTGTATCTAGTCATACTCCATATCTACTGAATGATGTATATTTAAATTGATGTATATTTAAATTGCATTTAAATAACTTGTTATGATATTTTATCCAAAAAGTCGTACTACTGAATGTTTGAATTTGTGATTCCTTTTTGCATAATATTGTTAAGGCTTACCTGTATCCAAATTCTAGAAGCACAAAAGAGGGCAGTAGACTTTTACTCTTGCTGTATGAACCAGGCTTAAATAGATAGAAAGATTATATTAAGCATGTTTGCTAAAATTTAAAAGCAAACACGAATAATTTGGGTTGCTTTATTATACATAGTAAGCAGTATTTTAGTCCTCTTTCAAATCTCAGCTGATATTTCATAACTTTTAATTTTATTTCATAGATTCATAATTAAGACTGTCATATTGGACATGTTGATGTTACAGATTTAACATTGTTTTAATTTATTCTACTTAATGTCAGACTTTTCTAAGGTTTTGAATTTAAAAATAACATTGATTTGCAAAGTATTATGCTAATTTACATCAAATGGTCTTTCAGTTTATATGTCTAGGACTATTTTAGCACTATGGAAGAAATAATTGGAAACAACATGCAAAATTGAATGCAATTTTTGTTTAGTTATACGAGTTCTGAAGTAGCATGAATCCCTAATAAGCTCCTCTTAAACATTAATTTAGGATGAATCTCATTAAGGTAGTGGTACTTGTACTTAGAGATATTAGTTTGTGTTTAAAATTTTAGACCTGCTGAGAATGTGTGTGTGTATGTGTGTGTGTGTGTGTATATATATATATATATATATATAGAGAGAGAGAGAGAGAGAGAGAGAGAGAGCTATATATATACCTACAGGCTGAGAATATGTGTGTGTATATATATATATAGAGAGAGAGAGAGAGAGCTATATATACCTACAGGCTTAAAGAAGGTATTATTGCTATATATATATATGTATCACTCAGTATAACTTAACTAAATACTATTTGTCTATGAAAATTAAAATTGTGAAACACTAGGCATAATTAAAAACCTTTCTTCTGCCTAGAAATATGCTTTAAAACTTTTTTTCTAGTAGTGCATTAAAATTCAGAAGGAAAGGATGCTGGCAATTCTCGGACCATTGCATTATTGTTCACGAAGGTAAATGGGATATACAGGGCCTTTAGTGACATTGTATTGATTTGATCTCTTGAAGAGTGTTGTTATTAAGGCTTCATGGCGCAATCCTCTGCTGCAGTTCAGAAACATTTATGCTGTGTGTTTATGATCTTCTGTCTAATCATGTTATCAGAGATGACTGTGCAAGCAGAGAGCATAAAGAAATATGAGATACCAGGATTTGCTGGCATTAAATAAGGGAGTTTGAGGATATGATGAAAAGCTGAAAGGTAAGATTGGGATCAGAAAAAAAGGGCAGATTTATTGGCTCAGGTAGTATTTTCACTTTCTAAAGGTTCTCACACACTGAATATAAACTCTTATATTATAACCTTCAATTCCAAACAAAGCAGCTTTTTCATGAAGCAATTCCAGACTTTCATCTATCTTGAAAAGAATGTGAAATCAAGAATCCTGAGAAGTCTAAAAATAGAAGGTATTATTTCCAAGCAAGAAAGGATAAAGTTGAATAATTACAGGCATACCTCGGACACATTTCAGGTTCAGTTCCAGACCACAGCAATAAAGCAAATATCGCAGTAATGCAAGTCACATGAATATTTTGATTTCCCAGTGAATATAAAAGTTATATTTACACTATTATTGTCTATTAGGTTTACAATAGCATTGTATCTAAAAACAATGTACATGCTTAATTTAAAAACACCTTATTGCTAAAAAATTGCTAACAATCATCTGAGCCTTCAGCAAGTCATAATCATTTTGCTGGTGGAGAATCTTGACTCGATATTGATGGTTGCTGACAGATTAGGGTGGCAGTTGCTGAAGGTTTTGGTACCTGTGTCAATTTCTTAAGATAACACAACAATGAAGTTAGCCACTTCAGTTGACTCTTTCATGAAAGATGTCTCTGTAGCATGCTAGGTGTTTAATATCATTTTACCCAGAGTAGAACTTTCAAAATTGGAGTCAGTCCTCTCAAACCCTGCTGCTGCTTTATCAACTAAGTTGAAATAATATTGTAAACATTTTGCTGTCATTTCAGCAATATTCACAGTGTCTTTACTGGAATTAGATTCTGTCTCAAGAAACCACTTTCTTTGCTCATCCATGAAGGGCAACTCCTGATGTTTTCAAGTTTTATCATGACATTGCAGCAATTCATTCATATCTTGTCTCTACTTCTGCTTTTTCTCTTGCTATATCCACAACATCTGCAGTTATTTTCTGCAACGTCATCCTTGAGGGTAGGTGTTAATTTCTTCAAAACTCCTGTGATTGTTGATTTTTTTTACCTCCTCCCATGAATCACAGATGTTCTTAATGGTATCTAGAGTGTTGAGTTCTTGGCAGAGTATTTTCAGTTTACTTTGCCGGATCCATTGGAGGAATCACTATGGCAGCTATAGCCTTAGAAAATATATTTCTTAAGCCATAAGACTTGAAAGTTGACATTTCTCTGTGATTGATGGACTGCAGAATGGATGTTGTGCTAGCAGATATGAAAGCAACATTACTCTTCCTGTGTATCTCCATCAGAGCTTTTAGGTGACCAGGTGCATCATCAGTGATCAGTACTATTTTGAAAGCAATCTTATTTTCTGAGCAGTAGGTCTCAACAGCAGGCTTAAAATTCTCCATAAACCATGCTGTGAACAGATGTACTGTCATCAACCTTTGTTGTTCCATTTATAGAGCATGGGCAGAGTAGATTTATCATAATTCTTACTAGGTTTAGGATTTTCAGAATGTAAATGGGCATTGACTTCCACTTAAACTCACAAGCTGCATTAGGTCCTAACAAGAGATCCAGCCTGTCCTTTGAAGCTTTGATGCCAGGCAATGACTTCTCCTTTCTAGTTACAAAAGGATTGTTACATCTACATTGAAACCCTAAATGTGGCCACCTTCCTCAATGATTTTAGCTAGGTCTTCTGGATAACTTACTGCAGCTTCTACATCATCAGCACCTGCTGCTTTACCTTGCATTATTGTCTTATAGAGATGGCTTTTGTCCTTAAACCTTGTGAACCAACTGCTGTTGGCTTCCAATTTTTATTTTGCAGCTTCCTCCCCTCACTCAGCCTTCATGGAATTTTTAATTCCATGTTAGGGTCTTATTCTGGATTAGGCTGTGGCTTAAGGGAATGTTATGGCTGCTTTGACCTTCTGTCCAGATCACTAAAACTCCTTCTCAACAATAAGGCTGCTTTGCTTTGTTATTCATGTGTTCACTGGAGTAGTACTTTTTATTCCTTGAATAACTTGTTATTTGCAATCACAACTTGGCTAACTCTGGGGCAAGAAGCTTAGTTTTCACCTATCTCAGCTTTCAAGGCCTTCCTCACTAAGTTTAATCATTTGTAGCTTTTGATTTTAAGTAAGAGAAGTGTATCTCTTCTTTTCACTTGACCATTTAGAGGTCATTGTAGGGTTATTGGCTTAATTTCAATATTGCCGTGTCTCAGAGACCCAAGGAGACAGAGAGAGAAGGGAGAATGGCCAGTGAGTGGAGCAGCTGGAACACACCATATTTATTTATTAAGTTTTCTGGCTTATGTGAGTATGGTTTATGGTACACCCCCAAAATAGGGTAGGGACATTGAAAATCACCAATCATACAAAAGTAACATAAAAAATCATTGATAATATCTGTTATGGTGACCTATGATATAGGATCTACATTACATGTAATAAGGATGTAAAAGTTTGAAATATTGCTGGAATTACCAAAATTACCAAAATGTGATATGGAGACATAAAATGAGCACACACTTTTGGAAAAATGGCACCAATAGCCTTGCTTGATGCAAGGTTGCCACAAACCTTCTATGTTTAGAAAATGCAATATCTGCAAATTGCAATAAAGTTCAGTAAAGCAAGACATGCTTGTACATTATAGTTTGTTCTTTGTCATGATTTATAAAATAGGTTAAAGGGCAAACCTACTTGAAATTATAATTTTAGCAAATTATTTTACACATATTTAATACCAAGTTTAGTCCATATTTTATTCTGTTAACTTTAAGACTATATTGAAGTCATATTCCTGTAGGGCTATAGGGCTGTCCTTAATTTAAAAAGTCAAATTTATGTAAATAAATTTACACACATTTCTATGGGAGCATAAATTTATTCACTATCTCTGTACTCTTTCCAGACATGACTTACCATGTTACCCATGTCACCCACTGAAATGGCTCCTTTTCATGTGAATTCTGCCTAGAATTTTAGTTCTACCTTTTAAACAAGTGAAATTAATATGTATATATATGCAATAGTTGGAAACATCAATATATAGTAACAGTTTTTGTACCTTTCATTTTGTCTATCATTATCTCCTTTCTTTTGGGTTCAAAAGTATGTCTTTTGGTAGTTCTTTTGATAAAGTTCTATGAGCAGTTAAGATTTTTATTTAATGGATATTTAAGAATAGCTTTATTTTTTCTCTCCCTCTTCAATGATTGTTTATTTAGATGTAGAATACAAGATGATGATGATTTTTCTTCAACATTCTGAAAATGTTATTTCCCCGTCTATGAGAATCTATTATTGCTAATGATCTGCCGACAATTTAATTGTCATTTCTTGGGAGATTATGTATAGGTTCTGTATTTTTGGTTTTTAGTTATATCTGATGTGTCTGGGTGTGGATTTATTTTTTTCCTGCTTTTCATTCTGTGTTTTTAACCTGAGAAAGAGAGAGACAGAGAAAGAGAGAGAGAGAAAGATTGCTTTCTTTTATTCTGTATTTCTAGAATTTTTATTAAATATGTTTGTTGGAAACTTTCAATTTATCCTGTCTTTGAAATAATTTAAATCTCAGCAATAATTTCCAGGTTTAGAATTTTCACTTTGACTATGCCTAGTTAAGAGTTTACCTCATCTGTTGAGATATCTTTATCTTCACTAGTTTTAGTTGTTAACTTTTTCGTTCTTACTTTTTGTTTCATTTCTGCCTACTTTGTTACATAATTCTCTTCCTCTTTTATGGTTATTTTATTCTGGATATATTTTAAGGTCCCATTCTAATTGATTTGGATCAAATTAATCTGATTATTTAGTGTGT
Source organism: Homo sapiens (assembly GCF_000001405.40). NCBI lineage: Eukaryota > Metazoa > Chordata > Mammalia > Primates > Hominidae > Homo > Homo sapiens. The sequence goes on from NC_000003.12 coordinate 96,999,117, forward strand.
TGCCTACATTTCTAAGCATTTGGGTCTATCATGTACTTTGGAATTGTAGTAGGCTGACTTTCTGGAAATTTCATATTTTCCTGTCTGATTTCTGTTACTGTGTCATCAGTTTTTTTATTTGAAAAGTTTGTGATTATACCAACCCAGTTCCCTAGGCTTTAAATAGAGAAAATTTAAGGGGCCTAATAAATTTCCCAAAGAATTCAAGTTAGTAATCCTGGTTGACAGGTAGTTCTGCTTCATGCAGTAATTCAGGGATCCAGACTTCTTGCCTTTAGTAAAGCAGACATCTCTTAAAGCCTTGTAGTTGTCTGTATCCAGCTCAGAGATTAGAGCAGACTTATGTCCTTCTTAGTCAACTCATATTTGAAGAGTCACATATCATCTCCTATCACATACCAACAATGACTACAGTATATGGCTACACATAACACAAATAGAGGGAGTTGCTATTAAATGTTGTTCTTAGCTCAGTAGTCACTTTCCACAAACAATTCTCTGCCATGGAAGAGGAAGACCAAATTTTTCTAGACATTTGGTCATCTCTGCAACAGTCTGTCACTTCACCAACAAAATATAGATATTGATCCTCATGTGTCTGATAATGCACAGTTTTCTCCATCAGGCTCAAATAATCCCTGAACCCCTAAGATGAATAAGCATAACACAGGCTGTCAGAGCTGATTAGCCACCAGTAACTACATCAGAAATGGTCATGGATGACAGAAGAATCTCACAGATAGTGGAGTTGAAGGTCATTGAGAACAATGACACACACCATTTAATCAGTGTCCATATCTTTTGGAGAGCTTCATATTACCTACCCAAAAAGATTTTCCTATTTCTTTTCCTTCCAGCTCTCAACCCAGCTAATTATTGACTGAACCCATCTGTTCCTGGAAATATTAGTATATTGTTAAATGTGTCAAGTAGCAACCAAGACAAAGAAATCATAGCTGTTGGCCGGCCTTCCAAGTTATTGCATATTAAAAAGTTATACCAAGGCTATTACTGTTGTGTAATATAGATTTTCATCTATCCAAAGCCTCCTGTTACACATCACCTGTCCCCTGATTGCTAAGTTAATGTCACTTATTTTAGAGTTTTGTTATGGGTCTATTCCAATTACCATGTGTGTATGTATAAACACACACACACACACACACACACACACACATATATATAGCCATATATAGCCACTCATATATAGCCATATATATGTATACACACACGTGTGCTTTTTTTATATATTTTATATATATATATGTATATGTTGGAGTTAAAATATTGTTTAAAAGCTGAGGTAACAGACAAAAATTTCAAAGTCCAGAGCCTTACAATGTAGAAGTTAGTTTTTCATTCACGTTACAGTCTAAGGTTTGCTTGTTGTTGAGGGCTTTCCATCATACACAAAATAAGGGAACTGTGCATTTTCTTTCTCTAGCTCTGTTATCACCTGTGGATTTGTTGTTATCTGTATCCAATGAGTAGAGCATATATGTATCCAAGAAAGAGAGCATATATAGTATACAAGTGCCTCTTAAAAAACTTGCCATAGAAATGACATGTATGTAATCAACAAGGTAAAGGTTTTTAGTGTAAGGTTAAATATTGTCATGTCAAGTAATTACGGTAATCAGGATTTTTCTTTTTTGAACAGTAGGCAGGTAGTAAGCTAAGTTATATATATATATATAGTGTATATATCTTAGCAATGTAAATTAAATTTGGGGCCTGATTTTTAGATTTTTAGCTGTGTCTTATCTGGCTACAAAAGGCAAGACATTTCTTTACAGCCTTCCTAAATCTGTGGTTCTCTGAGGATATTTTGATCTGAAAGATTAAAGCCCAAAGCTTCTTACTTTTTTTTTCTGTAAACTCTCCAGCCCAGTCAGAAATTGATATATATATATATGCATGTGTGTTCGTATATATGTGTGTGTGTGTTTCATAAAACCAGATATAAACCGAACTAAGTATGCCAAATTAAAGTTATTTTTATAAATTCAAACCTTATTCTCTTTATATAGAAATAAATAGTATTCAACTATTTTGAAGAAAATGTGATTATTTTCATATAGAAACTAAAAATAGCAACAGGGAACATTTGTGGTAAACCTTCTGCAATAACAGTTCATGCATTATTTGAAGAATAATGTATTTTACATAAATACATTCAAATTGTTTTTAAGATATCTTGTTGTCTCTTGTAAGAAAATCATCCCAGATGTGGACATAAACTCGGATATAACTTATGGTGATATTGGAGGACATTCGTAATATTTTTGAGTCCTTTGAGACAATAGCTTTACAAAAATTTAAGAAATTACTGGTGTTCTCAGTTATTCATGTGGCCTTTTTAGGAAATAATACTTTTTGTACTCAGTTTTTTCCTTCCTTTGGCATGTGATACTATCAATTGAAAATTTGACTTTTATAAATAGTTCTCCATTATGATATTATGAAAACTTCTGGTAAGTTATCGTTTTCAATCTGAAATTACTACAAACTATTTTTTTAGAATGAGTATCAATAAATAAATCAATATTATTACTGGAAATGGTAGTCTCAGTTTTACAGGGAACTGTAGAGTAGTGGTAAATTTAAAGAGATGGAGATGTTCAGTTTCAAGTCACTGTATACAAGGACTATCAGCATGAAAAGAAGCATGCTGTACCAAAAATAGATGGGAACATTGAGACCGTAAAAACAAGCTCTGCTTTTCTGCAGCAATGGACAGAAAAAAGCATGATTTATTCCCATTATTGGACAGTATCAAAAGTGACTGCCATAAAAAGTGATGAAAACCTCTTGAAAGATGGAAACACTGTTCTGTTGGACAGAGATAACTATTGTCTTGGATAGAATTCTTTAACTAGGATTATGGTATATTTGGTCTTTTTTAAAATAAATGACTAATATTCTCATTTCTTGGTTTTATTTCTATTCTTTTTTAAAAGTAAACTACTCTTCAGGATTGGTTATTTTTTACCGCCTCGTAATTAAGGAGCCTATATTCTTTATGTTTACAATTAAATATTTTTAATAAAATTAAATGTAAAAATTGTGTTAATTGAAGATTCTCTATTAATTTAATAATTGCATTATGACCAGGAGGACTTTCCTCTTGAAGCCTAATTTTATGTGGGTGCATTTATATATAGATTGCTATTATGAACTAATTCACTATGGAGATGAAGTATTAATATTATATGTATATAATTTTTTAAATTAGCCTATAAAATAAATAGCATACCTTACTTATGTAAATAATTTTTATTCATGAGGGTTGTTTTTTTTTTTCAGAAATTCTCTTTCATCTATTGAGGTGACCATAAAATTTTTCTATTTATCTATCATGAGATATGTTATAATAATATATTTCCTTAGATGACCAATCTGTGGTTTAATGAAGTTAAGTTATTTGACCTTGATGGATTGTTACCTTAATGTTGAATATTATGTATTTTCTTTAATTTATTAAAAACTGGGATGAGGAGATTCTGTTGAATGCTATGAAGTATAAATATGTTTTGAGTGACATAAAGAATATAATATATATACTATGTTCTTGGATAGGAGTTGTAAAGAAGTCAGACTCAAAATTCTTACTGTTTTTGCTACTTTGAATTCAGCAAAAACGGTGCTCATTTTTGTATAAAATAACAAATGCATTGCAATATAAAGGAATATTTAAAAAGAACAGTAAACTAGAAGAGTATTCCTGGCAGATATTAAAATGTGTTTAAAGGACTATATTTAAAATATATAGTATTAACTTCCAAAGATAAATATTCATCAATGTTACCAAGAAAAGAGTTTAAAAATAGACTAAATTACATGAAGTAGTAAAACAATGGTGAAATTGACTTTATTAATTAATGGGAAGAATAGACAGATTGTTTAATGCCATGGTTGTTATGTTGTAGGGGTTGATATTGGGGAGGAGAAACAATGATCATTTGGACATAGGGTGAGTATTGCAATTTCTTTTCTTTTTTTTCTTTTGAGACAGAGTTTCACTCTTGTCGCCCAGGCTGGAGTGCAATGGTGAAATCTCAGTTCACTGCAACCTCTGCCTCCTGGGTTCAAGAGATTCTGCTGCCTCATCCACCCAAGTAGCTGGGATTACAGGCGCACACCACCATGCCCAGCTAATTTTTGTATTTTTAGTAGAGATGGGGTTTTGCCATATTGGCCAGGCTGGTCTCGAACTCCTGACCTCAGGTGATCCTCCCACCTTGGCCTCCCAAAGTGCTGGGATTATAGGCCAATTTCTTAACTAAGCCCCAGAAGAGTCACTCTCACAATTAAATGTGAGTTGAATGTTGGAAATTAGCAGCCATCGTACCTTAGTGGAGAGATCTATTTGGGGAAAAGAGAATTCCCACAGAGTTTCTTGTTGCTTTAAAATGAAGCCTAAGGCAAAGTTATAATAAAATGAGGCTGACTTGTAGGATACAAATTAGGATTTTCATGAAAATTTATAACTGTAGTGAAGCAATAACTTTTTAAAAATGATTTGCTTTCCTATTTCTTTTTTTCTTTATTTCTTCTTCAAAAAGAAAAGGGGGGATAAATGTGCAGAACACGCAGATTTGTTACATAGGTATATTTGTGCCATGGTGGTTTGCTGCCCCTATTGACCCGTCCTCTAAATTCCTTCCCCTCACCCCCCCACCCCACAACAGGCCCCAGTGTGTGATGTTCCCCTCCCTGTGTCCACGTGTTCTTAATGGATGTTCAACCCCCACTTATGAGTGAGAACATGCAGTGTTTGGTTTTCTGTTCCTGTGTTAGTTTGCTGAGGATGAGGGCTTCCAGCTTCATTGGTGTCCCTGCAAAGGACATGGTCTCATTCCTTTTTATGGCTGCATAGTATTCCATGGTGTATATAGATACCACGTTTCTGTTATCCAGTCTAACATTGATGGGCATTTGGTTTGGTTCCATGTCTTTGCTATTGTAAATAGTGCTGCAATAAACATATGCATGCATGTGTCTTTACAGTAGAATGATTCATATTCCCGTGGTTATATACCCAGTAATGGCATTACTGAGTCAAATGGTATTTCTGGTTCTAGATCCTTGAGGAATCACTATATGTCTTCCATAATGGTTGAACTAATTTACATTCACACCAACGATGTAAAAGCATTCCTATTTCTCCACAGCCTCACCAGCAACTATTGTTTCTTGACTTTTTAATAATCACCATTCTGACTGGCATGATAAGGTGTCTTATTGTGGTTTTGATGTACATTTCTCTGATAATCAATGCTGTTGAGCTTTTTTTCATATTTTTATTGACCACATACATTTCTTCTTTTGAGAAGTGTCTATGTCCTATGCCCACTTTTTGATGGGGTTGTTTGTCTTTTTCTTGTAAATATGTTTAAGTTCCTTTTAAAGTCTGGATATTAGACATTTGTCAGATGAGTAAACTGCCAAAATTTTCTCCCATTCTGTAGGTTTCCCATTCACTCTGATGATAGTTAATTTTGCTGTTCAGAAGCTCTTTAGACTAATTAGATCCCATTTATCAATTATGGCTTTTGTTGCAGTTGCTTTTGGCATTTTTGTCATGAAGTCTTTGCCCATGCCTATGTCCTGAATGGTATTGCCTAGGTTTTCTTATAGGGTTTTTATGGTTTTTGGTTTTACATTTAAGTATTTAATCTATCTTGAGTTAATTTTTGTATAAGCTATAAGGAAAGTGTCCAGTTTTTCCAGCACCATTTAATGAATAGGAGATCCTTTCCCCATTGCTTGTTTTTGTCAGGTTTGTCAAGGATCAGATGGTTGTAGATGTGTGGTGTTATTTCTGAGGTCTCTGTTCTGATCCTTTGGTCTATATGTCTGTTTTGGCATCAGTACCATGCGGTTTTGGTTACTGTAGTCTTGTAGTACAGTTTGATATCAGGTAGTGTGATGCCTCCAGCTTTGTTCTTTTTGCTTAGGATTGTCTTGGCTATGCCAGATCTTCTTTGATTCCATATGAAATTTAAAATAGCTTTTTTTTCTAATTTTGTGAAGAATGTCAATGGTAGTCTGATGGGAATAGCATTGAATCTATAAATTACTTTGAGCAGTATGGCCATTTTCACATTATTGAATCTTCGTATCCATGAGGATGGAATGTTTTCCCATTTGTTTATGTTCTCTCTTATTTCCTTGAGCAGTGGTTTGTAGTTCTCCTTGAAGAGGTCCTTCATATCCCTTGTTAGCTGTATTCCTAGGTATATTATTCTCTTTGTAGCAATTGTGAATGGGAGTTCATTCATGATTTGACTCTCCGCTTGCCTATTGTTGATGTAAAGGAATGCTTGTGAGTTTTGCACATTGATTTTATATTCTGCGACTTTGCTGGAGTTGCTTATCAGTTCAAGAGGTTTTTGGGCTGAAATGATGGAGTTTTCTAAATATAAAATCATGTCGTCTACAAACAGAGACAGCTTGACTTCCTCCCTTCCTATTTGAATACCCTTTGTTTCTTTCCCTTACCTGATTGCCCTGGCCAGAACTTCCAATACTATGTTGAATAGGCGTGGTAAGAGAGGGCATCCTTGTCTTGTGCCAGTTTTCAAAGGGAATGCTTCCAGCTTTTGCCCATTCAATATGATAATGGCTATGAGTTTGTCATAAATAGCTCTTATTATTTTGAGATGTGTGCCATCAATACCTAGTTTATTAAGAGTTTTTAACATGAAGGGATATTGAATTTTACCAAAGGCCTTTTCTGCATCTATTGAGATAATCATGTGATTTTTGTCTTTGGTTCTATTTATGTGATAGATTACATTTATCGATTTGGGTATGTTGAACCAGCCTTGCATCCCAGGGATGAAGCTGATTTGATCATGATGGATGAGTTTGTTGATGTGCTGCTGGATTCGGTTTGCCAGTATTTTATTGAGGATTTTTGCATCAATGTTCATCAGGGATATTGGCCTGAAGTTTTCTCTTTTTGTTGTGTCTCTTCCCAGTTTTGGTATCAGGATGATGTTGGCTTCATAAAATGAGTTACGGAGGAGTTCCTCCTTTTCAATTGTTTGGAATAATTTCAGAAGGAATGGTCCCAGCTCCTCTTTGTATTTCTGGTAGAGTTCAGCTGTGAATCCATCTAGTCCTGGGCTTTTTTTGGTTGGTAGGCTATTAATTACTGCCTCAATTTAAGAGCTTGTTATTAGTCTATTCAGGGATTCAACTTCTTCCTGGTAGGGTGTATGCGTCCAGGAAGTTATCCATTTCTACTAGATTTTCTAGTTTATTTGCATAGAGATGTTTATAGTATTCTCCAATGGTGGTTTGTATTTCTGTGGGGTCAGTGGTGATATCCCCTGTATCATTTTTTATTGTGTCCATTTGATTCTTCTCTGTCTTCTTCTTTGCTAGTCTGGCTAGCAGTCTATTTTTTTTTTAATTTTTTCAAAAAAACAGCTCCTGGATTCGTTGATTTTTTGGAATGTTGTTCTTGTCTCTATCTCTTTCAGTTCTTCTCTGGTCTTAGTTATTTCTTGTCTTCTGTTAGCCTTTGGATTAATTTGCTCTTGCCTCTCTAGCTCTTTTAATTTTGATTTTAGGGTGTTGATTCAAGATCTTTCTAGCTTTCTGATGTGGGCATTTAGTGCTATAAATTTCCCTCTTAACACTGCTTTAGCTGTGTCCCAGAGATTCTGGTATGTCATCTCTTTGTTCTCATTGATTTCAAAGAACTTGATTTCTGCCTTAATTTCATCATTTACCCAGGAGTCATTCAGGAGCAGGTTGTTCAATTTCCATTAAATTGTGTGGTTTTGAGTGGGTTTCTTAATCCTGAGTTCTAATTTGATTGCACTGTGTTTGGAGAGACTGTTTGTTATTATTTCAGTTCTTTTGCTTTTGCTGAGGAGTGTTTTACTTCCAATTATGTGGTCGATTTTAGAATAAGTGCCATGTGGCACTGAGAAGAATATATATTCTGTTGTTTTGGGGTGGAGAGTTCTGTAGACGTCTATTAGGTCCACTTGATCCAGAGCTGAGTTCAAGTCCTAAATATCCTTGTTAATTTTCTGTCTTGTTCATCTGTCTAGTACTGAGAGTGGGGTATTAAAGTTTTCCACTGTTATTGCATGGGAGTCTAGGTGTCTTTGTAGGTGTCTAAGAACTTGTCTTATGAATCTGTGCCCTCCTGTATTGGTTGCATATATATTCAGAATAGTTAGCTCTTCTTGTTGAATTATTGCCTTTACCATTATGTGATGCCCTTCCTTGTCTTTTTTGATCTCTGTTGGTTTAAAGTCTGTTTTATCAGAGATTAGGATTGCGGTCCCTGCTTTTTTTTTTTCTTTCCATTTGCTTGGTAAATTTTCCTCCATCCCTTTATTTTGAGCCTGTGTGTGTCTTTGCACACAAGATGGGTCTCCTGAATACAGAACACCGATGGGTCTTGACTCCTTATCCAAATCACCAGTCTGTATCTTTTAATTGGGGCATTTAGCCCATTTACATTTAAGGTTAGTATTATGTGTGAATTTGATCCTGTCATCATGATGCTATTTGGTTATTTTGCATACTAGTTGATGTAGTTTCTTCACAGTGTCTTTGGTCTTTATATTTTGGTATGTTTTTGCAGTGGCAGGTACCAGTTTTTCCTTTCCATATTTAGTGCTTCTTTCAGGAGCTCTTGCAGGGCAGACCTGGTGGTAATGAAATCCCTGAGCATTTGTTTGTCTGTAAAGGATTTTATTTCTCCTTTGCTTAAGAAACTTAGTTTGGCTGGATATTAAATTCCTCGTTGAAAATTCTTTTCTTTAAGAATGTTGAATATTGGCCTCCCACTCTCTTCTTGCTTGTAGGGTTTCTGCTGAGAAGTCTGCTGTTAGTCTGATGGGCTTCCCTTTGTAGGTAACCTGGCCTTTCTCCCTGGCTGCCCTTAACAGTTTTTTCTTCATTTCGACCTTGGAGAATCTGATGATTATGTGTCTTGCAGATTATGTTCTTGTGGAGTATCTTAATGGTGTTCTCTATACTTTCTGAATTTGCATGTTGGTCTGTCTTGCTAGGTTGAGGAAGTCCTCCTGGATAATATCCTGAAGTGTGTTTTCCAGCTCATTTCCATTCTCCCTGTCTCCTTCTGGTACTCCAATCAATCATAGGTTCGGTCTTTTTATGAAGTCACATGTTTTTTGGAGGCTTTGTTCATTATTTTTCATTCTTTTTTCTCTATTCTTGTCTGCATGTCTTATTTCAGTAAGGTGGTCTTCAAACTCTGATAACCTTTCTTCCGCTGGGTCGATTTGGCTGTTGATACTTGTGTATGCTTCATGAAGTTCTTGTGCTGTGTTTTTCAGCCCCATCAGGTTGTTTTATGTTCAAGCTATATAAACTGGTTATTGTAGTTAGCAGTTCCTCTAACCTTTTATCAAGGTTCTTCACTTTTTGAGTTGGGTTAGAACATGCTCTTTTAGCTCATCATAGTTTTTTATTACCCATCTCCTAAAGCCCTACTTCTGTCAATTTATCCATCTTATCCTCCATCTAGTTCTGTGCCCTTGATGGAGAGATGCTGTAATCATTTGGTTGAGAAGAGGCACTCTGGCCTTTTGGGTTTTCAGCATTTTTTCATTGATTCTCATCTATGTGAATTTGTGTAGTTTCGGCCTTTGAGGCTGCTGACCCTTGGATGGGTTTTTTATGGGGGCCCTTTTGTTGTTGTTGTTGATGATGATGATGCTGTTGTTGTCCCTTTCTGCTTGTTTGGTTTTCTTTCAATAGTCAGGTCCCTCTTCTGTAGGGCTACTGCAGTTTGTTGGGGGTTTACTTCATGCCTTATTCATCTGATTCGCCCCCCTGCCTGGAGATACCATTCATGGAGGCTGGAGAGCAGCAAAGATGGGTGCCTTCTCCTTCTTTTGGCACCTCTGACCTTGAAGGTCACCAACCTGATATCAGTAGGATCACTCCTGTATAGGGTGTCTGACAACCCAGTTGAGTGTCACGGGGAGCAGGACTCATTTAGTGAAGCACTTTGTCCCTTGGTGGAGAAGGTGTGTTTTGCTGGAGGGAAACCCACTAGTCTGGGCTGCCTGGATTCCTCAGAACTACCAAGAGGAAAGGCTAAGTCTGCTGCTCTACAGAGACCGTTGGCCACTCCTTCCCCTAGGGGCTAAGGCCCAGGGAGATCCAAATTCTGTCCCTGATCCTCTGGCTGGAGTTACTGGAGATCCTGCAGGGAAGTCCTGCCCACTGAGGAAGGATGGGTCCGGGTTAGACCTTAAGAGGCATTCTGGCTGCATACTGCCACAGCCAGTATTTTGGGCTGTGGGGACAAGTCTTGGGACCAAACCATCCAGCCTCCCTGGCTCTGGCAGGGGAAAAGAGCAGCCTAGAGCTATAGAAATGGGTGCTGCCCTTCCCCCATCCAGGGAGCTTAGTGTGGTAGGCAGTTGCCAGTCCCACTGCTGGTTGCTTCCTCTCTGCCAAAGAGCTCAAAGGGCTTAGACAGCAGGCAGCTGCGCTGGTGCTGGTTGCCCCTCCCCCAAGGAGTTTCGTTGGCTTAAGCAGATTCCAGCTGAGAGGCTGTAAGAATCTGCACATTCCAGGGTTGGGAAGCTACGCCCCGGTGTCATGGTTTCATGAGTGGGATCTTTCGATCCATGGGTTGCACAGTTCCACAGAAAAAGCAGTTTCCCTGGCTGGGTAGCATGCTCACTCACCACCTCACTTGGCTGGAGGGAACAGACTCCCCTTCCCTTGTGGCTCTCAGGTAGGCCACCACACCACTCTGCTCTTCCTTCTCTCCATGGGTCATGCTAGCCTTCTAGTCAATTTTGATGAGAGAACCTGGTTACCTTGGTTGCCGTTGAAGGATTCACATGCTTATCATTGTTTTTTTTTTTTTGATAGGAGCCTCCAAAGGCCGCTGCTTCTAGTTGGCCATCTTGGCCCCACCCCGAAACAGTAACCTTTGAAGAATAAAAGAAAAAGCAAAAGAGTAGCATTACTAAAATATTAAACGGTTACATTTACAGCCAAAATTTGTTTTGTTTTTATTTTGTTGTGTTTTCATTAAGAAGACATTGTGTTGGTATGAAATATGGGTTCTGGTCAATCAAAGGGAAATTCTAGATTATTTGTAATATCATGTAATAACTTGTAGCAGAAATTGGCAGACCATAGCCTGATTGCCAACCCCAACCCATTTTTATAAATAAAGTGTTTTGGAATACAGCCAAGTTATTCATTTACATATTATCTGTGTCTGCTTTCAAGCTATAGTAGTAGGGTTGAGTAGCTGTGTCAGACACCATATGGCCTACAAAGCTTAAAATATTTACTATCTAGTCATTTATGGGTAATATTTGCATACCTCTGCCCTATAAGCAAATTAATGCATATCTTGGAAATATAAAGTTATCAAACTTGTTATTTTTTAGCCATATATTAGTGGGTAGCATTTTTGTAATTAAACATAGAATAAAACCTCTACTGGAAATATTTCCCTCAAAAGGTAACCATCTTTTTATTCAGTCATTTATCTTATTTAAAAAAATTATTTTTATTTATTTATTTATTTATTTTGAGGCAGTGTCTCACTCTGTTGCCCAGGCTGGAGTGCGGTAGCGATCTCGGCACACTGCAACCTCCACCTCCCGGGTTCAAGTGATTCTTGTGCCTCAGCCTCCAAGTAGCTGGGACTACAGGCACATGCCACCATGCTCAGTTATTTATCAAAGCATCTATGCTAAGGAATATACATTCAAAAGCTTTCAATAGAGGATTTCATATTTATTTGTCTTCGGAAAGAATTTGGTTTTTATTAAAATGCAGAAATATCTGAGAGAGATTGTTAGTAAAAAATGTAGGGATGTGTATGTGGTGCGTGTGTGTGTGTGTATTTTCATAAAGGAGTGTTAGTCAAGTGCTTGCTACTTACTTGTAACCAAACTAAGGTTTGGATGCATGCCACCTGAAAAGACAAACACATAAGAAGTAAGGTTTCATAGAAGGAAAGCAGCTTTATTCAAGTGGTGACACCTTGGGAGATGGCCAGACTCAAGTCTGAAAAATCCATCTTAAATTCTCAGTCTGTATAAGGGGATTTTAAGGGGGAAGGTTGCATGGAAACTGTACAGGAGTGTGCATGGTGCAGGTCTGCTTGTTGTTTTCCACTGCTAGTTTGAGTAACAGACTATCCAGAGGCCTGGTTGGCATCATCTCAGTAGAGGTCAGGTTAGGGATTAACTGCACAACTGTTTCATCTTGAAAGGAAGAAAATTGAAACTGCCATCTCTGCCTCATGCCTGGATTGTTGTAAGATTAGCCTTTGGACATTTCAAGCAAACAGGTAGTTACATATATGTGTATCAAGAAACAAACAAGGGAGGGATTATCTTTAGAGTAAGCTAGCAAACTGGCTATACTGGTTACATTAGGAGACATTTCTCAAGGACTCTTTTTAATACCAGCTAATTCTCTCATTTTGCATTTTGACCAATTGCCATGACAGACACTAAAAATGTATTTGTGATTTGTTTAACTTCTATTTCTTTTTCAACTTTTATTTTAGATTTAAGGGATATGTTTACATGCTGGTTTTGTGGGTATATTGTGTGACACTAAGGTTTCTGATACAAATGATCCCATCACCCAGGTAGTGAGCATAATACTCAATAGTTTTTCAACCCTTATCCCCCACCCGGCTCCTTCCTCTAGTAGTTTTCAGTGTCCATTGTTGCCATCTTTATATACATGAGTACCTAAGATTTAACTCCCACTTATAAGTGAGGACATACTTACTTATAAGTAAGTATGGTTTTCTGTTTGTGCATTAATTTACTTGGGATAATGGCTTGCTGCCTTATCCATGTTGCAGCGAAGAACATTATTTCTTTCTCTTTTTTGTGGCTGCATAGTACTCCATGGTACATATATACCATATTTTCTTTATCTGCTACACAATTGGTGGGCACCTAGGTTGATTCAATGTGTTTGATATTGTAAATAATGCTGTGATGAACTTACAAGTGCATGTCTTTTTGGTAGAGTGATTGATTTAAAAATATATATGTACCCAGTAATGGGATTGTTGGATCAAATGGTAGTTTTGTTTTAAGTTCTTTGAGAAACCTACAAACTGCTTTCCATGGTGGCTGAACTAATTTACATTCCCAAACAGTATATAAGTTTTCCCTTTTCTTTGCAGCCTCACCAGCATCTGTTTTTGCTTTTTTTTTTGAGACAGGGTCTGACTCTGTCACCCAGGCTGGAGTGCATTGGCATGATCACAGCTCACAGTAGCATTGACATCTCCGACTCTGGGCTCAGATGATCCTCCCATCTCAGCCTCCATGGTAGCTGGAACTACAAGTGTGTGCCACCTGCCCAACTAATTATGTATATTCATATATATATGTATGTATATTCATATATATTTTTATATATGAATATATTATAAAACTAGAATATATATACATAAAATTTATATATGTGTGTGTGTGTGTGTGTGTGTATATATATATATATGTATTTTTTTTTTTTTTTAAAGAAACTGGGTTTTGTCTTGTTGCCCAGGCTTGTCTCAAACTCCTGGGCTTAAGCAATCTGCCCCCCTCGGCCTCTCAAGTACTGGGATTACAGGTATGAGCCACCACACTGGACTTACTATTTTTTTGACTTTTTAATAATAGCCCTTCTGACTGATTTCAAATGGTATCTCGTTATTGTTTTTATTTACATTTCTCTCACGATTAGTGATGTGGAACACTTTTCATATGTTTCTTGGCTACTTGTCTTTTGAGAAGTATCTGTTAGTATATTTGCCCACTTTACTGGGCTTGTTTATTTATTTATTTACACTTGTTGAATTGTTTTAGTTCTTTACAGATTCTGAATATTAGACCTTTTTCAGATGCATAGTTTGCAAATATACTCTCCCATTCTGTAGGTTGTCTGTTTACCCTGTTGATAATTTCTTTTGCTGTGTAGAAGCTCTTTAACTTAATTAGGCCTCACTTGTCAATTTTTGTTTTTGTTACAATTGCTTTTGAGGACTTAGTCATAAATTCTTTCTCAAGTCCAGTATTCAGAATGGTATTTCTTAGATTTTCTTCTACGATTGTTGTAGTGTGAGGTCTTATATAAATGTGCTTGTTTAAAAAAGTGTGAGTTAATGATTTATATTCTTTGTGTAAAAGTATACACAGCATCAGATTATAAATAAAATTTAAATTATATTTTACTTAGAAATGATAAAAAAAAAGATTTTCTGTGAACCATAGACTAAATTTCCAGTAGGTTCTCATGTTTTTCTCCCTACATCTATATTATATTCTGCTTTTAGCAATCCTAGATATATGTTTATTAAGGTGTGATGGAGGCCTAATATTTACTGTGTACCCACTACGTCCTGAAAAACCATGAATTGCCATTAATTATCACAGTCTGTGTCAAACAATACATAAATCCTTGGAACACAGTACTATTTATAATTGTGCTGTTGCTTATATGAAGGGATGTACACTCACATGGAGGCCATAAATGTATATACACTTTGTATACTTAGCTTATTATGTTATGAAATATGTTTAAAATGGATGTTCTTTGAAATTTTCCCAAAATTGATAATCTTGAATAAAAACTTTTTATGAAGATATTTCTAAAATAAGTAATATATCTTATCTGCTTAAGATATAAACAAGAACCTTTGTTTTCAACCAAAATAATAGTTATATTCAAATTATGAAGCATGTTTTTGCATAGGAGTTTTATGTTTTTGTTTTTGGCATGGGTCTTCAGTAATGCCTCCTGCAAACTTATCATTATTGTATATTGTCATTATCTTATTTTTGTACTTCTCTTTCTCTCTGCCCTCTCCACCACCCAATCTGTCTTATTTTTGCCCTTTAAAGAACTGAATTTATGCTGAATGGTGAATATTTTATCATTATATTTATTTATATTTGAACTTTCTTATACTGTGTACTTGATTAAACTTTCCTGTAAAATGTGACTATATTTTCCCATTTTATACCTCTTGTCTTTTAAGATAGAGATAAACAGATAGAGAAAGAGATAAAAAGAGCGATAGATAGGTCAATAGATATCCAACTCATTCATTCTAATTCATCAAAAGTAAGGATTTGGAAAAATTATTTACCATTAAATATTAAAATGATTTTTCAGAATTTTACTTCCTTCCTTCCTTTCCGTCCTTTCTCCTGCCTTCCCTCCTTCCCTCCCTTCCTCCCTACCTCTCTCCCTCCCTCCCTTCCTTCATTTCTCCCTTTTTCTTTCCTCTCTCCCTTCACCTCCTTCCTTCTTTCCCTCCCACCTTCCTTCTTCCTTTCCTTTCCTTTCCTTCTTTCCTTCCTTTCTGTTATGGCATAAATATGCAAAACTTATTTGGAGGAAATGGAGAAAATTATTGCTTAATACATCTCTTCTTCCATTAAAGTTCTTTCTGTATATGTATACGTGGCATTCTTAGGAAAGGACTGCGATGTTGAAACATAAATTAGCAATGCTTGCAGAATTTAATGATCTGCCTGTGAATACAAAATATATCATATAATAATTCTGTACCTACTAATGAAACATTGAAGAGTCCAGCATTGCACGTGGAATGTTTCTTTAAATGAATATTACTTCAAAGGGATGATGATCAAAGTATTTAAGAATTCCTAAAGGATCAGAAATTCTTTTTTGAGATAATTTTCCTTAACATAACAATGCATGTTTATTTGCTGTCTGATGGCCATGGAGTAGTGGTATGTTATGAAAAAATGTCTTAAATTTGCTGTGACAGCCTCTTTTCCCAGAAGATTAGCATATCAAGGTTTGTCTTCTATATATATTTGTAAGCTAGATAAAAGTGTTAATTCTAATTGAAATGGTTCCTTTAGTAGATTTAATGAACCCTCCACCAACAAGTAAATTAAACTGAAAATTATTGACACAAGTTTTATCATTGGAGAAGAAAATAATTACCAAAATCATTGTCTCCTCTTGATCAAATTTAACTCCCTTGTCATAGAAAATTGTAAATTGAAATTAGGAGTAAAGGCCTGTGTGAAAAAAGAAGTAACATTATACAATAAAGTATTGTAGAAGAAAATCTTACTAGTTGCTGAAACCTTATACTGTAAGAAAAAGCAAGGGAAATAGATGTTCAATTGGTAAAATCAGTATAAAGTAACAACTTAAAATGATTTTGTCCAGCTCTGTCATTAAGTAGGGCCTATAAGCAGTAGTGGAACTTTACCCCAGAAACATAGGTGTGTGTTTTCTTTTCCAGAAAGATCCAGGAGTGTTTGGGTTATAGCCAGTTTCATTTCTTAATACAGGAAAATTATGAGGGTCTGTCTGGACTGTCTTTTCAATGTCAAACTAAATATGCTTTTAGAATAAAAGAATAAGTGTTGTAAGGGGAAAAACCCATTAAAACTATTCCCATCTCCAATTTTAATGTTAAAAAGAATATATATACATGATTACTTAAAATAAATTATGTTTGGGAAAGGCTCTGAGTTCACAGTGATAATCAAAAGGGACACATTAAAATACAAATATAACAGAGTGGAAGGGGATCAGGAGAGGAGTGAACACTGCTGGTGAGAACAGCACTGGAGAGCGTGATTCCACATCCAGAAGACGCAGCTCCCCACATATTTGACAAGGCTCCCAGACTCTGAGAGCGTTATCAAGTTCATTGGGCTCACAGAAACAGATAATTTATTTAAAAATTAGAAACAAAAACTTCACTAATAGCTGACGATCTCTGGATAGTGACTTTTTTTAATTATGAGAAAACATTTAAGGAAAATCAGTGTTTTTACATCCATTTCAGAATTGCTTTGGCTATTTGTTTATTGTCTTTCCTTGTTTACTTGCACTATTTGGCTAACCTGCAGTTTGTTCATTCTTCCATTCTTCATTCTTCCTGAAAAAAAAAAAAAAATCAACAGCTTCATTAATCTTAAAATATAAAAAGAAAATCCCAAAGTGGTGAATGAAACATTGAAGATATGTGTCTTACCAAAGCAGCTTGCTGTAGGTATGGGCTGCATTTTTTGTTTGATACTTTGTATATTCAGATAGTTATTTATATAGAAGTTAAATTCCACAAGTTTCTGGTAATGACTTTAAACAATTAATGTATCTTCCAACAATAAAATCAACACTTCTGAATTTGAATGAAAAAAATCTGAATTTTTGGCAATGATTCAAAGCTTTTTCTCTGAATTTCAAAAGTTTTGACAGAATCTCCACTTTAAATTCCCTCCCACTCTGTTAAATTTAACTATAATAATGTGAACATTCCAATTTCAGAAAAAAAGTAAATTAAATATAAAAAGTTCTAATAATAAATAGTTATTTACATTATAAATTATGTATTTACTTTAAAATGCATACAATTCAGTTAAAATCAAGAGACCAAATGAGACTTATTTATAATAGCTCTATTAAGTAATAATGACATAAAATAAACTGTATTTTAAAGTGTGCAGTTTGGTAAGTTTTGACGTATGTCTAGAGCCGTGAACCCATCATCACAACTAAGACAATAAGCATATCTTTCATTCCCAAATTTTTCCTTACGCACCTATGTAATTCCTCTCTCCTTTCCCTTAGTACAGCCAATAACTATGGCTCTATACACTTGTCTCTTTATGTTGGTTAACGTGTTCTAGAATTATCACAGGCATCTGCAGTATCCACTCTTTTGCCTGCTCTTTAATTCAATATGATTATTTTGCCATTTGTTCATGTAACTGGATGTATCAGTACTCAGTATTAAAAGTTCATTACTTTTAATGCTGAGTAGTAGAGCATTGTTTGGATATACCACTAGTTGTTTATCCATTCATTTGCTGATGGACATTTTGGTAGTATCTTGTTTGTGGCTGTTACAAACAAATTTGTTAAGAACATTTATAGAGGGACAGAGCAAGATGGCCAAATAGAAGCCTCCAATCATCCCACTACCACAAGGACACCAATTTAACAACTATCTACCCAAAATAAGCACCTTCATAAGAACCAAAAATCAGGTGAGCATTCACAGTACCTAGACTTAATTTCATATTACTGAAAGAGGCACTGGAAGAGGGTAGGATATAGTCCTGACTTACTGATGGCACACCTCTTCCATTCCCTGGAAGTGGCTGTGTGGCTCAGAGTGAGAATCTGTGTGTCTGGGAGAGGGGCAGTGCAGCAACTGTGAGGCATTGCATTGAACTCAGTAGTCCTTTGTAATAGCAGAAAGCAAAACCAGGCTGAACACAGCTGATGCCAACCCTCAGAAGGAGTATTTAAATCAGCCTCAGCTAGAAGGGAATTGTCCATCCCGGCAGTCAAAAAATTGAGTTCTGGCAAGTCTCACCCGCACATGCTAAAGTGCTTGGGGGCCCCAAATAAACGGGAAAGGCAGTCTAGGCCCCAATGACTGAAACTTCTAGGTGAATCTAGGGCTGAACTGGACTCACAGCCAGTGGACTTATGGGGCAAGTGACCTACACAGACACCATTTAGGGTAGTGAAGGAAATGCTCATGCTGCTAGATGTATTGGAGCTCCATTGTACGTTATTTGTTTCTTTTCTCTTGCTGCTTTTAGGATCCTTTATCCTTGATCTTTGGGGGTTCAATTGTTAAATGCCTTTAGGTGGTTGTCTTTGGGTTAAATCTGCTTGGTGTTCTATAACTTTATTGTATTTGGATATGGACATCTTTTTCTAGGTTGGGGATGTTCTTTGTTGTTATCCCTTTGAATAAACTTTCTATGCCTATCTTTTTCTCTACCTCTTCTTTAAGGCAAGTAACTCTTAGATTTATTCTTCTGAGGCTATTTTCTAGATCCTGTAGGCATGCTTTACTGTTTCTTATTCTTTTTTTTTTTGTCTCCTCTATGTATTTTCACATAGCCTACCTTCAACCTCACTAATCCTTCTTCTGCTTGATCAAACCTGCTATTGAAAGACTCTGATACATTCTTCATTTGTCCATCACATTTTTCAGCTCCAGAATTTCTGCTTGATTCTTTTAAATTACTTCAATCTACTTGTTAAATTTACCTGATAGAATTCTGAATTTCTTCTCTTTTTCTGTCTCCCATTTATTTTGGGGTCTTTATTTGCATGCATTTTTACCGCTTTATGTGTAGGGACCAGCCCCACAGGGTCGGTGGGTCTCTCCCCATGTGCGGAGACGAGAGAGTGTAGAAATAAAGACACAAGACAAAGAGATAAAAGGAAAGACAGCTGGGCCCGGGAGACCACTACCACCAAGTCGCAGAGACCAGTAGTGGCCCCAAATGCCAGGCTGCACTGATATTTATTGGATACAAGACAAAGGGGCAGGATAAGGAGAGTGAGCCATCTCCAATGATAGGTAAGGCCACGTGGGTCACGTGTCCACTGGCCATAGGGCCCTTCCCTGCCTGGCAGCTGAGGCAGAGAGGGAGAGGAGACAAAGAGAGAAACAACTTACACCATTATTAGAGACTTTTAGTACTTTCACTAATTTGCTACTGCTATCTAGAAGACAGAGCCAGGTGTACAGGATGGAACATGAAGGCGGACTAGGAGCATGACCACTGAAGCACAGCATCACAGGGAGACGGTTAGGCCTCCGGATAACCGCAAGCGAGCTTGACTAATGTCAGGCCCTCCACAAGAGGTGAAGGAGTAGAATCTTCTCTAAACTCCCCTGGGGAAAGGGAGACTCCCTTTCCCGGTCTGCTAAGTAGCGGGTGTTTTTCCTTGACACGCTACCCTTAGACCACGGTCCGCCTGGCAACGGGCGTCTTCCCAGACGCTGGCGTTACCGCTAGAGCAAGGAGCCCTCTGGTAGCCCTGTCTGGGCATAACAGAAGGCTCACACTGTCTTCTGGTCACTCCTCACTATGTCCCCTCAGCTCCTATCTCTGTATGGCCTGGTTTTTCCTAGGTTATGATTATAGAGGGAGGATTATTATAGTATTGGAGTAAAGAGTAATTGTTACAAACTAATGATTAATGATATTCATATATAATCATATCTAAGATCTATATCTGATATAACTATTCTTATTTTATATTTTATTATACTGGAACAGCTCGTGTCCTCGGTCCCTTGCCTTGGCACCTGGGTGGCTTGCCGCCCACATTTATCTTCTTTTATAGTTTATTAATGCTCTGATAATTTTTCTTAATATTGATACAAGACTTTTCTAATCTTCTGGGTGCTTCTTTCTGTGGCCTTGGGTAATTTTCTCACACATATGTACTAATCATCACTTGGTCAAGTATTTGAGGAGGCACTCCACAAATGCAGTTTTTTTTCTTTTGCCATCACTCTCCTCTCTAGTAATCTATCTCCTGTGAACTCTTTCAGTTCACGGCTGGAGCTGTGACTCCAGCTATGTTTTCTCAACACAAAAAGACTGCCTGTCTCTACCTCATTTCCTTCTCACTGTGTTGTAGCCTGGACACTTTCTTTATGCATAAGTTGGAGCAATGTTGGGGCTGACTTCATTTTATTCCTTTGTCTTGGGGATTATGTGTTTTCCTCCTTTTTCTTAGTTGTTTCACCAGTAAGTACATATTTATTCTCTGTTATATCTCTGTGGCCAGAAGTCCTGATAGAACAGATTTAATTTATCAGATTTTTAATAAACTCGAGAACATGTATATACACACAATATATACGTGTATATTATGTATATATAAAACATATACATAATTATTATATTTTTGCTTTTCTTTGTAAGTTTGTGTCTGTGATGTTTACTGTGTGTAGTATTTGTATATAGGTGTCGTCATTTGAATCATTGGTCCCAGTTTTTCATTTCTCCTTGTATTCATGCTTTTTCGCATATAACTTTGAAGTTTTTTCCACTAAAGCACAAGTGCTTTTCCAGATTCCTTGACTTTGGCCTTAGCAATAAGGTTTGTTTGGGCCAATGGAATATGAGTCTAAGTTGTAGTATGCCAGTTCTGAGCCTATGCCTCAAGTGGCCTAGCTTCTTTTTGCTTGCTCTATTATACCTCTGTCAATACCAGGAGCTTTCCTAGTGTTTTCTGGTGCAGACTGAGCCCCAACTGCAATGAAGATTGCAACCAGCCAAGATCCACAGACTGAAGCAGTTTCCTGCCATGTGCAGGCTAGTTCAGATGACCTCAGTGAATCCCCAGAATAAATGATAGAGATGAAAAATATAGATATATGCGGATTCACTGACAATAATAAGATGAATAATGCATGCAGAAATTTCACAGATCAGGTCATTATAGCGAAATAATAGGACAACATGTTATGTAACTCTGGACAAGTAAGAAAAATAATATTTCTAGGGCAGTCCAGTTTACAAAATACTGAAATGGACCTGCAGAGTACCTAAGTCTGTTGGAGCATAGATGAAGAGTCAAGAAAATGCAGGATGGAGAGACAGAGCTATAGCAATGCTAACAAGAACAGAACACTAAGAATTGTAGTTTTGTGGTCAGCAATAGGGGTCATGATGTGATAAATGCTATTATCCAGACTGGAGCACAGTCTCTGTGAGTTACCCAAAAAAGGTTTCACAGGAAGAGATTCCCACTGGTCCAGTACAGTAACTTCTCCTAGCCATTTGGATAAAAATTTACTTGCTAAAGGGGATCTCAAAATATAGACACACCTTTAGGTTTTTTTAAATTGTTTTTATATAATTTGCATATATTCCCCTTAAGAGTCTGTTCTTAACCCATTTATTATGCCTAGTGATCCGTTATTGGAACGCTAAGCTTGTGGGAGTTATTTATATCCTACTGCTCAAAGTCATCACCAAGGTTTGATTTTTTTTTTAAAAAGTCAACCTCTGGCATAAATGGGTTAAATCGTTGTTGATAAAGTGTTTTCTTCATTTTAATGAATTACAACTTATAAAAAACCTTCAGCATAGATATCTAAATATTGTGGTCCTTATATTATTCTTAGAATGAAAAGACTTGCAGCCAGAGTGGCCAAACAGGTAACACTACTTTCTCATAATTCATCAGCAAGTTTAAAATGTACTGCAAATGTGTTCCTTCCTCTTGATCACTATTAATTTCATAGGTTAAACTTGGACTGTATAGCCTAACAGTTCCACATTTGTGCCCCAACTATTCATTTTCTAAGAAGCAGCTGGTCGTTTCTTTTATCTTTCTTTTGCTTCGTTTTATCTTTAAAATAATATCCAAACTCAGGGTCATGGCTCAGGATGACCTCTTCTCCTTCCAGGATCTAGCCGTTGCCTGCCCCTACACCTTCATCTCCAACATTGGCCTTACTTCCTGTGACTACTCTGTTATTCCCATCACTCATTGTTTAGAACTCTCGAAATTTCTTCCTTTAGGGCCTTTGCATTTGTTGCTTCCTCTGTCTTAAGTATCTCCTCTTCTGTATGAGTCTTCTAGGGCTGCCCTAGCAGAATGCCACAAATTTATGTTTTCACATTTCTGGAGGTGGAAAGTCAAAGATCACGGTTATGGCAAGGTTAGTTTCTGGTGGGGATGCTCTTCCTTACTTGCAGAAGCCCACATTCTTGCTGTGTCATCACATGGTTTTTCCTCTGTGCTTGTGCACTTGTCTCTTCTTCTTATCAGGACAACAATCCTATTGGTTTCAGGCCTGAGCCTTATAACCCTATTTAATGTTAATAACCTTTGTAAAAGCCCTATCTCATATCACATTGGGGGTTAGAGTTTCAACCTATGCATTTTGGGGACACAATGTAGTCTATATCACCTTGCCTTATCCTTTGCCACTTAGATCATCACATGGTCGATGCCTTTTCATTACTCAGGTGTTATTTCTAATATCATTTCCTTGGAGAGTTCTCCCTCAACTATTGCTTAATCACAGTGTATTGTAACTCTACAGGACATGTCTGACCCTGTTCACTCATCACTAAAATTACTATATACAACCAGAATTGTGCTTGACACATATAATGAAGCATTGAGAAAACATTTGTTGAATAAATGTTTTCTTCTAATACTGGTTTATGGGCATAACTATTTCTGAATGTGTCCTTTCTCAAAGGTAGACACCTGAGCTTTATGATCCATGGTGTTATCCTAAAAAACAGAACACAATATTATTATATTAAGTATACCACTGAATATAGCAATTGGTGTCTTGAGGAGTTACAACATGTCATTATTTAAATAGGTTATCATATTTTTTCCAGTAATCACCCCAGCTATATTAAAATGAAACTTCTCCCCTTTTTCTCTCTAGGTAGCATCTTCCTTGACTCTTTCTTAGACAGATGCTATAACTTTTCAGCTACTTGAGTTATTAGTTTATTTCATTATTTATTGATTTTAAAATGCCAATCTCAAATTATACTCAAAGGTTTTTCTACATTTCCCATCTGTGATGACAGCTCTTATAGCTTTAAGAGTACTAGGTTGTGGGTGGGCTTCAAGACATCTCTTTTCACTCCCACTTCTAGATGCCAGCTCCATCTGTGATATGACAAGAGCGGGTAAATATCTTCTTACTTGACTCAATCAGATTGCAGTCTTCTTTTCCTTGGTTGTTGCTTCTCAGGCTGACACTTACTCTAGATGTCCTCTGCATGGTTGGGCTCCTAATTCCTGTAATTCTGAATGGTCTCCATGTACTTTCTTTTAGAATCACCTAAGAGGTGTTCCACTTCTTGGGTCACTGAAAGAGGCTGGTCAAGATTCAAATCCACTTATTTAATCACTTTATTCTTGGTTAAAATCCAACAAAGACTGATCCTAGCATACCTTTTCTTTGTTTTCTGCCTGAATGAGTATTAGCAGGCCAGCTTGAGCACAGCAGCATTATTTACATCCATCATGCCCAAGAGTAGTTCATATCCTTGCTTCATCAAATAGGAGGACAAGTTAATTACCAGAATTCCTTATCTTAGCACCTCCATCTCTCTGTTGGTCATTGCTTTCATGCCGGGGCAGCAATAAAGTATCTGTGGATCCAATGCCTCACTAACTCTTTTTTGTTTCTGAGATGGAGTCTCATTCTGTTGCCCAGGCTGGAGTGCAGTGGCGCGATCTTGGCTCACTGAAAGCTCCACCTCCTGTTTTCAAGCAATTCTCCTGCCTCAACCTCCTGGGTAGCTGGGACTACAGGCACATGCCACCACACCTGGCTAATTTTTTTGTATTTTTAGTAGAGACAGGGTTTCACTGAGTTAGCCAGGATGGTCTCGATCTCCTGACCTCATGATCTGCCTGCCTTGGCCTCCCAAAGTGCTGGGATTACAGGCTTGAGCCACCGCTCTCGGCCCTTTGTTTTGTCTTTACATCTCTTTTTCAAATTTGAAATTATTTCTCATGAGAGATTGTCCCTAACCAGAATATTATTTCAATTTCAAGTACTTTATTCTTATTTATTTTTATCTTTATAATTTACCTTCTAAGATTTTTTTCATGTTCTTATTTTGCTACTATATATATTTACTTAGTTATATGTTAGATATAATATTAGCAAACAAGACTAATATCTATTATCAGGGAAAATAGGTTTTCAACTTTATAGTATATGACCTTTAGAAGTAAAATGTTAAATTTTTTTTTTTTTACTATTTTACAATGTTTCTTTTAAAACTATTTCCTATTTATATTCATTTAGATTTAAAATCCTCCAATAAGGAAATAACTTATTTTCTCTGCTGAAGAGTTGTAAAATTCAATTATGCATAAAGACAAACATCATCCTGAGTAAAGAATCATCCGTAAGATTAGCGGAATGAATCTGCTGCAACATTTACACTTCATACTCTGAAATTGATTTTTATGCATTTTAATGGAAGCAATATTTTGCATTTGAGTACATTACATAGGAAAATAAAATGTCAAGGCTTATTCCTCACAGAATTCACAATCTCCGTTTCTGTTTCTGTATTTTTTTCTCTTTTTACTTAGAGGAATTGTTATGAGATGATCTAGTGGTCAGTTCATTTCTCATTCTTTTAGAACAATAATTTGCACATTAAAGTCCTAATACAAATAAATATACCCTATGTTCCCATCTGTTATTCTTACTCTATTGAGACCTAGTATAAGAGTAGAGCAGTAAATGGAATACAGTCTTACTTCTCAACCATATCTTTTTTTCAAATGGCAAAATATGTAAATATTTCTCATATGTTTAAATTTTTACTTTTATTTGAAACCACTAATGCCCAAATAATGCATTGATCTCAGTCATGGGAAGAGGTGGTAAGATATGATTAATATGTCTTTATTGTAGCTTGCTGTGATTTCATGTAAAGAACATGCCATTTTATGACTCTTACTAGTGTAATGAATAAGTAAATTTTTAGCTTTAGAATTAATGCACATACCCTGACATTTTATATCTAATTGATCTGAAAGAAATTCTAAAGAGAGTTAAACACTTTAAGTTCCCAAACATGAAGAATTTGAATAAAGCATGAAAGGAACAGAGAGCTATTTGTTGTTTACTTTATTCTTTGAGAAGCTAAAACTCAGAATCTAAAGCACAGAAGAAAATGTCCCAATTTTCAAAATCAAGAAATCAAGAATCATGTTTACATGGTTTTTTTAACTCACACTTTCTATGAGCCAAGTGTTGTATTTAAAGATATTTCATTGAACATATTGGACACAGTTTCTTCCTGCAAAGAGTTAACATTTGCAAAGCCGTTCCCTTATTACTTCCTGGATATTTTTTCCTTCCTATTTTAGTGTTAGATTATTTTAAGTGACTCTTGATTCTTATTTTTTTACTTGAAAAATATGGAAAAACAAAACAAAAACTACCATTTAGTGACAAACTATCTGGTTTCCAAAAACCTGAAAAATTAAAATAGTTTTTGTATAATAATAAACCCATGTAAGAAGTTAGTTATGATTTAATGGAAATGCTGCCTCTGTATATGTAATGTAAAGAGGGGGCAATGTAATTTATTGATGAGGCATGCAGGCTCTGGATTTCAGATTGACTGAGTTCTAAGCTCAGTTTTGCCACTCACAGGGCAAGCTGTTCAAGCACTACAATATAGGAGAGAGAGCAATACCTATGTCATGAGATTTTTATGAGGATTAAATGAGATAATGTACATAGGAGATTTAGTAAAGCACCTCTCACTTCGTAAGCACTCACCATTATTATGCAACATTTCAACACTTTTTTAATAAAAAGTAATTTAAAACTATTAGGGAAGAGTGAGACAGGAAGAGAAAGGGAGAGAGAGAGAGAATGAGTAAATAGGATTAATGAAAGAGTTGAGTTTAAAAAGTCTCTGATATTAGTACTTTGGGTAGAAAAATTTTATACTAGTCTTTTGCCAGATGCATAGTTACTAAAAATTCTGTAGGTTGTCTGTTCATTCTGTTAACAGTTTCTTTTGTTATGCAGAAGCTCTTTTCATTAATTATATCCTAGTTTTTGCTTTTGTTGCAATTGCTTTCAGTGTCTTCATGAAATCTTTGCCCGTGCCTATGTCCTCAGTGGTATTTATGGTTTTACATTTAAGTCTTTTTTATTTTTTAAAAACAGTCTCACTCTTTCGCCAGGCTAGTGTGCAGTGGCGCGATCTCCGCTCACTGCAACCTCTGCCTCCTGGGTTCAAGCAATTCTTCTGCCTCAGCCTCCCGAGTAGCTGGGACTGCAGGTGCACACCACCACACCCAGCTAATCTTTGTATTTTTAGTAGAGATGGGGTTTCACTCTGTTGACCAGGATGGTCTCGATCTCCCTGACGTCATGATCTGCCCTCCTCAGCCTCCCAAAGTGCTGGGATTTCAGGTCTGAGCCACCACACCTGGCCTACATTTAAGTCTTTATCCATCTTGAGTTAATTTTTGTATGTGGTGTAAGGTGGGGGTCCAGTTTCAATCTTCCGCCTATGGCTAGCCAGTTCTCCCAGCACCATTTATTGAATAGGAAATGCTTGTCTTGTTGCTTTTCTTGTTTTTATCAGGTTTGTTGAAGTTCAGATAGTTTTAAGTGTGTGGTTTTATTTATGGGTTCTCTATTCTGTCCCACTGGTCTATGTGTCTGATTTTTTTTTTTTTTTTTTTTTTACCAGTACCATGCTGTTTTGGTTACTGGAGCACTGTAGTATAGTTTGAAGTAGGGTAGTGTGATGCCTCCAGCTTTGTTCTTTTTGCTTCGGATTGCCATGGCCAATCGGGCTCTTTTTGGTTCCAGATGAATTTTAGAATCCTTTTTTCTAGTTCTGTGAAGAATGTTAATGATAGTTTAATGGGAATAGCATTGAATCTATAAATTGCTTTGGGCAATATGGCCGTTTTACCAGTTGATTCTTCCTATCCATGAGCATGGAATGTTTGTGTCATCTCTTATTTCTTTGAGCAGTGGTTTGTAGTTCTCCTTGCAGAGATCTTTCACCTTTTGACTTAGCCATATTCCTAAGTATTTTCGTCTTTTTTTGTGTGGTAGTTGTGAGTGGCAAATTGTCTGTGACTTGGCTGTAAGTCTAATATCCTGCATTTGTAAAGAACTTAAAGAAATTTACAAGAAGACAACCCCATAAAAAATTAGGCAAAGGACATGAATAGACACTTTTCAAAAGAAGACATACATGTGGCCAATAGAAAGAAAGCTCAACATCACCAGTCATTAGAGAAATGCAAATCAAAAACTACAAGGAGATACCACCTATCACCAGTCAGAATGGCTACTATTAAGAAGTAAAAAATAATAGATGCTAGCGAGGTTGTGGAGAAAAAAGAAATCATATTTATACACTGCTAGTGAGAGTGTAAATTAGTTCATCCATTGTGGAAGACACTGTGGTGATTCTTCAAAGACCTAAAGACAAAAATACCATTCAACCCAGTAATCTCATTACTGGGTATATACTCAAAGGAATATAAATCATTCTATTATAAAGTCACATGAATGTGTATGTTCATTACAGCACTGTTCACAATAGCAAAGACATGGAATCAATCTAAATGCCCATCAGTGATAGACTGGATAAAGAAAACGTGGTACATGTACACCATGGAATACAACGTAGCCATAAAAAGGAATGCAATTATGTTCTTTGCAAGGATTTGGATGGAGCTGGAGGCCATTATCCTTAGCAAACTAACACAGGAACAGAAAACTAAATACCGCATGTTCTCACTTATAAGTGGGAGCTAAATTATGAGAACACATGGGCACATACAGGGGAACAACACACACTGGGGCCTCTCAGAGGGTGGAGGGTTAGAGGAGGGAGAGGATCAGGAATCACAAGTAATGAGTACTAGGCTTAATACCTCGGTGATGAAATAATCTGTACAACAAACCCCTATGACACAAGTTTACCTATGTAATAAAACTGTACCTGTAACCCTAAAATTAAAATGTTAAAAAAAGAGTAGCCACTAGAAGATAAGCCACCTCCAAGGAAAAAAACACCTCCAAGGGAAAAAAAGGAAACAGATGTACTTTTTACAATAGAATGTGTTGATTCTTCTTGAAGAATACTAGTGTCAGTAGGATTTTAGCTATTTTTAGTCTGCTAAGAATTGGCATGAATAGACATTAACAGGTTAATGAAGTATCTGAAAATAAGTGAATCCAGTTGCTGTTTAATGTCCCAAACTCAAACTTTTAATGCTTTATAACAGTCTCAGTTCCTTTTATAACTGCGAGGAAATAGTTTCTTTCCCAGGGGCATACTGCCTTTTAAAAAAATGTCTATTTTTATTAACATCCCTTTGTGGCCGTAACTACTATTAGGAAGTTGGAGTAAATTATCTTACTGATGACCTATTTCTGTTTCTAATAGTTCTTAATCAAGAATGATATGCAATTGGGACACAAATTTTCTTCCTTCAGACTTACTCCAAATTCCCGTATCCTGGTCCCCAAGGTGGAATTGCGTGTCTAGAATTCCCTTTAAAACTGTCAATAGCCGAATTTTCTTTTATTACTCTCTGGCACTTTAAACAACTTTGGCATCATTTAAGAATTTTGATGTTTTATTTTGAAGTTCCAAAAGTGGGAAATAAAAGCATGCGGAGGGTAGGATTAACAATACTTGACTGGACCATCTAGAAGTGACTGAAGAAACTGGTTTTGTTTATATAGAGAGGAGAAACCCAAAGACTGATTTAGTAACTAGCTATATAGAGGGCAGAACTAAATTACTGCTTTAATTTCCCTGGTGAATTTGTAGAATTTAACCACTTTAAATAACAGTATCCCCATTTGCAAGATGAAGATAATATTTCTGCTTTATGACTGTTTGGGGAGGATTAAATGAGACAATATAGATTAAATATTGAATATAGTAGCTGTAATAATAGGAGCTCAATAAAAGTGTCTTCCTTTCTTTTGTCTTCTTTAATAGGTGGTATGATCACTATGGATATCAAAATGGGAAGTTACAGTTGCGATTACTTAAAACATTCAGAAACATTATCTGCTATGGTGGTTAGCTGTGGAATATCCTTTCTCTTTCTCTTTCCAAGGAAAAAAATTGCAAAATTGATTTTTAAGGAACAAGTACCATGATCTTCACAATCAAATGTTATCTCTAATAGAGTTTAAAAAGTAATGGTGATGATTTTTCAGTTTATTAAAGCTGGAAAATCATTATTCATGTGCTGTTTATAGATGTTATTTAATTTTAATATCCTAATAAGATGCTGTAATTAAAAATGGTATAAGTGAAATATGATTTCTCATTAATACAACTTATTAATAAAATATTTATATTCTTATGGATCATAGTAAAATATGAACATTATGTCATTTGATAATTTTTGTTTAATTCTTGATCTGTTAAATGTTTTTAAGTGTAAGCAAACCTTTTTGCTTGAAGATGAACATTCACCTCAGAGTTAATATATGTCTTCCTTTTTCTTTTAATCATTGGATATAATAGCTTCAAACATTTATAAACAAGAAGGAAATGAAATATTGGAATTTCATAAAATAAAAACAAAAGTTAGAACATCGACTTAAGTATATCAAAATTGGAATTAAAGTTAACAGTTCTTGCAAAATAACAATAAAATTCTAATATGCATGGAATAGCCTACTCCACATTTTGACTAAATGTAGAAACAAAAGTTAGTAAATATTATTTTCTTTGTTAAAATATTGAGTTAGCTAGATATAAACAGAGTAATTTGGTAAAAATTATTTTCTAAATTCCAGTTTTATTACAGCTTCTAGTAAGATCAAGT
Source organism: Homo sapiens (assembly GCF_000001405.40). Classification (NCBI taxonomy): domain Eukaryota; kingdom Metazoa; phylum Chordata; class Mammalia; order Primates; family Hominidae; genus Homo; species Homo sapiens. The sequence continues at coordinate 97,029,273 of NC_000003.12, forward strand.
TATAAAAGTAAAAATTATTATATAATTACATATAAATTACATAAAAATTTTAAAAGTTTAAATCCCCTGTGATGTTTTTAATAAATTTATTTTAATAAAGACCATTTTTAAATTTATTTGAAGATAAATGAGGAAAAGGCCTAAAATAGTTTATGTAAGAGAAATACTAATTCTCAATAAGAATTATGCTGAAAGAGAAAAGCTAGAAAAAAATACATACTGAAGCACAAAATAATACATAATGAATGATACATAAATATTTAGAAAATGTAAACTATTCTGACAGAAAGCAGACCAGTAGTTAACTGGAGCAGAGTATGTAGGGACAAATGAATTGCAAAGAGGAAAAGAAATTAATGGGGGTGATAGTAATATTTTGTAACTCTGTTGTGGTGGTTTCATCAAAATTTATTGAATTGTGTATTCATCAAATTGGCTGCATTTTGCAGCAATCATATCTCATCAAAGTTTATTTAAAGAACAAGAACAATAGTTTCACTTCTTTAGTTTTGAAGTAAATAAAGAAAATATGAAGGCACTATTTTTATTAACCAATGGATTAAAAAATAAAATGAAACCCAAAAAATTAACAATACTGGTATCATTGAAATCTATGAAGATGGTGGCAGTATCAGTTGGTCAGACTTTTGGATAAGCAATTTGGTACTGCGTCTCCAGGTTCATCAAAAATATACTTACCCTTTGACATACCAGTTTTGCTCTTATGAGATTGTCAATAGAATGATCCAGAAGGATAAAGTGACATGCAAAAAGACTTTCTTTTCTGAGTAGGTTATTCTAGTAGTTTTGAATCTTAGTCCAGATATTCAGCTGTGCAAAAAATATCTTTCCTTTCTCCAAATCAGTTGAATCTATTTTTTACGTATTTGCTGAGAAGGCAGAAATTTAACTTGAGTTATTACTACTGACTTCACCAAATTGTGCCAAGTTGCTGAAGCCTAACTTAATACCTATGAATCAGGGACACTCATCAAATCATTTGCCATTAGTTCACACTGGACCCCATTCCAGCCTGTAGCATTCAGAGATCTGCTATGTTCCTGCCACTCTCTGAGAAAGGCCATCTTTGGAGGACATGAGGTACACTCTACCTAGAAGCTAGCCTATTTGGTGTTCCAGGTAGCAATTCCTTTGATGTCTTGCCGTCATCCAGAGTTAGAGCCATAGAGCACGGGTTATGTCTCCCCTACTTCTGTAACCCCTTTAGTCTCTAACTTTTTTCTCCTCCTTTTCCTTAGCCACTAAAGTTCTCCTAACCTCTCTTCCCCTTCCAGAATATCTAGCATAATCTTTTTAGTGAGCTTGGCTACTTCTTAGAACTTGGGTGTAGAGATGTGTGTGGTGCATAATTATTACCTCATAAATTACTCCACTAAATTTGTTTTAATGAGGAGTTTGTAAATGCAAGGAATTAATTAGAAAAGTATCTAGTGGGTGAAATATTATTGCTAAAATTGAAGAATAGAAGCAGAATACAAATTTATATCTACTATGAATATGATGTCTTAAGAATCATGTATACTATTTGTAATGATGAGATAAATTATGAGAGTTTTTCTATCGCCATAAACTATGAAGTTGTGTGGGTGTGTGTGTAATTTCTTAGGAAAAATGCATGTGTGTTATTTAACATACTAATGTTTGAGTTGGCCAATTTAAATTCAAAGAGTTAAAGAATACCGATTGATCATAATTATGAGGTCATCCTTATTATATAAGTTATTCAGGGGAGGAGTGACTGTGAAAATTTGAAGAAAAGTTAAGAATTTTTTAGAAGTGTACCAGTACCGGTACCAAAACAGAGATATAGGCCAATGGAATAGAACAGAGCCCTGAGAAATAATGCTGCATATCTACAACTATCTGATCTTTGACAAACTTGACAAAAACAAGCAATGGGGAAAGGATTCCCTATTTAATAAATGGTGCTGGGAAAACTGGCTAGCCATAGGTAGAAAGCTGAAACTGGATCCATTCCTTACACCGTATACAAAAATTAATTCAAGATGGATTAAAGACTTAAATGTTAGACGTAAAACCATAAAAACCCTAGAAGAAAACCTAGGCAATACCATTCAGGACATAGGCATGGGCAAGGACTTCATGTCTAAAACACCAAAAGCAATGGCAACAAAAGCCAAAATTGACAAATGGGATCTAATTAAACTAAAGAGCTTCTACACAGCAAAAGAAACCACCATCAGAGTGAACAGGCAAGTTACAGAATGGGAGAAAATTTTTGCAACCTACTCATCTGACAAAGGGCTAATACCCAGAATCTACAATGAACTCAAACAAGTTTACAAGAAAAAAACAAACAACCCCATCAAAAAGTGGGCAAAGGACATGAACAGACACTTCTCAAAAGAAGACATATATGCAGCCAAAAAATGCATGAAAAATTGCTCATCATCACTGGCCATCAGAGAAATGCAAATCAAAACCACAATGAGATACCATCTCACACCATTTAGAATGGCGATCATTAAAAAGTCAGGAAACAACAGGTGCTGGAGAGGATGTGGAGAAATAGGAACACTTTTACACTGTTGGTGGGACTGTAAACTAGTTCAACCATTGTGGAAGTCAGTGTGGCGATTCATCAGGAATCTAGAACTAGAAATACCATTTGACCCAGCCATCCCGTTACTGGGTATATACCCAAAGGATTATAAATTATGCTGCTATAAAGACACATGCACACGTATGTTTATTGTGGCACTATTCACAATAGCAAAGACTTGGAACCAAGCCAAATGTCCAACAATGATAGACTGGATTAAGAAAATGTGGCACATATACACCATGGAATACTATGCAGCCATAAAAAAGGATGAGTTCATGTCCTTTGTAGGAACATGGATGAAGCTGGAAACCATCATTCTCAGAAAACTATCGCAAGGACAAAAAACCAAACACCGCGTGTTCTCACTCATAGGTGGGAATTGAACAATGAGAACAACTTGGACACAGGAAGGGGAACATCACACACCAGGGACTGTTGTGGGGTGGGAGAAGAGGGGAGGGAAAGCATTAGGAGATATACCTAATGCTAAATGACGAGTTAATGGGTGCAGCACACCAACATGGCACATGTGTACCTATGTAACAAACCTGCACGTTGTGCACATGTACCCTAAAACTTAAAGTATAATAATAAAATAAAAAGAATAAAAAAAAGGATGAGACCCATTATTTTGCTTGCGAGCTAGATCCAAATATGAGTCACTATCTTAACTGTGGCCAGATCCACACATGAAGGTCACAATTCCTATTTTGTGTATTTACTTGTTAGACTCAGGACCTTAAGAGTGGGCTTTTGAAATACGAAGTGATAAAAGTATTTACTTTCACCTGTGTGTGTAATCGAGAATTCTAATCTGAACTTCTTGCTGATTCTTGTCATGAAACTCTCTGTACCACCCAAGGAGTTTACACACTATGAGGTACTGTTGTAAAGTTCTGTGAGCTTGGTACAAATATTCAACCCCAGACCTTACCTATTGCCCTAAGCCTAGCGATAAAAGGCAAAATATTTTTTATCGGCTGAATCGCAATATAAGATGGACAATCATGCCGGTGAACTGAAGTAAAGTATATGTCATAGTCTTGTTTGTGAGCAAAAACTAGGCAGGGAGTTAACACCACTTAAATATTGTGCCAAAATCATGTCACAATGCACTCTTCAGGTAGGGTATGGGAATCAGAGTCACATTAACTGAGTGCTGGACTAGGCAATATGAAACCTTCCCAAATGTGGAAAAAAAGAAAGAAAAAAAAAAGGAAGTATACCAGTACCACAACCGAGGAATACAGGGAATCCTGAGCAAGCGGTATTATGAGGAGGCTGCTGGAGACTCGGTACTCTTGGAAAGGTTGTTATGAGATGGCTTAGGGTATAACAATTTAAGCTTTACTATGTGTACCACTTTATTGAAATTGCATTTTTAATCACAATGATTGTAGTTAAAGCATTCTAAGTGTGTACTGATAGTAATCAAATTATTCTAAGTTGTAAAAAACTTGTAGAAAATAATGTAGACAAAATTTAACCTAGGAAAATTTCCAAACTAATTTTAGTGGTATAGGTGAGAAGCTGGTCAGTCGGTCAGCACGAGTAAAGAATGAAGTAACACTCTGAATTTATCCACATATATCATGGATCTTTAAGAAAATTCACATAGAGATATTCAAAACAAATTATTTAAAGATCACTAGTGAGCAAACAAATGAAAACATTCTGGTTTTACTCATAAAAAGTGGTAGCTGTATGATAGTGTTTGGCTGATAAGAGTATTAGAATGCTGAACATCCTCTATAGAAAATTGCACATATTCTTAACCTAGTAACAATAAAAGATGATGAGGAATGTCAACTCAGATTTAAAAACGAATCCTTACTTCCAAAAGTGAGAGACAAATAATAAATTAATGTTCATTCTATGGAAATGAAATTGAGATTCAAGTAGACCATGTATTTGATAAGAGCCCCAAATTAAAGCTGTATAGTTCAAGACTATAAAATGCTGTTATGTCTAATCACCCCCCAAATTATAATACCTCTTTTGTCAAGTAATGAAAACTTGATATAGAAAAGGATACATCAGGCCGTTGTGGTTTTAGAAATCAAACAATATTTTCTGAGAATTGTTCTGAGCTAAAACAATAACAAAACCTCAGACTTTGGATTTGAAAGGGTTTACCTTAGTAGTCTGTTTAATTTATTTTTTAAACTTATTGCTGACCACAATCTGCCCATCTGTGTCACATTATAAAATATATTCTAAGTCTACAGTCTAATTGGGAATATAACTTTAGGAACATGGGAACTTTAGGGAAAAAGAAACTTTCTTGACAAGGTTGTATTTAAGCATTCTTTACTCAACTGACATAATCAAATTATTCTGATAAAAATGAAAATATAGTAATTTTTGGATTATAGTTTCATGTTTCTATGAAAAACAGTTTGATCTTAGTGATGAATTTTGTACTTTCTGACCTCCAATGTGATGTTAATGTGAACAGATCTGGGCAAACTAAATTCTGCTTCTGTTCCTTGGGGAGAGTTTTACAATCTTTGCAATTATCAGTGCCATGGCTGTACATGATCACAATCTCAATATTTTCAGTGTTATAGACTTAATATATAATTCTTTTACTGTCCATGAAAACACCATTGTGAGCAGTTTGTTCATCTAATGAATCTCTTTCAATTTCTCTATTGACAAATGTGTTCTTTTGAAGGTTGTATCCCTTGCTTAAAGTCACCTCCAGCTATAAATTATTTTTTAAAACATCAAGAACTCAGTTGTGTCTGAACAGATGACTTTTTGGATTTTCCTTTACCTGATTGCTTAACATCACCCAGGTTTAGGTATTATTTTTAGCATATTGCCTATACCAGTTGTTTTCAAATTAGCATAAGCAGTCTACTGAAATGGTTATGTGCACACACACACATACACATACAGAGTACTGTTTCTATGTTCCAGATTGAATTGTTCATGGAACTACGATATAGAAATCACGGGAGAGGTCCTCTTGTACTTCCTTTTGAACTTTTCTGAGACCTCAGAGCAATTAAGGTTCCTCACACAACAGTTTGAAAACTTCCTTTATCATTATACTGTTTGGTAAAAATTCTTTTGAAAGAAATAAAATGGTAACCATATTTTTACATACAATAGTTCCAGAATATTCTGCCAAACTTCTAAGAATAATTTAAAAGTAGATTTAAATCCTATTCCTTCTTTTTAACACCCTGACTTTGTTTTGCTCTCAATTAAGATTTTTTAGAGTTTCTCCAAAACTCCTTTTAGAAATAAGCGAAATCCTATTAGAAGCATGTGAAATATTTATATGGGGTCATTATTATAGGTCAAAACCACCCAGTTTTCCTGAAAAGAAGTACACAAGCACTCCAGCAATTTCCACTGTTATTTTATCTAACTCCTCTCAGCTCCCTTTTCCCCTGTCTTCTTTTTTCTTATGCTATATTAAGTACCTTACCTTTTCTGCAAGTCTCTCACCAGGATGCTTTGCAGATAAAATTTCCCTTTTGGGTAAAATGGGACAGATGAGAAGTAGGTTTTGGTGGTACATAACTTTAATAGACACTAGGACTTTTTACATAGTGCCCTCTTATCATTCTTCTTTTTTTCAATATCTCCTCAACTATATTTTGAAACAGTGATATGCTCCTTCTAGTATTGTAAGTATTGCTTGTTTTTTGATTCTTTGCTATTACTTCCTTAATGATAAAATTCTTCCCTACTTACAGTTCTATTTTTGAGATTTTGGCCTTCAACACTATAGGATTTTTGTAGCGTACTCCATATTTGAAAATAATTTTCTTTATATTTTCAACTTCTTACATGTAAAGACTGATGGTTCTTCATTTATTGTCGGAGATCTCTGCTTCTTGAGTTACCTTGACTTGATAATATATCTTGATATGTTAGTCATTTATAATGTATCTGAATGTTTCTTTGCTATGGTAAAATATATGATAGTGCTTTCATTTAATATTTATTGTATTTTATTAATTAGGATGTTGTGGACGGAATGTATTTCCCCAAAACCTCATATGTGGAAATCGGATTCTCAGTGTGATGATATTTGGAGGTGGGGCCTTTAAGAGGTAATTAGGTCATGAAGAAATGAACTCTCATGAATGGGATTAGTGCCCTCATAAAAGAGGCTCCAGAATGCTTCCTTGTCCCATCTGCCTTGTGAGGATACAAGAAGGTAGCCATTTATGAACAAGGAAGCAGGCCCTCACCAAATACCGAATATGCCAGTGCCTCGATCTTGTGCTTCTCAGCCTCCCGAACTGTGAAATACACATTTTTGTTGTTTATAAGCCACCCAGCCTATGATATTTTTATTATAGCTAAAACAGACTACCATAAAGGGTGATTTGAAAAATAAAGTGTGAATTATGTCTTTGATTCTTTAAATCAGTTTCTGTCTTGTTCTATTTTTGGTCAATTCCTATTTTATAGAAATAGTATTAGGCCAAAGAGAGGACTAAATATGAAAATGCTTTCAAAGATTTCAAAGAAAGGCATATAATAAACACCAAATAGTATAATAACTATTAGTATCCCCATTATTAATGTTGTTATTTTCTTCATGATGAGCAGAGCAAAATCATTATTAAAAACTGAGCTGTGAGTGTTTTTTGCATTTTAATCTTTCTGGCAATTTTCTTACCTAGCTTAAAAAGATGACCCTGACAGCTAAGTCAATTGTTTTTTTCTCCCAACTTGGACGTTCTTCTATTTGAGTCCCTTTGTATACACAAAGAAGGATTCAGTTCAAAGGAGAAGAGTCCTAGTTTTCAAGTGACATTCTTGAGCTCTATTCTAGGCAGTACCCTTTGCTGGAGTTTTCCCTTGAACTAATCACTTAACATTTTACATTTACTTTCATCACCATAAAATATGGTTAATAATCTTCCTAGATGATTGTGACAATCATTAAATGAAAAGGTATATGTAATGGGCACTTTAGATCCTCTTCCTGTATTTCAGTACTGAGCAATTGTACCCATCCCTCAGTGCTGATTGTTGGCTGCTGATAGCTCACAGCTGCTCCCTTCTCTAAAAGTTGCCATTGACTGGGAGCTACTAGGTCAGTTATGTGACTCGCCGACCCCTGGAGAATTCCATGGCCATTGATGGACTAATATGAGAGGTTCAAAAGGTCAGACCCCTTCCTTTTTAAGTATACTAATGAGGCAAAATGTTTGTTTACTAAAAAAATTAAAACTACCGTTGACTTAAAAGGTGTATTTGAACAAACTAGATGGTAAATTTCTTATCCAAATTTATTAAAGCACTTACTATGATTCATATCTATGCTATTTGCTAAGAAGAAAATGATAATACAAACATGGTCTTTGCCTTTAAGGACCTTATATTTCAACGTGGGAAGTATGCACATACACACAAATACAAACATACTTATATACAAATCACATTAACTCTTGGAAATTTCTATGACTTATAAAACAGAGGATAACTAGAGGTCTAAACTTAGGGTAGTCAAGAAAGACTTAACTTTAAGTAGATGGCGGTTTGACTGAAACCTGAACAAACATGAAAGGGCTACTAATAAAGTACAACAGCAGAGAGAATATCATCATATGCAGTCTTTTAGGCAGGATATGTTTGACATTTGCAAGAGAATACTGATGTGTCAGCAGTATAGTGAGTAAAGGTGATTGAGGGAAGAGATAAAGTTGAAAAGAAAGGTAAGATCACACAAGATTAAATGCCATACTAGAGAGTTTGAGTTTTGCTCTACATGCAGTGGGAAAACACTAAAGGATCATAAATGCTGAGAGTGGAAGGTGATATAATTTGAAAAGAGGAGAGCGGATCATAAGAGGAAAGAAAGGAAGCAGGAAACAATCTGTTGTCACATACTGGTTGACACGTCATACTGGACAGAATAAAGGCAGTGACATACAAGAGGATATATGTCTAAGCTAATATTTGCAGATGATTCAATGTGGTAATTCAGGGCATGGAAAATAATGTTTGCAGAAGCATTGAATGTTGGGTAAGAGGAGAAAGTGTGATAAAACAAGGGTATGATGGCAAAAGATAGTGAAAAACTAGGAAAAAATGAGTTTCATTGTGAGCATGTTAAATATGAAATTGTAGTGAGGCATTTATTTATTTATTTATTCATTGAGAGTACCAAACATGTTTAAGGATTGCAATTTTTTATTGATACATAATGTATATATTTTGAGAGTACATGAGATATGTTTATACATTCATATAATGTACAAATATCAACTCAGAGTAATTGGGATATCCTTCATGTTAAATATTTATCTTTTCGTTATGCTAGGAACATTCAAATTATTCTCATCTAGCTATGTTGAAATGCATAATATATTATTGTTAGCTATAATAATCCTGCTGCTCTTTTGAACACTAAGTCTTATTTCTTTTATCACAGTGTTTGTTGTTGCAGATTAATCAATCCCTCTTCATCCTTTCCCCCCCCATGCTTCCTGGACTGTGGTAACCACCAGTCCATTCTCTGTCTTCGTGAAGTCCAATTTTTACACTTCAAATTATTAGTGAAAACATGCAATATTTGTCTATCTGTGCTTGGCTTATTTCACTTACCATAGTGACCTACAGTTCCATCCATGTTGCGGCAAATGACATGATTTTATGTATTTTTATGGCTGAATAATAGTCTATTGTGTATATGTGACACATTTTCTTTATCCATTCATTCACTGATAGGCAATGAGGTTGCTTCCATATCTGATTTAAAGAGCAGAGTTTTCAGGACTAAGCGTGGTAGTCCCATCATCCCCCTTTGTCTCTGGCTGTCCTCGGGAATATTTGTCTCTTCAGACACTTGCAGTGCTTTCTTTGGGTGTAGGCAGGGACCAGACTCCTGTCAGGGAGCCCAGTGGGGAAGCTGGTTGTCTACTTCAGTCTTACTTTTTTTCCAGTGTGGAAATTGTGAGTCGGGGGGAAATGTTCCACCTGCTAGGTGTCAGGCAGATTGGAGAGAAGGGCATCGCAGATATGGAAGTCTGATTTCCTTCCTGTGTGTTCAGAGTTTTTTCACTTTTCTGTAGCCCCAGGAACTCTCTTCTTCAAATTTGACTCTCAGATATTTCTGGTGATAATCTAGGCACTGTATATTCGGTTTTGGTTTTCTGTGCAGGGGATTGAAGCCAACTTGCTTTCTTGCTGCCATTTTGAAACTGGAAAATGTCTGCAGTGAGACATTTAAAGGAGTTGTACCTAACAGCCTAAATGGGCTGGAAATGTTTATCTTATTATCAACAACATAGACAAAATATGGCAATGGATGTGCTCAGTTAGGGAGGGCAGGAAAACAAGAAGGCCTAAGACTCAACATATAAGTTGGCAAACTGTAAACATTTAGGAAGAAGGAGACTAGAAAGAGGAAGTTAATAAAGGAGAGAAAATGATAGTGTAGGAAGTATGAAGGGAGAAAAACAGTTTAAACATGTTCAGCTACATAGAATGCTGCAAAAAATGTGAGTTAAAATGAAATTTGAGAGTGGTTCATCGGAATTTCAATTTATAGAATTCAGATGACTTTAAAATATAATTTGGAGAGTGGTAGACACAAGCCTGTTGGAGTAGATTGAAGAATGAATGGGAAATGAAGAAGTAAATTAGCATCCATAGAAAAATTATGTAGAAGAGATATAGTTAGTTGGAATAGATTATGAGAGTCATGGAACTTTTTTTTTTAATTGGGAGAAAGTGGAATATTATGAGTATATGTAGTTTTGTTTTATTTTTAAAATATCTTAATTTGGGGCATTTTACTTTTAGCTTGTAATTTCAAATATTCTGGAGAAATAAGATGGTTTTTCAATGAATGTTTATGTAAAATTTACATGTATTCGGCAGTAAAGAGTTTGAAAACTGACAATTGTTTGCCACAAGTTTACAGCTTTTAATCCTGATGTTTTGTTACAGCAAGGGGACACTTCGAAGTAAGTTGTTAGGCAGTAAGTCCTTGTAATATAATTGGACACTGAGCAAATTGCAGTCTCAAAGCCAGCCCTCGTAACCTTTATACTACTAAGTTCAATAAAAGTGCAGAAGACAATGAAGAAGAAACATGACTCAGAACTGAGAAAAATAACTGAACAACTTAAAACTGGACCTATCATCCTGTTGTTTGAGACATACTATTGACTCCAGTAAGAAAACTGGTAGTTAAATTGAGTGAGAATCATACCTGCTAATTATAATAATGATAATTATTAATGATAAAATAATGATTATTATAATGATTAATTATAATAATGATAGTAATTTTGCTATTTATTACAAATACTTATATTTATCAGCACTCAATTATTGATGTCCACTTGGAATCCTGGATTTAAGCATTCTTAACTGTTATTGCCTTTATTTTAAATAAATTTTAGATACTTTCCCTGTGTGTCTTAAGTCTCAAGTATGGAGAGACACTGAAATATATTCAGCATAAAAGAGTTAGTATTATAAAATGGGTTTTCTGAGAAGGACTTTGAATTAATATCCTAAATATAGATCATGTTTCATAACATAAAACAACTTCATTATATCTGAGATTTCATATCAAAATCGGTTTTAAAAGTGAGAAACAAACAAAAGATAATAGATCTTTATTAAGGTGTGTAAGCCATTTTCAATTTATCATGGCCTTTGGTCTTAAGGATAGAAAAGCTTATTATGAATTCTTCATGCTGTGGGAACTTGAATTCCTTGGAGTGTTTTCTATATTATTATTTCAACTCTCTTTCTCTGATCAATCCAAATTGATTTTAACATAGCTATAATGATCCAAGCATTCATATTCTCCCTAGAGATGATTCCTGAAATAAAATAGTTTTATTCTTTGGCTATGTCAAATTCTTCAGAGATAATTTATTTCATAATCTGCAACAGCAAAGCAATGATGCAGTTGTTTACCATGGAGTGAGGAAATTAACCATTTGCCCTCTTCTTTTACTATGTATGCCCATAGATTCAAAATTTTACATATCAGTGGTAAAAATATTGTTAATTCTGATGTTTAGAATTTAATACTGACACTTTTAAAGGGAATGTAACACCAAAGGACCTATTTACTCAAAAATTATAGGAATCTTTACCCTTATCCAGACAATCTTTTTCATTTATTTTCTTCCTCCCTAGGTACTTATTTCTACTTTTGCTTGTTTATAAAAGTTTGAGATGAATTAGTTTGCTTGTTTATAAAAGTTTGAGATGAATTAGCGTACTGTTTGTAGTTTTTGTTTTTCTTTTGTTTTCTTTCCTCTGTACTAACAGTCCTAGTCAAAAACAACGAAATCAATTATTCCAACTCTGTGGGGTCAGTTTTCTCAGTCTTCCTGTGCATTCTCACAGCATTACAGATACACCTTTTTTTAGAGCATTTATCCCCTACTTTCATATGTAATTGCCACTTGACCATTTATTTATCCCTTGAAATCAGATATCTTTCCTGGTTTTGCCAGTCCTTGTCCCTCTGATTTAAAGCCTGGAGTGTATAGATGGAACTGAAAATTTGGGGTCTATTGGACATTATTCCTGGAAGCACTGACTGCTGTCTTGTAATGCTGTAAGGTGAATTGTGTCATTTAGGAGAATTTTGCCCTGTTATAACTCAGATACAAACCTCCTATGAAAGGGTGTCCTTTCTATGACTGCCTGCTCCAAAATCCACATATTTATGTTTGACTGTATTTCAATCCAGATGTTTGCCTTTTTAATTACTGAGTTGGTACCTATACCAACCTGTAGTCTATTCTCACATCGCTATTAAAAGACTACCTGAGACTGGGTAATTTATAAAGAAAAGAGGGTTAATTTACTCACACTTCCTCAGGAAGCATAGCTGGGAGGCCTTAGGAAACGTACAGTCATGGCAGAAGGTGAAGGGGAAGCAGGAAAGTCTTATATGGCCAGAGAAAAAGGGAGAGAGAGTGAAGGGAGAGGGCTACACACTTTTAAACAACCGGATCTCCTGAGAACTCACTCACTATCATGCGAACAGCAAGGGGAAAATCCTCCCCAGTGATCTAATCACCTCCCCTTAGGCCCCTCCTCCAACACTACAAATTACAATTCAACATAAGATTTGGGTAGGGACACAAATCCAAACCATGTCAGTACCTGATACCTCAGTGAGACAAACCTTAATGGCCTTGGTCCTAGAGATATGTCATAGTTGTCCAGGGTATAATATCAAAGATCTGGATCCCATTCCTGAGGTAGTGTGTGATAATGTTTGCATATTTGTCTCCGCCCAAATCTTATGTTGAATTGTAATCCTCAGTGCTAGAACTGGGGCCTGGTAGGAGGTGATTGGGTCCTGGGGGTGGATCCCTTATTAATGGCTTAATGCCGACTTCATGATAGTTCTTAGGAGATCTGGTCGTTTAAAAGTATGTGGCACCCTCTCCCACTCGTGCTCTCTCCCTTTTTCCTGCTTTTGCTGTTACGTGCCTGCTTCCCCTGCACCTTCCACTATGATTTTAAGCTTCCAGAGGCCTCATCAGAAGCTGAGCAGATGCCCAGGCTCATGCTTCCTGTACAGCCTGCAGAACTGTTAGCCAATTAAATTTATTTTCTTTATAAATTACCCAGTCTCAGGTATTTCTTTCTAGCAATGCAAAAATGCCCTCATACAGTGTGGTTCTTATCTCAGCCCAAATTATTGAAATTTTGAGCACCTAACTCTTTGAAAAGGATTGTACCTATTGCTAATATTTGTTACACATCTCTATGTCTCAGGACTCTCTTAGGACTCAATGCTCGGTGCTCGCCTCCCTGTAGATCTAGCCGTGGTTCCAACCATTAGAGAACTCCCCTGCTTTCGCTATAGCAGGCAAGGTTACTCAGCAGGAGGGGCTGTGGACTTTTTGAATCTCTCACTAGGCTATGAGTAGAAGAGCATACACTTAGCTCCATCCATATCAGAGCAAGAAGATCAGACATACTGCCCCATGTATAAACAGTTCAAAATAAAATCTTGACCACCACCTAACCACTCACATTCTCTGCAGCAGGCAGTCTAGAACCTGTTGTGGTGACTTGGCCCAGCACTGTAGCTCCCTGCCAGCTTGATCTCATCAGGTGAGCCCTTAGAGCAGACTAGGTAGCAGAAAGGTAGCCTTAATAACAGAGTGGCAAAGTGAAGCAACTGTCTTATTGCAAACCACTGACTCATATAAGTAATTCTCTGATCTTGTATTTTATCTTTTTTGTTTAATCCTATCATTCCTTTTTTCCCCCAGGAAAGAAAGTCTGAACTTTAATGCTTTGTTTTTGAAATCCCTAAATATGTGGAAATTGACTCAGCGGTCTTCCCTTCTGTATTTCCTGAACCAAAGGAAAGACAGCTAAGGCCTCAGTCCTAATATAGGACCAGAGAGAAGATGTAATATCTCAGTGGTAGCTCCACACACAGACCAACTCTCCCTTGATAGGGACAGGTAGTCAGCTGTATATATCCAAACCTGAGCTGCCCATTCTCTCTTTCTGGAACTTTATAAGGCCACATGTCCCAGAAAGGTACCTTAATCCTCTGAGCAGGAATATAATGGACACTTGGAAAACATCAGTGGGTCACTTCATGTATCAGGAACCCTGGAAAACCTTGCCAAGAATAAGGGCATTTTCTATGCTGATGCTCTTTAGGAAATACTAAGAGAACACTAACGGATCTTGTACCAAACTGCAGAAGCAGCAGTGTTGTGGACCTTTTCAAAGCAGGCTCCACAGCTGGATCACTTCACTTCCACCCTCCCACCCTGAGTGAGCTGCGTAATCTTTAGTTAGGGCTTTTGCTTGTCTGATTCCTCAGTGATCATTGCCTTTTCTAATACTAGCCAAGATAGGAAGCATCTAAAATTTAGCAAGTATAAAAACCAAAATATTTATTTTAAGATCTATAGAGATGTTTCCCAGTCTTTTGAATATATTGTCATACAAAGAAATATATCTGTTCAGCACACTGAGGTCCTAATGCCTCTATTTATTGCTACAAGTGATTGACCCCCAGGGCTGCCCCAGACCCTGCCCAAAAGCCCTGATGGCTGAAGGAATTTGTCCACACTGGTTGGAAATCCCAAATATATGCAGAACTAAAATGTTTAGCAGGGCACTCATGGTTCTTCATAGACTATTTTCCTACATCATCTCTCTCTATTTCTCCAATGTATGGCCTTTCAGCCAATGGATGATCTCCATACAGTCAGTAGAGTTTTATCCTTCATACATGTACAGATGATGCTTTCCAAACCTAGAATACCTGCTCAGGCTTTCTACATGTGACAAAGTCCTTTTTATGTTTTAGGATTCAGCCAAATATTATAATCTATTTTTGCAGAAAGATTTAGGCATTTTTTTCTTCTGTGTTTCTTTAGCATCTTGTTTATAACACAGCTTTATAATATTTCACATTGGATGTAATTATTTCTGCATTAATCAAACACTTCAAGCAAGAAAATGAAATTAACTTTTGACTAATCAACCTGTATATACCAGGTATGATGCTTTGTGCTTTTACAGACATGATTGCCTTTAACCCTCTATGTTGTGTAAGGCAGGAAGGCTCAAAACCATTTTTGCATAAGAAAATGATAGTTAGAATTATCCTACAACTTTCTTAAGGTGAAACATCTGATAAGTGATGAGGAATGAATTGCTATTAATGTTCTCAGATTTTACCAACCATGTCCTTCTCATTTGCCTGGTTCTTTAAAACCTGGCCTAACATAAAGATACCCATCAAAATGTTTAACTAATAAAAGAGGGAAGGAACAAAATAACAAAGGGAAGAAAGGAAACATTGAAGGAGAGGATAAAAAATAAAGGGATCAATTAACCAAACAACTATGTTCTAGGAAAAAAAAAAATCTCTGGATTTGTATGCGGGACACCGACTCAATTGGCTTCTGACTTTCAAATAATAATTGAACTGTACATTAGAATACAGAGATATAGTAAATGGAATGAAAAAAGTGGAGGTAAACTATAAAAACTTGGTCACCAACTTTTTTTAAAACAAAGTATATGCATTAAGATAAATACAAAGAACTTTGTTTAACTCAAATAAAAATCTGTCTTTAGAAAGTCTAAGGAAAAGAACTCTTCTCATATGGATAAATTAGTAGAAGAAAACTTTATTGTGAAGTATTATATCAATTTGAATGTTTAAATTCAAATATGTAGTTATTGATTTATTTTAATATCTGGTATTCTATGAGACACTTTGAACTTAGTCTGTAGTTAAATATGGATGCAAATATTTTAATAAACTGTGCCGTTTTTAAGACTTTAAGTGATATTTGGTGATCTAAAATATCATCTAGTAAAGATAAAATTCAGTAATGTATAGTTAAAAAACATAGTTTCTCTTTCTCAAATCTAGCATGTTAAAGAAAATATCTGATACTGGTATTTTGTATCATTATATAGTTCAGTCAAGATTATCTCCCTGACAGATGGCTACATGCAAAGCTAATTGCAATATGATTAAGAAGGATCGGTATGTCACAAAATGATAAAATTGCCGTAAATAGCATAGAGCAAAAATCACGTAATCAACACTTATCTGACATAGTCTTTTTATGAAGCGTACAAATCTCTAAACTGCTTTACTCATTTCATTTTTTTTCTTTCCTTCCTGGGAAAGAAAGAAAATTGTTCTTTCTTTCAATAGAAAGAAAGGTTGATTGTTCCTTTTCTAAGTAAAAAGAAAGCTAGTTAAATACTCAAAAGAAATCATCATAAGTTACACAAAAATAGATAAATCTCAGAAACTGAAATAAGTAATTTCATTGCTTTGGAAATTTTATAAAATATAGTGAAAACTACCAATTCCTCATAGTCCCGTTACACAGAGACAACATACTTTGTACGTTTTTTGAAAAGTAGTGATTTTAAAATGATTATGTGTTTGTCAGCAATGTTTGACCACTGCCCTTCTTGAAATGGTGGGTACATATGTAGGTATGTGGGTACATATCATGGTGAGATTTTGTCGCCATTCTTTTTTATTTATTTCATTTTCACAATATAATAAGAAGCAAAGTAACCAGCTGAGAGTGTTGGAAGGTGGAAATATTGAAGATTTGAAATCATAGTGTAAAACAGATAGCCAGGAGTCTGGAAATGAATGTTCTAGGGAGGTATTAAAGTCCTCAAGACACAGAAAATCTCTATTTTATGCAAATTCCTCTATTGATTAGAAAAAGAGAGATTCTTCCTAACTTATACAGCTAATAAGCTTAACACCTACTTTACACAAGGGTAGTATAAAAAGGACAAATCAAACCATTTTTATATTTGAACAAGGACATCATAGTCCTAAAGAAAACAGAAGCTTAAGCACAATGATGTGCAAAAACGAATGCAGCATGACCTGGTTGGATTTATCCCATGGATTGAAGGATATTTTAACATAAAATCTTTTTATATAATTCATCACCTTAGCCAATTAAAGGAGAAATATGATCATTTCAATAGATGCAGAAAATTCCTTTGATAGATTTTAACACCTACCCATGGTAAAAACTGTTGGCAAAGTAAAAATAGAACACAATGTCCTTAAAACAGTAAAGGATATATTCAAAAAACATACTTCATTGTGAAAGTTTAGAAGAATTGAAAGACATGACAAGATGCCCACTACCACTACTTTGTTCAACGATTTGTTTGATGCACTCATTCTACAGATGGAAAACATTTAAGAATGGAAAGGAAATAAAATTGTTATTTAGAGATATTATTATCTGTGTAGAAAATCCAAGATAAAGAATAAGCTATCCAAATCAATAATAGAATTCAGCATATCACTGAACACAACCAATTTACAAAAGCCAGTAGTAATTCTATCTCCCAACAAGAAACAATTGAAAATTATAATTGAAAGAAAATTCCATTTAATAATATCATTAAAAAGCATAGGGGCCTAGGAAAAATGTCCTGCAAAAATTTTAGAAAATAATCACAAAACTTTATTAAAGATCAAAAACTAAAACTTAAATTACCATTTACATAGATGAAAAACTTCAATACTAAAATGGATGAATGTATATCATTAATAAACTAATACAAGAATTGTCTAAATGACTAATTCAGTTTAAAATTTTTATTGATAATGTGTTTTTCTCAGTCTTGTTTAGGAAATCCATATGTACCCTATCATCATAGATAGTATATTCTTTTAAATATTTTTAAGTATTTGATTTTTATATTCTCTTTTTATCAACCTGGATTTGAATTTGTATATGGTATAATGATAGGGTGTATATGGATTTCTGAAACCTGGCAGGATAAGCTATTAAAAAATACTAAACATATTGATTTATTTAATAATAAATTTCTGTAAGATATAAGAAACCAGGGGCCGGGCACAGTGGCTCATGCCTGTAATCCCAGCACTTTGGGAGGCCAAGGCGGGTGGATCATGAGGTCAGGAGATCAAGACCATCCTGGCTAACATGGTGAAACCCCGTCTCTACTAAAAATACAAAAAATTAGCTGGGCGTGGTGGTGGGCACCTGTGGTCCCACCTACTAGGGAGGCTGAGGCAGGATAATGGCATGAACCCAGGAGGTGGAGCTTGCAGTGAGCAGAGATCGCACCACTGCACTCCAGCCTGGGCAACAGAGTGAGACTCTGTCTCAAAAAAAAAAAAAAAAAAAAAAGAAACCAGAAGAGAAGTGGAAATACTATCTACATCTTATATAAGGGATGGGTAGTTTATATTATGTGCCTGAAGTCTGGAAATAGGAAAACTTTGTACAGATTATCTTTTAAAAATTAAATCTGCAGTGAAATTTGCTTGAAATCTAATATTTGTAAAATATTAATATTTGTAAAATATTAATATTTGTAAAATAGTAGTACAGAGTACTAAATAAGTGGATTGTATAACTTCAGTTGGAATGAAAGAAGCAATGAGCATTGGAGTAATAATTGCACTAAAAACCATATCAAGACATGGGTTATTTTCCTTCTGAAGGAAATACTGGAGAAATGCTGTAGTTGATGTCGATTTGAGCAAGACATTTGGCAGTCATTCACAATGGCATTATTGACAAATGAAGTTCCAGGATTGTTCAATAATGGATCAATGTCTACTTTAATAGAATTCTCAAATATATATTATATAGCTCTACTCATAGAAATATCATGTTTTAGTTTGATCAATACAGTTGATAAACATATAAAACAATTTTATTAAAATCAAGAAGAATTCAAATATGGAACATATAAATAATTCAATAAAACAAACATAACATCTGCCCAAGATGAAGATTTATTTTGTTGCTTTAGATAAAGTTCTTGAAAACTAATAGAAAAGCTATGACAAGCATATCAAATCATGCTAAGGCTGAATCTTTTGAGAGAATTATTTTTGACTGGGAGAATAATTCACTAAGAATATAGTAGTTGGGCAGTGGCTTGTTGGAAGGGTAGGGTTTAGTAAACGGAGTGGAGTGAGAATGGTTGCAGGTGAAGACACTGCATGTGAACAAAAGGCATAGAGGTGAGAAATTGAGATACATCGTCACAAATGGCTTAAATGTGACATCTAGGGATCAAATTAAAATTATCTTGAATGCCTTGTTACAGATTTGGGGCTTCATTTATTAAACAATGGAATTGAATGTAATTGAACATAAAGATTATTCTTGCAGGAGAATGTATGATGTATTAGATTAGTGAGAGACATTGTAAGGAAGACAATAATTCTAACAAAATAGAATTTCTTTCTGAGCTGTGACATTAGTGATGGGTGGGATTGATGTGAGAAAAACCACAGGGGTCATTAGATCTGTAATATTTGTACATGGAAAAATTATTAATTTAACCAATATCCATTGATTGGCAAGTAATGGAGATAAAATAGTGAACAAAACTGTGCAAAATCCCTGCTTTTAAAGACCTTATTTAAATGAGGAGGAGAGAAAGATAATTAACAAAACCCACAAATACAACTTATAATACATTAAAAAACAAATGCTGCAGAAAAACGTGAAGCAATGAAGAGAGAATAGGAAGTGTGAGATTTGGGGAGCAGGGGGATGTGCAGTTTTATGTAAACTGATCAGAAAAGGTCTCATTCTGAAGATGATATTTAAGTAAAGACACGAAGGAGGTGAGGGAGTCCCCTGGGATATTTTGGAAATAGTCTTTCTTGTTTGAAGGAATGGCAAGAACAAATGTCCTGAGACAGAAGCATATCGGAAGAACATCAGGGCCAGTGGGGCTTGGGGGATTGAGTGAGTGGGCGACAAGGTCAGAGAGGTACTGGAGTGCACCTCCTATGTAAGGCCAGTGAAATGTAAAGGCTTTGGTTTTTACTTCATGGCACATAAGATACATTGGAGAAATTTGATCAGATAAGTGTTATGGTCTGACTTGTTTGTTAACAGCATCTCTCTGGCTACTGTTTTGAAAATAGATTGAATGGAACAAAGAGGAAGCAGTGAGAACAGTTAGGACTTTACTAGAAGAAGCACCTGAGAACAGTGAACGTTATCCTGGCAATTTAATTTGGAACATGTATGACTGTTAATTTGGTGAATCCCATAGAAATATTAGGAAGAATAACAGATTTGTGGTAAAGATAATGATGCTGGTGTTGTATCATGTTGAGTTGTAAGTGCAGATAGCGCAGATAGAGCTTTCGGGTGGATTTAGTAATCTCGTTTTACAAGTCATCTTCACCCAGAGCTTATTGATCAGTACACAAATTATGTGGAAATGTAAGTCTTAGTGAATTTTGGGTCACCATAAAGGAATGAATACCTGAGACTGGGTAATTTACAAAGAAAAAAATGGTTTATTTGGCTCAGGATTCTGATGGCTAGGAATTTCAAGACTGGGCATCTGGTGAGGGCCTCAGGCTATTTCCACTCCTGATGCAAGGCACAGAGGGCCTGGGGAGATGCTAGGTTCTTTTTAACAACCAGATCTTCGGAGAACTGATAGAATGAGAACTCACTCACCCTTGAGGGGAGATATTATTCTGTTCATGAGGGATGTACCTTCTTGGCTCAAATACCTTCCATTAGGCCCACCACCAGCATTGGGGATCAAATTTCAACATGAGGTTTGACAGAGAGAAACATCCAAACTATAGCAATGTGTTTGTGAAAAACTGTTGAAACTTCAAAGAAAAGAGTGTTAACGAGTAAGAAAAATAACTGTTTTTAAACCATTTGAAAGCTATCAGACAGAAGACAAGTTAAATATTTTCTTCTGCTAATCTCTCTTTCATTGACAAGTGATCTGAGGCTCTGGACTCAGACCAACGTGATGTGGTATTCAGATAGCCTTGGGCAGGTTAGGATCACAGCGTCTCTGAAAAGTTCATGGTGGGAACCCTCCAAAAAAGCATTAAATCCAAATGAGATCAGGAAAAGAGAGACACTCTGGATACACAGCAAATTGTGCCCAAGAAGCCTTGACTAGGAAGAAGATTTCACGAAAGAGGTAAGAAGCAGACATGCCAGAAGTAATTCATCTAACAATTAGCAGACAGACTCAGTAGTGGCTTTTGGTAGACTCGAGCTACATGTGACTCGGGCTGGGATGTGTGTCAGAAGGTTAAAAGGCACAGCCAGTAAGTAAGCTTAGAAGAGAATGTGAAAGATAAAATTTCAGTTGTTTTTCAAAAATATGTTTCCCATAAATAGACTGTGTTGCTTTGAGAGCATTAAAAATACTGATAAACTAAAATGGAGGGCTGCCTATCAGAAATAATTTTAAATGGGTATTTCAACAGAGGTAAGGAAATAGAGTTCATGATTTCTATGTTATTCTCCAATTCTAAAAATACGTGACTGGGAGACTTCTGTATCTTATATTGAGCACAAAGATTGCTTGTGATAGCTGCTGCCTTTTATGATTATTTATTTGTTTATTTTTTACTTTTTCATAGACTTAAACAGGAGAAACTAAATAATTGCTGTTCTTTTGTTGAGTACTACCTAGGTAGAGAAGTTTACCATGAAATTATAAAATTCTATATTTCAGGCTGATTATTTAGGAATAAAGTAGAGATAAAAATGTGATTCTCAGCATAACCTTGGAATTCACTCACTAAATTTATATACTAATATCGAACTTGAATTTACTTAGTCCTGGTATGAAGAATTCTTTTGAATGAGGCTTCTATTGAATGAAAATATGGATGTTGTCAGAAAGAATAAGTTTACCCAGGAAACATGTCCAATGATAATATTTTAGACAGGCTTGTCAGGACCCTTAGAGAATTGTGAAAATTGAGAATGGCAATACATAATGGAGGCAATCTATGAAACAATTAATAAGCTATCCATCACTCATTTGTTTAACACTAAATAGTCTCAGTAGTTTCATCTGCTGACAAAACATCTTGTAAACAACCACTGGGACATTTAGGATTTGGAAAATGTCACTGGAGAACTGCCTTTTTCTCTAATAAATGGAGCAAAGAAATACTTATTAAATCTCCTCCGTAAGGAGATATAGTATGTATGTTTATGTGTGGCCCAGAATTTGTGGTGCTTAAGACTTGACCCCTGCTGTCTAGGAAATGGCTGTTTTGTAGAGAAGGTAAAAATATAAAAAATAATTACAAAACCAGGCACTATATGCTCTGTGCCATATGATATTCAGTGTTATGCAGAGTCTCATAGTCATGTCACCTACATAGAATAACCTGGAATACTTTTTAAAAATATCTCTTGACTTGATTCAGTCCACATCCATGGAACCAAAAACTGTGTGGAAATTAGGAATGTGTATTTTTAAAACTCATTTGATGTTAGATATGTACCCCCAAAGTTACATGATAAGTGTTGCAGTAGTTTTCAGGAGGAAGATTGCTTCTAGTTAATTCTGTGGTTCTCAATCTTGGCTTCACACAGGAATTAGTTGGAAGGCTTCACTGATGTTTAGGTCTCACCCTCAGAGATTCTGATATAATTGTTCCAGATTGCAGCCTGGACACTGATTATTCACAACCAAACATAGTAGATGTTATATTCCAAATGTTATAGTCTGTGTATAAGACCATTCATGATATCATACATCTAATACTCGATCCGCTAGCCATATTGAACTACTTGAAGACTCCAAAGTCGTGATAATGATGACAATTAAAATAATAGTAATGTTTAATATGTATTTCGTTATCATTATGTGCCAACTATAAATTTGTTTATCTTCATGAAACTCCTTTGATATGAATGCTATTATTATTACCATTTTATAGATGAGGAACAGAGACAAAGTGACTTGGCTATGTCTACATGGTTAATAGGTGACCAAACTGGGATTTGAACCCAAGCATTCTGGCTCTACAGTGCACACTGTTACATTATGCCACTCACGCATATACTCTATTTCCCCCATGCCTGCCTCATATGATTGAACTCTGTCATATGTGTTTATATTGCCTTGAGATATCTTCCTCTAACCTCCTGTATGATGACTGTTTACCCATTTTCAGTTCATAGTTTAATGTGACTTCCCTACAGGAATTTTTCCCTACTTCCTACTCTGAGGAGTGATGCTTCTGTTGCAGTTAGTTGCCAAAGACTTTAATTTTTTTTTCTTTGTCTGTCCACATTACTGTGTGAGTTCCTTGAAGAAAGAGACTATGCTACATTTATTTTTGTAGCTCCCTTAACAATGTCTGCAACATAGTCGCCACTCAATATTTGTTGACTAAGTAAATAATTTAATGGAGGAATGCATCATTGAATGTATGGGAAAGTAAAGGTGTGTTTTGGTCTTTTAAGTAAGTTAATTGAACTGGTTTATTAAGAAGTAAAGCCAAAAATATTTCAGAAGCCATTACCAAGCTGCTTTAGTTCCTGACTGGGGTTTGGATTTCATTTTCAGATAGTAGGGGATTATTGAGGATTTTAAGTAAGGGAGTCAGATAATATACCCTGTTTCTACCAATAACACTTGATAAACTCAGGGGACCAGCTAGGAAATCCTGTGAACAAGCCTTAAACATCCCAAGCCATCTTGGATACAATGCCATCTCTATCAGGGGAGGCCTACCTCCATCTAACTAAATACACATTGTCAACTATGGTGGTGGACAGAAATGAGCAAAATGTGAGGGATGAAGGAGTGGTGCTAAGCCCAGTTCCAAGAGGTGAGGTATATATAAAATTAGTTGCAAATGGCCTGCAAAGCATAGCATATTATCTGGCCCTTTACAGAAGTGTGACTGACTGGAAGTGTTAAAAGCATAGGGATTAATTAAGCGACTTATATAGGATATTACAATCTATATGAAGTAATGAAGGTATGAATGAGGTAATAAAGGTATTTTATCATGGAGCCTTTTAAAATTGAATCTATCAAAGTTAATGCCATCTCGGAATAAACGACTAGGAGTATAGAGCATAAAGGGTGAAGGGTTATAGTAAGTAAGGGTAGAGGTTCTGTAGAGAGTACTCACAGGGTTAGTCTGGTCTAGAGAAGGACTAGTAAGTTCAATTCGAGCAGAGCTGTGAGATCAGATGTAGTACATGGGAACATGTGCTGGTACTGAGATAGAACCAATAGATGACCCAGAATTGGAAAGAATTAAAGGAAAGTATAGGAATTCCTCTTCTGACCACAGTAGACACTTAAAAATGATTACTAAATTAACTAGACTGGAACTGACAGAAGAATCAAGCGATCTTTAAATCCAGGTAAACTATAGAGAGTAAGGTCCTAAGAACCAAGAAATGTTATGCAAGAATGGGCACATCTCAAACAGCCTAGGTTCAGGGGAGTAACCTCAGTCAGCCTTAATATGAGCCACTGAGTCCTATACAACTTGCATTTGTAAGACACTAAATGCACTTTCACATGATATTTTATTTATATTTCTTACAGAAATCTGATAATGTAGTTTAAGCAGACATTATGCCTTCCATTTTACATTTATCCGAATGAGGGATCATGAGTATCTTCTCAGAGGCAAATTTACCTTATAGCTGAAAAAGCTTAACCTTCAGAGTACCTCATTTTCATGTGTCTCTTTCAAAGCCCTGTATCTCTATCTTAGAGAAACGCTCAAATTATATAATTTCAGGACAAACACAATCTTGATCTTCCCTTGTGTTTCACCTAACCTAGATGGCATTGGGTGGGTCTGTAACATCAGAACCAGGGTTCTTTCTGTTATAACACAGTGTCCACTGTCTGCCTTTGGCGTCATTCATGGCTAGGTAGTAACCAACACCTAGGGGGCTTACTACATATGAGATGACAAAATTCAAAGCAGCCAGCAAGTGCAAAAAGCATGTTACAAGGAAAGCAGCAGATTCTGACATAACTATCTAACACACACACACACACACACACACACACACACAACAGATTAAGAAAACTACCTGAATCCCTAAAAAGAGATAGTTTATCAAGATTTACAAATTTAATATTTCTTTCGAATGATTTAGTACATGAATGGCTAAAAATAGGTTTCATATTTGCTCTGGTATTCACAAACACCAGACTGCAATTCACAAACACCAGACTGCAATTCACAAACGTGATTGCTATGAGACTACTGAAAATGAATATTAGTTATTAGAGAAAAGAAGGTGGAGTTGTCACTTGTGAAGAAGGGGCATTCCTCTACTACTCCCATTTATTTTCCTCTTTAAAAGACTTTAATAAGTGCATCATTACAGAATGGCATAAAATATGACAAAAAAATCACTAAACTGTGTAACTGCTTAAATAAGGAGAGGAATAAATGTCCACTTTCTAAGTCATTATGTCATTATACACTGAAATGAGAAGAAAATCTTTGCATTTAGTTTTGAAAAACATCTTGAATATAACAATCAATAATAAGAAAGAAATATTTCTTATAATTATTGCTTCAAAAAGGTATGCTCAGAAAAATGAAATCCTTTTCTAATTTTTACCTGATACTAAATTTTATTTAGCCTGTTTTATATGTCAATTATGTATTTCTGTATGTATTTAAAGATTCTAGGTTTCATTGTAATGGAGTGATTATCATGGGTACTTTTTTTTTCTTTATAAACCTTTCCAAGGGTAATGATACCTTCACTTTCTTCCATTGCCCTCTCTACCATTTAAAATTTTTGTTACTTTCTTAAAAATTTCCCCCCTTTGGGAAATAATGAAGATGATTCTGCTTAGCTGTGTAGACTCCTGATTCGTAGTAGTGGAATGGGAACTGGGCCAACACATTTAATTTGCATTTCTCCTAGAAAATGTTGCAGACTAACTCTTTAAAAAGCACCAAATCAGAGATATATTCTAGGCAACTTGCATCAGAATGGCCTGGGTTGCCTATTAAATATGAAAGTTACTGTGTTCTAGCCAAAAACCTATTGAACCTGACCCTCTGAGGATGTAGATTAGGGACATCTATTTTTAACAAACAAACTTCCCAAGTGATTCTTATTCACATTAAAGTCTGAGAACACAAGCTTATATATAGCCTACCTCATTTAAGTCCTAGGAGTGTTGCAAATGTATTATGATACAGTTGCAAAGAATAAAAGAATGCCCCTCATCCATAGGGGGAACTTGGGAAATCTTAGCTTAAAAACCTCTACCAATTAAGATTCATGAGTAGAAATGGTTTGTTTATAGAAAGATTTTGCCTGGGTCATTAATTTTTAGGAAGGCTTATAATCTTTTAGGAGTTAGATTCATATGGAAATACACAAGGGTTTGCAGACTGACACTAAAATAAACAGCTGAGTGCTTAAGTGTGGTAGGAGACATTAAGAAAACAGAATGCTTGTTAGATAAAATGTAATGTTGAGGAACAACTGTCCTCCAGGTATCTATTTCCTTATAAAACACTTGCAAATGATTTTTCTAATAGCAAATCATGTATACAGTTTTTCAAGACTATAAGTATATTAAATAGCATTTTCATATTTTTCCTTTGGCAGCACTCCTTTGATTTCTTTATTTTTAAGTAAAAATAATGTATTTCCTAGGGGATGACAATAATGAAAAGCTTAGTACCTAAAAAATATAGCAAAGGGCAAGCATAGGCACTTTAGAAACTCAATTTTGCATTTTTAACTTGGGAAGATTTTGATCTGATGTAATATAAGTTGGTATTTTAATTTCCAAATGTATTTAATTTTGTACACTTAAAATATATTCTAAACTTACATATTCTATACTTATGATTTGCCTAATATTATTAAAACTTTCTTCTGCAAAAGATGTTTAATATTACTGTAACCAGAATACCATCATTCCAGTACCTTGATGATTTAGAGAAAATCGAGATTAATGCTTTACACAGAATATTAGAACATGTTATTCATCTTGTGACAGCTGATATTATTGCTGGAGTAGACAATACAGCATCGCAAACCTACCTTACGTCTATTGGTGCTACTATATAATCTACTGTGTCTGAAAGTCACAATTTACACTTGCTATGCGAACATACTTATTCATACTGCCCCCTTCGCTCTCAAGTATCCTGGTTTAGATAAATTATATGCTCACCCTAAATTTGACATCCTTACATACTTGGAATTACAAGTCTCTTCTCCTATCTAAACATTTTCACAAATCTGTTCTTTTATCAGCATCCCATAATAGGTAGCAAAAGCACTGTCACAAGAGAAGGGAGGAAATTGGTCTTCTAGTTTGACCTTCTCCCTCAGTTTGGAAATGTTTGCACTCACAAGTCACATTACCTCTTGTTGGCTCTTGGCCTCATGTACTGTATAACGCCAGAAGTAGAAAAATGTCCAGATTCATCTGTGCTCCTGGTGTCTTGGTAAAGGACGTATTGCTTGGATCTGGACCCAGACTTCACAGAGCCCCTTATCAGTAGTGCATATGAATATAAAATAGTAGAAGTGTTTTAACATAGTGGTTGAGATCTTAGCCTCTGGAGTTAAACAGACCTGGGTTTGCAACGCGGCATCTTCATTTAATCTTCCATTTCTCTGTAAAGTGGGAATATTAAAAGTCCTTTCTTCATTTCTCATAGGTCTGTTGTGAGGTATTATTGAGATAGGAAATTTTTCATAATACATTACACACAGTACCTATTATTTTGACTGCTACTGCCACCACCACAATTATTGCTACCAAGACTCTTGCTCCTTCTAAATAAATTATACACTTCCCATAAGAAAATTTGAGAAATAGTTTAAGTTTAAAAGGATATATGTGATCATTATTCCTATCTGTTGCCTTGTTCCAGATAAATTGCAGAGTTACATAATCCATTCTTGCATTCAGTCAGCAAATACATACTGGCTAGGTCAAGAAAGAATATAAAGAAAAGAATAGTGACATGTGTGTGATTTTACTTTGGTTGCCGGGGATATTTCATCACAATTAATTTTAACCATCATCCCACACACTTTCCCTATAAATATCAATATTTAAAATTGATAACTTTGATAACTAAACCTTGTTCCATCCTGCCAAATGGAGGAGATATTAGGAAAAATTCTTTGTATCAGCTATACACTGCTGGCCTCTTCCAGGCTTACTCATGTAGCTGCATACAGCACACAGGTTGCCTGGGGATTTGGCTTAGCTGAGGATGCTATGATGGTTAAGTCTCCCTCTTCATGTGGTCTTCTGTCCTCAAAAGAGACTTTGCTTGGTGATAGCAATGTTTCAAGAGGGCAAGCCCCAGTATGAAAGGACAGTCAAACCTCTGCTTGGGTCACGTTTGATGATGTCACATCAGCCAAAGCAAATCACGTGACCAAGGCCATAGTCATTGTGTGAGGCGAATACACAGAGTAAAAGTATCAGGAGAGTTGTCTTATTGAGAGACATCAATAAATGCACCTACCACAACTATCATAATCACAGTTATTATTTTTGATAGAAAGGATATACTCATAATATGTATATAAGAGTGGGATATTTTGACCAGGCTTTATAGCTGAGCTAGATATTAATTCTCCTTCTACTTCTGCATGAAAGAACTTCCTGTGTTATTTCTAAGAACAGAGGGGAGAATTGAGCATTCTTGTAATGGAGCTTTAATTTAGACCCTTATCCTTTATCATGGGCAGGCACTAAAGTTTCCATCTCTGTACAGAGAGTAAGATGAATCATCTGCTTTTATTCTGTTCTTGGGCCTATTATATGTTGCATTCTCATTTTTTTCCTAAATAATAATATTGACTTTTATATGGATTTCCTATTTTAATTTAAACAACATTTTCACCACAGTTTTTAGTTGTAAAAAGTGAAAATAATTTATAGTATTTAAGACCATTGCAGAGAGAAATAGGTAATCAATTTAACTATGTCATTATAAAATTTAATAATCTGTATTTGTTTTTATAAACATTACCACATGTTTACATATACAAAGGTATGCATGTTTATATATAAATATGTGAAAAAAATATATATATAAAGCCAACCAGTGCTTTTTACCTGAAACCTAGAGTAGCTAGTATCATCTAAGAGTAAGGAGTTTTTTTTTTGTTGTTGTTGTTGTTGTTGAGACAAGTTTTGCTGTTGTTACCCAGGCTGAAGTACAACGGCGTGATCTCAGCCCACTGCAACCTCTGCCTCCCAGGTTCAAGAGATTCTCCTGCCTCAGACTCTCAAGTATCTGGGACTACAGGCAGGCACCACCCTCCGGCCCCAGCTAATTTTTGTATTTTTGGTGGAGACGGGGTTTCACCATGTTGGCCAGGCTGGTCTTCAACTCCTGACCTCAGGTGATCCACCCACCTTGGCCTCCCAAAGTGCTGGGATTACAGGTGTGAGCCACCATGCCCGGCCTGGAGTAAGGAGTTTTTAATCAAGTTCTTTTATTGTTACTTTCAATATAGGTATTCAAATGATTTTAATTACTCAGGAGCTTAAATTCTCTTATTAAAGTGAATTTCTCCTTAATCACTTTTTGCCTACAACTGGACTTTGAAAAATATATAAAGATCCGTGAATCAATTCCACTGATTTAAAGGGTGTTCTAATAGAGGTAGCTTGAACAAGACTTCTTAGTGATTTATCTTATGTCAGTAAGATTGTTTTTATATTTTATATGCAAAGTGATTTATCAAAAACACAAAAGACTCAGACAAATCCTGGAGGGAAAATGTCTTTCTGATCTCAGGTTAACCTCAAGAGCTTGGGTTATTCATTCTACAACTGGGGCAGCATGGAGGAGTGGGGGGACGCAGATTATCTCTGCCTGAACAGCGGAGTCTTTAGATCAAACACCAAAAATAGGAGATGAGGAAAAAGACAAGCCTTAAGTAAAATATACAAAAGCAAAGCAGCTGGAGAATAAGAAAACTATTGTTTTCTTGGATGTAGGAGCAAAGAGAGGGACCCCAGAAGAGAGGAAAGCAAATATATGCCTCTTAGTATCTGATTTTCAGAGTCATTGAACTAGGTCTCTGAGAATCAAATTTTTCTTCTCAAATGATTTTTCTTTGTAATAATAGCCTATGCAAAATAAAACCAGCTGCCTCAAAGGAAAACACACATCTTTCCTTGCATTCCAAATGCTTTGATTGGAAAGGAAATCTCAGACCCCTTAGGGCATTCCTGTCTCTTGGGGAAGATTATCATTTTACGATTTGATAAGTGTAACACACATTGAAATTCCTGCAAGATGTTTGACTAGTATAGGATTTCATATTTTCAGTCATTAGAATGAATAAATTATTTCAGATATATTATCATCAAAGGTATTGTAATGTGGGGACACAGGAAAAATTCACTTTTCACCTATGCATTCCTGAGAGCTAAAAAACAAATTAGATCATCATAGATCAGCTCATATTTTCACCCACACAATTTTGTTGTTGTGAATTTTATTTTTATTCCTGATTTATTTTATTCCTGATCAATTTAGCACCAGAGTCATCCTAGATACACATAATATAATAAATATAATGATAAGTGTAACTTTCAAAAGAATTTATAATAAATAAATATTCATAATTATTCAAATGTATTTCTCAAGTACAAATGTGTTGAGCATATCCATAGTAAAATAAGAGCTAATGGCTGGGCGCAGTGGCTCATGCCTGTAATCCCAGCACTTAGGGATTAGAGGCCGAGGTGGGCGGATCATGAGGTCAGGAGTTCAAGATCAGCCTGGCCAATATGGTGAAACCCCATCTCTACTAAAAATACAAAAATTAGCCAGGTGTGGTGGCATGTGCCTGTAGTCCCAGCTACTTGGGAGGCTGAGGCAGAAGAATCACTGGAAGCCGGGAGGCAGAGGTTGCAGTGAGCCGAGATCACACCATTGCACTCAAGCCTGGGTGACAGGGCAAGACTCCGTCTCAAACAAACAAAAAACAAAACAAAACAAACAAAAAGCTTAATATTTATTGAGCACTTCCTATGTTCAAAACATTAAATCCAATACTTTCTTTATATCATTTAATCCTCTGTTAGACAGTATGCTCTTACCATACACAAGAAAACTGAAGTTAAATAATCAATATGGTATAGAGAGTAACATTTGAATTAATATTAAATGCCTTATTATACTCTGAGCTATAATTGAAGTAAACTAAGGTATTACAGAATATATATACAGAATAAAAAGTAATTTCATCATTTCATCAAATGAACATATATATTACAGTGAGAACTTACTTTTAATTAACAACCATGCTACCTCTCTGAAATTTAGAAACACTACTTTGTGGCTGATTTGAATGACCCAAATATCAGCTGAGAAAAGTGCCATGAATTTCTTGTTTTGTTTACAAATTTCCTTGTAACAAACAAAGAATTACACATTTAGAATGATTCATTAATTAATATGCTACATTATTAAAGAAAGTCGGCCGGGCGCGGTGGCTCACGCCTGTAATCCCAGCACTTTGGGAGGCCGAGGCGGGCAGATCACGAGGTCAGGAGATCGAGACCATCCTGGCTAACATGGTGAAACCCTGTCTCTACTAAAAATACAAAAAAAAAATAATAATAATTAGCCGGGCGTAGTGGCAGGCGCCTGTAGTCCCAGCTACTCCGGAGGCTGAGGCAGGAGAATGGCGTGAACCCGGGAGGCGGAGCTTACAGTGAGCCGAGATTGCGCCTCTGCATTCCAGCCTGGGCGACAGAGCCAGACTCCGTCTCAAAAAAAAAAAAAAAAAAAAAAAAAAAGTCAGCTAACACTCAGCCCAAGAACCTAGTTAATAAACCCAAGGATAAAAAGCTTAGCATAGAGAAACAGGTAATGGTGGCTTGGGTGGTTCAGAAATGTCAGTAGAATAAAGACTTGCCAAATCTTGGTAACAGACATTACAAAATTAGGTAAAGAAGAAGTAGCTAAAGGTTTTCTTATAGGACCCAAACACCAAGAAATGAGGTGACAGGAATTGTATGTGGTATATAGATTTTATGAGAGGTGGAGTTACACCTGGAGGTGGACATGAATTGTATGCTTAAGAAGAACTAAGCAGGAATGAGAACTATGAAAGTTTTCCTTTAAACTTAGGACTAAAGTCAGAATGTAGTTGAGACAGAGGTACATACGGGGAAATGGGGCAACATTGAACTGGAGAGCCAGGTGAAGGTGTTACTGCCAGAGAAAGTGGTCATATCCAAGTATACAAAAAGCCACATTCTGTACTTTGGGCCCAGAGCCTTTTTCCTCTTGTTCTTGTACCTCAAGTAGATGTTGATCAGCTTAAGTAATTGCAAGGATCAGCCCTGTATTTCTTCAATAATTATAGAATTGGAAATCATAGAAAACAATGTTTGGTTTAAAATGTAAATAACACTACCACTATATGTTTATGGTAAGGTAGGATGGGAAAATAAACTCGGGAAATAGGGGATGAGAAGGTAAAAAG
The DNA here is from genome assembly GCF_000001405.40 of Homo sapiens. Lineage (NCBI taxonomy): Eukaryota > Metazoa > Chordata > Mammalia > Primates > Hominidae > Homo > Homo sapiens. Next base: position 97,061,643 of record NC_000003.12, read on the forward strand.
AAATAAGACTGTGCTTTGGATGTCCTATCTCTGAAAGTGGCTATCTCTGAAAGTCACTTAAACAATGATGCCCTGTAAGAAGCCAAGATAAGGCAGGGAATAGGAAAGAAGAGAGTTCATTCACTCATTCATTCATTCATTTAACAGCTGCTGAAACGCATACTATAGTATGTGCTATTATACTATAGTATGTCCTGGGTGCTGGAAATACAGACATAAAAAGGCATACTATTTACCTTCAAGAGGCTCCCAATTTAGTTGGGGAGGTAGATTTGTAAAGAAAGAAAACAAAAATTATATTACAGAAATATTTATAGTATGAGTGTGAGAAGATAGGAGACACTAGTTCAGCCTTAGTCCTTGGGGAGTAGAAGAGAGAAAGGAGGTGAAGATTCCCAGTGACTATATAGCTTCATTGTATCTTGAAGAATGAACAGGGATAACACAATCATACAAGTGTATAATGGAGAATGAGTATTATAGGAATACAGAGTGACACATTATGCAGCCTATAGTTGTGATATAATATAACATGTTTAGGAATTGAAAATATCACATTGATGGATGTATCAGTCAGGGTCTAATAAGGAGACAGAAACCACATAGTAAATTGGACAGGAAATGTTTATATAAAAATTAATTATAACAGGACTTGAGTAAGAAGAGATTGGCTAATAAGAAGTAAAGAGAACTATAAAGATGACTAAATAGCAGAAGGCAGAGCCACCACCCCTAAGGCTGAGATAGGGTTCCCGAGATAGAATGGGAAAAAATTTTGCAATCTGAATATCTGACCAAGGTCTAACACCCAGCATCTACAAGGCACTTAAACAAATTTACAAGAAAAAAGCCAATAATCCTATTAAGAAGTGGGCAAAGGAACACTATATGGTTTGGGTCTGCCCCAACCCAAATCTCACCTTGAATTGTAGCTCCTATAATTCCCATGTGTTGTGGGAGGGACCCAATGGGAGATAATTGAATGATGTGGGCGGTTCCCCCATACTGTTCTCATGGTGGTGAATAAGTCTTATGAGATCTGATGGTTTTATAAGGGGAAACCCCTCTTGCTTGGTTCTCATTCTCTCTTGCCTGTCACCATGTAAGGTGTGCGTTTCACCTTCCACCATGATTGTGAGGCCTCCCCAGCCACATGGAACTGTGAGTCCATTAAACCTCTTTTTCTTTGTAAATTACACAGTTTCAGGTATGTCTTTATCAGCAGTGTGAAAACGGACTAATACAGATGTGAACAGACACTTCTCAAAAGGAGATATACATGTGGCCAACAATTATATGAAAAAAAAAAGCCTAACATCACTGATCATTAGGTAAATGCAAATCAAAACCACAATTAAATACCCTCTCATACCAGTCAGAATGGCTATTACTAAAAAGTCAAAAGCAACAGATGCTGGCGAAGTTGTGGAGAAAAAGGAATGCTTATACACTGTCGGTGGGAGTATAAATTAGCTCAACCATTGTGGAAGACAGTGTGGCAATTCCTCAAAGACCTAGAGACAGAAATATCATTTGACTCAGCAATCCCATTATTGAGTATATACCCAATGGAATATAAATCTTTCTATTATAAAGATGCATGCATGTGTATGTTCATTGCAGCAACTATTCACAATAGCAAAGACATGGAATTAACCCAAATCCCCATCAATGATAGACTGGATAAAGAAAATGTGGTACATATACACCATGGAATACTATGCAGCCATAAAAAGGAACAAGATAGTGTCCTTTGCAGGAACATGGATGGAGCTGGAATCCATTATCCCCAGCAAACAAATGCAGGAGCAGAAAACCAAACACTGCATGTTCTCACTTATAAGTGGGAGCTGAACAATGAGACCATAGACACAGGGAGTGGAACAACACACACTTAGGCCTATGGTGGGGAAGAAGGGAGGGAGAGAATCAGGAGAAATAGTTAATGCATGCTGGGCTTAGTACCTAGGTGATGGGTTGATAGTGCAGCAAATCACCATGGCACACGTTTACCTATGAAACAAACCTTCACGTTCTGTACATATACTCTGGAATTTAAAATAAAATTTAAAAATATAAAAGAAAGGACAGGAGAAGCATAAAAAATAGTTAAATAATTAAAAAAAGAAAACCCTTCATCTTCTAGTGTCTCTCCAGCGTACACTTCTGACAGAGCTTAAAATCATGTCAGCTGGTAAGTAATAAAAATAATTGAATGCCCAAGCTCAATTTTTACAAAACAAGCAATGAAGAATGATTTTGGAGTTCAAGGGCAATAAATTGATAACTGGAACAATGGATTAAAAGGTGCTTGGAAATATTACAAATGGTGTAGGAGAGAAGCCAAGTTCAGATGGTTGTGGACACAGAAGAGACAAGGGCTCAGGAAATTTCATAGTCCACATTCTGTGATGTATGAGAGAATCTTGGTTCTGGATCCAGCATCTTATAAAAATAGATATCTACTTGCTAAATTTTTGCATACACTCAGACTGCACAGCTAAATCTAAGGAAGAAAACTTGTGTACTGAATTTGTCATGGAGTTAGCTCAGTTTTTCTTTAATTCTCAGTTCATATAGAATCCTCAATTTATTTGAACCATGTGTGACAATATGAATATCAAGTTTTATCATTATTTGAGGTAAATAATATAAAGTGATCAATGATTACACGTGTGCTCCTGTCAGATTTTCAGAGAGGCTCACCCTCACCCAAAAATCCTAGCAAGATTATATTCTTCCAGAATGCTCTAAAGAGCCAACTTCTCTTTCTTCCTAATATTTACTTCAATTCATAATAACATATTAATGCACAGTGTTTGATAAAGTCTGTATTCCTCACTAAACTGCAAGCTTCAAGAGATCAGAGACTATTTTTGTTCTCTGTAATTTTCTGAATATCTGGTCCAGTGCCTGACACATAGTAGTATGTCAATAATATCCATTTCTTTAATGAATAACTGAACAAATCATTTAGGTTTTGCTGAGATGATCTTGATAACCCAGAAAAACCTGTCTTTTCTTATTAGTGCCGTTTAGAGGTAATGACATTTACATTAATGTCCTTTAAGTCGGGAGTACTTCTGATACCAAGTGATACTGGTCAGTGCTTTTCCTATTTATATGTGTTAATTACATATGAGGGTCCACTCCCCTTTTTCTCACAATTGCTGCCTCTGGAGAAAGCTCCTGTACTTCACAAACCACATTTGCTTCATCGTGACTGCTGCTTCAGGATTCTTCCTTTTGACTGTTCTCAGAAAGCAAATAAATGGAAAGGAGAAAAGACTTGATTAAATTCTCAATTTTTTTCATGGTTGTTTACTGCTCTAACCTATTTAAAATGTATATACTCAATTTAGGTGAAGTATATTTGGGTTTTGAAAAATTTGCTGCCGATAGAAAATATATATCTGCTATGAAAATTAATACCTTAAGCTGTGACTGTCAAAATTCTTTGAACTAATGGGCCTTTACAGAGAGTGCATTATTTAGAATCGTTTAAAAGATGCAAACAATGCACGAGGAGATTCATAAAGCTATAAAATTATTCTAAGCCAGAACAGAATTTCCCTGATCTTTAAAGGGATTTAGCTATTAATTTTTAAATGCTGAACATAGTTGACATTTCAAATTGAATTGTTACTGAGGTAATCACATTGAATCTCTTGGTTAAATGTTCAAAGTAGAGTCCATGAAATATGCATGTTACCAAATCAAGGCAAAGAGTCTTTCTTCAGAATACATGATTTTTATTTAGATAAAATATTAGATGCCTTTTATTTTAAAATAAAACTATCTCTTAATAGGAAGATGCACTTACTCTTCAAAGAAAACCTGTGTGTAGAACTCAAGGGGTTTGTGCAATGTTTACTCTACAATTCAACTCATTGCATATCCATTGTTTGTGAAAAAGTGAACTGAAAACTTGTAAGACTCGATTTCTGATATCAAGATACTTAGACTCTGATAGTATTTGGAAAACACACTATTTCTAGGAAGTATTACATATCACAAATATTTTCCAAGATCAAACTTCCCAAAGTGTAGTATTGATAATTTTGTTGTCACATTAAATGAGTTTATGTCATACATGAGCCAACATGTTATAATTTTAATTCATTTTTAATTTTGTATTAACTGTCTTCCAGTGTGTTCAGATCATATGATACTATTTATTTTTAGTAACTCTCTAAAGTTTAATTTTTAAAGAAATATTTGTAAAAGCAACTTGATTTTTTTAAAAAAATCCTAGTAAATAATAATACATATGGCATGCAGATGCTCACAACTATAAAATGATTAATGAATGGTAATTGAGAAACAACTCTAAAAACTCTTTTTAATACAAGTTTACTAGCACTCCTTTTAATATTAATAATACCTTCATGTCAGTGATTTTAGAAGCTCATGATGGGTGTTCAATAAATATTTGTTGAATGAATTAATGAATAATGTGATTTTAGAAATTTATATTTCTAATAAAATCAAGGAGGGGGTACACCTAGTGCATTTAATTTTTAGTTAGATCTTGGTAATTTGTTTTGAATTAAGAGTGTTTCTTCTACCATAGGCCTGATAGAATATTTGGCAATGCCTATTTTTCCAGGAACTTCTATGCCTATTTTCCTAATAGGATCTCCTCGACAGAAGCTACACAGAATATAATAAAATATTTACAAAGCAATAACAAAAGTGAAAATTTCTCTAATAAATACTAGATATAGGGATTACACAATGTATTAATTAAAGGTACTTTTATATATTTGAATATGAAAATGTCATTTATACTATTGACTTCAGTTATTAAATAGGTCATATGTCCTGAGGTTTTAAGGTTTTAGGAAAACTAGAGAAGAGAAAGGTTTCATAAAATATTTCCAGGTAAGTCCTGCAGGAGACATACCAGTGTTCCAAATGGGATGAGTTTCTGCTGATAAGACCCAAGAGAAGGAGAGGTTTATCTTATCAAAACAGATGTCAGTGGCTACTACCTTTTCCAGTATTTTGCAACAAGCAGCCTCACTGGAGTCTTCTCAGCACAGTAAACAGTCGGCTATTTAGGAACTGTAGAGATTTCAGGGCAGAGATTATTTACAGGTATCTGTTTTCATTTTTTTCATTGTTGTTGTTTTAATGATGCTAACTCAAAAGCCAAATTTTACATGCCTGAGCACTAAATGTTCCTTGAGTATGCTCAGATGACTGTAATAGCAGACAGGACATATCCAGAGATAATTAAAAAGAAAAGAATTATGATGATAAATCAAAGTGATCTAACAGGGGAGACAGAATATAGAGGCGGACTCCTAGTTGAACAATTTAATAGGTCAAGAGGGAAGTCTCTCTCTTTTTTTAATCTGAGATCTCTCAGAATGGTATTTAATGTAATGTGGTTCACCAGATAGAAGACTTTTTTCTTCTTCTTAGTATACCTTTTATTTTGTAAGCCTTTTCCCTTTGTCCTCAGTTATTTTAAGTAAATAATGGTAAATTTCCAAAGTGTTCATAATTTAGTTTTTGTTGCCTGCCAGTGTCCATCTGCCTTAGGCAAAAATTTAAATTGCATACTTTACATCATAAATTCACATCCTATAATCTCTTGAATATTAAATTTGTTTAATAGATGTTTACCATGGACTGGATAATACTGTGTTATATCAGTAGTACACAGGTGAGTAAAAGACAATCTGTGTTCTAGGATCTTCAAATTTAGGAGAGGGAAACTAGTATTTTCAAACTTCTATATTTTAGTTTTGAAATGAGAGATATATAAAGATTGTAATTGAAACGTGAAAGCTAGACATTTGGATCTGATGCTGAAAAGAGAAGAGTGAAGTAAGTAGAATCTAGGCTATTATGGAAGAAATGATTGAGACTGAAATTATCAGGAAAATATATATATATATATATACCAAAGAGAAGCAATAGTAGGATAAAATAGGGAGCCAAGGAGGGAATGGAAGAGAACCCAAGCCAAGTGGCATAAGCAAACTCAGAGAAGATGGCATGTAGTAACATTAAAGAGGAGCAATTTTCAAGAAGCAGAGGGGTAGAATGAGGAACAAGAATAAGACACTGACAACTTGACCTGATTAACATTTGAGACAACCATTTCTATAGTAAGGGGAATGGGTTGTGGGAAGAAGGCAGGCTGATTACTGACGTGTCAAGAAGAGAGAGGTAAGTAGCACTAGTTCAATAAAGACTCAGGGATAGGCCAGGCATGGTGGCTCATTCCTGTAATCCCAACACTTTGGGAGGCTGAGGCAGGTGAGGATCTCTTGAGGCCAGGAGTTCGAGACCAGCCTAGCCAACATGACAAAACTCCATCTCTAATAAAAATACAAAAATTAGCTGGGCACCATGGCACATGGTTACTCAGTGGCTGTAATCCCAGTTACTCAGGTGGCTGAGGCAGAGAATTGCTTGAACCTGGGAGGTGGAGGCTTCAGTGAGCAGAGTTCATGACACTGCACTCCAGCCTGAGTGACAGAGCAAGACTCCATCTCAAAAAAAAAAGAAAAAAAAAAAAAAAAGAGTCAGGGATAAAGAATCATTTTGGTTTTTGGTTGTTTAATGGTGGAAAAATTTTACTCAAGTATTTTTATATGAGCTGATAGGCAGAAGCCAACTGAAACAAGAAAGTGGAAAATTCTAAAAGTAAACGACGGAACAAGGATCAGGGAGGGTTGGGACAGGATCCAGAGTATAAGCAGAGGTGTTTGGTATGAAAGGAAACTTAAGCGCCTTTCTCTGAGATGGGACTATGATAATGGAGGCTTACAGAAAGAAGCTGAAGGCCTGAAATATAGCTGTAAGAAGAGAATAGTCAGCAAGCGACAGATGAATAAATTGCCTTTGTCCAGAGCACCTAGAACATGAGTATATGCATTCCCACTATTAGTAGTTGTGTATAAAAAGAAATACTTCTTGACTGAAAATAAGAGAGTTTTGAGGAACATGTACACACTCACACACACACACACACACACGTTGCAATGGACTGAATGTTTTACCCCTACCCCACAATTCATATGTTGAAACCCTAACCCCAGTGTGATAGGAAAGGAGGGCTTGTGAGGGAATTAGATCATGCGGGTAGAACACTCATGACAGAACTAGTGTCCTTATAAAAGAGTGAGAGGCCCCACTCTCTTTCTACCGTCTGTGGACATAAGGAGAGATCTCCAGTCCACAACCTGGAAAAGGACCCTCACCAGAACCTGACTATATTGACACCCTGATTTCAGACTTCCAGCCTCCAGAAATGTGAGAAATAAATTTCTGTTGTTTATAAGCCACCCAGTACATGGCAATTTGTTACAGCAGCCCACACTGAGTAAGGCGCACGTGCGTATACACACACGCACACATACGCACACACTTATAATTGACCCTTGAACGACACTGGGGTTAGAGGTGCTGTTGCCTGCACAGTTGAAAATTCACATGTAACTTGTGACTACCCCACAGTTTAACTACTAATAGCCTACTCGACCAAATGCCTTACCAATAATATAAAGTCGATTAACACATATTTTGTAGGATAAATTTATTATATACTATATTCTTACAGTAAAGTAAGCTAGAGAAAAGACAATGTTATTAAGAAAATCATAAGCAAACTAAATTTACTATTCATTAAGCTGAAGTGGATCAGCATAACGTTCTTCATCCTTATTGTCCTCCATTGATAGGCTGAGAAGGAAGAAGAAGAGGAAGGGTTGGTTTTTCTGTCTCAGAGGTAACAGAGTTGGAAGGGTATCTGCACATAAGTTGGCCTGCGCAGTTCAAACTTGTATTGTTCAAGGGCCAACTGTATTCTTTACTGAAACCCTAAGGGTGTTGCATGTTGTTATTTAGATAAGTCATTACAATTCAAAAATGTGAGGAGAAATTTACTTCTAGAAATTTTACAACCTTGCTTAGGAAAGTAGCTCTAACTCTTCATTAAGAAATAATTCCATTGAAAGATTCACCCAAACAGCATCTGTATGGCAGTCTAATGATGTAGCATATAACAGCTGTAAACACAATAAAGTGTTTCTGGCAAAATAAACATATATTTTGAATTAAATACAGTATCAAAAATGTTTTTTAATAAATATGCTTATATTAGATGCTCATTCTTACAGTTTGAACATTTAAAGCAGTTACTAATAGGCTATGCTTTATGGTTATTAAATATTATAATTCAACATGTGATTAAAAGGGAAAATAGGAAAAAGTGCATATTAAAAATACATTTTCTATATATATTAATAGAAAAGGTGTGTTTAAGGAGTGGGACTGGCTTCTGTTTCTCTGACATCCCTAGCTCTTTCAAGCTGTGTGGTCTTGCTCTTCTGTTTCCTTTTCCTGGGAAGCTCTGCCATAGATGCGGCATGACTGATTCTGTTGTCATTCTTATCTCAGAGCACATGTCAGGAAAAGCTTCCTCGATGCTCTGATCTAAAAGAGCTTTTCTCCTATTTGACTACTCAGTTGCTCAATAGTATCTCTTGGTTTTCTTCAGAGCTTTTGTTATCAACCAATATTATCTTTGTCATCTATTTGTGTTTTATTTGTTAGTTTATTATTTGTATCCTAACCTATAATTCTGTAAGGGCAGGTACTGAGTGCCTGGAACATAGTCAGCCCTAAATAAATATTGCTTGATTAATGAATGACCAAAATAAAATAACATATGTATTCTGTATTTTATAGTTGGAAATTATAAAAATATTTGTTTAGTTGGCTAAATGAATTAACATATGCAGATTTTCCCTAACACAGGGAATTGGAGATGGGAGGCCATGAGGGCTACTAATAGCACTCACATTCTCTGAACCAGAGTAACTCAGCCTTGACATCTTGATATACTGGTTTGTCCACATCAGCTATAAGACATATTAAAAGCAATGTAGTTCTCATTATACTCAGTAATGATTTTGAATTATGTAGTGTTCTTACCCTAATATTTTTCTTTTTACAATTTGTAAATAACTTGTACACATTCATGGCAGTGTTCTGTGCATGCTAGGAGCACCTTGTATATGTGCAAATGTACAGAATATTTTGAGAGCTAGTGCTCAAAGTTACCTTTGTTTGTAGGAAAACAGGTGTTCTAGGTAGGCTGAATAACCGAAGCTATAATTTGTTGAGGGAAGAGAAGATGATCAATGTGTCTTTATGTCCACAGTGCATTGTCAGTACCTCATATAGTGAATCTGATCTCAAAGTTTTCTATCAAATTTTAGAATTAATTAATAAAGCAGATAAACGGTATTATTTAACTGGCCTAACAAGGCCCTATAATGTTTGCCATTTATTCATAGAATTAACTTTTGTAGTATAGATTTTTATAGGGTGATTATGGTGATCATTTTCCCCAAAGTATCCCATCAATAATTTAGGCATCTCCCACGAGAAAAATAGGACTAGATCCTTTGTTTGTCAGTAATTCCAAAAAGGTGAAGAGACTTTCTTAAGCCAATGTCATGGTTTTTCACAACTTTGGCCATTCTTTGCAAACTTCACATATCTACCACTATTCCTTCTTCAGCTTGCTATACTGTTCACTCTTGCCATTCTTTTGTCCTAAGATAAAAATAACTGAATTAACTGATGTTATTTGTAGGATATGTTTTTTCCTTCCAACAAATAAAGATTACATGGGTTGACTTGTGTTTACCATAAAGATGTTGAAGTCCTAATTCTTTTTTAAAAATTTTATTTTAATTTTGTGTTAGTCCGTTTTTATGCTGCTGATAAAGACATACCATAGACTGGGAAGAAAAAGAGGTTTAATTGGACTTACAGTTCCACATGACTGGGGAGGCCTCAGAATCATGGCGGAAGGTGAAAGGCACTTCTTACATGCCGGTGGCAAGAGAAAATGAGGAAGAAGCAAAAGCAGAAACCCCTGATAAACCCAGCAGATCTTATGAGACTTATTCACTATCAGGAGAATAGCATGAGAAAGACTGGCCCCCATGATTCAATTACCTCTCCCTGGGTCCCTCCCACAACATGTGAGAATTCTGGGAGATATAATTCAAGTTGAGATTTGGGTGGGGACACAGCCAAACCATATCACATTATATCTTTATTTCCATAGGTTTTGAGGGGAACAGGTGGTGTTTGGTTACATAAGTTCTTTAATGATTATTTTGTGAGATTTTGGTGCACCGATCACCCGAGCTCTATACCCTGTACCCAATTTTAGTCTTTTATTCCTCACCCGTCCCGCATTTTCCCCCGAGTCCCCCATGTCCTTTGTGTCATTCTTATGCCTTTGCACCCTCATAGCTTAGTTCCTACTTATGAGTAAGAATATATGGTGTTTGGTTTTGCCTTCCTGAGTTACTTCACTTAAAATAATGGTCTCCAATTTGATTCAGCAGTTCCACTACTGGCTCTCTACCCAGAGGAAAAGAAGTCATTATACAAAAAAGATACTTGCACATGCATGTTTATAGCAGCACAATTTGCAATTGCAAACATATGGAACCAGCCCAAATGCCCATCAATAGATAAGTGGATAAAGAAATATATATACCATGGGATAGCGTTCTATCCATAAAAAGGAATGAAATAATGGCATTTGAAATCCTCATTTTTAGTACCTATGAAAGTGAACTTATTTAGAAATAGAGTCTTTGCCAATAATGAGGTTAAGATGAGGTTCTTAAGGTGGACCCCAATCCCGTATGACTGGTGTCCTTATGAAAGAGGGAAATTTGGACATAGACACAGATCCATATTACAGGGAAGACAATGTGAAGACACATGAAGAACATCATCTATAACTAAGAAACTAGGAGGGAGGCACGGAACAGATTCTTTATCACAGCCGTTAGAAGGCACCAACCCTGCCTACATCTTGATATTGGACTTCTAATTTCCAACTGTAAACTACTTAAGTAAATTTATTGACTTACAGTATATGATGGTTTATATGGCAGTCCTACAAAACTAATACAGGGCAAAAACTAACTGAGAATCATGAGTTAGATAATAATAACTGATTTGAGCAATTTAAACATGTCCAGTTGGTATTATGGCTTCAAATAGAAAAAGATCTTCATTGGTGATTAATTTGCAAGTCACTTATTTTTGTATAAATCACTCTAGACAAAGTTGAAAAGAATTTCAGGAAATATAATTTGCCCATTACCATAGGTTAACTTTTTGCCTGCCATGTTGACTGTTATCAGTTCCTTCTTAATCTAACCTTAGATTTTCCCATTGGGATAGTACCAGTCAGCAATTAAATTAAATATGAGTTTTTCTAAGTTTCAGGAGCTTACTGAGAGGTGTGTTTTGCTCACAGCATGTGGGTTTTCCACTCCAGGCCTCAGATTAACTTTGACCTAACAAGCTCTGTAACTGCTTGCAGCACAGCACAGCAAAGTGCCCCCTCCCGCTTCTAGTTACCGTTTCTTCTGTTATCCTTTTTATGTCAAGAGACTGCTTTCTCCTTTACCTGTGGCACTCTACACCACATGTGACTTAGATTTACAGTCCAAATAAGAAATTACAGATGTATGATGTGTACATCTGCCTTATGAGATTTTTAAAAATCTATCAGGACAAGGAATCCATGGGATCCAAATTGTGTATCTTTCATCAAACCCATTCCTTCATGCCGCTCGTTGTTTCTTTCTGATCAATGCCACGTGAAATGAAAAGGATTTCCTTATTAAGCAATGTCATAACCTCCTTCCTAATTTTTATATAATATGAATAAATATAACCTAAAGCAAGTGAGCCAAGAGAGACAGTATCCACTTCTTATTTCTACAAAGAAAATTCAGAGATTTTGTCACATCATGGATTTTGCTTTAACTGCATTTACACAACGTGTGTTAGAATGATACTACTTAGACTGCACAGGGAAAGCTAAATCTAATAATTTATGTTAATACTGTGGCAATCAGTTATTTAAAACTAAATTTGTTAAAACATCAATAACATACTCTTTTTATAAAACAAGATTCAAACAATTCAACAGGATATATATTTTAAAAATTTTTCTTCAATCTTCATATGATCGTAAAGCATATGATATAAATCGCTAAGATTTTTTCATTATTTTTTGCAGAATAGCCTATGCATCTATAAGTATATACAGTATATTAAAGATTATTTCTATTTATAGCGCATTTATATTAAGTGTATTAGTCTCTCCTTTGTTAAAACTTTAAATTATTGTTTTAAAACAAAATATGTATGCTAGCTTCAACAGGGACAATCACTATCTCACTATTGGGATAATTTACATTTATTTGAATCCTAGAAAAGTTGTATATTTTTAACGTGTTTATTGGCCATTTATTTTTTTAATATTTTATGAATTGCCTATTCATACCCTTTATTCATTTGCCTACTACTGATTATATATGCTATTTCTATGCAAATTGAAGCATACTGTAAATGTATACATTTTAAAGTTGGATCCCCTTTCATATAGTTACACACACCACGTTGCATTTATGGGTGTGCTATCAGTTATTTTGCCATTCCCTGTCTTGGTGTTCTTGATGGGCATTTAAATTGTTTCATTTTTTAGTCTATTGCCAATAGAAAATCAACATACTTGCATTGACACTGACATATTTGTATACATATTTGTTTACTTATGTAGAATATTAATACAATGAAAGTTAGTATGTCAGTCAGCACATATATTTTAGATTTTTGATACATATTTTTAATTTACTCTTTAAAATTTGGCAGCAGTTACACTTGTACCAGCAGTGTAGAAGAGTTTTTCTTTTCCCATACCTTAAGCAACACTCAGGGAGTATTAAATAATATATCCTTGGATAATCTGTTCATTTTAAAATGGTGGTTTAATTAGCAATGTTTTAATTTTTTTAAGTATGAGTAAGATTGATCTTGAGATATTTTTGTTCTTTTCTGTCGTTACTTTTAATGCACCAAAGATTCTCAAACTCCTCATTTGAAAAATGAATCCAATAGAAACGTTTTAATTTTATACATAAAATTTTGATTTTAATTTCATACATAAAAGCAAAACAAAATTCCAAGGATATTTTTTGTTCTGACACCATTAAGAAACAGAGATTAATATTATTGCTAAGTCAACAAATAATGGAAACAATAAAGCAGAGTTGCAAAATTTTAGAAATTATTCTTTTCACAACTCTCAGCATTGTTCTCTGAACTCTGGATATCTAAAAACAGTTACTCATATCAAATGAAACTTCCAATTACCATTTAGTAAATGGAAACAGAACAGAGTTATGCTTTCTCATACATGTCTCCATGATGGACTAGAGAGTAAAACTGATAACTTTGGAAAAGTTCTCAATGGTACCGTGTTATCAGAACTAGTTTCATGATGTAGAATAGTGTCTGCTTTTCTACCATTGTAGGGAGAAAAATTGATTTTCTGGTACTTTTTTTTACCAGCAATTAGGACTACTTGCAGCTTCTTGCAAAACAATGGAATTATATTAGTTAGTAGAGGAAAAAAGGGAATGAAAGAAATTCTGAGAGGCTTAGGTTATACAGAGTAGAAAAGAGATGAGCAAAGGTGAATTTTAAGACATGTAGAATGACATATAGAATATTTCATATCTAGATTGTTTTTGTCAATTTGAATTTTTTACTCATTCAAAAATAAAGATAATGTTCATATCAATTAATATATTAGGCAAACTGGATAACTAGATGTCGCATGTTCCAGAATTTTTCCAATTTTGTGTTTAAACTTTGACTTTTGTCAAATTTTTACTACTGAAATAATTTGATTTGTTCTGGGGCGTCTGGGTGTGGTGCCATACTTTTATAGGCAATAATGATATGTTTAGCTTCTAGAAAACCTAAAGCACTGTAACTTAAATTTTTCTATTTCAGAGTAAATACTAAAGATTTTTCAGCTTGATATGTATCATTATGAGAAACATAGTTTACATGACACCATGTATAGAGGATACATGTATAATGGAAACATGCTGGACATGTCTCCCCTTTTTATTGCAACAAGTATATTAATTATAGACATATCTCATTTCATTGTGCTCACTTAATTGTGCTGCTCGGATACTGCATTTTTTTTTTTTTTACAAATTGAAGGTTGTGGCAATCTTGCATAGAGCCAGTGCGTTGGCTCAATTTTTCAATAGAATGTATTTACTTGGTGTAATTCTTGTAGTGTTTAAAAAATTTTATTATTATTGTATCTGTTAGGTGATCTGTGATCAGTGATCTTTGAAATTATGTTGTCATTGTTTGGGGTGTTATGAACCATGTTCATCAAAGATAGTAAACTTAATCCATAACCGTTGTGTGTATTCTGACTACTCTACCATCTATCTGGCTGTTCACCTTTCTCTCTTCCTGTCCTTGGGGCTGCCTATTCCCTGAGACACAACACTATTGAAATTAGGCCAATTAATTACCCTACAGTGGCCTTTAAGTGTTCAAATGTTCAAGTGAAAGGAAGAGTGTCACATCTCTCACTTTAAATAAAAAGCTATAAATGATTAGGCTTAATGAGGAAGGCATGTCAAAAGCCAAAAAAGGCTCAAAGCTAATCTTTTTGTGCCAGATTGCCAAATTGTGGGTGCAGAAGTAAAGTTATTAAAGAAAATTAAAAGTGCTACTCCATTAAACACACAAATGATAAGAAAGCAAAACAGCCTTATTGCCAATATGGAGAAAGTTTTAGTGGTCTGGATAGAAGATCAAACCAGCCACAACATTCCGTTAAGCCAAAACCTAATTCAGAGAAAGACACTAATTCTCTTTAATTCTGTGAAGGCTGAGAGAGGTAAGGAAGTGACAGAAGAAAAGTTGGAAGCTGACAGAGATTGGTTCATGAGGTTTAAGGATGAAAGTCATGTTCATAGCATAATAATGCAAGGTGAAGCAGCAAGTGCTGATGTAAAAACTGCAGCAAGTTATCCAGAAGATCTAGCTAATATAATGGATGAAGGTAGCTACACTAACAACATATTTTAATTTTAGACAGAGCAGCATTGTATTGGAAGAGGATGCTCTCTAGAACTTTTACAGCTAGAGAGAAGTCAATGCCTGACTTTGAAGCTTCAAAGGACAGACTGACACTGCTGTTACGGGCTAATGCAGCTTGTAATGTTGAGTGGGAGTCAGTGCTCATTTGCTATTCCAAAGATTCTAGGACCCTTAAGAATTATGGTAAATCTACTCTGCCTGTGCTCTGTAAATGGAACAACAAAGCCTTGATGACAGCACATCTATTTATAGCATGGTTTACCGAACATTGTGGAGAGCTACAGCCCAGAAAAAATGATTCCTCTCAAAATACTACTGCTAATTGACAATGTATCTAGTCACCCAAGAGTTCTGATGGAGATGTACAAGATTAGTGTTGTATTCATGTCTGCTAAATACAACATCTGTGCTATAGCCCATAGATCAAGTAGGGATTTTAACTTTTAATCTTATCATTTAAGAATACATTTTTGCAAGGCTATTGCTGCCCTGAATAGTGATTCTTCTGATGAATCTGGCAAAATAAATTGAAAACTTCCTGGAAAAAGCTCACCATTTTACATGCCATTAGGAACATTTGTGATTTATGGGAGGTGAAAATATCAACATTAATAGGAGTTGGAAGAAGTTGATTCCAACCCTCTTGGATGAGTTTGTGGGGTTCAAGACTTCAGTGGAGAAAGTAACTGCAGATGTTTGTGGAAATAGCAAGAGAACTACAATTAAAGTGGAGCTTGAAGGTATAACGGAACAGATGCAATCTATATATATATATATACTTTAAGTTCTAGGGTACATGTGCACAACGTGCAGGCTCATTACATAGGTATACATGTGCCATGCTGGCCCGCTGTACCCATCAACCCATCATTTACATTAGGTATTTCTCCCAGTACTATCCCTGCCCCCGCCCCATCCCCCTCCCCTGACAGGCCCCAGTGTGTGATGTTCCCCGCCCTTTGTCCAAGTGTTCTCATTGTTCATTTCCCACCTATGAGTGAGAACATGCGCTGTCTGGTTTTCTGTCCTTGTGATAGTTTGCTGAGAATGATGGTTTCCAGCTTCATCCATGTCCCTGCAAAGGACATGAACTCATCCTTTTTTATGGCTGCATGGTATTCCATGGTGTGTATGTGCCACATTTTCTTAATCCAGTCTATCATTGTTGGACATTTGGCTTGGTTCCAAGTCTTTGCTATTGTCAATAGTGTTGTAATAAATATATGTGTGCATGTGTCTTTATAGCAGCATGATTTATAATCCTTTGGGTATATACCCAGTAATGGGATTGCTGGGCCAAATGGTATTTCTACCTCTAGATCCTTGAGGAATCGCCACACTGTCTTCCACGATGGTTGAACAAGTTTACACTCCAACCAACAGTGTAATAGTGTTCCTATTTCTCCACATCCTCTCCAGTACCTGTTGTTTCCTGACTTTTTAATGATCACCATTCTAACTGGTGTGAGATGGTATCTCATTGTGGTTTTGATTTGCATTTCTCTGATGAACAGTGATGATGAGCATTTTTTCACATGTCTGTTGGCTGCATAAATGTCTTCTTTTGAGAAGTGTCTGTTCATATCCTTTGCCCATTTTTTGATGTGATTGTTTGTTTTTTTCTTGTAAATTTGTTTAAGTTCTTTGCAGATTCTGGATATTAGCCCTTTTTCAGATGGGTAGATTGCAAAAAATTTCTCCCATTCTGTAGGTTACCTGTTCACTTTGATGGTAGTTTCTTTTGCTGTGCAGAAGCTCTTTTGTTTAATTAGATCCCATTTGTCTATTTTGGCTTTTGTTGCCATTGCTTTTGGTGTTTTAGTCATGAAGTCCTTGCCCATGCCTATGTCCTGAATGGTATTGCTTAGGTTTTCTTCTAGGGTTTTTATGGTTTTAGGTCTAACATGTAAGTCTTTAATCCATCTTGAATTAATTTTTATATAAGGTGTAAGGAAGGGATCCAGTTTCAGCTTTCTACATATGGCTGGCCAGTTTTCCCAGCACCAGTTATTAAATAGGGAATCCTTTCCCCATTTCTTGTTTTTGTCGGGTTTGTCAAATATCAGATGGTTGTAGATGTGTGGTGTTATTTCTGAGGCCTCTGTTCTGCTCCATTGGTCTATATCTCAAACAGATGCAATCTTGTGATAAAACTTGAATGGATGAGGAGTTCTTCTTATGGATGAGCAAAGAAAATTGTTTCTTGAGATGTAATCTACTACTGGTGAGGATGCTGTGATCATTGTTGAAATGACAACAAGGAGTTTAGAATGTTGCATCAACTTAGTTGATATAGCAGCAGCCATTGTGAAGACAGTGTGGCGATTCCTCAAAGACTTAAAGACAGGAACACCATTGGAACCAGCAGTCCCATTACTGGGTATATACCCAAAGGAATATAAATCATTCTATTACAAAGACACATGCATGTATATGTTCATTGCAACACTGTTTACAATAGCAAAGGCATGGAATCAACCTAAATGCCCATCAATGTTAGACTGATGAGCATACATGCATGCATATGTTCATTGCAACACTGTTTACAATAGCAAAGACATGGAATCAACCTAAATGCCCATCAATGTTAGGATGAAGACAATGTGGTAGATATACACCATGGGATACTGTACAGCCATAAAAAAGAATGAGATCATGTCTTTTTCAGGGACATGGATGGAGAGGGAGACCATTATCCTTAGCAAACTAACACAGGAACAGAAAACCAAATACCACATGTTCTCTCTTAAAAGTGGGAACTAAATGATGAGAACACACAGACACATTGAGGGGAACAAAACACACTGGGCCTATCAGAGGGTGGAAGGTGGGAGGAGGGAGAGGATCAGGAAAAACAACTAATCAGTACTAGCCTTAATACCTGGGTGATGAACTAATATGTACAACAGACCCCTATGACACAAGTTTACCTGTTTAACAATCGTGCACATGTACCCCTGAATTTAAATTAAAAGTAAAAAAAAAAAAAAAAAGCAACCACAGGGTTTGAGAGGGTTGACTCCAGTTTTGGAAAAAGTTATACTGTGGGTAAAATGCTGTCAAATAACATTGAATACTACAAAGAAATTTTTCATGAAAGGAAGAGTCCATTGATGCAGCAAACTTTATTGTCTTATTTTAAGAAATTACCACAGCCACCCCAGCCTTCAGCAGCTACCATCCTGATCTGTCAGCAACCATCAACGTTGAGGCAAGGCTCTCCACCAGCAAAAAAATTATGACTTGCTGAAGGCTCACATGATTGTTAGGTTTTTTTTTTTTTTGCAATGTTTTAAAATTAAGGTACGTAAATTGTTTTCAACATGTTGCTGTTGCACATTTAATAGAATGCACTGTAGTGTAAACATAACGTTAATATGCACTTGGAAACCAAAGGGTCTGTGTGACTTGCTTTATTGTGAAATGCAGTTTATTGGGGTGGTTTGTTACTGAACCCACAATATCTCCATGGTGTGCCTGTAATTTACCAATGCTTCTTATATACTACATTTTAAAAGATAATAACAATGTTCCAATGAATATCTGTATTAGCACTGCACTTACCGAAATAATGTAACCTTCCCAGACCTGGTTATAAAATGGATTGCAAAGTACTATGGTACTGGAAATAACTTTCAAATCGAGCTGCAACAACTCAGTTTGGAAGTGTGGGGGAGGGAGTTAATGGCAGGATATTGCAGCCATTTCATATACTGTTTTTTTCTTTGTAATGAAACTATTTTCCAAACAAAACTTACCTCAGAAATAAGTAGTTTTTCTCATCAAAAGCTGGAGAACTCTCCAAAAGTGCTTATATCACATAATTAGCATTTTCTATAACTATTTTTGCAGGAGGCATCTGGAAGAGAATATTCAAAGAGTATGTAATGAACCTAAACTCAGGAATGTATAAAATGTGTAACACTTATAAGAACAGAAATTACTGTATATGAAGAAATATAGTTGATGACTTCACAAATTAAACTACAAAAAAAGCAGCTTACAGTGAGAAATGAATATTCTCCCAAACTGTCAATTTAAGAACATAGTGCTTATATATAAAGTATACATGTTTATGACACATACAATGTTTCATATGTATGTGGTTTTTTGCTTGTTTGAATTTCCTGTTCCTTTAAAAATAAAGATAACATACATATTGATATGAATGTTAGCAAAACTGAGTAATTATACATCACATATTTCAATTTTTTTGGAATATATAGGCTTGATTTGAGCATTTGAGACAAAGCACATAGACATATGCTTATATACTTTAATAGTTGTATTTACACCATAAGGTGAGAAACAGACTTTAAAAAGTAATGACTCACTCTTTTACAAAAACTAGAAGTGCTTTTGTATAGTTTTGCACCTACTGATTTTATGAAATGTGGAGGTGACTTGCTATAGTTTTGTTTAGTTTTGTATTCCTCAACATAATGCCATATTCATATATGGAAAAAAAAAAGATTTTTGTCAAATTGGCACTAAAAAGATGTAACAAGCAGAATTCAGAATATTCTTGGTCTCAGGAGTTTAAACAGATAAGAATGCAGAATTAACAGGTCTATTGAAATTAGGCAGGAACTGATGAAAATTTTAAAATATCTTCCAAAATTTTAGGAAAAATTACAAATAAACTATAACATTACATATGAAGGCTTAAAGATTTTAACATGTAAAAGGATTTTATAAATTATTTTAAAATGCCACTCTCTCAATAGAAAATCAGGCAAAGGACAAAAACAGCAGTTCAAAGAAACATTTTTTAAGAACTACAGAAAGCTAATGTGCACCATGAAAGTGTTCAAAATCAAATATAAGTTAATACTCAAGGAGATAGCTGTTTATCTCTATTAAACTAATACATCCTTTACAAATGATTATGTGTATTTTTTCTTTCCAGGTTAGATTGAAACTGACACACTTATACAGTTCTGGTGTAAGTATACATTTTAGTCAGCATACCAGTAGGCCTTCAATGTCAATACACTTTAACTATGTGATTCCATTTCTATTCTAAGGATATATGCACACATAAAAATCAGAACTTGCATTCGCTGTAGTATTATTTAAAAAGAAAAGATAAAATAATCTAGATGTCCAAATATGAGATTATCAACATTATGATATACCATAACAATAATACAATTTTCATGCATCAATTAAAATAATATTTAAAATATTATTATATTTTTAAAATAATGTTAGAAAATGCTGATTATATTTTGATAAAATTTGGGGAACAAAATTTATATACCAACTTAAAATTATTTTCAACTTGAATGCAAATTTTGAAAGAAAATTTATCCAAATATTATGTGTTAATCTTTGTAAATTGAGAAGCTTTTTTGCAATTATAAAATAAGCATATATCATTTTAAAAATTGTCTTTGTTTTTTAATTAATTTTTGATTGAAAAGTAAAAATTATATATGTTTATCATGTATAACATGTTGTTTTGAAATATGTATATATTGTAGAATGGCTACATTGAGCTAATTAGCATATGCATCACCTCACATTTATCATTTTTGTGGTAAGAACACTTAAAATCTCTTTTGCAGTTATGATTTCACATTTTGCACTTTATTTGCAATTTTCAAAAATGAGCGTGTATTACTTTTAATGTTGGAAAAATATAAAACTATTACAAAAATTGTTTATGAATCAGATATGGGATTCACACATGAAGAAAGCAGAAAGATGTGCTAAATAGCGTGTTATTTATTTCATTTGATTTTTATATTATATAAGATCAGAAATGTATAAAAATATATGTTCACTTGATAATTTTTCGTAAATATCTTAAATTACCCTTTATCTATTTAAAAAATTGTTTAGCATGTCAGTGTCAGCTATGCTCAATTTTCCCCCTGCTTTTATTCATCCATATTATGTGTTCTCTGGATTTTGCCCTTGCATACACTCCCTTTAAAGCTTTCATTTAAGAAACTTTTAATCAATTCGAGGGCAGTTTATTTGTTGACTTTCACGTTAGTATAAAATTCTACTATTTATGCTATTAATTTTATTTAGGATCTGCCAGTCTCTTAGAAGAATCAGTGATATGCGTGTAACACCTGTAAAATAAAAATACCCACGAGTATTTAGTCTTTTCTCTGGCCTGGGGCACAATCAGTACTGCATGTTTCTTTTTTCTTTTATTTGACAAAATTGCCAGTAAATACGATTAAATATATTCAGTATTGACCAACATTTTTCTTACTTTTTAAAATGTAAGCATTAAAGTTTACTATAATCATTTTGAAAGCAGTCTGACTAAATTTATAGCCTCACTTTTTTTTCTCATGCCACAGATATTTCAATTAGAAAATGCTTTGGCTTTATGATACATAATAAAATATCTTTGAGTCCCTAAATTTGTCCATTCTAACTTAATATTCTATCTATAACTCAGATCTACCATGAGAGCAAATTATGTAACCCCAGCTAATTTGCCGTAAGAATTAACAGTTGTGCTTAATCTCCTTCAACTTATTTTAACAAGTGTCTTTTGTTAAGACAGATGCTGCCTCAAATTCACTTTTCCTGCCCCTGCCATACATCTTTGTGAAACATGTTTCTACTTCCACTTCTCTGCCTCTGCCTGGCATTCCTAATTTATATCTTCATCATAAGTATTTCACAAAACCATTCTTTAGTGTGACAGTGATCTCATGGTTGATTCCAATATCGCTTTTTGTTTTAGGATTAAGACTACTTGCTATTAATAATTGAAGATTATTGACCATTCGTTAGCTTTGACGCTCTTTGGTATTTGCTTTCTGGACAGTCCTCTCTTTTTTATATCACATGCTTATTGCACTCATTGTTTACACCACTTCTGCAAAACCTCTGACATATGGCAGACCAAGACTGATCCTGAGCTTCTTAGCTTTCTATTTCCACCTACCTTTCTCTATAGCGTTTTTATCAAACTATATTGATAAATGATTCCCAGGTCTTTTTTTCTACTCCGAATCTTGTTTCTTCTACCCAAGTCTGTACTTCTTGTATTCAGTATTACCTACAAATGAATGTTTACCACTACTTCAAATCTTTCTTAAAATATAAATTTCCAGCATTTTCACTTTCAGAAATTTATTCAACACACAGATTGCACAAATTTGCAGGCATATATACACAAAGATAATCAGTGGATCATTATTTGTAATAGTTAAGTAATGAAAAAATCTGAAAGTTCATTAATGGAAAAATGGGTAAATGAGGTTGTTGTATATACATACATGAAATTCTATTCACTAGCAAAAATGACAAGGTAAATTTGAGCTAGAAAGATGTCCATGATATGAGGCAAAATGAAAAAAATGGGAAACATAACAAACAGTACAGTGAGTTAGCAGATGCATGTCAAACCCTTAAAATGCTTCTTCAAAGGTTTGGATAGGGGTGGTACATTTATTTCTTAAAGTGTGTGTGTGTGTGTGTGTGTGTGTGTGCATGGATATATATATATATATATATATGGATATATATCCATGCACACACACACACACACACACAATATCCCCATGGAAGCACTTTTATCCTACTTTTCATCCATTGCAAAATTTCACAGAAATCTTGGTTATTTTTATGTACAAATTATCACTTGCTAAATGTATTTGTGTCATACACAAAAAAAGTTAGAGCCAAATATCCTTGACTTTGTCCAGCCAATCGTATAGCCCTTATAACACACACACACAGACATATACACACGCACACAAATACCCATACCTCTACTACCTTGGAATAACACAGACTCCTCTCTATAACTTTGCTTTAATATCATACTAGAAATGCTGTTCTATAGAGTACTTTGCGTTTTGCACACTGCTCAAATTTCTTTCTCACTGGGCGAAACGCAACAACAGGCAAAACTTTAACTTTATCCAGACAGTACCAATCATTGTTTCAGGATACAAAATCAATGTATGAAAATCAGTAACATTTATTTGCACCAATAACATTCAAGCTGAGAGCCAAATCTGGAACACAATCCTATTTACAATAGCCACAAAAAGAGTAAAATACCTAGAAATACAGCTAACTGAGGAGGTGAAGGATTTCTGCAAGGATAGTTACAAAACACTGCTGAAAGATATCAGAGACGACACAAACAAATAGAAAAACATCCCAGGCTCATGGATTGGAAGACTCAACATCATTAAAATGGCCGTACTACCCAAAGGCTACAATAACCGAAACAGCATGGTACTGGTACAAAAATATTCTTATTTTAAAACTTTAGTTATCTAAACATTCCAAAAAATACTTGTGAGTCAAGAATAATATTTTGAAAAGGTCTTAGAATTTCTTAGCCAAATATTTATTACATAGTTTGATTACACAGAAATACTTTCAGTACTTCAAAATTATATGAATAGTTGAAGTTTACCATTAAAATATTTTAAGATCACAAGACACATGATTGCTTCAAAATATTCTACTTTGAAATTACATCAAATAACAATTTATAACCGGATACTGTGCTTAGCTTAATATCATCAATTAAATAAAAATGTTATAAGGAAATTTTTATTTGTTTTATCAGAAGGTACCTTATACAAGTTAGATGCACAGTCATAATACAAAACTTAATTCTACCTTTAAACATCATTTCATGAACTCAATGTTAGGAAATGTGTGTCCTCTTCTTGCCAGCTCTCCCTTTTTCTCTCAGAAGATCATTGCTTGAGTGAAGAGGTTGAAGAATTTTAACAAAACTGAATCATAATATCAAACTTGAAGTAATAATGCTATAATAAACATAAAGTGACAGCATATGGCCAACATGCCCTTGCACAATGAAGATCCTATGTAATGGCTGGATGTGATCTTAAACAAGTTACTTTGGGGGTACTAGAGAGTATCGACTGTTCTGTCATATGTCATATATGCTTTATATGAATTAGACATCACAGTAGCTTAATATATCCTAATATAGTGCATTTCGCAGATTCACCTTTAACTTATAGACCTTAAACTTTTATCCAAAAGAATTTACTACAAATACTCAGATAAAATAGAGTAATAGTATGAGGTAAATTTTGCTGCATAATTAGATTTGTTGTTGTTTCACATACACTGTACTATTTATCTTAGGGCTGAGAAATGAAACTGAGCTTTGGTTGGATTTTTGTTTTTACTTCTTAAACTACTTTTCATCTCTTTTCAGTTAATACCTGAGTATATTTTTCTAAAGTCAGTGAAATAAGAAGTTCTCTCGTAGAAATTGATGAGATAAAATGGAAAATTCAGATTTGTGAGCTTTTATATATATGATGTCATATATATATATATATATATACACACTGAGATGGAGTCTCTTGTCACTCAGGCTGGAGTGCAGTGGCGTGATCTCAGCTCACTGCTACCTCTACCTCCTGGGTTCAAGCGACTCTCTTGCCTCGGCCTCCCAAGTAGCTGGGATTACCCACCCCGGCCACTGTACCCATCTAATTTTTGTATTTTTAGTAGAGATGGGGTTTCACCATGTTGGTCAGGCTGGTCTGGAACTCCTGACCTCAGGATGTCAATATAAATTAATATTAGTTTGACCTTTTCTGCAAATTATTGGATTAATGCAATATCATTCATGTAACAGCTGTCAAAGTCTTGAGCTATAATACTGTCCTCATGCTGAAATTTAAAACTTTTGAGTCTAACAAAGACCTCAGCTCCTTCAGTATTTACATTTCATTATAGGTTAGATATGTACTGAGCAAGCATTCCTCAAATTATAGTTTACCTTTACCGGACTTACATTTACAATTCATTAATTTTATGAAATATGGAATTTTAAAACAACAGAAATATTAAATATATTTCACATATTAAGTTTTTAATAAGTTTTACAATATTAAAATTATTATTTTCCTACTTTGCAGTAATAAACTTAGAAAATGGAAAGGATGTTAAGTTACATGGTTTTCAATGAAATATAAATATAAATATACACATAAGCACATATACATACCTATATGCATACATATGTTAACAGTAATTTTTAACATTCAGTGGTTATATTTTATTGTTTAACATTTTGCACACCCTAAATGTTAAAATAGATATTTACATAACATTTATTGAATAAATTTATACCACAGGGAGAAATCAAAAGATTTTGTACATGGGAATTTATTACTCTGATGAATATATTTTAATGAAGTATCAATTTACATATCTAAAGAATGTACTAATCTATAATTTATAGATTTTTTAAAAGTTTTTTCCCATTATTGAATTGCATATTATTAAAATTATTTTGAGTAATTAAATCATATGCAATTATCAGTGAACGAATAAGATTCATTGCTTTTAGTATCCCTGCAAAGCATGTTGAATATGGTCAGATGGAAAAACACGTAAGTTTTGTTTTCCTGTGGGCATGTCACAAAGCAGCCTTGCCTTGAGCCTGGACACTACTCCTGCCAGACAGAAGTTAAACTGCTTTTGTTCAAGAAAGCTAGCCCATGGGAAGGAAAAGACACAGATGGCCTAGAAGAGCAAGGATTCTGCTGCCCTGGGTGAAGTGGGTTCCTGGAATTTACAGACAGCTGTGGAGAAGCTTCTGTGCATGGAGCCTCCTCTGTTCTCCCAGACTGCAACAGTCACTAGAGGACCTTGATGGGGATGTTGTGTCTAGACTTCTGATGGGGGTGTGTGTCTCAAGACTGAACCTCAAGTTCAGTACCTTTGGAAGAGCAGCAAGGGTCCCATTGGCTAAATTTAGCATGGGAGAGTAGACATGATGATCTAACCAAAAAGACATGGCTGATGAGAACCTTCCTTGAACTGAAAGCTGATTTATTTTTCCCCAGATTTCTGTACTGCATAAGAAGCCAGAGGCACTTTTTGCCCTTAACAAAAGGGAAAGGGCCACTAGCTAGGCAGGTGGGTGTTCAAAACCACATGAAACTGATTTAGAAAATGGAAAATACAAAAGGTGCACATTATTTTTCACTTGAGTAATGTAGAGCAAATTTCTACACATTGAAAGGGCCTTGATAAAGTGGAATGTGTTAACACCTTCCTCAGTGAGATTGTCTTCTGAAATGACAGTAGTGAGTAACTACTTTCCTCTGTCCATTCCTGAGACCAAAGAGAAGATCTCACTGGCAGAATATCAGGCACTCTGCTAATGAAGTCTCCTTAATGTTCAATGTGATCATTACAACACAGTTCTCATTTATTGAGTACTGATCAGTCCACAGCAATTTAAAAATATTTGTACCTTCATTTCCCATTAAAATTTTTTTCGGCCGGGCACAGTGGCTCACGCCTGTAATCCTAACACTTTGGGAGGCTGAGGAGGGCAGGTCACAATGTCAAGAGATCGAGACCATCTGGCCAACATGGTAAAACCCCGTCTCTACTAAAAATACAAAAATTAGCCAGGGGTGGTGGCGTGCACCTATAGTCCCAGCTACTCAGGAGGCTTAGGCAGGATAATTGCTTGAACCGGGGAGGCAGAGGTTGCAGTGAGCCGAGATCGTGCCACTACACTCCAGCCTGGTGACAGAGCAAGACTCCATCTAAAAAATTAATTAATTAATTAACTCAATTGAAGAAACATGTTAAGGGGGGTTAAATCACTTGTTAAAGATACAGTATTAGTAAGCAGGCTCCCAGGAATTGAATGGAAGGGTTATGTGACTGTAATGTCCATACTGGAATTTCAATCATTACAAATTGATGGACAATGAATTAATCTTATCAACTTTTTGGCAAATACTGAGCAAGGATTATTCATGTGAGAAGGTCAGTCTGCCTTCTAGGGACTCATTCTGTCTCCATTCTTAGATACCTAGAGCTGTTTGGTCCCTCAAGTCTGTGGGTTCTCTGGAGAAGCAAGTCTGAACTCCAGCTATACAGCCAGAAGGACTTTCATGATTCATTTCTCTTAGTCTTGTTTCTTACCTTCCTGCACCTGAAGACACAGATTTCCTGAGACATACTTTTGTGTTTGATGTTTTCATTTCCCCTGACTCTACTTTGTTTCCACAGTCTTCTGTTCCTCCTCTTCTTCTGGATTATTCTCCACTTTAGATCTCAGTGCCTGCCTGGGAGAGGACTGGTTTTCTTCATTCCTTTGTACTTTGATCGTCAGCCTCTATGATTTCCTCCCAGTGTCTGTGTCCCTTGATTCCCTCAAATGCTAATAAATGTTGGTCACTCTACCAGTGCTTGGTTGGCTTTATTGCTCAACATTCCATATGGAAAGGGTAACAGCTAAAAGCAGAATCTAGGTGTGATACTCGAGACGCTAAGGAAGTTTGGGAAAAGTTTGGGAAAAGAGCATCTTTCTAAGGGCAGCATTCAGTATGTTTTATCACCATTAAGGCACTAAATAGAAACTAGCTTTAGGGCCGGAGCAGAGTTCTTACCATCTCCTATGCCAAGGTTATTTGCCAAATCTTAAAGAGGATAGGACAGAGAAAGCCAGGAGAGACACTAATGTGGCAGAGTGGTCACTCAGGACGTTTGGAAACCAGGTTTTACCAATTGATAGAAAAGTATTTCATACTTTAACAATTTGTGAAGCTGTACCAGTGAGAACTGGCTGAATATAAGGTATAACTCTTACATGTCTGAAAAACAGACAAAAACTAAATAAATTACTATGGAAAAATAGTTAACTAATATCAAACTTGTTGATAAGATGCTGAATATTACATGACCTTTTCACAGTTTGCTTTTTTAACATTTGATGACATAATTTTTAGAAATTAAAATCATACTTGAGTCAAAAGTCTATAGGCTTATTTTTCTTTACTCATTTTTTCTGATGGTGTATCTTTCTGTATTCTTTCTGTAATCTTTCTGATGGTGGTATATCAACAATCTGAAATTAATGCAAATTATCTTTCCCCTTGATGTTGCCCTCAAAATGTGGAGAATTCCAAAGTCTCAGAAATCTGTCATTTTCCAATTCCACACATTGTTTTCAAAAGGAGCTACTCAAACAAATAGAAATCAAAACGATCTATGCCTGTTCTCCTCTGGATTTGTGTATCAGTAGCTTCAAATCCTATTATATGTAAATGATAATAAAATCTTACATTGCTATTCACGTGGCTTCACAGCAGAGCCAGCTTTCACCCTAGGAGTCTCTAGAAGTAGGAAGTGACTTCCCTAGAGCATTTGGTAAGCCCATCAAACTCTAACCATTTTGAAAGTTGAGTGAGTCATTAGTTTTATGACCTATCTAGCTTTAAAAACATGGAAAACTGATGTGATGCTGGTTTAATTGAAAACAAACAGGGAGATTATTTTCACCACTTCCTGAATAAGGGATAAAGCAATATAAATCATATTGAAATTTTGTCTGTATTTAATTACTGAGTAGTGTGCTGCAATTTATACTTTAAGTACTAATTATTCTTAATGTAATTATATTTAATTATTATAATTGCTATTCATATCTTATGTTCTAATAGAGACATATCATATCGAGGGCCTTTTTCACAAAATTACTATATTCCCTTCATGCTAGAAAACAGAATAGAAAATTTACCTTAATTTAGTTGTAATAAGCTATTCGTTTCCTCATGTATTGCAAACTGTTTCAAAATGGATTAAGTTACTAATTTTTATCTTTTTTATTAGGTTATTTTGACAAGGATGTTTTATAACAAATGCTGGCAACCCTTTGAAATTAAAAAATAGAAATAGCATGGTTTGTTTGTATATAAATTATGGCTTTATACATTTTATACATTTACTTGTAGATCACACTATAAATTCACATCTTTTTTCTCCTGCGGGCATTGCAGTATAAATAAAAGGGTGGTTAGACATTGTAATTTTTTTGCTCTAAATTTATAATGCATTACAATATATTCAGCTCAATAAGTTTGTAAATTATAGCACATAAGATTTGAAAATTCAAGAAATGGAAGGGAAAAGGCAATCTACAGTAACTAAAAAACAAATTCTAATTCATTGCCTCATATGATCTGAATTTAATTTGCTTACATTTGACAAGAGAAACACCTATTTACAGTGTTCTTTTTGATATAGTACATATAAAGCTGAAATACTGTGTTTCAGCTTGGGTAATGGAGTCATTACCTCAATTTTAAACATTCTGTAACCTGAAATTGGGATTTATAATGGACTCATTGGCTGACCAAAATCACCACAAGTAAAAACGATTTCTAGAAACTTAGAGAGTTGAGATTTATTTTTTAAATTGCTTTTTTAGATAGAATGAGGAATAATACTCAGGAAAATTTGAAAGCATGTACCTTTAGAACCAAGAAAAATTTACGAATATATGTTGCAGTGAATAAAAGAGTTAGATGTTTTAACACCTGTTTACACTAATAATTACAGTAATAATATTGAACATTTATAGTGTATTTAGCAGGTGCAGCCATTTACCAAAAATTCTATGTGTATTAATTTTCACAAAGGCCTTGTAGTTAAGATATTACTCTTCCCTCTTCCATTTTCCCAGGACAACAGGCACAAACCAACACTGTCCCAAGAAAATTACGTTATGTGATTTCCCATCCTGATCAATTTTCAGACAGTAGAGCATTTTGCAAAATAGGTTTTCCTTTGATGTTCTCTATATGATATGGAAAATTCCATAGTCTCAGAAGTCTTTGCCATTTTCTATGCCATTAGCTCAAAAGGGATCCCCGCAAACTAACTGGAAACAATATTAAGACCTACTATGGATCAGAGTCTCAATAACCATAAAAACAAAAATATCTGGAGATCAATGTACACTGGATCGGTGTTTTTAAGAAGATTACATTCCGAACAAATGTTATCCTAAGAATCTGAGTAAATTAGACTAAGTGGAAAAACTGTTTATGTAAAGCTATTTGTGGAGATTTTTTGCATAGGAAGTGTATACAGAAGTTCAAAGGCATAGATTCTGTGTCCAAGAGAAAAAAGTTGAATGTAGAGGTCATCATTTAATAACTTTGTGACCCTGAAAAATACACTCAATCTTTAAACCTTCTGTTTTCTATTCTGTAAGATTAGGCTAATATGTATGTTAAATAATATTTGTGGTGATTAAAGGGAGAATGACCACATTCTATTTAGTGTGGACCCACTATTCAATCATTGAATGTTAGCTATTTATTATTATATGAATGTATTTATTGTAAAGGCCATGTATTTTTCTTGCTGTGAAGATGACTCTCAGTCTGGTGGTATCTTATCATTGTAGTACTTTAAGAAAAAGAAATGTAAACCTTTGAAAAAGAGAAATACTCAGGCTTCATGTCTGTATCTTCTAAGTTAGTGTTGTAGTATCTGGCCTGAACATTTGCTTCTTGGTGGAGGGGTTGGCGTTGTGGAGGGTGATGAGGCCCACTTGCTTTCTGATGGGTTGAGAACCACTGTGATAGGGAACTTGGTGTACTGGAATATCCTCAATTAAAATTTTGTGTTTTTTTAAATGCTATATTTTGGTTAACAAGGTTTTTTTTTTTAAAAAAAAAAAGCAAAAAATTAACATATTATCACCACATGTAACAACGTAAACAAAAGATAGAACGTTTTCCCTGGGAAAGCACAGCTTTGATTTTACAAATTCTTACCATATTTACTCTTTCTTTTATTTAACAGTGTGTGTCTATACCCAGATCTTATTCTGCACCTGTCATTGTGCTGAGCAATGGGGATATCATAGAGAAGGTTGGAACGAGAGTGACAACAGGAGAGACAGTTATAGACAAAATGTTAATCAAATAGAGATCACAGTTTTAGTCCTGTCAGTGTATGGATACCCCTCCCTAAACTCCAAAAGTATGGCTTCTATAAATTGTCTTGGAGGACTAGTCTTAGGCCTGAGCGAAAATAAGGTATTTGAGTTTTCCCTCAAATACCAGTTTTGAGGTTTGTTTCTTTCAATGAATGTGGAAGACAAAAGTATATCTATAAATCTGGCTGAGTGAATTAACTCAGCAGGTCTATTATTATTATCATAATTTGATGAGTTACTAGCATTCTTTTCTTAGGGTATAAAAAAACTGGCTACCAAGGTTATTGGTACTCTTTTCAACTTGAAGTGTGACTCCTTGATGGAAGAAGCCATATTATAATATCGAGCAATTGTATTTAGACCCATCCAGGTGCATCAGGAGAACATATATGAGTCAACATGGGTCCAAGAATTAGACAAACTTAGGTTTCTTCCATGTTTCACTATTTATTGGCTGTTTTAGTTAGAGTTACACAATTGCAAAAAAAAAAGAAAAATCCCAAATATATCTATGGCTTAACCAATAAAAATGCAAAGCAGCTCTCCAACACAGCATGATTCAGGGAGCTAGGCCTCTGCTATCTTGTAGCTCCAGTCTTGTGTAGGGTCTCAAATCCACTTGGTGGGTAGAATAAGAGAACCTGGAGAAGGCTGACTAGCTTATTAAATATCTTGACCTGGAAGTGACACAGTCACCTTTATTCATTGGTGAGAACCCACCAACAAACTTATTTGGATAGAAATGGGAGCTGAGAAATATAATCCTTGGTTATACAGCTACTTCCTTGCTGTAAGTCTATAACTTTTGGTGGATATCTAGCCATCTTATCAAGCTAACTGTATGACTTTAAAAACTGAAATTCTATCATTCTGATTCCTGATTTAAAAGGGGAATAAAGCTGGATGTAGTGGCTCACTCCTGTAATCCCAGCATCTTGGGAGGCTGAGGTGGGTGGATCACTTGAGGTCAGGAGTTCGAGACCAGCCTGGCCAACATGGCAAAACTGCTTCTCTACCAAAAAATACAAAAATTAGCCGGTCATGATGGCATGTGCCTGTAATCCCAGCTGCCCAGGAGGCTGAGGCATGAGAATTGCTTGAACCTGGGAGGCAGAGTTTGCAGTGGGCTGAGATCGTGTAACTGCACTCCAGCCTGGGTGACACAGGAAGACTCCGTCTCAAAAAAAAATAAAATAAAAATAAACGGGATAATACGCCTGAATGATAGGTAATGAAGATTAACTGAGATAGTGTGCATAATACTTGACATATGATCTAATCATAATATGAGTTCTCAATATATGGTAACATGCTATAATTATTATCATCGTGTGATCCATGCTCTGTATAAGTGGAATGATGACTTCCTTCTCCGTCTCTTTAGGGTGATGTAATAGTTTTATTCCATTCCTCCCGAATGCTGATTAATCTTATCATTTTATAAAATTACAGCTATTTATGACCTTTTTAAATGAACATTCTTTCCCACGGGAGTAGTAAGACCAAATACTTCCTTTTTGTATCTAGGACCTCTGTCAGGGAGAAATTTCAATTCTGAGATTGAAAATGGCTCTTTTGGGTCAGTAACTATATCGCTTCAGATACAGCGTGCATAGAGCAAAGGGGTTACCTCTGGGATTGGCTAAGTCATGGCCAGATGATCCTCCATGCTGCTGACCCTTACAGCGTTAGAAAACCTATACTAGTCACAATATAAGGAGTTCACTCTCTGCTATGTAGCGTCAAAGTCATATGGCCTTTCAATAAAGTTTCTTTTATTCCCTGTTCTGAAATATATAGTTACTGTTAACATGTGTTATGTTGATTATGTTATGTTTAGTTGCATATTTGTAAACTACATATCTGTTTTTGTTTTCACGTGGAAATTATGAAATCCTAGAGCAAAT
The DNA here is from genome assembly GCF_000001405.40 of Homo sapiens. NCBI lineage: Eukaryota > Metazoa > Chordata > Mammalia > Primates > Hominidae > Homo > Homo sapiens. Next base: position 97,094,277 of record NC_000003.12, read on the forward strand.
AATCAGTTTCTCTTATTAGACCCCCCTAGCAATAAATATTTCCAAACCATTAAAGAGTGACTTGGTAGAATTTAATATTCTGGTCACGATATCAAAAGTAAACAGTAACTTTTAATCACTTTCTATTCTCATTATATCTCCTGTCATAACAAGTATTTTCTCAGTTTTTAAATGGAAGAACAAGCAAGCAACAATTTAACATCAGTTGTCATCGTCTCTTAAAGATTGTGTTGTTGCATTAGTTTAACTTCAAATCAAAGTTTAGAAATATTAGTGCTAGGCAGCTATTTATCTTGAGTTATTAACATTTCTCAGTTATTAAAATCTGGTTATTTCTTTGAGGTTTCAATGATTGAAATATAAACAAGAAAGAGGGGAAAATGTCAAGTGTATCTCATTCTGATTAGTATTATAATTGTAAAGTTCTTTTAGTCTTGCTACATAAACTATTATTTTAGCCTTCACATTTTAAAAGGCTTCAACATTTTCTCAGGGAACATCTGCAGGAAAACAATACTTTGGGAGACAGGAAAAGAAAAGAGGAAAACTAAACTGCTGAAATGTTAAAGAGTGTAGCCTTTATTAAATAAATGTGATGTAACAAAATGTGTAAAGGACTTTGGGTAAGGAAACCGGATTTCAGGGTCTGACTTGCCTACTGGGTGTATGATATCTTGAGTAAGGTAACCTATAATTTGGAAGTTTTAGTTTTCTTATCTTTAAGATGGAGAGAAAAATGATCCCCATCGCCTATGATTAGTGTAAGATTTAAAAATTGAATAAGAGAAAAGGGCTGCCATTAAAAGTAGTAAATACGGAAAACTGGCAATCTGTTTTTAATTGAAACTATTTTCAACAAAAGTAAAAATTTTAATGAAAGAAGCGTAATATTGTTAAAAAGCATCCTGACTTTTTAATGATCGCCATTCTAACTGGTATGAGATGGTATCTCATTGTGGTTTTGGAACTGAACAATAAGAACACTTGGACACAGGAAGGGGAACATCACACACTGGGGCCTGTCATGGGGTAGGGGGAAAAGGGAGGGATAGCATTAGGAGATATACCTAATGTAAATGATGAGTTAATGAGTGCAGCACACCAACATGGCACATGTATACATATGTAACAAACTGCACCTTGTGCACATGTACCCTAGAACTTCAAGTATAATGATAAAAAAAAGCATCCTGCTTTCTTTTGTTGTGACCATACCCCCCACCTTCCTTTTCAAAATTATGTGGCACAGGCTGATAATGCTTACCATTATTCAAACACTCATCAGACTAATGAAATTCCTGATTTTTAGGTGGGCTAATGGCTACTTAAAAATAATGACCACATTTCCTACCCTGCTTTTAAGTGATGTGTGGCCATATGACTAAGTATGTGAGGGAAAGTGGTGTGTGTAACTCTGGGATATATCCTTAGAGCAGTAGTTCACAAACTTTGTTGTGTACCATCATCACTTGAAGGACTTGTTAAAAAATAAAAAAAAAAACAAGCAAACAAAAAAACATATGATTGAATTCCATCCTGGAGTTTTAGATCAGTAAGTCTGGAGAGGAGCTTGAGAATTTTCATTTCTAGTAAGTTCCTAAATGATGCTGATGCTGCAGCTTAAATGATATTATACTTTGAAAACCTCTGCTTTCTTGTTTTGTTTTTCTTCCACTCTAATGCTCAGAACATGAATGTGATGGCTCAGGATGATTCTAGAACCAAAAGTTTAAGAACCCTGTCCTAGGGATGGTGGATAAGACACATAGGACTGAGGACCTAATATGAAATTCATTCATATTGATTAAGTCTTTTTGAGCTGGAAGCAATGGGTTTTGATTTCATAATGCTGTAACTTTTAACTTTGCTCTAACAAAGCTATTTTATACGTATCCACATATATGGAGGAAAATGTATTTGCAAAATGTGTATGTGTGTGTTTTAACCTAAGGAAATATATATATATATACACACACACACATACACACACATACACACCCACACACACACACACACATATATATACATGTCTATATCTATATCTATATAGTTGAGTGCCGAGCTTTTCATAGGAAATATGAGTAGTTTAAATATTTAGAGTAGTTTAGAAGTATATTATTGTATAGCTATATATTTTAAATCTATGAACATTTCACAGAACTACATAAATTTGTTCAAGGGTAATGATTAATAATGAGATTTACTGACTTCATAAGTATTGAGAGTACTTGGCTTTCAACCTCATGCCTTATGACTTTTCTAAACCACTGAATGTACTCAAAAGAAGAATATAACCTGTCATGGGTTATGCCAGCCTGGGCATTTAAAATCTCAGTGAGACATGGGAGAAAAAAGTCAGTATATTCAGGTGTCTTTTACTCAAAGCTAAAATCATTGGTAAACTTTTGCCTATTTTATGTGATTCTTAAATTTTCTTAAGTTTTGAATAATAAGGAGTGGTTTTAATAATAAAAATGTCACTTTTATTTAAAGTTAAAAACCAAAAGTTAGTGCTTAATACAATATAAGGGCTATAGTATAATCTTTTTTTATATTCAAATTTAGATCTATGGACAGCAAAAGACATATGTCAAATAAAGTCTATCATCTGTTAAAAAACTTTCTAAATTATAAGTAACTCAGTGTTAAATGCCCACATCTCCTAATGTTTCCTCCATTTTAGTTCCCTACGTAGTTTATGAGTTCGTAAACATTTATTTAAATAAAAATTCAAATTCCAAAACAAAAAAATCCAATTGGGGGTCATTTCATTAATGTTTATCATTAAAGCAGTAATATTATGATATTATGAAAAAAAGAAAAAATGTAGTTTAAGCTGAAAGAATTTGAATGTTCCAAACACAAAGAAATAATAAGTATTTAGTAGAGTATTAGCTTAGCTGATTTATAAAAATGACATATGCAATATCATTAATAAAAGAAATAAAAATATGTAAATGGAAAATATAAAGAAAAATATTTTTTAAGAAATGACATGAAGAAAAATTTAAATAATTGAGCCATCAAGATTGACAACATTGCTATATTTTGCTTCCTGGCAGTCAGAGCTAACAGACATAATCAGTTATTTAATTTATTCTTCCTTTTTTCAGAGATAAAGGAAATATACTACCTTGTAAACAAAACAAAACAAAACACAAGGTTTTACATTGAAAGCATTGAATTTTTAAAATGGGAAAAACATATTGTGAATCTGAAAATATAAGTTGTAGCTGAATGACCCTTTCAGTGAAGATAAAATCACATTGGTTCTTTTTTTTTTAAATGGAATAATCATATGACACTTTCATTGTATAGCTTTATATAAAAGATAGTTAATTAAAATTTATGTCTTCACTGCCAGATTGGAAGACCTTTTGTATGGAAATGCATGCCATATCAAGTGTCATATCTGTCTTATGTCAAGCCTGTATCCATAATAGGTACAATAAATGTTTTTTAGTAATTGATGAAATAACAAAATTTAATGCTAAGAAATGCTTCCTGGTATTTTAATCACATAGCAGATAAATCAGAAGAATGTATGCAGCTAATGTATCCAAAAAGAGAAGTCAAGTAGGCAATGGTTATTAAATCACATTTCTGGATGTGAGTAATGATGTGGGTGAGAATAATATGATTAACAATGCCACAGTTCTACTCCTGTCAAATTAAAATTTTGCAAAAATCGTAGAGAATGAATCTTACGTTTAAGAATTTGAATTTAGAAAACTTAAGTTATGAGATAAATGAACAATAATGGCACTCACATAATATTTACAACATACCAAGCACTCTTCCAGTGCCTCATATGTTGGAATTAACAAAGTTCTCACAATGACTTTTTGGGTGGTATCATTAATGCTCTCATTTTGTGAATAGCAATGCGGCATATTACACCCAAGGTCATGTAGCTAGCAAGTGCTGGACCCAGGGATTGGACCAAGTCTGATTCATGAGTGTATGCTCTAATCAGGCTTTTATTCTATACTTCTAAAACATCCAAACAATTCACTTTATTTTTTGTGTCTGATTATTTTAAATTATTTGCATATTATTCAATTTCCAGGACTATTGGAAGTAATAAACTTAAATTTAATTTAACTTTTGATATGTAGAATTACTGAACTCTGCTTGCTTTTTTATGTAAGCTTTCTTATGCATTAGATCTGAATAGGCAACAGAATTTATGGGAGAACCAAAACCATTCTAGGGAAGATATGGAAAAATAAATTAAAACAGAAGGATTTGAGTACATTTTAAATGTGAATGTGATGATGTTATGTGACTAAGATTTATGAAATGTTATATTATGTGATTATCTTTACCTAACTTATGATGAAAAAGTAGTTGAACCTCTAAGACTTTTTCAAAAACCCTTATGACAAAGAAGTCAGTAAAGTGGAAAAAGGTAACACTTTTTGTTATGAATCAACAAAAATAGGGGTATCTGGAACACTTCGTAGTCTGTATTATAACACTACAATCCACTATGTCAATCAAGCAAAAAGGGATGTAATTGTTATGCTGCTGTGTCCACAACTGATGAATGTTTGTTGCTATTTGATGGTTGGTAACAAATTGGTGGGTTCTGCTGTCAGCACTGCTATCAGAGTACAGTTCTATTATATTCTCATTAACATAATGATAAAATTAACATTAAGAAAACACTTTCTATAAGAATTTATGAGATTCTATGCAATTAAGCATGTAACAGTGTGGACAGAAAATTTGCAGAAGGCTGTATAATAATAAAAACTTTAAAAATATATTTGTAGAAGTAGTCAGTGACCTGAGACTTTAGACTGTTGATGACTGGCTTGTTGATATGTTAATGTGAAGTAATTATTCCAGTGAATTGAAGCTGAAAGTCAACATGTATATTTATTAATTTAGTTTAAGCTTCCTTATTGTTAATCACAGTTGAGGTATCTATTTTCAGCAGACTTATCCATAACTTTCCCATCAAGGTTTGCCAACCATAAAATCTAAATATTTTTTTCCTGTCAACTTTCTAATTTCTAATTAGGAAATGTTTTGTGACTCTTTAAAATCCTAAACACTTGTTTGTCTTTAAGAACTGATTTTGTGGGTCAGAAATCTGTTAAATATTGCATATAATTTGTCTTTTGATATTCACTAATATTTTCACAATATTTATAAGCATGTTCAGTTATTAAAGGATTAGATATTTCTTAATAAGTACCTTTTACTAATTGTGATAGTGTGTTATGTCAGAAACAATATTATGTGTTTACCAAACCCTCCTTTTTTGGTTTGTGACTCATCCTAATGAAATTTCCCAGCATATCTTATCGCCGAGTGGGATCATGTGACCTGTTTCTGGATACTGGAATGTTGATTAAAGTAGAATATGCCACTTTCTGGTCTTGCTCATTAAAAGACCTTCCTGATTATCTGCCAAGCTCTCTCCATCTTTCTTCTCACACCCTGATGATGAAAATCCAGTGGAGGACCCCAAAGCCCTGAAGATATGTTGAAGTGTAAGATGGAAGTAACCTAGATCCTGAATGATCATATGGAGCAAAGTCCCACAGCTGACTACTTTGGATTATGAAGTGAGTGAGAAATAAACCTGTAGTGTTTACACTAATGAGACTTTCTGAGTTTTTGTTATTGCTGTTAGTCTACCTTGACCAATAGATTTGTGCTTAGCACAAAATTGGAAGTTGGAGAAAATTAAAAACAAAGGAGTGTCTCCACCATGTGTATGTGTATTTTTGTAGATAGCAAGTTAAAAGTCACTATACAAGGCCACAGTTTATTTGGGTACTATTGTATTGGCCAAAGCAACTCTACTATGAATGCAGGAGGAACTAGCAAAACAAAGTTAATAAAGAGAAGCTGTTCTTCACTTCAAAATTTAATTTCATGTCTCTAATCATAATAGAATAAGAAATGCAGTCACCTAGAGATCAAAGCACACAATAAATATAGTTTATATATATCTATATATTTTATATATATATAGATATATGGAGCTTAACATTCTCTAAGCAGTTTTGATGACACAATAGTAAAGAGATCAGTTTTTAATGCAATACTATATATTTCTTTCTGATTATCAGGCAGACAAATTAACAAAGAGACATAATAATAACAATCATATTTTGAGTGTTTCTCAGGTGCAACCATAATTTGGGACCCTATTATATACATTATTCTACTTAATGGCTACTAACTGATTTTAGAGATATTAAACAAAATCAGAGAGGCTAATTTGCCCACATCATGTAGCTCTTTAGTACTAAGACTGAGATTCATCCCTAGGCCCAGCCTCTTTCAGAGATAATACACTGTTCATTGTGTGAGCAGAGAATGGAGTTAGTAAGTTAAGTAGGAACAAGACAGGATAACTGGGATAACTGAAGGTACGTGTTCCAAATATTTTTCCTTTATTTTAAAAAGTTGAAATACATTTCAGTTACTCTGAACATTATCAAAGTGATATACCAAGTGTTTCCTATTATTTCCCATTTTCACTTGTTTGGGCTAAAATGTCTGTATATTTTTGACATTATTGTTGTAATTTTTTCTACATATTCTATCCTAATATTAACCACTCCCTGAATATTGTGCTGGAGAAGGTAGTGAGATTTTAAAATAATCATAAATGAGAATAAGATAAATGATTAAAACAGCATCTCTATTACAGAATGAAATAAAGATTATCAATAAAGTCTATAATTATTTGATAATGGAGTTTAGTATCTGTGAATGTAAAACGACTTTATAATGTATTATGATTCAGATTTTCAACTTAAGGCACATTGTCTCTGATCTGTCATTTTTTACTGTGGTGAGTAAATTATCATAACTATATTTTTGGTCAATTCAAGCTTTTACAGTAAATTTTGAACATATAAATTATTTAATACAGGAATAGGGAAAATGAATCCAATACTCAGAAATAAAAATGAATTAATTAGAACATATTAGAAGTGAGCTTTGCAGATATCTATTCTAACCACTTCATTTTACAAAGGAAGATTCAGAGACATTGAGTGGCTTTTCTAAAATGTCACTGATAGGATGAACTCAACTACAAAATCTAGTTCCTTTGTCCCCATGATATGCCCGCTCTCTCCAATTTGTTGTTTGTGTGTCTGTGTGGCCACTGCATACCTTTTGAGTGACTTTATTTAATTTCCAAATAAGTTATAATGGATATTTGACTGGGTGTCATGTTGTTCATGTGGGAATAACCCAAAAGGCCCAGTGTGTCTCCTCTAAATGCCCATTTGGAGTTCCTGTTCATCCCTGATTCATTTAAGCAAGTTTTTCTGTTTGGGCCAGATTCTAGCCTCCAATGTCAGGGATACACCTGAGCACTGAGAAACTTCTTGAAGGTGTAACTTTACTTTTAGGTTTCTGTTTAGTAAGATCTAAATAGACATTTTACTTTTTGGAAATATGTGGATTATCAAACTCTAAAATTCTTTACAACATGACACTTTGATATTTACAAAATCTTCCTGAGTTTAATGCAAAAGATTGATTAAATATCTTCTTATTTTAATTTTATTTTTGTTGGATTGTAGTTCTTTTATCAGACAGATCTGTATTCAGTTTCAGCTCTGCCACTTACTATTTTGACTATTCATTGACAAATATCTTAACTACTCTAAATTTCAGTTTCCTCCCAAATGATAAGGAAACATCTCCCTGCTAGAACTCTTTATCCAAATTGTTTGGCCTATCAACTTACTCGATCAGTGAAACTTGCCAGAGGTGACATCTGGGACTTTGATGGCTAGGTCATCAGAAGCCTTGCCCCTTTTCTCTGGACTTCTTGGTACTCAGACACTCTCTGGAGGCACTGAGCCGCCATATAAGAAACACTCATAGCTTGTGAGCTGCATGTTGGAGAGCCACATTTAGGTAATCTATCTCCAGTATCTGATGAGTCCTTTCTTCCAACCATCCTCAGGAAGACACCAAACGTATGAGTGAAGCAATCTTGGATTCTCTATCCCAGACTGTCCATATCAGACACAGAGTGATCTTAGTAAATGCTACGTGGAGCAAAGCATTGTTCAGCTGAGTCCTAACCAAACTCCTGACCTACAGAACTGCGAGATACAATAAAATTATTGTTATTTTAACCCATTAAATGTGGGTAGGGGGATAGTGTATGACAACAACATTTAGGTTGAAAAAATATTCCTAAGGCCCAATATATTGTAAATTTAATGAAGAGCTGTTAAAGGATACAAACATCCAATTATGTACAAATACGATTAAACTTCTGTGCTTTTGCTATTGTGAATAGTGCTGCAATGAAAATATACGTGCATGTGCCTTCATAGTAAATGATTTATGCTCTTTTGGGTATATACCCAGTAATGGGATTGCTGGGTTAAATGGTAGTTCTGTTTTTAGCTTTTTGAGGAATCACCATGCTGTTTTCCTCAATAGTTGAACTAATTTACACCCCCACCAGCAAAGTATAAGCATTTCCTTTTCTCCACAACCTTGCCAGCATCTGTTATCTTTTTTTTTGGCTTTTTAGTAATAGCCATTCTGACTCATGTGAGTTGGTATCTCATTGTGGTTTTGGTTTGCATTTCTCTAATGATCCATGATATTGAGCTTTTATTCATTTGCTTTTTGGCCACATGCATGTCTTCCTTTGAAAAGTATCTGTTTATTTATGTCCTTTACCTAATTTTTAATAGGATCTTTTTGTCTTGTAAATTTATTTATGTTTCTTATAGATGCTAGATATTACATCTTTGTCAGAGGCACAGTGTGCAGAAATTTTCTTCCATTCTGTAGGTTGTCTGTTTACTTACTCTATTGATAGTTTCTTTTGCTGTGCAGAAGCTCCTTAGTTTAATTTGGTCCCATTTGTCAATCTTTGCTTTTTTGTGATTGCTTTTGGCATATTTGTCATTAAATCTTTGCCCATTCCTATGGTATTTACCATCCAGAATGGTATTTCCTAGGTTGCCTTTCACAGTTTTCATAGTTCGAGGTTTTACATTAAAGTCTTTAATCTATCTTGAGTTGATTTTTGTATATAGTGTAGGGAGGGGATCCAGTTGCAATCTTATGCCTATGGCTAGCCAGTTATCCCAGCACCATTTACTGAATAGGGAGTTCTTTCCCCATTGCCTGTTTCTGTCACCTTTGTCAAAGATCAGATGGTTGCATGTGACATTATTTCTGGTTTGTTTATCCTATTCCATTGGTCTATGTGTCTGTTGTTGTACCAGTACCATGCTGTTTTGGTTAATGTAGCCCTGTAGTATAGGTTGAAGTCGGGTTATATGATGCCTCCAGCTTTGTTCTTTTTGCTTAGAATTTCCTTGGCTATTTGGGCTCTTTTTTGGTTCCATATAAATATTAAAATAGTTTTGTTGTTGTTATTGTTGTTCTGTGAAAATGTCATTGGGAGTTTGATAGGAATCGCACTGAATCTGTAAATTGCTTTGAGCAGTATGGGCATTTTAACAATTTTGATTTCTCCTATACATGATCATGGAACGTTTTCCATTTTTTTGTTTCATCTCTGGTTTCTTTGAGCAGTGTTTTGTAGTTCTCCTTGTAGAGCTTTTTCACCTCCCTGGTTAGCTGTATGCCTAGGTATTTTTTTCTTTTGAGGGTAATTGTGAATGTGTTTTAATTCCTGATTTGGCTCTCAGCTTGGCTATTATTGATATATAGGAATGCTTGTCACTTTAATACATTGATTTTGTATCCTGAAACTTTGCTGAAGTTGTTTATCAGCTGAAGGAACTTTGGGGCCAAGGCTATGGGGTTTTCTAGATATGGAATCATGTCATCTGAAAACAGGTATATTTTAACCTCCTCTCTTCCTATTTGGTTGCCCTTTATTTCTTTCTCTTGCCTGATTGCTCTAGCCAGGACTTACAATACTGTGTTGAATAGGAGTGGTGAGAGAGGACATCCCTGTCTTACGCCCTTTTCAAATATAATGCTTCCAGCGTTTGCCCATTCCATAGGATGTTGGCTGCAAGTTTGTCATAGAAGGCTCTTACTATTTCGTGATATGTTTCTTCAATACCTAGTTTGCTGAGAGTTTTAACAAGAAGCGATGTTTAATTTTATCAAAAGCCTTTTCTGCATCTATTGAGATAATCATGTGGTTTTTTTCTTTAGTTCTGTTTATATGATTAATCATATTTATTTATTTTCGTATGTTGAACCAAACTTGCATCCCAGGGATGAAGCCTACTTGATCGTGGTGGATAAGCTTTTTGATGTGCTACTGGATTCAGTTTGCAAGTATTTAGTTGAGGATTTTTGCGTCAATGTTTATCAAGGATATTGGCCTGAAGCTTTCTTTTTTCATCATGTCTCTGCTAGGTTTTGATATTGGGATGATGCTGGCCTCATTGAATTAGTTGAGAAATCCTTCCGCCTCAATTTTTGGTAACAATTTCAGTAGGAATGGTATCAGCTCTTCTTTGTACATCAGGTAGAATCCAGCTGTGAATCTGTTTGGTCTTGGGCTTTTTTTGGTTGGTAGCTAATTATTACGAATTCAGTTTCAGAGATCTGTTATTGATCTGTTCAGGGAATCAGTTGCTTCCTGCTTCAATCTTGGCAGGGTGTATGTGTCCAGGAATTCATCTGTCTCATCTAGGTTTTCCTGTTTGTGTGCATAAATGTGTTGGTAGTAGTCTCTGATGCTTGCTTGTATTTCTGTGGGGTCAGTGTTAACATCCCCTTTGCCATTTCTTATTGTGTTTATATGGATCTTCTCTCTTTTCTTCTTTACTAGTCTAGCTAGCAGCCTATTTATCTTATTCATTAAAAAAAAACTCCTCGATTTCTTTGCCTTTGAATGTTTTTTTTGTGTCTCAGTCTACAGTTCCACTCTGAATTTGTTTATTATCTTTTGCTCTCTTTAGATTTGGTTTGCTCTTGCTTATCTAGTTCCTTTAGTGGTTATGTTAGGTGGTTAATTTGAGTTCTTTCTAACTCTTTGATGTGGGCATTTATTGCTATAAACGTCCCTCTTAACACTGTCTTAGCCCCTCTTAACACTGTCTTAGCTGTGTCACAGAGATTCTGGTATGTTGTATCTTTGTTCTCATTAGTCTCAAAGAGCTTCTTTATTTCTGATTTAATTTCATTATTTATCCAAATGTCATTCAGGAGCAAGTTGTTTAATTTCCATGTAATTGCATGGTTTTGAGCAATTGTTTAAGTCTTGATTTCTGTTTCTATTGGACTATTGTCCAATAGTGTGTTTGGTACAATTTCAGTTCTTTTGCACTTGCTGAGGATTATTTTCTGTCTGATTGTGTGATCAGTTTTAGAGTATGTGCCATGTGACAATGAGAAGAATGTATATTCTGTTGGTTTTGGGTGGAGAGTTCTGCAGAGGTCCATCAGATTCATTTCATCCAAGGTTGAGTTCAGCTCCTGAATATTTTCATTAATTCTCTGCCATGGTGATCTTTCTAAATACTGCCAGTGGAATGTTGAAATCTCTCACTATTACTGTGTGGGAGTCAAAGTCCCTTTGTAGGTCTCTAAGAACTTGTTTTATGAATCTGGGTGCTTCTGTGTTGGTGCATATGTATTTAGGATAGTTAAGTCTTGTTGAATTGTACCTTTTACCATTATGTGATGCCTTTCTTTGTCTCTTTTCATCTTTGTTGGTTTAAAGTCTGTTTTGTCTAAAATTAGGATTGCAACCCCTGCTTTTTTCTGATTTCCGTTTGCTTGGCAGATTTTCCATGATCCCTTTGTTTTGAGCCTAAGGGTGTTATTGCATTTGAGATGGGTCTTTTGAACACAGGATACCATTGGGAACTAGGATTTTACTAAAATGTATATATTAAAAGCAAATTTTTGCCTGCAATAGATATGGAAATGCTTAGAAAGATTAATAGAAATATTAATTTGTTTAGTCATCATAATTATTGTCATTGGCATGATGCTAACTGGCTTAGTATACTAAAGGTATACTACACTGTCTCAGTTTATCCAGTGATACTGAGGAAACTCCTTCAGATTAAGGCAAACTCAGACTGATTCAACTTTTTTTTTCTATGGTTTCCAAACCCTCAGAATTTCCCCCAATCTCAATTCCAGGTTTACAAGCACATCCTTATATTAATATTGCAAATTTTATTATAATATCTCCAAAAATAATAGTGAGCAAATATTGGTGGGGGTGGTTGGAGGAAAGCCCAGGCCGCTGAGCAGCCTGACTCCAGGGGAAAACAACTTTCCTGCTCCATCCCCCTTCTGGCTTCCCCATCTGCTGAGAGCTACTTTTACTCAGTAAAACGTTGTACTCATTTTCCAAGCCCACTTGTGATCTAATTCTTCCGGTACACCAAGGTGAGAAACCCCAGGATACAGAAAGCCCTCTGTCCTTGTGATAAGGCAGAGGGTCTAACTGAGCTGACTGAGACAAGCCATCTACTGATGGCTAAACTAAAAGAGCACCCTGTAACACAGGCTCACTGAGACTTACTGCCGAGGGGTCGGAGCCCCAAAACCTGCCTGTATGCCTGCGCTCCCTAGGGGTTTTGAGCAGTGGGGCACTGAAGGCAAGCTACACTCCCATCACATGCCTTGCAAGGAGGATAAGGAAATTTTTCTCATTTCAATAACTTATCAAGTGTATAGAGAAAGGAACGACAACTATTCAGGTGTCTGGGATCAGAGTGTTCCAGTTTGACTTGGTGATGGTGGGGTTACCAAAGAAACAAGTATAGAAAATTCACCATTCTTGTATCTTCCAATCGGCCAGGATCCTTGATCATTATAGGTATTTAAAGGTTGAATGAATGGTTGAATAAAAGCATTAGTCTCCTACTATTACTACTTTGCAGGTTTCTATATAGATTAATATTTTAATTTTATATATGGGCATTTACAATAAGTAAATGTAATTTACTTTGTAATTTACATTACAAAAGTGATGTTTTCATTGAGCAGTATTTTATACTGGGAGAAAAATCTGCCTGAATATTCAAGAAGTAAATAGTAGTGAGAAGAGCTGTTTGCATTTTCATCGGCCTTCTTAAACTAGCTTTATACCTGGGGTCCCTGCTTTTATTCCTACTCCCTTTCATAACCGAGTCATCCTGGATGACAATGTCTGTTTATACTTTTGTTATACATCACTTTCCTCATTTCATTTCTTGGTTGAAGACCATATGTTGTTTCCTGTTGCTTACTGGACTGAGTCTGTACTTATCTACTTTTATTAAAAAGTCTTTCATAAGCTAAGCCTGTTTTCTCTAACTTCCATGAAGATAGCTATTCGTAACTGACTAATTTCTAACTTCTAACTAAGTTATTTCTAACTTCATGCTTGTCCCCTATACAAAGTGTTTTATCCCTTGTTTGCATGTTTTTAATGTTGTTTCTATTTGTAATGTACATCTCCAATCTTTTTCAGAGTCTATTTCATGTCCATGTCTTCTATTAGAATTTACTTGATTCTGATGTATTAGGGAGGCTGAATTTCTAGAGAATAAATATAGCATATGCCACATTATTTATCATTTTTGTAAATGTTACATTTTGTCATTCCTCATTGTTTTTCTGCATTTTATTTCCTCAAATAGATTTTTAAGTTATTTCAGCCTAAGGATCTCATTGTAGTTTTAAAGTGAAATTATGTGTTATATAGCTTAGATATTTTAAAGCAATTATTCTTGGGTTTTCAAATGAAACTACATGATACTATTCTAAGTGCTAGAATTGTTATTGTATATAAGGGACCTAAGTTACTCTCACTAAGTTTGGCCTCCTTCAAAACATAGCAGGATACCTTTTCTTATCCCTGAGACCTTTATAATTCTAGCTGGTACTTTCCAAATCATGCAGTGCCAACACAGGTAAATTGCATACTAGGTAGAAGCTGTCAGGATGTTACCCACCACAGGAAGTAGTAGAGAAAGAGTGTTAGGGGAAAGTCAGTGGAAAGCTCAGTAAGAAAAGGAACACATGAAAACAATATGCTGGTTATTATCAATAGTTAAAACCAACTGGATAGCAAGTGTTCCCATTTAAAATCAATCAATGGATGCCAAAATAGCTTAGTCAGCATGAACCATTGATATTTGCAGATTTCATTCATTCCAGCCCTGGTATGGGATTGGACAGAAAACAACACAGAATGAGCTGCAGCAAATGGCACAATCTTTATTGCATTATATACCCTATATGCCTATTTCTTCAAAGTACAAGGCATTGCCAAGGAAAGTACATAAGAAAAGAACACAATACTTACGTCAAAATGTTTGTGTAATGCTTCATTATGTGACATTACAAAGTCATGAGATCTAAGAGATGAAGGGACGATTTTTCAGTGACCCACTCCATATGCTTCTGGCAGAAGCTACTGCTTGAGAAGATACAGGCAGAAAATTCATCATCTTACAAGGTAGCCTATCTCATTTTTAATAGCTTTATTCTGGTGGACAAGGTAAACATTAACAAGCTAGGACATTTCTGGCACTGCTGTCATTCTCTTTGGGACCTTGACCTCACTTCCAAATACTTCCAGTTATTATTGAGAATTTTCAGGTGTTAACATGTGTTCTAATGATTATAGTTTACAGCTACAGTGTTGCAGTCAACATTTACCATTCTTGCTCCAGCTTTCCATGTAGATGTTCAAAGCTATGGTGGACATCAAATGTTGCAGCCATTCCAGTGGCATGTACAACACTCCAGGGACTGAGCAGAGGGCAGCCAGAGTGACAGATGGCAGGCTACACTCATAACCACCTCTGTATTCTATTGCACTTGCAACAATCTTTTGATGTTATTGATTTCTTGCCAAGTTTTTCCTATTAATGTAAGATGCTTGAGAGAAAGAACCATGATTTATTTGATTCGGGTTATAAATATTTTTGAATGAATGAGTGATTTTAAGCATTCATCCACAGCTCAAACTATGCAATAATCACTTTCCTTTCAGTGAGTTCTTTACCTAGAGCAGACTGCCTTGTAAAACATGTAAATGGACCTCTCACAGTCTAACTTTTTATAGACATGCATGACCCAAATTTAGGGTGAAGACTGTTTAGGCTTAAGGTGTAATACTTGCTGGATTCATAAGTTAGTGTTGTTATGAAACACAACTGTCTCTCATGGGCCTAGTTCAGCCCAGTGGAACTAAATAGAATAAATCTTTTCTACTTGCATGGGAAGGAGAGTTGTGTTAAGGATTTATAGCTTCATGAAGACTTTCAAGTTAAATTTTAAAGAAACTTGAATAAAGCAACTGTCAGTAACTGTTGCTTGGAGTGAAAAGTGAAGACGCTAAGAGCTGCTACTTTTTCAGCTTTTATAAAGTACAGAGTTGTTTTTGTGCTGGAAGCAGGAAGCTAGGAGCAGCACGGTGAGAAGCACAAAACTCCGAGATGGAGATGTCAAGAAGATGTGCAGTATTCATTTATTCATTAACTGCAGAATATTTACTGACCAACGACAATGTACTATGACAGATGCTGACAGCAGTAAACAAGATGGACAGAGGCTCCTGACCTTATGAAGATATGGCCTAGCAGAGGATAGACAGAAGGTTACACTTATTCAAATCACTAATGGTAATTGTGACAAGTACAGAAGTGATCATATGGTAACCTAACAATTTCCACCAAAATAATCACCGGGATTAGAAGGGCTGGGTTATATGGGAGGCATCATATCAAGAAGCATTTCATTTTCTATTGATTTAATGAAATCAATAGAAATGAGAATGAAAAGAGGTATTAAATAACATTGAAATACTCTTTTCTACATTTCTTGCCACTTGGAGAATAAAAGGGTAAATTAACTTTTCAAAAAAATCTTCAGCTATATGGTTTAGATACTTTGCATATTCATTGCATTTTAACACCATTCTGTGAAAAAGATGAAATTATTTTCATTCATAGGGATAAAGTGACTAAAATACTTGTAGATGGGGGTGGATGATGGGCACAAATTACTTAAACATGGTAATGATAGGGCCTCCATAATGGTAATTTACCATTTACATAACTCTCTTTTAGGAGAAATTTCAGGTACCAGCCCAGAGTCGTACAGCTAAATGGCAGTCAGAAATCAAACTCAGCTCTGTTTGATTGTTGTGTCTGATTCACTTTCATTTTAAAAACTATTTTTCTTGCCAAATCACATTGTTCTAGATTTCATTTATTATGATTATTTTTGTTATTGTTTTAATTTAGGAACTCAGAAATGTTAGATTGCCAGTATAACTCCTTCATTTTATTATATTATTTATTTATTTATTTAGAGACAGAGTCTCACTCTGTTGCCCAGGCTGGAGTGCAGTGGTGCAATCTCTGTTCACTGCAGCCTCTGTCTCCAGGGTTCAAGCGATCCTCCCTCCTCAGCCTCCCAAGTAGCTGGGATTACAAGCATGTGCCACCACACCCAGATAATTTTTGTATTTTTTTTTAGTAGAGATGGGATTTCACCATGTTGGCCAGGCTGGTCTCAAACTCCTCACCTCAAGTGATCCACCTGCCTTGGTCTCCCAAATTGCTGGGGTTATAGGTGTGAGCCACCATGCCTGGCCATCTTTCATTTTAAAAAGGAAAAACTTGGAATTCAGAGAGTTAATGTGACTTGCTCAGAATTTTACAGAAATTAGACCCAAGTTGTCAAAATTTGCAGGAAGTACTACAAAATATGTGATTATTACCTATACTAATATTTAAATAGTTTATATCCTAGTGAAAGGCAATATTTTTCTTAGAAATTTTTTCACTATAGGGCTTTAGGAAAAGGTTTAAAAAGAGCTTTACATATGAAAATGATACTGCCTAGTGAGCATCCTCAACTCAGCAAAACTCTCCCAAACTCAGCCAGGGATTAAAAGCTCTGACTTACACACCTAAGATGTTTTCATCATGTACAGACTTAGAGGTTATTTTCAACAACAACAGTAATTAACTTACAAATGTGGAATTTTCTTATAAAAAATTTGGCTTTTATTCATGAATTTCTTCATTGCATATTATAAAATATATCCACTGAATTGAGTTTTTGAGATCTATTATTGTGGTGTTCATTTATTGTGTGAATTTTTTTTGCAATTGTATTTGACATGTACCTGGTTAAGTACTTGTTTTCAGCTTTTAGCATAATAAGCAATATGTGCTATCATAGCTTCAATTTTCCTGCCAAGTAGAGAGTGACAGCTGTGTGGCAATATCTAATGCATATTTTCATCTACAGATAAATTGGAAGGAAGGAAAAACAGCTTCTGGGTGGGCAGGTCACCATCATTTAAATGAATCGTTAAAATTATATTTTTCCCTGGAAACAAAATGTAATTGCTTTTCTGCTTAGATGCACACTGAAAGCCCTTATTTATATTATTGTAACATATTTTCTCACAATTTACAACTTTCTCAAGATCCTTTGGATTTTTTTCATTTTTGTTACTTTCCTCCATTCAAGCAATGTACACTTATATCTTAATAAAGCTTTGTGATATTTACATAAATTTATTCCTGAAGGACATTGTTCAATACTCTTCCACATTCATTTGACGGCACTGAAGCAATTAAAGCCCTACATTGATTGCCACTTCAGGAACGTTCTCATGCTCACCTTGAATGCAGAAAGGTTACAGCCTTGGGCTCAGTATTTTTAATGTGCAATATTTTTACTAAATTTCAAAGAAATAAGAAATATTATTTATCTCTTTTTTCATTTTGTAATTTTAGATTTTGCCACTAATTGTAAGACATTTGCCCATCTCCAAGATAGCATGAATACATTCACTGTGTTTCCAAATTGTGTTGCTGCCTACAACTTAAAATTATCTTAACAATGATTCATGTAGTAATATGAGGTTCATAAAGATATAGTATTCATTTAATGATTTGCATAAATAAAAAACAAAGACAATTTTCATCTCTGTTTCTTCTGCTCTCAATTTGCTTGTATATAAGTGATAATTTGGTATTTTATGTGCTGGTATGCCTTTATTTTGAGACGTTCAAAAGGTTAGCATGGGATAGTAATTTATGTGAAAGCTGTCACTTATTAAAACAGTACAACCATTCATGAGTTCTGTGATACTCTGAGTAAATCTAATTCCACTTTAGACTTTGATGATGTTATTTGCAATTAAAGATTCTATCTCTGGTGATTATTACTACAATATTTTGGCTTATCTGACCAATCACAAACTTGAGGACATTAGAGAGGGGAAGAAAAGCCAAGTGCTATTTTTCTAGAGTTTACTTAGGGTTTAAAAATTTTGTTGTTTCAAAGGTGATAGTTTCTGTTGTATCATAAGCACATGAAGAAAGTCGATTTTGTATGTGAAGTTTAATCAGCATAGCCTAAGTTTCTGTCTGAAATGATACACTATGAGTGGTTTTTTTTTTCTAGCCTAGTATGATTTAATGAAAATTTTAGACTATTTTTTGCCCAAGCAATATTTCTTAGGTCTTCGTTCAGAGGATTCATATATGGATCTGTGTCTATTGCTAATAGGCTTCTTAATGTATACTCCTTTTAGTTTTTTCCTCCTCTTGAACTTTGTACCATACAGCTAGTATCACTGTCTCACCTAAATCATTGTTATTACCAGTAAGTGATAGGATAGTCTCTAAATTTCCTTGATAACTCAGGTATTTCCTTAATAACTCAGAATCATTGTTTTTCTATCAGGTCATGTTTGTGAACCTAAGAGTTCAACACTCACTTGTTTTTTCTAATTTATTGTCCTTATACTTCTAGCATACTTGACTTGTTTTTAGTTACTCATTTCACAGATATTAGTTGGAGTCTCTGCTATGTGTCAGGCCCTCAACTCAACTGCTTCAGCTGCCCTCAGGCTCAACCTTGTCCTGTAGATAATCATTTCCCCGACTGGTCATATTTCTGAGTTATTACATTCTGAAAATTACCTATATTACCATTGTCTTCACTGTGATTTATACTGTTTTAGATCAGATTCCTTGGGAAATAGACCCTTAACCAGGATTTGCATTCAAGAAACTTACTGGGAAATCCTCTAGTGAATAACATCTGTGAGGGAGTAAAAGCCATGTAACTGAGCAGAGTGAGATGCAGAATTGAGATGCAGTTGCCAAAAAAGACTTTACCCATCCTCCACAGATTGCTGTGAAGCTAAATGGCAGTTCAGAAATGTTCCTAACTGAGGCAAGGAAGGAGCCTAACTGGCTCCTTTCGTCGACAAGTCATAGTTGTGGGCTACAGGCTCCACCTTGTGTGAACAGCCCCCACTTTGGTCAAGGGCAAGGCCTAAGGAAATACTCAGCTTTGTGTCATCAGCAGGCAACACTCTTTGCAGCTGAAATAATGAAGGCCTGCATCCCCAAAGGGAGAACTGGGTGGCATACCAGAGCACCCACAAAAAAAAGTCTTTCTTGCCTTTTTCCTTTTTTCATCCAGAAGTAACATTTTTTACTTCTCTCTCTCCCTCCTTCTCTCTCTCTGCCTTCCTTCCCCATAAAGGCTATATTGATTGCATTTGTCATTGTCATGTAAAGAGTTCTTTCAAAAATTGCCTAGTAGCAAGAATGTCCCACAGACTTTTTTCTTATAATTCAGCTATAAGGAAAAGAAAAACAAAAACAATATTTTATGCATATCTAGTGTTATGAGAGATATAGTGAGGAATTTGATCACTTTTATAGATTAAGTCTAGTCATTTCCTGTCCTGAATTACAGCAGAAATATTACTAGCTTTGCTTGGGGTATCTTGGGATAGATGGCCAGTTCCTGATCACGAGGAGGAGGTGGTTACTACCTCTACCATAACATCTGCTGCTATTATGCTATTCATTCAGAATACAACAGTAAAAACTGGATTTAGCAGAAGTAGTGGTATCACAGAGGAGCCCCTTGGTGAACAAGACCTCTTCTTCTTTATACTTCCAATCATGCCGTTTTAAATGCTAACCACATTTAGGAGAGCTTTCCACATGAAAGACTTCTAATAATATTTAAGTTTTGTTTACATAAAAATACAACTGAACATTTTTATAGAAATTTAGTAACAACAAATTACTACTTTATAAATTGTAATAATTTCTTATATTTAAGGACTTTTAATTTCACCAGCAAATATGGCTAAATTTACTGTATCATTAGAGTTACTTGGTTAAGTTATACATTAGCATTACCTGATTAATATCTCTTCCCATGGTTATGCCACAACAAAATCTTACCGCACTCAAGAACACCTGGTTATATAATCGTCAGTGCTTTTTTATTATTTCACAATTTTATTTTGGTGTTTTGAGATTTTATATAATTTTATTTTTAAATTGTCTCTTCTTTCAGTAAATATAAAAGAGGATAATCAGTCTCCTAGAGCTTCCCATTTAAGACATATATAGCATTCTTACTTAGAGCTGTATAGCTTATCATAATTTCCTTCATTAAGGTCATATTAAAAGAAAAATGTCTTTTTTGCTGTGAGTCCACTAATTCACTCAACAACTATTTTGTAGCTTCTGTTGTGTACATAGGAGGGACAAAGATGAATAAGTTGCATTGTTTTTTCTCTCAACATTCTCACAAGTGTAATCAATGATAATTATATGTAAGCTGATCTAATACAATTGTACAAATGTTCTCTAGTACTGTGAACAGTGCTATTGGCAGCAGTAAAAACAGAACTAACTCTTAAGAGTGGATTTGCTGGAAAATAAAGTTAATGAAGGAGTCATATTTGAGCAGATCCTAGATAGACAAGCCTGATTTTGTATCTGCATCATGAGTGTACATGAAAAAGACTTGCAATATAGTTGGAAAATAGGCTACATGGTGTGTAGCAGACTGTGATAGGACAAAAATGTAAGTCAGCTATCAAAAGGCCTTAAAATAATTTTAGTCTGTATTTAATGGATGGCTATGTAGGGATTTTTGTTTTGTTTTGTTCTGTTTTTGAGAAAGAGGGCAACTTAAATACACCTTTATTTCAGAAAGGAATTTTGGGTCATATTACGTAGAACAGATGATCAGTGGGAGCCTAAATGGGAGGGAATATAAATAAACCAAATATGAGACTGTTGAATTAAGAAGAAAGGTAAGGAAAACTATGAGATATAATTATTACCAGGTGAAAGAAAAAAAATGTAGAAGAGGAGAAGTGGGGAATTACTGGAGTGAATGGTGATAGTGTAACTAATGTAAGATTTGCAGGGGAAGGAACTGAGAGTGGTAGGAAATGTTAATTTACTTTAAAAATATTGTCACCTTCCATGTGACTTTGGCAGAACCAGATCTGTTTATTCTATATGAAGTTGGAAATTTGTATCTGTAACTCAGCATCATAAATATGGAGGCTTCAGCTCCAATAATTGAAATGGATGAGAATGCCCAGAGCAAGAGAGGGAGAGAATGGAGAGAATGAGAATAGAGAGAAAAAGAGTTGGGAATCCATTATATTTTATGTTTTGTGGATGTGTGTCCCTTTATGTAATTGCAATCATTGCATACACTCATTTAATATTATGCCCTAAATACTTTACTCCATATTGTTATAGAATGAGAAGGCTTTTAGGATGTCGGAGTTAAGAATATTGTGGGGCAAAATAACATATATGATACGTTATTGAACCATATCATCATCATGTGAAAAGCACTTTTAAACAAAATCACCCTTATATTGCCTAACTGCCTAAAAACAAATCATAGTACTTGCAGTGTAGTTTCAACAGGTGATAATTATATGAAAAGCTTTTGATTTTTGTCCCAAAGGCAAACTGAAGATAATTTAGCACTGAGACGTTTCTTTTTAATTTCCTTTAATACCTAAGAAGATTTTCTTCTACAGTGAAAGCATGAATGATAAAGGGAAACAAAAATGAAGAAGCAAATTGTTTGCATGTGTCTTCTTTTAAAACACTGGCTAATCCTAAATATTTTGTTTTCAATTAGAGTATCGTGATCTTTGTTTACTTCCTCCATCTTTATTGAGGTATAATTCACAAGTAAAATATGTATATTTTTAATGGTATACAATGTGATGTTTTGATATTAGTATACATTTTAAAATGATGACCACAGTAAATGAACATATCTATAACTTCACATAGTTATATCTGTGTGTATATATGAAAGAATACTTAAGATCTACTCTAAGCAATTTTCAGGTATACAATACAGTATTATTAACTATAGTCATCATACTTTACAGTAGATCTCCGGAACTTATTCATCCTAACAAAAACTTTATACTCTTTGTCTACATCTCCCTTTCTTCCACTACCACTGGGAACCACATTATATTCTCTGCTTCTATGCATTTAAAAAATATTACACATGTAAGTGAGATCATCATGCAGTTCTTGTTTTTCTGTGCCTACTTATTTTACTTAGCATAATGTCCTCCAGGTTCATTCATGTTGTGCAGATAACAAGATTTCTTTCTTTTTTTTAGACTGAATATTTTTCCATTATGTATATATACCATTTTTATACATTTGTCTGTCAGTGAACACTTGGGTTGATTCCATATCTTGGATATTGTGAATAGTGCTGTGATGAACAAGGGAGTGCAAATATCTCTTGGACATACGGATATTATTTCCTTTGGACATATATTTAGAAGTGGGATTGCTGGATCATATGGTAGTTTTATTTTTAATATTTTGAAGAATTTCCTTACCATTTTTCATAATTATTTATTAATTTACATGTCTACCAAAGTGTTCAACAGTTACCTTTTCTCCACATCCTTGTCAACACTTATCGTTTGTCTTTTTGGTAATAGCCCTTTTAACCATATGAAGTAATATCTCACTATAGTTTTAATTGTTTTTTCCTGATGATCAGTGATGTTAAACATGTTTCATATACCTATTGGCCATTTGTATGTCTTCTTGGGAAAAATATCTTCTGAGGTTTTGGCCCATTTTTAATTGAGTCATTTGTTTTCTTACTATTGAGTTGTTTAAGTTCCTAGATATTTTGGATATCAACCTCTTATAAGATGTATGGTTTGCAAAATTTTTCTCCATTCTCTAGGTTTTTTCTTTATTCTGTTGATTGCTTCCTTTGCAGTGTGTAAGATTATTAGTATGAGGTAATCCCATTTGTCTATTTTTGCTTTTGTCTTTTGTGTTTTTGAGGTCTTAGCTATAAAATATTTGTGTAGACCAATGTCCTAAAAAATTTCCCGTTTCCTTCTAGTAGTTTTACAGTTTCAGTATGTTTGCATCTTTATTTCGCTTTGAGTCGATATTTGTATATTGAGTGATATAAGTGACTAATTTCATTCTTCTGCATGTTAATTTTCAATTTTCCCAGCACCATTTGTTGGAGAGATTGTCTTTTCCTCATTGTGTGTTCTTGGCACCTTTGTCAAAGATTGATTACCTGTTAATGAATGGATTTATTTCTGAGCTCGCTGTTGTGTTTCTTTGGTCTATATGTCTGTTTTAATACTAGTACCATGCTGTTTTGATTACTTTATCTTTGAATCAAGATTGTGATCTTAGCTGTATTTGTTTGCAAGCAACTGTGCATCTAAATCTCACAAGATTTCTTACACTAGAAATGAATTTGGTCATAAGAAGAAACCAAGTATGAATGGTGCAGCATAATTATTTTATTCTTAAAAAACAAATCAAAATATATTTCTTATATGTGGTAGTTCATATACAAAGAACTCTGTATCATTTTTTGCTATATTCAGTTCCTTTAGTGTTTGGCACAGTGTAATAGTGCAATGAATATCTCTTTAAAATCATCCACTGAAAAGAGAATTATATTTTGTAAACTTCTTTTTGATCTTCAAATACTATTTGAAATAACTAGCTTACTAAGAGTTGAAATTCATTAATTTGAATAAAATCATTAAATGATTATATTTCATTAAGATTTAATTTTTACTGAAGCCAGAGCAACTTTATATACAAAAGATTATTTCAAAGTCTCCTGGTGCTTTGGACCTTATTTCAGAGAATCTGTCAACTTCTGATTCAGAATGCTATATAATCTGTGTGCATGTTACCAGGACACGTGATTGAATATTATTTGTCTTTTTTTTTTCATACTTTTGCTCTCTGGTTCAGTTTTGGAGACTTTCACTCATAAATATTCTATAATCAGAATTTATTTTATTTGGAAAACACCTTAAAAACTACCTATCTCATCAGCTGTCTAATGTGTACAGTATGTTTGACAAATGTTCCTTCAATCTGTACTTAAACTTTTGGAGACTGATAATTCCCTCTTTTTTTGAAATATCTCAATATAAAGATCTTACCTAACATACATCTTCTCTTGCCTAGTCTTAACACATTAGTTCCTTTTCTGTTTTTTGCTAAGTGGTTTCCAGTTTCCTCACCATATTCATTTCAGTTTGAGGACCTACTAGGATCCATTTGTATAGGGTAGAACTTGTATATTTAAGAATCACACAAATATGGCTAAAGTCCTATTTCCAGTCTATAGTACCCATGATCTTGGGAAAATTACTTAACTTCCCTAATATTCAATTTTTGCATCTGTAAATGGTACTAGCAACAAATATAGAGGCTATTGTGAAGATTAAGTTAGAAAGTGGCTAAAATATTCTGTAAAATACTCTCGTAGTTTAACATATTTTCATTTCCTCCTCTGACTTCCTATGTTTACAAGCAGATCGATACCATCTCTTCAAATGTTCTAGATTCTACTAAGTAATATGAAGATTGCATCAGCTTTCTGGCAGTTTTTTGGCCTATTTACTCACAAGCCTCTATCAAGAAAAATTTAAGTCATTTTTGTACAAGAAATGCTAGCCTTCATATCAATACCATATATATCTTTGGGCCCAGCTGGTTAAGCCATGTCTTAGAAATTTATTTAGTCAGCCATTGTGTTAGCCAGGCTCCCAAATTTGTCTTTTGCCAACTTGATTATCACTTCCAATTAATCAGTGACAAAACACTGAAACAAAGCAGGACAGGAGCAGACCCAAGCCAGGCTACTAAGAAACTATGCACTAACTCATTACTCTGCACACTTCATTCATACAACTGCTTCCAATTCATCTTACTTTACCAGGATCTAATGGATATTTCTCTAGGTGCGTGTTGCCTACAAAATTATTATGAGGAACACTGTCAAATGTCTTGATGAAATAGACAAAATGATTCTACCTGTTTATGCCTCTGGGCGCAGGTTGGTCAGGTCCATCAACTAGTGAGATAGGAGGCAGTGTCTCCATGAAGACCAGAAGCAATAAAAAGCTGAGCACAGACCAGTCTCAATGCAGTCTCAAAAATCAAAGCCGCAGAAACTTCAGGTACCACTTACAGGAAGAGGGCTAAAATAAAAGGGCAAATCAGTAGCTTAAAAAGAAATGGAATTGGAGAAGATGAGACAGAAAAGCAGGAGGATTCTGAGTGATTACTATGAATGAAGAAATGGAAGTATTAATAGCTTTGTTTTGCCCGTGTAAATGGAGTTGTCTGAACTTACGGAAAAGGCAGGCAAAGAATGAACATATAATTGTTACTCATGTTTTTGTATTATTTTAGTTGTTTACTTTAATCTGTCAAATGGTTTATGGTAAACTCTGTTGGATGCTTGTTTTTGTACTCTTCCTCTGCAGAAGCTCTGAAATATTCATATGTACTATGTAATTTCATTCAGGATCAGTATAAACCCAGTTTTAAAAATTCACCTTTGCCCTCCTTTTGAATGCTGAGACTCATTTGCTGAATTCCGGAGTTGCAGCCTTGTCTCATAATTTCCCAAAAGTCACTGATAAAATCACATGAAATTTTCCTTGTAACACTGGAATATAGTTTGTGTGAGAAAACTTGAACTAAAGTAGTTAGTTATCTTCTTATGATTCCTTACTGATTTGAAGCTCAGGTTCCTTCTAGGTCAATGTATCTCTTTGGCTCAAAAATTATTCTTTCTACTGATTAATCAAATATGAATTTAGATGCTTCACTTCTTTTTAATTTCATAAAAATTAGTACCTTGGTGATGTGTACATACCCTATTTCAAATTTATCATCTGTATATTTTTAAGATAAATCATAACAAAATTCTTTCTCTTCTAGAAACAGTAATTCTTCTTAGAAACTTAGTACAGGTAAGTTTTATAAAACTTGATGTGCAGTTTTTTTTTAATTTAAAAGTTTATAAAACTTTGTGTGGCTATTGATTGTACTTAGAGTAACCCACATTTGCATGATTAGGGAAGTACAAAAGCTTAAAAGTTAACCACTTCCCTGCTAATGTAGAAAGACAAGTTGATAATGGACTGAGTCACCACTTCTTCTAGGCAACTGCTAACATGAGGAGTAGGTTTAAAAAATTAAATTTCTTAGTTAAAAAAAGGGTTTTAAAAGAGTATTGCTTACTGTCATGTATATGTTTTTAAAAATTCCTATTTCTTTTATGTTTGTCTCATAGCTTATCCTTAAGCTGAGCAAAATTATTCAAATGTGTTAAAAAGAATGTTATTTTCTAGATCATAATACCATGACTCTATGGTCTGGTGGGATATGTGAATACAACGATGAGTGTGTTTCTTTCCCTTGAACCAACCAAATAAGGTTTTTTGGCATTCATGCTATATTAAAAGGTATAAACATAAATAATGTTATAGTGTAAATAAAATAATGTTATAGTGTAAGTAAAAATAAACACTGGCTTCTAAAAAACATTTAATATATGAAAAAAATTTAATATTAGATGACAAATACTTCTTTTTAATGTTTATTGGTGAAACAGATTCAGAAATGTTACGTTCCTGCCAAGATCACACAGCTATTCAGAGAAAACAGAATTAAATAAAATCCATATCCTTTTCAATATAATTAAATGCTTCAAATGGAAGATATACCAATTTCTCTCTTCCCACTGTTTCCTAAAGCATGAAACCTGTCAATACCACCCAAACTCATATTATTTTAAGAAAGTAGTTTCCAATTATTTTGAGATCGGAATCCTTTAGAGAATCTGGTTACAAAAACTGTGTACCCTTTCTTCAGAAAAATTTACGAATGCCCATTCCCAAGCCACATTTAAGTAGTAACCAGCTGGGCGGTTGTCTAAAGTGCTAATGTAAGAGTAGCACTAAAATGACGCTAGAAATATGTTGAGATAGAAGAGGTTGTCTTACAGGAATTCTTAGAGATAATCTTATATGTAGGTGGAAGTTTTATTTTCAAAAGCCTCTTGGGATGGAAGAGGTGAACTCAAAAATTAGGGCTTCCTCTCACTCACATGTCACTTTGGTGTACACTCCTACTTTCTGGTGGATCCAGTTGAACATATTGGACTGCTTCAGATTCCAAATACAAACTGTTTTTACAAAACCACTTGTCCACTTGGCTGGGTGCCATTGTTACCACGTGATGGAGACCTTGCTCAAAGGCAGACACTCATGGAGCACTGTAGGGCTATATAACTGCTTTCCCAAGAGGTTCCATCCAGTTAACTGCAAGATTTAATTTTTACTGAAAGGAGTATGCTAGTGTAGGACTGTAATCCAGAATAAATGATAAAGGATGACTATTGCTCCCAGTGTCCCATTTCTTTACTTTTCCTAAAGCAAAGTGATCTGCTCCAGTTCTAAAAACAATGCTGGACAGATATATTGAGAATATATTGAGGAACACCAAGTCACCAGCCTACACTGCTTTTCAAACTGAATGGGATGCTTAGGTGTCTTGGTCTGGTCCCCCATATTCATCACATTATTTTCTACACATTTTCAGGGAATTTATAACCACTTGATGCTTATAGATGTTATTGTATATGTCTTCATTAATTATTCAATGAGAACATACTATGCCAGAAATTAAACTTGTTTACATACGTGCCCTCAATAACAAATACAGTAGAATGATTACCATATTTGATAATATTAGATTTTGTTTAAAATCTAGAATTACTATAAAATTCACACAAAGCCATGTTACATATTTTGAAAACAACACAAAGAATTGGAAACTTCAGTTTGGTCCACTCTCATTTGAGCTAATCTCAGTTGCTTCTATGGTATCAACAATCGTTGTGCTTGAGGAAGACATCAGCTTGAATTTTGCATGTCTCTGTACATTAACAATATCATCTCAATGACACAGTCACAAAATTCCTACGGTTTTCTATTGAATTACGTGTATTTTTAAGATATGAGATTGTTTTAATGGATCTCAGAATCACCTGTTATACATCATGTTGGTTTGGTAAGCATGGAAATCTATTGATTTTATATGTTCCATTTTTCTACTGAGTAGATAATCCTTATATAAATCAAAATGTATTTTAATAGAAAGAAAAAAACACTACAAATATCTCTGGGCCAATAAAGTTCTCTTGGTATCAGGGAACTTGAGTGATTCATTCCAAGCTTGTACGTATTTCATTGCTGAATACTTACCAATGATAAAAAGCTGAAAGATTACAAAAGATTGTATCATCCAGATAGAGAATGTGTTTTTGTCACCAAGAGCCTTATAAGTTACTTCTGAAGAGTGTTAATTGTATAGAATTCTTTATATACAAGCCAGTGAACATAGAAAATCCATAACCTAATTATATGATTAAAATATCAAATATAAACATGTATGTGTATAAAATATATGTATGATATGTTGATAAGGCAAATCCTGCTGTTTTATGAAAAATAAAAGAGGTCATGAGGTTATTTAATGTTGGAGTGTTTGAAAAAATATTTATAATAACACTGTTTTGTTTAGATCTCTTTGTATACAAAGCTTGTCCTTATGCATATGCTGATTTCTTCTCAGAATATTATTTTATCTGATTTATATATAGTTATAACCTTTGCTGTTTTTAGGTTTATCAAAGAGAATACTAATATATGTGATTTTCATTTCATCACTTATCCAAAGGTAAATGAAAATCACAAATTAGGTACAATCTACAATATTTTTGTCAGTTTAAAAATGTAAAATAATAGCACATGTAGTGGTACTATTATTCGTGTTAAACTTGAGTTGCACTGAAGCATTATTTTCTTTAAAAATTCAGTAATGTATTTAAAAATATACACGTGCTGCCACAATATATTTCCATGGTTAATTATTCATGTATACGATAGCCTAGTTTCTCGCCTTTTTTGTTCATTGTATATTCATACTACAAGTAAGGATTTTTCTGCCTTAAGCAGCAGTCCAGTTTGGGCTGTGTAATACTAGGATTATTGGCATCGACATCTGTCTTTCCCTTAAATTTAGGGAATTTAAGCCAATAAGCTACTCCCGTAGAAATTTGAAATTAGGAGCATAGAAACTTTGGCAATACATGTGTGGGTCCTGGAAATGTTAAATCATGTAGAGGTGGAGCTGGAACAGCCATTTTCATGAAAGCATGTAAATGTTAAGTTAATAGAGAAAATAGTCATCAAAGAGAATCAAAAGGATAGTTTGAATTCATAGAGAGAAAGGGTCAATAGACCGTTGTGGATTAGAGAAACAATCGTACTGAAATCAGTTTGTTTCACTTCACAGAAACCAATTGCTAAATTTTCAGGAAGTTTTGCATCTGGGGTGGCTTCAAGTGGACAAGTGATTTGAAATCAGCCATAGTGATGTACTTCTGCCATAGAACTTATGCTCCAAATCAGGGCTTCCTGTTCCTGAGAGTTGTTAAACGTTTAGCTGCATACATTGTCACAGAGAGGGAGAGACAGAGAGAGAGAGAGAGAGAGATCTCCTGAGTAGTTTATCTGATCCTTGATAGCTTCCCAGTTCCCAGCTCTAAATCCATGAGAACCAGCAATGCTTTATTTCTATGGAATGCATTTGTATCCTGTTAATAAACCAACATTTATGTTCTGCTCATTTAGTTCCCATAAAAAATTAATTGCTACATTTCTAATCAATATAATTGGAAGCAAGGAAACAGGATGGTAACTTATATTCATGTGAAATGCCTTATATGTATATGCTGAAGTCTGTTTCTTTTTTGACCCCATATAGTTTAGAATCAATCCCAAATAACATTTAATGCCAACTATGTTGACTCCATAGCAAGACATCTTTTTCCAGATGCGTTTCAGTATTAATCTGATCATCACCGAGAGGAAACTTAGGGAGGAATAAAGACAATAAATTCAGTATCTTAAAAGATATTTGAGTATTTTATTAAGGATTTTGCATTTTTAAATATAGAGTTGTGATCAATTTTGGCCATCACAGGCATACAGAAAAGTTTGCCCTGAATGATTAGAGAGGCATTCTGTTTAAAAAAAGAAAGAAAGAAAGAAAGAAAGAAAGAAAGAGAAAGAAAGATGTTAACCTGGATTATCTTTCTCAATTTTTTCCTAGTCTTGCTTTCACCACTTCCTCTAATATCTTTTAGATTAGAGCGAGGTTAGTAAATACCTTGTCACAAATTACCTTAAACAGACTCACTGGTGGATGTTATTTTGAGGAGAGGCCACCACTCTTCCTTGTGTCTATCCCATCCCAACCTCAGCAGAGCTTCTAGATATAGAAAAATGCAAAATTCAGTCATTCTGAGACAGTCCCACTCATCTTGGCAAGACAAATGCAGAAATGTGTGCTCTACCCTAAGAGTTACTAAGGCCTAGTAACACCCACAGGGGATGCTTCTGCCTGTCATTGTTGACCTCAGAAATTTTAAGGTTAGGTATCAAATGCCAGCAAGGGGCATGAGCAGTTCCAGATCTATCTTTTGACTTGCTGGAAGCATAATTACTAAAATACAGTGACTGGCCCACTTTTTTAAGGCCTCACAA
This sequence comes from Homo sapiens, assembly GCF_000001405.40. Taxonomy (NCBI): domain Eukaryota; kingdom Metazoa; phylum Chordata; class Mammalia; order Primates; family Hominidae; genus Homo; species Homo sapiens. The sequence goes on from NC_000003.12 coordinate 97,124,983, forward strand.
ATTTTAATTGGGAGCACCTTGACCCCCAAGTACAAAAGGAAGGATTTCACCTCATAGGAAAAAGTCAAGCAATATTACTTAGAGAAATGCAGGATATCATAAAGGACTCTTACAAACATATGTGCCTTTGGGCTATCAGATTTAAAGACAGAAGAAACTAATGCCCTGCTTGTTTTGTGTTATTTAGGAAATGCCACCAGAAGGGACCATTATTTTCCTCTTTGAACTAAATGTCTTAAGCTGTTTCAGGACAAGCATTAACCTTTAGCTAAGAAAGAATTTATTTAGGATATATATTGAAACACACTTCTATTGATTGTTTCTGGCATATTGCATTAAGTACAGAATATTTCTATAGAAGCAGCTCACTCAGTTCAACAAGGTTATTTTTTTCCAGTTATGCTAATAGGAAATTTAAATATTCTACTACCATATGAATAGATAGGAATATTTCTATAAAATTTAAGATCACATCTGTTATCACTATACATATTTTGGATTTCTTTTTCCCTTGAATGCAAGAATAAGTGCAGATATTTATTGAGAGGAAACATGGAGCTGTTTGATTTGTCTCTGGCTTGTTAACAATTAAAGCAGATTATTTTTTGGTATCTTAATTTTTCTAAATATAGAATATAGTTACCAGGTTATTCTCTCCTTCTTCCAAGAGAAATTGAAAAATGACTAAAAATTCTTTATTATTATGTGGATAAATAAATGATTTAAATAAAATAAATATTTTCAGACAATAGTACTCAAACGTGTTTAATTATCAGTTAAATTACAGGTTGCTGACTAAATAGCCCAGGAGATAGTCTTAAACACACACAACACTCCTCTTTCACTGAATTTCAAACCTAGTTTTAAATGCTTTCAGATTGTTTTAGAGTATTCTTTTTATTGTAATAAGGACATAAGTAAAGACCATTGATGTAGTTTGTCTTTGTAGAAGACTGAGAAATGACTTCGATCAGAGGCACACATCCCACTGTGCTTTGGTTTAGTGAATAGATTACAAAATGAGACTTATTCAAGATCAAATGGCAAGGAGGCGAGTATTCAAGTCTGTGATTACAAGACAAAAGCCTATCTTGATGCAGGTATGCGATTTCCTACTACTTTAGAAGGCATTTTTTTAGCCTTCACAGTATTGCTGGGCTCTTAAACATTTGGAAAGTTACTGCAGTTTCTTTCCTTGACCTAGGCTTGGGACTTACTGATTTAGACATACTGGCCATATTAACAAGTTGTTACCCCCACCTGATTCTAATGGCCAGGGGATTGTAGTTCTCTTGTCTCAGAATCCACAACATGCACTGGCAGCTTGGAGCACAGCCCAGGAAAGCTAACTCCAGGTGTAAGGCTTCAGCCTGCATTCTCCCAGTGCAGAAGAAAACAGTAATTTTCCCACTTTTCTGAACAGCAGTTTCAATCCAAAAAGCACGATGAAAAAGTAAAATTTATCCAAGACTGCTTTATTCTTGGCATTTAGCACAAATGACAATATAACTCCACAAAACTACTTCCAAATAATTACATGAAGAAGCATAGTAAGAAACAATTTATTAACATGTCACTACTAGTTTTCTCCTAGGAATTTAGATATGCCACACCAAAAGATGACAAATTAATTCCCATTACACTAAACTTCTACTAGGTTCTTATGAATGTTACATTTGTTCTCCTTTGTACTCTGCACTAAGGAATGATGGAAACTTAGAGCCTTCACCTGTGTTAAAAAAAAAAAAGATTTGAAGTAATAATACAGGAGAACCAAATTAAATCCATTTGAACTAAAACTAGCATATTAATTCAGTTCTGCAGATGTTTAAATGTCAATATTAGTTTATTAAAAACCACTACAGTAAGAGCATAAAGAAGATGGACCAATGGAAGGAGGCAAAGGGAGAAGGTGAAAAAAAAAAAAAAGAACACTTAGATCTAATTGAGAAACGAAAGAAAAAATTAAAACTGAAGAACACAATAACAAGGAAAAAGACTGCAGGGTAGGGAGAAATAACTTTTTCTCACCCATCCTAGATTCATGGCTGAGGTCCCTAGAACAAAAAACAGATTAACAAGAGAAAAACATACAAATTCATTTAATAAGTTTTACATGACACAAAAGCCTTCTTAAGGAAATGAAGACCCAAGTAATAGTTAAACTTGTGTATTTTTAAGGTAGGTTTGCTAAGAGTGGACAGCAGTCAGGGAGAAATGTAATTGTACAAAGGGATATGATCTAATGGTAATAAACTGGGAGGGAACTTTGCAAGACCTGCTTTGCTCTGTATTTCTGTGTCTTCACTGATAAGGATGTTCCTTTCCTCCAGGTATAGGGTGGGCACCTCTCAAATGAAGCTCTTATCTTCTTCAAGGGATGATTAGGAAATTCGTCCTAGGTTTTATGACCTGCTTCATGGGAGAAGGGCTGGGGCAAGAGAATGAACTTCCCGGCTGGGCACTGTGGCTCACACCTGTAATCTCATCACTTTGGGAGGCCAAGGCGGGCAGATCATCTGAGGTTAGGAGTTCCGAGACCAGCCCGGCCAACATGGTGAAACCCCGTCTCTACTAAAAATACAAAAATTAGCTGGGCGCAGTGGTGCATGCCTGTAGTTCCAGCTGCTGAGGAGACTGACAAGGGAGACTCCTTTGAACCTGAGAGGCAGAGGTGAGCCGAGATTGCGCCACTGCACTGCAGCCTGGGCGACAGAGCCAGACCCTGTCTCAAAAAAAAAAAAAAAAAGAATGAACTTCCTGCTTCTCCTGTTTTCTCAAATTCTTTAGCTTCCAGCGTGTCATATTTGGACATAGTGTATCCTGAATCCCATCAGGACCATTCTATGGTGATCTGGATGAAAGCTGTGAAATTCAATATTCTTTAGTTTTTTTTTTTATTTTACTAGCTTTAGGAGTACATAGATTTTTAGTTACATAGATGTACAGACATGAAGTCTGAGATTTTAGTGCACCCATCACCTGAGTAGTGTGCCCTGTACCCAGTAGTCATCTTTCATCCCCCTCTTAACCTCCCCACTTCTGAGTCTCCGGTGTCCATTATACCACTCTATATGTCTTTGCATACCCATAGCTCAGCTCCTACTTACAAGTGAGAGCATGCAGTATTTGGTTTTTGATTCCTGAGTTACTTCACTTAAAATAATGCTCTCCAGTACCACCCAAGTTGCTGCAAAAGGCATGATTTTATTCTTTTTTGTGGCTGAGTAGAATTCTATGGTATATATGTATCATATTTTCTTTATTCATCAGTTGATGGGCAATTAGACTGAATCCATATGTTTGCACTTGTAAATTATGTTGTTATAAACATGCATGCCAGTGTCTTTTTGACATTGTGACTTCTTTTCCTTTGGGTAGGTACCAGTAATGGGATTGCTGGGTCAAATGTTGGATCTACTTTTAGCTTTTCATCTGCTCTTAGGCCTAGCTGTTGGATTATAATACTTGATATCTAGCTTTGGGGCATAGAAGCATTCTAAACTCTAGACACTGAAAAATGTACATTTTGGGGGATTTTTTTTGGAGACAGTGTCTCACTCTGTTGCCCTGATGACTATGCAGGAGTGCAGTAGCATGATCTCGGCTCACTGCAACCTCTACCTCCTGGGTTCGATTCTCATGTGTCAACCTCTTAAGTAGCTGGAACCGCAGGCACAGAGCCACCACGCCTGGCTAATTTTGGTATTTTTAGTAGAGACAGGGTTTTGCTATGTATGTTAGCCAGGCTAGTCTCAAACTCCTGGCCTCAAGTGATCTGCCCACCTTGGCCTCCCAAAGTGGTAGGATTACAGGCCACTGCCGGTGCCTGACCCCATTTTTAGGTATTTTTACACTTTTCTTTCTTCTACTACCTGAATTTTTATGTCTTTTTTTTTTTTTTTTTTTGAGACAAGGTCTCCCTTTGTCACCCAGGCTGAAGTGCAGTGGTGCAACCTCAGCTCTCTGCATCCCCTGCCTCCTAGACTCTAGTGATCCTCCCACCTCAGCCTCCCAAATAGCTGGGACTACAGGTGTGCACCACCACACCCAGCTTATTTATATATTTTTTTGTAGAGATGGGATTTCATCATGTCGTCCAGGCTGGTTTAGAACTGCCCATCTTGGCCTCTGAAAGTGCTGGGATTATAGGAGTGAGCCACCGTACTCATTAGAATCACCTGTCTATAGTAACACAGACATCACTTCCTTTGTGTAAAAAGGTACAGTGGTGGGGCCAGGTGCAGTGGCTCATGCCTGTAATCCCAGCACTTTGGGAGGCGGAGGTGGGCAGATCACGAGATCAGGAGATCGAGACCATCCTGGCTAACACGGTGAAACCCTGTCTCTACCAAGAACACACAAAAAAATTAGCCAGGCGTGGTGGAGGGTGCCTGTAGTCCCAGCTACTCAGGAGGCTGAGGCAGGAGAATGGTGTGAACCCAGGAGGCAGAGCTTGCAGTGAGCCGAGATCGTGCCACTGCTCTCCAGCCTGGGCGACAGACTTCGTCTCAAAAAACAAAAACAAAAACAAACAAAAAAAAAAACAACAAAAAAAAGTACAGTGGTAAATTCGGTGTTAATTATATGCATTACTGTTAAAAACAATTTTTTCTGACACTTCTTAAAACAGTAAGGCACTTTATTCAGGATTATAGTAATAGGTGAAGGAATACTGCAGTGGAGTTTTGCAGTAGTAGAGAGAGACTGGGCTCAAGTCTGTAAATAAGAAATAAGGGAATTCATAGGCAAGGAGCAGCAGGGTTGGGGAGTTGGTACATGTAAAATTGCTGATCAAGTAGAGTAATTCTTGCTGAACTGACCTATCAGGATTTCCACAGAAGGCAGGTCAGGGTGATCAGACATTACCTGAGAGATAGTGAGAGATGAGGGATTTGGTCAGATATTGAAGACTATCAGATATTGAGGGTGGGGCATTCTGGCTAAACTGATACAGCATTCTTGCTACATTTGGGTTCTTGAGAAAATGCCCTAGTGGAGCTCAAGGAGATTAACTAGAGTTAGGTCAAGGAATAGTCTTTGTCAGTACAAACTAAAATGGAACTTCAAGGTCTCTCATATGATCAAAATAAATATTATTAAGTATCTGTCAAAGTGCATTTTGTTGATAAAATTATTTCTCTTTTTCTCGGGTGGTGGTAGTGACAGTACATGGAACTATTACTCATTTCTGATAACAACTTTTGATATTTTCTCTCTTGGATTATGCACATGTCTACAGTATTCTGGGTACCCTTCCTACATTCTCTTACCATCTCGGGGTTGTTTTTTTCTCTTTTTCTTCATTTTTTCTCTAGTTACCATCTGTCAAACTGGATATCTGTCAAACTGGATTTCTCAATTCTTCTACATATGGTAGTTAAATCCAATTTGCTTTTATTGTAAATTGGTTTGGTCATAATTCAGGTTTAATCCAGTTTTTATAGGATCATGTTAATGATTTTGTTTTTTAATATCTATGTTCTATTTAATTATACAAATATTTCTAGTTGACACATTTTATGACTGTCCTGAATGCTATTTTTGTCATTTTTCTGCACCTGTTAAAATATATCCATTTCCTTAAACAGACTTTACAACCTGAATTACAAAATTTCCACTTATACACATCCTAATTTGTTTCCTAACCTATTGATACATCTTTCCAGTTAGACAAGTTATTTAGCTATTCTCCTGCCAATATGCATATTAATTCATCTGACATTAGGGGAATATTAAGGAATGTAGACTTGAATAATTTGATTACATAAAACTTCTAACAAGACTATGCCTATTCTAGGCTATGGGTACTTTCCTAGATCTGTTAAAAGTGAAAAGTATTTCACTTATTCTACCGTGATTCACCCTTATTATAAACAAACCATATCCTAGTGAGAAGAGCTAAATTTGTATTTTGGATGATATGTTCGTGAAGAAATTATTATAATTATTGTATTGTAACCACTTCTGTGCCATTTAATTGACACAAAGTGATCTTTAATCATTCAGCAGTTAATTCTTTCATTATTCCATCAGGAAAAATCAATAGCACAGTTGATTTATATCTGTAGAAACTCTGATACTACAGTGGCAGATTAAAATTGTCATAGCAGAGAAGAAAAAGAACTCGTATTTAGAAAAGGAAAATTATCTAAATTAATTCCACAAGTGCATGCTTTGCTTAATTTTTAGATATATAATGTAAAATATACAGAAGTCTACATTATATGAATGTATACAGTGGTATGTATGGAGATTTTCAAAATATAAATGGTAGTAATATATGCATGGGTTCATATAGAAATAAATGGATAGATGATAGAAGATAGAGAGATAGATACTTAATACACCCTTGTCAATATCCCCCAAAGTACTGTATAAAAAATAGGAACAGATCAAGGTGTACTTACAATATTCCTTAGTCATAATAATGGTTAAATTGAACTATAGCAGTAACAAATGTAAAACAATTGTAATAGGAGTTATTTGGTGCCAGATTTGTTAGTAAAAGAATAAACAAGTAAGTATGAGGTATTGGAAAAATCTGTGAATTTTTATTGTATTTATTTCTTGCATAATATTTATCACAGAGTTACTTCATTCTTCCAAGAAAGGATAATTATGTACACATGACCTTATTTACAAGTGGATGGCTAAAAATGACCCAGATGCCTTGTGTATTATCTAGGCAATCTGCCAGGAAGTTGGCCACAGCAGAGAGGATCAGAAAGTTCCCACTCAGTCCAGACATGTAGAGTAATAAACATTTTCATCTTGCTGTACTGTTATTGCTACAAATAATAAGCTAGAAAATTTAGATCTTGATCAAAGTGTTTGGATGTCTATACGTTATTATACAGGTTGTATGTTAGCAAGTCAGCCATAGCAGGCAAACAACCTTATACGGTTTCAATCATAACCTAAATGACCTGCCATGTTAAAAGCAAAACCAAACTAAATATAGTGTGTCTTCCACTAAGGATGAAGAAAACAGATTAGGTAAATTTAAAGTGTATAAACTTGTAAATTGTATATATGGCACTAGAATGATGTAATATTACCCATGTGTGAAAAACCTGTGAATATCATTATACTATTCAAAGAAGCCAGCCCTCAAGTTAGTTTGATAATAAAAACAACAAATATGTACATATGTATTGTAAAATTACAGCATTCAGACCCTTTGCTTTACAGAGCACTTATCTAGTTTAAAATCAATGCATATATTTATTAATTCATAAAGCAGGTATTTAATGAGCACTTGCAACGTGTCAGGGACTGTTTCAAGGTCTTGTAGACACATACCGTACTTTCCAAGAGAGGCGCTCAGGGTTGATTAAAGTGTTGAATATCAAATGTTATTTTTAAAGTTCTTTTCATATTTGAATTATTTGATATGGGTGGAATCCTAACTTACGGGAGGTGAAAAACTGTAAAATCATTCATTCAACTTAGTCTTTTTAAATATCTCACTCTACTCCTCTATTAAGAAGTCCTGTGTTAGTAAAGTAGATGGCTCCTTACGTGATGATATTTAAGGAGTTATTGACATGTTTTCTTGCTCTTAGCTGTTTTCCAGATGCTTGTGTTCCTGCCTGAAAGGATATTATGAAAAAATGTCCTCTAACATCACAGCACACCTTTCAGGGCTTAACACATTAAGCTATTACCAGTTTTATTTTACAATCCTAAAATATTAATTTATCTAATTACTTTACTCAATTGAGAATACAAAGCTGAACAAAGGGACAATTATAGAATATTCCACATCCCCTAAAAAGTGTGGCTCTGAGTAGAAGAATATTGTCCTGTAGTAAAGTAGAATGTAGGCAACCAAAGTAAATTTACAAAAACTAATCGAAGTATGCATTCACCCAGGGCTAAGCTTGCTACTAAATTCGTTGTATATAAATTAATAAAATAGAGAAAACAGTATTTGCCTTTGAGGATATTGAACTCTAGCCACTCAAGGTAACGTTTTACTCTCCTGTTACAGCATAACAGTGCTAAAAAATGTCGTATGCATATATACAATTTTAAAAAAGAATTTTAAATGAGTCCATAAATGACAGAATGGAAAGTAAAGGATAACTGGTGTTCTTAAGAGCTTCCAGAAGTTGGTAAAGGTTGAGAATTTTCCGATGAGATAGTAGACGTAGATCATAGGCACATGACATCCTATGAGAGTGAGCAGCCAGAGTCATATGACTGAAATAGGCAGACAAAGTAGGAAAGTGATGTATGTTTGGCCTGAAATACTGGGTTAAGCCATCTATATTTGGTGCAGTCAATGTTTGACAAAAATAGTTGCTCAAAGCTTAAGCAACAAGGTTTTTTAAGATATGTAAATCAATTAAAAACCATTGAAATTGAAAGAGTAAGTTGATGTAAAAGACTTATAGCCAGATTTTTCAAATGTATTTTGTTCACATATGCTTTGTCTTCTGTTTTCCTACAAAAAAAATCAGAATTTTCAATAAATATTTATTAGAAAAATGTACAGTTGACACAAACATTTAGAATGACTCTAGAGGCTATAAAAGCTTACTTTCAAGTGCTAAGAGGCAGAGTTAAAATTATCATAAAATATCCCTATGTCTAATGCTAACATGCAAACATAAAGTTACAATGTATTTTGTAAACTATATCTGAATATATAGACCAGGAAATCAGAAATATCCTTCTTGATGTTTTCTATTCTGGAATGGCATAAAGGTGCTCCCTTTTGTAACTTGTATTAAAATATTTGTGTTAATAATTGATATGTTAACAGTACAAAATGATGAGAATATCATATGAATCCCTATACCACCTAGGAGATCAAAGAAGTCAAAAGTGTCTTCTTCAGTAATTAGTTTAATTTGTTCTCAATAGGGAATTCTAAATTTTATCCTTTTAAGTTTATCAACATAATTCAAGCTGTTGATTGCATAGTAGATTAATGATATGAGTATGATATATAAAATTCTATTAGCAGCTCAGAGGGTGATTTTAGAAAAGTAAACATATTGGAACTAAAGGAAATTGTTTTTGCCACTGTTTGTTTTCATGAAATTTTAAAAAAAAGAGCCTACATAAATGTAACATGCTGCAAAATATGACTATAGAGTCAGAGGTCAGTTAAAAACAAATGAAGAGATTTGATGTAAAGTTTATATTTCATATGCGTTTTATTTAGTATCCAAATGAGATTCTCCCACTTAATAAAATATCAACATATGAAAATAGCAACTCTTTCAATATACTATTTCTGAAGCTATATATTTAGATTGCTTCTTTCATTTATTTTTAGTATAATTGTTTTTGAAACTTTAATAAGGCAAATTAGTAGTTCCTAGTTCTAGATAAATGTGAGAATCATACAGGGAGCCTTTAAAAAGTACTGATATCTATGACCCACACTCAAGAGATTTGGAAGTAATTGATTTTATAAGTGTTTTGGCTACTGGTGTATGTGCAAATCTGCCCAAGTGATCCTTGAGTGCAATCAGGGTTGAGAACAATTGAGAGAAATCAAGAGTCATCGATTCTGAAATATGAGACAGTACTTTCAAGATCTTCATGTTGGATTTGATTTTGAAGAACTAACCAAGTAAAATCATGATTATTAAAATAATTCCCCTAAATAATACTATTATGCTTATGCTTTGTTATTAAAGATGGAAGAAGCAGTAACTATATCTCATTAGAGAAAAAACTAGTGCATTGTAAGAAAAATGCATCATTATGATTTTTTAATTTTCAAATTTACAGATTAAAAAAATCAATGAGTAGAATACTACCAAAATGAATGACAACAGAAATTTCAAATAATTGCATGGAACAAATTATTATGGCCCTTAGAAGAATAGATGCGAGATATGACAACTTGTGAAGAAGTTTGTCTAGGTGTGGTGTCAACTTCTAATCTTCTGTCCTCTGATAAGGGTCAATCTTCCCTGGTTGATGAAACTCCCCAGGTTGGGATTTAATGACAATTGAGTTCCTTTCAGAGGATCTGTCTTTAGGCAGATAAGAGGAATTCAGAGAAAGCCTCTCCCTGCGTTTGCTGTTTTTCAGGTACTTTCACCTCAGAATAATCAGTATACCAAAGTGGCATATTGAGATGGCATATTTTGTTTCCTTGAGAGATGATACCTAGATGATACATAAAAACTTGAAAATACACGTATTTCAGTTATGCCCAACAACTAGCAGGATATGACACAGTGGCACAACGCTAACTTTTAAAGTTAGAATACCAGCATTCAGAACTTGGCTTTTGAGTTACAAGCTGCGTGAACTTGAGAAAAGTCACTTAATTTCTGCAAGCTCATAAATTTCGGCTCCAGTTGAGCTTTCTAATTCTAGAGCCCAAACCTTACTGATTGTATTTAAACATAGCTCCTGTTGTTTTTCTTTGAACCATCTCCATCTGAAAAACTGGAAAACCATTTTCACTTCAAAAAATTTTGTTGACACACAATAAAAAATTGTACTGAAAGTAGAAATCAGTACTAAGAATATGTTGCAAGAAGTCTACCTCAATTTTTATTCAGACATTCTTAAAATATTTAATACACATTGTAAGAGTCTATTAGAGCTATGACTCTCAAACTTTAAAGTGTATTCAAGTCACCCAGGAATAAATGCAGATTCTGATTTGCAATATTTCCTCTGTAACCTGTAATTCTACAGTGCGAACAAGTTTCCCGGTGATGCCCATACTGCTGGTTCCTGCTACTGCTGGTTCTTGCATCTTATTTGAATGGCAAGATTAAAAAAAAAAAAAAAGCCAAAAAAGGCCCACAGATTTGGCTATGTAAGTAAGTAAACTAAGTAGACGCTTTGAAGGAAATTCAGGATAAAACTCAACTAGACGCTGGATTAAATGCCACACACACACACACACACACGCACCAGCAAGTTAAAACCACAGCAGCAAGCAAGCTATGAGTGGTAAGAATAAAATGGTGTTGTCTGAGATTGAAGCCAATATCCATGCTGCATTATATAGACGGAGTCTTGGACTTCTACTAAGGTATTGGATCTAAACCTGAAAGTTCTACATTGAAACAGGAACCCTCAAAGGAGGTTAAAGTGATCTCAATTTGGAAGTACTCCACAGAGAATCATTTGTACATTTTCTTTCTAAGAAAACATCCCCAGTTATGCCTTTAGGACTCCCACAGATGACATGCAATGAAAGATGAGCTCCTAAACTACAAGTAACAATAATTAATGGAGCTAACCTATTATGAGTCAGCAAAAGCAAAAATCAGCAAATCTAGAGGTGCTAATACCTTAGATATTATATAAAATATCTGAAGAACTAAATGAGAGATGTAATTTTAAAAAGCATGGTAGAGACTATCACAATAAGACAGTAAAATCCTTTTAAAAATAAAAAGATAAAACTCAACTGCTATGTTAAACAGTGTATTAGAAAAGGCTGAATAAAGAAGTGAAATGGGGCTAGGCATGGTGGCTCACACCTGTAATCCCAGCACTTTGGGAGACCAAGGTAGGAGGATTGCTTAAGCCCAGGAGTTGGAGAGCAGCCTAGGCAACACAGTGAGACCCCGTCTCTAGAAAAACAATTAAAGATAAAAAAAATAGTACTCAAGTATGGTGGCATGTACCTGTAATCCCAGCAACTCAAGAGGTTGAGGTGGGAGGAATGGTTGAGCCTAGGAGATGGAGGCTACAGTGAGCCATGATTACTGTCGACAGAAAACTTCATAAAGTTTGAATGCAAGTCATACATGCATAGAATAGTGTCTTTAAAGTGCTAAGAGAAAATAACCATCAATCTAGTATTAATTATCCAGCAAAACGATCTTTAAAGTGTGATGGTTAAATAAAGATACCTTCATATAAAAATATAAATTTTAACACCAATATTTCTTCACTAACAAAATTCATGATAGTGTTCTTCAGGAAGATGGTCTATCATATTGGAAAGAAGGACACCCTAAAAGAAAATAACATAAAAATATGCAAATCTCAATCTCACTCATGATTGTATATAATAACCTACCATCAAAAGAATTTCTACATCACCTGAAAAGAATCACATCCAGATTATAAGATCCTTTAATATTTAAAAAAATTAAAAAACAGAAATATTAGTATGTAAAAGTAATTAAATGTTATATCTGATAACATACAAATCACATTTATAAATTCAGTGGGGGGACAGGTAGCAAAGACTTGTCATTTTACAAATTATTTGGATGGCTGCAATTTGAAATGCAATCCTCACTGCCTATGGTATGTGTTTACAGAGTTCCTGCATCTTATTCTCCTTGTTTGGACCTTAGAGTCTGCCAATTCTTGTACTCCTCCTGCCCCAGATTGCTTACCACATGTTCCATAGATTTTGATTTTACTTGCCAGGAGTATATGCTAGAGTCAAACTGCTTGGATTCAAGTCTAGATTTGAGCTTTGAACTTGAACAAATTACTCTGCCTTTATCTCAGTTAACAGACCTGTAAAATGGATATCATAATTGAGCCTACAAAACTGAAGCTGTTTTGAGGATTAAGTGAGGTAGTACATGCTAATGCTCATAACAGGGCCTCATAAAAGGAATATGACAAGTACTCAATATTATTTTCTTTAGACCATCAAGTAATTTATTGATGCCTTTAATACAAAGAAATTAAGTTAGCAAAATCTTTATAAAACTATATTGCTATTTATTGTTTTGAAAAAAAATTACAGCATTTGCCAAATGTGAATAGAGTAGGTCTAGACATTGGTTTTACCAACTTGCAGTCCTTTATCTGTGTCTTCATTAATAATTTAAACGTGGCACATATATACATATGTAACAAACCTGCACGTTGTGCACATGTACCCTAGTACTTAAAGTATAATAAAAATAAAAATAAATAAATGTAATTTTTAAAAATGTAGAAAAAAATGTGAGAGAAGGGGTTCAAGATGACTGACTAGATGCAGCTATGACGTCCCTCTTCCACAGAAAGGAACCAAAATATCACATAAATCTACACAATCAAATAGGTCTTCCAAGATATAACACTGAAATTTAGCAGAGAGATGACAGGAGGCACCAGGGATGAAAAGGGAGGAAGCAGAGCTTCCTGCTTGGACACCAGGACCATTCTCTGGACCCAAAGCCAAGGAGTAGGTGAGTGAAGGAACCCCAGGACTTCATATTCTAGCTGCAGACTTCTGTTCTAACTACAGAAGAGTTTTGTGACCACCCTAGACTTCTAGACTGTCTGAGGAAGCTGCTGGTGACCATGCAGAGCCACTGCTTGAACTCACACGGACCCCGCTGAGCAACTGCAGCAAAGCACAGTTCTGGGAGCCCATCCCCCAAGGCTCTGCATCCTGCCCTAAGCTGCTGCTGCTGTATCTGCCAGGCTGAGGAGTGAGCAGGGGTCCAACACTCTCATGCACCTCAAAGACAGCTTCTACTCCCATAGTTGTAGAACCAAATGCATTAGAACCACATAACCCATGCCTGCCTATCCCTCCCAAGACTGCCTGCCTGGTCATTCCTGCAGTGGGGGACCCACAGCATAGCAACCATTGCTTCATCTGCATGTTTTAGTGGTGGCCTAGGAGTAATTCACCCCTCCCTATCACAGCCAAAGCTTAAGTCCACCAAGCCAGAGAACAAGTCTGTGGGCCTGGCCCCAGTCCAGGGGCATGGAGATCAGATTTGTAATCTAATCTCAAACCAAGGAGGACCCTCCACTGTCCAAATACAGAAAAGATCATGGTGTGGGTCCCTGTTGTGGCATGGGGGCTGAGTGCCCCTCCATTCACGAGAATGGACTGAGAAGGGTGTGGCCTGATAGTCATGCTATCTATCACAGACAGGGATTCTTGCAGCCTGGAACAGCTCAGGGATCAAAAGGTGGACTGCTTGGGAACTAGCCTAATTATTCTGGCTACTGCCAGTGGAGACCCTCTGGATTTGGGGTGTGAAACCTAGGTGTGTCCCAGTGCCACCTGATATGCTGAAAACTCTGGGTCAGTGCTCTTCTCTGAGTGGACTCTTGGTGCAAGACAGTTGCCTCTGCCCCTCCCTGGAGGGTTGCCCAAGTGGCCTGGCTGTTGTCCCTAACCCCATTGTAATCAGCATTTGCATTCACCAGGTCACAGGCTTGTCTGACCCAGCCCACTCAGCTTTGTCACCTTCAGGCACCTTGGTGGAACATTGGACATGGACCTCAGAGAGCACCAGGGCCCTGCCCATTACCAGGGACACCCCAGAAATTCTCTTGATTAACAAAGGGCAAGTAAAAATTTCACTGCCACCAACACAGCTGCCTCTCTCCTACAAGCACCACCTACTGGTGGGGAAGCCAGCCTGCACATACCATTACAACTTCTGACACCATTGTATAGCACTAAGCCACTCTTACTCACAAGTACCACCTATGGGCTTGTAGAGTGAACTGCACAACCCAATATAATTCCTGCTGACAGAAGTGCAGGGAACAAGAAAAGCCTCCCAAGACCTTCACCTCCCCATCTCTTTAGCAGAAAATGAGCCTGCACACACTCACAGTACACAAGTACTAAAACCTACAAATAACCAGCATTTGAGAAAGCCACTATACTAAGGATATGTATAACCAAGGAATTCATACAGAGACTTGGCCCACTAACAGCACAAAGAGGCAAAGCCAAAGGACCCTACCCAACATGTGCAACACTCCCACCCTCGGGGGGAAACAAATCCCTCCCAAACAAAAGAAAATTCAAAAGTAAAAGTGGCAGCTTCTCCAGATGAGAAGAAAACAATATAAGAACTCTGACACTTAGAAAAATCAGTGTTGCGACACCCCCAAAGGATCACATTAGGTCTGTAGCAGTGGATCCTAACCAAAGTACAATTCTAAAATGACAACGAATTCCAAATATGAATTGTAAGGAAGCTCAATGAGATCCAAGAAAACCAACACAAAGAAATAAGAAAAATTTCCACAAATGTGGAAAACCAATACAAAGAAATAAGAAAAAATGATTTAGGATATGAAAGATGAGATAGCTGTTAAAAAAAAGAGAGTGTCTGGAAATGAAAAATTCACTGAGGGAACTTCAAATTACTTTAATTGAAAGCTCTAATAATAAACTGTAAAAGACAAAAGAGGTTTTCAGAACTGGAAGGCAAATCTTTTGAATTAACCTAGTCAGATAAAAATTAGAAAAAAATATATTTAAAAAAAATAAACATGACCTTCAAGAAATATGAGATTATGTAAAGCAACTAAACCTATGAATAATAAGAAATAAAAGTAAAAGGTTTGGAAAAGTATTTGAGGGAAAATTCAGGATAATTTCCCTGGTCTTGCCAGAGATGTAGAAATCCAGATACAGAAAGCCCAGAGAGCATATGGAAGATACTTTATAAGATGAACATCACCAAGGCATACGGTTATCAGACTATCCAAAGTGAACATGAGAGGAAAAATTTTAAAAACAGAGAGAAGCATCAAATCACCTATAATAGATATCCCATCAGATTAACAGCAGACGTCTCAGGAGAAACCTTTTAAGCCAGAGATCGAGGCCTATGTTCAGGTTTCTTAAAGACAAAAAATGCCAGCCCAGAGTTTTATATTTTGCCAAAATGAGCTTCATAAATGGAAGAGAAATAAAGTATTTCCCAGACAAGCAAATGCTAAGGGAATTTGTCACTACTAGACTGGCACTACAAGAAGAGCTCAAAGGAATTCTAAACCTAGAAACAAAAAGACAATACTGGTCATGATAAAGCACACATAAGTACAAAGCTCACATCCTATAAAGCAGTTACACAAATGAGACTACAAAGCAACTAGGTAACAACATTATGATAGGTACAAAACCTCACATATCAATATTAACCTTGAAAATAAATGGCCAAGGTGCCCCACTTAAAACATATAGACTGGCAAATAGGATTAAAAACATAAGATCCAATCATTTGCTGCCTACAGGAGATCTACCTAACAAGTAAGGACACCCACAAATTCAAAGTAAAGGGATGGAGAAAGACATACCATGCAAGCAAAAAACAATGATGACCAGGAGTAGCTATACATATATCAGATCAAACAGACATTAAATCAACAACAGTAAAAAAGAAAAGACAAAGAGAATGATGGTTATTAAATAATGACAAAGGGTTCAATTCAACAAGAAGATATATCTATCCTAAGTATATATGTACCCAACACTGGAGCACACAGATTTATAAAACAAGTACTAAAGGAAAGGGATATGTAGCCATACAATCATAGTGGGGGATTTTAACACCCCACTGACAGCACTGGAGAGATCCTCAAAGCAGAAAATCAACAAAGGGCCTCTGGACTTAAACTGGACTGTAGGCTAAGTGGATTTAATAGACATTTATAGAATGTTCTACCTATCAGCCGCAGAATATACGTTTTTCTCACCTGTGCATGGAAGATTCTCCAAAATTGACCATATGCTTAGTCATAAAGCAAGCCTCAATAAAATCAAAAAAATAAAAATAATATCAAGTATCTTAAGATCTCAGACCATGGTGGAATAAAATTAGACGTCAGTGCACGAGGAGAACACTCAAAACTACACAAAAACATGGAAACTAAGCAGATTGCTTCTGAATGACTTTTTGGTAAATGATGAAATTAAATAACAAATCAAAAACTTGAAGGAAAATAGAGATACAACATATCAAAACCTCTGGGAAATGGCAAAAGCAGAGCTAAGAGGAAGGTTTATAGTGTAAAATGCCTACATCAAAAAAAATACAGAGAACTGAAATTAACAACCTAATATCGTAACTCAAGGAACTAGAAAAACAAGAACAAATCAAACCCGACACTAGCAGAAGAACAGAAATAACAAAGATCAGAGCACAAATAAATGAGATTGAGACAAAAAACAAGAAAAAGATACAAAGGATTAACCCTTTTCTGATTTGCCCCAGAATACTTGCTGGTGGTGCTTGCAGCTGCAGTGTTTGCCCCAAGATAACTTTGCCATGAAATATCTCAAGTATATTATTTTTGCATCACTCTAATATATTGACTTTGGAAACAAGACATCATTCTATTTATAGTGTTCTGTTTTTAGTGGTGGTATTTCCATTTACAAACGATAGTAAGTCTTGATGGCTAAAAAGTCAAATCCTAGAAAACAGCATTCCTTTCCGTGATGTTAACATCATTCTTGAACAGTTGTTGATCAAAGATTCATTTGTTGAATACAATTTTTCCAAAATAGACAATTCTGATAATTCAGATGATTCTGATGTTAGTTCTGCTTAGAAATAACAACAAGAACAGTTTTTATATTTTATTTTCACATTAAAAATCTGTAAGATTTGCTTCAGGCTCAAAGAGTGTGTTTATGTAAAATTTAATGAGCACTGGCAGCAAGCTGTGCTTTTGGGTTAATGAAATAAAAGGTTGGCTCTTAGGAAACCATAAGCAAAATTGATAGACTGCTAGCTCAATTAACCAAGAAAATAAGAGAGATTTAAATAAGCACAATCACAAATGATAAAAGTGACATTACACAGAAATACAAAACATCATCAGAGACTACTACTAGTATGTCTTTGTGTGTAAACTAGAAAACCTAGAGGAAACAGGTAAATTTCTGGAAACATACAACTTCCCAAGGTTGAACCATGAAGAAATAGAAATCCTGAACAAACCAATAATAAGTAATGAAATTGAGTCAGTAATAAAACATCTTCCAACAAAAGAAAAGCCCCAGACCAAATGGATTCACAGCCCAATCTTACCAGACTATCTATCTCAATAGACACAGAAAAAGCATTCAATAAAATTCAAAATCTCTTTACAATAAAAACCCTCAACAAAGTAGACATTGAAGGAATAGCCTTCAAAGTAATAAAAGCCATCTATGATGAACTCACAGAGAACATCATACTGAATTGAGAAAAGCTGAAATAATTTCCTCTGAGAACCGGAAGAAGACAAGGATGCCCACTGTCACCACTCCTATTCAACATAGTACTGGATTCCTAGCCAGAGAAGTTAGGCAAGAGAAAGTAAGAAAAGGCAGCCAAATTGGAAAAGAGGAAGTCCAACTTTCTATGCTCATCAATTACATGAAAAATGACTTCAGTATCAATATACAAAAATTAGTAAGATTTCCATACATCAATAATTTTCAAGCTGAGAACCAAATCAATAACACAATCTCATTAACAATAGACACACACACACACACCAAATACCTAGGAATATATTTAACAAAGGAAGTCAAAGATCTCTACAATGTTCACTGTTTGAGTGATGGGCACCTAGAACCCCAAACTTCACCATTATGGGATATATTCATGTAACAAGCCTGTGCCTACACCCCCTGAATCTATAAAAATAATAATAACAGAAAACTATATGCATTATGTTCTCACAATTGTTAGAAACCATGTGATAACTTCCTTAAAAACATGAAATGCCGTATTTACAAAGTCAATTTTTAGATACTGCCTAAAGTTGGTTATAGATTGTACCATATCTGTATTCTCTTATGTTGATCCAGCAAAAGTAGGAGGTTTTCCTTCTGTCGTTTTCCAAATGTTGGTCAGAATCTAATATATCATCTGGAGAGGGTGTTATGAATGCTTATACAACTACCTCAATCTTGCTAAACATGAGATAGTAAAGTAATTGTTTCCATAAGTTCACCAAAAACTGGTATAATCAAGAAGCAATATATAGTATTATTGTTATTCCCCAGGGTCAATGGCTTCCTTCATGTTGTATGATTCCAGAGTTTTCTTGTATCCCATCACCAATAAGTTTTGTAGAACTGTCAACCCAATAACAAACAGAGGGGGAGACTCCTTTTTTAAGAGATAATGGTCTTTTAGGAGGAATAGGCATTGCAGTGAGAATATGAGTACCATTGTAAGCTATGTGTGTATTCAGGGAGGTAAAATAAAACAAAGGTTTTTAAAGGAAAAATGAGGATTACATAATTGTTTTGAGATAATTCTCAACTGTCTAGGGAGTTGCTAGACAGACGTCCTGGCAGATGTATATTTTGTGTAAGGTTATAATGACCTTTGTGCAAGGTTGTGGTTTTTGCAGTCTCCGTGATAGTTATTTTTATCAAGCATTTGTGTATAACAACCCTCCCTTAATTTCATGGCCTTCCCTGGCTCTGTTTGTGAGGATCTTTAACATAAGTGACTCTATTTTGATTTTGACAACTTTCACAGAACTTTCCATTTTTGTCAGCAGGGTTAGTATAGGTATACTAATTATTGCTTTAATTTAAATTTCCTTCATCAAAAAGAAGTTTGAGTATCTTTTCCTTTTGGAATTGTTTATCTCTATATTTTCTGTTAATATAATTTACACATTTAAAATTTATTTATATTTACAACTTTACAATTATATGGATCAATAGGGCTTATAACAAAAAGAAAGAAATTCCTATGCACCCCAGCTCATTTTTTACCATATTCCTCAGAGGCAATTAGTTTCTCTTTTTTAGCTTTTTTTTTTTCATCTGTTCATATCTAAATAAAATTCATACACTGCAATCTTAATTTTAGACATTACATATATTGGTAGATTAATATATTTAGCTAACTTCCATGCTCCTATTCAATATTTCTGTTGCTACACCACTGTAAATATTGTTCACTGCTGGGAAATAAAATGTACATTGAAATAAAAATGTTTTTTCTTCTACAGTGATTTTATCTTAAAATTAATAATCTTCATTACGTCTTTCTTAGTGTGCTTAATTTTCTTTAAAATATAAGAGTAACTTTTCTAATATATCTTATACTCTATATTTTAATAAATTTTTTCATACAGCTAAATGTCTCATATGATTTGTATCTTTCTTTTCTCCTCTGTACATTTTTCTTCTGTGGTTCTCATCTTGTCTTTGGTTTTGTTTCTTTCTTAATGTCTGCTGCACAGTTTTTGTCCTGAGACTTCCTTTTGCTTATTCTTGAATTTCTTCTGCCTTTTTCTTATGTGAAATCCCATTTAGTAATTATTTTCTATCAATGCGCTCCTATTTTATGGACTACATCTCCTCAAAGCTTCTTGAGCTCTTCAGAAAAATGGTATAGAATATAAGTATTTAAACTCTTTGCATATCCGTGTCTGTGTATATATAGAACTGTATATTTAATATAGAGTAAAAAAAATCCCTTTAACTTCATATTAAGGTAATTTTTTCCTTAAATTTTATTTTACTATGTATATTAATAATACATGTCAAATAAAACTATATTGACAGATGTACAATGAAATATAACTCTTTCTAAAGTTTTAACACAAGAGAACTTACTCTAATTTTTCTACATCTGTTTATCATACTTTATATTATGGTCAATATTTTGTATATATTCTATACTTTCAGATTTGATTTTCTGCTTGACCCAAATGGGCTGTATTTTTCTTCCTTTAAATCAGGAATATTTTTAATATCCAAAATGTATCTTTAAACTTTTTAGTTTCTTCTTTTCCTCACATTTTTTAAAAAATTTTTATTTCTCTTGATTTTCCTAGTTTAAATTTTAAAATACCTTATTTACCTTTAGGAAATGACAACAGTTAAAAAAAAAAACATTTTAATGCATTGTGCTAACATCCTATTTCATGTTTATTTTACTACTTCTTATTTTTACAACGGGAAAATGTTTTAAATCATTTGTCATTGAAAGAATTTGACAATTCTCAATGAGTCTTGAAATTCTACTGCATAGGTTTTTTATTTTGTGTCATACCACATTTATTGAAGGATTTATTTTTAAATATGAAGTTTTTTTACTAGCTAAAATAAATAGAGAAAAATTATTTTGTATTTTTACAAAGTGTTTTGGGTGCAACGTGTAGCTTAAGAGATAGCAAAATGCATCATATAATGAGTTGAGCACTTTCCAACTTCAAGAATGTATTGGTTATAAAATTCTTGTCGCCAAAGTATCTAGTATTCATATTTACCTATGAATTTTTTCATAGAGTATTCTTAATATTTTTAAATTGGTCCATTCTCATGTATTAGCAAATTTACCCCCAAATGACATACACACTGCCATATTTTTATTTGAAACTAAATGACTACCATATTATTTGATTGCTCCTTTTAAATTATACAATATTGCCATCCTATGAAAAATTATTTTAGAATAAAGTACTAATTTTAACTGACTTCTCTGTAGCTTTAGTAGTGTTGGTCTTTCTCTCATTTTATAACCTCTGTCCTTGAATATTGAAGCCTGCATCCTAGTTTCCATGACAAAGTTTTCTTGATTTTATTCTATCCTTCCTTGACATTCTTTCTTAGTGTAGTTTTCTCTGTAGTTTACCTGCACTCATTAATTAAATGTGAATGTTTCTGAGAGTTCCAAAAACAGCCTCTCATTCTCTTTGCTGCTGGAGAATATCACTTAGTTCTATTATTTCCAATACTCTCTGTATGATAATGTCTCCCAAACCATATCCCTAGCATCTCTCTCCTTAACTCTTGTTTCCAATAATCATAAGACTATTGGGCATCTCTACATTATTTCCTCAGACTCAGGCATCTCAACCCAAACTCTTCAAAACTGAAAGATTTTCACAGCTTCCAACCTTCTTAATCCATGACTCTTGTACTCTCTATATTAGGTAACTCACACCAATAGCTACCTTATCAACTAAGCAGAAATTTTAAAATGATGCCTCCTCTTCTTTTTAAAAAATTTTTCATGTTCAATTTTATGCATGTCCTTTAGATTCTACCTTTCTTTGAAAACTCTTCTTTATCTTTAGTTGATAATCTTGTTATTTTGTCTTGATTATACTAACAGCTTTCTAATTGTTTCCCACTTCTAATTCCTTTTACCTCCAGTTCATTCTCTGCACTACTGCCAGAATACTCTCTAAAATGCAAAGATGTTTAAAAAGAAATGAAAAGAAAAATAATTACAATGTGTGGAGTGATGTAAATTGCTCTTTTAATTAAAAAAATAAATTTTAAAATGCAAATCTTATTTGTCATGCTCTTCCTTGAAATCAGTAGGGAAAATAATCCTCTTTTAACTTCCCATCCTCAACTCAAAAATTGAAAAGATGTTGGCAAAGCACGCTGGCATCATATGCTCAAACCACACTATATAGCATTTTCCTCCTTTACCTAAATTTTCCTTTGCCCACCTCTCCCCCAGTGAAACATAACTCTTTCTACAGAATTTATCTTGGATATTACCTCTTCTGCCTGAGCAGATATATTTTACACAGCTTTCTGATAGAATGAAATGCAGCTAATATTTATAAAAATAACGAGATTCATTTGGGCACATCTAATTTTGTATAGTCATGAATGTCGGCCTTTGGAGGCCTTATGGTCAAGACATGTCTCAGACATTAACCCCCCATGCAGTTCACTGTGCTCTGTATGATAATTTTATGTTTACTTGACTTTTTTCCTTTCTTAACTATGTCCTCCTGAGAGGAAAGGAACCACATTTTTTTTTTCTGCAAAGCACAATGCCAGTCACAAAGTGGCACTACTTACTGATTTAATAAATGAATCTCATCTTGATTACTTTTCTTGTTATAAAGGTGTTTAACTAGTGGAGAAAATTGTATTAAGTCTTTCTGGAAGTACAATGTCCTCCTTTTAGTAAATAAATATAATGTTTATTTATTTAATTGAGTGATTAGTGGTGCAACAATTATACATAGGAAAAACTATAAAAACATTCATTAAATTGGTAGTATTAAAAAGCAAATTGTGCAAACCCAGACTGGGAGATGTTCTGCAGCATATCTGGTCAGTACACCCTAAGACTGTCAAGGTCATAAAAATCAAGGAAAGACAGTAACTGTCACAGACTCGGGGTGATAACAACTAAAGCATTGTGGTATTCTGGATTCAGTACTAGAAAAGAAACTGGAAAACCGGTGAAATGCAAATAAAGTTTAAAATTTAGATAATGGTAATGCGATAATATCCATTTTTTAGTTTTGACAAATGTAATATGATAATGTACAATGTTAACAATATGGGAAACTAGGTGAGGGGTATATAAGAACTCTAATCTTTGCATATTTTTTGTATATCTAAAATTATTCAAATCTAAAGTTTATTTATAAAAATGCATTTATGACTTAACAAAAATTTTATTGTTAACACAGCATAATATACAGGTTTTTTAAACCATATGCACCCAGAGACACTTGTAATGAAAGTGTACTTCATATCTTTAAAATGCACATCTTAGGTTGGTCACATGGCTTATGCATGTAATCCCAGCACGTTGGGAGGCTGAGGCAGAAAGATTGCTTGAGGCCAGGAGTTCAAGACCAGCCTGGACAACACAGCAAGACTCCATTTCTACAAAATAAAAATTAAAAATTGGTTGGATGTGGTGGCATGCCCCTGTAGTCCTAGCCTCTCAGGAGGCTGAAGAGGGAGGATCATTAAGCCCGGGAATTCAAGGCTGCAGCTACAATTATGCCACTGTATTCCAGCCTGGGCAATCAGAGTGAGACCTTGTCTTGAAAAAAATGCATATCTTTTTCAAAAATTTGAGGGAAAGTTAGAATAATTGTTTAAAAATGCACATTTCCTTTTAATATATGCTACTTGCTATAATATTGGTTTTGATTTGAGATGATGCGAATGCTTTTATGATCACACTACTGTGTTAATTCTCTATTTTATATTAAAATTTTAAAAAATTATATCTAAAATGATTTTGCCAAAAATGTTGCATAGAACTCTGACCTTGAAATCAATAGAAATTTAAACTCACTTTTGTCTGTCTGGATATTATGGACCATTTTCAATTTTTATATTTAAAAACCCCTCACAGCAAAATATGTTCTAGCAATTGATCTTTTTATCTATTACAAAAATGAAACATTCCATTTCCTTATATCAGGGAACACATTTGAGGGGTGGGCAAGCATACGTTTGTTTCTTCCTTTCATTAATGTTTTGCTGGAGGGCAAATGTCAGAGTAGCCACTTTCATATTTTGGCCCCTCTTGCTGAAACTCCTGTAGGGAAATTCTGCAGATGGGTTTCTTTGATGGTTCTTTTCATTTTTATCTCACGCTGTGACTTTGACAGTCAGACTGGCAGTAGGATACAGAAATAAAAGAAGAAGGCTTAAAGAAATGTTATAGCTTCATGCTGTGAATTTAGAAGATGACAGGTTTTTTTGGCTTGCTTTCTCTGGCCCATGACTAAAAGAACTGTCACTAGGTTACAGTGCTAAGAAGAAGTAATGAGAACATATTTTCATGCAGATACCTAGAGGACTTTGATGCACATGGCCTGCCCAAGTCAATCGGAAACTCTGAGGCTAAAAATTGCTGTGGCAGGATCCAAAACCACATGGCTGAGAAGGATGCTTGGCAATCGTGTTTGTACAGTTTTACACAGTTGACATGTAATAAGCATTTATTAATAATAATGACATGTAAATTTGCCTTTCATGCTGTTGCAGCAAGAATCTATCATCTGTCAGTTTGTCTGTCTCCACTGTATAATATATATAAAGAATATATTCCTTAAAGTAATGATGAATCAGTATGCTGAATGTGACCTTATTATTTTTTTGTAGAAAGGTGTCTCCAAGGCTTTGTTAAGCAGCAAGGGATTACATTTCCACTAATGAGAATCCTTAGGGCTATGCAATAGTAATATTTCTAATTGAGAAACTCAAAAATTGCATGTGAAAAAACTTTAAAACATGAATTCTATATGTTTATAACAAATCTTAAGAAATATGTAAAAGTAAAATCACTTAAAAATAAGGAAGAATCAACCTGTGATGGTTGTAAGATGGTCAAATTTATTATCATTTTAAGTACAAACTTATTTTTAGATATGATATGCCTAATTTTTAAAGAGTATGTATTATAATGTATTATAATACATATAATACATTATATGCATTATATATAATATATATAAAAAACAGATTTTGTCAGGATACTAGAAACTCTCTCTAGAAAGGTTTTAAGCTCTATTAATTTAACTTACTGAATTCTATGAATTTAACTCCCATCCTTGAGAAAAGTCCAGAAGTGTTACATTCTGACTTACAGTTCATTCTTGTAGGAAGTCAACATTTCCTTCCTAAGTTATGATGAGCTTTGGTGTAGATGCAATAAAGTAATTATTCTTTCTGTTTGTGTTGAGAAGATGTAATATAACAAAAAAATCCTGTTCTAGTTAAAAAATTGATCTTCAGACTAAATTAAACCACAGAAACCTGCCATGAATACAGTGATTATTTGAGAGGAATTTTCACTACCACCTCCTAAGTCAGGCCATCTCTATTGGGAGACAATTCTCTATTGATAATGTTTCTATATATCATCTAAGTTTCCTTTGTTTCGGGCTTTTTTGAAGACGTTTGTATAGCTAACAGCCTTTTACAAAAGAGATAGTGTCTTCCTGTAGAGTAAAGGACATGTTTGCTTACAGTACAGTAAAATAAAATCAATGTCTTACTCTGCAGCAACGTTTAGGCTACCTTACCTTTTTAACCTAGCTTTGACCTGTTACAAAAGATTCTAATTCTGCAAGCTCAGGGTTCCGCCCCTGTTCCTCAGTCCACTAAGTATGCACCTGTCTCTGTGGTAATTGGGACTTGGGAAAACAACGTGGGTGCTGATACTCTGGTTGCCTTTATAACTGTGAGTAATGAAGTTATTTGTCTCTGATCCAGGGATCTCATGTCTTCTCCCAATGTTCATGAGACTACAATAGCCTAATATGTAAGCTTGAAAGCAGTATAAATCTCAGTTCCTTCACAGTTCTTGGTGCTCACCTCCCTTTTCCTTATTTGTAGAAAGTGTTTTCTTTTTAGCCTCTCCTCCTCTAATTTCTAATCTCTTTAATTCTTCATAATATGCCACTGTCTGGTTATTCATTCTAATGTTCACTTCTGAGCCAAATCTCATGACTACCAATTTTTTATTGGTTAAAGTTTAAACTTTAATTAATTCACTAATTCATTCATTTATCAGATTTTTTAAAGTATTTACTATTTACTACTTAGGCACTTGAGATAAATGGTGAAGAAGTTAGTCATGGAATACTACATAGAAGTCTCCAGTATTGGCTTTCTGTACATTCCTTGTCTCATCTTATACTATTGTCTTCAAAGAACCTATGCCCCAGCAAACTTGATTGAGCCTCGAAATAGGCCCTGTTATTCTCCAAGCCTGTACTTTTATCTATTCCTAAAATACTCTGCTTCTGGATCTCCATCAATTAAAAATGAGTCTATGCATTATAGCTTCATTTTAAGTATGATTTCTTTGTAGTTTTTCCTTTTTAACTCCACTTAGAAGTGATCTTTTGTCTCCTTTCATATGATACTCACATATATTGTAATCATTGAATGCATTCCTTAATTCTGTACCAAACAATGGCAATTTGAGGAAATATAAAATGTTTTGCATAATTTTTGTGTTTTACAGTGCCTTATACATAGTAGGTAATCAATAAAACTAGAATAAGACAGTAAATACAGATATGAGAAGCACCCAAAGCCAAGCCAAGTCAACCAAATTCAATTGATAGAGTTTCTTTCTTCCTTCAGAGCTGGCCATTTGAGCATCAGCACACACCATCAACATAGGATCTGATGGTCTGAGTTTAACACTATCTGGGTCTTAGTGGCCCCATTTTTAATAACTAGGTAAAGAATATAATTATATTTTGTGCCTTACTGTGAGATGCTTCAGAGTTCCTGACAAATAATAAATAACCTGAAACATAAATCTAGACTATGAAATTATTATTACTTGAAAATTTAATGTGAAAAATAAAATAATTATTTCATTTTCACTTTAATACAATAAATCTAACTTTGTGGCATCATGAAAATTTCTATAATTTATACTGGTAATAATATATGATTATATTATTTTAAATCAGTATTAAGTATGTATCGTAGTAATTATATAGTACTTTTATATAATCATATTTAGCGTTTTTATTAATAAATGGAATTTACTGAGTGCTTATTATGTGTCATGCATTCTGCTTAATGGTTTACATACAGTAACTTCAAGAGGTAGATATTATTATTTCCATGTGTGATGTGGGAAGAGAAATTAAAGTCAAGAAATGTTACGTAACATGCCTGGGGACATAAGTAACCTTTAAAATTAATGGCCATAATGACTGAGAAACGGGATGCCAAAAATCAGGCTTTAGTTGGAGATTATACTCCTGTACAAAGTTTGTGTTTCACTAAGTGCAATGTCTGACAAGAAGAGCAGAGGAAAGTTATACTAATACATTGTTTAGGGTTGTTTCTACCAAGGATTTTAGAATCAGGGAATAAAAATAATAATAGAGTTTATATTAACAGGTGGAGATAAAATTCACTTCTGCAACAGCTCTGTTCCTTTAGCATTTTATAATAAAAATTATTTATGTGAAAAAGTTGATGACAGTAAAACCATTGCAAGTATAAACTAATATTATTATTAATAAATAATATATATTAAATATTTTATATTAGTAATTTTAGATACTTGAAAAGAAAGGAAAATATTACAGAACTAACACTGAAATGCATAGAGGAGCAAAATTAAATTATTGTCATTATCTCTGGTTTCTACTAAGGGAAGATTCTGTGTGTTCAATAATATGCAGAATTAGACTTTCCATCTTGCTTTGACCGAGGATTCAGCATTTACTTAATACTTATTATCCTTTACTTCAGTTTGGCTGCACAACTAAAGTATTCTTAAAGCCAACAATGAGAATGGTCTTAATGATTACTTCTTTTCATTGCCCATTTTTGTCCTTCTACAGTAAGAGGGCAATAAGAAGGAAAGCCAACTCAATGTCTTTTTCTTCTCATGTGAGACAAAGACAGGGAATTCTAGGATTGATAATTAAAGCCATCCCTGAGCAGCATTTTCGTTAATTACTCTTATCCTATGAATTCTCTTCTATTAAAACATTATCTGCCTTGTATTTCATCATGCTATCATGATGCTTTCCTGGTGGCTTTAGAGTTGTACTAGTTAAAAGGGTCATTATCATCTAATAATCATTCTGAGAACCTAAATAGGCACAGGTAATAAAGGGTCACCTCTGTTATACCTAGTAAAAATGTTAAACTAGTGAACTCCAGCATACAAAAAGAAAGACTGAGTTTAATTAATATATTGTATATATTGTGTACCTATAACTCTGTCAGTTAGACAGCTGGTTTAAATATCTCTTATGTACACTGTTCTTCATGGAAAGTCAATGCTTATAACTTCTGATAAGATCAACATCAATATATAGCTTTGGTATATCACAATTTTTTTCAAAGTGCTTGAGAAGCATTAAATAACTGATTAGAAATGTAATTCTGGTCCATCAAATTATGATTCGATAATAGTTTAAACAAAAAAAATCCATTCCTTCCATTTTACCCACTATAATGAAATTACTCCTTGTCATCATTCAACCTTGTATTTTCAAAACGGTTATTAATATAAAAGCAAAGTGATGCCTTTGAAACGTTTTCTGAACACAACATGAATCACTTTCTAAAAAATTACAATATGCATATTTTAAATAAGTAATCTACATAGGATCCAACTTTCAAGCATAATTGGTATTTGATGAATGTTTGTTGAATACAAATCTCAGTAATAGAGCTCCAGGGACTAAAAAAACATAGTTACCTAACATTTTTTTTTCCTTAAAACTTCTGGGAATAATTGATATCTAATAAAATGTTATTTATTTACACCTAAATGTAATTGATTGTGCCATGTGGAATTTCATTAGATTGTATGGACCCTTCCTACTATGAGAGCAACTTTTATATGAAGCAATACTGCATGTGATCAAAATTAAACTTCCACTCCTGGCCCCATCAGAAATTCCAATATGGTCAATTACAGTGAACACTGATACTTCCTAAAAATATGGCAAACTTCGGCTGAGTGCAGTGGGTCGCTCCTATAATCCCAGCACTTTGGGAGGCTGAGGCAGGAGGATCACCTGATGTCAGGAGTTCGAAACCAGCCTGCCCAACATGGCGAAATCCCATCTCTACTGAAAATACAAAATTAGCCCAGTGTGGTGGTGCCTGCCTGTAATCCCAGCTACTCAGGAGGCTGAGGCAGGAGAATCGCTCAAATCCAGTAGATGGAGGTTGCAGCGAGCCGAGATCATGCCATTGCACCCCAGCCTGGGCAACAAGAGCTAAACACTGTCTCAAAAAAAAAAAAAAAATATCAGTCTTTGATGGAAACTATTAGGGCACTGATACATCCAAATTTGCATATATTGGGAAGATATGTCTCGTCTTTTTCTTTAAACAATAATTAATGAATTTTTATTTTCATTTTCTTCCCCTATGTATATTTCTACTATGTACCCTTTAAAATTTGTTTATTTTCTTTTAAATTGGCAAATAATAATTATATATACTTGTGAGGTACAAAGCGATGTTTTGGTATATTTCCACATTATGAAATGATTAAACCAAGTTCATTAACATATCCATCACCTCACATAATTAACATATTTTTATGATTCAAACATTTCAAATCTCTCTTGGAAATGTTATAATATACATTACATTATTAGTAACTGTAGTCACTGTGCTGTGCAAGAGATCTCAAAAATGTATTCCCTGTGTCTGAAACTTTGTACCCTTTGTCCAGCATTTTCCCCTTCCTCCACCTTTAAAAACATTTTATTGCTTGTGTAATAATGCTATAACATTTATAGTACAACATTGACTACTATTATGCATCTGTTTACTCAGATTTTGTGAACATTTAACTCACTCTATTTTTTTGAAAAGGCTGGTTACACCTTCAAAAACAACCCTCATTTGTGCCCTCTAGACTGTCTGTTCAAGACACAGTGATGAAATTATATCAGATGAAAGATGCCAGAGCCATCTCAATTAGTTTAATTGACTAAAATATGCATACTTTATTCACATTTTAGACCACATTCATCTGAATATATAAATTAGATGGTTATGTAAAGAAACCAACCTAGCTGTTTGTATGACTTAGGTAAAATAAAGATTATATTGTATCACAGTTTTCTATACATTTTCTAGGGAATTCCAACACTTTGAAGCTTCTATATTATGTGGGGTTTTTTTGCAATAGCTAAGAGATAATTAGAAGATCAATCTTTTTCTTATCTTAAAAATAGAATATGTAAACATTAAGTAATTATTATTTTAAAATGTCAAGAAAGGCAATATTGAGGAAAGAAAAGAAAATTTCAACATTTAATGTTCTATTTTACAATACTAAATGAGGTTCTCTTTTCTGTTAGAGTGAAAGAACCTCAGACCAAAACCCCTCAAAAAATGGATTCTGTTCTTTTGCCGTAGCTGTACAGAATCTTCCAGAAGTCATTCAGTTTCTCTGAGACCCATCCTAATCATTGAAAAAGAGTACAGTTATGCTCTTCCCAAATACCTGAATGTTTGTCAGTACACTTCATGACAAATAATGAATATTGCTAAATACAAAAATATGGTAATTCTGTGTATTAGTTTGTTGCAGTTGCATAACAGATAATCACCAATTTAGCAACTTGAAATACAAATTTATTAACCCACAGTCTTTTTACCCCAGATCCAGGTTGACTTGACTGACATCATTGTTCTGAGTTTTATAAGGCTGAAACTTAAGTGTCATCTGTCTTGGGTTTTACTAGGAAGCTCTGGGGAGAATCTGCTTCCAAGCTCATTTGAGTTGTTGGTAGAATTACTTCCCTGTGGTTGTAGGAATGAGGTCCTGTGAACCTGCTGGCTGTCATCCAGGGACCAATTTTAGCTCCTCGAGGACTCCCAGGCCCTTGCATGTGGGTTCCTACATCTCAGAGCCAGCAACACCACACATATCCTTTTCAAACTTGGAGTTTCTCAACTGCCCCTGCAGCCACCTCTCCCTTCAAGAGGTAAATGAAGCCACCTCTTCTACTCCATCTCTCTTCTGCTTCTGGTTAGAAACAGCTCTCTGCTCATAAGGGCTCCTGTGAATAGACTAGGCCAACCAAGATGGATAATCCAGAATAATCTCCCTATATTAAGGTCTGTAACCTTAATTATATCTGCAAAGTCCCTTTTGCCATATAAGGTAATGTTTTCACAGGTTCCAACCTCATACCATAATACAAATGTGAAGTTATTTTATCAGCTCTGTAAATGGATATAGAAGAATGAGCTTGGAAAATTGAAATAATACTGGTCAGAGTCAAGGGAGTGTTCATGTTAAGACTGGAGTGACTAAATAGTCTTTTAAATCAGATGTGGGTTTGATCCAGAATCTGATCAGAATGCAGGAAGGAAAGGGACCTGTGTGGTAAATGGCCATACCTGAAGCAGATTTCATATTGAAGAATAATTATTAAAATTTTAGATACAAATAAATATACTTAACAAAATTTCTCCAAAAATGTAATTTAATAAAATCAATGTTAGGCAGATTAATATGAATGTGCTATATCTTATCTGTAATAATTTACCTTGATTAACAGAGCTATTGATCTCAATTTAAAACAACCCTGATTAGATTGGTCAGTAGATTGTTTAGTGCAGAATATCAGAGATACAATGAAAAAAAATTAATAAAATTTATTCATTAGCAGATAAAAGTTATAGCTGAAACTACATTTATGCAGTTATGACACAGGCAAATTTGCTTCCATATAGTTTTTAGTTACTCTGGCATTAACATAAATGCTGTATGCTTGATATTTTAAGTTATATGATGGAGAAAAGGTCATCTGCACTTTTTACAATTTAAGAACATTGCTTGTTTTACTCTTAACCTCTTTTTAATGTCAGTTTAATATTTTCTTCTATTTGAGGAAGGGACTAAATAGGGGGCCATTTCAATATAGGTATTCCAGTGTTTGAAAATGTATCCCTATTCTCAAACACATTTGAAATATACTTTTTTGGTTAAAGGTGAAGAATTTATATTAAATGAAAAAATTAGTAATTGAATTTAAGAAGAAAACCAACTATGTGGTTATTATTTAGCACAGCAACTTTTAGAGTTACCACCATTCTTGCTTAAGAAGTACAGTTTCATATTGAAGAAGAGTAGAGCTTATTTTTGAGGTATAAAAAGTCATATATCTGTTGTAGGGGATCTGAATGCCTCAGTATCTGTGAAGTAACCTTTATAGAGAAAGGATTAAGTGTTAGTGTTTTCATGAAGTGCTTCAATCTTAGTAAGTTTAACTTTATTTTGTCACAAACATGTCACCATGAAGATTAAGAAGTTTGTTTTATTGTTATCCTGAGCATTTGTCTTTATGAAATAACTTATATTCTTATTAAAGTTTCCAAATGGTGGGAAATAGTACATTCTATTGCTTCCAGATATTATCTGTTTTAAGCACTATTATATAATGAATTTCCAGAGGTTATTTTTGTGGTTATTGTTTTCTTTTGGTATAATTTGCTAGAAGAGTCAATATATACCTGAAATAATATTTCTACTTAGCAGTACACATAAATATTCAATTTTGTATTTCAACCCCTAAATTTCCTAAGTCCATGTTTAATATACCTTCTGTCGAGAGAGAGAGACAGAGACAGAGACACAGACAGAGAGTGATTATAATATATTGATTGGCTCATGTAATTACGGAGGCTGAGAAATGTAAAATCTGCAGTCAGCAAGCTGGAGACCCAGGACAGCCTATAGTGTAAATTCCAGTGTGAAAGCCAGAAGGCTCAAGACCCGAGAGGAGCTGATATTTCAGTCTGAGCCCAAAGATGAGAAAAGACCAGTGTCCCAGCTCAATCAGTAAGGCAGGAGGAGTTCCTTCTTACTCAGACTTTTTGTTGGTTCAGATCTTCAATTGATTAGATCACCGCACCTACATTAGGGAGGGGTATCTTTACTCAGTCTACTGATTCAAATGTTTATCTCATCGAGAAACACGTTCACAAACACACCCAGATTAATATTTGGTCAAATGTCTAGGTATTCCATGGCTCAGTCAAGTTGACACAAAAAATTAATCATCACAAATCTACCCCTTGTCAACTTGGCATCCATATGCATCTCCCTAAACCATACTTCTCCAAAAAAAGACAATAACAAGGTCATGTTTCCTCCTAACATGTTACAGTTATCCTGTGTACAACCAAAAACACACTAATATGTTAGAAGTGGAGATAAAGTCCTGGAATGATGTTAACTCTTCTCCTTGATGTCATGTAACTTACACAATATAAGGTAAAGTTAACACATCTTACTTTACATGATAAGGGAGTAGGGGAGGGAAGAAAATGAAAATATTTGCTTTATCCATCTGTCTGTAAACACACACACACAGACACACACACAAATTTATTACAAAATAAGGTGAAAACACTCATGACAACTAGTCCTCATTTCTCTGTAACTGGCCACGTGGCCATAGCTGGTATTTACAACTACCTTCTTCTACTACCTATTCTGTACTCCCTTTGTCTTTAGCAGGCACCTCAAGTGGTCATGGTTCTTTACAAGTGTCAGTCGAGAAAAATGATGAGACAAGTCTTAATCATTTTAGGAGACTTATTTGCCAAAGTTAAGGATGGGCACCAGGGAGACAGGTCTATGCCTTTTTCTGGAGATGATTTTGAAGGCTCCAAATTTAAACGGGAAAGGGTGGGATATTGAGAAGTACACAATTTTCATGTAAGAAGGGGGTAGGGAAAAATAGTCATTTATGTCTTTGTCTGGCTCAGTGAATCTGCATTTTTTACATAAGATGACATAAACCAATGGAGTAGAGGAAAATGCAGGGAATCTGCATTTTACATAAGATAACACAGACAAATTGGACCAGGGGAACAATCAGATATGCATTTGTGTATGGTGGGCTGGAGGTGACTGCACCTCTAAAGATAAGCTATCAGTTTGCATTGCCATGGTGAAATTTTAACAGCTCACTAGGAATTTCTTTGTGGGCAAAATATGGGGGAGGCGTGTAGCTTTTTATGTTGTAGCCATCTTATTTAGGAATTAAAAGGGGGAGGCAGGTTTGTGTGACCCAGTTCCCAGCTTGACTTTTCCCTTTGGCTAAATGAGTTTGGGGTCCCAAAATTTAGTTTCCTTTCACACATGGTAGGATGATACACACCTTCATTCATGAACTGCCTGGACCATTATTAGCCCTGCCTGGATTAGGTTAATGTTGTTTTCTAATGACCTTAATCACAGGGCATGGTAATACTAAGAGACACCCTAAAGAATCTCCTGTATTCTAGATATACATTTCCTTACCTTCATTGTGGAGTCGTGTTTCAGTTTCCTCTTGGTAGTCAGGATCAATCCCTCCAGCCAGCACAGTAACTCACTTATTTTTTGAGCCAGAGGCATGAGAAGCACAAAGTGGCCAGGTGGTAGTCTTAACTTCCAGTTCAATGGAATCATCATTACGTATGTTGGTGGAAGTATTCCTGTCTTTGGAATTAAGACCGCTAGGCCAGAAGAACATAAGGTTGCAGGAACCAGAAACAAATATTTTCCTGCTGGGTCACTGGGAAAATAGTGAGTGGTGCTACTTCTATTTTCATCCCTTTATTCCTAGGCCTGTGAATTATGGCTGCTGGAGAAGCCATACCTTATATTGGATGCTGATTCAGAATATATACAGCCTCTGGAAAACCTTCCCCAACCCTGTAAGATATTGCTACCTTACTGGCACTGTAACTGGGTCTTCAATATGCCCTGCCACTATTCTGTCAAGCCAGCTGCCTCTGGATAATGGGGAACATGTTAAGACCAGTGAATTTCCTGAGCATAGACCCATTGCCATACCTCCTTTGCTGAGTGAGTTTTTGGTCAGAAGCAATGCTGTGTAGAACACTATGATGGTGGATGAGGCATTCTGTAAATCCACAGAAGTTTTGGCAGAAGTATTGCATGTAAGGAATGCAAATATGTATCTACGGTGTGTTATTCCTGTGAGAACAAAATTCTTCCTCTTCTATGATAGAAGTGATTCAATGTAATCAACCTGACACCAGGTAACTAGCTGATCACCCTGAGGAATGGTGCCATATTGGGGACTCAGTGTTTGTCTCAACTGCTGGAATATTGGGAACTCAAAGGTGACGATAGCCAAGTATGCTTTGGTGAATAGAAGTCCATGTTGCTGAATCCATGTATAACCTCCATCCTGCCATCGTGGTCGCTTTGTTCTTGAGCTCATTGGGTAATGACAAGGTGGCCGGGAAAAAAGTCTGACTGGTATCTACAGAACAGGTCATCCTATCCACTGGATTATTAAAATCCTCCTCTGTGAAGGTCATTCTTTGGTGTGCATTCACCTAGGACACAAATATCTTCACTTTTTTTTCTGTTTTTAGATGGAATCTCGCTCTGTCACCCAGTGCAGTGCAGCAGAGTGATCTCGGGTCACTACAATCTCCGCCTCCCGGGTTTAAGCGATTCTCCTGCCTCAGCCTCCCGAGTAGCTGGGATTACAGGTGCCCCCCACCATGCCTGGCTAATTTTTTTTTTATTTTTAGTAGAGACAGGGTTTCATCATGTTGGCCAGGCTGGTTTCGAACTCCTGACCTCAAGTGATCTGCCTGTCTCAGCCTCCCAAAGTGCTAGGATTACAGGCATGAGCCCCCACATCCGGCCTATCTTTACATATTTTTACCCATTCAGAGAGGTCTATCCACATGCATCTTCCTTAGATTTCCCTGTCACCAATTTCCCTGTTATCTTCCTTCCAAGTTCCTAATCATCTAGCCATCATTGGCTGTAGCCCATGCATTGTGCTACAGAATTGCAAGTCTGGTCATTTCTCCTTTCCAGCAAAGTGAATAATCAGGTTCACTGCCCAGAGTTCTGCTCACTGAGAGGATTCCCCTTCACCAGTGTTTCAGGGCTGTTTCAGAAAGGAGCCCTAGTTCTGTAGCTGTCTACTTTTGAGTGGTGCCTGCATACAGGACCATCTATAAATCAGGTACCAGGCTTTTCTTTTGTTTCAACCAAATGTAGGGACTCCCTGCCCATGAGGCCATAGGTGCAGACAGGAGACAGAAGGCCATGGAGCAGGAGTGGGGATCATGGGTATTTGAGCCGTTTCTTTATGGAACTTACTTTGCATTCAGGGCCTGCTTGGGCTGGATAACGTATTTACTACTTCCATTTGATGATGGAGTGTTGTTTGCATGCCCAACTTTATGGCTTCATAGGTTAGTTAACACCAAGTTTATTATGAGCATCTCAAATTGCATGGTAAGTTGGTGGCCTGTGTTTAAGTGTTCGGTCTCTACTAAGTCCCAACATTAGGCCAAAAGCTGTTTCTCAAAGGGGACTAATTATTTTTAGATGATGCAATGGTTTTGCTCTAAAATCCAAAGGGCCTGTACTACAGACCTGTAGGGACCTGTTCTACCCTTCACCTGTAGGAACTTGCCAAAGGCTCTAAACAGCTTCCACTACCACTACCGCTGACACTTTAAGCACCATTGGATCTGCTTAATTGTATGGCTCATAGTGGAAGAGCAGCTTGCACAGCAATCTGGATCTGTTGTAGAGTCTTCTCTTATTCTTGGCTCCACTCAAAATTAGTGTTTTTCTGGTCACTTGGTAAATGGGTGAGAGTAACACAAATGAGGAGTATGTTGTCTTCAAAATCCAAAGAAGCCCACAAGGCGCTGTGCCTTTTTTTCTTTTTCCTGGCGGCAGGAGAGGTCAGATGCAACAACTTACCCTTCACCTTAGAAGGGATATCTTGATATGCTCTAAACCACTGGCAGAAAAAAAAAGGCCCCTGAATTTTTGTCATATTTATTTATCACTCTGACACAGAAATGTCTTACCAATAAGTCTAAAGTGGTTGCTACTTCTTGCTCACTAGGTCCAATCAGCATAGTGTCATCAATGTAATGGACCAATGTTGTATGTTGTGGAAAGGAATTAAATCCTTGTGAACTAAATTATTACATGAGGCTGGAGAGATGATGTATCTCTGCAGTAGGACAGTGAAGGTATATTGCTAGCTTTGCCAGCTGAAAGCACATTGCTTCTGGTGGCCCTTATTGATAGGGATTTAGACAAAGGCATTTGACAAATCAATAGCTGCATATCAGGTACAAGATGAAACCACATCTGCAGCAGCTGCAATTGGAGTCACTACCTGAATAAGCATATGATAATCTACTGTCATTCTCTAGGATCTGTCTCTCTCCTGCACAGGTCAAATAGTCAAGTTGGTTGCAGATGTGGTTGGAATCACCATTCCTCCATCTTTCAAGTTCTCAATGATGGCACTGACTGCTGCAGTCCCTCTGGGAATGTAGTATTGCTTCTGGTTTACAATTTTCCTAGGTAGAGACAATTCTAGTACCTTCCATTTGCCCTTTCCCAATGTAATAGATCTCACTCAACAGATAAGGGAACTACTGGGATTCTGCCACCAGCTGAGTATATCTGTTGCAATTATGTATTCCTGAACTGGGGAAATAACCAAAGGATGGGATCAGGGATCCAGTGGACCAACTATGGGACAAAACTGAGCAAGAACTCTATTTGCTGATATCCATAAGCCCCTACTCTAACTGGTAGACCATAGCCATGTGGTCTCCTGGAATTAGTATCAATTCAAAGCCAGTATCCAGTAGTCCCTGGAAGATCGGATTATTCATTTTTCCCAATGCACTCTTACCCTGGTAAAAAGATAGAGATGCCTTTCAGGAAGGGTGAGAGAAAGATTAACAGTGTAAATTTTTGGCAGCGTTTTGAGGTCCTTCCTCAAGGGTACCCAGCCTCCCCTCATTTAAGGTGTTCTGGGTCTATTTACTGGCTCAAGTCTGGGAATTGATTGAGAGAGCATGACTCTCTGTTTATATGATTCAGGCTTGACTTCTGTTCACTTGACTTGGAACTTAGTGTTAGATATCTATTTTACTTTTAGAAACACTATCAACTAGCCAATGTCATAGTCCTTCTCGACTCAGATTATCTTGATGGCTGCTTCAGTTCTGCTGTGCATTATCATAACCCTTCCCACTTTGCCTTTGGTGGTTGAGTGCTGTGTATCAGCCCCTGCTGCCCTGGAACTGATTACTTCCATTGCATTCAGGTTTCCTAATTCAGTAGCCACAGTTTCCACTGTAAGGTCTGGCTTACAGATAAGTGAAATCACTCCCCTCACATATTTACTTTTCAAATTATTTATGAAAGGTATGTCTTCTGGACTCTCCCATTGTGGGTTCTACTGAAATGACATTAAGACTTAAATGACAAATTCACTCTAATATTCCAATTCCTCTAAGTTTTTAAATCATCTTCTGTCCATTAAACCAAGGCAGGTCTGGCATTTCCAACTCACTCATGATGGGTCATCTTTTGATCCATATTTCAACCAACTAAGCAAACAAACCATTAGCAAACAAACCTTTTCCAGCTCCCCAAACGACAAAATTTATTGCAAAATCTCTGCTTATTGAGCTCATATCAACATATTCAGCTTGACTTAACTTTATATTCAAAATTATATTATACTCTTACTATTCATTCCCACACATGTTTCC
Source organism: Homo sapiens (assembly GCF_000001405.40). Taxonomy (NCBI): domain Eukaryota; kingdom Metazoa; phylum Chordata; class Mammalia; order Primates; family Hominidae; genus Homo; species Homo sapiens. Next base: position 97,163,483 of record NC_000003.12, read on the forward strand.
AGGATTTCTGTCTTTATACATTTAGAAAACTCAGTAGGTCTTTTGGAATATAGGACACCTCCTTAGGAGTCACAATTTGTACCTTGTCTAGTTATAGGTCTAGAAGTAAAGAGGGATAGTGGTGATGGGTCCTGAGGAGGCTCAGCATAAACTTGCAAGGCAGCTATCCCATAGGAGACCATTACAGTCTCCACAGGCAGTGTAAGGCTAATTCCCTGAGATGGGGATGGAGAGGCAGCTTTCATGCCAGGGAGGCATCTGCCACTGGCAAAGAAGACTCATCAGAATTTAAGAACTCAGTGACCTTGGCTGCATCAGGCCATTCCCACATGGCCCCAATTTACAGAATTCTATTTCTTCCCAGTCAGTGCCCTCACTGTAACAGTAGACACCCTGAAAAAGCTGGGAGTATACTTGTATTATCATTAAGCCTGTTGAAGGAAGATATTCTGCATTTGATTTTTAACAATTTCAATTCTGCAGCTACTGGAAATAAAAGTCTTCTTGTGGGTACACACAGATGCCTTCAGGTTATTTTTGTGGTGCATAAACCAGGAATTCCAATTCTTGAGCTTTTCTTTCTCCACTTCTTCCAGTGACAATAGGAGGTAACTAGCCAATCTCATTATATTTGTTCATATATATTTGACATACATGTCCAAAAATATCCTATACACTTTCACTCAGATCCTTGCTTCTTATAAGTAGTGGAATAGGAGTATCACATATAGATATTTTGCATATTTGTATTGCCAGATTGTGCTAGGGACTATCTATCACTGCTCTCTTTGCTGTTGGAATAGTGTTATTAGCATCTTTAAATCTAATCCTATCATATTATTTGCCTCCACGTAACCACAGATGGCTAATTTGGTCATATATTCAGGCATTAGTAAATGGTTAAAATAATAGTATCTCTTACATATCTCATTTTATTTCTTACGTGTTTTATGTAGACTGTTCAATTTCTGAAAGTTTAAACCTCTCATGTTGCTTATTTTTCTCTCCTCTGCTACTTTTTAGTGTTATTATGTCCTTTAAAATTGCAAAAATAAGTAGAGGCTTGGTTTAAATATTATTTAAAATTGTGAATTGGAAATACTGAGTACTTCAGTATTACTCAGATATAACTGAGTAATTCAATTATATCTTCAAATAACTGGTGTTATTTGAAGCTATATTATATTCACATGGCATATGTGGTTCCCAGTGGGCAAATGATATTTTGGGAGACAGTCTTTTTTTCATGATTAAGTCTTACTTTACTTTTTCTCTCTTCGCAACCAATTAATTGTCAGCTTTTATTGGCTCTGCTTTCATGATGTCACTTACTTATCTTTATTTCTACCACCAGCATCCTATTTGAGGGTCTTATTAACTCTTTCTGGAACTTTTATTTAATGGACTCTTTCTCTTTAATCATTTCTGCCACTGATCCATTCTGAGGCCAATTTAATACTGTAAGAACAGAATTCTTATCAATAATCTTTATTTCTCACCACTGCCAACTAAGTTGAATATGAAATACACAGCTTAATATGTAAGACCCTCCACATCAGGGCCTCATGCTACCATTTCAAACATTTTTGTTACTAGTCTTCTACATATAGAGGTAGAGAAAAACTGGTCACTTTATTGTGAGTTAAAATGTGTTTCTGTTTTTGCATTTGCATTCCTTTGCTTGTGCTGTCATCCCTGACTGGACTTCTTTACTCCTTTGCTGTAATCTTTTCCTTGGAGATACCACCTATACTCCAAGATTACCTCAAATGTCTTCTCACTCTCCAACAAAATGCAACCTTTCTATTCTCTTAAATTCCACTTCAGGGACTTGTAACATATATAATATTTTCAACATCAGATTATATATATTTTTCATAAATTATTATAAACAGTATACCTTCTGCAAAGTATAATGACTTACACTTGCAAAGTATATAATAAGCATTTTTAAAATTTACTTAATTGATATCACTATTTGGTGAGCTGCAGGTGGCATTAAGATCATGGGGCAGTGGAAATCAGAGCAAATATATCTACAGTGTCTGGTTCTAAGAGTGAAAAATGTCTGAGCCTGGTAAAGAGCAGAAAAGAGTCAGGGTATAATGAGCAGAGACAAGTCTGGACTAAAGTGGGACAGACTAGAAGTGATTGTTATAGCCTAGGATCATTATCACTCTGACTCTACTGGTTAAGTTTTCTGCAGAAGGAAATAAAGATTTTGCTAGCGTGAGTGAGCACCACTGTGTAGGAAAAATTATCTAGAAAGTAGAAGAGGTAAGGAGCTTCTCCATATGGGAAGTAGAAGTAAATAAATTCTTATTGGAAGTTGAAATGGTATTATATTTTGGTAATTAATGATTTCTTTGAAAGTCTAGTGTTAAGTATTCAATAAAAAATTGCATTGTGTCTTGTCCCTACAAATCAAGTTTGCAATGCAGTCTGACAAATACAGATGCTTTTGGTTTCAATTTTGAAAAGAAGTGCATGACTAGATTTCTGTGTACCTATGAAGATGTGATAAATTATTTCATATTTTCATATGTCATTTGGAATAGGCTTAGAATATCTAATGGACCACTATGTTTTTTAATATTGAATTTGGGTGATTGTTTTATTGTAGAAGCAATTACTCTCCCAAAGGAAGTTTTAATTTAATGGAGCAAACATTCGGTAATCTTGTTATTATGTGCAAATATGTAAGTGCTGCTATGAAGGACACTAGATATTGTTCTCAGTTCCAAATACTTACACACTTTAAACAATTAGTTTGATATTAAAATACCTTTATAGTTTTTAAAAAGACCTTACAATAATTAACAAAACATTTATGCTTTCATCCTTTGTAGTCAGGAAAGAAAAGCTGAAAGTATGTACTTGTTTTTAAAAAAAAAAAAAAATAACAAACGTGTGTATAATGGCTTCTATGATGTTGGGGGGTGGGGAGACCCTGCCTGTGATCTTATGTATCACGAGTAGGTGATTTATTAAGTTAGGTTGGAAAGTCAAATTAAAATAGAAATTAAAACAGTTTTCTCTCATGGTTGACAAAAATCCATATTTATTCATATTTGGCAGATATTTTAGCGTTTTTGAAGAATCTTTGGAAGAATGTTAAATACAGTGCCTGGGCTACCATACACAGTTGTTTAGTTTGTGGACTGCATAACTCCAAAGGCCCCACATTCCTCAGGATGGGCCAGATAATTCTGCAGTGACAAATGCACCCTAAATCAGGGCAGATTATCATAACAATGTTTTGTTTCTTTCTCATGCTGTATAAGTACTGCTGATCAGCTACTGCTCTGCTACATGTCACCTTCATGCCATACTTCTAGGCTAAAGAAGTGTCTCCTATTATCAATTTCTGTTCAGGGAAACAGGGAAAGGGAAACAGTGAAACATAATCAGACTCCTAAAGCTTTTAACCAGAAATAATACAGGAACTTCAGCTTATATTTCATTGGACAAAGGAATTCAAATGACCACAATTCACCAAGGCATGGACATATAATCTTCCTACAAGATACACCGTGGAATATTGGCAGACATTAATGTGATCTACCAGAGGCACCATTCATATTCAATAAGACACAAATGACATCATTCATGTATGCAAAATGCTGTTGTGCCAGGAAGCATCTTTTCTGTTTATTTATATTAAAGCAATACAGTATATTATCTGTTTGAATTAAAAAGAAAGAAAAATTCAGACAGATGGAAAATATGGGTTTGATAAGAAATCAAAAGCATGTATTCCCTTCTTTAATACTTCTGAGGATCATTTATCTTTTCATCTACCACCAACCTAAAAGTAAATCACAAAGGGAAACAGATGCCTCAGACGGTGCCCAGCTTTCCTCTATCTCAGAAATTCTACATAGTCCCAGCTTCCTCTTAATGAAGTCTCAATGATTTCTGTTTCAACTTAGACCCTGAATTTCTATGTTTTCAGCCTCCATAAATATTTATTTTAGGTTTTTTTACTCTACTGTATGTTTAGGTGTGGATATTCATGTTAACTTTTATTTTAAAATAATCCCAATCTAAGTTAATTAGAGAATTGACTTAGACATGTCATTAATTTTGAAGTTCAAAACCCTGAGTATTAATAACAAAGCTAACTAGCTGATAACTCTCTGTGCTTTAAGATATAAGGTGTCATAAAAGATTATGTAGGTTCTTTTTAATACTATCAAACTCTAAAGAATAGTGTTCATTAAGACACTTTGCATGAGGAACAGCCTAATTTATCCAAGTCATATTTTTATATAGCGTATTTAAAATAAACAGTATTCTTTAGTATTAATTATAATGGATAATAGGTTTTCAAAACTAATATTTGGAATCCAAATATTCTTAAAATAAATAGATGGCTCACCATTTTTATTATTAGTACCATAGCATCCATTTTAATACTCTGAAGTTTTAATTATTTCAGTATTACACAAATTAAGATTTTAGACTTTACCTTTCTCTTTGATTCCATAACTAATAAAGATTTAAACTATTAAAGATTTCAATATAATTTCATTTTGTATGTATTTAGTAAAGAGAATTCACTTAAGAAATTTTTCTTAAGAAAGTAAAGATTATTAATTTCATCCTTTTCACATGATGGCATGAATTTTAAAATAATTCTGTTTATAGTTTTGCTGACATAATGGAAAATATCAATTGTTATAAAGTTATTATAAAATAATTAATTTTTTTACTGTGACTGAAAATGTTATTTGTAAATTCTGACACCTGCTTTTTCATTCTCAACAACGATTCTAACTCTACAGTTATTTATTCTATAACACTTTGATATGGTTTGGCTCTGTGTTCCCACCCAAATCTCATGTTGAATTGTAATTCCCAATTTTGGAGGTGGGGCCTGGTGGGAGGTGATTAGATCGTGGGGGTGGTTTCTAGTGCTGGAGGACCATCCCCCTAGTGCTGTCTCATGATAGAGTTCTCAGGAGATCTGGTTGTTCAAAATTGTGTAGCACCTTCCCCTTGCACGTGTCCATGTTCTCTTTTTCTCTCTCTGTGTTTCTCTGTGTGTTTCTCTCTCTCTCTTTCTTTCTTTTTCTCTCTCTTTCTCTCTGTCTCTCTCTCTCTCTCTCTGTGTGTCTCTCTCTGTCTCTGTCTCTCTCTTTCTCTCTCCTGCCGGCCATGTGAAGATGTGCTTGCTTCTCCTTTGCCTTCTACTATGATTGTAAGTTTCCTGAGGCCTCCCCAGAAACAGAAGCCTGTACAGCCCCAAAGAATGGTCAGCTCATTAAGACCCTTTTCGTTATACCCAGTTTCAGGTAGTTCTCTATAGCAGTGGGAGAATGGGCTGATATGGAAAATTGGTACCAGGAGTGGGTTATTGCTATAAAGATACCTGAAAATATGGAAGCAACTTCGGAAGTAAGTAATGGGCAGGGGTTGGAACAGCTTGGAGGGATCAGAAAAGACAGGAAGATGAGGAAAAGTTTGGAACTAGAGAGTTATTTATAGCAGTGTGATAATGGACTAATATACACTCTTTTTTCTAGTACTTGTAGAGTGGCATCTTACATTGGTGTAGGATTATTATACTTCGCAACACTTGTGTGTCACATTGGAGACTGTCTTATGCTCTCAGAATGTTCAATGTAGTCAATTTTTCCTTCAGCGTTGAAAGAGGTTGTTGTTTCTTCATTTGAGATCCAGGTGAAGTTGTTTGCCTGTGTTTAATGGCCATTAAACCACTAGTTTAGTGTTTAGTTGGATTAAATGCACACATTTTTAAGCAATCAAATCACATTCAATGTAGCATCACATGTGCTGAGGCTAGATGTGTGAAGGGCATGGTAGTTTAGCTAAGACACAAGATACAATAGCAGGTTCTCCACTTTGATTTCCTGTTCAATCTGGAATACACATTCATTCAGTGCAATGGATAGTAGAATTACCTTCAATGCCTAATTATTTAGGCATTCTTTTTGCTCTCTTCTTATCCTTCTCCCTTCCTGATAATCTTCCTCTCCCTATCTAGTTAAACTATTATTAGTATCTTGTATGTATGATGTGGTTCCATTGTAAACTTCTTTAGAGGCTTATTAAAGCCTCTCTTCTACAGGCTCATTTTCTGATATGTCTTCCCATTTCATTTGCAGATGAAAAGAATTATTGTCAAACTAATATAAATTCATAGATACATATTTGCACAGTAGTGCTTCGTAAAATGCAGCCATTTATGTATTGATTCTTGTCTTATTTTTCCTTTTTCTCATTTTACCTCACCTTAGTTTTTTCATTTGAATAAATGAATTGCTTTTCCCACTACTAAAAGTAAAATTTGTAAAGATTTTAACTTTATATGTTTTTACTTTAAGTAGATTTCATATGCAATGCAAAATTTGGATGTGAACAAGGAGGCTATAAAAAAGCCAGAGTAATAAGTGGGAGTTGAACAATGAGCATGCATGGACACACGGAGGGGAACATCACACAGTGGTGCTTGTCAGGGGGTTTGGGAAAAGGGAGGGAGCACATTAGGACAAATACCTAATGCATGTGGGGCTTACAACCTAGATGACGGATTGATAGATGCAGCAAACCACCATGGCACATGTATGCCTATGTAACAAACCTGCACATTTAGCACATGTATCCCAGAACTTAAAGAAAAAAAAAAAGCCAAAATAGAAGGAAACAATCACTGCTCTAAGAATAAGTGAAGGAGTTCTATATGGAAGGGAATTGAGGAGGGGAACTTAAATTTTAGGTTTTATGGTTGAAGGCAATGAGCAAGTTAAAATTGTTACTATTAGTGCAACTTTATTTGTACACAAAATTGAATCAAGAAATCCATGTTTTATGACTGAAAGACCACTGCTATGAAGCTGCTTTTAATACCTGGGGCGTAATCTGCAGGAATGAGCCATGATGAATGTGAAAGACTGGATAAAGTTGGCAAGTTTAAGGCTTGTGCTGAAAAGAGATTAAGAAATATGGAGCCAGGCGTGGTGGCTCACATCTGTAATCCCAGCACTTTGGGAGGCCGAGGTGGACAGACCACCTGAGGTCAGGAGCTCGAGACCAGCATGGCTACTGTGGCAAAACCTCATCTCTACTAAAAATATAAAAATTACCCAGGTGTCATGGTGCATGTCTCTAGTCCCAGCTACTCAGGAGGCTGAGGCAGGAGAATTGCCTGAGCCCAGGAGGCTGAGATTGCAGTGAGCTGAGATCTTACCGCTGCCCTTCCACCTGGGCGACAGAGCGAGCCGATGTCTCAAAAAAGAAAAAGAAAAGAAAAAAAAAGAAATATAGGACCAGGTCTGAGAGGAGACAGAGAAATAAATTCCAAGGAGTTATACATATGCACTCTTCATATTGATACACTTTTTCTTTTTTGAGAATACAGGTGTTCCTCAAGTTAAAATGGGGTTGCATCCTGGTAAACCTATTGTATGTTGAGGATATTGTAAGCCAAAAGTGTATTTTTGCATATTGAATGTGTATCACTATGAAGTCAAAACATGTATCACCATAAATTCAAAAAATGTAACTTGAACCACTATAAATAATGGACTGAAAAGGAGTGAGAAACTCACCATTAAGTGTAGGAACTAACCAGGAAAAAATTGTCTTAGAGAAAACGAGACAATTAGAACAAAGATGGTTAGTATCAGCTACAGATTTATGAGAGATGGACGGCATTGATTTCCCATGGAGTTGAGACAAACCATGTTAAATCAGTGTTTTTCAAATGTTTAAGTGAATGAATGAATGAAAAACATTAAGTATAAACATTTATTCCAAATGCATAGAAAGGAATTAACTACTATCTAATGAATGAAAAGTGTGAGAAGAAGATAAAGCTTAAACTTTTTTGAATCATGGAATAAGAAAATAGGAAAATTTATGTGTAGGAGAGTAATAATATCATTTGGTAGAATCTAGGGGGGAGGAAGAGGGACAGGAATTGAATCACCTATATTTATAGGAAGCAAGAAATAATGAACATAGAATTAATAGGAATGGAGAAGAAGACAAACATGCAACAGGTATTATAAAGATAGAACCAATATGTTCAAAGATAGAACCATCTTAGAAGTGACATGATTTCTGGGTAAGTTTGGAACCACAGCTAGCCCCAAAATTCACCTGTAAGTTATTGGGAGAATGATAGTACAATTACCAGAATTATAGCAAACTAGAGGATGAACAGATTTAGGATGCAGTTAGTGGGGAGGAAGAAAATGATTAGTTCAATTAGAGACATAATAAGCTTAAATACCTGTCAATTATGATTCCCAGAAGATAATTTGAAAAAAAGCCTATGTCATTTGTCAAAGGCAGAAAACAGGAATCACCAAGAGCCAATCCGGAGTAGAATGAGTTTAGGGATAACAAAAAACCTTGGTAAACTATAGGTTAAAATTATGGAGTAATTACTGAAGAAGAACAATAAGGCTATACTATCAAGTAAATCAAAGCAGCAATATCAAGAAGGAAGTGCCTTCAACTTTGCTCAATTCAATACTGAGGTAGAGTATTGAGAAAGGCAATTGGTATCTGATTTACTGGTCACCTTTAAGAATATGGTTTTAATGAAATGATGAGGGGAAGCCAGGTTGTAATGGGCCAAAAAAGTGGTGGGTGCTGTCTTGAACATGGCATATATAGACTGATGTTTTGAAAGTTTACAGTGAGGCATTGGTTTAAAAGAGTGTATAGTGACCTAAATGGGATTAGGATCAAGAGATGTGAAATATGTAGAAATAATAACTATTATATCTTACCTATTTTCTGTCTCCTCTGGATATGTAACTATTTTATATCTTATGTTGAGTTTTGCACAGTTTCTGACATACAAAGAAGTTTCTTAACATATTTGTTGAATTAATGCAGAAATGAGTGAGAAGGCCAGCTGGGAAGCTATTTACTTTTCTATCCAGAATGCTAAAACTCTCATCCCTTGCAACTATTTCAGGAATAGATAGTTCAAGCAAAACTATCTAATTGCACTGTGATTCTTACTCATTCTAAAATCTGTTATTGGTACTTGTACATAGAGGAAATATGAAATGCTGAAACACAACTTTAAGCAAATGAAAACTAGTCATACAGTTAGACACAATGCCAAATAGTTTTTTTGGGGGGGACTGAATTAGATTCCTTTTTAAGTGTCGCTTCTGGCCCATGAATATGTATCTGTAGGTTTGTGTACATCTGCTTTGATCATAACATTCCAAAAGTGTCATATCCTAAAGAAAAAGAATTGCTCTAAAACTTAGAGATGTACTTACTGTTGTATTCTATCAGTATCTCAACTGGCTTGCTTTGAATAATAGCATCATCAATTTACTTTTCTGTTGCTCAAATGACCGGTTACAAAGCACAACCAAACTGTTGTAGTTTTAGGAAATCAACAGTATTTACATTTTTATTGAGCAAACAGAATGCTATTCATTGCTTTGACCAGGGGTTACTGATGATCTGAAAAGTGATTAATGGTCAGCAACAACAAATTTATTTCAGGAGCTTATAGATTTCCATGGGATGTGATTTTATGCTTTAGTTGACTTGCCATGTTTTGTCATTTTTTTATTACCTCCCATGCCATATACTGTGTAAATATATTAAACTTTTTGAGATATCTTAGATGTTTTGACTGGATCTCGGCTTACACTTGGACAAGTTAGATAACCTACCAACAGTAATAAATGTAAATGTGAAATGTCATAAAGTGCTTTTGAAATGTATTAAAGCTTAAATGTCAAGTGGCATGCTAGCATATTTTAGAAATATGATTTACATTAAATGTTTTAAAATATTATTTTAAGACATTTAAACAAATACGAGCTAAAGAACTAGTGGAAATGTCTGTTCATACAAAACATTTCCCAATGCCAGACCAATGTGGAAAAAATATTTAAAATTTTATGAAGTATATATGTATTAAGTACATCATGGTCAGTAAATAAAGAGACCACTGGACTTGTAACCAGATCATTTAGATTCTAGTCCTAAAATATGCCAGGATAGCAGCAGAGTGGGAACATTTTTTGAAAACTATACTAATTACTATGTGTCAGGAAACAGAACATTAACTACACTCTTAATTCTACAAGTATTTTCAACAAGTTTCCTGTTGTACTTACCTTTATGAAATAATCAGTCTGCTTCTCTTTTAGGTAAGTGGAATCTGTAATGTATACAAGATGTGAAAATAAAAGTACTTTGATTTAGTGTATAGATTTATAATTATTAACTATCCTGCCAAAGTAACAAATGACACATTTAAGTGCAAACATGTAAGAGGTGTATATAGTTATAAAGTACATGAGATGTTTTGACACAGGGATGCAGTGTAAAATAAGCCCATCATGGAGAATGGGGTATCCATTTACTCAAGCATTTATCCTTTGAGTTACAAACATTCCAGTTACATTATTTATTTTAAAATATTCAATTAAGTTGTTATTAACTACAGTCACCCTATTGTACTTTCAAACATTATGTCTTATTCATTCTTTCTATTTTTTTTACCCATTAACCATCACCTTCTACCTTCCCCCCCAGTCCCCCACTACCCTTCCCAGCCTCTGATAACTATCTTTCTACCCTGTATGTTCATGAGTTCAATTTTTTTTTTTAATTTTTAGATCCCACAGATAAGTGAGAACATGTGATGTTTGTCTTTTGTCTTTATGTACCTGGCTTATTTCACTTAACATAATGATCTCCAGTTTTATCCATGTTATTGTGAACCATTAGATCTCATTCTTTTTTATGGCTGAATAGTACTTCATTGTGTATATGTACTACATTTTCTTTATCCATTCATCTGGTGATGGACATTTAGGTTGCTTCCAAATCTTAACTATGGTGAGCAGTGCTGCAACAAACATAGGAGTGCAGGTATCTCTTTAATATACTGATTTCCTTTCTTTTGGGTATATTCTTAGCATTAGGATTGCTGGATCATGTGGTAGCTCAATTTTTAGATTTTTGAGGACCCTCTAAACTGTTCTCCATAGTGCTTGCACTAATTTACATTCCCACACAGTATGCAAGGGTTCCCTTTTCTCCACATCCTTGCCAACATTTGTTATTGCTTGTCTTTTAGATATAAGCCATTTTAACTGAGGTGAGATGATATCTCATAGTAGTTTTTATTTGCATTTCTGTAATGATCAGTGGTATTGAGCACCAGTGTCTATACCTGTTTGCCATGTGTATGTCCTCTAAGAAATGTCTATTCAAATATTTTGCCCATGTGTTGATCAGATTATTATAGTTTTTTTCCCATAGAGTTGTTTAAGCTCTTTATATATTCTGGGTATCAATTCCTTGTCAGATAGGTAGTTTGCAAATATTTTCTCCCATTCAGTGGGTTGTCTATTCACTTTGTTGATTGTATCTTTGCCGTGAAGAGCCTTTTCAACTTGATGTGATTTCATTTGTCCATTTTTGCTTTGGTTGCCTGTACGTGTGGGGTATTGCTCAAGATATTTTTGCCCAGACCAATATCCTGGAGAGTTTACCCCAAAGTTTTCTTGTAGTGGTTTCATAGTTTGAGGTCTTAGATGTAAGTATTTAATTTGCTTTGTTTTAACTTTGGCATATGGTGAGAAATAGGGGTCTAGTTTCATTATTTTGCATGTGGATATTCAGTATTCCCAGCACCATTTGTTGAAGGACTGTCTTTTCCCCAGTGTATGTTCTTAGCATCTTTGTCAAAAATGAGTTAACTGTAGGTGTGTGGATTTGTTTCTGGGTTCTCTATTATTTTCCATTGGTCTATGTTTCCATTTTCATGCCAGTACCATGCTGTTTTGGTTACTATAGCTCTGTAGCATAACTTGAAGTCAGGTAATGTGATTCCTCCAGATTTGTTCTTTATGCTTAGGATAGTTTTAGATTTTCTGGGTCTTTTGAGATTCCACAGAAATTTTAGGCTTACTTTTTCTATATCTGAAGGTCATTGGTAGTTTGATAGGAATTGTGTTAGATCTGTGGATTGTTTTGTGTAGTATGGACATTTTAACAATATTGATTCTTCTAACCCATGAACATGGAATATTTTTCCATTTTTTGTTGTAATCTTCATTTTCCTTCATCAGTGTTTTATAGTTTTCATTATAGATCTCCTTCATTTCTTTGGTTAATGCCTATGTATTTAATTTTTTGTGTGGCTATTGTAAATGTAATTACTTTTCAAAAATTTCTTTTTCACATTATTCACTGTTGGCAGATAAGAATGCTATTGATTTTTGTCTGTTGAATTTGTATCCTGCAACTTTACTGAATTTATCACTTCTAATAGTTTTCTTGTGTTTCTTTTCTAACAGTTTTTATATTAGGTTTTTCCAAATACAAGATCATATCATCAGCAAACAAGGACAATTTAATTTCTTTATTTTCACTTTAGATGCCCTTTATAACCTTCTCTTTTCTGATTGCTCTAGATAGGCCTTCCAGTACTATGCTGAATAATAGGGGTGACAGTAGGCATCCTTGCCATGTTCAAGATCTTAGAGGAGAGGATTTCACTTTCTGCCCATTCAGTATGATACTAGCTTTGGTCTGTCATATATGGCTTTTATTATGAAGAGGTGTGTTCTTTCAATACTCAGTTTTTTGAGGATTTTTATCATGAAGTCATGTTGAATTTTATCAATTTTTTTCAGAATCAATTGAAATGATTATGATTTTTATTTTTCATTCTGCTGATATGATGTGTCATGTTGATTTATTTGCATATATTGAACCACCTTTGCATTGCAGGGATAATCCCACTTGGTCATGATGAATGATCTTTCTAATATATTGTTGAATTCAGTTTGCTAGTGTTTAGTTGAGGATTTTTTCATCAATATTTGTCAGAGATATTGGCCTGTAGTTTTCATTTCTTGATGTGTCTTAGTCTGGTTTTGGTAGTGGGATAATACTGGGCTCATAGAATGAGTTTGGAATTATTCCCTCCTTCTCTGCTCTTCAGAAGAGTTTGAGTAGGATTGATATTAGTTTCCTTAAGACTGGTAGGGTTCAGCAGTGGACTCGTTGGGTCCCAGGCTTTTCTTTACTGGGAGGCTTATTTAATAGCTTTGATTTTTGTTACTTTTTATTGGTTTATTGAGGTTTTGTATTTCTTCCTGGTTCGATCTTGGTAGGTTGCGTGTATCTAGGAATTTGTTCATTTCTTCCAGGTTTTTCAATTTATTGGCATATAGTTGCTCATAGTAGCCACTAATTATCGTTTGAATTTTTGCAGTATTAGTTGTAATGTCTCCTCTTTCATTTCTGATTTCATTTATTTGGATCTTCTCTTTCTTTCTTAGTGTGGCCAAAGGTTTGTCAATTTTGTTTAACTTTTCAAAAAATGAGCTTTCTGTTTCATTGATCTTTTGTATTTTTTTTTCATTTCAATTTCATTTATTTCAGCTGTGATCTTTATTGTTTCTTCTACTAGTTTGGGTTTGGTTTGCTCTTGCTTTTCTAGTTCTTCAAGATGCATCATCAGATTGTTTATTTGGAGTTTTCCCTCTCTTTTGATGTAGGCACTTGTAGCTATAAATTTTCCTCTGAGTACTGCTTTTGCTTTATCCCATAGGTATTTTATGTTTCCATTATCATTTGATAAAAGAATTTTTCAGTTTTCTTATTAATTTCTTCATTGACCCACTGTTCATTCTGGAGCATATAGTTTAATTTTCATGTATTTGTGTAGTTTCCAAAATTCCTCTTGCTATTAATTTTTAGTTATATTACATTGTGGTCAGAGAAGATGCTTGATATGATTTCAGTTTTTTGAAGGTTTAAAGACTTGTTTTGTGACCTAACATATGGCCTATCCTTGAGAATGATCCATCTGCTGAGGAAAAGAATCTGTATTCTGAAGCTCTTGGATGACATGTTCTGTAAATATCTATTATGTGCATTTGATCTATAGGGCAGATTAAGTCTGATGTTTCCTTGTTGATTTTCTGTCCAGAAGATCTGTCCAGTGCTGAAAGTGAAGTGTTGAAGTCTACAGTTATTATTATATTGGGGCCTATCTCTGTCTTTAGCTCTAATAATGTTTCCTTTATATATATGCATGCTCCAGTGTTTGGTTCATATATGTTTACAATTATGATATCTTTTTGCTGATTCAACCCCTTTATATATCTGTGTGCTCCAGTGTTTGGTTCATATATATTTACAATTATGATATCTTTTTGCTTAATCGACCCCTTTATCATCATATAGGGACTCTGTCTCTTCTTATAGTTTTTGACTTGAAATCTATTTTTTTCTGAGATAAGTATAGCTACTGTTGCTCCTTTTTGGTTTACATTGGCATGGAATATCTCTTACCATCTCTTTATTATCAGTCTATGTGTGCCTTTAAAAGTGAAGTGTGTTTCTTGTAGACAACAGATCAGTGGGTCTTGTTTTTTCATCCATTTAGCCAGTCTGCATCTTTTGTTTGGAGAGTTTGGTCCATTTACATTCAATGTTATTATTGATAAGTAAGGACTTACTCCTGCCATTTTGTGACTTGGTTTTCTGATTGTTTTGTCATCTTCTCTTCTTTGTTTCTTTCCTTCCTGTCTTCCACAAGTGAAGATGATTTTTCTGGTGATATGACTTAGTTTCCTGCTTTTTGTTTTTATGTTTTTGTGTATGAAGTTACCATTAGGCTTGCAAATACTATCTCATAACCCACTATTGTAACCTTATAACAATTTAACACTATTTGCATAAACAAACAAACACAAAGAAAACTAATAAAAATTCTATGCCTTAACTTTTATCACACTGCTTTTTAATTTTTTGTTGTTTCTATTTATATCTTACGGTATTCACTATGTCCTGAAAAGTTGTAATAGTTATTGTTTTTGATTAGTTTATCATTTAGTCTTTCTGCATAGATAAGAGTAGTTTACACACCACCATTGCAGTGTTATAACATTCTTTGTTTTTCTGTGTACTTAATATTACCAGTGAGTTTTGTACCTTCAGGTGACTATTCATTGCTCATTGATGTCCTTTTCTTTCTGATTGCAGTGCTCCCTTTAGCATTTCTTGTAGGACAGGTCTAATGTTGATTAAATCCGTCAGCTTTTGTTTGTCAAGGTCTTTATTTCTCCTTTATGTTTGAAGGATATTTTCACCAGATATACTATTCTATGATTAAAGTTTTTTCCTTCAGCACTCTTCATATGTCATGCCACTCCCTCCTGTCCTCTATGCTTTCCACAAAGAAGTCTGCTGCCAGACATATTGGAGCTCCATTGTATGTTATTCGTTTCTTTTCTCTTGCTGCTTTTAGGAAACTTTCTTTATCTTTGATCTTTGAGAGTTTGATCATTAAATGCCTTGAGGTAGTCTTTGGGTTAAATCTGCTTTGTCTTCTATGACCTTCTTGTATTTGGATATTGATATCTTTCTCTAAAGTTTGAAAGTTCTCTGTTATTATTCCTTTGAATAAACTTTCTACCCCTATCTCTTTTTTACCTTCTCTTTAAGGCCAATAACTCTTTGAATTGCTCTTTTCTAGATACTGTAGAATCTAGAGGCTATTTTCTAGATTCTGTAGATGGTCTTCATGGTTTGTTATTCTTTTCTTTTTCTTTTTTGTCTTCTCTAACTGTGTATTTTCAAATAACCTGTCTCCAAGCTCACTAATTCTTTCATCTGCTTGATCCATTCTGCTATTAAAGGACTCAAACACATTCTTCAGTATACCAATTACATTTTTCAGCTCCAGAATTTCTGCTTGATTTTTTAATTATTTCAACCTCTTTATTAAATTTTTCTGATAGAATTCTGAATTCCTTCTCTGTGTTATGTGGTATTTTTTTGAGTTTCCTCAACACAGCTATTTTGAATTCTCTGTCTGAAAAGTCATATATCTCTATTTCTCTCAGGTGCCTTATTTAATTCATTTGATGAGGTCATGGTTTCCTGGTTGATGCTAATGCTAGTAGCTGTTCTTTGGTGTCTGGACACTGAATGGTTAGGTATTTATTGTGGTCTTCACTGTTTGGGCTTATTTGTAGTCAGTCTTTTTGGGAAGGCTTTCCAGATATTTGAAAAGACTTGGGTGTTGTGATCTAACTAGTACCTGCTTTAGTGGGGACCTCAGGCCCAGTAATGCTGTGGTTCTTACAGACTTTTAGAGGTACTGCCTTGATGATCTTGGACAAGGTCCAGGAGAATTCTCTGGATTGCCAGGCAGAGACTCTTATTCTTTTTTACTTTCTGCCAAACCTACAGAGTCTCTCTCTCTCTCTCTCTCTCTCTCTCTCTCTCTCTCTCTCTCCTGAACCACTTAAAGCTGGAGGTGGGGTGTTACAATTGCTTCTATGGCCACCACCATTGTAACTGCACTGGGTCAGACTTGAAGCCAGCACAGCACTAGGTCTCACACAAGGCGTGCTGTAACCACTCCTTGGCTACTGCATGTGTTCACTCAAGACCCTGGAGCTTTATAATCAGCAGGTGGCAAAGTCAGCCAGGTCTGTTTCCTTGCCTTAAGGTTGGCAAGGTCCCCCAAATTCTGGGTTGGTCCAGATGTACTGTCTTGGAATCAGGGACAAGAGCCAAAAACCTAAGAAGTCTACTTGGTGTTCTATAAGTGCATCTAAGCTGGCACTTAAATCACGAAATGCAGCTCTTCCCACTCTTCCCTCCCCTTTTCAAAGGCAGAGGAGCGTTCGTTTGTAGCCACCAGCAGTTCAGGCCACAAGGAGTACCACCAGACTACCACCAATGTTCCCTTAAGGCCAAGGTCTCTTGCTTGTCATGAATTCCTCCTGACCTGGTACTCGTCCTTCAGGGCATTGGGCACTCCTCTGGCCCAGGGCATGTCCAGAAATACCATCCAATTATCAAGTCCTGGAATATGGAGCCCCAGGAAATCACTTGGTGCTATACCCTGCCATGGTCATGCTGGTACCTAAGGTACAAGGCAAAGACCCCTTTACTTTTCTTTCTGCTTTCCAAGGCAGATGGAGTTTGCCCTGTAGCCACCACCACTTGTTATGTGCTCAGTCTCACCTGAAACCACCAGGTTTCAGAGGATCACTGCTGGTTATTCAGGGTCCAAGAGCTCTTCAGTTAGCAGGTGATGAATGCTGCCAAGACTGGGTCTTTTCCTTCAAGGTAGCAGGTTTCCCTCTGACCTAGAGTGTGTCTAGAAATGTCATCTGGGAGCTAGGGCCTGGAATGGGAGACTCACAACTCTGACTGATGCCCTATCCTGCTATGGCTGAGCTGGAATCCTAGATACAAGATAAAGTCCTCTTTACACTTCCCTCTCCTCTCCTTAAGCAGAAGGAAGGGGTCTCTTTTGGAACTGTGATTTGTGCAGCCTGGGGTTAGGGGAGGCTTGATGCCAGCCCTCCCTTGGCTGTCCTAGCTAGCGTCTCAGTATATTAGGAGCCCCGCCCCCCAACCCCACCAGGCAACTGTCTCTGGACCTATTTCAGCACTAGGACTCACCTAAGAGTTGTAGTCCGTATGGCTTAGACTACCTTTCAAGTTTACTTGGAGACACAGAGTGATGTAGCCCTCTGTGATGAGGTTTGCAGGTACTCAAGTTTAGACCACTGGGATCTTCGATTTCCCTCTGGCTGGTGTTGGTTTAAATGATCTTTTTGTGGGTGGGCACCAGGTGCGTTTGGTCTGGTTTTCCCTTCTGCCCTAACAAGATAGCACTGAGTACATTGTCTCAGAATTGCTATGTCCTTTCTCCCCCAGTGTCCAGATATGCTCTCCCAACCATATTGCTGCTGCACAGGGTGGAGAAGGGTGGCTTTGGCCATTCAGAAGGGTTTTTTCATCTCTTCAGTGCCTCTTTCAGCAATATGAATTTAAAACCAGGCACTATGAGTGGTCACCTGATTTTTGGTTCTTATGAAGGTGTTTTTTCTCTGTAGATAGTTGTTATCTTGGTGTTCTCATTGAGGGGAATGATCACTGGAATTTTCTATTTCACATCTTTCTCTGCCCTCCTCCCTTTCCTTGTTTGTTGACGTTCCCTAGCATGCAAAGTAAGTCATGCATGAACGGTGCACAATAATTCTTGTTTTGCTTTGATGTGTTAGTTCTTAAGGATATCAAATAGCAGAAGTGTATATATATATGTGTGTGTGTGTATATATGTGTGTGTGTGTATATATATGTATAAAACTTTTAACCAGGAAAATTTAAATTTAATAAATTTGAAGTTATCTAAAATAGCTTATTTATAATTATTAGAGGATTTGGCCAGTTGATTTTCGCACTGAGTTCAGCAGTAGCCACACAATGGTTGATGACCTTTTTTAAAAAAGCAAATGGGAAAACTAGATTTATAGCATGGATATCAATTCTATTTAAGGCAAGATGAAGCTTTTTCTCTTGTGTGTCACCTTCTTTTCGATGGCTCCACTGCACAGTGGGTACTCCAGGGACTGTCACTGTGCTTTTTTGACCTTGACCTCCAAACATTATGATTCATCTGGGAGCCGACACTTGGCACAGCTGAGCCAATTAGATCCCATCTTCTTTAATTTAAACTTGGAATGGAGAAGTATAACTGCCAAAGGTTGTTGCAGATGAATCATTCTGGTGGCCATACCCCAGAGAAAAGATGAACAAACTTGGTGCTTGCCCTTCCAGAAGCTTTTTATTATGTCCCATTGGTTTTTCAAAAAAGTATGCACTACATTTATTTTTCTCATTCTGTCAGTTTGGCTTCTATTTCCTATAACTAAAATGATATTAACTATCATTTCTAGTTTGTTCTCAGAAAACAATAATTTTAAAAATTTCTGAGAAAAATAATTGCTTCCTGCTGACATTCCATCAGAATGTTGACTTTTATCCACAAATTTATTATTATAATATTATATATAATTATCATATTATAATAAATATGTTTGTTTCATAATATATTATTATACTAATACACTTGCTTATTTAAAGGGCAACAGTATTGAAAAATTTAAGAAATGCACGGAATTTTTAGTTTTACAATGACAGTCTTTACAGATTGGTTCCTTGCAATTGACTCTTCAGAAACTATAAATTTTTTATTGTTAACATATCATAGTTTTTCAACTGGAACACAATCAGTATTTTGTCTTTAAGGAGGATTAATGAAGGTGACAGAACTGCATCCTACTCTTGTGGGAAAATATCAAGAAATCAGTCTAGTTTCAATCAGTCCTGATGAGTTTGTGCAGACTAAAGTGACTCCAGGAAGCCTCTTCAAAGAAATTGAATACCTTTAAGACAGATGATGTTTTCTTCATTGATATTTTAAAAAAGTCTTCACACATAGTTTCATAAGAGAAAGTAGTGTAGAACTAGTTCAGTATGTTTTAAATAAGAAAACTGGAATTATGTGAGTGGTAAACATAAGGCCACAGCCTATGTTTTACTGAAAAGTAGGTGGTTGCCTGGAACTCTAAAACCAAGAATAGATAAAGACAAAAATTTGTAATAAAAATGTTTAAACCTGGCCAATTTCTTCTTTGTTTTTTATGGAAGAAGAAAACAGAGATTTTAAATCTACTTTTTTTTTCTTCTCTTGGGTTCTACTTTGTTTTCAAGATTATTTGAAAATGCTTTTTATTTTTAAATGGTGTACATCTCTTTTAATTGTTTAGCTTAATTTTATTTAATAACACTGTGCAATTGTAATTCATAAGGGCTTTCAAATATATATCTCTAATTTTCATGTGCCCTAAGTAGTGAATATTTTATGCCCATTTTGTGATGAGAAGGTACAATCGAGTAGAGTCAATGTACTTTCCCAAATATCATCACTCTCCCTGACTCAGGTCTAAAGTAAAAATTAAGTACAATTCCATAACCCTGAAAAAATGTTAATTATCACTAGATGTGAAATAAATACAAATTAAAATGATGAGGTACAACTATAAATTCCACAATATTAGATAATGTGATAGATTGGACAAAAATGAGATTTCATTAAATTATGCTATTGTACATCTACATTTTCTGGCACAACTATATTTTATGACTTAGTGTCATAACTTTAACTCTCAGCTATACATTTTGAAAGTAAAGGAACATCTCATAAAAGTTATTCACATTCTAAACTAATTTATGTAAAAAGAAATAGTTTATTCTAGGTAGATTTTTCTTTGTCAATATCTCATGTTTTCTTTAATTAAATTAAACATAATGGCCTCACTTTATAATATTAAAGATGTTAGTCATTATTGGCAGTCTTAATTTTGTGTGTGTGGTGTGTGGGTGTGCACACTCATAGATGTTCGTGTTTTCCTGGCCGTAACTTCAGGTAAGATCTTGTCATGTCAGCATTGTAAATTTATTCAGACTCCAGACCTTCCTTTTTCATTAAATTAACCAATCGATGTCTAAGGCAATCAGTGGATTCTGCAGAAGCTGATATGCCTTTTACAGCAGTTCAGCAACAAGATTTGCTCACTTCCTTAGTTCTGTGTTACACTTTAAATTTCATTAGCTGATCTTCCAAAATAATAATGGCTTCATTGTTTCACTGAACATTTTAAAATCATCATTGAAAGTTCGATTGGATTTACATAGTTTTATAGATAGAATTATAAAATCATATACCTGAAATGTTTGTATAACATTAATTTTGGAGTTGTACCTTTGCCATGTATTTTTAAAACCACTCTAATAGCTTTAAAACAATTTCTTGAGAATAAGAGAATTATTCTTATGAGAGGTTATCAAGTTCTATTTTAAAGCAATGACAACTAATACAAGGTTAGAAGTAAAAGATTTTCCTTGAGTCTTACATTCTGCATCCTGGAAGCAACTTTCCAATCAACAGTTTTCATGGTTCATGGTTTCATCTTCTAAGGGATTCTTCCTTTCCCTAGATGCTCCCTAGCCATATATGAAAGTCAAATTTAAAATATGCCATCCTCTACAAAATCAGTGTGCAAAAATCACAAGCATTCTTATACACCAATAACAGACAAATAGAGAGGCAAATCATCAGTGAACTCCCATTCACAATTGCTTCACAGAGAATGAAATACCTGGCAATCCAACTTACAAGGGACATGAAGGACCTCTTCAAGGAGAACTACAAACTACTGCTCAATGAAATAAAAGAGGATACAAACAAATGGAAGAACATTCCATGCTCATGGGTAGGAAGAATCAATATCGTGAACATGGCCATACTGCCCAAAGTAAGTTATAGATTCAATGCCATCCCCATCAAGCTACCAATGACTTTCTTCACAGAACTGGAAAAAACTACTTTAAAGTTCATATGGAACCAAAAAAGAGTCCACATTGCCAAGTCAATCCTAAGCCAAAAGAACAAAGCTGGAGGCATCACGCTACCTGACTTCAAACTATACTTCAAGGCTACAGTAACCAAAATAGTATGGTACTGTTACCAAAACAGAGATATAGACCAATGGAACAGAACAGAATCCTCAGAAATAATGCCACATATCTACAACCATCTGATCTTTGACAAACCTGACAAAAACAAGCAATGGGGAAAGGATTCCCTATTTAATAAATGGTGCTGGGAAAACTGGCTAGCCATAGGTAGAAAGCTGAAACTGGATCCCTTCCTTACACCTTATACAAAAATTAATTTAAGATGGATTAAAGACTTCAATGTTAGACCTAAAGCCATAAAAACCCTAGAAGAAAACCTAGGCAATACCATTCAGGACATAGGCATGGGCAAGGACTTCATGTCTAAAACACCAACAGCAATGGCAACAGAAGCCAAAATTGACAAACGGGATCTAATTAAACTAAAGAGCTTCTGCACAGCAAAAGAAACTACCATCAGAGTGAACAGGCAACCTACAGAATGGGAGAAAATTTTTGCAATGTACTCGTCTGACAAAGGGCTAATATCCAGAATCTATAATGAACTCCAACAAATTTACAAGAAAAAAACAGACAACCCCATCAAAAAGTGGGTGAAGGATATGAACAGACACTTCTCAAAAGAAGACATTTATGCAGCCAACAGATGCATGAAAAAATGCTCATCATCACTGGCCATCAGAGAAATGCAAATCAAAACCACAATGAGATACCATCTCACAATTAGAATGGTGATGATCAAAAAGTCAGGAAACAACAGGTACTGGAGAGGATGTGGAGAAACAGGAACACTTTTACACTGTTGGTGGGAATGTAAACTAGCTCAACCATTGTGGAAGTCAGTGTGGCGATTCCTCAGGGATCTAGAACTAGAAATACCATTTGACCCAGCCATCCCATTACTGGGTATATACCCAAAGGATTATAAATCATGCCGCTATAAAGACACATGCACACGTATGTTTATTGCGGCAATTTTCACAATAGCAAAGACTTGGAACCAAGCCAAATGTCCAACAATGATAGACTGGATTAAGAAAATGTGGCACATATACACCATGGAATACCATGCAGCCATAAAAAGGATGAATTCATGTCCTTTGTAGGGACATGGATGAAGCTGGAAACCATCATTCTGAGCAAACTATCACAAGGACAAAAAACCAAACACTGCATGTTCTCACTCATAGGTGGGAATTGAACAATGAGAACACATGGACACAAGAAGGGGAACATCACACACCGGGGACTGTTGTGGGGTCGGGGGAGGGGGGAGGGATAGCATTTGGAGATATACCTAATGTTAAATGACGCGTTACTGGGTGCAGCACACCAGCATGGCACATGTTTACGTATATAACTAACCTGCACGTTGTGCACATGTACCCTAAAACTTAAAGTATAATAAAAAAAAATGTCATCCTCAAGAACTAAGCAGCCCTCTCAGCCTGCTTCCTAGCTATAGAATTTGGGGCCCCAAGATTTTTTTAAGTTGCTGACTAATCTAATGCAGGCTGGTAGCTTTACTGGTACTATTCTCAGAAGTACAGCTCATAACTCTCAAAAACATAGTAGTTTTTTCATTTGTTAAAACTAATCTATTCCATGTACCAGTATCCAAACTCTTGATCTTGTTGAGATATGCCCCTCTCTCAACTTAACTGCCAGTACCTTGATCTTATCAAGCTTCTTGGGAAAGCCATGCCTTTAATATCTTTTCGCTGAACACTTTGTCCAATGAAAAGGATTTACTGGGTGCCAAACGTATCGATTCAAAGTTTTTAATAAAGTCTGTGGTAGCTCAGCCCTTGAATTAGTTTGTCAACCTTTGCTACTCAAAACATTTCTCAGTGAAAAGAGACAAAAAGCAGTTGGTTCTTTCAACCCTACAAATCATGAATCTTGAGGATCATTCATTTTTGTTTTCCTTTGAAAAAATAGCCATTTTATTTTTGTGACCTCATGACTTCTTACAAGTTTGTCAAATACTGTCAAATACAGCCAGTAGCATTCAAGACACATTAGTAACATTATGTTTCCCACTCTTTTCACCTGTAACTACAAGCTGATTTGCCACATTACCAATTTACCAAATGTTTCAACACTGTATAATATGGGTTGCCATTTTTCCAGCTCTAATAATTATTGTCTTGCCTGGCCTAGAAGACCATATCACACCTTAAAAAAATTGTTATAGCAACACCATACTTTTATAACCAATTTCTGTAATAAGTCTTGCATTAACTAAGTTATGTTGTCATAAGAAATGACCCGAAATCTCCGTGGTGGCTTACAACAACCAAATTTTATTTCTCGTTCACATTATATGCTAGCTGTGGGGTTTAGTCCTGTGGCTCTTTTTAATTCTGTACATACAGATTTAAGGATCAGTTCTTTTCTGAAATGTGTTTTTCTGAGGCAAAAGAAAAATAGAAAAATTAGAATAATGTGATGGCTCTTGATACTTCTACTTAGGAATGCCATATATAAGCCGGGCACGGTGGCTCACGCCTGTATTCCCAGCACATTGGGAGGCTGAGGTCACTTGACATCAGGAGTTCAAGACCAACCTGGTCAATAAGGTGAAACCCCATCTCTACTAAAAATACAAAAATTAGCTGGGCATGGTGGCAGGCACCTGTAGTCCCAGCTACTTAGGAGGCTGAGGCAGGAGAATTGCTTGAGCCCAGGGGGGCAGAGGTTGCAGTGAGCCAAGATTGTAACACTGCACTCCAACCTGTGTGACTGACTGAGCGAGACTTCGTCTCAAAACGTCAAAAAAAAAAAAAAAGAAAAGAGAAAGAAAGAAAAAGAAAGAAAGGGAAGAAAGAAAAAGAGAGAGAGAAAGAAAGAAAGGAAAGAAAGAAAGAGAAAGAAAGAAGGAAAGAAAGAAAGAAAGAAAGAAAGAAAGAAAGAAAGAAAGAAAGAAAGAAAGAAAGAGGAAAGAAAGAAAGAAAAATGCCATATACAATTTCTGTCCTCATTACATTGGCAAGACACAGAATCAAGCCTAATGTTAATCAATGAGTACAGAGGGGGAGGTGCAGTCCTCTTAGTTTGGGCAGGAAGTGATTAGGAGTAATTATATAATCTTTTACACTCTCCCAAAATATAAGAGGAATGCAAATTAAAACAAGAATGAGACACCATTTGACACATATCTGATTGGCAAAAATCCAGTATGTTGATCATGCCAAAATCAGAACTCTCATTCTCTGCTGTTGAAACTATAAATTGACATAATCCCTTTAGAAAAAAATTAGTAATGTTTAGTAAAGCTGTGGAGTTTATGATCCAGAAGTTTCTTATTTTTCCAGGAAAATATTCCCACATGTATTCCTGATGGCATGTGCAAGGCAGCTCATCACAGCATTATTTTTAATTGCAAATAGTGTTCAGCAGCTAAATGGATCAGCAAATTTTAGAAATTATGGCATTTACTTATGATGGGATGCTAAACATCAGCTGTAACAAATAAACTGCATCTACATGTATCAGCATGGATAACTCAAGAATTAATGTAAAAAATAAATTTAAAAAATATATTTAAAGTAGACATTAAATTTTAAAACACACAGAAGCATACTATATATTATTTATTTACGTATTTCTATATTGCAAAAGATATAATAACAAGGACAAGAAAGAAACAAATCAAACTAGGGAGAAGAAGTAGCAAAACAAAGAAGAGGAAATGGAATAAGAAGAAAGGCTTCAACTGTATCTTTAAGATTTTATTTGCTTTAGAAAGAAATAAATACAGCAAACCATTATCATGGAGAAATGTTTTCATTTATTACATCTGGTGTGTGTCACATATATCATATGTTTGAAATATTTCTTAAATAAAGAATAAGTTATATAAGTAATGGTAAATTTGTACTATAAATTTAATCTACATTATGCAAATAAAAACAGCTCCATTTTATGTTAAGTAAAAAAATCATTTAGAGGAAAAATATGTACAGAGTTATAGTATTGCTGAAAGAATTAAACATGAAATTATGTATTTCCAAGTGGATATACATATGTTTATAAAAGCATATAAAAAAATCTAGAAGAACATAGGCTAAATCATTAACAGTGGCTACTGAAGATGAGCAGTTTGGGATTAGGGAAAGAGGCAGGTGACATTTCCTTTAGTTATATTGTCTGAATTTAAAAATTGCTATTATTATATTTTATAATTTTATATTATCTTTACGATAAAAATTGAAAGAGTTGATCATTGAAAGCTCAGCAATGGTGATAGTTATCTGCCACCATGACATTATTACATTTCATTTTGCTGAGATGATGCTGGAAACTTTACAAGGTGTCCATAAAATCTGGAAATGTAAATATAACATCATCAAGTACAATTTCTGTCTTTAAAAAATAAATAATATTATCTACATTTTCAGGCTTCATTGAAACTTTATGATATGAGATGTGCCAACAATAATGAGTAAGGATAATCAATATCAAGAAAGGTGTTCTTTAAATACTTATTTTAAATTGTTTGAGAAATAGCCCTTGGAAACATGAGCATTCTTGAAGAATGTAGAATCATGCAGTTCCTAGAAAGTTAGTTCAGCTGAGGGTTTTCTGAAATAAAATTATTTTTGCTTATAGAGAACAAGGAGCAGTAAAATTAAAAACAAGCCTACTGTATTTTTTTGTCATTTTCTCCAAACAAAATTTTAATACTTTAAAAATGTTTGGAGTATTTTCATGCCATTATTTAGGCTATAAATGGGTAAAGTGCAGTGCAACAGGGTTCTACTTTTATCTCTTTAGAAAGATTTATGTAACCTCAGAAATGTCCTCTATCTCTTCTCACACTTTTCACCACAAGGTCCTTTAATTGCAGCATTTATTTTCTCTCCACTTTGGAGATTATACATTATTAGGTTTTTATTCAAGGGAAGCTTAGAAACATACTTGGTCTACTTTTCTTCATTTCAAATTGTAGGTCATTATGTGACTATGACTTAGTTCAGAAACTGTATCTTCTACCAAATAAACCATTTCTACTTGTATAACAAAAATAAAAATGAATATATATAGATATATTTAAATGCATTATGATTGGCCACAATTTTTACGTGCTATTCCATGAGCTCAGAATCCCATGCTACAGAATCCCATGTAGATCTCCCTTCTAGTTGGTAACAGTGTATTGGAGATGGATGAGGATCTGAGTCCCCCTGAATGGAAATAACAGAATCTCACATAAGCTGACTCAGCACTATCTATAAGCCATGGATACTTATAGATAGTGGATACAGTAGGCAGGGTCAGTAGAAACGTCCATGAGAGTTTGGGTAATCCAAATATCCATAGGGTGTGAGAACATACTACACTTTGAAAGGAACAGTATACAGCAACCACCCTTTACTTGTAGTGATGCTATCATGTCCATCTTTTCACTGTTACCACTTCAAAATTCATTGGCCTGACTTCCAATTGTCAGCATATTTAACTACCAACATATTTATGTTTTGCATGAAGACTTTATCTTGTGGCTGGATTCCAGTTTGTGGACAATTAGTGTCCCTTAGGAACAGCCCTCAATGAATGACCTATGAGAAGCTGGTGTAAAAGCACCCCAACTTCTTTACCCCTTAAGTGGGATAATTCTGAGGTGCATGCCACTCTTACTGTCATAATTTCCCCAGCTGGATTAAACTGCAGTTACTCATGTTGGTAGCTGGCATGAAAACATCCCCTTTATGTGCTGCCTTAGTATCTGGAGGAACCCAAATTAAAATAGCATTATTGCCTTCATTTTTATGATTTTATTATTTATGTTTTAATTGACAAATATAAATTATATATATTTATGATATGCAATGTTTTGATATATGTATAGATTGTGGAATGACTGAATAAGCTAATTAATATATCCATTATCTCACATACTTATTTTTTGTGGAGGGGAGCGGGGAGGGATAGCATTGGGAGATATACCTAAGGCTAGATGACGAGTTAGTGGGTGCAGCGCACCAGCATGGCACATGTATACATATGTAACTAACCTGCACAATGTGCACATGTACCCTAAAACTTAAAGTATAATAAAAAAAAAGTCTATTAGCAATTTTCAAGTGTGTAATGTATTGCAAAAGGTGTAAGAACAAGGATGAGAATAATTATTATAGTTACTATGATATACAGTGTATCTCTTGAATGTATTTTTCTTGTCTAACTGAAATTTCATGTCCCTTGACCAACATATCTCCAGTCTCCTCGCTCCCTAGCCTCTGGTAACTGCCATTGTACTTGTTGTCTTCTGTATCCTAACTTAACTGCTTAGAATAATTTGTAAAGGATTTGACTGCAGTCCAAACTGAGACAAATAAACCCTTCAGTGAAACGGCACCATATTTTTTATTTTCATGGGTACATAGTAGGTATATATATTTTTGGGGTGCATGAGATATTTTGATACAGGCATATAATGCCTAATAATTACATCAGGGTAAATGATTATCCATCACCTCATGTATTTATCATTTATTTTGTTACAAATGTTCCAATTATACTCTTTTAGTTATTTTTAAATATACAATAAATTATTATTGACCATAATGACCCTGTTGTGCTATCAAATACTAGATCTTATTCATTCTAGCTAACAATATTTTTCTACCCATTAACCATCACCCCTTCCCTCTCCCCCAGTACCTTCCCAGCCTCTGGTAATGATCATTCTACTCTCTATTTTTGTGAGTTCAATGGTCTTAATTTCTAGCTTCTACAAATGTGTGAGAATATGCCAAATTTGACTATCTGTGTCTGGCTTATCTCATTTAACATAATGTCCTGCAGTTCCATCTATGTTGTTGCAAGTGACAGAATCTCATTTTCTTTCACGGCTGACTAGTATTCCACTGTGTATATGTACCACATTTTCTTTATCTATTCATCTGTTACCATTAACAGATGAACACTTAGGTGGCTTCCAAATTGTGGAGTTTGCACGTAGTGCTGAGATAAATATGGGAGTGCAGATATGTCTTAGATATACTGATTTCCCTTCTTTGGGGTATATATCTAGAAGTTGGATTGCTGGATCATATGGCTGTTCCATTTTTTAGTTTTTTGAGGCACTTCCAAACAGTTCTCCATAGTCACTGTACTAATTTACATTCCTGCAAGAGCATATGAAGATTCCCTTTTCTCTCCACCCTGACTAGTATTTGTTATTGCCTGTCTTTTGGATAAAAGTTATTTTAACTGGGGTGAGATGATATCTTATTGTATTTTTGATTTGCATTTCTGTGATAATCAATGATGTTGAACACCATTTTATATAACTATTTGCCACTCTATGGGTTTTTTTGTTTTTTATTTTGTTTTGTTTTTGACTGAGTCTTGCTATGTTGCCCAGGCTGGAGTGCAGTGGCATGATCTCAGCTCACTGAAACTTCTGCCTCCCAGGTTCAAGCCACTCTGGTGCCTCAGCCTCCTGAGTAGCAGGGATTACAGGCACAGTCATGACACAGGGCTAATTTTTTGTTTAGTAGAGATGGGGTTTTGCCATGTTGGCCAGGCTGGTCTCGAACTCCTGGCCTCAAGTGATCCACTTGCCTCGGCCTGCAAAGTGCTAGGATTACAGGTGCCTGACCGTCTTCTTTTGAGAAACATCTACTTAGATATTTTGCCCATTTTTAAACTGGGTTATCAGATTTTCTCCTGTAGAGTTGTTTGAGCTCCTTATATATTCTGGTTATTAATCCTTTATCAATGGGTGGTTTGCGTATATTTTCTTCTATTCTGTGGGTTGTCTCTTCACTTTGTTGATTGTTTCCTTTACTGTGCAGAAGCTTTTTAACTTGATGTGATTTCATTTGCCCATTTTTGTTTCAGTTGTCTGTACTTATGGGGTATTACTCAAGAAATTTTGCCCAGGCCAATGTCTTGGAGTTTCCCCAGTGTTTTCTTTTAGTAGCTTCATAGTTTCAGATCTTAGATTTACGTTTTTAATCAATCTTTATTTGATTTTTGTATATGGCAAGAGATAGGGATGTAGTTTCATTCTTCTGTATATGGATATCCAGTTTTCCCAGCATCAATTATTAAATAAAAGACAAAATAAAAGACTGACCTTTCCCCAATGTGGGTTCTTGGCACCTTTGTTGAAAATGAGTTCACTGTAGCAGTACGAATTTATTTCTGGGTTCTCTATTCTGTTCCACTGGTCTTCGTGTCTGTTTTTATGCCGACACTATGCTGTTTTGGTTACAATAGTTCTGTAGTATAACCTGGAGTCAGGTAATGTGATTCCTCCAGTTTTATTCTTTTTGCTCAGGATAGCTCTCGCTATTCTAGGTCTTTTGTGCTTTCATATACATTTTAGGCTTACTTTTTCTACTTCTGTGAAGAATGTCATTGGTATTTTGATAGGGATTGCATTAAATCTGTAGATTGCTATGGGTACTATAAACATTTTAACAATATTTATTCTTCCAACCTATGAACATGGAATATCTTTTCATTTTCTGTGACCTCTTGAGTTTTTTTGCATCAACATTTTACAATTTTAATTGTAGAGATTTTTCATTTGTTTGGTTAAGTCTTTTTAAGGTACTTTATTTTATTTGTAGCTATTGTAAATGGGATTAATTTCTTGATTTCTTTTTCAGATTGTTTGCTACTGACATATAAGAATACTGCTGATTTTTGTATGTTGACTATGTATTCTGCAACTTTACTGAGTTTATCAGTTCTAATAGTGTTTTTTTGGTGAGTCCTTAAGTTTTTCCCAATATAAGATTATAATATCTGCAAACAAGGATAACTTGATTTTTTTTTTCTGATTTGGTTGTCCTTTATATCTTTCTCTTATCTGATTGCTCTAGGTAGGACTTGCAGTATTATGTTCAGTAACAATGGTGACAGTGGGCATCCTTGTCTTGTTCCAGATCTTAGAGGAGAGGCCTTCAGTATTTTTCCCATACCCACAGTATGACTTTAGCTATAGATCTGTCATATACGGCTTTTATTATATTTAGGTATGTTTCTTCTAACCCCAGTTGTTTGAGAGTTTCTATCACGAAGGGATATTGAATTTTATCCAATGCTTTTTCAGCATCATTTGAAATGATCACGTTTTTTGTCTTTCATTCTGTTGATATGATATATCACATTGGTTGATTTCAAAATATTGGACCATCCTTGCATCCTGGGATAAATCCCACTTGATGATTTTGCTTATTTATTCAAAAAAACAACTTTTCATTTTTGTTGATCTTTTGTGTTTTATTGTTTCAATTTTATTTCTTCTCTGATCCTTATTATTTCCTTTCTTCTAATTTTGAGTTTGGTTTGCTCTTGCTTTTCTAGTTCTTTAGTTTGTAGAGTTAGGCTGTTTATTTGAAGTTTTTCTACTTTTTTTGATGCAGGTGCTTATTGCTATCAATCTCTATCTTAGTAGTGAGTTCACCATATTCCATAGGTTGAAATATGTTTTGTTTTCATTTTCATTTTTTTTCAAGAAATTTTACAATTTCCATCTTAATTTCTTCTTTTACCCACTGGTCATTAAGGAGCAAATTGTAAGATTTTCATGTGTTTTGATAGTTTCTAATGTTCCTCTGGTTGTTGATTCCTAGTTTTATTCTATTGTGGTCAGAGAAAATACTTGATATGATTTAATTTTTTTGAAATTTCTAATACTTGTTTCATGGCCTAACATATGGTCTATCCTTGAGAATGATCTATGTGCTGAAGAGAAGAATGTGTATTTGCAGCCATTAGATGAATTGTTCTATAAAAATCTATTAGGTCTATTTAATTCAGCAGTGTAGATTGAGTCCACTGTTTGTTGTTGATTTTCTGTCTGGAAGATCTGTCCAATGCTGAAAGTGGTGTGTTGAAGTTGCCATCTATTATTGTATTGGTGTTTTTCCCTCTCTAGCTCTAATAATATTTGCTTTATTTATCTGGGTGCTCCAGTGTTGGGTTCGTATATATTTACAACTGTTATATCCTCTTACTGAATTGACTCCATTGTCATTGTACAATGACTATCTTTGTTCTTTTCATAGCCTTTGTTTTGAAATCTATTTTGTCTGACTTAAGTATAGCAACATTTTTGGTTTCCATTGGCATGGAATATGTTTTACCATCCCTTTATTTTCAGTCTATGTGTGGCTTTACACGTGAAGTGTGTTTCTTTTAGGCAATATATGATTGGGTCTCATTTTTTTTGTTTTGTTTTTTAATCCATTCAGGCACCTTATGTCTTTTGACTGGAAAGTTTAGTCAATTTACATTCAATGTTATATTAATAAGTAAGGACTTACTTCTGCCATTTTGTTATTTGTTTACAGCTTGTTTTGTGGTCTTCTCTTTCTCCCTTTCCTTCTTTCTGTCTTCCTTTTTATAGAGATGATTTTCTCTGGTGGAATATATTCTTGCTTTTTACTTTTTGTGTAACTGTTGTAAGTTACTTTTGTGTAACTGTTTTTGATTTGAGATAGCCACGAGGCTTGCAAATAGCATAACTCATTATTTTAAACTGATGACAACTTAACATTTTTTGCAAAAACAAGCAAACAAGCAAAGAGAAGATTAATAAAGACCCTTTATTTTAACTTCATCCCAGCCCTTTTACCTTTTTGTTGTTTCTATATATATCTTATTTTATTGTTAATGTCTTGAAAGTGGTAGTTGTTATTTCTGATAGGTTTATCTTTTAGTCTTTCTAGTCAAGAGATGAGTAGTTTATACATCACAGTTACAGTGTTATAATATTCTGTGTTTGTCTGTGTACTTACCGTTACCAGTGATTTTTGTACCTTCAGATGATTGTTGCTTGTTAACATTATTTTCTTTCAGATTGAAGAACTCCCTTTAGCATGTCTTAGTAAGACAGGTCTGGTGTTGATGAAATACCTCAGCTTTTGTTTGTCTGGGAAAGTCTTTATTTTTCTCCATATTTGAATGATATTTTCACTAGATATACTATTTTAGGGTAAAAGTTTTTTCTTTAGCACTTTAAATATGTCATGGCAGTCTCTCTTGGCCTGTAAAGTTTCCACTGGCAAGTCTGGTGCCAAATGTATTGGAGTTTTCTTTATGTTATTTGTGTCTTTTTTCTTGATGCTTTTAGGATCTTTTCTTTATCCTTGACTTTTATGAGTTTGATTATTAAATGTCCCAAGTTAGTATTATATGAGTTACATATGCTTGGTGTTCTATACCCTTCTTGTGTATTGATATCTTTCTCTAGATTTGGAAAGTTCTCTGTTAGTATCCCTTTAAATAAACTTTCTACCCAGATCTCTCTCTCTATCCCCTCTTAAAGGCCAGTAACTCCTAGATTTGCCCTTTTGAGGCTATTTTCTAGATCTCGTAGGCATTCTTCCTTGTTTTTTTTTTCTTTTGTCTCCATTTACTGTGTATTTTCAAATAGTCTGCCTTCAAGCTTACTAATTCTTTCTTCTGTTTGATCAGTTCTGGTGTTGAGAGACTCATACATTCTTCAATATTTCAACTGAATCTTTCACCTCAAGAACTTCTGCTTGATTTTTAAGAATTATTTCAATCTATTCAATAAACTTATCTGACAGGATTCTGAATTCTTTCCCTGTGTTATCCTAAGTTTCGTCAATCTTCCTCAAAACAGCCATTTTGAATTGTCTGTCTGAAAGATCACATTTCTCTGTCACTCTGGGGTTGATCACTGGTGCCTTATTTAGTTCATTTTGTGAGGTCATGTTTTCCCAGATGGTCCTGATGCTTGTCAATGTCCAGGCATTGAAGAGTTGGATATTTATTACGGTCATTTCAGTCTGGGCTTGTTTGTACCCAACATTCTTGTGAAGGCTATCTAAGTATTCAACGGGAATTGAGTATTGTGATCTGTCTTTGGTACTGCAGCCATATCTACATTATGAGGCACACCAATCCCAATAATAGTGTGACTCTTTCAGAATCGTAGAAGTCCTGTCTCGGTGGTCTTGGGTAAGATCCGAATGAATTCTCTGTATTACCAGGAAGAGATTCTTGCTTCCTTCCCTTACCCCAAACAAATGGAATCTCTCTCTTCATGATGAGTTTCCTGGAGCTGAGGAAGGGGTGACACAAGCACCTCTGTAGCCTCCACCACTGGAACTGCATCCAGTCAGACCTGAATCCAGCATAGCACTGGGTCTCACCAAGGCCTGCAGTGATTATTGCCTGGCTACCACCAATATTCACTCAAAGTCCAAGGGCGCTTCACTTAGCAGGTGACAAATCCAGCCAGGCCTGTATTCTTCCCTTCAGGGCTGCAAGCTCTCCCTGAGCCCAGCAGATCCAGAAATTCTGCCCAGGAGGCAACATTTGGAATCAGGAACCCCAGGAGGCCGCTTAGTGTTCTACACCACTGTGACTGAGCTGCTACCCAAGCTGCAAGATAAAGTTCCCTTTACTCTTCCCTCTCCTTTCCTCAAACAGAAAGAATCTCTCCTCATGGCTGCCACAGCTAGGAATGTACTGGGTCACATCTGAAGTCAGCGTGGCCCTGGATCTCACCCAATGCCTGCAGCAAATACTGCCTGGCTACCATTGATGTTTACTCAAGGTCCAAGCGCTCTTTAGTCATCACATGGTGGATCCTGCCAAAACTGGGTCCTTAACTTCAAGGTGGTGGGTTCTCTTCTGTCCAAGGGTGTGTCGAGAAATGTCATCTGGGAGCTAGGGCCTGGAATGGGTGCCTCAGGACTCTGTCTAGTGCCCTATTTTACTGTGGCTGAGCTGGTATCCAAGTTGGAAAACAATGTTCTCTCCTTTCCCCTTTCTTTTTCTCAAGCAGAAAGAAGGAATCTCTCAGAATTCTGAGTTGTGCTGCCTGGGGTTGGGGGATGGGTGACACAAATACTTTCTTGGCCACTCTGACTTGTGTCTCACTAGGTCACATGCACCCCAAGTCCACTGGCTTCTAGCCCAGTACAGCGCCAAGACTTGCCCAGAAATTGCAGTCCTTGTGGTGTAGACTGCCTTTCAACTTTATTTAGAACCCCATAGCATTTTAGCCCATGGTGGTGGGGCTACCAGGAACTCAGGCTCTGACTCCCAGAATGGACAATTCCTTTCTGGCTACAGTAGGTCTAAATACTTCTTCTGTGGGCACCAGCTGAATTATCTCCTGCATTGCTTTCTACTGTGACAGGCAGCACTGAGTTCCACTGCAAAGTCCTACAATCACCGTGCTCTCCCTTTCCCAAACACACAGATTCTCTCTCAGCACCATGAGCCCCCTGCCAGGAAATGGGAGTGGCTGTCAGGAACTCAAGACTATCTTTTCTACACTGTTCATGCCTCTTTCCTTATGATGTTAAAACCAGGTACTATGGTCACTCACCTGATTTTTGTTCCTCCAAAGATGTTTTCTTGTGTGAGTAGTTGTTCAATTTCCTGTTCCTGCAGTGGAGACAATCACTATAGGGTTCTATCTGGCTGTCTTGCTCTGCCTGCTCACCAAAAGGCACTTTTAAGGCATTGTGGTATTTGAAAACATCACTGAAGTGGTTATGACCCATGCAAAAAAATGTGTGTGACTGAATCCTCCCGGTGCTGTTATTTATTCCTAGCATACCTTTGATTTTAGATTCAGGTTAGCTCCATATTCTGAAGTGCTTCCAATTCTGACTTCCTGCTTCTGAAGTTTAGCCCGAGTACTATAGAAGTCCCTCCCAGTTACTACAGACTCCACTTTTTTTGAGTCCACGCAGACTGTGGCATACAAGCACTCTGGATTGCTCAGCAGCATTGTAAAAGGATCTATGGGGATAAGGTACAATTAGTGAGCTCCTCGCTTTGGCCCCTTTAATTCTTGAGATTTTCATTTTTCTTTGGGAACTAAAACCTAAGTATACATAGTGATAAAAGCTAAAGGTAACATAATAAAAATTATCTTATTATTTCTTTCTTTTGCCTAACTGTGTTCTGGAAAAAACAAAGCCATTTATAATGAAAAATCATTAAAGCAAAAATTCAACATTGAACATGCTAGTGTCTGAACATGCTTTATGTAAGAGTTAAATAAAAATTGAGAAAACAAAGCAGTTTTCACTGGCTTAAAGTTTGATATTTGTATATATATAATTGCCTTCCATGATGATGACTGATTCAGAAGGGCATGGCATTTACTTGACATGCTCTCATGGCATTCTTTCTCTCCAGTTTCCCAAGTAAGTATAGGGCTTTTATTTTTGAAATTAGTTTGGTTAATTGCAGTTGACCAGGGTGAACTGGCCAAATAGAACACCAAGTACCTTGAATGTACTTGTGTTGGCACAGGCATATATGAGATGAGAAAGTCAGAGACGGAGACTTCTCCTAGCTTCTTTTCCACCTTAGCCAGTGGCAAATATCTTTTCTGAAAATAATAACAACATGCATTTGGTTTTGATTGTTATTAAATTTGTGATGAGCCACAGTTGGAGGTCATGGCTGCGATTTTGTAAAATAGGGTATTGGGGAAGGAAATGAGGTTAGGCAATTTCCTGGGCATGATTTTTCTTACTTTTATTCATAAAGGTAAGAATGCACTTATAGGACACATGCATATAATGTAATAATACTTCTCATCTCTGGCTGTACATTAAAATAACTTGGGGAGCACTGGAGAACTACCCCCTACCCGTTTCAGAGATTCTGATTTAATTGGCCTGGCAAACAACCAGGGCATCAGTAGTTGCCAAAGTTCTTCAGGTAATTCTGATTTGCCTGTGGGCATGAGAACCACCCATGTTCCTGAAGACAGCATTTCCTGACCGATAGAGCCTTGAAATTAGAACAATGGAATCTGTATTCTAGTCCTGGCTTCGCCAACTTGAGCAGTCTTAACCTCTGTGAAATTATATCAGTTCTTTGAGAAAACATAGTTATTATTGTAACCAAGCTCTCAAATTCATTCTGCTCTAAGAACTTGGGATTCTAATTATCTCCTTCCAGAAAAAACAAACAAACAAACAAAACACTAATGTTTAATTACAGATATTAACATATTGTTTACAATGTAAGAAATATAAATATGAATCAGATATTGTCTTTGACCTTTGGTTATTCACTGGCTATTGTCGGATGCTGGGGGGGTGACAATGAGTTAACTTTAATAGAGTTTCATTAATACAAGTAAATCATGCAAAATAATGGCAGCAATCAATTGTCTTTTAAACAGAGAAGTCTTAATCTCGTGAAGAAAGTATGATTTGAGCTTAATCTCAAATAGGGGTTATAGAGCAGCATTTGCAAAGGCTCTGGAGAGTGCAGAAAATGTTTTGGGAACAAATAGTTAAGGGTGGCCTCATTGATTGATCCTATAGACAAGAAGTTATGAAGGCTTCCCAGGACCAGATTGTGAATGGTCTTAAACTCAGGCACTCAATCAAGTATAAGAGAAATAGTAAAAGTTTGATAGTGATATTAAAGAGCTTTGCATTTTACATTTTGAGAAATATTTCCCAGTTGCCCTCCAGGCTCCTTCCTGGGTCAGTGCTGCAGGGAGGCTTTAATTGGCAAGTCCGGGAATCAAACTCAAGTCTGAACGCAAAATCCATGAGGTCCTTCTTAACCATCAGACCATACGGCCTCAGGCTTTTCATGTATACCATAATGAGAAAAATCCTTTCTACCTTATAACTTTGCTGTGATTGACTATATGAGATAGTGCATGCATATTTTACTGCATGCTTGATACATATTAAGTGCTCAGTAAATTATATATTTCTGTCCTGTGGTGGTTTCAACCTGGCAACCTCTGTACCTGTGTTCCCTCCAGCAATGAAAGCATGCAGACTCAGCATTTTTACCTGTACCGCTTAGTTACACCGTGATTGACAGCCTCCATTACCCAGATTCTTAGTATAGTTTCTCAGTCCTCTCATTCAATTTAATTCAATAGTTACTAAAATCTTGCTAGTGCTCAGCAGACCATGTAGATGGCTGTGTATTAGGAATAAGAGGATGCAAAAATGAATATGGCATACTGTCTTCATTCCGGGAGCCTGCAATCCAATAGTGAAAATAGATGTAGTCATAAATATTTAATACAAGGCCAATGTGGACATAGCTTTGATTGCCTGCTGGAGGCAGAGAAAGGGCAGATGTGAAAATGTGATAGTTCTTTGTAGTTTATTTTTTAATTAGGCCTAAGTAAAATGGTTGGTTTAAGTTGTAAACATTTGACAAAAAGCCTAAGGTACTTTGGCTCAGAAATTACAGATGAATTATAATGAAACTGCATATTAGAAAATAGAGGAAAACATGTCTAAATGCTCAGTTTGTGAATTGTATCTATCTTTCAATAACCATGCAAAATAAAAGCCAATGTATTAGCTTGACAATTGTTCTGCATCTCTACTATGTCCAGCATATCAAAATATGTTACAGAATTCAGTAAAGGAAAATTTATTTCCTCCAATAAATTATCAAACAGTAAATCTTGTCAGTTTCTCTAACGTGTCTTAACTTCAAATCACTGATGTATTTACTCACTAAACACATCTATAAAAATGGCAATCCTGGAAAATTGTCTGGGGTATCTTTTGATTAGCATTGGTTTTTGTTTGTTTCTTCAATTTTATATAATTATTTTTCATAGTTACAGTCAATATAGGAAAATTGAAAGTTACCAGAAGCCTAAAATCTGTTAACAGTTTGTACTAAAACTTGAATTCTTAATTGGGATGCTTTTATCCTGTAAGCAATTTTTGCAGGTCACCTGATTCACATTAGCTAATCTCCTAGAGAAAATTAAACATACGAACACTATTTATTAAAGTGAACATCTCTACAAAATAATATTAATGACTAGAAATCCCTCAGAAAGCAAATATTAAGTCCTTTTATCCATTTGTTAACATTTGTTTTCAAGTTAAATTTGTATAACATTAAGATATTGTAATTGCAGTGCTTGTATCTTCCATCATACTGCACTGCCTTAGTGTTCTCATCTGCAATGCAATAATACATATTGAGTAAAGCTAAATCTGGCTTCCAACCTTAATTAAGAAAGTGCTGTTATATGCAGCAACACATAGGCCTTGCATTTCCCAATGCCCAGTGAAGACGTAAATTCCTCACTGCCTGAATTAATGCTGGCACACAGGCACATAAGGACCAGAATCTTCATCACCAGCTCATAATTTTTGATTGCTCATCGTTGGCAAAGTACTCTAACTAGGCACTCTAATGGGCACATACATAACCAAACATGCTGATGATGCTGTTTTTACATCTGAGGGTTCTATGTGAGCAAAAGAAGCCTTGAGGAGATAACAGAGTAATGCTGAACATGGCATTTTATGAACTAAGGAAAATTACTGAAAGACTAGAGACATAAATGAATATTGCCCCTCAGATAGAACTCATATATACTCTTCATACCAGAAACTCCTTTTTGATACTCAAAAGGTAGGCTCTCTTTCTGTGAACAAAGATAATATTTATAGTAGAGCTACGAGGAAGATATTAAAATTGATAACACTCTGAAGAAGCTTGAGGTCAATGCTTTGGTAGGGGCATCCTAAGGGTATCTTGGAGAAAGAATATTAAGGTATATTAAAATCTTTTTTTTTTTTTTGAGAGATGGAGTCTCGCTCTGTCACTCAGGCTAGAGTACAGGCACCATCTTGGCTCACTGCAACCCCTACTTCCTGGACTCAAGTCTCCATGGTACCTGAGATTATAGGTACCTGCCTCCATGCCCGGCTAGGTTTTTTGTATTTTTATTGGAGACAGGGTTTTGCCATGCTGGCCAGGCTTATCTTGAACTCCTGACCTCAAGTGATCCACCCACCTCAGCCTCCCAAATTGCTGGGATTACAGGCGTAAGCCACCGTGCTTGGCCAGATATATGTCTT
Organism: Homo sapiens; assembly: GCF_000001405.40. NCBI lineage: Eukaryota > Metazoa > Chordata > Mammalia > Primates > Hominidae > Homo > Homo sapiens. The sequence continues at coordinate 97,202,647 of NC_000003.12, forward strand.
CTTTAGTGAATAGTAATAACAATTTACCCATAATTGGGCTGGAAGATAGTTGAACTTGTGTTGACTATAGGAGTCATACCCACCAATTCAACAAACACTTTCTGAGCAAACCCCTATTGCCAAATACTGTTTTATGTACTATGGATAAATCATAAATAAGAATAATGTTTTCTGCTCTTGAGAATAGCAGTAAAAAGTAAAGTAAACAAAGTCAACTTATAGTATTATGCTGAATATAGGAACATGTGATATGATAGGGACTTACTGGCTAGAGGATCAGTCTGAAAGCATGGATATCTTTGGGGTAATCCAGAAAGAGCAAGAACACCAGTGTGACTGGCACCAAATGATCATGGAAGAGAGGAGTTGGAGAGGTAGGCAGGGGTCAGCTCTTACAGAACTGCCCAACTGCCCTCTGACAATGTGAGGAGTTTGAATTTTATTCTAAGTTTAATGCCATCAATTAGAGGCTTTATTAAGCAGGGTAAGTAAATGTAGACTCTAGAGTCTCTGCTTCTAAGGTTCATTGACGTATTTACAAGATCACTCTGATCATAGTGTCAAAATTATGTTGTAAGGTGGTAGAGGCAAAAGTAGAAAGAGTCATTGGGATAATTCAAGCAAGAAATCAAGGTAATGTGGAGTTGGATATTAGCAGTGGAGATGGAGATAAAGGGACAGATTTAACATGTATTTAGGGGTTAGAGCCACAGGAACTCACATAGCGATTTGCCTGCTTGAGGCAATTAGGAGACCACATAAGACTTTTGATGTGAATAAGGATTGTTTGTAAGGGTAGAGAAGTTGCCACAAAACAAAGCATCATACCCAATTTTTAACAAAACCGTGTAGTGCCTCTGCTACAGAAATAGTATAGGTAGTGCAGATTATAATACATAAAGGAGAAGAAAAGACATGGGAGATGAATGCAGAAAAAAATCTAATGAAATATTTAAGGGACAGAAGTCTGTGAGATGATTGTGGTGTGGAGGGAAAAAACAAAAAAACAGTTTGGGAGTCAGGAGTCAGGAGTCTTGAACTCGGAATCCATCTCAAGTACTAATCCAAGGTATAATTCTGAGAAATGAGCTTTATCTTTTGAAAGTCCTGTCTCCTCATTTGTAAAAGAAGAGTGATGTGGAAGAAGATTGTCTCTATAGTCACTAATAGCTTAAAATGTTCATTACCCCATTAGTCTTTTGCTTTAGAAAAATAATGGCTGATATACCTAATGCTAGATGATGAGTTAGTGGGTGCAGCGCACCAGCGTGGCACATGTATACATATGTAACTAACCTGCACATTGTGCACATGTACCCTAAAGCTTAAAGTATAAAAATAATAAATGAAAAAAAAAGAAAAATAATGGCTGAAAGATGCATGATGAAAGGTTGTATAATTATGTGTTCTAAACAACTTTTTTTTACTAAGTGACAGTGTATTTTAAACTTAGAAGAGTTAAGAACTTAGAAAAGAGTAAATTTTATCCATATGAAATGCAACAGTGTTTTACTTAAGGAATAGTGAAATTGTGGAATATTTGCCTTAAGTATTGACATAGTTATACATTCTCCAAATAGTTAATTAATTTCCTATGTACTAGGCTCCAGAAATATAAACATTTTTACATGGTTAGATAAATCATATATAAATGAATCATTACAGAGCACTTACCATGTACTAGGGCCTGAATCATTACATAGCACTTACCATGTACTAGGGCCTAAGCACTTTAGAATTATTAATTAATTCTCAAGATAGTTGTACAAGACAAGTATTGTTTTCTTCCGTTCCACAGATGAGAAAAATGAGACTCAGAGAAATTAACTAACTTGTCTAAGGTCACAAAGTTAGTAAGTGGATGGGCCAAGATTTGGATCCAGGATTTCTGGTTCTAAGGTCTCTGCCCCTAAATGCTATATTATATCTCAGATTTATAAATGAAAGACTGTGTTCTTTCTATGAGAATTTAACGCAGAGAAGAAGTTTCTATATTTTTATGATAAATTATTCTCCATCATTTTGGGAAAAAACAAAGACACTTAAATCCGTGGAAAGGAATTATGAAGTAAAAAGGAAAATTTATAAGTCAAAGACTTTTTATGCATTCAGCAGAGTTGACTGAATAAATAGAACATACAATACAGATTTGTTTACACAATCCACAGTAGAGTAAGTTTCAAGTGGATTCATTTACAACAGGCATTTTGCCTACTAATCTTTACAATCAGCTGAGTAGAGTAATTTAGAAGATATGATCTTCCTAAGGGATAAAGGGAGAAGGGGAGAAATGTTTTTGGATATATTTTAGAACTTATATTTTCCATTAAAATTACATAGAAAAATTGGGCAATTATAGGTTTGTAACTCTTGCAAATCTTGGACTTCCTTCAAACCATCAACTAGGTTACCACAAAATTAAATTCACTTGTTTCACAAAAGCACTCATTCCAATCAGTTGGAAAATGTAGAAAGGCTTGTTTCTTCTGGATTACCTTTATGCCACAAAGCAAACATAACCTATTGCTTTTGCTTGTTTTTCTTTGGTTTGATGTATATGAGGGAATAGAAAAGTTAAAAATGTTGAGTATGAAATTTTAGGTAAGATCTAAATAGAAAAGTTTAAAATATTTAGTATGAAATTTTAGATAAGAACTGACATTGAAAAACTTAAACATGTTTGTTGAATTATAAAGTGCCCTTTCAATTACATAAGATAGAATTTATTTATTAAATATAATTATAGTATTATACTATACATTTTAAATTCGATTTTTTGGGAAATGGCAATTCATTTACTATGTACAGATTATCCTTGAACAATATGTGTTTGAACTGCATGGCTCCACTCAGACGTGAATTTTTTTCAACCAAACACAGCTCCAAAGCACAGTATGCATGGAATGGGAAACCTATGTAAACAGAAGGTTGACTTTTCATATGCACAGGTTTCACAGGGCTGACAGTGAGGCTTGAGTATGGGAAGATGGTATACCTAGGGGTCTTGGAATCAATACCCCACTTATACTGAGGGAGGACTATACATGACTGGAATATTTGGTCAGCCATTACAGCTATTTTCCTGACTATTTTGTGTATAGCAGAGTTTCTTTCTTAGCAATGAAAATTTTTGTGGGCTGATTGACCTTAGGTAGTTAACTTTTAATCATCGCTCATGATGATCCAGACACCATGCTAAACATGTTACATAAATTGCATTATGCATCATCTCAACAGATAGTTATAATACTATTCTTGTCTCCATTTTACAAAAGAATAAATTCAGACTTACAGGAGTTAAATAACTTACATAAGGAAATATATTTCAGCCAATAGGATTTGAATGTAAGGCTTCTGCATTAAAAGATGCATACATCCTGTCCACAATGATATGGTCAATATTATTAAGAATATTAAATATATCTAATAGTTATGTCTAAGCCGCACTTAAAGTTTATCTTGTTTTTTGCCCTCAGTCTATTTTAAGACTATTTTTTAAGTTGTTTATCTTTACAATGCCACTTTTTTCTGTTCTCACCTTCATCGTCTTTGTTTACTGATAAATATTTCTTGTCTGGGTCAATGACTTTGTCTCCTACCTGGTCTCATTGCTTCTTTTCTCACGCTTCTTTAATAAATTTGGTATACTGTCAACAGAATCCATGTATGTAAACTCTTTATCCTTAGTTCAAAAACTTCTGTGTTTAGTATAACTATGGAATTCTTTAGGCCGCCTTATAAGACCCTTGATAACCATACCCTATTAGCTACCTTATATATTCCATCTTTATACCATTCACTTTTTGTTTTATTTGAGTTCGTTTCCTCTCTTTATATAGAATTTTGTGATACTCATTTCCATGCTTACATCTATTTGCTCATTCTTCTCATTCTACCTTTCCATAGAAAAGGTCCAGTTAAAATGCCTCATCTCCAGGCTAAGAAGCTGATTCGAGCTACTCTACTTGATACTAATTTTTACCTTGTTGAAACTCCAGGTGTTTATTAATATACCGCCAATGAGTTATTTAATCTCCGTGTCTAATATTATCTTATAAGTTGAGGTTTATACTCATTATCTCTTCAGGGACTAGGTTTTATTCAACCTATACCCCCCTACTTCTCTATTAAATCCTGAATGAATAGTAACTACAACTTATTATACATTTATCAAAGTTATTCCACTTCAGAATAATCAAAGATGATTGTACTTGATAATGCAGTATTAGCCAAACAGTTCTTGCAATAACTGTTATTTTTATATTAATTCTGTAGTTTGTAAAAGTGCAAAAATGAAAATTACATATGCTTTCAAATTAAAATATGTAGTCAAACATGAGAGCTAAATATATTCATCAATATAGCAATTTGAGACAAAAGTACTAAAATTGCAGGCTTCAACATAAAAGTGTATATTACAATTTGCAAATAACTCTAAATAGTCAGTTCTTGAATATGGTATTTCTTTGATAATGGATACAGTAAAATGTTATGTTAATTCCAGGTGTCTTTTGCAAGTGCTCTTTCAAAAAAAGCTGTATCAGAATATAATGTAGCAATGTTGACTGAATATAAAAAAATTGGTTGTATAAGTCAAAGAATATCAAGGGTCACTTATTTATTTTGTTAGTCATTTATCAGATACTTATTGAACACCTAATATTTGCAAAGTACGGTCTTAGAGTATGAAAATTTTAATACAAAGATAGTTTATTCTCACAAGTGCCCATACTCTGATGTTAAGATGGTCAAGGAATCAAACCACTGCAAAACAATCAAATACTTGTGTAATAGCAGCACATGTGATATGCAACAGGAACAGAGAGGAGAGACAAGTTTGTGTATGTTGATAACGCATTTGTCTGGTCCAGTAGATTATTTTAGCTCAGTGACTATAATATGTTCCAATTTATGGAAATTTGATATGCATATGTATAAAATTGATTAACTGGAGGGTTTGTTTTGCATAAAACAAGGCCTGCTAAGAATTTTTCTGCTATGTTTAAAATATTTACACATGGATGAACATGTGTAAAAAATGATTTACACAAAATTTTGTATGTGTACAGCTTTTGATTAATGGAATGGATTTATAGCTTTATAATAGAAGACTGTCCTTATGGTTCCAGGTTTTCCAGTAGAAACACTTGTTATAGGTTCATGAAATGCTAGAACTGCTTTTGCAGAAGAGCTCCTGCTTGCCATGAAAATTGGATTATCCAAGCACCAGCTTACAGATGATCTGCCTGGGTGAGAAATAGTCATTGGGAAACTCAGGCTCAGGCCAACAGCATTAATATATGGAATGGCTATATAGGGGGATTTGGTATGAGCCAAATCAAGGAACCGTATTCCAATCAGACCCATCACATCTGTAAAACTGACATGCCCTAGTCTCTGGTGATTACACAGCCACATAGAGCTATTGCAAGCAGGGCATTAGAAGTTCTGAATCTCGAGTGTCTGCTGTTGCTGCATATAGCATTTCACCCTTGAATGTGCCCTTGTAATCCATGAGAATCTGTCATATCCAAACCATGCTGAATCGATATAGGTATTCTACTTGTACTGGATAGAAGATGCTATTCCAGTTTTCTTCAATTCAATATTTACAGAGCATTCCAATGAAATGTTGATCAAAGTTTTGGCAAGCTATTTTAAAATATTAATGGAAAGGTGGTAAATAAACTATTTAGTTACATGAATAGTTGTTATTCAATATAAAACCCTAATTGCAATAAATAATACAAAATAAAACTCAAAATATCATTATGAAGTTCAGGCACTACAGCTGGACTGTAAAAATGGAGGGCCGCAGGCTGGGTGCAGTAGCTCATGCCTGTAATCCTAGCACTTTGGAAGGCCATGGTGGGTGGATTGCCTGAGCTCAGGAGTTCAAGACCAGCTTGGGCAACATGGTGAAACCCCGTCTCTACTAAAATACAAAAAAAATAGCTGGACATGGTGGTGCATGCCTGTAGCCCCAGTTACTTGGCAGGCTGAGGCACAAGACTTGCTTGAACCCTGGAGGTGGATGTTGCAGTGAGCCAAGATCACACCACTGTACTCCAGCCTGGGTGACAGAGCAAGACTCTGTCTCAATTAAAAAAAAAAAATGGAAGGCTACATATGGTGGAAATACATTGGGAACATCCATCTACTTTTCAACCAATGGTTCAATGATACAAATAATCATTTAAACCTTGTATGATAAATACAAACACATATTATGTGAAAACTTACCCATGGAGAAGATGGATTCGATTAAAAAGCTTAGAAATTTTAAGTCATATTGTAGTATATTATCTTTACAATTTTGAAGACAGCAGATAGTGAATATTTTTTATGTCTGCTTTGCTGTTATTCTATAATATTCTCATGTAATTTTGACTAATAAGTGTACATTAACTATGTGTACAAGCAATGATACATTCATATTTGCACCTCTGCTTTGTCTGCAGTATTGTTCCAGTGAATTAGCACACACAGAATACTTAGTATTAAGTAATTAACAATGGAATTGAGAAGAGATGCTTCTTTATATGAAATGATAAATAACAGGTATTAAGATGAGGATGCATATGATAATTGCAATGGTAGGCTACAGAGGAAGAGATAAATGTGGTAATTATTACCAGGAATGTCTCATGTCACACACACACACAAACACACACACACACGTATTTGTATAATGAAAAGATGTACCAAAGTTTCAGCATAAGAATCAGAGACACCTGGCTTCGAGAGCCTGGCTTGCTTACGTATCATCTCTGTGACCTTCAGCAACTGCCTGAGCTTTCATCTCCCTATTTGTAAAATGAGGACATTAATACTCACATCATTGGCTTTTTGTAAGACTTAAATAGAATAAATATATAAAACATCAATTTGTACTGGATGAAAATTGTGATTATTGTATTGATTGCCAGCATGATTAATAACTTTCTATAAAAATGTATGCTTTCCTTGCTTAGTAAAAATTGTATAGTTATAATTCAATAATTTTTACATTATTTTCCTGTCCTATTCAGCTACAGAAATGACACAAAATATATGACAGTGGGACATTCAAAATTGTCAGATTGAAAAATAGATTGTAAATTTGTTGCTAAGGCAGCAGAATATAGGGTTGTCAAACTTTACTGAGGTGTCAGAGTATGTGATACTTTCAGCAGTGATGAGTGAGTTTCGTCAAAATGTTCAAATCACACATACAATTCATTCAATTGAATTGAATACGATTCAATTCTAGGTTGAAAGACGAATGTCTTACTTATTTTTTACAGAAAATGAGGTGACCACATAAAACATTTTAATGAAATAAAAGTTGTGTAATACATTTTTATTTCTAAGTTTTGAATAAAGCAATATTAGTTTCACCTCTTACAAAAAAGAAATATGGTTAATATAATATAAAACAATTAGCTAAAACTGTATATGCCAATTAAATCTTACTAAAGACTGTTTTGTTATAGTATTTATAATCTGAATATCCTTATTATATTAGTTCGTTCTTACACTGTTAGTAATATAAAGAACTGCCAGAGAATGGGTAATTTATAAAGAAAAAATGTTTAATTGACTCCCAGTCTGCATGGCTGGAGAGGTCTCAGAAAACTTACAATCATGGGGGAAGGCAAAGGAGAGGCAAGTACCTTCTTCACAAGGTGGCAGGAAAAATGAGAGTGAAGTGAAGACGGAAGAGCCCCTTATGCAACCTTCAGATCTCATGATAACTCACTCACCATCACAAGAACAGCATGAGGGAAACCACCTCCATGATCCTATCACCTCCCACCAGGCCCCTACCTTGACACGTGGGGATGATGGGGATTACAGTTTGAGATGAGATTTGGGTGAGGACACGGAGCCAAACCATATCACTCACCAATTATTCTTTAAAAGTGTGATTCACTCCATCACTTCCCTAGATTGCAAAATAAGCATGGTGTTCCAAATATAATGGGTAACTAATGATGAGAACTCGAATTATAGGTTAGAATGGACCTCTGTCTAACTTTTGGCTTTTTCCATATGGCCTTGAGCAAATGTTCCAGTTACTCAGTGCTACATAAAAAAACACCCCCAAATTTAATGACTTAAGACAACACTGATCATCTATTTTGCTCACAAATCTGTAATGTGAGCCAGGATTGGCAAGGGCAGCTCATCTCTGCCCCATGCAGCATCAGCTGGATTGGCAGGAGTGGGGACTGGAGGATCTACATTCTAGATGGGTCCCTCACTTGTCCGGCAAATTGGTGCTGGTTTTCAACCACGAGCTCAGCCAGAGCTATGAGCAAAGAACCTAAATTCTCCGCGTGGCCATCTCCATGGCTGCTTGGTCTTCCTCCTGCCACATGGGTAGTTTCTAAAAGTAAGCATCCTGAAGAATCAGACGAAAGCTCTATTACCTTTTATGACCTAGCCTAGGAAATCATATAAAGTCACTTCTACTATAGTCACAAGCACACTGATTTCAAGAGAAGAGAACGGAGGCCTAACAGTTTTGTGCAATGAGTGTCTATAAGAAATTGTCAAAAGAACATATGTTTTGAAAAATATTGTTGGGGCATTTTTTTGGAAAACAATCTGCCACAGTACATTATTTAATATTACTTAGCTTCAGGTTCCTCATCTTAATAATAAAATGGTAGACACCCTTCTGATCATTTTATACATATGACATTTATTAATCCCTCACAACCACCCCTGAGTTAAGTTCTATCTTTTATTCCCATTGTCTTAGTCAGTTTGGGCTTCTGTAACAAAATATCATAGACTGTGTGGCTTAAACAGCAGAGATGTTTTTCTCACAGTTCATAAGGCTGAAAGTCCAAGATCAAGGCACCAGAAGATCTGGTGTCTGGTGAGTACCCTCTTCCTTATTTGCAGATGGCTATCTTCTGCTGTCCTCACATGTAAGAGGGCAGAGAGGTCTGGTTTCTTCATTCCCTTATAAGGGCACTAATCCCATTTAGACTTCCATCCTCATGAGCTAATCACTTCCCAAAGTCCCCATCTTCAAATATGATTGCATTGGGGATTTCAGGCTTCAACATCAAAATTTGGGGGGCATACACACACTCAGTCAATAACACCTATTCTACAGAAGTGAAAACTGATGCACATGAAAATAAGTCGCCTTAAATGACAGAGCGAGTAAACTAAAGAAACAGAACTCAAACCCATGTGATCTAGTTTCAAAGGCCACATTCTTTATTTACTTTGTAGTTAATTTTTGTAAGAATAACCAAAATATTATATGCAAAGTGCTTATCAAAGTGCCTGGCTCATTCTGAATGTTCAATAATTATAAATGGTTTTGTTGTAGTTATTATTACTAATATATCTTATAGTAAGTTACTGGATGTATTCTTTTTGAAGACATTTTTCTTTATCCATAAAAGCAAATTCAGTCTGACTTAAAGAGTATGCAATAAAGAAATATTGAAAGAAAAGATGACAAACTGTCATAACTAGATGGTCTACACAAAATAGTGAAACAAGAATAAGAATCTCTGACTAGGGGATAAAAATACTAAATAGTATTTCATTTCAGGATACTTGGGAATCTGATTATAGATTCACTGAGCACATTTTTTAAAACCAAATATGAAGAAAGTAATATTAATGTGGGATTAAGTATGGTTGACTAAAACATATCTGGGAATATAACATTAAGTAAAAATCATGTTAGAAGATAAATGTTGGAACATTTAAAGGGTGATCAATATTTATAGAAACAACATAGTAGCTTCTATGTTGTATGAGTATTATTACCAGATTATATTCAAAATGGTAATAAAAATTTAGCCTAATCCTAAAAACTGTTGATGTAAGTCTTTTGGTCTACATACCTTATCTTAACTTCCAGAACAGAAATGCTTACCTTATTCTCACACTAGAAACAGCTTTAGAATTTTAACTTTGCTTGTCACTACCCTCAGACTACTAAACTGTTTCTGACTCTTTTCCAAATAATGCTGTAACCTTGACACTTGTCCATCCCTTGAGTGTATGTGCTTTTTTTCAAATCATCTTTAACATATAAATTATAAATCTATGAATGAGAAAAGATGATAAAAGATAAATTGAAATATAATACATTCACTTTATGCTTATTAATGGCAACTTACCTGAGTTTGCCAGTATGGAAATATATATTCATTTCAGGATATTCAGGAATATGGTGTTAGTTTTCCTGTGTGTGTGTATATAACCCCTGTTTCTAAGTTCATGTGTCAAAATAGCCACATCAAGAAACAAACTAACTGAAAACAACAGTATATGATTTCTATGTTGATGTCCTCTTCTCTACATAACCAGAAGTTTAAAAACCGGACTGCTTGTCTGATACCTGGGTGCTGGTCTTGGCCTAGTTCTTAAGTCTTTGGCATGTTAAATAGAATAGAATCCACATGTGTGCATTTGGGAGTAAGCCCAAGAGTTCATAAACAAGTTTATGGATTGCTTTTCTAAGCTTCTCTGTCTCTCCATGTTCTCCGGGTAGTTTCTGGTTTCCTGTGGTTTCTCTTTAAGATCCCTTGGCAAGAAGGCTGAGGCTTTATTTCCTCCACTGTGCTGTGCCCTTCTGCAACTACATTCACTTCCAGGGCCATGTGAGAGGAGGACAGAGAGAAAAAGAAACATAATGGAGGTTGACCCAACCCTCTTGGAACCACAGCTTCAGTGAACAAACAAGAAAATTTACTTTCTTAAGAATTTCGGCTCCTGTGTTTCCCATTTCTGGCCACCACCACCACCATCACCATGTGATTGCTTGAGGACTGGGCAAGAGTTAAGCAAGAAAAGAAAAAACGGGTGGGGAATTGCCACATTCTCTCTGAGCATTATGAGTTCTGATTCCCACTCCTAAAGCTAAAATGAGCAGGCTTGTCCTGGAGCTGTCTATGGCCTGGTGTCCACTTCCAAGTTTCCAGTTCATTCAGGGCAGGAGAGGGTTGAGTGGGAATTAGAAAGATGAATGAGAACAATGGTAAACTTATCATCAGCCCAGCGATACTTCACATTTTGTCTTCTCCAATGTGCCTACTTCTACTTTGAGTCCTCAAATTGCTGCTTTGTGTATTCTTCCTAGATTTTACAGTTAAGCGGGAGAAAGAGGATGCCATGTGCTTACTCTATCCTTTCTGGAACAAGAGCATTTTACTCTTATTCTTTGGGATGATATTGATGTAACTTGCAGTATATTTATGTAGGTCTAATGGTTTTTCTATTTGTTTATTCAACGGGAAGTTCATTAAAGCATTTTTCTGATGACAGTAAGAAATTGGAATTAGTACCAGTACTCCTTTACATACATTATCTAATCATAATCTCATGTGTTCTGTGTGTGTGTGTGTGTGTGTGTGTGTGTGTGTGTGTGTGTGAGAGAGAGAGAGAGAGGGAGAGGGAGTCTCATTCTGTTGCCCAGGCTGGAGTGCAGTGGTGCAATCTCAGCTCACTGCAACCTCCGCCTCCCAGGTTCAAGTGATTCTCATGCCTCAGCCTCCCAAGGAGCTGGAATTCCAGGTGCCTGCCACCATGCCTGGCTAATTTTTGTATTTTGAGTAGAGACAGGGATTCACCATGTTGGCCAGGCTGGTCTCAAACTCCAGACCACAAGTGATTCACCCACCTTAGCTTCCTAAAGTGATAGGGATTACAGTCTTGAGCCACCTCACCTGGCTTCATGTATTCTTTACAGTAGCCATCCTCTGAAGAAAGTTGGATTGAATATTTTGAAGCACAATACTATTGCTATACGCCCAACAGAAAAGCGTGGAGTGCCACTGCACTCCAGCCTAGGCAACAAGAGCGAAACTTTGTCTCAAAAAAAAAAAAAAAAAAGAAAAGAAAATTAGTGGTATTTCAATCACTGTATTCATATTTAGTTTGCCTTTAATATATATCTTTCTCTAAAAATTTACTTTGATTTTTGCCATATGTATAATATTTTCATTGTTATTTTAAGCAATCACATAAAGTTTCTCAAATTATAAGCGTATTTTGAAATAAAAATTTCAAAACATATTTCAGAAATGAGGATATGTTTGTAATTTGATTATTCTTAACTGAATATACAAGCTTATTATTTATAGACTTGGATTTGGTGAATTTGAGAATTTCACTGGATGCTATGAGGTTATTCAGAAGAAACAACATATGTGTGTTTATTCACCCTTAAGTTTTGCAGTTTTCTTATGTTTAAATTCCTTAATCTTCTCTGCTTTTGCTAGTAACTTGACAACAATATTTATTGTACAGCAGCATCTAGAAAACATAAATGATACTGTTTTTGCCAGTTTCTTAAAGTTCTTTCAAGAATGCTATTATTTTGAGAAATGATGCAGATCATATATTTTACTGATAAGTCATGCAGGTTTATCTAAACTTACAGGCTATTGAACACCATGAGGGAAAAGCAGTCGATTATATTAATATCAGTTCCTGACACACAAGACGCAATTCAATATTTAATCAAACAATGAGAACCACACAGCATGATATGCTAGCTAGGATTTCTCATGTTATTTTTTTGTCTTCCAGTTCTCTGATAATAAGGATAAGCCTAAAAACACTGCTAACAATATATAGTCTAACCACTCAATTTTGAAAGTATGAGTAGAACAGATTATTCATTTCTTATTTTTTGTTTTATTAGAGACATACTTTGTGTGTGTGTGTATGTGACTGAAAGTCACAGGCTTCAGCTGTGTTTCAATCAATACTTCAATATTCTGATTTCAATTTTCTGTGGATAATGAAATTTCAAACATCTATAAGAGAAATTGTTGTATAAGATAATTAGTGTAGCCAGGCATCATGGCAGGCATCTGTAATTCCAGCTACTCAGGAGGCTGAGGCAGGAGAATTGCTTGAACCCGGGAGGCGGAGGTTGCAGTGAGCTGAGATCATGTCACTGCACTTCAGTCTGGGCAACAAGAGCAAACTTTGTCTCAAAAAAAAAAAAAAATAGAAAATTAGTGATATTTCAATCACTGTATCCATATTTAGTTTGCCTTTAATATATGTCTTCTCTAAAAATTGACTTTTGCCATATGTATGACATTTTCATTGTTATTTTAAGCAATCATGTAAAGTTTCTGAAATTATAAACATATTTTGAAATAAAAATTTCAAAACATATTTCAGAAATAAGGATATGTTTGTAATTTGATTATTCTTAACTGAATATACTTCCTCCAATTATATGATCTGAAATTTAGGAAGGTAAAAGCTTTTTGTTAAACATAGTTTATTGAACATATTAGTTTACCTGTATGCCTTTTTGACAATTCACTAACAGGAATAAGGGTATATGGAATGTTTACTCTAACAAGAAGAAAGCAAAAGAGAAAGGGAAAAGAAACTACATCAGGTGAGAAAAGTCAATGTCTGTATTAGGTCATTTCTTTATTGCTATAAAGAAGTACCTGAGATGGGTAATTTCTAAAGAAAAGAGTTTTAATTGGCTCATGATTCTTCTGGCAGTACAAGCATGGCTCCAGCATCTGCTTCTGGTGAGGGGCTCAGGAAGCTTCTAATTATGGTAGAAGGAGAAGCGGAGCCTGTACATCACATGGTGTGAGCAGGAGCAAGGGGTGGGGAGGTTGTGGTCCTAGACTTTTAAACAACCTTATCTCGCATGAACTAACTGAGCAAGAACTCACTTATAAACAGGGGATGCTTCTAAACCATTCATGAGGAATCCACCTCCATGATCCCGTCATCTCCCACCAGGCCCCACCTCCAACATTGAGAATCACATTTCAACATGAGATTTCAAGAAGACAAATATCCAAACCACATCAATGTCAACAAATTTCAGAAAATGAAAATCAAGTGGAGGATCAATAACTCATGTAGCAATGGAAATTAGTATGACTACTTCAGGGGGATAGGCCCCTTTCATCTCATGCTTTTCTTTTGGGCATATAGCAAGCAGTGGAATTGTTATATCAAATGGTAGGCCTATGTTCCTACCTATAGTAAGTACTGCCAAACAGTTCTCTAAAGTGGTAGCACGAACTTAAACTCCTCCAGTGATATTTTAGAGTTCGTATTGCTCCATATTCTCAGAAACATTTGGTATTGTGTGTTTATTTCATCTAAGTATTCTGGTACAGGTGGTAGTATTACACTGCACTTTAAAATAAGTTATTTAAATATGTATTTGAGAAACTAGATATAGTAGATAGGAAAAGGACATTATAGAAGACAATGAAATATGAAGACAAAAATAAGAATTTAGGATGACTCAAGCAGTCTGATTTTTACTTTTGGTCAAGATGGAGTAACTTCTACTATCTGAGATAAGAAAACTCATTTAAAATATGTGGAAAAAAACATATTTAAGACATGAGACATCAGATAACCAAGAGATAGTAATTAAAAGAGGAAAGCCCTACAATTTCCCCAACTTACTATTTAGGGTAAATTTTTAGGCCCTGGCACAGGAGAAAGGACCCTGATAAAACCTTATAAACTCCTTAATGCACTATTAATCGAGAAGACAGATCTGAGAGTTCAGGGAAATCAAGGTAGCAAGATTTCACAATGTCAGTATGACAGAGAAAAGGGCTTTCCAAAAGACAACTCCAGAGAGGTGCAGAGGTTCTCTGTGAGTGCTCACTTAAATTTTACTAATAAAAAAAATTCAACAAAGAAGATAAAACAGATGGTAAAAAGTATGTCACTTTTCTAAAAGAACATAGGAAAAGAGGAAAATAACAAAGACATGGGACAAATGCAAAGCAAATAGCAAGGTAGAATTAAACCTAAGAATATCAATAATCACATTAAATATAAATGATCTAAATACCCCAATTAAATGGCATAGATTGTCAAATAGTAGTTTTTTACAAGACCGAGGTATGTGCTGCTTCCAAGAAACATACTTTAAATATAAAAATGAAAATACCCTAAAATGAAGAGGTATAAGAAAACTTCTGGGATTGACAGATATATTCGCTATCTTGATTGTGCCAAGTTTTCACAGTTGTGTAGATATATCACAATATCCAATCATATGCTTTATTTGAAGTTTTGTGTATGCCAATTATACTTCAGTAAAACTGTGAGAAAATAATATGGTCCATGTAGGGAGTGGCAAGAAGTATAAAATTTCTGTAGCAGTGGAAGGTGATTTTGGAAAAATAGATGTGAGTCCATCTCTGAAGGAAATTAAATGCTAATCTTAGTTTGGACTTTATTCTAGAAACCAGGTATTGTCATATTTTTTTCTGTGAAAAGCCATAGAGTATGTACTTTAGACTTTGAAGTCTGAGTCAAAAATCTAGAATATCATATACTTATATAATCATTTAAAAATATAAAGGCTGGGTGCAGATGCTTATGCCTGTAGTCTCAGCACTTTGGCAGACCGAGGCAAGGCAGATCACTGAAGCACAGAAGAATGGGACCAGCCTGAACAATATGGCAAAACCCCCTCTCTACAAAAAATACAAAAATTAGCTGGCATGGTGGTGCATGCCTGTAGTCCCAGCTACTTGGAAGGCTGATGTGGGAGGACCACCTGAGCTTGGGAGGTGGAGGCTGCAGTAAGCTGTGATCATGCCACTGCACTCTAGCCTGGATGAAAGAGTGAGACCCTATCTTAAAAAAAAAAAATGTAAAACCATTCTTAGCTCTCAGTCTGTGTATTAGTCCATTTTCATAGTGCTATAAAGAACTGCCTGAGACAAGGTAATTTATAAAAAATAGAGGTTTAATTCACTCACAATTCAGCATGGCTGGGGAAGCCTTAGGAAACTTACAATTGTGGCGGAAGGCAAAAGGGAAGCAAGGCACCTTTTTCACAAGACAGGAGGAAGGAGAAGTACCTAGCAAAGTAGGAAGAGCCCCTTATAAAACTATCAGATCTTGTAAGAAGTCACTCACTATCATGAGAATAGCATCAGGGAAACCACCCCCATGATTCAATTACCTCCACCTGGTCTCTCCCTTGACACATAGGGATTATAGGGATTATAATTCAAGATGAGACTTGGTTGGGGATAAAAAGCCTAACCAAATCATTCTGTCCCTGGCCCCACCCAAATATCATATCCTTTTCACATTATGATACCAATCATGCCTTCCCAACTGTCCCCCAAAGTTGTAATTCATTCCAGCATTAACCCAAAATTCCAAGTCCAAAGTCTCATCTGAGAAAAGGCAAGTCCCTTCAACCTATGCACCTGTAAAATCAAAAGCAAGTGAATTAGTTTCTAGATACAATAGGGGTACAGGCATTGGGTAAATACACCCATTCCAAATGGGAGAAATTGACCAGAACAAAAGGGCTCCAGGCCTCCTGTAAGTCTGAAATCTAGTGTGGCAGTCAAATCTTCAAGCTGCAGAATGATCTCCTTTGACTTCTTGTCTCACTTTCAGGTCACCCTGATGCAAGAGGTGGGCTCCCACAGTCTTGGACAGATCTACCCCTGTGGCTTTGCAGGGTACAGCTCCACTCCTGGCTGCTTTTATGGGCTGGCATTGAGTGTCTGTGGCTTTTCCAGGCACATGGTGCAGGCTGTCAGTGGTCTACCATTCTGGGGTTTAGTGGATGGTGGCCCTCTTCTCATAGCACCACTAGGCAGTACCCAAGTGGGGACTCTGTGTTGGGGCTTAAACCCTACATTTTCCCTCTTCATTGCTCTAGTAGAGGTTCTCCATGAGGGCTCCACCCCTGCATCAGACTTCTGCCATATAATGAAATATTATAATAAATGTTAATCCAGGCATTTCCATACATCCTCTGAAATCTACGTAGAAGCTCCCAAGCCTCAGTTCTTGTCTTCTGTGCACCTGAAGGCCCAACAGCACATGGAAGCTGCCAACGCTTGGGGATTGCAACCTCTGAAGCAATAGCCCAAGCTGTACCTTGGCCCCTTTTAGCCATGGCTGAAGCTGGAGTGACTGGGGTGCAGGGTGCCATGTCACAGGGCTGCACAGAGCAGCTGGGCCCTGGGCCCAGCCCACGAAACCTTTTTTCCCTCCTAGGCCTCCAGACTTGTGATGGGAAGTGCTGCCGTGAATATCTCTGAAATGCCCCAGAAATATTTTCTCCATTGTCTTGGCAATTAACATTCAGCTCCTTGTTAGTTATGCAAATTCCTGCAGCCAGCTTTAATTTCTCCCCAGAAAATGGGTTTTTCTTTTCTATTGTATCATCAGGTTGCAAATTTTCCAAAATTTTATGCTCTACTTCCCTTTTAAACGTAAGTTCTAATTTCAAACCATCTCTTTGTGAATGTATAAAACTGAATGCTTTTAAGAGCACCCAAGTAACATCTTGAATGCTTTGCTGCTTAGAAATTTCTTCTGCCAGATACCCTAAATCATCTCTCATGAGTTCAAGGTTCCACAGATCTCTAGGACAGGAGCAAAATGCTACCAGTCTCTTTGCTAAAGCATAGCAAGAGTCACCTTTATTCCAGTGCACAACAAGCTCCTCATCTCCATCTGAGCCCACCTCAGCCTTGACTTAATTGTCCGTATCACTATCAGCATTTTGGTCTGAGTCATTCAACAAACTTCTAGGAAGTTCCAAACTTTCCCACATCTTCCTGTCTTCTTCTGAGCCCTCCAGGTCTCTAGAAAGTTCCAAACTTTCCCACATCTTCCTGTCTTCTTCTGAGCCCTCCAAACTGTTCCAACTTTTGCCTGTTACCCATTTCCAAAGACGCTTCCACACTTTTGGTATCTTTATAACAGTACCCCACTCTCTTTGGTACCAATTTACTGTATTATTCAATTTTCATACTACTATAAAGAACTGCCCAAGATTGGGTAATTTATAAAGGAAAGAGGTTTAATTGACCACCAGTTTAACATGTCTGGAGAAGCCTCAGGAAATTTACAATCATGGCAGAAGGCAAAGGGGAAGCAAGGGACCTTCTTCACAAGGCAAGAGGAAGGAGAATTGCCTAGAGAAGGGGGAAGAGCCTCTTATAAAACCATCTGATCTTGTGAGAACTCACTCAATATCACAAGGACAGCATGGGGGAAACCACCCCCATGATTCAATTATATCCACGTGGTCTCTCCCTTGACACATGGGGATTATGAGGATTATAATTCAAGATGAGATTTGGGTGGGGACACAAAGCCTAACCAAATCAGTCTGTACAAATCTGTGCAGTGGTCTGGTTTTGCAAAAAGGCTAAACTCTTACAATAGACAATAGAGAATAGCATAGCCATATCTACTATTTAGAAATGTAACTTGCAGAAACTGTGGAGTGGATATGAGCAGGGAGAAAGCAGAGAAAGGCAGACCTGAGATGAATGCACTATTCCAAAAGATGTAGTGATTTAAATAATAAATCTTTATTATTATGGGGGAAAACTTAAAAGTAGAAATTAAAAAGGTAATGCAGGCTGGGTGCAGTGGCTCATGCCTATAATCCCAGCACTTTGGGAGGCCAAGGCAGGCGGATCACAAAGTCAGGAGCTGGAGACCATCTGGCCAACACGGTGAAACCTCGACTCTACTAAAAATGCAGAAATTAGATGGGCATGGTGGTGCATGCCTGAGAACCCAACTCGGGAGGCTGAGACAGGAGAATCGCTTGAACCAGGGAGTTGAAGGTTGTGGTGAGCCGAGATCCTGCCACTGCACTCCAGCCTGGTGACAGAGCAAGACTCTGTCTCAAAAAAAAAAAAAAAAAAAAAAAAAAAAAGGAAAGTAACGATGGTCTATTCCCAAATAGATTTTTCTAAAGGAAAAAATAATAGAAACCACTTTGTTAGATAACCTGTAACTTTCCTACATGATTCTGTAGAATATAGACATATGTTGGACAACATTCTTATCTCCACTCGCTTGTTTCTTGAAAGCAAGAAGTTTATACATCCTATAATATAAACAGAAAAATAAGGAAGTAGTAGAGAAGGAAAGAATATATAAGAAAGAAATTTAAAAGTTCTCAAGACATGAGTACTGATACCCCATTTATAACCCAATTCTAACAAAACCTAAGACCACTAATTGAATAGATACACAGAATACTTGTGCAATTATCTCATGTTCGGTATTAGCATTCACCATTTATTTACCATCATTCCATTTTTACAGTGTTTATAAAAACTAAAGGCTGGGTGCGGTGGCTCATGCCTGTAATCCCAGCACTTTGGGAGGCCGACGCAGGTGGATCACTTGAGGTCAGGAGTTCAAGACCAGCCTGCCAACATGGTGAAACCCGATCTCTACTGAAATACAAAAATTAGGCAGATATGGTGGTGGGTGCCTATAATCCCAGCTAGTCAGGAGGCTGAGGCAGGAGAATTGCTTGATCTGGGTGCAGAAGTTTCAGTGAGCCGAGATCGCACCACTGCACTCCAGCCTGGACAACAGAGCCAGACCCCTTCTCAAAAAAAAAAAAAAACCAACCAACAAACAAAAACCCTAAAACCTAAATATGCCTGAAATACGGTAGATATTGTGCATACTGTGATATGTGATATTGAGGCCCATCTCTGGCTTGTGGCAGTTACATAAAGCTGAGATAACACTCGACACAATAGTTGTAATCTAATATGATATGATCTGAGAGTTATATGCTGTATACTATTAATGTGTGCTATATAAGAGAATGTGAGTGCCTCAATAATAATTTTCTAACAACAGAATTCTTTATTTTTAAATGAAATATTATACTAAATGTTAATATTGAAATAGAGAAATATTGAAGTAACCCAAATATATTTTATGGGTTCAAAATTTTTAGGATTTCAAAGGCAAGTTGATGTACAAAAACATTTGAAATCAGGGATAGTTGAAAGTTGCAGCTCCTATATCCAATTTATATATGTATTTTTTGCATTAGGAGTAATATCCAAGTTCACATTAATAATAATTTCAAATGGAAACTTGTTAATAACTAGGTCATCTTGCAATATTAGAATAATCATTTTTCAGACACAGTTAAATCACTTTCAAGATATTTACTATCTGTTTTCATCCCTAACCTATAACACATTAAGCAGAAAACATATAAATCTATAGAAAGATGAATTGTGCCATTACCAGACCATGCATTAAGTAGATATGCATAATCTTCTACAGGAATTTAATTAGCAGAGTACTCACACACTATCCAGTTCAATTAAACAAGTATGTATCGAGCACCTACATTATAACAAGCACTAAGCACCGGACAAATCTGCTCTTGTGGTGCTTACAGCCATTAAACAGGTAATTACCAAGGCTAACTAATGCGGAAAAGGCCCAGGTCCTTTGAGAAACTAAATTTGGCCTAAGAAGTCAGAATGGCCCTCTTAAAGAAGTGCGAGCTGAAAGATAAGTGAATCACAGAGTCATCGGGGTTATAAGGAATTGGCAACATACGTGGGTCATGAGGTAGAGATACAGTGAATAGACTTTTCAACAGAGAAGAAGCCTTAAAGCAGGAGAAAGAGCATGGTAAAACCATAGAAATTAAAGGAGATCTTTGGCAATTCATTCCTTTATTTGCCAAATATACCTCATTTGAGGGTCTAATAATGCCTAGCACTGTTCTAGACCCTGGAAATGCATTTTAGAAAACAAAACAAAGAAAAATATCTCCCTTATTGGAGCATACATTTTACTGTGGAATGATTTAAAAATTAAATGCATCATGTATCAGATGTGAAGTTCTTTGGAGTGGGGAGCATAATATGAAATATTGCAGCAGGGTGTAGCAGGAAGCAGGGAAGGCTTCATTAATTTGGTGACATTTGAACAAAGACCTGATATAAAGGAAGGGTTAAAGCATGCAGATAGCTGAGTAAGAGCAAGTGTTAAAAAAAGCCCTGTTGTGGGAACAAGCTTGGGTGTCCAAGATTCTGGAAAAGGCCAGTGTGGCTAGAGCGAAGTATCTGAAGGAACAAAAGGTAGGAAATGAAAAGCAGAGTCACTGGGGGTGGGGAGCAAAACCATGCGGTGCTTGGGAGGCAGTTATCAAGGCAACAGCTTCTACTCTCCGAGGAAGAGAAAGCCAATGGAAGGCTCTAAGTCCAGTCATAATACAGTCTTATACATGTTTTAAGGAGATCATCAGCTACTGGGTTGACCATAAATTGGAGAAGGGCAAAGCCTTAACGGAGAAGGTGCAAGAAGGGAGTATCTTCATCTGATGTGGTTGGAGAGGTAGGCAGGGCCAAATCATGGGCAACGTTGTAATCCAAGTTAAATATTTTAAACTTTAACATTAATATGGTCGGAAATTATAAAAAATTTTTGAATAGAAGAATGTAATGAATAGATTTCTGTGTTTAAAATTGTGCTATCCAGTATGGTATTCACTAGCCATGTGAGGTTATTGGGCACTTGAAATGCAGTTAGTTTAAATTGAGATCTGCTAAAGTACATACAGGATTTCAAATACTTCGAGAAAAAAAAAATTTAAAATCCAAGGAATGTAAAATATTTCAATGGTTGATTTAATGTTGAAATGATAATATTTTGGATATATTGGGTTAAATAAAATATATTATTAAAATATAATTTCACCTGTTTCTTTTTAGTATTTTAATGTGGCTACTACAAAATTTAAAATTATTTATATGTGTCTCACTTTATATTGCTGTTAGACACAGTGTATTTAGAAGATCACTCTGTCTGAAGAATGGATTAAAGTGGGCAAGAATAGTTGCTGAGAGGCTAGTTATGAGACTGTTCTCAAGAACAGTTCGAATATCACTAGCCTATTCTAAATATCTTAGGAGATGTTCTAAGCATTCTGAAAAGATTCTAAGAAGTGGGAAATTAACAGAAAACACGTCAGATAAGAAATTATTTAAATTCTTGTTTTAGCTACCAAAGAAAATAAGTAAAAGGTAACAATGTCTTGCTGCACAGAATTAAGTTATAAGCACGCTACTTTATATTCTGAACAATGTTTTTGGCTGAAATTTGCATGGCTGATTAAAAGAAGAAAACAATATGCTTATAATTCTTCTTTATGTGTCTTATAGGTTCTATATATGTACATGTAAAAATATCTTTTATATTGTGGTTCTATGGCATACATATTCCTAATTAATTTTAAACGGTCTTATTCTACAGAATAACATAAAAAACCTTTTAAATAATATTTAAAATGTTTTAAATATTACTTTATCTTAAAGTAATATTTTAAATACCACTGCAATATTTAGAATGTAAGCTCCCCATTTAGATTTATATATTCTCTATAAATTGACTAGTATGTTAGAATTTTAAATATTGTTATAGATTAAAGGTATTACTTCAATTTCAGGTCCAACTTGTTAATTTTTGACTGATTTTTTTTTTTGCTTTTTTGGGTTTTTTTGTTTGTTTGTTTGTTTGTTTTGAGACGGAGTCTCGCTCTGTCGCCCAGGCTGGAGTGCAGTGCCGCGATCTCCGCTCACTGCAAGCTCCGCCTCCCGGGTTCACGCCATTCTCCTGCCTCAGTCTCCCGAGTAGCTGGGACTACAGGCGCCCGCCACCACGCCCAGCTGATCTTTTGTATTTTTAGTAGAGAGGGGGTTTCACCGTGTTAGCCAGAATGGTCTCAATCTCCTGACCCTGTGATCAGCCCGCCTCGGCCTCCCAAAGTGCTGGGATTACAGGCGTGAGCCACCGCACCTGGCAATTTTGGGCTAATTATTAACAGACCTATCCTGTCGAATATATTCAGTTATTTTAAACTGCATATTTTAGTAGAAAACAATTATTTTATTGGCAAACTGTATAAGGTAGATTTATTGACTATTTTGTGATACATTGTCATAACTGCTGTCATAAGATCACATTTAGTAATTATTTTTAAACAATACTTCAATTATGAAAATGTTAGCAATGTTTCTCATATATTATTTATGTATTCTGAATTTTCAAAATTTTAGAACAATATGTTAATGATAACCTTTTTTGAGTGACTATATACTATTTATTTATTAATAAGTTATTGAAGAGACTATTGTATATTTGTGTACCACCACTCCTCATTGATGTTGATATTGAATAACCAACCTCTTGATAGTAATTTTACTGTGTGGAATTGGTAATTTTGCTTCTTTTGAATTACTAGATCATTTATAAAAATATTATTATAAAAGCAAACATAAACTATCAAAAAATAGAGTTACAGCATATACAAAAGAAAATTTAGCCACTAAGAAAGGTGTCAAAGACATACTTTCACCAAATTAGAATTTTCTTCTTGACTACTCAGAAGAACTGAAGGGAAAATAGAATGTAAATACATTTTGAACAGAATGGTTTAATGTTATTTAATGCCTTCTCTGAGAACGACACAAAATCATTTTCCTTACTGCCAGTCATGGGCATCCCCATTCTTAGGTAAGCACTGATATTTTGTGTGCACGTGCCCGTGTGAGTGTGTGTGTGTGTATGTGTGTATGCTTGAGGTATAATTTTAAAAATTAGCAGCCTCAGCTAAAATATGATTGCATTGTGGTTTTATTAACTCTCAATAACTAATTTCATTTGTTAATCTTAATATAGATGTCTTCTCTATGTATGTGTAACACTGTACTCTGAGATCCAATGTGAATATAAATTAAAGTATGTTGTACATGTACAAATAAAAGAATCCTAGCAATAATAACTAAAAAAGTGTTTTTTTCTCTTTTTACAGCTTGCAGACCAGGATTCTATAAAGCTTTTGCTGGGAACACAAAATGTTCTAAATGTCCTCCACACAGTTTAACATACATGGAAGCAACTTCTGTCTGTCAGTGTGAAAAGGGTTATTTCCGAGCTGAAAAAGACCCACCTTCTATGGCATGTACCAGTAAGTCTATACATTTTGGATTTGGAAATTCTGTTTCCAACCCTTTTGGTCTTTTCATTCTAAATTTAAAAAATAAGTAAATGTACAAAATCTTGCATTATCAATGCCATTTGTCTGTGATAACAGTCAAGGAAAAAGCTTCTCTCTCTTCTCAGCATAGTTGCTTTTCAACTCTTTGTAAAGAATGGGTTTACTCCTCAAAATTCATTTGGATTCATGATGTACAAATGCCAGCACTGGTTTGAGGCCCTACAAGTTTTCCTTATCCATAATCTGTCCTTAGGAAATTATAGCAGTTGAAGGCTGCATGAGAAGTTATGAACAAAACTTCTGTTCTTTGCTTCAACCCTTGACCATTTTAAAGCATATCAATTTAGGACCATATAGTTAACGCGTGAGGGAGATTCCAGAGGAAACTTTAAAAGTCATTGTGTTATTGTTATGTAGAAAAGTTCAAGTTCCCTTGACATTTATCTTTAAAGGCAGGTATTTTTGAGTTTTTCCACATTTCACCTCTTACTTTCTCTCCAATATTTTTGGTTAGAAGCAGTAGAATGTTAAATCTAAATGTGAAGGTCATTTTAATGCATACACCAAGAATTTTAAATGAATTGTATTCTTCTATTATTAAAATATTGTAAAATATCAGTACATTTAAAAAATAAAAGTGAATATATTAATACATTGCTAAGTTATGCAAAAGTAAAATAATCACCCCTTAGATTTTTTTTAAAGTTTTGTTTAATATGTTAACATAAAAACAAAAAACACAATATATAAATTTAGAAAAAGGTAGAGGAGACTTTTTTTTTTTTTTCGAGACAGAGTTTTGCTCTTGTAGTCCAGGCTGGAGTGCAGTGGCATGATCCCGGCTCACTGCAGCCTCCACCTCCCGGATTCAAGCGATTCTCCTGCCTCAGCTTCCTGAGTAGCTGGGACTACAGGCATACACCCCCACGCCCAGCTAATTTTCATATTTTTAGTAGAGATGGGGTTTCACCATGTTGGCCAGGCTGGTCTCGAACTCCTGACCTCAGGTGATCCACCTGCCTTGGCCTCCCAGAGTGCTGGGATTACAAGCATGAGCCACCGCCCCTGGCCGAAACTATTTTTTATGAAGAGTTACAGCTTGCAAGGTGGCCATCCTGCAGGCTGGGAAATATAGCCTCTGACCAAGACATGCACTTTGAGGGTGGTAAGAATGACAGGGATTTACGCTGAGTGAGGTGGTCAAAGACACATATTAAATAACGCTATAGGAGTCATGAAATTTATGAAAGCAGAAACATGCACATGGGCAATTGAGCTTCATGCCTCAGCATGGGACCCATGTACAAAAAAATGGCCATGTTAGCACAACCCAAGGGTGGAGTTTTCAGCCCTCTGATGTCAAAAGGTGAAGCAGAGGACGTAGAAACCCTCACTGAGCATACTCTGGACTGGCCAGAACTACTCCGTGGTTGGTGGTCTCTTATCAGGAAGGAAGCTGGTTAGTTGTTATGTCTAAACCACAGAAAGGGAGGGGCAGCATCAGATAGTTGATATCAGCGGTGGAGTGGGTCTTTAAAAAGGGCTGGCTTCTCTTTAACCCTTGAAGAAGGAAGCTTAATGGTAGTAAAGGAGGGAGGTGTGTCCAGCCTCTCATCTCATCATCATAGTCGGGATCCCAGTTTTAAGGTTTCTCTGGGGTAAGCTTGGCCATGAGGGGGTCTGTTCAATAGGTTGTGGAATTCGGATTTTATTTAATTTTTATTTTTATAACAATAGTTTTTGGGGAACAGGTGGTGTTTGGTTGCATGGGGGAAGTTCTTTTGTGGTGATTTCTGAGATTTTGGTGCACCCATCACTCGAGCAGTGTACACTGTACTCAATGTGTAGTCTTTTATCACTCACTACCCTCCCATCCTTCCCCACTGAGTTCCCAAATTCCATTATATCATTCTTATGTTGTTGCTCCTCATACCTTAGCCACCAGTTATGTGAGAACATATGATGTTTGGTTTGCCATTCCTGAATTACTTCACTTAGAATAATGGTCTCCAACTCCAGGTTGCTGCAAATACCATTATTTTGTTCCTTTTTATTGCTGAGTAGCATTCTATGGTGTGTGTGTGTGTGTGTATATATATATATATATAATGTAAATGTCATATAAATGTTATATATATATATATGTCACATTTTCTTTATCCACTTATTAGCTGATGGGCATTTGGACTGGTTCAACATTTTTTTGCAATTGCAAATTGTGCTCCTATAAACATGCATGCGCAAGTGTCAAATAATGACATCTTTTCCTCTGGGTAGATAGATACCTAGTAGGGGGGATTGCTGGATCAAATGATAGTTCTCCTTTTAGTTCTTTAAGGAATCTCCATACCGTTATCCGTGGTAGTTGTACTGGTTTACATTCCCACCAGCAGTGTAAGTGTTTGCTTTTCACCACATCCACATCAACATTTATGATTGTTTGATTTCTTAATTATGGCCATTCTTGCAGGAGTAAGGTGGTATCGCATTGTGGTTTTGATTTGCATTTCCTTGATAATTAGTGATGTTGAGCATTTTTTCATATGTCTGTTGGCAGTTTGTGTATCTTCTTTTGAGAATTGTCTATCCATGTCCTTTGCCAACTTTTTGATGGGATTATTTGGTTTTTTTTCTTGCTGATTTGTTTGAGTTCCTTGCAGATTGAGTTCCTTTGTTGGATGCATAGTTTGCAAATATTTCCTCCTGCTCTGTGGGTTGTCCATTAACTCTGCTGATTATTTCTTTTGCTGTGTGAAAGCTTTTTAGTTTAATTAGGTCTTATCTATTTGTCTTTGGTTTTCATTGCATTTGCTTTTGGGTTCTTGGTCATAAACTCTTTGCATAAGCCAATGTCGAGAAGAATTTTTCTGATGTTATCTTCTAGAATTTTTATGGTTTCAGAACTTAGATTTAAGTCTTTGATCTATATTGATTTGATTTTTGTATCAGGTGAGAGATGAGGATCCTGTCTCATTCTTCTACGTGTGGCTTGCCAATTGTCCCAGCACCATTTATTGAATAGGGTGTCCTTTCTCCACTTTATGTTTTTGTTTGCTTTTATTTTTATTTATCAGTTACATAAGTCAGATATTAAGGTGAACATTTGCCCTTCCTGGTGATGAATTGGTACCAAAATTTTGCTTATTTTATTTACTTCCATAGAAGCAAAACTAGACTTATGTAATGTCACATATTTCTTAGAGGCATTTCTTAGAGATGTCCCAATTTTTTAAACTTAACTAATGCAGTTCATAGATTTGTCTGTATTACTATAGATTTCCTTATAAAATATTTTTATGGAACACATTTAATAAAAATGTAATACATTCATTGTTGCTATTCATTAGTAGATGTAATTTTGGCTTTCTGATTGTAAATGCTAAGTGACTGCTTTCTTCAGAAAATTACAGCCTAGAAAATTACTACTTAGGTATTTTTTTTCCTGTGAACATATTTTAAATTTATAAATAGCAAAATAAAACTTCTTAATATAATTTCTCACTTATGGAAAAAAGTTTTTAGCAGACAAATCTTCCTATTACTATACATGCAATCTTTCTTGCATGGTTACTGAATAGTATTATATATAGTATGGACAACATACTACAGTTTAGGTAGTTTGTGATATTTCAAATAGTTACAGACCTGTCAGGCATGTATCCCTCAAAACCTATGTAGGAAACTGAATGGAGCTTTCTAAGTGTTAGAGGAAAATATCTTTTTATTTTCTTAGGAGGCTATAAATAGAAAATTGGTAAATTGAGGAAATAAGTTCCCATCAATGTAACCCTTTAGTAAAGTAGTATAGTCAATAATTGAGAAGGCTTAGAGTTATTCAGCATGACAAACTAGTCAAAGAAAAATAAATATGGGCTACAACAAGGTCTATGAATGTGATAAGCTTGTCAGTCATTTTTGAATCAGATATGTGTATTTTTCCACATCATTTTATGTCACTTAAATTTGCTATCATTTCTAATTTCCTTCTTTAATGCTTAATATTATAAATTATATTTCAGAAATGCTAGCCTAGCTTGTTTATTCAAAGTAGAAGCAAAGAAAGGTTTAATTCTGTCATGGCTGGGCAGAATTTTAGACAGGGAAGAGCATGCCATTGTTGCTATAGGGCAGGAAAAATAATTTTCCTTCTACGCTTCATAGTTCTTAGTTGAGACAGACTCCAGTAACAAAAGAGATTAGAAAGAGAAAAGCAAACAGTAATTTACTAACATGTACCTCGTGTATACATTGGACATACCTAGGGAATGAGTAAATCTCAAAGAGGTAGCTCTGAGTTTAGGTTTAAATACCATCTTCAGCTGCAGCAAAGAAAGAAGAGTTTTGGGTGGCGGAGCAGTAATGGGGAGGTAAAATCACAGTAAACCAGGACAGGATTTGTTATGTTGATTTAAGTCAGTGCCTTCTTCATGGATAAGAGTTTCTAGTGACTTAGTGATCCTTCTCTTCCTGAGAAGACAGAGAGATACACTTACAAATGGAGATTTCCTTTGTAGATACAAATTTTCCATAGGAAAGGGTGATTTCTACTTTGTTTTCAGAGCTGCTACTGTGTCTGCAGTTTCTCAAATAAAATGACTCAAAATAATCCTTATGCCAAAGAGGCATATTTTTGAGTGGCGTATTCTGGTCTCCTATAGCCATATTTTAGGGTGACATATTCTGGTCTCCTCCAGTCATATTTTGGAGGGCATAATTTGATCTCCTACATTGTTATCAATGATCCAAAGAGAGAACCCCCAAAGAAAAGTGAAATATAGAGCTTTAGTCAAGTTTTCCTAGTCCAGACCCAGGAAGCTTTCTTTCTCAAGGCTTCTCTCTTCTACTTTTTTAAGAGCTTACTTACTTTGTTTGGCAAAGACTCAGCTTCATGCTGAATTCACTGTCTTTTAAAGCCAGATTTTCTCAGAGCGAATCTTGGTGATACAAGAGCAAACGGAAAGCTACTCTTTCACCCTCTCTGAATGTTTACTGATATGAACTGACAATAGCCAGATTAAGAGAAGAAAAATGCGTAGAAATGTATTAATGTGCATAAGCATGGTGAGGGGGCATATAAAACATGAGACTTGTAGAAGGTCCAGATGGTGAAGTTTATATACCCTCTTTGTAGGGGAAAGGAAATGGGGCATGTAGACAATTGGAGGGATAGTAAGTGATTTTTAGGAGAAATGAGTGCACCCAAGGAACAATGGCCTGGGAGAAAGTTCCTCTGAGGTCTGAGGGAGGTAGTGAAGAAGATGAAGGGTGGAACTTTAGTATGAAGAAAAATAGTGTTATTATGCAGATAAAGTATCTCAGGTAATCCCTAGGAGCTGCCCTCAGAAGAATAGATGAAATGTCTTTCTGGGCTTGGTGATGACTTATAGTCGTTTCTTTTTTCCAGTGGTTAATTTTTGCTGGTTGTTTGACAAGACTCCTAGGGAAGGGCTTTTAAGACAATGCATTTCTTCTGGATGAAGTTCCCTTAAACAAATAAAGAAACTTCAGAGAAATCTCCTATTTGTGCTGTGGGAATGAAAGGGGATCAGAGAGACAGGTTGACAGGAAAGGTCAGAGAGAGATTTTGGTTTCGAGGTTTATTTCTGAGGCCCTGCAGTTTCCTCTAATTCAAAGAACTCCACATGCCAAAGGACCACATTTTTGGGTGTGATTTTCTGAACCCCAAAAGCATTTATTAGATATGTAAGGTTGGGCAAATTATTTAACTTCTCTTGACTCCAGTTGTACCATCCATATTGATAACAATACATACCTCATACTGTTGTCACAATGATTTAAATGAGTTAATATTTGAAAAGTGCTAAAAACAGTAGCTTGCACATAATGGGTGCTACATAAATGCTTGTTAAATTAAAAAGAAAGCTGTTCTCTTACAATTCGTTTTGAAAGAGTGTCTGGTAAGTTAAAATTCAAACTATTAGAAATTTTATGTTGATGCTATTTTGTCAGGTTCACGGCTTCCATCATTTGTATTCCTGCAAACTAAAAACAATAATGATAATAATATACTGAATGCCTAAGACCTTTTCACAAAATATATTAAGTCCTGCACCTCTAAGCCTATCATCTGATATTGTTAGCAGTGGCAAATCTAACAGGCCTGCAGCGACTTGATTCCTACCTCCTCATAGGAAAGAATTTGGCTGAGGGGCATAAGTCAGTATGAGACCAAGGCAAGTTTTAGAACAGGAGTGAAAGTTTATTAAAATGTTTTTGGAACAGGAACAAAAGAAAGTACACTTGGAAGAGGGCCAAGCAGGCACCTTGACAGTTCCAGCTGCCTCATTTGGCCCTTTACTTGAGGTTATATACATTGGCATGGTTCCAGGGTTTCTGTTTCTTCTCTCCTGATTCTTCCCTTGGGGCTGGCTGTCTTCATGCACAGTGGCCTGCTGGCACTCGGGAGGGGCCACATGCACAGTATGTTTACTGAAGTTATGCACATGTTCACTGGAGTCATTTTTTCTTACTGAGTGTTTCTAGGGGAAGGTCATATACCGGTCAAACTCTGCAATTTTGCCTCTTATGTACCTGCTTGAGCCCACTCGTCCAATTCCTGAGATCTTATTGGTAAGCAGCTGATCACCAGCTTCAGGTGTTTTCTATCTATTGGGAGACCACTGTTCCCTGGCACCAGCTGCCACCAATTATGGTTTTAGAGAGATAGTTTAACAGCCACCTGACCATCACCTGGTCATTGCCTGACATTCTTGGGGTGGAGGGCCCTCTCCTGCCCTGTTCATGTCTGCCTAGCTGCCTACTCCATCAATATCAGTGAGGTAGTCTGAATCATACTTTGATTAGTATGGAGTGACCCTAGCAGTTATTACAATGTATGCAAAAAAAAAAAAAAAGCAAGTACCATAAACTTCAAAACATTATGTCTTCTAAAACTTAAAAGATGAGATTGTTGGGGAAGAAGATCAGAAAAATGACAAGTTAAGAGGTTGTTGAACAATTACACTTAAGAGGTTCATGGTAAGTCCAGCAAGATATAGAACTTTTGGGGCCAGGAATCGAACAAGCAGTCAATCTTTCCTGTTTTTCATTAACCACAAACAGTAGCAATATTTTAATAGATATGCATTCTCTCCATGCTAGATATTGTATTTCTATGAATTTGCCATTATTTATTTCCTTTATTCTTATGGTGTATTATCTAAGAGTTGGAATTTAGATCATCAGTCATTCCCATTACTATCTGGTGTCTTGGTCAATCTTAGCATTTAAAACGGTGCTTTCAGAGAACCTTCTAGGGATTTAAAAGGAAGCATTTTTTGGTGTCAGGGGTAGAGAGAAAAGTAACTAAAAATTTCAAGTATGTGATGAAACCATTTTGAATGTATGATTAATAAAATGAAGAACTAAAATTGTGGAAATGAGTAACCAAAATATTTGGCCAGTAAATGGCCTAGTAGGTGAAAATTTCATAGATAGGTATAGGAGGCAATCATATAAATGATAAGATTTTAAGGATGCTAAGAAGCCCGGTTCCTTAGTGATTTTCTCAAAACAACAGCAACAAACCTAAAATTTTTCTAGTACAACACAGCATGAGATTTTACCATTAAGAGTTTTACAGATTTCTTTGGGTTTGTAGAGATGGTGTCTTTTTATTTTATAATCCTAATTTATTCACATAAAGATTATTAGGTGTCTCAAATGGCTACAGTCTAAAGAAAATTATGTCTCACATTCAAAGCTAATCCTTCCAATTGTTGGGGGATGATCTGATCT
This sequence comes from Homo sapiens, assembly GCF_000001405.40. Classification (NCBI taxonomy): domain Eukaryota; kingdom Metazoa; phylum Chordata; class Mammalia; order Primates; family Hominidae; genus Homo; species Homo sapiens. Next base: position 97,234,208 of record NC_000003.12, read on the forward strand.
TTCAATTTTCTGTTGGGCCTAGCTGGTTTTGTTTATCTCCTCTACTGAATTTTTGTTTCTGCTAACTCCTTCCTTAGAACCTATAGTATATATTCAAATTTATATTATCAAAAAAAATGCTCCCAGTCCAATTTTTCTCTTCTCTAAAACAAATACCTTGGAAAAATCATCGTCATTGGCTATGTCTACTTTTCACTTTTAATTTGCTTTTTACTCTGTTGCATTTAGATGTTCCCATTCACTCTACTACAAGAAGATTTTGTTTTTACTACTTCTAGTAAACTGCATAAGAAAAATTCACCAATGATCTTCATTGACATTTTGTATTAGAAACATTTTTTGTCCTGTTATTCATGACACTTATCCTGTTGATCATTCTTTTTTTCTTGCAACTTCCTGTTCCCTTTTAATCTAAGACATTGCAATCTCCGTTTCACCCTCCTAATTTTCTGATCATTTTGTTTATCACCATTGATGATTCTTCTTCTTTTGCTCACCTGTTAAATATTAAATTTTCCCATGTTCTTTTTATTGCCCTTTTATCTTTTCATATGTTCTCCTTAACTCCCATAATTTCAAATGTCACCTGTAGATAGATGATGCCCATATTTTTATCCATATCTCAGTCTTCTCTCCTGAGGTGCAAAGTCTTCTAGACAACTGATTGTGGGATCTGACAACCTGTATGTCCTATGGAAACCTGCCTGCATCTCTGACCTTATATTATAGCATACTCCCCTTGATTACCAAACTCCTGGACTTCAAAGATGCTGAACTTGTGTTCATTCTCAGTGCCAGCAGTTTCCTCTACTTGAAATGCTCCTTCCTTAGGTTTTATTTTTGCTATTCAGAATCAAATATCAGCTTTTAGGGCAGGCATTTCCTGACTGCCCCCTCAAAATAAAATTATTCGCAGTTACTCCTTTTTATGTCATTGTGCTTTCTTTTTTATAGATTATATCATTCTTAGAAAATACTTGGTTTATTTATATACTTGCTTCCTCATTTGTTGTCATTCTGTCCACAAGAGACTACAAGGTACCTGGCATATAGTAGACACTAAGAACCTGATGAATGAATAACTAATAATTTCAAGCTCAACCTGAGTTAGCCAGTATTATTGCTTTCTCTCTCAGACTGCTTATCAAGCCTAGCTTTTGTTTCTGTGTCCTGATGAATCATCATCAATCCACCCATCTAAGCCATGAAGCTTAAGTCATAACCCCTACCCCTGACTTCAAAATAGCCTTTCAGTTCTACTTTTTAGCATTTCTTCTATCCATTCCTTCTTGTAAATTCCTGGCCTTATCCTTTTAGTTAAGACTCTCAACTTTCCTTTGGGTTAATTTAACAATCTCCTAGCAACTCTCCTTCCTTTAGTCTTCCATCCTTCCTAAATATCTTCCAAATTATTAGAAAGTATTATTTCTAAATGAACAACAATAACAATGAAAAACTTTGATCATATCCCCACTGCTGCTTATAGCCTTTCACATCTACAACCCTTCTTTGCCAAAATTATAAGTCAATCTAAGGACATCCAAGGTTCAGGCTTGGTCTGTCTCTCCCTAACCAACTTTAACTTTACCAGGATTTCTCAAACAGTCTGGATCTTAATCCAGTTATTCCAGTTATACCAGTTACATACCTGCAGGTTTGGGCTTCCTTGTTTTTCTTTTTATTGTTGTCCTTGTTGTTTTCTTTTTAAAAATTCATTGTGTTTCTTTTGCATTAACTGAAAAATATATTTTAAAAATTAGGAATAAGAAATTTAAAAAGAAAGCTGAATGTTTTATCTAATGTTTTAATATATTTCATATCCTCTTAACTTTTTTTCTCAGGTGACTCATTAAATATATGCTCTGTACTTTAAAGAATGAGCTGTGGAGGACACTCCACACTATCAGGTCTTGGTCAATTAGGGCTGCCTCTGGGAGCAGTTTGGAGTACAGGAGATCCTGCTATCTGCCAAGAAGTCTGTTATCAAAATAACTGTCCAAGGCTTTTCCAGGCCAAAAGGGAAAAATAGTCACTGAGGTTGGAGAAACAAAGTAGGCAAATAAGAGTTATTTTAAAAGTACTTGTCAAGCAGAAAACACAAAGTAGGAGAAGATGGAGAGGAATGACGTAAGAGTCTAATAGGTGGGTGAGTGAGAGGTTAGAAAAAAAAATCCCATGGTCTTAGCACTTTTACTTTGATGTTTTTCATGTATTTAAATCAATAGAGAAATTGTCTTTTAAAACTATTAAACAGGTGCTGGAAGATTAACGCATTTAACAAACATTTACGTTGCCTACTTAGAAAAGTTCAAACATAAAATGTAAGTCATACACATGGGTAAATTCTAATGCGTACCCTTAGGAATTTCTTTTGTATTGTTTTATCTAAATATACAATCAAACAAATACCTATGAGTGAAAACATTTTGCTACAACTTCATTCTTAATACACAGGCAAATATCAAGTCTTTGTGTTTGATATACAGTGACAGTGATTGGGAAGAAAGCATAAAACTTGAATTTACATTTGCTCTAAGGCTAACAGTGTAAAGCATGGTTTCTTTAGTGCTGGAATAATTGGCCACTTGAGAAAATTATTATTCTCTCACTCTTACTCTGCGTAGAGCAAATGGTGGTTGAGATGTAGTTGGAGAAGTATTCTTTCCTCTTTTCAGCTGCTCTAGCCACATCGCCGCTCCTAGGTATGCTCAGGATGCTCACAATCCAAGCATCCCTGTTCTGCTTGTTATCTCTTCTTCCCCCGCCATCTCATTACTTTTTTTCTCTTTTTCTTAAATGTAAGTTTTGCATAAAGAAAACCATTTTGGCCCTCTTGCTTTTCCATCTCACAACTGAAATTCAAAAGGACAGCTGATTGTTTAGGTGACTCATTGTACAGACAATGCAGCATTCACGATTTTGCAGAGCCTAGAAAGGGAGAAATTGCAACGACAGTTTGTTTTTTTTGTTTTTGATTTTTTTTTTTTACCTCAAGCAAGCTGTTATATTTTAGACTTCACTTATCATAAAAATAACTTAAATATTCACTTCGTATATTGCAATGCTGTATTTTTAAAATTAAAATAACCCTTACACTACTGAATAGACACCTATATGTAATGAATCCTCGTTTCCCCAATTATAAATTACTGATAGATATCACTTGAGTTTGATGGAGTTGCCTAAACACATATACTTTAATTTACATTTCAGCAGAGGTTCTTTTATCAAATAATCTGGGAGAGTTTCCTCTATTATAAGGCCATTCTGCTGATGTTGGAGAATCGAGTTACCACTTGTTGCCAGTATGTCTTTATTCCTGACCTCTGCAGTTGTATCTCAGAAAGAATTGTCCCACTCAATATCATCTGTTTGTACAAAACAGATCATTATCAAGAAATCATTCATAATTTGAAACAGAACATCCATAATTGTTGCTACAATGTTATGCATTTTGAGGAAAGTTTATTAATTTGCTTGAATTTATTCATTAATTGTTTTGCTTTTCCCTCTGAAATTATGACAGTGCTCGGATTTTTCATATTTCTCTTTCCATTTCTAATGGATGCTTGTCTAAAAGTAATTTACTCAAACATGAAAAAGGCCATATGTCAGTGAGCATGATTTTTTCCATGGTATTAGGGAAACTGGATAATGTTTAACTCAAAAAATCTAAGGCCAGGTCCTCATTATTTTATTTATATTTAAGTGCTCTTTTTCTCATTTGTGTGATTATGTTTACTTTTACTATTGATCTGCATATCTATAATACATTTCTGTAATTATTACAATTAGTTATTCTATGGACTAATATTGAGGTTTTCTTCTTGCATTGATAAGGATAGTTGATAGCTACCATTTTGGAAATTTCCCAAGCTAAAATTATGTACATGCTGTATGGCATAGAAACTTGAAGATGCAAATGCTTACTTTTCAGGTTTTCAAGTGTCTAGAGAACTGTATTTTGAGAAATTTTTATTCTCTCCTAATGGGTAAAGAGATGGTGGCACCTTATTCTCTTATGGGTCTTTATTAGTTAATATCAGTGTTCATAATATAAACATTCCCTTCTGCTTCAAATAATTTTCATGTAATATAGATCTGTTCTTAGTAGCACTAGGCTCTTAAAAAATTATAACCTTGAATTATCTGCTTTACAATACTTGTCAAAATTTGTACTATGTGCAATATAATTCTTAGAGAATTGCACAAAACTATGCATTGCATTCATTTCTTTAGTTAAAACATGTTACCTTTGGTTCAAGCTAGATTAGCAGACTTGTGCCTATGAAAAAAATTACTTCAGTGTAATATGTGCATTATTTGCTAAGTGTCAATCATCTCTTCTATAAAATGGGGATATTAATAACCATTTTACAGGGTTATTGTGATGATTGAGTGAAACAAATTATGTGAAATATTAAGTACACCCCTTACAGTTAGCTATATTTTTTTCAATACATGCTTACCAGGTATAAAAGTGATCAGTTCTGACAGACGATAGCAAGGAGTTGTCACAAAGGAGGTAACAACTAAATCAGAATATGAAGGGTGAGTAGGAATTTTTCAGAGAGCAAAAGGCGGTAAAGGCAATTCAGGAACAGTAGGTACAAAGGCAAAAGGGAGCTAGAGGCTAAAGAATGGACGGGGGCCTGGTATGAAGACACTTGTAGACAAAGCTGAGAAGTTTAGGTTTTATTCTGGAAATGAATGGTATTTGGTCTATTCGATTTTTTGTTTGCCTGTTTTAACTATTAACTTTAAAAATAAAATAACTTCTAAAAGTTAACTAAATCCTGATTGATGGGACTATGAAAACATTAATGCATAACAAGTTTTGTTTTAGGCATCAATTTAATTACTAAAAGTAGGTGCAAGCATATCAAAGATAATCAGAAGCAATCCGTTTTGCCATATGGAATGCAAAAGATTTGAAGTGTGCATACTCCTGAATTTTGAGTAATATTTACTTTGAAAACTTAAGTTTCAGTTGCTCTTCTGTATATAAAATTATTTAAACCCTCTAATAGCATTATTTAAGGGAGTCTCCTATAGGAAGGCAATAATCAGTTACTAATTTGTATGTTTTGAAAATGTGTATTTGACAATACTTTGAAAACAAAAAAAACTATATAAAAATACAGTAGACCCTTGAACAACATGGGGGTTAGGGGCACCAATCCACTCCCCACTTGCTGTTGCAAACCTGCATCTAACTTTTGGCTCACCCCAAACTTAACTACTAATAGCCTACTGTTGAACAGAAAGTGTAATTAGAATATAAACAGTTGATTAATACATTTTATATGCTACATATTATTTATTATATTATTACAATAAAGTAAGCAAGAGAAAATAAAATGTTACTAAGAAAATCGTAAAGGAAGATAAAATGTATTCACTATTTATTAAGTGAAAGTGGATCATGATGAAGGTCTTTGCCCTCATTGTCTTCAGGTTGAGTAAGCTGAGGAGGAGGAGAGAAAGAAGGGCTTGTTCTTTCTGTCTCAGGGGAGGCAGAGGCAGAAAAAGTGGAGGAGGTGAAAGGGGAGGCAGGAGAAGCAGGCACACTTGGTTTAACTTTTATTGAAAAAGATTCCTCAATGTAAGTAGACCCATGCAGTTCAAAATGCATGTTGTTCAAGGGTCAACTGTACATTTTCATATATATTTGTCAGATTTTCTATTTATAGGCTGAATATGATGTAATAGGGTTTTTAATAATCTAAACAGATAAATACTGGCTGTCATTCTACCACTAATGGACTGCATAACCTTAATGTAATTATTGTCCTTTTCTGAACCTCGTTTCTTCATCTGAATATACTGATATGGTTCCTTCCTGTGCTAAGATTGGAGCTCCAGTTTTGTGATTGCCATTCATTTCCAAATAGAAAAAATTTAATAAACAAAACATATAGATAGAGAAAGAAGTGATTTAGAGAAAGAGAATATGAAATTCATTGATACGTATGTATCAATATCATATCAGTGAACATGATATTCACTGATACGTAAAAGCATTTACCTAACCATCTTTAAATGGTTCAGTGTGTTCCTTTAATCTTGTCTTTAACCCAGATTAGCATAGAACTATTTTTCTCTCATTTGTAAACTCAGAAATATGAATAAATTTGTTTTCTGTTAATAAACCATGCACTACATTCTTGGCAGTCATTAAATTAACAAAGGTAGTAACTTAAGAACTGATTAAATATAGCTTAATATGCAATTGTCTTTCATGACTTGGTATCTTCAGATATTTCGGTGAAATTTTTATTATTCTTAAGATTTTAAAAAGTACCTCTGCAAACTATGATTAGTTATTGACTTAATTGGTGAGCAGTCACTTTTCAGCCCATATGAAAAATCCCCCTGTTTGTTTATGGGTTTAACATATTTTTATGATTATAAACGTGAAACATAAATCTGTACTGGTTGATGCGACAACTGAAATATGGCCCTTCAGCTTGTTCTTCTTCTGTGTCAGACTTTATTTAAGCATGTTCTGCAGAATGCTAGTATTCCTCTAGATGATCCTTGGAAAATAAGATTCTATGAACAAATTTTTGGGAAATGTTGGATTCAACAAAGTGAAGCAAATAGTGTTAATTTTGTTTCCACATCAGTCCACCAAAAGAGTCTTATTTGAGCAACAAACTGATTTTTGTGTGATATTTCATGGGACTAGAAGGATTGCATAGGACATATTTTGGGAAACACAGTTATGTTTAAAAACAATTTACATTAAAAACTTAAATGAAATAAAACAAACAAAAATCATAGCACACCTGGCCTCTGCTACTCCGAGAGGAAGATTGGGACCTACCGGGACAGATGTTTTTCTGGTAAGGGAGAGTCTACCTTGCTATAAGTATCTCGTAAGTTTTACTGGTAGAGCACTGTTCCTTTATTCTTTAAAGTTATAAAGTAGAAATTCAAATTGAAGCAAAAGAAAAGTGTTTTCTAGTTAAAAAAAAAAAGCTAGTGGAAAATAAAATTGTAGCATAACTAATAGAAATTAAGTTGTAGTTTTTAGGTAGTTTATTATATGATGGACTTGAAAAACAGCTAGTTTCAAATCAGAATAATTGCCTTTTTCTTATGAAGTTAGTCTGGAGGGTGAAGACTGGAGATTGCTTTCTTTCTGTGTGAATTAGTTGTTTCTTTTAAAGAAACAAAATCAACATAAGGAAATACCTGGGAGTTTTCAATACAGATGTCTCCAAAAGTATTATTGCTGCCATGTTATTTTTTCAATGTGTCACATAATGTTTATATAATTTATAAATGATAACAAAGCAATCAGGCCACATTCATAAAAGCCCAGTGACACATCATTTAGTTGAATCTGAGGATTAGAATTAATTGTCTCTCTTTGTTCCAAGTTCTAAATCTTAGTAAATGATTCACTGTATGTCATTACAGCTTAATATTTGCATGAAATCACAGTTTAGCTGGCATAATTTAACAGCAATTAAAAAGCTATTTAATCATCATGCAAATTGGTATGAGGGCCCTTGAGTAAGAAGGGTGTCAGCCTTCTTGTTTTTTTTTTTTTTTGTTTTTTTTTTTAGTATCTGCAGGCGGACAGTTATATACTTATAGACACCCATAACATAATTGATAATATTCTTCCTAGAATGAAAATATAAGTGAATAATAATTCCTGCTTTCCATTATAAATAAGAGAAAAGACCAACCATATGAATATGTCATTCTGTCGGAAAACATTATTATGATAATGACAATGAATCTTTATCTCCTAGACTAAGTCTAGGTTGGAGGTAAAAAGCTACGTTTATCCCTGTTCTCTAGTGTATCATCCCCTTCATGTTTGCCTTCCTGAAGGTAGACGTTTCTGTAAACCCTATGGAATATGAAATGGCATAAAGCAAGGCACCCAGCAACCTTTTAGAAAAAATGATTCATTGCATTTCTAGGTGATGTACCTATAGGTAGCTGAGGTCCCTTCCTGTTGTACATAGAAAACTATCCATACTCATTCCAATGAGCCTAGCAGTCCTGCACTATCTAGCTTCTTCCTGTTCCTTAAATCTTACTTCATGCATTCTCCCTCTGCAGTCTAGCCACAGTGACTTTCTGCCAGTTCCATGGTTATTTCAAGATCTTTCTGAACAAGAATGGCATACTTTCTATTCCTAATATTTTTCCCACCCCTCTGCATATTCTCCTCACCACCTCTATGAGGCTTTCTCAGAATGTTACCTAAAACAGGGGTCCACCTGATTGCTTTTATTTCAGCACCTGTCTTTCTAATTTTTGTAATTGCAAACATTATGATTTGAATTTTATTCATCCGCTTACATAGATCTAGTCACTCCACCAAAATGTAAATAACAAGAGAGAAGGAATAATGTCTACCATGTCTTATCTCTGTAAGCCCAAGATCTAGTAGAGTATCTGCCACATAGTAGACACTAAATAAAATATTTAATGAATGAATGGCCGTAGCTTGAAATCCAAAAGGAGCCTATATCAAAACTTGAATTTATTTCTAGGAGCGAATGCTAGGGAGACATTGCTTTCCACGCTCTAAGCAGAGTTTCTTGGTAACAGAAATTAGAGAATTGGTTTAGATTTTTTTTTTAAATGAAGCCTTCTAAAATATGGCGTGACTGTTGTTTCAACAGTCATTTATATAGTATATTATTTTTCTAAATATCTCTCATAAGTATAGCCTCTCACAGCATACGGATTCTGTGGTTTTTCACATATAGTACTTAGCATAGTGTCTGGCTCCTAGAAGACATTCAGGTAATATTTGTTTAATGAACATTATAAAACTGAGGCTTAAAGGACTCAGATAAGTATATAGGATTATTCACACAATTTTAAGGAAAGGCTGGAGTAATTAGCGGCTATCAAGCACTCTACACGGTGTGATCTTTGTGGAAAATAAGAAGATGCTCATCCCCTCCTTAGACTGACTTGGTTTTCGAGGTCTTTATGACAAATAGGAGAATAGTGTGGGTCTCTTTTAGGCCCACGCTTAGTTTAAAGGACACACCTACTTGTGTTTAGTAAACTTAATCTAAATGAAAGTCCTGCCATCATTTCTTGTCAGTGGCCCCTTTTTATCCCTTCCATATCATGCTTTTATCACATCAAATTGACAAGGACTTAATAAAAGGTTTTTTGTTGCCTTCAATTTTCATTTCGTTTTTCCTTTTTCCAAATCATCTGCTCACCCTAAATTTATGGTCATTTAATCTCAACCTTTGGGAAACAGATTTTTAGTGATTTTCGGAGGTGATGAATGGGGATTTTATCTACATATGAATTATAGTATGAAGACTGAAAAACTTACAACAATGTGTTTTGTATATGTATGTTACTATTTTTTTTCAAATTTTGAAAATGGTGATATAATTAATAAGATGTAATTAAAGCCATCACATAATTTAAAATAATTTTTGTTATATATTTTCAGTCAAGTTTAAAAGGTGTAATTACCATATGTTTTACAGATATCCTGATTTTTATATTAAATATTGAAATTCATACTCCAAAAATTTATGATATAGATCTTCATTCCTCAAGACTCCTTCCCTACTAGACCTAATGAGCTATTTTAACCATGTGATCATTATAGATCCCATTAGAAAAAGAGTTCAAACTAACATAAAAGAGCAACAAGTGTTTATTGATGAAGTTTTCATTTTAGCGCCATAATTCATTGTCCTATATATGTACATTTGTTTTTTAATTGCTTTTCTCTAGGGCCACCTTCAGCTCCTAGGAATGTGGTTTTTAACATCAATGAAACAGCCCTTATTTTGGAATGGAGCCCACCAAGTGACACAGGAGGGAGAAAAGATCTCACATACAGTGTAATCTGTAAGAAATGTGGCTTAGACACCAGCCAGTGTGAGGACTGTGGTGGAGGACTCCGCTTCATCCCAAGACATACAGGCCTGATCAACAATTCCGTGATAGTACTTGACTTTGTGTCTCACGTGAATTACACCTTTGAAATAGAAGCAATGAATGGAGTTTCTGAGTTGAGTTTTTCTCCCAAGCCATTCACAGCTATTACAGTGACCACGGATCAAGATGGTAAGTTCCACTGCTGTTCTCTCAAAACAGACCCATAATTTCTTTTGATGCATAAATATCCCTCATGGGCATGTATTTATTGCAGGTGCTATGCAGTCATATACGTTATACACTGCAGAGGTAATGCACTGGTTGTTGTTCTTGTTCTTTCCTAAAACTCAGAAAGATATTTTTATATTACTTCTCAGCAGTATGAATAATAAGATGAAATGCTTCCCTCCACTGTTTATGTACTCATGTATTTTGTATAATCATATAACAATATATCTTAATGAGTAAGTCCATATTACTTACCAATAGAAGTCAGAAATCAATAAAATGTTATTAAATGAATTGAATTTCAATTGCCCCACTTATGCTGCCATCCTTTTTGCATGTCAAATAAAGCAAATAGTAAGAATTTTTAAAACTATAATTCATGTCTATATTATGAAAGCATTCCAACTAATATATTTGTGTTCCACTCTAAGTAGCAGAAAAATTTAGAAATGTGTTCAAATGTCATCATCTATGTGAAGTTTGTGAAAAGTAGTTAAACTGTTCAGAAATCTGATGAATTCAGCTAAATGTTCTCTTTATAACATCATAGATTTTTACTATAATATGGTCAGGCGCAAACACTCCTATGATTTTTACAAGTATATACTTTCTTTAATTCCTTCATAACATAATTATATTGCAGACCAGGAAACAAGAAAAGCTTCAGAGATTTTTAAAACTCCTTTCGAGAAGTGTTCATAAATTATATGGGCACACAAGTTATTGCCTTATAGTAGAAAGTATTGTAAATGAACACATATATGAGAAAAATTTATAAAGATAAAACTATTTTTATACACCACATTTGTTTGCTAAGGCAGCCATAACAAATAAGACAGGCTGTGTGGCTTAAGCAACAGACAATTTATTTTCTCATAGCTTTGCAGGCTAGAAGAATCAAGTTGTCAGCATTGTTGATTTCGTTCTGAGGCCTGTGTCCTTGGTTTGTAGGTGGCCATCTTTTCCCTTGGTTTCACAAGGTCTGTCCTCCTTATGTCTAATCTCCTAATCTTCTCTTCTTATAAGGACATTAGTCATATTGAATTAGGACCCACTCATATGATCTCATTTTACCTTAATTACTCTTTAGAGACCCCATTTCTAAATGCAATCTCATTCTGAGGTCCTAGGGGTTGTGACTTCAACATATGAATATGTAGAAAGACAATTCAGCATAATATACACAATGGCAGCATATTTAAAATAAAATACATTGATTTGAATGTGTTGTGATAATACTCAGCAATAAAAATGAACAAAGTGGCACTATGCAGACTGAAAAGCCTATTTCAAAAGGATGCATTCTGTATGATTCCACTCATATAATATTCTTGATATAATATAATTACAGATATGGAAAACAGATTAGTGGTTGCCAGGGCTTAGAGATTTGGAGGAGGGCAGTGTGGCTATGAAGTGGTAGGAGGGAGGACTGTGATGATAGTTGTATATCTTGATTGTGGTGATAGTTACCTGACACTACATACGTGATAAATGGACATGTACATGATAAATGTCATGCACACACACACACACAAGCCCTGTAGATTGGACCAATGTCAATTTCCTAGTGTTCCATGATATTATACATAAATTCACTTTGCTGATAATCTTCAGAAATACCTCTAATAAATAAAGCAAAGCCATATAATATTGTACACTCATAGTCTTTGTATTTACTGTGTAATTTTCCTCTTCATTTAGCATAGTTCCACATCATAGAATTTGCTTTATGGTTATTCAAAATAGAATTCCTATTTTCTCTTTTCTTTTCCTCTTTCCTTTAGTATCAACAAAATCTTGTCAAATATATCTTAAATATAAAGTAGATGAGAGTTTTCTGTTCCTCTCTGCTTCAGCAGATGATTTTGAAGGTTTTTATTGCCTCAACCTTATCAAAAAATACAATCTAGTACAACGATTTTTAGCTACAGGGAAAAAAATTTAATTTCTGTACAAAATCAGTATGTCACTTTAAATAAAATAAATATGTAAATATGCTTACATAATTTCACACATACAGCAGCCTTTCATTCTAGGATTACAAAAGAGTATATTTAGTTCATGTCTCTGCTTATCAAAAGGATAAAATATAAGTTGTTTTTCACTTTTAAAATGGGATAGTTCATTAAAAGTATGTTGTTATATGGAAAAAAGATATATATCAAACATGAACTAAGAGGTGGTATACATATATTGGAACTATATATTCTGGAAGGATAATATCATTAAGCAATTTGTTCCAATAATTTATCTTTTTTGAATATTAAGAAATGATTATTGTTAATTTAATTTGATTTTGTTTTAGATATAAATATTAAAATAATCAAAATATATTTATATTTTATTTGAAAGTACATAAAGGTCCTAAACCAACTAAAATATTGTCATGTATATACTAATAAAATATTATGACCAGCCTTAAATATAAGCATCTACCTCCATGTCATAATTTTGAGAGATACCAAGAAGACCCCCTCTTCTTGTGCTTGAAATTCTAAAGTTAGAGAATCACACCTGTGAAAATGCAGATACTCCAGGTAAGGGTAATGTTATGAACTATTCAATCTGTGGATGTATCAGATATCCTTTCCATTTCCAAAGGAGTCAGAGTGTAGTGTTCAATTTAAAAAGAATTTATACAAACTGAATGTTTCAGAACAAACTTTCAACTGATGCCATTTTGTTCAGTTGTAAATAAATAATTGTATTGCTTAGTAAATAAAATAAAATAATTGTATTGCTTCAAATACAGGAAATAATTTCCCATCACTCCACTTGGAGTATCTTTGGGAATTCTCTTTTAACTGATTTAGGAGACAATTGCAAAAACTATCTGATAACACGTTACGATTTCACTGGACTGAGAGGACAAGAGTAAAGTGGTTTACCTTCTCTGTAGGTTACATATTGTTTTTGTACAAAAATGCAAAATTGATAAGTGTTATTCATAAACTTTCAATTTATTTAACATATTTTTAGTGTATTCCTTGTGTATGATAGTGAGCCTTTATGTACCTTAAAGTCTGGTGGGAGGCAGTTAATAAGCAGGTAATTTCACAAATATGTAGTTAGTACTCTAGTTAAAGTACTGCTAAGGAGAAGCCTAGGGTGCTCTGAAAGCATATATTCTCCAAATCTGGAGGATAAGTTGGGGGGCCATCTTACCAAGGAAGCAACATTTAAATTAAGTTCTGTTCTGAGGGATGAATAGAAAGTGATTAGGTAAAATGAGGCTGATATAAGAGAAATCATTCTGAGTAGAAGGAACCAGGCAAAAGTTGGATAATGGAGGAATTAGAGGCTGATCATATGTAAGATAGCATATCATAGAAGTACAGCAGGATTTGGGGAAGGAGCTGAAGAGTTCATCTAAAATTTGGAAAAATGAATGGGTATCTGCAAATAGCTGAAACAAGTTAAAGAATCAGCCACTTGTCAGAAGATGCTGGAATTTTTCCAGGGCCACAAATAGGGAAAAGAAGTCAGACTAATAAGATTGCTCATGAGGTCATACTTACATGAGTATGGAAAAAATATTAGAGACCAAAAAATATAGACAGTTATATTAATTATTTTTTCCTACTCTATGTATGCACATTGTGGAACATGAAGATCGATATGAAATAAATTGGCATTGGTTTGCTTTTTCTTTCATGTAGTTGACTGTATGTATATATTTTTTCTCATATTTAAGAAATACTAAGAAAACCACATTAAACAAATCTGGCTTAATTGTTTGCTCTGTTTATAATTAAACAAATGTAAAAAAAAAGTTTGAAATCACTTAGAACCACTTAGATGTAGTTAGGAGAAACATTCCTTGATTATTCTGAGTCTAGTTTGATAAATAAGATTATGAAGTTAAAACTATGACTTTCATCATAAGGAATCTTTGCAATAAATCTTAATTAACTGACTTCTACAGTTCCTAAGATCTATATTTGCAACCTTCTGTTTTCATAGTTTATGTAAATGGTCTTGAAAGGTGTTTCATTTAGAGAGCAAAACAAGAAAGCAACATGCAGAAGACATTTGATTTTAGTCTTCAGTGCATGATAGGAAAACGAAGGTGTGTAGTTCAGTAAAAAGTAATTATTCAGGTTTTAGACAGTAAAGGAAAACGTTAATCATGGATAGTCGACCCAAAACAAATTGTGTTTGTAGATATCCTGACATGTGCAAAAACCTTTAGGGACCATGTTCAAAGTGAAAGACATGGTAAATTACAAACCAATTCTGCTGATATTTGCTAAAGGGTCTTTAAAGCAATTCTTGTCAGAAGCAAGTTGTCCAATTCATTGGTATCTTAAAAAATACACTCAGCACTCCTATCTCTGCCCTTAAGTGACCATTCTGTATAGGCCTGCCTTAGGCCCACATTGTGATTGCAGATTTCATGTACCTACTGTAGCAGGAATAACTAATTAAACTGACATTGAAAATATGTTTAAATCAACAAAAGTCTCTATATATTTATAAACTTGAGATGTCTATTTGGTTTACAGTTCACTGGATTTTAGAAATACAGTCTATTTCAAATGCCAACCTTTTACATGTTGCTGGAGTAAGTAATTAGGGATAGTGTAAACATTCATTTGTCTTTATATTTGCATTTTAATGTATTTTATCTCTGAACATCTCTCACAGTCCTCACTGTGTTTTCAAAAATGCTCACAGCAAATATTCTTTTAAAAACCTATGCAATACTATTCAAAGTAAAAAAAAAAAAAGTGTGGAAGTTTTAAATACTTACTAAATATACATGAAATACAAGCCAGAGGCATGATAAGTTTTATTTTGTTTATTAAAACAGGCAATAACCCTGACTTTAACTAAGAAAGATGCTGTATTATTTGTATTTTCCATATTTCTTATACATAGGCAAATTATATATTCAAAAGCTAGATATATTGAAGTATAAAATATTTCTGTCTTCAACAAAAGTGTTGTTCCCCTGAAAAGTGCACTGAATGTTTTATTTATGGAAGAAATGTCAAACTGGCTAATCATTACTAAATCATGATTAGTAATGATTGCATAATGATTATAGTGCAGCCAAATATTAAATTATAATCTAGGTGATTGTAAAATTTGTTTACACTCCTGAAAAACACCAAATTACTTCCAAGTCTAGCATCTTTTTGTGACACACATCTTTTGAGTAATTGAATACTATAGGAAAGGACCTCAGACTTTAGAAATTCGTTTGCAGAGAGTTGGTCAGCAACTCTGCTCCCAGTCAGCAGCTGTAGAAATTGAACAACTGTTCTCAGACAGTTGTGTAAAACACTACGGTGTCACTGTCTCACTGGACAATAATCATATTTTTTAATAATTTGCCTTTCCACCAATATGTAAGCTTCTTGAGGGCATGAATGATGTGTTATTGACTAAGAATATCCTCCATTTACATTGCCTATAACAATAAATCTCTACCCACTGCATTAATAGAGATTGAAGATGGTGTGAGTTAACTTTTCATTTGCTGAATTCATTAAAAAATATTTATTGACTGTTTAGCTTCTGGCAAGAACTGTTCTGTGTTCTAGGAATATAGCAATAAAGAGAAAAACAATTAACACTGTTCCTGCTTTTATAGACATTATACTTTAGTGTTAAAAAGTGATAGGTCCCATGAGGAAGAACTAAACAGAGTAAGTGATTTGAAAATAAATGGTTAGTTTTATGCAAGGAAACCAAAAACACCTCTATAACTTGACACTTGAGCAGATCACGAATTGAAGAGAAAATCTTGTAACTATATAAAAGAAGACTATTACAGGCAATGGATATAAAAAGGTCAAAGCCTTAAATTCAAGCAGGAATACGTCTGGAAAGTAACAAGAAAGTATTAATGGCATATTTATTCTTTAGCATATACTAAATTTCATGTTCACTAAATCCTCTGGTGCTATACCTACATTTTCAACAATGGATTTTAATCAACACTAAACCATCCTTTAATAGCAATTTTTCTCCGTGATCATACATTGCTAAAGAAATGTGTTTAATCCTAAACTTGATTTTGAGCAGTTGGCTTTTAGAGTCGTCAGCTGTGTTCTCTGAGGAATTCTCATTTGCACATTTTGCAGGAAAGGTGACTAAGTATTTTATATAGCATAAAATAATAAGACCTTATTGCTGTTTTGGTGCCTCTATTACTATATCAACAATTTTAATGGCATTTATCTGTACGAATTAAAAAATAGTCATACGATTCTTTAGTAAAATGCTTTAAATCCTGTAAAATTAAACCAGATTAGCAGATGTTTAACTAAATTGAAATTAAGTGTGTGCATGATCACATCCTACATAATCTATAGCTATCATATGATATAAGGCTCTACTTTATGGTTAGGCAAATGTCTAACAAACTGGCACATTTTCAATATAGTTCTTTGTTTGAAAATGGATGCCAATTTGATTTCATTAACTGAACTCTGCCTACAAAATGAATGAGATGATTTGGATAACTGATTCATTATGTATGTTGTTAATATTTAACACTGGGTTTATTTGTGATATTTGATATTTTCTTTTTTTTTTTCTCTTTTTTTAGACAGAGTCTCACTTTGTCCCCAGGGTGGAGTGCAGTGTCATGGTCTTGGCTCACTGCAACCTCTGCCTCCTGGGTTCAGACAATTCTCTGCCTCAGCCTCCCAAGTAGCTGGGATTACAGGTGCCCACCACCATGCCTAGCTAATTTTTTTGTGTTTTTAGTAGAGACAGGGTTTCACCATGTTGGCCAGGCTGATCTTGAACTCCCGACCTCATGTTCCACCCACCTTGGCCTCCCAAAGTACTGGGATTACAGGCATGAGCCACGGCACCTGGCCATTTGTGATATTTTCTAAAAGCCTCTTTGAAGTAAATATCCATAAGGATTAAAATAGCATTAATGTGTAAGAATAAAACAAAAGGCCGGGCGCAGTGGCTCACGCCTGTAATCTCAGCACTTTGGGAGGCCGAGGCAGGCGGATCACGAGGTCAGGAGATCGAGACCGTCCTGGCTAACACAGTGAAACCCCGTCTCTACTAAAAATACAAAAAATTAGCCGGGCGTGGTTGCAGGCACCTGTAGTCCCAGCTACTCGGGAGGCTGAATCAGGAGAATGGCCTGAACCCAGGAGGCGGAGCTTGCAGTGAGCTGAGATCGTCCCTCTGCACTCCAGCCGACGACAGAGGGAGACTCCGTCTCAAAAAAAAAATAAATAAAACAAAATTACTTTCAAAGTGGATGGATTATTCTGATCATCATTAAAAATGTGAATTTCTTCATACTTAAAAATATTTCAATTGCAAAGATTGAAAAACTAATTGCCGACCTTTTAATCAGGCAGAAATTCCACAGACCATCATTAGATGAGTGTTTTTTCTTCCATGTATTCCTCTGCACTTTTCTATTTCGTTTAGATTCTAAAACAGTCAGTCGTCTACATAAATAATTTATGATGTCCAGTGAAAAATAAAAATGCGGGACCCTTTGTTCAAAAAGTAGGAAAAGAGAGCCATAAAAGGTACTAAAATACAGTGCTCTTTCTTTCAGTGATTTTTCTCTCTCAACTTGGCACAATGTTTTTTGTTTGCCATTTAATGTCCCTCTAAGTAAAGAAAAAGTAAAATTTCAAATTATTTGCATTAAAATTTAACATTCATCTTTATATTGTTCAGTGACCATTTTAAATGCAAATACAAGAACATTTAACATAAGTGAAAGCATCAAAATATACAAGTCTTTTTTCTGTAGTTGACCCCACATGCACCTCCTGTTCCCAAGTGTGTCTCAAGTAGGCCAGAACAGAAAAATATCAGCCAGACTCAGGAAGGTTGGGAAGTAAAAGAGAGGGTCCCTTAAAACACGGTGCCTGTCCAGAGAGCACTCCCTCTGTACCAGGGATACTTGAGCAGAAAAATGATGACACTCCCAGGTTCCCAGGGCCCTGCCTCAGGACTCCAGCTGCCTTTGTAACCCACAATGGGAGACCACCAGTGGTCTTCAAATCTCCTCCCTGGTAGGTGAGAGACCTGCTTGCGTTAAGACATGAAATCTGCAAAGCAGAAACAGCTACACACACACACTCACACACATACACACACACACGCGCGCGCACGCACAGGCACACCCACACGATGCTCCAGGGTTAGCATATCCAACCTAGATCCTTTCCATGATGTCCAGATCCCTCACTGGGGAAAATGAACAGGCAACCCAGGAATGTGGTCCTACCTGCACTGAGGTCAATATATTCACCTAACCCAGGCAGACTATGACAGCAGTCACAGGGCAGGGATAGGGATTGGAAGACTGCATGGCTAAGAGTGGGGGAGTGTGCCAGGGAGAACGCATCCTGTGGATATGGTGAAGTAGTGGGAGGCTGAACCTAGATCCTAGAGCCCAGGCAACCATTGTCCCATTTGTATTCACTTTAAAAATATGAGTGCAAAGATAAACATTATTAAGAATTTTGATGGCATTAGCTGAGCATTAAACCCTAAGAGAGTTGGGAGAGCTGTGCATCTGCACAAGCCATACATTCATGAAGCCAGCCCTGAAAACATTTTGTAAAGTGGTAATGTCACTGTTTTTCAAATTTACCTCTCTGTGTTACTCAGCAAACCAATATAATCAATGATTCTGACACACTAAATATTGAGCTATCTGTTATGTAGTGGGAAAAAAAGATGCCTGTGTGTTTGAGACATGATGGTTGCTATGGAGCAGCTAACAGTCTTTTACTCTTTAAGATTTGGAAGTGAAAGTTTGTCTACGTGAAAAAAAACAAAATTAAATATATAATATCTGATTCAATATACATTTTCAAGAACTGACTGCCTGAAATATTACTTAGTACACAAGACCTTAAAATATATATGAAGTAATAAATGATTAAACAGTGATATGACAGGCGGTGAATGTTGACATTTTCCTGATTTTTATGAAAGAAAGCCTAGTTGTTTGACCACACATTTATTCTGTTAGGTAGTAAGCAAAGCTTTTAGTAATGAAAGATTAAAAACAGAAAAACAAATTGAAAGAGAGTTCCATAATTTAATGCATTCTAGTTATTTTGACATTCTAATAGGTCTAAGGGTGGATTTCAGTTATCGATACTTTTATGCTCTGCTATATATTGTTATACTTAGTCACTTTCAACATGTGTTCTAAAATATAAAAGTGTTTTTCCCCTCGAAATAATTATTACAGAAATTGAAATTATTTGTATTCATTCTTTTATATTGCAATTCAGCTTACATATTTCCTAAGTAATCTTTTATTAAAGCAAGTAAATATTATTCCAAGGATGATAGATATATCTATAGTATATAAATAGAAATGTGCTTTATGTTGTTTTTCATTTTGTTTTTTTACAAAAATTATCTTCTGCTGAAACTAAATATCCTAAATAGGTATTAGTTTTTACTTTATAATGCTCATATTAATGGATGCCATACTATTTTGACTTCCTGTTTCAAGGCTTCTATATATAAATAGTGGATGTTTGGCCATTGTCTATCTATGAGTTGTTCAGATTGTATTTTGACCTATTTATTTAGTAGCTATGCCCTGTATCATAATTTGATATTTTTAAGTTTATTATTTTTTATAAACATAAATATATTGATCAGCTCTAGATAGGGATTGCACATTTAGAATCCTAGAAATTTGGAATAGGTTTCTCATTCTATTTTTATGAGAATAAATGTTTAATGTATTGAGCAGTTTTGAATATTTAAAATATTATCTGCTGGTTTTTTTTAGCTGTTTTACAAAATGTGAGATACTTGTATTAAGAGGTAAACAATTAAATGCTATTTGAAATGCAACTCAAATATATATATATATATGTTTTTCCTTTTTGTTTATTTGTTTGTTTTTGAGGCAGAGTCTTGCCCTGTCGCCCAGGCTGGAGTGCAGTGGCGCGATCTCGGCTCACTGCAACTTCTGCCTCCTGGGTTCAAGCGATTCTCTTGCCTTAGCCTCCCAAGTAGCTGGGACTATAGGCGCATGCCACCACGCCAGGGTAATTTTTTGTATTTTTAATAGAGACGGGGTTTCACCATGTTAGCCATGATGGTCTCAATCTCCTGACCTCTTGTTCCGCCTGCCTTGGCCTCCCAAAGTGCTGGGATTACAGGCGTGAGCCATTGTGCCCGGCCTTAATTATATTTAAATTTAAACTATAACTGATGTGCAAAATTATTTCCTAAAATAAATTATTTTCCACTTTCTGAATTGTATTAACCAAATTCCTACCAGCTCATATTAGTTTTACACTTATAAGGTGATGGTTTTCACATGCTTGAAGTAATCTAAAGAGAATGTAGAGTTCAGCTACTAGTCATGAGGCAAGACGCACATATGCCCTTCTCAAATAAATATTATTTTTATCCTATTTCAAAGATTTCTAAGAAATATTTTTAATCCCCTTGTATCTTTTAACTGACTCTTTTAAGATGGTCTTCCTGAAATATCTCACCTAAAACCTTCCTGCAACCAGCAGAAATGTTTGTTAGCTTATTTAAGAGGAAAACAGAAAAAATAAATTGCACTTCAGGAGATAGAAGGTCACCATCCCCTGCATCGTCACTCTTTGTAGACAGGAACACCATCAGTAGAACATTCTAGTTAGAGCATTACTACTTATTTCCAATTTGCAAGTTTATCATCGCCAACCACCTTCTTTCACTGTTCTCCAATTCTTTATTTTTAGTAGAATGAAGAAGTGTTCTTCATGAATGTTCACAAATCTTTAAGGGGTCACAAAGGAGTGACAGTATATCAGACTAAGAATTTTTCCAGAGGTACATCTTGGATGTGTGTGTGTGTGTGTGTGTGTGTGTGTGTGTGTGTTCAAAATAACCTGAAAGCCTCTCAGTTATTCTCTCAAATGAGTGCTATGAAAACGTTAGGTTCCAGAGGAGAAGACTCATCTCCAAAATAAGAATGAGATTCACAAAATTAAGGAGACTTCTTCAAAATCGTAGTGCTTTCACCATGGTCATTCTGGCAACAGTAATGGTTCCTCCAGGGAACATTCAGCAAAGGGAAAAAGAAAGCCACTATCCCAAATAATGTGCAGGTAGTGGTGATGAATAAACTTTGAGTTTTAGTTTTCTCTTATCGTTCAAACCCTTAACATTTGCCACTCAAACCCTCAAAATAGGGAAGTGTTTATTCCATAAAATCTGTGCCTTTTTAAACATTTATTTTTGTAAAATCCATAAAATGAAATCTATGGTAAAATACTACAGGGTGGTATAGCTTCTTTTATATGACTAAGCTGAACCTAATGCAGACATGCTCGAAAACATACAACACATTTTGAAAGACTCAAATAATTAGCACTTTAAATGTAGCATAAATTAAAGAGATTTTTTGCTTATGTCAAATTTTAACAGCATATAGTGAAGATAAAGTTGTAGCAGTTTATGTTAAAATCTCATTAGACACTCTTGCCTTAAATTGTTGAATTAATAAAACTATAAAAGTAGATTTTCAGTAAATGACATGCCATGTAATTTATCACTATTCTAAAAGTAGGTATTAGATGTAGCCAATTTATGAAAACTCGTTTAGTTCTTTGTTAAACAAAATTTTAAAAATACACTTAATATAATTTTTGTCATCCATTTTCAAAATAGAAGAAGAATACATAATGATGGATGAAATGCAAAAAACAATCAAAATGCATTAGGTTTCTGAAGACCTTTTCTTATGATATGGTCTCTTTCCTCATTTATGAAGAGTTAAAATTTTAATGACCCGTCAAAGCAGAGATCCTCATTCTTCTACTGCAATCTAGAACTGAATGTCATTCTCTAAACTTTTCACAATGAATGTTTCTTTGTTTTATTTCACTACTAATTTTAATTTTATTCTATATTTTCATATTTTTTTTAAATGTTCCCTTTCTGGTGTCTCACAGTTCCTCTCTGCCTCAAGTGGAAGGAATGAACTAATGTATCTGCCTTCATGTGACTTTTTAACCAATTATGGTTCATCAAGGTGTAAGAAACACCACAGGCAGAGTATGGGAAGAGTTTTCCTTTATTTAACGTAAATTTGGCCAATAGGGACCTGATTTTCAGGAAAAGTATAATTTTAAGGTCAAAAAATGCAAAATCATTGTTGCCTATTGATTCAACAACTAAGAAGACTAATTATGTTTAGGATTTAAGCTAGCCAAACACTTAGATTGTACACTGTCTAAACTTAACACAGATATGGCAAGCAGATGGTATTTCTATACTGTATTTTGCATAAAAGAGCTTTATTTAATTTTAATATTCATTTTTCAGTAACTAATCATTTTTTTCATGGTTACATTTCTTCACTGAAATTTTACTTAGTTTTCTGTTTAAAAGCTTTCTTAGGAGATGTGGTGGCAGGTTTCCATAATACTTTACAAAAATTCAGGGTATTGTGTTTATATAGTGAAATGTCATTTGTTGCTAGGATAATGCAGTTGTTACATAAATATGAAATATAGTGCTGCTCCATGTGGATATGGAAACTTTTTAACATGGATTCTCATCCAGGAATGTCTTCTTAAAATGTGGAATGCATATTTAATCAAAATCAACTAGTGAATAATTAGCTTATGTATCAGAAATTATTTGTGTTTCCTATGAGAGCATAAAAAATTTCTGATTAAAGAAACCGAAGAGATAGTCTTGAAAGAAGTCCTTACCACACAAAGAGATTTAATATAGGATAAAGAATATATCTCAAACTAATGAGAAAGTTCATCATTGAATAAAATTTATTCAGGGAAAACTATTATTTAGAATATTCCAAATCAAATCATTAACTAGGAAAATACCCTAAAACAAATTTTAAATGATCAAACAGATATGGTAAAAATAAAATCTTAAGAAGAGGTGCATATAGGTGTGAATATAAATAATGATCTAAAAAAATTACAAAGCAAAAAACATGTGGCTTTAATGGGAATTTCATACATCAAAATTTATTATAAACAAAATGAAAATAAAGGGTAAGCTGGGGAAAATATTTGTAATGAAAAAACCATGGTAAAATTGGCAAAAGACAAGAGCGATCAATTCTGAGAAAAAAGGCAATTACCTAATATGCATTACAAAAAAACTTCACTCTTGCTGCAAATCAGAGAAATGCAAATTAAAACAGTAATGGTAGGCAATGTTTTTCTCATCAAATTGGACTCGTTGATTTTTCTTTGGAAAATGGTAATGCTCTGACTGCTTAGTGTATGATTTGGTAAAAATCTTCATATCACTGCAGGAGTAACTATAAAATTACATGGTATTGTGTATCTAGCACTTTAAAATTATTATACTCTTTAAATCCACTACTAGGCCTTGTCAGTGTTTAGGAAAGATAATATGGGTAGAAAAACTGTATGTGTATAGAAAAATTTATCATTTATAATAGGGAAGGGTATAAATATCCTAAATGACCAACAGTAAACAATAAATAAAGTGTACTATGTCTGTGAAATGGAATGACAAGTCTAGTGAATGAGAATAATGTTTACAATATTGTGTTAAGTGTAGCAGGATTAGAAACCCTATATATATTGTTACCCCAGTTATGTGACAATTGATGTACACACATGGTCATAAGGAAATGAATATTAAATTTATGAAATGTTACCAATGTTTTTCTCTGTGTGGTGTGTTTATAGTTGATTATTTCTGTAAAATTATTTGCAAAGTCCTTTATGATCTTATCTTGCTTGTTCTTTCATAACTCCTTATATTTACCCTATCACAGTGCATAACTATACTCTGCATTTCAATTGTATGTCAATATTTTCTATTGGACAGTCAACAAATGTTAATATCCCCAGGGTCTACCATAGCACCTGTCACATAAAATCTATGCATTAAATATTTGCTAAATAAATAAATTAGGTGATTGTGTATGAGTATATATATATACACACACACACACACACACACATACATAACATACACACAGACACACACACGCACAGAGTATCTGTTATACTCACAGTGGAACCTTTTAAAATTTCAATGTTATGATACTTTTGCCCCTTGGTGGTAAAGTGCTCACTCAGGACATCAACAATAAGCATTCTGTTTATAGATTCACCATCCTGGAACAGACTTACAGAAGGCATTGTGTTCAGTTGTGCAAACCTAAGCATGAATGCCCTGAAAATATATAGGAAAGATTATTGTTTATTTGCTTTTATGAATCTCTTGGGCCCCAGATTTCATATACTGTGTACATAGTTTAGTCTGCTGTTTACCATCTGCATACTCATGAATTTATAACTCATAATTACATTATTTTTTTCCTGTTGAAATGACCAGTAGTTTCATCATGTATAGAGATGGGAAACAGCTGGTCAAAATCTGATCAACTCTGTGTTCTAGTCCCTAAACTGTTACTATCCAGCTGTGTAAATTCAGTTAAGTTATTTAATCTCTCCAGACCTCAGATTCTGCATCTACAAAATAAGTATCTTGCATTAGATAACATGATGAGCAAGCAAATGCTCAATAACTGTGTAGTCTTTTCATATTTGCAATCAACATTCTATATCATTCTAAAGACTAACAGAAATAAGAAAATAACAGTTTATAAATATGCAAGAACTTTTCTACACCTCCACTAGAAGGACACCTCTCTTAAAATCCTATTTTAACTTTCCATACATACAGGTCCTGCTAGAGGCTCTACATTGTAATATTTTTAGGAATTCTTGAAATTTTGCTATAGTGACTTAAAGTTGTGCAGTTGTTCTTAGAAAGTAAAGAGGTATCTCAGTAATGTTTCCTCTCATATTAAAGTTTGTATCCTTTGACTCAGAAGAAAATAAAATTCCTTATAGTTTTTGAAAAATAAAAAATACACCACATTAAAAACCTCACTATATCTGGTTCAAGTTGGCATTTGAAAAAAAATCTATGTAAATAGAAATAATTTTAATTCTTTAGGCATAACAATAAGAATATCTTCTCTGCATTTTTTTCACATTCCACTCTCTGTCACTTTCAACCTTATCTTTTTTTTTGTTTGTTTACCATTTGTTTTTATCATAAATGTATTTCTCAAGGTTATGCCTAAGCTTAGAAGTTTCTTCAAAGTGATGTAGGTGTATTCTTCATTTCATCACTTAATTCTATGATGCAATACTTTCCAAATAGAATTTTGCCTTTCAACAATATAATGTAAGCTCCATGAGGGATGGATTTTTCTCAATGTATTTTATTGTTTTGCTCACTCTATCCCTGGAGCCTCGAACAGTATGACATATAAAGTGGATGCTCAGTAAATGTTTAATAAACTGAGGAGCAAGCATTTATTAAGTCATAATGCATGAGTACTCTGTGCTGTCATACAGTAGAAGTAAGAAAGGAAGAGAGGTAGTGTTGTCTAATTCAATTGCCTTACTTACTCTAATTGAGAAGACAAGGTTGGCAGACCAAAAAAGGCTAGTGAAAAATAAAAGAAAGTATACCTTTTTTTTTTTTTTTGAGACAGGGTCTCCCTCTGTTGCCCAGGCTGGAGTGCAGTGGCACAATCTCAGCTCACTGCAACCTCTGCCTCCTGGGTTCAAGCGATTCTTCCGCCTCAGCCTCCTCAGTAGCTGAGATTACAGGCACGTGCCACCACACCTGGCTAATTTTTGTATTTTCAGTAGAGACAGGGTTTCACCATATTGGTCAGGCTGGTCTGGAACTCCCGAACTCAGATGATCAGCCCGCTTCGGCCTCCCAAAGTGCTGGGATTACAGGCATGAGCCACCGTGCCCAGCCAGAAAGTATATCTTAAGTAACATGTTAAATTATAAGATACAAATTGTAAATGCTTTAGTTTAGAGGAGGAAAGAAAAGCTTAACTAAGCTGGAACAATTCCTAGTGGAGCTTTACCCTAAAGGAAGAATAGCATTTGGGTTGCCCTAACAGAGTGTGGAGCCTTGGGATCATAAAGCCAGGCAGGGAGAACAAATTTGCACAATTTGTTTCTGTCAGGGTTATAGAAAAGCCAGATTCTTCATGTCCATATCTGAAGAAGCCTTCACTAACTCAAGATTTACACCACAGTCAGACTTTGATAAGAAAGTTATAGAATCATGCTCATTCACTTTAGGAGACAATTTGCCCACAGAATTATAGGCTAGGTCTAGTAGCAATATTATATTCTGCTTCCTCAAATATGGGCAATGCTGGATAGAGTTTTGAATATCAAAGATGAGATTTCCCAGTAGGTTAAGTTTGCTTTTGGGGATTGTTCTTTTAAGGAAGACTTAGCAAAAATAGTTTTCATCTGGGAGCAAATTTATATGGCACTGTTACAAGATGCACAGTTTTGATCATGATTTATAAACAGCCATTAGGGTAGAATACAGTTGTCTTCCCACAGCAACATCTCTGAGCATGAAGCACTTTTTGGTCAAGCCCCTAGGATTTAACTGCAGGGCATTCAGTTATAAAACCGTTTTTCATTGATCTCAGCTGTTGGATCTTAACTGCAGCTTATTTTCACTTTGATTTTGAAATCCATAAATGCCAGTCACAGCATTTAGGAACTGAAATCATTGGCACAGGAATTTAAATGAAGAGTGATAAATCAAGGCTGCCAGTAGCTATTGCCTCAGCCAGATGCAAACACCACAACCACAGTGTTTAATAGCTTTGCATGCCTAATTTCAAATTAAGTGTGACAAATTAGGCAGGAAGTTAATTACTATCTTGAAACAAGTAGTCTAATGTTGATTGGGAAGGGCATCATAAAGCTGTGTTTTACCTAAACAGGATACCCAGAGGAAATATTAGAAAATAGAGATGTACAAATAATGATTAGTTCAGGTTAAAAACAAAGCAGGGCTGGGGGTGGGCAGCATTTATTATATGGCTAGTTGGATGAATCCAGGTATATGAAAAAGGACTTCCCTCTAAGAATAGCTTTTCTAGTCTAAGAAAACAAGGAAGTAAATGGACAGATTCATTAGAATCTTGGTACCTATATGGTAGATGAGGTGAGAGGTTTGAGAGTCAGATACACCATATCTCTACCACTGTTGAGCAGATATTAGAATGCCTGTCAACTCTTCCCATGGCTAATGTGCTAAAATGAACAATTACACATGAACTTATGGCAGATGTGCTAAAATGAACAATTACACATCAAGTTAATGTGACCTTAAAAACCTGGAGATGTTATACATCACAAAATTTTTAACTTGTCTCTCATTTGTTTTTCTCTATTTACATTCCTGGCTCCTATTGTCTTTAGACATTTATAGGACAACAGCTTTTTCTTTAAGTGACTTCCTACTTGACCTAATGATTTTTAGTGGTGTTTGAGGGATGTTTCAAGAAAGAACCTGTTCTTTGGAGTTGCAAATGAATTTAAAGAAAGATGTGGTGCAACCTTTATTCAATGGGATAAAGTCACAAAGCACTTCATTGTCAGATGCGCTTCCAATAGTTTATATTAAATCATTAAACAAACCAACCCAATGAGATGCTACTATTGACATTTTCCAGATGAGGAAACTGAGACACAGCAAGACTAAATAAAATGTCAAGATTATATAGTTAATACATGGACAAATTAGAATTTATAAGCAAGAAATCTGGGTCCAAAGAGTGAGCTCTTAACCATTAGGACATTTTGAGACCTGGACCTAGGGAGAGCCACAGTTCTTAGTTATAAAACCCTAGTTATTTAGTCATAAGTTACTCAAACCATTCTTCTTGCTTCTCTACTTAATGCTAGCCAGAAACATACTTTCATCAAAAAATAAATAATGAAAAGATTAAGATAGCTTTTAACAGACTCTTTAGAAAATACGATGAGCCATCACAGTAAATTTATGGACTACAGGTGGCTTCTGAGCTATCCTTGGAGTGCATGAGCTTTTCAAGTCTCTCACCACAATGTCTTGCCTAAATTGGAGCAGGCTATAAATTGAAGGAGGATATTGAAACTCTAAATTACCCTCTATCTTTATAAAGAAAAAAATGGCCTTTGTTCTTTCATTATATTTGATCTTGATCTTGAAATAAGTGTTTTTGCTATTCATCAATATTCATATGTTTATAATATGACACATTTTACAAATGTTAAGGGAAAGTTAAGTTAAAAGATATATTTAATCAAGGAAGACTTCAAATTTAGAATGAATATATTCCCTGGTAAACCTCTACACATGCATGTATTTTGTCAATTACAAAAGAAATGTATGCCCAGTCAATCTGGTGTTTTTTGCAGTTGCCCAAACACTCCAGACACATTTCTGCCACAAGACTTTTTGTTACTTCTTTCAGGTCTTTGCTCAAAGTCGTGCTTTGCAAATAAACATTCCATGGCCATTTTATTAAAAATTAGAATTTTTCATATCTACCACTCCTCATTTCATTCTCTGCCTTCCTTTTTTTTAAATATCATTATCTGCCAACTTAGTCATATGTTTATTTTCTGTCTCCCATCAACTTTAATGTGTGTTCCATGTATGTAAGGACTTCTGTCATGTTTACTTGCTATATTCCCTGTGCCTACAATAAAACTTGGCTCATTCTAGGCACCCAGTACCAATTTGTTGAATGTATGAATGCATGAACAGTTGAATAAGTGAATATTCCTTGAAAGTCATGGTTTCATGAAAATAATTTATTAGCCACTTGCTAACTGGATGATCTAAATATGTCTATAATTTAGACTTTACAAAAATCTATAGTAAAACTAGCTATAAATGTCAAATATCTCTTTGGACATTTTGCTGTAGTCAATTATTAAAATACTCTGTATAATTAGCATTTTGTATAAAAGTTGATGTTAACTGCTAAGCAGAATCAATATTTATTAACCATACCTACAGTATAATCTGGTTTATAAATGTGTTTCTGGGGAAGACAAATTATTTTAAAGAAGAAGTGTTTAAAAGTGTTATAGTAGCCTATTTAAATAATTCTTACTTTTTTATTAGAAATAAATTCATTGATATATTCTCAGGGCCTAGTACAGTGCCTGGTACCCAAAAGGCATTCATATATATTTGTTCAATAAAGGAATATATGATTAAATAAAGGAATGCACTTTAAATTTTCATGAATTTTTTTACAAAGCGCCTTCCAATTAAAGGGATACACACACACACACACACACACACACACACACCCGCTAGGCAAATAAGGTCTGCAAACTAACACACAATGCAACTACTTACTTTTCTTAACTTACAATAATATAATAAAAATATATAATAATATAAGCAAGGTGTTGTACTTAGGAATTAGTTTCAATAAAGAATCTAATAATTTAAATTTATGTATTAATATGCTTATAAAAGTTTAGAATAAAAATATTAAGTCACAGAATTTTGTATGCTTATATCAAAGCTGTTTTGTAAGTTATACCATCTTTTGTTATAATTGTAATATGCAAAGTTAAAAGAAGAAAAATGATAAGATGAGGTGTGCGTTGTTAGAGAGGAAAGTATAATGTGTGGCAGGTAAACATGAAACCAAAGGTCTCTGGCTCCTGGTTTTTATTCTAATTCTGTTCACAAATTTGGTTGAATTTGTACATCATTGTAGTTTTCTGTACCAATGCTATTTATTGACATAAACACAGCAGTTTCCATATTAATTTCATATAAGTATAATGAAGATTTGATAAAGATGCCAGATCTCTTTATGCGTCCCCCTAGAATCTAACTTTTTTCTGTAAAGAGCAAGATAGTAAATATTTTCAGCTGTGCAGGTTATACATTTTCTGTCAGACTACTGAACTCTTTCCTTGTAATATGAAAGTGTTACAGGATCTTTGGGGTGTCACTTTCCTTGCTGGAAACCTCTGTGGCCTGTGGTGCCTTTGCCCAAGTTTTGCTCAGGCCCACTAGGCTCATTCCATCCACTCAGCCTGGCTGGCTTCCCTTGGCTCATGCTACCAGCCTGGATCCCATGCCTCCAAGGGAGAATGCAAATCAAGCGTGGAGTGGCAAGAAGCGTGTGTGTGAGCATGGGGTCCGGCCATTGCGCACAGTTGGACATGCCAGCTGCTTCCACAGGACAGGCAGCTCCAGGTGCCGGCACGGGCACCAGTTCTCTGCAAAGCTGGAACTGTACCAGGTGCACTGCATGTAGCTCCTCCAGCTGGCAGCAGGGAATGTGGTGGTGCATGGAAACTTGGAGACATCCGAAACTGCAGGGACCCAAAGAGGGAGCCACAGCCCTGGATTGGGGAGCTCCCAGGTCTGGACTCCTCGAAGGCCCACAGCTCTTCTTTCCTTCTCTTAGCCCACAATATGGTGATCAAGGGGCATGTTTCAGCCCAGTTTGTGATACAGCATTTTTAGCCTCGCCATTTGGTGGGTCCCAAGTTCTTGTCCTGTAACTAGGAAGAATGAGGTACACAGACAAATGGAGGATGAGCAAGGCAAAGAGTAGCTTTATTGAGCAATAGAACAGCTCTGAGGAGACCCACAGTGGGAAGCTCCCTCCATAACCAGGGTGTCCCCATAGCCAGGTGCCCCTGTCCTAGCAGGGCTAGGAGCTGAACATTCATTGGGACACCCTGGCTATGGAGAGGAGGGTTGCTGCTCTCTGCTAGGCAGGTCATCCCAAAGAGTGTTCAGGTCTCAGCAGAGAGCATAGCTCCTCTCTGCTAGGCATGTTGTCCCAACGAGCGTTCAGCTCTCATTAGAGAGGGTAGCTCCTCTTTGCAGCTGGTCATCCTGACAATTGTTAAGCTATCAGCAGAGAGGTTAGTTCCTCTCTGCAACTGGTCATCCTGTCGTCTGCTTTGCTCTGGCTAACCCTGGGGCTTTTATGGGCTTCAGAGGGAAGGAAGTGGGCACCAATTCATCCATGGGCAGCCATGAGTGGGCCCAAAAAAGGTATCACAAGTTCCCACTCTGGTCCACGGGACTGGAAGCCCTCCCTGGCCTGAAGGTGGAGCCTCACTGGGGACTCTCAACCTTTGCCCAGGAGCTTGTCTGCCTCCTGCCGTCCTCCATGGCTCCCAGGCTGCTAGCGCCAAGGGGAACCTACAGGCCAGCATGTAGCTGCTGTCACCACCCCCAACATCGGCTTCTCTCTCATCACTCGTCGGTGCCCAAAATCCAGAGGGGTCCGAGGTGGCAAGGGGCTGGTGTGTCAGCACTGCCCCAAGCAGGCACATATCCGGCAGGGCTGTGACAGCGCCTGGGCTCAGCCCCAGCCCTCCTGCTCTGAGATCAGAGCAAGGACCAGGAGTAGGGAGATGCCAGGCAGCAGAAGCAGACACTCCCGAGCCTGCAGGGGCAGGGGGGGCCTTCCCAAGACCCCGAGGGTGCAGAGCACAGAGAAGCCCGGGTCCTCTGCCTGGGAGGGTGGTGCTCCCATCCACTTTGTGAGGTTTGCAGGCAGCCCCAGCTGCGGTTCCCCACAGCCTGTGGTGGGGTTCCCACCGCTGCCACTGCTGCTCCTGCAGCCACTCCTGCCACCACCGCTTGTGCCTTCCTGTTGCAGCCGGCGCAATGGCAGCAGCGGCTCCAGATGGCCCACTGCTGCTATCGGGGTAGCCCTAGACAATACGTAAATGAGTAAGCATGCCTGTGTTCCAATAAAACTTTATTTATAAAAGCAGGCATTGGGCTTGATTTGTCCCATGGACTGTAGTTTACCATCCCCTGCCCTAGATAACACCTTATGTTCTTAAGTAATTGGATGCTTTTGGTTAATATGCCCATAACTTAAAATCTGAAGAAAAGAAAAGGGAAGATTCTCCAAAGACCTACATGTTTTCTTCATTTAGAAATAAACATTTTGAAATGGGTAGCTGGTAATTTTATTTTTAAACCATCTTAAAGAGACCTGAGCATTTAAGGCTTTTAGACTTCATAAAATAATGTGAGGCATTGTTAATCTTAACTAATGTGAAAATAGAAGTGTGATCCATTTTTATGTACATGCATACATAAAATTAAAATAATGTGATTTAAAGAAATTTTAATATAACCTAAACAAAATTCTCCCAACTAGCAGGGGAAAGGTCATAATTTATTATATTTTTCCAGTTTACCGTATTCTAATCTCCATTTTAGGATGAGCAATACAAAACTGAATTAAATGTAATGGTGACAAGTAAAATGCTAATATTTCTAATTAAGTTATTTTCACATGAGCATGATTTAAAGAGGATCTCATGTTTAAAAAAAAGAAAATAAAATCGGGCTTAAAAAAAAAATTTGCTACCACTAGCCCAGACAACTGGTCCCAGGATTGTACCTTTCACTTTATTTGATTGTTGCTTGAAAACTTTGTAAATCCAATACAAAAGAATTGTCTTGGCAAAAGCCTGGGTAGATTTGTAAAATACTAGAGAATAGTAATATTACACTGATTTGAGCCATCAAGATAAACAAGATGGAACCTTATCCATATGTCATTTTTTGTAACCTTGTCTTGATGAACTGCATAAACCTCTGGAAAACTAGTAAAGGATGATACTAATATAATACAAAGAAAAGTGAGAATCAGGAATTTGATATTTTGCTTTTTTTTAAGGTGGGCCTGTATATAAGCATTTTACTAGAAGTTTCCATGAGATGATTTGCGTTTAGATAAGCTAATTTATGTATAAGGTATGTTTATGCTCTACTCTCCATTAGAAATAAATAGGAATAAAGGGGTAGAGTCATCAAATAGAATCAGAGATGGAACTATTGAGATCTGTAGCCAATGTTTTATAACCATACCAGTTTGTTATTTTAGTGTCGAAATGTGAGTTTAATCTGCTTTTAAGTGAAAATTAGTTGCCTACACTTTTTGTTATACTGGCTTGCTTATTCAACTTGTGAATATGGATTTCTACACCTGTGAACATTCTGCTGAGTTGAAAAAGTAACGAACTGTTTCAAAAGCCACTTAAACAAACCTAGTATGTTTTCTCTCTTATTTCTCTTATTATTTTTTTCCAATGGGTCTATCTTGGTGGGAAATCTCTTAATGCTTTTTATGAACACAGATGCATCGGTCCTTTGTAGTCTGAGATACTTTCTTGCACCCACTAAAATAGAAAACTATAATCCAATTTAATATCTGCTTTCATAATGCTTGTCAGAGTCCACCCCTATTAGAATAATAGTTTAAGATCAATAGAAAGGAAGGAAGGAAATAAAACAAAAATATTATTCACCACATCTTTCCTGAGGGTGCAGTATGTGTCATGTAAAAGTCCTTCAAATAAATATTGGTTGACTAAAGGAATGAATGCATAAACGAAAAAAATCTTATGTTTATATTTGCTATCTCTTTCCATTTTATATTTTAAATTTGAAGTTCACTTACTTTAGCCTGGGAAGTTTTGTTCTTATTTTCCTCTTCTGACCCAAATGGAAGATAAAGTGATTTAAGTGTAAAAAGTCACCTACCGTAAAAGCACAGTGGGATAGGGTTAAGTTGGGGAAATTCTAGGCCCAAGAAGGAGTTGTATAAGGATTTCCTCTTTACTCTTTTAACTAGAACAAATATCCTATCCTTATCTTTGTTTTCTGAGCAGTAGACATTTCCACAGAATTATGACTGAAAATGCATGACGAGATAAAGATGAGTAACCTTCTACCAGTTAGCAATGCAATTGGCTGAAAGTAACAGAAAACCTGATTAAGACTTCCTTGAATAAAAAAAGAGTTTATTTTTCTCTTATAACAAGAACAAAGGTAGGGTCTTGCTGGAGGTGGTTGAACTATTCAGTGATAATTTAGTGATTTGGGATCTTTCTATATATCTGATTCATCATACAAAGAGTGTTGGATTCCTTTTTCCTGATTGCAAAGATGCCAGCTACACCTCCAGGCAGCATATCTGTTTGCAAGACAGAGAAAAGGATGCATGGTTAAACTGCAATACCAGTTCTTCTGTCTCTTTTCATTAGAAAAGAAAAAGCTTTCTTTTCTAATGAAGCAAACTTCTGCTTAGATTCTATTTGTTAGAATTTGGCCCCATAGCTATCTCTAACTGCAAGGCAGGCTGGAAGATCAAGTTTGGTGCATTTTAATCACTATAGGATAAAAGGTCAACAGAAAACAACAATGGGTGTTGAATAAGCTGACCCATAGTGCCTGTCACAATAATCTTTAGCAAGTTTGTTAATTTAACTATTTAAAAAAGAGATTCTGAGAAACTTTATCAGTATGAATATTTAAGTGAGTTATAAAACAATATTTAGAACATACTTCTAAGTTTGGAGAAAGCAGCTGGGAGCCTAAATACCAAAAGTTTAGGAATGGCTATCTTGGGGATGTGGAATGATAGATTTTTAAAAGTATTATTTGTATTTTAAAATATTTTACCATAAGATGCTATAATTTATTAAAAGAACAAAGAATATATTTTCTAGAAAAATGATGTTGGTGATATGATTTACTTATACTTGAATGTTTAATACAATGATGAATTTAAAAAGTACACAAGTCTGCATAAGCAGAGCTCTATCTTTAGAGGAGAAGATATTTAATATGTTCACAGAAATATTAATGTAAGGATACTAATCATATTACTGATAGTTTCTTAGTTTATACTATTATGAGTGATTCTTGTTTTCTTTAAATTTTCTCTATATTTTTCTAAAAATTAGCAGTTATAACTTTATTATAATTAGGAAAATAAAATTGAACTCTTGAGTTTCTAACTATATGTTACTTATGGCGTGGGAGAACATTCCCTTTAGGATATTATTGAAGCAGCCATGGCTAGTTCGCTTTAAATAAATGGTTTTGTAAGGAAATCAAAACTCAGAGCAGCATTCCCTGAGACAGCTAGTGACCCGGGGAGCCACCACTCCCTATTTTCATCAGTTGTTCCCAGATTTTAGATACACATACGCCAATTGTCCAAAGATATTCACAAGCTAAGTATTGCGGAGGACTGTTGATCATTTCAATTGTTTTTCTCTGTTTCTTCCTCTGTTCTTTCACTTTCTTCTTCATTGTTCCCCTTGCTCTTTATCTTGTTTACTTTCTTCTTCTCCATTGTCCCATTTGTCAATTACTCCAGGTATCCATTTCTTGATGGCTTCCCTGGATCAAAGTGTCCCTCCCCTTCTCTCACAATTTCTATGGGCTGTTTCTCAACCTTTAACATGCATATGAATCACCTGGAACACCTCATTAAAATGCACATTCTGATTTCTTACACCTGGGGTGGACCCTGAACAGCTTCATTTCGAACAAAAATCCCCAGTGTTTCTGATGCTGCTACCCTTTGAGTAGCAAAGTTCTATTGCAATGTTTAACCCTGGCTACACACGAGAACCACTTGGGTAGCTTTAAAAACTAGCACCGTTGCCTGGGTCCCTACCCCAGATATTCTGATGTAACACAACTGGAGTATGTCCTGAGCATCAGAATTTTTTTGTTTCCCAGATGAAAACATCATATAACTTTACGCAATGACCTACACTTACTTGCATATCAGTCATTCTCTTCCAACAAAGTCCCAGTTTATTAAGGATGGAAACAATATATTTTGTATCATTGTATTCTTCATATCCTGCTGGATGAATGAAACAAAGTATACAAGAAAAAAATGGCAAATAATTATTCATGTGGTTGAAGTAATAGAAGAAACTAAACTGTGGGTGTTAATTCATAAATGTAGCCAACAATTTGTTTTTATGATATCATTTTGAATTTTGAATTATTTTTGTAATTTTCTTTTGTTAAAATGCTCAGGTATTAAAGTTTGTAGATCTTTAAAATCACTACTAATTTCACAATACACTATATCTTTCATATCTTGAGTTTTTGTTGCCTAGACGTAGTCAATAGGAGTATAATTTTCAGAAAAAGCTAAAAATAATGATCACATTTTAAAATGTCAATATTTAGATTGAATTCACAGAGAAAGCAAAATTACTGTCAAAAATAATTTTTTAAATAATGAAAATATTTTGCAAAAATCTTTACCCCTACTGACTCTGCTACAAACCCTAACACACTTTCTACTTTTCAAGTTCTAGAATATAAAAGAGGGATCCAATAATATGTTGGTAAAGAATCTCCTTCAGGGTATTGCTTTCATCATTTTTTCCCTTGTGGGTTAAGAAATCTTTTTATCCTCCAAAGACCTCTCTCTGTGCTTAAAGCATGTTAGCAGCCTTGCCAAAAATTAATGATATGTGTAATCTTAGCTTGCTATAGGGTATGTTATTGCATTTGTAATTTTTTTATGCTAGAAGATAATATGCTTCCTCTTATTAAGCAAGTCGGATTTGCCTAAAACAATACAATCTTCTGAGCAACTCCATTCTGCCTTTTTGACAGATAAGGTTTCAAAGCTTCATAGCATAACTGAATTAGGCCATCTTGCCACAGTCATAACCAGTCAGAAGTGCATCAAGACTGACTGCTTTTATTCAGTTTCTTAACTATTTATACTCAGTAACAAGGTTGCCCAGTTTAGAGGATCTTCATGATATCCTCCAGCACAGTAACTACAAAAGATGTCTCCAGTGCAAACTCAGAATAATTTTTCCTTTTTTAAGCTTCACTCATAGACAAGAAGCACAATATTATGAACAGTAGTTATCATTGTACAACAGAAAGCCTAGAAGTAACTCCCTGAATTCCCAGTCATAAAGTAGTCTGTGGCTTATGGTTTCAGTTGCCCAAACTCTGCTGTTGCCTAACTATAGGGGCCATTGAGGAAAAGAAGTATATAGCCCTTCCAGAGTATATCTCATATTTGGGAATCCAGGCACTCATTAACCCCTTCACCTGTGACAATTAGAGGGTAATGAGTGATCAAGGACTAAATTGACTAATATAATTTATATCCAAACAGACATTTCTGAAATAAAAGGGGATGCTGTAATTACACCAGTACACCAGGTGTTAACCTGGATTGTCCTATGCAAACTTACTTATAATTAGCCTGATACACAGGTGAAATGAATGAGCTTCTGAATTTACACATTTCTGAATATGCACCCATACTCACTAAATCCATGAGTTCTCTCCTCACTTTACTGAAACAAATAATTATTAAATGGTATTTTACTGTCCTTTTGTGTGCCTTCTCTCTTCAAATTCCTTTAATTTTTGAGACGGAGTCTCGCTCTGTCACCCAGGCTGGAGTGCAGTGGCACAATCTCGGCTCACTGCAACCTCCGCTCCTGGGTTCAAGCGATTCTCCTGCCTCAGCCTCCTGAGTAATTATGATTACAGGCACGCACCACCATACCCGGCTACTTTTTGTATTTTTAGTAGAGACGGGGTTTCAGCATGTTGATCAGGCTGGTCTTGAACCCCTGACCTCAGGTGATCTGCCCGCCTTGGCCTCCCAAAGTGCTGGGGTTACAGGCATGAGCCACCGCACCCATCCTTAAAAATATTTAAAGATAAAAATATACGTTGGAGTTTGTCTTACACTTTATGCAATTTTTAAGTTTTTATACAATTTAAATTATAGCAATTAATGTGATAAATAATTTTAGTTTTTCATAGGTAGTCAAAAATGGCCACTTCCTTTTTATTTTTTATTGTATGTAAGGTATACAATATGATTTTTGATATACATATGCATATGAAATGATTACTACAGTTTAAACAAACTACATCTATCCCCTTCCATGGTTATCATTTGTGTGTAGATGGGGGAAAGGTTAAGAGCATCTTCAATCTATTCTTAGTAAATTTACAGTATACAGTATTGTTAACTATAGTCCACATGCTATGTATTAAATATTCTAATGATTTATTTATCCTACATAACTACAAATTGTACTCCTTTACCTACTTCTCTCTTTTTCCTCTGTCCCTCCACTCCTGGTAATCCCTGTTCCATTCTCTGTTTCTATTTATTTGGCATTTTTTCAAAAGATTCCACACATAAATGAGATCATACAGCATTTTCCTTTAGGGGTCTGCCTTACTTCATTTAGCATAATGTCCTCCAGGTTCAGCCATGTTGTTACTAATGGCAGCATCTCTTTCTTTTTAAAGGCTGAATAATATTCCATTTCGTGTGTGTGTGTGTGTGTGTGTGTGTGTGTGTGTGTACATACATATGCACACAGTCATGCTTTGCTGCACGACAGGGATACACTCTAAGAAATGCAACATAAGGCGATCTCATCATTGTGTGAACATCATCATTTAGTGTACTTACACAAACCGAGATGATATTTTCACTTGCGTCCGTGTGAAGAGACCACCAAACAGGCTTTGTGTGAGCAACAAGGCTATTTATTTCACCTGGGTGCAGGCGGGCTGAGTCCAAAAAGAGAGTCAGCGAAGGGAGCTAGGGGTAAGGCCGTTTTATAAGATTTGGGTAGGTAAAGGAAAATTACAGTCAAAGGGGGGTGTTCTCTGGCAGGCAGGGGTGGGGGTCACAGGGTGCTCAGTGGGGGAGCTTTTGAGCCAGGAAAAGGAATTTCGCAAGGTAATGTCATCAGTTAAGGCAGGAACAGGCCATTTTCACTTCTTTTGTGGTGGAATGTCATCAGTTAAGGCAGGAACCGGCCATCTGGATGTGTACGTGCAGGTCACAGGGGATATGATGGCTTAGCTTGGGCTCAGAGGTCTGACATTCCTGTCTTCTTAAATTAATAATAAAAAAACGAAATAGTGGTAAAGTGTTGGGACGGCAAAAATTTTGGGGGGTGGTATGGAGAGATAATGGGTAATGTATCTCAGGGCTGCTTCGAGCGGGATTAGGGGCGGTGTGGGAACCTAGAGTGGGAGAGATTAAGCTGAAGGAAGATTTTCTGGTAAGGGGTGATATTGTGGGGTTGTTAGAAGAAACGTTTGTCATTTAGAATTATTGGTGATGGCCTGGATATGGTTTTGTATGAATTGAAAAACTAAACAGAATAAGAGAAGGAGAAAAACAGGTATTAAAGGTCTAAGAATTGGAAGGACCCAGGACATCTAATTAGAGAGTGCCTAAGGAGATTCAGCATAGTCCTGCCAGCAAAGATTATTTACTTTAAGTGTTAAGAGTGGCAGTTTGGGGATGGCACCAGGAGATATCAGCTGTGATGGCTTGGAGAATCAGTATAAACCGGCAGTGTAAACAAGAGCAGGGCATTTATGAGTAGTTGAGAATGGTGAATAGGTGTATGACTAGACAGAAGATAGTAGGGATGACAAGTTTTTTGGGGGCACAGTCCAAGTTGATCTGGTGTCTGGAATGAGGCTGGGGCCTAATAAAAAGGAGCATCCATACAGGAGCTCAAATGGGCTGTACCCTGTAGCATTCCGAGGACGGGCCTGAATTCTGAGAAGGGAAAGTGGTAAGAGTATTGTCCATTCCTTTTTAAGTTGGTGGCTGAGCTTGGTGAGGTGTGCTTTTAAAAGACCATTAGTCCATTCTACCTTTCCTGAAGACTGAGGACCGTAGGGGATATAAAGGTTTCACTGAATACCAAGAGCCTGAAAAACTGCTTGGCTGATTTGACTAATAAAGGCTGGTCTGCTATCGGACTGTATAGAGGTGGGAAGGCCAAACCAAGGAATTATGTCTGACAGAAGGGAAGAAATGACCGCAGTGGCCTTCTCAGACCCTGTAGGAAAGGCCTCTACCCATCCAGTGAAATTGTCTACCCAGACTAAGAGGTATTTTAGTTTTCTGACTCGGGGCATGTGAGTAAAGTCAATTTGCCAGTCCTGGGCAGGGGCAAATCCCCGAGCTTTATGTGTAGGAAAGGGAGGAGGCCTGAACAATCCCTGAGGGGTAGTAGAATAGCAGATGGAACACTGAGAAGTGATTTCCTTGAGGACAGATTTCCACGATGGAAAGGAAATGAGAGGTTCTAAGAGGCAGGCTAGCGGCTTATAACCTACATGGAAGAGGTTATGAAATGATGACAGAATAGAATGGGCCTGTGAGGCTGGAAGGAGATATTTTCCCTGGTCTAAGAACCATTTGCCTTGTGTGGGAAGAGATTGATAGGTGGAAGTTTCAGCGGGGGAGTAGGTGGGAGTGACTGACGTGAAGGAGAAAAACTGGCCATGAGGGACAGAAGTTGGAAAGCTAGCTGCTTGTCTAGCCACCTTAGCATAAACATTGCCTAGAGCAAAGGGATCTGATGCCTTTTGATGGCCTTTGCAGTGAATGACTCCAGCTTCCTTTGGAAGTAAAGCGGCCTTGAGCAGAGTTTTTATTAAACAGGCATTAATGATGGAGGACCCTTGCGTAGTGAGGAAACCTCTTTCAGCCCATACAACAGCATGGTGGTGCAGAATATGAAAGGCATATTTAGAGTCAGTATAAATATTGATGCGTAGTCCTTTTGCAAGAGTGAGGGCTTGAGTTAAGGCAACTAGTTCAGCTTGTTGAGAGGTAGTGGAGGGGGGCAGAGTGGTAGCCTCAATGATACATGTGGAAGATACTATAGCATAGCCTGCCTTTGCTGGTGAGTGGCAATTAGGCCTGGTGGAACTGCCATTAATAAACCAAATGTGATCAGGGTGAGGAACAGGAAAGAAGGAAATATAGGGAAATGGGGTGAATATCAGGTGGATCAGAGAGATACAGTCATGAGGGTCAGGTGTGGTATCCAGAATAATGTGGGAGGCCGGATTGAAGTCCAGGCCAGGAACAATGGTAATTGTGGGAGACCCAACAAAGAGTGAGTATAGCTGAAGGAGCCGGGGAGCAGAAACTATATGCGTCAGGTATGAGGAAGAAAATAGATTTTGGAAGTTATAAGAACTGTAGAGAGTGAGTTGAGCATAGTTTGTGATTTTTAGGGCCTCTAAAAGTATTAAAGCACCGGCAGCCGCTGAACGCAAACATGAGGGCTAGGCT
Organism: Homo sapiens; assembly: GCF_000001405.40. Taxonomy (NCBI): domain Eukaryota; kingdom Metazoa; phylum Chordata; class Mammalia; order Primates; family Hominidae; genus Homo; species Homo sapiens. Next base: position 97,275,087 of record NC_000003.12, read on the forward strand.
AAAACAGTAAGGTCAAGTTGTTTGGACAGAAAGGCTACAGGGTGTGGTCCCGGCTCCTGTGTAAGAATTCTGACCACACTAACCATGCCTAAGAAGGAAAGGAGTTATTGCTTTGTAGAAGGGATTGAGGTTTGGGAGATTAGTCAGACACGATCAGCAGGGAGAGCACATGTGTTTTTATGAGAATTATGCCGAGATAGGTAACAGATAAGGATGAAATTTGGGCTTGACTGAAGTAATGGGGGCTATCTGTGAAGCCTCGTGGCAGTACAGCCCAGGTAATTTGCTGAGCCTGATGGGTGTCAGGGTCAGTCTAAGTGAAAGCAAAGAGAGGCTGGGATGAAGGGTGGAAAGGGATAGTAAAGAAAGCATGTTTGAGATCCAGAACAGAAATAATGGGTTGTGGAGGGAGGTATTGAGGATAGGAGAGTATATGGGTTTGGCACGACGGGGTGGATAGGCAAAACAATTTGGTTGATAAGGCACAGATCCTGAACTAACCTGTAAGGCTTGTCTGGTTCTAGGACAGGTAAAATGGGGGAATTGTAAGGAGAGTTTATAGGCTTTAAAAGGCCATGCTGTAACAGGTGAGTGATAACAGGCTTTAATCCTTTTAAAGCGTGTTGTGGGATGGGATATTGGCATTGAACGGGGTAAGGGTGATTAGGTTTTAATGAGATGGTAAGGGGTGCATGATCGGTCGCCAAGGAGGGAGTAGAGGTATCCCATACTGGTGGGTTAAGGTGGGGGGATATGACAGGAGGATGCAAAGGAGGCTTTGAACTGGGGGGAAAGGTGGCAATGAGGTGTGGCTGTAGCCTAGGAATAGTCAGGGAAGCAGATAATTTAGTTAAAATGTCTCGACCTAATAAGGGAGCTGGGCAGGCGGGGATAACTAAAAAAGAGTGCATAAAATAATGTTGTCCAAGTTGGCAGCAGAGTTGGGGAGTTTTAAGAGGTTTAAAGCCTGGCCGTCAATACCCACAACAGTTATGGAGGCAAGGGAAACAGGCCCTTGAAAAGAAGGTAATATGGAATTAGTAGCCTCTGTATTGATTAAGAAGGTGACGGACTTACCCTCCACTGTGAGAGTTACCCGAAGCCTGGCATCCATGATGGTCTAGGGGGCTTCCGAGGCGATCGGGCAGTGTCAGTCTTCAGCCTCTAAGTGGAGAAGATCTGGGAAGGAGTCAGTCAGAGAGCCTTGGGCCAGAGTTCCAGGGGCTCTGGGAGTGGCTGCCAGGTGAGTTGAACAGTCCGATTTTCAGTGGGGTCCCGCACAGATGGGATGCGGCTTAGGAGGAATCCGGGGCTGTGGGCATTCCTTGGCTCGGTGGCCAGATTTCCAGTACTTGTAGCAAGCTCCTGGGAGAGGAGGTTCTGGAGGAACACCTGGCCGACTGCGGTTCAGGCGTTTGGAAGTTCTTGTGTGCTGGAGATGTGGCTGGGGTTTGTCTCATAGTGGAGGCAAGGAATTGCAACTTTTTTTCTATTATTGTACACCTTGAAGGTGAGGTTAACTAAGTCCTGTTGCGGGGTTTGATGGCCGGAATTTAATTTTTGGAGCTTTAAAGTCGGGAGCGGATTGGGTAATAAAATGTATATTGAGAATAAGACGGCCTTTTGACCTTTTAGGTCTAGGGCTATAAAGCATCTCAGGGTTGCTGCCAAATGAGCCATGAACTGGGCTGGGTTTTTCATATTTGATGAAAAAGAGCCTAAACACTAACTGATTTGGGAGAGGTGGGATAAGGAAAAAGGAAAAGGAGCATTAACCTTGACTATGCCTTTAGCTCCAGCCACCAATTGCTGGGCAGGTGGGGGAGGGCTAGTCGTGGAACGAAACTGTAAGCCGGACCAGGTGTGAGGAGGGGCGGTGATAAAAAGATTATAGGGTGGAGGAGCAGAGGCTGAGGAAGAATTGGGACCTAGCTCGGCCTGGCAAGGAGCAGCCTGGGGAGGAGGGGAAAGGCCAGATGGGTCTGTAGAAAAGGAAGAAAGACTCAGTGACGCTTGGGGTTGGAACTGAGGGGACAGGCGAGACGGAAAGAAGGAGAATTTGGGACGATTCTAACAGGCTTTGTGTGAGCAACAAGGCTATTTATTTCACCTGGGTGCAGATGGGCTGAGTCCGAAAAGAGAGTCAGCGAAGGGAGATAGGGGTGGGGCCATTTTATAAGATTTGGGTAGGTAAAGGAAAATTACAGTCAAAGGGGAGGTGTTCTCTGGCGGGAAGGGGTGGGGGTCACAAGGTGCTCAGTGGGGGAGCTTTTGAGCTGGGATGAGCCAGGATGAGCCAGGAAAAGGAATTTCGCAAGGTAATGTCATCAGTTAAGGCAGGAACAGGCCATTTTCACTTCTTTTGTGGTGGAATGTCATTAGTTAAGGCAGGAACCCGCCATCTGGATGTGTACGTGCAGTCACAGGGGATATGATGGCTTAGCTTGGGCTCAGAGGCCTGACAGATATAGCCTACTCCATATAGGTTATATGGTATAACCTATTGCTCCTAGGCTACAAACCTGTATAGCTTGTTACTGTACTTAGTACTTTAGGCAATTGTAACACAATGGTAAATACTTATATATCTAAACATATCTAAACAAAGAAAAGATACAATAAAAATACAGTATAAAGGTTATAACATGGTACACATATATAGAGCAATTATGATGAATGGAGCTTATAGAACTGGAATTTGCTTGGACTGGAAGTTGCTCCAAGTCAGTGAGTGAGTGAGCAGTGAGTGAATGTGAAGGCCTAGGACATGATTGCATGCTATTGATGACTTTATAAACACTGTACGCTGAGGCTACACTAAATTTATAAAAAGAAAGTAATTATGCTACAACAGCTATGATGTCACCAGATGACAGCAATATTTGAGCTCTATTATAATCTTCTAGGACCACTGTCATATGCTGTCTATCGTTGACCGAAACATTATGCAGCACATGACTGTACTATAATTTCCGTTTATCTGTTGATAGATACTTAAGTTGTTTCTAACTCTTGGCTACTAATGGCCACTTCTTAAAGGATGTTCACTAAGCATGTTTTTCATTTCCTCTCTGATTTTGATTTCTCATACATTTCTTTAAAGCAAATATGGTGAAAATTAAAATCAGAGTTTAGACCCAATGACTGCTAGTTTCCTTTATTCTAGTAAATATTATAAGTCTATTTGTATGAAAAAAATAACACTACTTTGAAGTTAGGACTGGTCGTGTTATGCTGATACTTAAAGATGTTTCCCAAATGCTGATCTTTTCATTGATAACTAATTGTATACAGGAAGTTCTTTCATTTTTGCATAAAGGTTTCTTAAAAATGTGTTTTAAAGTTTATAAATTGAATAACAGGCTTATACATTATAAGCCTTTGCGTTTTCATCTAGCCATAATGTGTCCTTTGGAGACCCTGCTTGCTGCACCAAACTGTCAAGCAAAAAACTGTGCACAGGTTGTCAATTCTAGGAAAGAACTTGAACATGGAGGATAGCAAAGATCATCACTATTTCAACCACTCAGTATAGAAGTCTATACACTCTGTCCACTGCATATCAGAATCACCAAGAAAAACAACACAGTTAAGCACTAGAGGGTGCAGTGTGTTACTCAAATACAGGAATAACAGAGTAAGATCAGCTCCTGTAGTGGGTGTAGGTCCCCCATGGCCAGCAGGTTTCTCTAGGCACCTGATTTAGGGGTATTGGCCTGCACACACCCCTCATGGGCAGCAGCAGAAGGATTTTGACTCAGACTCCTCCTCCATGGGAGCTGAGAGTGTATCTGAGGGCCGCTGACACACATGCTTAGGCAGGACAAAAACACATACGATTGAAACAGGGCAGGATATTCCCACACAAGGTAATAAGCACAGTACAGGCTGTGTGGGCTCTTTATCTCTTGGTAGAAGGGGTGAAAGACTGTGAACGTGAGACAGCTTTTCACAACAATTATAATCTATTACACTCACATAATTTACTAGTGGATTCTTTACAAGCAATTTAGGATGTTTCTTAAATAGTCAAGTCACAAAATGGGAACATACAAATTACTAAGTATGAAAAGGGCCAGAACATCCATTCCTAGTTTTGCTTTTACCTCCAATATATTCCAGTGATATTTGTTTGGAAAGAGAAACATGGTATTTTTTAATCTATTGATATTAAAAAATTAATAGATTTATTAATAGTGTTCTTACTGTGACTATTAGAATAAATAAATTACAACCCACCCATCACATACTTTGTTAGAACCCCCTTCATGAAAAGCGTGCTATTTTATAAGAAGAAAATATCTCTAACAAGGGTGACTAACTTGTGACTACATGAAAATTTTAAAATGAGCCATCATAAGCATCTTTTGAGTGCTGTCAGACTGCTCAAGTGAAGAGAATAGGAAATCTATTTAAAAAAAAAAAAGCAGGTCAGAGCAAGGGAAGTGCAAATTAAAATCAGGTAAGGCTTAAGCAATGTGAAAGAGCATTTTATAAGAAAGTCCAAATCTAGTTACACAATACATCATAGGCACGAAGCCAAGCAGAGAATCAATCAAACCTGGTTATGATCAAGGTGGATTCAAGGATGGAAGAATATAGAAAAGATTATATGTTTAATCTTGATGTTTACTGAAGACATGAATGACATTTTCACTTCCAAATTTTCTTTAGAAAAAAGGTCAGAGATATTAGATCAAACACTGTCCAATTCATAGATACTGCTAATTTTATTGAAGAGTAGAAATAACTGCCAATAATTATATGCTCCCTAGCATTTCTTTTTTCTTGTTGTTCGTTTGTTTTTGTTTTTTTTGAGACAGAGTCTTGCTCTTGTTGCCCAGGCTGGAGTACAGTGATGAGATCTTGGCTCACTGCAATCTCTGCCTTCCAGTTTCAAGCGATTGTCCTGCCCCAGCCTCCTGAGCAGCTGGGATTACAGGCACCTGCCACCAGTCTCATCTAATTTTCATATTTTTAGTAGAGACAGAGTTTTGCCATGTGGCATACTTGTCTCAAACTCCTGACCTAAAGTGATCCACCCGCCTTGGCCTCCCAAAGTGCTGGGAATTACAGGAGTGAGCCAGTGCACCTGACCTCCCTAGCATTTTTAAATAACTGACAGATGAAATTGTAAAAGTGTAGCTTAACTGCTAGATTTCCTTCTCTCTCTGTAAAGTAAGGATTGATAATAGTGTTCTCCTTAAATGATTGTTGTAAAGATTAAATGCAATTATATAAATTAATTTCATACAACAGTTCCTGGCATGTGGTAAGTGCTCAAATAATATTATTATTGCTGGTATTTAGAAAGCCAAGAACATTTTAAAGACATACATAGGATCAGCAAGCAAACAAAAGGTTGAAACATAAGACTCACTAATAATTGTGTCTCAGCCTTTACTCTGCCATCTGAGTAATCTTTCTCAAGGTACTTCATTTTTCTGAGCCTTTTTTTTTAATCTCCATTTATAAAACTGAGGTTGAACTGGATTATCTCTATGGTCTCTTCGAGCACACCTATAATTTTCAGAACCTGGTGTGTCAATAATTTGAACATTTGTATAGGGTTGCTGTCTAGCATGTATACATTTTTAAAACTATTTTCATACTTATAGTTTCCTTATATATCTCTTTATAAGGTTCTGAATTTCATATATTGTGCAAATATGAGGGCAAGTTCCAAAACCAAAAATCTTCTGGGATTAACTCTTAAAGGCAGAGTATTGAGTTAAATCTCTATTACCCTTTAATGTGTAACTATGAGCATATTAAACATGTCCCACAAGATAAGCAATTTGACTCTGTATCCCCATCTCAAACAGTAAACCTAGCAGGTGATGTGGTCTATATTTGGCAATTACTCCCTCTGAATAATAGTGAAGTTTTATCTTTTATAAATACATTTTTATCTACATAGTTCAGTCACTTGGCATTTCTGTACTATTTTTAAATTAAGTAAACTTCTTTGTTATGATTACTTACAATGAGGGAGAGAAGTTAAGTGTTATCAGATGACACTAGAGAGGTGTCATAAAAAAGGAAAAGGAGAAGAGTTTGATTTACACTTTGTAAAGCTATGACCGGAATTGCAATCATTAATTCAAAGAGTCTATGTGTGTGTGTGTGTGTGTGTGTGTGTGCGCGCGTGTGTGCATGAGCATGTGTGTGTGTGGTGTTTTAAGGTCACTGCTTTATTAGAATTAACCCATTTAAATACAGTTAATTTATAACTTCTTTGGGGGAAAAGGAAGCACATATTTCAAAGAGAAGGATGGATCTCAATTCAATTTGTATTTTAATTTGCATTCATTTTATTTTTATTTTAACTTGCATTTCTCCTTATATGAGTAAATTTAGATATTTTTCATACTGCTAAGGGAGCACAAACCCTCAGTCTCCTAATCAAGTGTGCCTATTACACTAAAGAGTCTCTCACTGTGATTCCAATCATTTTTACACTAAACCACAGAAAATTGCATAGAATACTCAAAAACAAGCCTGAAGGGATTATAACACAATGAAAATCACACATGAAATCAACTGAGATTGTAATAATAATATTTTCAACATCATCATTATTACTGTATGTTACATTTATTCAGTGCTTTATATGGACAAGGTACTATTCTAAGGGCTTTACATGTATTAATATATGTAATTCTCACAACATGCCTAGGTACAGTAACAGTTGTTATCCTCATTTCACAGGTGAATGAGTTGAGACACAAGGGAATTTTTAATAAGTCAGGGCCTATAACTTTAAATTTGGTTGAATTTTTTTACAGTGTGTGTAACTTAATCCTTTTCAATAATTTAAACGTTTTTACAAATCAGAAAATGTTAGAAAATATCACCAAATTTTTAATAATGTGGCACACATAATAAGTGTTCAGTATGTGGCTGATTAAGATTTTCAAGGCATTATATGATTCTATAGTTCCTTCCCATATGCTGTGACAGTCAAGGAATGTTTATAAACATAGCAGTTCAGTAATTGAACACATTGCCCTTTAAAATTACATTCCTTATAATATTTACAGTGTCCATATTGCCCAGTTTTTTTATCAAGCTTTTTACAATAGGAAAGACTGATGATGTCAGATAAATATAAGTATGTTCAATATGTACAGAGAAATGTAAATGTTTTTACATTGAAAGACTGACAATGTCAGAGAAATGTAAATCAAAACCACAATGAGATACCATCTCGTGCCACTTAGAATGGCAATTATTAAAAGTCGAAACAACAGATGCCGGCGAGGCTGTGGAGAAATAGGAATGCTTTTACGCTGTTGGTGGGAATGTAAATTAGTTCAATAATTGTGGAAGACAATGCGGCAATTCCTCAAATATCTAGAACCAGAGATACCATTTGACCCAGCAATCCCGTTACTGGGTATATATCCAAAGAAATATAAATCATTCTTTTATAAAGATACATGCATGCGTATGTTTATTGCAGCACCATTCGCAATAGCAAAGACATGGAATCAACCCAAACACCCATCACTGACAGACTAGATTAAAAAAATGTGGTCCATATACACCATGGAATACTGTGTAGCCATAAAAAGGAACGAGATTATGTCTTTTGCAGGGACAATGGATGAAGCTGGAAGCCATTATCTTCACCAAACTAACACAGGAATAGGAAACCAAACACCACATGTTCTCACTCATAAGTGGAGCTGAACAATGACAACACATGGACACAGGGAGGGGAACAACACACACCGGGGCCTATCAGCAGGGCAGGGGAAGGGAGAGCATTAGGATAAATAGCTAATGCATGCAGGGCTTAATATCTAGGTGATAGGTTGATAGGTACAGCAAACCACCATGACACACATTTACCTGTGTAACAAACCTCCATGTCCTGCACATGTATCCCAGAACTTAAAATAAAATAAAATTTTAAAAAAGAAAGACTGGCAATGTCAGCAAGTACTCTACAGGTCAGTAATTATATAAACAAAGAATAGTACTGGAAAATTAATATTGTAATAAACTAAGATATACCACCAAAATCAAAATGCTTTGTTAGATTTTTTGCATTATTCTCTCTTATTGACTTGGTATGTGAATTTTCAAACTGTCAACAACTTTTTTTTAAAAAGCATAAAGGTAGGTGATAGCACATTATGTAAAGTGACAAGTTAAATGAATTTTGAAATTGTTTAGTTCCATTTTATAGTTTAATATTTGAAATATAAATTATTATCTTGCATGCAGTAAGATAAATGGGAATAAATATCTCAAAAATTATGAGATTCATTGAATCATGTAACTATGCCAATTTTATCTTAAAAAGTTCTTTTATATATTTTTTGAACTTTGTTTTGTGATTACATTGGCAAGGAAAATGATAGGATACAGTTATCTAAACTAGCCTAGATATGGTGATTATAATATTAAATGTTGATTATAATATTAAATGAAATGGTGATTATAGAAATGGTGATTATAATATTAAATGTTGCTAAACAGTCTACACATCACACACCGGAGCCTTTCAGGGGGGTGAGGGGCAAGGGGAGGGAGAGCATTGGGATAAATATGTAATGCATTAGGGGCTTAAAACCTAGATGATGGGTTGATAGGTGCAGCAAACCACCATGACACATGTATACCTATGTAACAAACCTGCACGTTCTGCACGTGTATCTCATAACTTAAAATAAATAATAATAATGAAACTTATTATCAAGCAATGACATTTAAGTACATTACTTGTGATAATTAAAATATGTTATAGAGACTAAGTTAAGAATGGCAAAATACTAGGCCTCAATTCAGTCAACAAGGGATACACAATAAAGCAATTTTATTTATCTCTGAAGATTATAATCCCAACTATATCTTTACCTAGAAATATAATAAATTCCATTATCTCATAATTATATTTTCTAGTGCTTAAAATAAAGTTTTTTCACAAATTCTGCTGTGCACATTTCTGTTACCTTTTGCTTAACTCAATGCACAGCAATTAATAGATAATACATGTTTAAATAAATAAATTCTATATCAAAAATGTATTTTTCTACAATTTTTAAAGAAATCTATTTAAAGTTTCCCATCTGTGACATCATAAACCTATTTTGCATAAAAGTATAGTCAATACTTCTTTCTAAACTAGATATTTGATTCTTATTGTTTTACTAGCTTTTAAATCTGTGCCCTTTTGTTACTTTTGAATTAAAAATTACTGGAAGTTTCATTTTAAAATTATTATCTTTTTTCCTTTTTTATGCAAAAAGAGAGAAAGGCTTGTTAGTTTAAGGAAAGTAATCCCTCATTTCTCTTCCAATTTTCGATCTTATTCTGAGAACATCTTACTTCTTCCTTTAAAGCTTCACACTTACTTTTGTTTCATTTACCTGTGAGTCCGAGTTTGTGTCTCCACTCCCATTTTTTGTTTGTAATTTTTAGCCATATGCTTGTTACTACCTCTACTCCTCTACTGAACTGGCTTTTCTAAAAACATCATCTCCAAACACGTGACTGCTGATTTCATACACTAAGAGTACACTCATTTCTAAAGTGCCAGTTCAGCACTATGGAGTAGAAGTACTGAATAACATGATGTGAAAAATAGTGAACTATCCCAGATTTCATACTGTTGTTATAATAATGATTCATGACAGTTGCTATTAAGGTGGGAGACAAAAAAATTCCCCAAGGCCATTTGATTCTCCTCCCAATTAATACAAATATGTTAAATCTTTAATTTGTACACCAGTGCAATAATTAAAATATTTACATAGATCTATCAGAATAGTAAATTATTAAAAATTGAATTATTTAGTTCTAGAGGGATAGGTATATACATTCACTATATAACTGACATCTTGTATTTTAACATTTTTCTGGTTTATGTGTTTAGCATTTAAATGGTATTGGAACTAGTAGTTTTGGGAAATTTTGACTATACGTGTGTCAAAAACTTGTTCAGCCTCTGGAATACCGCCATCTGATAAACTTCTGCTGATAGGCATTGATCCAGACACACAGTGAAATTTCAAATACCACGACTCTTCATCTTTTAAAGATAAATTTAAGAGCCATTGATGATGATTAAATATTGTTATTTTGTTAAATATTTAATTAGAAAAATGACTGATAGAAGTGGAAGACATTGCATTTGTAAGATATTTTGTTTGGCATATTTATGGTTTTTGGTCATGATTCATAGATGCAATGTGATAAATGTAACTATCAAATATTAGAACTTAATCCTTCTATTTGACTGTATGTTTGTACCTATTAACCAGCCTCTCTTCATTGCTCTCTCCCACTCTTCCTATCCTTTGCTCACTATCATTCTACTCTCTACCTCCATGAGATCAATTTTTTAAACTTCCACATATGAGTGAGAACATGCAATACTAGTCTTTCTGTTCCTGGTTTATTTTATTTAACATAAAGACCATCATTTGTATTGATATTGCTGCATAATTGCTGCACATAATTTTATTTTTTATGGCCAGATAGTATTCCATTGTGTATATATCATATTTTCTTTATCCATCTATAGATAGACACTAACATTGATTCCATATATTTGCTATTGCAAATCGTGCTGCAGTGAACATGGGGTGCAAATATCCTTTTGATATACTGATCTCCTTTCCTTTTGATAAATACCCAGTAGTGGGATTGCTACATCCTATGGTAGTTCTATTCTTAGTTTTAGTTTTTTGGTTTTATTTTGAGAAATCTTTATACTGTTTTCCATAATGGCTGCATTAATTTACATTCCCACCAACAGTGTATGACAGTTTCCTTTTCTCCACATCCTCACCAGCATGTACTATTTTTTGTCATTTCATAAATAATCATTCTAGGGTAAGATGATATCTCACTGTGGTTTTGATTTGCATTTTCTCAATGATAGGTGATGTTAAACATTCTTTTATATACCTGTTAGCCATTTGTATGTCCTGATTTGAGAAATGTCTGTTTATCCCTTTGGTCCCTTTTGAATGAGATAATTTGGTTTCTTACCACTGAGTTATTTCTGTTCTCTGTATATTCTTTGTTCTTTCTGCTCATTAGTTTCTAGTCAGGTGATTAGTTCAAAAATATTTTCTCCCATTAAACAGTTTGTCCCTATTGATTATTTCCTTTGCTGTGCAGAAGCTTTTTAGTTTAATATACTCTATTACTCCATTTTTTCTTTTGCTGCCTGTGGTTTTAAAGTCTTAACCATAAAATCTTTGGCTAGACCAATGCAATGAAATTTGTTCTTTATGTTTTCTCCTAGTATTTGTATATTTTCAAGTGTTACATTTAAGTCCTTAATTCATTTGGAGTTGATTTTTTTGTATATGGTGAGAGATAGGGATTTAGTTTCATTTTGCATAAGGATATCCAGTTTTCCCAGCACTATTTATTAAAGAAGCTGTCTTTTCCCCAGTGTATGTTCCTGGCACCTTTGTTGAAAATCAGGTGGTTGCAAATAGGTGAACTTACTTCTAGGTTCTTTATTCCATTCCATTGGTCTATGTGTTTGTCCTTACACCAATTCCATAGTGTTTTGGTACCAAAGCCATATACTACATTTTGAAGTCAGGTGGTGTGAAGCCTCAAGCTTTTTTTTTTTTTCTTTTGCTCAGGATTGCTTTGGTAACTTGGACTCTTTTTAAATTCCAAACAAATTTTAGATTTTTTTTTCTAGTTCTGTGAAAAAATCACATTGGTATTTTATAGCAATTGAATTGAATTATAGATTGCTTTCGGTAGTATGGTGATTTTAACAAAATTAATTCTTCCAATCCATGAGCATGGGTTGTCTTTCCATTTGTTTGTATCTTTTTCAATCACTTTCGTCAGTGTTTTGTAGTTTTCCTTGTAGAGGTCTTTCACATTCTTGATTAAATTTATTCCTAGGTTTTTGTTTTTATGCAGCTGTTAAAAAAAAAAAAGGATTGCCTTCTTCATTTCCTTTTCTGCTAGTTCATTATTAGTGAATAGACATGCCACTGATTTTTGTATGTTGATTTTATATCCTGCAACTTTACTGAATTTATTTATCAGGTCTAAGAGTCTTTTGGTGGAGTGTTTAGGTATTTTTATATGTAAAATTTTGTCACCTACAAACAGAAACCATTTGACTTCTTTTTTTCCAATTTAGATGACTTTAATTTTTTTCTCTTGCCTGATTGCTCTGGCTAGGACTTGGCATCCTTGTCTTGTTCCAGTTCTTAGAGGAAAGGCTTAGCTTCTCTGAGTTCAGTTAGCTGCAGGTTTGTCACAACATCTCTTCATGATAAAAAAAACTCTTAACAATGGCGTGAACCTGGGAGGCGGAGCTTGCAGTGAGCCGAGATGGCGCCACTGCACTCCAGCGTGGGCAGCAGAGCAAGACTCCGTCTCAAAAACAAAAAAAAAACAAACAAAACAAAAAAAAACTAGGCAAAGAAGGAGCATACGTTAACATAATAATGGCCTTTGGGCCTACATCCTTTATTATGTTGAGGTATGTTGTTTATGAGCCATGTTCTTTTATGTTTATTGAGAGTTTTTATCATGAAGGGATGTTAAATTTTGTCAGATGTTGTTTCTATCTATTGTGATGATCATGTTATTTGTCCTTCATTCTACTGATGTTATGCATCTTGTTTATTAATATGTGTATGTTGAACCACCCTTGCATCCCTGGGATGAATCCCACTTAAATATGATGTGTTACCTTTTTGATGGGCTGTTGGATTCAGTTTGTTAGTATTTTGTTGAGGATTTTGCATCTATGTTCATCAGGAATATTGGTCTGTAGTTTTATTTTTTGTTGCATCCTTGTCTGATTTTGGTGTCAGGGTAGTAGTATCAGGGTAATGAGTCAGGAAGAATTCCCTCCTCTGCAATTTTTGGGAATACTTTGAATAGAATTGGCGTTTGTTATTCTTGTAAATGTGGTAGAATAAAGCAGTGAAGCCATCCAGTCTGGGGATTTTCTCTGTTAGGAGACGTAAAAAAAAAAAAGAAAAAAGAAAAAAGAAAGAAATTTAATTTTCAATGCAAGAGTACATGTGCAGGTTTCTTACATGGGTATACTGTGTGATGCTGAGGTTTGGGGTACAAATGATTCCTTCACCCAGGTAGTGAGCATAGCACCCAACAGGCAGTTTTTCAATCCTTGTTCCCCTTCCTTCCTCACCCTCTGTAGTAGTCCCATGTCCTTTGTTGCCATCTTTATGTCCATAAGTATTCAACTTTTAGCTCCCACTTAAAAATGAGAACATGCAATATTTAATTTTCCTTTCCTGTGTAAATTCACTTAGGATAATGGCCTCCAGCTGCATCCATGTTGCTGCAAAGGAGATGATTTGATTCTTTTTCATGACTGCTTAGTATTCCATTACATATACATCACATTTTTCTTTGTCCAGTCCACTGTTTATGAGCACCCAAGCTGATACCTTATCTTGCAGTTTTGAATAGTGCTGCAATGAACATGTGAGTGCATGTATCTTTTTAGTAGAATGAATTTTGGGGGAATATGTACACGTTAATGAGATTGCTGGGTCAGATGGTAGTTCTAAGTTCTTCAAGAAATCTCCAAATTTCTTTCCACAGTGGCTGAACTAATTTACATTCCCACCAAGAGTGTATAAGCATTTCCTGTACTATGCGGCCTCACTAGCATCTGTTGTTTCTTGACTTTTTTTATAATGGCCATTCTGACTGGTGTAACATAGTATCTCATTGTGGTTTTTATTTGCATTTTTCTGATGATTACTGATGTTGAGCACTTTTTCATATGTGTGTGGGGCCACTTGTTACATCTTCTTTTGAGAAGTGTCTGTCCATATCTTTTGCCCACTTTTTAATGGGGATTTTTTTTTTTTTTTTTTTGCTTGTTGATTTGTGTAAGTTTCCTATAGATTATGGATATTAGACTTTTGTCAGATACATAATTTGCAAATATTTTCTCCCATTCTGTATGTTGTCTACTCTGTTGACAGTTACTTTTGCTCTGCAGACGCTCATTAGTTTAATCAGGTCACAAGTCAATTTTTGTTTTTGTTGCAATTGATTTGGAGGACTTAGTCATAATTTCTTTCCCAAGGCCAATGTCCAGAATGGCATTTCCTAGGTTTTCTTCTAGGATTCTTCTAGTTTTAGGTCTTACGTTTAAATCTTTAACCCATATTAAGTTAATTTTTGTATAAGGTGAAAGATAGGTATCCAATTTCATTCTTCTGCATATGGCTAGCCACCCATCCCAGCACTATTTATTGAATAGTGAGTCCTTTCCCCATTGTTTATTTGTATTGAGTTCATCAAAGAACAGATGGCTGAAGTGTACAACTTTATTAGGGGTTCTGTATTCTGTTCCATTGGTCTTTGTGTCTGTTTTTGTACCAGTACCATACTCTTTTGGTTACAGTAGTCTTATATTATTGTTTGAAGTTGGGTAATGTGATGCTTCTGGCTTTGTTCTTTTTGCTTAGGATTGTTTTGTCTATTTCAGTTCTTTTTGGTTCCATATGCATTTTATGATAGTTTTTCCTAATTTGGTACTTTTTTAGGAATAACAATGAATCTGTATGTTGCTTTGGGAAGTATGGCCATTTTAATGTTATTGATTCTTCCAATCCATGAGCATGGAATCTCTTTCCATTTGTTTGTGTCATCTCTGATTTCTTTCAGCTGTTTTTTGTAGTTCTGCTTGTAGAGATCTTTCACCTCCTTGGTTACCTGTATTCCTATGGATTTTATTTTTTGTGAGTATGCAGCTACTGTAAATCAGATTGTGTTCTTGATTTGGCTCTCGGCTAGTGGTCTATTGATCTTGTTTATCCTTTCAAAGAACCAACTTTTATTTTTGTTGCTTCTTTGTATGAATTTTTGGATCTCAATTTTGTTTAGTTCTGCACGGATTTTAGTTATTTCTTTTCTTCTGCTAGCTTTGAGGTTAATTTCTTCTTCTTTATCTAGTTTTCATAGGTGTGATGTTAGATTGTTAATTTGAGATCTAACTATTTTAGCTGGGCATTTAGTACTGCAAACTTTCTCCTTAACAATGTTTTTGCTGCATTCCAGAGATTTTGGTATGATGGGTCCCGGTTTTCATTTATTTCAAAGAATTTTTTAAATTCTGTGTTAATTTTGTTGTTTACTCAAAAGTCATTCTGGAGTAAGTTGTTTAAATTCCATGTAATTGTGTGGTTTTGAGAGATCTACTTGGTATTGATTTTTATTGGTAGAAATTGGTTGTTAGGATTTCAATTTTTTTGAATCTATTGACACTGATTTGCGTCTAAGTATGTGGTGGATCTTGGAGTGTGTTCCATGTGCAAGTGAGAAGAATGTATAGTCTGTGGCTGATGGGTGGAGTTTTCTCTAAATGTCTATTAGGTCTGATTAGTCAAGTGTTGAATTTACATCCAGAATTTCGTTAGTTTTCTGCATTGGTGATCTAACTCTGTTAGTAGGGTATTGAAACCCATGTGGGGAGACTTTTTATAACTGATTCTCTCTCTGTTTAGATTTTCTATTTCTTTCTAATTCAATCTTGGTTGGTTGTGTTATCAAAAATTTACCTATTTATCCTAGGTTTTCTGGTTTGGTTATGTATAGTTGTTTATTACAGTCTTTGATGATCTTTTGTATTTCTGAGGTCTCAGTTGTTATGACTCCTTTTTCGCTACCCATTCTAGTTTTTGGGGTCCTTTTTCCTTTAGTTAGTCTAGGTAGTGGTTAATTTATTGATTTTGCTCATCTTTTTTTTTTAAACAAAAAAATAACTTTTTGTTTTGCTGATCCTTTGTATTGTGTTTTTAGTCTCATTCTTTTTATTTCTGCTCTGATCTTTATTGCTTTTCTTCTAACCATTTAGGGTTTAATGTATTCTTACTTTTTCAGTTCCCTGAGGTTCATGATTAGGATTGTTCACTTGAAGTCTTTCTACTCTTTTAATGCATGCATTTGTTGCTATAAACTTTCCTCTTAGCTGTGCTTTGGCTGGCATGTTGTGTTTTGACTTTCATTTGTTTCGAGATGCTTTTTTTTAAATTTCTTTCCTCATTTCATTATTGACCCAATGGTCAATTGGGAGCATGTTGTTTAATTTCTATATGTTCATACTATTTTGAAAGTTTCTCTTGTTATTGATTTCTAGTTTTATTTCATTGTTGTCTGATAAGATAGTTGAGAAGATTTCAATTTTTACATTTTTGTTGAAGCTTGTTTTGTTACCTACGTATAATCTATCGTGGAGAATATTCCATGTGCTGATGAGATGAATGTGTGTTGCTGTTAGAAAATGGTACTGTAAATGTCTGTTAGATCCCTCTGGTCATTGTTTCTTTGTTAATTTTCTGTCAATATGATCTGCCTAATGCTGAGAGTGGGTGTTGAGGTCCCCACCTGTTATTGTATTGGAGCCAACTTGATATTTGTTTATTTTAGGGTTTCCAATATACTACATAGAGTTTGTTCTTTCTTTTTTGTTCTTTTTCTTATATTTTGTTCTAAAATAATTATTTGAAAAGATCTATCTTTGTGTTCTGAAATACGTTCTTCTGCTTAATCTATTGTTTTTGAGGTTCTTAAATTTATGCTTTTATTTGAGATCTAATATTTGTTTTATGTATCTGAGTCCTCCAGTGTGGGTACATATATATTTAGAATTGGTATGTCCTCTTGTTGTATTGATCCCTTTATTCTATAATGACCTTGTCTCTTTTTACTGCTTTTGACTTAAAGTCTGTTTTATCTTACATAAGTGTCATGGGATCTTTAGGGTGTCACTTCACCAGCCGGAAACCTCTGTGGCCAGCTGTGCCTCTGCTTAGATTTTGCTTGTGCCTGCTGGACTTGTGCCTGGCAGGTTGCACTCTGCTTGAGCTACCAGCGTGGATCCCATACCTGCCAAGGGCAAGCCAGGCACGGAGCAGTGGGGGGTATGTGAGCAAACAAGCACAGGGTCCAGCCGCTGCGCACAGCCAGGTGCACCAGCTGTAGCAGGTTGGGCAGCTCCAGGCACCAGCACAAGCACCAGCTTTGTGTGAGGTTGCAGCTGAAGCAGACATACCACAAGCGGCTTCCGCTGCGGGCACCAGTGTCTGAACAAGGGGAACCTGATGGCACCCGAAAGCTCGGAGATGCCAGGAACCGCAGAGCCCCAAAGAGGGTGTTACGGCGTGTCAGAGCCCTGGCTCAGGGAGCCCCAAGGTCTGCGCTCCTAGAAGGACCACAGCTCTTCTCTCCTTGTCACTCACAATGTGGTAAATGGGGGAGAAAAGTTTCAGCCCTGTTTATGTTACAACTCTTTCCGTCCTGCCATTTTGCGGGTCCCAAGTTCTTGTCCTGCATACAAAAGGAATGAGGTATGTGGACAAGTGGAGGGTAAGCAAGGCAGAGAGGAGCTTCATTAAGTAACAGAACAGCTCTCAGGAGACCTGAGGCAGCTCCTTTCGGCAAGCAGGTCGTCCTGACGACGGTTCAGCTCTCAGCAGAAGAGACCCGTGATGGATAGGTGGATAGCTTCTTTCCACAGGCAGGTTGTCCCAGCAAGCATCCAGCTCACAACGGAGAGGAGACCTGTGGTGGGTAGCTCCTTTTCACAGGCAGTCATCCCAGCTAGCGTCCAGCTCTCAGGGGAGAGGAGACCCGTGGTAGGTAGTTGCTTTTTGCAGGCAGGTCATCTGGGTGAGCATCCAGCTCTCAGTGGAGAGGAGACCCGTGGTGGTAGCTCTTTTCTTCAGGCAAGTCATCCCGGTGAGCGTCCTGCTCTCAGCAGAGAGGAGACCCGTGGTGGGTAGCTCCTTCCCTCAGGCAGGTCATCTCAGTGAGCGTCCAGCTCTCAGTGGAGAGGAGACCTGTGGTGGGTAGCACCTTTTTGCAGGCAGGTCATCTCACCGAGCATCCAGTTCTCAGTGAAGAGAAGACCCATGGTGTCTAACTCCTTTCTTCAGGCAGGTCATCCTGGTGAGCTTCCAGCTCTCAGTGGAGAGGAGACCTGTGGTGGATAGCTCCTTTTCACAGGCAGGGCATGCCAGCAAGGGCCCAGCTCTCAGTGGAGCAGAGACTCATGGTGGGCAGCTCCATTCCTCAGCCGGGTCATCCCAGCAAGCGTCCAGCTCTCAGCAGAGAGGAGACCCGTGATAGGTAGCTCCTTTTCAAAGGCAGATCATCCTGGCTAGCGTCCACCTCTCAGCAAAGAGGACACTCATGATGTTCCATTGGCAGGCAGGCCATCCCAGTGAGTGTCCAGCTCTCAGCGGAGAGGAGACCCAGGGTAGGTTGCTCCTTTTGGCAGGCAGGTCATCCTGGCTAGCATCCAACTCTCAGCAAAGAGGACACTCATGATGGGTAGCTCCTTTCTGTTGGCAGGCAGGTCATCCCAGTGAGCGTCCAGCTCTCTGTGGAGAGGAGACTCATGGAGGGGAGCTCCTTTCTACAGGCAGGTCACCCCAAAGAGTCAATGAGACCCAAAGTAGGTAGCTCCATTCATGCAGCAGGTAGTCGTGACATCTGTGTGAGTCTGATTCCAGGGTTTTTATGGGCTCAGAAGGGAGGAAGCCTGTCCTGATGGATCCATGAGTGGCCATGGGTGGGCCTGGAAAAAGCCCATAAGTTCCCACTCTGGAGTGTGGACTCCACTTGGAATGGGCAGCCCAGGCCCCAGGCTTCAGGTAATTCCTGGCTCACAGGAGGGGTTTCACTGGGGACCTGCCCCTTCCCACCCAGGAACACAACTGCCTCCTGCTGTCATCAACATGTCCATGGATCCCTGGCTGTCCATGCCGAGGAGTGCCTGCAAGCCTGTGCCAAGCCACCTTCAGCCTCCCCGGCCTGCCTCCCGTGTTCATCAGTTCCCAAAGTATGGGAGTTGGGGACCGAGGTGGCATGGGGCTGACTCAAGCGTGCAAACCACCCCAGCTGGGGCACAACAGCACCCAGGTTCAGCTACAACATTGCTCCAAAATTGTTGCTGGTGTCAGGAGCAGGGGGAGGCCAGGGAGCAGGAGCTGGTACTTCCAAGCCTGTGGGAGCAGGAGAGGCTTTCTGGGCCCCAAGAGCACAGGGATGCCCAGGTCTGGAGCCACAGCTGGGCAGCTGCAGCTGCACGTGGGAGCGCAGGGCTCCTGCTGTGCCAATTCATAGTGGGCAGGGCTCCCACCTTTTCTCAGCCCCCACTGAATCCACAAAGCACACAGCCCCCAGCCATGCCTCCCCCACTTCAGCCAGCATCTTTGCAGTGGCCACTCCAGATGGACAGCTATCATAAGTACAGCCCCTTTGGCTTGCTTGGTTTCTATTTGTTTATAATTAAGGTCTTTTTCCATTTCTCTGCATTCAGTCTCTATGTGTCTTTACAAGTGAAGTGTGTGTCTTCTTTGCATGACATAGTTGTGTCATTTTTAAAATTCATTCAACCAGTCTATATTTTTCAGTAGAAAATTTAATCTGTTTACATTTAGTTATTATTGATATGTAATTAGTTACTTCTGTTATTTTGTTAATTGCCTTTCATATTTTGTACTTATTTTGTTGTTTTTTGTCATTGTTTCTCTCATTGTTTATCATTGCAGTTTGGTGATTTTCTGTAACAGTAACATTTGAGTCCCTCCTTATCTTCATTTGTGTGATTGCTCTACCAGTGCATTTTATACATTCATGTATTTTTATAATAATATTGTCCTTTTGTTTCCAAGTGTAGGACTTAAGCATTTATTATCTGGTTGGTCTAGTAGTAGTGAATTCCCTTAGTCTTTGCTTCTCTGGTAAAAACTTTATTTCTCCTTCATTTATGAAGGATAACTTTGCTGGGTATATTATTCTTTCAGAACATTGAATATATTTTTCCATTCTCACATAGCCTATAAGGTTTCTTTAGAGAAATCTGATGTTAGTCTGATGGGGGGGTTCTTAAATATGAATAGATGCTTTTCTCTCACTGTTTTTGTAATTCTTTAATTGTCTTTGTTGACAGTTTGACTATAATGTATCATGTAGAAGACTTTTTTGGGTAATAGCTATTTGGGGATCTCTGAGTTTCTATATCTGGATGATTAAATATTTTGCTAGACCTCAGAAGTTTTTACCTGTTATTTCACTAAATTGGTTTTCTATGACTTTGGTCTCCTCCTTACCTTCTGGAACACCCAAAATTTGGATATTCGTTTGTTTCATCATGGTCCATATGTCACATAGACTTTTTTCATGCTTTTTTATTCTTCCTTTTTTGTCTGACATAGTAATTTCAAAAGGCTTGTCTTCAGTTCTGAAATTCTTTCTTCTGCTTGATCCAGTCTATTTTTGAAGCTCTAAATGTATTTTTTATTTCATTCATTGAATGCTTCAATTCCCTGATTTCTGTTTGGTTCTTTTTTATGATATCTGTCTCTTTGGTAAATGTATCATCCATATCCCTAATTGATATTCTGATTTATTTGTATTGTTTGTTTGTGTTTTTCTTGTATGTCACTGAGGTTTCTTAAAATCAATATTTTGAATTTTTTTTTTTTTACTTTTATCAATTTATTTTTCATTGTAATCCTTGTAAACATTTCCTTTTTTTTAATGTTTCTTGTCTTTATGTTGTATCTGTGCATTGGTGCAACAGTCACTTTTTCCAAGTTTTTGGATTGGCTTTCATATGAGAAGACTTTTTACTGAAGATGTGTTGATGGTATTGGCTGCATAGGTCACTTCATTTTAGCTTTGTTTTTTTATTTATTTGACTATACACAGAGTCAGTGGTGTCCATGATTTCCTCAGTGTGTTAGTCTGTGGTTTTCATTGGAGGCTGTGGTGAGGTTTTGCTGGGGATGGGGATATCATTTGGGCCAATGTTCAGGCCCCAGTGGTGGCAGCAGTGGGCCAATCATGCCTATCCTTGGGACCCTGGATGGTGAATGTGGGCACCAGTATTAGCAGATCTGAGCTAGTTGATTCTTGGATATTCATGCAGCTTGCTCAGATGCCAGCAGTGGAAGTGGTTGGCCAGGCAGCTGTGTGGGTCCTAGGTCCTCTAGACAGTGTATGTGGCATGGGTGGTGGCAGTAGCAGAGACAGGACAAACTTTGGGCTCCCTAGTGACTCATACTGTTATTAATGGTGTTTGCAGTGGGCTGGGTGGGCCGGTCCCCAGACCCCCAGGAGGCATATTCTACTAGATGATGGCTCCAGTGGTAGCAGCAAACCAGGTAGGCCTGTACTCAGGCCCCTGGGAGAAGTGTGCAGATACCAGCAGTGTTGGATAGTCTAGCACTATCCCCAGGACACTAGACAGTGTGCTCAGGAACTGGGATGGGGGCAGTGCAAGGGAAGGTATGCCTGTTCTGTTTTCCTGGTGATGCGGATGGGTACAGGCTAAGGTGGGCAGTGCAAAGTGATCCTCATTCCCCTTGAAGAATGCTGAGGTGGCAGTAGCAATGATAGCAGTGGAGAAAGCCAGTTTATAGAGAGCATGCAAGTACATAGGAGCCATCCTGCTGAGTGGGGGTGGGTTGCTGTTAGTGGCAATAGACATAAGCAGTTGGCTCTCAGGCTCTGGGGAGTGCACACTTTTATTCCCAGCAGCAGCAGTGGCAGTGAGGATAGCAAACAAATCCAATCTTTGGGATGAGTGCAAGTGTACCATGGCCCTGTTGTGAGGGGTAGCAGGATTGCTGTCAATGGCAGCAGTCACAGACAGGCAGGTTTTATAGGGAGCACATGCTTTGGCTCTCTTTATCTCAGGGGCAGCCTACTCAGTGCACTGCACCACCTTTTCTCTGGGGTTCAGGACACTGTATGCTAGAGTGCTAAATACCCAACTGGGTCCAAGCAGCATCATCCCACTGTAGTCCTCTGGGTGAACACAGGGGAATATCACTGGGGCTCCAGGAATATGGAAAAGCAGGGTCTATTGGGCCCCAGAGAAGAATGCAGTCTGGTGAGGGCTGGATTCTTAAAATGGCAACATAGTGCAGCTGCTTAGGTTTGGGGACTCAGCATGAACTCTCTCTTTGGAGTAATCCCATCATGTGGTCTCCAGGCAGGTCCCTAGTCTAGTCAGAGGCCCTGTGAGGGTTGAGAGACTCTCCTGTCACTAGGGTTGTAGGAGTTCACAGTGGAATGTGGACTTCTGGGGATCTCTCACCATTTCACACACCGGGGAGCCACTCCTGGCTCCCAGCCAACACCAACTGAGTGAGCTGCCTCATTTTCCTCCCCTTCCATGCTTCAGGTATTTCCTGTCATGTTTCTATTCAATTTCAGTGTTCTCTCTTAAATGCACTATTTTAAGCATGCTTACTTATTCATTATTTTGATTGTTCTTTATGGAAAAGGCTAGTTCTGGCTGCCTTCAGTCAGCCATCTTGAAGCCTCCTTCCTTGATTTTTACCTTTGATGTCAATTTTTAGGTGAATCTCTTCTCTAGCTCTAAATTTAATTAAAGAAATATGACTTTGCTTATGGTGATTGTGTAAAACTCATGGAGTTTACATGCTTTACAACAATCCGTGTAGTATTAATATGAAGGTCCCAGAAGGTAGAAAGTAACAATAAAGTTGGTTTTTCTAGAAAAATAGTAGTAAAGTCCATATCTCAAGATGGATTAACTATAAAGCATTATATATGGCATACTATATCTTGACATGGGAATGATATGTTGAAGAATTCATGTTTCTTGCACCCTCTTCAACATCTTAATAAATGACTTGGATTATTATTTTATTTATTTTTTATTTTTTTGAGACAGAGTCTCGCTCTGTTGCCCAGGCTGGAGTGCAGTTGCATGATCTTGGCTCACTGCAACCTCCACTGCCCCAGTTCAAGTGATTCTCCTGCTTCAGCCTCCTGAGTAGCTGGGACTACAGGCATACACCACCATACCCAGCTAATTTTTGTATTTTTAGTAGAGACAGGGTTTCACCATGTTGGTCAGAATGGTCTCGATCTCTTGACCTCATGGTCTGCCCACCTCATCCTCCCAAAGTGCTGGGATTACAGGCATGAACCACCGTGCCTGGGTGGGTTATTATTTTAAAGAAATTTTAAATACTACTAAATTTTTACTCCTTTTCCAAATCCTTTGATAGATTTTTAAATCAAACGCAATGCCAAATTTGCCTTATGTAAGAGTTTAATGTTGTACCAAAACATGATATTTCCATTCCTGTTATTGTCTGATGTATTTTCCCCAGAATGGGAATTTCAAACCTAGAGATGAGTGAGTTTCAATAAAGCTTTCTGGTTAATTTCCATAAGAAATGACAGAGTTAGAACTTCTACACGTCCATCTCAGTGTGGCTATGATTGCACTTTTCCCCAAGCATATGCATGTGTTAGATAACAATGATTACTAGGCCAAAGGAATCATAGCATTTCGTTTCACTCTTAGATGCCTGTTTCTAGGACATGGGGACAACTTAGTAAATAATTAATTACAGTGTGACAGCTACTCCCTTACTTGACAATTACTTTTAAAAAAGGAACTATACTCCTGGATCCTTCTTTAAATAGTTTTCTTAAACTTAAGCCACCTAAATTGTCTATAATGTGATAGGAATGCATGATTCAATCTTAATTACCAAATATATAAGACAGAAGAAAATTTTCTGTTAATCCTAAAAAAAAGAAATATTATTTAGTTATTATTTCTTATTTAGTGTATTGTTTAGTAATAAATGTAACCATTATTCACAATAATTCACACACATATATATTGAAAGGTTTTTAGATTGATTTTCTTCTAAAAAAAATTCCAATCTCTACCAAATCACCATAAATAAAAGTGTAACCACTGAAATATATTGTCTAAATGTCAAGAAAGAAAATAATCATTAATCTACTCCTAATAAATATATAGGATATGATTAGGAATTTGAAATTAAAATTCTAACTTTATCAAATTCTTCTTTAACTTGAAAAAATCATTGCATTTTTCCCACTAGATTTTCTGATTTTGAAGTGATTATATTCATTTATTTAATATGCATTTTTAAAACACTGCCAGTTGATGATCTTATAAATTTTTTCTCAATGTTTACAAAATAGAATGTTTCTGGATTTATAATGATATAGTCTACCAAACTTCAGTTTCTCTTAAAATTGAACTCCTTTTGGCTGGACGGTTTTGCACTGATGATCAGGATGTGTGTGTGTGTGTGTGTGTGTGTGTGTAGGGGGGAGTGTGTGTGTGTGTGTGTAGTGGGGAGTGTGTGTGTGTGTCATAATTTTTAGACCCCATCATTTTCCTATGTAAGGAATATATGGCCATATGAGAGCATATTTCTTAATCATTTAGGTAAACTATTCCTTTCAAAACTCAGGTAAGATAAAAATTAATTTAGGTTGACACCAGATGCTCCAAGGATTAAAGAGCATCGCTTTGCCTAAAACTGGCCCAAAAGGAAATAAATGTGGGAGAGTTTGCTTTCTTTTAAGTTGGAAAGATTTTTTCATGTTTCCAAGCTTCCTAGAAGTTCTGAAGCAGCTATTTGAGAGGAATAGATGAGTATCTTTCTTATTGTTGTTTATTTTTATGTGTAAGGAAGTTTTAAGAACACTGAATGTCCATCAGCATTAGAGTCATTATAAAGAGAAGATGACGTCCATGATGTAGAATATATTTGTAAGATTTGATGATTTTGCTACAAAATTATGCCTATGATTTAATTTTGTTAGTTAAAAAGGAAGTGTATTTCAGGGAATTTGTTTTCTTCTTATAAATTGACAAATCATATGTAAGTTCCTTGAAACCCAGGATAAAAATTGTAAATTAACTCTTCTTAGGTTGTGCCTCAGTTGGTAAGGAAAGCTTTAATTCAACATATTTCACAAGGAAGGCATGACCTTTAGAGAATAGGGTGGTTTAACTGAACCTACTGAATAATAGATTGCATACCGTTGTTTAATTTATTTGCCACCTGTTTCATTCTTATAGTATAATAGGAAAATTAGGATTCCTTCACCACATATGAAACATTTTATACTCTGAATGTTCAAAGGAATATCTCAAATCAGATGAAATCTCAAGAGTTGAAATTAAGGATTAACAAGTGTTCATAACTTTCAAGAAGATTAGATATAAATTCCATGTTAGATATTTTCCTTTACCATTCTCTTTATTATAGTCGCCTTTTATCACAAAAATCTAAACTGAATGGAGAAAAGTCATGCCAAGAATTGCTCAGATCTTCAGTTGTCTTAAAAACAGTAAAAAAAAATTACTTCAATACTTGAAGTTACGTTTTATCTGTCTCAATTAAAAGCCACTGTGCACTTCAATGATAATTGTAATTTTGAATGAAAACAAGAACATCTGTTGGTATCCAGGGTAAAGGACAGTATCTTTGTCAGATATTACTCTTGACTTTTTTGTAAGACAGTGCTCATACCCCACCCCAGTCACTCAAAGTGCACCCACCATACAGATAACTATTTTCACTTTTTCCACAAAGCATGACACATTTTCACACACAAATGTAGTAGGCAGTGGATCAACCTTGGTAAATTATGGACATGTTTGTGATGATATGTCAAATAAATGGGAGGCATATGACTAGAGCTTTTGCTACCTCATTTTGCAGTTCTAAATACCAGGAGACCTCTAGTCCCATCCTAGAATCAGATGTATTCTGTGAGATGCACTCGGGCATATTTGGATTCACCTGGCCTATCAAAGGGACAGGGGTCAGGGCAAGAAGTCCAATATACTTGCAACTAGTTTAGAATTGAGAGCTATAGGATAGCAGGCTCGAAGCATGACCTTACACGTTCAAGTCATAACAAAAGGAAATTTAAAAAAAAAAAGTAGTAGTTCTATCTCTGCAAATTTATCCTGGCATTTAGGATTTGCCTCATGAGATTCTCAGTAACACTGCATCCTGTGAGAGTCCTGAAATGATATGCTCCCTCTCATTAAGCTGCACAGAAAACACAGTGCTTCTTGCAGCAGGTGACCTCCAGCCATCCTGATCAATGCCCGTGAGTGAAACTATCTGCCCAGCCTTTGATATTCTCATTTTCAGCTTCTGTTGATCCAAATAGTAGTCCTAGGAACAGTCTTCAGTCCTGGCAATGATCACTTGTGTATCTTCTCCCATTACTTTGAGGTTATCTGATCTTGGCAGGGTATTTAAAAAAGAGAGAATGAGAAATGCTAGGTAGGAAGCACATTTTAACTTCAAATATTTTCCATTTTCTCTACTTATTCCACAATCCAGAATGTTTTTCCCTGCTATTTGTCAAATTGTCTTCTAGAATTTACTGAAGGATCACTATGAATTCAGCATGCTGACTAAGCAGATTTAAGTATTACCTCTTTGATCCTTTTTACCTATTTAATATTATTCAATTCATTTAACAAACACATAGTTCTTACTATGTATCAGGCAGTACTCAAATTGGTTTACCAATATAGACTCATTTATTCTCACAATAGAACTATGAAATAATTATTTTTCTCAAGTTAGTGATAAGGAAATTGAGGCAGATAAAGAATAAATAGCTTGTCTATCATGTTCAAACAGCTTATAAGTATTGGAACTAGGTTTCAAACCCAGGCCATCAGGCTCCTAGACTATTCTGTTAGCCATTTGATCCAGTGCTCTTATACTGTGCCATAATCTGGCAGTTTTCTCACATATTTCTCCTTGCTACTCAGGACATGACCAACAAATATTAATTAAATTAAAGCTTTTATATGAATATCTTTATTTAGACTATTAACTAGTTCACTTAAAAACTTGGCCAAAATAAATGCTACATTTTGATTAATGTTTAACTTATAATTATATAATGAATCTGTTTTTTTCTATAATACTTATAGATCACTCACCCGTATATTGAGCAACACATAGCTTATTTTAATCATATTTGAAGCCGCATCACCTAGCAGAGAAAGGGCTTAGAATGTATAATAAAGGCTTGTGGTAGCAATGAATATCTAGTAACTTGTGTATGCGTAGTACTCTTTTACTACCAATTTTGACTTCTGTTTGCCAGTTAATGTACTTTAAAAGAAAATTGTTGACTACATTTCTTGCTTTCATGTTTATGTTGAAATTTGATGTGGTTGTTGAACTCACATACATCAAACTTCTGCCAAGTTAAAATCATATTCCCTTTCTCTACAGTATTTCAGAATAAGGGCTATTGATAATTTGGGCTGTTTTTCTCAATTGCATATACAATTTAATTATTCTTTAGGCAAAAAGAGAATTTAGTATGATGGTTTTCTTTTATTTTTAAATCTGTTTTATTCTGCACAAAGTAGTTTGAAAGTAGGAAAATGAACTGCTCTTGTCATAATAAAATACTAAAAATAAAGAGTAAAACTTGTTCCTAAACCACTGTATATTATTTTTGTCCATAGAGATTTTCCTAAAGCCTGATGTCATTACACAGAGATTTTGTTAGGCAATGATACTTTTAACCTCAGGTGTTTTTTTTTTTTAATTTATTATTATTATTATTTTTTTGTCACAGTCAAAAGTGACAGCTACCCTTAAGTGGTATATATTGTCTTTGCATAGGAAAACACCATATCAGGTGCCTTATTACATTAATGATAAGTGCAAATGTTTAAAAAATAAATTGTCAGAAATGCAATAACACTGTTTACCTCTCTAATATTTCTGGTTGGTAGACAGTTTGATCTTTGCCTGGAAAGTTAAAGGCACAGCAAGACTTATTACCTTATTTTCAGATAATATTTTATCTTTCCCACTGAAAAAAGGATAATTCCTTAATTGTAATATTCTAGAATTTTCTATATTCAATGGAAATATTTCTCATTTTGGTATAAATTATACTATGCAGTTAGAAAAATTAAGCAATTCACTCAGTATAGCTTTTTTCTGCTATATGACCAAATTTATATAGTCAGCCTTTCTAGGAATAAGGCAATAAGTTGTTATTTTTATGTGATAAAAATAATGACTTCCATATAACTTAATGTTGAGGTAAATGGAATATTCACTCAAGTAATGAAACCAAGGAATGAAGAGAGATTTAATTATTAGTGAAATTACCTGCAAAACACTAAAGAAAACTCTTCTAATTTTAAAAAGTGTTAGACAACTCTAAAAAGTAGAATCATTTCATACTGAAACAGTTATAAAAAGATAATTTCAATGATTTTAATGTTAGAAAGATACATATTATAAATATAGAGTCTTAATGCAATCTTAATCCACATCCAAAGCAAACATTATTTAAAATATGACAAAAATGTGAAATCTCTCTGGAATAATATAAGGACAAAAAAAATAAGCTAAAAGAATTTTGAGAAGGGAAGGATTTAAGGAAAAACTCAGCATTTCAGTTTTCCTGAGAAATTCAAACAAGGTGTTAAATAGTGTATTAGTCCGAGTTTTCCAGACATAACAAACAGTAGAGCAAGACCGAGCAAGAGAGAGAGAGAGAGAATTTATGAATTAATTAGGGAACTTGGCTTACACAATTATGGAGGTTGAGAAGTCCCACGACAGGCTGTCTACAAGCTGGACACCTTGGGATGCTGGTAGCACCTTTCTGGTACCAAAATATGTATTGGTACCAGCATAGAGAAATAGAAAGATTACAGAGAGAAACACAGAAATAATTTAAAACAGGGCGAACATATATGAGAATTTCAAGTATGATAAAGGTGACCTTTCAATTTATTGAGTGAAAGATGAGTTATTTTATATATTGTGGTAACTGGGGAGCCATTTAAAAAAATAAATTTGGATTCATAAGACACAGCTTTTCCCAGACAAAATTACAAATAAATCAAGGTTTAAAATTTTCAGAAAATATAAGACCACTTTTACGATATTGATTCTTCCTATCCATGAGCATGGAATGTTTTTGCATTTGTTTATGTCCTCTCTTATTTCCTTGAGCAGTGATTTATAGCTCTTCTTGAAGAGGCCCTTCACTTCCCTTGTTAGCTGTATTCCTAGGTATTTTACTGTCTTTGTAGCAGTTGTGAATGGGAGTTCATTTATGATTTGGCTCTCTGCTTGTCTATTGTTGGTGTATACAAATGCTTGTGATTTTTCCACATTGATTTTGTATCCTGAGACTTTGCTGAAGTTTCTTATCAGCTTAAGGAGCTTTTGGGCTGAGACAATGGGGTTTTCTAGACATAGGATAATGTCATCTGCAAACAGAGACAGTTTTGACTTCCTCTCTTCCTATTTGAATACCCTTTATCTCTTTATCTTGCCTGATTGCTGTGGCCAGAACTTCCAATACTATATTGAATAAGAGTAGTGAGAAAGGGCATCCTTGTCTTGTGCCAGTTTTCAAGGAAAGGGGCAATGCTATTCCCATTAAATTACCATTGATGTTCTTCACAAAATTAGGAAAACTACTTTAAAATTCATATGGAACCAAAAAAGAGCTCATATAGCCAAGAAAATCCTAAGCAAAAGAACAAAGCTGGAGGCATCACATTTTCCAACTTCAAACTATACTACAAGGCTACAGTAACCAGAACAGCATGGTACTGGCACAAAAACAAAAACATAGACCAATGGAACAGAATAGAGATCTCAGAAATAAGACCACACATCTATAGCCATCTGATCTTTGATAAACCTGACAAAAACAAGCAATGGGAAAAGGATTCCCTATTTAATAAATAGTGCTGGGAAAACTGCCTATCGATATGCACAAAATTGAAATTGGACCCCTTCCTTACGCCTTATACAAAAATTAACTCAAGATGGATTACAGACTTAAATGTAAAACCTAAAAAAGCCCCAGAAGAAAATGTAGGCAATACCATTCAGGACATAGGCACAGGCAAAGATTTCATGACAGAAACAACAAAAGCAATTGCAACAAAAGCAAAAATTGACAAATGGGGTCCAATTAAACTAAAGAGCTTCTGCACAGAAAAAGAAACTATCATCAGAGTGAACAGAAAGGCTATAGAATGGGAGAAAATTTTTGCAATCTATCCATCTGACAAAGTTCTAATATTTAGAATCTAAAAGGAACTTAAATTTACAAGAAATAAACAACCCCATTAAAAGTGGGCAAAAGACATGAACAGATACTTCTCAAAAGAAGACATTTATCTGGCCAACAAACATCTGAATAAAAGCTCAACATCACTGATCATTACAGAAATGCAGATCCAAACCACAATGAGATACCATCTCATGCCAGTCAGCATGGTGATTATTAAAAAGTCAAGAAAAAACATGCTGGTGAGGCTGTGGAGAAATAGGAACAGTTTTACACTGTTGGTAGGAATGTAAATTAGTTCAACTATTGTGGCAATTCCTCAAAGACCTAGAACCAGAAATACCACTTGACCCAGCAATCCCATTACTGGATATATATCCAAAGGAATATAAATTATTCTATTATAAAGATACATGCACATGTATGTTCATTACAGCGCTATTCACAATAGCAGTGACATGAAATCAACCCAAATGCCCATCAATGATAGACTGGATAAAGAAAATGTGGTACGTATACACCATGGAATACTATGCAGCCATAAAAAGGAATGATAACATGTCCTTTGCAAGGACATAGATGGAGCTGGAAGCCTTTATCCTCAGCAAACTAACACAACAACAGAAAACCAAACACTACATGTTCTCCCTTATAAGTGAGAGCTGAACAATGAGAACACATGGACACAGGGAGGGGAACAACACACACTGGGCCTGTCAGTGGGGATGGGGGGAGCGAGAGCATTAAAATAAATAGCTAATGCCTGTGGGGTTTAATACCTAGGTGATGGGTTGATAGGTACAGCAAACCATCATGGAACACATTTACCTATGTAACAAACCTGCACGTCCTGCACATGTATCCTAGAACTTAAAATTAAATTAAATTTTAAAATTTTCAGAAAATAAAACTGTAAAATTGCCATAAGAAATAAAGGGAAAATATTTTAAATTGTACATAAGCCAACACAAGCAAAGTTTAAAGGCAAAGATAAACTAAAATATAGATGATATAGGTATAAGGGAATATATGGACATACAATGATATATATGAGACTCAGAAAATAAAAAGGCTAAAATTTCCCTAAAATCTGAAAAGGTTTTAAGAATCAAGGAAAATAGACATTCATGCATTGCTGATGGCAATGTGAATTGATAACAACTTCGTAGGTTGGTACCTATCCCTCTATCATGTGTAGGAAGGATACATACAGAAAGACAGTCAAACACATTTATATAAATTATCAGTGCATTGTTTGAAGAGGGGAAACAATGTAATCAACTATGTCAGGGCCCTCTTTTTTTTTTTTTTTTTTTTAAAGTGTTCCTCTTATCTATTGAAATTACCTGAGCATTCTCCACTTGACGGTTTTCTCTCCAGACCTGCCCTTAAGGCACAATACAAGTACTAGGGCATTAGCACTCTGGGAAGACCCCAGCAGGGAGAAATGGAAGTGTGAGGATAGCATCCCCAGCTTCCTAACCTCAGCAGTCAGTGGTCTCTAACACACCCTGTTCTGATTTCCTTCCCCTTCCTCTTACTTTCCCATAACCTTGCAGGGTCCCTCCCAGTGAACCACAGAAACAAGAGTCCTTGTCTAGGTATCTGCTTCTCAGGAAACACAACATAAAATGCTGGATGTACAGGAAACAAGCAAGAGAGAAGTTTCTCACAGTAGTTTCTGTTCCTTTCAATTTCAAATATATTACTATTAAAAATTCAAATATCGCATGCTAGGAATTGGTTTATAGGACTAGGCACATTAATATCCTGAGCTCTAGGAACTACCTTTTGGAATTTGGGCATCCCCCTAAAATACGGCCTACCAGTTATGTAAAAAAAATTTTTTTTGAAGTAGGTTATTTCCACAAATGACTCATTTGTCACCTACATTTTTTTTTTTTTTACATGTTAGAGAAGACTTATCCTTCAGCTTTGAGGTCAAATTTTGCTGTTACCTTATGTATTGATTTTATTTCCCTCCCTGTATTTTGTAAATAAAATGTTGGTGACAGTTGCCTAATCTAACATCAAATTGAGCTATGAAGTATTTGTTATAAATTTATTCTAGTAGCCAAGCTCATCTAATTAACTCTTTCTCTGCATATTCCTAACAATGCATTTTATTTTAGAAATATCTGGTTATATCTAGTTATTTAAGGACCTATGGCTTCTGCACATCTTTTCACTACCAGTTTGGATGCCATTTTCCTCATCCCCGCCCACTCTTCTAGAGATAAGTCAATTTAAACTTCAGGGACTTCACAAGGTCTCAATTGATGAAATTCCATACAATAGAGCTGGGGTCAGATGCCCCAGATTCAAATTCTAATCTCACCACTAGTAAGTGGCCTGTAAAACACTGTGCACAAATGTAACCTGAACGTGCCTCAGAGAGTCATAGTATTAACTATGAGGAAGATGATGATAATGAGAATGTGTCATTGGGCTATTTTTATCATGTGTTGTACATGTCAGATTCCCCATCAGAATATAATACATAAATTTACCTGTACTTAGCTGTCATATGAGCTCTGACAGAACTGAGATACGTATTTTAGTTTTAGTTTGGAGATGCCAGGAAATACTAGTTTTGTCTTTACATTTTGTTGCCTTTTTTTTTTTCTTTAAAGGTGATGTCTACTCTTAGAGTCAGATTTATGGCACTTTTTCTGTATTTAAGATGAATCTCCATATCTTCAATAATTTTGTTTCATTTGAAAATATAGTCTGTGTGTTTCAGACAAAAAAAAATATATATATACACCACATGGGTAGTGTTAAATGGCATGCTTGAATTTTACATCTGTGAAATTCTACTAATTCCACTAATTATTTTATTCTACATTTCAAAC
Source organism: Homo sapiens (assembly GCF_000001405.40). Classification (NCBI taxonomy): domain Eukaryota; kingdom Metazoa; phylum Chordata; class Mammalia; order Primates; family Hominidae; genus Homo; species Homo sapiens. Next base: position 97,307,852 of record NC_000003.12, read on the forward strand.
TATCTCTCTCTACCAAGTTTCAAACTGAGATTTTCAACTGCACATGCTAATCTATATTTATCATAGACAACATAAACTCAGCATTTCCAAAATTTTACTCAAGATAGTCTCTTCTTCTCTCCCATCAACCTTTTTTTTTGTGTTCCTTTCATATCCTTTTTCTATGTTGCTGTCAATACTATACACACAGCCCTCAACCTGGGATCTATCTTTAACTCCTTATATTCATTAATGCTTCCAAAAACTCATCAGTCGTCACCTCTTGATGATTTTACAAATTGTGTTTTAAATTATGTCCCTGGCTTTCCCTTTTCTAATTCCACTAATTTCCTTAACTCAAGCCATGATTATTTCTCATCTGTATGATTATAGTAATCGGCTATAATCCCATTTTCCATTGTTACTCATCTCTCCCCAAACTGCCTTGGTGAAATTATAATCCTGTAATCATATTCTTTAAAATCTCTCCGTAGGGAACCCACCACCTATAAAAGAAAGATTGGAGTACTCAACATAGCAAGCAAGTTTCTCTGAAATTTTGCCTTTCTATCTCTGTAGACAAATCCTAATGTTCTTCCATTCCTTCTACTTTACAAATTAGTACTACTGAGTAAATTTGTAGCTACTTCTAGCACTATGCTGTTGTTGTCAATTCACATATCTATTCTCTTTGTGCAGAATTTCTTTCACCATCTTATCCCTCTATTAACTCCTAATTATCTTTCAAAAATCCAACTGAAGTTTAACATCTGTGATATCTTCATTGTTCCACACAGAAAAATAAAATGAATACTCCCTCTCTGTACTCTGCAACAGAAACTTCATATGCTAACCTCTGCTACAGAATTTATTTCGCTATTTTATCACTGGTAGTTTGAATGTCTAACAAACCTACTGTAATATTAGTAAGTTATAGATAGCAATTATTCATTATTTGAGCACTACATTCTACCCGAGTATGGCACATCATGTGCACTCAATGAATAATTCTTAATCTGAACTGAACTGTAAACCACAGTACTTTGACTCCTTCAGACCCATGAGGTCAGACACAACTTTCAGTGAAATAAATCACAGCATATGTGAGTTTAAATCACTATATAAAAGTATATCTCACTTATCCTCTTGATATTTTGCTTTTGTTATTTTCTACAGGAGAATTAAAAACAAAACAACTGCATAATAACAAAGACAACATATCCTTGAATGATTGATTTATGGATGTGGTCTTTATTTTGTATATGCTTTCTAAATTCAGTTCAGAAATTATAAAGAAAGCAAGATGTAAAATTTTAGTCAACTTATAAAATGTATTGTAAAACAATTTTTAATATTATTTCTAACACAGTCTGACTATTTTATGTGTTATAGACACATAAAAATAACATTTAAAGTTATTTTTCCCCCAACACTGTCTTAATTTATTGGAAAGAACACTGGACAATTTACTGTTTACTTGTCCATTAAAACCAGTGCAAGGCACTCTTAGTTTCCCAATCATTTAATTGGTATGATATTGTACAAGAAATTTTTAATGATTCAAATTTAGTAATAGACATTAAAATAATTGGATACCTCCAAAACTAAATATCAACTATTTAGTAATATGTGTTAAGCATTTAAATATAAATGAGGAAGTATAAAACTCTAATATGAAAATGGCTTATTATACTTAGAAAATATTTTTATAACAGAAATCAAATAGTTAACTATATACTGATAATAGTTACTGAATTAATTTAAAAATTGGTAGTTTACTGGTAACATATTTAAGTACTACTTACATCTTTAATTATCTTTTTTATTTCTTTATTCCCGAAGCTACTCCACTAATTAGAAGATACATTTTAGTATAATTTCTGTAATACTCAGTGTAAGTACTCAGAAAAAAGTATAATCAGCAAATACATTTTGACAGAATGAGACCCTGGGGAAAATGTCTAATAAAATTTATGATGAACAAACAAAATGTTTTTAGTAACCACCTTTGTAATTTAAAAACAATAAAACAAAATTAGAAGATGAGCATTTTTCAAAGTTGTTGACTTAACTGTTTACAGTAACCACTATAAGTCACTGAATTACTTTATAATAACTTTGAACTATCAAATAATAACTAACAATAATATTGTGAAGTTTCACGAATACATCTGTGAACACTATTATTTATCCTAAAGATTCATTAATAAATCTTTAGAAAACAGGTTGATTATATAACTCTTTTGGTTAAAAGACTTCCGTGGCCTTTTTCAAAATAAAGCCAAAATCTTTATCCCTCACTCCCACCCCCACAACTCCTCTCTTTCTACATTTTCAATACTATATTGGTTAGAAGTGTTTGTATTGCAAATGTCAGAAAAACCCAACTCAAATAAGTTTATTCAATAAAAGAAATACTTTCTTACAGAGGATTTGCTGGCAGGCAATGGGTGTTGTGAAAGACGTTACTGAACACACATCAACTTGGAAAAGCCATTTCAATTTGGAAAAGGCAGCCTCTACGGACCACTGAGAACCACTAAAATATTTGGGAAAGAGACTGAGATGAAAATGAATTTCATGAAGTATACCTGAGTCTCGAATAATGGGGAAGCTCAATGTAAGCATGATTGATTTTCACCTGTGGGGTATTTGAGAACAACATGTATGATTTTGATCTTCATTATTGCCCTCAAAATTGATGCTCAAAAATATGATTATAGGCAAAAAAAAAAGAGTCTGGTCACACTACCTTGGTTGTTACTGCTAGTGGTGGTAAATTTGAAGTCAGTTATCTCAAATGAGAGAAAGAGCATTGACATACCCTTCCAGCTTAAACATAGTAAGTCCTCAACAAGTGCTGATCCTCAGATGAATTTTTAATGGATCCTCTCTCAACTAGATTATAACTTAAATTATTGGCATCTAAAGTGTCCGTCAAGTGTTTTAAATATATAAATTATTCCATAAATATTAACTGTTTGTTATTCCTTGAAATAGCTTAAGCAACGAATCTGCCAAACTCTTTGAGATTCATTTGTATGGTACAATGAAGATTACAAAAATCCATGTTCTTTGTACAGCTAACCCTGATATCTTTCTTGTAAAGTATCCACTTCCTAACACACAAACAGTAGGTACCTAGCTATCCTTTCCCACCTGGAGACAGCTTGATCAACCTGATGAGTAACATAGAAGGAGAGGTGGTATTAGGTGCCATGGGACTAGCTGCCTTCCCAATTCTGGTAAGTTAGTGTTTTTTGCAAGTCTGGATGCTGAAGTGCCAAAACTTGAAAAATATTTCCTCTATTTCTCTTCTCCATGCTGAAACATGGAAGTATTGATGTTACATAAAGTCTATTTCTTGAAGACAGGAACTCTTGCAACCTAAAACACTTTTCTCTTGGATAAAGGTGTTAAAATGGATGAATCTAAGCAAAATTTCAAATACATCTTTGAAGTTCTGTCATTATCCTGTTACATTCCCTCTCTAACCTTGTTTGTAGTTCCTCAAGCTCTAGCTGTTGTCTCTGGCTGCCCTAATCTCTCTAAAGACTTGACCATACACAGCCTCTTGCACTCTGAACCAAATCATCATTTGGATTACACTTTCACACACACACACACACACACACACACACACACGTTTGCTCTGGGTCAATATTTTGATTTGTTTTTTGTATGCAGATATCAAGTTGCTCCAGCACCATTTACCTTTTCTTTCCCTTTTTGAATTGCATTGGCAACTTCAAAGAAATTTAAAAATTCAAATGACTGGATTGTATTTAGAATCTATTGTATTCCATTGATTCGTTTATCTTTCCTCATTCAATACCACACTGACTTTATTACTGTGGCTTTATTATAAGTTTTGAAATCCAAAGGAATATTTCTACAATCTTGGTTCTTCTTTTTGAGATCTGTTTGGCTATTCCAAGTCCTTTACAATTTTTTATTTGTCTTAGAGTAAGATTTTCAAAACAAAACAAAATATATTGTTCAAAACAAAACAATAATAAACAAAACAGCAAAAGAAACACCCACTAGAATTTTGAATGAGAATACACCGGATTTATAACTCAATTTAGGGAGAATTAATATCTCAACAATATTTAGTCTTCCAATCACTATAGTTCATTTCTCCACATACTTAGAGTGTAATTTTTCTTAGCAATGTTTTGTATATTTAATGTTGAGATCTCACTCATTTTTATTTGTTTCTACCTAATGATTCCATTATTTCATTTCCAATTCTTTGTTGCTAGCATATAGAAATACAACAGATTTTTGCACATGAACCTTGTATCCTTCAACTTTACTAGATTCATTTATAAATTCTAAAATGTATAAGATCCTTTTATTTTTTCCCGTGTACACAATTATTCCATCTGCAAATAAAGATGGGTATATATCTTCCTTTCTAATTTTATGCCTTATTATTTTCATGACCTATTATACCAACTAGGACCTCCAATAAAATAGAGAACAGATGTAGTGATAGTGGACATCCATGCTATAGTCCTGATTTGCGTGGAGTGGAGAACACGATTAAGTATGATACAGGTTGAGCATTTTTAATCTGAAAATCTAAAATCCAAAATTCAAAACTGTTTGAGTTCCAACATAATCCTCAAAGAAAATGCACTGGAACATTTTGGATTTCAGGTTTTTCATATTAGGGATGTTCAACCAGTTAAGTATCTGCAAATATTTCAAAATCTAAAGAAGTCTGAAATCCAAAACACTTCTGGTCCCAATCATTTTGGATAAGGGATAATCAATCTATATACATATTTTATACGTATCCTTTATCAAATTGGATTGAAGAAGTTTCCTCCTATGCATAGTTTTTTTTTAAATAAATGGAGTGGGATTTTATCCATTTCTTTTTCTGCATTTATTGATATAATTATACAAGTTTTTTTTTCTCTAATATTCTGTGGTCACATTTTTTTTGCTTTTTGAATCCTAACCTGGCATTTCTGATTTTTGAATGTTAAACCAACATTTTATTTCAGGAAGAAACTCCCAGTTAGTTGTGATAAGTAACAAATCCATCATCTCACCAACTTATTTCCTTTGTAGTGAGAATATTAAAAATCTATTATTTTAGCAATGTTTACATATACATTATTATTAACTGTGGTCACTATGCTTAATAATAGATTACTAAGGTTTATCTTGCCAGTCTGTGTGAAACTTTGTACCCTCTGATCAACATCTCTTACTTCCCTGTCCTTCCCTGTCTCCCCTCAGCTACTGGTTACCAACTTTCTACTCTCTATTTCGATGAGATCAATATTTTTACATTTTACATATAAGTGAGATTATATGGTATTTGTGTTTCTTTGTCTGGCTTATTTCACTTAGTTTAATGCCCTCCAGTTCTAATTATCTTCTTTTTAAGGCTATATAGTATTCCATTGTATATATACCACATTTTCTTTATCCATTCATCTGTTGATGGATATTTAGGTTCCTTCCATATCCTGGTTATTATGAATAATGCTGAAATGAACATGGGAGTGCAGACACCTCTTCATCAAACAGATTTCAGTTCCTTTGGATATATGCTCAGAAGTGGGATTGTTGGGGTAATTCTACTTTTAGGTTTTGAGGAACCTCCATAGTATTTTCTAATATACCCGTACTAATTTTCATTCCCACAAACATTGTACAAGGGTTCCTTTTTTCCACATCTTTGCCAACACTTGTTATCTTTAGTCTGCTTTTGATACTAACCATTTTAACAGGTGTGAGGTGATATCTCTTTGTGACTTTAATTTGCATTAATTTGGCAATTAGAGGTTTTGAGCATTTTTCATGTATCTTGGACATTTGTATGTCTTCTTTTGAGAAATGCCTGTTGAAATCCTTTGCTCATTTTAAAATTGTTTGTTTTCTTGCTTTTGAGTTGATACGTTCCTTATAATATTTTGACTATTAGCCCCTTAACAGAGGTATTCTTTGCAAATATTTTCTTCTAATCACTGGATTGTCTCTTCACTCTATTCGTTATTTCCTTTGCTGTGCAGAAAAAGCTTTTCAGTAGGATGAAATCCAACTTGCCTATTTCTTGCTTTTGTTGCTCATGCTTTTGGAGTCCTATTCAAGAAATCATTGCCCAGACCAATGTCATGGAGCTTTCTTCCTATGTTTTCTTCTAATACCATTAGTTTCAGGTCTTACATGTAAGTCTTTTATCCAGTTTGAGTTGAGTTTTTATATAATGTTAGTAAGGGTTCAGTTTCATTCTAATGCATGTAAATATCCAGTTTGCCAACACCATTTATTGAAGAGACTGTCCTTTCTCCATTGTGTATTCTTGGCACCTTTGTCAAAAATTAATTGACCGTAAACATGGTGTTTATTTCTGGGCTTTCTATTCTTTCCTATTGGCCAGTGTATCATTTTTATGCCAGTACCTTGCTGTTTTGATTACAGTAGCTTTATAATCAGGGAGTGCAGTGTTTTCAGCTTTGTTCTTTTTGCTTAGGATTGCTTTGGCTATTTGGAGTCTCTTCTGGATCCATATGAGTTTTAAGATGCTACTTTTGTCTAACTAGGAGTATTGTATGAAAGTTGGGGAATGTTAGAATTCAGTAATTGAGAAGAATAATCAAACTCACTAGAAACCATTCTAAGGATTATAATCAATGTCTTAGATTTTCAGCAAGGGATTTTTCATGCTGAAATTTACTTCTTGGTTTAGGGTATCTAAAAGCTGAATAGCTGAAACCACCAGCATCCACTAAAAATCTTCATTCTGAATCACAATCTCAAATACAAGACAGGTAACATTTTTATAAGCAAGAGAATAAATTCTAAAATGTTTATAAAAAGTTGATGGGAAGAAACAAATTAAGTAGAAGAAAGAAATCAAGTAGACATTAGGGAAGCAGAAGGAGTAGGAAGGAAGATAGAAGTTAAGTTGAAGATGGTCAAAATTAGATAATGAAAGGTTGATGAGAACAGTTTGGAACCCTAGCCTAAACTTATTGACACATACTAGTCATCAATATCACACATATCATATATGCCAAGTCTTCAAATCACTATCACCAGCTGCATCTTTATCTAGCAAGAGGTGTTTCATTGGCAGCACAGAACAAAATACGTCATAGATACAAAGCATTCTACAACGATGAAAATCACCACTTCAAAAGTCAGAGTGTTTTCAACTTCTGGTTGAACACTTACTGTAGTAGAAATAAATAAATCAGTATGGATCAGCCTGGCTGTATTTTAAGAAAAAAAAGTTCTCTCTGCAGAAGATTGCAAATATAGGGATAAATTATAATTCCAATGATCTTTTACTAGTGTTGTGGATGAAATCTTATAGATGCAGATATTTTAAAAACAATATAGGTTGCCATCTAAGAAACTGACACCTAGATATAGCACACTATCCACTTTCCACATCACTTTTTTACAGTTTAAAATTAGGGATCACGAGAAATAAAGTTTGTGTAAAGGAACAGAAAAGACTGCACAGCAATATGCCTGTTGAATTTAATTGTTTCGCATAAAGTCGTGGCATAACAACATAAAATACAATTATACACTTAAATTTCTTGCCCCTCCCTAATAAGATGACTTTTAAATATCTTCACGGATCTCAGAAAAAGAAGTGTGAATAGTGAGTGTGGCCCACTCTGTCATAAAACTTGTCTATGAAGAGAAAGGATGATAGACAAGGGGAAGAAGTAGAATCAAATAATTTGAAATATAGGAGGCATGTTATTTAGATATAATTTAGCAAACTTTCATTTACACGTGATGTTTCTTAAAAGTGGCTTTGAAAACTGGGGGAAAAGGAGAAATTTTTAGTGAAATTTTCTTATTGGTGTAAAGTCATATGCACAGAGCTATTCAAAACATAAAAAAGCTTCAGTATATAATTACACCATTTAATTCTTTAACAAGTCTATGAAATGTTTGTTATTACCATTTCACAGATTTGGAAACTGAGGTTCACACACTGGAAAGTGCAAGAGCCAGTATTTAACTCAGATCTTCTTATTTCACACACTGTGTTCTTCACACCATCATGTGCACCTTTCTATAAGTTTGTATAGAATTTCAAAACAAACTGCAATCAAAATGCTATCCCATAAAGCTATCTTTCATTAAAGTCAGGCCTGTTAGAGCTGTGTCTACGTAAAAAGGCTTATGGAAATTTATTTGCTCAAACATATAGCTAATGGGTTGTATGTAATTAATGATTCTCAAACATTATTTAGAACCCTTAAATTATTGTGTCATATTAAATGATTTTAAAATGAAATAATAATGCAACAATTGACTAAGTTTTATCAAATATATTTCCCTCAAGATATGGGAGAATATGAGCTGTCTTCCTAGCTAGCTATTTCACTTAAACCAAAACAGACAGATCAAGAATTACACAATAATTGGACCAAAATCACTGTAGGCTTGCTGAAGAAAAAATAATAATATTGGCAATTGGCAACTTTTATTTTAGACAATTAAATAAAAAGTCTTAAGATGAAAACACTCTCTGATTAGATGTGCTCATATGCATTACATTGTGACCCCTGCCCAGGAACACCAATCAAGAAGATGAAATAAATAGTGTTCCACATGCAAGGAGAAACCTCACAGAGAAGGCATCTTTCCAGGGATTGCTGCGTTTTCTGAAGTGTCATGTGTTATTTATTCTGATGATCCCCTTAAGAGCATAGTGTTATAATCCATACCCTGATGCTATAAAACGTGTTTGATGATTCAGATTCAAGTATATAAATATTGGAATGACCTAGCAAATTTATGTCATTTATTTTTAGATTCAGGTTTCTTTACTTACATCAGAACTATTGACATTTTTCAGCTAAAATGCCAACTCTAATGTGAAATCAACTTTGTTTCTAGTTTGATTTTACAAGTAGTTTTATGTTAACAATTGGATAAATACCAGAAAAATGAGAATTTCCCAAACATTTTGGGAAGTAATCAGTAAAGCTTTCATTAAAGTAAAAATATTAATAATCTAAACAGTTTCTTACTGGATTCCAAAAGTCAAGAAGAGCCCAGATGTTGTTAATTAGCTGTATGATCTTGGAAAATTTTGTAAACTTTTTGGCCCTCAGTTGTTTCATCTCTGAAATGAAAGATATTAATAAATAAATTTTAAAAAGATAATATTTACCTATGTACTAACTCTTTGACTCAATATGCTTTTAATTAACTTAATACAATACCAAGTTATAATTACTTAAAACAACACATATATGTCTTTTCAACTTGAATAGTACTTATTGTTGCCATCTCAGGATTGGAAGAGAAAAAAAAAAAGAAAATGTGATGATGGAAAGGCCAACTGTGTCACTGTCAGCCCTGTTATGGTTTTCTGCAGGAAAAGTATATCTCCCAAAAGAAGATCAACAAAATCCATGATGTCAATGGTTGGAACTACTGAAGATGACTAGTATTGCAGCACTTTCCTCTCATTCAGTTCTTCTAAGAGTTCAATGATAAGAGATACTACATAACTATAAGTTCTCTTTTGCCCTGATGTGTAACCCAACCACAGGGATGTTTTAATAAACTACAAAAAAAGTGTTTAATTTTAATTCCATGGCAAACACTATTTTAAACTCATTGTTATCATGGTAGTCATGATAATAGAGTAACAAAATTTATCCTGGAAGTTATAGTTTTATGATTGTTTTCCCATTTCCTTTTTTGTTTCGATATACCCTTCAGATTGGACTGATAGTAGATTGTTTTACAAACTTGTAACTTTGGGCTATTTTTATAATCATCATTATGCATGGAGTTTTTTTTTAATTTGTGACTTCGTGAAACTAAATTCTATAATGATCTTAGCTATTGCTAATGCACAGTCTGACATTCATCCAAAGAATCCTTCAGGACCTATAGTGGGAGATGAGATAATTAAGCATAGAAATTTCTGGGTCTTCTGTGGTTTCTAGAACTGCATGGTGCTGGGCATTCCCAGTGCACAAGGAGACAGGTACAGGGCAACATGGAATCCCAAAGAGCAATTCACACAGAAGCTGGAGAAGAACTGTTGGTTATAAGGAGTGTTAAGTGGAAAGGGGACTAGAGGATTACATTTGCTTTGCCAGTGGGGAGACTTAAATTGAGCATTTTCAGAAAGTTTTTCTGAAAATTACTTCTTCCTGCATGCAAAGGACCTAAGAGCCAGAGTACTAGGTTTCAGTGTATGGATACATAATTGAGAATTTAGAAACAATTAGGAGCTCAGGTCTGTTTGGGAGAAATACATAAATCTATAGAGGGATCACAGGCTGTAACTGAAACACAATTAAGCCATCATGAAACATTTTAACGTTAAAGTCCAGAATCATTTTAAAACTGAAAACGTAAAGATGACAACTATAGGAGGACATGTGACCTGGAATTGGAAGACTCCTAAAAAACCTAACCAGAAATCTTCACTGATGAAGAATTTGAAGTTTAGATCATTTAAAGAACTTGCTTAAAATCATCTAGCAATGTAAAAGCAGAGATCCAGCTAAATATTCTCCTAATGTCTCAGTTGTTCTAGTTGGAACTTAGCCTCTGGTGCCCACCTATCGAACTCTGTGTTTCTTTTCACACTTGGTGTTCTTGAACAAGTAGATTTTAATCACTGTTACCAGTTCTTGAAGATATTCTGGCTTCTCATCTTCTCAGGCAACTGAAACTCTTCTTGTTAAGGTCTCCTATTACCACTCTTTTGCTAATTTAATATATATTTTTCAGTTACTACCTTATTTGACCATGCTGCATGAAACAAAAATCTAATTTAAAAGGAATGATGTGCACAGCAGAGTCTGGATTTCTCACATCCTCCTTAATTCTCTGAACTCACTATTTCTTTATTAAAGAATAAAGAAATATTCTTTATGATAACATGAGCTGTCCATGGTATTATATAAATATTATAACTAACAGATGGCTTTAAAGTTAACCAGCAAAATTGAGTAACTATAATCCTTTGATAAAATATCACAGTTTTGATAACTTCAGTGGTTTCTTTCAAGTGAACATTTATTGAGATTCCTTCTATTTATTGTTATTTATGCAAGTTATTTATGTAAAAAAAAATGAACAACATTCCAATAGTAGAATTTGTTTCTCAAGAATAATAAATAGAAAAGGGAAGTGACTTCAGTAAGTTGTATGATTTCAAACTTGACAAAATTAAATGATCCAAGGTTGATGTCAATCTGTTCCTTTATATTGAGAGTTCTTAGAGAAATTCTCTTACGACATCACTTGTACTTTTATCATGAGAGACACTTCCATATATATAATTTATTCATTTTTTGCTTCAGTTTAAAACCATTTATCTAGTTGTGTCTTCTGTGAAAGAAGAGAATGGCTCAATTCTTTCCTTACAGTAAAATTTTAGTTCAATGGTAATTTTAAGATAATTCTAATTTTTAATATTTAATCATTTCAGTATTTTAGACCTTTTCAGCATTGACATGGCATTGTTTTTCCTTTCAAATGTGGAATCAAAAATTGTGTATACTACCTTACTTTTTAAAAGACCGAAAAAATATCTGGCACAGTGGCTCATGCCTGTAATCCCAGCACTTTGGGAGGCTGAGGTGGGCGGAGCATTTGAGGTCAGGAGTTCGAGACCAGCCTGACCAACATGGTGAAAACCCATCTCTACTAAAAATGCAAAAAAATTAGCCAGATATGGTGGCCCACATCTGTAATCCCAACTACTTGGAAGGCTGAGGCAGGAGAGTCGCTTGAACCCAGGAAGCAGAGGTTGCAGTGAGCCCAGATTGCCTCACTGCACTCCAGCCTGGGCGACAGAGCGAGATTGTCTCAAAAAAAAAAAAACAAAAAACAAAAAAAAAACAACACCAAAAAACAAAACAAAACGAAAAAAACAGGAAAAATATATAAAGCCTCCATTTTTTCTTAATATTACTGAAAGTATTTCTATATCCCGAGCTAGTCTAAAGTAAAGTATATCTTTTAGGTAAAATTAATGACACAATTAAAACTTTTAAATACTGAGTACAAAGTGCAACTCTACTAGTTATGTCATAACTGTAGGGGTAGTTTTAGAATTCAGACAAGCAGTTAGTTATCTGAAAATGTTTGATATCTGTGGAACATCAATGCATTTCACAAAATCTCACTTTAAAAACTCTCTCTAAAATCAAGAATTAAAGACCTGCTTCGTTCTCTCCTCACCCTCTTTCTTTATCTATTTCTTCTTCTCTGTTTTCAATATTCTCTTTCAGTATTGGCATAGGTTTACAATCTTAACCACACACTGTCAGTATCTATTACTCTCAGTATATAAAATTTTATCTTATTTTAGCCAGAGAACACAGAAATAGACAGTTAGTATAACACAATAAATTTTTATTAGTGAACTAATTCTCCAGGCTAAGACTGGGATATTGTTAAGGTTTTCTACCTTCCATGACATCCTGCTATGCTATAAACAGATGCATTTTAAGGAATGAAAAATTTATATGTTTATTTTTTTTTTCCTTTCTGTGTGGTAAAACCTTATTTTTATAAAATAAAAGGCAAATCATGAAGAAATGTAATTGGGGGTCTGAAATACACCAGATGACTAACCTCATGGCAAATCTTTTCTGAATGCTCTGGAGTGGAGTAAAGGTTCAAACTTTTTTCTTGAGAGAGGGAATGAGGAATATGATAGCTGCAGAGAAACATGTTATCATTTCCCTTCCTCCTTCCACAGAGAAATAAAAGGTCTCCTCATCCAAATCATGTTTTAGACTGCATAGGTCCCCAAGACTTATGTTTGTGGGAGGTGTGGAAGAGGATCCAGCACAGTCTGTGATTCTGCTGAGGTATAGCAGAAAATTGGGATAGGCAGAGAAATGACACTCCTTTGGACCAAAGTGATGCTTCTTATTTTCTGGCATTAGAAACCTGTTTCTGACCTTGATGGGGCAGCTTATTTACTACATCGTTCTGTGTTCTCTGGGGGCAAAAAATAAAAAAAATAAAAAAAAAGGGATGAATTTAATTACATCCTAATTACATCCTTGTCAAGAGGTAATTCCATCTCAAAAATTAATTTTCAGTGCTTTGGAGTTATTGCACATTAAAAAATATTGTCACACAAAAAACATGGGTGGCCTGTCACAAACATTATGAAACTATTGACCTTACATAGCTTCATCTGCACAACTATTGATTTTTTTCTGTCTTTATTTTGACCTTTCATATGATTTCATCTAAGATTCATCACGGTGGAAATGTCAGGTTTAAGGGTATGCTTTTATTGTTTGGGGAGAGCAATCTTGGAAATGGTTTACTACTTATCTATTTGAGGCAGTAGGCTGGATTCATCAATGCTGAAATGATTCAGCATCAAGTTATCATACTTATTTTTCCAGAGGCTTCCAGATTGCTCTTTTTTCCCCCAAAAGTAAATTGGGTTGTCACTTTGGGTTTTAGATGCCAATAATTCTTTAACTGGGCTGTAAAACACTAAGCCCATGAATACTTTTAATTTGAGGTTTTCCTGGGCTCTGAGTGATACAATGACCTCAATATAGTTTCTGCTAGTCGGGAAGGTGATGGGAGCAATAACACATATATTCAAATCAATTACTGGATATTTTCAGAAATCAATATGCAATTTATTAATGTAATTTTATCATTTAAATAAATTATCTTGTCCAAATTTTCAAACTAGAGTCTTCCTATTTTCCTTTCCCCCTACCCTTACTACCTTGGGAGACAAATAGAGTTTTAAAAACCCCCAATGGGTCTGTGACCCAAATATCATCTGAAAATCTATCTCTCTTTTGCTTGGTTAGCTTTTTTAAAGTGACATTTACAGTGTGTAAAAAAAAAATAAACCAGGGACTTCTATTGAATTGTGAATAATTTAAGTGTAAATAGACTGACTTTTATTAGTATAAAAATTGGAAGAAGAGTCAACAAATTATTTGTTAACTATAGACTAGCTTCAAAGCAGCCAACAGCTGTTAAAAATCATATTTCCAGGCAGGACAGGCTATCTTAATTTTCAAGGCTCAGTGTAAAATGAAAAGGCGGAGCTCTTTATTCAAATGTTATTAAGAATGTTAAGACAACAGCAAACTTTAAGTGCAAGGCACTTCTAAGCATGAGGTGTGGTGTGACTACACAGGTTTCATGTTCATGAATCTGGCCCTGTTTCCAGGTCCTAGCTATGAAAATTTAACGTTGTAATTTTATTTGCTGATGAAGAAGAACAGACTTTCTCAAACTACTGGTTTTCCTTTCTAAAGAAAGCAACTTTAAACTGAGATGATCCATATACAGATCACTAAAATGTCATTAGTTAAGTAAAATTAACAAAAAATGTTTAGATGCTAAGCTATGCAAAATATCATTTTGCTTGACTATTTGTTTTTTAAGCCTCTGAGTTAGAGAAATATTTTGAATTTTGTACCACTAGCTAAAGTAAAAATGAAATAAAAGACAGTTAATTACATTTCGTCATTCCTATACCCACATTTCCTGTTTATGGAAGGCAAACTCAGAAGCTTCAAGTATCTCTCCATCTGTCAGCAGATTTGCAGAGAAAAGTACTGCTAATGAAAATGGCAGTACACACAAGGTGACCTTTAGAAGTTACCCACTATTCTCAAAATGACACTGCTTTCCATGGCAAATAAGAAACTATGATCTGGGTTTCGTGTTTGCAAGCACTGGTTATCAAAGCAGCAATAATTGATTTTAAAGGAAAGAAAGCATTACAGTATGATTTATATCATTTATTAATGAAACATTTTCCTATTGGCTGGAAAAAATATTCCTAGAAAATATCATGCTATAAAAAAACAAGATTTATTCTGTATGATTCTTGAATTCTAAATATTTGCAGTAATTTAAAACCAAGTCACTGTACTAAAATGCAATTACATTTTTAGTGGCATACTTTTTTCCTTTTTAATTGAATGGAAAAACTAAGACTTTAAAAAAATCTATAATGTTTTAATTATGGTATTTGATTCAGTGAGGAACAATCCTCCTAACGAGAGCTGACCTATATAGTGACATTGCCTAGTATATTATTTAATCAAATTTTTCCTTCAATTCCAGCACTTACTACTTCCATTTACATATTCAAAGCAGATGCTTTTATGCTAGCATGTATATTAATGTTAATTGAAGTTATTCAGGTGGATGACAAAGAAAATTGGACCCCTTAGGGTATCCTCTTCCCTTGTAGTTAAGAAAAATCTGTGTATCTAAATTTGAACAAAATACTCTACACCACATGTCATTATACATTTTCTAAGCATTTAATCATGCTACTGAGAATGTCTCTGACAAGATATATGTTTCATATGTTTCATCTGACATAATGAACTGGTTTTTTTTTAAAAAGTTCTGCATAAATTCTGAAATGTAATTTTGACTATAAAATTATAAGGAAAATAGTTTATTACTTTTTTGAGAATAATTTTATTCTGACAAAAGAAGTAAATACAAGGTAGGAAAAAGGTATATGCATATAAGAGAAAAAACTAAATAAATATATAGGTGAAAAACTATTAAACCGATGTGAGTTATCAGTTCATAGAATAAAGCATATATACTTGAGAATGAGGGATGGAAGAATATTAGGGGGGATGGGTGGATACCTCATTTGTCTAGTTAATATGTCAAATGATCATGTTTGTATAAATTAGTACTCAGGTCTGTTTCTAAGTCATGGGAGTTTAAAAAGGAAAACACTAAACTTATGAAACTTGTTAAATATTTAAAGTCTTTTGTACTCTACAGAAGACAAAGCTCTAGAAATCTAACTATTTAATTCTATATTCAAATCCTCACATAAAAAAATTTGAGGTCTGATAAAATTGTAAAACGTAAATGGTCTCTATTGACTTTAAGCAGAATAAAACTGGAAAGAAAATAAAATCTTCCCCACAATAGCGCCACAGGGAGAAAGAAACACAGTTTGAAGGCAAAAGAGAAATTACAGATAGTAATTTTTAGTGGAAATATGAAAAGCTGAAACAGAGCTGAGAAACAACGTAGCAACTGAAAATTACTTATTAAAATAATCAGATTAAATAAGATACTGATGGAAATGTAAGTCTGAATTCAGTTCTCATGTACTTAGTCTATGAATTGAAGCAATTTTTCTCTTTAAAAAAAAAATGCAGCTTCTGTTGACTGAGTGACCGTCCATAGCAAGCACAGAACCACAGGGGTTTATAAGAATTTCTAATCCTCTTCCAAAGCATACTTAGAAACCTTATTTTCCCAACCTGTCCCTCACAGACCCTTCACTTTTCCTATGATTGCTTCTTCCTTTTATGCTTATGTAGATTTCCATTTTCCTCTTCTTCAAAGATTCCTGCTTAACAGATATTTTGAGGGATAACTCAAATGCCACCTCCAATTCTAAGACTCTCTTGAACCTCTCAGAGCAAAGGGGAGCTCCCTTCCTCTGAATACATCTAGATAATTTTTAGTCTTTGGGGACATATTTCTTTCTTCTAACTTGTTTCTTTATGCATATCATTTTTTCCCTGCTACCAGATTCTAAGATTTCTTTGCTTTCCTTCTTTTCTTTCTTTCTTTCTTTCTTTCTTTCTTTCTTTCTTTCTTTCTTTCTTTCTTTCTTTCTTTCTTTTTCTTTCGTCTCTTTCTCTTTCTTTCTTTCATCTCTTTCTCTTTCTTTCTTTCTTTCTTTCTCTCTTTCTCTCTTTCTTTCTTTCGATGGAGCTTCGCTCTTTTTGCTCAGGCTGGAGTGCAATAGTATGATCTCGGCTCACTGCAACCTCCACCTCCTGGGTTCAAGCAGTTCTCCTGCCTCAGCCTCCTAAGTAGCTGGGATTATAGGCATCTGCCACCACGCCCAGCTCATTTTTGCATTTTTTAGTAGAGATGGGGTTTCACCATGTTGGTCAGGCTGGTCTCAAACTCCTGACCTCAGGTGATCCACCTGCCTCGGCCTCCCAAAGTGCTAGGATTACAGACGTGAGCCACTGTGCACAGCCCAGATTCTAAGTTTTTTAAAGAAAAATATATGATGAATTTACACTGATGTGTAAATGTCTTTTGCACATACACATTCAGGAAATATTTAGTAGATAAATGTGAGTCAATGAGTTTTAACATTCCAGTGTTTTCTAACCTCTTTCTAAAGAGCCATCCCATTCTGAACAGTGTTAATCATGGTTCCACACTACTTTGGAGGTACGCTGGCTGGGCCTAATTCCAGGATTTTATACTCACTGGTGTGTGATCTCAAGCAGAGATCTCACTTAACATCTCTGCCTCAATTTCTTCAACTGTAAAATGGGGATAATAATATAGGGCTTTCATGAGGAATAAATAGGTTAATTCATTACTTTGCTAGGGTTGCCGTAATCAAGCACCATCGACTATGTGGCTCAAACAACAGAAATGTATTTCTTGCCTATTTGGAAGTTGGAATTCCAAGATAGAGGTGTGAGCAAGTTTGGTTTCCTCTGCTGCCTCACCTTGGCTTGCAGATGGCCTTCCTTTCACTGTGTCCTCACTGGTCTTTTCTCTGTGTGTGCACATCCCTGGAGTCACTCTGTATGTAGAAATGTCTTATTTTTATAAGGACAGCAGTGACATTGGATTAGGGCTCACTCTTATGGCCTCATTTTAACTCAATCACTTCTTTAAAGGCCTTATCTAGAAATACTCTGAGGTACAGGGGTCTAGGCTTCAACATTTGAATTTTGAAGGGATCTAATTCAGCCCCTAGCATCCGTGTAAAGTACATAAAACAGTACCTGGTGCATGATACTCACTCAGTGAGCCTGGAGGTAGTGGTGATGGTATTTCTCTCACTTCAGCCTTGTTTCCTTTGGCTTCTGATAATTTTTGGTATGTTCATCTACTTTTGTTAACGAATACCTCCTTTTTCTTATAATCTAAAATAATTTGAAATTCATACTCCTATGGGCAGCTATCCTATGCCTAGTTACGTTAAAACCAACTTGCCATCTGCTAATCTAACATCTATAAATATTTCATTATTTTATTATGTTTATCTGGAATTTTAACCTAGGAATCTCCTATTTTCTATACTCTGCTTATTAAAAAGGTACTGCATGTTACTTAAGTTGCGATGCATTTTCCATTACCATAGGATTATTCAAGAGATAGCAGTGATTGAAATATGAGAGATTTAAGTAGTTTGATAGAAGTGTATCAAATTTCAAATATATTACATGCACAATATATTGTATGAGAAAGATTGTTACTGATATGAGGTAATAGTGAAATACTGAAAGTTATATTACCTGAGTCACTATATTAAGAATAATTTGTGACTCTCAGGGAATTTCAGATGGCACAAAAAATAAAAAAAATCAATTCATAGGCATATTATAATCTAGAAATATTTTCATGGAATCCCCTTAATAATATCAGTGTCCAGTGACTGAGTTTTAATGTACAGATAGACAACAGCAGCTGTTCCTGGTAACATTTTGCAGCATTATATGCAATAGTAGAGTAGTTTAGCTTTGAAATTTTAAATCAGCTACCCTTTATTCTTCTTTTCGGCATACTGGATTAAACAATATAAATCTTATGTTTTTATTCTGAATAACTAGCTTAGTAGTGATTAAGCAAGGGGGAAAATGACTTAATCATGAAAATAACCTAAGCAGGAAGAGAAAATCACTCCATCTTCAGAGATTTAACTACCCATAGTCCATTCTTAAGGAAAATTGAATTAATGACATTTCCTTAGAAAACATTTGGAACTTAAGGAGCTTAAACTTTTATAACTTGAAGCAGAAATATGTGCTTTTTACAGAAGTTTCAGCGTTTTAGGTTTCAGTCAAGCAAATGGTCTTGGTAGAAATTGGATGCACACATCATGAAACAGTAAAAACCTTCCCCACTGCAAAGAACAAAATGATTCTAAACAAAATACTGAACTGCTGGAATAGTAGAAGGCATGGGAAATCTGATGAGATTTCTAAGAAGTATGATTTGCCTCATTGCAGATCCTCTGAAATTAAATGTGAACGTCTTAATTTGCATGAAAACTGCCTAACCAATCCACTGATGCTCCTGAGCACAATATTGTGTAGCAAAACTTTATGAATTCCAAAAGGAGCTTATATCAGTGATTTTCCCATTATACAGTAGCTTCTCACTGGTAACTGTAGAGTTCAGTCTTACAAATACTGTGAACAAATCTTTTGCCAATGAAACCACAAGTCTGTTTTATGAGGGAGGTTAAGCCTGAAACCGGTAACCTTTAAACCTTGTCATGTTTAAATTCAGCTCTATTTTGAATTAAACAGGAATGTTTACTGCTGAAAGTGATAAACAGTAAATTACATTATGAAATATAAAAGTACTTTATAATGCAAGCAACCATCTCTTATATATTTACTAATCTATGCCATATATTGTTTTCATGAGTGCAATTCTTATTTTTAATTGACATTTTTATTGAAATGATTGTAGATTCACATGCAAATATAAGAAATAATACAGAGATCCCTTGTGTACTTTGTCCTCCAGTTTTCCACTCAATAGTAACATCTTGCAAAACTGTAGTGAAATATCACAACCAGGACATTGACATTGATATAATCCATCAATTTTATTCAACTTTCCCTACTTTTACTTGTCCTCATTTATATGTGTGTGTGTTTGTGTGTGTGTGTATATGCTAAGCTTTATAAAATTGTATCACCTATGTATGTTTGTGTGTCAAGATACTGGACAGTACCAACACTGCAAAGATCCCCCCACGTTGCTTTTTAATAATCACACCTCTCTTCATCCCCTCTCTTCTGTCACTAAATACTGGCAAACATTAAATTCTCTTCCATTTCTAAAACTTTATCATGTTAAAGATATGAGGTAAATGGAATCATACAGTATATAACTTTCGGATATTTGCTTTTTTCACTCAGAGTAATTTGAGGTTCATCGAAGTTGTAGCAGTACTACATTCATTTTTATTGCTGAATGATATTCCTTGGTGTGTGTGTGTATATATATATATATGTATATGTGTGTATATATATATGTATATGTGTGTATATATATGTATATGTGTGTATATATATGTATATGTGCATATATATGTATATGTGTATGTATATGTATCTGTGTGTATATATATGTATATGTGCATATATATGTATATGTGTATGTATATGTATATGTGTATATATGTATATGTGTATATATACACACATATATACACATATATATATATATATATATATATAACCTGTTTTGTATAATCATTCATTGAAGAATGTCTTGGCTATTTCCATTTGTTAGTTATTAAACAAAAAAACAGCTATGTACATTTATACACAGGTTTTTGTGTGAACATAAGTTATCATTTCTCTGGGATAAATGCTCAGAAGGAAATTGTTGGGCCTTATGGAAACTGCATGTTTAGGTATATAAGAAACTGTGAAACTAATTTCCAGAGTGCCTATATCATTTTACATTCTCACAAGCAAAATATGTGTGATTCAGTTTTGCTGCATCCTTGCCAGAATTTGGTATCATCACTGTTTTTTATTTTAGCCATTAGTTGGGTAGTATATCTCATTGTGGTTTTAATTTGCATTCTCCTCATGGTTAATGATATTGGACATAATTTCATGTACCTATTTACCATCTGTATGCATCTTCAGTGAATTGTCTTTTCATATTCTTTTCACATTCTCTAATTGATTGTTTTTTATTTTTTTCACTGCTGAGGTTTGAGAGTTCTTTGTATAATCTAAGTACTACTCGTTTGTCAGATACACAGTTTGCAAATATTTTCTCCCAGCTTGTAGATTTTCTTTTCATCCTTACTATATGGCCTTTCACAGAGGAAAATGGTTTTAATTTCATGTGGTCTGACTTATCAATTTTACTTTTCTGGATGGTACTCTGGTATCAAGTCAAAGAACTCATTGCTGACTCCTAAATTCTGAAGTTTTTCTACTGTGCTATTTTTCTTTTTATTATTATTATTATTGTACTTTAAGTTCTAGGGTACATGTGCACAACGTGCAGGTTTGTTACATATGTATGCATGTGCCATATTGGTGTGCTGCACCCAGTAACTCGTCATATAACATTAGGCATATCTCCTAATGCTATCCCTCCCCTCTCCCCCAACCCCACAACAGGCCCCAGTGTGTGATGTTCCCCTTCCTGTGTCCATGTGTTCTCATTGTTCAACTCCCACCTATGAGTGACAACATGCGGTGTTTGGTTTTTTGTCCTTGCGATAGTTTGCTGAGAATGATGGTTTCCAGCTTCATCCATGTCCCTACAAAGGACATGAACTCATCCTTTTTTATGGCTGCATAGTATTCCATGGTATATATGTGCCACATTTTCTTAATCCAGTCTATCATTGTTGGACATTTGGGTTGGTTCCAAGTCTTTGCTATTGTGAATAGTGCCGCAATAAACATACGTGTGCATGTGTCTTTATAGCAGCATGATTTATAATCCTTTGGGTATATACCCAGTAATGGGATGGCTGGGTCAAATGGTATTTCTAGTTCTGGATCCCTGAGGAATCGCCACACTGACTTCCACAATGGTTGAACTAGTTTACAGTCCCACCAACAGTGTAAAAGTGTTCCTATTTCTCCACATCCTCTCCAGCACCTGTTGCTTCCTGACTTTTTAATGATTGCCATTCTAACTGGTGTGAGATGGTATCTCATTGTGGTTTTGATTTGCATTTCTCTGATGGCCAGTGATGATGAGCATTTTTTCATGTGTCTTTTGGCTGCATAAATGTCTTCTTCTGAGAAGTGTCTGTTCATATCCTTCACCCACTTTTTGATGGGGTTGTTTGTTTTTTTCTTGTAAATTTGTTTGAGTTCATTGTAGATTCTGAATATTGGCCCTTTGTCAGATGGGTAGATTGCAAAAATTTTCTCCCATTCTGTAGGTTGCCTGTTCACTCTGATGGTGGTTTCTTTTGCTGTGCAGAAGCTCTTTAGTTTAATTAGATCCCATTTGTCAATTTTGGCTTTTGTTGCCATTGCTTTTGGTGTTTTAGACATGAAGTCCTAGCCCATGCCTATGTCCTGAATGGTATTGCCTAGGTTTTCTTCTAGGGTTTTTATGGTTTTAGGTATAACATTTAAGTCTTTAATCCATCCTGAATTAATTTTTGTATAAGGCGTAAGGAAGGGATCCAGTTTCAGCTTTCTACCTATGGCTAGCCAGTTTTCCCAGCACCATTTATTAAATAGGGAATCCTTTCCCCATTTCTTGTTTTTGTCAGGTTTGTCAAAGATCAGATGGTTGTAGATATGCAGCATTATTTCTGAGGGCTCTGTTCTGTTCCATTGGTCTATATCTCTGTTTTGGTACCAGTACCATGCTGTTTTGGTTACTGTAGCCTTGTAGTAGAGTTTGAAGTCAGGTAGCCTGATGCCTCCAGCTTTGTTCTTTAGGCTTAGGATTGACTTGGCAATGTGGGCTCTTTTTTGGTTCCATATGAACTTTAAAGTAGTTTTTTCCAATTCTGTGAAGAAAGTCATTGGTAGTTTGATGGGGATGGCATTGAATCTATAAATTACCTTGGGCAATATGGCCATTTTCATGATATTGATTCTTCCCACCCATGAGCATGGAATGTTCTTCCATTTATTTGTATCCTCTTTTATTTCATTGAGCAGTGGTTTGTAGTTCTCTTTGACGAGGTCCTTCACATCCCTTGTAAGTTGGATTCCTAGGCATTTAATTCTCTTTGAAGCAGGCAGGGGTTGCAATCCTAGTCTCTGCTAAAACAGACTTTAAACCAACAAAGATCAAAAGAGACAAAGAAGGCTATTACATAATGGTAAAGGGATCAATTCAACAAGAAGAGCTAACTATCCTAAATATATATGCACCCAATACAGGAGCACCCAGATTCATAAAACAAGTCCTTAGAGACCTACAAAGTGACTTAGACTCCCAAAGAATAATAATGGGAGACTTTAACACCCCACTGTCAACATTAGACAGATCAACGAGACAGAAAGTTAACAAGGATATCCGGGAACTGAACTCAGCTCTGCACCAAGTGGACCTAATAGACTTCTACAGAACTCTCCACCCCAAATCAACAGAATATACATTCTTTTCAGCACCACACCACACCTATTCCAAAATTGACCACATAGTTGGAAGTAAAGCACTCCTCAGCAAATGTAAGAGAACAGAAATTATAAGAAACTGTCTCTCAGACCACAGTGCAATCAAACTGGAACTCACGATTAAGAAACTCACTCAAAACCACTCATCTACATGGAAACTGAACAACCTGTTCCTGGATAACTACTGGGTACATAACGAAATGAAGGCAGAAATAAAGATGTTCTTTGAAACCAGCGAGAACAAAGACACAACATACCAGAATCTGTAGGAGACACATTCAAAGCAGTGTGTAGAGGGAAATTTATAGCACTAAATGCCCACAAGAGAAAGCAGGAAAGATCTGAAATTGACACCCTAACATCACAATTAAAAGAACTGGAGAAGCAAGAACAAACACATTCAAAAGCTAGCAGAAGGCAAGAAATAACTAAGAAAAGAGCAGAAGTGAAGGAAATAGAGACACAAAAAACCCTTCAAAAAATCAATGAATCCAGGAACTGGTTTTTTGAAAAGATCAACAAAATTGATAGACCGCTAGCAAGACTAATAAGAAAAGAGAGAAGAATCAAATAGATGCAATAAAAAATGATAAAGGGGATATCACCACTGATCCCACAGAAATACAAACTACCATCAAAGAATACTATAAACACCTCTACGCAAATAAACGAGAGAATCTAGACAAAATGGATAAATTCCTCGACACATACCCCCTCCTGAGACTAAACCAGGAAGAAATTGAATCTCTGAATAGACCAATAACAGGATCTGAAATTGAGGCAATAATTAATAGCTTACCAACCAAAAAAAGTCCAGGACCAGATGGATTCACAGCCGAATTCACAGCCGAATTTTACCAGAGGTACAAGGAGGAGCTGGTACCATTCCTTCTGAAACTATTCTAATCAATAGAAAAAGAGGGAATCCTCCCTAACTCATTTTATGAGGCCAGCATCATCCTGATACCAAAGCCTGGCAGAGACACAACAAAAAAAGAGAATTTTAGACCAATATCCCTGATGAACATCGATGCAAAAATCCTCAATAAAATACTGGCAAACAGAATCCAGCAGCACACCAAAAAGCTTATCCACCATGATCAAGTGGGCTTCATCCCTGGGATGCAAGGGTGGTTCAACATACACAAATCAATAAACGTAATCCAGCATATAAACAGAACCAAAGACAAAAACCACATGATTTTCTCAATAGATGCAGAAAAGGCCTTTGACAAAATTCAACAACCCTTCATGCTAAGAACTCTCAATAAATTAGGTATTGATGGGACATATCTCAAAATAATAAGAGCTATCTATGACAAACCCACAGCCAATATCATACTGAATGGGCAAAAACTGGAAGCATTCCCTTTGAAAACTGGCACAAGACAGGGATGCCCTCTCTCACCACTCCTATTCAACATAGTGTTGGAAGTTCTGGCCAGGGCAATCAGGCAGGAGAAGGAAATAAAGGGTATTCAATTAGGAAAAGAGGAAGTTAAATTGTCCCTGTTTGCAGATGACATGATTGTATATCTAGAAAACCCCATCGTCTCAGCCCAAAATCTCCTTAAGCTGATAGGCAACTCCTGTGCTATTTTTCTAAAAGTTTTATGTTTTTATGTTCTAAATTTAAGTATATTTACATGTATGTCAGTCTGTAATTCATTTTGAATTGATATTAGGTTTGAGTCAATGTTCAGTGTTTTGCCTGTGGATGCTTACTTGTTCCAGCATTCTTTGGAGAAAGGGATATAGACTTACTCCACTGAATTACTTTTAAACTTTTGTCAAAAATCACTTAGGCACATCTGTGTGGATCTATTTCTGGATTCTCTATTCTGTTTCATTGATTTATACATCTATAGTCCCTTCAATACTACACTGTCTGGTTTACTTTACTACAAAGTAAGGCTTAATATCACATAGATCATTCCTCCCATTTTATTCTTTTTTTTTGTCAAGATTTTTTTGACTATTGCAGAGTCTGTCTTTCCATATGAATTTTAGAAAATGCTTGTCTATGTCTACAGAAAACTTTGTTTTCAGTAGGAAATTGCATTAATCCTATAGCTTAAATTGGGGAAAATTAACATATTTACCATGTTGAGTCTTCCTAGTTACCTGTTTATGAACAGAGTATATTTCCATTTATTTAGATTTTCTTTGATTTCTATTATCAACATTTTATAATTTGCAGCACCTAGATCCTGTACATGTATTGTTGAGTGTATGTGTAAGTATTCAATTTTACCTGGAGCAATTATATGTGGTACTGAGTTTCTAATTTTGGTTTATACATGTTTATTGTTAGTATGTAAATATGCAATTGATTTTTATGTGTTGATCGTGTATCCTACCACTTTGATGAACTCACTTATTCATTTTAGGGGTTTATTTTTGTTTTTGTGTTTTGTATATCCCTTGAGGTTTTTTGTGAAGACAGTCATGTCATCTGCAACCAGAAAGAGTTTTATTTCTTCCTTTACACTCTGTATGGCTTTTCTTTTTTTTTTTTTTTTTTTTTTTGAGACAGTGTCACACTCTGTTGCCCAGGCTGGAGTGCGGTGGTGCAATCATGGCTCACTGTACCCTTGATCTTCCAGGCTCAAGTGATACTCCCACCTCAGCCTCCGAGTAGCTGGAACTATAGGCACACACCACCACACACAGCTGAATATTTTTAATATTTTCCTTTAGACATGGAAGACTCACTAAGTTGCTTAGGCTGGTCTTAAACTCCTTGGCTCAAGCAGTCGTCCCTCCTCAGCCTCCCAAAGTGGTGGGATTACAGGCTTGACCTATCGTGCCTGGCCCACTCTCTATGTTTTTACCTCTTTTTTTGCTCATTGCAGTGGCTAGAAATTCCAGTACTACATTGAATAATAGTAGCAGAGTAGACATCCTGGCCTTTTTCCTGAACTTATGGAGAAAGCATTCAGTCTTGCACCATCAAAGTGTGGTGTTATCTGTATGTTTTCTTATATGCCCTTTATCAAGTTAAGTTAATTTCTCTCCATTCCTAACTTGCTGAGTGCTTTTATCATAAGTGAGTGTTGGAATTTGTCAAATATTTTTTCTGTGTCAATTGATATAATCATGTTTTTATTTTTTCGCTTGTTGATATAGTCGGTTATAGTGTTTGACTTTCAAATGTTGAAACAGCTTTATATATATGGAAGAAATCCCACCTGGTCGTAGTATATAACTTTGTTATAGCTTGCTTAATTAATTTTTTTAATACTGGGTTAAAGATCTTTGCATTTATAAGAGATATTGGTCTTTATTTTTTTAACTATATTTTTCTAATTTTGTATTAGGGTAATGCTGACCTCAATAAATGAGTTAAAAAGCATTCTCTACTCTTCTAAAAGAAGAGATTTTCTGGAATAGTTTGAATAAACTTGTTCTTACCTAGTTGTTAAAATGTTTAGTAGAATTCCCCAGTGAAATCACTTGTGCCTGGACAACTTTTTAATGAAACTTCTTTTTTCTTTTCTTTCTTTTTTTTTCTTCTTTTTTTTTTTTTTTTGATGAGAGACAACTTTTCTCTGTCCCCCAGGCTGGGGTGAAATGGCACAATCATAGCTCGCTGCAACCTTGAGATACCGTGCTCAAGCAGTTCTCTCACTTCAGCCTCTCAAGTAGCTGGGACTACAGGTGTGTGTCACCATGCCCAGATAAAAGGGAGATTTTAAATAATGAATTAAACCTCTTTAATAGTTAAATAGCTATCAACATGGTCTCTTTCATCCTTGTTGAGCTTTGGTAATTTGTGGTTTTTGAAGAACTGCTTCATTTCTTTAAGTTGTTGAAAATGTAATTCTATTGACTTTTTTCATAGAAACAGCTTTTTGCTTAAGTGATTTCTCTACTGTTTTTCAGTTTTCTGTTGTCTTTCTCCCATTGATTTCTCATTTGATTCCATTATGGTTACAGAATGTACTCTATATGATTTTAGTTCTTTTAAACCTGTTAAGGTTTGTTTTACGGCCTGTTATAAACTCTGTCTTTGTGGAATGGTCTATGCATGTTTATTAGTCAGTTCAGGCTGTAATAACAAAATACCATAGACCAAGTGGCTTAAACAACAGACATGTGTTTCCACATGGGCTTAATTGTGTCTCCCCAAAATTCATATGTTGAGGACCTAACTCCCATTGAGACGTGGTCTCCAGAAGGTCATTAGGCTTCATGAGATCATGAGTGTGGGGTACTCATCATGTAATTAGTGCCCTTATAAGAAGAGAAACCACAAAGAGCGTGCTTTCTCTTTTTTTCTTTCTGTCTCTAGATATCTCTCTCTCTCTGCCACTTAAGGTTATAGGAAGAAGGCAGCCATCTGCAATACTTGCAATACATTTGGAATAAACCTGAGATTGGACTTCTTAGCCTCTAGAACAGTGAGGAACAAAAAATTGTTTTTTATAAATTAGACAGTCTCAGGCATTTTGCTACAGCAGCACAAATGAACTAAGACATCTACCAATATTTTGTTCATGAATATTAACATATTCTCTAAGAGGATAGGAGCTTTCTCCACAGCAATTTTCTTTTCTTTCTGAGTCCTTGCCAGAATTACCTGTTCCTTTATGGCACTATTGGCTTTTTCGACCATGCACCTCAAAACTTTTCTAGCCTCCATCCCTTACCCAGATCTTCAAAACGTGAATCTGGGAGGGACACAATTCTGTCCATAGCAGTGTAAACCACCCAACATATTTCACCTTGCGCACTGCCTAGACAGAGCCAATTTATCAAGACAGGAGAATTGCAATAGAGAAAGAGTCATTATGCAGAGCCAGCTGTGCAGGAAGCTAGAATTTTATTATTCCTCACATCAGTCTCCCCAAGAATTCAGGGATTGGAGTTTTAAGGATAATTTGGTGGCCAGTGAATCAGGAGTTCTGCTTGGTGGGGTCAGAGATGAAATCATAGAGTGTTGAAGCTGTGCTCTTGTGCTGAGCCAGTTCCCGCATGGGAGCCACAAGACCAAATGAGCCAGTTTATCAATCTGGGTGGTGCCAACTGATCTATTGAGTACAAAGTCTGCAAAATATCTCAAGCACGTATCTTAAGTTTTACAATAATGATGCTATCTCCAGGAACAACTTGGAGAGGTTTAGAATCTTGCAGCCTCCAGTTGCATGACTCCTAAAGCACAATTTCTAATCTTGTGGCTAATTTCTTAGTCCTGCAAAGGCAGTCTAGTCCCCAGGTAGAAAGGGGGTTTGGTTTGAGAAAGAGCTGTTATCAGCTTTGTTTCAAAGCTACACTGTAAGCTAAGTTCCTCCCAAAGTTAGTTTGGCCTATGCCTAGGAAAGAACAAGGACAGCTTGGAGGTTAGAAAAAAGATATGGAGTTAGTTAGGTCAGATCTCTTTCACTGTAATAATTTTATCAGTTATGATTTTTGCAAGGTAGTTTCAGCTGGATGCTTGAATAAAGAGCATTCTGCTGTCATTATGTGGAGTGTTCTCTACACGTCTCCAAGTTTTAGTCATTGATTTCTGTGAGGGAAAGTAGTAGAGCCAATCATGAAATGTGTCTCAGATTTTATCCATGCTGGACCTTAGTTCTGTATTTGGCATAGGACTTATGTATGCCTATATAAATTATTTGATTCTAACATTTAGAAAGACAAGTGCAGTCTCTCTGTTGGGGAGTTTACTGTTATTTCTTCTACTGTTCTGAAGTGCTTACGAAAGTTTTATTTTCATTCTTAGCAAGAATGAGATCCAGGAATCATAATTCTATTGCATTTTTACAAAACTTGTCTGAAAGAGCTCAATGTCTCAGAGATCTCTTACTACATGAGCTACATGGAATATTTATTTTATAGGCAGAGAAATTAATGCAGAAAAGAATCATGTTTTTCATTGTCACACATTTGAGAGGAAAGGCCCATATATTTAACTCAGGTCTTGGAAATAGGCTGGTGCTTTTCTCCCTCCCAGATTATCTGGGATGCCGCTAAGTTGAACAGTTACTGTAACAGGAAACCAGGACTCTGGGATGAAAAAGAGTAGTAAAAAATCGATATTTCATAAAACTCACCATTATACAATGTTCTCTCTACATCTCATATAGTACTTTAAAGATACTAGAATATCTAAACATTTAAAATCTTTTATAAAATACAAAGAGAGAGAACCATATCATGTATGAGTTTTGAATCACAGATTGATGGATTTACTGTTATCACAGAGGATGAAATAGGCAAATTATAGTGTTCCACTTTTACCAGCAGGTGTTGTACCTGATCTCTGACTTACTGTAAAGTGAATTTGCAACTTCTTCAAAGTCACTGTTCATTTCAAAGGAAGATTTTCAAATAGTAAATTACATATTTAAAGACCTAAGTGACCTTAAAAATTCTTTTCATTAGTCCCACGCACTCATTATTTTGTGGAGTGCTAAACTTTAATTGGCCTGACCCATTTACTAAGTCATTCTATTTCTCTTCTTAATCGTTCTCACCTTTTCCCTTACTCCCCATTTCACTAGGCTAAAGAATGAAAAGATATAAAGTGAATTCTACTTTTACCATGACAGGATTTATCCAGGAGATATTTTCAAGAAACATAGTATAAAGGATATATGACAAAGCAATATCCATTGCCACAAATATTTTATTGGTATTCATCCAACATTTGTGCTATAAACCTTTCCCACTTATGGTAGCAAGGAGGAAACTTTAGGGATGCCATATATCTACTAATCTTGGATTATAACTGGAAAAATGAGTCCATCAGCCCCGAAAGCTGTATCCTCTAATAGGGTGAGAGCTACAATGCTCAGAAATGTAAGTTTTATTAAAATAAAATTCAAGGGTTTCATTGATAAACTATTAGATTTATCACAGTAATCATATTTATACCATAAAAATTTATCAAGTCACTTACTCCTTTGAAGACGAGCAACTCAGTGGGTGGAGGATGTAGCAATTTACTAAGCCAGGGAAGACTAGCAGAGAAACTGTTTTATTTGGCCATGCTAAATTAGAGATAACTCTCAGATTTCCAAGTGATGATATCAAATGTGCATTTGGATATATGAGTTTTGATATCGTTGGAGAGACTAGAACTGGAGTAGTATGAAGAACTTTCAGATAATGGTTGTGTGTGTGTGCGTGTGTGTGTGTGTGTTTTCCACAAACAAGTAAAACTTATTAGCTCTTGAGAGTCTACCCCTTAAAATCCTCTACCCATGCAATCCTGCCACATTGTACAATTCTATATATCCATCTCAGACTAGATCCTATGCCAATTAGAACCAAACCTGGGTCATAGTCACAGTAGGTATGCAATTAAAGCTCGATAAATGAAGACATGAAGTATAATTCTTCAGTCACAAGCCTGTAATGTATATTGCCCCTAAGATAAGCCCTTTGATACCTGGGGGGTCCTTGAAATGCATCCTTAACCCTAACTCTCTGTGAGCATCTACCCAGATCACCAGATCATATGGCTACATTTTTGTTTATTTTGTATTGTCTACCCCTAGAGCTCTTACTTGAATTCCAAACACGTTCAGCTGTGGTCTTGCTCTGAGGACACTAGACTTCTGTTTCAACTCAAATGAATCATTCTGTAAATCTCAGAAACTAAGATGCTGCCAACCCTATTATAGCTGACTTCAAATATTGCCCCACAGCCTACAAGCTCCAGAAGGCTTGCAAACACACATTATATCACGTAATTGAGATATGTCACTTGCCCAGTTTGCAAATTTACCATATCACTTAGGAAACTACTGTTTGAAGTGAGAGTGTTAGTTGCATTACTCAGCCCCCGAAGTCTACTATTGTCAGTATTCTTTTGGTTGCAAGTGATAGAGATGCCAAAAGGGTGAACAAGACTTAATGGAGGGGTGCTGAAACATTTCATGTGATCAAAAGGCTTCCCACAGAAAACAGGACTTCAGATATTGGAACCAGGAACTCAATCACCACTGTGATTATTTCTCAATCTCTGCCTCTATCATCTTCCCCATCCAATCTCTACTACTATATTGGCTCATTCCAAGTAGTTGGAAACATGGCTATCTACTGATCCTGTCTTAAGTCATCTCTGCTTAATGCTCTTAGAGAAGGGAGAAGCCTGACCTCTCACCATCTTCAGTGATTTATTGATCTTTGATTGTCCTGACTTAGGTAACAGCCACTCCTAGACAAACCACTTAGTCAAGGGAATGGAGTCATGTAATGTGCAGGCCTACCAGAATCACATGGACTTTGGAGAGAGATAGAGGGTGCAATTATATGAGGAGCAGATACAGGTATGCAGGACATATGTAAACAAATACATCTCTAAAGTTCCAGCACACTTCATGTCTGAACCTATACAAAATCCAGCACTTAGAATCACCAAAGATTGCATCATCCTGGTCTTCACTCTGATCCCTTAGGCTTGTGTCTCTTCATCACTCCTTCCTCTTTTATCTTTAATTTACTTTTTACCTCATGCTAGAGTGAAGAAATTTAATACTATCTGAGCATTCCTTCCATCTTAACATTTTACAATGGCAGTAGATTGAAGTATTTTAACAACGTGGGCTTTGGTGTCAGGATAATCTGAGTTTATATGCTCTATTTTCCACTTACTATTTTGATCACCCCAGGCAAGTTACCTTGTGTCTCTGTGAAAAAGGGATGCCAATACCTACCTTAGGATAATTGTTAGAATTAAAATATATAAGAAAGGCTTTTCACAAGACTTGGGAAAAAATCAAACCTATATTGGTACGAGCCTAGGCCACCAAGCAGTAAAATAAACGACACATATGTGAGGCAAATAGAAGTTTGCAGTAGCTCCTGGGTACTCCACTGTTTATAACCCTACACTGAAAGAAGCAGCTCACATCCTGAACTGAGCGACAAGGACTGTGAAGTGGACAGGTGGCCTTCAGTGATGTCACAGAAGGTCATAAAACAGAATTGAGCTCTGGTAGCTTAGCTCCCATTGAGATGTTTAAGAACAAAACCTTTCTGCCAAAAAAAAGTCACAAGCTGGGCCAGAGCCAGCTGGCTTGCCAGAGGGCTTGGGATATATGAAAAACAGTGATAACCTAAATATTTTTTCCAGATGAAATTTCAAAATAGATAAAAAATTTTTGAGATGGATATTTATAGTCTATTAAGGACAGGTACTACAGAAGATAAGACTCTTATTTCAAACAATGTAGCATGAAGGATTCCCGCTAAATATTGAGTTTTCCAATGGTAAAAAATATTTTTCAGGCAGTTCTTGACCAAAGGCCTTTGTATATGTAGAAGTTCCTGTGGCTTTTGTACTCCCACAACCACCCGTGGTTGGAGGCATCACTGCCACCATCATTGGAGCTCTGTTGGTGGGATAAGAGCAGGTAGGAATCTGACTAAGAAGTGACAGGGTGAGTGAGGAGATGGAGGTTTGGTTTATATAAGAGTTTAGTAAAATCATGAAGGACAGAAATTCTTTTTCTCTAATTAATATTCTCAGCCTGTTGGCTTTTGCTCTCAGGCTTTTTCCTTCATGAACTCAAAAGAAGCACAGAAGCGTCAATCGTCACATTTTCACATAGCCAAGTCCAAAGCTGAGAAAGGGATAGTGGGTGTTTCCCTTATGTATTAGTCTGCTCAGGCTACCATAACAAAATACTCCAGTCTGGGTGGCTAAAACATTTAATTTCCCCCAATCCTGAAGGATAGAAGTCCATGATTAAAGTAGCAGCAAATTTGGTTTCTGTTAAGGCCTCTCTTTCCTGACTTGTAGACAGTCACCTTCTTATTGTGTTCTCACTGGGTCTTTCCTCTGTGTTAGCATGGCAAGAGAGCTAGCCCTGGTGTTGCTTCCTCTTCCTATAAGGACATCAGTTCTATTGGATTGGGGCCCTACCCCTATGACCTCATTTACTCCTTATTACTTCTTTATAGATCATATCTCCAAATATAGTCATGCTGGAGATTAGGGCTTCAATGTACGATTTTGGGGCTGGGGGCACAACTCAATCTATGATGCCTTACTCACATTCCTTTTAAAGTGTGAGAAAAAATTTTCCCAGAAGTCTCAATCCATCTTCTCCTCCATTAAGTCATTTACTGGCAAGGGAAATAAAATGGCAACACCTGTTTCCTGGCCAGAGGCCGAGTAGGTTCAGCTTCCTCTTAAGTACCTGAATACCCAAGGAGTGAATGGAATCTGCCTTCATTAGCAAGGAAGGAGAAAATGCTTGTGTGGAGGCAACTGAAAGCAATGGGCACGTTGGCTGTCAGAAAAATGCAACTTGGAACTTTAAGAGGTTCTGGGTACTTTAAAGGAAAGGGAAAGAAGGGGCTAAAAAAAAGCAAATTAGAAGAGCTGACTCAACAGCTGGAGTCTCTTGTTATGCTATGGTATTCTGCTCATGCTTTTCTTTCCTTTTTTTTTTTTCAGACGGAGTCTTGCTCTGTCGCCAGGCTGGAGTGCAGTGGCACAATCTCAGCTCACTGCAAGCTCCGCCTCCCAGGTTCCAGCAATTCTCCTGCCTCAGCCTCCCAAGTAGCTGGGATTACAGGTGCCCGCCACCACGCCTGGCTAATTTTTGTATTTTTAGTAGAGACGGGGTTTCACCATGTTGGCCAGGATGGTATCGATCTCCTGACCTCGTGATCCACCTGCCTCGGGCTCCCAAAGAGCTGGGATTACTCCTTCACTGCCAATTTTAATATATATTAAGTGTAACATATAGGAAACATTAGATCATATATATAAAATTCATTCTTTATAATTCAATGTTTTACATATATAATCAAAAACTTTGGCTTGCTTTGGTGATACAGTAGTTAAGGGAGGTATATTCTCTTTCTCAACGTACCTTTCCGTGTTCCATGCCTTCATATATTTATATTACCCCAGCAAAATCAGTTTTCCAAAATACATTACTAAGAAAAAGTATACTGACAGATAGAAATTTGCATTTGAGGAGAGGGTGAGAAAGACAATTGTGAAGAATGAAGCATTGTAGAACAAAAAAATGTAGACATATATAGAAGGCACATTTTGGATCTGAATACATCAAAGCTATTTCAAGTTTTCTGTAACATAGAGAGAGGAATAGCAGGATATAGAGAGAAACAGACAAAGATAACTGCGGAACTGTGGCTCTTTCAAAAATTTGCCTAAAATTATTATTAAGCAAAGAGCAGTCTTTTTCTCCCTTTTACTTTCGAATTTTCATAGCCCTGTCTTCACAGAACTGGAACTCATAGCAAATATGGCTTCTGTGTGTTTTTATTTTTAAGTAAAAAATACCTCTGATTCCAATTTTTAAGTACAAAATTGAAGAATCATTTATATACAGTAAAGTTCACCCTTTTAAATTTTACAGTGTGATGAGTTTGGACAAATGTAATCACTATCATAGTAAAGAAACAGAACACTGTCATCAATTCAAACAAGTTTCTTCTATCCCTTTACAGTCAACCTCCTACCCAAGCTTAGTCCAGGCAGCCAGTGATTTGATTTTTGCCTGTATACTTTTCCCTTTTCCAGAAGGTCATACAAATAGAATCATATGGTGTGTAGCCTCAGGCTTGCACATGATACCTTTGAGATTTGCTTCGGGCTGAATGTTTGTGTTCCCACAGAATTCATATGTTGACGCCCTAACCTTCAATGTGATAGTATTTCCAGATGGAGCATTTAGGAGGTAATTACGTCATGAAGTGGAGTCCCTTATGATAAGAGATATAAGAAAGTTTGTCTCCTTGCCCTCTCTCTCTCTCTCTCTTTCTCTCTCTGTGTCCCTTTGTCCTATGCCATGGAAAGATAAAATAAGAAGACAGTTGCCTGCAAACCAGAAAGAGGGCCCTAACCCAGTCTCCGTATCTATGAGCACCTTAATCTCAGACATACAGCCTCCAGAACTGTGAGAAATAAATGTTTATTGTTTAAGCCACCCAGTATATAGTATTTTGTGACAGCAGCCTGAGCTGATTAAGACAGTAATTGGTACAGAGAGGTGGAGAAATAGTGTAATAAATATGTAAAACTGTGGAAGCAGCTTTGGAATTGGGTAATGGGTATCGGTTAGAAAAGTTTTGAGGTATGTGCTAGAAAAAGCCAATATTCCTGTGAAGGGAATTTTAAAAGCAATTCCGGTATTGGCTCAAGGTAAAAAGAAGAAAGCTGTAGAGAAAGCCTCTGTCATCTTAGAGAATACATAAATAATTATGTATAGAAAGTTGATTGAAATATGGTTGTCAGAAGCCATTCTGATGAAGTCTCAAACAGAAATGAAGAACATGTTATTAAAAACTTGAGGAGAGGCAATGTTGTAAAGTAGCAAAGAACTTGGCTAAATTGTGTTTGTGTTCTAGTGTTCTGTAGTAGGTACAACTTGTGAGGGATGAAGTTGGGTGTTTAATTGAGGAGATATCTAATTAAAGTGTTGAAGCGGCACCTTGGTTTTTTCTGACTGCATATAGTAAAATGAAAAAGGGAAGAAATGAATTGAAGATGGAATTGTTAGGCAAAAATAAATTAGAACTTAAAGATTCTAAATCTGCCTGTCTATATTACAAAAAAGTGAGAGAGTATATTCAGAAGAGAAAACTAAGGGTATGGCAAACCAACCTTTGTTAAGGAGGTTAGTGTGGGTGTGACCCATAGACTTAATTGGCCATCTCACCAGAAGCCAAGGATAGAGAGGAAATAAGCCACCAGAAAAACTACCAGATGGGACTAAAGGAAACAGAGAAAGTGAGACCAAATGAAGGAAAACTGTAAATGTATGCTATCATTGAAGAAAATGTAAAAAGGACTTCAAAGGTGACTTGGAGATCATCAGGGACACCACCTGGGTGTCAAGAGGGCAGGGTTGGGACATAGAAAGAGCTACTGCAGGGCTGCCCTACAGAGCAAAGGGAGTGACATAGCCATGCCACACCAGTGGGCCCATAAGACCAAGCATTGAGAGACAAAGAGGATTGTTCTTGAGCCTTAAAGTCTCATGGGATCTGATGTACTATGTTTTGGATTTGCTTGGGGCCTATTAACTTCCCTAGTCTCCTATTTTTTCCCCTTTGTAGTGGGAATGTCTGTCCTATGCCTCTCCCATCATTACGTTTCGGAAGCACATAACTTGTTTTGTTTCACAGGTTCACAGGTGGAGGGGAGTTCTGACTCAGAATGACTTTTACTTTGAGTCTCACCCATATCTGATTTAGATGATATTTAAATGAGACTTTGGACTTTAGACATTAGGATTGATGCTGGAACGAGTTAAGATTTGTGAAATTTGGGGACGAAATGTGTGTGTTTTTTATATCTGAGAAGGACAGGAATTACAGAGGACTGGGGTGGAGTGCTATGGACTGAATTGTGTCCCCCTGCAAAAGAATAAATAATAATAATAGTAAAATTGAAGCCTAATCCCTAATGTGATGGTATTTGGAGGTGAGACCTTTGGGAAGTAAGTACATCATGAGGGTAGAACCCTCCTAATGGGATTAGTGCCCTTATAAGAAGAGACACACGAGAGCTTGCTCCCTCTTTTTCTCTCTCTCCTCTCCACCATGTGAGGATACAGGGAGAAGGTAGCCATATGCAAACCAGGAAGAGCATTCTTACTGGACACCAGATCTGCCAATGCCTTGACCTCAGACTTACACCCCCCAGAACTGTAAGAAATAAACTGCCAAATTGTTTTACAGAGTGGCTTTATCAGTTTGTATTCATATTTGCTGTATATGAGTTCCCAGTTGTTCCATGCCATTGTCAGTACGTGATATTGTCTGTCTTTTCATTTTAAACATTCTAGTAAGTGCGTAGTGGTATCTCCTTATGGATTTAATTTGCATACTCTAATTTGCTAATAATGTTATACAGGCCTTTTTTATTAGCTTGGAAAGAATATCATCAATTCTATAGAATCTGAGACACACACAGAGAGAGGGAGAGAGAGAAAAGAAGGGAAGAAAGAAATGAAGGAACAAAAGAAGGAAGGAGAAAGAATAGGATTGGATTTTGTGTTACAACCAAATGGTAACTTTGTAGTAAATGTGGGAAGCCTGAGCAAGAGTGTAAATTCTGGATTGCTTAACTTCACAGAAGTCAAATTAAAAAGTGAGGCAAAGTAGAGGGAAGCCAAATGAGGGGAAAAAAAAAAGGTCCAACCAACATACGTACTATTAGTAAATTATTTCACATGTACATAACATTGAGAATATGTCCAAATAAAAGTGAAGCAAGTAAAGGTATCTAGTGAATGTAATTTGCATAAATTCTGACAGTGTGTCACTTAGAATACTGCTTAGAGGATGTTTTGATAAATATTTGGAGGTCAAAACAAACTGCTTAGAAATTGACATCATGGGTCAGGATATAATCATGGAGAAATTGAGATGCAAGCCAAGAGTGCAAGGAAAGCAGCAAGAGGAACTCCATGCTGATATGAGGTACTTTGCTAAGAATCTTTTATTCCTGCCTTATATCTTCTCCTGTGCCTTTATAAAATAACTGACACATAAAAGGACTCCATAAAAGCATGAAGGAGAGTTTGATGACAATGTGATTCTTAAGGTGGGCTTAAGTGGGCAAGAAATATGAGGGATTCCATGCTTTTCACCAACAGTGTATTGGTCAACTATACTAAATTACTGGTGGTTGACAAGATATTGACTAGATGACATTTCAATATCCCTGTGAATGCATCAAGTTAATTTTTAAGAGAAGGTATTGGATATCTATTTTGAGATTAACACTATATTCTGAATTCCAGAAACATGTATATATATATGTAAACATATGGTATAACCTTTACCCACAAATTATTTATAATTTAATTGAGATGAAAAAATTGTAAGCATTGTCACAGCTGAGGGATCATTCTTTTAGTAGCTATAGCTGCTTGAAATCTTGAGTAACTGCAAGAAAAAATGAGATTAGTATGCTTCTCAAAGTATTCATAGATTTTATTGCTGCCTTAATACCCACTGGCATTATGACAGCAGGTCATAACCTTTTTCAAGACTATCTTGAAAAAATTGTCACAAAAATTTTATTGATAAAAGTTTGTCCCTTAATATACTGTGCAAATGCTACACCTCCTCTCATAAAAATCTATACTGCATTGGTGGATAACCAGCAAGGTTTCTGATATTTTTTTTTTCCAGAGGGGTTGGGGTCTACTATCCTGTCCTTTTACTTTGCATAATCCAGTTCATCAACTAATGAATTGTAATCTTCCTAAAGTCCTTGTGTTCTTCCCTTCAAAGTCTGCAACCATATGTTAAAATTTTTGAAATGCACAATTTTTATTTAGAGGCTGGACAAAATTAAGTTCCTCTCAAGAGAGGCATTAGCACTGAAGAAAATAGGTACAGAAAAGTGTATTCTGAAACACTTAGCCAGGAAACCAAAATAAAAAGAAAGCTAATTGTACAAAGTTACTGTTAAAAAGAAACAGATATAATAAATGCCTTCAAACAGATATAATAAGTGTCTTCAAAGTAGACGTTTATCCTTCTCAGCAGTCCACAGATGATATGATGGTTTCAGGGTACCAATGGCCCATTACTCTGCCATCCTCAGGACTTCCTTCTCTGGATGCAGAATGGCTACTCCAGCTCCCACCATCACATCCCCATTCCACTGATTAGTAAGGGAAAGGAGGAAGGAACGTTTACAGGACATACTCTTCTGTTTTACAAACATGACCCAACGTGTATACATCAGATGTTCAATTTTTTTTTTTTTTGTCAAAACCTAGTCACATAGCTAAATACAGCTTCAAATGAGGCTGGAAAATGTAGTCTTTAGCTGGGATACCAAATGTCTATATTCTAGGACATAGTCATGGACATTATCATGGAGAAATTGAGATACAATCCAAGTGCAGGGAAGCAGCAAGAGGGATTCCATGCACATATGAGGTATTTTTCTGAGAAGCTTTTATTCCTGCCTTATATCTTCTCTTGTGCCTTTATAAAATGCCTGACACATAAAATGACTCCATAAATGAATGAAGGAGAGTCTGATGATAACTTGAGTCTTCTAGTTGGGCTTACGTGGAGCAAGAAATTGGAAGGATTCCATGATGTTCACCAACATTTTTATTACTGTTGAAAAGAGGAAAAATGGTAATTGGAGA
Organism: Homo sapiens; assembly: GCF_000001405.40. Classification (NCBI taxonomy): domain Eukaryota; kingdom Metazoa; phylum Chordata; class Mammalia; order Primates; family Hominidae; genus Homo; species Homo sapiens. Next base: position 97,347,075 of record NC_000003.12, read on the forward strand.
GACCACCAGTTGTCTCTGAAATGTACCATCATATTTAACACCTCCTCTTCCCTTCCTTGGAGATTAAAGGCATCATGAAATCCTGTAGGATTTATCATCCAGACTTCACTTTCTTGTTTCTCCATCTTCAGATATTTTAAATTATTAAAATATCTTCATAATTTACTTCACTTTATCCACTTTGGCTTCTTTACAATTAATTCTCTATTTTTCAAGGAACGTGATCTTTTCAGTATTCAGATATATTCACCTTATCAATTGATACTAACTTTTCTTAGATATAAAATACACAAACTCCACTAGGGTAAGAACAGTGTTTGTTTTGTTCAATATTATATGTCCTGTACCTATCACAGAGTAAATGTACAAAAAAAATTTACTAAGTACGTTTAATAAATAAATCATTCAATGAATTTTTTTGACTTTGAGTACAGGAGAGAATCATGTATTCACACAGTAATTCTGGGAAAGATAATATAGTATTTGAAAGTGACTCCAATGAACATGAATTTGAGGCTATTTCTCCTAGAAAAAAATTTGGAGGGGGAAAGGGTTATGGTTAAATCAGTTAAGCTAATAGATAAAAGAGCCATAATTCTTAGAGAAAATGTAGTTGTTAGTCATTCCCTTTGACCAGCTTCAGTGTTGCCTCAACTTTCTTGGTGAAATTTTCCATGCCCTTCTGAAGTATTTTGTCAACTGAAAGGACTCTTTCCATAAACTTCAGCATTTCAAAAATGAATTTATCTGGCAAGTACATTTTCACATATAAGAATTAAAGTGCAACATAAATCTTTTGATAGCCATATATCAACACATCTTTAATTAAAGAAGCCTCAGGTCACAAACATCTAGAGTTAATTTACTCTACAGAGTCTTATCTGATTTTCTAAAAATTTACATTGTCAGCAAAACTACTGTCCTTTGTTTAATGCACTTATAAACATTTCCAACTTATTTTTTTGGCAACCCTCTTTTTGTGTTTGTACATGAAATAAAATTATTTTACATACATGCTTTCTATGCTAACATTAGAGAGTAAAATTGTGTGAAAACGACTGCAGGGAATAGAGGAGTACATGATTCCCTATAAAGAATGTAATGCCATAGGCTAAGTATTATGTTTCTAAAATTCTACCTTTATTCTTGACAAATATAAATCCAGTAATAAAGATGACTCTTAGACTGTGTTGCAAATTCAGTTGACAATGATATTCATATTCTGACTCTGGGCTAATTTCTTGAGTTTAAAAATTATTTTTTCTTGTCTAATATAAAAGTTTAAGAGCAAGTGAATGCGCATACATATTAAAACTTGGCAGAAATAAGTATCAGATCTATATAGATTTAATCTTACTTCCTTCCAAGTTATTTTAAAGCAATCTTGATTCCACATATAAGATGGAGTAGTTTTTTTTTTATTAGGTAGTAACTTTTTCAGGTTACTTGAGAATAGTTATTATTATTTGAAAAAGTAATTTATTACTATCATATTGAAAAAGCATTTCTTAAGCAACTAATTATGCATAACTAGGCTAGGTGAGCACAGTTACAAAATGTAATTAATGAAACTACATAAATACAGGAAACTGAAAGAGTTAGGTAAAATATTAAATATATTAATATCAGGAAGGTTTTTCATCATGCATTGATTGAAGATTTGTCTACTAAGTGTATCACAAGGTAGGTCATGGGGCAGGATAGTCTGGGAGCATAGACAATTGGGATGGGGCTCAGATGAGTAATCATAGGTGTTTTTATTCCATGCAACAGGGAGTAGTAATCATGGAAGTGAGGGAGTCGACATGACGGTTCTTCTTGGGTTTAGTTAGACTGCTAATATAATTTTACCAAATAGACAATTATCAGAAATAATTAAAATACCTTAACAAATGAGTTCAATATTTCAGCAGGTTTTCATGATTCTTTCCTAACAAGAGTTCTTTTATACTGCCCGTAAAAATTGTTTATATATCCTGGCTTTTATTAAGTACTTATCTGAATATTAAAACATATTTCCTATCACTGCTTCATGTATCCTTAAAATTTATCTGGTATCAATTTCCACACATTATTAAAATCTCCCTTAAATTCATTTTATATCAAAATTCAATTTTAGTCTTATAAAGGTTTTTAATAAAAGTGAACAATATTACCTTTAGTCTTATTTTTTGATCAGGATTTTAGTTTTGAAAAGCATTCAAGTTCCATTAATATAAAAGTAAAAAAAGAAAATCAGAGTTCAGGCTTTTGGGTACAGCCAACTTCAAATATGTGAGTATGCTTTGACAATTACAATCACCCATATACTTATGTTTCTCTTCAGGCTAATCAACAACTCCTCACACATACCATTGTCAGCATCATCAACCCATATTTATTGAGACAGAAATATGGAGCATTGTGAAAAACAATAGCAACTCAAAATGATATATAATATCTTCCACAAGGTATTTAGAAATTTAAATATGCATTCCCTTTGTGGTTTCAGAGTTGTACAAAAATAAAAGAAAGAGTCATAGAGAGGAAGTATAAAAACTGTGGCAAATATAATTGCTTGCCTACCACACAGCCTTCTCTTTTTCTTATCATCATAAATCCAATTTTGTTCAGCAGCAATGTGCCTGGATCCAAGGAAAAGTATCAGTTTTGCCCAGACTAGTGATCTTCATGAGACTTAGGAAGCTTCAAAGTCTTCATTGAGCAGGAGTTTCTGATCATAGCATCATACGTATTAATCTTGGCCCCTCACAACTCATGTTCAACATTATGTTCCAGACGTGATAAAAATTTTTAAAAAATGCTGTTGGGTTTATGAATATCTTTTAGGGGGCAGTAACACTCTTAGTTGAGAAACAATAGTCTAAACTAATCATGCTAATCTTTTTTTTTTTTCTTTTTGCCAGTTTTTGGTCTAAGAGGACCAGTATGACCTACTTCTCACGAATTAGATATGCCAGGGTAACTCCCATGGTTTGTTTCCGGGAAATTTTTAATTTCCTAATGAAAGACATAGCATTGGAGAAAGAGCTTTGTCTTGCTCCTTTTCACTCTTCCAGCTTTGGATATTGTAGAGAAAGAATGAGATATCTGGAATATTAACAGTGGTCTTGTGACACTGAAGCAGAAAGCCTGACCATAAAAGGCACTCACACCAAGAATGACAGACTAGTATAAAACATCCTAGGCCCTGAGAAACATGGTGGAACTGCTGAAACATGCTGGGAAGATTGTAAAGGTTGTTATTGTTTACAGTTTAATTAGCAAAATATTCAGCTACTACAGAGTATCACAATGCAGAACATTTTAAAAGACCTACCCAATGCATTTTGTTGTGTTGAATATTTTCTTGCAGACTCCATTTTTAGGAAATTTCACAAATATAGTGGTCCTAAGAAGAATATTGTGGGAAGTCCACAATAAAAAGAAAGTAAATTAAAACTATTTATTTTAAGAGTTCATGAAAATAGTATTTTGTGTAGAGCAGATGTAACTTAAAGGATGCCCTAGGGAAAACCTCAGCACACATCTAGTCCAGTTGTCATCATTTGCTTCTTTTTTATATATAACAGCCTAATCAAGTGGGACAGTGTCATCCTGAACACTTCTATGATATAGTACTTAACAACTTCCAAGGCATCCCATTGCATTTTTGGATAGCTTTCAGATTTGAAAATATGCCACATGTTCATTCCAAATCAGGCTCTCTACTGCTACTCCTGCATTGTTTCTACATCTGAAGCCCTCAAGAAAAAAAAATATATATAATCTCTTTTTTCTTGCTAACAGGGTCTAATTAGGCAAAGTTAACAATAGGAAGGAAAAGATAACCTGTGGGATGAAATTGAAATATGAGATGTCAGGAAATCCTAATGTGGCATAAATAGTTCTTGCTAAATGACCTTGTACATCTCCTGCTCAGCCTATTTGGTCTTCAACTTGCCATCCATTCTTTGCATATTTAGTACAATTAAACCTGCCATCCTCAAGCTCTAAAAATGAACAACACGCTCCATATGTTCATAGCTATTTTACAAGGGACCAAAAAAATGGCAGACATCCATCCTTGTGTTCACGCCAAAGTGCAATTTGTCGATTGAAAGATATTAGTTGATACAGTGGAAATGGGCTGGAAAACCTCATTTGGCATGCCAACAGAGCTCTTATACAATGATCTCAAATTTTAAAAATAGACCATGGCCAACCTTCAACTCAGAAGTGACTTGGATCAGGCTATTTAGTGCTTATAAAACAGTGACTAAACATGTCATCAGATAAATCCTAAGCAATGTGCATGTAGTGTTCCACTAAAACAAATTCTGTTATTTTTGTTATGCTTGCTTTTGTTTGTTACAGAAGAAAATTATTAGCAATCCCAGAAGGATATATTTCAACTTTTGTCAATTTGGGAATACATTGAGGTCTTAAGTTTTATCATATTCAATTTTTGTATGTTGTACGGCGAGGGAAATTATTAATAGGAACAAATTTATATAAAACCATTTCTTCTGTTCCTGAAATAACTCATAATTTTCAATAACAAATAGAAGCAATCTACTGTGATGAATTTTAAATTAAAAATAGAAGTGGATCTTTAACTTGAGGTAATTGAAGTTGCTATCTAGGATTAGAAAATATGATAAAACTGGATTTAATTTTCCCTCAAAAGAATGTTAACTTATATGTCATAAAAGAAAACGTTTTCTTTTGGTTCATAATATCTGGGAATTGGGGATGTGGAGAGTATAGTTTGGAAGATGAGAGGAGATACTAACCATTACTAATATAGGATAGCTATTATATTATTGGTTTATCATTATAATTAAAGACAAATAGTCACATTTGAAAGAAATGTTTATTAATAAACATACCCCCCATTATTACTGGAACCATGTATAGCATGGGTCATGGAAACAAATTGACAAGAAGAAACCACATAAAGGAATACACAGTCTAGAATTTTATTCTGTACTTAAGACAATGATCTGGATAGAATTAAGAGTAGATTGAAAATGACCTAAGAGTCAATGAACTTAAAAGTAGACCAGTAGATATTTTTTCAATTTGAAAAACAGAACAAAAGGATATTTTTTTTTAATGATTGGTGCCTCAGGACTTATCATGAGACAATATCAGAAATATATTTGGGTTCAAGGGTGGAACAAGATGGCCAAATAGAACACTCCAGCAGTAGTTCCCCCAACAGGAGCACCAAATTGAACAACTGTCTGTACAAGAAAGCACCTTCATAAGAATCAAAAATCAGGTGAGCGATTACAGTCCCTGGTTTTAACATCACATCAAGGAAAGAGGCAGTGAAGAGGGTAGGAAAGACAGTCTTGAATTGCTAACACCACCTTTCTCACATCCATCAGCAGCAGCCACATGGCATAGAGAGAGTGTGTGCTTGGAGGAGAGAGAATGCAGTGACTGTGGGCTTTGCATTGGAACTCAGTGCTGCCTTGTCACAGTGGAAAGAAACATGGGGTGGAATTCAGTTGGTGCCCACAAAGGGAACATTTAGATCAGCCCTAGCTAGAGGGGAGGTGTCCATCCCAGCAGTCAGAACCTGAGTTCCAGCTAGCCCCACAACCATGGGCTGAATACCCTAGATTCCCATATAAACTTGAAAGATAGCTAGGCCACGAGGCCTGCAATTCCTAGGGAGGTCTTGGCACTGTGTTGGGCTAGGAGCCAGTGGACTTGGAGTGCACATGACACCAGCCAGGGTGGCCAAGCGGGGAGTGTTTGCATCACCCCTTCCCCATCCCAAGGCAGGGCAGTTCACAGGTCCAGGAGAGACTCCTTCCTTCAGCTTGAGGAGAGGAAAGAGTAAAGAGGATATCCAAGTTGTCTTGTAATTTGGATACCAGCTTAGGCAAAGTATCCTAAGGCAAAATAGGGCACCAGGCAGAGTTCTAAGGCCCCCATCCAGGCCCTAGTTCCTGGATATTTTTAGACATACTCTGCCAGAAGGAATCCCACTGCCTTGAAGGGAAGGACCCAGTCCTGGTGGGATTCATCACCTGACTAAAGGGCCACTGGACCTTGAATAAACATCAGTGGTACCAAGGCAGTACTCACCACAGGCCTTGGGTGAGAGCCAGGGCCATGCTGGCTTCAGGTGTGACCCAGCGCATTCCCAGTGGTGGGGCCATGGGAAGAGATTTCTTCTGCTTGAGGAAAGGAGAGGGAAGAGTAAAAGAAACTTTGTCTTGCAGCTAGGACACCAGCTCGGCCACAGTGGGATAGGCCATAGTGGGCCACAGACTCCTGTGGCACATTTCTGCATCTGCCCTGCACCAGAGCCCCCTGCTGCCATGAAGAGACATAACCAGGCCTGGAATCATTTACCACAAGTTGACTGAAGAGCCCTAGGGCCTTCAGTGAACATCAGTAGTAGTCAGGCAATACTTGTCACAGGCCTAGAGTGGTGGGGTCCATGGGAAGAGAATCCTTCCACATAAGGAAAGAAGGGAGAAGAATGGGAAGAAGTTTTTCTTGGGGCTTGGGTGCCAATGTAGCTGAACTAGAATAAAGTCCCAAGTCGATCCCTAAGGTTTCCAACTACAGGCCTTGGCTCCCAGACAGCATTTCTGGACCTACCATGGGCCAGTGGAAAAGTTGCACCCCTGAAAGGAGGGAAACAAGCCTGGCTGGATTCACCATCTGCTTACTGAAGAGCCCTTGGACCTTGAGTGAGCATTAGTGTCAGCCAGGCAATGGCACCTGCAGACCTTGGGCAAGACCCAGTACTGTGCTAGCTTCAGGTAAGACTCAGCATAGTCCCAGTGGTGGTGGCCACAGGGGTGCTTATGTTACCCCTCCCCCAGATCCAGGCAGTTCAGCTCAGAGAGAGAGATTCCATTTGTTTGAGGGAAAGTAAGGGAAGAGAACAAGAATCTCTGCCTGGTAATCCAGGGAATTCTCTGATATCTTACTCAAGACCAACAACACAATGCCTCTATGAACCTGTAAGAGTCACAGCATTACTAGGCTAGGGGTGACCCCTAATGCACATACAATTGCAGTAACCAAAGATTTAGATCACAACACTGAATTCCCTTTGAATACCTGGAAAACTACCCAAGAAGGATGAATATAAACAAGCCCAGACTGTGAAGACTATAATAATACCTAACTCTTCAGTGCCCAAACATCGATGAACATCCACAAGCGTCAAGACCATCCAGGAAACATGACCTCACCAAACAAACTAAATAAGGTAACTGTGACCAATCTGTGACCTTTCAGACAGAGACTTCAAAATAGCTGTTTTGAGGAAGCTCAATGGAATTCAAGACAAGACAGAGAAGAAATTCAAAATCCTGTGAGATGAATTTAACAAAAAGATTGAAAATGGAAATTCTGAAGCTGAAAAATACAATTGACATACAAAGAATGCATCAGAGTCTCTCAACAGCAGAATTGATCAAGCAGAAGAAAGAATGAGCTTGAAGACAGGCTATTTGAAAATATACACAGTCAGAGGATAAAAAAGGAAATTTTTAATGAAGCACACCTACAGGATCTAGAAAATAGCCAAAAAAGGGAAAATCAAAGAATTATTGGCCTTAAAGAGGCAGTAGAGAGAGAGATCGGGGTAGAAAGTTTATTCAAACAAATAATAATGGAGAACTTTCCAAACCTAGAGAAAGATATCAATGTTCAAGTACAAAAAGATTATAGAACACCAAGCAGGTTTAACCCAAATAAGAATATCACAAGGCATTTAGTAATCCAACTCCCAAAGGTTGAGGATAAAGAACAGATTCTAAAAGCAGCAAGAGAAAATAAATAACATACAAAGGTGCTCCAATATGTCTGGCAGAAGACTTCTCAGTGGAAACTTTACAGATCAGGAAAGAGTGGATGACATATTTAAAGTGCTGAAGGAAAACAAACAAACAACCCTTTATCCTGGAATCTAGTAAAAATATCCTTCAAACATTCAAACATGAAGGAGAAATAAAGATTTTCTGAGACAAGCAAAAGCTGAGGAGTTTCATCAGCACCAGAACTGTCCTACAAGATGGTAAAGAGAGTTCTTCAGTCTAAAAGAAGAGGACATTAAGAAGCAATAAGAAATCACCTGAAGGTACAAGACTCAGCGGTAATAGTAGGTACACAGAGAAACACAGATTATAACTCTGTAACTGTGGTGTGTAAACTACTAATATCTCGATTAGAAAGACTAAAAGATGAACCCATCAAATATAATAATTACAAAAATTTGAAGACCTAGACAATATAATAAGATATAAATAGAAACAAGAAACAGTTCAAAACCAGGAGAGATAAAGTTAGAGTGTTTGTTAGTTATCTCTTTTTTTGTTTGTTAGTCCATTTGTTTGTTTTGGCAATCAGGGTTATGTTGTCATCAGTTTAAAATAATGGGTCATAAGATGTTATTTGCAAGCCTCATGATAACCCCAAGTCAAAAAACATACAACAGACAAAAAAATAAAAAGCAAGAAGTTAAAACATACTGCTAGAGAAAATCACCTTCACAAAAAGGAAGATAGGAAGGAAAGGAAAAGGGAAGAAAAGACCACGAAACACCCAGAAAACAAATAACAAAGTGGTAGGAGTAAGTCCTTACTTACCAATAACAACATTGAAAGTTAACGGATTAATCTCTTCTTTCAGAAGACACGGATTGGCTGAATGAATGGATTAAAAATAAGACCCAAGATTATATTGCCTACAAGAAAAACACTTAGCCTATAAAGATACACATAGACTGAAAATAAAGGGATAAAGATATTCCATGCAAATGGAAACACAAAAAAAGGGCAGGAGTAGCTATACGTATATCAGACAAAATAGATTTCTAGATAAAAACTATAAAAAGAGACAAAGAAGGTCATTATATGATGATAAAAGGGTCAATTCAGCAAGAGGATGCAACAATTGTAAATATACGTGTACCCAACACTGGGCCAGGTGAGCAGCAGTTGAGCGAGCAAAGCTTCATCTGTATTTACAGCTGCTCCCCATCACTAGCATTACTGCCTGAGCTCTGCCTCCTGTCAGATCAGTGGTAGAATCAGATTCTCATAGGAGTGTGAACCCTATTTTGAACTGCATACAAGGGATCGAGGTCACAAGCTCCTTATGAGAATTTAAGCTTGATGGTCTGTCACTGTCTTCCATCACCCCCTCATGGGACCACCTACTTGCAGGAAAACAAGTTCAGGGCTCCCACTAGTTCTACATTATGGTGAGCTGTATAATTATTTCATTATGTATTACAATGCAATATTAATAGAAATAAAGTACAAAATAAATGTAATGTGCTTGAATCATCCCAAAACCATCCCCCTCACCCCCATTCCATGGAAAAATTGTCTTCCATAAAACCAGTCAAAGACGTTGGGGACAGCTGTTTCACTATGTCTTATAAGTTTTGGTATGTTGTATTTTGTTTTGATTCTTCTCTAAGTGTTTTCTAATTTCCCTTGTAATTTCTTTCTTGATACATTGATTACTTTAGAGTGTGGTGTTTAATTTCTATAAATTTGTGAATTTTCCAGTTTTTCTGTTGTTATTGATGTATAACTTCACCCTATTGTGCTCACAGAAGATACTTTGCATGATAACAATGTTTTCTGATCTGTTGAAATTTAATTAGTGGCCTAACATGTTGGTTTACACTGGAAAATGTCCCAGCTGCACTTGAGACAATTTTATATGCTCCTGTTGTTGCTTACATCTGTTAGATCTAGTAGGTTCATTGTGGTTTAAGCCCTATGTCCTTACTTGCCTTTGGTGTGGTTTTTCTCTCCATTATTGACAATGGGTATTGATGTCTCCAACTAGTATTGTACAACTATTCCTCCCTTCAATTCTATCAGTTTTTGATTTATATATTTTGATGGTCTGCTGTAATGTGTGTAAATACTTATAAATATTATGTCTTCTTGCTGTATTGAAATTTTCATTAGTATATAATGTCCTTCTTTGTCTCTTGTAATGTGTTTTAATTTAAAATCTATTTGGCCTAATTAATATAGCCACCCTTGCTCTCTTTTGGGTAACAGTTGCATGGAATATCTTTTTCCATCTTTCCACTTTCAATCTATATCTTTGGATTTAAATGGAGTCTCTTATAGACAAGGTATAGTTTTGTGTTTTTTGGTTTTCTTTTTAGATGGAGTCTCGCTCTGTCACCTAGGCTGGATTGCAGTGATGTGATCTCGGCTCACTGCAGTCTTCACCTCCCAGGTTCAAGTGATTCTTGTGCCTAACCCTCTCAAGTAGCTGGGATTACAGGCATGTGCCACCATGCCAAGCTAGTTTCTTTATAGTAGAACCGGGTTTCACCATGTTGACTAGGCTTGTCTTGAACCCCTGACCTCAGGTGATCCACCCTCCTCAGCCTCCCAAATTGCTAGGATTACAGGCATGAGCCACTGTGCCCAACTAGACAATGTATAGTTGGTCATATGTTTTTATCCATTCTGCCAATCTTTTTATTGGAGAATTGAATCTATTTACACTTAAAGTAATTACCAATAAGTAGGGATTTTTAGTTGACCCTTGAACAACAATGGAGTTATGGGCACTAACCCCCCATGCAGTTGAAAATTTGTGTATAATTTTGACTCTACAAAACCTTAACTATTAATAGCTTAGTGTTGACTGGGAGCTTTACCAATAACATAAGCAATTAACACATATTTTCTATATTGTATGTATTGTATACTATATTCTAATAATAAAGTAAGCTAGAGAAAACAAAATGCTATTAACAAAATCATAAGGAAGTGAAAATATATTTAGTATTCCTTAAACGGAAGTGGAACATCATAAAGGTCTTCATCTTGGTCAATTTCACATTGAGTAGGCTGAGGAGAAGAAAGAAGAGGGGATGGTCTTGCTGTCTTAGGCATGGCAGATGCAGAAGATGTGGACGAGGTGGAAAAGGAGACAGGAGAGGCAGAAACATTTTGTGTAACTTTGAAAAACAATCTGCATAGGAGTGAACCTCAACAGTTCAAACCCGTGTTTTTCAAGGGTCAACTGTACCTCTGTCACTTTTCTATTTGTCTTCTATTTTCCCTATAGTAGTTTTCCCTAATTTCCTGCATTATTTTCTTATTTGTGTTGTTTTTTGTAGTGAAATATTTAAATTTCCTCTTCATTTCCTTTTTCGTGTTTTTGGTAACTATTTTCTTGGTGGTTATTATGGGCATTACATCTAACATCCTGAAGTTACAACACTCTAATTTGAATTCATACCAGCTTTCCTTCAATAACATATAAATCTCTGCCCTTTACAACTTTGCCTCATGCCCTCTTGGTTGTTGATATCACAAAATTACATCTTTATACACTGTATATTCCCAAAATTAAAGTGATAATTGTAATGCATTAGTTTTTAAAGTTATGTAAAAAACTAAATCTGCAGTTGCAAACCAAACTTACAATTGTACTATCTTTTAGAGTAATAATTTATTTTTTAGTGTATTAGTACTTAAATCAAGTAGAAAACAAAAAGTGGAGTTAGAAACCTTTGTACAATAATACTTACTATCTTTTATACTTGCACATGTATTTACTTTTATTGAGATTTTTTTTTTCATATGGCCTCAAGTTACTTACTGTCTAATGTCTTTTCATTTTACCCTGCAGAACTCCTTTAAGCATTTCTTGCAGAGGAAGTCTACTCATAATCAATTGACTCAGGTTTGTTTATCTGGGAATATTTAATTTCTCCCTTACTTTTGAAGGACACTTTTGTCAGATATAGAAATTTTGGATGACAGCTTGTTTTAGGACTTTGAATGTATCATCCCACTGACTTCTGGCCTCCAAAGTTTCTGATTAGTAACCTGTTCATAATCTTATTGAGAATAACTTCAATATGATGAGTTCCTTCTCTTTTGCTATTTATAAGATTTTCTCTTTCTTTTGAAATTTTGATTATAATTATAATGTGCCTTGCTATGGCTTTTTTTTTTTTGAGTTCATCTTATTTGGATATATTGAGCTTGGATATTTATATCCATGTCTTTAATCAAATTTGGGAGGTTTTCAGCCTTTATTTCTTTAATTATTCCCTCTGCTCTTTTCTCTGTCTCTTCTTCTGAAACTTCTACATTGCATATACTGATCTGCTTCATGGTGTCACAGTTTGCTTAGGTTCTGTTCACATTTCCTCAACCATTTTTTTCATTTTGTCCCTCAGACTTGATAATTTCCATTGCCCTATCTTCAAGTTCATGGATTCTTCATCCTCAAATCTGCCTTTGAATCCCTTTAGTTAAGTTTTTATTTCAGTTATTGTATTTTTAGCTCCAGAATTTATTTTTGGTTTATTTTTAGCATTTTTTAAAATTACTTTCTTGATATTTCCATTTTGTTCATACATTGTTTTTTTTTTTTAATTCTCTATACTTTCTTTTAGTTTTTTGAAAATCTTTTAACAGTTTTTGTTTGTTTGTTTAAGTCTTTGTTTAATAGATGTGCCACAGGTCTTTTTCAGGGACAGTTTTTGTTGTTGTTTTAATCTTTTGAATGAGTCATATTTCCTTGCTCCTTTGTGTGGGTCATATTTTCTTGCTTCTTTGTATATCTTATGATTTTCTTGTTCAAAACTTGACATTTGAATCTAATAGTGAGGTAAATCTGAAAATAAGATTCTTCCTTTTAGGGTTTCCTGCTTTTGTTACTGTTTTTTGGTTTGGGTTTTATTTTTTTTATTGCTATAGGCCTTCTCTGTGCCAAAGATCAGCATGCGGTGTAAACGTAAGGTCTTCTCAGGGCTTTTCTAAGCTTGTGCCTTTCTCTAAGCATGTGTGGTCACTTTCTAATTTTTTCTGTGTCTTTCTCTTTTGTGCTTTTCAATCTTTTGCTTGCCTTTCATGTACGGCTCCCAAAGGAGGAAAAAGAAAAAAATAAACAGGAATAAAATGTACTACCCCTTTATATCTGAAAGTCATCTTAGCCGAGGGAGGTGTCTTTATCTGTACCTCTGTGATCAGAAGCAGCAATCAGCAATCAGAGCACAGTTCCTGATATTTGGAGGGCAAGGTCTTTTTTGGCTACCCTGGCTCCCACAAGCTGTGTGCAAGCTGCACCAGGAACAAGTGCACAGCTGCCTGCCACAGAGCTGAGAGTGAGGGATGGTTAGCTGCTACCGTGCTAAGATCTGAAATCAACTTCAATTTATCATCTAAACCTATCACTGAATATTGCAATTCTTCAGTAGACTTCAGATTTCCAAATTAGTTACATCAGACAGACTCTGCCAGTGCAATTGTTGCCTAGATGGGAAGACAGATTCCTGGTTCTTTCTACTCCACTATCTTTACAGAATTCTCTGTATAATGATATTTGGTATTTTATTTCAGATTTGATGAAAACATAATTTGAATATTAATTTTAAAATTTATTCAAATGTTGTCAATGAACATTGTCAGACATTTTGCAGCATTTCTTTATATTGTTTAAAATTTTGTGGTCAGGATAAATTTTATTCCTTTCTTTTTCTTTAATTTTGTGTCTGGTTTGGAGAAGGGATGAAATCATATATCATTGTTTCACACTGGGAATCTAATAAGATTATGACCACATGAATTTTCTTCTGCATTATTTAACTTAAACCACGTTTGGTTAATACAATTCGAGAAAATAAGATGCATTTAGAAGATAATGTATGTAACTCTAAATGAAATCAAAGGAATCAACTATATAGGACATAATCTCATGTAGTATTTATATAGTATAAGGAGAAAAATAATGAAGTAAACAAAAACATTTATTTTGCTTGTCAACTTTTACTATCTCCCCTCATGCATTCTATGACTACTCAGCTACTGTCGACCCTAAAGTGCTTTTACCTATGCTTATGTTGGCTCTATTAGCTCAGTGAAGTATCTCTGTAGGAGACATTACTCAGCTCAATTCCATCAATTGGATGTGCCCTTTTGAGTTGTTTTCCCAATACTGTGATTGTTATGCACCTTGCTGAGTCTTCCATCCAATGGAGATCAAGGATCGCTTTGTTTTCTACATCTACTAGGAGGCTCATTCTTTTTAGTGTAAACAACACAAAAATTTCATAGGCATGCATCATTTATAGCACAATCTAGGCAGCCGGCCTCATTAATGTGTACACCTAGAGTTGCTGTAACTATCAGTAAGAAACCGTGTTAATAAATAGCTTTGTTTATTTCACCTGCTAGGCTCTAATAGCATCCCCAAAGTAATCTTGATCTAACAGCTTGAGTCTTTTGCAAAAATGATCAAGTGATCAAGTCTTTTTAACACACAGATGTAAATTTCAGTGCTGTGCAGGATGCCAGGTTCAGGAACAGTTGCCATGAATAGCAACAGAAATTTAATATGAATCATACAGTTCGGCTTGCGTCTTAGTCTGTTTTCTGTTGCTTATAACATAATACCTGAAACTGGGCAATTTAAAAAGAATTTATTTCTTACAGTTATGGAGGTTGAAAAGTAGAAGGTCAAGGGGCCACAGTTCATGAGGGCATTCCTGCTGGTGGGACTCTGCAGAGTATCAAGGTAGTGCAGGGTGCCATGTGGCAAGAAGTTGAGCATGCTAGCTGGCATCTATCTTTTTATAAAGCCCCAGTCCCATGAAAACCCATTAATCCATCAACCCATTAATTAATTAATTCATTAATCTGTGAATGGATTAATCCCTTCATGAGGAAAGAGCTCTCATGACCCAATCACTTTTTAAAGGCCCTACTTCTCAATACTGCCACTTTGGGGATTAAATTTCAACATGAGTTTTGAAGGCAATAAACATTAAAACCATAGCAGCTTGAGTATACCCACTAACAGATTTTTAAGTCATTACACTATATCTAAAAGAAATGAGGCAGTGGACCTAAAGGAAATCAGAAAGTTTACCTAAAAACCTGTTTTTATTCATTCAGAAAATATTTCATGAAGATCTAAGATGCTCAGGTTATGTGAGCCACTGAAGAAAAAGTACTAAATAAGTTTGACATCATCTTTGCCTTCATGAAATGTATATTTTGGTAAAGGAGAAAAACAGCTAAGTACACAAACCACTTCATTATGACACAATAAAATACTTCAATGTGGAATGAGAGTGAGTAACTTGGAGATTTACATCTGTTTCTCATTTTCACAGAAGTCAATGGCCCTAAATAACTAATGATTGAGTTTAATAGAGATTAATATATATAATTTTGATATTCAGTATTGCCAATCAGCTTATTTATGAGCATGCGCACATGTGAATTATTTTACATTATGGTTCTGTGATAAAAATCACAATACATTATAGCTCAATCTTTATTATTAAAGATAAAACACCTCACATGCGATATTTAGAATTAAAATTTAGAAAATGAGAAAGTTAAGGTTTTCATAATATCTAATTATTTTACATTTATTATTTATTTATAAATTTAGCCTCTTTATACGTTAGGACAAATAGTAATTTAAGAATGTTATATGTATATGTTTATGGGCTACTGAGAGAAAGTGTAATTGTTATTATTTCAGGTTGTTTAATTTAATGTTGGAACCTTAATATATTGTGTTAATGTCATTTAGGTATACTTTGTTTCATGCTATTTTTTGAAAAAATACAGCAATAAGTACCCTGTGGGTTAATTGAATCCATAGTTGAGCATTTACACATTAATTAACTTGAAGGAAAGTCTATTGAAGTATGCAAACTACTGAGTCAAGGTGTCAATTTTATTTTTCTTTTAATCAGATGGTCCAATCTGTGAAAGTGTTTATGGTCCTAGTTAGTAAATTTATTTACTAGTTAATAAACTAGTTAGGAAGTTTATTAAGTGTATTAAGTTTATTAAGATTACTGCAATGCTCCTGACAAAAAGGAACAAAATCTGTTTGAAATGGAAGTAATTTAATTATTTATAGAATTTAAGAGTAATTTATTATTGTTATACTTTGCAGGTTTTGCTTTTTCTAGAAGTGTAATTTACTTAGTATAAGAGATAATGTGGAGGTGTTAATAAGGTTAAGAACTCTCTACACACAACAACAGTTCTTAAACACCACATGTAAGAGATTTTAATAGAAAACATCAAAAGCCATAATTATGCCACATTGCCCCTGCAATATATATATATATATATATATATATATATATATATATATATATATATATATATATATATATATATAAATCTCAGATGCTACAAAAACTAAAGTAAATTATTTCTACAGTTATATAAGTTTATGTATTAATTTTTTTTTCTAAAATCCTAACTAAGTTTTAAGCACCCATTTGAAATGCAGGCTTATGGGGCAACCACTGGCCTGCAAATTTGAGTACCAGGGTTAGACATCTCACAAATTCCCCCTGGTTTACTTATCTCATTATAAAAGAATTGGGTAGGTTAATAATTAACCTCAAGTCTCTTTTAGCAAATCAATGTTGCAATCCACAGTGGCATGCTAATTTGCTTTTTCATTTTTGAATTTTATGTATTTTACTGTTTAAAAAAGAACCTCTGAATTAGAAATGGAAAACAGTATGGCAACTCTTCAAAACATTAAAAATATAATTACCATATTATCTAGTAATTCCACTTCTAGATATATACCCAAAATAATTGAAAGCAGGGACTTGAATGGTTATTTGTGTACCAGTGTTTGTAACACCAATATTAACAGTAGCCAAAAGAAGGAAGCAACCCAAATGTCCATTAAAAGATGAATGGATAAACAAAGGTGGTATACACATACAATTGAAAAATATACATCCTTAAAACAGAAGGAAATTCTTACACATGCTATAACATAGATTATCCTTAAGGACAGGAGGCTAAGTGAACTAAGTCAGTCACGAAAGGAGAAAGGATGTATAATTCCACTTATATGATGTACCTAGAATAGTCAAATTCATAAAGACAGAAAGTAGAATAGTGGTTTGCAACGGCTGGGAGAGGACAAAATGGGGAGCTCCTGTTTAATGGGTATGAAGTATCAGTTTGGGAAGATGGAAAATGTTCTGGAGATAGATAACAGTGATGGCTACATAGTAGTATAAATGTCCTTAATGTTACTGAAGTGTATGCTTAAAAATAATTTAAACGGTACATTTATGTTGTTTATATTTTACCATGAAAAAAAGAGTTCTGAATTAGTGGGAAATTTTTGAGAAAAATTACGAGGACACAGAGAAAGCCAGAAGGGAGTCTAATTTTAGCAATTATTTTTTAAGGGGATTTTATGCTAATATGGTAGAACCTGTTAGTGTTACCCAAACCAATTTTTTGGAGTTTTAGTTTTTTTTTTTTTTTACATTTGACATAAACAGTAATTTTCTCCTCATTCTGTTATAAGTATTTCAGGAGACATCAAGAAAGCAGGGCAAATTTGAGGTATAGATAAAAATAAGGCAGACAAGTATTCTTTATGTAACACAGTTCCTTAGAATTATGTCACAGCTAGCAAAATTTCAAGGAAAAAAATCTAATCTTCATGATTAGAGTCATGTTTTAAAAGAGTATGCAAAACAGTTACAATATAAAAACATAATTTATTTCTATGCAACTCTGGAGACTTGAATTTAAATGAATATTAATTACCATAGTAACTGTAATTATTCGCCCTCAGCAAAATCAAAGGGAACAATTTCTAAAATAAAAAAGTCCTATTTAAATAATGTGTGATTTATTTTAGAATATGTTTGGAATTTACTTTTAAAAGTACATTTTTAAAACTTACTGATTTCTTAAAATTTAGAAAATTATTTTTTGGCAATAACTTGAAGAGATTAGTGAAGCACAAATTGAAGACTTAAACTTGAGGTGTCTAGGCCTTTTAAAACTATTGTAAGCAACTTTTCCATTCTAAAAACATACCTTCTCTCAGGTTGATTTAGGCTTTAAACAGAAGAGTCAAGATGTTTAAGTTCCAAAAGACTCTGCTGAATCCAAAGGAATAGGAGAATTGCATGTTAACAAAACACATTATCAATAACTTAGTAACTAGACCTGCTCTACTTGATATACAGAATGCAATCACGGAAAATGAAAGATGTAGATATATTCACCCTATAATGATTCAAAAGGCAAATGAATATCTCTTAAATTTTGTGTAAGAAGCTATTATCATAATCATATTCATTTAGAACTTCTACAGTACGATGTTGATTTTACTTAGATACATTTTTAAAGACTTTTAAAAAAAATTGGAATAAAGAGGTTTCAAAGAGATTAAAGCAGTAGATGAGCCTCGAGTTCTATAATATTCTATTTTATTTCTTCCAAATACTACCCTACAGACATCATTAGCAAAATGTTTAAAATATTATGACAGGAAAAATCATAAAGACTTTTTTTTTTTTGAGATGGGAGTCTCACTCTGTTGCCAGGCTGGAGTGCTATGGCGTGATCTCGGCTCACTGCACCCTCTGACTCCCTGGTTCAGGGGATTCTCCTACCTCAGCCTCCTGAGTAGCTGGCACACGCCACCACACCCAGCTAATTTTTGTATTTTTGTATTTTTAGTAGAGACGGAGTTTCACCATGTTGGCCAGGATGGTCTCGATCTCCTGACCTCGTGATCCACCTGCCTCGGCCTCCTAAAGTGCTGGGATTACAGGCGTCAGCCACCGTGCCCAGCCAGGACATTTTTATAGATTACAATTTTTTACTCATCTATTTGCGGTAAATGGACAAAAGCTCCATCTTTGTGATTTTCATGTAAACAATTCCTGACTGAATTTAAATGAAAGGTAACTTTAGGTTTGTTTCCTTGGTTAATTTTTTTCAGTTAGAACTAGTCTGTTTTGATCATCCCTAGGTTAAGGGGTTTGCTTTGGTTTTCAACAACTTTGCTTTGCAAGATGAAAAAGAATCTTACCCTTTGGGAGGAGTAAGATTCAGCCACTCAGTGGAGTAAAACTCTTAACTGCTACAATTCGGATTAAAAATTCATATTGCACCATCAAAATTTCTCTCTCACAACAGTTAGGGAAATATACTCACAATTAAGCAGACTATCTCTATATCAGCCTGAGAAAATTCTGTACGGTATTGTTGTTTTCGCTTATGTTGAGATACCACATAGATTTAAGGTCTTTCTAACTAAAGAAACCTACACATTGTGATTTATTGATCCTTTGTATTTCCCTCTAAATCTAGATATTCACATTTTTTCTGATTTTTTCGTATTCTGTGCAGTTTTACTTTCTTGTATACTAATAAAAGCAATATGTTGGGTGGAACACTTTAATTAATTAATTACTTCAGCAAATATTTATTCAGCATCTACTGTATATCAGGCAGCATTTGTGGTACTGACCACAATGCCCTAAGTCAATCCAGAAGGCAACGTTTAAAATTTTTCAGCTATGGAAGATTTAAGGTTGTAAAACCGTCTTTTAAAATTACATAATAGATTAGATCATTTCAGTAATTAACAGAAGTCCACTGTGGTCATATATACATGTGTGGAAATGCTACCTCTGAGTAGGTTTATTGTTAATACAGTCACTAATCTTAGACTAAATTAATAGCACATCACCATGGAACACACAATTACTGTTTTTTTTTTTCTCACTTCCCTGTGAAAAGAGGGGAAAGAACAAGGATAAGCAATAATCAGACATGATAGTGAGTAAAGCCAAGAAAAAGTGTATGTTTGGAAAACCTTAAAAAAACAAAGCAATTGATTATGATTATGTACTTATGTAGAATATACAAAACCTTGGATTGTAAGTCCAGAAACTTTGGTAAGTGCTACCTCTCGCCCTTGTTTGAAAACGGCATACCCTTAAATTCCTTTATTTCATTGAACTTCTTTTCTGTTCCTATGAAATGAAAGTAAGAAGAGCTGCATTTACTAAGCACTTACCACATGCCAGGAACTATTCTCAGCGCTTTACACGTATTGATTCATTGAATTCTCACAACACTGCAGGAGGAGATATTACCATCCTCTTATGACAGATGAAGAAATAGTGGTAAATAAATTAGGAACTTGTTCAAAGATATGTAGCTGATAAGGAAGGACTCTGAGATTTGAACTCAGTGTGTCTTACTCCAGGACCCATGTTCTTAAGCTGTCAGCGATTTTGTGAGGATACACATAAGATAAAAATAAAATAGCTTTGAAATCTATTGTGTTACATACACTACAGTAATACAGTATTATATTAATGTGTTAACGATTAATACTTTTTCCTTTTTTTATGTGAACCCATTTTTAAAGTAAATAGAGAATAAAGTAGCCCCCTACATCAGCTAAAACCAGGTCACATGCTCAACCCCGGCCTATTCTGCAGCCGTATTGGAGAGAAGCAAGGAGAGCAAGGTCCCAGTATCAATTTCCCTGGCTCACCTCCTGCGTGTTATTTCTGGCTGGTCGTGTCCCTGGGTGGCCGGTGACGGCTTCTTTCGAGGCAGCTTCTCTCTCTCACTCTTCTTTTGGTTTTTTGCCTAACTGCTTACTCCCTTCTCCTAAGTCCGAAGATGGTAACAGTTGTGTTGGGGGGTTGTTTTTATTTATTTTTTTTTTGTAGTTTTCTGTTTCTAGCTTGGAATAAGCCCTGTGGTTCCCCTACAACTTGCTCACACCTTCGTAACCTGCCCCTTTTATAAACTCTTCCTAAATTATCCCAATTTGAATATACTATTTCATATTTGTAACCCAATTGGTATGGTATACTTCCTCTTAGGAAGCATTTTGGGGAGTTTCAGGTTATATTACCAGGTTAATACAACTAGCCAGAATATCTATATTAAATAAAAAGAATAACAAACTATTCCAGTGAAAAGTTGGTCTCTACTTAAGACATATTGTCCTAAAAAAAGTCAATACATTTAAAATATAGAAGGCCAAAAATTAAAAGTAATATAGTCTGTATAACCACAAGCTGACTTCTTCTATCTTCCTTCCTTATGTAACATAACACTACTTTCATGCTTCTTAAATAATTCATTTGTACTTTCACAAGTTCAAGGTGCTGACTTCAAAGCTCAAAATTTACATGTTCTTTATTTGACAACATTACTGTATGTTGATAAACACTGAACCCATCTGGAATATTGCAAGCCTTTCCCTAATAATATTATAAAGAATTGAATGCCAGAAACTATCTTTTGTTCTGAGACAAATGTCAGTTAATCTTAACAGGAAAACCTTTTAATTTCTATGGTCTTAGTTGTGTTTTATTATTTGAGAAAAGAAAATATGCTAGTCTACACAGACATTAAAATGAGAGACTATGTCATTTCTTTTTCTCTTAAAAGGTATTATGTGAATAATTTTGAAACATATTTAGTTATTTATAAATATGATAAAGAAGTCAACAATACTTCATCGTGTATAAATTTATGGAATTTGAAAATATAAATGCTTATGCAAAAATAAATATAGCATTTTGTTTTCATGAACCATATTGCATAACTATTGATTTTCCTTATTAAAATACAAAATAGGTCAACCTATCTATCATAACAACCATATATATGAGTCAAAGCTAATAAAATATATTTATGGTACTTATATTTGCTACACTTATTTATCGAAGAATTTAACCTGTTTCAATGATGATATATCTTCAGAATGAATGAATTAATGAAATAACATTTAAAAGCCTTTTTGAAATTCCAAATTCACCCATTACCCTCTTTAAGAATCTCTAGACAGGCATGTAGGTAAGCATTTATTACTTCATTTATCCATTTATTATTTGTACATATAGGTATTAGGTGCTTATTATATGCCACGCACAGTCCCAGGTGCTTGTGACAATGATCACCACTATGCCCAAGTGTTGGAAACATAAGATAAAAAAGTATATAATGAATAAATAAAGTATTTACTCCTTGTGATTACTATTATAAGGAAAATAACCTGGTTGCTATGACATATAGGTTGACCTGTTTTGTATGCAAAGGTTAAAGAAAAAAGATCTGATATCTAAGTTTATTTCTGAAGAATGAGAATAAACCGGCCATATGAACAGCATTCCAAAAACGAGAAGAAACATGTGCAATGTCCCTGAGCTGGGAAAAGAGTTTTCCATGTCTTAACAGAGTACACTTGTAGTCAGACTACAGTGAATGATGGAACAAAGTGTCATGATATAACAATGAAATTTTGGGCTCCTGGAGGCCAGAACATGCAAGTAATAGATTTGGATTATATTTTAAGTTCTTTTTGGAAGACACTGAAAGTTTCAAATGGGAAGTTACATTAACTCTTTGGAGATGAGTCTAGCAGCTATATTAAGGGGTCAAGTGTGAAAGGACCAGTTACAAGTTCAGTCAAGATGGAAAGGTGGCTTGGACTGGAGTGGTGGCAGTGGACATATAGAAAAGTGGGTGGAGGCAGATGTATTTTGTTAGTAGACCTGACAGGATTTGTTGACAATGGCTTGAATATGTAGGGTTAAATAAAATGTAGGAGTCCTAGTTAATTCCAAATTTTCGACTTTAGCAACTGGGTAAATGGTTGTTCCAGATACTGGCGTGGGGAAAGCTGTGGGAGCCTCAGGGATGACTGGTTTGGTATGAGCTTCTTGCCTTTAACCTGAAATTGCTCTCATCTTGTTTTCCATTCCTTGCTCACGGGACTTCCCTTCTCTTATGTGATCCCTGAGTTTCACTGATTGATACAATGAAACAATTCATGGATGTAATATAATTTATCTGGCTTCTTTATAACATTTATATACTGATAATCAATATATGTCCTTCCTATATTTTGTATGTGGTAAATAATATCTAGACTTATAGCTCCAGTTATTTACCAAATTTAGGAGTATACTACTTTTATTATCAGCCTGCTAATATATAACAGCAATCTACCAGATACAAAAAAATCAAAGTTTTCAATCTTTTATTCTTTCCATAAAGATGGTAGCTTTTAAAAAGCAGAATTCTTATATAACATTTTAGTCCCTACAGAATAAGAAAAAACTTTTTTATTGATTTGGAATTTAAAGAAAAGCATTAATGTGATTGATCTACCTCTGCCCTACAATCTCCACCCTCTCTTCACGTTTTTAGCCATGCAGCATTTACAACTCGTATGGTAGCAAAATCAACTCAAATTGAGGTTTGGGTTTATAATTTACTACTTGTGATAACTGAATGGTTCACAAACAGAGACATTACTGCTTCCATTAATGGAGATGATTTGATTCTTCCAAGAGTAACTCATTTTCCTGAAAATTAGCACAAGAAGAAATAATAATTGCTTCTTCATTCATTCATTCATCTAGCATATAAGCATACTTACTATATGCCAACTGTAGAAATATAAATATAAATAAGGAAAGTCCTTGACCACAAAAAATTCTTGTATAACATGGAAAAAGTATGGCTCAACATGTTTGTGTGCTACTTTTTTCCCCACCTATAAATAGCACTACTATATTATGGAGATATCCAGCAAGTTAGCTGTGCTTTATAATATACACACCATGTCAGGTCAAAGTATATATGAGAGTGAATTTCAGGGTTCCTGTTAGACAATATTCATTAAATGTCAAATAATAACAGTATTAGATTAAAAACTATTGAATCTAAAGGAAAAGAGGAAAACATGTAGTGGCTATAATATATTTAAGGTTTTTTATTTTATTCTATTTTATTGGCTTTAACATGACATGCCCAATTTCATACAGGATGACAAATGAACATTTTCTAGCACCTAATCTGTGCTAAGCTTTGTACTATGTGAATTATAAGTGTTATTTGACTTATATCTTTAAAACAATATTATAGGGCTGCAATTATTATAATCACCATTTTTTCAAAGGAGAATCTAAAGTTCAAAGAGGTGGGAATAAGATTAAGAGTTTTTGCAGGATGATGTAGCTAATGAGAGGTAGAGCTGGGATGTGAGGCAAGAATGTCTGGCTCCAGTCTATTATCAATCTTCTGACTTATTTCTTCTCTTGAGTACTTGTTGATTTCTGGGCTCATAAGGAGTGGGAGATGAAGAGCCTGGTCCTATCTGCACTGAATTTTGCTGTAGCTAAATATGTTTAATTAGTGCAAGAAGATCCACTTTTTTTTTTTTTTGAGGGATTCATTGTTCCTAAAGCTTTTTCGTTACCAATACAAAATTCAGCATGGCATTTTAGGTAATATGTTTTATGCTAAAATTACAATAGATGCAAGCTTTATGTTTTTAAATTTACTTCTTAAAGGTAAGTATATAGACAAAGATGTTGAGAAAGTCAACGCTCATTCATTGTTGGGGTGTTACGGGAAGTCAGGGACCCTGAACAGAGGGACTGGCTGAAGCCATGGCAGAAGAACATAAATTGTGAAGATTTCATGGACATTTATTAGTTCCCCAAATTAATACTTTTATAATTTCTTACACCTGTCTTTACTGCAATCTCTGAACATAAATTGTGAAGATTTCATGGACACTTATCACCTCCCCAATCAATACCCTTGTGATTTCCTATGCCTGCTTTACTTTAATCTCTTAATCCCATCATCTTCATAAGCTCAGGAAGAATGTCGCCTCAGGACGCTGTGATGATTGCGTTAACTGCACAAATTGTTTAAACAATATGAAATCTGGGCACCTTGAAAAAAGAACAGGATAACAGCAATGTTCAAGGAACAAGGGAGATAACCTTAAAGTCTGGCTGCCTGTGGGCCAGGCGGAACAGAGCCATATTTCTCTCCTTTCAAAAGCAAATAGGAGAAATATTGCTGAATTCTTTTTCTCAGTAAGGAACAGCCCTGAGAAAGAGAATGCATGCCTAGGGGTAGGCCTCTAAAGTGGCTGCTCTGGGGACGTCTGTCTTTTACCGTCGTACATAAGGGATGAAATAAGTCCCGGTCTCCCATAGTGCTCCCAGGCTTATTAGGATGAGGAAATTCCCACCTAATAAATTTTGGTCAGAACGGTTGTCTGCTCTCAAACGCTCTCTCCTGATAAGATGTTATCAATGACAATGTGTGTCCGAAACTTCATTAGCAATTTTAATTTTGCCCCGGTCCTGTGATCTCGCCCTGCCTTCATTTACCTTGTAATATCTTATTACCTTGTGAAGCATGTGATCTCTGTGACCCACACCCTATTCGTACACTCCCTCCCCTTTTGAAAATCACTAATAAAAACTTGGTTTTACGGCTTGGGGGGCATCACAGAACCTGCCAACATGTGATGTCTCCCCCGGACACCCAGGTTTAAAATTTTTCTCTTTTGTACCTTTTCCCTTTATTTCTTAGACTGGCTGACACTTAGGGAAAATAGAAAAGGACCCAAGTGAAATGTTGGGGGCTGAATTTGCCTGGATATTGGGGAGCATGTCAATTTGTACAGTCCCTTTGGTGAGCAAGTTAATACGAAGATGTGCATATCCTTCATGCCATCCATCAGTTCTACTTTCAGATTCATACTTTAAACAAATTCCCACATGTGGCTAAGGAGATGTGGACAGAAATGGTCAAGGCAGTATTGGTCTTAATAGCAATAATTTGAAAATGACCTACAAATTATTTACATTTTTTATAGGAATATGTAAACAACCTCTGTTATTGCCATGCAATAAAATATTATACAGCAGTTAAAATGAATGAACCAGATGTGCATGCATTAACACAGGTACATTTGGGAATTTAGAAGTGTAGCTTTGAAGTAAAGACATAATATACATAATATAATCCATTTTAAGTTTAAAAACACTTCAAGCAATGCTAAACTACATAATACAATATATATTATGTTATTACATATCATATATAACATGCATTGTTTAAGTGATCTATCTGTACACTGTTAGCAAACGTAGCTGGACTCCAGGTAAATGGTTAATTTGGGAATAAAAAACGAGATAATTTGATCAAGGAGGTTACAAAAGGGACTCTTTCCTGAAAAGTTTGTGTTTTAATTACACAAAATCAGATGCAAACCAAATTCTTCAAATGGTCCCACTTGTTAAAAGTAGGTGATGATGTATGGATGTCCATTACATTATTGTGCTTTTCTGTTTGTGTATGAAATTTCATAATAAACAGAAGGATGGTACTTGAAATTCTTTTCTTGGCAATATTTTTGTGATTTATATTATCAAACAAATTTGCTTCTCTATTTTTTGTTAGTAATTCCTATTTATGAATTGCAACTTTGGAATGAAAAGTATATTCACAATCCCTCCTAAAAATGTATGTTTTATATGAAGCAACTGTAATAAAATTAGGTACAAACATTTTGGATGAGATACAGTTTTCCATTTCTGTTCGTTTTGTAATTTTTAAAATTATCATGTATATGATCTCACATTTCTGAAATTCAGCCTTACGATGGCAGCTTAGTCATGAAATCACAATCACAATAGTCTGTAAGAATAAGCTGGTGGTATTCCTCTTTTCCACTGAGTCAAGTGGTTGAAAATGTCTAAGTTTCTAGCTACTGTGATTACATTCAATTCTTTGCTAATAAGAAAAGTAAGTCACTTTAAAAGATAAGGTAAGATTAGAATATTATTCCACAGTCATTTACTTTTGAAGTCAGAAAATTGATGCAAGAATGGCTTGTTATTTGAATTCATCAGCCATAAAGTCAGTAACTTTCAGCCTTTTAGGAAGTAGTGTCAGTAATAAGAAATACTGCTTTTGAGATATTACAGTGTGATTTGAAAGAGAGAGGTGATCATTTTTAAAGAAAATATATGATTCTGAGCTTATCTTTTATTGCTATCTTGCTTTATATTACTAAGAATTCATACATTGTAGTAAAATTTTAAAGTCCTGAACTATCTCATTCTATTCCCTTGTGCAATATAAATTTTTTCCCTTCAAAAATTTCATTTGGTTTGATATGTAAAATTGTTGAAAAATAGTTTATATGAAGCCCTTGCTGGATATATAATTCTTATAACAAAAGAAAGTTCTACTTTAAAAAGGTGGTCTTTTGCTTTTGATCTATGACTTTTGTTTCTCACTAGAAGCAAAACTTTTCAAAGCTTTTTCAGAAACCAAAATATGTTCTCCAATTTTATTTTTCTTAGGAAAATAACAGTTATCTGAACTCCTGTTTCTATCAGTACTTCCTATATTAGAATATAGCCTATTGTATATTTTAAGCAACTAAAGTATAAGTTAAGGCAAAGCTCCAAACTTCATATACCTCTCCACACCTATTTCTAAATTAATTTCTACTTTCAGCTGCCCACATCCACAGTTGCTATCCTAACTTCCCTAATCAGCCAGACTCAAAACTTTTACTCTCCTACCCTTTTGCTTCTGTCATCTTTAACACTCACACCCTTTTACCTACTAATCATGAATCAGTTGCCAAATTACCATCTTGTTTTGGTACCTCTTATGATCATTCTTCCCTAGGCCCCGGTGGACTACAGCCTTGGTTACTGCACTAATCTTAATATTCTCCATGATGTCATTCTCTCTTCATCTTGACAAGCCACCTTACACATTAATATCCTTTTTTAGTTTTCATTTTAGATTCAGAGAGTACTTGTGTAGGTTTGTTATAAGGGTATATTGCATAATGCTAAGGTTTAGGGTATGATTGAACCTGTCACCCAGGCAGTCAGCGTCACCCAGGTAGTGAGCACAGTACTCAATAGGTAGTTTTTCAACCCTTGTCCTGCCGCTCGCTCATCCTTATATTAGTCCCATAGTCCCCAATGTCTATTATTCCCATCTTTATGCCCATGTGTATCCAGTTTAGCTTCTACTTATAAAAAAGAATAAAATTATGTCCTTTACAACAACACAGATGCAGCTGGAGGCCATTATCCTAAACAGAAAACCAGATACCACATTACTACTTTTTTACCAAATTTTTCACTACCAGATTTAAATATTTTTCCTATCCTTTAATGATATATACAATTTCT
The DNA here is from genome assembly GCF_000001405.40 of Homo sapiens. Classification (NCBI taxonomy): domain Eukaryota; kingdom Metazoa; phylum Chordata; class Mammalia; order Primates; family Hominidae; genus Homo; species Homo sapiens. The sequence goes on from NC_000003.12 coordinate 97,374,904, forward strand.
GGTTGGGGTTTGAAGAATTTTCATGGTTTGAGTCAACACTTATTAGACCTAATGCTTTTATAGGATAAATATTTATTGAAAACCTACTATGTGTCCAGCGCATGCTAGCACTGGGTACACAAAATTAACAAGGCAAAAATGGTTCTTAGTGTGCTACGTTCTTTAGTCACTATTTTTTCCTATTTCTCCACAAATTAAAGGTTCTCTGTCATTCCCCAGCACAAAACCTGCCAGCTCATGAAGTTTAGAAAACAGAACTATGTTTTCTACATACACTGGTCATCCTATTACAAAGGGCTTTCTTTCTCTCCTTGCAAAATAAAAGGGAAGGGTGTTTTCAGAAACAGTTGTCTTAATCATGAAAAACACTCCCTCCTACTTCTGTTGTGTCTAATATTAGTCTCTTTCACATCACTGAGAAAATACCAGGAAGAAGAATTTCATAAATTCCACAATTATTAGTGTTTTAAACTCTGTAACTAAATGGTAATTTTACCACATTCTCTTCTTACCAAGGCTAGATGGGGAAAGGGACTGAGATGGCAAAAGCTATTGAGCATTATTTATTTTCAGTTATATTGTATAAAGTGACATCTTAATTTTATTTATTTATGCCACAGACAAATTAATCAATTTTTTTCTAACTATAAAAAGGAGACTTAAGAACATAGTTTATGAAGAAAAACGGTCAGTGCATATCCTTGGCAATATAGCTCAGCTTAATTTTTTGAGGAAAATGTATATATCATGTAAATAAATAAAACTGTCTTGAATATTTGAATCCTTACTACAGATATAACATTAATGCTTGAAAATATTAATAATGGAATACTACTCAGCAACTAAAAGGAACTAATGACTAATACATGCCCCAACATGGATGAATACCAGTTTATTAGGCTGAAAGAAAAAGCCCATGAAAAAAGGACTACACACTCTATGATTCATTTATATAGAATTCTAGAAAATACAAACTAACCTATAGTGAAAGAAAGCATGTATGGGGACAGTGGTGGAGGAGGAATGGATTACAAATGGGACAAGCCTAATATTTTGCAGGAATACAAATATCCAGTATCTTGAGTACAAGATGATTTCACAGATGAAAACCTTTATGAAAGATCATCAAATTGTCCAACATATGCAGTTGTACCATAAAAGCCCTTACTACACCACTATGCAATCTATGCATTTAACAAAATTATACTTATATTCCATAAATTTTCACAAATAAAAATAATATATACAGTTTATCATATGTAAGTTATACTTCAATTAAATTAAAGGAAGAAACACTAAATTTTAATAATTCACCCTAATAGTAGAGAGTTATCTCATGATAAATATAATTCCAATTTTCCCTGCAAACATACAATTTTGTTAAAACTAAAGTACAGAATTACTTTTAAAAGGTAAATTGACCTATATGTGGAAGTATTAAAAATGAAATAGGCAGGCTTCTGACTGTAAGATCATCTGGCTAGTAGAACTGGCTGACCACATGTTCCAGTTTCTCTTTATCTACAAATCACATACGAAAACAAAAAAAACAACATGCACAGGAATACAGTCTATTAGGCTAACAGTATGTTATCAGAATCAGAAAGATTCTCTAAATCTCTAAGGCAGAAAGAGATGGATTGAGTAATCTTACTGTTGACTTCTTTTTCTGAAAGAGAGCTTTTGGCTTTTCCCATAGTCTAATTTTGATTCAGAAATGCAAGTTCTAAACCAGAACACTGGACAGTCACTTCTGCACTGGTGGGTGCTGCTTCAATGAGACAGCAAGATTCCTGCTCAGGTCATTATTTTCTACATTCATTGAGGGATTTATACTCAACAGAAAATTAGAAAGTAAGAGAACAATGCTAAGAAATAATGGATTATGCTGAAGGCAAGGTGAGGGAGACAGAAAGTAAGTAATAGTTCATGATTTCATGATGCAGATTCCACATTTTCAGACTGCCAAATACACAGGTCATGGGAATATCAGAATATTTAGTAGAACTATATCTGATAAAAACCATCTGGAATCTGAAAATCCAGGCATATCCACCTGTATTAGCTCAGTGTCTAAGTAAATTAAACCACAACTCACATGGACGAAAGTGGAACAAATATGATTCTCCTGCACTGTGTAATGCTAAATCTTGGAGATAATCCATTAATTGGGAAGTTAACAACAACAAAGGCCATTATGTGACTGATATGGTTTCACTCTGTGTCCCCACCCAAATCTCATCTTGAATTGTCCTCCCACAATTCCCACGTGTTGTGGGAGGGACTCAATAGGAGATAATTTGAATCATACTGTTCTCATGGTAGTGAATAAGTCTCATGATATCTGATAGTTTTATCAGGGGTTTCTGCTTCTGCATATTTCTCATTTCCTCTTGCCACCACCATATAAGAAGTGCCTTTCGCCTCCCACCATGATTCTGAGGCCTCCCCAGCCATGTGGAACTGTAAGTAGAATTAAACCTCTTTTCCTTCACAGTCTCAGGTATTTCTTTATCAGTAGCATGAAAACACCAGACTAATACAGTAAATTGGTATCAGTAGAGTAGGCTGTTGCTGAAAAGATACCTGAAAATGTGGAAGTGACTTTGGAACTTGGTAACAAGCAGAGGTTGGTACAGTTTGGAGGACAAGGAAGACATAAAAATATGGGAGAGTTTGGAACTTCCTAGAGACTTGTTAAATGGCTTTGACAAAAATACTGGTAATGAACGGACAATGAAATTCAGGCTGAGTTGGTCTCAGATGGAGATGAGGAACTTGTTGGGAACTGGAGCAAAGGTGACTCTTGTTATGTTTTAGCAAAGAGACTGGCGGCATTTTGCCCCTGCACTACAGATTTGTAGAACTTTGAACTTGAAAGAGATGATTTAGGGTATCTGGCAGAAGAAATTTCTAAGCACCAAAGCTTTCAAGAGGTGACTTGGGTGCTGTTAAAAGCACTCCACTTTAAAAGGGAAAGAGAGCATAAAAGTTTGGAAAATTTGCAGACTGACAATGTGATAGAAAAGAAAATCCCATTTTCTGAGGAGAAATTCCAGCTGCCAGCAAATATTTGCATAAGTAATGAGGAGCCAAACATTAATCCCCAAGACAATGGGGAAAATGTCTCCAGGGCATGTCAGAGACCTTTGCAGCAGCCTCTCCCTTCACAGACTTGGAGATCTAGAAGGAAAAAATGGTTTTATGGGCAGGGCCCAGGGTCCCCATTCTGTGTGCTGTCTAGGGACTTGTTGCCCTGCGTCCCAGCCCCTTCAGCCATGGCTGAAAAGTGCCACCACAGAGCTCAGTCTGTGGCTTCAGAGGATGCAAGCCCCAAGCCTTGGCACCTTCCACATGGTTCTGAGGCTGTAGGTGCACAGAGTCAAGAATTGGGGTTTGGGAATCTCTGCCTAGATTTAAGAAAATATATGGAAATGCCTGGATTGTACATTTGCAGGGGAGGGCTCTCATGGAGAACCTCTACTAGGGCAGTGCGAAAGGGAAATGTGGGGTCGGAGCCCCCACGCAGAGTCCCTCCCGGGGCACCACCTAGTGGAGCTGTGAGAAGAGGGCCACCATCCTCCAGACCCCAGAATGGTAGATCCACCTACAGCTTGCACTGTGCACCTGGAAAAGCTGCAGACACTCAATGCCAGCCCATGAAAGCAGCCAGAAGGGAGACTGTGCCCTTCAAAGCCACAGGAGCAGAGCTGCCCAAGACCATGGGAACCCACCGCTTGCATCTGTGTGACCTGGATGTCAGACCTGGAATCAAAGGAGATCATTTTGGAGCTTTAAAATTTGACTGCCCCATTGGATTTCAGACTTTCATGGGCCTTGTAACCCATTTGTTTTGGCCAATTTCTCCCATGTAGAACGGCTGTATTTGCTCAGTACTTGTACCCCCATTGTATCTAGGAAGTAACTAGCTTGCTTTTGATTTTACAGGCTGATGGGCAGAAGGGACTTGCCTTGTCTCAGATAAGATTTTGGACTGTGTACTTTTGGGTTAATGTTGAAATGAGTTAAGACTTTGGGGGACAGTTAGGAAGGCATGATTTGTTTTGAAATGTGAGGACATGAGATCTGGAGGGGCCAGGGTGGAATGTTATGGTTTGGCTCTGTGTCCCCACCCAGATCTCATCTTCAGCTGTACTCCCATAATTGCCACATATTGTGGAGGGACCAAGTGGGAGATAATTTGAATCATGGGGGTGGCTTCCCCCATATTGTTGTCAAGGTAGTGAATAAGTCTCACACTATCTGATGGTTTTCGCATCTTCCTCATTTTTTCTTGAAGTGCCTTTCAGCTCCCATCATGATTCTGAGGACTCCCCAGCCATGTGGAACTGAAAGTCCAAGTAAGCCTCTTTTCCTTCCCAGTCTTGTGTATGTATTTATCAGCAGTGTGAAAACAGACTAATACAATGACTAATCAGAAATGCTTCAGAACTAGGAGAAATAACATATACATAATTGAAGCAGTTCAAACCTCTGAAAATCTTTTTTTTTTCTAGAGAATCTAGAAACAAATATTATTTAAAGATGTTTAAGATTTTAAAAAGGGCTGGGCATGGTGGCTCACGACTGTAATCCCAACACTTTGGGAGGCTGAGGTGGGTGGATCATGAGGTCAGGAGTTTGAGACCAGCCTGACCAACATGGTGAAACCTCATCTCTATTAAAAATACAAAAATTAGCTGGGCATGGTGGCAGGCACCTGTAATCCCAGCTACTTGAGAGGCTGAGACAGGAGAATTGTTTGAACCTGGGAGGCAGAGGATGCAGTGAGCTGAGATCGTGCCATTCCACTCCAGCCTGGGCAAGAGGGTGAGACTCTGTCTCCCCAAAAAAAAAAAAAAAAAAAAAAAAAATTAGAAAGGATGTGCTTTGATCTCAAGGGAGAAAAACCATAAAGTAAAAACTTTATGCTTTTTGGATATTAAATGAGAGATAGATGAACTAATTACAGACATCAGAAAAATGATACATGATAAAGAATTTTAAAAGTTGCCATAAGAGGAAATAACACATAGAAATGACAAATCAAACTAATAATGTGGCAGACAAATTTGCAAAGCTCATCCAGGATTTTCAGAAATAGGAAACGTATTAAAGCAGTGAAACAGGAGTTCATGGGAGATAGAGAACAATTCTAGCATATTGGTGCTCCTTAGGAAGAATCCAGGAGTAGAGACGAAACTGTAATTGAAAACAGACCTTTAATACCTGATCTGTCTGCAGAATTAAAAGATTTTCTGCATTAATGTTTGCCTAGACATGATCTGAAGACATGTTTTGTTTGTTTCAGTGTATATTTATTCAACACAAGGATATTAAAAAATATATCTTACAGATTTTGTGATAGAAAAAAAGTTATTGAAAAAAGAAAAGATAATCAGATCTATACTCGGGTAGAATAAAAACTAAAAGATGTTCCCTGGACATAGACTTCTTTACCTTCTGGAAGTCACTGACCACTTGAAGAAATGAGTATACATATATGTACCTATGTGTACAATATAGTGCACACAAGATGAGGAATTCACAGAATGCCTAACTCATTACCGTGGATCCCTTTGGGCTTCAGGAACACAGGGTGGTGAGGGGGGAAATGTGCCACAAGACTTTCTTGTCCAGACAAGTTGCATTTCTTACGTGAAGAAAATGGAAACAGTCTGAGATATACAATGGATACCCATTTACTCTTAAAGGAAAAAGGTACTTTCTGACACATTTCAGCTATGATGAGGTCAGATTTTAATACTCATATTGGCTAATCACAGTATATTTAAAAAATGTAACTTGTCTGAGAATCCATTATAAAGAAATAATTACAGTTGATTTATGTAGCCAAATATCCATCTTAATAATATTGTAATAGTGAAAAACTTTTAATTTCCTTTTTAGATATATTATTCTGTCTGCAATCTCCCATAATTAAAACAACATCTGCTTCATCACTTGTCACAATTTCAAAGAGCATTATCTATAATGTATTAGTTTTATTGTAGCATAGTTTTATTTTATTCATGATTGTAAAGGCAACTTTCTCTCATATAGATGCTTTTTCTCTTAAATCTAGTCAATTTTCCTTTCAAGACAGTAGCATTTTCTTCTTGACCTTTATTATTAATTTTAGACTAAGTTGGCTTTAACATACCATAGGAATTCTATTAATTTTCAAAAATTTTTAAGCTTGTAATATAAATATTTTAGTTGGCTTATAGTTGAAAAGAAACAAAGCACATTTTAATGAAAATACACTTGAGGGCATTTGAGCTAAAAGAAATACATAAAATAAACATTTTCTCAAAATATAGCTATTATATAAAATTTCTGAAAATATTTATTAGCATAATAATGAGAATTAATAGCCTATTTATTTATTATTGATACCTATTATATTCCAAGCACTGAGCTAGTCACTTAACTTCACTGAAGTCACTAAATTGCCTTTAAAAACCCTGTGACATAGACACTATTAGTATTTCCAGTTTATAGATGAGAAAATTAGGCATAGAAAAAATAAGTGAATTGCCAAGAGTGAATCTGCTGAGCCACAATTCAAATTAAAGAAAATTTAGCTCCAGATTTGACTGTTTTAAATCCTACATTATACACCCCTATTAGGTAAACCACATCACATGCGGAAAAGTTAAGTTAAAGAGACAAATACCCTGCTTCTCTTGATTGCTCTGTCTTCTTCATAAGGCCAATTATGTGCACACTCAAAAGCATTTTTTGATTTTCAGCAAGTGAAATTACTAGCAGGTTTAGAGGTTTTGCTAATGTGTACATCATATACAAATGCAACATTTTGTCATGACTTAAAAATGTTAGAGGTATCCTGGAGCATCAAATAATCATGCCTAATTAAATTAAAGAAACTTTTAGTCAGCTGTGAGCTGTGATTATTTTTTGGTTGAGCAGCTTACAATCCTTTCACCATTCAGAGTCCAAAAGACTGCTTAGCACTTAACCTAAACATGGGACGCACTTAATAAAGAAATTATTCTGTTCCCATTCAGTTATAGATAATTAAATTATGAATTACTTTATTGTTCTTATTTTCTGTAGTCTCTCATGTTTGTATTATAACAAAGGTAATATTTATTTACAAACAATGTCAAATGGGATTTTACAAAGCTTAAATATCTATAATGTTAACTATTTAGAAATGTATATTTTAAATAAACTATTGTATGCATGATGAGCATGTTTTAAATGAGTCTGATAAGTATACAGTATTAGCAGAAGATTTAAATTACAGTAACTGATTTTGACATCCCCAGTAAATGCCAAGAAACATAGCTTTTATAGCAAGTTCATGGAAATGTTCAGATAAAATATTCATGAATTCTCTACTAAAAGAAAAGCCTCTTATGGTCTTGTTTGACAGAGGATGACCTTTTCTTCAATAAGTTCCCATCTTTGCTGTAACTTGGTGTTTAGATGCCCTGCTTAGATGAATAAAACATAGCATTTTGTTCTTTGTGTTTGCTAGTATATGTGATAATTAATAGAAAGGAAGACTTTGAAGTTTTAAATGAAGTAAGTGGTTTATTTTTTCAAAAGGCATTAAGGAATTTTTGAAGATCAATTTCCCAGCAGAATATTTGTCAAAGCAATTAGGATCCACCCTGACTTCGGTATACCCAGTAGTGCTCAATTGATGTGCTCTTTCAAATAACTAAAGCATTTTTAACTTTAGTGATCTGCATTACTCATATAGTCTACCACCTGACGACTCTTACAAAGATGGATCAGCAATTCAGTTATATACAAAAAGAGACTTTATGAAAATACAATCAGTCAAATATACCACAGTTTTCAATATGTTGAAAACAAAGGGAAACATGAATTAGATAATTTTAAACCAAATGAACCATATTGAAGCCATCTAGGTTCAATTTTAGTATTTATGCTTTTAGCTTCAGTCCTTGTATTCTTGAGAAAAAAGAAAGTAGTACCTAATGATAATGTATCTACAGAAAATAATAATAACTAAGGTAGCAAGATGTCATCTACTCATGTCCTGAAGATTTAAAAGTTTGCTAAGATGACCATTTATTCAACCATACCCTTTTAGCAAATAAGGTATCATCTGGTCCCCAAAAAAGTGCCACATTAATTTTTGAAGTCATAGGATACCACCGATGCATTTAATCAGTAATTTACTGAATGGCCTGACTCAGAGTTAGGAGTTGATTCTGTAGTATTGAAAGACTAATTAGGACCTCAATATGTTGATTTGGAAAATAAGCTGTGGACTTACTAATATTTTTTATAGTGATCTCTCTATAAAAATCTGGTTTTAATAGGGACATTGACATAGCCTATCCCTGGAAAAGGAGTAATTGCATTCTGATTGTGGAAATTATGTCTATATTCTGCCAAAACTCTCTGACATATACTGAACATATCCGGAAACACTGAATGAAGGGCATTACCCATATTTGGCTAACAAGTATTTATAGAATTAAAACAAGTAAAATGCCAAATTCATATTATTGGTAATATTCATTGAAAACATGCCCTGAAAACGAAATTCCAGCTTATTGGCATGATTTCTAGCCAAGTATTTTCAGTTAATCAAGTACCAATGGATGACATGAAATTTTTATGTCTATTCACTGATGTACAATTAACATGATCTGGAGAATTGCGAGAAAGTATATTAGTTTGAATAAATGTTTAAACTTCCTAGACTAATCTTCTAGATTAGCATTCCCCCAAAGTATTTCTATAGAGGATTAGTCCTGTAAAATGCTTTTCCAAAAAGTGATTCCTTGGTCAATTAAGTTAAGGAAATGTGCGCAGTATATTACTATCCTCACCACATAGGAAGTAAAGTAGAACATTAAAAGCTCTGATAATTCCTTCAAGAAGGAAACTTGTTTGGCTTTTTGCAATCTAGTGTCTCCAAAAGGTACTTAACTACAAAATCCTTTACTTGTATAACATTTATTAAAATCCTAAACATCTAATTTTCTGGAAAATGATTTCCAAGGTAGCAAATGCATATACCAGAGATATTCAATTTTGAAAAATATCTTTGGGAAATATTTGACAAAACTCTCTCACATATGAAGAAATAAATTGTTTTCTATATGGCATTTCAGTATGTAGAATATGTAAGTTTTTTTCTAGATTTATAATGTTGACTATTGGAAAATCTATAAGGTTAAGTGAAATGGCTGTTTTATGACTATTATAATGTTTATTCAATGTTGTCTTTCGTCCACAACAATAATAACAAGCCAACTATTTTGAGTGGTTGCCATGTGTCAGGCATTAAGTACTTTAAATGAAATAATATACATATTCCTCACAACCTGAATGTTGGATATTATATTATTATTTCAAGTTCTTAGAAGAAGAAATGAAGGAAACAGAGAAGTTACCTAAAGTGATGATAGTCTCATGACCAGTGAGAAGCAATGCTGGGATTCAGTTCCAAGTAGCCTGGCTTCAAATCCCCTATGCTTAATTACAGCACTGTGCTGCCATATGTAGTAGAGCCTGGGCTGACTATTCTGATTCTCCTGCCATCCCCACTCATTCACTCATTTGTAGCTTTAGCCTGTCAATGGTTACTAACATATTTCAATGGAGAGGAAACCTAGTATTATTTCAAAAGTTTGAAACACTTTACTGTCCTCCTGACATGTGCCAACATAGCAGTAGTCAATTCAAACTCTTGAGCCTGAGTCAACAGAATAAACTTTTGAAAGGTTAATCTAATATTTTTTCCCAAAGTAGTATTCCAATATCCAAAGAATTTATGAATATGGTAATTTTTTTATTTTAGATAACATGAAATAATAGAAACATCATACTATTTCCCCCTTTTTTGATATTTACAATTTTGCTTGACTCAGCATTTCCCAAACATAGTTGACTATAGAATATTTTCTTCATGGCAAATATATCAACATCTTGAAGAACTCTGTTAAACCCACACTAAGTTTGGTAAATAAAGTACTGAGTTATGAGCAGTGATATGCTGATGAGTGTTTAAAAACTAGCTCTCCCAGGGTAAAAATAATTTTTTAAAGGCCTGATTTGCAGTGTTTACCAAGTTGTAGTATAAATACCTTCATCATGGCTGATTTAAAGCTACCAGACTAAGTTGCTGAACACAGAGTGGGGAAAAGATGGACACAGTAGGTTCTGGCAAACTGATGAGAACTAGATCCAGCTCATCATAGCTTTATCAATCTTGACAAAATCTATAATTTATTCTTTTATAACCATAAAAATTAGTATCTTTTGATGTGGAGGCCATTTTACATAAGAGACCAAGAAAGATATTTAAGAATTATATTCAAGGGTCTTATTTAAGTATCTTTACTTTATGTGGACACATTGAAAAGGCACATTTGAACCAAGTCACTCAATATACTTATGAACCCATAGACCTTCTTCAGAAATTCTAACATTAAATGCATATCAAGATAATCTATATTGTAATAACTCTATTTAAATATATACTCTTATAACAAAAAGACATAACATAATCTAGAATAAAAGGACATAGTATGTACTTAGGGAAAAATTACACAGAGATAATCATAAGGTGAAAAGAGGTAAGAAGTTTAGACCCAGGTTTGTTTCAAAGACTCACTATCTATAGAGCTTTGCTTCTTAAATTGTGTGCCCTATGGAGTTCCCTGTAATGCCTCCAAATATTTCTTTATCTAAGTGTGTTAGTCCATTCTCAAACTACTATAAAGACATACCTGGGAATGGGTAGTTTACAAAGGAAAGAAGTTTAATATGCCCACAGTTCTGTGGGCTGTACAGGCTCCTGCTTCTGGGGAAGCCTCAGGAAACTTACATTCATGGCAGAATGCAAAGGGGAAGTGGGCACATCTTCACAAGGCTGGCAGGAGAGAAAGAGCAAAGGGGGAAGTGCTACACACTTTTAAACAAAAGTGTTAAACAACCAGATCTTGTGAGAACTCGTGCACTATCACAAGAACAGCAAGGGGGAAGTCTGCCCTCATGATCCAATCACCTCCTACCAGGCCCCTTCACCAACATTTAAGATTACAATTTGACATGAGATTTGGGTGGAGACAGAGAGGCAAATCACGTCATTCCACCCTTGGCCCCTCAAAAATTTCATGTCCTTCTCACATTTCAAAACACAATCATGTTTTTCCAACAGTCCCCCAAAGTTCTAACTCATTCAAGCATTAACTCAAAAGTCCAAGTCCAAAGTCTCATCTGAGACAAAGTAGCTCCCTTCCACCTATGAGCCTGAGAAATAAAAAAAGTCTTAGTTACTTTCCAGAACTGTGAGCTGATTAAACCTTAGTTACTTTCAAGATCTGTGAGCTGATTAAACCTCTTTTCTTCGTAAATTACCTAATTTCAGGTATGTCATTATAGGAGTGTGAGAATGGACTAATACAGAAAATTTGAATAAAAGAAATAATAAGGGTACAGACATCGGGTAAATACACCCATTCCAAGAGGGAGAAATTAGCCAAAACAAAGGGGCTACAGGCCCCATGGAAGTTCAAAATCCAATAGGGCAGTCATTAAACCTCAAAGTTCTAAAATGATCTACTTTGACTCCATGTCTCACATCCAGGGCACACTGATGCAAAAGGTGGGCTTCTACAGCCTTGGGCAGCTCTGTCCCTGTGGCTTTGCAAGGTACAGCCCCCTTCCTCACTGCTTTCACAAGCTGATATTGAGTGTCTGCAGCTTTTCCAGGCACACAGTACAAACTGTCAGTGGGTCTACTCTTCTGGGGTCTGGAGGATGGTGGCCCACTTCTCACAGCTCCACTATACACTGTGCCAGTTGTGACTCTGTGTTGGGGCTCCATCCCAACATTTGCCCTTTGCACTGCCATAGTAGAGGTTCTCCATGATGGCTCTTCCCCTGCAACAGACTTTCTGCCTGGACATCCAGGTGTTTCCATACATCCTCTGAAATCTAGGCAGAAGCTCTCTAGTCTCAACTCTTGCCCTCTGTGCATCCAGTCTTAACACCATGTGGAAGCCACCAAGGCTTGGGGCTTGCACCCCCTGAAGCAATGGCCCAAGTTGTTCCTTGGCCCCCTTTTAGCCATGGCTGGAGCAGTCATGATGAAGAGCACCATGTCTTGAGGCTGCACAGAGCAGAGGGGCCCTCGACCTGGCCCACAAAACCATTCTTCCCTCCTAGGCCTCCAGGCCTGTAATGGAAGGGGCTGCCAAGAAGGTCTCTGAAATGCCTTGGAGGCATTTTCCCCATTGTCTTGACTATTAACATTTGGCTTCTATTTACTTATGCAAATTTCTGCAGCTAGCTTGAATTACTTCCCAGAAAATGAGTTTTTCCTTTCTACCACATGATGGGACTGCAAATTTTCCCAACTTCTGCTTCCCTTTTAAATAATAGTTACAATTCAGTTTTTTTTTTTTTTTTGCTTATGCAATTGAGCATAAGCTTTTAGAAGCAGCCAGGCAACACCTTGAATGCCTTGCAGCTTAGAAATTTCTTCTTCAAATACCCCTAAATCATTTCTCTCAAGATCAAAGTTCAACAGATTTTTAGAGCTGGGGCACAATGCTGCAATTCTCTTTGCCAAAGCATAGCAAGAGTGACCTTTGCTCCAGTTCCCAATAAGTTGCTCATCTCCATCTGAAACCACATCAGCCTGCTTTTCACTGTACATATCACTATCAGCATTTTGGTCACAACAATTTAACAAGTCTCTAGGAAGTTCCAAACTGTCCCTCATCTTCCTGTTTTCTTCTGAGCCCTCTAAACTGTTCCAACACTTGCCAGTTGCCCAGATCCAAAGCCACTTCCACATTTTCATGTATCTTTATAGCAATTCACCACTCTCATTACCAATTTTCTGTATTAATCCATTCTCACACTCCTATAATGACATACCTGAGATTAGGTAATTTATGAAGAAAAGAGGTTTAATCAGCTTACAGTTCTGCAGGCTGTTCAGGACTCTGATTCTGAGGAGGCCCTAGGAAACTTACAGTCATAGCAGAAGGTGAAGGGGAAGCACATACATCTTCACATGGCTGGCAGAAGAGAGAGAATGAGGGGGAAGTGCTATACACTGTTAAACAACCAGATCTCATGAGAACTCATGCACAATCACGAGAACAGCACAAATGAAGTCTGCCCCCATGATTCAATCACTTCCTACCAGGCCCCTCCTCCAATATCAAGGATTAGAGTTCAACATGAGATTTGTATGTGTACATAAAGCCAAACCATATCACTAAGCTTTCCTTATCCATATCATGAAATGGCTTTTTGATACATGTATTTCAGTCAGTCTTTCTCATTAAAACTTCAGAGACAACAAAACCATCCACGATTATGCCACTAGCATTGAAACCATGCTTATTGCATTAAAACTGTTGGAGAAGAAAACTTTTTTTTTTAATCTTCTTAGTTCAGTGATTTAGGGGCTGCAAATTAAATGGACAAAAGACAGGTCAGTGAGCAAATAGAGTTTTACTTCTATATGTACAAAGGTGTTCACAGAGAAATGGGACTCGAGGAGGGAGTTAGGAAGTTAGAATTGGGGGTTTATATACAATCTTAACAAGGAAAGAGGAGAGGATAACAATTCTTATGGGAAAAAAAATGACTTTTAAGAAAGACAAATGGGCCCATAGGAGGATGGGTGAGAGATATGATAGTTTTGTGATAATGTCTGTTTAGATGATTTCTTATCCTATTGCTGACTTCTTCTCTTTGGTAATGGGAGGCAATCTTCCTCGGCTACTAAACTGGGGAGGGGATTTATGACAGCTGAATTCTTTGGAAATTCTCTGCTTTCAGGCAGATAAAGGAAGTTTGGGGGAAAAAGATCCTCATCACAGATATATTCTGGAGCCTTTCAAAATGAATCTGGACAATGGCATATATTAAGTGTAGAGGGAGTAGGACAACCAAGAATGCAGGGAGATAGTGACTAAAGTAAGGAAACTGATCTGCACAGCTATTCTGAGGTTTTTTCTGCAGCACAGTGTTAGGCCAGGAAACACCATCATTGTGGATATTTGAAAAACAAAACGTCCAGCAATCAGAGGCCATTTGTTAGTTGATAGCTGTTGTGGGCCCATTTTGAGCCTGATAGGTTACTTGTCTTTAAGAAAAGATTTGGCTTCCTTAAGAAGCAGGGAAAGGGAACTAACAGGCTACAAATACAAATCAAAGACAAATTCATACAAATTAGTATATAAATAGTAAAAAACTGACCATTGATTAAAATTGGTCTCTCAATTCAAAGCAGAAGAACATGATAAGAATTAAAGCAAATGATATAATTCTAAAATTATTAAAGACAGTAGTAGTGCATACACTCAGAATGATGCTCAAAATACTTTAAAACTTTATGGCATAGGCACTAGCCAGTTGGAGCAGTACTGGCTGAATATAGTTGATATGGTCATGATGTGTGCTGGTCAGCATTGCACATGTCAGATATTTATATTATCTCATTTTTCAATAACTCCCTTATACGTGACCTAATGTAACTTGAATGTTGGAGTTAGATGTTGCTGAATTATAATATTTATTTTTTGAAATTAATGTTACATTATATTTATTTTCATACCTACTATATAATTTATCATAATTGTAAGAAAACAAATATTTCTTGATTGCATAAACAAACCCTGTAAATGTATTTGTACAAGGTTTAAAAGGTTTTACAAGGTTTAAAAACATTACATTGAACTTTCTGTATTTTTCCTTAGAAATTAATTTAGAACATAAAATGAAAGATTATATAGCACAACATGTTGCATTTTAAGTAAAGTATGAAAATGTGGCAAAGATTTTCAATATTATTCATTTTGAATAATAATTAGCACATTTTTGGTTTTAAAATTCTTTGTAATCCTATTAACTTATGCAATAAATGTGAAGCAATGTTATGTTTAACAAAGATGTCACAAAAATCAGGGGAAAAAAATGAAACATATGCCCTGAATGCTTTTGAAGCTACTGTGAGAACATGAAGTTGAAATTATGAGCTAGCAGCCAACATGAGAAAACACAAACTTCTTCTCTGCATGTAGTAAGTGATTTGTGAACAACAATTACTAACTAGAGAAAATGAGGGTAAAACACAGGGCTCAGCCAGGTGTTACTTTACCTCAGTGATTTACTCTGCTATTTGATCAATGATGAGAACAAAATGACCCATATCCTCAGGAAGCCATGAATGTTTCAAGGCAGCTGTGAAAACACCTGGCTACTTGTCTGACACAAAGACTACGTCCATTAAGGAAGATTCAAGATTTATTTCTATGGGCTTGAACCAGAAACAATGGCAGTGAATTTGCTGTTGCATTGCATTATTCCTTTAATGAGAGAACAAAAGCAGTTTTGCAGCCCCATTCTGGTGAACTGGCAGGAATACCAGCATCTCCCTGAACCACTGTGACAAGATCATTCAGCATTCCCTTCAGTAGCCAGCAGTATGAGCACGTTCTCCCTTTCTGTGACTTCTGGAATATATATCCCATAGATATATGATATGTATATTCCAGAAGGAATTTCATATATATATATTATATATATACGCTGTGTGTATATATAAATTATATTCCCTTTAAACTATTTTCATAAATTATGAATAATATAATTATTCATACACACACATATACATATTGTATTATGTGTATAGCTTCTACTCCCAAAAAGCAATAGAGATAAAAACACAAAAATGCACATTTTAAAAATATTTTATAGCTGGAGTATACAGAAAACATTATGTAGAATCTTAGGGTAAGCTGTGATATCCTACAAAATCTATGGAACTCAGCAAAATTTCACCAATTAGAATTTTACTGATCAAGAGTTATTAAACTGTATCTAGGAAAAGGAGATGACAGTTCATGGGATGGAGGCCCTACAAGGGTGATGAGAAAGAATGGGTTTAGAATTAGTGAAAAGGCAATTGATACTGGGGCATTTTCAACCAACAATCAAATCATTCGGAATATTTTTGCTTTTGTTTCCCAATCCAAATAATTTTTAAAATGAAACTGTTAAATAATGGGAAATATTGATAATCCAAGAAACAAACCCAAGGTAGCATTTACTATTACACAATAGAATCATAGCATAATGTGTTTTATTTTTTAAATCAATACTGCATGTTCAAACTCTCACCATTTTGAAATAACCTTTCCTTTATTTTCTGGCATTACTATTATCATTATTATAATTATCTTTTTTTTACTTTTTTACATTAATTCTACTTTCATAAAATGGTGGTCATATGCATGGAGTACATAAATCAATTGGACTGTGCTTATATGGTGTCATAGAGGATTTATAGAACAAAAGTTCAGAGGGCATGACAATTGTCTGGAAAGACCTTAAACAAGTTTTAAACATTTTGAATATAAAAGATAGTCAAATGAAAGCTACTTAATGTGTTTGTATGGCACCATACTAGGTCCCGTGGGCGGTTTCTATCTTTAAATTTAGCACCGTTGGTACAGTACAGTTTGTAAGTGCTAGACTTCAGTCAGAAGTCTGTTCTTTACATGTTACATAACTTTGGGTAAGTCTTTTCCAGGCTGATCCTATTTCTTCACCTTTAAAATGAGAAGTGCTGTACCTACTAAGTTACAGTGTATATTAAGTTATTCAATGTATGTGAAAGAGCATAGGAAGTAGAAAAGTGCGGTACAATATATTTGTGTATATTCTATAATATAAGGAGGAATAGAAGAGCTTCAGATAAGGGCAGTCAATTGCTGGATGTCACAAGGAATAGAGAGTAAATGTTCTAGGAATTCAGACATAAAAGCCAATTCCATCTGAAGTTATCAAAGAAGCCTTAAGCTAGTCTGGTGTTCTATCTTAAGGGAAAAAAAGGTAATTGCTGCTATTTTATTTCATATTATGAATGAAAGTCTTTAAATGGGAACTCTCTTCTAAAATGCCTAATGTTATTCATGGGTTGTTTCACAGCCCCAAAATATGACTGAAATTTTCTTGTCTGTTTATGTACCTTAGGGGTCCAACAGAAAAATATTTTTTTCTTTCATGAGACATCCAGTAAGCAAATTTATAAAATTTATAAGTCTAATTTTCA
The DNA here is from genome assembly GCF_000001405.40 of Homo sapiens. NCBI lineage: Eukaryota > Metazoa > Chordata > Mammalia > Primates > Hominidae > Homo > Homo sapiens. The sequence goes on from NC_000003.12 coordinate 97,391,999, forward strand.
TAAAGCTTCATGGTTTAAGACACTCTTGAAGCCAATGGTCTTTTAGCTAGCTGCCACCGCAATTTTGTGTCTTCACGTAAATTGAAGAATAAGCCACATATATTACTTTATAGTTACAGCTTATAAATATATTCGTTTGGGCTTTACATTTTGAAAAGTATTAACATTTTGAATTATATCTTAGAATAAATATTCAGAATATGACATGAGTTAAGATTAGGTTTACGTAGGCTCTTTGGAATAAAATTATTTTCCCTTTAAACTGTTTTAAGAATTTTGAATAATACAATTACTTGTTAAGGTAATTTAAAAATCATTAGCTATTGCACAATTTCAAGATATACTTCTGTTTTGCTCTTCTTACATGTAGTTTCACTAAGCTAGCATGGTAAATTGCTAATGCATTCACATATATATGGGGGTGTGTCTGTGTGTGTGTGTGTATATTTATATACATGGCATCACATATAGGATTTGGGGGTATTGCTATTTACAAAAAAAATGGAATCATGTCATACATATTTTTTTGTAACTTGTTTTTGACATTTTACATATTATGCTTATTTTTGTATGCCTATATATACATACTTTTTAAAATGTATTAATTTCTTCTGTTTCTAAACTTTTTACAAAATGCAACCATAAAATTTGCATGTAAAGCTTTATCTGCTCATACTAAAATATTTTAAAGATTTATATCTCTATAAGCTTTATTACTTGGCTGCTTCCTTTCCGTAATATTAGTTAAAATGATTTTAGTCATCTACTTATTAATGACTTGTCATATTATTTTAGTTTTTACCTTTAAAATAGCTTTTCAATTAGCTCTTTTTTTTTCTGTACTTGGAACATGTTGCAAACTTTTTGTTGAGGAAATCAGAAATCAGCTGACGCCCAGAAGTTACAAACCATATTCAAATATACCTAGGATATTTCTACATTTAAAACCTATTTTAAAATTATCATATGTAATTTGTATAATTGTACAGATCAAATAATAATACTTTTGCCTGGAAGAATCACTAGAAACCAGTGTTCTTGATTTTAATATAAACAGATGTTATAAATGAGGAATTTGTTTAATGTTCAGATGAGGTAGGCCAAATGATTGATTTTTCTTTATGGCCAGGCCAACTTTCTGAGATTTGGGAGAATAGCCTATGCTAAATTCCTAGAAAGTAGTGGTACAACATATATTCTTTTTACTGAAACATGACAAGTAATAATAAGGTCAGAAGAATCTCAGAGTGGTCCAATTTGAGGATACTTTTTTCCCTCATATTTCAAAGAAACTGAATTTTATAGAACCTGTTATATAAGCAGTTTTTCAAATGCCTCTGGAACTAAATAATAGTCAGTAGATGTGTATGGTGTAAATTACTGAAAACAGCAGCTAAAGACAAGCTTAACAGTGAGCACGTTAAATCACAGTCATAAGACTTATCAAAGAGAAATTAAAAAGACACAGATTATCCTGACAACTTTAAAGATAACTTGTCTGGTCTCACCTCTGTAATTAAGTGCTGACAGTGCTGTGGCATTTCAACTCATCATTAATACAGAGAATTTTCACTCTGGCAGATACAGATAGTGAGAGTTTTCTGTGCAAACGTTTTCACAATTCTTTCACTAATGTCTTATCAAGCTACCAGCATCTCACTGGCATGGCAGGAGGAAGTAGGAAGAGTGAACAAGTAATTTTATACTCATTGACCAACCTCTCCCCATTTTGCTCCCCACTACCCTCTTCAGACTCTGGTAATCATTGTTCTACTCTCTACTTCTAAGAGATCGACTTTTTTAGATGACACATATGAATGAGATCTTGTGGCATTTGTCCTGTGCTGGGTTTATATCACTTAACATAATATCTAGGTTCATGCATGTTGTCACAAATGACAGGATTTTGTTATTTTTATGGGTGAGTAGTGTATCATTGTGTATATAGACCATATTTTTTATCTATTCATTTATTGATGGACAGTCAGGTTGATTCAGTCTCTTGGCAATTGTGAATAGTATTGTAATGAACATGGGTGTACATAAATTTGTAACATATGAATTTCATTTCCTTTGGCTATTTACCCAGTACTGGAATTGTTGGAAATATCTCCATCTATTTGCAGCCAACTGCTTTTCAAAAAAGATACCAAGAACAAAAACTGGAGAAAGGTCAGTCTCTTCAATATATGACATTGCTGGGAAAACAAAATATCCACATGCAGAAGAATGAAACTAGATCCCTGTCTCTCACCACTTAATAAAGTCAACTTAAAATGGATTAAAGACATGAATGTAAAATGTGAAACTATGAAACTACTAGAAGAGAACATGGAGAAAACACTTCAAGACATTGGTCTAGGAAAGGAATTTTTGGATAACACTGCAAAATCCCAGGCAACAAAAACAAAACTAAACAATTGAGATTAGGTCAAACTATAAAGCTCTGCACAGCAAAGGAAATAATCAACAGAATGTAGAAAACACCTGCAGTAAGGGAGAAAATGTTTGTAAACTATGAATGTGAAAAAGGATTAATATACAGATTATATAAGGAGCTCAACTCAACACTGTAATAATAATGACCCAAATAATCCAGTTGTTAAATGGGCAAAATATCTGAATAGATATTTTTGAAGAGAAGACATACAAATAGCCAACCTGTACATGAAAAAATATTAAACATCATTAATCATCAGGTAAATGCAAATCTAAACTGCAATGAGATATTACCTCACCCAAGTTAGAATGGCTATGATGAAAAAGACAAAAAGTGACAAATGATTGCAAGGATATAGAAAAGGAGGAACTCTTATGCACTGTTGTTGGGAATGTAAATTAGTACAGCCATTATGGAAAGCTGTATGGAGATTTTTCAAAAAATTAAAAATAAAACTACCATATACCTTTCTTACATAAGGTCATCTGTGCTTACTTTGGGCACACCAGATAATCCAGGCTAATTCCCCACCTCTGAATTTTTAACTTAATAAAAACCGCAAAGCTTCTGCCATAAAAGAACATTCACAGATTCTGGGAATTAAGATGTGATATTTCAGGGCTGTTACTCATTTTATTACAGTACAGCTGTCATATTGGTTTAACATACTACAATGTTATTTTCAAATTCAGAAAGAAAAAAAAACAAGGAAGAACATAAGATAAAGTACTAACTTGCTGCATATAAGTCTCATGTATATTTCAAACTCATAACTAGGTTTCAACCACATGCAGGAAATAGATAACAATATATATTACCAATAAACTCTGATTACAAGAAAAAAACATAAAAACAAAAGCACAGGAGACAGATATTCTTAGGAACTATTGTGATATCTAAAGCACAGAACATTTAAGAAACATTTCCAAAACAAAATATAGGTCAGAAGTATTTTGAAACATGTTCTCAGGTTTCAAAAAATGTCAATTAACATGATAAACATGTATCACATCTACAGAATTTCACAGGTAAAATTATCGTTTTTGATTATACTGTCTCCTTCCTGAGCATACACAGAAAGAAACACTGTTGTGTGCTTCTGCTTTGCAATTATACCCGTTAGTTCATTTGTAAAGAGAAAGGAAAAAATTATATAGTCTTAAAATTTTGTTCTGATTTGTACTTTCTGGTCTGTATTATTTATTTTATTTTAGTATTATTCTTTATTGACATTTCATTGAGTTTTTTATTATATTTCCCTTAAAACACACCTACACACACACACATTCCTGTCCTAAAAGAGGCACAAGGAAGAAAATAAAAGAAAAATGTAAAGAAATAAGGCAGTAAAAAGCATTTTAAAAAGTAAATGAAGAAAGAAAAGAGTAAAGAAGGAAGGCAGGGGCATCTTAGAAGAGAAAAAAGGAGAGAAAAGAAAAGAGGATGATAGATGAGGGAAGGTGGAAGAGTTAATTCTATTCATGCTAAAAATTAGAACCTAGGACATAGTTGGAAGTTACAGGAAGACAGTGATTCCATATGAAAGCTTTTTAAACAACTAGAGGTTTACAAAAAGGAATCGATAGCCTTGTGGAGTAAGGTACTCATTAATGCTGAAGCAAAAAATGGATAAGAAGCTATCAAAGTTAAGCGTCAAGGGATTTTCCGGATTGCTGGAAAAAATATATTAAATGGCTTATAAGGTCTATCTTCATACTAAGATTCTATTTTGTAGCATTCAATATTAAGATTTTCATTGTCACAAGCATGTGTATATGAGTGTGCTCTCACTGTGTATCTCATTTTCTCACATATGCACGCATGCACACACACACAATGAGCACGTGCACACGCACACACCCTGATAGGTAAACCTTAATATATCTAGTATGCTTATAGCTGACTGAGAATTAGCATTATTTAATACAGTTTTAGAAACATAACTTTATAACCCATATCATAAGTATTGAATTTTCAAAATAATGCATATTTGTATTTATCCATATTGTGAATTTGAATAATAGTATTAGGAAAATTAAAAAATAACATTTTCAAAGGCAACAAGGATATTTGTGACATTATTTTATTTCTTGCCTTTAGTTTTGAACATAGATTTTAATTTTGAACTCATTACACTAAATTGGAATTCATTTTAGGAGAAAATGTAGTAAAAAATGTAATTTTTCAATTCTTTCGTAGCACTTTGATTTAATATTAAAATTTACCTTCACATCTCTTCATTAAACAATTGCTCAACTCCTGTGAGATTTAGCATTCTTATCTTTAAAATAAAGACAGTCTCCATTCCATTGATTTATGAGATTGAAGTAAGATAAATATACATGGTATAAAATAAGTATTTAATAAAAATATTGTCTTGAGAGCAAAATAGTTAACCAGACTAATTTAGGATTTCTTCAGCTATCTCCACATAAGCATAAGAAAATAATACTCATCTAATTGTAAATGAGGCCTCTTTTGTTAACTAATTCCCCTAAACATTTTTTTTCTTCAAATTTTTGTTACATAGTGTTTGGGAAACTATTGGAAACGTAGTCATCAGAAAGGTTTATATTTAAAACCATTTCAGCTATCTATTCAACCATCTTTTTCTTGAAGGTCAAAGCTAAGATTTTGAAGACTTAAATAAGGATGTATATCAGCAATAAAATTCTGCTGAAAACTATACTGAATACATAATTCTTACTCAGGGAATATTGCTTGAGCCTTCAAGTTATTCCATCAGCCTCTGATCTTACAAACTCTAGATTTTATTTTCTTGCTTTTTTTTCCCTGACTTTTTAGCATCAGAGATAAAAATCAATAGTTGCTCTTCTGTGTCCTAAAATCAGTTTTTCTCATATGGAAAATAAATGTATATGCTATATTTTCTGCTTTTTATTCATTACTTCAAGAGTGTTACCACCATATGTCAGAATCAAATGTCATATAATCCTGGATTATTAAGAAAGAAATCATTAAATATATTCAAAACTAACTCTGCAGCTTTCATATATGGAAGCCTCATTTTAAAATAAAATTCTATATATTGTTGGCCTCTGTGAAAACAGAAAATCCAGCATTTGGGGGTTTATATTGACCTGTAAATTGTTTCTCTCATCCTCTCCTTTAATTCATTAACCATTTAAAGTGTGTGCTTAATATATATTGATTCAGTTCTTACATAGTATGTCTCAGAATATCCAAGTTATATGAAGCAGTTTTCTTAATAAAAATTTAACAAAATCAAAACTTTATGCATGAACCGTGAAAACGCTAATAGGAAAGTATTGGAAATTTCAACATTAGAGGAATGATTTCATTAAGTATACAGAATGGAGTATTTTAGCAATTAAAATAATAATTACAGATACTATTTCAAAATATGGAATTGGATTTAGTATGCATTGTTAAAAATAAATAGAATTATGTAAAATTATGTACACTTCATAACTATGTAAAATATGTATATTAACATATGAAAGGAATGTGCAAAAGCAAAGAGATTTTAGGGTTTAGGACATTTGGACCATGAAATCCATTTTTATTTGTTACCGTTTTATAAAAGTATAGGATGGAACTTGTAAAATTTAGGTGATGTAGATGTACTATTAATTGCCCACTGGAGAATTGGAAATAGAAAAATAGTACCTATATTTTTCTCAGTAGTCATTCTTTTATGCTGTGGCTATAATTGAATTTCTTTTAAGTTTTGCAAGGATTATAATGCTGACCTTGAGTGCTAAATCATTATGAAGCAAAATGTAAAACACTGGTAATATTGCTTTAGACATTGTACATTAAACTGAAAATTAACCATAAGATTGTATATATGAAAATGACATTTTCAAAAATTGTAATGAATTGATATGTTTAAATCAACCTCTAATTTATATGATTTCCCTTTAAAGTTATAATTTATCCATCAAGCACGATTTAATATATTATTACACTATAATTCAAGAACATTAATGCAGCTTCCAACAGGGACAAATTTATTAATGGTGGTTTATTAAGAGCGAATGTGTCTTAATTTAAATGGCAAATTATCTGAGCACTTTTTCTGTTCTTTTTTTAATGAATTGATTGAGATTTAATTACCGAAGTTGAACTGGATACAACTTTATGTAATCATATTTTCATTTAAATATTCTTCATTTGTTATGCCAAAAATAGTACATATGGTTGCTACATAAAGAACATATCTCAAAAACTTATGTTTTCTTTTGAATCACTAAATTGTGTTCTTTGGTTACCCAAGAGTAGTCTCTCTGTTTAATGTAATAGTGAGAATGAATTTACTAAATACATACTCTTTTTCCACTCATTTTATTCCTTGTCAACATAAAAGTATAATATTTTTGCCTCATGAATTCTTTTTTTAGTTTTAATTGATGCATAAAAATGGTATATATTTATAGGGTACAGTGTGATATTTTGAACATGAATATACTGTGTAATGATGAAATCAAGGTAATTAACATATACATCCCCTCAAACATTTATTTTTTGTTGGAAACATTCAAAATCCTGTCTTCTAGCTATTTAAAAATATGCAATAGCTTATTAGCTATAGTCACCTACAGTGCTGTAGAACACTAGAAGTTATTTCTCTTACCTAGCTGTCATTTGGTATTGTTTAGCTAACTTTTCTTTAGCCACTTCCCTCCCCTTCCAAGTCTCTAGTAACCATTATTCTATGCTGTACAATAAGATCAAATATTTTAGCTTTCACAGATGAGTGAGAACATGCAGTACTTATCTTTCTGTGACTTACATATTTCACTTAACATAATGGCCTCCAGGCTCATCCATGTTGCCATAAATGACAGAAATTCATTCTTTTTAACAGTGGAATAGTATTCCATTGTGTGTGTTACATATTTTCATTATTTATTCATCTGTTGATGGATACTTTGATTGCTTCCATATCTTAGCTATGGTGAATACTACTGCAATAAACATGATGTGGGGGGCTTAGGGTTTTCATTTCATTTCCTCTCGATATATACCCAGTAGTAGGATATCTGGATCATATGGTAGTTCTATTTTTAGTTTTTGAAAAGCCTCCATACTATTTTTCATAATGACTGCACTAATTTACATTCCCACTGGCAGTGGATGAGTTCCATTTTCTCTGTATCCTTACCAGCACTGGTTATTTATTTTCTTTTTGATAATAGCTATCCAAATGGAGTGAGATGATAGTTTATTGTAATTTTGATTTACATTTTCCTGATGATTAGTGATGATGAGCATTTTTTATATATCTGTTAGTTATTTGTATGTCTTCTTTTCAGAAATGTCTATTTAGATCTTTTGCCCATTGTTAAATAGGATTATTTGTTTTTTGTTGTTGTTGAGTGGTTTGAGTTCCATGTATAGTCCTTGATATTAATCCATTGTTGAATGAATAGTAGTTTGCAAATATCTTCTCTTGTTTTTCAGGTGTTTTTTGACTCTTGATTGTTTTCTTTGCTGTTCAGAAGCTTTTAGTTTGATATAATCTCGTTTGTCTATTTTTGCTTTTGTTTTTGGTACCTATGCTTTTGAGACCTATTCATAAAATGATTGCCTGGACTAATGTCCTGAGGCATTTCCCTAGTGTTTTCTTTAAATAGTTTTATATTTTTGAGTCTTAACATTTAAGTCTTTAATCCATTTATGTTGATTTTTGTATATGGTGAGAGATAGGTATCTAGTTTCATTTTCTGCATGTGGACGTACAGTTTTCCCAGCACCATTTATTGAAAAGATGCCAAAAACATATATTGAGGAAAGGAATGTATGTTTTTGGCATCTTTGCCAAAAATCAGCTGGCTGAAAATACATAGGTTTATTTCTGTGTTCTCTGTTCCATCACATTGGTATTGAAATGTGTTTCTATGACAGAACCATGCTGCTTTGGTTACTATATCTTTGTAATATATTTTGAAGTCAGGCAGTGTGATGCCTCCAGCTTTTGTTTTGTTTTGTTTTTTCCTCAAAACTGCTTCAGCGATTTGTTTTTTCTATTTCTGTAAAGAATATAATTGTTATTTTGATAGGGGTGGTATGGAATCTAGATTGCTTTGGGTGGTATGGTGATTTAACAATACTAATTATTTGAATCCATGAGCATAGCATGTCTTTACATTTATTTGTTTCCTCTTAAAGTTTTTCATCACTGTTTTGTAGTTTTTATTATAGAGATTTTTCATCTCCTTGGTTAAATATATTCCTAGATATGATATTTATTTATTGTTGCAGCTATTTTAAATGGGATTGCCTTGTTGGTTTTTTCAGCATATTTATGACTGTTGTATAGAATTTTTGTACATTGATTTTCTATCCTGCAGCTTTTCTGAATTTGTTTATTAATTCTAAGAGTTTTTTGGTAGAGTCTGTAGAATTTTCTGTATATAAGATCATGAGATCTGCAATTAGGGAGAATTTTACTTCCTCCTTTCCAATTTGGATACCTTCTCTTTCTTTCTCTTGCTTAATTGTTCTGGCTAGGAATTCCAGTTCTATAATAAATAAAAGAGTGGTAAAAGTAAATGTGCTGGTATTATTTCAGTTCTTAAAGGAAAATCTTTCAACTTTTCCCCATTCAGTATGATATTGGCTGTGTGTTTGTCACATATGGCCTTTATTGTGCTAAGGTACATTCCTTCTATACCTAATTTGTAGAAAGTCTATATAATGAAGAGATGTTGATTTTTATCAAATGCTTTTTTTTGCATCTGTTGAGATAATTATATTTTTGTCCTTCATTCTGTTGATGTGATAGTTAAAAATTGGTATTAGTTCTTCTTTAACAGGGTGGCTGTTAAATGAATTAATTTGGTGAATTAATGGCTTCAATTCACCAATGAAGCCATTGTTCCTGGTCTTTTCTCTGTTGGGAGACTTTTTATTACTGGTTCTATCATGTTACTCATTATGGGTCTGTTCATATTTTCTATTTCTTCACTGTACAACCGTGGTAGTTTGTATATGTTGAAGAATGTATTCATTTCCCCTAGGATTTCTAATTTGTTGGCATTTTGTGGTTTATAACAGTCTCTAATGATCCTTTGTATTCTTGTGGTATCAGTTATAATGTCTTCTTTTTTGTTTCTGGTTTTGTTTATTTGGGTGTTCTTTCTCTTTTTCTTAGTCTAGTTAAAGGTTCGTCAATTTTGTTCCTCTTTTCAAAATATTAATTTCATTGATGTTTTGTATTATTTCATCTCCATTTTGTTTATTTCTGTTCTGATCTTTATTATTTCTTTTCTTCTACTAGTTTTGGGCTTGATTTGTTCTTGCTTTTCTAGTTCCTTTAGATGCATCATTAGATTTTTTATTTGTAATATTTCTACTTTTTAAATATAGGAACTTATTGCTATAAACCTCACTCTTAGTATTGCCTTTGTATATCTCTTAGGTTTGGGTATGTTTTGTTTCTATTTTCATTTGCTTCAAGAAAATGTGTAATTTCTTTCCTGATTTGTTTATTTGGTAACTCAGAAGCATTTTGTTTAATTTCCACGTGTTTGTGTGGTTTTTGAGGTTCATCTTACTGATTTCTAATTTTATTCTATTGTGATCGGAAAAGACACTTAATATTATTTCAGTTTTTATAAACTTGTTGAGACTTGTTTTGTGGCCTAACATGTGGTCTATTCTGGAGAATGTTCCATGTGTATGAGAAGAATGTGTATTCTTCAGCTGTTGGATGAAATGTTTTGTAACTATTAGTTAGGTCCATTTGGTCTACAATGCTATTTAAATCCAATATTACTTTTTTGATTTTCTGTCTCGATAAGCTCTCTAATGCTGAGAGTAGGGTGTTGAAGTCCCCAACTGCTGTTGTATTGGGGTCTTTCTCTTTAGATCTAATATTTGCTTTATATATCTGGTTGCTGCAGTGTTGAGTGCATATATGTTTACAATTGTTACATCCTCTTGCTAACCTGATTCTTTCATCATTATATAAATGTCTCTTTAAAGTTTCTGACATAAACTCTATTTTACCTGATACAAGTATAGCTATTCTTGCTTGTTTTTGGCTTGCATTTGCATGGAATGTCTTTTTCCATTCCTTCACTTTCAGTCTATTTGTGTCTTTACAGTGAAATGAGTTTCTTGTAAACAGTACATAGTTAGGTCTTGTTTTTTTAAGCGGTCTTGTTGTGTTTCTACAGTCTATAGTTAGGACTTATTTTAAATAGTGAATTATCTGAGTGCTTTTTCTTATATGCGACATTATTCATTTCTGTTTTAGCTCATATGACAAACTTTTATTTCCTAGTGACTTCTGTAATTCTCTCTCGAGAATATATTCTAGATCAAAAATAATGTTCCCATTGAACAGCCAGAAAGAGTTTTAAATGTAGTTTCTAAAGACCTTATTTCCTTAGAAAAACCAAACTTGTCATTCTCACAAATTTAAGAAAATACTTTGTCCTTAGAACACAAAAGCAACCTTCAGAAATAAAATGCCAAACTTTTAATACTTAAGTCTTTCTTAGAAATTGAAATATGACAGAATCAATTTTTCAAATCTAATTCTCACCTGTGATTGGTACATTTAAGTAGATTTCTGAAAATAAATTGGAAAGATATAATGAGTTTATAATGTAACTTCTAACTTGGAGTTTTTATTTACCTTAATATATCTGACACTTTTTATTTTTTCTCCCTCAGGAGGAAAAAATCTAGTTCTCAATACAACATAGTTACTCATTTGCTTCATAACTTTATATATATATGAAACAGCTTCAAAATTACAATACCAATACTAACATCAACAATATCATTATTAAAACAGTTTAATAATTTTTAAATAAGAAAAAAGTTTTTCTTATTTAATTCTTAAAGCAAATTAAATTTCTTATTTAATTCTAATATCCCATTGATATTTGTGTTAAATCACTGTGTTTAAAGCTATGTTTAACAGTTCCCTCTTGGAGGCTATGTCTCCAATTCAATACAGTATTCTTCATTTGATGATTCTGTTGATTTTTCAAAATTGTTCTTAAAGTTATTTATTTGTTTATTTTGAGACGGAGTCTCACTCTGTCGCCCAGGCTGGAATGCAGTGGCACTCTCTCCGCTCACTGCAAACTCCGCCTCCCGGGTTCACGCCATTCTCCTGCCTCAGTCTCCTGAGTAGCTGGGATTACAGGCGCCTGCCACCATGCCTGGCTAATTTTGTGTATTTTTAGTAGAGACGGGGTTTCACCGTGTTAGCCAGGATGGTCTAGATCTCCTGACCTCGTGATCTGCCCGCCTCGGCCTCCCAAAGTGCTGGGATTACAGGCGTGAGCCACCGCGCCCGGCCTTTTAAAGTTATTTTTAATCATTTATAATATTTTTATATTACAAAGTAAATTTGCAAGGCAAAATATATTCATAGATGTCCAGTTTCTAACCTTGTAGTGTTTATCCTATTGCCTTTCACCCACTAAGGGCAACCATTATAATTATTTGTTATTCTTAGGTTTATCCTTACAGCTTTTTTATGCATTTTTCTTCACCTTACTTTCTTCAGTTAAAAATATATTCTGAAATAACTCTATTCTAGTGTTTATAGATAGCCATAATTCCTTTTTATAACTTCATAATTCTCTAGTGGATATAGCATAGTTTTTCAACCACTCTCTTATTGATGGGCATTTAGATTGTTACAATCTTTAGAAATAAATCTCCAGGAATGGTATTGTAAATATGTCACTTTGTGTTGTGCAGTGTATCTCTGAGAGAGATTCCAAAAAGCCAAAGTATAAATAAATACATAATTTTTGCCTTAAATCTTTAAGCTTCCCTTCATAAGAGTTGTATCATTTTGCATTACCACCAACAATGTGGTAAAGTATTTTATCCTACAGCCTAGCCAACAGTGTCTTACCAAATTTTTGTACTTTTTTTGTGCCAATCTGTTACGTGAGAAATGGCGTATCAATGTGTTTTAATTTGGATTTTATTTTTTCTGAATGATTGTTGACTTTTATGTCAAAAACTGCTGTTTTTTTAGAAATTAGAATACTTAAAAAGTATTTTCTAAAAGGTGCAAAGAGAAGAATCTGAGAGATATATAGTTTAGTTATATGTTAGAAGCTTAACACAGATTATTTTAATTTAGAATTATAATATATGGAAAAGTAAAATAGACATGATTCTGAAAATAACTTCTAAAGTTAAATATTTTAACTTTGTTTAATGTCACAGAAACTATGCAAAAGAAATAATCCTCACATTCATAAACAATCATTTATTGCAGTTATAAAGCTTATAATATAAACTTTTTTGAAGCCTTAAAATGTCTAGAGGAAAGGGAGAAGCCTATAAATGATCTTGTAATTGCAGAGTTTGTTTTTTCCTACAGTAGATCAATATTTGATAAAACATACGAGCCAAGTGTATTGTATTTCATGTTATAGCTCAAGACCAAAACCATTTTAAAGAAAAATATCCTCCCCTAATAATACCAAAGATGATGAGTTCTGGCCCTTACTCTTGGAATATTTGAGTTTTTCCTGTGTTCCCTAAGAGTGTTCCTAAATATATTTAATGCCTTATTTGGATCGAATAGAGCATATCGTAAGGCTATCTTATTAATCTGCCTTCAATAAATGGTGTCCTCTTCAACAAGAATTTTATTTTCCTTGGAAGAGAAAATATTAAAGAAAGGATAATGGAAAATGATTCCTGCCAATTAATTCTTAGTTATTTTCTTTCCTTTCAGCACCTTCCCTGATAGGTGTGGTAAGGAAGGACTGGGCATCCCAAAATAGCATTGCCCTATCATGGCAAGCACCTGCTTTTTCCAATGGAGCCATTCTGGACTACGAGATCAAGTACTATGAGAAAGTAGGTCTTATTTGGAGCTTCCTATAAAACTACATATATATGCATATATATGTATATATTGAGCATGTCGTTATACTATATTATTTTATTTTAAACCCTGTTCTTCTTTGGCCTAGCCTCATACCTTCTGTTTCTTTGAATCCTCTCTAACTTACTATTCTGCTTGTAAGTTATTGATTAATTTATCTTGTTTTGTGTCAGATTAAAGTAGAAGATGTAAGATGTTCATTTCTGTCATGACCTACTCTAGAGAGTTTTATAATATTGTAAGAAGAAGTAACTTCTTCAATTTATTCAATTTATAGTTTGGTTGCTAATTGTTTCTAAAATTCAGATGGGAAGAAATTTTAATATTGAATTACTATAACCTGAAGTGGGTTTTTGTAGCACATATCCTTTGCCAGTGTGTTTAGAGTTACAGTCGGCTATAATTTGGAAAGTATTATTTAAGGGATAAATAGAAATAGCATATAAATGAAACACTTTCTTTACATTCAGGTTAGCTATTTTATTTTATAAGCTAGCAAGATAAATTCAGTTGACAAATCCTTATTTATAATAATGGAACCCTTATTTCCATTTTTGTCATACATTAGTATATTTCCCCATTATATACTTTATTCCCTTTATTATATTTATGTTCTTTATGCATTTTTCTCTCATTCCTCACCATTATGATATTCTTGGCATCAATATTACAGCAGACCACATAGTCAATTCTGAAGTGTCTTATTGTCTTAATACTACTTCTAGAAGTATGCAAAGGGAATGTTAAATAAAAATTTTAATGTAAAAATTATATGTAATATCCAGTGGTATATTACAATGAGAAGGAACATCTTGCATTTCTGTCCCTTACTAGAAGCAAAGGAAATCATAAAGGAATTTAGTCTTCCTCTGAAGAAATAGAGGGCAAGAGGAGAAATAGAACTCTACTTTCTTAGTTTATTTTGTCTGCTGTAACAGAATACCACAGATGGAGTAATTTATAATAAACAGAAATTTATTGGCTTATGGTTCTGGAGACGAAGAAGTCTGAGATCGAGGACCCAGCATCTGGAAAGGAACTTCTTGGTTATTGATCTCATTGTGGGAGGGCAAGGCCAGGGTGAGAGAGAAGCAAAAGGAAGTCAAACTCATCCTTTTATTAGGAGCTTACTTCTGCAATATGAAACCCACTCCCATGGTGACACCAATCCCGCAAATGAAGCCATAGTCTTCATGGCCTAATCACCTCTTAAAGGTTCCATCTCTTGATTCTGTTATAATGGCAATCAAATTAAAACATAAGCTTGGCAGGGACATTAACCATAACACATACCTTCCTCTATTCTACTGCTTCAGAGTTAATCTAGGTTTGATAATGGGAGAGGTAACTTAGTAGCATAGCTGTATCCATTTTTTGTTGCTCTAATAATTTCAGCATTATGTAGTCAATAAAAACTGTCATTATCTTTAAGTGACATAGATAAATCCATAGCCTAAGAAAGGACAAATTTACTGAGTTTAAATTGGAATACAGATTCTGCAAATTATCCTGGCCAATATGTGCTCAGAAATCTGCTGGGCTAGCCTTTCAAATGTTACAGCCTATAGCACACTATCACAAGAAAGCATATGTTTTCTGTTGACTGGTTTAAATATATTTTCATACACTCAAAATTTCTGACTATTTAACAAGCAATGTGCATATATATACAAGCAACTTTTCAGAATCAAAATATTTCTCTGTGTTTTATAAGGGTTATATTTTACACATAGAAAAATCACTGTCTAATTTTATAGTCATTTATACCTGATATGTTTGAGGATGAAAATGACTTGCAATATTTCTAAGTTAGGATAAATCATACAGATGTAATAGAAAGAGAACCACATTCATCCAATCAAAATTTTATAAATTAATATGATTCTAAAAGGACCTAGAAAGATCTAGATCTAGGTAATCTTTTACAGTTCTAGCTATTGTCAAATGCTAATGTTTGTGTATGTACTGTTATATAGATAAATTATCTTAATGTTATCCTATCCCTCTGATAACTATGGTTTTTCATTGAAATCTACTGAAATTAAACACACACACACACACACACACACACACCTTTTTAAAATACCTCACCATAGAGAGCAGTATTCTTAACATCATAATTATATGTAAAAATTAAGACCCTAGCATTATTCTCTTTCTCTGTGTGTGTGATGTGTCTGAGTGTGTTTGTGTGTGTGTGTGTGTGTATTAAGAGTGATATGTCAGAAAGAAAACATATTGCTTTATGGGTTATAATTAGTTAGATATTCCTTATTCAGTTAATTACATTCCCTAATTTTTAGTCACTTTTCTTTTTCATACTCAGTCTTTCATTCTCCTTTAACTCAAGTGAATACAGCTTGACTATGAAAGGCACTTTAAAATAATATGGGAAGTCAAGAAAAGTTACAAAACTTTTTATTTTTTTTATTTTTTTATTCACTTACTAATACTGCTTTTCTCCAATAGGCTCTCCAGTAGAGCCCATTCTTATAATGAGGGAACTAAGACATCATCTGCTCCCAACTTCTCAGTCCTCCCCTTCAAAACAGTCCAAACCCGCTTCTATTCATATCGAAGAGCAAGTATACCCTTTGTCTTTGTTTGTTTTGTGATGCTATAACATAATATCTGAGACTGGGTAATTTATAAGAAACATAAATTTATTTCTCACAGTTCTAGAGGCTGGGAAGATCAAGGTGCCAATAGGTTTGGTGTCTGGTGAGGGCCCCCTCCTCATTTCTAACATGGCTCCTTGAATGCCATATCCTCCACAGAGGAGAAATGCTATTCCTCACCCAACAGAAGAGGAGAAAAGCAAAGAGAGGGGAAGGAGAGGGCCATACTTGCCTTTTCATAAAGCACCAATCCCACCCAAGAGGGTGTAGCCTTCATGGCCTAATGATCTCTTAAGGGTTCCACCTATTAATACTGTTACAATGACAATTAAATTTCAAAATGAGGCCGGGCACGGTGGCTCATGCCTGTAATCCTAGCACTTTGGGAGGACATTCCAACCATAGCACCCTTCTCTTATCTCTGTTCCCTTCTGTCCTTACCCTTTGTGTTCACATTCTTAATTTTTCTTCCTGTGCCCTCTTTTCTCTTCTCCTCCCTACTTTTCCCTCTTTCCTCTCCTTTTTTTCTCTGCCCAAGCAAGGCACACTTCCTTCTCTTGCTTCTTTGTTATTTCATTATTCTCTTAGTCTGTTTCGGCTATGTGATAAAAACTAATAAACTATGTGGCTTATAAACAATAGACATTTATTTCCCATAGTTTTGGAAAGCAGGAAGTTCAAGGCCAAGGCTCCAGAAGCTTTGGCATTGGGTGAGGTCCTTTTCAGGTTCATAGACAGTGGTTTTCTCACTGTGTCCTCACATGGCAGAAGGGTATGGGAGTTCTCTGGGGTCTCTTTCATAAGGGCAATAATTCCATTCATGAGGGCTCCACCCCTGATCACCTAATCACCTAATCACCTCCCAAAGACCTCACCTCCTAATACCATGGCCTTGGAGGTGATTTCAACATATGAATTTTGGAAGGACATAAACATTCAGACTCTAACAGTTATATTTACCAAAATTAGTCCTAATCAGAGTTATTTATTTGTGGATCTGGACTTCCCCCAGTAGTTTATGAGTCCCTGAAGAAAAGAATTGATTTCAACCCTCAATCCTTGCCTAACACAGCTATTTCCTTTCAATAACATTCTAGCTGAATTAGTAAAATTCTCTCTTTGTTCAGAACTCATTCCCAGGAAATTAAGAAATGATGCAGCCACTGTAAAATTACCTCTAACAAGTTTTTTAAAGGCAGAAAAGAAACAAAGAAAGCCAGCAAGACTTTCTGTTTCTACCTGTTCATAAGAAAGACCTATACACATATGTCCATCAGCTGAGAGAACATTCTGTTAAGGACAAGAATGTAAGCTCTTGAGGGCAAGGATTTACTTTGTTCACTTTCTTATCCTTAGTGCTCAGAGAGGCCCATAGATGGTAATTAATAGATACTGATTGTTGACCAACTATATGCCAGGTAATCTTTTAAGTGTTTTGCAAGGACTAGCTAATTTACTCCTAACAACATATGTTTGAGGAAAATGTTATTATTCTTCCCATTTTACAGATTAAGAAACTAAGGCACAAAAAGGTTAAGTATCTTTACCAAAATCACACAGCCAGTAAGTGGGTGTTAAAACTGGCCATCATACCTTACATCACAGCAGATGTCTCAGAAAGTCAGTGCTTTCTGCTGATGCTGATTTTCTAGGTTCCCTGAGGACAAACACTTCATTACTCTCTCATGTCAATTTTGCATCTGCAAAATGGCAGGAATAAAACATACCTATCTCACCAGGGTATTGTACAGCTCCCCTAATTATCAACTGGTAGCTCATTTTGCAAACATGAATCCCCTCATAACAGTTCATTATTCTCACATCCAGTATTTTAAGACACTGTGACTGTTAAAGTCTTTTTCTCAAAGTGGTCTTGTTAATTTTTATCACAGTCAGCAGTTTTTAGATTTTAAGAAAACTCATCATGAAAAAGGTAGCATTTCTTATATCCAGATGTTCAATAATTATTTATATGAAATGATGAATTAATATAACCTGCCAGTGTTTCACCTAGTTCACAGATTATAGAAAAACTATCTTTGCTTTTTAATTAAAAATAAATAATGTTGTGACACTGAGGACAGTGTATTATTTAAAAAATATAAGGAGATTTGTGGAAAGCTTTTCATTATGGGAAATATTTTTATCAATCAGGGATGATTTAAAGTAGCCTCTTTTAAAAGAAGGTTGAAGTCTTAGTGTCTTTTCTGAAAGTCGCATACTCCTCAATATCACACTTTGCACAATAAGTCTTTTTTCTTCCTCCGTAATCCTGTTATTCTACTTTCTCAATATAGTTTTTCCACAGATAACAACCTAATAATTATCCCTCATTTTTCTAAAGATAGATAATCAGTAACATGCATCTTTGTTTAAAAATACATGAAGCAATTATTGTAGCAATAATCAACATGAGAAAGAAAAACAATCTTTCCTTCTTATATGCTGCTCAATATACATTTCTCATTTTCTTTTGTTGTATTTCCTTTACTTAAGTGTTTGCCCAAGGGAGGAAGAGAATTTTATCTTTACTTCCAGGAAAGCTACTCTTACCTCCATCTGTTATTTAGGTACAGAAACACATCTTTGTTCTCTGCCTGTCCCTTTCCCTGTGACCATCTAATTCATACATTTGTAAACCTTAATGTAAACTATCATACAAAGTTAAATGTCGTTATTACACAAGGAACTAAGAAAAGTGTGACTGAGGAAAGTGTATATGGATCACATGGGGATCTTGCTGAAATGCAGATTGTAATATATTTGATTGGGCGAATGAGTAGTGTTAGTGGTGGTAACATGAGATTTTGGGTTCCTAGCAAACTCCTATGTGATTCCAGCATTCCTCTGAGTTGTCAGTCTCTAGAAGCCCTACTTTTCCTTCACCTCATTTAATCGAGTGTTGATAAAGGGGAAAATAATCACAATGCTCTCAACATAGACGTGAACTTACATGCTATGTCTCTATAACTGGCTAGCATCTCTGTAGATTTTACATGATTTGTAGATGTTGTTGATCTGTAGGTGTTACATGACATCAGAACTACAAGTATTAATCTGAAGCAAAATGCAGTAAAGGACCAAGTCAATTTTGGATACAATTCAGTGTTTACAGTGGAATCAGCAAGTTTTTTTTTTTTTCATAATTATTTGTTGCAGTGTCCACCACAGAGAAATTAGATGTGAGCATTTGGTACTAATTAAAACAGCATTACCTGAAAGAAAATGGACAGCAAGGGAATTTACTGATACAAACACTCATAAAGGTTTTATATCCAATTTCCATGTTGTTCAATAAACATCACATTCTCTGTGGAAGCTTGTCTGGCTTAGTAAGCCCAGGGAGGACCATAGTGCCTGGAGCAGAGATTCTCATGGTAGCAAGACTCTGACTGGGGCCAATACTGCATCCACAGCAGCATCTGTATGGTATACCCTTATCAAACAGGAAGAAACTAAAAATATATTGACAGCAACATTGCAGAGTCTGCAAACACATGAAAATTACAAATATCTGCTAACTATACCTCTAAAGTGTCTCCTGTTTTATAAAAGTTATTCTATCTTTGGTTTGGTTTGAAGAATGTATTTGTTTAAAATTATAGAAGCTGCATTTAGTGTATTAAAGATTTGTATATCCAAGAAAGAAAAAAATAGTTGGTAAAACTAAGGACCCTGAATAAACTTCATTTACACTTTTGAATATGCTATAGGGGAAAAGAAACATCTTTCTTTTCTATCTCTAGGCTCATGACTGAGGTCCTTATAAAAACGAATTAAGAAGAGACAAGCCTACAAATTTACTTAATGTGAGTTTTACATAGGCCAGGAGCCTTCAGATATAAAGACCCAAAGAAACAGAGAAACCTATGTATTTTTATGCTTAGATTTGAACAAAAGTGGACAGTTGCACGGAAGTGTGATTAAGCAAAGGGATATGATCCAGTGGTAATAAACTCAGGGGGAGTCGCTTAACAAGACCTACTGTTCAGATTATTTTTTATATATTTGTGTCTTTATAGATAAGGATGTTCTTTCCTCTGGGCATAGGGACAGCACCTCTCAAATGAGGGGCTCTTGACCTGATTTCAGAGGAGGAGGGCAGGAGAAAGTCAAAGGGTGATCTTTCTACTTTTGCCGTTTGCTCAAATTCCATGGTGCCATATTTGGGGATAGAATGTTTTGAACCCCATCAATATCTAAATTTATAGACTGAAATAAAGGTTATGACTATCAAAAGTTTATGTTCTGGTTACAAGAAAACAAAACTCTCTTTCCTACTGCTCAGAGGGCTGGAATTCTTTTGGTGGTATGGAGTCATATTGTAGAATTTCAGTCCCAGCCTGATCTTGTGTACAACTAGGTAAGGCTACATAATTAATCCCACTTCTGCTAAATTGCTATATTTCAGTCAGGCCCAAGTTACACCTTTAAATTCAGTTTCACATTCTAACCTCATATTCAGTTGCTTCCATATTCCTAGTCATACATTTCTGAATTTGCTTCCTCACCACTTTTCCTGAATTCCATGTCTTTATCTCTTTTTCGATGAGGTTGGAATAAATAATCTAAGTTGTTATCCAATTCTGAACTTCCATGACTGCAGAAGCTTATTTTTCATTTTGTTATGCTTTGCTATACAAGGTGATAGAAAAAATCAAATAAGACTAAGGAATGAATGAGACATTTGATGTTTTCAGTGAAAATATTATGTATACGTATATATAAATTAAAAATGACAGAGAAGTACATAAAAAGATAAGGATGAAACAGTAATTCAATTTCCTCAGCAATCTGGAAATCTACATATACTATCAAGTTTTGCATTTGTAAGAAAAGAGAAAAAATATAAAGCTATTTTTAAATGATTATTTTCTTCTAAAAAATGTCCACTTTCTGTTAAAGAAACTGTACTGTTTGGAGGAAAGAAAATAATACAATGTGGGATATACTTGGGGAGTCCAGAGGTTATGTTATCTGCAATGGTAAATTATCAGAGATCACAATGTCCCTTTTAAGCATTTGGGCTAATACCCACCAAGAATCAGTGTAGCTTGGGATTATTAGTATTTTTCTTTTCTTTGCTTTTCTTTTTTTTAAGAAAATGCCTTCTGGGGAGTAACAAGGACATAAATTCAAAATTCCTCTAAATTTCTGTTGTAGTTTGGTGAAAATCAAAGAAACAAAACTCACAGACACCACTTTTAAAAAATGTAGCATTGCCATGAATTCAAAGTGCAGTCAGCCTTCAAAAAACTACTCTTCCAGCAAAGAAAAATGTAAATATAATGTTCCTACTTTTGAAAGCCTGTAAACCAAAAAGTGACTGAAGCAGGTCTCAACTGATAGAGGTTTATTTTGCCAAGGTTGAGGATGCGCCTGAGGAAAAAAGTACAGCCATTGGAGCATCTGTGACCTGAGTTTTTTCCAAAGGGGGTTTTGGGAACTTAAGTATTTACAGGGGAAAGAGCAAGCAGGAGGGAGAAAAGGGGAAGGAGGGTAGGAAGTGAGGCAGATCGTTACATTCGTGTGAGGCTCTGATTAGCCCCAATGAATCTACATTTTATGTGTGAAAACAGGGAGTAAAGGAAAAAGTCAATTTTACATTGCCTTGGTTAGTAAATCTACATTTTACATAAGATAAACTAAGCCTTTGAAAAGTGAGTGCAATGGAAATGAGGCTATGATACAAGGTTGTGAAATTACAGTTCTCTGTCTGGGAACTAAAGGAAAGCAGTTTTTGCATGGCTCAGTTCCCAAGCTTTACTTTCCCTTTGGCACGGTGAGTTTGGGGTCCTGAGATTATATTTTCTTTCACAAGCCAAAAGTACAAGGCAGGCACCTAATTTACTATCCCCAAATGATGAAGGACTAAATACCTAAATACCTAAAGATAAATCTTACTAGTTTTTAAATATAAATTTCAAGATAAGAGCTGCAACTAGATTATGTTATCTAACCCTTAGCAAGTTTTTCCTTGATAACTGGCCTTACCAAAGAGTTGACCGAGTCATATTCCCTGGAGACAAATGCAAGATTTGTTCATTTCAGATGCAATTAAAAATGCTACCATATTTGTGTCTATTCCTTAAACAATCATTATTTGGGGCTACAAGTACAAACATACTTACCAAATCATACATTTACTTTTTTGCTTCTGATACTTCTGATACTCTACTGCTACTCCCTTCAATCTGAAAATCTTAATAAGAAAATCTATATAAAATAATGGTCTGATATAGGGTTGAGTTTTGAAATAGGAAAATTAAATTGAGAAAGGCCATTTCCCAATAATTTTTTATATAGATTTGTATTACTTAATATATTCAAATAAATATCTTAATAAAGGCATGGCTAAACACTGAGGCATTCCCCTGCTTCAACCAATTCTCCCAACTCTGATATTTGGCTCATCTTTTCTAATTGTTAATCAGTACACCTCTTTAGAAAGGAATTTCTTTTAGAAAATGCCTTACTTTCTTAATTTAGATAGGTACTTAACACCCTCAAGAAATGCATCAAACCTTTAAAATTTAGAGAAAAAATAATTACTACAAAAGTGCTCTGATACTTAAACTATTACAACGAAACTGTTTTAGTTTATTCCCGCATAGTAACCGATGTATAGTAAGCTGCTTCATTTCCCGGCTCTGCTATTATTATCCTCATTCCTCAAGGGTAGACTTAAGTGTCTTAGATTCTCAAATGAAAGGGAAAAAAACCTAAGTCTGTATTCTGCTTCAAATAACTAGAAATAATTATGAGGCTTCTTTGACCAGATATAATTTTTGCCTTGGAGAGTAAAGCAAAGCCCCTTGCAACAGCCATTATTAATGACACTGATATAATTACTATTTGAAAAAAGGAAATCTGCCCAGAAAAATCAATTGTAAACCACCAAATGTTCCTTGGACTTTTCAGAGAGATTCTATGCCTATTGTCCCTCATGACCTCTCCATTAAGAGACTGGTTGGCTATATTCCTAATGGTTGCCTTCAATTATTTAGAGAGGACTTCTAAGCTTTTGTATTTCATATTAAAATGGCCTGGAGAGCATTTTCTGATTGACTTACTTGCAGAACAGAAGGGTCACTCTGGGGAAAACAGAGTAACCTAGGTGGCTTTGCTCGAAAAAGGTAACTCAGAGTCCTCTTCCATTAGGGCAGTTTATCATGCAAACATTGATTCTCATACAATGAAGCAAACAGTGTATGATGACTTTGCTTTCACTGAAAAATTACAGAAAAAAAAAGAATAGTTGAAAGAGTCATTAGGAGTAGTTATCTGTAATCTAAAGCGAGCTTGATTTGTGCATCTGCATTTATCACCTCTTTTGTTTTTAACTTGCCACATTCTACTTCTCTTAACATTATTCTCAACATTAGTGGATGAGCGTCCTCTTATAATCATGCAATATTAATTAGTCTCCAGTTGTAAGAGATGTATTGGTTTGTAATTCTGTCTTATCTATTCATTGGACACCTTGAAGCTGGTAAAATTTTCTAAAAGATATAGTTGAAGGCAAAATTAGAAATGAAGACAGACTTTATAAAATGGCAGAGAATATCCCAGGCAAGATACATGTTGAGATGAGGGTATGAATTTGTGAAAGGACAAAACAAACTCAAACTGGTCCTGTGTAATGGTCAAAAACTTGACCATATATATCCTTTGATTTAAAAATACTACCAGTTTTTTACAGTCTGTATCAGAAGAGCTTGTTAAAGCACTTGTCTTTGAATTCAGGCATCTGTTTGAAGCAGATCACAAAATGGACATTTCAAATCACAATTCATGAACCGTGTCTGATTTCTATTCCTTTGATAAATTAAATGATCAGTAACAAAATATCTGTAACACATTAAGCTCCCTGAAAAAATTACTCCAGTGAATTAAAACTCAACAATATGCCTGCATTCTGCATTCAGAAACATTGGTTGAATTTGTTTGTTGATTTAGTCAATCGTCTTTTAAAAAGCACTTGAATTTTTTTTTACTTGAGTTTTGCTTCAGAAAAAAATCTAATTTTGTAATTATGGAGTTATATTGTTTGTTGTCAAAATAAATGTTTCTCCATTTCGCCTAATTGTCAGAATTTTTTGGACCAATTTTTAGCCCAAGTATTATAATCTGTGGCATATAAAAATCTAAAACACCTACTTGTTTTTATTATTACAAATCTACACTTCACCTTGTACTAATATTTTGTTTTAATATAGAAAAAAAGTAGAAAGAATAAAAGGAAAGAAAGAGAAGAAACCAAAATGAGTTAAATACCCCTATGTTCCAGCTCCTGAGCTACATATTTTTGTGTCAACCTGACAGCAGATCCAGAATTATTTCCTTCACACCATGCTGTTTCCTAAAAATTAAATCCAAGACTTTTTGGCAATCTAAAGTTATATTAGAATTTAGAGTTAAATGAAATGCTATGATAAAAATCCTTTGTGGATAAAATTTTAAATAATTAAAGAGATGAAACATTTTCATTTTTGGATTAGGCACTAACCTAAGATGGAGAGGTATTTAATATTAATAACTGTGACAAAATGAGAAGATAAGAAGATTCTAGGTAAAGGGAACATAAGTGTGAAAGTCCAAGGTAAGGAACTTGGCAAGTTGAAGGAAGAGACAGTGTTCTGTGGCTTGAATATAGTAAGGAAGGAGAGATGAGCCTGAAACAGTGAGCAGAGGAAAGCAAAGTACACCATTTCTCTCCTCTTTCCCACATTTAACAAATATTTATTGCACACCTACATGTGTAATGTTTAGCACTACAGATTCACATTAGGAATGATATTAAAATTTTTAAACAGTATCATATTTGTTTAAATATGCTTAAGATATAATTAACTCATTGAAAATTTATTTTCTTTCATGATTATGAGTATCTTTATATCTTTCATCAATATCATTTTAACTTTCAGTTATTTTTCCCCAATCCATCATTCAGGAAACTAATCTAGAAAAATTGAGTATTTTATACCTCTCATTCTCTTCTTTCCCTTTTTTAAAGGCTCAGATCAAGGTAAGGCATTTACAAATGTCTTTAACATATTTATAATCATAAAATAATACATTTGATTCATAAGTTTTATTTCTCAAAATATTAGTTTGGAATGAATCCAAAACAAAATATAACACCATTTCAAAAGTTAAAATATTCCAGTCAGCATATGTCCTTGATGAAATGTATTTCTTAAAACAATTATACTCCTGATATGTCTTTCATTTCATTTAAACATATATGTCATTTGCTAAGTAAATATTTTTCAGGGACAAAAGAGAATTGCAAGTGACTGTACACCTTTCTCTGACCATGTTTGTCTCTCCATGTTGGGTTCTAAGTCCTGTTGGGAATATATCTGATGTATCTTTGGCCTCCCTGGAGAAAAGCGCTTTTCCTGACACACTGTAATCATTCAATAAAAATTAGGGAATAAATGATTGTATGAATGAACGATTTCTTACTCCTGAACTCCTACTTTTTCTTTTTTTAATGGAAAAAAAAGTGCTATGTCCAATAGCCTAACTAGAAAGTGACTTATTGGCTTTTATAATAATGCCAGAGTAGGCATTTTGCAAGGCTCTTTCTTTACAAAGTAGGTAGGTATGTGTAAAGCATACTCTTGATGGTAATTTTGTTTTTACAAAACTTAAGGGAGAATTTCAAGGACTTGCCTTCTCTTGTCCAAAAAAAAAATCTGAGCTTGGAGGGGAAAGATGGCTGTCAGTCTGGTGTAGTGAGTTTTCTCTGAGAGCAAATTTCAAAGTGCTCTGAGAACACTATTGTCAGGATCAGAGTCTTGGGCCACTGGCTAGGAGGGAGAATTGATTCTGCGACTTTGGTGCTGAGCTAAGGTACTGAAGGAAAACTGAAGTAGTACCATTCTAGCAGCATACACTGATTTCTTATAGACATAGAAGTAAATCCTATCTAGAGAAAAGCTCTCAAAATATAAGACTCAGACACCACAGATTATGATCAGGCAATAATAACACAATCAAAGACTACCAATTACAGAAAAAAACAAAACATGAGTGAATGAGGAGAAACGATCTGCAACAGATTTAGTATCCCAAGGACTTTTGATGCGTTAAAGAATCATACACAAAACAACTATGTTTGAAAAGTTTAAAAAATAATAAATGCAATCAGGAGATTGAGAAAAAGATAAGAAGAATAAGCAGATTGGGGGAAATTAAACTTATAAAATTAAATATATAATTATAAGAAAAAACTCAATAAATAGATACACAGTCATACACTATATATATTAATATTTATCAGTATATACTAATAAATGATACTAATAATTACTAATGAAAAGACATTTAAAAAATCTAACAATACTGGACTTCATTCTAAGAAAAAGAAAACAGAACAGAGAGCATACAATACTTATATGAATAATGGCTGTGAATTTTCTAGAAGGAAGTATAACATGTTCAAAATAGGAAAAATAACACATATCTAGAAACTTTATTACAGCTGCATAGTATAAAGGGGATAGAGAAAGGGGACATTTTAAAAATTAGGCATATAGAAGAAATCACTGACAAAAAAACATGACAACCAGACTTAAAGCAGCTGTCTTACCACAATAGAAAGTAGACAGTTGAAAATAGTACCCTCACATTTTTCAACCCAGAATGATATATGCCAAACTATTTTTTCAAGAATAAGGGTAAAATATTGGTGTTTAGAGATAAACAAAAAGAGGGAGTTTGTCACTCAAAGACCTACCATAAAGAAATGGGCATAAATAAGAAGGAAAATGATTCCAAAACGATAGTATAAGAAGCAAGATGTGAATAAATAAAATAGTAAACATGTACATAAATCTGAAAAAATACATGTATAAAATAGTATCTTTCAAAAGAAATAAATACAAGATAAAATAGCATGCATGAATCAAAGAATAAGTTGTAAAGGAAATTCAAGTACTTCTAATTAAATGATAATGAAAATATTACATAGCATAGAGTGTGGCATCCAGTATATGCAGGTAATAAATGAACGAGTATAATAAATGCCCTTATTGGAAAGTAATGAAGTCAAAAAATTAATGAACTAAGTATCTTACTTAAGAATTTAACAGGGCCAGGCACTGTGGCTCACGCCTGTAATCCCAGCACTTTGGCAAGCCAAGGCGGGCGAATCACCTGAGTTCGGGAGTTTAACACCTGCCTGACCAGTATGGAGAAACCCCGTCTCTACTAAAAATACAAAATTGCGGGGCATGGTGGCATGTACCTGTAATCCCAGCTACTCAGGAGGCTGAGGCAGGAGAATCGCCTGAACCCAGGAGGTGGAAGTTGCGGTGAGCCGAGATCCTGCCATTGCACTCTAGCCTGGGCAACAAGAGCAAAACTCCATCACAAAAAACAAACAAACAAACAAACAAACAAAACAGAAGGGGTCAGGCACGGTGGCTTACGTCTGTAATCCCAGCACTTTGGGAGGCCGAGGTGGGTGGATCACCTGAGGCCAGCAGTTCAAGACCAGCCTGGCCAACATAGTGGAAACCCCTTCTCTACTGAAAATACAAAAATCAGCCTGGTGTGGTGGCAGGCACCTGTAATCCCAGCTACTTGGGAGTCTGAGGCAGGAGAATCGCTTGAACCTGGGAGGCGGAGGTTGCAGTGAGGTGAGATCTTGCCACTACAATCCAGCCTGTGTGACAGAATGAGACTCCCTCTCACACACACACACACACACAAGAATTTAACAGAAGGAATATAAAACAGTAAGTCCAGGGAAAGTAGGAGGAAAGAAATCATTACCACAAGAGCAAAAGTGAGAAAATAAAAAAACAAAGACAAAATAGAGAAAATCAACAAAACCAAAAATTGAAAAAACTGATTGATTACATAAACCTTTAGAAAGATTGATCAAAATTTAGGTTTCTAAATTCAAGAAAGAAGACACTTAGATGACTGAAGTAATTCAAGTTTCTAAAGGCTGAGAAACTGGGAAGCCGCTAGAAATCAACACATGAAATAACCAAAATGAAGACAAGAAACTTCTGTGTACATTAAAGTAAAAAATGGGTTGTATTACCAAAAAAAACCTGATTTTTAGAATACAGAGGAAAAGGAAAGGAAAAGCCTTCTGAAAAATGTCTTTTTTGTTAACTTTACATGCATTTTTCATGGGTCAATTGATCAACACTAAATATTAAGTTTGAGAATCATTTGTTTATTTGTGTATTCATTCACTGCATGTGATAGATCTATGTGCCAATCTGGGTATTATAAACATCCATAAATCTCTCATATATCATACTTCAAGTTATAATAATGTCACTCGTTCTCTGTGAACCCTTTGATACATCATTCCATTCAATAAACTGTTTATCCTTTGATTCTTAAAAAAAAAAAGATAAAAATTGACCAAAATAAAAGAAACAAGAAACTAAAAACTGGGAAGAAAAATGAAGATATAGTAACAAATATTATAGAGATTGGAAATATAATGAATTTTCCAAGATCAAATTTATGTAAATTACATGTGAAAACTTACACAAACTAGAAAAAACTTCATACATATATTATTTACTAAATATGACTAAAAAGGAAATAGAAAACTTGCATAATTACTTCACTACTAAATAATTGGAATCAGTGGATAAAAACTGTTCCCAACACTAAGAGCATCTGGCTTAGATGGTTTTTAAGTCATTTTTTTCCCCCATCTTTCAAGGAACCCATCATTTCAAACATATTCAAGCTTTTCCTAAGAATGGGGAAAAAAGGAATTTTCTGAAGTGTGTTCCATAAGGCCAGAATAACCTCTTAACTGAACGAGGGCAGTAGGAGAAATAATAACTACAGGTAAATCTTACTCAGAAGCATAGGTACAAAATCCTAAATTAAATGTAACCAACCAAACCAGCTAAGTATAGAAAAAAAGACAAACAGACAAAAAAAAAAAATAGGGCCAAATTTGGATTTATTTCAGGAATGCATGAGTATTTTAACAGTAGATAATTTATCAATGTAACTTAACATTCAGCAGATAAAAGGAAAAGTTCCAAATAATCACCTTAATAGATGCAGAAAAGGCATTTCATGTATACCATCTATTCTTGGGTATTATTCTCAGAAATCTAGTAATATGAGATAACTTCTTTAACATAATTCAGATCAAGCAAATAGCCGTCTTAGTGAGGAAATATTACACTACTTCTCCCAAAACAAGAACTACATAAAAATGTCCATTATCAATAGTTTCTACTAAATATTAGAGGATCTCGCCATTCCAATGGGATAAAAATAAAATAAAATAAAAGCATATATGTTGTTAAAAAAACCCCACATTATTCCAGATGATATGACTCTTTACATAAAAATTTTTCCCGAATGTACATTCAGATTTAAAAAGATTATAGTAAGGTGTCTCGCTCTGCAAATTTAAATGCATTTCTATACGTCAGCATCAAAAGAAAACACATTTTAAAGAAGTTAAATTTACAATAGCAACTTAATCTGTAAAGCATTTGAGAATAAATCTGAAATAGTTTTCAATATGTACAAAACAATAATAAAATTTTATAGAAAGACATTAAAAACACTCAAATACAGCCCACATTTGTAAATAAGAAAAGCTTATCATAGAAAGATCAATTTTACCCCAAATGATGTGCAGCTTTAATGTCTAATAAAAATTCTAGCAGATCTCTTTGTGGAAATCAAAAAACTGATTTTAAACTTGATGAGGAAATGAAAAATAGGGGGCCATGAATAACCAGGATACTTTTGACACAAAATATGTTGAAGTTACATGCCTTGGCAGATACTTTAGAGTTACTGTATAGTGCATAACATTGTTGCACAATGAGACAGCAAGACCAATGTATTGTAACAGAATGTTCAGAAACAGACTTGCACATGTGTGGACCTTGAACCTATGGCAGAAGTGGCACTGCAGATCATTAAAAATGTATGGGCTATTCACTAGGTAATAGGTACTGGGTAATGTATATTGGTAGAAAAAAAAAGAAACTAGATTCCCACCTCATATCATTCACAAATTTAAATCCAAGTGTTCTAAGGACAAAATGTGATGGAAAGAACTTTAAAATTTTTGGAAGGAAAATAGAGAACAATTTCCTTTCTCCTTACAAGGAAAATATTTCACAAATGAAATGCATATTCTTACCTTAAAAGAAAAATTGATAATTTTCATTATAGTCATTTTAAGAATAGTCTCTCAAAAAAAAAAAAAAAAAAAAGAATAGTCTCTCAAAAAACTTTATTTAGATTGTCAAAAGACAAGACAAACTGGGAGAAGATATTTGCCATGCATACAATTAGTAAAGGAGTAGTATCCAAAATACATAAAGAAATCCTGTAAAACTATTAGAAAAAGAACAACAAGCCAATTGAAAACCTTATGTAAGATCTGTATGTCAACCTAGGTAAGAAAATACACTCAACTTCATTAGTAATAGGGAAACTGCAATTCAACAAGAATACTTAAGTATCAAAATATATACACCCCCAACACTGGAGTACCCAGATTCATAAAACAGGTTTTTAGAGACCTCTGAAGAGACTTAGATAATCACATAATAGTGGGAGATTTCAGTATTAGACTGATCATTGAAATAGAAAACTTGCAAAGATGTTTGAGACGTAAAATCAGCACTTGACGAAATGGACCTAACAGGTATCTACAGAGCATCCACTGAACAACATACATTATTCTCAGCTGTACATAGCACATACTCTAAAATCAACCAGAAGTTCAGCCATAAAGCAATTCTCAACAAATTACAAAATCAAAAAAGAAAACTCAGTCATATATCCCTGATGAACATAGATGCAAAATTCCACAACAAAACATTAGCAGAGCAAACAAGTACCACATCAAATAACTAATCCACCATGATCCATTAGGCTTTATTCATGGGATGCAAGGTTGGTTCAACATACACAAATCAATGTGATTCAGTAAATAAAACTAAAAACAAAAACCACATGATCATCTCAGTAGGTGCAGAAAAGGCTTTCAGTAAAATTCAACATCACTTCAAGTTAAAGACACTCAACAAACAAGGCATTGAAGGAACATACCTGAAAATAATAAGTGTCATCTATGACAAAACCACAGCCAACATCACAGTGAATGGGCAAAAGCTGGAAGCCTTTCCCTTGAGAACCGGAACAAGACAAGGATGCCTACTCTAACCATGCCTATCCAAAATACTACTGGAAGTAGCAGCTAGAGTAATCAGGCAAGAGGAAGAAATGAAAGGCATTCAAATAAAAAGAGAGGAAGAAAAACTATCTCTCTTCACAGATGATACAATTTTATAGCCAGAAAACCCCATAATCTTTGCCCAAAAGCTCCTAGATCTGATAAAAAATTTCAACAACTTTCAGTATACAAAATCAATGTGAAAAATTGGTAGCATTTTTATACATGAACATTGTCCAAGATGAGAGTCAAATCAAGAATACAATTCCATTTACAAATGCCACTAAAAGAATAAAATACCTAAGAATACATCTAGCCAGGGAGGTGAAAGATCTCTACAATGATAAATATAAAACGCTGCTCAAAAAAATTACAGACAACACATACAAATGGAAAAACTATTCATGTACAGGATAGAAAGAATTCTTATTATTAAAATTGCCATACTACCCAAAGCAATCTACATATTCAATGCTATTCCTATCAATCTACCTATGACATTTTTTACAGAATTAGAAAAAACCTTTCTAAAATTCATATGGAACCAAAAAAGAGACCAAATAGCCATAGCTATTCTAATCCTAAGAAAAAAGAACAAAGCTGGAGGCATCACATTACCTGACTTCAAACTATACTATAAGGCTACAATAACCAAAACAGCATGGTACAGAAACAGATACCTAGACTAATGCAACAGGTTAGAGAACCCAGAAATAAAGCCTCACACCTATGGCCATCTGATCTTCTACAAAGTCAACAAAAACAAGTGATGGGGAAAGGACTCTCTATTCAATCAATGATGCAGAAATAACTGGTTAGTCATATGCAGAAGATTGAAACCGGCCCTCTTCTCTATTAGTCTCTTCTCAGGCTGCTAATAAACACATACTTGAGACTGGGTAATTTATAAAGGAAAGAGGTTTAATGGACTCACAGTCCCACATGGCTGGTGAGGCCTCACAATCATGGTGGAAGGCGAATGAGGAGCAAAGTTATGTCTTACATGGCAGCAGGCAAGAGCAAGTTTGTGCATAGGAACTCTCATTTATAAAACCATCAGATCTCCTGAGACTTGTTCAGTACCATGAGAACAGTATGGGGAAACTGTCCCCATGATTAAATTAACTCCACCTGGCCCCGTCTTTGACACATGGGGATTATTACATGTTAAGGTGAGATTTTGGTGGGGACACAGCCAAACCATATCTTTTCACCCCTGGCCATTCCCAAATCTCATATCCACACATAACAAAATCAATCATGCCTTCCCTACAGTCCCCCAAATCTTAACTCATTTTAGCATTAACTCAAACGATAATGATCATAGTCCAAAGTCTTAGCTGAGACAAGGCAAGTCCCTTCTGCCTATGAGCGTGAAAAATCAAAAGCAAATTAGTGGCCATGCTTGGTGGTCATGCCTGTAATCCCAGCATTTTGGAAGGCCAAGGCGGGCAGATTACCTGAGGTCAGGAGATCAAGACCAGCCTGGCCAACATAGTGAAACCCCATCTCTACTAAAAATACAAAAAAATTAGCCAGGCATTGTGGTGGGCACCTGTAATCCCAGCTACTTGGGAGGCTGAGGCAGGAGAATCACTTGAACCCAGGAGGCAGAGGTTGCAGTGAGCCGAGACCACGCCATTGCACTCCAGCTTGGGCAATAAGAATGAAACTCTGTCTCAAAAAAAAAAAAAAAAAAAGCAAGTTAGTTACTTCCTAGATACAATGGGAGTACAAGTGTTGGGTAAATACACCTGTTCCACATGGGAGAAATTGGACAAAATGAAGAGGCTATAGGCCAATGCAAGTCCAAAATCAAACAAGTCAGTAATTAAATTTTAAAGCTCCCAAAGAATCTCCTTTGACTCCATGTCTCATATCCAGGTTATACTGATGCAAGAGGTGGGCTCCCATGGCCTTAGGCTGCCCTACCCCTGTGGCTTTGCAGGGTACAGCCCCCTCCTGGCTGCTATCACAGGCTGGCGTTGAGTGTGTGTGACTTTTCCAGGTGCATGATGCAAGCTGTCCGTGGATCTGCCGTTCGGGTCTGGAGGACAGCGGCCCTCTTCTCACAGCTCCACTAGGCAGTACCCCACTGGGGACTCTGTGTGGGGGCTCCAACCCCACATTTTGCTTCCACATTGCCCTAGCAGAGGTTCTTCATGAAGGCTTCATCCCTGCAGCACAGCTCTGCCTGGACATCCAGGTGTTTCCATATACCCTCTGAAATATAGGCGGAGGCTCCCAAACCTCTGTGCACCTGCAGGCTCAACACTATGTGAAAGCTTCTAAAGTTTGGGGCTTGCACCCCCACAAAGCCACAACCCGAGCTTGTACATTGGTCCCTTTTAGCCATGGCTGGAGTGGCTGGGATGCAGGGCACCAAGTCCCTAGGCTGTGCACAGCAGAGGGGCCCTGGGCCCAGCCATGAAAACATTCTTTTCTCCTAGGCCTCTGGGCCTGTGATGAGAGGGACTGCCGGGAAGATCTCTGACATGGCCTGGAGACATTTTCCCCATTGTCTTGGTGATTAACATTGGGCTGTTCATTACTTATGCAAATTTCTGCAGGAGGCTTGACTTCCTTCCCAGAAAATTGTTTTTTCTTTTCTATTGCATTGTCAGGCTGCAAATTTTCCAAACTGTTATGCTCTGCTTCCTCTTGAACACTTTACTGCTTAGAAATTTCTTCTACCAGATACTCTAAATCATCTCTCTCAAGTTCAGAGCTCCACAGATCTCTAGGGCAGGGGCAAAATGCCTCCAGTTTCTTTGTACAGCAAGAGTGACTTTTACTCCAGTTTCCAAGAAGTTCCTCATCTCCATCTGAGACCACTTCAGCCTGGACTTTATTGTCCACATCACCATACATTTTGATCAAAGCCATTCAACAAACCTCTAGGAAGTTCCAAACTTTCCCAAATCTTCCTGTCTTCTGAGCCCTCTAAACTTTCCAACCTCTGCCTGTTACCCAGTTCCAAAGTTGCTTCCACATTTTCGAGTATCTTTACACCATCACCCCACTACCCCATACCAATTTACTGTATTAGTCTATTCACATGCTGCTAATAAACACATAGCCAAGACTGGGTAACTTATAAAGGAAACTTATTAACTCACAGTTCCATATAGCTGGGGAGGCCTCACAATCATGGTGGAAGGCAAAGGAGAACCAAATGTATGTCTTACACAGCAGCAGGCAAGAGCAAGCATGTGCAGGGGAACTCCCATTTATGTAACCATCAAATCTCACGAGGCTAATTCACTACCACAAGAACAGTATGGGGGAACCACCCCCATAATTCAATTATTTCCACCTGGCCCTGTCATTGACAT
The DNA here is from genome assembly GCF_000001405.40 of Homo sapiens. Taxonomy (NCBI): domain Eukaryota; kingdom Metazoa; phylum Chordata; class Mammalia; order Primates; family Hominidae; genus Homo; species Homo sapiens. The sequence goes on from NC_000003.12 coordinate 97,426,461, forward strand.
GTGGGGACTATTACTATTCAAGGTGAGGTTTGGGTGGGGACACAGCCAAACCATGTCACCTTCTTTATACCATATACAAAAATAAACTCAAGATGAATTAAAGACTTAAATATAAAACCAAAAACTATAACATTCCTAGAAGAAAACCTAGGAAATACCACTCTGGACATACACCCTGGCAAAGATTTTATGAGGAAGCCTCCAATAGCAATTGCAACAAAAACATTGTCAAGTGGAACATGATTAAACTAAAGAGCTCCTGCCAACCAAAAGAAACTATCAACAGAGTAACTAGACAACCTACAGAATGGGAGAATATATTTGCAAACTGTGCATCCAACAAAGGTCTAATATCTAGAATCTATAAGGAACTTACACAAATTAACAGGCGAAAGGCAGCCTCATTAAAAAATGAGCAAAGGACATGAACAGATACTTCTTAAAAGAAGACATACACATGGCCAAAATTATATAAAATAAGTCATCATCACTAATCTTTGGGAGAAATGCAAATCAAAGCCAAAATGAGATACTATCTCACACCAGTCAGAATGGTTATTATTAAAAAGACAAAAAATAGCAGATACTAGCGAGGTTGCAGAGAAAAAGGAACACTTATGCACTGTTGGTGGGAGTATAATTAAATTAGTTACACCTGTGGAAAGCACTGTGGCGATTCCTCAAAGAGCTAAAAACAACTACCATTTGACCCAACAATCCCATTATTGGGTATATACCCAAAGGAATATATGTCATTCTACTATAAAGACACATGCTTGCTTATGTTCACTGCAGAACCATTCACAACAGCAAAGTCATAGAATCAATCTAAATGACCATTAATGGTAGAGTCAGTAAAAAATTATCATACATATACACCATGGAATACCATGCAGCCATAAAAAAGAATGAGATCATGGCCTTTCCAGGAACATGGTTGCAACTGGAGGCCATCATCCTTTGCAAACTAATGCAGGAACAGAAAACCAAATATTGCATGTTCTCACTTATAAGTGGGAGCTAAATGATGAGAACACATGGACACATAGAGGAATAACAGACACTGGGGCCTACTGGAGGGTGAAGAGTGGGAGGAGGAAGAGGGCCAGGAAAAGTGACTAATGGGTACTAGGCTTAATACTTCAGTGATTAAATAATCTGTACAACAAACCCCATGACACAGGTTTACCTGTGTAACAAAACTGCACATGTATCCTTAAAGTAAAATTAAAAAAAAAATGTGGTACATATACACCATGGAATATGATGCAGCCATTAAAAAAAACAACAAAACCATGTCCTTTGCAGCAACAGGGGTGGAACTCAAGGGCATTATCCTAAGCCAATTAATACAGGAGGAGAAAACCAAATACTGCACGTTCTCACTTATAAGTGGTAGTTAAATGTTGACTATGCATGACACAAGGAAGGGAACAATAGACACTGGGGCCTACTTGAGGGTTGAGGGTGGGGACGGTGCTGTCTATGGGGCACTATGCTGATTACCTGGGTGATAAAATAATCTATACCCCAAATCCCTGCAACACACAATTTATGTAACAAACCTGCACATGTATTTCCTGAACCTAAAATAAAAGTTGGACAGAAAAAAATATATGAATAGTGTATATTAGTGAAATGAATGAACAGTTGGTATTGCCCCAAAATGGTAAGCTTTAGAAATATAATTTAGTCCCAGAAGACTACATATAATATAAAAATATTTGTAGAAACCTCAAAAACATACGAAACTAAACAATATATTATTTATGTAGCTTTAAGGATGTGCTAACTTTTTATTTTTATAAGTAAGGAAATGATAAACAAAATTCATGATAGTAAATATCTCTTTGAAAGAGGGAGGAGACTGGATAGGGAAGGAACACAGAAATACAAGTTAAGGAAACTATTAAATTACTATATTAATGTACAATATTGCTTATGATATTTCAGAATTTATATCACTTTAGTATATTTTAAACTAATATTTCATGAAGCTTATATCATGGATCTAGTCTCACTAGATGTTTTACCACTATAGTTACATGGTCAAATTGATTTGGAAAATGTAGAATATATTTTTATTTCTAGAGTTTCACAGATCACATGGGCATATTAAATGCTCAGAGAAAACCTAAACTAAGCAACCTACATATTTTATTTAACTGGGTGTTTTCCAAATACATTTTCCCTCAGTGGCGACGAGGAGAGTGTTCTCCCTTTAAGAGAGAGAACGGGCTACAAGGAGGGTCTCCAGCTACCACAGCTTCAAGGATTACCTGAAGGTTCACCTGAAAGCCCTCATTCTGCCTGAGATCCGGGTACTAGAACCAGACCTTTCTTGCTGAATACAGAAATGCTCAAAAGAGCAGTCTCCTCTTGGGACTCCTAAATGCCTGGCCAAGACTTTCTCAGGCTTGCAGTGCCATCAGAGACATTTTCTACCCAATCCTCCTTCTTTAACTCTCTCTTCTCACAGGCATCGGGCCTGTATTATGGTCTGAAAGAGCTTTCTTGCCTCCTCTCAATTCCTCACCCCTTTGACTTGGACAGGTGTTTCTTTTCATAAATACCTTCTCTTTCAACATCATTTAAGGGTTGGCTCCCAAGAAAATCCAGACTTACACAAGCCATGATTTTTTTTTCCATAACAACACATAATTCTTGGTAATAGTGTTCCAAGGAAACGCTTTGGGAAATGATTTAAGCCAAACCTTTCCTGAGTTTCCAAACTTGATTTCTGGCAAGTGAGGAAATTATAGAAACATAAATTTGGGCTTTAGTTCATCCATACTTTTATAGTAGGAAAATATCATTTTTAAATTATGCATGTATCTTTTTTTCCTTTGAATCCTTTATTCATTTCCTTCAGAATGAGGGTTATGGAAAATTAATCCCCGGTGGCAGAGTGAATCCCTTAAATTTCTTTTACCAAATAATCTTACCATTCCTATGTATGGTGTTGTTTATTTCACTGAAGTATGAATTTGAAGCAAGTACTCTAAGGAAGAAAAAATATAACAGTAAATATATTTTGTTCTTTTTTAAATATCACATGGTTTTATTTCTTATCTGTTCTTAATCAGTTTTTATAAGGACCTCAGCCGTGAGCCTAGAGATAGAAAAGAAAGATGTTTCTTTTCACCTATAGCATATTCGAAAGTTTAAATGAAGTTTATTCAGAGTCCTTAGTTTTACCAATTACTTTTTCCTTTCTTGGATGTACAAATCTTTAATACACTAAATGCAGCTTCTATAATTTTAAACAAATCCATTCTTCAAACCAAACCAAAGATAGAATAACTTTTATAAAACAGGAGACACTTTAGAGGTATAGTTAGTAGATATTTGTAATTTTCATGTGTTTGCAGACTCTGCAATGTTGCTGTCAATATATTTTTAGTTTCTTCCTATTTGATAAGGGTATACCATACAGATGCTGCTGTGGATGCAGTATTGGCCCCAGTCAGAGTCTTGTTACCATGAGAATCTCTGCTCTAGGCACTATGGCCCTCCGTGGGCTTACTAAGCCAGACAAGCTTCCAAAGAGAATGTGATGTTTGCTGAACAACATGGAAATTGGATATAAAACCTTTATTTCTTTTTTAAATTAATTTTTAAATATCACATAGTTTTATTTATAAATGAAATTAAAGAATGAATAACATTCATATTCAAACTGATGAAAAAATTGGCACAGTAGGTATATTACATTGGGCATTACTAAATAGTCTATGCCTCATGAATAACTTATAACCAGAAACATTTTTGACACCCTCATTCTTTGTAAATTTCAAAGAATATTTGAAGTGATTTAATGAATATGGCAACTATGGAAGAAAATAGATTCAACAAACTAATACAATGACAGTTTCTGATTTTAAATTAAATACCTAGAAGTGATTTTAGGGGACTAAAATCACTAATAATTTTTCCAAGGTCAGCAACTAAAATTTCAAAAAATATAAAATATCTTAGAGTATCATTTATTCACACAATGGTCTTATTAAAGTCTTAGATGACAAATACCTCTGCTAGGTACTATAGATTTTTATTGGAATAAGCCTCAAATCCTGGAACCTGAAAAAATACCCTACATTGGAATTCATTTTCAAGTACTTATGACTAGAATGTATTTAGCTTCAAAACTATAATTTGATTTTCATTCACAATAGTTAAATAATTCTTTTGGATGGGCATTTTCAAATCAAGAAGACTAAATTCATTACTTTAATGAGATAAATTTTAAATGAACCACTTTTTATAAAGCATTCATATTGGGTAATTTTTGTAATGCATTTCTCTTAATGCTTTCAAAATGTCCTTTCTCAGAACTCTTGTAAGGGAGGCTGAGTTAACAACCTATTATTATGTACTCCTTACTGAGCTGTTAATAGCTTTACAGTCTCTCAAAGAACACACCTGCTGCTCATAAAAACATTTGTGTTGCTACAGAATTTGGCTGTGTTTTAATATCACGTATTTGCAGTGACCTTGTAGAATCCGTACTGATTCTATATTTTTAGGGAAAAAACAACAATAAAGAACATTGTCCATTTATTTGAGTATATTAATGGAAAATTATGAAATAATTTGATTAACCTAAGGGTTCTAATATTTGAAAAGTTGGTTTTCAATAATGGTTTTAAATTTCTTGGTAATTTTTTACACTATGTGAGATTGTTTCTATTTTCATTTTTGAAAGTTTGTTATCTCAATTTATATGTGTTGAAATAGGTTTATTTTCACATATGTGTATATTTTAATTAGAAACTGATGGCTTAAATTCTATTAGAAATATCAACATTTCCATAGATTAATTGAAAAAAGTAAAAATTGAAATTAATGTAGACCTTTTAAAAACTTTAAGTCAAAAATATCATAAGTCTATAATGAGAGAATGTAAAATTTTAGTTAAGGCAGTATTTTTAAAGTTTGTCATGGTTGAATAGAATATAAATTAATTGTTTTTGGCTAAGTTTCAGTTGGCAAAGGCAAATTGTTCCCCAAACCTGTGTTTGATCCTTCCATTTCAGACAAGGACATTTAAAAAAGGCAATCAATGCAATAATTATTTCCATATGTCCCTTGATTCGTGTGATTTTTATGGATAAACCACAGCAGGTGGATGAAATCTTTCCATCCTATCTAATTTAGTAATACCTGAATATATATAGCTATTACAACTCCTGTTATCCACAACTCCTTGGTAATTTTCCTCCTATTTATTGAATTATGCATCACAGCATTTTTCTTTCTCATGTTTAACACGTTTATACTTTTAAAAGACCACCAGATAGTTCTTTTCATATTTTAAAAAGATCAACAGATGGACTTAGTTCAATTGTTGGTTAGCACAGGAATGAAGGGTTTTATTGCTGTCCACCTTCAACATGGCAAACAGATAGCGGTACCTGCCAGATGTATAGTCCTTCTAAGCTCCTAAAACATGCAATAATCAATGATTATTCCAAATCACTATTTTTTACTCTTGAATGTCAAAATGGTTTCATTGTACCTATGACAGCTACATTTACAACTAGTCAACTGGTCTTATCTACAGAAACAGGCAACTGACTTAAGACTCAAGTTACTGGCTATATAAAGATACCTCAAGACGTTGATGTTATTCCCACATATAGATCTCAACTGCCACTTAATTACCTAAAGTGCCAGACCCCTGGGAATTTTGCTGACTTATCCTACTAATTTTCTTGACATGGAATTAAAAGGTGGTGGTGTTCTGGGAGATTAATTTACTAAACAACAAATGCAATTCCATCCACTAACTCAAGGTATAGTTTATTATTAAAATATTACTTCTTACTCAAAGTGACAAATGTTTTCAGCAACAACACAAATATCTATTTAATTACGTTCACAACAGCATTGATAATCATTCTAACATTTAATGAGGATGTCCCAGCTTAGAAATCACTTCACATGCATTAACATTCGACTCATTACAATATTGTAAGGTGGATAGAACTGACGTTTTATGTTACTTTTTAACAAAGCATGCTGTGTCTCAGTAATAAGATGAAAGGCTTATGTTCACCTGTCTTGTAAGTCACAGAAAGAAGCACTGTTTCTTGAAATTCCAATCCAGTGCTCTTATTAATAAAGTGTATTAGTCTGTTCTCATACTGCTATGAAGATACTACCCAAGACTGGGTAATTTATAAAGGAATGAGGTTTAATTGACTCACAGTTCCACATGGCTGGCAAGGCCTCAGGAAACTTACAATCATGTGTAAGGCAAAGAAGAAGCAAGGACCTTTTTCCCATGGTGGGAAGAGAGAGAAGAGCCAGAAGCGAATGGGTAAGAGCCCCTTATAAAACCACCATATGTCGTGAGAACTCACTCACTATCACGAGAACAGCATGTGGGAAACCACCCCCATGACCCAATCACCTCCCACTGGGTTTCTTCCTTGACATATGGGGATTATAGGGATTACAACAGGAGATGAGATTTGGGTGGGACCACAGAGCCAAACCACATCATAAAGTCATTTAGTTTGCAATATAGAAGATCCTGTTAGAAACTATAAAAGAATTAGAAACCTCAGTTTAAAGCACTGTGAAGCTCATAGTCTTTTCATCTACGGCATAGATATCCTCCTAAACTCAGTATGGTGGTAAAAACTGAAATGGAAATGCAAATAAGGAAAACTGGTTTGGCCTGTTCTCTACAATTTGCCTGTTCTCTATAGTTTGCCTTCATAGATGAGCACAGGTATGTAAGTTAATTGTTGTGATAAAAGAAATAAGAGTTTCGTTCTTCCTAATGAGTCTCTTACCTTACATAGTAAAAAGAGAAGTGAATATGTGTCTTGAGGTCATTAGTGTTATTTGATGAAGACTCAAAATCTCATGAAATACTAACAAAATATAATCTTTTTAAACCTTAATTTTTTTTGGACATAGGCAAATCTCATTTTAATTGCAAAAGACTTCATTTACAGCACAGTCAATAATGAACCAACAGGAGAGTTGCTGACTTTGGAACATATGAATATATAAAAATCCCTTGCAATTCAGGTAGTCGAGATAATAAGGGCATGCAAGGAAAGCAATCCTCATTTTTCTGAAAAGTTTTACATTTTAAAAGGTGACTAGGCATACTTGGAAGTTCAAAGCAGTAGGATGTACCTTGCAGGGAAAGAAGGAGGAAAACCCTTTTCCATGTTGTTAGAAAAATGTATATCAAATATATCCCAATTCCATTTGACAAAGTCAGGTGGATGACCTCCTTGAACCAGGCTAGGGCAGAACACTTAGTAAAAGTGGGCCCTGGGTGAGGATGCGAATCCAGAAGAAGAGCACCAGATCCCCTGCAGTACCAAACATATCCGTTCCACCCTCTAACACAGAAGAGGCACGTTGCCCCATGTCCCTGGACACGGGATACATGAGAACAGTCATCAGATGGTTACTACCCCCATGGCTTGGTGCTTTCTAATGGTGTTAATTCAGGCCATGGAGAAAATCCTTTACCACCAAACACCTTAAATTTTTATGTTAGACTAAGTACTTTGAATTTCAGAGATTCTTATACTATGATTAGAATTGTGACATTTCTGTATATGGAATCCATATTATTATTTCTTACATCTGTGCTTCTCAATATATTACTGAAACAGAAAATATAAAATCTAACATAGGTAATATGTAAATCACTTAGTGACATTTAGCTGTATTGCAATACCTCACATTGGAAGCTGCATTGTGTAATAAGTAACAGCATAGAATTTAGAGCTAGACTTCCTAGGTTCAAATCCAAGCCCTATCAGTAATTTATTGAGTGATCTTGTCATCTGTAAGACTTAATTCATATAGTAGCTTTGAGAATTTTCTTGGTTTTGAGAGTTCTTCATGCCTACAACATAGTAAGCAGTATGAAAGTGTTCATATTAAAAAAAAGTTAACTGCAGTATGTCCTGTGTAAACTTTCAATTGATTTATTTTGACTAATTTGACATGTCATTTCAGGCTAAAAAGTCATACGTCCTTCCAAAGAACCAGATAATTGTAGTGTTTATTTTGGTTAAGTTTTGTGTGTGAAGGCAAAATAGCATCAGCCAATCTAGTGACAAAAAAATAGGATCAGTGAACTGTTCCATATTAAAATTGAGGACTGTTAAATGCAGAATAATGTTTAATCTTGTTCCAGGTATCTATTATTGCATAATTTTTAAGCCAAAATGTAGTGGCTTAAAAATTATAATTCATAAATATTGTATCTCTTGAATCTATTAGTCAGGTATTCAGACAGGACAGAGCAGAGGCAGCTCATCTCTGCTTCACAATCTGGACCTCAACTGGGATGGCGAAACAATGGCTGGTGGCTGGAACACCTGCAGAATGGCTAGGCATCATCTCATCATACTCTTTCTCTCTCTCTCACCTCTCTTTCTTGCCCTTCTTCCCACCCTCCCTACCCCTTATTCTTGCCATCTCCATCTTTCTAAGGCTCCTCCTCCACATGATTATCTTGGGCTTCCACATAGCGTTGCAGTCTCAGACCAGCCATACATCTTAGATTGCCATACAGAGCTCCAAGACAAAAGTTTAAACTGCCAGTTTTCTTTGAGGCTGGGCCAGGAACTGGCAGCTCATCACTTCTACCCTACTTGGTTGGTCAAATCAGTCATATACTAGATCAGATTCAAGGAAAGGGAGCACAGATTTGACTTGTCAATGAGAAGAATGTAATAGAATTTACAAACATCTTTATTTTACCATGCTGCTTGATTTTAGGCCTTCATAATATTACATTATTTGCTTCGCTTCTCATTTGTAATAATTTAAAAATATGTATTTTCAGTACTGGGTCAAAACAAATTTATTAATTTTGAATATGCATGACATCCTAAAAACTTGAAGTCTACTTAGTAGTTGTATTTGTATCTGGAAATATTATAGGGTAAAAAATAGTTAATTCATAAAAGCAAATCAAAAGGTGAGAGAAAAAATAAAGAACAAAGTTGTGGAAAGAAAACTTCCACAAATGAGTTTTTTCAGTTATTTGAATCTGGACTATGCATTGAGTTGAGCCAATGTATTTACAACAATCAATATATACAGATGAAATTATCCAACTTTGAAAATGAGATTTCTGCCTGACCAAGGAAATAGCATCCATTACTCGCTCCCAGACCCCTAAATACATAGTCCATAAATATTTAACATGGGCAACATGTGTGACCTCTGCAGAACAGGGCTCTTCACTGCCGTGGAGTTATCTTTTACTCTAAATTTAACTTATGGCTTCATCCTAGGTATTTTTCTTTCTTTCCAATTTGATTTTAAAACCAGCTTAGGTTTATGAGTAGATAAATTTGTTCACTCTTTGATAATAATGCAGATTAACATAATGTTTCTGTAAAATGACCTTGCTTTGCCTTGAATTACTCTACTCGCATTTAAAACTATCTGCAGATATTTTCACATTCAAATGTTTAATTTTAAACACCTTATTAGAACTACAAAAACCTTTTGTGTGCGAAGGTGTGTACTTCAGGAAGCTGTCAATTATTACAATGTATTTATTAGTATTATATTACTTATAGTCGCTCAGTGATGAGATATTTAGTTCCCAGTTACAGTATCTTGACAAGCCTTTATTTTATGTTATTTTATTATAAATCTTGAGGCACACATTTGATATCTTCTGAGGAAATTCAAAATCAGTGATGAAGTTAGATCATTATTTGAAAACATTGGGTTATTTAGAGCATAATAGGATAATTTTCAAGTCAAGACTATATAACTTACTTATAAAGAATGTTAAAATCTTTATTTTGGGGAGGAGAAACTGGATTTCTTGAATCCTTTGTAGCTTTGTAAATCAATCTTAAGAGATACCTGCTTTAGTTTTTGAACAAAACAAATATATTGGTATCAGATCACAATTAAGGCTCACAAACAAATATAAAAAAAATTTAAAGTTCCACCACGGTGACAAAATACATTTAAATGGGAAAAAGTGAAAAATAAATAATTAGAAATTGTTTTTTCCCCTGTCCTAAATGAGGGTAAGGAATTCTCATGCTTATATATTTAAATGAATTTCTGCTGCATTTTCAATGCAAGAGGCAGCTCTTATATTACTGTTTTGTGGCCGATTTGGACAAATGTGTGACTTTACATATATTCACAAATGATACTGTTTTTCAGTGAAGACATTCTTGCAAAATAATTTTTCATGTTTTACAGGCAATTTCACTCTAGTGAAAATTTACCTTTCTTAGCTTTCTTATTTACTTTAATTCTGTTGGAAACTCTAGCAACCAAAAGACAGTTTTGGATGCCAGTCAACCAGCATTTGCTCTCTGGTAATTTCATCTTCAAAGAATTTTTATCTGCTACCTTTTATTACTCTTAATCTGTCCTATAATCCAGTTAGCACTACTGTAAAAAAATCCAATGCACTATAGTTCTTAGATAAATTTTATTGTGTATAATTAAGAGATACAACAAGTGCATTCAACCCGCGGCCCACACGTGGCCCAGGACGGCTTTGACTGCAGCCCAATACAAATTTGTAAACTTTCTTAAACATTATGAGATTTTTTTTTTTTTTTGCGATTTTTCTTTTTTTAGCTCATCAGCTATCATTAGTGTTGGTGTATTTTATGTGTGGCCCAAGACAGTTCTTCTTTGTCCAATGTGGCCAGGGAAGCCAAAAGATTGGGCAACCCTGGTATACAACATGATGTTATGGAATATGCATGATTTTAGAAAGTTACTATAGTGAAGCAAATTAAAATATCCATCATCTAGATTTTTCTTTTTGAAGCATATATTATTTCCCCCACTTTTGTTGTTTTTCAATCCGCATCCCAAAATTAGATATAATTAATCAAAGGACCATGCACATGTTGCCTTTCTAGTTTCCTGCCCCTCCATTCTGCCATGTCGTTATAATGGTTTAACTTTGAAAATGTTCAGTTTGACATTTGGAATAGCATTTATATTTGAATAAATCAACATATGTGTATTAATGTTTCCAAAGATACTTAGCGTGTTATTTTCTCTCAGTGGCATTTGTTGCTAAGTTATGCTAACTTTTATCATCAAAGTTGTTTTTATCTAGCATTTATGTGGCTGTTTTAATACTTGACCTAAACTACTGACATCAGCAGGAATTTGTAAACTCTTCTAAGAATGCATAAACTAAATGTAATACTCAATTTTTTGGTTGTTGTTTTTGTTTTTGTAGAAACGGGGTCTCACTATATTGCCAAGGCTGGTCTCAAATCCTGGCCTCAAGTGATTCTTCTGACTCTACCTCCCAAGGTGCTGGGATTACAGGTGTGAGCCACCACACCCAGCCTCAAATTTTCTTATAATAAATATATTTTTTCCTCTCCATTTTCCCCCTTTCAAGTCATTTTATCTATCCTCAGTAGTCCAATAAATATGTATTCTTTAAATGTTTTGCTCTCTGCTATTTATATTTCTGAGTTTTTTCTATCCGTATATTGTTATTACCAAATTTATGTGTGATTTTAAAATTCTAGTAAATGATCTAAAACTTTAAGAATGAATGACAAATTTAAAGTTGTTGTTTGACTATAATATACTTTTAACAAATACTATTAAGAAATGTTGGAATGAAGGCATTTTCTTCAGGGCCAAGTATCAAACTTTAAACACTTAATTTTTAGTTGAACATCATTGTAAATATTTATAGAGTGGTAAAGCACAGAAGAAAAATCTGTATCTCATCTATCTACAGGTAGGCTACATGAAGACAGACGGGAAAGTTAAAACTGAATAAATATCAAGAATATGTATTAAAAGATATTTCAGCACAAATCTTAGTTTCTGTATAGCATACTGTTTTGTAAAATATTTTTGGCAAGTAAAATCTTGGACATTCTCCACAATGTTCCTAAGAAAACAAGTATGCTATACTGACATAATATTATTACATTTAGGTTGTAGAAGCACTATATGCTAGCAAAAGTAATTTTTCTCATCTCCCATTTGAATTGTCATTAATTTATGCCAACAAACTTTTAATTGCTCTAATAATATTTAAGAATTTAAAAGCTAAGCTTATGGAGCAATTAATTCATTTTTTAATTCAATCATTTGGACAATATATCATGAGAGCCTACAATATGCTAGGCATACTGTATTAAGTAGTTGGAATATAAAGGTTAAAAAGCAAGTAAACACAACATTTTTTAAGACTTGTCACAGCATCTGCAAGATGACCTTAAGGCATGAGCCTATCATTGCCCTGGAATAAATGCACCACCCATTGATAGTTACTCTTAAAAGAAAGAAACAATGCTACGTTACACACCTGCTGGATCCTGTAAAACAGTTTTACATATTATTTTGGTTTATCTTACAACAAGCTTGACCCTTTGATATAGGTATAACCTTTCCAGTTTTCATAGATGAACTGACTACAACTAGGACTCTATTGGTCTCATTCTAGCACCAGTATTTTCAAAAGATCACACTTTAATAATTAGGCCATTTTCTCTAACAGTAAATATCACTATTAAAAGCAGTTCGTTATCTATATATGTTATCTATTTTATTAAAATCAATTACGAATGTTTAATTCCAGATCAATATTCCTCTATCATCAGTGTACTTCTGTGCCTTCTCCTACTACTGTTCAATATTTAATGTTCAGGAATGCATTAAATATTCATTTTAGGTGAAACAAGGTACACATTGGTAGGAATATATGAAAATAGTCATGAATGCATTTCAAAGTGATTTGGGGTTATCTGTAATTTTGGATTACTGGGAATAATCAAGAGTTGATTGTAGTAAATTATAGTAGTAGAATACTTAATGATACGTCCCCAGAAATGCAGTCAAAAAGTAGTTGTGTACATGGAATAACTACTTCTACATTTTTCTTACTTATACATATTTTGCAATTTTGCCACAACAGTGGCTAATTTTTACCTAAGAAAAACATTTTAGAGCACCTTACCCACTAGCTTAAACCACCAAGGAACTTCTTAACCCTTTCTACTCACCCCTCACCATTAGAAATTTCTTCTTGTGCATTTTAATGAATGCGAGAAAAGACAACAACTCTGTTGGTTGCCAACAACAGAACCCAGCTGCCACTACTATTTAATGTTGTCACAATGGAGAATCCAAGGCAGAGTGGAACTTCCCAGCCTCAGAAAGGCAGAAACCAGGAAAGCTAAGGTTGTTCAACTTCAGTGATGTTTCTTTGTCATGGGTTCAGTGAAGTTTCTCATCATGGGTTCATTTACTTAGGAAAAGAATTATATAGTTATTCTAGCTTGCTCTTGTTTCTGGGACAGTTGGCCAGCCCCATCTTACATTACTGGTAGATTATAGTTAGATCTGGTTATAGGAGAATCAGTGTGAGCTGAAAGGTATCCTAATGTGTGTCGCTATGTCAAAGCAGAAATTTTAGTAGTTCAATTCCCAGTGATATGTGACCAGAGCTGCAGTAGGTACACCTTATGTTAAATGGTTTAGCGATTCCTTTGTGGATATCAATCAATTGACATTACTAAATACTGACTATGCATCCAGCACTCCTTTGTTTCATTTTGTTTTGTTTTTTGAGGGAAATGTAAACTACATTTTTCAGGAAATTGCAGCCCACTTTAGGATACATACGGATGCACATTCAATAAGTAGAGGAGGGGACCAAATCGTATAAAATTAAGTGCTAAATGCTGGTTAGAATCAAAGAATTTAAAGATTAATTTATTTAAGATGTCTAATTTCCTTACTGTGTAATACCTTTAAAATATTCAAATGCCAGTCTTTTACTTCCTTGGACAGTTTTAATCTGTTGGAAATATAAGGCCAAATTGAGAAATATATAGTCATATTAGAAGATTATAAAACATCTTACAGGCACTCTCTAATGAAGAATTTTCTAAAGAGTTTGATTTCCTCAATTGATATAGCATATTGCTCCTAAAATTCTGAAATTTTACTAATTATTTTTAAACACTTAAAAGCATTCATACATATTGATCTTATATCAGGACAAAAAAATTTCAACAAATTTCCTGTAGCAGAAATAATTATTTGCAAACCATTAACAAAATCAGAGAAATTAAAAAAAACCCACCACATCTCCAATCTATTTATTTTAAAAATTTTAATTTTATATTAAATAATATATTAAAGCATAATAGACAAATTATGAACTATTTAAAATGAAAGACATTAAGATCCTCACATATCTAAAACTGTGAAATGTGACCAATGCAGAAAAATAAATTAGAAGGAATGAGCAAGTGTAAAATCAAAAATTAATGAAATAGAATCACTAATATTTGATTTGAAAATCAAAAGCCAGTGTTTTTAAAAGATTGATCAAATAAACAAGCTTACCTAAAAATAATAGGAAATGTTATTTACGTATGGAAGAGATTTTTAATAAGACAAGACTAGATGTAAATATATATCAATAAATATAAAGGAAATATAATAATTTTACGGTAATTATCAAAACTGAATAAGGAGAAGATTTGAATATAGCGTAAAATAATTTTAAATGATAGTCAAGTGTGTACTACCAACATGGTCCATTTCAATTAAGTTTTCAAAGAGCAGATAATTCCCATGTTGTGTCAGTTATTGCAGAACATTAATAAGTGGAAAGTTTCACAATCCGTTCTCTAAATATAGTATAACCCAAATATCGTGAGATTGAAAAAGAAAACTGTAAGCTGAGATAACTTATAAGTATATGCTTAAAAATTTTAGCCTGAAATATTACCATATTGAATTCAAAATTACAATAAAAATTCTAATATATTATGAACAAGTGTTAACAGGAAGGGTTTATCTTAGGAATGCAAAGATAGTTCTGCCTAAGTATATACTTTATTGAGAAAAACATAAAATTCACTTGGCAACAGATAAATTGTTTTATAACATCCATAATTCATTTCACATTTTAAAAACAAAATACAGACAAACAAAACTACAATGGAAGAAGAAAACGTCCTCAACTAGACATCTGCCAAAAATGTAAGTCAGACATAATTATATTTAACCATAACACAATTAGAATCTGTTTGATTAAAGAAGAAAAGAAAAAGTTTCTGTTTTTACTGTTACTTTGCAATATTATGCTAAAGCATTGCAATAAGAAAAAAAATACATAAGAAATTGTTTTTGGTTTGCACAGTAAAATATTATAGATGAAGTTATATAGGTCTTACATACTTTTTGTGATATATTTAGGTATTATAAGGTTTCTGTTACTATAGTGACTAAAATATTTAAAATGTAATTATAAGTGGTCATTGCTAGTATACAGGAAAACCACTGATAATTGCATGTTCACTATGTAACTGACTTCTCTTGATTAATTCTAAAATTTTTTTAAGTTAATTCTCTCGGAGTTTCTAAGTAAACATTTCTAACTAACAGAGAGAAAATGATGATTTATTTCATTCAACCTTTAGGAGAGACATTTTCTACATATATTAAAAAACTGTTATTTTTAAGTTTTGTAAGATAATTAAGTTATGCTTTACAAAGAAAGAACATATACTTTATGATTTGGCTAGAGTAGAATAAGATTTTCTCCAACTAGCTTTAAAAAAAGGAGTAGATTAAAACTTCGGATGAATCAAGGCAACTTAGAAACAAGAATAGAAATGGATGACTTTTTATGACTATAAGCTCTTTTATCATTATTCCTATTTTACAGAAGTGGTATAACTCAGTTCCTGGGTTCACACATAACTCATTCTGGTACTCTATTTTGTACATCTTGAACTGGAGTGCACTCAGAGTTGGTAACTATTCAGGAATTGATTTATTCTAATTAAATGCTAAAAGAGACTGAAGAGGGCTGGGCATGGTGGTTCACAGCTGTAATCACAGCACTTTTGGGAGGCCAAGGCGAGTGGACCACTTGAGGCCAGGAGTTCAAGACCAGCCTGGCCAACATGGTGAAACCCCGTTTCTACTAAAAATACAAAAATTAGCCAAGTGTGGTGGCACGTGCCTGTAGTCACAGCTACTCGGGAGGCTGAGGCAGAAGAATCGCTTGAACCACAGAGGTTCAGATCACACCACTGCACTCCAGCCTGGTTGACAGGACGAGACTCTGCCTCAAAAAGAGAGAGAGAGAGAGACTGAAGAACAAACCAGAATATTCACGTATTAAATATACAGAAGTCTGCCCTTTCCAAGAACAAATATATTTATGTTTGCCCCTACAGAGCTTGAGAATCCACATTAGTAATCAGAAGATTGCAACATTAAAGTAGAAATATGAAAAATATTAAGGACTCTTTCAGCCAGAATATGATGACTATGTGTACCCAGGTAGAACTCATTTTTAAAAGGGTCAGCAAAATAAAGTCCACGGGGTTCAGTGTCTATTTCCTTTGGAAAGTAATTGTTAAAGGCTGACCAAATCTAGTATTCAAACTTTTCTTTTCCCAGAGCCATGTGAAATATCTTCCTTTCATTCAAGTAAAAGACTTTCAGCTTTGCTAATGCCATAGTTCAGGCAATAAGATTTTTTGATAGCCTTTCTAACTTTAGGTTCCTAGGCCCTGCAATTCTTGATTTATCCAGGCAAAATACCTTTCTGCAGATAATAAATCATGTTCTAAATGTGGTTTTAATTCGTTTATTTTTGTTTATTTTGAGAGGATTATCCTGGAAACATCTCCACAGTTTGATGAATGTGAGTGTGTACATTTGTGAGTGTGACAGAGAGGCAGGGTGAGGAAGTCAAACAGAAACGGAGAGAGAAAGGATGTAAATGACTTAGATGACTTCTAGTGGAACCATTAATATCCTTTTTTATATTATTTTGTTTCTCAAACAACCTGTAGCTTCAGTCCTCTAGCCAGTAGAACAAGAGCTTTACCACTGTCTTAATTAAGACATCGCAAAAAAAAAAAAAAAAAAAAGATTTGGATAGTAGAGTACTACATATTAATAGCACTTGGACCTATTCCTGCACTTGCACCTATATTTTCAAATCGGTATGACTTAAAGCCAAGAAGTTATCTTTACACATCAAAACTTCTAAAAGAGTCTCCTGGACTTTATTAAACAAATTCTATTCCCAGGCTTGAACGAGAATACTGTATATTCCATGCAAGACTGGGTGATTTATTTGCCTCCTATATTACTTAATATCTGCCTATATGACATAAAATTAATAGAAAATAAAAATAAAGGCAGCCTGCATGGATTTGTTAACCTTAATAGAAAATAATTTTACCTTTGAAATGTGTATTTAAACATTTGGTGTTGAGAATTTTTTCTTCCAATTGAGGAACTAGTTGTTCATATAAACATAGTCTAATGATTAGCCAACAAATCATTACTATGTGGTCCATAAGGTGTGTTAGTTACTTCTAGTGTATAGATAGTTAAGAACATAAAGTGTGGAAAAAACTACTTTGGCTCAGTCTAATCCATAGACATATATACTCTGGACATATTTGCTTAAATGGGGTGTAGTGGAAAAAGCACAACTTCGATGGAAGCCACTGACAAGTTGTGTGACTTGTTTTGCTAATTTACTTATTCTTTCTGGACTAATTTGATCATAGATAAATGGAAATAAAAATATTACCAGTTCTTATTTCACAAGACTATTATGAAGATTAGATTTTAGATGTGTATGAAAACACCTTGTAAATTGTAAAGCTCTACATAAATCATTGTTATTATGATTGTTGTTATATCTTTACATAGATATGTCTAGAAAATAAAATATAATTTTTATCTTACATTTAATCCAATTAATTTAAAATTAAAAATAAAACAAAGAGGTGACACCTTTTAGAAATCCCAATAGGCCCAAAGACTTTAGGAGAAAGCAAACCAGCTAAAAGATGACCACTATGCTGGCCTATTGAATCTATTCCCATAAATGGAAATGGTAAACCCAAGAGAGGGAGATGAGGAATGATGACAATGATTCATAGCAGAAGGAAAAACACCTGCATTTCTGACATTAAAAAAATATTGAATTGAATTGCTAGGTAGAACGTTGGTGATTACGTAAGCTACACCTAACAAAGTGTTCTAGAACCTTATACATACCATGAGATTCAATGAATGTCTGTAGAATGAATGAGTCTTCTAGAGGAGTAAATCAAAACCTAAAAGGTAATTTGCCAGGGTACATAATAGAAGCAGAATCAAGATAATATCCAAGACAGGAGAACTCTAACCTAGAATTTTTTCCATGCTGTCTTCTATTGATACAGGCCCTGTTATCTCTGACTGTAGAAAGATATAGCCATAGGGTCTGAACACCTGAGCCTATTTGTTTTCACCAAGTTATAGTTTTCAGATTGAATGCTAACAGGTTCCAGACTCTAGCAAGAGGGTCCATTTTAGTTACCATGAAAAGTTGACACCTATAAAGCTAAGTTCAGTATTTCAGGTAAACGAAAGATTCAGTGTGACAGTATGATTCCCAGAAAAGCCTTGATTCTCAGCATCTTGGAAGGAGCAGTGCCTAAATATAAGTGCCAGGGTCTTCCCATGGGAAGAGAACCATAGGTAAAAGTCAACATCTCTAGAGAACAGTATATGCCTGCCCTGTTTGACAGTGCTCTACGTTCACACTATTTGGTTCCAAACTATTTTTTTTTAATTTGGATACAAATATGTCAAACAGGAATTGTATGTATGTTTTATTTTAGAAAATGATACAACTTAAAATGTGTTAAAGTTCATTGCTTCTCAATGATTTTTTCTCACAATTGGTGCTATTTTCTGTGCTCATCCGAGGAGAGGTCATGCAACAAGCTGATTCACTTTCAGCCGACAAGCATTAGTGCACAAGATGGCCAGTGCTCTCAGCCAATGAGCATCCACTGCACTATTCACAGTTGAGTATGCTTTGCAACCCACGCAACTATGCCTTTGGAGGTTCACTTTATGCCATTTATTTACTCCCTGATACCATGTCTTAATCCACAAAAATGTGCAAGTAATAGTTCTTGGTCTCCCACAAAGAATTTTTTAAATCATACTTTTAGATATTAATAAGTACTTAGAACTAATTAATAATACCTTGTATGAAAACTTATGAAGTATAACTATAGCAGTACTTAGCATGAAATTTGTAAGCTTAAATTATATATTTGAAAGAATGTGCTGATAATGAGTTAAGCATGAAGCATAAGAAGTTAGAAGACAACATATCTAACAGAAAGTACAAAGAAGAAAGAAAATTTATAGTAAGAACAGATATCAAATGTAATAGATTAAAAAAAAATAGAGGGGAAAAAGCCAAAAATGTGTTCAAACCTCTGGAAAGCTTGATCATGAAAAAAAGAAATTATAAAAATAAATAATATTAAGAATGAGAAGAGGAATTTTATCACACATTCAGCAAAGATGAAAAACAGAACTTTATGAACAATGGAACGTGTTCCCTAGCTAAGTTGAAGATTTACGTGTCATACAGCTAGCAATGCCATCATGGTACAAACTCCAGAAAAGCACGCCAACATACCCTATCTAAACATATTCAAAATTCAACCTGCCAGGATGAAGAAAACATCTCAATGGCTCTGTGGCAAAGCCTGGTCGCTACCTGGTGACAACACCTTTGAAATGGAGTTGATGCGTCAGCAGAAAGGCAACTGGCCAAAATTCTGGGACGATAGTGTCCTACCTATGCATATCATAGACAAAAGCTAACTTGGTTTCCCAAGAGCTTAAAAACACCAGGAGGAGAGAGGTCTGCTGTGTACTGTGAAGAATTCTTGTGACTGCTTCTTCCTGGACCCTCTTCCTCATCATGTCAGCAAGCTGTAAGACGTAAGACAAGGCAGCAGCACTCACCGGTAGTGAGTGATTCGGGCTGAAGAACCCCTTAAGTACACTTCCTACTGTTTGATTTTTATTCCAAGGATTTAGCTACAGGTACACTTTTGTAGGTAACAACAAAAATACTAAAAGCTGCCTGCAAAAGGTGTCCTTTATTCCCTGTAACTTTACTGAATAGGAAGTTACTATTTAGCTATGTTTTGGGGAAGCAACAAGGATAAGATATGTAATTATCCTGGAGCCATTCTAAGAGTAAACTTTTGAACCATATCTTCTCTCTTTTGGGATGAGACTAAATGCTTTTTTTCATTGCTTTAAAGTTCTTATCTCAGTCATCATTTCACACTGTGAGACAGCACTCAAAATGCACCATAACTCTTACGTTGTAGAAATTCTGTGAAAAGTAACATATCCTCCTCTTGTATATGAGATTGAAAAATCCAAATGTTCTAGAAATTCCTGCCAGAAACAATATCTTTTTTTCTAATAGTTCACAAGTATTTTTTCTCCACAATATGT
Organism: Homo sapiens; assembly: GCF_000001405.40. Classification (NCBI taxonomy): domain Eukaryota; kingdom Metazoa; phylum Chordata; class Mammalia; order Primates; family Hominidae; genus Homo; species Homo sapiens. Next base: position 97,446,789 of record NC_000003.12, read on the forward strand.
GTTTTAAGCCACCTAATTATAAAGGCCTTGATATGAGCAAGCTCCTACATTTAATCCCTAACAGCTCACTGTCACCATCGATGATTTATAGACTTTATTTCCTTGTATTTTATGCTAGGTTGATAAATAATTATTTACTTTCTAATCTTAAAATCACCTAGAGATAAATATAAGTTGCAGTTTTTTGGTTTAGTCTTTTTTTATTTAAAATGTTGCTGTTCTTAATTCAATTTTTTTCCTTGTACTTTATGTTTAATAAGCAGTTTTATTATTTGGGGTATAAATGGCAAATTCAATTCTTTAGCTAGACACAGAATAACCAAATAGCATATAAAGTTCTGACAAGGAAGGTCATAAAGTTTAAAAATGATCCTTAAGATAAGACTTTTTTCTGAAAAGTAGCTTAAGAGAAATGATTTTCATAGTTCTAAATCTTAAAGCATCACCAGCAAATACATGAAGTTTGACCTATTCTCCATATGTGTACATTTTCATAACTTGTCTTGCTAGTTGGGAAGGTCTCCTAAATAACAGTGGTTTTCAGGCAAACACTAAATGAAATTTTGATGGGAATATTATAGACAGAATTTAAGCATCAAATGAATGATTCAACTAGTGACCTTGAAAGTCATTTTGCATCTCTGAAAATCTCTAGGGTTTTTATGAGGATGGTGGAAATTAACTTGAGGGCCTGTTGACCTAGCTTGACCTATGACTTTTGTTTACACAAATGCATTTTTTTCCAGATACCCTATTAAAATATCATTGTAAAGTTATTGAATAATAACACCATACAAAAACAGTGTAGGTTTAATTTGTCCCCACCACCAGCATATTGTGGACAATCTCTTACATGGACAGGTAAAATGAACTGTCCTGTTCTGAGATAGTGGGCAAGAGAGACCATGTAACAAACCCTGACTGTCTAGATCATCCAGAATGCCCTGGCAAGTTCACTTCCATTTAGTGAAGTGAGATAATTTGGCAATTCACGCAAGAGACTGAGAACCAAGCCTCAAGCCCTGCCTCTGATTCTGCAGGTATGGTAAGTCTTTCATGCCTTTCTGTGTTTCCAGTGCTTCTTCATGGGCAGATTATTTTTAAATCTACTTCACAGTCACTATGTAACTAGTATATGTTTAAAAATAAGCTATATTTAGGGGAGGAGTCAATTCTCCCTTACAGGAAAAAATTCATTATTTTATTTCCTAAATTTTATTCAACTTCAGGTTTTACTACTGGGGAAACACTGAATTACAGCACAAAGTGAATGACTTCAGGATAAAAGATTTCAAACTTTAAAAAGCAATTAATTTATTTCTCCTTTCACCCACAGGTCTACCCACGGATAGCGCCGGCATTTTGGCACTACCTGCGGGTAGAAGTGAGTAGCTGGTACTTGAATTCTCCCACCTTTGCTCCTTGCACTCTGCTGGTGTGCCCATTTTGCTCAAGATGCAGCTGCCATTCTGTGTAAACATATTCTCACACCACCATCATTTCTTACAGTTGGGTCAGGAATCTAAATCACCAAAAATACAAGTGCAGTTTATATAAGACTAATCATCTTTCTTAATAAATTTCCAAATAGGACCATATCATATGCATCATTATGATAAACAGCTAAATGCCAAATTATGGAAAACCATGCTAACACTACTTTGTAATCAATACTTTTGGTATTCAGAGCATAATTTCTCAGTTAAACTTTGGAATGTTTCTAGGAAAAGGTAGAATAACTCTGTTTCATTTCCTTTCTCCTTTTTTTCTGTCCCCCAGGAACATGAGCAGCTGACCTACTCTTCCACAAGGTCCAAAGCCCCCAGTGTCATCATCACAGGTCTTAAGCCAGCCACCAAATATGTATTTCACATCCGAGTGAGAACTGCGACAGGATACAGTGGCTACAGTCAGAAATTTGAATTTGAAACAGGAGATGAAAGTAAGTTTCACACAAGGATATAACATAAGATGTGAATTTAGTATCATTCCAATTTGACCTGATATTTTAAAACCAGGTGTCCCAAGTTTTTAATAGCTTGTTTAAATGAGATTTTGTTCATGTAAATACTCATACAGTCATTTCAGTTAATATTTGTTGCTATCATTAAATGCTTTCATGAAATGCCTTACTCTACCATAAAAGTAATGTGGCCAAAATGTGGCCCTTTATGCTATTACACAGAGTCTCTGTGGATGCCTAATAGTTCACCAGTCCTGGCATCATGATATGATCCTAATGAAAACTTGGGAGAGAATAAAGCCGTGAACAAATGGTTTAAGCAATTCAGAATTGTGCAGCTTTGGCCTTTTATCTCAGTCAATAAAAATAGTGGTCAGGAGATGAACACCACTGACATGCACATTATAGGTTTAAATACAGATGCATGGGCTTCATCAGAAACCCACATTAATTCCGGGACCTCAACATGCTGAAAACCAAAATGGGAGATGAAGGGAGTGAGATATTCCAATGTCATGTAACATCAGCTTTGAGGTCTTTTATTCATTCTAAACCCAGCTTTACCAATGAACTCTTTTTGGCCTTCAGAAATCCATCTTACTGCTCTCTTTGTGAGAATAGTAGGGATTGCTTTTGCCAGACATCTTTATGAAAAAGTGGTCAAATATATAAGAAAAATCTGTTTCCATCATTGTTAACATACTGTATTAATATAATAATTCAATAAAAGTAAATTTATTATAGTAATTCCTTATGGATAACAATAATAATAGCAAGCATTTATTGAGACCCTAAAAATGCCTAAAATGACATTAAATATTTTACATGGAATTGTTCATTCAAACCTTTCAACATCCAGTGAAACAAGTATTATTTTTGTAATTTTACCTATAAGAAAATAGAAACCTAAAGGAGTTGAACAATTTGCCCAAATTTAAGCAACTAGTAAGAAGCTAAGCTAAAATTTGAAATGGAAGCGTGTTTTATTGAAAGGCCTATGCTGTTAGCTACTCCACCATCCTACTAAATCTTATCATTTGTATTATTATGAAGTGTTTTTTGTAAGATCATAAAATAGGTCATAGTTTTTCAGTTTATCACTCCCTCAAAATGAAGCTACTTGGGTTTCAGATTCTATGACAGAAGGAATATTTTGTTGTTTTTACATTGATGAACAGTATTCACATGTAAGAACTTCTTTGTTACAATTATATCTAACTACAAAGGGAGAAAGTGCTGATGTATTTAAGTAAGAAATACCCCACCTTAGGGAGAATGAGTAAACTAATTAATAAAAAGAATACTTGTGGCCTGAGTATTTATATCAGTAATAGTCATTTAAATTTCTGGTGGAGACTATTGACTTTTTAAGCTAGAGAGAAAATTATTAGGAGTAGAGTATTATGATCACAAAACATAGATCCACAATAAAATCCATATAAAAATATCAAAAGATTTGTCCCTGTTATGTCTTTTTCACTTTTTTTCCCCTGCCCGCTTGTCAAACCTTAGCCTAGGTATAAAGCTAAGGATACAGTCCAAGGAAAGTTTGGTCCAAGATTGTCGAATTATTGTCTTTTTTAGGCTGTGTTTCTTTTCACAGCCTGGAAAAGTTAATAGCTTTTGCACTTCTCTTACTTTATTTCACAGATTTAAAAAATTCACCTGACTTTTAAAGTTTGACATTGTTGAGTATTGCATTTTTAAGTGAGAAATGCACTCTCAGATAAACTCATAGAGCTACATCTAAATAAGTCATTTGTGTTCATTTGGGACTTCTAGAGAAGGTCATTTGGTGTAATATTAACAAAAATTCTGATTTAAATATTAACAGTTTGATTTGGTTTTAACATTAGATTTCAACTCATTGTACTTTCAAGACAATTTCTTCAGATGTTATGTAGAATAAAAAGAAAGGTTTTGTACTCACAAGTAACTCAGTACAATTCACTCATTCAACCGACATGTATAGAATATTTAATATGTGCCATACTCATATGAGCCTCTGGGGATAAAAAATAATAATAAGAGCTAATAGCCTATGCCTTCAAACAAGTTTCAGTCTGTATTTCTGTGAGGAAAATAAAAAGTTTAAATCAAAAATACAAGATTAGTGACGTGTACTATCATAAAGATATACAAAGGATATGGTGGCAGCATAGTGAAGATGACTACTACTTCAGCACACATGGGTGGTGAAAGGTTTCTGGAGGGTGAGAGGCTGGGGTTCTTTCTTGAAAGAAGAATAGTCATGGAACAGAAAAAGCATAAAGGCCTCTAACAACATAAAAAATTTAAAGCGCAAATAACTTGGTGTGGCTGTGGTGAGGAGATGAAAATTGTAAAATGGTGGTAGATGAAGGTGGAGAGTTACACAGGGGCCAAACCAAGAGCACTTTTTAGCCATATTAAGGATATTTGCATGTATCCAGAAAATATTCAGGATCCATTGGTGAATTCGAATCCTGGATTAACATGACTAGTAATACATGCAAGACCCTATGCTGAGCAATTTACACATATTACCTCATTTAATTCTGACAAGATTATGCCTCATTTTAGAAACTTGTATAACTTTACCAGAATCTGATACCTAGTGATTGGGGGTGCAAGTTTAGAACCCTAGAACTATCTGACAATGGCAGCAGAAGATGGTGAAAACTATGTTCTGAATTACTGATTCAGGAATGCCGCGAAAATGACTTTGATTAAAACCTTGAAGAGATAAAATGTCTGAGAAGAACCTGAAAATAATATATTTGTGTAAACCTGATGTTTGAGAACATAGAATGGCTCCTAAGTCAATTTACAGTCTAAGGGAAATTCATTTAAAGGATCATTAAAAAAAAAAAAAAAAACTGGTTAGCTTTAAATAGCATTTTCAAAGCCTGCTGTTTATACCCAGGAGAGAATTTCAATGAATAATGCCATAGTAGCATATGGATAGGTTTCCCATAAATTCAAGGATATGATGATGTGAATCCCAATTGACGGCATCCATCTTTTTCTCTCCGTACCCTCCTGGCTCTTCTTTAAATTTTATAGCCTTTGTTTCTCAAGTAGTGCCTGAATTATTGTAATGTCAGCCTTATTATTAAGTTCTCTCTTGTGTATTCCACTTAATTGACTAACTTTATAATACATTCATAGAGATGAGGTATGGGTTGGAAAGGAGTGATCTCATTTGATGATCTGGTTCAAATTTTTTAAAGTAAGCAAAATTAAGTAGTTTATAATTCAGTTCTTTTTAGCCATACTATTTTACTTTGTTCAACTTTGACTTTGCTAATGACCAAGGCAATAACATAATTATGAAATAATTCCTTTTGAAAATCATAATGTTCTTGACTGGCTACTTGTGCTATAAACATAGTGGCATCTGAAGAAAAATTATGGCGACCCTCTTGCACTTAGAGACCAGTGCTTGGTTCTTTTTCAATATCAAAATATGCTAGTGGAGATTCTCTAACTGGCTGACAAATGCTAAGATTACTAATTATCACTGTTAGCATCATAAAATGAATCTACTTGAACTGGAGCTATTGGTTTCCCCTCTACCGAAATCTATAAAACAACCTTATTGCATATATGTATGTGGAGGTAGAGATATAGACAGATTGATAGATGGATCAAATTGACTGAAGATATTCACTCATATATAATCAGAAAATTATTTCCTTGTATTTTAATGTTCGCATTTTATGTATTTTCTGATTTCTCGCTGGGCTAAGTGTACAGTTAATATTATGTCCACTAACAGCATTTATTGAGTGCCTACTGTGTACTGGCCTTATTATTAGGTACTGTACTTGATTGCCCCCTTCCTTCTTTAGAATAGATTTATCAAAACTGCAATAAAATTACAGAATCAGTAGTAAGAAAGTAAGAATATAAAAATACTTCATATGGATTTTCTTGGGAGATAGTTGGAAATTAGGTGTTAGAAGCTAGTAAAAATTTTCTCAAGATTAAAATAAAATCTATATTATGCCCCAAAGCATTAACCATAACACATATCCACACACACACACACTGGTCAAATACAGTCCTTTTTGGCTTATACAGCTATAATAGGAAATTTTAACTGCTCAAATTTATTATTATTTCTGAGCTTATTTTCTGGGCCTTTCACTGCAGAAAAAAATGAGAATCAAAATAAAAAATTGTTGACATCACCAGTAATATTAGCCATAACTTATAAATTGCTTGGAAAAAACATATTTGATACATTTTAACAATAATCCTGTTAAATTACACTTACACATTTTAAAAAGTAATAAAATAAAGATAAGGAAATAAAATTTTTGTTTTTATTTAAAGCACTAGCAAGATTTATATAACATTAAATTCCATATATATAGTAGCAGTAAGTAATTTTGCATGTGCAGTTTTAAAACCAAAATAAAATGTATTCTGCTAGATTGTAGCCAGCTTGAACCTTCTGCTTAAATACTGAAAAAATAGCTTGTGAGCTATCAAAAGGGAACAGAATCCATAGCTTAAAGCCAATTTTTGAAAGAAAATTGGAATTTTACATGTAGTAATTGGCAATTTACCTCTTCCATTGCCTTAATAATTATCTAAATGACCCACAAGAATTAATACATTGCCAACATATAAGCAATGCATTCCTCTTTTCTGAAAAGATTAATTACAGCTTACATTTTAACAACACGTAAATTTAAGTTTTCACCTGTAGGCTGCATAAATCAGTTTTGTAGCACAAAAGCCACATCTGTCAGCATTTTAAAATGTATTATTTACCAAAAGTAGTAATGATGGACTAAATTTATAGCACATAAAATAATCATATAAAAATCATTATAATCAACATTAACAAACCAAACTGTAAATAACTACATTATAGTGGGTATTTCAAAATAAAATCTTATGTCGTGCCTTATATATTTTTACAAAAAGTGGTATGTAGATACAAATGAATAAATGTAACCACTTAATTATTTTGAAAATATCCATAAGATTTAGCTGTTTTTGTATGGTTGATATGTAAGAAATTTGGTTTGTTTTAACCATTTATAGGTAGGAAATTATCCTAAAAAATAAGATGCAAGATTATGTTTCGGTTTCTTCCTCCCAATACATTTTTATGTCCCCATTTGATGAATTTTTCTAAATTCCATTTGCACACTTAAAAGTTCTAAATCATTGCATATGTTGTATTGAATAGAATGTGAATTTCTCAGCAAGATATTAGGTCCCCTCTAAATGTAATCCAAATTGATATCATTTCTATCGATTTCTGCAAATTAAGGTATTCTCTGGAAAAATTAGATTATTTGGATGCTTCATGAACAAAATAATCTGTATCTTCATCATATCTAAGATTCTTCTATGACTTCCAACTGGAATATTCAGAAAATGATCACATTACAAATGATCACTCTAGCTTCCATGCCACTTTCCTGAAATGTTCTTGCCAGTGAGAAATCATCACTTCTTCCTTGGAATTTCTAAATATTTTATTGTTCAAAGGCGTAATTCTTTACTAAGTTGTAAACTCATTGAGATAAAGAACTATAGTCTGTATATCTGTTTGTCTCAGAAAGTGTTTTACACATAGTTAGGTTCCAATATACATGTAATCAAATAAATAAAGAAAATATGATTTACAAAAATACTAAAGAATGGTATGTTGCCTACCAGGTCAAAAAGAAAAAGAAATACTAAAATACTAAATATTAATATTAAAATACTAAAGAATAGTATGTTGCCTACCAGTTCAAAAAGAAAGAATCAGATAATTTTATTTGCCATAGATAAGCAATATTGCTTGCTTTATTTTGGGTAACAAGCTATAACTGGCTTGAGTCATGTAAAAACATAATATATGCAAGTTTTACTACAAATTAATTGTTAATTCTAAATTTGGGGGCACATTTTAGGTAGGGTAAAATGACGATTTTGTTGTTAACACATTTTCTTCCCTAAACTCTTTTTTAAAAACCTCCATTATGTTTGATCCAGTCTGTTGGTTGAAGCACAATCTGTACTGCTTCAATTACTTAGGATGAAATTAGCCACATCATTATTAACACCAGCTAGAAATTTTGGAATGATTATTAATGGTAGCACATGAAGCAGAAAGAGGACCAGCTGACCCTGGTGGAGTAATAAAGTTAATTAATCAAGCAGGAGGCAGATTTCATATTTATGAGTCTACCCAGAGGAGGACAAATTCCAGTATATAAGACTTTAATTTAAAGTAATCTCCAGTCAATAGCACACTTTCAACATTGGCAGCCATAGCCATCTAAATGCAAACATCAGTGGGAAAGAGGAATTTTCTAGCAGTTAGGTTGTCTGAATATAAAGTGGCCTGTCCTATAAGGTAGCGAAGGCCCCTCATAATAAGAATTTGTGCTGAAGCTAATTGGGAACCTGTTTAGCATGTGGTAAAAGAAATCCCTGCTTTATTTAGGAGGTTGTGATACAAGTTTAACGTAAGTTCAAACATTGAGATTTCATAACAACATATTTGTGAGTTCTAATTATGTTCCAATCACTTTTTTAAAATCTTTTCTGGTTACCAAAACATGTATAGCCTTTGCAGAAGATACTATTATGCCAATTTTACAGATCAAGAAAGTAAAGCATAATGAAGTATAGTAACTTAACAGTACCCACAGGTAGTAAGCATTGGAATGGGGTTATTATGGCATTAGGCCCTTTTCATACTAATGCTTAGAACCAAAATTGAGTTCCCTTTCTACCCATTCAGTACTTTCACTTTTCTTTTTCACCTTAGTCATTATTTATAATTTTCTACATGACTATTTTTTATTATTACCTCCAATTCGTCACCCTCCCTTAATTACTTATATTTTGCCTTAGCATAATGTCTTTGAATATAAGCGGATTTTCAGAAGACTATTTATAAATCTCAGTGCATCAAGTTCACAGAGCTGTGCAGTGTTTTAATGCATATTTCTGGATTAATGTACACATGGTAGACCAAGTATAACACTCCAAAGAGGCAAAATAATGCAGTTAGTGTGATTTACTTAAATATGCAGGGTCTTGATGAAGAGTAACTATTTGCACAGAAAGTAGAAGTCGCCCTTCAAGAGAGACTGAATTGACAAAAAAAAAAAAGATATTTTATTTCAATTATGCCTAGATCAAATAAGGATTTTAAATGATGGGAACCAGGCTTATGTACCATAAGACAGATTGAAGACCTTAATATGAAAAATATTAAAGATCATAACTTTGCTAAATGGGCTGGAAAGAAAATCATTAACTATTAACAGGTACTTAGATGTTGTAAAATGTGCGTATCAAAGGGCAGTGTTACAGCGTGGCTCATATTTAAAAGAAAAGTAACAACAGTAGATCTATTTCTTAATACAGAAAGTAAGCTTATTTTTAAGGCAATAACATATAGCAACATATGTAAAATATTATTTCTTTGGTATATAAACCATCATCCCTTGACTGGAAGTTTTTACAAGATCAGGGAACATTTCTTTTGTTTCTTTTTTTAAAAGATTCTCATTTGTGTATGCTGTGTGAATTTGTTCTCTTAGCAAATTTGAGGTAGGCACTACAGTGTTATTAACTATAGTCACCATGCTGTATATCAGATTCTTAGAACTTATTCATCTTATAACTGAAGACTTGTAGTCTTTGACTAATATTTCCCCATTTCTTTCTCATTTTTATACCTCTTATATTGCTTTGCATGCACCTGGCAAGTAGAAGGCACTCAATGAATTTCATATGAATTAATATTATCCAATAAATACACAATACTCAGTATTTATAAATACTCAATATTGCTTCAAACACATGTATTTTATTAGTCTACTTATATATTTTTAGTATTTTATTTTTGTTTATTTTGTACATATATTAATAACAAGCAATCTGCTGAATGCTAAGGAAACAAAGGAGATAATATATGGTCTCTGTCCTCAGGAAGCTTATCACTAACCCACACTAGAGATAAGAGAGTTCCTGATTTATGTCATTCCCAAAGTCTGATTTTAATTTGACTTGATTTGAGATGGATTTTTTTTTCTATCAGCCATCATATAAATTGCTTGAATTTTTCTTTCAAGCTATTTGACTTTACAACCTTGAATTCTTAAAGAGAGCAAAAATGTTCCTTAGGTATTTCAAATTGCCCCAAATTTAGTGAAAAATATATTCTCTATGTAACACTTGAAGAGTTAGAGCCATTCTTCAGACTACACAAATCAGCTTTATTGACTTGTATTTTGATATGGCTTTTCAAAAGTCGTATTTTAGTTGTTAGAAAAACATCAAGGGCAAAGTGAAGAAAACCTAATTTCTCATTATATTAATAACAGTATGGAGGCCTATTGAGAACTGTTGGAATGATTCTTAATTGTGGCTGACCTCTCACCCTCATCTGTTGCATGGTCATGCACTAAGCTCAAGTAGGGAATACAAGTATTGTGTTGTTCAGCAAGTACCGATAGAATGATGTTTTAAAGCATTAGGAGAGCTCTAGCTGGTTGTAGAGTATCATAGCGATGATATATAAATGTGGTTCTTACGGGGAAAGGGTAGAAACACATGATGCTGAGACGAAGTTGGCCTTTGGGAAGTCACAGACTGGAAGGATGACATAGCATGGGGTTTTGGTTTCTGTTTTAATTTTATGTCCTGGTCAAATTCTATCCACATGGTAATCCGTTATTTTTCAGAGCTGAAAAAAAATCTGAGAATTGAATGAAAGAGTTGTAAAAATGTCCAAGTCAGGTTAAAAGTATTTCATATAAAATATATGAATATTAAATATTATATGTTTATGTCAAAATATAAAAACATCGTTTGAAAGAATTTAATTTGCATGGTGCCACTCTTCAATAAAAATCATTTAAAATTATCTAATGTAACATCTTCTCAATTTGTATTAGCCCAATGCAAAACAGCTGTTTGTGCTTTTTTCACCATAAAGTCACAATACTGAATGGACAAATGTTTATAAAATAAACCCAGCCAGTTCCACAAAGTCCTGTATGAAGAATTAAGAAGCAGCTTAATGGCCGGGCGCGGTGGCTCATGCCTGTAATCCCAGCACTTTGGAAGGCCGAGGGGGGCGGATCACGAGGTCAGGAGATCGAGACCATCCTGGCTAACATGGTGAAACCCCCCTCTCTACTAAAAATACAAAAAAATTAGCCAGGCGTGGTAGCGGGCGCCAGTAGTCCCAGCTACTAGGGAGGCTGAGGCAGGAGAATGGCGTGAACCCGGGAGGCGGAGCTTGCAGTGAGCCGAGATCGCGCCACTGCACTCCAGCCTGGGCGACAGTGCGAGACTCCGTCTCAAAAAAAAAAAAAAAAAAAAAAAAAAGCAGCTTAAGTATTCATGTTACACTTTACTTTTTCAAGGGAAACAGTAGTTCCCTTGAAATTTAAATTGAGTAACAAGAATTCTTGGCAAAATTGCAGGAGCGCTTAAAAGATTTAGCTGTGTGTGCAGAAACCCAAGCATGACATGTGTGAGCACATTACTGTACTATAAAGATAGGCAAAGGAGCAGAATACGGCAATCTTACTGCTAGATATAAAATAGCTGATTCACATCAAACTGAATTTCATATTCTCTTATGCTTCTGGAAAACAGCATTCATTTAAAAATTCTCTTGCACTATAGTTTTTTTAAATTAGTTATCTTATATTTGCTGGATGCATAATCAGTGAGCAGACTAAATAACTTTGTCAACAAATAATTTTGGCAATTCCATCAACAATAAACATGGCAATATTACTTACTGAATTTATCACACGTAAGTGTGTGTATATATATGTACATATATACACACATTCATATATATAATACATATATTCCACATTCATATACACTTCCTATTCCCATTTTGAGATAAAGGAATGAAATTATCATTATTTTAAATATTGTTACATAAGTTGTTACCCTTGGAAGTAAAAATGATTTGTTTTAAAATTTGATATAGTTTGTGTTAAATTTAACATGAAGGAGAAAGAGAAGGGCGCTTGAGAGGAAGCAGTAAAAGCTAAAGCAAGCAGAAGAATGTTTAATTGTTCAACTTGTTCATTCACCCATTTACTCAATCAAAACATATTAATAAATGGGCCAGATATAGATGTAGGCACTAGGAATTCAAAAACAAAAAAGGATAAACCAGTTCCCTGCTTTCACAACAGCTAGTGAGAAGTTCAGAATATTAAACAAGATTCCAGTAGAAGGCAATATGTATTGTATAAGGGAGCACAAGGAGAAAAATGCAAACAAATGTGTCAAGGAAAGCTGCCAAAAGGTAACGTCTTAAAGGAAACTTGAAGGTTAAGTCAAACTTGGCCGTGAAAGTAGGGGTGCAGTGAGGGTTGAGGGACCAGATGAGGGAATTGGGGAGCTTTTGCTCTTTTTAGACAGAACAGTATCTGTGCAAGTGTAGAGATCAAAGAGAGCATGGAGCTTTCTAGTAACTGGAAGAATGTCAGTATAGCTAGAACTGTGCTTTTCCAAAAGTGAGCCCTGTGCCAAAGGCATCAGCAACACCTGGGAACCCACCAGAAATGCACATTTTTCAGACCTCCCACTAGACCCACTAAATCAGAAACTCTGGGGGTGGGACCCAGCATTCTGTGTTGACAAGCCCTCTGGGTTATTCGGCTGCAAGCTTTGGTTAGAGAACCAATGTCATCCTCAAATAGCACAACACTGGCAGCAAGGAATGGTGGGGATGATGATCTCAGTACAAGAAACACAAGATATGTGGCTAGTGAGGACCATGCAATGCCATCCTTACCTTGCTACTGAGGCTCAAATTTCCTAGGTTTTTATTTTTCTTCCAGCTGTATGTAGTTTTGGAGACAGGCAATCCAGTCACAGCAGTGAGCTTCCCGTAACTGACTTCCCTGAAACCACTGCGAACACATCTAATTATTTCCTCACCTTCATTTTACCACACTAAAAATAAAACCTTCCAAATATCTTTTTTCATTGACACTCCTATAGCTCTCATAACTTCCAAATTCCCTAGAGACGATTTTAGCCTTAAAAAATTCACCTACTGAAGGTGCTAGAACCTTGGGAATCATCAATTTAAATTCTAATACATGCTTGCTCTCTGCCAGCATTTAAGCCTGCATATGTCTCTCTGACAGTTCATATTTGGTCTGTGAACTTTCTGAAGATGCAGTAAATTATGACCTGCTCACCAGAACCTTCTGAGAAAACTGGAGCTAAGCCATCCCAAGTCAAACCTTCCAAGAAAATCTAGACATTAAGTTATCTGGGAAACTTAGTGAATTTAGATAGCTTAGGGGTAATGGTGATATGTTAGCAAAGGAAAGTTGGACACCAAAACTGACATGCCATGCAAAGGCATTTGTCTCAGGCTCAGTAACATAGAGGTACATTCTAATTGGTGAAAGAAGAAATGCTACATTCAATTAGGCATCATAGGACTTGGTTTCTTGGCTCATGAGGATTCTCCTCTTTAGAACCATAAATGAAATAAAGCAAACATGCTATATTATCTTCCTTTGCTCTAAAAATGTGAAACTCTCCAGGTATTGGGACCTAAGGATGGCAATGTAGTTGATTTATGTTTTGGTTTCCTCATGGGAAAACTAGAAATTTATTCATTTGTATGTAGAGTCATTCATTCAAAAATATTCTTGAGATCCCATTCTGTACATACTCAGGCTATAGCAGAAATAGACAAAAATCCCTGCTGTCCTGGAGCTTATATTCTAGAGAGATGAGAAAGACAATAAACAAACAATAAGCAAAACATTTTATATGCAGAGATGTGGTGTGTTGCCTAGATTTCCCCTTCAGGACCCAACTAGTGGGAGTTCTGCCTGCTGAAAGCTCATAGTTGAAGGCTCATAGCTGCAGACATTGCCCCTGGCCAAAAGAAGCTACATGCCCCTCTTCCTGGGGACAGTCAGAATCCAAGATTCCTCAATGTGATGTACAAAGACCCATGCCCATTGTGTCAATTAAAGACAACCCAGAAGAAGACCATCCCAGCTCCAGCACTCCTTGGGGTCCGCTGAGGTCTTTGCAGCTACCACATGTCAAGTCAACAGCTGCATCTTTCCATGGGCTTCCTGTACTCCCACATGTTCATGCTGAGGTCACTCCCCAGAAAACATGCTGCAAGCCAAGCTCCATTGCAGAATCTGTGTCCCAGTAAACCCCATCTAAGACAGATAATAAGAGATATTCTGGTGCAGAGTAAAGCTGAGAAGGAGGATAGGGAGTATCTGCCTCCTAATGTGAGAAAAGTACTCACTGCAGTATCTGACACAAGTAACACGTGATCATTCGAAGTTAACTATCACCATAATCCTAACGGTTACTCCAAACTAGGCAACTGGCAAAAACTTCAGGGAGGATGGCCTGACTTTGGTCTTGAAGAAAAGGAAGAACTTATACAAGCAGAAAGAAGAAAGAAATTTTTTATGTTAGCAACTGATTCATGCAATTCAATTTGGCAGGTATTTTGCAGGTAAATTGCAAAAGAGAATTAGCAAAGAGGAATTTTGTGTAAAAATTCAAGCTTTGTACTTACTTAAACTTGGATTTAAATTTTGACTTGATCACATCTCAAATATGGGACTTTGAATAAGTCAGTTAACCACTCTGTGCCTCAGTTTCCACATCTGGAAAATGGATATAAGGATACCACCTACTTTCTAAGGTTCCTGTGAGTATACAGTGATTCAATGCATGTAAAGTACTTAACAACAGAAGAGTATCCAGCTATCATGTGGTTAGAGCTCAATAAATGATTATTAATACTGATATTATTGTTACTAGCTTTGAATCTTAAATTCCATTCTAACAGCTTCAAAATAGTGTTTAAAAATGTTCTTTACCTTCTTGCATATAGATACCATATAAAAGCAATCAAATCATTTTCTTATTCTTCTCCTGATATTTTATTTTTTATACCCATGAATTTACTATAGGGATAGTTAGCTAGTTTTGGTGTTAGTTTTTGTTTAATTTATATAGGTGACATAAAAGGAGGAGTGGAATTCCCCAAGGTATGTTGACCTCCCAGGGCTTAAGCACTGGACAATTTGACTCAGCTGAAGAAACTCCACGTTTTGACTTCTGAGATACCAAATCTTAGTGAGCACAGCAGGCAAGTCAGGGGGCCTCCATTAGGCCCATTCCAGCAATATCACCTTGTAGATCCAGAACTACTCTCTCTACTGTTTCTATGGTAATCAAATTACTTAGAAGTTGGCCTACTTTTCTTTTAAACACTTAACACATCAAATGTCTCAGTGCAAACAGACAACATAGGACAGTGGTTAGAAGCTCGAACTCAGGAATTGGACTATCTGTAAGTAAATTCTGGTTCTGTCCTTTCTAACTATGTGACCATGTGCAAGTTAATTAGCCTTTTTGTGCCTCAGTTTCTCCATCTATTAAATGTAGGTAATAATACTACCATTTCTTATGATTATTTTGAAGACTAAATGAGTTAACATATGTGTTTAAAACTATGGAGAACACATAAAACATGTTTTTTAATATGATAATTACTACCCTTCTTCTGAGGGAAACTCCACTGAGTTCAGTATGATTTTTTGGACCATCCTGTGCCGTGAATCAGCTGCTACTCCCCTACGTAAAGAAAAAAGGAAATAATTAAAAAGAAGAAGAATGTAATTCTGGCAAAAGACCTTTTGTAGGACAGCCTCTGTGGAATCCTCCTCTGTTTTCAAATGGAAATGAGAAGACTTATGTATCATAGCCACCTACTCCACTACAAATTTTTTAAAATTAAAATAATAGTCATCTCATGAATGTCCTTGCACAGAAATAAGCAACTTACCCGAAAACAAGCTTAGCTATATATTGAAAATGATATTTTTGGCTCAGAATAGGTATTAGGTATGTTATCACTTCTTGAATATAAACACAGAATATCTTGCTTGAAGAAGGATTTTACTTTTCAAATTATTGGATAGACACAGTTTTGAAAATATTTGAACTTGAATAAAATCACATTTTGTTTACTGAGCATAATAACTGAAAAGAAGGCTACTCCATTCTTTTCTAACTTATTCCAAGTTATCTGACAGACAAACAGAGCACCAAGTAGGAACACACCAAAAAGACTTGGGGCTTTCTAATTACCTTTGGCACGTGCCTCTTTTTTCTGTCACGTTCTGTGCTGCAGCTCAGAATGCCTTTGAATCCTTGTGAATCTTTGACAACTACTTATTGTTTAACAGAATAGTCCCAAACATATATATAACTAATTTAAGTTATTAATGTCACTCAATAGAGATGAGAGAAATACAAGAATAGTCCAAATTTCATGTTTTAAACAAAAAAAGATGAATTTTTAAAAATTATTATTATACTTTAAGTTCTAGGGTACATGTGCACAACTTGCAGGTTCGTTACATATGTATACGTGTGCCATGTTGGTGTGCTGCACCCATTAACTCGTCATTTACATTAGGTATATCTCCTAATGCTTTTTTAAGCAGTAAGTAGCACGACTTTCCCCATGTATATAATAACATATCTAAATTGGTTTTAATTTTTATAGGGATGCTTTCTCAGAGGACTAAACAGAGGAATAGTGATTTTTTATCTGCATTTCTCTTCTTCCTAAGAGCATTTGAGGCAGTTTAAAATGTATGCACAAAATGTTTAATAGGTTAGAACTAAAATAGAAAATTAGGTCCATATACACAAGAGGGAACATAATCATTACTAGAGATGCACATGTATGTGCCATCTCTGCCTCTGAAATTTCCAGTAGCAGCCAGAGAATAGAAAAGTTATCATACGCTCATGAAGCACAAATGTTCTAAGAAAGATTTATAGAAGCCATTGAGGAAAATGGCCTCAAGCAGCTTTTTCAACAAATACAAAAGTTTTTTGTTTGTTTGTAAATGACATTTTCTGACTACAACCTTTGATAGAGCCAAGGTAAAGTTTCAATGATTGAAGATGATTTTTCCATGATGGGAGAAAGGAAGGTTACTTAATTCATTCCATGCACACAGACTTTAAGACAAACTATACCTAGGAAGTAAATGAAAGGAGTTACCTTTTAAATTTATTTTCTAAAAATTTTGTCTGTTAGCCAGGAACTTAAAATCAGAATAATCTAATAGGACCCTTTGATTGCAGATATCACATAAACCATGAGCTAGGTTAAGCAAAGAGGAATGAAGAAATGTCCCAGACTAGGCTTCAAAAAAGATTGAGACAAGAAACTGGAAAATTCTCCAAAGGAAAGACAGCTTTTATTCCTGATCCACACAGCCACCAATCTCTGTTTTGTGCTCTAAAGACTAGTTTTACCTGTGTTCATTTAGGAAAATATGTCTATGGCTTATAAATCACATTTCCCTTAGTGTCAACCATGCATGAAAATTGCCAAACTGATTGTGAATCCTAATCCCAAATTCCTGCAAGAGGGAATGTGGTTGGTCCAGTTTGGGTCAGGTCTCTGTCGGTAATCCAATGCATATGACTGGGTGCCAGAGACAGGGAGAACAGTCTTCCAAACTCCTGCCCTGTGGGTGGAGGGAGTTTTCAGAGACAGGGCTGAACAGATACCTCAGAGGATGTTTACTAAGAATTTTGAGGTTGGTCTTTAATGAGTGCTTAGAATGTAAATTTTCTACTTTCATATCAATAGATGATATAAATGGTACAAAAATATGGTGAAGCAATAGAGAAATCCTTCCACTATAAATGTTGAGAAGCCCAACCAGTATTTTTGCAAAAGTAAAAATAAAACCTCTCCATGTTTATGCTAAAATGGGCTGCAGGCAAAGCAAAGATTGTCCTTAGGAAGCAGATTTGAATCTGCCCCCACCGTTAGATACACTCTAGATTGAGAGTTCAGAGTCCCCCACCACAGGATACTGGGAAAAAAGATGATTCTGGCCTGGAAATTTTTCAAAGCAGGTGTTGTTGCAAGTCATCAAAAAGAAACCCGAGGAGTAATGCTCCCATGGAAAAAGTTATATTGAACTGCGTAGCTCTGCACTGTGCTTTCCTGGATAAGCTATAGAAAAAATATGCATGTACAAAATGGAAATATCTTGTCTCATTGTGTGAAGTTTTGATCAATTGCCTTTTGTCTGCCAAAGAAAATGATTTTCAATTTGATAAAGTTGGTGATGCTCAATTCTTTCTGGCAGCAGTAGGATAGCAGAATTATTTGTATCCTGAAGTTAATTCTAGTTGTTGAAAATTACACCCATATCATCAGCATGTAGGAAGATGCTTATCTTTCTACCTGCCATGATGGCAAATACCCAGTTTGTCTAAAATCAGTGCCATATTGTGAAGATACTAGTTAAAAATTAATAAATAAAACACAATACTGGTTTTTATATTACATGACAAGGTGAATGGGTATGTCAGGAAATGTTCCCTTTCATTTCAGTTTTAGAAAGATATTTACTCCCACATTTGTAGATCCTAATATTAAGCTTCATTTTTTACTTAACTCAATTCCCTAGGCAATGAAGTCAAAATTTTGTGAAAAAATCAATATGCATAAGTAAACAATCTTATTTTCTTCAAAATAATAGTAGTAAATAGTAGGGCAATACTGTGCCAAAAACCTTCTTGCTGCTAATACGAATTATTTAACTTGGAGACCTCACACACATGGCTTAAGGAGAAGCAGGGTGTAAATAATTGAAGAGATGCTGAAAAAATTGATGGAGCCATAGTTTTGTGCTACCATGGGGTTGGCCTTTTTAAAATAGAATAGTCTCCCATTGAATCTCTCCAGAATTAATCCTGATGATTGATTAGAGGTAGTTTGAGGTAAATAGTTTGGTGTTCTTCAGAACAGGCTTCAAACAATGATCCAAAAGCTTCCCTTAGAACTTACTCACTTTCAGGAGATGGTTAAATGAGTTTTGGCATAAAGCAATAGCAGGTCCTAAAAGAAATATACTTGGGTCCATAACGCTAAGAAAAATTGGCACCTGGCATTGTGGTTAGCCGTGCTTCCATAAATAGTTCTACTGATGCCAAATAAAGGACAACTGTAGCCTCAAATTCATGTTACCATAAACTGTGAAAATTCACTAAAAGCCTTCCACAGGAATTTAGCTCCAGTATTTTGGTGATAATTAGTTTATAATTAGATAGGTTTCAATTAAGCAAAATATTTCACATTCTAACATGCTGTCTTGCTAAACTTGCCAGAAATGTTGTCTGCCCATTTGTTTTTTTTTCTTTTTTTGTTTTTGCATCTATGCAATTTTTATTAAATTGATACATGAGACCCATTAGATATAGGACAGACAGGACTGATTTCCCCCCAAAACTATCCATCTATTAAAGAAAAATAAATTGGAATATCTCCTGGCACATGTGTTAGTCTTTCTGTAGAAAAAGGTTGTTTTAGAAAGGTAAGCACATTTCCACTCCATTTCACCCTACACTTCCAATCCTATCCATCCAGTTACCGGGCAAACAGACTTGGGAGGCTGTGTTTATCATCAAAATCAAAAGATGACAGTAAGGTTAGATAGAAAACATTCCCCTCAAGCAACATAATAAACAATGAGAAGTAACTATACCTAGTTTGGATATATAAAGTCCTGCATCGCCCTGCCCCATATCAGCATTTACATCCAGTCTAATTATTTTCTCTTGGTTCATTATATTCCATAGGACTCTCCATTTCAAGTGACAAAACTGTACTGGCTTAATGAAAAGTGGGACTTTATTGCCTCAGGTAACTGAAAAGTCAAAGGGGTAGTGTGAGGGTCGGGCCAAATCCAGGCTCTCCAATGATGTCTTCAGTGATGTCTCAGTCTCAGTTCTGTTTTCTTCTCTGATGGGTTTGTCTTCAGTATTCTCATGTATTTGCAAGAGTTTATGTCTCTGGTAAAAATGGCAATTTTCATTAAACTAACATCTACATATACCCTATTCTAGAATCTGAATATTAATAGTAACTTGAGAAAAACTCAAGCATGCTGACTGGAGTCAGTTTCAGTTTAAATTATTATGACCTCTTCCTTGCCTATCTCTCCAACTTCCTCTTGTGCATATTGGTATGTGTCCCAGGCATCTCAAAGTACATATAAACTCCTGAAGATGTTGTGCTATTTATACCTTCGTAGTATTTGTGATGTTTCCTCAAGCCACAGTGTCCAATATCTACTTACCATGTTGGTGACTTGCAGATTTCTTCGAATCATTCCAGATTTAGTTTAAGAATTACCTTCTTTATAATCTTCCTACGATTTTTTCGGTGGAGAATACCACCCTCCCCCTCTTGTCCTGTGACCTTCACACATACCTCCATTCTAGCACCAATGTTTCTGTATTACAACTATGATCTGCATCTCTATCTCTCTCACTAAAGAGAAACGCTATGAGGAAATCACACTTCAGTTTTCTTCATCTCCCCAAGCTCTATATCACAGTGCTTAGCAAATGGTATTTTTGTTGTTATTGAGTGAATAATGAGTTGGTGAATGAGAATTTCCTCAAGAAATTATTTAGATTTTTTTTCTAAATAATTCTGTTTTTAAAATCATTTTCTTTAAATATTTTTTCTATGAAAAATAGACTCCAAATAAATCTAAGTTTATACAGTTCATACAACTTATGAAATTTGTGATCCCTAATGATTATCCATTTCATTACAAAGCTCTTTATCTCAAACCACAGTAACTTATATTAAGAAGCTATAACCCCAAGTGCATAGATATGCTCACCAATGTGCAAATATCTACTATTAATATTATGGCACATGGTGAATAGTATTTAAAATTGAACATCATTGGTTCCAGGTCAGTGATCCAGGGATGTTGTGAAATTTGTATGGAAATCCTATTTTACACTGGATCTTAAAAGACTTTTTAAAGGATGAAAGATATATGCATGAAGATGTAAATATTCTTTGAGAAAAATGTTCTCAAGACCTATCTCAACTGCCAGTAACAATATGAAATACAGACAATTACAAATTACATCTTTGACATTTAGGATGTTGACCGTAGTTTCAGGTGTTTAAATGTCTCAATCATTTTCTTTGTTCTTTGAAATTTGTTATATGAAGGCTACCTATGGTAAGGCATCTTGACCATTCATTAATGAACACAAGAATCTCTTAAAATAAAAAAAAGTCAGAAAATACTTCATTATGCTGCGCTATTTGCCTCTGCTTCTGCTTCTCCATTAAATTGTACCAAAATCACATTTTCCAATTATTCCTGTGTCATTTGGCATTTTTACCTGACAAGTAAATTGAGGTCATCAGGAAGAGTGAATCTCAAAATCTCTGTTGTTTCAGTGTAGCCACAGTTTGATATACTGAATTGTATTGTTTCTGGAGAAGTGGCAGAGGAGTAGAAGAAGGCACAGCTATGAAATCACTTTCTGAAAAAAAAAAAAAAAGTATGATCCCTGCTAAGGGTCTCTGCTTCAACAGAAATGATCCATGAGGTTTGTTTCCATTCAGCTGAGAAATCAGTAATCAGCTTACTTGAATGGAAAAAAGAAACTCTTGCTATTCTCTTTTATTTCTAATCTTAGAGATACTTTTCCTTTGGGTAGATAGCATCAAATATTGAATGAATGTAAAAGAAAAATATCAGTATAATACTATGTTGACTATATTTACTTTTTTTCAAAGCCTAGGCAGGGATATTTAGGAAAAAAAATGACCCACATTATTTTCTATTAATTTATTTCTGAATAAATTATTATTTCTAATCTTATATATATTTTCCTTTGAGTAGATAGCATCAAATATTGAATGAATGTAAAAGAAAGATATCAGTATAATACTAAGTTGACTATTTTTACTTTTTTTCAAAGCCTAGGCAGGGATATTTAGGAAAAATAAATTTACCCACATTATTTTCTATTAATTTACCTCTGTACATACTGATTTACAAAATACAAATATGTAAGGGAATGTAATGTAAAATTACAACGTGTTTAAGCATTACTGTTGACACACAAATCAAGTAAGAAAACTGTTCTTTAGCCAAGGGCATTTTATCCTTATATTTAGAATGTGATTTTTATCTCTTTTTCACAAACAATACACATATATTAATACCTATACTATGTATGGCTTATACTAATCCCTTGTTATATAGAAAGTTGAAACATATTATTCTGCCCTCAAGAGGCTTGTAGTAGAGATGAGTCAAAAAACTGAAACTCTCAGGAAATGAATCATTTTGATAATTTAAGTTTTTGGCCAGGGTTTAATCTTAGAAGTATTATTTTTATAACTTTAGAATAGTTTGGAGGCAAACGTTTTTTAATCATGCATCCCCAAACTCTTGTCCTTTCAAATAAAATATATTGGACTTATCTCAGTATTTTCTAATTAATATCGA
The DNA here is from genome assembly GCF_000001405.40 of Homo sapiens. NCBI lineage: Eukaryota > Metazoa > Chordata > Mammalia > Primates > Hominidae > Homo > Homo sapiens. Next base: position 97,469,112 of record NC_000003.12, read on the forward strand.
ATGATCATATGAAGGTATCGAGTTATAAAACATAGTGAATTATTTGATGCTCCTTGAATTTTGTAGGGCTATTTGATCCTAAACTCCTGGCTCCTGACTAGTGTACACTTTGGAATCTTGTGTCAGATTTTCAGTTTTTCCACCTCTTCCATCAGTCTGACTAGCAGTGTGCAATTATTTTCAACTCTCTCTTTGTAGATGCCTCCCCAACCTATCTTCTAATCTGTTGCCTACTACACTATTTTATGAACTTGGAAATCAATAAATATATGTGAAGTAAAACTGTGAGGTATCAAAGCTGTTTTATAGTATGTGGACCTCAGTCAGATGCCTTTCTAGAGAATCTTTTTTATTTGTTTTTGTCTTGCTTTCTATCGTTCAACTAAATCACATAATTGAGACTGCTGTCTAGCTGATTTCAAATACATGTGATAATATGGGTACCTGAACTAAGAAAATACAGTGGGAGTTGGAGAGAATGAGAAAGAATCTAAGAAATACTTTAAAATTATAAGGGACAGGACTGATCAACTTGGAAGGCGAAGGAGAGAATTGGTTGAGGGCTGAGTCCAAGGTTTCTTGCCTGAACATCTCTGAGAATGGGACATGGGAAAGGGATGATTTTACTTTCTAGGCAATGGGAAATGTTCTCAATATTTTAAAATGTTATTATGAAGAATAATTACATCCATATAACGTGGATGTATTGTGAAGAGATACTGTGGAAAGGCAACCTAATAGCAAATGATGAAACTAGTCTACTCCTGTGGGGCTGAAGCCTCACAGTAGGCTGTGTCACTGGTAATAGAGGCAGGATGAAAAACTTGACTCTGGACTTGGAGTTGTAGGAAAATGCAAAATCAAGGATAACCCTATGCTTTTAAACCCACGTGGCCCAAATGATAACAATATCATCTACAAAGTCACAAGTTTATGTTCATCTAGAAGATATGTTTCCTCAGCTTTCATTTGTATCTCATACTCTTCTGTCTGCATGAGAATGTGGTGTTGAAAATGTGAAGATTAATTAATCTCCATTATGTGTTGCTAAATGCTTATAAAGTTAAGCCAATTCTGATTTCTATACATGATCTGAGAGGAGAATTTTCCTGTATTGGTTGTCCATAAACTTTAAAACTAATTTACTGGGTATCATCAATTCATGGCTTTGTTGAGATTTGTGCTATGTTTAAAGAAATCATTCTGTTGAAATGATGAAGACAATTTATTTCACTGAGCAGCATTTTTTGTGAGATGCTTTATTTAAAAATTCATATTAACTACTGTCTTCAATAACTTTAAAAATATGTTCATAACAGAAAAGAGTTAACTTTAAAAATCTATTCCACAGAAAATGACACAGAATACAAATAACAGATTTTACTTTGAAATGTAAATATAAACTAGAATAATCTTGATTACAGGGAGACAAAATCATATGCCTCCATAGAAGAAAATTCTTTGGTTAAAAATAGCCAAATTGCCTTTCTCCGACACTTTCCTAAAGATATGAAATCTCTTTTTTAAGTATTTAGATTCCAAGTAAAGCATTTCACTTTTTTTTTCTTTAGATGGAAACAAACCACACTTAATAATGTCATCACAACTTATGCCAAACGCTGTTGCTCAGTTACAATTTTGCAATTCTTTTTGGATAATTGCTTCCTCTTAAGGAAGTATACTTCTTCCCAAATCATAGAATGAAATATATCATTTTAATATTTTTATCTTTGTCCAAGAATACAAGCTAACAATTAAACAAAGGATCATTTCCAATCAGTGAGTCACAAATAAATTTTATTTTACACTATGGATTTCAGAGTGGTTCTTTTTAGGGACAAGTTTGCTTTCAACAGATGCCACTTATATGAGTAAACGATACATTTTTCTCCTACAAAACTAATGAGAAGGTTCTGCTCAGGATTGAAAAAACTGAATGGATAATGCTATAGACAAGTTTTCATAACAGAGACATTTGTAGCTCTACTGTATTTTAGTGGAATCCATTTGGCAGGTAACTTCATGGTTTGCTTATTTGTTTCTTTAAGTGTCTATTTAAATAAACCAAACTAATGAGATCTCTAGCCAAGGAGGTGATCATCCTGTTCCTCCTCTTACTTCTTCCAACACATTACATTTTCCCAAATTCCCTGTCAGCTCACTCACTGCCAGAGGCTGCTTATTCTTTTCCAACACCATTCAGTTTCCCTTTTGTAACAATAATTACTTCTGTAATTTCTTATTCAGTGTCTGTCTTCCCCACTGAACTGAAAATCCATGAGCACAGTAACTGTGTTTTGTTCATCACTGTATACCCTGTGTCTATGTTAGTGCCTAGCATAAACTAGTTGCTCAATAAATATTAATTGAATGAACTAATAAATTCTTAACCTTAGACTCATATTTCTGAGCTTTGGTCCACTCAACTTGGTAAAATGTAGCAGTCTGAATTCCCTAGTAGCTTCTACCTCCCAGAAAGCATTGTCTCCAAGCACACAGAGTAATTGGATTTTTCTGATTAGTGTTGGGTACACTCTCTTCACGTACATTGTATAGCTACACTGATGGTAAATCTTCCCCACATATCAAGGGAAGGGTGGGAATGTGGATTACTCCTGAACTTTTCTTACCAGAACCATCCAGTGCAAATAATTATTCAACCCACTCACTCAAAGGAATATTTATTACCATGTAGGCTGGACACTGTATTGGTTTCCTAGGACTGTTGAAACAAATTGTCACTAAGTCAATGGCTTAAAACAATATATCACAGCTCTGGAGACCAAAAGCATGCTCCCTCCAAAGTTTCTAAGAGAGACTTCTTCCTTTTCTCTTCTTGCTTCTGGTGTCTTATTCTTTGGCTTGTGGGTTGCATAACTCATCTCTGCCTTTGTCTTTACATGTGTCTTTACATGGCCTTCTCGTCTTTGTCTTCTCCACTTTTCTCTCTCATAAGGACACTTGTCATTGGATATGGGACAACCTGTTTAATCCAGGATAATCAAGTTTCTTAATTACACCTGCAAATTCCTTTTTTGAGGGGAGGGGGAAAGGCTGTCACCATTCACCCCACTATGGATATCATAGTGAATATAGTTCCTGCTCTCATTGAATTTGAAATCAAATGAGAAAGACAGATTATAAAAAGTAATTTCAATAAAATGTGATGGTTTTATTGGTAGAAATCTTTTAAGGGTCTTGGGGAACATCTGTCTGGGGACCTACCCAAATCTAAACAACCAGAAAAAAAAGTGCTTCCCAAATGATAAGATATTCATGGAGGAGTGATTAGAAATTGACCAGATATTAAGAGTTTGGCTCATTCAAGGACTTGGAAGAAATTCAGTATGCTTAAAGAATGATAAGATGTATCTGAAGACATACGCTAGAGCCATTTGTAGACAGCTTTGATAACAAAGTTAAGGGCCTTGTAGTTTATCCTGAGATGAAGTCAGAGCTCTGTGATGGACCAACACTAATATGATAAAACGCAAAAATTATCCCCATCAGGACCAAGCTCCTGAGTGTTTTTATTTCCATATGGCAAATCTTGTTCTTTCCACTATTTTGTTGCAGCCTGCATGGATAACACAATATCATAGTACAATTGCTCTGAAAGATTGTGACAAGAATGTTTAATTCAACATTATCATTTTACAGACATGAAATCAAGTTCAAGCAAGGCTATGATTGTTGTAGGGTAACCAAAACCGCTAGATCTAGTTAGTTCTTCTGTTAGGAAAAATGGTGGTTTAAAGTACTGGCAATTGCTTGGGCTTGGAGATCGGCAAAAAGAAGTTGGATTGCCGGCTTTCCCTTGACAAGATATGTAACCTTGAGAAAGTAACTGTTTAAACTAGGAATGATAATAGTACCTACCTATCAAGACCATTGTGAAGATAATTTTGATAATGAATTGACGCTCATAGTTTCCTATTAAATAAATAATGACTGTTGTTCTTGTTGAAGATGATAATGTTGATGAGGTTTTTATAATCATCCCAGCCTCACAATCTATAGCATTTTACTCCCAGTATAATAGTGTTTCATTAAATACTCTTATTAGGAAATAAGAGTATTTAACATATTTATTTTCTAATAAGAGTATTTAACACATTTTATTCTCCACAGAGGAGTGTTTACAGTTCCTAAGTTTAAGAAACAATTATGCAGGAATATGCATTTTTCAAAGGGTCATAACTTAAGATTGTTATCCAATTAAAATTTTAATTAAAACAAAGTTTATAAATGTAATAACAAGTGTGCAGAAGGAGACATATTTGTAGAATTAGCAGTTTAGTCAGTAATTATGTATGTAAAACAACACCATTTTTTATAACAAAGTAATCTGATTTTCAAAAGGCACCCAATTACAAAATCTCCCTCTGAATTTTGGACTCAACAAATTATAGCTACCTAACTACTATGAAACTATATGCCCCTGATTCAAAATTCTTGAATTATGCTATTTATTTTACAGATACAACAGTTTTTAAGTAAATAATGTTTTTTGGGTAAATGCCATCTGCTTTATCTTCAAAAAGATAATGCTTTCTAGAACAACTATTTCTTACATTTTTGTTATTCAATAACTTTCAGTGAGAAAATATGACATTTTAGAGCACAACATTCATTCCCATGATATCGGTGCTATTTTGAAGATTAGGAAATTCAGTGAAGACCTAATAAAAAACCTTCAGTACATTATTTATTGGATAAGATGCAACTATTTAACTTGTCTCTGCACAGATTATGAGTGAAAACTTAACATTGTAGTACATTGCTTGAAAATGTCTTGATTAAATCATAGTGACTAAGTTCTAATTCTAAGATTTAATACATTTCTCTTACTGAAAACTGAACATAAATGACTTCAACTCTTTTGTTTTTATTTACATTCAGATTTTTTTAAAAGTCTCTAAAGTGCTGTGACTGGTTTCTTACTGACTTGACAATAGTGTTGAAGGCTTAGACATTCTGTTGTAGATATGTCATTTTTATGAGAATGCTATTACTCTGGATATGAATTTGCACATAATATACTGCATACTCAATTCCCAGAAAAAGATCTACTTCTGTGGAAGCTGTAAAATACTCAAGTTTAATAAATTATTATGTTAGAGACTTCTGCAGTTTGCTTCTCAGTTATATACTTTATTTGATCCAATTTTCTCCAATAGCTGATAAGATTAATAGATATTATTTATTTTCAGTAGTCAAAATAAAAAACAAGTTTAATTTAAGTTAAGGAACATTAAGAGACTGATTGATTTGGTTTTTTATATTATTGATGATTAACTCAATTATTACTACAAGTTATAGTAACAAAAATGGAGAAATGAGACAAAACCCTGAAAGACTGAATTCTGGTCATAGTTTTATGTGGGCTTGGGCAATTTCTTTAATTTTTCTGTGCTTCTGTTTTCTTACCTCTATTATTGAGGAATTGCCTATTCCACTCATTGAAAATTATATTTGATTAAAGCATTATTAATATAAAAAATTAGAAGTGCTAATAAATTAATTTAAATGATATATGTTAAAAGATTCCCAGAAGATTAGTAAAACATGCAGCTCATGTGCTTTTAAGAGACAGTTTTATGAATGAAAGAAGGAACATGTTGCTACCATATATAATCTGGTCTTTTCTTCAAAAAAGGAAGCTTTTAAACATCATTTTTCCAATTATTGCTGATTAAACATCTAAGCACCCATTATGTATATCCTCGTGCTGTGGAGGTGAGAATCCACAATTTTAGTGTTTGAATTAAGTTCTATGAAGTATAAAGAACATCATTCTTAAAAGGAATTATACAGTAGTCTTTCTACTTTGTGAAAACAGATATCAAAACAGTCTATAAAGCCTGGTCTATTGGCCAGTGTTTAAGAGGAAATACAGTGAGCAATTACATAAAACAATTCTTTAGCCTATCTGCTGATTTAGTTTTACAGCACATACTTAATCTTAAAATAAGGGGTACTAAGAATTCATCTACTTTATTGATCTTTTTTGAAGAAAGAGGACAGGTTTATGTTGTGGGTTATGGCCCCAACTCTTCAGCCCTGAGTCAAAACTCATTTATTTTGGGTTTGCTTCATACGTGTCAAATACTGAAATAAAGGCCAAATATACTGAGCTTGGCATCCGTTATTGTATTTTCTAGTGTAAACTAAATTGTAAAATGGTTTTAATAGTGAAATGTCACCCAGGGAAATTTTAATATTGTATCTCTGTTTCAGCTTCTGACATGGCAGCAGAACAAGGACAGATTCTCGTGATAGCCACCGCCGCTGTTGGCGGATTCACTCTCCTCGTCATCCTCACTTTATTCTTCTTGATCACTGGGAGGTAACTGAAACATACCATACTATTTCCGAGATTTATGAATAACCACTCTTTTTATACATTGTGTATTCAAATGCTTTTAGATATAACAAAGCACACCTGAGGTCGAGAGGGATCCCATAAGAATCCACTCTGACAGTGAACCATCATTAGTTCTCTGTTTCAACAGGTCCCTGAATATGGAAAGATCCGAAGATGACTAAAGCTGTTTGAAAGCTATGAATGATGAATTTATAGTCAATAAGTTACTCCATATTTTTCCTTTACTATAATCAAATTACATCATAAAAAATAATTTTCTTAAAAAATATTTTAATGGAAAGTCAGAACAATTTATAGAAAAACTCTTTATAAACCTAGTGTTATAGAAATATAATATTTTGTCAATTAAATATTGAAACTGTCTATGTTAGAATTATATTAATTGGTTTTATAAATCCAATATTTCTATACTTCAAAGTAATTTGAATAAAATATAAACTAACAGTAAATTTAACATAGCAAAAGACCTAAATTTGAATCCTGACTAACTGGTCCAAGTGCTTCACCCATCAGAACCTTAGCTTTCTATTTTTATACAGGTTTGATACAAAAGTATATTAAAACCATTTAATGACTTTTAAATAAATAGTATGAATACCATAATCCAGGTGCTGATAATACAGACGTGAATGAAGATAATATGTATAAAATTATATCAAAGAATAAATGTTATTTCTTATTTAATCCATGGTATTTGGCCAGGACTTTTTCCAGAAATCACAATATTTTATTCTCAGATCATTCTAACAAGAAGATAAAATAGTCTATCTAGATATCAAAAGAGGCACAAAAGAATACCTCAACAGATTTTTTATAATCAGAAACACACATCTACTGCAATATTTCACTATCATGATTTAAAACTGCAAAAAGAATGTCAGCCAAACAGTACACACCAATGTTGACTCCAGCTAAAGTACACCAACCCTGCCAGAAAACATTGGTACGTCAGAAAGAGCAGAAATAATAAACAGCACCTTCAGTGAACCGAAAACACTATTTGTTTTTAAAACTCTGCTTAGGGACCAACATTTTATTAAAATTTAATCTACTTAAAATTACAGAGGTAATTTTAATACACATATGAAAAATTGTCTACAATTTTGACAGCACACCAAAAAGTATAGAACTTGACAAGTACTTTGCATGTATCAAATGTGGGTCCCTGACAAATATACAACTGCTATTCAGTAACAGTGTATTAGATATAGTTGTAACAAACCTCCTTTTATAGAATTTACCGAGGAAAAAAGCAGCATGAATATTCTAATGTGGTTGAGTTAAAAATGATGACTTATTTGTGAAATTAAGTGGAAAGAAGGCACTTTACAACTATGTTTACTTAAGTTTTTCATGTATATAAACAGATATAGTAATGGTCTTAGAATTAAGAGGGAGTATTTGGGGGTCTCTAGTTTTGGGGGGTGATTAGCTGATAGAATAATGCCAGCTACAGTAACAAGGAAAAAAACAGACATGAAAGAATGCAGGAAATAATGATAAATTCATCTTAATACAAGTACTAATTTGGGCACAACATGTTGCCACCATCAGGCACTGTTGTCCAGCATCCTCTTAGGACCCTTTTCCTTTATTTTTAGGGCAAACCTCTGACAGCTAACTGCCATCATCAGAGCTTTGATATAGCTCATCTTTTATAGAGGACAGAAAGCAAATTTTGGAATCTCTAAACCAATTAACCATTAGGTTGTAGATTAAATGTTCAACACTGCAGCTTATCAAACATGGCCTACAAAAACTTGAATCACTAGCCAGAATAAAGTGATTATAAAAAATAAACAAAACCCCTAAACATCCTGGTGGAGGTCTAAGTTTTCTGAGAAAGATTAAAATTATTCCCATACTATTTTGGACTCTGGCAAAGAGAGGGATTACAAGACAGTTATGGTTAGAGAAAGAGAAAGAGAAAGAGAGAGGAAGGGAAGGGAAGGGGAGGGGAGGGGAGGGGAGGAAGGGAAGGAAGGGAGGGAGGAAAGGAAGGAGAGAAAGAGAGAGAGGAAGTTTCAGTGAGGGTTAATGGCGCAAGTTTAAAAAAGAAAGGAAAAAAGAAAATAAAAGTATTTTGTTGTATGTAAAGTCACAATGACAATTTGGTTAAGAAAATCAAATTGCCACTACTTTAGCATTGCTACGTGTTTAGTAAACTTTATTAGGAAAATGTTAAATAGAAGAATAAACCTTACTGTATATTCCTTACCCTCTATAACATTAATGCTGCCCATGCATTTTGAACTGGGGTCACTGATATCTTTATAATACTCTAATTATCATGAAGGACAATCTGCTTTGGAGCCCAGAAAGTTTATTTAGTTTTTAAAGTACAATGGCATTCCATTGTACTTTAAGGAGCTCTTAACTACAAAGACACAAATTTATCATGTAACTATACTGTGAAAAAATAGGTATGATGGTTGATTTTGATTCAGAAATATTTTTGTTTTCCATTTTCAAAGTTTCTTTGAAGGAGGGAGTAATCTCCTTTTCTTATTATTATACTTTAAGTTCTAGGGTACATGTGCACACATATGTTTATGGAGGGAGTAATTTCTTAAATGTGATTTTATTTAACATCAGTATTACATTATTTACAATAGAAAAAAATCCTCTGGACGTTTAAAAGAAATTTAATAATGATTCACTATATTGCAAAATTGGATACAGTTATATGTATCTTGTAGAACATAAGTTAAGGCCTTATTTTTTCATAGAGTATTTCAGTAAACAGTGATTTAAATAGCACATACACATGTGGCAAAGCATTTCATTAAGGCATCAGAAAATATTTCCTTAACACATAAATATGACAAACACAAAAGAAAACATTTCAATCTTTGCAGGCTAAATAAGTATTGCCTAATAAACTTGAGAGTTGGGCTCAAATATTATCTTTATTTGGGATTCCTGGAGCAGAATAGATATACCACTTCAAAGGAGAATTTAATGATGAAGAAAAATTTGTGCTAAATTATTTTCAGCTTTCAGTTTCTATGTTTGCCAATTTATATTTCATTAGAAATTGCTTTAACATTCCATGCAATGAAGAGAACAATTTCAATTACATAAAATAGAAAAAAAAATATTTTGAAGTATTGCTTAAGCACTTTGGTAGGGGAGCAGTCATTGGAAAATATTCTATGAAAACTGTAAGACATTTCTGAATAAATGCTCAACTTGCCATAGAATTCGAGGCAAAATTCCCATTGAAAGACTGAATTATGTAACACAGACGTACTTTGTTTAGCCATTAGAAATTTGATAAACCATCAAATCATATGGATGTTGAAGAATTTACTCATATTGAAGAAATCTTGAGAGCATGGTTATCCAGAGGGAGACTAGAACATGCCTCTACCAAATTCCAAATATTAAAAAATAAAACTGCTGAACCATCCTGCTGTTTAGCAGTGAAAATGGAAGACAGTTGTATACATTTCTGAAATTCTGACTCAAAATGCTTTTTTTATTTTGACTTTTAATTTTCTTTTTACCAACTCTAGCTATTAGTAGTCATGTAAGGGATGGTTATGGCAGATTATTAAATATTTTCTAAGACTCCTATCTTTCGAATCCATCTACTTAACAGCATTTTATTCTAGGGCTAATTTCAGTGTACATAAAAAACCTACTATAGAATATTTTCACGTTATAAAGATATTTTAAAAGTGGTCTTTATGACAAGAAATTTGTTCATAGATTATATGTATTTTAATTGGTTTTGCATTGTATGCATCATACTTCTTAAAACAAGTTTTTTTTTTTAATCTTTTTAAAAGATGTCAGTGGTACATAAAAGCCAAGATGAAGTCAGAAGAGAAGAGAAGAAACCACTTACAGAATGGGCATTGTAAGTAGCGCAGGGACTTTCTTTCATTATTTTGTACTGTTCCAGCACTTCAGGAGTTCATTCAAACTGTATCTATTGAGTTGAGAAAAAAAGAAAAAAAAAATCACTTCCAACCTTTCAGCATTAAGAATTTTCATCTGGTTTCCAGGTTTGTTGGTGAAAGTTGCACCTGCTTCTCATTAAATAACATTACCTTGTTCCCAATTCTGCTTGCTGGAAAACACAACAGACTGAATTTGCTAAAAATAATAGTTGACTGATTTTATCAAGTTATTTACCACTCACAATGGCTCTAAAACATGAGTTGATTTTATCTAGTGGAACATTAGACATAGAAATAAATATTAGGGAATCTTTATTCCTTCTTGTAGGGACTGTCTTTTAAATATATAACAAATCAATTTACAATTCATTAATACTAAAAAAGAATATCAGCTCTTTAACTCTTAGAATATGTATGAAATCCTTGGGCTGACTACAAGGTTATATTCATTTGAGAGATCTATTCCCAAGCAACCTATAATTACCACTATAGCTGGTTTGATAACTGACAACTTCTCCTCCTCAACATCCACCTCCACCTCCACCTCCAAATTGCAAACTACTTCAGCAAGACAGTTTTTCTATTGTGAGACACTGAATTAACAAGAAAGGGATGTTCTCTAATTAACCACAGTGTAGAGATAATATGCAAGGCAACTTAACTGTTTTATCTTTTATTTCAAATTGAGCAAAAGATAATAAAGGACATTTCAATCTATACCACCCTCCAGGAAAGGGAAAGGATTTAAGTGAGGAACTTTTATTTTTTATTATTATTTTTTAAGTATAATTAGAATTTTTCTTTTTTTTCTTTCTTTTTATTTATTTATTTTTTTTAGTATTTATTGATCATTCTTGGCTGTTTCTCGGAGAGGGGGATTTGGCAGGGTCATAGGACAATAGTGGAGGGAAGGTCAGCAGATAAACATGTGAACAAGGGTTCTCTGGTTTTCCTAGGCAGAGGACCCTGCGGCCTTCCGCAGTGTTTGTGTCCCTGGGTACTTGAGATTAGGGAGTGGTGATGACTCTTAACCAGCATGCTGCCTTCAAGCATCTGTTTAACAAAGCACATCTTGCACCGCCCTTAATCCATTTAACCCTGAGTGGACACAGCACATGTTTCAGAGAGCAAGGGGTTGGGGGTAAGGTTATAGATTAACAGCATCCCAAGGCAGAAGAATTTTTCTTAGTACAGAACAAAATGGAGTCTCCTATGTCTAATTCTTTCTACACAGACACAGTAACAATCTGATCTCTCTTTCTTTTCCCCACATTTCCCCCTTTTCTATTTGACAAAACCGCCATCGTCATCATGGCCCGTTCTCAATGAGCTGTTGGGTACACCTCCCAGACGGGGTGGCGGCCGGGCAGAGGGGCTCCTCACTTCCCAGATGGGGCGGCTGCCGAGCGGAGGGACTCCTCACTTCTCAGATGGGGCGGCCGGGCAGAGGCGCTCCTCATATCCCAGACGGGGTGGCAGAGCAGAGGCGCTCCCCACATCTCAGACAATGGGCGGCCGGGCAAAGACGCTCCTCACTTCCTAGACGGGATGGCGGCCGGGAAGAGGCGCTCCTCACTTCCCAGACTGGGTGGCTGGGCAGAGGGGCTCCTCACATCCCAGATGATGGGCGGCCAGGCAGAGAGGCTCCTCACTTCCCAGACGGGGTGGCAGCGGGGCAGAGGCTGCAATCTCGACACTTTGGGAGGCCAAGGCAGGTGGCTGGGAGGTGGAGGTTGTAGAGAGCCGAGATCACGCCACTGCACTCCAGCCGAACAATTTCCTCATGAAGTACTGGAAAAGACAACCTTTTTCTCCATTACTATTTGGACTTTTAGATCACGTACATAACCAGGAATTGAATAAATAATGAATGTTTTCATAAAGAGTATCCGTCTTGGAGGGAGATTCCAGTTGTAGAGATGTTTCACTTGTGCAAAATATCCAACATAGCTATTCTGAGAAGGAGTTTCTACTCCCTGAAATTTTTTGCTGTGGGTTTTATCTGTTCGCCTTTCTCCAAAATAATACAGGCTTTCCTTTGCAGTTAAAAATATTTCAGAGGCAATAAGGAAGGCACAAACCATAGTTCCGGTTCTTCCTCCGGCGCGGGGCTAAGTGCAGGCCCGGGGGTCCCTAGAGCCGCCGGGGCGCGGCGCGTCCGGCGCTGGGGGACTGTTGGGTCAGAAAGTCTTCAGGGAGCAGCTGTTGCGCCCTCCCTAGGCCCGCCGCTTGGAGACGCCCCGCCCCCTGCCTTCAACGGCCGCCCGGCCCCGCCCCGCACCGCCCCGGCCCCGCCCCCTGTGAGGAACTTTTATACAGTAAGTCTGACTCTTACTGCACTGGCAGAGCTGAGAGAACTGATATCTGGCATGGGATAACATGGAAAGGCTGTAAACAGATTGCAGAAACCTGGATCCAGACACCTGGGCTGATGACTTAACGCAGGGCAACCTTAAGATTCACTGCAGGGCATTTAGTACTGCTATGCAGAGGGAAAAGGTGCTCCTGAGGCATTTATTATCTGTTTTCCAAGAGGTAGGTTAGCATAAACCAAACCAGATGGGCCCAGCATGAAGCGATGAAAATAACTCGAGACAGCCAAGGAGGTAGAAGAAAGTTAACCAACTGATGTTTAAGAAGACGTTGATAAGTTTAAATTAGTAACCAGGTATTCAAAATTGGAATTCAGTTTGGTTGTTTATTTTCCTCTTTACTACACATATGTTTATAAGAAAAAAATGTGATATTTACTGATCTTATTCTATAGAAATGTGTACCACCTTAAATAATTGAATAGTTTAATAGTTAAAACCACATATGAGTTAATAAATGATGCTTGTTATCTGTGCCTAGCATAATATTATCAACATGACCACAGATCTGATTAGATATCACTAATAATTAGTAGTGGCTACTAGGTTTGAGGTTATAGAACTCAGTCTGAAATCACAAATTCTACTAAGTTGTTATGAAAATATCATATGGAATATAAAATAGAGGTACAAACTATCTGTTCTCATTTTCTTCAATGGATGCTTTGAGAAGTCAAGGAAAGCATGACATGTTAAAATTAGTGTCAGGTCTGGGTATACCTGGAAATATGCTTTTCTGGTGCTAATTTGAGAAATATTAATTTTCTCACGGTCCATATGCAGCACTAAGAAGACAGAAGACAAAATGTGTAAATGAAGGCAATGGGCATAGAAGGACTAAGGAAGCAAATTGCTGCTAATATTGGGCATTTCAGCACCTCCTCTAAACTTTATTACCTTTTGTTTGTTTGTTTTTGATTTTTTTGTTTATATGTTTTGCAAGGAGAGTCAAACAACAGTTAACGCTGGGTATTATAAGACTTTCAAAATCTAAGAAGCAACAAAACCAAATACCATCCACTCTGCCACAAATTTCACATTGGTCTTTTAATCCCTACTAGTTTGTATTCAATAAAGGCTCTCTGTGTGATTATTGCCTGTAAAACCATACCTAAGATATTCGGAACGATAGAAAGATATATAAGAAATGACCTCCTGTCTAGAGATCTAAAATGGAAAATGGAAATTAATGAGCCAGCTTGGTGGCTTGTGCCTGTACTCCCAGCTACTCAGGAGGCCGAGGCAGGAGGATCACTTGAGCTCAAGAATTCAAGGCCAGCCTGGACAACATAGCAAGACTGCCATTTCTCTAAAAAAAGCAGAGAAATAAATAAATGATCAAAACAGAGGGATATTCATGGGCAGAGGCAGTCTATGACTTCTTCGGATACTCACAAATGGACATACAACCACACATTAATGTTTTCTAGCCATCCTTTCTCATCATCCTAACTGCCTGTAGGCTGTGAGCCCTCCATTCTCACCAATGAAGCTCAGCAGATACACAACCAATGACCAGATTTTGGCCTTTGATTTCCATCCTTCCCACCAGGATAGACAAGCTGATCCTATTCAGGACTATATGCAGTCAGTCCATGGAAGCCACTACATGAATACAAAAAATGGCCATTATCCCTACTGGCCTTTCTTGTTTCTATGCCATGAAGTCAGTTCTTTACTGCTTGAGGTTTTCTGGAAAAGGGGGAGACCACAGGAATAGGGCATGAGTTCATGAAACCTAGTGCCGTAGAGTACAAAGAGTCCAGGAGGAACCTAGTGGGCTTCCTTGCTTTGGAGGGAGGCTTATGCCTCATTTTCCCCATTCCCCAAGCTAGAGCAGATGTGGAATGTTTTGGAAGCATAGTGAATGAGTGAGCTGATTAAACATTTTATAGAAATATGAGACATGTGTTTTCTGGAACCTGTCAGCTCACTTTCTAGAAATCCACCAGGTCATTCTACATTAACAGTGAGGTAAATAAATTTTTGACCCTCGTAGTCAAAGCTTTAATATGGGACAGGAAGAAAAGAGAGACTTTAAATCATTATCAAGACTGACTACTTCAGTATGTCATTTCCGGTTTTAAATGTTCACAAGATATAGACCACTGAGATACTCAAACTAAATCAATCGTTTTGTTATTGTTGTTGCAGTGCGCTTCCCGGGAATTAAAACTTACATTGATCCAGATACATATGAAGACCCATCCCTAGCAGTCCATGAATTTGCAAAGGAGATTGATCCCTCAAGAATTCGTATTGAGAGAGTCATTGGGGCAGGTAAATGTCAAATCTACACTTTTGAACAAAACATTCCTTAATTTCTTTGTAACTGGTTTATCAACATACTATCTTAAATCTTGGCAGTTTTGGTCATTGAAAAGTTTTAACAAGTGAGAAGTAAAGTGATCTTGTATATGTTATTTTTTTTAAGTATATTTAGTGTCCATTTGTTTCCAAACAATGACAACATTCACAAAAGTTACTTTTAACATTCTATAGTCTTTTTTTATAGTAGAGATAAATTACAATGAAACTATAATTTTTAGGGGTTTGTCATAAGGTTATAGATTTACTTGAGCGCCAACATGTATAGACATACACTATAATTATAATAGTATTTAAAATGATGACCATGAGCCTCTGCAAGACACAGAAAAGTTCTGAGAATCACCAAAGATAAAATTTGGTTCAATGTAGTTTTAGGTCATTTTAATGCAAATTAATATTTCTCCCTATGTAGAATTTTCCAATCTTAGAACATTTTATTATTCAACTATCCTGAATAAATACAAATTTCTTGTAAATCACCCCACAGGAATTTATGCTGTACATTAGTTAAGGCAGAGGCTAAGCCAATGTAACAAACAGACTCCAGAATACAGATTTATTCCTCTTTCAGATGCTTGACCCAAGGTGAATAGTCCATGCTGGCAGAGGAGCTGTCATTCAGGGGGACTTGCAAGGCCCAAGTTCCTTCTGTTCTTGGCTCTTCCTTCCCCTAGCATGCCATCCTCCTGTAAATGACCAAAGCTGGGTCACCAGTACATCTGCCTTCCTGACTGTGAGAAGGAAAAGGAAATAGTTCTGTCTCTCTGGTTTTGCTTTTAAGGCAATCACCTGAAACTTCCAAACACAGTATTCACATCTCAATGGTCCAAATAACAATAACATGGACATACTTAATTGCTAGAGAGTTTGGAAACGGAATTGCCGACAGCTGCCATGCATGCAGCTAAAATGCATACATTTATGCAGGGGGGCTGTTTTCCTAAAATAGACAAGGGATATTGGATCTTGATGGGGAACATAGGTCTCCTCTAGATGCTGGAGATTTGTTTAATCCTTTGGAAAGAGCAGAACAGATGCAAGCATGGCCATTCCAGCCAGGTGTCATGTCTTTACAAAGGCCAAAAGAAAGCAGCTGATGATCCTCTGTTTCTTTCAAAGTCCTTTTTCCTCCAGAAGGACAAGCTACATAATTTGCAGGGCCCAGTATACCCTGAAATATACAGAGTCCCTTGTTAAAAATTTATTAGTTATTTCAAGACGGTGACAACAGAGAACTAAACCAACTACAGGGCACACCTAAACTCAAGGCTGTACGTGACTGCACAAGTTACATACTCATGAAGCTAATCCTGTTTCCCGGGTACACAGAGAAGTAGAACTACCTCAAGAATTCCAGGCACATTTGCAGAGAGTTCTTCCTGATTTCACTCCATTCCCTAGGTACCATAGATCACCTCATCTCCTGCATGGCTGGGTCTCCCTCTGAAAGCTGCCACAAGGGCCTTTATGTTCATAATCTTTATGTTCTCAGCCAAAGAAGCTGCCTTATCAGAAAGATTAAGGACCTGAAATGGAACCAGATTCTCTGTCTTCTTCCACTGAACAAAGAGCACATCAGCAGGCATAATTGAGAAGAGTGATTGAATTATATTCATTTAGCTTTGGAGTTTGTTTTCTTAAGACAGCAAAGGGATAGAGAAGAGAGGAGGTTGGATAATCTCCATTGCACACGATGTTTGGCTTTCTTCTTCTTGCACCTGTGAAAAACTGATATGTCTTTTTATACTGCCTTGTCCAATACTCACATAGATACAGGAGAAGCATTTTCTGTTTTAGCCCTTTGTGCTACAGCATAACAAAATGCCAGTGTCTGAAATCATAATGTTGAGAGATAAAATCAAGTATCTGAAGTATAAACAATAAGAAGAAATAAAATGTTTCTTTTATTTTTAGATATTTTTTCAAGTAAAATATAAATTGTTCTCTTAAAAAAGTATAATTGATACTGCAAAAGCAAAAAATAACTACTAAAGAGATTATTTTAATTTCATTTTTCCACCTGCTGTCCCTGAACTCTAATAAGTCATAATGGCGTTTATCTCATTTGGCAAAGACAGATTATCTAAACCATGTAGTTATTCCTATAGATTGGGGTCTCTTTTTAAATCTTTATTCATCTTTGATTGTTTCAGCTTTCAAACAATATGCTAAGGGTCCTTTTACTGTCCATATTCAGAAAAATAACAAAAATAAAACTGGTATGTGAGACAAAAGTATTATAACCTAACTTGCGCCCCTGGCCGTACTGCTCTGTTAATTTATTCCTTTAGATCATTGTTATAGCCCTTTTTATGCTGCTCTAATAGAATGCCTCACATGGGGTAGTTTATAATGAACAGAGTTTTTAGGCTCAAGGTCCTGGCGGCTGAAGTCAAGATTGAGGGGCCACATCTGCTGAGGGTCTTCCTGCTGCATCATAACATGGTGGAAGGCATCACATGGGTGAGGGAGAGAAAAAGGGGGCTGACCTCTCCCTTTTATGAGGCTGCTGCATTAATCCAGTCATGAGGGCTGAGCCCTCATGATCTAATTACCTCTTTAAGGTCCCACCTCTAAACACAGTTGTATTAAGGATTAAGTTTCCAGTGTGTGCACTTGAGGGGACACATTCAAACCATAGCAGTCATGTTTCTAAAACTTTACTTTTGTGACTGTGTGAAGTGTGAACGTATTCCATAGCAGCAGTGTGGACAAAACATTGCTCAAATTGAAGAAGAACCAGTCGTGTAACATCTGTGTACCACTGGTTACTTTCCCAATTTGTAACTATAAATATTTTCTTACATTGTTTTGTATCCTTTATTTTCTTTCCCCAGCTATTGATTGTTTCTTCTGGGACTCTATTTCTTCATCATCTTTGTCTGTTAGGTAGTCCCCTTGGAAATGTAAATTAAGTGACTTAAGTGGTAGTCTAGATGCTAGACAGAGGTGAAGTGAGGTAGAGAAGATGAGAGAGGCCAGATATCAGGTTGTGACAATTGTCAAGTGCAGGATATTCAGGCAGAATTAAGGCATTGACAGTAGGAATGGCAAGGAGTACTTAGATTCACAGTTCATTTCTGAGGAAAAATGTACGAGACCTCTGTCTCTTATAGATGCAAGACATGCATGCAAAGCAACAGTTAAGATTACTTTTCAGATTTCTAGTTGGAAAAGCACAATATACAATCATTAAATCTTTCTTAAATGAGTTATCAGAAATAAATGTAAAACAGCCACATTAACATTTTCACAAAAAGCATGATATCACACCTGACCTGTGACATTTCTTACCACATTCACTGAACAATGTTTGTTAGATGGCTAATATTTACTTGTAAAAGATAATGTGCCACTTAATCATTTCATATTAAATCACTATGCTCATTAGAGATACATGTATTCAGGCTGTCTTCCTCAATCTTTGTCCTGAGATTTTCAACTACTAACCATCAAAATACTGTGCAACTGAACCATAAAAATTTAATTTTTCTGTACATATATTCTTAACATTCTCCTTCTTTCCCTATAAATTTCACTGGTTTTTTATAAGTTTTCTAGGGTACTTTTTTTGTGTGTGTATCACTGTTCTATTTAATACTGGCAGCTTATCTTTGTTCATCAATATTGGCCTGAATTTCCATGAAAATGCACATTTCCATTTAAATGAAGTGAGCAGCTCTGTTGCATAGGAGACTATCAAGATCATCTATCTCCTTTGGCTTTTTTGCACTATAAAATGAAATTCTGTGGACAGAGGACTGTAAAACAGAAACTCCCAGGCTAAAACAGCCAGGTCAGATTAGGGGAGAATCATTATTTTATACATATCTTGCAAGATATGAGAAAACGGTAAACAATTTTAATCATGGTCTGAAAAAGTCATTGAAAGGTTGTCCCTCTTTCAGGGTACTACTAAACCTAAACCAGTATAAGAACAACTTGCCTGGCAGAGTATAATTTTGAAACATTATTCCATTGAAAAAATGATTCTTGTGTCGCTAAGCCCATAGGGCACCCTTCTTAAATTTGACCTTCCCTGTTTCCCTTGTCTCAATGGAAATACATAATATCTTCCTGTCATACATATTCTTTCCCTTTATCTATATGAAACTCATTATGGCCTCCACTATCAGCCTTCTCTTCTGGCTTAGAGTCACCAAATTTTTTCTCTTTCTAGAATAGTCCAGGAAGTTTTAACTGTTGGTTTCTCAGCAGTTATCTGCAGGTAAAAGAATGTCAAAAGGACAACAAGAAGGATATAAAAGTGAGTGTCAAGCCTAATATTTCGATTCTGTTATTCCGTCTTGTTTGAAATCACATTTCCCCTTGATGCTATACAAGGCCTAATGTTCACTTCATGTGCCTCTCCTAATTCCCCTGCCACCCTCAACCCAGCAGGCCTCTATTTTCTACTCTAGAATATATTATTTTTTAGTTATCTTAAAGAAACTGTATTTTTGTTTGTCTTTTACACTTGTGTTATATATTCTTGTAGCATGACAATGACAAATGTAGGCAATATTCCAGATGTGGTTTCACAATTCTCTTTATATATATATTTTAAAACCTTGTGTTTATGGCTCATTTTCTCTATATTTAGATGAGATGACTTCCTTAGAAATGAGATTCATTCTTGTCCATCAACTTAAAGGATTTATGGTAGAGGTCACATTCATTTTCTTGTGTATTCTTGAAAACTTTGCATGTTGAGTAGACTGAGAATAAGATCAACAACAGATTTTGGCAAGGCCTTTGTGCTTTTACTCAATAATTTCAGAGCTTTCTAAATCAAATGATGTAATAAAAGATCAGCTTTACCCATTCTCCATCTATATTATGATATGAATGAAAAAGCAAAGAATGAAGCAAGACAGACTCAGATATGAATCACAGCTTTGCTACTAGCTCATTCTGTAAACTTTAACAATTTAGTTATCGTTCAGAAATTTGGGTCACTCCATGTATAAAGTAGATTTATAATAACAGCTATCTTACAGGATTAATAAAAGGATTAGAAATGACTATTAGATTAAAAAATAAATACAGTTTCTACATTCAGTTTTGACTGCTGAGATGAATAACACTTATTGCCCAACCCTCAATATACTTTGTGATATGAATATCTGCCCATGCAGAATTCAACAGTCAATGCCTTAGGTAACTGGAATAATATTTATGATTTTCAGAGTTAGTTGAAAATTAGTAATTGAAATGAAATTTTATTTTTGTTACTACATTGAGTTATATCCATGTCAACAAACTCTTTTTCTTTTTAATTAAAGAAACTCAAGGCAGGGCACGGTGACTCACGCCTGTAATCCCAGCATGTTGGGAGGCCCAGGCGGGTGGATCACGAGGTCAGGAGATCAAGACAATCTTGGCTAACACGGTGAAACCCTGTCTCTACTAAAAAACACAAAAAATTAGCAGGGCGTTGTGGCGGGTGCCTGTAGTCCCAGCTACTCCGGAGGCTGAGGCAAGAGAATGGCATGAACCCGGGAGGCAGAGCTTGCAGTGAGCCGAGATCGCACCACTGCACTCCAGCCTGGGCGAAAAAGCGAGACTCCGTCTTAAAAAAAAAAAAAAAAGAAACTCAAAACTTATTTTTTTATATTTAGGAGGTTATATTTGTCAGGGAATGTTTATTTTTTGTTAAAAAACTCAACAAGTCTTAAGATGAGAATCAAAGGAAAAATTATTTAAATAACGTAAAACTATTCTACAGTAGTCTATCAATTTATTCTTGGTACATCTAAGGAATTAGTAGATTTACTGTCAGGAGCAGGACTGTATATCAATTTAATAGACTTTCAATTAATTTTTGTTAATTTCATGAGTGTTTACCTGCATTTCAACACCGTACATCTTATTTGGAACCATTTAGTACACATTTTCTATCTTATATACAGATTTCCAAAACTTGCAAGTTGCCTCATCATAGTCATTGTTTGATAAATGCTTGTTTAATAAATAAATAAAATTCTTAAACTAATTTAAAAAAATAATGAGTAAATAAATGAATGACAAAAGGATATAGAATTATTCTAAGTAATGATTTTACGTGACTATGTTTATCTGGTTGCCAACAAAAATCTTAATGAAGTATGACAATATAAAATTAATTGCATAATATGTGCAAATAAAAATAAGAAAAATTCATAGAGGACATTTGGGAATTACAATTGTTACATTGCTTTATATTAACAATTTACTTGATAGACCAAAATTATAGAATTTATTATATGCCTTTGCACTTATATAGTAAAATACAGAATTATACAGAAAATATTACATTGATATTTTATTTTGAATTGAGTTTATGTAACAGGGGAAGTAATTTTGAAGAGTTGTTTATAACTTACAAAGAAGTTATTTTTCAAATTTGTTTTTATTTTTTTCTTCTAGTTTGTGTATTGCTAAAATATTAGGTGAAATGAAGGAAATTTGATCCCTATTTTCAAAAGAGTTCTCCAAGGATGTTAGCAAGACTGGGTACATCTTAGAATGATGTTCTTTCTTATGGCTAAGAAACAATAGATGAGAAAGACCCACATATCGACAGCAACAACTTTTAGCCCTTATATTTCTAGAGTATATTAGTTATCTCTTGCTGCACAACAAATTACCCTAAAACTTAAAACAGGAACATTACTATCTCACAGTGTCAGTGGCTCAGGATTCAGGAATGGCTTAGCTCCTGCACAGTTGCTCACAAGGTTGCAGTCCTGGTGTCAGCTGGGACTGTGGTCTCAACTGAAGGTCAGCTGGGCAAGGATCCACATCCAAACTTATTTATATAGCTGCTGTCAGGATACAGTCCTTTGAGGGTTGTTGCACAGACAGTTTTAATTCCTCACTGCTGTTGGCTGGAGAACATCCTCAGATTCTTACCATGTGGGCATCTCCAACGTGGCAGCTTGCTTCATCAAAGCCAGCAACAGAGTCTGCTAGTAAGACAGAAGTCACAGTGTTTTATAACCTAATCATGGAAGTGACAGCAAATTACCTTTGCACATTCTATTGACCATAAATATGATACTAGACCCTCCCCACACTGAAGGGAAGGGATCACACAAGGACAGGAATACCAGGATGCAGGGATCATTGCAGGCCATCTTAAAAGTTTGCCTACTACAAATAGTATTGTTTCATTATGTTTGGGGCTCTAAGGTGGTCCTAATTAGCCAGCATTACCAGGAGTGATTTCTCCCCTTCAGTCCAATTCACATCAAAGATATCAAAGATGAGTCTTAGACACTCTCTGATACTCAAGCAGTTTATTCTGGCAGTGCTCTTGTAAGATGGATAGTGGGGAGCAGGCCAGTGGCATGGGCCAGGTACAGTCGGGGGGTCAGATGATCAACTGACCAGGAGGGTCTCTGTCTGGAGACCATTCTCAGAGTTTAGGAAGTTCCTCCCACTTTCTTATACCTGTATTCAGTGTGGGTCAATTATTAGGTGTTTCTTTCATAAAGGGAGTGTAGTCTCTCCTTGTAAGGGTATGCTTTTTTTTTTTTTTTTAAGGTTTATGAGAGTTGAATCTGTGCTGAGATGGCCTTGTGTATAGGGTATCCAGGGTTTTTAGGTCTCATTGTCATAGAGACCCAGTCATCCCCAGGCCTACTTGCATCATACCCCTAAGGACACATAATGTCGGCCCTGTGAGTTGTTTGAGTAGGCCATAGGGCTGTCATTAATCCCACAGCCACCATGTGTTTGTAGGCAGTGTTTCAAGCAGAGAGCAAGAGTTGTAAGGCCACTTGAGGTCTTGTCTCTGAACTTAATTCTGACACATACAGTTGATCAAAGCAAGTCACAAAGCCAGACCATATTTAACAAGGTAGAAAAATAGATTTTACTGGTCAATGGGAACAGCAAAATTACATTGCAAAGTGGCATACATGTAGGATAGGGAGGAATTCATGGCCATTTTTTTACAATCTACCACATAGCTGATAGATTTTTTTTAAGTGAATCATTATTTTTTCAAGCTTAAAGTGAATAACAGATTATGAATTCATTTGCTATTTTGTCTCTAAGACTATTTTTGCTTTGCACCCCCTAATGAATGATATTAATGTTTTCTTAATACTCTTAGTTAATCAGCCTTGGGTTAGGTATTAAAAGGCTTACAAAAAGGAATAATGAGCTGGGCATGGTGGCTCACACCTGTAATCCCAGCACTTTGGGAGGCCGAGGCGTGCAGATCATTTGAAGTCAGGAGTTTGAGACCAGCCTGGCCAACGTGGTAAAACCCAGTCTCTACTAAAATACAAAAATTAGCCAGGCATGGTGGTGGGCACCTGTAATCCCAACTACTCAGAAGGCTGAGGCAGGAGAATCTCTAGAACCAGGGAGGCGGAGATTGTAGTGAACCGAGATAGTGCCACTGCACTCCATCCTGGGTGACAGAGCGAGAGTGAGACTCAGTCTCAAAAAAAAAAAAAAAAAAAAAAAAAAAAAAAAAAAAAAAAAAAAAAACCGTGGATAATGTAGCATCTCAGACTCAAGCGGGAAGCTAAGGAAAGTATAATATATAAGGTAGAAAGGAGGAAAGAAAGGACAAGATAGATAATAAGTGAAGAAAACATGCAAATAAATTGTTGTTCAAAGAATGTAAAGATCACTGTATACTGGGAGATCAGATCGCATTAGAAAGACTGAATTAGGCATTTAGATATACTGTTAAAGATAAGGATTGTCAAGCTGTAGAAAAGGTATTTTAGATGGGAAAAGCATTAGAAGTGGTAGAATAAATGGTGTGGAGATTAAGAGGAATTTAGGACGTTTTCAAGTATTTAGAGCTTGATGACACTGGATCTTTATTATATCTAATTTCTCTTCAAAACATAAGCTTTTCCTTTTTTTTTTTTTTTTTGATGTGAATGTAACTCTAGCCCTGCTTTTTGGCTATGAATAATGGCTAGTGACTTTTTAGTTTGTTGACTTTTTAATGACAAAGTTTAAAGTGATTAAAGAAAAGAGGAAAGATGTTTTACTTTTATTGGGCAAAGAAAAGTAAAAAAGAGTATGGATCTGTATGTGTGTGTGTATGTATACATACGTACATGTAAATGTGTTTGTGTTTGTATGTGTGTGTGTGTGTATACATACGTACATGTAAATGTGTTTGTGTTTGTATGTGTGTGTGTGTATGTGTGTATTAGTCAGCTTCACTGTCATAACAAAATATCACAGATTGGGTGGCTTAAAAGGCACAAATTTATTTTCTCACAGTTCTGGAGGCTGGAGTTTTAGATGGGGTGCCTACATGGTCAGGTTCTGGAGAAGCTGTCTTCTGGATCGCAGAGATCCACCTCCTTGTCCTCACATGGCAGAGAAGAGATATATCTTCCTCTTCGTATAAGATCACAGTCTTTATCAGATTAGGGTCCCGCTCTGAAAACCTCATTTAGCCTTAATTTCTTCCAAAAGACCATATGTCCAGATGCTGTCACATTGAGTTAGAGTATCAATGTATAAATTTTGGGGGGACACAATTTAGTCCTCTGTGTGTGTGTGTGTGTGTAGTGGGTGAGGAAGAAAGCAAGATATTACCTGATGAAAGATTTACTCACTGTTATCCAAGTGTCTTCATGAGTAAATTTTGAATGAAAGAATAAAAATTGTAAATTCATAAAGGATATGCCTGCTAGGTTTGACTTACTGGGAGAGCTCTGTCTGAACTTAGAGCTGAGTTTAGGCTGAGAGCTAAAGCAAACTATCTCGTGGTTACCACGTGTCCAGAGAGTGGTGGAGGCACAGGGAAACAGAGAGAGGAGCAATAGGTCTCCCAGAGTAAAATCTATAAAGATGGTACAATTTCAGTTACTTTTCAGATAATATGCTGATGTGATTGCTGTTAAGACTATAAGAAAGATTTCAAAAAATCAATATGAATGCTAAAAATCAAACTGTTCAATGTGCAATTGAAGCCTAAGTGCTTTGACCAGGATGTACCTATTATGGGTTATCTTTGTAGTAGGTTCTTCCAACAGATGTTAGAACCTTTTCTAAAATCAGGTATTTGACATTTTATCACAACTTTTATTAACATCAATGTAACTTGTGTATCCACTGTTCCCTGATTATAATGGAAAAGTACCTTAATTTTATCCGGAAATAATATTTGTGTCATAAATAGGGTTTCTTCCCCAAAAGTTATTTCCGCCTTTTATAACCAGTTAATCTATCTCTGGTTAGAATCTTATAAACTTTCCTCGCAGTAAGTGACACTTTCTAACCTGTCTCGTCTTTTCCTGATCTTGTCCCTAAAATTTGGAGTCATTTTATATTTGTTCTTCAAACATCTCATCCACTGGGGGAGAAAATTCAATTTAAATTTTGAGAACAAGAACTAGCCAATTTACCTTCGTGAGCTGTAATTTCCCTATCCGTGAAATAAAAGTAAAATACCTTTACTCCTTCATGATTGTTGTGAGAAGAAAATGAGATAAAGTAGATTCTATCTGACCATCCAGCATTTATCAGAACACCACCAATGAAAGTGTTCACTACCTCCAAGATAGCCCATTCCCTTGGGAACAGTTCCAATAAATCCAGGATATTTGTGAGTAAAAAAAAAAAGTGCTTCCTTATAACTCCGTACATGATCTTACAACACTGCCTACTGGTACTCGTTCTGCAAAATTGAACTTATACAAAGTAAACCTAATCCTACTTCCACACCACACCATTACCCTTCAAATAGTTAAAGAACAACATGTAAACCTCATAAATCTTCTTTGTTCAGCCTAAATTGTCTAAATCTTTTCAACCATTTCCATCCGACATGATGTCTAGATACGTCATCATTCTGGCCACCTTCCTCTGGAGATCTAGAGTTTTTCTCTAAGTCTTTTCCAGAATTGAACCCAATACTCCAAATGTTTTCTAATCAATGTGAGAACACAGGGATAGCACGTTTCCTGCTGTGCCTCGATTAATGCATCCTGAGTTTGCATTTGCTTTTTGAACAGCTGCCACGCGCTGTTGGCATAGGGAGAGCTTACTACCAGCTTATCCCCAGCGGTCTTTCTCAGAGGAGTTTCTATTAAGCCAGGCCTATTTCTATACTTGTCAATTGACTTTATTACTTTTGAGTGCAATATTATATTTTTATAGGTCTACACTATATATATATGTAAATCATATATATAAATATGAACCATATATATCATATAATTCATATATAAAAATATGAATAGATATAGATATGTTGAAAATGGTCTAGATATGTAATACCTATATAAATTTGTATAGATAGGTAAAGAATGTATATTCTAGAAATATATACTAGAATATATGATATATTCTTTACATGTCTATACAAATTCTAGTATATATAGAATATATGATATGGAATATATGGTATATGTACTTTACATCTCTATACAAACATTATGTACTTTTCATATTCCCATTTCATAAATATTCCTATTCAATTTCATTGTGTTTCTGTAAGTAAAATTTCTCAACCTGTCCATGTCTTTTTCCATCTCAATTACATCAGCTGGTACAATTATTGTCCTTCTCAGTAACATCTGTGATTTGTTCTGCCTTGCAATTTAGCTGTGTACTCTTATCATAAGAGCTCAGCACTCCCTGTGCAGCAATCATTTAGTATACTCTCTAATTTTCTTCTTCATTGGTACAATTGTTTTTTCATTATTGGAATTCTGTATTTTGTAGTTGCCTATCTCTCACTCTTTATAGAATCTCTGATCAAGAAATTGTACCCAATCCATGTGCATTTTTTAACTGCCACTCTGAAGTTTAATGTCTACAGTTATGGCCGTACTTTTTCCCTGGACTGTAAATATCTTAAAGTGAAAATGGTCAGTTTTTTCCCAGGTTTCCCCACCCCTTGCATTTCATCAGTCTTTATTCAGAACTAAATCAAAATAACAGCTCTGTTGACTTTTTGAAAGACGGACACAGCAGCGAGGCAGGCAATTATGATTTTATAGCTTCTCTCTTATTGCTTTCATGGTGGACTAAATGAATTCACAGCATGGGAAAGTGTGTTTTGTGAGGATTGATTGAAGTGTGAAGCACATGGACTTTCCATGTGGTCTAATGCAGTTCCTTGTTCACATGGAAAGCTCTGATATTCTCTTCCTGCCAAAATCTTTGTCCGTGGTTTCCTCCTCGCTTCAGCCTATCAGGAAAAAAAAGTCTGTCTTTACCATTAATAGTAGGCAAGAATTATTAAATGTTCATCTGCTTGGGATGAGCTTTACATGCATTATTATTTCTTTTATCATCACAAACCTATAAATCACAAGGATCACATATGTCTATTTTACAGATACGAAAGCTAAGATTTAAAGAGATTAAGTTATTTGGTCAAAGTGAACCAGCTTGTAATAGTGAAGCCAGAGTAATCTTATGTTATAGCTCATGCTTTTATTAACCACAACTTCATTACAAATAACCCTTTATATTTATGAAGCCATACTTCTATAAGAATATCTTCTTCTGGCACTTGTACAACTGATAATTCTGAAACCATCTTCACCTATCTTAGGTGAATTTGGCTGTGTTCCTTGCTTTCATTCTGGCCATCTGTCAGTCTTTCTGTCTGTAGTCACTTTCCAACTCTATGACGTATAGACTGTGTTTTAGCTGCTGATTGAGTCTCTGTGATTTGTAGGCTGAAAGTGAATTACCATTACCTAAGTGCATTGATGCACACACACAAAAAAAAAACCAACTGCCTCAGCAGAACCAACAGTAATGTGAATATTGATTATTGTCATGAAATCATTATTTAGGATAGGATTACAAATTTCCCTCATTTGTAGTGAGATTTGCATGTTCTGTGTGGCATGTCAATTTATCATCATTCCCTGTCAGCTCTGCCTTCAAATATATCCCAGGATCCAACCTCGTTTTACCACTTTGCAACAGCCTCCCTGGCCAACCCACCAACACCTCTCCTAGCCTCCCTTCTTCTACCACTCCGTGGTATGTTCTCCTAACATGGAACCCTAGAATGGAAAGATCCCTTGGAAATGTAAACCAGATTGTGTCCCTCTCTGCTCAAAACCTGCCAATCATGATCTGTTCTGGTCAAAGTAAAAGCCTGGCCACCTACTTAGCTGCCTCTTCAATTGCATCTCCACCAACCTTTCCTTCACGCATTGCTCTGGCAACAATGGTGTCATTCTTCCTCAACTTTCTACATGCACTCCTATCTCAAGACCTTTGCACCTGGTATTCTGTCTAACTAGGAAGCTCTTAGCTCCAGTAACATCATGGCTCTGTCCCCACTCCCTCACTTCCTCCAACTTCTATGACAATGCAAATTTATCAGAGACCTTTCAGGTCCTTCATAAACTAGCAATTCTCCTTTCTTACTCTCCTTCCCTCTCACCCTGCCTTTATTCCACAGTAATTATTACCAACTAACATGTACATGTGTTTTGTTTTTCCTATTGTCTGTCTTCCCTTTCTCTTTCTAATTCACTGCTGTACCCTCAGCCCTTTAAACACTACTTGGCATGTGGTAGGCACTATATAAATTTTAATTAATGGATATAGAATTTACAAGTGTTTATTTATCTATTAAATGACTTTATTCTCAAAAACCTAGTGTAGGGTTGAGGAGAAGGGAGCAGGATCATAATTCTTCTTATGCATGTGCGGGGTTAATTGCTGTGATGGAATGCTGAAAAGAATGCATCAGACTCTCAGAAAAAAAAAAGCAGGCAAGTCTAATTGAATTTTAGGAGAATTACATAGATTGCAATTAAAATGATCACTATAATGTCAGTGTGGAGGAAGGATTTAGATAAGCAGTGATTGACAGCAGATAAACCCATAAGAATTCAGGGATTCATGAGAACAAGGCAACAGAACAAGTCTCAGGTTTTTTACCAGAATGACTGAGGTTAAAACAAACAAACAAACAAAAAAACACAGGAATATTGGGATATTTGACATGTTGAGATAATGTGGAAGAATCAAGTGTTTTCAAGCCAAGAATGAAAATCTGGTCTATGTTCTTGTTTGACGAAAATCACTATGCTCTTGATGTATTAAATAACCCTTCTTTACCCCGTTATCTATAATTCCTATGAAGACAAGGAATGAACTTAGATTATAACTGATTGGTTGTAACGTAGAGCTCTGCCTAGTGAGAAGCAAATCCAAGAGACACAATTGTCCAGTTTCTAAATGTGCATAGCCAAAGAAAAGCCAAAAGAAAATAGCAAAAAAAAAAAAAAAAAAAATGGAGTCTGTCCCAAAGCAGGCAGGAATGTCTTGCTTGCCAGAGTTGTACGTCAAGTCCAGGAGGCTTTTTTCAGCTCGTTGTTGGGTCATGGGCCCAGTGAAATAATGGGCCATTACCTGACTAAGGAGAAAAAAATAAAGGGGTAGGGAAGAGAGTTAAATTTTATTTTTAAAACAGTAAATTTGAAAGTACAATTAGTGTGAATGTTGTCTTATATTTGATGTATTGGCCTGGTAAGGGTCACTTGTTGGTTGATGGAACAAATGTTTATAGTACTGGAGATCAGTGGTTCCTTTTTCCTTTACTCTATAACAGTGGTCCTCAACCCCCAGGCTGTGGGCTTCACCCACCTCCTGTCAGATCAGTGGTGACATTAGACTCTCATAGGAGAACAAACCCTATTGTGAATGTGCATGTGAGGGACCTAGGTTGCGTGCTCCTTATGAGAATCTAATGCCTGATGATCTGAAATAGAACAGATTCATCCTGAAGCTATCCTCCCCCAACCCTTCATCTGCGGAAAAATTGTCTTCCATGAAACCAGTTGCTCATGCCAAAAAGGTTGGGGACCTCCACTCTATAAGATCTAACTGCACTTTGCAAAAGCAATAATCAAAAGAATTGAAGG
This sequence comes from Homo sapiens, assembly GCF_000001405.40. Classification (NCBI taxonomy): domain Eukaryota; kingdom Metazoa; phylum Chordata; class Mammalia; order Primates; family Hominidae; genus Homo; species Homo sapiens. The sequence goes on from NC_000003.12 coordinate 97,498,981, forward strand.
ATGACAGATTTCCATTACGATTATAGAAACTTTTAATTTATTTCTGTCTTTTTAAAACTTTTAAGCTTTAAGTCAAAATAATGTACACATATATCTTTAGAAAAGATATACAAACTAGAAGGGCATATAATGAAAAGCACAAGGATGCCATGCCTTCTCTTTACTCCCCATCCAACCTCGATTCTTGTTCATCTGTGGCAATGATTTTTACCTGATTCTGTTTTTTAATTATGAATTAAACGTTACTTATTGACTTTCTGTTATCATGGATAAAGATATAGCTTCCTTACAGCACCCACATCTCCTTTCCTCTCAATATAATTGTTGCCTTTATAACTGATGATACCTTCATAACTTAAACATTAAGATCTGTATATCTTCTTCCCACAAATATAGTCACTATGTTTTATACTTTGGTAGTTTCTTACCTATAATCAAGATACAAAACATACAAACAGCATATTTTCAAATTATTATACAGTCTTGTGCCACTTAAGAACAAGGATATGCTCTGAGAAATGCATTATTAGATTATTTCATTGTGGTACAAACATCATAGAGTGCACTTAACCCAAACCTAGATGGCAGCATCTATTGTACGCTGAAGCTATATGGTATAGCCTATTCCTTCTAGGCTACAAAGCTGTAAAGCATACTGCACTGAATACCTTAGGCAATTGTAACACAATGGCAAGTATTTGTGTATCTAAACATAACATCAAAAAGGTATAGTAAAAATGCAGCATAAAAATGTGGTATAAAAGTGCCCTACCTGTGTAGGGCACTTATCGTGAATGAAGCTTGAAGGACTAGAAGTTGCTCTGGATAAGTCAGTGAGTGAGTAAGGTGTGAATGTGAAGGCCTAGTACATTCCTGTACACTACTGTATGTAAACTTTATAAACACTGTACACTTAGACTACACTAAATGTATAAAATACAAATATTTTTTCTTCAATAATAAATTTTATTTTATAAACTTTTTAACTTTTTTAACTTCTTGACTATAATAACACTCAGAATAAAGCACGAACACATTGTACAGCTGTATAAAAGATTATCCTTATTTATATTCTTATTCTATAAGCTTTTTCCTGTGTAAATTTTGTTTTTAATTTTTAAATTGTTTTGTTACAAACTAAAACACAAACATACACATGAGCTTAGGTCTACACAAGATCAGGATCACAAATATTGCTGTCTTCCACCTCCACATCTTTTGTCACACTGGAAGGTCTTTTGGGATGTGGTATGTGTAAGTTCATTCTGACATTCCTAGAAATACCTGAGACTGGATAATTTTATTTTTTTTTTAAAAAAAGAGGTTTAATTGGGTTAAAATTCGACAGGTTGTACAGGAAGCACGATGCTGACACCTGCTCAGCTTCTGGGGAAGACTCAGGAAATATATAGTAATGGTGGAAGGTGAAGGGGGAGCAGGCATGTCACATGGCAGGAGAGGAGCAAAATAGAGAGTGGAGGGGCAGGTGCTACATACTTGTAAACGACCAGATCTCGCTATTATGAGAACAGCACCAGGGGGATAGTGCTAAACCATTCATGAGAAATCCACCCACATAACCCAATCATTTTCCATCAGGCCCGGCCTACAACACTGGGGATTATAATTCACCATGAGATCTGGATGGAGAGACAGATCCAAACCATATCATGGTAGTAGATATTATGAAGAAGAGTGTGTTTGTCTCCTGCTAAGGTTCCAAAATGACAGCTATCTTCTGGATATACCTGAATTAATTAATTCTATTATTATCAATGGCTCATTTAAACAAGCTTGAAACCCCTAGTATCTTTTTTAGTTTCATAATTAATCAGTTCAATAAGGAGTATAGTTAAATTAATTTCTGTAAAACCTTTAAAATGGTAGCTAATTCTTGGCTACTATTATCTTCATATAATAGGAAGCCATAAGTAAAAGTATACAACAAATAGCAATTTTTTTTCTAGTTCTAAAGTACTATGCCCAAGCTCAAAGGGTTACCTACTCTTCGTAATATTTTCATAATTTTGAAACCAACACTTACTATTTGGGATAACAGTTCTGGACTTTAGTTTCCTGTACCTCTCAAAAATGAGGTATATAAGAACATATTCAAAAAATGTAAAATAAAACTTGATGGTCACAGTACAACCAGAAATTGAGAAATCTGCCAATAAGGCAGAAGTTTTGATGTGCTTTCTTTAATAACTTCTATTACCCAAGGAATAAATTGAGTAAAGCTGGAGGATCTGAATGATACAACTTAAAAAATTCTATCTGATGAATATATAGAGATTGAGTAAAGCTGGAAGATCTGAATGATACAATTTAAAAATTCTATCTTATGAATATATAGAAACAATAATAAACTCAAATTTGCAGAATAATATTCCCTTTAAGCAGACAAAAAAATATAATTGATCATGTTCCAGGTCATAAAGAAATTTGTAACAAATTTTAAAGGCTGAGATTTTTATAGAATACATTTCTAAACAAAATTAAGTTAGAAATAAATAATAGAACAGTAACTTTAAAAAACAGAGAATTTAAAATATTTTAAAATAACACATGAATTGTTTTCAAAGTAATTAAATAACTCACTTAAATAACTCATGGGTTATTTTAATATAATTTAGAAAATTTCTAGACCTAAATAATAGTGAAAAAAACTACATCTTAAAACTTACAGGGCACAACTAATGTGATACTTTAGAAGTAAATGTATCTAGCCTTAAAATGCTTATTTTAGAAACAAAGAAATGATGAATATTAAAGAGCTAAGAATCCAGCTTAACAATTTAGAAAAAGAGAAAGGGAATAAAAGAAAGTAGAAGGAAAGAAATGGTAAAGATAAGATCAAAAACAGTAAATGGTGGTCAAGGGTGCACAGGCTTATGCAAACCCACCCCCAAATTCTGAGAGAGATGAGAGGCTGAAGAAAGAGGCTGGCAAGTCCAGTTTCTCAGAAAGGAATATTTAATGGAGACTTACAAGTAGAGGCCATGTCTGTGCCTTCCATGGAGACAAGACAAGATGATGGATCCTCACGACATTACCCCCTATACCCAGGGCTTACGTACCACAGAGAAAGAGTATTTGCGATTCAGAAGAGATATGTAGGACAATTGGAGCATGATAACATTGAGGCTGTTTTGACCTAAGAGCAAGATTTACAGTAACTACCTGCTTTTTTTTTTTTTTTTTTTTTGACAGAATCTTGCTCTATCGCCCACGCTGGAGTGCAATGGTGCAATCTCGGCTCACTGCAACCTCTGCCTCCTAGGTTCAAGTGTTTCTCCTGCCTCAGCCTCCCAAGTAGCTGGGACTACAGGTGCACACCATCACATCTGGTTAATTTTTGTATTTTTAGTAGAGATGGGGTTTCACCACGTTGGGCAGGCTGGTCTCAAACTCCTGACCTCAGATGATCCACCCACCTCGGCCTCCTAAAGTGCTGGGATTATACATGTGAGCCACCGTGCCCGGGCAAGTACCTGCTCTTATACAAGAAACAATAAAACTGGAAATTTTAGTGGCCTTCCCAGAATACACATTAATCAAAAGTCAATATGGGCTGGGTGTGGTGGCTCACGCCTGTAATCCTAGCACTTTGGGAGACCAAGATGGGAGGATCACGAGGTCAGGAGATCGAGACCATCCTGGCCAACATGGTGAAACCCCGTCTCTACTAAAATACAAAAAAATTAGCTGGGCATGGTGGCATGCACCTGTAGTCCCAGCCACTTGGGAGGCTGAGGGAGGGGAATCACTTGAACCAGCGAGGTGGAGGTTGCAGTGAGCCGAGATTGTGTCATTACGCTCCAGGCTGGTAAAAGAGCAAGACTCTGTCTCAAAAAAAAAAAAAAAAAAAAAAAAAAAAGTCAACATAGTGGATTATTATGCAGGATGGATTTGCTTTAGTCTTCACAAATAGAAAACAAAATAACAAGAAAACTAAAATTTGTTTCCTTAAAATACTAATAAAATTTTCAAACTAACTCTGACAAAACAAATCAAGAAAAATATAAGGTATAAGTGAACAATATTACAGATGAAAAAGGAAAAGAAGATATAACTGCTGATAAAAATATTTAAAAATCAATAGGAAAATACTATAAACAGCTTTGTTACAATAAATGTAAAAATTAGATAAAAGAGACAAGTTTTTGGAAAATTATATATTACAAAAACTGACCTCAGGATAAATAGGAAACTAAATTGTCCTATATTCATTACATAAATTGTGTCAGTGTTTTTCCCTGCAAAGGAAATTTCAGATCCAGATTTTGAGTTTTTTTGAAAGTTTTACGGAACACATAGTTCCAAAAAACAGATAAATCCAATTTTACACAAATTCAAATAATATTAAAATTTTGCTCCCTAGGTAAAACTGTGAGCTGAAAAAGTTTGTTTGACTTACCATTCTCCCTCCTAAAGCATAAACTATTTACCTAATATTACCTAAGCCTCTTTTTCTGCTCAGTTAGGAACTAGTCCTTTCCTTCTACCCTGCACCAAAACACAAAGCATGCACCAAAGCTTGAAGTCACTTTGGAAAATAACTGGTACTAAACAGTCAGAATGCTGTTATTGCTGGAAATCAACCTGTAATGATGAGATTTCAGTGTGTCATAGTAAACTGGAGACATATTTGGGAGATATTTCACTTTCACATTCAAACACTGAGATAAGTCACTAATTTTGTCGCCATTCCCCTATATTAGAGTTTTACAGTCTGATGGCATTAATGACTGTCCAAATTCTCATTTTATGTTAAGTATGAATTTTAAAACATGTCCTTTTAGGAAATACTTATTTAAAAATTCAAAAGTTTCATTATGTTTACATATATATTTCTAAATTTTATAAAATTTTACTTCTTTAGTTATTACTGCTTTTTTATAACAATTGGAAGACTTAAATTTGATAAGTAAAGGAAAATTTCAACCTCCAGAATGCTGGGAAATGAAAACTCTAAAACAATTCTATGCTGTGGAGCATTTAGGGTTATTCTTTCAATTTCCAGGATTTTAAGTATTTTATACAGTTGTTTCCAAAATGTGTTATTTACTTTTCATAAGCTATTAAAACAGTAGAAGATTAATCTTTTTCTAACATAGCAAAGAAAATTCACAATAGCAAAAACTAGAATGAAGAGATCTCACTTGCTGGCCAAATAATTAATACAATTGTTACAGTCTTGCCAATGCACCACAATGTAGCAGTCTCTCATTGTGAAGTGTCAGGCTGGAGTTCTTTATCTCAGGACCAAGAGAATTAAGGAGCCTGGACACAAAGGCTAAGGTTGGAGCAAAAGTTTTAATAAGTGAGAGAAGAAAGAGCTCTGCAGTGGGTAGGGGGCCCGGAAGTGGAAGTGGTTGCCGTTTTTACAGTTGAATGCAAAGGCTTTTATAAGAAAATGATGAGGCCTAGCATCTCATTTGCATAAGGAGCAAATTTCTGTCAGCTCCACCCCATCCTCCTAGTGTGCATGTGGGCCCTTAGCTTGAGTTACTTTATATAGCTTTGTTTCCCTTACTGTATATGTGTCAGGGGACAGAGTTTTCCATTGCAGGCATGTCTGAGCAAGTCACCTGTGTAGCCCTTCTTTAGCCAAGCCACACTGTGCAAGTTCTCTCATCTGTGCTTTCAGGCTGTTCTTTTGTTTGAAAGGATTCAACTGAGGACCCACCTAAACTGCCTGCCCGATGGTATATTTTTCTTCCTCCTCTCTCACAATCTCATTTTGGTGTATATCCTTCTAATCTATTTCCTAAGCACAAAGTTTATTTTTTATTTTCATAAAGTTGAAATTATACCCTATAGTATTTTTACGTATATACTTAACATACTTTTATATTCACTTTCTAATATAACATGTACATTTTCCATGTTATTACATGTAGTATAAGTTATCTGAACAAATCTGTTTGTAAAAACTTGAAATCAATCCCAATTTTTTTATTATTTATAAACCTGCTTTTTAAAAATATTTTCTTTTTTTAATGCATACATTATTTTATTTGATCTGGTTACATGAGGTTACCTTTGTCATCCCCAGAATTTTATAGAGGAAGTTCAATTCAGTCTGAATGGCAGTGTCCTCATAGGTGTGTCCACCAAGTAGAGTGGCAAGGGCGTAGACTTGCTAAATCAGTGACTTTAGATAAGTTGTATAATCTCTTTGAAATTCAGGTTTCTCATTTCTTTTGTTTTATTATTATTATACTTTAAGTTCTGGGATACATGTGCAGAACATGCAAGTTTGCTACATATGTATACATGTGCTGTGGTGGTTTGCTGCACCCATCAACCCGTCATCTACATTAGGTATTTCTTCTAATGCTATCCCTCCCCTAGCCCCCCACCCCCGACAGGCCCTGATGTGTGATGTTTGCCTCCCTGTGTCCTTGTGATCTCATTGTTCAACTCCCACTTATGAGTGAGAACATGTGGTGTTTGGTTGTCTGTTCCTGTGTTAGTTTGCTGAGAATGATGGTTTCCAGCTTCATCCATGTCCCTGCAAAGGACATGAACTCATCCTTTTTTATGGATGCATAGTATTTCATGGTGTATATGTGCCATGTTTTCTTTATCCAGTCTGTCATTGATGGGCATTTGGGTTGGTTCTAAGTCTTTGCTATTGTGAACAGTGCTGCAATAAACATATGTGTGCAGGTGTCTTTATAGTAGAATGATTTATAGTCCGTTGGGCATATACCCAGTAATGGGATTGCTGGGTCAAATGGTATTTCTGGTTCTAGATCCTTGAGGAATCACCACACTGTCTTCCACAATGGTTGAACTAATTTACACCATCAACAGTGTAAAAGTGTTCCTATTTCTCCACATCCTCTCCAGCATCTGTTGTTTCCTGACTTTTTAATGATCGCCATTCTAACTGGCATGAGATAATATTTCATTGTGGTTTTGATTTGCATTTCTCTGATGGCCAGTGGTGATGAACTTTTTTTCATGTGTTTGTTTGGCCACATAAATGTCTTCTTTTGAGAAGTGTCTGTTCATATCCTTTGCCCACGTTTTGATGGGGTTGTTTTTTTCTCGTAAATTTGTTTAAGTTCTTTGTAGATTCTGGATATTAGCTCTTTGTCAGATGGATAGATTGCAAAAATTTTCTCCCATTCCATAGGTTGCCTGTTCACTCTGATGATAGTTTCTTTGCTGTGCACACACTCTTTAGTTTAATTAGATCCCATTTGTCTATTTTGGCTTTTGTTGCCATTGCTTTTGGTGTTTTCGTCATGAAGTCTTTGTGCATGCCCACGTCCTGAATGGTATTGCCTAGGTTTTCTTCTAGAGTTTTTATGGTTTTAGGTCTTACATTTAAGTCTTTAGTCCATCTTGAGTTAATTTTTGTATAAAGTGTAAGGAAGGGGTCCAGTTTCAGTTTTCTGCATATGGCTAGCCAGTTTTCCCAACACCATTTATTAAATAGGAAATCCTTTCCCCATTGCTTGTTTTTGTAAGGCTTGTCAAAGAACAGATGGCTGAGATTGGTGGAGTTAGTTCTGAGACCTCTGTTCTCTTCAGTTGGTCTATATATCTGTTTTGGTACCAGTACCATGCTGTTTTGGTTACTGTAGCCTTGTAGTATAGTTTGAAGTCAGGTAGCATGATGCCTCCAGCTTTGTTCTTTTTGGTTAGGATTGTCTTGGCTCTACAGGCTCTTTTTTAATTCCACGTAGTTGTTTCTAATTCTGTGAAGAAAGTCAATGGTAGATTGATGGGGATAACATTGAATCTATAAATTACTTTGGGCAGTATGGCCATTTTCACGATATTGATTCTTCCTATTCATGAGCATGGAATGTTTTTCCATTTGTTTGTGTCCTCTCTTATTTCCTTGATCAGTGGTTTGTAGTTCTCCTTGAAGAAGTCCTTCACATCCCTTGTAAGTTGTATTCCTAGGTATTTTATTCCCTTTGTAGTCATGCGAGTGGAAGTTCACTCATGATTTTTCTCTCTGTCTATTATTGGTGTAGAGGAATGCTTGTGATTTTTGCACATTGATTTTGTATCCTGGGACTTTGCTGAAGTTGCTTATCATCTTAAGGAGATTTTGAGCTGAGATGATGGGGTTTTCTAAATATACAATCATGTCATCTGCAAACAGAGACAGTTTGACTTCCTCTCTTCCTATTGAATACCCTTTATTTTTTCTCTTGCCTGAATGACCTGGCCAGAACTTCCAATACTTTGTTGAATAGGAGTGGTGAGAGAGGGCATACTTGTCTTGTACCAATTATCAATGGGAGTGCTTCCAGCTTTTGCCCATTCACTATGATATTGGCTGTGGGTTTGTCATAAATAGCTCTTATTATTTTGAGATATGTTCCATCAATACCTAGTTTATTCAGAGTTTTTAGCATGAAGGAGTGTCGAATTTTATCGAAGGCCTTTTCTGCATCTATTAAGATATTCTTGTGGTTTTTGTCATTGGTTTTGTTTATGTGATGGATTATATTTTTTGATTTGCATATATTAAACCAGCCTTGCATCCCAGGGGTGAAGCTGACTTAATCGTGGTGGATAAGCTTTTTGATATGCTGGCAGATCGTTTTGCCAGTATTTTATTGAGGATTTTTGCATTGATGTTCATCAGGGATATTGGTCTGAAATTTTCTTTTTTTGTTGTGTCTGCCTGGTTTGGGTATCAGGATGATGCTGGCCTCTTAAAATGACTTAGGGAGGAGTCCCTCTTTTTTCTGTTGTTTGGAACAGCTTTAGAAGGAATGGTACCAGCTCCTCTTTGTACCTCTGGTAGAATTTGGCTGTGAATCTGTCTGGTCCTGGGCTTTTTTTTTGATAGGCTATTAATTACTGCCTGAATTTCAGAACTTGTTATTGATCTATTCAGGGATTCGACTTCTTCCTGGTTTAGCCTTGGGAGGGTGTACGTGTCCAGGAATTTATCCATTTCTTCTAGGTTTTCTAGTTTATTGGTGTAGAGGCATTTATAGTATTCTCTGATGGTAGTTTGTATTCTGTGGGCTCAGTGGTGATATCTACTTTATCATTTTTTGGGTGTGTCTATTTGATTCTTTTCTCTTTTCTTCTTTATTAGTCTGGCTAGCAGTCTATCTATTTTGTTAATCATTTCAAAAAACTGTCCCCTGGATTCATTGATTTTTTTTTGAAGTATTTTTTGTGTCTCTATCTCCTTCACTTCTGCTCTGATCTTAGTTATTTCTTGTCTTCTGCTAGCTTTTGAATTTGTTTGCTCTTGCTTCTCTAGTTCTTTTAATTGTGATGTTAGGGTGTCAGTTTAGATTTTTCCTGCTGTCTCCTGTGGGCATTTAGTGCTATAAATTCCCCTCTAAACACTGCTTTAGCTGTGTACTAGAGATTCTGGTACATTGTGTCTTTGTTCTAATTTGTTTCAAAGAACTTATTTATTTCTGCCTTAATTCATTATTTACCCAGTAGTCATCCAGGAGCAGGTTGTTGAGTTTCCATGTAGTTGTGCAGTTTTGCGTGAGTTTCTTAATCCTGAGTTCTAATTTGATTGCACTGTGGTCTGAGAGACTGTTATAATTTCCATTTTTTGCATTTGCTGAGGAGTGTTTTACTTCCAATTATGTGGTCAATTTTAGAGTAAGTGCGATGTGGTGCTGAGAAGAATGTATATTCTGTTGATTTGGGGTGGAGAGTTCTATAGATGTCTATTAGGTCCACTTGGTCCAGAGCTGAGTTCAAGTCCTGAATATCCTTGTTAATTTTCTGTCTAATTGATTTGTCTAACATTGACAGTGGGGTGTTAAATCTCCCTCTATTATTGTGTGGGAGTCTAAGTCTCTTCGTAGGTCTCTAAGAACTTGTTTTATGAACCTGGGAGCTTCTGTATTAGGTGCATATATATTTAGGATAGTTAGCTCTTCTTATTGCATTGATCCCTTTATCATTATTTAATGCCCTGCTTTGTCTTTTTTGATTTTTGTTGCTTTAAAGTCTGTTTTATCAGAGACTAGGATTGCATCCCTGGCTTTTTTTTTTTTTTTTTTTTTTTTTTTTTTTTTTTTTTGCTTTCCATTTGCTTGGGAGATATTCCTCATCCCTTTACTTTGAGCCTGTGTGTGTCTTTGCACATGAGATGAGTCTCCTGAATACAGCACACTGATGGGTCTTGATTCTTTATTCTGTTTGCCTGTCTGCGTCTTTTAATTGGGGCATTTAGACCATTTACATTTAAGGGTAATATTGCTATGCGTGAATTTGATCCTGTCATTATGATGTTAGCTGGTTATTTTGTCCATTAGTTGATGCAGTTTCTTCATAGTGTCAATGGTCTTTACAATTTGGCATGTTTTTGCAGTGGCCGGTACCGGTTGTTCCATTGCATGTTTAGTGCTTCCTTCAGGAGCTCTTGTAAGGCAGGCCTGGTGGTGACAAAATCTCTCAGCGTTTGCTTGTCTGTAAAGGATTTTATTTCTCCTTTGCTTGTGAAGCTTAGTTTGGCTGGATATGAAATTCTTCGTTGAAAATTCATTTATTTAAGAATGTTGAATATTGGCCCTCATGCTCTTCTGGCTTGTAGGGTTTCTGCAGAGAGATCAGCTGTTAGTCTGATGGGCTTCCCTTTGTGGGTAGCCCGACCTTTCTCTCTGGCTGCCCTTAACATTTTTTCCTTCATTTCAACCTTAGTGAATCTGACGATTATGTGTCTTGGGGTTGCTCTTCTCAAGGAGTATCTTTGTAGTATTTTTTGTATTTCCTGAATTTGAATTTTGTCCTGTCTTATTAGGTTGGGGAAGTTCTCCTGGATAATATCCTGAAGAGTGTTTTCAAGCTTGGTTCCATTCTCCCCATCACTTTCAGGTACACAAATTAAACATAGGTTTGGTCTTTTCACATAGTCTCATATTTCTTGGAGGCTTTGTTCATTCCTTTTCATTATTTTTTCTCTAATCTTGTCTTCATGCTTTATTTCATTAAATTGATCTTTAATCTCTGATATCTTTTCTTCCACTTGATCAATTCAGCTATTCATACTTGTGTACACTTCATGAACTTCTTGTGCTATGTTTTTCAGCTCCATCAGGTCATTTATGTTCTTCTCTAAACTGATTATTCTAGTTAGCAATTCCTCTAACCTTTTCTCAAGGTTCTTAGCTTCTTTACATTGGGTTAGAACATGCTCCTTTAGCTCAGAGGAGTTTGTTATTACCCACCTTCTGAAGCCTGCTTCTGCCTATTTGTCAAACTTATTCTGCATCCAGTTTTGTTCCCTTGCTTGTGAGGAGCTGTGATCCTTTGGAGGAGAATTCTCACTCTAGTTTTTGGAATTTTCAGCCTTTTTGTGCTGGTTTTTCCTCATCATGGATTTATCTACCTTTGGTCTTTGATGTTGGTGACCTTAGGATGGGGTTTCTGTGTGGACATCCTTTTTGTTGGTGTTGATGCTACTCCTTTCTGTTTGTTAGTTTTCCTTCTAGCAGTCAGGCCCCTCTGCTGCAGGTCTGCTGGGGTTTGCTGGAGGTCCACTCAGACCCTGTTTGCCTGAGTATCACCAGCGGAGGCTGCAGAACAGCAAATATTGCTGCCTCTTCCTTCCTCTGGAAGCTTCATCCCAGAGGGGCACCCACCAGATGCCAGTGGAGCTCTGTTATATGGGGTGTCTGTTGACACCTCCTGGGAGGTGTATCCCAGTCAGGAGGTACAGGAGTCAGGGATCCACTTCAGGAGGCAGTCTGTCCCTTAGCAAAGCTTGAGCTCTGTGTTAGGAGATCCACTGCTCTCTTCAGAGCCAGCAGGCAGGGATGTTTAAGTCTGCTGAAGCTGCACCCATAGCTGCCCCTTCTCCCAGGTGCTCTGTCCCAGGGAGATAGGGACTTTTATCTATAAGCCCCTGACTGGGACTGCTTCCTTTCTTTCAGAGATGCCCTGCCCAGAGAAGAGGAATCTTGAGAGGCAGTCTGGCTACAGCAGCTTTGCGGAGTTGTGGTGGGCTCCGCCCAGTTTACACTTCCCAGCAGCTTTGTTTACACTGTGAGGGTAAAACTGCCTACTCAAGCCTTAGTAATGGTGGAAGCCCCTCCCCCCCACCAAGCTGGAGCATCAGACTGCTGTCCTGGCAGCAAGAATTTCAAGCCGGTGGATCTTAGCTTTCTGGGCTCTTTGCGGGTGGGATCCACTAAGCTAGACCACTTGGCTCCATGGCTTCAGCCCCCTTTCCAGGGGAGTGAATGGTTCTGTGTCACTGGCATTCCAGGTGCCACTGGGGTATGAAAAAAAAAAAACTTCTGCAGCTAGCTCGGTGTCTGCCCAGACAGCTGCCCAGTTTTGTGCTTGAAATCCAGGGCTCTGGTGGTGTATGCACCCAAGGGAATCTCCTGTTCTGCGGGTTGTGAAGACTGTGGGAAAAGTGTAGTGTCTGGGATGCAATGCACTGTTCCTCACATCACAGTCCTTCACAGCTTCTCTTGGCTAGAGGAGGGGGTTCCTCGACCCCTTGCACTTCCCTAGTGAGGCAACACCCCACCCTGCTTCGGCTCACCCTCCATGGGCTGTACCCACTGTCTAACCAGTCCCAATTAGATGAGTCGGGTACCTCAGTTGGAAATGCAGAAATCACCCACCTTCTATGTTGATCTCGCTGGGAGCTGCAGACCGGAGCTGTTCCTATTAGGCCATCTTGCTAGCCCTATAACCTGCTTTTAGCATTGAATGCCATATGAGTCATTATGGTATAACATTTTTACAACTTAAAATTTGTTAAAATTTTAATCAGTTATAGTAATGAACAATAAGCACTTTCATTGTTCTTATTGAAACAAAACCAAAAGAAGTGAAGAAATGATTGTGTTCAATGATATATCCAACCTAACAAAAATGCCCAGCACATATTTCATTAGTCCTAACATATTTTTTTTTCATTTAACATCATTGAATTTGGATTGCTTCTTATAATTGCCAGCATTTTTAGTTTAATTTGTGGAATTATTTCCTTCCTAGAAGGATATATAATAATAGTTCAAGATATACATCGCAATCTAGGACTAGGTGAAACACAATATTCTTAATAAATAAAATAATGAAGCATAAACTTTTTTTAAGTATGATGAATATCTTGTGACAAACAAACTGAGATTTTACCTAAAATAATAAGGTTTACATTAGTGACAACGGAGCTTTAACATCAAAACAAACTTTTTCATATTTATTTTTCTAGTAGGACATCTGCCTGTTATGGTCCTTGGAGAATAAATAAGATCACATTAAAATGTCAACAATTCTCAATCATGGTTTAATTTACAGAGGTATTAGTAATTATCTATGAGTATTTTTCATTTAAGATAAAATGATCTAATAATATAGTTTTATTTGTAAACTTTCAGTATATTAAAACTATGCAAAGTATTTGTTGCTGTTAAGGACTAGCATAGTATCATTTTATAATAAATAGTAATTCAGGACACTTTTTTAAAATCAAAATAATTATTTGAATATTTTTGGAAAGATGCCTTTTCTCTTATTTTTTTAAAGCATTTTGAACAGTACATCTGACAGTCCACTAGCTCCTCTTAGACGTGGCTATCTAAACACAAGCCCTCCAATGAAAATACTGATTATTATTATTGTTTTGAGGCAGAGTCTCATTCTGTCACCCAGGCTAGAATGCAGTGGCACTATCTCAGCTCACTGCAACCTGTGCCTCCGGGTTCAAGCGAGTCTCCTGTCTCAATCTCCGGAGTAGCTGGGATTACAGTCATTGCACCACCACACCCGGCTAATTTTTGTATTTTTAGTAGAGAAGGGGTTTCACCATGTAGGCCAGGCTGGTCTCAAACTCCTGACTTCCGGTGATCTGCCCACCTCGGCCTCCGAAAGTGCTGGGGTTACAGATGTGAGCTGCCGCGTCTGGCCCAATACTGATTGTTTTTATTTCCTGACTAAATTCCAAAATGTCTTTTTTTTGCTAGTGCAGACATTCTCCCATACTGGGGTAAATGATATTCTCCCATGGTTGCCTTCTCAATTAACTATTGAAAATGTTTAGTGTGTACTTTCACATAGAGAGTTAAATACCGATGCAGGTGTCTATCATGAGGACATATTTCCAATCAATCCATATTTTACTAATGTTACATATTTTCATTAAGTAACATTATTTACTCATGGTGTTCAATATTGTGAACACTAGGGAATTAAAAAGAAGACAAAATCCTTGTCCTCAAAAATTTCACAGTGTATGTTGGTAGGAATGTAAATCAGTGCAGCCATGGTAGACAACAGTGTGGAAGTTCCTCAAAAAATGAAAAATAGCACTACCATATGATCCATCAATCCCACCACTGGGTATATATCCAAAGGAAATGAATTCAGTATGTCAAAGAGATATCTGCACTCTCATGTTTATTACAGCACCATTCACAATAGTTTATTCACTATTCACAACAACCAAGATATTGAATCAACCTAAGTGTCCACCAACAGATAAATGGATTTTTTAAAATGTGATGTGGTATATGTACACAATAGAATACTATTCAGCCATAGAAAGAAGGAAATCCTGTCATTTGTGACAAGATTGATGAATCTAGAGGACACTATGTTAAGTGAAATAAGCCAAGCACAGAAGGACACATACCACATGATCTCACTCATATGTAGAATTAAAAAAGTTGATCTCTTAGAAATAGAGCATAGAATAGTGGTTACTAGAGACTGGGGAGAGTGGGGGTGGGAGTGGGGTAGGGGGTGAGGTTGGTCAATGGGTACAATGTTACAGTTACACAGGAGGAATAAGTTGAGAATGGTGCATATGTCAATTACCCTGACTTGATCACTACACTATATATATATATAAACATCACACTATGCCCCATAAATTTGTACAATTATTATGTAGCAATTAGATAAAAAAGCTTTAAATTTCACAATGCACTGAGAGAGAAAAATGAACAGAAAATTACAGCTAAGAGAATGCCGTTAACAGAAGAATGCAAAAGAGAGCTTCAGAGGGTGTTGAGAAATTGTGCTTAAAAGAATGATATAATTCAGCCTAAATGGAAACTAATATTGAGAATTTACTCTGCACCAAGACCTATGCCATCCATGAATTACCACAAGTTAGTGGCCTTAAAAAACACACAGTTTATTATTTTGCATTTCTCAAAGTCAGAAATCCAAAATCAGATTCACTGGCTAAAATCAGGGTGTTGGCAGAACTGATATCTTCCAAAGTTCTCAGGCAAGAATCTGTTTCCTCCTCTTTTCCAGCCTCTAAAGATGGCCTTCATTCCTTGGCTCATGGCCCTTCTCTGTCTTTGAAGTCATCAGTATAGTATCTTCAAATTTCCCTCTGACTCTCTTACCTCTATTTTCCTCCTCCCACCTCCTTCTCTGTGTTTCTTGCCTCCCTTTCATATGTACCCTTGTGAGTACGCTGAACCTACTTGGATAATTAATGATAATCTTCATATTTCAGGATTATTAATACATCTGTAAAGTCTTTTTTGCTAAACATGGTAACATATTCACAGATTTAGTGGATTACAATGTAGTCATCTTAGGGGAAGCCATTATCCAACCAACCACAGCTCCATAATGAATTAAGGGATAAAGAAGGAAAAATGGGTTTTAGGAGATTCTCTGGACTGAATTGTGTCCCCCCAGAATTCATATTTTGAAGCTCTAACTTATAGTATGACTATGTTTGGAGATAGGATTTTGAGGAAGTAATTAAAGTTAACTGAGATCCTAAGGGTATGGTCCTAATCTGGTGATAGGATTGTTAGCCTCATAGAAGAGAAAGAGAGAGATCCCTCTCTCTCCACACTCATGCACCTAGGAAAGACCATGTGAGGACACAGTGAGAAGGCAGCTGCCTACCAGCCGGGAAGAGAGCTCTTATCAGGAGCCGAACTGGCCAGCACCTCCATCTAGCACTTCCCAATCATCGGAACCTTGAGAAAATAAATGTCTGTTGTTTAAACCACCTAGTCTGTTGTATTTTGTTATGGCAGCCTGAGCAGACTAATACAGCAGATGACAATGAGATGGTCCTTACAAGACTTCCAGGATTCAAGGAAGAAGTCTGAGCTACAAATGTAGATTTGGGATATCACAGCCTAAAGACGATAGTTGGTGGTGATGAAAGACATTAACCTGAGATAGTATGTAGATTGAAAATAGAATATAGCTGAGAACAGAACCATACATTACTAATAACACTACTATCCAATTCTCCAAATGTGCTCAGTAGCCTGATTGTGGGAGGAATGACTAGCAGATGGTTGAATTTGTTTTAGGTTTCAATTGCAGGGTGTGTGTGGCCAAAGGGCAAGTGAAAGTGGGTGGTAGCAATAACATAAGCTGCCAGAGACAGTGCTGGGTGTTTTATGTGCCTTTACTTCCTATCATTCTGTTAATCAGATAGTCATATTTTATAGATAAAGGAAACTGAGATTCGAAGACATTGAGTAAGTTTCCCAGGGTCACAAAAATTTTTTTTATTACATTTGATTTCTAACAGGATTCTTCTGATGGAAGAAATGGAAAATCAATTTCAATAGTGCATTAAGCAGAGCTAGTTTTGAATTGCAAATGTTTTTTACTCTAAAGTGAAGCTCTTTCAATGTACCTCAAGGGAAGAAATCAGGTAGTATGAGAGGCCATCTGGTAGAGACTGATACACTAGGTCACAAAAACATTCTAGGGGTAGATGTATCAGTGAGTTTGAAAAGTTGAAACTATGAATAACAGTATTCAGTAAGTGAGTAATGTACTGGACTTCATGATTTCAGGTGAAGAGAAAAATTTAATCTCCTTGAGGACAGTGCTATATTTAGAGGCATGCTTTAGTGGAAAAGAATAAAAACTTGTTCAAAAGGAAAAATAAGCTATCTAATGTTTGAAATATGTGTGATTTGAAAAAAAATGATGTTTTTTTCTTAACTCACTCACTGAAGAAATCCTTAACCACTGTATGATAAGAAAGTTAAAAAAAAAAAAACACCTCATTCTCAGGTCTTAAAGAAATCCTGCTTCCTGGCCTAGACCTTACGGACCTAGCAATGAAGGATATTCAGAGTGGCATATTTAACATGTTCTCTATGGTATCGGTATAATTTTAAAAGACTTAGTGGTTACAAGGAACTTTTCTAAGACTCACATAGCTTTACAAATATTTACACATTAATCTGTATCTCTCAAGAAGTAGATAGGTGGTAGGTATTTAACCAACTAACAATGATACTAAAGCAAGAAAAAGTAAAGCGACTTCCTCTAATGCCACAAAACAGTTAGGGGTGACACCAGAAATGGAAGCCCTAACTTCTAAGATCGTGTCCTGACAAATGCGTTGGTCTACTCCTCCTACTAACAAGCCTTGTTAAGCATGAGAAATCTTGCATAATATTGAACCTCTCTGTGAAGTTGAATCAGAAGCATTAAAATATCAATTCAGCTGATGTTTGAAACTTGTAAGTTTTCTTTAAAATGTTCACTTTCATATGTAGAAGGTATGCTATATATCAGGAAGAAATCAGACAGAATTCATCATGAGAATACTGGCATTTCATCCTTGAATGACAAGCACTGAATACAGTCAGATGGGTGACTATCCAGATAACATTAATAATAACGGAATTTACTTTAAGACTTCAAGAGACGAATACACATCCGTCTAGAACTGAATTAAAAATCTAATGTTGTATGTTTTTTTCTCTATGTCTCTTCTTTTATAACTCCTTTATATGACATTTTAAAATATTTTTTCTGTTGCCTTTACACAATAGGAAAATGGATTTTATGCAGTTAAATTAAATAAAAAAGATGAAACTGAAGACAGGAATGCAAAAGATACTATGCAAATTTTAAAAATGTTAACATATTGGAAAATTTCTTGACTTCTACATCTACCCTAGAATATCCCAGCTTTGGGTCTAGGTTGTTTTCCCCCCTCATTCATTTATTTCATTCATGCAACAAATATTAAAAAGATATTTATTATGTACTAGGTGCTGTGGAAACAACAGAAAATAAAGACATTCAAGGCAGAACAAACCATGTCTTCATGGTTAGATGGTCTTCTTGGTTAATCATGTCTTCATGACTTAGATTATAGGAGACATGATGGGATCGGCGGAAGTGTTGAAATGTGAAGACAGTTAATAAATAAATAGACAAGTTCAAAATGATATTCAAAAGTAATTTCAAATAACCAAAAAGTGTTGTGTAGTAAGTATATTAATACTCTCAAGCCAGAGTCCACTAGGAACACACTACAGTTGAACAAATTGGGTTTATCACTTATTGAAGCAGGAGAAAATACACACCAGGAAGAACTATAGTGTGTGTCAGTAAGAGGGTGTTAGAAAGAACCAATTATAGAATTTGGGCTTTTGATGGGTAATTTGGGAGAGGGACCAAAGAAGCAGGGGTTTGCTCTAGATTGAATGCTATCAGAAAGTAAAGGCAATTCTATGATTAGACGTCTGGGTTTTTTTTTCTTTTTCATAAATGTTATTTTTAATTAACAATAATTTTATATATTAATGGGATGCAGTGTGATGTAATAGATGTGCATATTGTAGAATAACTAAATCAAGCTAATTAAAAAATTTGTTACTTCACATGCTTATTTTTGTGGTGAAAACATTTAAAATCTACTCTCTCAGCAATTAAAAAATATACAATCATATTATTTATTACAGTTACCATTCTGGGCAATAAGATCATTAAAGCTTATTTCTACTGTCTAACTGAAATTTTATATACTTTGATCAACACCTTCCCTTTCCCCACCGGTGCCCCCACCCCACACTGAATCTGGTAACCACCATTCTCCTCCCTTCTTCTATTAGTTCAATATTTTTAAATTCCACATCGGAGATCATGTGCTATTTGTCTTACTGTTTCTGGCTTATTTCACTTTCCATAATGTCCTCCATTCCATCCCTGTTGCACAAGTAACAGAATTTCCTTTTTCTTAAGGAGAATAGTACTCCAATGTGTGTATATACACCAGGTTTTATTGATCCATTCATCCAATAATAGACACCTATGTTGCTTCCATATCTTGGCTATTGTGAATAATGCTACAGTGAACATTGGAGTGCAGATAGCTCATCAGCATATTGATTTCTCTTTCTTTGGGTATATACCCAGAAGTGGGATTGATGGATCATATAGTAATTCTATTTATCTTGAGGAACCTCCATATCATTTTCCATAATTGCTGTATTCGTGTACATTCCTGCCAACAGTGCACAAGGTTTTCCCTTTCTGCACGCTCTCATGAACATTTGTTATCTTTTGTGTTTTTGACAATGGCCATTATATCAGGTAACATCTCCGTGTGGTTTTAAATTGCATTTTCCTGATAATTAGTTATAGTGAGCATTTTTTATTCATATATCTACTGCCATTTGTATGTCTTCTTTTGAGAAGTGCCTATTGTAAATAGTGCTGCAATAAACATGGCGGTTCAGGTATCTTTAGACATACTGATTTTTTTTTTTCCTTTGGATAAATATCCAGCAGTGTGATTGCTGGATCATGTGGTCGTTCTTTTGTTTGTTTGCCTTTTTTTTTCTTTTTGAGAGATCCTCCATACTGTTTTCCATAGTGGCTATACTAATTTATATTCCCATCAACAGTGTATAAGTGTAACCGTTTTTCTGCATCCTCACCAACACCTATTATTTTTGTATTTATAATAAAAACCATTCTAACAGAAGTAAGATGATATCTCTTTGGGGGTTCTAATTTGCATTTTCCTGATAATTAGTGACATTGAGCAATTTTTCTGATAGCTGTTGGCCATTTTTATGTCTTCTTTGCAAAATGTATATGCATATCCTTTGCCCACTTTTTAATAAAATTATTTGTTTTTTTGTTTGTTTTGTTTTGTTTTTTGGGTTGTTTGAGTTCCTTGTATATTCTGGCTATAGGTCCCATGTCAAGTAAATAATTTTCAGATATTTTCTCCCATTCAACAGGTTTTCTCTTCACTCTGTTGATTGTTTCCTTTGCTGTGCAGAGCTTTTTATTTTAAATAGTACCATTTGTCTACTTTTCTTTTTGATGCCTGTGCGTTTAAGTACTAAGCCATACAAACTTTGCATAGCCCGGGATCCTGAAGTGTGTTCCCTATGTTTTCTTCTATTAGCTTTATGGCTTTGGGTCCTGCATTTAAATCTTTAATATCTCTAGAGTTGACTTTTGTATATGGTGAGAGATAGGGGTCCAATTTCTTTCTTCTGCATATGGATGTCCGATTTTTACAGCCTTGTTTATTGAAGAGGATATCTTTTCCCCAATGTATGCTCTTGGCACATCTGTCAAAACTCCGTCAGCTGTAGATATGTGTATATATTTCTGCATTCTCTATTCTGTTCCATTGGTCTGTTTTTATAGCAATACTATAATGTTTGGCTTAAAATAGTGTTATATCTTTTGAAGTCAGGTAGCATGATGCCTTCAGCTTTATTCTTTTGCTCAGGATTGCTTTGGCTATTTGAGCTCTTCTTTAATTCCACACTAATTGTAAAGCTGTTTTTTCTATTTCTGTGGCAAATTACATTTTGATAGTAATTGCAATAAATCTGTAGATTGCTTTGGGTAGTACGGTCATTTTAACAATATTAGTCATTACAATCCATGAGCATGGGATGTCTTTTCATTTGTTTTTGTCTTCCTAAATTTCATTCGTCAGTGTTTTATGATTTTCCTCATAGAGATCTTTTATCTCCTTGGTTAAATTTATACCTAGATATTTTATTTTATACATTTTAGCTTTTGAAATTACATTTCCTTGTTGATTTTTTTTCAGGTAGTTTATTATTGGTGTGTAGAAACACTGCTGATTTTTATATGTTGATTTTGTATCCTGTAATTTTATTAATTTATTTATGTGATCTAAGAGTTTTTGATGAAATCTTGGTTGGGGTATTTTTGGATATAAGATTATATCATATGCAAAAAGAGACAATCTGATTTCCTTTTTTCTAGTTTGGATGCAATTTTTTTTTTTTTTTTTTGAGACAGAGTCTTGCTCTGTTGCCCAGGCTGGAGTGCAGTGGTATGATCTCGGCTCACTGCAAGCTCTGCCTCCCGGGTTCATGCCATTCTCCTGCCTCAGCCTCCTGAGTAGCTGGGACTACAGGCACCCGCCACCACGCCCAGCTAATGTTGTGTGTTCTTAGTAGAGATGGGGTTTCACTGTGTTAGCCAGGATGGTCTCGATCTCCTGACCTCGTGATTCACCTACCTCAGCCTCCCAAAGTGCTGGGATTACAGGTGTGAACCACCGCACCCAGCTGTAGTGGTAGTAATTGAGACCTTTCTCTTCTACCAGTGGGTTTTATACGTTCATGTGTTTTTCTGATGGTAGATATCATCCTTTTGTTTCCAGGTGTAGACCTTCCTTAACTATTGCTTCTAGGGCCCGTGTAATAGTAATTAATTCCCTCTGCTTTTCTTTCTCTGAGAAAACAATGTATTTCACCTTCATTTATGAAGGATAACTTTGCTAGGTGTGGCATCTTTGGCTGCTAGTTTTATGTTTCAGAACTTTGAATATATCATCCTATTATCTTCTGGCCTGTAAGGCTTCTGCTGGAAATCTGCTGTTAGTATGATGGGATTTCCCTTATAAGTGACTGGACACTTTTCTTTTGCTGTTTTCAGAATTTCTTCTTTGCTTTGACTTTTGAGAGTTTGACTGTAATGTGCCGTGGAGAAGACCCTTTTCATTACATCTGTTTGGGGATCTCTAAGCCTCCCATGTCTGGATGTCTAAATCTCTTGCTAAACTTGGGATTAAGTTATTATTTCATTACATAGTTTTCTCTCCTTTCGGTATTGTCTTCACCTTCTGGAACATTGAAAATTTGAATATTTGGTCACTATATGGTGTCCCATATGTCACATAGCCTTTATTATTTTTTATTGTTTTATCTTTATTTTTGTAGACTGGTTTTTGTGAAAAGACCTATATTCAAGTTCTAAAATTCTTCTTCTTGATCTAGTCTATTCTTGAACCTTTTGAATGTATCTTTTTATTTCATTCAATTACTTTTTTAATTCCAGGATTTCTGCTTGGTTCTTTTTTTATAATATCTATCTCTTTGGTAAATTTCTTTTTCATATCCTGAATTGTTTTTCTGATTTCTTTGTATTACTTATCTGTGTTCTATTGTATCTCATTGAGCTTCTTTAACATCATTATTTTTCTCTGATTTTATAAATTTCTTTTTTTTTTTGGAATTTGTTGCTAGAGAATTATTGTGTTCCTTTGGAGGTGTCATATTTCTTTGCTTTTTCATGTTTCTTGTGTCTTTACATTTATATGTGTGCATCTTGTATAAAAGCCACTTGTATTAGTTCATTATCATGCTGCTAATAAAGACATACCTGAGACTGGGTAATTCATAAAGGAAAGTGGTTTAATTGACTCATAGTTCAGCATGACTGGGGAGGCCTCAGGAAACTTACAATTATGGTGGAAGAGGAAGTAAATATGTCCTTCTTCTCAAGGCAGCAGGACAGAGAATAATGAGAACCAAGCCAAAAGGGAAGCCTCTTGTAAAACCATCAGATCTCATGAGAACATGAGAACTTACTGTCTATCATGAGAACAGCATGGGGAAAACCACCCCCATTATTCAATTACCTCCCACTGGGTCCCTCCCATGACACATGGGGATTATGGGAACTACAATTCAAGATGAGATTTGGATGGGGACATAGCAAACCAGATGGCAAGCTCTGGCCCTGTGGTGGCGGAATTAGGTTGGGTAAGCTTGTACTCACGTTCCCCCATGGGGCATGACAGTGCACCCAAATTCAGAGGGTTGGGTGATGTGAGTTTAGGTCTCATGCCCCTGAATACAAGGAGTTGAAAGCTGAAATGGTCAATATGATCTGCAAAAGTGTAGGATAGTGACTACCAAACTGTCTTCTGGAGAGCCTTTTTCAAAAAAAAAAAAAAAAAAAAGACAAGGTTTTGCTCTGTTCCCTGGTCTGGAGTGCAGTGACATGATCATAGCTCACTGCAGCCTCAAACTCCTGGGCTCAAGTGATCCTCCCACCTCAGCCTTCTGAGTAGCTGGGACTACCTTTGCCACTACACCCAGTTATTTTTTGTTTTTAAAATGGTCTTACTATGTTGCTCAGTCTGGTCTCCACATCCTTTCCTCAAGTGATCCTCCCACCTCAGCCTCTCAATTAGCTAGGATTACAGGCATGAGACACCATGCCCAGCTGGGAAGTGTTAATTGTTGCTCCAAGATCAAAAGTTTCTGTAGTGGAAAGGATGCTGAATTTTGTCAAATGCTTTTTCTGTATCTATTGAGATGATGATGATTTCTGTTTCTTTATTCAGTTAATACAGTGTGTCACATTTATTGGTTTTGGTAAGTTGAACCATCTTTGCATCCCAGGGATAAATTCCAGTTGATCATGGTGACTGACTATTTTTATGTGCTGTTGAATCTGATTTGCTAGTATTTTGTTGAGTATTTTTTCATCTACCTTCATCAAGGATATAGGCTTGTAGTTCTGTTTTTTTATATTGTTCTTGTCTGGCTTCAGTATCAGGGTAATGCTGGCCTTGTAAAATGAGTTTAGAAGTATTCTCTCTTCTTCAAGGGGAGATTTTAAAAAAGATTGGTATTTATTTCTTATTTACATGTTAGATAAAATTCTGCTGTGAAGTAATAAAGTCTGGGCTTTTCTTTGATGGGAGATTTTTTAGTGTTGATTCAGTTTTATTCTTGGTCTGTTCAAATTTTCTTTTATTTTTCTTAACTTTGTCCTCGTAGATTCCATGTTTCTAGGAATTTATCAATTTCTTCTAAATTATCCAATTTATAAGCGTAAAGTTGTTCATAATATTCACTTATGATCCTTTGTGTTTCTGTGGTATCTGTTGGAATATCTCCTCTTTCATTTGTGATTTGAGTCTTATCTCTTTTTTTCTTAGTTGGTCTGGTCTGGCAAAGGGTTTGTCAATTTTCCTTATCTTTTCAAAAGAAAACTTATTTAGTTGATCTTTTCTATTCTTTCTAATCTCTACTTTATTTACTTCTATTCTGATCTGTATTATTTCCTTCCTTCTGCTAACTTCATGCTTTGTTTGTTCTTCCTTTTTTAGTTTCTTGAGATAACATTAAGTTGCTTACTTAAGAACTTTTCTCTTTTGTAATGCAGGCATTTATTGCTATAAACTTCCCTCTTAGAACTGCCTTTGGTGCATCCCATAAGTTTAGTATGTTGTATTTTCATTTTCATTTGTCCGAGGATATTTTTAACTTTCATTTTTAATTCCTTCCTTGATCCATTAGTTGTACAGGAGTGTGATGTTTAATTTCCACATATTTGTGAATTTTCCAGAATTTCTCCTTTATTACTTTCTAGTTTAATTCCATTATGGTCAGAAAATATACTTGATATTATTTCAGCTTTCTTAAATTTATTAAGAATTGTTTTGTGGCCTATTATCTATCCTGTAGAATGTTCTGTGTGCACTTGAGAAAAATGTGTATAATGGTGCTGTTGGATGAAATGTTCTGTATATACCTGTTAGGTCCATTTGGGGTAAAGGGTTGTTGAAGCCCATTCTTTTTCTACTGATTTCTTGTCTGAATGAACTATCCATCGTTGAAAGTGCAGTATTTACTATTACTGTATTATACTATTACTATTACTATATTATAGTCTATTACTGTATTATAGTCTATCTCTTCAGATTTATTAATGTTTGCTTTATGTATCTAGGTGCTCCAATGTTAGATGCATGTATATTTTAAATGCTTATCTTTTTAATGAACTGACCCTTTTGTTATTATATAATGACCTGCTTTTTCTCTTTTTCCCAATCTTGACTAAAAGGAGGTCATTCTAATATAACAATTATATAAGCATAATCACCTCACTCTGTATTGATCTAATCTAATACAAGCATAATCACTCCCATGCTCTATTGGTTACCATCTGCCTCTTATTCCATACCTTTGCTGTTAGTCTATGTGTGTCCCTAAAGCTAAAATAAGATTTTTGGAGGGAAAATATTATTGGATCTTGTTTTTTAATCTATTTAGACATTATTTTAACTGTAGACTGTAATCTCTTTACATTTAAAATTAGTATGGATAGATATGGACTTACTATAGGCATTTTATTAATTTTTTACTGACTTTTGTAGTTATTTTGTCTTTCTTCCAATCTTACAGTCTTTCTTTGTGATTTGTGTATTTTTGTAGTAATATGCTTTGATTCCTTTCTCTTCATATTTTGTATATCTGCCAGAGGTTTTTCATTATAGTTATCATGAGGCTTGCATAAAATATCTTATAGTTAAAGTATTCTAATTTAAGCTGAAAATACCTTAACTACAATTGCATACAAAGACTCTATGCTTATATTTCTCCTCCCTCACACATTTTATGCTATTGATGCAATAATTTATATCTACTTATATTGTGTATGCTAACCCATTGTTTATAGCTATAATTGTTTAAATACATTTGTTTTTTTAACTATTATACTAATGAGTGATTTACATAACCCCTTTACGGTTTTAGTATATTCTCAATTTGAGTATATGTTTACCTTTAGTAGTAAGCTTTATACTTCCATATGTTTTTATATTTTACTTATTTTCCTTTTATTTCAACTCAAACAATTCCCTTAAGCATTTCTTATAAGGCCAGTCCCATGATGATGGATTTCCTCAGCTTTTGTTTGTCTTAGAATGTCTTGATCTCATTTTTCATTTCTGAAGGACTGTGTTGCTGGGTGTAGTATGTTTTGTTAACTTATTTTTTAGCACTTTCAATATGTCATGCCACTCCCTCCTGGCTTGCAAGGTTTCTGTTGAGAAGTCATGTATAGTCCTATGGGAGATCATTTTTATGTAATAAGTTTCTTCTCTTTTGCTGCCATAAAGCTTCTTTGTTTTTGGCTTTAATTTGATTACAATGTTAAAATCAGAAACCAATGAGATTTAAGGCAGCAAGAATTTTGAGTTTATCTCTATTGAGTTTATCTTTCTTGGGGTCCTTTGAGGTTCCTGAATCTGTATGTTCATATCCCTCCCAAGATTTGGGATTTTTTCAAACAGTATTTCTTTAAATAATGTATCTCTGTCTCGCTTCTCCTTTGGATACTCTCATAAATTTTATATTTGTACATTTGATGGTGTCCCATATATCCCTACACTTTCTTCACTCTTTTTTGATCTTTTTTTAATTCCTCTAATTAGCTAATTTCAAATAATCTTTCTTCAAATTCACAATTTCTAATTTTTTTGCATGATTGCCTCAGCTATTCAAACTATTGAGTTTTTCAATTCTGCCATTGTATCCTTCAGCACTAGGATTTCTGTTTGGTTCTTTTCCACGGTTTCTATATTTTATCAAACTTCTCATTTCATTCATGCATTGTTCTCCTTATTTCTTTTAGTTGTCTATCTCTATTTGTTGAATTTCTTTGAGCTTCTTGAAGATGAGCATTTTGAATCCTTTTTCCAGTAATTTGTACATCTCTTTTTTGGTGGGGTTGGTTAGTAAAGCCTTAGTTATTTTGATGGTGTCATGTTTGCTTCATTCTTTGTTATTCATGTAGGCTTGCATTTCTGTCTGCATTTGAAGGAGCTAACTCCTCTTTCACTCTTTATAGAATAGATTTGACAAACTAAAATTTTCTCCTAATAGGTCTGCAGGTTGATGAGATTACCTCTGGGCTCATGATTGAGTGGCATTGGATGCAGGTCTTGTGCCTGATACTGGGTCTACAGTGGAAACTGCAGTTGGCAGTGTTGTTACCAGAAGCTGTAGTTGGTGTGGGTCCCATTTGGTTTCTGGGCAGACTGAACTGTCTCCAGATCTTTGGGTCTGGATCTGGGATGATGAAGGTCTGCTTCAGGATTCACAGATTGCAGGTCTTTTTCCACGTGCAATGATGGATATGGCTTCCGCTGGGTCACTGGCAGGACTCCTGTTGGATAACTAAATGAGTACCTGTCCTAGCCATACTGTACAAATTGGTGGCTGAGATGGGCTTAAACTGAGACATAAGATTGTTTCAGGATATACAACCAAGGCTGAGATCTTTAGCCCCCACGAATAGGTATGTGTACAGTGGTTTCCTGGATGAGCAAGCCTGCTTTCAGACTGCAGTTTAAAAAGGTGGGGGCCAATTTATAGGGCCATTTAAAGATCCACAATGGGACAGAGGTGAGGGATTCAGCCTGAATGGGCACTGTGGGACATGCCTTCTTGTGCCCAAGCAGGCCAAGCTTCTCTCAGTCTGAAGACAAAAGGGGTCTGGACCTAAATCCAGTGCCATTTGAGGATCCACTGTGGAACAGAGGTTGGCAAAGCGTGTCAGGGAAACAGACAGGCATGTCTCCTGGTGGGATTCCAGCTGGGCAGAATTGCTTCAAGACCACAGCTGGGAGGGACTGAAACCAATCTTCAGGGCTATTTTTAAATCTGCTGTGGAACTGATGTTGGCAAGCCTGACCCAGTGGCAGTGGGGGGGTGAGAACCCCAATAGATCCCTATGTGGTCAGGATTGCTCATAGACTGCATCTGAGAGGGGCTAGAGCTGAGATTTGGGGCCCAGTTATGGTCTTCTATGGGATGAAGGCCAGCAAGACTGTCCAAGTGCATCTCTAGCAGTTCCTTGCATGGTGGAATAACTTCAGGGCTGTGACAGAAGGGCTGGTGCCTAGAAAGGTCCCTTCAGGATCTGTTATGGGATGGAAGTTGTCAAGCCCATTAGCACTGATGGGCTAGTCACCCTGTGCCATTGGGATTATTCCCAGGCTGCATTTAAGCAGGGCTACCATCAAGATTCAGGGCCCCTTCAGGACCTGCTGTGGGATGGAGGCTGACAGTCTAATGGCACAGATGGATGAGTCTACCAGCATGTCTTATTATGGATGGGATTACTCCCAGACTATGGCAGAGAGGGGCTAGAGCTGAGATAGGGCCCCTTCATGATCTGCTGTGGGACAGAGGCTGCAAGTCTGTCCTGGTAGTATAGATGGGTGAGTCTCTCTCTAGGTCCCTGTGTGAGAAGTACTAGGCTAGAATTACAGCTAAAGGGGGCTGGAGCCAAAAGCTGTTACAGGATAGCTTTTGGGTTCACGGACAAAACTGATGGCAAGAAGCAGATGGGTCTGTCTGTGAAGCACTAATGTGCATGATTCCTCCCAGCCCTTTGGTGGATGCTTTTGGAAGCAGGCTCAAGCACAAACGGAGCTGTAACTAAACCCTTTGGAAAATGGGGTTATTTATGGGTCTGAAGCTGGGTCCACAATTACTGGGTCTGCCACCTAGGTGCAGGTCTGTACTCTCAAAACAATAATCCTAGATCTTGGGCTCCACTCTGGTTTCACAACCTCATACCCCAATCCAAGGGCTCCCACAAAGAAATTTTTTATCATGAATGGGTGCAGAATTATTTTTTTTTTGTGGAGTAATACAAGTGCGTGACCACCTATTCTGCCATCTTATCTCATCCCCTAGATATCTGTTTTAATTGCTTCCTCTTTACCCTGTTGGTGAGGGAAGGATTTTGTACCTCAAGAGATACCTATGGAGACAGCCAAACACACAGACCCTATATTGGACAGATGAGATTGATGCATATTTATTAATCACATACACTTACAGCCCAGAGGAGGGAGATACCACACACCATGCAGGGCCACATAGGGGTTGCATTTGGGAAAAAAAGTGAACAACCATGTGTATGGGATGCAGTTTGGTAACATCAAGAGGGCAGGGTACTCGTCGATACTCAGGAGGATGTGATTGGCTTGTTTGAGTAGCTCCACAGGCTGGCATGGAACTGAAACTTACTTCTCAGTGATGAAGAAGAACTTGACCTGATCTATTTGATAAGGCAGGTTCTTTGGCTAGGAAATCTTATTTACAGGAGCAGAGTAAGGAAGAATGTTTCCTGTAAGGCTATTTATGCCCCTTTCAGATGCCCTCAGCTATCACAGAAGCCAATAATATTGGGCCTTAATCTTAGGACTCGCACCATAGTATATTAATGAATCTTAGCTATAGAAAGGGAAGGAAAGATATGAGAATAAAGCTATAATTGGTTTCTTAAAAATTGCACTCATTTTAGACAAGAGACAGGATTTCTGGTGTTTTGGGGTGGCACAATGACCTTGCCTTTGTCTGTACTTAGACAAAATTATTAAGTGACCCTACTTTGTCTCATTTTATCATGGTCTCAAAGTAGCCTGAGGTTCGTATTATTTCCAATAGGGGAATAAAATAGCATAGCTCTGAGAGCTGGGCCAACTTCCAAATCTCAGAGGCTGCTATTTATTTTCTTTTTACAGTTAAAAGGGCCTGTTGGTGCTGGGAGGCTAAATTAGATGGGTTGGTCAAGGAAAGTTTTCTGAGAGAGGGATGTCAAAGCTCAGCCTTTATCACTAATAAGGAGCCATACACATAGAGAAGAACTGAGGAGAGTAGAGACAGGAGAGGAAGGGAGACAACCTGTGGGAGAGCATTCCTGTCTGAGGGAAATGGCAAGTATGAGCAAAGAAACATTTCATCACACCCAAGAGGTGTGAGAAAAACCATTGGGACCGTGGCTCTTTGCTTCAATGCTCTCTAGGGTTGGATATGGAGGAAGTACCAGAATCTCAGAACATGGGAAGTAAACTTTGGAAAGCCTCAAAGTGATCCTGATACAGTGGTCCTCCAAGACAGATTGTCTCTTACTGCCTGTATGCTTCCCTCACAGATTTAGTTCAATTATATAGACTTTATATGAAAATCCCAATACTAATTGATACTTTAATATGACCCTGTATAACATACAACAAAATTGCTTGTCCAGGAATGTTTTACCAACATCCAGGGAGATAGATGGGGTTATTAGCTAGTGAATGTGCTGTCAGTGGCAGAAGATCAATTATCCTATATATAATTTTGTTTTTTCTCAGAAACTAGACTGTGGTGATTTTTCTAGACCATCTAACATATATTTGAGCAAGGTCTGCATTTCCATTTAATAGTGAAGCATTCCTAGGATGTGAGTTTTATCATTCCAATCATCTGTTCATATCCAGTTCATGCATTTGAACACTATTACAATAGTTGGTTTGAAGACACCATTGCTACCAACTGGGAATTTAATATGCCAACACAGGAAAATATTAACGATGATAAACAGCTCAGACAGCAGAGAATAATGGTTACAAGCATGGACTCTGAAACCAGACAGCCTAGGTTCAAATGACAACACTACCACTTTCTAGTTGTATCCCTGTTAGGTACTTTACTTAGCTTACATGCCTCAATTTTCTCACCAACAAATTGGGATAATACTAGTACCTACCTCAAAGGTTTACTGGGAAGAATAAAATATATAGTAATTTCTTAGACCTGACACAGGATAACACTATGTAAGACCTACCTTTGTAATGATGATTACAACTATGTATTGGAAAAGAAAAAAAAGGTAATTAATACAGTATTCCTATAGTTGATGAGTTAATTATGTACTAACCAGTATATATAAATGTTCACAGATCTTATTGAGGAATAATTCCTATCACTTATGGTTCTATACAGGGCCTCTCCTCTTTCTACAATGTCAATCACATAATCAGTTTTTAGCAAAATCTGAAACTATGCATTTAATTTAAAATTTTTTTTTCCTTTCTGCCTCGTATGTCTGATTCATTCAAGCCTACTGTAGATAACAGTTTTAATACATTCTGTTACTGAGCTTTTTGGACTTTGCCTAGAGAACACACTAAGAGTCTCAGATCTTTAATTGAGGCAACCGTATTTAGTACCACTGAAATAAGTGTGAAAACAGCTTGATCATGCAAAGCTTGACATGAAGAAAACACCTGCCTGGTGTTAATAAGATACATGAATTTCAGACAACAGAAAACAAAGAAAATTACCACTTTGTCTATCTTGGTAAAATACCAACAGAATTCTCATTATTTTCATGACATTCAGAAGTTTATTTGAATTTCTATGAAATGTGAACAGAAAAAAATCATATGGATTATGGGCTCCTGGTGGGTGAGGGTTTTTAAAATATTACTGGATTTTTATCCATACTATCAGATTTATTAAGACAAAGTAAAAGAAAAAATAAGGAAAAAATAAATATTTGTTTTGTTCTGGATATTCATTAGAACAAACCAGAGTGATCTGAGAATCAATTTCAAGTATCTTAATAGGCCTGGATGTATTGGACATTAGTGTAAACACACATACCCACTTCTCTTAAGTTTCAGGGTCTCAATAGAAATATGTTGAAAGTTCCTATCAATTGGCACTTTTATGCATAAGAGAAAATCTTTTACTTTCACAAACCTACTTTAGTTGTTTAAGAAAAGGAAAAATCTTAGTAATAATAATACAACAGTCATTAAAGGAATAACTTAGCGCAGATACCATCTTCTGATAATCACCCCTCAGAGCCTTGATTCTAGGCTGTGACATTATCAGTTTGCATTGGTCACCAAACAGCTTTGACATGGTATTACCTAAATCATTGCATTATTACAAGCACAACTGAAAAACTACAACTTCTTTTTTTTTTCAGTGAAGTCAGGAAATTCATCCTCCAACAGGTTGAGAGAATCACTAAGAAAAAAAAAACAGGATTATTCTTGTGTTTGTTGCCAAATTTATACAAGATTTATAAAACGCCAATATCATATGCACTGAATTTTCAGTGTTTTTTGTTTGCTTGCTTCTTTGCCTGTTTGTTTAACATATATAGAATAAATTATCTTGTTAGACTGCTTTCTATTTCTAATGGACATGTGTACACATAATTTTTTGGAAGCAAAGTTACGCCTTGTTTCCTTCCTGGTTATTTATTTTGCCTAAAAAATCTTAGTACCTACACCAAAAGGTAGTTAATATTCATGCATAGTCAGCATTTAGTTGACTGTGATAAATTGTCAAAAGAAAGGATAATTGAAATCTATTGTACTGCCAAATCTAATTCGATATTCTATGCTTAAACTTATATTGTGTCTTACAGTTGGCCATAAGTGCTAATAGACCAACTGAAGATATTTTAATTTTAATTTCTTTCATCCTTCCAAAGATTTTGATAACTTAAAACTTGTATGAATAGTACTTTACAGTTTGTAAGCATTTTGACATAAATTGTCACTTTTGATCTTCCCAATATCCTTATGGGAATGAGAGATTATAGGATTATGGAAGATTTTATTATTCTCACTTTATATATTAATAAATTGGGAAACAGTCATCATGTTCTTAAGGAAATGCAGGTAATCAGCTCTAGAAAAATTAAAAGTCTAGAATTTCAAAGTTTGTTGAATGCATTACATTGCACTGAGAAAACCCATTACCTTTTATCCACAATAACCCCTTCTGTCTCCTTGCTGCCCTGTGTCCATGTCATTCTCTCTACTGTTTCTGGAACTTTGAATGTTTTTCTTCACTTCCCTTACTCCTTTTATGCACACTGTCTTGAATGTCCCTGCTTCTCTCAAATACCTAAATCCTGCTCATCTCTCAAGGTCTAGCATAAGTTTCATCCCCTCCAGGAAGTCTTCCAGCCCCCACTGTTCTTACTTAACAAATATAGCACTTACAGGAATTTATTAAGTTCTTAAATGTTTAATTTATGTGCATCTAAATTCTCCTACCAGATTATAAGCACCTGAGAACAGAGACCAAGTCTTATACTTCTTTGAAACTCACAACATTCTAGCACTGGATATAGATATAATAAATGCTTGCTAAATATTTGGTTATTGTTTAATTACCCAATGGAGACAATGCTGAAACATATCTCATCTTCCTTATCTGCATTTCCATCCATGTGGCTTGTAATGTAGCCTGTATAATCACTTACTATGGTAGAGTTCAGTGTGGGTTTTTTCAATACGTTCATACATCAATTGACCCTAACATTAATTTCTAACTGTCAATGACGCCCAGTCATATGACCTAGGGGATCGAATTAACTACACATTCCTGATGGATTCCCTGAATAGAGTAAACATTTGGGCCATATTTCAGCATTGAGAACAGGAACAGAAGACATTATGCTGTGATTGCATTTCTATAGAATTACATTAGCATTACCCATTCTGCTAGTCATAATTTCTCAGCAGATCAGGGATATCTATCAATAGTATTTCCTGTGATATAGCACATGAAAATGCATTCCATTATTCATTAGAAGTGTTGCTGATCAAGTATATTATCCTTATAAACTTACTCTTTAAGAAAGAAATGTTTATATGAAAATAACATACTTAAGAGTCATTATGTGAAAAAAGTATGTCACTGTATGACAGTTTGACTCTTCTGAAATGTAAGTGTTCGGTTTAATCAAATAACTGCTTTTGTTCATATTTTAAGGTGAATTTGGAGAAGTCTGTAGTGGGCGTTTGAAGACACCAGGGAAAAGAGAGATCCCAGTTGCCATTAAAACTTTGAAAGGTGGCCACATGGATCGGCAAAGAAGAGATTTTCTAAGAGAAGCTAGTATCATGGGCCAGTTTGACCATCCAAACATCATTCGCCTAGAAGGGGTTGTCACCAAAAGTAAGTTACTGAGTTTCTTCATTACTTCTTTCACACACCTATCTCAGTTTTTTTTTAAGAAAAGGAAAAATCTTCATAATAATACCACAGTCATTAAAGGAATAACTTAGTTCAGATATCATCACCCCCTCAGAGACTTGATCCTAGGCTGTGACATTATCAGAGTTTGCATTGGTCACCAAACAGCTTTGACATGGTATTACCTGCAAATCATTCCTAACATAACTTAAAGTAATGAATCAAGAGTAAAGGGTTATGTGTTTTTGCTTTGTTTTGTTTTGTGTTTTGAAATGTCAATAGTAACAGAACAAACACTTTCAGTGTTTTGGGTCATTAAGGTAAAATATTTCTGTTTAGAAATAAATGTCATATACAAATATAAAATGCTTTACCTGGAGTAAAACTTATAAACAAAAATTCGGCATGGAACCTATATAAATGGCATTAGGAGTAAATTATTATAATTTATATAAAATGAAAAAAGTTTACAATTCCTCAAGTAAAAATTCTTCTTTCACAGAAATAATGGAACAAAGTTTATTCCTTTGAAAAGAAATGTTTTCAAAAATCCAAAATTAGCAATATCCTCTAAGAAATAGATTGCTATATATTCACTTTCATTTGAAAAATGATAGGGCATAAAATATGACAATATTTCTCATTACTTTATTCACTAAGAATTATTATATATAAAATCCAATACAGATTTGGCCTTTTAAAAATAACTTCAATCCTTGAAAGAGGCATTTTTCTTTCATAAAAATAACATTTATTTTAAAATCTTTTAAATAAAATTGTAACTTTATGTCATATTTGGAAGCAGGAAAGTATAAAAGCTTACTAAAGAGGTGCAATTGACTCTGTGTCTGAAACACCTAAGTCCTTCTCACAAGGCATTGTCCAACATGCTACCCAAAATGAATAGATTCCTGACAGCTATGAAAGTTTGGAAGACAGAAAAGAATGCTTCTGATGACAGATGTTGCAGTGGACTATTACTTTAGTGGCCTTAATGGGGCATTTCAGTGTTCATGTCGTTGTGTAGTTTTTTCCCATATTGATTCTGGGCTTTTCTATGTAACAAACCTTGGCCAATGGGACATTAGCAAGTGTGATGCAAGTAAAGGCATCTTACATGTTTGTACGTTGGAGCTTGTCCTCTTGCCACACTCTTTCCTGGAACGAGTCTCTATGCCTAATAAAGGCAATCCATAAGATGAGGCCACATGCAGTACTCCAAAGAAGAGAACTGAGGTGATTCAGCCAATATCCACATCTGAACTCCAAGCGGAATGTCAGCACTGAATGCAGCCTTGTGAGTGAACCATCTCTGATGTTACAACTCCACTACAACTGCTATTAGATAGCTATAGCTGTGGTTGACATCTTGTGCAGGAAAGGAACCATGCACCTCCATCCCATCAACCCATAAATCACAAAAGATGATTAAATGGTTGTTGTTTTAAGCCACTAAGTTTCAGATGGTTTGTTGCACAGCAATAGATAACCAAACAGATGGACCCCAGTTAGAATTCTGCTCCTGCCACTTAAGAATTATGCAGCTATGGGTAAATTACTTAACATCTGTATCCTTTACTTCCACATCTGTAAAATGGGACAGGAATGCTGTAAGAATTAAATTTGTCAATGTGTAATACATTTAGCACCCTTTGTGCATCATTGTAAACCACATTCAATAATATTCTTTATTGGGACTATATGTGCTAGCACTTTATACGTATACGTTACCATTTCATTCTCACAGCAACCCTAATTGATATCATTATCTACATTTTATGTATGAGAAACGAAGGCCCAGGCAGGTTAACTAACCCACATAAGGACCTTTAACCTACAGTATGTGGCATGACTAGTGTTCAAAATGAAGTCTGTCTCACTTTAAAACCCACCCCCCCCTTTTTTTTTTTTTGCTTTTGCTATATCCCTTTGAATGAGTTTTATACTTTAATTATCTTATTTGAATTGAACAACATTAAATAAATAACAATCTGAATTAAATAACATAATTCTGCCTTTCAGAATAGGAAAAAAATATTCAGGTAGAGTGATGTTAATTGCCCCTAAGATATAAAATTTGGAAAGAGCCAGCTATGCCATAACACCTGGTAAAGATTATGACCTAAAAGAGAGAAACAGAGAGACAGAAGAAATAGATGTTAATTATTTCTTTCATATTTTCTGACTTCCTTGTTATTAATTTAACATGAACATTTCAAGTTATTCCTTCTGTATTATATATCTCTGGCAGGCAAAAGATAATTTTCAAGTTGGGTTATGAACCTTTGCAGAGCATTTTAAATCACAATTTAAGCATGATGTTGAAGTCCTCTGATGTGTGTTTATGCATGAAACATCTGGAAATGAGCATCCAACAATAAATTAAAAGGTTTAAAAAGCGTCATATCTTTATTTTCTTACTTTAATAAATCAAATTATGCCTTTCTCCTTATATGTGAATTACACATCTATCCTTTCTCAATCACAGACACACACACACACACACGAAAAGGAAAAAAGATGTATATCCCTGTGAAATAGTGGGAATCATTTATCCTACATCAACTAAATATGTTTAATAAGGTATTATGTGGTACTTGCCTGCCAGTTTGAAATAGTTTATTTCACATAAGCATCCAACATAGTGATTGCTTTACAACTCTAAGAATCTCATCTAGAAATGAGACCAGTGACCTCTACTTAGCCACATTTATATGATTTACAAGTCAAGGTTTTTGTTCCACTTCTTAAAAAAAAGAAATAAAATAAAAATCTCATATCTGTTATAGGAAAACGGATTGAGAAAGGATAGATTCAGTATACTGTTGAGTGACAATCACCATTGTAGCATTAACTTGTTAGAGTGAGCCCCGTATAGGGTGGTGTGGAGCTACCAAGGTGGGTTGTAGAGATGGAGAAGGGAATAATCCTCGTAAAGATAAATGGGCAGGTTTATATTGTTATCATCTTGACTCAAGTGCTATGGGACTGTTAGAAGAAAGCCAATAAATAAATGAGTGCCTCATTCCCATAAATTCATAGTAATTATTCCAAGATTACCCTTAAGTAGCTAAGAGATAGCTAGCAATTAATGCTCCCAAAGGACTACCCATTGCATAAAAGATAATACTGATCAAGATAAAGATGCAGTATAGGCTTATAAGGGCATGTTTGTAGAGTATCCTGGGATTCTGAGAAATAAATTCATAGACTCTCAGTTGAAAGTAATTCAAAATCTAGATCAAAATCTTCATCAGATTCTTTTACAAATTCTTAATATGCATTTTTTTTTATCTCATATAGGATTTATCTCTGAAAGACAAGTGTTATAAAGTTCTTGGGAACACTTTGGCTCTCTTTCATATTTGGGCATTATTTTAAACTTAAAAGTTAAATGATTAAAAGCTGTATTATCCAAAAAACTGTGTTTGATAAGAGTTGAACCTATTTGTTTGATATGCATCACAATTTCATTAACCTATTAAGA
Organism: Homo sapiens; assembly: GCF_000001405.40. NCBI lineage: Eukaryota > Metazoa > Chordata > Mammalia > Primates > Hominidae > Homo > Homo sapiens. The sequence continues at coordinate 97,536,049 of NC_000003.12, forward strand.
TACAAGTGATATAAAAAGAGATTAATTGACCCATAACCATATGCTTAGTACATACTTTTTCTCCAAGAAGCAAATAGAAGCCATAAGTTAGAGGACAGACTTGTAGCCATTAATAGCACAGATAATAGCAATTTGTAACAGATAACATATACACCGGTGTCATTAACTATATAACCAACAGAGAAAGAGCTACGGTTCTACAAAAAAGCAAGAACTATGGTTTAATGATGAAGAAATACTGTGCAGTAACCACACTTCAGAATACTGGGCTCTGCAGTTTGAATTTATGATGATGGAAGAACCAAAAAGAGAAAAATGAAGTGCCTACCTCCCAGCTTAGACAGCAACAACTAAATTTAGATATGCCAACTGTATCTAAAATAAATCCTAAATCCAGTAAAGAGCAATAGAAACCAATCAGGGTAGCAAACAAATTCCCAAACATAATTTCATTTCATAAAAATATTCCCTAAATATTCCATGAGACAGTATTGAAGTTATAACAGAAAGTGCTGCGCTTGCTCAAAACCCCCTTTAATACTCAAGAATATTGTGGGTTCCTTCTGGAGAGGCAGAGTGGGTCCACATGGGATCTGGGTAAGAGAGTAGATTCAAGCCAGCCAAATACATTTTAGTACTTGCACAAAAACTGCTTCTCTGGTTCCAGAATTTTGTTCTGCTTGTTAAGTAATAGGCATTCCCCAAAATTTCTGCTACTGTATTACTGTATTAGCTATGACATCTGCTGCTCTACCTGGTTATATTTGGGACAGTCCCATAACCACTTTGGGCCTTAATTTTCACCACCACACACAAAAAAACGAAAAGTGTAAGTAAATTAGACTAGAAAACATTAAAGGTCACATTTACCTTTAATATTTTGTGATTCCATTTTGTTTTTAAAAGAAGAGTCATGAGATGTTGGTGAGGTTTAAAATTTGTGCCAGTGATAACTTACCACTCCACCTCCAACTTTATTATAACTTCAGGTGCATATTGATGACCCAATAAGAAAATAGAAAAGTTCAGGAAGAAATAAGCAAAGAAAAAAACAGTGCCTTTGATAAAGTTTTCAACTTATAATTTGTAAAGTAGAAAAGTTATAGGTAAAATTTTTCTGTAAGTAAAATCAAGGTTGGGATATGTATAATATACATTGTATGGGGTAAAATATTCTGTATGTCTGATTTTACTGATATACATTAGATTTTTTTTACCCCTGAGGTTCAGCTCCTAGTTAAGGTAGGTTAAGAGTCTATTGGTTTTTGTTCTTCCCCCAAACCCAAGAAATATTTAGTGAGTTTGACCAGGTATTAGGCCCTATTGCTGATTAAAACCTAGTGATAGAGAAAAGAAGGCTCAGTGCTCTTGAGAAGCCCATTTGTTGGTGCCAGTCCACTGGGAGCAACAAATAAGTGTGTCATTATTTCCCAATATGGTGTGGTGTGTGCTGTTTTCGTTATAATTATTCAATAATTTTTAAATTTATTCATTCAGCAAATATTTATTTAGTGTCCATTTTTCTAGTCAACTTTTGTTTGTTTGTTTGAGACGGAGTTTCACTCTGTCACCCAGGCTGGAGTGCAGTGGCACGATCTTGACTCACTGCAACCTCCACCTCCCAGGTTCAAGTGATTATCCTCCCTCAACCTCCCAAGTAGCTGGGATCACAGGTGTACGCCACCAAGTCCAGCTAATTTTTGTATTTTTAGTAGAGACAGGGTTTCACCATGTTGGCCAGGCTGGTCTCGAACTCCCAACCTCAAGTGATCCACCTACCTCGGCCTCCCAAAGTGCTGGGATTATAGGCATGAGCCACAGCACCTGGCCTCTAGTCACTGTTAATACAGTAATGAAAAAAGACAGAACTAACTGCTAGAGGAGACAAAAAGAAATCTAAATATTTAAATGTAACTTTAGGTAAAGAGCAAAAACCTGAATGCAGGGAGGGAGCAAACCATGCCTAGGTGTGATAGAAGAGTATTCTAGAGAGAGGAAACCACTAGTTACATACTTTTGTTTTAAGAAAGAATTTGGCATGTTAGAGGAGCACCTAATAAGCAAAGTAATAATAGTGTGGATTACATAGTGAAAGGAGAAACTAGGGGCAGACAAAATATAAGGAGGCTAGTGTAGTATTCCAAGTAAAAAATAAGGAGAAAATAGAGTAAAGAAGTCAAGAGAAAAAGAAAGGGATAGATTCTAGATCTACTTCCTAGGTGAAATTAAGACACTTCAGTGACTTCTTGATTGTATAGGGGGAATGAGGACGATGGAACAGTTTCAAATGACTTCCAAGTGAATGGTTTCCATAAGTAAAAAGATGGAGAGGGAATTCTGGAGAAATAACAGATCTAGAGGGAAAATAGTGAATTCTTATTTGGACATGCTAAGTTTAAGGTGTCTGTGACATTTAGTTAAAGACTTCCAGAATGTCCCTGGAGCCTGAGTGGGCTGCAGGTTCAAAAGAAGGAGAACTCGATAGATGGCTGATGGTTGGTAGTTGAAGTCATAGGGAGGATGAGATTACCCAGAAGATTGAGGAGAACTAGCATTAAGAGGCCAACTGAAGAAGAGAAGTGTATGAAAAAGACAGAGGAGCAACCTGAAAAGCAAAGGACAGGTTTCTAAGAGTGAGAGAGAGGTCAATAGAATAAAATGAGCTGAGAAACCAACTTAGATGGATTGAGAAGCGTCCATTGGATAGGGCAGAGGGCACAGCTCATGAAGCATATCATGGGAATGGAGGCCAGATGGCAATGGATTTAGAGTGAGATATGTGCACACTGCAATCAGATTCAAAGATGTTAAAATGCAAATTAGATTGTGTTGATTCCTTACTTAAATTCCAAATGTTCAGCATTTTTCAGTTAATCATTAATCTAGTAATATTTATGAACTGCCTAGCTACTACATACTGGACACTTTCTCTCTCTTTCTTTCTTTCTTTCTTTCTTTCTTTCTTTCTTTCTTTCTTTCTTTCTTTCTTGCTTTCTTTCTTTCTTTTTCTCTTTCTTCCCTTCCTTCCTTCCTTCCTTCCTTCCTTCCTTCCTTCCTTTCTTTCTTTCTTTCTTTCTTTTTCTTTCTTTCTTTCTTTCTTCTTTCTTTTTTTTTTTTGAGACACAGCCTCCCTCTGTTGCCTAGGCTGGAGTGCAGTCGCAAGATCTGGGCTCACTGCAACCTTTGCCTCCCTGGTTCAAGCAATTCTCCTGCGGCAGCCTCCTGAGTAGCTGGGACTACAGGCACATACCACCATGCCTGGCTAATTTTTGTATTTTTCGTAGAGATGGGGTTTCGCCGTGTTGGCCAGACTGGTCTCAAACTCCTGACCTCAAGTGATCTACCTGTCTTGGCCACGGGAAGTGCTAGGATTACAGGCATGAGCCATCACACCTGCCGTTCCAGGCACTTTTCTAAGCATTAGGTGTTCAGTAATGAATAAGAAAGCCAATGTGCCTGTCGTCCTGGGTCAGGTCCCTGAGTCTACCTCCTCTGGTTTCATTGTCCACCATTCTTCTTGAATCCTAGATTGCATTCATGATGAATGACAATGGTGTCTCCAAACTTGCTCCTCATTTCTCCCAGGTTTCTCTTCTTTTTCTAAATCTGCAAGGAGCTAGAAGACAATGGCCCAGGCTGATCCTAAATGGGTACAAAAGTAAATAACTGTGATATGAAAAGGATTGTGGTATCTATAACACTCAACTTCCTTTCAAGACTGGAGTTAGCAGTCTTCCTTTATTTCAATGATGTGAGAAGCAGGATCATTTGCTGAGGTGGACAGCAAGACTGAGGATTGAGATGCTTGTGAATGCTTGAAGTAGCTCCCATGAAGAATGTGAAAGAAAGCTGACCAGGAAATAATAGAAAGATTGAGGACATCACTGAGGATTCAGGAACCTGGAGATCATGACAGAAGCTGCTGCCCCAAAAAGCACTGTTATTAATTAGGGAAAGAGTTATAGGATGAAGATGAGAAGAGATTAAATCCAAGGGAAAAGGGAAAACTGGGAGGCAGCAGCAAGAGAAGAAATGGTAATTTTCTGTACTTTCTCTGTTCTTCTACCAACCTTAGTACTTTTTGCTGTTGTTCAAAAAATAAATGGTGATTTACTGTGCTTTCTCTCTTCTACCAACCTTAATACTTTTTGCTGTTGTTCAAGAAAATAAATTATTCTTGTGCAATTTCTAGAGGCTTGATGGATTCTCAGGACATTTACTGGGAACTATTTGCCATGTGGAATTATAATGTACACATATTGATAAACAGAAAACGAACTAAGTGTGACTGTAACAGTGACTAGATGACATAGCCTGATGACCCTGTGTATCACACTCTGTTCAAGCAGGTCTAGGGATAATTGGAATCACTGGCTTATTTTCTCTCTTCCAGAGCACACTTCCCTTCTTATAAGAAAAGAATAAACTCTTTCTGTATGCAGGAATAATTTATTGGTTGTCCTTCTAGTGTTTAAATATCTGGGTTTTCTCAAGGTCATTCATTCAAATCACCTCCCTAGAATTACCTCTAACCTATTCCCTAGTTCTGTGGTTTTCTCCTGCCCCTAAACTATGCTGCTAATTGTCGGGTAGACTACACTATGTAGTAACAGCTGTAAAAACATCTAGTAACAAGTTTCTCAGTGTGAAGGTATCATTGTAAACAGTAAGAGCCAAAAAAAGAAGAGAATATAAATGCACTTTTATGCATACATAATGTTTTCTTTTATACTGCTAAATAAAATTGAATAAAGCCATCTAAAGGATGAAATCTTATTGACTTTCAAAGAATAAAAAATCTCTCCCAAATCATTCATGATATGATTTGTTCTAGATAAAGAGTGTGATAAATCCAAATTGGGAAGGGCTGTAGATAAACCCATATTACAGGCATGAATTCGCATCCAGGAATTCAGGAGAGTAAGAACCAACCTGCCAGGCTGCAGGATAAGGCAATCAATCATCACTGAGAAATCTTCACCAAGTTTCTAATGGTCTTATGTAGGGCTGGATAAAAACCGGTAAAAATCTTCATCACTGAAAATTTAACAGACCCCCTTTTAATGCAATTTCTAGTTAAAAAAAATCCATGAAATTAACAAATGAAAATCTGGTAAGGTCCTCATTTAATCCAATGATGACATTTTAATGCTAGTTTTCTTGTGGTTGCTGCTGCTGTTGTCAGAATATGTTACCGTGCCATTTTTCAAATTTTCATTTTGGTATAATTTCAGTCTTATAGAAAAAGTTGTAAAAATATTACAGTTCTCATATAACCTTCACTAACTTTCCCCTGTAATTTTAGTATTTTGCATAATCATAAGATTATTTTCAAAACCAAAAAATAAATATTAGTATGGTAGTATTAATTAGGTTGGTGCAAAAGTCATCATGACTTTGCCATTAAAACTTAAAAGACTTTTGCATCAACCTAATACTAAACTATAGACTTTCATTCAGGTTTTGTCAGGTTTTTCACTAATGTCCTTTTCGCTGCTCCAGGATCCAGTCCAGGATCCCACACTGCATTTTGTTATCACGTCTCATTAGTATTTTCAAATCTGTGACAATTCTTCAACCTTTCCTTGTCTTTTATGACCTTGAAACCTTTCATGTGCACTAATCAGTTATTTTGTAGACTGTCCCTCAGTTCGGGTGTGTCTTGTTTTCTTTTTTTTGTTTTTTTTTTTTTGTTTGTTTGTTTTAAAGAAGTTTGTTGTTGTTGTTTTTAATTTTTAAAAATAATTTCAACTTTTATGTTAGATTCAGAAGGTCCCTGTACAGGTGTGCTGTATTAGTCAGGGTTCTCTTAGAAGGACAGAACTAATAGGATATATATATATAAAGGGGAGTTAATATTAAGTATTAACTCACATGATTAGAAGGTCCCACAATAGGCCATCTGCAAGCTGAGGAGCAAGGAGAGCCAATCTGAGTGGCAAACTGAAGAACTTGGAGTCCGATGTTCGAGGGCAGGAAGCATCCAGCACAGGACAAAGATGTAGACTGGGAGGCTAGGCCTGTCTTGTCGCTTCATGTTTTTTTGTTTTTTTTTTTTTATACTTTACGTTTTAGGGTACATGTGCACAATGTGCACCTTTGTTACATACGTATACATGTGCCATGTTGGTGTGCTGCACCCATTAACTCATCATTTAGCATTAGGTATATCTCCTAATGCTATCCCTCCCCTCTCCCCGCACCCCACTACAGTACCCAGTGTGTGTGATGTTTCCCTTCCTGTGTCCATGTGTTCTCATTGTTCAATTCCCACCTATGAGCGAGAGCATGCGGTGTTTGGTTTTTTGTCCTTCTGATATTTTGCTGAGAATGATGGTTTCCAGTTTCATCCATGTCCCTACAAAGGACATGAACTCATCATTTTTTATGGCTGCATAGTATTCCATGGTGTATATGTGCCACATTTTCTTAATCCAGTCTATCATTGTTGGACATTTAGGTTGGTTCCAAGTCTTTGCTATTGTGAATAGTGCTGCTATAAACATACGTGTGCATGTGTCTTTATAGCAGCATGATTTATAATCCTTTGGGTATATACCCAGTAATGGGATTCGTGGGTCAAATGGTATTTCTAGTTCTAGATCCCTGAAGAATCACCACACTGACTTCCACAATGGTTGAACTAGTTTACAGTCCCACCAACAGTGAAAAAGTATTCCTATTTCTCCACATCCTCTCCAGCACCTGTTGTTTCCTGACTTTTTAATGATCGCCATTCTAACTGGTGTGAGATGGTATCCCATTGTGGTTTTGATTTGCATTTCTCTGATGGCCAGTGATGATGAGCATTTTTTCGTGTGTTTTTTGGCTGCATAAATGTCTTCTTGTGAGAAGTGTCTGTTCATATCCTTTGCCCACTTTTTGATGGGGTTGTTTGATTTTTTCTTGTAAATTTGTTTGAGTTCATTGTAGATTCTGGATATTAGCCTTTTGTCAGATGAATAGATTGCAAAAATTTTCTCCCACTTTGTAGGTTGCCTGTTCAGTCTAATGGTAGTTTCTTTTGCTGTGCAGAAGCTCTTTAGTTTAACTAGATCCCATTTGTCAATTTTGTCTTTTGTTGCCATGCTTTTGGTGTTTTAGACATGAAGTCCTTGCCCATGCCTATGTCCTGAATGGTATTGCCTAGGTTTTCTTCTAGGGTTTTTATGGTTTTAGGTCTACCATTTAAGCCTTTAATCCATCTTGAATTGATTTTTGTATAAGGTGTAAGGAAGGGATCCAGTTTCAGCTTTCTACATATGGCTAGCCAGTTTTCCCAGCACCATTTATTAAATAGGGAATCCTTTCCCCATTGCTTGTTTTTCTCAGGTTTGTCAAAGATCAGATAGCTGTAGATATGCAGCATTATTTCTGAGGGCTCTGTTCTGTTCCATTGGTCTATATCTCTGTTTTGGTACCAGTACCATGCTGTTTTGGTTACTGTAGCCTTGTAGTATAGTTTGAAGTCAGGTAGCGTGCTGCCTCCAGCTTTGTTCTTTTGGCTTAGGATTGACTTGGCTATGTGGGCTCTTTTTTGGTTCCATATGAACTTTAAAGTAGTTTTTTCCAATTCTGTGAAGAAAGTCGTTGGTAGCTTGATGGGGATGGCATTGAATCTATAAATTACCTTGGGCAGTATGGCCATTTTCACGATATTGATTCTTCCTACCCATGAGCATGGAATGTTCTTCCATTTGTTTGTCTCCTCTTTTATTTCCTTGAGCAGTGGTTTGTAGTTCTCCTTGAAGAGGTCCTTCACATCCCTTGTGAGTTGGATTCCTAGGTATTTTATTCTCTTTGAAGCAATTGTGAATGGGAGTTCACTCATGATTTGGCTCTCTGTCTGTTATTGGTGTATAAGAATGCTTGTGATTTTTGTACATTGATTTTGTATCCTGAGACTTTGCTGAAGTTGCTTATCAGCTTGTGGAGATTTTGGGCTCAGATGATGGGGTTTTCTGGATATACAATCATGTCATCTGCCAACAGGGACAATTTGACTTCCTCTTTTCCTAATTGAATACCCTTTATTTCCTTCTCCTGCCTGATTGTCCTAGCCAGAACTTCCAACACTATATTGAATAGGAGTGGTGAGAGAAGGCATCCCTGTCTTGTGCCCATTTTCAAAGGGAATGCTTCCAGTTTTTGCCCATTCAGTATGATATTGGCTGTGGGTTTGTCATAGATAGCTCTTATTATTTTGAGATACGTCCCATCAATACCTAATTTATTGAGAGTTTTTAGCATGAAGGGTTGTTGAATTTTGTCAAAGGCCTTTTCTGCATCTATTGAGATAATCATGTGGTTTTTGTCTTTGGTTCTGTTTATATGCTGGATTACATTTATTGATTTGCGTATGTTGAACCAGCCTTGCATCCCACGGATGAAGCCCACTTGATCATGGTGGATAAGCTTTCTGATGTGCTGCTGGATTCGGTTTGCCAGTATTTTACTGAGGATTTTTGCATCGATGTTCATCAAGGACATTGGTCTAAAATTCTCTTTTTTTGTTGTGTCTCTGCCAGGCTTTGGTATCAGGATGATGCTGGCCCATAAAATGAGTTAGGGAGGATTCACTCTTTTTCTATTGATTAGAATAGTTTCAGAAGGAATGGTACCAGCTCCTCTTTGTACCTCTGGTAGAATTCGGCTGTGAATCCATCTGGTCCTGGACTTTTGTTGGTTGGTAAGCTATTGATTATTGCCTCAATTTCAGAGCCTGTTATTGGTCTATTCAGAGATTCAACTTCTTCCTGGTTTAGTCTTGGGAGGATGTATGTGTCGAGGAATTTATCCATTTCTTCTAGATTTTCTAGTTTATTTGCATAGAGGTGTTTATAGTATTCTCTGATGGTAGTTTGTATTTCTGTGGGAAATTTGCGTCTATTTGATTCTTCTCTCTTTTCTTCTTTATTAGGCTTGCTAGTGGTCTATCAATTTTGTTGATCCTTTCAAAAAACCAGCTCCTGGATTCATTAATTTTTTGAAGGGTTTTTTTGTGTCTCTATTTCTTTCAGTTCTGCTCTGATCTTAGTTATTTCTTGCCTTCTGCTAGCTTTTGAATTTGTTTGCTCTTGCTTTTCTAGTTCTTTTAATTGTGATGTTAGGGTGTCAATTTTAGATCTTTCCTGCTTTCTCTTGTGGGCATTTAGTGCTATAAATTTCCCTCAACACACTGCTTTGAATGTGTCCCAGAGATTCTGGTATGTTGTGTCTTTGTTCTCGTTGGTTTCAAAGAACATCTTTATTTCTGCCTTCATTTCATTATTTACCCAGTAGGTCATTCAGGAGCAGGTTGTTCAGTTTCCATGTAGTTTAGGGTTTTGAGTGAGTTTCTTAATCCTGAGCTCTAGTTTGATTGTACTGTGGTCTGAGAGACAGTTTGTTGTAATTTCTATTCTTTTACATTTGCTGAGGAGTGCTTTACTTCCAACTGTGTGGTCAATTTTGGAATAGGTGTCGTGTGGTGCTGAAAAGAATGTATACTCTGTTGATTTGGGGTGGAGAGTTCTGTAGATGTCTATTAGGTCCACTTGGTGCAGAGCTGAGTTCAATTCCTGGGTATCCTTGCTAACTTTCTGTCTCGTTTATCTGTCTAATGTTGACAGTGGGGTGTTAAAGTCTCTCATTATTATTGTGTGGGAGTCTAAGTCTCTTTGTAGGTCACTAGGGACTTGCTTTATGAATCTGGGTGCTCCTGTATTGGGTGCATATATATTTAGGATAGTTAGCTCTTCTTGCTGAATTAATCCCTTTACCATTATGTAATGGCCTTCTTTTTCTCCTTTGATCTTTGTTGGTTTAAAGTCTGTTTTATCAGAGACTAGGATTGCAACCCCTGCCTTTTTTTGTTTTCCATTTGCTTGGTAGATCTTCCTCCATCCCTTTATTTTGAGCCTATGTGTGTCTCTGCACATAAGATGGGTTTCCTGAATACAGCACACTGATGGGTCTTGACTCTTTATCCAATTTGCCAGTCTGTGCTTTTAATTGGAGCATTTAGCCCATTTACATTTAAAGTTAATATTGTTATGTGTGAATTTGATCCTATCATTATGATGTTAGCTGGTTATTTTGCTCATTAGTTGATGCAGTTTCTTCCTAGCCTTGATGGTCTTTACAATTTGGCATGTTTTTGCATTGGCTGGTACTGGTTGTTCCTTTCCATGTTTAGTGCTTCCTTCGGGAGCTCTTTTAGGGCAGGCCTGGTGGTGACAAAATCTCTCAGCATTTGCTTGTCTGTAAAGGATTTTATTTCTCCTTCACTTATGAAGCTTAGTTTGGCTGGATATGAAATTCTGGGTTGAAAATTCTTTTCTTTAAGAATGTTGAATATTGGTCCCCACTCTCTTCTGGCTTGTAGAGTTTCTGCAGAGAGATCAGCTGTTAGTCTGATGGGCTTCCCTTTGAGGGTAACCCGACCTTTCTCTCTGGCTGCCCTTAACATTTTTTCCTTCATTTCAACTTTGGTAAATCTGACAATTATGTGTCTTGGGGTTGCTCTTCTCGAAGAGTATCTTTGTGGAGTTCTCTGTATTTCCTGAATTTGAATGTTGGCCTGCCTTGCTATATTTGGGAAGTTCTCCTGGATAATATCCTGCAGAGTGTTTTCCAACTTGGTTCCATTCTCCCCATCACTTTCAGGTACACCAATCAGACGTAGATTTCGTCTTTTCACATAGTCCCATATTTCTTGGAAGCTTTGTTCATTTCTTTTTATTCTTTTTTCTCTAAACTTCTCTTCTCACTTTATTTTGTTCATTTCCTCTTCCATCACTGATACCCTTTCTTCCAGTTGATCACAGCGGCTACTGAAGCATCTGCATTCGTCACGTAGCTCTCATGCCTTGGTTTTCAGCTCCATCAGGTCCTTTAAGGACTTCTCTGCATTGGTTATTCTAGTTATCCATTCGTCTACTTTTTTTTCAAAGCTTTTAACTTCTTTGCCATTGGTTCGAATTTCATCCTGTAGCTCGGAGTACTTTTATCGTCTGAAGCCTTCTTCTGTCAGCTCATCAAAGTCATTCTCCGTCCATCTTTGTTCCATTGGTGGTGAGGAGCTGCATTCCTCTGGAAGAGGAGAGGTGCTCTGCTTTTTAGAGTTTCCAGTTTTTCTGCTCTGTTGTTTTCCCATCTTTGTGGTTTTATCTACCTTTGGTCTTTGATGATGGTGATGTACAGATGGGTTTTTGGTGTGGATGTCCTTTCTGTTTTTTAGTTTTCCTTCTAACAGAGAGGACCCTTAGATGCAGGTCTGTTGGAGTTTGCTAGAGGTCCACTCCAGACCCTGTCTCCCTGGGTTTCAGCAGCGGTGGCTACCGAACAGCAGATGTGGGTGAACCGCAAATGCTGCTGCCTGATTGTTCCTCTGAAAGTTTTGTCTCAGAGGAGTACCCGGCTGTGTGAGGTGTCAGTCCGCCCATACTGGGGGGTGCCTCCCAGTTAGGCTACTTGGGGGTCAGGGACCCAGTTGAGGAGGCAGTCTGCCTGTTCTCAGATCTCAAGCTGCGTGCTGGGAGAACCACTACTCTCTTCAAAGCTGTCAGAGAGGGACATTTAAGTCTGCAGAGGTTACTGCTGTCTTTTTGTCTGTGCCCTGCCCCCAGAGGTGGAGCCTACAGAGGCAGGCAGGACTCCTTGAGCTGTGGTGGGCTCCACCCAGTTCGAGCTTCCCAGCTGCTTTGTTTACCTAATCAAACAACTAACTCAGCAATGGTGGCGCCCCTCCCCCAGCCTCACTGCCGCCTTGCAGCTGGATCTTAGACTGCTGTGCTAGCAATGAGCGAGACTCTGTGGGCGTAGGACCCTCCAAGCCATGTGTGGGATATAATCTCCTGGTGTGCCATTTTTTAAGCCCATTGGAAAAGCACAGTATTAGGGTGGGAGTGACCCAATTTTCCAGGTGCCGTTTGTCACCCCTTTCTTTGACTAGGAAAGGGAATTCCCTGACCCCTTGTGCTTCCCGGGTGAGGTGACGCCTCGCCCTGCTTTGGCTCATGCACGGTGCGCTGTACCCACTGTCCTGCACCTACTGTCTGGCACTCCCCAGTGAGATGAACCCGGTTCCTCAGTTGGAAATGCAAAATCACCCGTCTTCTGTGTGGCTCACACTGGGAGCTGTAGACCGGAGCTGTTCGTATTCGGCCATCTTGGCTCCTCCTGGGTGTGTCTTGTTTTCTAATGATTAGATTATGGTTATGCATTTTTGGCAGTGGCATCACAGAAATTATACACCGTTCTCAGTGCATTGTATCAGGGGGCACATGATGCCCACATGCTTTATTCGTGAGGATGTTAGCATGGAGCACTTGATTAAGAGAGTATCTTCTAGATTACTACACTATAAAGTTATTTTTCCCTTTTTGTAAAAAATATATATTTTGGGGAGGGATAATTTAGGCTTTGCAAATATCCTATTTCTTCTCAAACTTTTGTGCACTAATTTTATCATCCATCCATAATTTTCTTTTGTATTTGAATGTTGATTTTCCTATTTCTCTCTTGCCTTCTGTATTTGTCAATTAGAATTCTTCTCTACAGAAGAGCTCTATTTCAGATTGTTCTATACATAGAATTATGCAATATGTAGCCTTTGGATTTGGCTTCATTCTCTTAGCAGAATGCATGTGAAATTCATCCATATTTTTTGTTGTTGTGTAATATTCCTTTGTACGCAAGCACCCTAGTTGGTTTTTGTATCCAGTGGTTGAAGGACACCTGGGATGTTTCCAGTTTGAGTGATTATTGATAAAACTTGTATAAACAATCACATACAGGTTTTTATGTAAACATATACAATCATGCACCCCATAACTATTTTATGTCAATGGTGGATTGCACATACGAAGGTGAAGCCATCGGATTATAATGGAGCTGGAAAACTCCTATCACCCAGTGACATCCTAGCCATCCTAATATAGTGCAAAGTATTACTCACTTGTGGGTGATGATGCTGGCATAAACAAACATACTGCACTGCTAGGCATGTAAAAGTCTAGCATATACAATTATACACTGTACATAATGCTTGATAATAAATGACTATGTTACTGGTTTGTGTATTAGCTAACTATACATTTTATCATTAATTTCAGAGTGTACTCCTATTTATTAAAAAATGTTTACTATAAAACACTATGTGGTTTATGCCAGCAGCAGCCTCAGGCATCATGTGTTTACTGCCTCTTGTTTACATCGTATTCTCTTGTGCTTGATTTAATCTTGTGTGGTTTTGTGGCCCCTAAATGTGCAAAATCCACTGCTAATGTTGCCAGGAAGAGGCTACATTAAGTGATTGACTTGCAAACACTAAAGGTGATTAAAGATGAGAAAATTGGAAAATCACTGATAATTGTTGCTCACCAGTCAGGCATGTCCCATTCCACCATAGCTATGATCTTGAAGAATAAGAACAAAATGTCAGAATCTGTTAAAGGATCTGCTTCATTGGAGGCAGCAAGACTAACAAAACTTGAAGAAGGGCCTATATCAGATGTGAAGAAACCTCGAATGACTCTGGATTGAACACCAGACACAGAAATGTAGCTCTCTCAGAACCCTGATCATCTTGGCCAAAGCAAAAAGTTTGTTTACAATGTTGAAATAAAAGGCTGGTGGGCATTGTGGCACACACCTGTAGTCCCAGCTACTCAGGAGGCTGAGGCAGGAGAAAAACTGGAACTCAGGAGGCAGAGGTAGCAGTGAGCCGAGCATCATGCTACTGCACTCCAGCCTGGGCGACAAGGCGAGACTCTGTCTCCAAAATAATAAAATAAAATAAAATAAAATAAATAAAATAAAATAAAAGTCTGGACCCATCTATGTTGAATTTCCTGCTAGCTCTGGGGGCTTAAAAATTCAATAATCATTATTCATTACATATGTGAAAATGAGAGTGAGTGGTGAGTCTGTGAGTGTTCATGTAAAAGCAGCTGAAGAATTTTTGAAAACTCTAGATAAGCTGATTGTGAAGGAAAATTATTTGCCAAAGCAAATCTCCAGTATGGATGAAACCTCCCTATTCTGGAAACAGATACCAGAAAGGACTTTCATCTGTAGGAGGCCAAGTCAATTCCAGGTTTCAAGGCTTTTAATGACAGGATAACAGTCTTGCTTGGGGGAAATGTTGCAGGCTAAAAATCAAAACATTTTATGATCTCTCACAGTAAGAACCCTAAAGTCTTGAGCATATCAGTAAGCACAGACATCCATTTTACTGCAGGGACAATAAGAATATGTGGATGACCCAGTCCCTCTTCCAAGATGCCCTCTTGAATTGCTATGCCAGCAAAATGGAGAAATGCTGTGTGGAAATAATGTATCTTTCAAGATGTTGCTTATTGTTGATAATGCTCCCACACATCCTTTTTTTTATTTGTGATCTTCATCCCCATATTAAAGTGGTGTCTCTTCGTCCAAACACCAAATCTTTAACCCAACTAATGAATCAAGGAGTTAATAGCTTTTAAGGCCTATGACCTGAGAAGGATCTTTGTTCAGGCTATTGCAGCAACCAAGGAAAACACTGGGAAGACACTGATGCAATTCTGCAAGAATTAAAACATCTCTGACTGCATCGAGAGCCTTGCTTGGGCTTGGAATGATGTCACCAAGAAGTATATGAATGGTACCAGGAAGAATACATTCAAGAAATAGAGGGGGAAATCCTGTGTGATATTAAGATGGGGGTATATTAAGATGGTGAGACCATGATCTGTTGAGGACCTACTTTATTTTATTTATCTTGGTCCCTACCATATTGCTAAACACACATTAAGCAGTAAGTACATATAGATGAAGGAAAATGTCAATAAAAGACAAAAAGGAAGGAAAGGAGAGGAAAAGAGTGAAAAGAAAGGAAAGAAATGAGAAAGGAAAGGAAAGAAGGAACCTAATTTTTCAAGGACTTCAAGCTCAATTCTAAATTTTAACACTTTCTAATGTCAGTCACATTTATATAAAATTAGAAGCTCTTCTCATAATTGTGCTTCTCTATACTTTTGCAATTTCTCCTACCTTTGTGCAGCAATCATATTTTAGCTGTGTTTCTCCTCTGAACTTTTAACTCTCTATATTATAATTATTTAGGTACATGCCTTTCTACATAGACCAGAATCAACTTGAAAGTAAGACCACAGCAAATTCATCTTTATATTCCCCCACATTATCTAGTCTGTATCTTGTATTTTATGGCATTCAATCCTAGTTGTGAAATGAATACAGAAATAGAGCACAGTCTTCTGTTTTCTGGGCCTGAGAAGTAAAAGTAGGCACACCTTAGTCCACTTGTGATTGAGATAAAGCAACAGAATGATGTAAATTCATTGACATTTTCATTGGGTTATATCAATCACTGTTGGTATATTTATTCATTTTTCTCTCATCACAATTGTCAAACAAAGACATCAGTGATTTTTTTTCTCCTTTCATTTACATGCAATTGCTGTTTTGGGATTCTTAGCCCTGAAAATAATGTGTTGACCTTTCTCCTGCACATTAACAAGCATGATTCTTTTGAAATAGGTTTAGTTTTTATTCTAGCATAGCCATATATTATATATAACATGCTGTTGTGTTTAGTATGGCTCTCCATAAATACAACGAGCTATAGCACCTCTGTGACTTTGTCACTATTTTATATACCTAATGGCTGAACTATTCCATTACACTGAAATGATAGTACACAAACATGTCTTCCATTAGCTACAGTTTCTGTGATTTAATGATTTATTTAATATAGAGTATATCTCATTGCAAGAAATTCCAGGACATTCTCTGGGGAATACAAGTCTGGAAAGGAAATACAAAGCTACTGGAGGGACTTGAGCAAAGAAAAAGGCTGCTTAAAGAGAATAAGAATCAAGAGAGAATATACTGAGATTTCTTAGCTTGTTCCCCAAATGGAGAAACTAGTTATTTCCCTAAAAGAGGATATATAATTAATATAATTACTTCTTATATGTCAGCTAAATAAAGTTGCTAAAACAAAAACAAAAGCTTTCCTCATGTTAACTGTAATGTTTCAAATTATTCTTCTTAAATGAAACAATGTTCCTAGGTCATAGAGTTGATTGCTAACAGACTCAGAAAATATTTCACACAAGCTACCTCCACGCAGAAAATGTGGAAGACTGTGTTTATCAAATGATGAAAGTTTTAATTACATAACATGTAAATGTACTATTTTTATAAGATAAAACAAAATAATGCTACTGGTTCTTTGGTGTAGTCTCCATATCTTTGCTACAGAAAAAATCTTAATTGCTAAGGAGGCCCAGCCTTCAGTCTAATTACAGGCATCTACTTCTTTTCCTAATTAAGAAATTGAGAACTAGCCAAGAAAGCAGAAAGGAAACACAGGTTGGCAGGGAAGTTGGCCTGAAGGGAGAAAACCTCTTGCTAAATCAAGTTTGAATCCCATCAATGACTTAGAAAGAATCTAGTTCCAAATATAATGGAATGAGGAGTGTATTTTGTATGTGTTAAAGATATCTCTCTTAAAATAGGCAACATCTCTCTTTTAAAAAAGGACATATTATCCAGGGACATTATGAGAAAAGTCATGCTGCAGTTTAGAACCTTGATAAGCCAATCATGGAAAAACAAAACAAACCTACTTCAAATGGTAACCTCAGTGGTTAGCATTAAAGAAAGGAATTGCAGTAAATACTAGTTTTGTAATTTCCAAATTTTGTCCATAAAGCACCTCTTCAATGACACAGAAATAATAAAATACAAATATCTAGTTTTAAATTGTGTATACTCTGATTTTGTAAAGTAATAACTTATTAGTTTTTGAAAATGTTTCATAACAATATTTTTCTT
The DNA here is from genome assembly GCF_000001405.40 of Homo sapiens. NCBI lineage: Eukaryota > Metazoa > Chordata > Mammalia > Primates > Hominidae > Homo > Homo sapiens. The sequence goes on from NC_000003.12 coordinate 97,552,876, forward strand.
CTCTGAATTGAGCCTTGTCTTACAAAACATTGCTCATAATGGTCAGATTAGATACAATTACATGAACTGATTAGAGAACATATTAATGTCTACTTTGTGATTCACTAGTGTCTTGGATTAAAGAAATATTTCCTAGACAAATGCAACTACCTCATAATTGCTCATCCTGCCTTCAGTCTTGCCCCTACCACAACCCATTCTTCACTTTTGCAGCCGGATTAATCTTTATACAAAAAGTTTTGCAAAATTCTTAGGAAAAACAACAACAAAAATCCAGTCTTCACTTTGGCATATGAGATGATCTGTATCCTGCTTACCTTTCAGATGTGATCTCCCCTTCACCCCTGCTAATCCACAATGCCCCAGACCAGCTTTGTGCCTTCTACAAGCCAATCTCTCTGTTGCTTTGGGGCTTTCCTGTGTTCTTGTTGATTGCCCTGACCTTCCCTCATGTCCTCACAAGGCTGTCTTTCAAAAACCTACCTAAATCTAAAGTAGCCCTCCCCAACCCCAGATACTACTTATTTTATATGTTTTGGATAATTTATGAAGAAAAGAGATTTAATTGACTCACAGTTCTGCATCACTGGGGAGGGCTCAGGAAACTTACAACCATGGCAGAAGGCTAAGAGTAAGCAAGGCACATCTTACATGGCTGCAGGAGAGAGAGAGAGAGAGTGAGGAAGTGCCACACTTTAAAACCATCAGCTCTCATGAGAACGCTTCACTATCAAGAGAACAGCATGGGGGAAACCGCCCCCGTGATCCAATCACCTCCCATCAGGTTCCTCCCTCAACATGTGGGGATTACAATTTAAGATGAGATTTGGGTGGGGACATAGAGTCAAACCATATCACATTGTATCCTGATGGATGGGATACTCTGGTCAGGATGTCACATTGCTCTCCCTAAGGAAGGAGAGACTGACAAGACTAGCTTGGAATCATCATGTGGCATTTCCCAAAAGGAAGGTAATTGATGTCTACTGTATGGCTTTCATAAAAATCTCTAGAAACATAATTTCTTTGGTTTTGATACTTATAACTATTTCTGTGTTTGTATGCATCATCTATATATAACAATAATATAAACTATCAGCCTTGTTTATGATTCATGAAATAACTAAGAGGATGGGAAAAAGTCAAATATTTTATGAAAGAAAGTACATTATTAACAGCAACAACTTAGTGTAGCCATGGTTGTGTTGTTCATTAACTGCAATTTAGTTCTTTTTCAATAGTTGCTTATAAATGGGGCTATGAAAATGAATGGATTTTTTTTTCTTTTTCTTAACTTCTATTTGAACAAAACAAAAAGTATAAGAAGTGAAAATACATCATAAACCTGCTGTTAAAATTATTATTAAAGGTAAAATCTGATTATCCTTCTGCCATCCAGTTGTATTCTCTAGAGCTAACCCTTGTTAATAATTCAGAGATGGACTTCCTAAATTTTCCATAAAGGTTTGTAGACACATTTATATCTACACTTATATATTGTTTTATGAACAAAAATGGAATCATGCTATGCAAGTTAGTTGCAATTTTTTTTAATTTAACAGCTATTTCTTTTAGGTTTGACTATGAGTAACTGAACAACTAGAATCCTGGCTTAAAATAAGAAAGAAACTTGTTTCTTGCTCACATAAAAGTCTAAATGGCAATACAAAGCTTTTTGGTGGGTCCATAATCAGGGGGTGGCCAGGTTCCTTCTATGTCATTTTTCCACTCTTTTCAACATAGAACTTCAAACTCATAGTCCAACATGTTGTCATAGTTCCATCTATCCCGTCCGCCCAACCTCCAGCCTCAGGAGGTAGAACACTGCTTGCAGGTTACATTAAGAACAGTTCCTTGTGTCTGTACTTGAGAACAGACACAAGGGAGGCTGGGAAATGTAGTCTGTATCATGGTGGTCATGTTTTCTGTTTCTTGCCTTTTTGTATGTTCTGATGTTTTGACATCTAAGACTTGCTAAACTTGGAGTGACTGCCCCTACCAGGGCTGCCCAATTCCAGAGATAACAAAGGGCTCACCTGTGAGTGTGCCTTTTTTTTTTTAATTATTATTATACCTTAAGTTTTAGGTTACATGTGTACAATGTGCTGGTTGGTTACATATGTATACATGTGCCATGCTGGTGTGCTGCACCCATTAACTCGTCATTTAGCATTAGGTATATCTCCTAATGGAATCCCTCCCCCTTCCCCCCACCCCACAACAGTCCCCAGAGTGTGATGTTCCCCTTCCTGTGTCCATGTGCTCTCATTGTTCAATTCCCATCTATGAGTGAGAACATGCGGTGTTTGGTTTTTTGTCCTTGTGATACTTTACTGAGAATGATGATTTCCAATTTCATCCATGTCCCTACAAAGGACATGAACTCATCATTTTTATGGCTGCATAGTATTCCATGGTGTATATGTGCCACATTTTCTTAATCCAGTCTATCATTGTTGGACATTTGGGTTGGTTCTAAGTCTTTGCTATTGTGAATAGTGCCGCAATAAACATACGTGTGCATGTGTCTTTATAGCAGCATGATTTATAGTCCTTTGGGTATATACCTAGTAATGGGATAGCTGGGTCAAATGGTATTTCTAGTTCTAGATCCCTGAGGAATCGCCACACTGACTTCCACAATGGTTGAACTAGTTTACAGTCCCAACAGTGTAAAAGTGTTCTTATTTCTCCACATCCTCTCCAGCACCTGTTGTTTCCTGACTTTTTAATGATTGCCATTCTAACTGGTGTGAGATTGTATCTCATTGTGGTTTTGATTTGCATTTCTCTGATGGCCAGTGATGGTGAGCATTTTTTCATGTGTTTTTTGGCTGCATAAGTGTCTTCTTTTGAGAAGTGTCTGTTCATATCCTTCACCCACTTTTTGATGGGGTTGTTTGTTTTTTTCTTGTAAATTTGTTTGGGTTCATTGTAGATTCTGGATATTAGCCCTTTGTCAGACGAGTAGGTTGCGAAAATTTTCTCCCATTTTGTAGGTTGCCTGTTCACTCTGATGGTAGTTTCTTTTGCTGTGCAGAAGCTCTTTAGTTTAATTAAATCGAGTGTGCCTTTCATATGCAAACCACCCACGCCAAAGCTCATAGGTCCCAAACCACCTCCTTTACTGAGCTCTAATACACCAAGCTAATATTACCCTGTCCTAATCACCCCAGGTATAGGAAAACTAGGGCCAGCCCCTACATTCTGAAGCCCACTGAAATTATTCAAATTATCCAACCTTAAACCTACTTAGCCTGCTTACACCCTGCTTCACCCATTCCTTCCTGAAAAAACCACAAGAGAGGATTTTGTCCAAGTTTTCCCCACACTCTCTGCCTTCTGATCAATCCTGGTGCTTCCTCGTGTGACCCTTTTGTTTCTAAAGATCTGTGAATATGAAAACTTCCTTCATGACTGTCATTTTCAAGTATGTATGTGCATTAGTCTATTACCATGCTGCTAATAAATACATACCTGAGACTGGGTAATTTACATAGGAAAGAGGTTTAATTCACAGCTCAGCATGGCTGGGGGGTCCTCAGGAAACTTACAGTCATGACAGGAAGGGGAAGCAAGCATGTCCTTCTTCACATGGCACAGCAAGGAGAAGTGCAGAGTGAAGCAGTATGGAAAAGCCCATTATAAAACCATCAGATCTTTTAAGAACTCACTCACTATCTTGAGAACAGCATGAGGGTAACTGCCTCCATGATTCAATTACCTCCACCAGGTCCCTCCCAGGACACATGGGGATTATGGGAACTACAATTCAAGATGAGATTTGGGTGGGGACAGAGCCAAACAATATCAGTGTGTCTTACTATACAGGTTCAAAGCAAATCCTGAGTGCATTTTAAAACATTACTAGGTAGTGATCATTGCATAACTTTGTAAATCTACTAAAAATCACAGAACTGAAAATCCTTTAAAACAGTGGAAGTTTATGGTGTGTGAATTTATATCTCAATTAAAATTTTTAAATAAAACGATTATTTCTCTTAAAGTATAAAAATTAAATAATGGATATTATGGGGTGATAACCTCTGCTAAAACTGTGTTATTTTCCAGATTAGTATAGTACATACAAATATTTCTCTTTTATTTTTGTGTCTGCCCTCTATTATATGAGTGTATTCTCTTTTACTTAACCTTTCAATCTATTGAAACTATGCTATAATTTATATCCAGGTCATACTTTTATTATCATAGGATAGATTCATAGAAGTGTAATTCATGAGTCAAAGAATTTGACATCAGTTTGTGATTTCACATCACAAAGGTCATGTGATTTTTTTTAAATACTGAAAATTACTTTCCAAAGTGTTGTAGCAATTTAGAATTCTTCTGAACGAATAAGAGTGCCCATTGATTTTACTTAGCTGTATCTGCTGGGTATCATTTTAATATTTTCCAATACAATTATTTGTAAAAGCACCTGATTATTGTTTTAATTTTTATAACTTGACTATGTGAGATGCCTGGCATTATTTTATATGTTCATTAGCCATTTTCATCTCTTTTTCTGACAATTGCCTGCTTGTGTCCCTAGCTCTTTATTGGCCTGGGATATAGAACCTATTATTAACCAGGGACATTAATATTACCCTACCATCTCTATCTGGAAATGTATAAGATGGTCTCTTTTATCTTATATGTTCCCGATATATGTCTAAGAATATGTCTTTTTAATATTAATTCTGACCAGCTTGCCATGTATCCCTGAGAATAGAAAACTCACTTTTTCTCCACTTCAGGGTAGTTTTCTTCAGTTATTTCTTTGAACATTACTCCTCCTCATTTTTATTTCTCTCCTGCCGAAACTCAGAGTGTGCATGCTAGATATGCTGAATCTATCCCCTTTATATTTCATACCTTCACACAGGAGTTTCCATTCTCCTGTGATTTTAAGATAGCTTGTGCATATGTTTTAAAATGAGCATTGAGTTTTAAAAAATTTTCTTTAGGATGTTTTCCTTTTTCTTTCTTAATATCTCATTATAATCCCTTAAGAATTCTCATCACACATTTTTCATGACTCATCTATTCTTTAGCTATATTTGCTTTCAAGGAGCCACCTGCTCTGGTGGTTCAGCTCAGTCTCCTTTGATCAACTCCACTTAACTTTTCTTTGTAGACACAAGATGGAGGGTTCCCTAAGCACAGGGGCAGGACAAGTAAAGTAGATCCGGCAATCAATATAAATAAGATTAATAAATCTAACATATTAATAAGATTTTCTTTTCTAGTGTTGAACCTTTCTACTGAAACATAGGCATGGGTAGAGGAAGACAGGCCATTTGATTCCTAGGTTCTGCACATGTGAGGTGGATGGAAGATCCTTTTCCAGCTGAAGGCATATTTGTCTGTAGCAGAAATGTCAGGCTTTCCCATATCCACAGGCATCTAGCTGAAACAGAACTTCCCCTCTTGTGATATGGTCATATACTCAGCTACTGGGCTTCCAAAGACAGTCTCAGGATTGACAGTTTTCATCTCAGTTTCTACCTAAAGAGTCAACCTTCTACCAGGCCCCTAGCTACTTTCCATTCAGTCAATGAGTAAATCTTCTGAGACATTATTTACTGTTTTCCCTTCATGGTTATTTCCTATCTCTCCCAATGCTATGAGTGTTTTGTCTTTCCCCCTTTCCCCCATTCTCTATACTTTCTGCTACACCTCCACCTTCTACATATATAATTGTCTCTATGCATGCATACACATGTATAAGGAAATATTAATGTGTTTCAGAAAATAAAATAGAAGTAAAGCAATACTTGAAAAGTGTGTGATAAAATATGTCCAGGCCTTTAAACTCAAGTGCTTTTAGGAAGCAGTACAAGGTGTCAATATATATGGACAATCTGCATGTAATATTTGATATATGTTAAATAAAAATAAGTGTCATGGTCCACTGTATCCCTGGACTTACAAAGAAAATCCAGAGTTAGAACATGAATGTCTTTGTTATATTGAACATTTCTACACATACTAATGATAAGCCAAAATATATTATTTATACACTTTAAAACATTTGTTTTACAGAATTAAAATAGTGCTTATTGATAACTTATATAAATTGCCAGTAAAGTAACCAATATGTGTGAGACATGCATGCAGTTAAGAACAAAATATGTGTCATCATTTAAAAAGTATTGGAAATAACAATTTATTTTCAATGAGTGCATAGCATGCATAAAGATGAATAAGAAACTTTGAGGACTTCAGAGTAAGTAGTATAATGATGACAAAAGGAACTTTTCCAAAACAGGTAGAATTAAAACAAACTGCTAGTATTACCAATTTTCACAATACACATAACCAGCATTACAAACTATACATAACCATTAATAAGGGCAAGACAAAAACTTACCTCACTCCCATAATTCTACTGAAATCATAGTGGCAGTGCACAAAATGCAATGCATATGAATTGGCATTGATAATAACAGGAGAGAACTCTAGAGATTTTGGTGAATATGTGCAAATAGAAAGTGAATTGTTTTGAATGGGTTGATGAACCAGAAAGGCAGGACATACAGCTCAAAAAATCCACAAGAAAAACAGTTGGGAGCCACTCTTCTAGAAACAAAGAAATTCTGAATCAGCAGACAGAATGGAACTAAGAAGGCACAAAGAAATCAGAGTGACTGAGTGGAGGAATTTCTACCAAACCTGTGTTGCCTACCCTACTCACTTCTTTCTCATATTTCAGAGCCACTGGAAATGATGACATATATCCTCAGGGCAAAAGGGGAAGCAGGCTTTCTAAAGAAGTAAATCAAGGTACCTGAAAAGCAATAGAGCTAATGTGTATGCTGTCACACAAGAGTGAAGCTTCCTTATTTTTTGCATGGATAGACTTGCTTGTGCAAATCCATTAATGCACCCTAAAGTTAAAACTGCCAGCCAACAGCCCTTAGTCAGCTATCTCATTAAGGGATGCAGCTCTAGAGATGGTGAAGAGACAATAAAGTTTACCATATTTTGATTAAAAGGCCACAAAAGAGAAGTAACAAGGAGTAAAAACAAAACTAATCACCATAAAATTTATTCAGAAAATGTAAGAAAACCCCTTTAAAAAATTCTATTTGATGTTCTCAAAGAGAGGGGGAAAGATACTGCATCCATAAAATAAGAACAGGTTGCCATTAAAAAGAAAAAAAAGAAAAAAATCCCAGCCAAACTATCTAGAGTGAGAGTCAAAAAATAAAAACCAAAGAAGAACTGTTTAAACATGTGCAGGAATAAGAAACTCTGTTTTCCTGAAATCATGATTGAAATAAAAAAAAAAGAATCCATGGAATAGAAAGTTGTGGATTTTCAGAAAAGTGATATATAAGCACAAAGAAAAGAAATTCCAGGAGAATAATCATGCAAAGTGCCCTGAGAACGATTGATTTAAATCAGAAATATAGTCTTAGGCCTTCACAAGAGTGTATTTAAATATAAGAACAGTATGGGTTTTGTTCAACAGATAGTGTGATTGTGAAACTAGAGCATCTAAAGGTAGCTACTAGGTACATGTGCTTACTGAGATTTAAATTGAAATTAATGAAACTTAAATACAATTTATAATTTGGTTCCTCAGGCACACTAGCCACATTTCCAGTGCTCAATAGCCACATATGGCTGGTGGCTACTGTATTGGACAACACAAACATAGAATATTTTCATCATTGCTGAAAATTGGAGTGAACAGCTTTGATCTTGGTGATATGGTGAGCTTATTGCTTTCATTCATTCTTCAAAGAATATTCATTGAGTAGATTCATTTTGAAGAAAAGGACAAACTGAGAATATAGCATCTATAATGAGTGAGTAAAGGCCTTGTCCTTCTATGGACGTAGCATCTAAGAGAAAGACAATAAACAAATACAGGGATACTCATTTTTATTGCATGCTTCTTTACTGCTCTTCACAGGTATTGCGTTTTTTACAAACTGAAGGTTTTTGGCAACATTGCATTGAGCAAATCTATCAGTGCCATTTTTTCAACAGTATGCACTTACTTCATATCTCTGTGTCACATTTTGGTAATTCTGGCAATATTTAATTTTTTATTATTATTACATTTTGATATTGATCTGTGATTGATGATCTCTGATGTTACTATTATAACAGTTTTGGGATGCCATGAACAATGCCCATGTAAGATGGTAAACTTAATTGATCAATGTTGTGTGTTTTCTGACTGTTCCACCAATCAGCCATTCCTCCATTTCTCTCTCCTCAGGTCTCACTATTCCCTAAGGCACAATAAGATTGAAGTTAGGCCAATTAATAACCTTACAATGGTCTCTAAGTGTTCAAATGAAAGGAAGAGTCGCATATCTCTGGCGTTTAAATCAAAGCTAGAAATGATTTAGCTCATAAAACTCAGTGAGGAAAGCGTGTAAAAAGCTGAGATTGACTGTAAACTAAGCCTCTTGTGCCAAACAGCCCAGTTGTAAATGCAAAGGGAGTATTTTGAAGAAAAATAAAAGTGCTACTCCATTGAACTCTACAATGAGAAGAAAGTGAAGCAGCCTTATTACTGATAGGGATAAAGTTTTAGTGGTCTGGATAGATCAAACCACAACATTCCCTTAAGCCAAAGTCTGATGGAGAGCAAGGCCCTCTCTTCAATTCTATGAGGGCTGAGAGAGTTGAAGAAACTGCAGTCAAAAATTTTAAAGCTACCAGAGATTGCTTTATGAAGTTTAAAGAATGAAACCATCTCTGTAACATAAAAGTGCAAGGCAAAGCAGCAAGTGTTGATATAGAACTGTTGCAAGTTATCCAGAAGATCTAGCTAGGATAATTGATGAAGGTAGCTAAACTAAACAACACATTTTCAATGTAGTTGGAACATACTTCTATTGGAAGAAGATTCTTCTAGAAATTTCATAAGTAGAGAGAAGTTAGTGTCTGGCTTCAAACCTTCCAAGGACAAGCTGACTTTTCTGTAGGGGCTAATGCAGCTGGTGACTTTAAAAGGAAGCCAATTCTCATTTACCATTCTGAAAATCCTAGGGCCCTTGAGAATTATGCTAAATCTACTTTGCCTTTGCTCTTTAAATGAAGCAACAAAGCTTGCATGACAGCACATCTGTTTATAGCCTGGTTTACTAAATATTTTGAGGCTACTATTGAGACCTACTGGTCAGAAAAAAAGATTCTTTTCAAAATAATACTGCTCATTGACAATGCACTTAGTCACCCAAGAGCTCTGATGGAGACATACAAGGAGATTAATGTTATTTTCGTGCCTGCTTAGAAAACATCCATTCTGCAGCCCATAGATCAAGAAGGAAGTTTTGACTTTCAATGTTATTATTTCGGAAAACTACATTTCATAAAGCTATAGCTGCCTTAGGTAGTAATTTCTCTGATGGATCTGGATAAAGTAAATTGAAAATCTTCTGGAAATGACTCACTATTTTTAGATGCCATTAGGAACATCTGTATTTCATGGGAGGAGGTCAAAATTTCAATGTTAACAGGAGTTTGGAAGAAGTTAATTCCAGCTCTCATGGATGCTTTTGAGGGGTTCAAGACTTCAGTGGAAAAAGTAACTGCAGATGTGGTGGAAGTCGCAGGAGAACTAGAATTAGAAGTGGAGCCTGAAGATGGGGCTGAATTATTGTAATCTCATGATAGAACTTTAATGGACAAGGAGTTACTTCTATGGATGAGCAAAGAAAGTGGTTTCTTGAGGATGAAATCTACTCCTAGTGAAGATGCTACGCACATTGTTGACAGTGCAACAAACATCAACTTAGTTGTTAACACAGTGGCAGAGTTTGAGAGGAATGACTCCCGTTTTGAAAGAAGTTCTTGTTGCTGTGGGTAAAATGCTGTCAAACAGCATTGATGGTTCAAAGAAATCTGTCATGAAAGGAAGAGTCAATCAGTGTGGCTAGCTTTATTGTTGTCTTATTTTCAGAAATTGCCACAGCCACCCCAACGTTCGGATACATCAGCAGCCATCAACATCAAGGCAACACCCTCCACCAGTAAAAAGATTACTACTTGCTGAGGGCTCATATGATCATTAGCAGTTTTTAGCAATAAAGTGTTTTTAATTAAACCAAATACAAAATATGTATTTTGTATTTTTAGGCATAATGCTGTTGCACACTTAATAAACTACAGTATATTGCAAGCATAACTTTTATATGCACTTGGAAACCAAAAAAAATTCATTCGACTTGCTTTATTGCAATATTTACTTTATTGCAGTGGTCTGAAACCAAACCCACAGTATCTCTGAGGTATTCTTGTAATGCGTAATATAATATAATGGATTGACAGCTGCCAAAAGGAAAAACAAAGAAGTATAAAGTTATGTTGAAGGTGAGGGCTGGAGACTATTTGAAGTCGGATGTGAGGAAAGGCTTATTGGAGAATTTGATGTTGGAGGGACGTAGAATGTCCTGTGAAAATCTGTGGGAAGTATACTCCATGTAAACAGAAAGTCAAGTAAAAACATCCCTGAGGTGGAAAAATGTTGAATGTCCCACAGAACTTCAAGAAGGCTACTGTGGCTGAAACAGCCAATAAGGAGCATTGCAGAAGATAAGGTCAGAGACGTAAACAGGAGGTAGATCTCATAGGGACATATCAGCAAGAGTTAGGATGTAAAATTTTATCCCAGGGGTGATGGGAAATTTTTGAATGGAGAGTGACATTATCAGATGTATACGTTCAAACCATCACTTTAGCAGTTTTTGTGGCAAATTAATCTTAGGAGTGCAAGAGCAAAGTAAAATTTATCTTTAAAAGCTTTAGAAAAGGTAAATATATTTACCAGAAAGTTCCTGGTCCCAATATGAAACAAACTGAAACTTACAGTGAATGGAGTATAAGAATTAAGCATTATTTAACCTTGAGGTCCAAAACATTCTCCTTTAATGGACATGTTTAGAGATAGACTTGTACTTCCTTCTCTACAAATTAATTATAATAATGTTTTTCAACAAATAATGTTTATTTAAGCCAACTATTACAAATTCTGTTTATTAGTATCAAGTGTTTAGAATCACACTGTAAGCAAAGAATGAAACAAAATCAACTTAATAGTTACAAATATGAGTTTATACACATTTAAAAGTAATTACATAGCTGATAATTCAGAAGATGGAGGCTAATAAAGGGACATGAAATGTTTTCATCTCACATAGTGAAATGTTGATGGAGCAATTAATAGAAGTGTGAATATGAAAAGCGTTAAGTTAATTAGGGGGAAAACTAAAAATAATTAATAAAACTAATAAGACTCAGGAAGAAGTCAGTAACTTAATAGGGAGTCATTTGATTCTATCTAAATCTGATAAATTAAGAAATACTTGTAAAAACATTATTTATTATTATAATAATTCTCACAAGCACAAATCATAAGTGTACAAAAAAAGTTTACCTTTAAGGAGCAAGAAGTTTGCATGGGCTGGTAGACCTTTTCATTGTTGTTTAATACCATTCTGAAGTATTGCATTTACAAGTATGTGCTTGCCATATTTTATAATAGTCATAATAATTCTGTTATGTAAAACTTGTAAACAGAAAATATGTTGTATTGTTGATATCCTATTGTAAACATTACACTTATTTTTTTCTCACAATCAAATTTAAATTGATTGACAAAATACACATTTTAGATGCTAAATTAAAGGGTCAACTTTATTAAGGGTCGACTTTTAAAGAAACAACAAATAACCAAAATTTAGAAATCACAGAGTATTAAAAACCATGACAGATCATGACACAAATTGCCATCCAACATTTTTTTTTCCTAAAAGGTAAACAACATATACAAATGGATTGTATACATGGGAAAAGAAAAGAAGATGTGAATTGCAACATTTTGTTGGGTTTGATACATATGGAGATTTATTATTAAACATGCAAAATCTCTGAGGCTAATGTTAAATTGAAAAACAAGTTGTCAGCAGCTATTATACACTCTAAGGCCAATTGCTACATAATCAGAGGTCGTAAGAGAATGAAAGCTTAGGCATGTTTCAAGTAAATATCTGGCATATATGGCACCTCGGTAGCAGAAAAAACTTAAAAATATACCATTCTATTCCCAATGTCAGAAAAGGGAATAGAAAATGAAGGATGGAAGTAACTCTCGCCAGCACAGAGATGATATCCACAATATTCAATCCATATACCAAGGGGAAAATTTTTTACAGGGAAGTAATAAAGATCAGAATCGAGTCTAGGGAGTTTTCTGCCAAAATAAATAAAAACAAGAGAATTTAGTTTCACAAGCACAGAAAGAACAGAATAAATATCAAAAGAATCTGAGCCATCAGAACAGCACCTTCAAGGCTCCTACATTAACCAGATGTCATGATTTATAAATCACATGCTATAAATATTCAAGGAAAATTAGCCCCAAGAAAAAAAAAAGCAATTATGCATTTGTAGTAATAACAGCCCTATTATTACAGATGATAATTATGATCTATGATTACAGTTTTTGTAAAGAGGAATCTATGTTAGAATAACTATGTGTATGACAAATTCTGAAGAAAAAGTTTTAAAATTCTGCTTTCTAAATCTGTGACACATCATAGTCAAGAAGCACTAATGGTAACTGAATATCAAAATGTACCTTGAGTGGATTAAATATTAGTATAATAAAATATTGGAATTCACAAATTAAAAATACAAATATATATTTTCTCAAATGTATTAACATTTTAAAATTTCAAGTTCTTGCCACTGAAAGACCTCACAAAGACAGGAAGAGTCTTGATAGAATCTACCAAGTAAATACTGGAAGATAATTTTAGCTCTTGTATTAGTCAGCTTTTTGCATTATTATAAAGGAATATCTGAGACAGGTAATTGATAAAGAAAAGAGATTTAGGCCGGGCGTGGTGGCTCACACCTGTAATCCCAGCACTTTGGGAGGCTGAGGCAGGTGGATCACAAGGTCAAGAGATCAAGACCATCCTGAGCAACATGGTGAAACCCCGTCTCTACTAAAAATACAAAAATTAGCTGGGTGTGGTGGCGCCTGCCTGTAGTCCCAGCTACATGGGAGGCTGAGGCAGGAGAATTGCTTGAACTCGGGAGGAGGTGGAGGTTGCAGTGAGCCGAGATCATGCCACTGCACTCCAGGCCGGCAACAGAGCGAGACACCGTCTCAAAAAAAAAAAAAAAAAGGAAAGAGATTTAATTGGCTCACAGTTCTGCGACTGTACAAGCATGGCACCAACATCTGTTTGGCTTCTGGTGAGAGTGCCAGGAAACTTACAATCGTGGTGGAAGGTAGCAAGTGCATCATGTGGCAAGAGTGGTAGCAACAGATGGGGGAGGTGCCACAATTTTAAGCAACCAGATCTTGCATGAACTAACTGAACAAGAACACAGTTATCACCAAGGGGGTGGTGGTAAGCCATTCACAAGGGACGTGCCCCCATTACCCAGTCTTCTCCCATCAGGCCCCACCTCCAACATTGGGAATCACATTTTGGCATGAGATTTGGAGGGAACAAATATCCAAACTATATCAGTACTCAACCTATCTGGTCAAATCCCTCAATTTCATTGAGAAAACTGAGACTCTAAAGAATGTTTCTGCTAAAAATCATATACTTGTTGCTAATGCTAGGATTGTATGAGTAGTGCTGCTTTGGGATCCAATCTTGGAAAATATTGACTTGAAGTCAACTTTATGTATTTATTATCCAGGTTTATTTACAAAATAATTTTGTCAGGGCTCTGTTAGTGAGAAATGTTAGAAACCCAAGTCATGCTCTCTTAATTCAAAGAGAGTGTTTTGGCTCTTGTCACTCAAAATCCAGGATCATTTAGCTGCAGGTATGGCTGGATCTAGGATTCTTTGAAAAGACTTTGTTGCTTTCAGTCTATTGGCTCTGCTTTCTTCAATAATGGCTTTACTATCCGGTGAGCTTTTTCTATATGGACACCTTCTGTATCTTGAGGCTAAACATCTACCCTATTCAATTCCAATGAGTAATAGTCTTTGTTCCCTAATAGTTGAAAGGAAGTCCTAGAATTGAACCTTATTGGCCTGGCATGTCATAGGTCCACCTCTGGAACTCAACAGGAATGGAGGAGTAGATTTAAACTCCATCCCTACCAAATAGAAACCACATGAACTGACAGAAGGGAAAAGGTGATTTTTAAGGAAAATCAATGTGCTCTTCCAAGACCACAGCAAAAGCAGATGTCTAGTATTTTCGGTTCATTCATGTTTTATTCTACAAATGATTTCACATCTGGCACACTTATTGTTGTAGTGTAGAAAGAGCATTGGGAATGGAAACAAGAAGATCTAATTGTATGGCCTTGAGTAAGTTGCTAAGCCTTTCTGAGTCTATTTTCCTCATATGTAAATCATTTTAAAAATATATTCATCATTGCAATCCTATGAATGATTTGAAGAACAAAAAAAACTTGGCAAATAAAGGCTTGTGTGCCAAAAAATAAATCCAGGCCTGCCACATTGCACAACTTTGGGGGACATCATTGGCATAGAATACAATGGAAAAAAAAATCAATGTTATCTATAAAATGGGCTAATAATAGCTCTTTTACAAAGATTTAGCCTGAAAACATTTTGAGAGTGTCAAGCACAGTGTTGGCCACTGTTATGGATTTAATTGTGTGCCCCCAAAAGTTATGTTGATGTCCTCCCCAATACCCCAGAATATGACCAATGAAGTCCTACTGGAGTAAGGTGGGACATTAATCTAATATAACTGGCGTACAAATAAGAATAAAAGAGAGAGACACATATGGAGGAGAGCACCAGGAGAAACACAGGGTAGAGATCGAGGCAGAGATTGGACTGAATTATCCACAATACAAGGAACACTAAGGACTACCTCTTACCCATGAACGTGCAGCCACAAGAGGCAGCTCAGGAAAACAAACTTTATTATACTCACAGGTCCTGAAGACAGGAGGCACAGCAAGCTATGCAAGGCCTCCTGGGAAACTCACCAGGGTGCTCAGGAGGCAGAAGACAGGAGCAAGGAGAAGGTTTAGGCCAGAGTGGGAAAGTCATGGCAGAGCAGTGAACAGTTTAGGATTGGTATTTTTAATAATTTTGGTGGGCTTTGGGTTATAAGGGTGGTCCCTTGTTGCCTGGCACCTGGCCCTGGAATGATTAAGAGGAGAAAAGTCATCATTTGGGGTGTATAATCTAGGTAGAGGAGGTTTGGCTCTGGATTGGTTAGTTTACGTATCAAAGACTTGCTGTAAGCCTGGGCCCTTTGCTAGCTCCAGGTTTTGGCTAGGCCCTGGAGGATAAGTCTCTTAATAGCGAGAATGATTTTTAACATGTGAAATCATCATAACATGCAAAAAATTTAAAAAATACTTATAATATGCTAAATAAATTACATCAATCATCATTTCTTTCCAGAATTACAGAGAATCACACTGTATTCCTACCTCCATTTTTGTTATCCTCCAGTTCATCCTATGCACTGCCGTAGGAGTGATCTTTATAAAATGCAGAACAGATAACATGACACCCTGGCTTATAAAACTTCAAGGTTCCCCACAGATTGATGGAACGAGTCCAAGTTCTTTGGCAGAATATTCAAGGCCCCCATTGATCTGGCACTTGCTTCCTTTCTAGGATCGTTTTTGCTAATTGCTGTGCCTGCTTCAGTTCTATTAAACCATCTACAGCTCTCAGAGAGCACCATGCTCTTCAGAGCAGCTCCTTATGCCTACAATGCCCCTTTTTTCTTTCCCAGTGGTAAACTATTGCCCTTTTTAGGTTTAATCAAGACTTTTCTCCTCTATGTAGAATCATGAGCTCCCTTTTTTCCCCACTGTAGTCTACTCAAATATCTACTGTTACAAGAAAAGTTATTCATGACACTTGTTAAAGATGGTGAGGCAGATTTTATTCAAGGAGGGCTATGAATGTAGGTATAGGGACCAGTTCCACAGGGGTCTTGCAGTGGGGGAGAGAAATTTGACTTAACTCCAACAAGGACAAGTGGGGATGTATATAACCAAGGAGCAGAGTGGATGTCATCGGATGGAAACTATTAATAGGAAACATCAAGGCTAAGAAGTTTCTGGATAAACTGACTTGATAGGATTGTTGCTGAAGACAGACCAGGGTAATAAGATATTGAAAACAGTCAGACACCAAGGGTAGGAGATTTTTGCTAAACTGGCCAGTAGGATTTTTGCTCAGACTGCATTCTATAAGAATAGATATGAAGGCCCCAAATCAAGTCAGGTCAGAAAGGGCTTGGGAGCCTACTAAAGTTCTGGTCAAATGAGTGAGTCTTTGTTACCACCATAGCTCCTAAAGGCACTGTGTTGCTATTATTATTTTATATGCATTTGTCTTCCCAAGTACACATAAAGGCAGAGATTCTCCATGATGTATCTCAACATATAGCACATAAGTGTTCAATAAAAGCCTATTAAATTAATGAATAATAAAAAGATAAAGTAATAAATGAATAATCAAATGTTAAAAATAAATAGTGAATGAGCCCAACAGTCTCCCAATGAAGTATTTTACTTAAAAGTTAAGAAATGCTTGATTTTGTATTCATTGGCAGTGATTAAAAGAACAGACTCTAGGGTCAAGCTGCTTGGATTCCTAGCTTAAATTACTTATTTAGGTGACTTTGGGAAATTATTACTTCTCTGCAAAACTCAGGATATAATAGTTCCTTCTTCATTTGGGTTGTTAGGAAAACTAACTGAACATATATTTATATTATGAAAATTGTATTGTGAAGAGTAAATGAGAATATTGTAATTACTATATACATTTTCAAAAAAATACTTTCAATGACAAAAGATTAGAGGCAAAACTATTGTTTTAATTGAAAGGGATTCTTATTCTTTGTGTCTGCATATATTGAAAACTCTGAGCTTAAATTATGAACAGTATTTGTGTAGTTTCTGGTACTTCAGTTTCTAGGATACACATAAAAATGCATCTGTTTGTTGAAAATAACAAAGTGCTTTTTTTCCTGGTTCATGTTGGTCAAATGCCTGCTGCAGTCAGTTTTAACACCCATGGCTTTTCTCTCTGTGTATAGGATGAAGACCCAGAGAGGGGTTATGTAAGTCACCATAGTTCTTATTGATTCAAACCTTGTTGAATTTTACCTAAAAACAAATTTCTCACGTGTAGAATCGACTCACACTGTTGCCAGGTTGTACTACTAATTTTTATTTTTAATTTTATTGCCCTAAGAATATTTATTTTTATACTACCCAGCTGCCACCAGAGATTTTGTATCCTAACTACATACAATTTTGTTTTACAGTAAGTAGAATAAAAATAATTAAAATAAAATATTCCAAATATGAGGGATTCATAGAAGCAAGTGGCCAGGAAAACTTTATGGAGAAAAAGAGACATGAGTTGGGATTCAGAAGATGCTGGAAATTGGAACAGGCTAGAAGACAGTATGGAAGGCACTCCAGGCCGGAGAAGTGGTGTCAGCAAGTCTAAGGGCAGAGGCATTCCTGTATTTTGGAGGTGGATAACACCTCAATCTGCCTTAAACATTAGGTTTATATGGGGGAGGAATCAGAATATAAATTTAAAAATTACTATGGGGCTGGGCGCGGTGGCTCACGCCTGTAATCCCAGTACTTTGGGAGGCTGAGGCAGGTGGATCACGAGGTCGGGAGTTGAACACCAGCCTGGCCAAGATGGTGAAACCCCATCTCTACTAAAAATACAAAAATTAGCTGGGCATGGTGGCAGGCACCTGTAATCCCAGCTACTCTGGAGGCTGAGGCAGATAATTGCTTGAACCCAGGAGGCAGAGGTTGCAGTAAGCAGAGATCACACCACTGTACTCCAGCCAGGGTGACAGAGTGAGACTCTGTTTCAAAAAAAAAAAAAGTATTATGGAAGCTTTAAATGTTAAACCATGACATTACAACTCTACACAAAAAGAAATAGAAAGTTTTGAAGATTTTTAAGATAATAATGCTGCCTGAAGCAGGTGGTGTGCAGAATTGCTTGGATAAGCTAGAGGTTAAATTCAGGCCTGACTTCAAGGAAATAATCCCCTTCCACCAGCACTGTAGAGTCTAGATACCAGAATGTAGCAATAGGAAGTCATCTTCAGAGTGTGTTGAGAATGAAAGGGTCAGCAAGAGAAAGGTCAAAATAAAATAGTTCACATTAAGAGTCAGGAAAAAGAGGAGTCTGAAACTGGAAGCCTAAATTCAGGAATGGATTCTGGGATGGACAGAAGAGGGCATATAGTGCTGTTATTGCATATAAACATATCACCTATGTCACGGCAAGGAGTCAGCATTTAGGGCAGTAATATCACTTGTTAAAAAATACTGCTGCCAGGATGGCCTGGAAACTCAATAAGCCCTAATCAGGAAAGAGTAGAAGCAGAGGGACCAATTAGCAGACTCTTGCAGTAGTCAAAATTAAGTGTAATAAGGGCCAGAGGTGGCATGGTAGAAAAAAGACTATAGGGGTTGACACAAAGAAGATTCAGGAGAAAAACCCTCCTTAAAAAAAAAAAAAGTTTTAAAGTTAAAACCCTTTCATTTGAAGCAATTGCATATGTTAGGCAATTTCTCCAAAATTTAAGTGCTAATTGATAGATTCTGAAGCTGTCTTGCAAGGAAGTTCTTGTACCCTTAGAAAAGTCATTCTCTCAGTGACCTGGTTGCTGCATTATCATCTCAAATGCCATTTTTTTCTTACTGTTTCATTACATTGTCACCTTCAAAGGACAAAATTACATGTAAGTCATAAATCTTATTTCCCTAAGACCAAAAGAAAATCTTCCTTGAAACTCATAATGAAACTCTTTCCTGTTAAATGCCACACAGCAGACACACGTTAGACCTGAATTCTTCCGTATTAGACTCAACATGAATTTGCTATTAAATAGCTTTTAACTGAGATCAAACAATAAGAACCTACAAAAGAGCAAATTCTCAGTTCACAAAAGACTAATTGCCAAGCTTGCAGCATTTATAAACATCAAGGTCAATGTGAAATGTGGAAGGTCAATGAAACTTGCTGGCAAAGAACCATCATTGCAATGTATAGCACACCATCAGCTTTTCCATATACCTCTACTGCCACTTTCTGTTTATAAAACCATAAGGTTATTTTGATCCATTTTTACTTTTTTCCCTCAGTCAGCATTCTATGTATATAATGCAAGCTATCTTCATCTTGGCAATTTATCTATCTAAAGTAGAAGTTTTCTTGGACCAAAAATCTATGTTGTTCTGATTAATGCCAGTGTCAACTAAAACACTGATCTCTTTTCCTTTTTTTTTTTTTTTTTTTTTGAGACGGAGTCTCGCTCTGTCGCCCAGGCTGGAGTGCAATGGCACTATCTCGGCTCACTGCAAGCTCTGCCTCCCAGGTTCATGCCATTCTCCCGCCTCAGCCTCCCAAGTAGCTAGGACTACAGGCGCCCGCCACCACACCCAGCTAATTTTTTGTATTTTTAGTAGATACAGGGTTTCATGGTGTTAGCCAGGATCGTCTCGATCTCCTGACCTCATGATCCACCTGCCTCAGCCTCCCAAAGTGCTAGGATTACAGGCGTGAGACACCGCGCCTGGCAAAACACTGATCTCTTAGTTACTCCTTTTTCCTGCTTTTTTGTCTTTGTTTTATGCTGATATTTTAACATGTTTATTGGATTATAAGTCACTCTTGGTAATATGAGCCCTTGGTTTGGTAATAGAGTATAATCATAGTAAATGATACTCCACATGGTTCTTGGCCTTCTGATTCTTAGATTTTAAGTCTCAGAAAAGTATACAAGTATAACATATTTTTATTTTAGGACTCCTCTGTGCTGTCGTATAGCTGGCTCAGAAGAGACCAACTTTCCTGAGGTGATGTCTTCCTTGTTTCCCCATTGTATGCCTACTATGTGCCAGATAGTATGTTATACCTTTCTTATATGTAGTTTTATTAATCCTCATAAAAACTACAGGCTAATTGTTATAATTTTTTCATTCTCCAAATAAGGAAATTTAAATCAGAAATATTAAGTAACTTATTCAATATCAAACAGCTTGTAGGTGGCAAAGTCATGAGGCGGATTCATGTCTGTCTGACTCCAAAGCTCATGCTCTTTGATTACATTTGGTTGAATTTTTGACTTTCTGCCTACATACGTCTTAACAAAATCCATATAAAACATATTTTATCACTATATGTATGACACTCTTGAATTAAGCAAAAGGCAAGAAAACAGTCAAGTTTCTTAGTAAAGAATAATGCTAAACTCTTATTGCAGCTTTTTGGTAACAACTGTGTCTGCGTTGAATAACTATGTCTCCAAATGACTTGATTTGATAATTGTTGGATTATTTAAAGTATGGTGTTAATGAGTTTCTCAATCTGCTTCTTATTTGTGTACAAAGAGTTCATTATGCCTGATGAAGGCCTGTTAGCAAAAGGAACCCAAAAAAATAAATACAAAGCAATGTGCCTTTAGATTATATGAAGTCGAGTAAAGGTGGTGACCTGGCTAATACAAAAAAGCTAACTGCATTTTAGGTTGCTATAATTTGACAAGAAGACCATTTTTACAAAATTAAAGAGTTCTTTTATAGTCTACTCTGGGCAGTTTACATCTGGTATACAATGATCAGTTCCAGATTATACATTTTAAGGTCAGCTTTATTAAGGTATAATTTGTCCAAAAGTAAGGTAACCAGTATGATGAGATTTTTATTTATTTTTTATTTTTTTAAATTTTATTTTTTATTATACTTTAAGTTTTAGGGTACATGTGCACATTGTGCAGGTTAGTTACATATGTATACATGTGCCAGAGATTTTTAAAATAAGTGTCTGATAGATCAAGATATGTTTAGCCTACAGTCAAAAATTTAGGCAGAAAATGGAAAGGAAAAAATAGGTCTCTTCATTTATCATTTGTATTGCCACATGCAAATTCAGAGGGCAAAATTAAGACCAAATGAATGAAAGATAAATTAATGTTTCCTGAAGACAAATTTTGTATTGATTTAATATTAATCAAGAAAGCCCAGAATAAAACAGATAGGCACAGAACTTAGTCACAGGGATGCAAATAGAATAGTTCCAGAATGTCCAGGATGTTCAGGCTCCTCCCAATTCTAAGATCCCTTGCTTGAATGATAGCTATGATATTCTTCTTTCATTTTATCTATTAACATGTATCTGTTATCATGTAATGTGGACCCAGTCACTTTTCACCTTCTTTCTCTTTATTTAAGCAACTCAAAAGAAAGTTTTTATTTCATTGGTTTGAGAAAAAATTGTAATTTCTTCTTGGAGAAATCTAAATTTTATTATCAAATAGAGAAATGGTTTTAATACCCTATCCTAAAGGCTGAATTTATAAAGTCATTCAGTCAGCAAACATATATTGAGCAGCTAATAGAATGCTAATACCATAAGTGCTGTAATATGTGGTAGTTGAATGAAAGAGGCTTAGGGCAGTCTCACTGGATCTATTTGAATAAAAGAAAGTTTCTTACAGGGAGTAACACTTAAGCAGAGTCTTGAAGGATGAGTAAAATGTGGGTTAGAAAGGCAAAGAAACTGTGTATTATTAGCAGGAAACACATATAAGAAAAAGCTACACAGATGTGAAAGGGAAAAGGCTTATAGACCTATTAGCATTTTCTTATTGTGGATGTCAAAGCTGTGTGAAGCCAGTTTTCAGAGATGTGACCAGAGAGACTGATAAATGAAAAGCAAGCAATAGAGAAAGGGCAAAAGGTAGGGAAAAATACTGCAATATTTGTTAAACAAAGACTACTATGAAATTATATAATGAATTCTTACAAATCATTTTTAAAGACCCTACTATGTAAAAATGAGACAAAAATATGAGCAGCTAATTTTCTTAAAACAAATATAATGATTAATGAAAATAAGAAAATATATATTTAATTTCACTAGTAGCCAGTGATATGTTAATTAAAACCAAAATTAAACGAAGTTTTGGAAATAATAGACACTAGGGACTCCAAAAACTGGAGGGTGGGAAGGGGAAGAGGGTTGAAAAGCTACCTATTGGGTACTATATTCACTATTTGGGTGATGGGGTCACTGCAAGCCCAAACCTCTACATTATGCAATATACCCATTTAACCAACCTTCACATGTACCCCCTGAATCTAAAATTTAATTTAATGAATAAATAAAACACAAAAAACAAAACTAGATTACTTTTTTAACCTATCTAGTAAAAACTGAAGAGAGTGATACTATCTGTGTTAATAAGAGCATAGGAAATTAGAACATTGTCATTTACTCTTGATAATAATTTAAATTGATATAGACTTGTGGTACACTATTTGGAAGTATGTTTTTAAATGCACATATTGTTTAACTCAGGAACTCCATATCTATATAACTATTCTAGATATATATGCAATAACCTAATACTCATCAGGAAGAAAATGGTTGGATAAATTTGTGGTTATATATGTACTGGTGAACATTATGATGCAGTGAAAAGAAGGAGGTAGATTAACATCATGAGAGGTCTCCAAAACATGTAATCAAATTTAAACATTCAAAAGCAAGTTAAGTGCAGTATATAGAGAGTAATCTCATTTACCTTAAAAATTCACAAAGTAAAACTACTCATTTCATATCTACGTATACAACCATTCCTGGCATAAAAAAACATCTGAGAGGTTACACATCAAAATGATGACAGCAGAGGGCTGGGATTAGATGAATGATAAAGGGAATTGTCATTGTTCTAAGTTGTTTAAATGTTAATAACGATAGTTTGTGTATTATAGTGTGATATAAATCATAAGTATTATTTTTAAATCTGTGGGGAGCCTTTGAAAGGTTTTAAGCAGGGAAATCACATAGGCACATTCGCATTTTAGAAATATTTATCTGCCAGCTGAATATAAGGGGGAAATATAAGCACGGAAATTAAATTGGAGACAGGGAAGTCAATAAAAAGTGATGGCAATAATCCAGAGTAAAAAATATAGGTAGACTTATATAAAGCTGTGTAATTGTAGTGAAGATAGAAGAAAGAGGGTGACTAAGAAAGACAGGTTTTCACTACATAGAAACCACAGGACACCACCAGTTGAGATTAGAAGACGACTCTGAGGAAGTGGTCTAAATGAACCTCGAGTTTCCAATTTAGCAACTAGCTAAATGGTCAAGTCTTTTCATGAAGATAAGGAACACAGTGTGGGGAGTGAAGGGGTAGGCTAAGGGAAATGGGATTCTTAGATCTTTGCTACCCTAAGGAATTTGGGATTTTGAATAGGAAAGTTATCTCAAAATTTTTCTGTGAAATATTTTTTTCCAAGAAAAATTACCTCTTCTCTATAGAAGAGGTTAATGGCAAGTGAGTTCTATCTAAACATCCTATAAAGCTTCAAGAAATTTCCAGATTTTGTAAAAAGTTGTTTATTCATTTTTTTTCCTTGATCAGTCCAGGGAGCAACTACTTCTACTTGTCATGGGTATATTACCATCGTGAAAGAAAGGGTTTATCAATGTCATCCACTAAAGAGTTACACCCTTGCCACCTCCCTTACATCCCACTCATCAACTGCGCTGGCAGACACTCAAAAGCTGGGAGAATATTTTCTGTCAGGAAGGTCTAAGTGCACACTGGCATGTAAATCTTGACAAGCTTGTATTTTGGGGGTTAGTGATTATTTTTTGTCCTTAAGTTGTCTCAAGGTTGTAGAACTTAAGTGAAAGAAGGATTCCATCCAGGCATGCCAGTTGTTTTTCTAAGTTCAAACCATACTATCTTTATTTAATCTATAGACTTTGTTTTACTGTTAAAAGATGAAAATTAAACCTCTTTCGTGTATAAAACTGTGACATTAAAATTAGATTAGAGATGACCCGTGGAATGTTTGCACTTATTAATCACAATTCAACCTTGAAAAAAGAAAAAGATTTCTATTACATAATGGTAGAATGTATAAGACAAAAAAAAATGAACTCAGTCACTCATCAGTTTTTAAGTGTGAAAGGTACAATGAACAAGATAACATGACATTTGCCTTTGTGGAAATTATAATAATGGTGAGGTTGTGATAGCAAAAGTGTGGGCTAATGTGGAAGCACATCTCAAAGGCACCCACATTGGTAGAAGGATGACAAGATTGAGGGGACTCTTTTGTTTTTCTTTTCCATTTATTTATTTAGAGACAAGATCTCACTGTGTCTCCCAGGCTGGAGTGCAGTGGTACAATCATGGCCTACTGCAGACTCTGGGCTCAAGCAATCCTCCTGCCTCAGCCTCCCAAAATGCTGGGACTACAGCTGAAAGCCACTGCATCCAGCCTGCTTTTTTCTTTTAAAACTCTTAAAATTTGATTGAAAGTGAAATTGTAAACGTAGAGTTGGAAGTTCTGGAACTGGAAAATAAAATTGCAAAGGAAGAAAAGAAAATTTGCATAAGACTTATCCAAAGTAAACAAATCTAAAGATATTGAGAGAAAAACAGAGAGAAATGTTTTCTACAGTAAAAATTTATTCACTATTGAAGATGAAATTTTCTTTTAATAGTGAAGGAACACAAGCCATTGATTTGTGAAACTTTCTTTCCTTCCTTTCTCTTTCTCTTTCTTTTCATCATACATCTAAGCATCAGGCATTGAGCTAAGCTTATGAATTAAAAAAAAAATCCCCTGTCTTGAGAGAGCTCACAAAAAATTGTTTCCAATTTTTATGCTCTTTAGTGTTATCTCCAGGGAGTTAGAGGCAGTGACTCTCCAGGACTCATTACCTATTAAGGCAATGCTCTTAACTGTCAAGGTACCTCATGACATAACCAGTTAAAATTTTTATCTCTAGCTATTCACTTCTAGATAATAGGAAAAGCAAAAATCAAGTACAAATTCTCTTAAAAGCAAATTAAGAAGTTGTATATAAATATCACTCTTAATCTTATCTTTTCCGGTTTTTTGTTTTTGTTTTTGTTTTTCTTGGTTTTTTTTGTAGTGGAAGAGAAGGAAGTAGAGTAATATTTGGGTCTTTGGAAGTTATGTTTCAATGTGACTTCATTTCTCATTCATTTTCTGATGCAGTGACAGACTGAGAACAATCCAGGCAGATGAGTGGCATCTGGGTTGGTGGATAGACTCAGAAATAATTGCCCAGATAGAGTAAGAAGAATAGGCTAGAACAGCCAAAATTACATCCATGAAGTCTGTTTCAAAATCTGAGTATGAGATAGAGTCATCAGAGGATATTGACACAGTTAATTTAGGGACCAGGAATGCTAAAAAAGGAAAAGCCAGACTATCAGCATAGAGTCAGATTCTGTTGTAAGTGACAGAAAACCCCAAATAAAAAGTAGAAAAATTATTCCTTTCACAAATAAGCAACATCCAGAGGTAAGCAATCAACAGCTAGTAGGATAGCTTCGTGAACCTCCGAGACCCAAGATCCTTCGACATACTGAACAGCTGTCTTCAGCACACTGTCCAGGATGGTTGTGTAAGTTGCATTTTTCAAGAAGGAGGAAGGGGCACATATAGTCCCATTTCCTCCTTTCAGGGATACTTCCTGGAAATTGCAAACACTACTTCCATTTCCACTCACTGATCACATAGCTTCATCTGGATGAGTAAGAAAGCTGGAAAAATATGGTCTTTATTCTGGCCAGCCATATGGCCCTTAACGACAGGGGTTTTGAAACTGGGATGAAAGAAACAGGTATGGAAAGGCCACTGTCAGTCTCTGCCACCATGAGCTCAGATCATGACTAGAGGTATAGGACTTTCCTCAATCATCAAGTATGAACTGAGGTTGTTCCTTTTGGAGGATACCTTGCCATGTACTTTGGGGGCTGATTTGGCCTTTTAAAAAGATTTTTTCAGACCGAAGATTTTCAAATAGTAGAGATTATTCTTACTTTTTTAACTAGATATGCATCATAAATTTAAAAAATTTCAGGGAACTAAAACTTCTGTTTCATTCAACTGAATTTTTATAACAGTCTTATACACTTATCTATTGTGTATGAATGTGTTAAAAATTTGGTCAGTCAATACTTTTAAATACAATCACACATACACACATGAATGCTTGCCCTTATGCAACCATTTTTCTTTGGTCTATCAATATATGCCATTAACCTAAAAATTAATCTCCTCTTCATTTTTATTTCATGTTTATTTCTCGACAAGCCTGTTCCACTATCCAGTATTTATGTTTGCCAGCAATTCTTTTCTATAAATACAGTTTGCTAGATTATAGCTAAATCTATACTTAAATACAAACTCTCTGGCACTTTCTCCAAACTCAAGGTTTGTGATTATAATTAAGCAATAATATTGTCACTTGCTTTTTTCTTTCTTGAAAGTACCTAATCTCCTTAGGTATCTGCCCCTTAGTGCTGTAAAGATGTGATTTGAAAAGTAAGTTTAAACCGTTCTTTCAATTAGGCTGCACTTATTTTTATATTCCCAGCCTTATACCCAGATTACCTGGAAGGTATATATACTCAGTTAAGACACATTCGATCTGAAATCTATATGACTTTGAGTATAAATGGGCACCTCTTAATGATTGAGATTGAGCCAACTGCTCATTCAGCTGAGGTGAATTAAGTCTTCTAGGGCACCAGTGTGCCATTTAGTAAATTACATCATCCAGCACACTAAATGTGCCTCGCATGGGTGAACAGCTTCCTTCCAGGGTGTACTTTCCTCCCCCTCATTCTCCATTGACCCTACCTTATTGATGTCATAGGGTGATTCATATGACTCAGTATTTACCCACAGCCTCAGACAATAAGACTGCACCATTATTTACACCACTGCAGAACACATGCGCCAGTATGTAAAGGGTAAACGAGAAAGTTATTTTGTTTGGATTTTTTGTAAGTCAAATATAAACAAAAGAGCATCACTATCCTCTAGATTCTGAAACTGTAAAATATACTGTCATATATTGCTTCTCGGCCTTTTGGCTAAGATCAAGTGTAAATTTACCATCATATAGTAAAATGGCTTAGCCCCTTAAAAATATCAATAAACAAGCATCTTTTAAAAAAAACTATTAACACAACAGTATGTACATAAAACAAGCCTATTTAAATAGCAGTAAAATTGAATATAATACTTTGAAAGCGATAAGTTTTTATTTTTCACTTGCAAATACAAATGTTCTTTTAATTTTAACTCAGTCCTATTCTCTTAGATATTAAAACTTTAGACATTTATTGGATCCTGTTTTGGAAACTAACATCTAGGGCATAAAGTAGTTTTTGTGGTGCCATAATTTGTTAAATAATACTTTGAAAGTGGCTGGGTGCCCAAAGAGTTCATGCAGAAATAAAATGCACTCAAACTGCTTCCAAATGTTTTCCTCTCCACATATATCACATCAGAAGCTGCTGTTTCTCTCACACTGTCACTATATCTAAGAAGCTATAATCATTCACCACCCCTAGTGGAACATTTTAGCAAACTACTCAAATTTACATCCAAGCCAATGTTTAAAATTAAATTAAAAGCATGTATGTTAAGTGAACCAATAATCTAATGATACAGGGGTCTGAAATTGCCTTGGAACTAGCTCTGAAGAATACATTAGGAGGGGCATTTTCAACAGTGAACAACACCTGCTTGCTTTTTATCCCTCACTTTTTCTCTTGACTCTCCTTCAATATTCTTATGGGACGGGATGTATTTGGGTCCTCATTTTGAACTCAGTTTAATGGCCTTTCAAGGATAGCCTGATGATAAACAGAGTTGAAAATGGTGGCACAGCAAGGGGCTGGAAGATGTGAATGGAGATATTATTCCAGGCAGTCTCAACATGCCCAGTTTTAATGTGACTAAACAGTCATAAAGTCAGGCTTCTTTGAGTCTGTTTCCGTTTTCTCCCTATTATCAGGAATGAGTGTTGTCTCATATCAGACTTGAGAATTAGGTGAATATACGCCTCAGTGGCATCCAGCTTACAAAAAGGAATAGCCTCACTAAAAGTTAGAAGTTACTTGAAACTGTATAATGCCTGCCTCTTTCAAACCCATTTCACACTTATGATCTTATTTGAAAATAGAGCCCAACACACTGTTATTACTTTGCTTCGAGGCCATAGTTGAGGTGAAATTGGCTGGCTCCTATACAGGAGAGTTAGGCCTGCAGAGAATGAATGCTAAGTCAGTCTCTCCCCTCATGGAATAGCATCCCTAGCTATGTGCCTCCCTTGTCTTTCATGCTCACATAAGCAGTCCAAATTGCTCCACCCTCAAGATCGTCTCTCTGTCTGTCTCTTAAATACATAAATGAGAAGGCACATATGCAACCCTGGGATAAATGTTGGGAAGGATATATGTGGCCCATGTCTGGCTGTTTGTATTATTCAGTGTTCACCAATCTGTCTGGGAGAGAAAGACTATATGAGATATCAAGAGGGACTTGACAGGTCAGAACATTTTTAGGACTCAAGTGATATTTTCACTATCTTGCATGAATGTTGTCATTTTACTTTTAGAAGTTTAAAGGAAGTTTAGAAGCAAAACATGGGTACATGTTGTAACTCCCATTTTTAAATGTTACCTTTACAATTAACCCCTATATGCAACATGCCATGCCAAGTTCTATTGCACGTATTAAAATGAGAAGCTTCTTCAAATAATTTATTGTAAGATACATGAAAAGAAATACCTATACTGCAAGTTAAAAATGTGATAATTTTACACATGATAGAGAGAAAAGAGCCACAGAGAAAGGTCTATTTTGTGCCAGGCACTTTATAAACACTATTTTGTATAATTGTCCTCATAACATCAAATTTCCCACACATTACCAAAATGAGAACTGAGGCTCGGGGAGTTTAAGTGACTTGCATAAGGTCATGCAGCAAGCTATGCACAGCAAAGTTTTGAAGCTGGATCCCTCTGGCTCCACACCTGTGCTCTTCCCATTGCAGCTTTGCTGCCTCCTGAGGGAGCACAGATGAGGGCAAGATGATTCCAGCAGCAGACAAATAAAAAGCCTCTTAGAAGAGGTGGCATTTGAGCAGCGTATTTAGAATGAGTCAGGCCAATATGGGGTATTCTTTCTTTGTGCTAGAAGGAGTGAACAACACATTCAAATAACAATGAATCTTCCTGTATGTTTGCAGGAAAATGTGAAGGATTCTGAAGCTGTTCTTTTTTATTTTTATTTTTATTTCATTTTATTTTTTTTTTGAGACAGAGTTTTGCTCTTGTTGCCCAGGCTGAGGCTGGAGTGCAATGGCCCAATCTCAGCTTACTGCAACCTCCACCTCCCAGGATCAAGCAATTCTCCTGCCTCAGCCTCCTGAATAGCTGGGATTGCAGGCATGTGCCACCACACCCGGATAATTTTGTATTTTCAGTAGAGATGGGGTTTCTCCATAGTGGTCAGGCAGGTCTCAAACCCCTGACCTGAGGTGATCTGCCCACCTCGGCTTCCCAAAGTGCTAGCATTGCAGGTGTGAGCCACCACGCCTGGCCATAAAGCCACTCTTATGTCTTGGTTTTATACTCACCGGTAGGGAGATTTTGGAATTTTTTAACTGAAGAGTGACATAATCTAAACTGGGAGGACTCGGGGAGGCATCCACTGAAGTGTTTACACCATGCACATTTGCAGGTAGAGACATGGAAGGAAATCCCATGTCTTACCTCATGCAAAAAATAGCTACCTGGAAAAGTGGACATATCTTGCCACCAACACCCTACCACCAGTACCATTGCATACATGTCATACATTTATCATATGAGAGTGGATATAAAGTCATATTAGGGCCTTGTTTAGTTTCATTTTCTTTGGCTGCTTTCAATTGTTTCAAGACTGATTGTGTTCCCTGATTATCTACAAAACCAATCAAGTAGTAATTATTAAATAGTAACATGGAAATTAACCAAATTATCCTGCCATCTCATCCACACCATATAGATGCCATTTTGACCTGAAAAAGCTGGTATCTTAGCCTTAAATGAAAAATGTTTGATATGTATTAAAACATTTGTTCGTAGATAGTGCTGCCAAGGATGTTATTGTATCTGTGAGTAAAACTAAATCCAGAACATTCTCTTTTAAACTTTGTTTATGAGAAAGCGACAATGTGATATAGGTGACAGCAAGACTCACACTAGCAATGAATGGCCAGTCTGGTCTATAGGCAGCTTTGGAAAACTACAAACAGGCAGATGCAGCCTGCCTCATGACCTCTTTATCTAGTGTGCTAAAAGTGCAGACCTCACTTTAATAATGTGACAGATATACCCACAGTTCATAAATATTAAATACATAGCACACTTTGGCTGCAGAGCTAAATAGATCTAGCTCTCATACATGTTGATAAATGCTGCTTAACAACGCCTTAGCTGACTCCTTGGCACCTGAGGTGTAAAATGGTTTTTTAGAAGAACATATAGTTGGCAGGGCGCGGTGGCTCATGCCTGTAATCCCAGCACTTTGGGAAGCCGAGGCGGGTGTATCACAAAGTCAGGAGATCGAGACCATCCTGGCTAACACGGTGAAACCCCGTCTCTACTAAAAATACAAAAAATTAGCTGAGCGTGGTGGTGGGCGCCTGTAGTCCCAGCTACTCTGGAGGCTGAGGCAGGAGAATGGTGTGAACCCGGGAGGCAGAGCTTGCAGTGAGCTGAGATCGTGCCACTGCACTCCAGCCTGGGTGACAGAGCAAGACTCTGTCTCAAAAAAAAAAAAAGAAAGAAATACTTTGGTGTAACTCTAACAAAATATGTACAAGAACTGTATGAGGAAAGCTACAAAACTCTGATGAAAGAAATCAAAGAACCAAATAAACAGAAAAATATTCCATGTTCATGGATAAGAAGACTCAATATTATTCAGATGTCACTTCTTCATAAGTTGATCAACAGATTCAATGCAATGTCAATCAAAATCCCAGCAAGTTACTTTGTGGATATCAACAAACTGACTAGAAAGTTTATAGAGAAAGTTTATAAAGAACATATAGTTTAAAAGTCTGACCTCAGGGAAAAAACAGCTAGGTAGGAATCTGCCAACCAAGGTAGCCTGTACGGTGGCTAATTGGAAGGACATGTTTTTTCAAGTTCACTCGACCCTTCCATCACTTCTTAGATAAAAGAACTTTAGAATTTTAAAAGTTTTGGAAATTTAGTCTGCCCCGATCCCTGAACACTGGGTCATCATAAGCATATAAAGTGGAAAGTTCTCAATTTCACTGAACATTAATAATTATATATATTTTTGATGCTATTTATACTATTTGAGTGTACATTGTTTTGAAAGTACTGACATTGAGAAAACTCAATCTGTTATTTTACAAAGTCAAACTACCTTTGTATTGTTCATATAAAGATGATTTTAATTCAACTCAATAAATATTACCTTGAGCTCCTACCATGCACAAGATCTGGGACTGAGCATGTCAAGGAGAATAAGACATACACAACTCATTCCTTATGCTTAAGAGTTCACAGCCTAGTGAGAAAGACGAATGTATAAGCTAAAAGTCACCAGCTGGCAGCCCACAGGCTAAAATCATCCAAGAGATGTATTTTATTTGATATCTGCAGTGTTTTTAAAAAACATTTGAGTTCATTGCTATTAGTCAGAGCTTTCACCTTTCAGTACAACAGAATCGCTTTGTCATCAACTGGATA
Source organism: Homo sapiens (assembly GCF_000001405.40). Lineage (NCBI taxonomy): Eukaryota > Metazoa > Chordata > Mammalia > Primates > Hominidae > Homo > Homo sapiens. The sequence goes on from NC_000003.12 coordinate 97,584,495, forward strand.
TAATCACTTATTGCACCCAATGGACCCTTCAAGGCATTTGAGTTTGGTACCATGAAATTGTAGACACACAAATATTGCCACTATGATTGACTTCTGCCTGTATTATAATACCTAAAATTATATGGAAGAACAGAGAAGAGAATAGCAAGTAAGTTCTCTCCAGCTATGTCAAGCACGTTTTGACATGGGAGATGATACCTGCCAAAACCAGAAGGGACTTCCAGACAGAGGAAAGATCATGAAGGCATGGAGACATGAAATGGTCTCCATGAAGGAGAAGGAGGAAAATATTTATCCCCATGTATTGAACATTTATTGCCAACCGCTAATAGGCAGTCCTCATGTGATTCATGATAAACCAATATGTTTATTATTAGCTCCACTTTTCAAATGAGAAAACTGAATGAAAGAGAAGATAAATAACTTATCCAAGATTAATCAGTTAGTGAATGGTAGAGTCAGAATTCAAAGTTCTGCCTGACCTCAAACCTAGACATTTTTATTACTAAACATGATGGACGTATTAGCAGATTGTAGATTTATTCAGGACACTTTTTCAGTAATTAAAAGTCCAAGTTCCACTGAATATAAGCAGAGGCAAAACCACTGGTCCCAGCCTCCACTTAGGGAAAATACATGCTTCATTCAGTGTAGCGAATGGAATAAAAATTATGTAAATAGACTTTTAGAGCTTAAAGGAAACTTAGGAAAGTTACAGTCCACGTTCAGCATTTTGCAGGTGAGAAAATTCAGGCATTTAAAATATTTGCTTTTAAAAAGTCGAAGAACTTCTATTTTAAATACAAATTAAAACCTACCTTTCAATATGTCTTAGTCTTAATCAACTCCAAAATATTTTAATTCTCCTTGCTAGTGCTATAGTTTTAAAATATAATTTACAGCAACCATAATTTTGTGATACGCGTTCTACAAGTCCAAAGTTTTAAAAATAACTCAGGGAAAAAATGAACATTTATTTGTAAAAGCACTAAAGAAATACCTCATAAAAATCTAGCCATGAAACTGCACTTTTTGCTTCAATACATTTATTGTGTCCTATTTAACAAGGGGATGAAATATCTATAGGATTCATATTACAGTTACCTGAAGGATTTTTTTAAGTTAAAAATAAAACAGTAATGGTCATATTATTTTTAATTGTATTTAGTGCTGAACACTGTGGGTTGGGGTTAGTGTGCAGGTAAAGAGGAAAATACTAATTTAGTTGTAGGGGCATGTCAAGTTACAAGAATTTAGATAATGGACAAAGTTATGTGATTGCATCTTTGGATTAGTTTAGTCAGACTCAGTCCCTGAAAATAATATTGTCATATCAAAAATTATTTGATTTTCTATTTTTGTATTAAAAATGTATGTCATAGGTTAAAAAATAGATGTGGCAATAAATATTTATGGAATAAATTAAGTCAGTGAATGGATAAAAGCATAAATTAGTAAGTTATTCATGAATAGTTATATTTTCCCATTCTAAGCCAAATTGAAAATTAGCTCCCTTCCAGCTATAGAAAGTTGCTCTTGGCCTAGGAAGCAATTGAGCAGGCAGAGTACTTCCTTAGATCCTAGCAAAATATTTGCTTAAGTAATTTGTCACTTTTCATTTGATCATTTTTGTATCCACTCACTCAACTTGCATTTATTGAAACCCAGATCTGTGCATCTTCTGGTCACATTAGAGGAGACCACAGCGAACTCCCAGCCATCCCACCTCATGCATCACAATGAGGCAGTAATAATCCTTTCTTTACCAAAGTAGGCAGAGCAGCGTAGTCTGCCCAAGACTGCATGTTTTCAGTTAAGGATACGCGAAATAAAGATCTCCATGGAGTAAAAGATGCATTTTTCCAATGCTTTACATTAAATGTTTCTTATTGTCATTGGTCTTCCTCACTGGTGACATAAACTTATTGAATCTCTAGCCTCATCCACCATCACAGAAAACAAAGAAGTATTTGCTCAAACAAAAGAGGTTTATGGTCTTACTTCTGTTAGTGAAGGAAATAATGTATAATGTTATAAATTACTATAACTAAAAAAAAAAGAGAGAGGCATGTAGGAAACAAAATATGAGTTACACAAGGAATGGAGGGAAATACACAGTCTGACAAAGTAAGGATAAATGAAATTAGATAGGAGACAGAAGATAGAAAGATGGTAGGTAGGTCAGTACTTAGATAGATGGATGGATAGATGATGGATGGATGGATGGATGGATAGACAGACAGACAGACAGACAGACAGATAAGGTTTGAAGTTTCAGGAATGAGCCTTCTTCAGGGAAAGTAGCCCTTGGCATTGCATTAGGTTCAATAGACTAGTTTATCTTTGCGCTTTGAAGTTATTCTTACTGTAGCTCAGAGGTACCAGAGTTCATCCAAAACCAGTAAGGGAATGGCTACTATGTGCCAGTTACAGAACTCAATACTGGATACTCAAGTATAAAGAAAGGGCAGGGTGTGGTGGCACATGCCTGCAATCCCAGCACTTTGGAAAGCCGAGGTGGGCGGATCACCTGAGGTCAGGAGTTGGAGACCAGCCTGGCCAACATAGTAAAACCCTGTCTCTACTAAAAATACAAAAATTAGCCGGACATGGCGGCGGGCACCTGTAATCCCAGCTACTCGGGAGGCTGAGGCAGGAGAATCGCTTGAACCCGGGAGGCAGAATGGCAGAATCCAGTGAGCCAAGATCACCCCTTAGCCTGGGCAACAGAATGAGACTCCGTCTCAAAAAAAAAAAAAGAAACTATCTTACTTCTGAATGCAGACACTCTATTCTCAGCTCTTCAAATTATTGTTCATGTTCCTATCATTAAATATTTTGGGCCCAAACTCTCCACTGTATAAATACTCATTTGTAAATCATATATATGTTCTGCCTTACTTATTATTGTTTTATGCTTATTATAAAACATACAAAATATAAAATAAGGACAAAATAAAAATATTTCAAAATAATATTCACTTTACATATTATTGGTACAAAATTTAACAATTTAGGTCTGACTGGAAGTTCATTTTATTTCAATATTTGATTTCACGTAATAATCACACTACAAACAGGCACAACATACATAAAATGCTACATATTTATGGCCAGGTTTGCTATGATATGGGTGGAATCTGTACTTTCAATAGTGCTCCTGGTGGTTTTTTGTGGCCTCCTCTTTTTAGATACCATCCTTATTTTCATAATGTGGTTGGTGAATAACACATTTTAGGAGTTGAAGAAATTGATTTTCCATATTCTATTTGCTTACTTGGGCCTTTATTATGAATTTTCTAATGAATATCCAAGGTTGGACACCACTATGTAAGAAACAACATGGTCTTCTAGGATCACTGTGTTGGGCCAGGTAAAATTAAAGCTTTGCCCTGATTGTTCAAGCCCTTGAAGTAAATTATTTACTTCATTCTTACTTTGGCATTTTTCTCACTGTTTTATTACTTAGATAAGTGATCACCAAAATTCTCTGATCACACACATCTAACAATAAAAATGTTTGAGCAAGTTTTACAGGGGATATTATCAGTATATTTTATTTATAATTTATTTGTATCAACTAGTATGATATTGTATATATTTATAAAAAAATAAACATAGCAATTACTAAAGGATGAGGAAAAGCATAAATATAAATGGAATTTTCAGTATTTTCTTTCTACCGCCCATCTTCCATGCACTCTGTTGGTATACCCCCCTGCCCAATTTTGGAAAACACTAGTATGAAGTAAACTTATTACTGAACAAGGTGTAACAGAAGAGGACCAAACACAGTAACAAGTAATCTTCCTGCACCACGTCAAACACATATGTGTGCATGTATTTCAAATTTCCAATTCTAAATTTTCTGTCTTTTATTAAGTCAGTGTATCTATTGTCTACTTATAGATCTTAATGTGTATTTGCAAAAATGCAACCTAATGAAAACAATTTGAAGAAGTCATATCTCATTTATATTACAGAGATATTATCCTTACTATTAAACTTTTTGCCATCAAAAGTAAATTATTAACATGTCATCTTCAAAGAAGGGAATCTTTTCTATGAGGAGTTTGTATATGTATGTGGGGGAATCTGCATTAGGAAATTTTATCAATTTATTTCAATTTTATGCTTAAAGGCTTATTTTTAAAGAAACACTAAGACTGCTAAATAATAGCAATGGTTTATATTTATAATCATTTGCTACATTTAATTCTCATGAACAGCCCACTAGAGTCAGTTATAATTTTCAATTTACAGATGATGAAATTGAAGCACAGTTTAAGCTCATTGTTAGTCTGTTATCTTTTACACAAATGTTTTTTGACAATTTGCCTTCAGAGCTGATTTGTTAAGCACATGTGAAAATTTCTTTCCTTTTTTATAATTTCAACTTTTATTTTAGATTAAGGAATACATGTGCGGGTTTGTTACATATGCAAATGTTTAATGATCCTTAATTTACAACATAGAGATATTTAAGGGAGATTGCTACAATATCAAATTTAAAAAGATATTTTGTTTCCCAGAGTTTAAGTCAAGCTTGTCCAACCTGTGGCCTGGGAGCCTCATGTGGCCCAGGATGGCTTTGAATGTGACCCAACACAAGTTCCTAAAGTTTCTTAAAATATTATGAGGTTGTATTGCGATTTTTTCTTTTCTTCTCTTTTTTTTTTTTAGCTCATGATCTCTCGTTAGTGTTAGTGTATTTTATGTGTGGCCCAAGACAATTCTTCTTCTAATGTGCCCCATAGTAGCCAAAAGATTGGACACCCCTTGTTACGGATTAAATATATATTTTTTAGGATGATTTGAAAACTGATTATGCTGTAGGGGCCAGTTTACTGTAATCAGAATGCTTCCTCAGTTGATCAAGCCAGAAGGAAGCATGCAGGCCATGTCAGCTTCTGCTTTTTTCCCACTGTCTCGTTACATGACCTATTAACTAGCAACTTTTTAAGATAATAATAATAATAATTCTTTACTAACGTACAGTATTTCTCAGTGGGTACTACTAGCATTTTGAGAAATAATTTTTTTTCAGAGATTATACAACTTATTTCAACAACTTTAGTCTTCCACTCACTAAATACTAGGAATGCCTTTCCTCAGTCCTAATTTGCGACTCTCCCTACTGGGAAAGTTATCATGAAAGTGGAGAACCACTGCACTAAGGAGAGAATCGAAATCAGAGTTTTAGAATATTGTATGTGAAATGACACATTTTGTATCTTGAACTTGTAACGGCTAGAGGAATACTCTTATTACATATAAAATCTAATTTATATTAACAAATACTCCACGGAATGTAACTAAAAACAAAATATTCGTGGAAGCAGATATTGCTCCTGCTACACATTTTAGATTTCATTTACTTTTTAGCTACAATATCATTGAATAATAAATTCCACAATTAATTGAAAGAAAACAGACAGACAGAGTTAGCAACTTAAGCAATTGGGAAAGCCAGACTAAAACTAATTTATATCAAACCCCAAAACTTAACACCTAGTGGATGAAGAAACAAGGAAATTATAACAAAGAATTGCTGTTTCTCCTGAATAAATTGTGAAAGCTTACTTTAGTGTTTCATGCAATCTCTGTTGATATAACTGACCTTAAGGAGAAAAATGATAAGGCATTACTATCACGTAATATCTCACCTGAATATATATTCATGTACACCAGTCCTTCTATTTTGTTTGTCTGTTTTTTCAGCTGTGAAAAATGACAGTTCCTTAAGGAAGAGATGCCACAATAGATGAAAGACCTTTTTACCCATGGTAAAGAAACATAGCAGAGACATTATGAATGATGCAGGAAGCTTAGGAAAATGAAAGCTGCTATTAACTATGACAGGCTGTCACAACAACAAAAACAGTAATCAATGCAATCATAGCAATAAGATAATATTTGTATTAGTTTCTTTCAAAAAGTTAAAATAATGGGTATCTTTTATGAGTTGACAGTTTGGATAATGTTGGCAAAAACAGGAAAAACTCAGATAAAAATCTCAATGTGTAACATATTAACATTATCTAGAGTCACTACTTTACATATTTTTGTTTTTCTTCAAATTGCCTTTAATTTCATTTATATCATTTTTTCTTTGCTCTTCATGACTATGTTATTATGTTTCTTTATGATCTAATATTCTTGAACTGAGTTTCCTATTACTTGGCTTCAATAAATCCATAATCAGCTAAAATTGCATTATTTTAGCTTTTCACAGCATATAATAAAATCTGCATTTGTTGTCATTATTTTCCCTATTGTAACAATATCATTACTCTTGCAACTTTAAGTAAGACTGCTGTATAAATATATGATCACCCCACTTGGTATTCAATGATGCACCTTCATTACAAGTGTTATCTCAGAAAATGATGAAACATTGCAATGTGGAAAATGCCTTGTGTGGGAAACATTGCACACAGACACATATTAACTTTGTGTTCAATGATAGATATTCCATGCATTCACAAGGAAGTTTGTTGCACTACTCCTTGTAAGTTACCTCGGAGTACTTTCTGACTTACCACTTGGCATTCTTGCCCTGTCTCTTAATGTTTAAGGGACTCCAGCTCTTCATGACAGAACCCTACACTAAGGCCCCATAAAATCAACAACAAAACTAGTTTATTCACTGTATTTAATTTTTTTTCTAAGCTTTCTTTAATCCAGTGCACACTGTATTGGCCTCACCTGTTAAAATACACATTGTAACTTTGCTCTTTCATGAAAACATTTCTAAAGATCTGAGAGATGTGAACTTTTCTTTACCAATAACGTTCTCCATGGAAACAAGATATATATAGTGTGCCCAGTTCCTTTAATTCTGACCCAAGTTCAAAGAAGCCTCAAATTTTAACTTATTTTTGGTGGAGAATTTGTGTCAAGATACAAAGTGAGGTCTCTTCGCAAACACAGAACTTGCTAAATCTGAGCATGAAAGGAAAGACCCCAGGATTCAAAATGTGAAGCTATGCAGCCTGAGGCATTTCAGAGTGGCTGAACGAAATACAGTCCTTACAATCATCAGTGTAACTTGTTTTGTTTTGTTTTGTTGGTGGGTGGGGGAGGGTTCTAGTGCAATTTTTGCCTTTGATTGGCCGTATCAGTTACCAGTGATGCCCATTCACTAATACTGCAAGTGTATTAAATTTTCATCTGAGTGAGTTTAGGATCTTAAAGTTATTAAGACACCAAATTATGATGTTACTATTCCAAAGTGCAGAGTTTCTAACTCATATTCAGAGGATAGCAATCTCCCAAATAAGAATGTATTCGTGATTTATTTTTATTCTAGTGTGGGAAGAGTTTGTCCTGGTAGTCTACCAACCACGTGGCAGTGACTCCCCTCCTTAGGTCTCAGTTTGTTGGTCTAAAATGAGTGGTTTTAACTAGATGATCTCTACACTGTTATTTCGTTCTGACACTCTTTTATTCTATGATTCATTATATAATTTTATGGATAAATTTCCAAGCCACTTACTTTTTCTTTACAATATCCTTCTTAAAAATGAAAAAGCATGTGGTTTTACCTTTGCAAACTCTCATGTCTTGTCCCTAATGGAAAAGTATAACAAATTAATAATTGTGTACATCAATTTTCTTGTCCCTGTTGCAAAAATATGTAATTACTGCATGATGTAAAAGTTTTCCTTATTTTAAGCACTAATAGAGATAGACCTAAAGTAAAGTACTGCTCCTGTTGTTATAGCATATATCAGATCTTATCGTGGCTATTTTCTGCATGCCTGTAACTCATGTAGGCATGAATTCTGCAAATAAACAACATCAATGACTAGCATTTATATCCATTTTATTATTCCATGCACAGCTTTATGTTCTAAATGTAGGTTTGGAAATTGTATCTAGCACTCTGATGCTTCTAACCCTCTTTAATTGTAACTAGTTGAGTAGCTTTCTTTTCAAGAAACTAAGTTGATTTTATAAATTTATGGAGTAAAAAATGCATTCCATCCCTTTAATTTTATAACTTCTTCGTAAAATTTGATGTCTTTGTTGATTTTAGGTTTTATTCCATGTAAATGATCAATGCTTTTCCATAAAGAAGACTTTGATTAATGTCAATTTTTATCTCTTAAAAGGATCCTTCCCGGCCATTGGGGTGGAGGCGTTTTGCCCCAGCTTCCTGAGGGCAGGGTTTTTAAATAGCATCCAGGCCCCGCATCCAGTGCCAGGGGGAGGATCTTTGCCCCCCAGGATTCCTGCTGGTAGGTATTTCAGGTGAAGTTTTCTGCCACCATATACAGCAGTAGGATTGTGCTCATAGTTGATAGGCCCCAAATACAAAATGAATATTGCTTAAATATATTGTGGAAAAGAAATGTAAGTGACTGCTTAAATTCAGAAACCATATTTATAATACTGAATGCTGTCAAAATGGCACAAAGGAAGTGAAAGGACTCTGCGCACCTAATTCGCATAGTGCTGCCTCCTCTCCTGAGAAAATTTTTACTTAAGTAAGAATTAGAGCTTCAGATCCAAAATATGTAACTCAAGAATAAACAAAGATGGACTTCAGACACTTTGCCACTTGGAATTGGCCAGAAAAGTGAATTAAAAACTAAGTGTTCTTGGCAGAAAGAGTAATTTCATAGAGTTGATAGAGAATTAAAGTATCCTTTCATTACAGAAAAAAAAATGATTTGAAGAAACCAGAAAGTAGCAACCTGAAAGACATATTTTAGAATAAAAATTAATATGCATTTTTCCCTAAAAATGCCAATCTGACCAAAGCCATATTTTATTGAGAGAAACAAAATATAGGATATTGAACATTTAAAAATGCAATTTCAAATTTACTAAAACACTTTGCAGGTTATCCATGGCATGATTGTAATTACAATTTGTTTCTTCCCTGACATTTAGTAAAATATCCAGCTGCCTTCCTTCATTGTACCTAAAGGATGCAATCTTACTTTACATTTTATATGTGTCTTAGCAAAACAGAATTCAAATATTGATTCTTGGAGTTTTGAAATCATAATTCTTGTGATTTTTATTATAACTAATAATAATGCTAAAAAATTATTGTTATGACATCAATGTATTCAGGAGAGCTGGCCCAGCCTGCAATGTAATGGGAACACTTCAAAAGACTGGGAAATCCAATAAAAACAAAAATCCCAGCAATGTACATTTCTTGTCCTTGTTAGCATAATTATACCAACAAATCTTAAGACTATTCTACACTGATATTTTTCCTTTGCTTTTCAATTACTCTTTTCTACTTAATTGAAACATATAAATATGCTTTGAAGTCATTTAGCTTCATCACTGGATAATTTATTGATGTGGTTAGATACTTTGTGGCCAAGAATACCACTGAAAGAGCAGAAACCAAAATTACACGAGTTAAAAGATTGTAAATTTTCACTTTATTGGGTGTTATATAGCCCTTTTTCTCCTTAGAGAAAGAAATGATACCAATTGTACAGAAATTTTGTTGTTGATGATGTTGTTGCAAAGGATTAGAAAGAAAAACTATATAAGCCAAGCTCTCCGAGTTAACTGCAAATATAAACATGTAGCTTTCATGTATAATTAATATCCCAGTGATTGGAATTTAGAAGATGAGCAGATTGTGTAGAGTTTAATGGCCTCACCCTTAACTCTTAATGACAAATCTTGGTCAAGTCAGATATGTTTGGCAGAAATAACATTATGAAGTTTAAGACTGACTTGAATTATTCAACATCACTGTTAGAAAACAAAAAACCTTTGTCATTTAGCTACTGAGAATGACAGAAGGAAGATGATTGTTCTATAACACATACAGAAACAACTTTCCAGAGAGGGATCTAAAAGAACATTCTAGCACTCTATTCTTCTAGGCTTTAAGCCAAATTTGCCTCAAGCTTTCATAGGAGAGAAAACTCAGTTCAGTTTTCATGACTTACATACAAATCAGGTGTAAAAAAATTGCTTCTTAAAAAATGTATAGATCTAAACTTGTCCCTGTTTCCACAAACTGAAATTAACTCAACACACTTTTCCTGGCTTATATCATTTTGATAAGTCATCTCTGTACATTTTGTGTGATACTTTTTGGTAATGACTGCTACTATTTCAAAGAATTTTTTTATCCTTTCTTGTTCAACTATAGCTTATTTCCCAAGATTTTTTTTATATTTTGTGTAAAGAGGAATGAAGCAGTAATCATGAGAAGTTTTTATTATTTTATATTTTTTAAAAAAACTAAAGTATTTCTTTGCCATCTAATAGCTGAATTAATACCCTTCAGATTTCAGACATCAATTTGAGGGCAGCAAGTGTTTTCTCCCATGGCCCATACTATGACACTTTAAACACTCAGCTGAAGGTTGATGCCCACTGGGCAGCAGTAAACTCACTTTCTGCCAATTGATTATCGGTCACAGTATTTTAAGGGTCACATAAGACATTTTCTGTATCAGTCAAGAAATTTAAAAACCTGTTCTATTGCTAATTTAGTTCTCAATTACTTATCATAATCAAATTTAAAAGAGATACGTGACTATGTCTTATATATAATAGTTTGTGCTTCACGTCACACTGTGCTATTAAAAAGCAGTATTTCTATAGTACTTACTTTTACAGTAACTATCATAATCACAGATTCATTGAATCATGAGACCTAGAAAGCAGACAAGCCTGAAATTAGTATTTATGCAACAGTTGTCAACTGTTTATGTTTCTCATTTCTAAAAAGGTCATAGTAAAGGGTTATTATTCTTAGTTTCAGATGGAGAAAAACACCAGGAAGTATTAGCTGAAAATTGAATAGCAAGTTTATCAATACGATTAACAGAATGCATTTGTGTAGTAGTCACCGATACAGGAAGAAATCACAGAAGGCCAGGCGCGGTGGCTCAGGCCTGTAATCCCAGCACTTTGGGAGGCCAAGGCAGGTAGATCACCTGAGGTCAGGAGTTAGAGACCAGCCTGGCCAACATGGTGAGTCGCCATCTCTACTAAAAATACAAAAAATTAGCTGGGCATGGTGGCGGGCACCTGTAATCTCAGCTACTTGGGAGGCTGAGGCAGAGGAATTGCTTTATCCCGGTACGTGGAAGTTGCAGTGAGCCGAGATGGTGCCACTGCACTCCAGCCTGGGCAATAAAAGCGAAACTTCATCTCAAAAAAGAAAAAAAAGGAAATCACAGGAGAGAAGAGGAGAGGAGAGGAGAGGAGAGGAAGCGAAGGAGAAAAGAGAGGGGAGAATAAACGAAATAAGAGAATGGGGAAGGAGAAGAGAAATTAGAAATGACGTAACTCTAAAATTTTATTTTTTAAAGGAAAGTCTTCCTCCACTATATTTATTACTGTTTAAATCAAATTCTACCACCTTGAAAAGAATGTGTCCCTCTTTTAAATATGTTATCAGACATATTCTCTTTTTTTTTTTTTTTTTTTTTGAGACGGAGTCTCTCTCTGTCGCCCAGGCTGGAGTGCAGTGGCACGATCTCGGCTCACTGCAAGCTTCGCCTCCCGGGTTCACGCCATTCTCCTGCCTCAGCCTCACGAGTAGCTGGGACTACAGGCGCCCGCCACCGCTCCCGGCTAATTTTTTGTATTTTTAGTAGAGGCGGGGTTTCACTGTGTTAGCCAGGATGGTCTCGATCTACTGACCTCATGATCCGCCCGCCTCTGCCTCCCAAAGTGCTGGGATTACAGGCGTGAGCCACCGCGCCCGGCCATATCAGACATAGTCTCTAAAATAATAAGCTTGCTCTCTTTGCTCCATGTAGTTATTTCTTTAACTTAATTATGTTGTCAAACAGTATTTGAAAGTGGTTTAGAATTTTTTATATGCCATAGAGTATTGAGTATACATAGTCTTAGACTAGTGGATCACATTATGACAGATTTCACCTCTACTCAAATCCTCTATATTTTTGGCAGTTTGATGTTTGCCATACACAAACGATAGGAGAATAATAAAGCATTAAAAATAAAATTCTACATTAATAGTGATGGAGTAACATATAGAAATTTCATGAATTCACTTTCTCTGTCACTTCTCAGCAATAACTATCTGACATCATATGGTATCTTAAATCTACATAAAATGCAACCATTACAATGTGTCTCAAAAATTAGACCAACCTATAAGATGTAAAGGCATGTTTATTATCTGCTAATTACTCAGCAAATCATATCTTAAGGTTGAATGTGTTCATATCTACAAAATTTTAGCTTACTTTTTTGTCCCTTTTCTATCAGTTGTGAGACTTGATAATATTTTTTACTAATGAAGTAACTCATATACATATATATATATATATATATATATATATATATGGGTTATGTTAGTTTAAGGTATACATTTGAGTTTGGTCTAGCAACAATTCCATATATATCTATGGAATATATATATATATATATATATATATATATGTATGTATATATGCCAGATTGGATTATAGATATATAGAGATATATACAGAGAGATAGATAAATATGGAATATATATATATGGAATAGGTGGGTGACCAAACTCAAATATATCTTAAACTAACAAGTTTAAGATATCAATTATAAGAGAAGTCTATGAAAGAGAGAACTAGGAAACAGGCAGCATGTGGGACTTGGAAATAGACAAGCTGTGAGGGAATAAAATCAGTGTTGAATATCTCCCTAATATTTCCTTTGTGGTTAATCGTAGAAGCTCTTTAGTTATTGAAGGAATATTCTTCTGAGGTACCCTCTCTGTTTGCCTGCCTGTGCTTTAAGTACAATGCTATATGTATAATACCTCTTTTGACATTTTTACCTGAGCTTCTCTCCATTCTATGACTTGTGTTAGGTTCAAAGGAAATGGCAAAGATAGCGTGAGACTTCCTGTCTGCTGCTCTGAATCAAATAACAGGAGAATTATGAACACATGGGTATTCAAAAACTATATTTGCGATTACTGAGTATATAATTAAGAATAATGTTTAATATTGTTTATTTATTTATCCTTTGGAAAGAGATTTGGATGAGCCTTATACTCAAATACCAAGCATTTTGACATCCTCACTGCTATTCTCTGAGTAGCCATGTTAGAAAATGGTTTAACAACCCAGATTTCTATAAACCACATATCCAATAATGTCATTTCTATAGCAAAGGACATACAGTCCTCAGCCAACATTAAAATGTCTTTACAGTACACTAACAATGTTTATCAATATTTTCCTTTCCACATTTCATGTGAAATCTTGTCTGGGCTGAAGTCAGGGAAAATATTGTATTCACTATTATACAGTCAAAAATATTTTTATTCAGAAAGTATATGGCTTAGATGTTACAAATGGAATGTAAGTAAGCCAGGAATGATAAATAAATTTGAAGCTCTAGAAAATCTAGGATCTGGTGGATATAATATTATCAAGTTTTGATGCATATAGAGGACTGTAGAAAAGTAGTAATGCAAATATATAAGACTAGGTGGCAGACTTTGGAGAAATGTACACTAAGCTAAGGAAAATTGGCATAAACTCAATATGCCAAGGAAAGTCAACAGTGGAAAAGTATATGCATTTTAAATATGATCAAATTGCACTTCAGAAAAATCAAAGTAGATCATTTTATTTCTTCATATTTTCAGACATTCTTTAAAAAGTTAGTACCCATTTTTATTTTTTATTTTTTTTATTTTTTATTTATTTATTTTTTTTGGAGACACCTGTTTGTTTATTTTTGCCACTAATCATTATACGTTATTTAAAAACAAGAGATGATTAAATCCATCTTTCAGGTCATTTAGTTAAGTTTTTTTTTTATTATTATACTTTAAGTTTTAGGGTACATGTGCACATTGTGCAGGTTAATTACATATGTATACATGTGCCATGCTGGTGCGCTGCACCCACTAACTCGTCATCTAGCATTAGGTATATCTCCCAATGCTATCCCTCCCCCCTCCCCCCACCCCACCACAGTCCCCAGAGTGTGATATTCCCCTTCCTGTGTCCATGTGATCTCATTGTTCAATTCCCACCTATGAGTGAGAATATGCGGTGTTTGGTTTTTTGTTCTTGTGATAGTTTACTGAGAATGATGATTTCCAATTTCATCCATGTCCCTACAAAGGACATGAACTCATCAATTTTTCTGGCTGCATAGTATTCCATGGTGTATATGTGCCACATTTTCTTAATCCAGTCTATCATTGTTGGACATTTGGGTTGGTTCCGAGTCTTTGCTATTGTGAATAATGCCGCAATAAACATACGTGTGCATGTGTCTTTATAGCAGCATGATTTATAGTCATTTGGGTATATACCCAGTAATGGGATGGCTGGGTCAAATGGTATTTCTAGTTCTAGATCCCTGAAGAATCGCCACACTGACTTCCACAATGGTTGAACTAGTTTACAGTCCCACCAACAGTGTAAAAGTGTTCCTATTTCTCCACATCCTCTCCAGCACCTGTTGTTTCCTGACTTTTTAATGATTGCCATTCTAACTGGTGTGAGATGGTATCTCATTGTGGTTTTGATTTGCATTTCTCTGATGACCAGTGATGATGAGCATTTTTTCATGTGTTTTTTGGCTGCATAAATGTCTTCTTTTGAGAAGTGTCTGTTCATGTCCTTTGCCCACTTTTTGATGGGGTTGTTTGATTTTTTCTTGTAAATTTGTTTGAGTTCATTGTAGATTCTGGATATTAGCCCTTTGTCAGACGAGTAGGTTGCGAAAATTTTCTCCCATTTTGTAGGTTGCCTGTTCACTCTGATGGTAGTTTCTTTTGCTGTGCAGAAGCTCTTTAGTTTAATTAGATCCCATTTGTCAATTTTGTCTTTTGTTGCCATTGCTTTTGGTGTTTTGGACATGAAATCCTTGCCCATGCCTATGTCCTGAATGGTAATGCCTAGGTTTTCTTCTAGGGTTTTTATGGTTTTAGGTCTAACGTTTAAATCTTTAATCCATCTTGAATTGATTTTTGTATAAGGTGTAAGGAAGGGATCCAGTTTCAGCTTTCTACATATGGCTAGCCAGTTTTCCCAGCACCATTTATTAAATAGGGAATCCTTTCCCCATTTCTTGTTTTTCTCAGGTTTGTCAAAGATCAGACAGTTGTAGGTATGCGGCGTTATTTCTGAGGGCTCTGTTCTGTTCCATTGATCTATATCTCTGTTTTGGTACCAGTACCATGCTGTTTTGGTTACTGTAGCCTTGTAGTATAGTTTGAAGTCAGATAGTGTGATGCCTCCAGCTTTGTTCTTTTGGCTTAGGATTGACTTGGTGATGCGGGCTCCTTTTTGGTTCCATATGAACTTTAAAGTAGTTTTTTCCAATTCTGTGAAGAAAGTCATTGGTAGCTTGATGGGGATGGCATTGAATCTGTAAATTACCTTGAGCAGTATGGCCATGTTCATGATATTGATTCTTCCTACCCATGAGCATGGAATGTTCTTCCATTTGTTTGTATCCTCTTTTATTTCCTTGAGCAGTGGTTTGTAGTTCTCCTTGAAGAGGTCCTTCACATCCCTTTAAGTTGGATTCCTAGGTATTTTATTCTCTTTGAAGCAATTGTGAATGGGAGTTCACTCATGATTTGGCTCTCTGTTTGTCTGTTGTTGGTGTATAAGAATGCTTGTGATTTTTGTACATTGATTTTGTATCCTGAGACTTTGCTGAAGTTGCTTATCAGCTGAAGGAGATTTTGGGCTGAGACAATGGGGTTTTCTAGATATACAATCATGTCGTCTGCAAACAGGGACAATTTGACTTCCTCTTTTCCTAATTGAATACCCTTTATTTCCTTCTCCTGCCTAATTGCCCTGGCCAGAACTTCCAACACTATGTTGAATAGGAGTGGTGAGAGAGGGCATCCCTGTCTTGTGCCTGTTTTCAAAGGGAATGCTTCCAGTTTTTGCCCATTCAGTATGATATTGGCTGTGGGTTTGTCATAGATAGCTCTTATTATTTTGAAATACGTCCCATCAATACCTAATTTATTGAGAGTTTTTAGCATGAAGGGTTGTTGAATTTTGTCAAAGGCTTTTTCTGCTTTGTTTCTTGGCCAAAAATAAGACTCCTCATTATAAACCAGGTGAAAACTCAGCCATTATTTAACCTTCCTCCCCAACCCTGATTTTGAAAAGCCAAGGCTCTACTCTCTTCCCCAAGAAAATGGACATGTGATCATGTATGTAAGTGTTTACATACAATTTTAGGAAGTCTCTGGACATCCTAAAGTTTGCACACAAAGAACCCCTGGTTCTAAAGAATTCAATGTTCTATATATAAAGTTATGCTGAACTGACATAAGTGAGCATCATCTTTATGTAAGACTAGCAGTGCATTAAAAAAAAAAAGCTACGTGATGCATTTGATATCAAGCTCTTGAGCATTACAAAGAGAATTTCTATTTTTCTCCTTCCAGAAAGACATGAAAAATCTTAAAAGAGCCTTTAAGTAATCTCTAGATTTTTTTAGTAGTTCTTTTTTACTTCTCTATTTTCAGAATTTTTAAATAGTTCTAGCCTTTGGCCTTAACTAAGCCTTCTTATTAGCATAAATGTTTCTTTTATCTTAATGTCATTTGAATAAGTTTGAATGTTAAAAATAAATATGATATATATATGGCTATTTAAATTCTCCATTGAGAGCATACCTACTCCCTAGATATCTTCATGTTTTATTATTACAGATTGTGCCATTTATTTTGGTCTTATTCAAAGAAACTATCAGCACTTTCAAAAGATGCATTCAAAATCATTTTCTTCTTACAAAGAAAAATTCTGAAAATCTTTCCATGGCTTGCTAAGTTAGCTGAGTCTTCATGTAAATCAGTATTTACTATTTGTGCTGATTAGTATTTTTTTGTAAGGGAGGTTTCACCTTAATTGGGAACATAATAAGAAACTAGGCTGCTCAGCTGTCTATTCCTCTCCAGAGAGCCATGTTGAGCCGCACAGGATAGCATACATGCCCTCATGGGATGCTGGACCACTTAAAAATATAACTAACATGGAGACAGACCAGCCCTGCTGTAAAACATGTGTTGGCTCAGCCTTCATTGTTTTGCTTTGTAGGACAAATCACAGTGGAAGCTGCCCTATGACACCATGTTGGCTTTTCATATTTATGTTCACAGAGGTCTTAACAGCGAGTGCATTTATCAAAGCAGAACTTTTTAAAAATTAAACATTTGGAAGAGTTGCAGAAAAGATTAAGAAATAAATAGTTACTTGCCTGGTGCATTGGGGGTGGGGGGAAGGAAAGTAGTCAGTGGTTTAATTATGTCATATGTATGACTATTTAACAAATATTTTTGCCATTATAATTAAAATCACTCTGTAAATTACCTACGTAGTTAGAATACATGAAATATATTCTGTTTGGGGTTTATTTTATTTTTAAATTTTCTGATAATTTTCTTTTGACAGTGAATGATACAGAAAAGCCGAAAGCAAAATATTTGAACATTTATTTAATAATAAGACATTTTTCAAGCCAGAAGTAAAGCGTAGCATTTGAAATACCACTGGAAAATATGATGCTTTCTACCAAAAGCTTAGAGACTCTCTTAAAATATTCAGGATGTAACACTTTCTCTAGTGTCTTCCCCAGAGTTTTTGCAAAAGCATATAACATTGCTGCTCTTTAATGTTCTCATATATGCCTCTTACAACTGAAATTTCAACTGCTAAGCCTTGTCTTTTTAAGCCAAATTTGAGAATATTAATATAATATAAAACAAATTTATTTTTAATGGAACCTTAAGATTATTAATATAAACTGATGTTTGAGAAAGCAAAATCTGAAGGTTTTTCCAATCAGTGTCCTTAGTACATATTTCCTGTTTGTATAGAACGTTTTACAGCTTTGTAGGCCTTTAAAATCCTGGAATTTCTCAATAAAATATCCCAGGGAGCAACACAGTGCCTAGTTCATAATACCCTTCCAGGATATTTCTAGGATAAGACACAGAGATTTGGGGTAATGCTTTATGCTCCTCAAATTACTAGTGGAGACAAGCTTTACTTTGGGGTATAAGGAGATGGCCAAGCATTCAGACTCTGGAACCAGATTGCCTGGCTTTAAGCCCCTGAGCTGCCAATTGCTCACTGTGTGTCCTTAGGCAAGTTGCTTAAACTCTCAGTGCATCAGTAACCTTACCTGTTAAATTGAGCTAATAATTACACTTGCCACAAGGGTCAATATGAGGATTAAATGAGTTTAAACATGTAAAGCTCATAGAACAGTGCCTAGCACATTGAAGAACTTATAAAAAATTATTCTTACCTACCTGCTGATTTAGAGTAGTATCTATTTTTAAATTATACAAACAGATTTTAAAGAAGAAAACCAAGAACTAAAGCAGCATATAATTATTTATTTGACATGTAATTTAATTTAGTTTTGAACTTCGACATTATATAGTATTTCAAGATATGAAAATTCCTTGCTGTGTTTTTTTATTGCTTCCTAATAGTAATTCAACTATTAATTATTACATAACCACTTCCTTCATAATTTTGGGGAAGCAAAAATCACAAATAATTTCAAAAGATATGCTTTTAATTTGTATATCACCATTACTTTTCTAAATGTGAATGTAATACAAAATCAAGAAAGACATTCTTAAAAACTCATTTGTTATTAAAATTTTTCAATATGGTTAGTATCTTATAGTAAAAACAATCCAACATGAGGCAAATTTGTCAGTAACTTTCATTGTTAACAAGACACTTTTAGTTAAGAAGAAACCTTTTTTCCTATATGATAATTTCTAGCAGGAAGGAGGACATCACTGAATATTACTGAGGTCAACTGATGCAGATGGCATGCCACTGCTCTCTGGAACCGGCAGGAAAATCATGTTTTGTTTCTCTAGCCTCACACCTTCCATTTACTCTAACAAATCTAGATTAAGAAATGTTACTATTTTCATAAATGCAGATCACCTTTCCTAATTTTTGCTCAGCTCTTTTATCACTAGAGAAAGTATTTTTTCAGCATTTTTCCAAGGGTATTTGGCTTACCACTAAATTTTAAAAAGGAAATGAAATAAATTAAGGGGGAAAATGGAATCGAATCATCATAGTGACTATATAAACTGAGGGTTTTCAAATCACTCTAAGATTAAAACCGTCAATTCTAGATTAACCATAAAACATGTTACAGGCAAAAATCTGTAAACAGAGTGCAGAAGATACAACATAGATTGTTAATGGGAATAAGAACCTACTTTTAGCAGATGTTATTGTTAAGAAATTATATGTTATAGTATGTTATTTAAAATAGGAAAATACTCATATAAATTGTTTTACTCTACCCTAAGAGAAACCATCTTGTTCATTGAAGCAATTTCAAACCTGTCAATTTCAGGCATATATGATTTAAATGGACCTTTGAGACCATCAGAGAGCTCCTAAATTTACTGACACTAGTCATTTTACTAATGAACCTTATTAGCTCTGCAAACCACTTCTTAGCTTAGGATTCAACATCTAGTCAGTAAGGTAGCATATAATACTCAACATATAGCCATTCATTTAATTAGCTGTTATTGGGTGACTCAATATTCAGTATTTGGTTCTATTCTCTGTTTTAAACACATTATCCTTTTCATCTCACCACCCTAAGGAGGAGGCTATAATAATATACCTATATATAATAAAATCAATAATAAGATACAAATGAGGAAATTAAATATGCCAATGAGAAATATATAATATTCAAATGAGGAAACAGAGACAGTGAGTTGAAAAGTGAGTTAAAAAAGGTTACTTGTCCAAAGGGGAAAACATCTCCAATATCAGGCTATGTGACTCTAATCTTACAACTTCAACTGTACTGTGCTGGGTGAGCAAAATATAGAGTAACCAATCATCCTAGTTTGCCTGGGACACAAGAATTTTAGTGCTAAAACTGGAAGTTTACTGCATCATATGAAACATCTAACTAGCAATAATTTTACTTTCACTTAGCCAAAGATGAAAAAATAATTTTCATGTCAATACCAATCTGCAATAAAAAATAAAAATTTTCTATTTTTTTAAAACTTTTTGTGACATAGTGTGCAAACATAATAATACAGAAGCAGATACCTATGCACAAAAGGAAAGGAAAGTAGATGGACATCAACATTTTAGTGACAAACATTGTGCTAATTATATATTTTCTCATCCGATTATTTCAAAAAGTTTATGTAGAACATGATATTATTCTCATTTTATAGATGCAAAAACTGAAAGAGCTAAAATAACTTCCCTAAGATCATGCAACTACTAGTTAGAGGAGCTGAAATTTGAATTTTTCTGTCTTCAAAACAATAGTTTTGATAATATAACTAATTTAGGATTAAAAATTATTGATTTGCCATTCTGTTATTTCAGTAAATCTTTTGTAGGTCTGCAATTGTTCTTGGAGAACATTCTTATGTGTGTGTTTCTTCTGACATTCAACTCAAAAAATATGAAATTGAATACCTACTCTGTGCCTAGCTCTGTGCTTAGATAGTGACCTTATAGAGAAGAATTGGGCATTTAGTCCTGAGGTCAAAGCCACTTTAGAATGGGAGACAGACACCTATGTTGTTAACATTAATACTGTACCGTAAGTGTTCTAAAATTGATTGAGATATAAAGGGAGGAGAAAGTAAACTGTCAAGACTTCCTAAAACAGAGAAATTCATAGGAGAGTTTACAATGGAGATGATATTTAAGCTGCTTTTTTTTTAAAGTATATGATTTTTGTCAAGTAGAGATAACAAGAAGGCAGTCTTCCAAAGAAGAGAGGAAGGTGCAAGTAAAGTAATATTCAGGAAATTATGAGTCACTGAGAGAAATTGTAAAGGAGCCATAAACTCTTTGCCAAGGCTAAAGTCAAGAAGGGTATTTCCTAGGTTTTCTTCTAGGATTTTTATAGTTTGAGTTCTTACATTTAAATCTTTAATCCACCTTAGGTTAATTTTTGTGTATGGTGAAAAGTAGGAGTCCAGTTTCATTCTTCTACATATGGCTAGCCAGTTATCCCAGCACCATTTGTTGACTAGGAAGTCCTTTCACTATTGCTTGTTTTTGTCAATTTTGTTGGAGATCAGATGGTTAGGGTGTGTGGCTGTTTCTGGATTCTCTATTCTTTTCCATTGGTCTATGTGCCTGTTTTTGTACCAGTACCCTGCTGTTTTGGTTACTGTTGCTTTATAGTATAGTTTGAAGTTGGGTAATGATATACCTCCAGCTTTGTTCTCTTTGCTTACAATTGCCTTGGCTATCTGGGTTCTTTATGGTTCCATATGAATTTTAGAATAGTTTAATTCTGTGAAAAATGAGGTTGGTAATTTGATGGGAATAACATTGAATCTGTACCTTGCTTTGGGCAGTATGGCCATTTAAATGATATCAGTCCTTCCAATTTGTGAGCTTGGAATGTTTTTCCATTTATTCATTTCATTTCTGATTTATTTCAGCAGTGTTTTGTAGTTCTCTTTGTAAACATCTTTCACTTCCTTGATTAGTTGAAAAACAGGAGATATGGGAATAGGGTGAAGTAAAAGATAAAACTAGAAATTAAGGTAAAGAAGAGATTGTAAATGAACTTAATTACCAAGCAATTTAGACGTTAATTCTGCAATAAACAATGCAGTCTCAAAATAGCGGAATGAGGCATTAGCGCTTTATACTAATTGACTGTTTAATTATTTCTAGTGCCCTTCCTACTATACACCCCATGAGAGCAGAGATCTTGTATTGATTGACGATATGTCTCCAGAACTCAGAAGAGTACTTGCTACCTAGTAGGCATTTTAAGAAAATTTTTTGTATCACTGAATGTTCAAAAATAATGATTTTTCAAGAGTTAGCTTACAATGGGAAACCAGATAGGAGCAAAGAAACCAGTAAAATATTACTGAGCAAGAGAAAGCAAAGGCAGAATATGGGCAGTGGCAACAGATTTTATGTAGAATCAATAGAACTTCATAACTTATGAACTAGAAAGGGTTTAATAAAGTGAGGAGTCCAATGTCACAAAAGGGTTTCAAACCTGGATAACTAGATGGATGGTGATGTTTTAACAACACAGGATTATAACAGGAAAAGAAAGTTCAAAGGAAATGTTAAAAGTTTGGATTTGAACTGAATGAGGATGAGATGTGTTTTGAACGTGATCTGATAATCATCAGGCAACACCATAAGAAGAAAACAGTTCTTTAATTTGAGTACTTATGTGAATAAAAACAATGATTTAATATAGTATAACTGTGTTCAAATGGCATCATCCATATCTTCTGAGTGCCTTAGAGGCATAAGAATATTTCATTTATTATCAAACCAATTTGAGATTATAATTGTAATTCACTATCTCTACAACAGAAACATGGAAGGTAGAAATAGATTAAATAACTGGTCCAAAGAGTCCTGAGTTGCAACTGGGGGAAAAAAATACAGGCACTCTAACTGTATTTTTTACAGTGATAATCTAAGTTATCACCACACATTTTATTGCCTGGTAGACAAAATATAAACTTGATAGTATGTTAAATAACTGAATGACTTAAATCTGTAATAGAGTTTTGAGGTTGTTGAGATTTGTTTTGATTCTTCATTTTACTGACTGCACATTAGAAATTGCCAAACTAATAGAGAATACTACATCCAGTACAAACTCATTTCATTACATGAAAATGTTAAGTCTCTGTTATCCTCTTTTTTTCACAAATATTGTCTGAGGCAAAAAAAAAAAAAAAACACAAAAAGATTTCACTGGCAAAATACTTTAACCAGGGTATCTATGGAACATTTAAAGAATTATTTTGTTTTCTTTAACAACAGCATGAGAAAAGTGTAGTCTTATGATTATATAGTTTATCCACATCACCTTTATCAAAATCATCATAAGTATTAGGGAACATTTGAAAAATATATATTGGTCAATATTCCCTTAAAGTCTTAATGTAAGAAAATAATTTTTCTTTTCTATAACAGAAAAGGATGATAAGGGGTTTTTGCAATCCATCGTCTCCAGAATATCAGTAACTGATTTCTTAGAGGATCTTCATTCAAATGCAGTTTAAAATATTCATAAGCATTTCTGGGATATTTATGAAGGAAAACCTAAGAAATTCACCTTGTGTGACTTGTAGAAGTATCTTTGAAAGTCTCTTAAATCAAATACATGAGACTTGAAAATGATCTGGGGATTTCAAGAATTGACTAATTCAAGAAGCCTGGTTTGTCCACTGACTTTAGTATGATGCAAATACTAAGATGATTCTGTGATATGAGGCAGAAGGGGTGACTGGCTAAAATTGTACAAAAAGAAATAAGGTGTAACATTTTGAAAATTTAGAAAGAGATAATAAATTACTTCCCAATATATCTTCCAAGAGCAATAATGCAATATGTAATTTTTACGTACTGGAAAAGACCAAAAAACACTGTTGCCAATAGACTTCTCTCACCTAAAACAGATTTAAAGATTAACATCCTAATTTTCATAGTTTCCCCTGTACTTATCTATTTTCTTGATTATAAAATGTAATCATGGATTGTAAAGTTGCTTATAATCTTCACAGTATGACTAGTTTCTTCTCTGTTGAAAACCAAGACAAATTACAGGCTAGATGGAGCAATAGTAAAAAAAAAAAAAATTCCTTAGTTCAATTAACAGCTGTTCTCAGTTGATGCTACTGCACAAAATACAAAAGATTAAGAGTTCAAATGTGAAACTTCTAATTCACAGGAAACCAGGGAAGCCTTCATTTGATTTTTTATTATTCTTAATGAGAAGATAGAACTTGTTACTGATGAATTTTAAGATTACCTAAAGTATCTCCCAAAGAGTTATAGGTAGAACTAATTTCGAAGTACTGTATATTCACATAGATCAGATCTTGTTGAAATACTCCAGAGTGAGTTTCTTAGGAACTATGAAATCAAGAAAAGTTAACTTGTTTTTATGAAGCACCTACTATGATTAGCTCTATGGCAAGTGACCTTGAGAAACCCAGTGAATGAGGATACAAAGCATTATGGGAAAATAAGAAAGAAAAACAACTTAATAT
This sequence comes from Homo sapiens, assembly GCF_000001405.40. Lineage (NCBI taxonomy): Eukaryota > Metazoa > Chordata > Mammalia > Primates > Hominidae > Homo > Homo sapiens. The sequence goes on from NC_000003.12 coordinate 97,608,517, forward strand.
AAAAACAGGCACAACATTTCATAGTGTACACAACAGATGTGATGGAAATGCAACTATGAGAAATATCACTGTGAGAGACTTTTAGGGAAGAGGTGTGTTGTATAAATTCTAAGGGAGTGGGGAGAGACGGTAAGATTAGAGAGAGAAGCAAATTGGGAGATTATCCTGGCAGGTGACTACAAAAGTAAAGGAAGAAGGAGACAGGATTAAATAAATACAAGTACTAATAACAACTGGTAAAGCCGTGGATACAAAGGCTAGTTAGGAAAGATGAGGTGCATCACTGGAAAGAATTGACTAACAGGGTGAGACTTGGAGCTTTTATCTATAAATGCTGTCTGAAAGGCACCTATAGCATAAAGGTTAAGATCTCAAACTCTGAGACAGACTACTTGATACTGCCACTTACCAGCTATTTGACTTTAGACAAGCAGTTTAATTTTCTATCCCTCAATTTCCACATCTGCATAAGAAAAATAATTATGGCATGTAGCAATACAAGTGGAATGCTTGCAAGCTCTTTTTATTCTAGTAAGACTGGTATTCTTAAGGGAAGGATAAATGTTTGTTAAAGAAAATAAAAACTAAAAGTATTCCTCTGACAGCAACAGTCAAGACAGATTAAAAAGCTGTGACTCTGCAGGCAGGGGAAGAAGACATCAGGCAGTCATTGTAATAACCCAACTTTTCCCATTAACATTCAGAATCCATCATCATTCAAAATGGAATATTGGTCTCAGAATTTTTATATTTAAGTACAAAAACGACCTTTTATTTTCCCCACCTTGCTACCTCAGTGTTTCTATCAGTCTCCTACCTCCAACCTCTCTGAAACTATAGCCAAATAAAAGATTTCATGATTAACTTTAAGGTTTAAAACCTGAATTTTCTAGATCCCTGCCCACAAGAGTGCTGACAGTTCAGTTGACCTCAATAATTGACGATAAAGTTCTTTATTCATATTTGGGTAAAATTAATGACTTTGAGGAACATTATAGAATATAAGTTAATATTCACTACAAATGGAAAACTTCCTTGGGTTCTAATTTTATGCATGATAAATTGGGAGCTTTATTAATACATTTAACCTTTAGCACATCTTTATTTAAAATATAGATTCAAATGTAAAGTCTAGCATTTACATACATTGTACTAATTCGTAATAGTCACCATCACCCTTTCTAACCCACAAGGCTTTGAGTTCATAAAAGGAACATGAATTACAATATGTAATATTTCCATCATTGGTACACATCAGTTCTTTCTAGATCTCCTTTGTGTTTGTAAGGAAAAACTGTGCATAGTGCAGATTGAAAAGTTAAAAATTCCAACAAGAAGTGAGAAATACAGAAGTAAAAACTAAATATGTCATACATGCTTATTTCAGGTGAATACCATTTCCCCTGCATCTGAAATGAGTTTATCTTTTAAACTTGGGCAATTGGGCAGAACAAATGCATTCACTTCTTTGAAATAAAGCAGTTATTTATGTCGAATATTCTACCTAATAGAGGTGTATTGGGAACTATAACAGTGTACCAATTGATATGATAAAAAAGGAAAGAAAATATGTTCAGTTTCTGATCTTATCTTCTATACCAGACTACAAAATCAGAGTTACTTATTTTTCATGTACTGCCATCATTGCTCTGTTGATTAAATCTATGTCCAATGAAGACATAATCAGGAACTATTACAAATCCTACAAGCTCTGTAGCATTCATCAATCTAAAATTTTTCTGCTTAAAGGCCCTTAAAATCAGACTATGACCGATGGTTTATAATTTCTTTGAGAGAATTTATGAGTTTCTCCTTTCTGCTTTGCCTTAGGAATATTTCAGAAATGCCCACTGTAATATAAGTCAGGCAAAATTGCTGCACTGCCTTAGAAGTTGTACCACAACTGCAAAAGCAGCTATAATAACTGCTTAAATCCTGACTTCAGCTTGTTGATTGTTTTCTAAGGAAAAACTAGAGGACAAAAAGAACATAATCTAAACAAGTGATTGCAGGGCTTTAGGAAAAGAAGTACCTAATTCCTTTGTAATTTATATTGTAATTCATGTCCCTTTTATGAACTCAAAAGGAAATAATGCTATAAAGAAATATAGAGGTGCCTATGTATAATATGAATACGTTTATAGAAGCAGGCTGGAAAATGAAATTCCTATTAATAAAATACAAATAATTTAGTTGCCACAGCTGGGTATCTCTTAACTGCAGCACATATTTCTGTAATTGCTCTAATCCATGTGTATTCTCTTGCTCTTTTGCAGGCAGACCAGTAATGATTGTGGTGGAATATATGGAGAATGGATCCCTAGACTCCTTTTTGCGGGTGAGGTGTTCTTTTCTGATGGCATTTAAATAAGCTATTCTCAGTTCTATATTTAAATCATTTATCATAAATTAATTTTTGCATAATGTTATTCATGGATTTTCTGTGAAGAATAGCAGTGTTTTCTCTAGGGTGCATTTCCCTGATACTGTGATACATTAGAGTGTTACTAAGGGGGGAGGATGTACACTCAATAACGTAATTGATTTCTCCTCTAAATTCACTTGCTATATGTGTGTGTATATATATGTGTGTGTGTGTATACCAAATAATGTTATCATGAAGAAAGATTAAATGAAACTCAATTGCCTCACAGTCATTAATTTTGCTTTATCACATTTAACTATGTAGTATGATATTGTATGCATTATCTATAATGCTGAACTCCTTAACTGATCTGTATTTACCAACAATGACTCAAGTTCATTTCAGAAAATGTTCTATCAACTTTGTCCTTCTTCAGTTCATTTGGCTGACTATTCAGAAAACAAAGGGAGGAGGAATAAAACTCCTTTAGCAGAGATTTCTTTTACAAAAACATTATTTTTAAAGTGATTTATCTTTAAAAGTATAGTATATACGAAAAGTAATTTATTATAGATAGTGATACAAACATAAACTGAGAAGGCACCAGGAAGTTAGATTTCAAGGTATATTTATAATACATTTAAGATTTGAAAAAGCATCATGTGCTATGAAAATATTCATTGATAGTGAAAAAAGTGAAATATAAAAAATAAATGCTATAGTAAATATTTTTCATCCCCAGCAAAGGTCATATATTTGCATGTCACTGTATTTTTAATATCTATCTATCTGTCTATCTGTCTATCTATCTATATATATATAACTATTTTTCTCACTTACAAAATGGCTGGACTTTGCCACTTGGGATGTTACATTATTTTTCTTCTTTATTTTCATGTGAAAATAAAGCATTCACTTCACTTCGTTTTTTGCCCCATGTTATGTGAATAAGTTCTGTTTGCATCTCATCTTTCTCTCTTGATCTCATTTTCATTTATTTTTCTTGGTTCTGGGCCCTCTTCTTCCAACTGCTCTGAATGCTAGCAGTGATGATATATTTATACTCTGACTGGGCTTGATGTCCAGATTCAATCCTAGAAGCTGAATTCAGCAAAATCATCAAGTTATTATAGAGCAATGCTGCTCGTGCAGTGTATACTCTCAACCAAGTGTGCTCTGTAAGGTAAAATGAAATTCAGAGGTGTTTGGGGACATGAACTGTTTGTTCTTTTCTGTAGCCATTCTAAAAATGTGTTATTTTATAGCTTGTGTTCATTTAACCTGTTCTAAATTATTTTAGAATAATTTACAGGACCACCTATGGTACTTGAAATGCTGTGTACTTAGTACTTGAAATGCTGTATACTTAATGTCCTTCCATTATGTTTCTTCAAAAACTCATTCTTATCAGATACATATCAAAATGACTCATCATCTAATGATGCTTGGGTTAGGTTGGTTTTCTTTTTATTTTCTTCTTTTTATTTTTGTATCAGCTGTATCCTAAAGCAGAATATAATGGCAAACAGTGTAGCAGATATTCAATCTAAATTGCTGCTAAAAATGGATCAAATGACTACCACAAGCAAATAAGGTGGGAAATATTAGCTTCTCCCCTAATTTATATATTTTATTCTGTGGAATAATGAATCCATTAAATGTTTTAAAGAAACAATAATATGTTACAAATAAAAGATTTACTTCTAAACATCTTACTACATGTTTAGAAGTAGTGTATTTTATGCTTTAAATTTTAAAAACTAATATTTTTCAGCTCTTATTATGTACTGTGTATGTAAGACATTATCAGAGATTCTGAATACCTATCTCAGCTAATTTTGGCTCTACTCATGGACTATGTGACCTTGGGCATGGTATCAAATTCTCTGTACCTCTGTTTACTCATCTATAAAATTCTCTGTACCTCTGTTTACTCATCCACCTCATACAATTATTATAAAGATTGATTGTTGTAAAGCTTGCAGAATAGTGCCTGACATATTGCAGGTGGCAGAGCAAGGATTCAAACTCAAGTCTCTATGACTCAAAAAGCCATGCTCTCATGCGTTATGAATTCATTTTATTAAATTGCTTACTACTTTTCCTTATAAGTCCACTACCATCTCCTCATGGTGTGTGTCCCCTTTGCACGTAGAGTTTCTAAAAGTCACATTATTATAATGCAAAAAAAAAATCAAATGAATGGAAAAATAGGGTCAATACTTCCATCTTACTCTTCTTTAATGTTCTTACCCTTCTTTGTAATCATCTCTCTTCTTAGAAGCTCAAAGTGCTTTATAAACTTTGTGTTAATAGCAGATACTCAACTCCCCATGACAAGCGGAAATAAAATATATAAATATATATAGCCCATACATTCTCAAAAGCAAAGTCATTTTTCAAACTACAGCTTTAGAACATAATCACAGCTTATGTGAGCACAGGAAGGAGGAAGTGGCTAAGTGCACTGTGTAGTAGGGGAGCCATCCGTGGCTCATAATAGCCTTCTGTGCTTACTGGAAGCAGAAATGATTTCCCTTTGGTCTCCCACACTATTTGAAAACTGCTTCAATTTGTTATTTTATTATGAAGGAGTGGTAGCACTACTAAGTACAAGATTACATCTAGTGTCAGTGCTGGTTGCTGGCTGGCTGTCATATTGCACTGGATTCATCAATCTCATACCATTTGGGATCCTTGGGGACATTCTTCCAGATATATATCGGCAGAGGGGCAGTGTAGTCAAGTGTGTGTGTGGGCTTGTGTGTGAAAATATACATGTGTGTAGAGAAGGGATGTGTGTGTAACCGTGTGTATTTTTAATTTTAAAGTTGAATACATTCTGACTTAGCAAGCAAATCATCAGCAGCCTGGCTGCCCAGAAGGCACAACTTCACCAATGTGCAGAATTTTTAACTTTTCTAAGCCCATTTGGGGATAGTGGTCAAGGTTACACTTAATTCACACTAATGTATTTTCTCTAATTTCACTAAAATTCACTAGTGCGAATTAAATGTAACCTTGACCATTATCCCCATACAGGCTTTTTCCAGCTACACATTTGGATTTCATAAATACTTTTTGTGGCACTTACCTGCAAACCACCTACCTCTAAATTTTAGAAATTCCCATTTCAGAACATTCCACTTAGAACTTCCCATTTTTTATAACAATATTAACTAGAATCTAAACTAAGTATAGCTATAGAATACTTTAACATTGTTTTTTGTTTTTTGTTTTTATTATACTTTAAGTTTTAGGGTACATGTGCTTATAGAATACTTTAACTTTGAAATGCCACATGTCAACCACAAAAAAATTCCTTTGTTTTATAACATTTGTTGAATGTTAATTTATCATATTGCAAAATTCAGTTATACCAAAATATAATACTAAATTTACTACTGGTTTCAGTGCAAGATGGTGTGTTCATGAGAGAAAAGGTATACTTACTTTTTTTTTTTTTTTTTTTGAGACAGAGTCTTGCTCTGTCACCAGGCTGGAGTGTAGTGGCACGATCTTGGCTCACTGCAACCTCCGCCTCCCGGGTTCAAGTGATTCTCCTGCCTCAGCCTCCCAAGTAACTGGAACTACAGGTGTGCACCACCACACCCAGCTAATTTTTTTTTTTTTTTTTTTTTTTTTGTATTTTAGAAGAGACGGGGTTTCACCACATTGGCCAGGATGATTTCAATTTCCTTATCTCATGATCCGCCTGCCTTGGCCTTCCAAAGTGCTGGGATTACAGGCGTGAGCCACTGTCCCTGGCCTATACTTACATTTTTTACAGTGCAAATCACTTAGGCAAATAAGAAAGGGGGTCATCTATAAACCAAAAATCTAGGAGAAATTAATAAAGAAAGCAAGAAGGATTTAATTAAGTAAGGAAATCAGCTCAAAATATGCTCAGGGAAAGATGGCTGGGAGCAAGAAAAGTGAGTGGAAGGTGGTGCTATCAATTGAAATAAAGATACAGAGGAGGAACAGGATGGACTGGTAGTTGGAAAGAAATGGTAAGTTTAATTTTGGTCATGTTGCATTTGAGATGTCTGTGAAACATCCACTGAAAATGTTCAGTGGGTGGGGACCAAGATGGCTGACTAGAAGCAGCTATGGTGTGTGGCTCTTACAGAGAGGAATGAAAGAGGTGAATAATACAGAACCTTCAACTGAAACATCCAGTACTTGCACTGGGACTGATCAGGGAAACAGTTTGACCTACAGAGAATGGAGAAAAGAAGGTCAATGACCCACCCAGGAGCAACACAGAGCAACGGGAACCTCCCCTACCCTGGGAAGCAGTTAGTGAATGTGTGACCCCCGGAAACCACACTTCTCCCATGGATTTTTGCAACTCTTGGGTCAGGAGATGCCCTTGCGAACCCACTCCACCAGGGTTTTCAGTCTGACACACAGAACTGTGTGAAGTCCTGGCAGAGAAGCTTTGCCGATTCACAGAGTCCTGGGAGCTTTATATACGTGGGCTCTGGGGTCCCCGGCAAATGTGACAGTGACTCAGGCAAGGTGAAAAGTTGGACCTCCATACATAGCCCTGAAAAGGGAGCTGAATCCAGGGGGCAGAGCAGCATCGGTCTGCAGGCCCCACCTCCACAGTAGCCTACGGGATAAGACCTACTGGCTTGAAATTCCAGCCAGCCCCTGGTGACATTGTTGTACCTACCTGGGACAGGATAGAGTTCCTGGGGGGAGGGGCAGGCCTCCATCTTTATTGTTTGGACAACTTAGCCATTTCAGTCTCTGGGCTTTGGAGAGTCCAAATTGACCAGGGATAGAAGGGATCCCCCAACACAGCACATCTGCTCTACCAAAACATGTCCAGATTGCCTCTTTAACCAATGTATTCCTCCTCACTGGTGGGGCATCCCAACTGGGCCCTCCAGCCACCCCCTCCTGTGTTCTCCAGCCCAACAGAGATTTGAATTCTCCCTGGTATGGAGAGCCCAGAAAGGGGTGGGCTGCCATCTTTGCTGTCCTGCAACTTAGTGGTTACAGCTTCCGGGCTTTGGAGAGCCCAAGCTGACCAGGAGCAGAAGCAGTACCCCAGCAGGACACAGCTACTCTACAAAAAAGTGACTAGACTGCTTCTTGAAGAGTGTATCTAATCCTAATCCTCCTGACTGGGTGAGATCTCCCAAGCAGGGTCTCCAGCCGCCTTCTACAAGTGTGTTGGAACTGGCAACAGATCCATACCTCCTGGGACAGAGCTCACAGAGGAAGGGCCATCTTTGCGGTTTCAGAGCCTTCACTGGTGATACCTTCAGGTACTGGAAAATCCAAGGCAACCAGGCACTGGAGCAGACCCCCAGAAAATTATAGCAGCCCTATAGAAAAGTGGCCGGACCATTAAAAGGAAAAAAATAAATAAATCCAAAGGTCAGCAACCTCAAAGATTGAAAATGGAGAAGCCCACAATGATGAGAAAGAATCAGTGCAAGAACACTGAAAACTCAAAAAGCCAGAGTGTCCTCTTTCCTCCAAATGACCACATTACCTCTCCAGCAAGGGTTCAGAACTGGACTGAGGCTGAGATGGCTGAGACGACAGAAGTAGGCTTCCAAATGTGTCTAAGAAAATCTTCACTGAGCTAAAGGGACATGTTCTAACTCAACACAAGGAAGCTAAAAATCATGATAAAACATTGCAGGAGCTGACAGTCAAAATAGCCAGTATAGAGAACATAACTGAACTGATTGACAGAGCTAAAAAACACAATAAAAGAATTTCATAATGTAATCACAAGTATTAATAGCAGAATAGACCAAATAGAGGGAAGAATCTCAGAACTTAAAGTTTGGGTTTCTGAAATAACACTGGTAGACAAGAATAGAGAAAAAAAATGAAAATGAATAAACAAAACCTCCAAGAAATATAGGATTATGTAAAAAGATCAAATCTACAACTGATTGGTGTACCTGAAAGAGATGGGGAGAATGGAACCAATGTAGAAAACATATTTCAGAATATCATCCATGAGAACTTACCCAACCAAGCTAGACAGGCCAACATTCAAATTCAGGAAATGCAGAGAACCCCAGTAAAATACTCAATGAGAAGATTATCCTCAGGACACATAATCATCAGATTCTCCAAGGTCAAAATACAGGAAAAAATGTTAATGGCAGTCAGAGAGAAGGGCCAGATCACCTACAAAGGGGAGCCCATCAGACTAACAGAGAACCTTTTAGCAGAAACCTTATAAGCCACAAGACATTGGGGGCATTCAACATTGTTAAAGGAAAGAGATTCCAACCCAGAATTTCATATCCATTCAAACTAAGCTTCATAAGAAAAGGGAAATAAGGTCCTTTTCAGACAAGTAAATGCTGAGGGAATTCATCACCACCAGACCTGTCTTATAAGAGCTCCTGAAGGAAGCCTAAATGCAGAAAGGAAAAACTATTACCAGCCACAACAAAAAACACAATGAAGTACACAGAACAGTGACACTATAAATTAACCACATAAACAAGTCTGCAAAATAATTAGCTAGCATCACGATGTCAGGATCAAATCCACACATAACAATACTAACCTGAAATGTAAATGGGCTAAGTGCCTCAATTAAAAGATAAAAAAATGGCAAGCTGGATAAAGAACTAAGACCTATCAATATGCTGTCTTCAAGAGACCCATCTCACTCACATGCAGTAACACAGGTAGGCTCAAAATAAAGTGATGCAGGAAAATTTACCAAGCAAATGGACAACAGAAAAAACCAGGGTTGCCATCCCAGTTTTTGACAAAACAGACTTTAAACCAACAAAGATCAAAAAAGACAAAGAAAGGTATTACATAATGGTAAAGGGTTCAATTCAACAAGATGAGCTGGCTATCCTAAATATATATGCACCAACACAGGAGCGCTCAGATTCATAAAGCAAGTTATCAGAGACCTTGAAAGAGACTTAGACTCCCACACAATAATAGTGGAAGACTTTAAAACCCCACTGTGAATATTAGACAGATCATCAAGATAGAAAATTCACAAAGATATTCAGGACCTGAACTCAGCTCTGGATTGAATGGACTTGATAGATATCTAAAGACCTCTCCACTCCAATGCAACAGCATATACATTTTTCTCGTCACCACATGGCACTTACTCTAAAATTGATCACATAATTGGAAGTAAATCACTCCTCAGCAAATGTGAAAGAACTGATATCATAACATTCTCTCAGACCACAGCACAATCAAATTGGAACTCAAGACTAAGAAATACACTCAAAACCACACAATTACATGGAAATTGTATAACCTGCTCCTGAATGACTTTTGGGTAAATAATGAACTTAAGGCAGAAATCAAGAAGTTCCTTGAAACTAATGAGAATAAATATACAATGTGCCAGAATCTCTGGGATACAGCCAAGGCAATGTTAAGACGGAAATATTTAGCACTAAATACCCACCTCAAAAATCTGGAAGGAACTCAAGTCATCAACCTAACATCAAAACTAAAAGAATGACAGAACCAGGAGCAAACAAATCCCAAAGCTAGCAGAGGATGAGAAATAACTAAGATCAGAGCTGGGCTACAGAGAAATGAAAAACCATTGAAAAGCTCAACAAATCCAGGTGCTAGTTTATTTAAAAATTGATAAAATATCTAGACTGCTAGCTAGACTAATAAAGAAGAAAAGAGAGAAGATTCAAATAACACAATCAGAAATGATAAGGGAGATATTACCCCACAGAAATACAAGCAACGATCAGAGAATACTATAAACACCTCTATTCACATAAATTAGAAAATCTAGAAGAAATTGATAAGTTCCTGGACACATGCACCCTCCCAAGACTGAACCAGGAAGAAATTGAATCCCTTAACACATCAATAACAGGTTCTGAAATTGAGGAAATAATAAATAGCTTTCCAACCCAAAAAAGCCCAGGACCAGATGGATTCACAGCTGAATTCTACCAGATGTACTAAGAAAAGCTGGTACCATTCCTACTGAAACAATACTAAAAAAATTGAAAAGGAAGGACTCCACCATAACTCATTCTATGAGGCCAGCATCTTCCTGATACCAAAACCTGGCAGCAATACAACAAAAAAGAAAACTTCAGGCCAATATCCTTGCTAAACATCAATGCAAAAATCCTCAACAAAATACTGGCAAACTGAATCCAGCAGCACATCAAAGAGCTTATCCACCATGATCAAGTAGTTGTGATCATCCCCAGGGTGCAAGATTGGTTCAACATATGTAAATCAATAAATGTGATTCATAACATAAACAGAACTAAAAACAAAAACCACATGATTGTCTCAATAGATGCAGAAAAGGCTTTTGATGAAATTCAACTCCTTCATGTTAAAAACTCTCAATAAACTAGGTATTGAAGGAATATGCCTCAAAATAACAAGAGCCATTTATGACAAACTGACAGCCAACATCATACTGAATGGGCAAAAGCTGGAAACATTGCCCTTGAAAAAGGGCACAAGACAAGGATGCCCTATCTCACCACTCCTATTCAACATAGTATGGAAATTCTATACAGAGCAATCAGACAATAGAAAAAGGGGGGGGGGGGCATCCAAATAGGAAGAGAGGAAGTCAAACTTATCCCTGTTTGTAGATTACATGATCCTATATCTACAAAAGCCCATTGTCTCAGCCCAAAATCTTCTTAAGCTGATAAGCAACTTCAGCAAACTCTCAGGATACAAAATCAATGTGGAATCATTACGAGCATTCCTATACACCAACAACAGTCAGGCCAATAGCCAAATCACAAAGGAACCAAATTCACAATTGCCACAAAAAGAATAAAACACCTAGGAATACATCTAACAAGGGAAGTGAAAGATCTCTACAAGGAAAACTATAAACCACTACTCAAAGAAATCAGAGCTGACACAAACAAATGGAAAAACTTTCCATGACTATGGATAGGAAGAATCAATATTGTTAAAGTGGCCATACTGCCCAAAGCAATTTACAGATTCAAAGCTATTTCCATAAAACTACCATTGGTGTTCTTCACAGAACTAGAAAAAACTATTTTAACATTCGTATGGAACCAACAAAGAACCCAAGTAGTCAAGGCAGTCCTAAGCTAAAAGAACAAAGCTGGAGGCATCATGCTACTCAACTTCAAACTATACCATAGGACTACAGTGAGCAAAATAGCATGGTACTGGTACAAGAACAGACACATAGACCAGTGGAAGAGAAGAGAGAACACAGAAATAAGACTACACACCTACAGCTATCTAATCCTTGACAAACCTGACAAAAACAAGCAATGAGGAAAAGATTTCTTTATTCAATAAAGGGTACTGGTATAACTGGCTAGCCATATGCAGAAAATTGAAACTGGACCCTTTTCTTACACCATATACAGAAATTAACTCAAGAAGGATTAAAGAGTTAAGTGTAAAACCTAAAAATATAAAAACCCTGGAAGACAACCTAGGTAATACCATTCAGGAGATAGGCACGGCCAAAAATTTTATGATGAAGACACCAAAATAATTGCAACAAAAGTAAAAATGGACAAATAGAATCTAATCAAACTAAAGAGCTTCCACATAGCAAAAGAAACTATTATCAGAGTAAATGGACAACCTACAGAATGGGAGAAAACTTCTGCAAACTATGCATCTGACAGAGTTCTAATATCCAGCATATATAAGGAACTTAAACAAATTTACAAGAAAAAAGCAAACAACCCCATTAAAAACTGGTCAAAGGACATGAACAGACATGTAAAAGGAGACATACATGTGGCCAAGAAGTATATGAAAAAACTCAGTATCACTGATCGTTAGAGAAATGCAAATCAAAACCACAATGAGTTACCATCTCACACCAGTCAGAATGGCTATTATTAAAAAATCAAACATTAATAGATGCAGGCAAGGTGGTGGAGAAAAAGCAATGGCTATACACTGTTGGTGGCAGTGTAAATTAGTTCAATCATTGTAACAGACAGTGTGGCAATTCCTCAGAGACCTAAAGACAGAAATAACATTTGACCCAGCAACCCCATTACTGAGTATATACCCAAAGGAATAGAAATCGTTCTATTATAAACACACACGCATGCATATATTCATTGCAGCACTATACAAAATTGCAAAGATGTGGAATCAACCCAAATGCCCATCAATGATAGACTGGATGAAGAAAATATGGTACATATACACCATGGAATACTATGCAGTCGTGAAAAATAATGAGATCACATCCTTTGCAGGCACAAGGATGGAACTAGAGGCTGTTATCCTTAGCAAACTAACACAGGAACAGAAACCAAGCACTGCATGTTATCATTTATAAGTGAGAACTAAATGATGAGAACACATGGACAACACATAGAAGGGAACAACACACACTGGGGCCTCTCAGAGAGTGGAGGGTGGGAGGAGGGAGAGGATCAGGAAAAATAACTAATGGATGCTAGACTTAATACCTGAAGGGTGAAATAATCTGTACAACAAGCCCCCATGACACAACCATTTAAGAAATCTGCACATCCTGCACATGTACCCCTGAACTTAAAATAAAAGTTTTGAATTTCTTTTTTAAAAAAGGAAATGTCCAGACAGCAATTTAAAATACAAATCTGATGCTCAGTGGAAAAATCTTGGCTAAAGTTGAACATCTGGGTCTTGGTAGCATAAAGGTAGTTACTAAATGCAAACCAGGATATTTCCTAAGAAGAAAGTTGAACCAGGGTGGAACTTTGTGCCATACCAATCTGAAGGGCCCCATGGATGGAATACCCAAAGGTAACTAGGCAAGAGTGGGCAAAGAGGAACAAGGAAGGAGAGAAAAACATGAAGTCCCCAGACCCAGGGGAATATAGCTTTTAAGTCAGAAGCATATAACCGATTGTGACAAATTCAGGAGAGGAATTCTGAAAGACAGAAACAGAGAAACATCTATAGGATTTAGCAAATAAGAGGGACTCAGTGTTCTCAACAAGAGCACTTTCAATGGCTTGGTCCCAGGCAGAAGCCAGATTGCAGAGAGCAAAAATGAGAATGAACAACTAACAGGAATTTGTAGGTGGAGATGATTCCTTTGGGAACAGGTGGATGAGATGTCAAGGCAAGCAATAAATCAAATGCTAGTATGCTAGTAGACCAAAATATAAGAAAAATCAAGGATTTCTTTTCAATTTTTTTATTTTGATAAAATACACATAACATAAAATTTACCATCTTAACCATTTTTAAGTGCACAATTCAGTGGTATTAAGTACATTCATATCATTGTGCAAATATCACCAGTATCCATCTGCAGAACTCTATTTATCTGGCAAAACTGAAATGCTGTACTCATTAGGTAATTAAACTTTCCCACTTCTTTAAAATCATTAAACTCCCCACTTCTCCCTTCCCCCAGCCCCTGGCAAACAGCATTCCGCTGTCTGTCTCTATGAGTTTGACTACTCTTAGTATCTCATGTAAGTGAAATCATATAGTATTTGTCTTTTGTGATTGGCTTATTTCACTTAGCATAATGTCCTCAAAGTTCAGTCATGTTGAAGTGTATGTCAGAATCTCCTTTCTTTTTAAGGATAAATGATATTCCCTTGTATGTATATGCCACATTTTGCTTATCCATTCATCTCCTGGTGGATATTTGTATTGCTTTCATGTTTTAGCTATTGCGAAGAATGCTACTGTGAGAATAGATGCACTTTGACACCCTACTTTCCATTCATTTGAGTATATATCCAGAAGTGGGATTACTGGATAATACTTTAATTCTATTTTTAACTTTTAGGGAAACCACCATACTGTTTTCTATAGTGGCTATGTCATTTTACATTCCTACCAACAGAGTACAAGGGTTTCAATTTCTCTGTATTCTCACTAACACATGTTATTTTCTGATGTTTTTGTTTGTTTTATGTTTGTTGTTATAATGGCTATCCTGATGGATGTGAAGTGGTGTCTCAACGAAGTTTTAATTTCTGTAATGATTTGTGGTTTTCAGGATCTTTTCAGTGCTTATTGGCCATTTGTATATCTACTTTATAAAAGTATCTATTCAAGTCCATTTTCCATTTTTGAATCAGGTTGCTTGATTTTTTTTTGTTGAATTTTAGGAGTTCTCTATATAGGATGGATACTATTCCCTTAGGAGATATATGATTTACAAGCATTTTCTCCCATTCTGTGCGTTGCCTTTCTACTCTGCAGATAGTGTTTTTTGAGGCACAAAAGTTTTTAAGTTTCATGTGGCACAGTTTGTCAGTTTTTTCTTTTGTTGCCTGTGGCTTTGGTATCATATCTAAGAAATCATTGCCAAATCTAATGTTATGAAGGTTTTGCACTGTGTTTTCTTCTAAGAGTTTTATAACTTGAGGTCTTACATTTAGGTCTTTGATGCATTTTGAGTTAATTTTTACATATGTTTTAGGTAAAGATTGAACTTCATCATTTTGCATGTTGATATTCAGCTTTCCTAGCATCATTTATTGAAAAGACTGTACTTTCCAAATTTAATAATCTTGGCACCCTTTTCAAAAATTATGTGACCATTGTATTAGTCCCTTCCTGCTTGTATAACAATATAACACAGATTGGATAATTAATAAATAATAGAAATTTATTTCTCACAGTTCTGGAAGCTGAGAAGTCCAAGCCCAAGGGTAATGGCTTACTATCCTTCTAAGATGGCATTTTCTTGATGCATTCTATATGACAGAAGGGACAAAAGCTGTGTGCTTACATGGTGGAAGAGCAGAAGAGCAAAAAGGGCAAAAAGGAGCTAGGACGCTCTTTTCACCCTCTTTTACAATAGCATTAATCCCATTCATGAGGATTGAGTGTTCATGAGTTAATCATTTACCAAAAGCCCAACTCTTAATACTATCACATTAAGTATTAGATTCCAGCATATGAATTTGGAAAGGACACATACATCCAAGCCATAGCAATCATACATGAAAAGGTTTATTTCTGGGCTCTCTAATCTATTCCATTGGTCAATATGTGTGTCTTTATGCAAATACCACAATATTTTGATTATTGTAGCTTTATACTAAGTTTTGAAATCAGGAAATGTGAATCCTCCAGCTTTGCTCTTCTCTGTTGGTTATCTAAGGTCCCTTGAAATATAACGTGAATGTGAATTCTAGGGTGGACTTCTGTGTTTCTGCCAAAAAAAAAAGTTGTTGTTGGAATTCTGTTAGTTATGTTGAATCGAAGTTGTGAAAGTGCCATCCTGGCCCTCTTCATTATCTTAGAGGAAAAACTTTCAATTTATAACGGTCGAGTATGATGTTCACTGTGGGTTATATAAACATACATATAGCTTTTATTATGTCAAAGTAATTTTCTTTTATTCCTAGCTTGTTGAGTGTTTTTATCGTGAAACTGTGATGAGTTTTGTCAAATGTTTTCTTCTTCACCAATTTAGATCATTGTGGAGATCTTCCCCCTTCATTCAGTTAATGTGGTGTGTTACATTGACTGACTTTCATATTTGAACCATCCTGACATTCAAATTATTAATTTGAATTAATTCAATTTGGCCATGATGTATAATACTTTTAACATGCTGCTGAATTCCATCTGCTAGTATTTTCTTGGGGATTTTTTCATAAATGGTTAAGGGATATTGGTCTATAGTAATGTGGGGGTTTTTTGTAGTGTCTTTGTCTGGCTTTAGTATCAAGGTAATGTTCATGGAATGAATCAAAATGTCTCTCTCCTCTTCAATTTTTCAGGATGAAGTTTGAGGAGGATTTGTGTTCATTCTTTAAATGTTTGGTAGACTTCACCAATAAAGCCATCATCATCAGGTCCAAGGATTTTCTTTATCAAGAGATTTTTTATTACTAATTTAATCTTATTACTAGTTATAGGTCTATTCAGGTTTTTTATTTCTTCATCATCTAGTCTTGATAGGTTTTGTGTTCCTAGGAATTTTTCCATTTTATCCAGGTTATCTAATTGTTCACATACAATCATTTATAGTACTGTCATAATCCTTTTTATTTCTGTAGAATTGGTAGTAATATTACACCTTCATTCTGGTTTTAGTAATTTCAGTCTTCTCTTCATTTTCTTGGTCAATCTAGATAAAAGTTTGTTGATTTTGTTGTTCTTTTGGAAGAACCAACTTTTGGTTTTGTGGATTTTCTTTATTGTTTTTCTATTCTCTATTTTATTTATCTTTCTTCTAATATTTATTTCCTTATTTTTGTTACCCTTGGTTTTAGTTTGTTCTTCTCTTGTTCCTTACGTTGTTAAGGTAGGTTGTGGTTTGGAGATCTTCCTCTTTCTCAATACAGACATTTATAGCCACAAATTTCCTCCTTGGCTCTGCTTTGGACGTGTGTCCTACAAATTGTAATATGAGGTACTTTCATTTTCAGTAGTCACTAAGTATTTTCTAATTCTCTTTGTGATTTCTTCTTTGATCCATTGGTTGTCTAAGAGTTTATTGTTTATACACAAATTTGTGGATTTTTCCGTTTTTCTTCTGTTATTTACTTCTTACTTTATCTGTTGTAGTCAGAGAACATACTTTGTATGAAATCTACTATTTGAAATCTCTTGATACTTAAATTTATTGTCTAACATATGGCTTATCAAAGAAAATATTCCACATGAAATTTTGTTCTATTTTTCTTGGGTATAGTGTGTACTTCTGTTAGATCTAGTTGGTTTATTGTGTCATTCAAGTCCTTTATATTCTTATCTTCTCTCTGGTTGTTCTGTCCATTTTTCAGAGTGGGATTTTGAAATGTTTGTCTGTCTGTTTCTCCCTTCAATTCTGTCAATTTTTGTTTCATATATTTTGATGGTCTGTTGTTACTTATGTTAATGTTTGTAATTGTTGTATCTTAAAATCAAGGATATTTTTAAAATAGATGACAATTTGGACTATGTATACACTGAAAAAGAAGAAGGGACCATTTAAAAACTTGATAAAACAAAAGATTTAAGGAGATGAAAAGGTACAAAATCAAGGAACCTAGTGGAGGATTGACTTTGGAGAGTAGAAGCCGCCACATCTCCCAAGACTGGAGTGTTGGGAATCTAGATAGCTTTATGAGGAACATGCATAAATTGAAGGAAATGATGCCTGATTCTATTGCATTTCTATACAAAGTAGTAGAAGAGTTTTTATGGGAATTTTGAGGACAAACTTTCCTTTAAGGTGAATGTTTGGAATAATTATTGAAATTAAAAAGAAAAGTAGCAGATCATGAAAATGCTGGACCATGAAGAGCAAGTTCTACTACTGTTTTTTTAAGGCCCCAGCAGGTGCAACCAACCAAAAATCTTCATCAAAGTTATTAATTGTATGCAATGTAAGTATCCAGGAGAGATGATCTTTTGGCCTGTTGGCCCAGTTATATGTGCTAGTTGTATACATTTGTTCCCCAAACTTGCCAGCCCTCATCTTGGTCCTGGAGAAAAATAATTAACTAATAATGCTGAACATTCAGCTGATGCTGAAGAACATAAATGTGTTATGGCAGTGATGTGCATGCTTATGTGATTTTCTACATGAACACTCAACTCCCCAAATGTAAGAGTGAAGATAATAGAAACTATGGTTTGTAGAGCATGTACAAAAGAAAAACAAGGATGCCAAAAGGGGACTGAGGATGGTAGTGAAGGGATCATTCAGGTAACAGACCGTGAGTCCATGCTAGATAAAGAAGGAAATAAAGAGTCTAATAGACTAGAAAGAATCGAGAGTATATGGGCTAGAAGTCTTTATTGCATAGATGAGAAAGTATAGTTTTGTATGAGGGTAAGAGAGGAAGGGAAAGAAGAATGTGGCCAGAAAGTAGGGTACTGGCAGTAGTGTGCTAAAGCCAGATCATACCAGTTTGCAAGAGCTGGTTGATAAACTATTAGTAGCTTAAAATTTGCTATGTTGGGAGTAGTTACACCACAGGAATTGGCAAATGCTACAAATCAGGGCTTTCTGTCTTATTTTTCTCTGGAGAGCAGGTTTACCACCATAATACTAGGTTGATGTTTAAGATTTCTAAAGTGAGGCAGTTTTAGAAATGACAACTTCCAGATGTCCATTTGGGAGTCTGTGGCTGAAATAAAGATGAGATTAATATACTTAATAAACTAATGTAACTAACATTTACATGTGCTTTCTATGGGTCAGTCATTATTCCAGTCCCATGCATTAGCTCACTTACTGTTTACAACAGCACTGTGAAGTAGTTATTACCACTATCCTCATTTTACCAGTGACCAAACTGAGGCAAGGCAAGTTAGGTGGCTTGCCCAATGTCAAACAGCTGATAAATCATTTATTCATTTGTTATGCAAATATGTATTGACAGACTACAGTAGGCCAGGTACTTTTCTGGATCCTGGAATACAGAAGTAAGCAAAAGAGAATTAAAAAATTTAGTGGGTAGAGAAAAAAGAATTCAGCAAAATATATGGTAAGTCAGATGTTATTATTGCTGTGGAGAAAAATAAAGCAGGGAAAAGGCAAGTGGAGTTGAGAGTGGGTTTCAGGATTACATTGAGTGGCAGAGAAGGTCTCACTGAAACATGGCATTTGAGTAAAGATTAGAAGAAGGTAAGGGAGCAAATAAAGTGGATACCTGAGAGAAAATATTCCAGGGAATAGTAATAGCAAGTGCCAGTTCTCTGAAGTAGGAGCATTTTATTTCTACAGAATGGCAAATAAGTATTTATGCTTGATGAACATAATGCCTGTTTTTCCTAAAACAATGCCAAATTATGCATGTTATCCCTTCACAATTATTAGCATGAGCCTTTTACTCTGCAGTTAGAATAATAAAATATATAGTCACCCTATCACTATGGCTAGAGAAGATTATGTAAGAAGAATAGTAAAAGATAAAATCAGAGCAGATGGAGACAGAAAGGGAAACATCTCTTGGACAGCAATGATTCTCATATTTGGCTATATATTATAATAATTTAAATTTGAAGACCTTTTAAAAATCTCAAGTTCCAGGCTTTACCCCAGACCAATGAAATCAAAATCTCTTGGGATGGGACATATGCATCAATATTTGTCAAAAGTTCCCCCAGTTGAGTCCAATATGCAGCCAAGTTGGAAAACTACTGAAATGAGGCCTAGTAGGCCATTATAATGACTTTGACTCTTCTCTGAGTAATATGGGAAGCCACTGTAGTCTTTGGAATAGAGGCATAGCATGATGACCTAATTACTATATTTTATAAGGATCACTCTGTTTGCTGTATTAAGAAGAGACTACAGTGAGGCACAAATAGATGCAGGGAAATTAGGAGGCTTTTGCCATAATCCAGGTAAGAGATAATGATGCTCTAAACTAGGATCGTTGCAGTAGAGTTTATGGGAAATGGTCAAAGTCTATGATGTATGTTAAAAGTACAGCCAATAGGATTTGCTGATGGATTGGATAAAGTGCATAAAAGAAAGAGAAAATCAAGGACAACATTTACGTACAAAATAAGTTCAATGATAGGCAATAACTGTTTCCTAAGGTTATTGCACTACAGTATTAAATGGCTAATATACATAAAACTCCTAGAACAGTGTCTGCCACATAATCAGGTATTCATAAGGTCATCTATTATTATTATATTATATTTCAGAAGATATCACTAAGAGTCATAAAATTGTCTGTTACTTCCTGATCTGTTTTTTCAGGTGGCTAAAAATAGTTTCAATTTTTACCATTAAAAAATGTAGATATACTTCAGGAATATGACTATTGAAATAACATATCTAAGTGCATATCAGCATTTCAACAGCAATGTGAGACATTTGAAGAGTTTCCTTGAGCAAATGTGAAGCAAATATTAATTTAAAAATTAAAGAGATCTTTTAAATATTTATGTACTCAAATTATAAATCTAGTAAAGATGGCATTTCACCTTATACTAGTTATTTATTAATAATGAGAGCTGTATTTTATTAGCACACTTTTCTTGTAAATTGTGTGCATGTGGTTATATTTGTGCTGAGGTAGAAAAGTGAAATTAATCTAAATAACACTCATTTTATATTCAGCAGTGGAAAAGAAGAAAATTGCATTTACCCACCAATAACTATTTGTTTGTTTGTTTATTTATTTATTTGGAGCCTTTATTGCCCGGGCTGGAGTGTAGTGGCGTGATTATAGTTCACCGCAACCTCAAACTTCTGGGCTTGAAATTCTCCCAACTCAGCCTCTTGAATAGCTGGGACCACAGGCATACACCACCGCGCTAGCTAATTTTTTATTTTTGTAGAGATGGGGTCTTACTCTGTTGCCCAGGCTTGTCTCAATCTCCTGGCCTCAAATGATCCTCCTGCTTCAGCCTCCCAAAATGCTGGGATTAGAGATGTGAGCCACCATGCCTGGCCAACTGTTTTTAAGCCATAAAAACTATAGTTGAAACACACCTTAATTACATTTTTAAGAGAAAAATAGGTTAAACTTCATGCAGTAGAATGTTATCTTTTACTATACCTGTGTCAGCTTAATGCTAAATACTATTCTAAAAATAATGTGACATCAGACATGCACATATATGAGAGCATGGTGTGCTTAGAACCAAGCATATGGTATGGATGAGTGAACTTTTTTGTAAATTAGGAGTTTAAGCAGCAATATTCAATAGCATGAGTATACCTCTTTAAACACTGTATTAACTGATACCATGAAATTATAATTTATAATTCTCATTAATTCTTCTTTTGCATACAAAACTTGACATTGATCTTTTGATTGTATATAATGTAAAATTATATATAAAGAAATTCTATGTATTTTTCCTGAACTCCTCTATGGTCACTCCTATCCCTTTGTTTGTACCATTTATGAGATATTGGATTTACAGAACTGAATATTAAACCCTAAATTTATAATTTAACCATGCTCAATAACCAGAATCACCATCTTAGAGAGACTTCACCAGATACATATGCAGACACACACAGATATGGTCTGCAAAAACTTCCCTGGATTATTCTGATATGCTCTAATGATGCTTCATCAAGATGATGGCACTTTGTGACACCCTACCCCAAATAATAACTTTAAATTTAATTTTGACTTTGTATAAATATAGTACACAGTAACTAGTATATATTACTTTCATATAAATCTAAGCAGAAGTTATTTTGAACAAAGCAAATTCAGTAGTAACCTTTGTAAGCTAAAGCTATATTATATTCAGATTCATTTTTAGCTCTTAACATGTAATTCTGAAATCCAACCACCATGTTTCACAAATCCATATCTACTTATGTTCTTCCTAGGTTTTTAGGTGTATTAGAAATGACATTTTTAGTTTTCTTATTATTGAAATTACTGATTTCACTCTTGGTGGCCTCTCTCAACTACAACTAAAAATATAACTGTGCCTAGCTTAAGTTCAAAATGTATGATGACTACAAGAGAAAGATCTTTGAAGGATTTATTAAGTTAAATTATAATAAGATTTTCAACTGGGAAGACCACAAGAACTCAGACAATTTTCAATAAAAAGGAGATAGTTACTTATTTATTTGGTGGTTATTTTAAAAACAAGAGTGATTTGGTGTTTTGAAATCTATAAATAATCCCAAACATTTCTTTTTCAAATTCAACATCATTTTAAAAAGTCATAGTGTAGTCACCTTTTTGATTTAGAAACATATAAAAACTGAAATTTAACTTTAAACTTAAGTTATAGAAGTAATCCTCCAAGGACTGTTTTCTGCAAAGTCATTTATAAATCAATTGTTCAGAACTTAAAATGCATTTTTCCATAAATATTTCTTTTAAAGACATTTCTGAAGTCCCTGGGCAGACTTATAGAAGCCTCTTTAACACAGACTACAGCTAAAAGATGAAACGTCCAATAAGAAAGAGGCCTGGAAGTTTCCTTCAAAATGGGGAAAGTGTGTTTTCCTTCCCTTTACATGACTTGCCCCGGGCAAAAATTTTAAGGCAATTTTTCTATGTATCTACCTATTTCGTCATGTCTTCCTTCCAAGTCCTCAAATATAAAACTTTTATTGTGACAAATCACATGTGGTAGCACTTCTTCATCCCCTCTTGCCTGAGTTTAGGTCTTTTTCCACCTTATAAAACCACCTGTGACCTGGACTGTCATCCCATCCTAATCTCAGTTTCCATTTTCTCATTGGCACAAATCTTAGCTGGATATAAGGTTAGATTGATTTATGCGAGTATGTGACTCACAAATACTATTCTAATTCCTCCAGATGATTTTTCATCTTTTACTGCATTTGTAAACCCCAAAAATATTTTAATAGAGGAATTTCAGAGAGCAAAACAAAAGTAAGTGGAAAGAGGCAGATAATATGGGTGAGGATATTTTTGTACCAAAGGACGATCAGTACCCCAAAAGTCAGATCCTCTGTGTTGTTCTGGCTCTTCAGAGATGCCCATCTTTTGTCTCTTATGAACCCTTTGCATTTCTGACATCCAGTTTTTTGAGAATGACCTCTAGCAACACAAAAATGGGAACGAGAGGCTTGAAGTGTCCAGTGTTTGCATACCTTGGTCTTTTGTAAACCATCTAGTAAGGTAAATGTCCTGTGTAGCCATTTTATAGCTCAAGTCAAAGGTTTGGAATTAATAATTTTACAAGGCTTCCACTTAGCCTTCTTTTTTTGTCATTTTGTTTTGAAAGGCTAGTGTCATTTCTTATAATTCATAGTTAGTGAACCAAAAAGGCTTTTGATATACATATGGACCAAATTTCCATTACTTCTTTTTTTAGCTTAAATTGTCATTATCCAATAGTATTTATTGAACCAGATTTGTGAGGAATCTGTGAAATTTGTTTATTGTAGGTACCCATGACACCACATTGTGAAGGGTATCCTCTAAATGTTTGTAGAATCAGTGACATGCAATTTTTGTTAATTCTCCTCAAGAATAGCAGCTTATCATCTACCAGTTATAGTGTCATCTACCATCATATTTAACCTTTTAAGGACACTGAATCGCCAGAGTTATCTGCTTTAATAATGCACATTTTTCGGCAAGAAAGTTTGAGGGCAGTGATTTATATTATGGTCCATAGATCTTTGACAGTTTCTAAGCTATTCGGTTGGTGGGCTTGACATCAGTGATTCTCCATTGAAGATCTAGAAAGAAATATAGCAGATATCTATATAAGATATTTAGTTCCCTTTTCCTCACTCTTCAGCAAAAATATAAAAATTTTGTAGTAGTCATAATCAGAGTCTTGTCCTCAAAAGTGGAGACGGCTGCAAGTGTAGTCAACACTTCAGTACTTCTTGTTCATTCGTGATCTTTGCAGAGAATCTCCTATAGTAAATATGACTTTTCATTAAAAATACATCAAGAGAATATCTTACCGCATACTGAAAGTTTGAAAAGCTTCACTCCTCTAAGAGAAAAATAAATGAATTCAGTTTAGTTCAATTTAGTGAATATCTATTAAATATCCACTGTGCCAGGCAAGGTGCTAGACCCTGGGATTACAAGGGTGAACAAGACAAGATATGCTCATTGTTCTCGAGATCATGTTCAATCCAGTGGGAGAGAAAAACACATACATATTTGGTTTTAGCCAAGGTTTGAGATCTATTTTAGAGACAAAGCCAAGTTGGACCAAGTTCTTCTCTCTATTGCTCTCAAATCACCCTTTTTTGCTTCCCACATTGACTCCTAGCACCTAGAATTACAGTAACTGGCCCATAGGATACTCAGGGAGTGTTGTTAGAAGGAATAAACTTGAGGATTCAGCAAGGGCCTCCTGGAAGAGATAATACGAGTCACAAAAAAACTCAGGTGACAAAGACTAGAATGACCTTCCTGGAAGAGGAAACTGTATAAGCAAAACACATTAGATATAAAACAGCATGTTCTAGGGGTGAATTGAGCACATGCAAAAAATAAATAAATAAAGCAGAATAAGGGTATGCAACTGAAGATATGAGCAAGGGTCAGGTCTTTGTATTCATGACTAAGACAGTGCACTTTATTCTGTCATTGAAAATCATTGAAGTGTTTAAAACAAGTCACAGGGTAAGATTTGTGTTTTCACAGAAAATTTTGTTAGAAAGTAATGTGTTGGCTTCAGGACAGCCTGGCACTCAGATCCTATGTTTGTCATAACCTCGGTCTAAGTACTTGAGCTCAGCCTAAGATGAATGGACACTGAGAGGCTTGAAGTGTATGTAGATACAGTCCATGAAGCAGCGCCTTGACAACCATCGTGAAGTGATTGGGTTACCACATAGACAATGCGACATGTCATTTACTGCTCAGATCTGGGGATGCTGTGTTCTGGTGTCTGAGAGAGTCTGATGGAGCTCTGCAGCTTTTAGAAACAGCAGGCATTATTATATATAGCTTTCAGAAACCCCTTCCAATCAGGCTCACCCTTTCTGTCAGTTAGAGGGTAAAATCCATGTTTCTTAGCAGTCAGGTTGAGAGAGCAAAAAAAAAGAGGGATGAAGACAAACTGAATTCCAGCTACTAATCTCTGAGATGCAGTATATAAATATGCCATATTCACTCTCTTTCATTTGAATCTGCCTTCCTGGGAAGAGACCATATGTCATAAAAAAATTCATAGTTTCTTTTAGATTAATCTTCAGTAAGAAGCCCCAAAATATTAAATCTCAGTGCTCTCACATTTTTCTTCTCCCCTCATAAACAATTCGATTCAATTTGAATTAATATTTATCGAGTGCTAACAAAATGCATGGCAATATAGTGGATGCTGTAATAGAACTGCTACATAAAGGGATAATACTCATGTCCTACTTTAAGAAAAGGAAACAGTCTGTTTTATACGAGACAATAGGAACAATATAGCAATAACAACCATTGCACCACAAGATAGGATCAAAAGTTATTTAATTCTGTCACCATTTATTAACCATCTACCATATTCAAGGAAACCAATATGTCCTAAACCAAACTTGAGGAGGCTATGTTGAGGAAGACCAGAAAAAGGAATATAGATTTTGTTTGAATAAGAGAACTGTGTCATTTGTAGAGAAATAGATTTGTGCTATACCTCATGTATGAATAAATGGGGCTGTTCCTCTCAGCCAGACAGAGGTGAATAGATCCTCATTTATTGATTTATCTGGAGTGTTTTTGTTTGTTTGCTTTTGGTTAAATGACCTTAGAAGTCTTTATATGTTGCTTTATTTTGCCAAATTATGCTACCCAACCTAGCCCAGAATTAGGTAAAATTTGGTTCAGTTGTTTTTCCAAAAACTCCAATAGATAAGAATACAGGCTCTGTCATTGCCTGGATTCAAATCCGGACTCCACCACTCACTAGGTTATTAGATCTCTTTGTCCTCCAGTTTCACCATCTACAAGATGAAGATAATCACTACGTTTACATCACATCAATATTGAGAGAATGAAATAAAATAAGACCTGTAAAAACCTTAGTCTGGGACTGGCTTATCGTGTTCAATGAATGTTAGCTATTTTTCTCCTATAATAATGTGGAAGAAATTATCAGATGCATTCCCAAAAGCATATAGAACTATTTGTAGAGCTTTTTTCTTTTCGTCAAGCCCACATTTTATAAACAGTAGATAGACCAATTGGATCGTGGATAAATAGACAGAAGATTGTAGTGATAGAGAGATAAAATAACACAGGTGGGGTTCCCTGGGAAAGATTGTAAAAAGATGTGCACGCAGGAACTTTGTTGGGAGGGCTCACAGGACCAGCTTCCTTATTCCTATAGCTTCCAGAGTTTTGGAAGCTGATAGCCCTTAACCGAATCACTCCCTAGGGAATGCTCTTGGCTAAAGAAAGCTACCTCACCCAAGGCCATGACCCCTTTACACGAGCAGCCTGAATCCAGTGATTGAGGTAGGACAGGGGCCCAGTCTTTCTTTCCTCAGTTTGAGCCAACTCTGAGGAGTTATCCAGAACATCCCATAAAATAGATGAAGGCCTTTGGGTGAAGGCACTGAACTGTAACCTGCTGCTGCCCAATCCTGCTTTCTTCTCTTCCTCAGAGGTATTGATGCTGAGAGTGTCTAATCAAAAATCATGATTTAATGAAACTCATAAGATTTACTGCTTCACCAAGGACATTCTTAAGAAAACCTAGCTTTTTTTTTTTTTAATCTTTCTGTGAGTGCCTGTGTCAGAGAAGAATATGAGAATACTAGTATAGCTTGGTTTGGTGCTGACTTGATTCCTGATAAGACTCCTGCAGTTTTACCCATCAGAGTTTTGTACCATTTGTGCAAATATCAACCTAGTGAAAAAAGGCAAAAACATGTACTTAGTGCTATTATGAAAATAATTTTGACCTCATGGACCCCTGAAAATGTCTTGGCCAATGGATTAGAAGTAAATATCCTACATTTATAGTCCTATAAAAGAACATAAAGAAAGTAGTTTAGATTCTTTTAATACACCAAAATCTTATTTTTAAAATGATACCACTTACCATTATTAGAACCGTTATTACCATGATGATTGAAATGAAAGCAGTTAATCTAAATCTTCAAATGTTGGTGACAAAAATATTTTAAGGTTAATTTTTAAAATAACTTGCATAATAGCCAAAAAGTAGAAATAAGTCAAATATCCATCAACTGATGAATACACAAAAAGAGTAGAAATTATCCAGCAATAAAATGAATAAATTACTGATACATGCTACAATGTGGATGAACCTTGGAAACATACTAGGTGAAAGAAGACAGTCACAAAAGACCACATATTGTATGATTCCATTCAAGAGATATCCAGAATAGGCAAATATATAGAGCTAGAAAGTAGACTACTGGTTGCCCGGGGTGGTGGGAGGAGTTAGGAGAAGTGAGGAGTTATTGCTAGTAAAGATGGGCCTTTTCAGAGGGGATGACGAAAATGTTCTAGAGTTGATTTTGGTGATAGTTGTACAACTCCGTGAATAAGGTAAAAACTCAATTGTATACTTTAAAAGATACATTGTATGGTACACAAATTATATTTCAATAAAAGTATTAAAAAACAAATTGGTGCTTTGTGACACACTCGGCATAGATAGAACATTAAATTTCAACCTGGTCTTAAGTAACTATTTCTCATCATATATGTAGGAGCATATGTTGAGAAGTGATTTTTCAGAAAAGTGAGAAGGGAATTTTCTGACTCATTAAAATTGCAAAAAAAAACACATATAATAACAGTAATAACAAGGACTAACTATTATTAAATTAAGTGAGGAGCTGTGCTGTCTGCTTTATATGTGATTCTCCCTGCAATTCCAAGTTAGATGACTCTATTCTCATCGTGTAGATAAGGAAACAGACACTCGAGTTTTCAGGTGCCCCATTAACATTCACTACTACTTTAAAATTCTGCTTGACAAGAATTATGATAGGAGGCAACTCCATTTTTGAATAGGTAAAAAAGCCAACTTTTAAACTTCAGTGTACTTCATTTTAGGTCGAAAGAACTTATACTTTCAATTCCACTCAAAGGTTTCAAGATTCCTAATAGAAGAGTGGTAGGTAGTGTACATGATAGAAGAGGCAGATTTCATCTAATAGTGTACTGTCTAAGAAGATGGATTTGAAACAGAAAGAGCTAATAACATCAAAGATTTTCTTTGCTAGGTCATCCTTTATACATTAATTATACAGAAGTGCCGGCTTAAATGGATATTCTTGCTCTAAGAGTGTTTTTTTAAGAGAGGGTTCTTTCCCTTACTCTGCACTTGAGTTGGGAGATATTATCAGAGAGCTATCAGAGAGATAAGTTGATAGAGCAAGACAAAGTTTATTTCATTTGTAGTATAAGCTTATTCATTTACCTGAACAATGAATCATCATTGTATAAGAGACTGTGTCACCATGACAGCTAGGGTAAGATCATCTCTGTCCTGAAGCTGCACTATGGTTTGAAATCAGATATGTATTCATAAAATCTGCTTTAACTTTTAAAATTTATAAGTTTCTCTTATTTGTGCTTCTAATGTATAACATAAAGTAATATAGCCCTACAATCTACTGCTAGATATTCATTTTTAATATCATTCATAAATAAATGTTGCATGATGTATAAAAAAAAGAATTTTTCATGTTGCTCTATAACTCCATTAAAGACAACAATCTCCGAATAACTAGGTAGAATAATATGCATTATTTTTCACACTTAAAATATTTTTATTTTTATTTCCTCTAATTTCAAGGGTACTATTTGTTTACTATTTGTATCTGGTCTTGTTGGTGCATACATTTTGCTCAGATAACAATTGGGTATTTTTTAACTCTTTAAAATGAAAACATTATTTTAAAATCAAGGTGGAGGGAATAAGATGGGATTGATTAGTTAAATGGGATTGATACTGATACCATGCCTGACTCATTCTCCACATCATTTAATTTAATCCTTCCAATCAGGAGCTAAAATTGTCTCATTTTTCTGTCAATTGCTAACAACTTTTCTGTCTTCCCTGTATAATGAAAAAAATGGAAAACTCTATTTCTTTTCTGTTTGCTTGTGCTTTTTTTCATTCTGCTGCTTTCCTATACTTGTTTCTTGTTTATACCATCACTTTTTTTTTCCTGAGTCACCTGTCCTGACTACTATTTTTCACAGTATCTCCAGTTATCACACGGGTTTTATCCAGTCCTAGGTTTTGCTGCCCTTCTACCCAGCTGTACAGCTGGTTCAAAGCTCACAGCTATGGAAAGTGGATTCTATTTGTTTGGTAGCCTTTTTTTTGGCAGACTTTGCTCTTACTTTATTTCACTTTAGTTCTCTCCTATTACCTAAGCTTTTGAAATAATTTTGTTCTGAGAGTTAATTTGGTTGGTTTCCTTCTGTCCTTTGTTTAGTTGTCCTTCACTACTTCCAGTTAAATTTTCCCTTTTCTTTAAATGTCAAACAAATTATTACTTTTCCTTATGAATATAGTCAGTGATCACCAAAGTTGATGCTTATCTTCATTTGATCCAATAAAATAAATATAAGGATCTTATTTAATACACACACGCACACACTGCATTAAAATAAATCAATTTACACAATTGTGATTCTCTTGCAGAAGCATGATGGCCACTTCACAGTCATCCAGTTGGTCGGAATGCTCCGAGGCATTGCATCAGGCATGAAGTATCTTTCTGATATGGGTTATGTTCATCGAGACCTAGCGGCTCGGAATATACTGGTCAATAGCAACTTAGTATGCAAAGTTTCTGATTTTGGTCTCTCCAGAGTGCTGGAAGATGATCCAGAAGCTGCTTATACAACAACTGTAAGTTTATATGCCCTTTCCTAATATAGTCTGTTTACTTTTATTGTTTTTAATGTCATTAGAGTAATTCTGTTTCTGCCTTCCTAATTTTCTGCTTGTATTTATTACTTTGCTAATTTGATATCATTATTTAATTGAGAAGTATTTGCTTTGAGTGTCTAGTTTATAACAACAACAACAAAAAAGAAAACAAAAACTTTCATACCTGACTGTTTTCTTTCTTTCATTGTCCTGGGACTTTAACATCATGCTTAACGTCCATGTCATGACTGGATGTTATAACATGGGCTGAAGTATCTTTGATGATTTAATAATTTTATTTAAATAGAGTTCTGTGTATCTAAATGGTAGAATTAATTACTACCTCAGTAATATGAGGAACCAGTGATTCTGAAATGACTTTATTTCCAAATGGTTTTGAATGATCTGATCATACTTATAAAGAACAATATGGGTTTCTTTGGAGATATATAAGTACACTCTAAACCTTTTCCTAAATGATACTTGGAGAAAATGTGAGCTGAAATGCAAATTTAAAACTTTAGAACCAAACCGTCATCCACAAATTATATCAGTTCAATTTGTCCTATGGATAGTGTAAATATTTCTGACTGTCCTAAACCAATTCATTTCACTGATCTCCTTGGTTATTGTTTTGAGAAATTTGGTCTCAAAGTCTCTGTTGTGCTATCTTCAAGCTACTAATTCATAAAGTTATATTCTGTTATTTTTTTAAACAAACCTTCACCACTAACTCATTTGGCAGTCAGTTTCAATGAAAAATAAGTTATTAAAGCTACTCAAAAGATTTTTATTATATTCTTATTTTCTCACTTTACACATTATTTTAAAAGATGCAACTTCATTATTGAGTCCTTTTTTATTTCATGCTCTATGAGTTTTTTTGAAACTTTGCTGTATTCAGTTACTCCAGAATAAAATGCAAGTTTAATATTGTGAAAGGAATATTTTATGCCTTGCTATATTTGCTTTGTAGAAATGTTATCTATTAATTTATCAATGATATTTTTCACAGTTTCTTCAACAAAGAAATATAGTTCTAAGGAAAATAAATTAACCTTTCATTGTCTGATATATAAAGTAGCAGTGTAGGAGTATCTACTGATCTTTTAATTTAACCAAAAAGCTTCATAAAAATAAAAGTCTATCAGTTCTGAAAACAATTTGTGCAGTTTAGAAAAAGCAGTATTTTCAACTCCATTTTTAAATTGGAAAATATCATAATTATTTTCATTTTTCTCAAGGCCTTTATTTTCTTTTATCTTTACAAATTTATAACTTAAAACAACTTTTGAAGTTATAGAACAACGAATATAAAATTTTTCCATTAAGCACATTATTTCTAATGCTGAAGAATAATGTTGAAAAGTGTTATACAAATATTCCAAATGTAATATTTATAAAAATTGCAACAAATACAATCTACTAAAAAATAAAATATGATGGGAAATTACTACACTCTTTGTGGCAGTAAGCCTATATAAATAGACTTGAAATTTAATAAAATAATATTTTAACTGCTTTTTAAAATGGTAAGCTTATAACTAAATGTAATATACTCATGAAATTGGCAGATAACTGAAATTTTTATGCATACGTAAGTTTTGTTACATCAAATTTAACAACCAGACTCTTGGCATTTTCTGTCTTATGTGATTCTAAAGACTAAGAGGCCTAGGACAGTGCTTTTTAAAATTTAGATTGGACCCCAGACTTAAATAGCAAATTAGGTAACCAGAATATTAACACTCTAAAAACTGCCTTTGAAAAGCTGTAGATTATGTCTTGATTAAGAAATAAGTCTCTGAATTTAGAAGGTATCAATTAAATGGCAAATAATATAATCAAGTTTTTTTTTTTTAAGTCTCAGAACTACTTACTGTTCAGAGGACTGACTTTATAATGAACATGGACATTCAGCACTTAAAATAGTAAAGCTCTTGCCTTTAAAGACTTTATACTTTCACAGGTTAGAAGGTTCATGCTGCCTTGCAATTCAATACAGTAAGTGTGGTCATGGGGGTCTTAAAAAGAACTACAGAAGTACCAAAAAGCAGAGGCTGAAGAAGGCGTCACAAAAAGTCAAAATGTGAACCAAATCTTAGGAGAATTTATTACGCTGACAGTTGGAGGAAAGGTAGTCCAGATGGAGAAGAAGAAAGAAAAAAGACATGGAAATGCAAAAAAGTGAATGGGCCTATCGATGAAAATTTGGGGCCATAGGCAATGGAGGGGCCAATTTTCCTGGAATAAATGTAAAGGTACCTGAGTGGCACTCCAAGAAATTTGAAGGTTTTTGTATAGCAACTAGGAGACAGGCACTGATTTATTTAAACAGGAAATAACAAACATAGACGCATGTCTTAGAAGATATTATTGGGGCCGGGCACGGTGGCTCGCGCCTGTTATCCCATCCCAGCACTTTGGGAAGCCGAGGGGAGCGGATCACCTGAGGTCGGAAGCTAGAGACCAGCCCGACCAATATGGAGAAACCCCATCTCTACTAAAAATACAAAAAAAAAAAAAATTAGCCAGGCGTGGTGGCGCATGCCTGTAATCCTGGCTACTCGGCAGGCTGAGGCAGGAGAACCGCTTGAACCCAGGAGGCGGAGGTTGCGATGAACTGAGATCATGCCATTGAACTCCAGCCTGGTCAACAAGAGTGAAACTCCATTTCAAAAAAAAAACAAAAGATATTATTGAAACAGTGTAAAGAAAGGAAGGAGAGTTTGAAGGACAGGAGGACTAGTAGCAGACAGACCAGTTAGGCATTATTGCAATAAACCAGAATGGTTATATGACTTTAATTAGGGCAATGACAGTTGGAATAAAGAGGAGGAGAGAGAAATAACATAAATTAACATGTTCATTATATGTTCATTATGATTCAATAATTAATTGGATATTAATTGTAAGGAAGAAGGAGGATTTAAAGATGGCACTAATATTTCTAGATTGAACAACTGGTTAAATGGAGATGCTGTTAATCAAGACAGAGAATCCCTATTAGAGATGACCTGGCTAATGGTATTAGATTACAAAGCAAAATTATAAAAGAAGATATTCTATTATAACAAAATTATAATAGACAGATATTCTGTCTCAAAGGCAAGATAATGCCAAATGATCATTGGCATTCTGTCAAAACTTTGTTTATAAATTTTAGAGCATTCTATGAATGTACTTAGCCCCCAAATACTTTTCACATTTCCTCTTAAAAAGAATGAAATAGTTAGAAACCTGCCTACTGAAGATACAAGTCAATTCAAGCAAACCCTGTATAATAAAATACAGAGGAAGAATGGTCATTTATATGAAAAGGGTGGGGGAGGAGCCAAGATGGCTGAATAGGAATAGCTCCGGTCTACAGCTCCCAGCGTGAGCGACGCAGAAGACGGGTGATTTCTGCATTTCCATCTGAGGTACCGGGTTCATCTCACTAGGGAGTGCCAGACAGTGGGCGCAGGATAGTGGGTGCAGCGCACCATGCGCGAGCCGAAGCAGAGCGAGGCATTGCCTCCCTTGGGAAGCGCAAGGGGTCGGAGTTCCCTTTCTGAGTCAAAGAAAGGGGTGACGGACGCACCTGGAAAATCGGGTCACTCCCACCCGAATATTGCGCTTTTCAGACCGGCTTAAAAAACAGCGCACCACGAGATTATATCCCACACCTGGCTCAGAGGGTCCTATGCCCACGGAGTCTCGCTGATTGCTAGCACAGCAGTCTGAGATCAAACTGCAAGGCGGCAGCGAGGCTGGGGGAGGGGCGCCCGCCATTGCCCAGGCTTGCTTAGGTAAACAAAGCAGCCAGGAAGCTCGAACTGGGTGGAGCCCACCACAGCTCAAGGAGGCCTGCCTGCCTCTGTAGGCTCCACCTCTGGTGTCAGGGCACAGACAAACAAAAAGACAGCAGTAACCTCTGCAGACTTAAATGTCCCTGTCTGACAGCTTTGCAGAGAGCAGTGGTTCTCCCAGCACGCAGCTGGAGATCTGAGAACGGGCAGACTGCCTCCACAAGTGGGTACCTGACCCCTGACCCCCGAGCAGCCTAACTGGGAGGCACCCCCCAGCAGGGGCACACTGACACCTCACACGGCAGGGTATTCCAACAGACCTGCAGCTGAGGGTACTGTCTGTTAGAAGGAAAACTAACAAACAGAAAGGACATCCACACCAAAAACCCATCTGTACATCACCATCATCAAAGACCAAAAGTAGATAAAACCACAAAGATGGGGAAAAAACAGAACAGAAAAACTGGAAACTCTAAAAAGCAGAGCGCCTCTCCTCCTCCAAAGGAACGCAGTTCCTCACCAGCAACGGAACAAAGCTGGATGGAGAATGACTTTGACGAGCTGAGAGAAGAAGGCTTCAGACGATCAAATTACTCGGAGCTACGGGAGGACATTCAAACCAAAGGCAAAGAAGTTGAAAACTTTGAAAAAAATTTAGAAGAATGTATAACTAGAATAACCAATACAGAGAAGTGCTTAAAGGAGCTGATGGGGCTGAAAACCAAGGCTCGAGAACTACGTGAAGAATGCAGAAGTCTTAGGAGCCGATGCGATCAACTGGAAGAAAGGGTATCAGCAATGGAAGATGAAATGAATGAAATGAAGCGAGAAGGGAAGTTTAGAGAAAAAAGAATAAAAAGAAATGAGCAAATCCTCCAAGAAATATGGGACTATGTGAAAAGACCAAATCTACGTCTGATTGGTGTACCTGAAAGTGTTGGGGAGAATGGAACCAAGTTGGAAAACACTCTGCAGGATATTATCCAGGAGAACTCTCCCCAATCTAGCAAGGCAGGCCAACGTTCAGATTCAGGAAATACAGAGAACGCCACAAAGATACTCCTCGAGAAGAGCAACCCCAAGACACATAATTGTCAGATTCACCAAAGTTGAAATGAAGGAAAAAATGTTAAGGGCAGCCAGAGAGAAAGGTCGGGTTACCCTCAAAGGGAAGCCCATCCGACTAACAGTGGATCTCTCGGCAGAAACCCTGCAAGCCAGAAGAGAGTGGGGGCCAATATTCAACATTCTTAAAGAAAAGAATTTTCAACCCAGAATTTCATATCCAGCCAAACTAAGCTTCATAAGTGAAGGAGAAATAAAATACTTTACAGACAAGCAAATGCTGAGAGATTTTGTCACCACCAGGCCTGCCCTAAAAGAGCTCCTGAAGGAAGCGCTAAACATGGAAAGGAACAACCGGTACCAGCCACTGCAAAATCATGCCAAAATGTAATGACCATCCAGACTAGGAAGAAACTGCATCAACTAATGAGCAAAATCACCAGCTAACATCATAATGATAGGATCAAATTCACACATAACAATATTAACTTTAAATGTAAATGGACTAAATGCTCCAATTAAAAGACACAGACTGGCAAATTGGATAAAGAGTCAAGACCCATCAGTGTGCTGTATTCAGGAAACCCATCTCACGTGCAGAGACACACATAGGCTCAAAATAAAAGGATGGAGGAAGATCTACCAAGCAAATGGAAAACAAAAAAAAGCAGGCGTTGCAATCCTAGTCTCTGATAAAACAGACTTTAAACCAACAAAGATCAAAAGAGACAAGGCCAATACATAATGGTAAAGGGATCAATTCAACAAGAAGAGCTAACTATCCTAAATATATATGCACCCAATACAGGAGCACCCAGATTCATAAAGCAAGTCCTGAGTGACCTGCAAAGAGACTTAGACTCCCACACATTAATAATGGGAGACTTTAACACCCCACTGTCAACATTAGACAGATCAATGAGACAGAAAGTCAACAAGGATACCCAGGAATTGAACTCAGCTCTGCACCAAGCAGACCTAATAGACATCTACAGAACTCTCCACCCCAAATCAACAGAATATACATTTTTTTCAGCACCACACCACACCTATTCCAAACTTGACCACATACTTGGAAGTAAAGCTCTCCTCAGCAAATGTAAAAGAACAGAGATTATAACAAACTATCTCTCAGACCACAGTGCAATCAAACTAGAGCTCAGGATTAAGAATCTCACTCAAAACCGCTCAACTACATGGAAACTGAACAACCTGCTCCTGAATGACTACTGGATACATAACGAAATTAAGGCAGAAATAAAGATGTTCTTTGAAACCAACGAGAACAAAGACACAACATACCAGAATCTCTGGGACGCATTCAAAGCAGTGTGTAGAGGGAAATTTATAGCACTAAATGCCCACAAGAGAAAGCAGGAAAGATCCAAAATTGACACCCTAACATCACAATTAAAAGAACTAGAAAAGCAAGAGCAAACACATTCAAAAGCTAGCAGAAGGCAAGAAATAACTAAGATCAGAGCAGAACTGAAGGAAATAGAGACACAAAAAACCCTTCAAAAAATTAATGAATCCAGGAGCTGGTTTTTTGAAAGGATCAACAAAATTGATAGACCACTAGCAAGACTAATAAAGATAAAAGAGGGAAGAATCAAATAGACACAATAAAAAATGATAAA
This sequence comes from Homo sapiens, assembly GCF_000001405.40. NCBI lineage: Eukaryota > Metazoa > Chordata > Mammalia > Primates > Hominidae > Homo > Homo sapiens. The sequence continues at coordinate 97,644,600 of NC_000003.12, forward strand.
GGGGATATCACCAACGATCCCACAGAAATACAAACTACCATCAGAGAATACTACAAACACCTCTACGCAAATAAACTAGAAAATCTAGAAGAAATGGATAAATTCCTTGACACATACACTCTCCCAAGACTAAACCAGGAAGAAGTTGAATCTCTGAACAGACCAATAACAGGAGCTGAAATTGTGGCAATAATCAATAGTTTACCAACCAAAAAGAGTCCAGGACCAGATGGATTCACAGCCGAATTCTACCAGAGGTACAAGGAGGAACTGGTACCATTCCTTCTGAAACTATTCCAATCAGTAAAAAAGAGGGAATCCTCCCTAACTCATTTTATGAGGCCAGCATCATTCTGATACCAAAGCCGGGCAGAGACACAACCAAAAAAGAGAATTTTAGACCAATATCCTTGATGAACATTGATGCAAAAATCCTCAATAAAATACTGGCAAAACGAATCCAGCAGCATATCAAAAAGCTTATCCACCATGTGAAAGTCAATGTGGCGATTCCTCAGGGATCTACAACTAGAAATACCATTTGACCCAGCCATCCCATTACTAGGTATATACCCAAAGGACTATAAATCATGCTGCTATAAAGACACATGCACACGTATGTTTATTGCGGCATTATTCACAATAGCAAAGACTTGGAACCAACCCAAATGTCCAACAATGATAGACTGGATTAAGAAAATGTGGCACATATACACCATGGAATACTATGCAGCCATAAAAAATGATGAGTTCATGTCCTTTGTAGGGACATGGATGACATTGGAAATCATCATTCTCAGTAAACTATCACAAGAACAAAAAACCAAACACCGCATATTCTCACTCATAGGTGGGAATTGAACAATGAGATCACATGGACACAGGAAGGGGAATATCACACTCTGGGGACTGTGGTGGGGTGGGGGGAGGGGGGAGGGATAGCATTGGGAGATATACATAATGCTAGATGACGAGTTAGTGGGTGCAGTGCACCAGCATGGCACATGTATACATATGTAACTAACCTGCACGTTGTGCACATGTACCCTAAAACTTAAAGTATAATAAAAAAAAAAGAAAAGGATTCTTTGTTTTATAAGAACATCTGCATGAAAATAGCTTTAAAGAGAAAATTCCCTTGATACGTATATATTTTACGTATAATTCAGTTTTTTTAAGTTGTATCTATATATAACTTTCTTTGAACGTATATTTTACCTCAGATGATTTTGACTTTTTCTCTTGCTGTGTAACTATAATTGCTATTTGCTCATTATTTGTAAATGTTTTTTATAATCTGTGTCAGGAAGGATTTGGAGGAAAGAGAGGCTGCGAGGGCTTAAAAATAAGAAGACATGATAGATAAAGGTTGGGTTTTGTGGGGCAGTTGTTGGGGAGAGGTTTGTAATCTTCAAGAAAAAAATATCTTTAGAACAGTATGCTACATGGAAGCTATCCTTTTCTAATCAAAATACGGACAGAATAGGCATTTTCCATTAAAATGACTTTGCCAATTCAGAGACCCACAAATCACAACAAAGAGCAATCAGAACTGGTTAAAGAAGATGGTCTGGAAAGCTTGTGTGAGCAGTGCGAGTCCAGCTCTGGTTATGGTACTGGACTGGTCCTCATGTGGAAGAGAAACAGAAGGGCCATGGGAGCCAGTGGCCAGACCAGAAAGCAATGTGACAAGAGAGATAACCCTCCAACAGTGAGTCTTTCAGAGCCCCGTTTAAAAATCCTATACATGTAATATATAAGACAGTATTGTCCACATTTCAAAATACACTAAAGTAAATGAAGAATGAGATTTACACCTAAATATAAGTAGAAATTCTAATATTTTCTTCTTCAACTTGAGTGTTTTGCATGCCGTGCTCTAGGTCTGACATATTCATTCACTGTGTACTTTACACAGTTTATTATAGAGCGACCATATTTCAGGCACTATTCTTTGGAGGGCCAATTGTGAAACAGCTTCGCTAATTATCAGTCCCAAAAAAGGACTCCCATTCCATGAGGAAAACAGCAAAAGATCAATCATCACTATGCCAGCCACCAGAAACAGGAGTCCATATGTACTTATGCCCACTGCATCCTGAGCTACTGTGTAGGTCCACCATGCACTGGGTACCTATTTGCCAAAATCCAGTGAAAGAAAACATATTCACAAGTTATGTGAAATGGGTTTACTTCTTATAGATAATTAGCAAGGGACAGAAGTCTTGGATCCATTGTGTGTGGTTCCTCCAAGGCTGAAGAAAGCTGAACAGGAAAGATGTAGTCTTGATATGAATGCTCCACTTTCACAGCTGAGGGACCCTGAAAGGCAGTCCACTCTGGATTATGTACTTCAGGGGCCACATGACATACTGGGCAAAGCTGTAAAGGACATCCAGCTTCCAGGGAAGAGAGGAACAAAACTCAGTCTGTCCCATGCAGTTCCTTCGTAACTCAAGCTATTCAATTTCCTAGGAGGGACAGGTTTCAGGCAGTTTCTCCCTATCTGAGGATATTGCATTCCCAGCACATTGTACTGTTATTCTTCAGAACTACAAGCAAGAAAGCAAAGAGAGCTGGGTTGGTCCAAGGCCACTCAAAGAACTCTACTGCACCACCAACCAAAAACAAAGGGATTATTGAGAACAGATAAATGGCTACACAGGAATAAGACCAAGGGTAACCAAATAAGGCATATAGTAAAACTCATATATTGTACAGACACCAAGAGTCGACAGCACAGCATGAAAGGCAACAAGAGTTGTAGCAGAAGGTTTTTCTGGTATAGTATGTAAGCCCTGAACTAAAATACATCAAGCTTTTTCAAAGAAACTTTAAGATCTGATAATGGCATGAAAACCAAGAAATGTGTATTGTGGGCCAAGATAGAAGGAAATAAATGCACAAAAATAGGATTTAGATGAGAACTGAGGCCTTGTTTTTACATGCCAATTCTATGATGAGATTACAAAGCACTTATGAGAGATTAGTGAATGATTAGGGTCCGCACCTAACAATACATATATAATTAGTGTTATGTGGCTAAATTAATCTGCATAAAAGTTACTGACAGTTCACATTGTTTCCATCTGATTACATGGTCTCCTGTCTGGTTATAATTTAGGTGCTAAGAAATCACTGCCTTTTCTGAGTTTGACACACATTCACATGGACAACTGTTTTATAACCAGTTCCAGAGGAGGGACTCTCTCATTTGAATATTGCTAGGCAACCCAGTCTTAAACTTACATTGAAAATGCTAAGCCTCTTGGCTCTCAATTATGGAAATGAGATCCTATTTACCTAAAAAGAACATTAAAAGATATATTATGGTGCACACTCATCCATTTTAAGAGATAGGTTTCATTTAAAATATAATGGCAGTAAATGTTCAGATTTTTAAAAAAATTCTCATGAGTAAACTTCTTTTATTATATTTTGAAGATCAAAGCAAAATAGAAGAATCATTTATTGCAATACTCGTTAAAAATTTTATGAGTCCTTGATTTTAACTTCTAATTGCATCGATTTTGTGTTATCCATGGCAAATTTTGGTTTTGTTTGTCTGACAGCAGCAATTCAGTCGAAATACTTTGTTGAAATACAGAGCCTCATTATTGACAATATATAATCTGCATAATTACAGTTCTGTTAACATCTTAATTCTGTTTACTTTGCATTCATAGGACCTCTTCCAAACTCTAACACTTAACCTCTGCTATTCTGCATAAATTCTGAGAAAAGCCAAATTTTCTGTCGGTCTAAGAAGACATAGCCTACACCCAACTGGAGATAATTATAAAAAATAATGAAGCAGCATGAGGGGAAGGTATTTAATGTGTATTTTAAAGTTGGGAGAGATTCTCCTTCACCTAATTTAGGTGTTTGTGAATTGGCTTGACTTTTTGAAGTTAATTTTTAAGCCTTGAACATGTCCAACTTTAAGAACTTTAAGAATAAATATTTTAACACAAGTGAGATCTGCCTTTAAGTACTTTCATTAACATGAGTAAATGGGATTCGTCTGGAGATCATGCTTAACCTTTTAGTAAAACATACTCAGAACTTTCACTCACTTTGTCTCTTAAATTAAAGAGTTGGTGTAAAAAGTTTGCAGCGAGAAAAAAGATTAAAGGTTTCAATTACAATTATATAATAACCAATGCACTGAATAAAAGGACTCACACTGAAAAATGTTACTGATTTCTCGGATTCTAAAGAATAAAACTTTATCCATTGAAATTCTACCACAGGATTCTCTGTCATCAAGTCACTGCTGGTGGAGCTGACACTGTGCTAAGATACAATACGTGGTAAAATGCATTTTACTCTAACTCTACCCTAGTTCAACTGGGTCTAAGCCGAAAAATTACTTACACTCAATTTTTCTTTAAGACTTGACCAAGCTAAAAATGGAGGGGGTTTGACTGCTTTAGGCACAAAACAGGCACTTAGGTAGAAAATCATGAAACCAACCGTGTTAGTCTGTTTTCTCGCTGCTAATAAAGACATATCTGAGACTGGGTGATTTATAAAGGATAGAGGTTTAATTGACTCACAGTTCCGTATGGCTGGGGAGGCCTCACAATCATGGCAGAAGTGAAGGAGAAGGAAAGTCACGTCTTACATGGTGACAGGCAAGTGAGAGCATTTGCAGGGGAACTCCCATTTATAAAACCATCACACCTTGTGATGGTCACTACCACGACAACAGTATGGGGGAAACCACCCCATGATTCAATTATCTCCACCTGGCCCCACCCTTGACACGTGGGGATTATTACAACTCAGGGTGAGATTTGGGTGGGGACACAGCCAAACCATATAATCTACTAACATAGAAAAAGCTACATATAGCAGCATATATAGAATATAAGAACAAGCTCCTTCAGAGAATTCACTGGGAAATTCAAATAAAGGAAATGGCACTTTTTTTAGGCAAACCTAAATTCAGCCACATAAGAATAAAGAAAAGTGAGAAAAATAGCAGCATTATCAGAATGCTATGATGTGAAGATTTAAATAACTTATTTTTCAGTAAAAAAGGTGATAAGTAAATAAACCTTGGAAAAGTGAAAAACAACAAAAATCCAAGCTGGATAAACCAAATTCATCTATTAAGAAAAGAGCTATGCCACTTGGGAAAAAACAACAAAATCACTATTCACACACACACACACACACACACACACAACAATAGTTCTATGATAGATGCTATGCTAGTAGTCAATCAAAACCAGTCAAATGTATTGACCATTATAATTCGCTGATGAGGAAGAAATCGATGCGCTAATACTAGGTTTCCTAAATTCACAGGAAAACAGTACTCTTGATCCAGCAAATGTTTGATAGATTAATTCATGAAGAGAAAATCTGACAGTTTTTATATACTTTCTTCAATATAAACTTTTTGTAAAGGATACTCTAATCATCTAATACAAAAGATATATTCTTAAAAATTAGTAGTCTCCACATCTTGAGCCCATTTGTCAGAAAGCAAATCCACAACAATGGAGATGGAGGAGCAACACACATAACAAACGGGAGAGAATATGTGCTAAATGCATGGTAAAAGTCTTCTCCAATAACTGTTTGAGGTGTGAACACCATAAACATCAGCTTGGATCATAGGCATAGAGACCCAGAATCTTAATGGTACTTGTCTGGGATGGTAGTTTCAGAAGGGCATGAAACTCTTATGAAATATACTGCTTAGGTGAACTGACAATGGCAGATGTTAAGCATATGATGGAAAGTGGGGATTAATGCAATACCAAAGGAAATTACTGCATAAAGAATTATTTCCTGAAAAGCCCTCATCTATGAAGCTTAGGAAACAACAGTTTGCGGTCATTACAGAGTGATTTTTAGTAAAACAAATGAAAAAGATTTTAAGATTATCATACACAAAGGAAAAAATGATTGATAAAATGGTAGCTTCATCAAAAATTTTGAAAATAGATCCATCTGGCTCAGTCATATATACTATTAAGAAGGCAAGCCAAACTTTGAGAAAACCTCTATATTTTATTTGTACAAATCACACACAAAAAAGAACCTAAAAAACAAAAACAAGAAGTCCTTGTTACATGTAATAAGCCTTTTGTCTCTTCAATATGTGTTTTAAAGAAGAGGACTCTACTCTTCTTTAAGAGGCTGAGGCAGGAGAATTGCTTGAACCTGGGAGGCAGAGGTTGCAGTGAGCTGAGATTGCGCCACTGCATTCCAGCCTGGGCAACAGTTCAAGACTCCATCTCAAAAAAAAAAAAAAAAAAAGGAGAGGACTCTAAGAAATAGACCTTGGAAGTCATCATTATTTAACACAAGAGAATACTGAGAAACTCCAACTTTCTTTTCAGCACTCAAGATTTGGTGTGTCACTTGCAAGTGGTTATTTTGTTTCGATTTTGTCCTAAGATAACATTTGCTATAGATTTGTGGCAAGCAAGAAATTTTATGTTTTACATTTTTGAAAGCTTCTCAACACCTACAGTAATATACTACTTAATGGCTTATTTATTAATTGCTGATAATAAAACCAATAGGAAATAAGTAGAAAGAAAGTGATTGAAATTATAAGAACATTGTCTTTAGTACAATTACATTCATTTCTTCTCTGATATCACTGTTAATCACAACCCACCAATCTGTAAACCTAAAACAATCTTCAATATATTGCAAAAGCAATGAAAAATCTGCAATAGAAAGAAGCAAATGTAGCAAATGTTAAAGCACTTACAATGATGGGTTAGGATATTCACAAGCAGACAAGAAAATTCACAAGCAGAGGGGGAAAGTCTCTAAAAGCATATTGAACACAAAAGGATATCTATAGCCTGGATAAGATCCAATAAAAATGATTTATAAAATCACAGAATACATAATATTTTAATATTTATAAATATCTGCAATACATCTAGTCCTTCTAACCTAAGTGCTAATCAGTGAGGAATAATCAAATGCCAGTCACAGTTCTCAAGATATTTTCCGTACAGTTTGATGATTAAGAATCTCATGAAATGCCAAGTGCTGTTTGTTCGTGTGTTAGCAACATTCAGCATTGTCTAATTCAGAGAAACTCTCCCTTTTCCCATGATTTTAGAACAAACCCAGACTATATTGATTTACTGAGAAAGATCAATCAGCACATGTCCAGCAAGCAGAGAGTAAAATGTCATTGGCCCATCTTGCTTGTACAGAAAAAAAGACAAAGTAAAACTATACACAAACATGCTGACTTTATTTTTTTTGTAACTTTTTTTTTTAGGTTCAGAGGTTTATGTGCAGGTTTGTTGCATGGGTAAATTGTGTGTCACTAGTGTCACTAAAGTTTGGTGTATAAATGATCCCACCACCCAGGTAGTGAGCATAGAACCCAATAGGTAGTTTTCAACCCTAACCCCACCTCTGTCTAGTAGTCCCGAGTGTCTATTCTTCCTTTCTTTATGTCAATGCATACTCCATGTTTTGCTCCCACTTAAAATAACATACCTGCTGACATTAAATCTAGAGTTTCAAAGATACCAACAGAGGAAATAAAGTCATAACTAATGCTTAATCGCTAGTTTCATCTCTGATGTGAAAAGAATGCTTTTGTCCTTCAACAGTAAACAGCTAAGAAGGAAAACATGATAAATACCAGACAAACCACATGAAATCTTTATGGGAAAGCTTACTTATTCCCAGTGTAAAAAGCTTCACATCAATGGCAAATAAAGTGAAAACATTACCGGTTATTTATGCTGTTTGCAACAGACCCTATTGGCTGCCCATTCAACCTCTCTTGTTATTTCTTCCTGGCTAATGAAACCTTGAAATTTGGATGTTTTCAATGAGCTCAGATCCAAGAAATAAATCAGGATTTATATGTCAGTTATAGTTATACCACTATCCTTGGACACTTAAGTTTTACACTTAAATATAATAGAAGTGAGATGAGGAATTTATTGGAAAATTTCTAGTTGAAATCTATCAAAAATAGGTTTGAGTGGGGAGCTTTCTAGTACTGGCCCTTTCACTTTCTTTATTGCTTTGAATATGGTTTTGGGAGGACATAATGCTTGGAGCTGTGACAGCCCTCTTGCAGACATGAGGCAGCAAGCCTAAGGAGTTAAACCCAATGCTGAGTATGGCCAAGTAGGAAGATCTAAAGAGCCTGGATCTCAGATGAAATTGCTGAATTTCTGCATCAAAACAGAAACTTACTCCTGTTTTTTATTTCTAATTTAATTAAGTGTTTTATTTGCTTAAGCATCTGAGTGTTGGGTATTATGACTCTATGACTTGTATCTGAAGACATTCTACCTGATATAGTAATCAACAAATATGAAAACTTCCATATTAATAGATAACATAAATAGAGAAATAATAAAATGAGGAGTTTAAGTATTGTGTCCCCACAATCACACAAACTAACTAGGTATAAGGATACTATAAACATACAGTTAGTTTGGGGCCCCAATAATCATACATTTTACATATATTCTTAATATTATAAGTCACTATGTTAGGTAGTGGGGATAAAAGTGCTTAGGGTCTCAAAAGGAAAAATAGACAAGTATGATTGCATCAAACTAAAAAGCTTCTGAATAACAAAGGAAACAATCAACAAAATGAAAAACAACCTACAGAATGAGAGAAAACACTTGCAAACCATAGTTTTCTGATAAGGAATTAATATGCAAAATATGTAAGGAACTCATACAACTCAATAATAATAATAACCTGGTTAAACATGGGCAAAAGACCTGAATAGGTATTTCTCAGAAGAAGACATACAAATGGCCAACAGGTATATGAAAAGGCAGTCAACATCACTAATCGTCATGGAAATGCAAATAAAAACGCAATAAGATATCACCTCATACCTATTAGAATGGTGATTATCAAAAAGACAAAAAATAGCAAGTGGTGGTGAAGATACAGGGAAAAGTGAACTTTTGCACATTGTGCATGGTAATGTAAATTGGTACAGCTATCATGGAAAACAGTCTAGAAGTTCCTCAGAAAATTAACGATAGAATTACCATATGATTCAGCAATCCCACTTCTAGGTATATAATCAAAGGAAATGAAATCAGTATCTTGAAGAGATTCTGCACTCCTGTGTGTGCTGCATCATTATTCAAAATAGCCAAGATATAAAAACAACCTAAATATTTCTTTTTGAATGAATGGATAAAGAAAATGTGGTGTGCGAATTATCATTCAGCCCCCAAAAAGAAAATCCTGCCATTTGCAAAACATAGATGAACGTAGAGGACATTATGCTAAATGACATAATCCAGAATCAGAGAGACAAATACAACATGATCTCATTTACATGTAGAATCTAAAATAGTCTCATAGAAGCAGAGTAGAATGGTTGTTACCAAGAGCTGCAGGGAGAGGGAAATGGGAAGATGTTGGCCAAAGGGTACTAAGTTTTAGTTAGGATGAATATTTCTGGAGAGCTAATACACAATACTAAATTTAACAATACTATATTGTATGCTAGAAATTTGTTAAAAGGGTAGATCTTAAGTGTTCTCACCAGAAATTTTAAAAAAGAAAGGTAAATATGTGAGGTGATAAATATGTTACCTAGCTTGATTGTGGTTATGATTTCACAATGTATATTAAAAACATCAAATTTTATACCTTATATATAGATAATTTTTTGTCAGTCATATTCAGTAAAGCTGAAAAAGCGCTGGGGAGAAAACATTAAATAATCATGCTATTGGATAAGTAATTACAATCTGAGATTCTGTACAACAAATCTGTGAGTACCTACTGTTTTGGTAGGTACTGTTCTGGTCACTGGACATATTCCAATAAGTAAGCTTTCTTCATACAGTTTACAGTCTTGAGGATGGCAGAAATAAAAAATAATTTTTAAAAGATAATCTCAGATAGTGATAAATATTGGATATACAACAAAAATAAAAGTGAGTAGCTACCTTGAAAGACATGGCCAGTAAATATTTCTTTAATAAGGTTGTCACCTTTGAAGTAAGACCTGAAAATTGTAAAGGTACCAGCCAGGAAAAGATTTGAAGTCAGAATCTTCAAAGATGAGAAAAAAACAAATATAGCTCCTAAGATGAGAACAAGCTTGGTGTATTTTAAAACTAGTAATAAAGCCAGGATGGTTGATACCCTGAGAGGTAGGGGAGAGTGTTAAGGAAACAAAGAAAGAAGAGCCAGATGCTGTAGGAACTCAAAGGGCATGGAAAAGAGTAGAAATTATATTCTATCTACAAAAGGAAGCCACTGGAAAATTTTAAGCAAAGGGTGACATATGATTTGTGTTCTAAAGAGCTCATTCTGGCTGTATATTGAGATTGATTTACAGAGAGGAGGGGAGAGAGATAGCAAAGAGATCCATTTGCACAACCCTAGACAGGAAATGATGGTGCCTTAGTTTATGCCGGTAAAGAAGAAAATGAAGAGTGGTGAAGATATTTGGGATATCTTGTGGCAGTAGATCAGCTTGGAGAAAATATATATATTATATGTTATATATTATATATTATATATTTTATATATATATACACATACATATATATGTTTTTTGTGTATGTTTTGGGGTTTTTTGTTTCTCTAGATGAGGAAATTGAGGCCCAAAGAAATGATTTACACAAGTCACACGGCTATTCCATGGGAGACTATGTCAGTTAGCCATTGCAATAACAATGTTTGGGGAAAGTGCCTGTCCCACAATCAAATCCTCCTTCTTCCCCAGTAGTTTCCACTGCAAATTCTTTTCTGTCATATGCAAACTCCCTTCAATCTCTTACCTCTGAGACTCTTGCAGAAGACAATGGATATCGGCAGTTGAAAGTCTTTGAAGGTTGAGAAAAAAAGAGAAAGATCTCATCATTTTTTATGGGTGCATAGTATTCCATGGTGTATATGTGCCACATTTTCTTAATCCAGTCTATCATCGTTGGACATTTGGGTTGCTTCCAAGTCTTTGCTATTGTGAATAGTGCCGCAATAAACATACGTGTGCATGTGTCTTTGTAGCAGCATGATTTATAGTCCTTTGGGTATATACCCAGTAATGGGATGGCTGGGTCAAATGGTATTTCTAGTTCTAGATCCCTGAGAAATTGAACAATGAGAACACATGGACACAGGAAGTGGAACATCACACACTGGGGGGCCTGTTGTGGAGTGGGGGGAGGGGGGAGGGATAGCATTAGGAGATATACCTAATGTTAAATGACGAGTTAATGGGTGCAGCACACCAACATGGCACATGTATACATATGTAACAAACCTGCACGTTGTGCACATGTACCCTAAAACTTAAAGTATAATAAAAAAAGAAGAGAAAGATCTCTTAGTCTTTGGCGATAGATGTTACAAATGCAAACACACCTCAAAATGTTTTTTTTTTATTTTTCTTACCAGTCTTTTCAAATTATTCTACAGTGAGTATTGTACTTTTATGGTAAACGAAAGTATTCTACAGTGAGTATTGTACTTTTATGGTAAAGGAAAGAGAACAATATATGTTATAAAACTATAGAAAGAAATAGCTCCTGGCAGAGTTCCAAGGTAGCCTTCTGTTTGGTATATTAAAATTTCTTCTCTCTGGTATTAGTTGCTAAACAACATGTTTGTTTTAATGCTACTTCTTTAATCAAAAAGTTGGCTGGAGGTCACTTCACTAGGCAACATTTATTTTTAAATGAAAGATAAAGAGATTAAGGAAATAAATATTACTACTACTGATTTTTTAAATGGAATTCTGGTCAATATTCCAAGAAACTTCAGATTCTTCCCCAGAGTTTAAAATCTAATACCTATTCCTCAGTGTCACCATAGGGCCTACCATAAGCCCCAGAATCAACTTTTCCGAACCTATAAATAATGATTAGGAGATCTGAAGCTAGAGAAAATGCTACAGAATCTTAAAGTGTGTGTTTAAAGATAAAAAATTTTAAATATTATAAAAATGTATCCATATCCTTATTAAGAAATAAATACCTTTTTTTCTTTTTCATTTACTGTATTTTCCTACCTGGCTATCCATTGATTGGTCTGTGCTAGCTACTTACTGATCAGGCTTATATAGGTCAAACCTTTGCAGTCATGATTTATTGCAGGAAAGCAAAAGAAAGCACTGAAAAAATGACTGCAAAGAGCTTTCCTCAAACTCTCCCTTGGGCCTCTCTGTCTCTTCAAGTAACAGCTCTGAATGCATCTATGATCCATCAATATTTTCATATATTCATATCATTCCCTGTTCACATTAACATAAACACACAAAGTTTCACTGTACCTAGTTTTGCTTCTTTAAACTTGCAATAAGAACAGGGTATTATCATATGAAACATACACATTACTCAGTTGTTTAACCATCCTCTTAATCAGTGTATAATATGTGTCACAAAAAGGCAGCTGCTAAATGAATTATACATAAAGGTAATGCTTTCTAGATTACTCCTGCCTGTATATATTGCATAATTTAGGCCTGGTCCTTAATTTTCTTTTTATGGAAGCTGAATCATTACCTTGTTCTTTTAGTAGTCCAAATGTTTGTTTTTCCTGTATGCTATAAAAGTAAACTTTTTAAGAGAAGTCAACATTTTAAATTTGTGTTTATAGCATGTATTTTTCTAAAGGCTCTTTTTTTAAGGAAAATTTTCAGGCTGTGTTTCTTAGTTAAGATGAAACTATGTTTACTTTTAAAAATAACTGCCACTAAAGGAAAAGCATAAATTTGATAGAACCAAGTTGTTTTCTTATATAAAGTAAAAACTAACAAAGAAGTCAAGGAATAAACTATTATACCTTCATCTCCACCCTACCCTCTATAGGTTCCATAATCAAGGCATTTCAGTAGCCCAATATGGATATGGAGTCATTAAGAAATGGAAATACTACAGACATAATATGGTAGAGTAAACAGTAGGTTATAAACTTGGAGCTGTGATTTTAATCTCAGCTTGGCCATAATTCAGTGAACAGACACGAATCATTAATTTGAAATCCTTGTACCTCGGTTTCCACATCTTGAACAGAATTAATAAAACTGACCACTCTATTTTACAGAATGTTATAAGAACGAACAGGATAATAAATAAGCTAAATTATAGATCCTAGCCACTATTGAGACTAACAGCCTAGGAGTCACCAGAGACACTTATTGAAAAATGCAGATTTCCAGTTTCAGCCCCTGAAATTCATTTTTATTCAGTATGTCTGAGGGAAGAATAGCAAGAATTTCCAATCTGGAAATTCAGATTTTTAATAAACACCCAGGTGATTGTGAAACAGGTTATCTAAGAGTTCCATCTTGATTAACTGCCCTACTACAATCTAGACACATATCCAATTATTTCCTCCTCCAGCCTTACACATCATTAGATAGGACAGAAGTCACAAGCAGGTAAAAGAATTGTCAATACAGTGGAAAGGGGGAGGAAATAGGAAGGAAAAGGAGTGAATAATGGGAAATTAGAGCTGTTCTGGTTACACTAAGCATACTGTACAACATAAATTAATAATTTCCCTGGCATTATTCTTAGCATTATGCTTTTCTATCTCACCCACACACTTTTAGTTTCTATTATAAGATAGTTTTTCATGTAAAACATGCTTTATAATGAAGAGTGAGACTATGAGCCCTGATTTTTTTCTCTGGTGCTCCTTTTGTTGAATTTAGTATTTTCCCTTTTGCTACCTTTTTCTTGCATTTTCTTCTCTTTAATGTATCCATGACAATTATTTGTCTCCAATATAGACCAATGTAAAAATGTATGTCCCTTCCATGGCACTTACTGAAGACCTTAAAATTTTGTGAAAATACTTTAAACTATGATATAACTATAACCTATGGCCAGAACATAGACAACTTTTCTTAGACAGTAATGTCATTCAGTTGCCTCAGGTGCTTAATTTTATCTCAGAGTCTTAAAACAATTACATATTATTTCAGATTATGCCATGAAACTTTAATATCTCTAAAGTCAATGGGGTTTTAAGGCACTTGGAAACGATTAGGTTTTGCTTGAACTCCAATATACCTTACGGGAAATAGAAGAAACCGTGGGAATTGCAGTTTCAAGAGTTTTGACCTAGAATATCCCCCTTGTTCGAAGGTGAAATTCATATTCCACATTCAACATTAGAAACTACAGTAATCTCCAGATCACTTTATTAAAACTGCACATGCTGAGGGGGAAAAAGACATAAAAGCATGATAAAACAACACCTTTGTAAAAGCATCAAACCATGCTACCAAAGGGTCATGATACATTTGTATAGGTGTGCCCTCTTGTGGTGAATGAATGGAACCCAGGACATTTGGAAAGCGTTCTGAAAATCAGGGAAGAGCAATTTTGATTTTTGTTTTTCTTTCTTAGTTTAATATTGCCTGAGATAGAAAATGTACATATTAATAAGCCATGATAAAAAAGGATTTTACTTAGTATGTATATTTATTAAAGCTTAATAACTCTGAACTATTTACCCAGAGAGGAAGGAGCAAATGAAATTGTCTGCTAGTATTTAACTGCGAAGTTTCCCAGACTTAAATTGGGATTCCCATAGTGGACTTTAATCTGATTTAGTCAGTGTTTCCATCTATAAAATTTAAGATATAATTAGAAACAAAATCCCAGTAAAAAGATCAAATGTAAAATTAGAAAAAGGAATTATTAAAGTGAAAAAGTTTGTGTTTAGAACAAATCAGGTAGAAGAAAGAAAGGAGTAGAGAGAAACTTACATGGAAAAGAGAATAAAACATGCAGGCTTTTCGGTGACATTTTTAAATGCCAATGCTAAGTTATCTTGCATATGAATGAAATTTATGCTTTTGAGAACATTGAAGAGATGATGAAAATGTCCCACAGGGCAAGAGGGCAACTATGATTTCAGAGCAAGGTGTGAGGCAGTGAGAGTTTCTACATATTGGTTCAGTAGCTTGTATCAAATGTCCTATACTTCATAATCTAATTGATACACATGGGGGAAAAAACAGAGAGATACAAACCCAACAACCTGATTGAACTCTAATTAAGGAAGAGAAAAACAGTAAAAGGTTAAACCTGAAGAGAATATTGAAATATAACGTAACACAGTAATTTTCTTTTGTATTGGGAAAGTTACCAGAGGTCATAATAGCAATTGCAGGCACTACTTTGAAAAATAAGTGGTACTTATTATGCTTATATATTAATGAATTTTGAATAAAATGATTATAAATTATTTTCCTGCACTACCACAGATTATGCTTTAATATATATCATCACAGAGTTTAGAACACATTTGTTCAAGTAAGAGCCTCCCATTCTATCACCACCATTACAGTTTATTTAAGTACTAGAAATGGCACAGAAAGATATAAGGCATTTTAGCACCTAGTAGTATCATACAGGAAACTATTCGTAGATGGGTATTGTTCTTATTCTGAAATAGAGAAATATAAGGAAATCTCAAGAACAGAACATTACCTTTTCTGTGATCGTTTAAATTCTGTTTCTGGCTACATATTCTTATGTGCATTTTTTTAATTTTTACTCTTGAAACCCTATAAAACATTGACAGAAAGAGGATTGTAACAACCATATATAATAGCATTCATTATGCTCCCTTCAGTATTTTGCACTGTTCTCTTGATTTTTTAATATCACTGTATATTCATTTTCACTAGCTATCTAACTTTCAATTTGTGAGATTAATCTAGGTCACATTTTCATCAATATAGTTTCTAATGAAAGTTTTTAAAAACTCATCATGTCTTGCTACTCCCTAGATTGTAGCCATCCTGCCATTCACATTGGAAAGAAATGAAGTGCAGAGGAATCTAAACTGTGTAATTTGAAAGGTGTTGAGACCAGATTGCAAAGTTCCTGTCCCTCAGTGTATGTAGCTTGAATTTAGCTTGCCTGGAACAATCCAAGATAAAAGAGAGGATAAGTGAGGCGGGGCACAATTTACAAGAGACAAACAAGAATGGAATACAAATGTGGCACATTCTGACAGAAATATGCCTCATTAAAACATCATTCTGTGAGCTCGCTTGATTTGCCTGTATTGTGCCCAGAATCTCAGCTGCCATAGCCAGAGAGGGCCCACCAGTACAGACATTGACAGGTGACAATATCTGGAGAGTATTCTTTAATTCTGGATTCATTGTGATGACAAAGGGATTACTTAAAATAGCCTAAACCTATGTTATGAAAATAAAATGAAATAACATTTTGCCATGTATTAAATTAACCATAGGCCTACTCAACATACAAAAAAAATGACATCCTAATATTAAATCCCTATTTCTTCTAATTAAAATTAGTAAAATGTATCTAAGACAGTAGTCTTGTTTTGTTCTAATCTGAATTCTTCCAGTTTTCAATGTCTCTTTTCTGTAGTTTGTCATTTTTATCAATACATTTGCTCAAAGTACACTTCAGTTACAGTATTTTCCACTGAATTTCTAAGGTGAAATTTCTAAGGTGAATTACTTCCTATAATAAAGTGGAAAATATTAGTTCCCTGCTCTTTTTGTAAATCCAGAAATAACATCTCTTTGTGTGGTGCTGTAGCACCTCCAGTATCTTTCTGAGTCCTCATATTATACACTGCACTTTTCATATAAATGGAAAATATTGAGAAGGATTTTTGGTATTACATTATCAAGACAATTTCAGAGTGAAAAGAATTGTAGCTAAGATTGTACTCCCTAACGCTGGTCAGCTTACTTGGAGTTGTCTCAAGTCCCTGTGTTTATCTTAAGAAAGAAATTAATGTAGTTCAACAGCCCCTCTACTAGCTTTGAACACTGCAGAAATCTTATAGAACATTAGCGTTTATGTGGGTGGGGCCCTATTACTGAGACATCTTATAATTCATAAAACATCATGGTTCTCAAGATGCAAATTCTTCTATTTTTAAGTAAAATAATCAGGTTTTGCAGACATTCAGACTAAAAATCCCAGTAGAAATTACATTAACCTAGGCAACTTTTTAAGAACACAAAACTGGGAGAATTGTAAAATTCTGCCTTGAAGTGAAACCAGTTTCTACTTTCAATGGTAATTATTGAATCTTAGCTGGTTATTCTTAAACCAGATCATTAAAAGGAAAATCCTACTTGAGTGAAGGAATCCTGATATTAAAGTTGTAGTGAGGTTTATTTTCATTTCAGTGGTCCTCCTTAAGCATTCCTTCCCAGTCAGAACTTTCTGAATATCTCTTTGGTGCTTACACAAATGTATACAAGCTTGAGGGTTATATCTTTGAATTTCCTCTTATGGATGTCCTGGTAGTCCTTGTATACAAAGTGCATGATTGGCATATACAAAATCTGCACAGCTCTGAGACTGCTGCTCAGCAAATTTGCAAAAAGTGCTTCACTGTCTTGGTGAAAAAGTATCCCTCTTCCCCCAGTATATACTGAAATGTCAAAAGCATTGTTTATGTATGATTTTGGCCACCAACTATCTGATAGGGCTTCCTTATAGGTCCTAGTGACCCTTTGTAGCTCAAATAAGAGATTGAGGTCTTTTTAGCAGTATGTCAAAACTAACAGCTGAGGGAAAAAAGAGAAAAGAGAAAAGGTGGAAGAGGAAGGAGGAATAAATACTAAGCCTCCTTTGCTTTAGGCTTAGGTAATCAGCCTGTCCCTTTATGTGAATATCTCCTGATTCCCACTTTTAAAATTTTTAGTAAATGTTAATTTAACATGTGAAAAAGACAATGAAGATGAAACACGTTTTAAAACAATATGCAGAATAACTAAGGATTAAGCAAGGTATAAACTGGAAGATTAAAAAGGGCTTGGAGGTGCCCTAAGAAAGGGATTCTTCTTTAGTGAAAATATCGTAGGCCCAGTCACAGACCCTGTCCCATACTGCAGTAAGGACCTCTCACCTGCAGCGTTCAGACTGAAGGCGACAAAACAAGCCACCCTCTGAGAGAATGCATCCCAGTTCATCTCCCAGCTCAATTCATCTCTGACAATCCAAAATAAATATTCTCCGCTCCTCCTTCAGCTAATTTCCCTTAGAGAAGAATTTTGTGGGAGACTTGAACTATTTCTTTAATCACAAAATAAAATAATCTTTAGGGAATATTTAAAGATGCCTATTTTTATGGCATACCCCTAGCATCTACTGTTAACAAGTGGAACAAATATTTACTTGAACTAAATATCCACCAACAAAAAAACAGATAAATAAAGTACGCTGTATCCAAGTGACGAGCTATGTAGCAGGCACTGGCAGTATGCTGCCTGGGGCTTTTCATATCTCTTTACCATTTCTGTGTACACAGGCTTCCAATATGCATGTACTGCAACAGTCAGCACTCAGGGCCTTGTCGAGGCCACCCTAAAGCCTGCTGGAACTCACTTTCCCTGCAGGCAACAAGATCTGGGAAGCAACTTGGAATTTACATCCCACCAGGGTCAGTCTTTGATCAATGACTACTAAGGATATGAGGTACAAAGGCTTTAGCCCTCTTGCCTCTGAACAACTCTGAGGGGAAATGCAAAAAGAAATACATGAGAATGACAAAGACTAACTTCAGTGTAGGAAGTATCATGGGGTAGGACAAAGGGGAAGGAAAGAGATCTGGAGAAGGAACCCCTGGGGCTTCAGCTATATTAGAAATATATATTTTTAAAGCCAAGAGTTGGAGACATAGTTAGCATCAGATTGGTGTTTATGTGACTTTTGTGTGTTTGAAATAGTTTATAATATTTTATTTTTTGTGGAGCCTTTTTTTTTCTTTTTTTATATATACTTTTTTTATTATACTTTAAGTTTTAGGGTACATGTGCACAACGTGCAGGTTTGTTACATATGTATACATGTGCCATGTTGGTGTGCTGCACCCATTAACTCGTCATTTACATTAGGCATATCTCCTAATGCTATCGCTCCCCCCTCCCCCCACCCCACAACAGGCCCCGGTGTATGATGTTCCCCTTCCTCTATCCAAGTGTTCTCATTGTTCAATTCCTGCCTATGAGTAAGAACATGTGGTGTTTGGTTTTTTGTCCTTGCAGTAGTTTGCTGAGAATGATGGTTTCCAGCTTCATCCATGTCCCTACAAAGGACATGAACTCATCATTTTTTATGGCTGCATAGTATTCCATGGTGTATATGTGCCACATTTTCTTAATCCAGTCTATCATTGCTGGACATTTGGGTTGGTTCCAAGTCTTTGCTATTGTGAATAGTGTCACAATAAATATACGTGTGTATGTGTCTTTATAGCAGCATGATTTATAATCCTTTTGGTATATCCCCAGTAATGGGATGGCTGGGTCAAATGGTATTTCTAGTTCTAGATCCCCGAGGAATTGCCACACCGTCTTCCACAATGGTTGAACTAGTTTACAGTTCCAGCAACAGTGTAAAAGTGTTCCTATTTCTCCACATCCTCTCCAGCACCTGTTGTTTCCTGACTTTTTAATGATCACCATTCTAACTGGTGTGAGATGGTGTCTCATTGTGGTTTTGATTTGCATTTCTCTGATGACCAGTGATGATGAGCATTTTTTCATGTGTGTTTTGGCTGCATAAATGTCTTCTTTTGAGAAGTGTCTGTTCATATCCTTTGCCCACTTTTTGATGGGGTTGTTTGTTTTTTTCTTGTAAATTTGTTTGAGTTCTTTGTAGATTCTGGCTATTAGCCCTTTGTCAGATGAGTAGATGGCAAAAATTTTCTCCCATTCTGTAGGATGCCTGTTCACTCTGATGGTAGTTTCTTTTGCTGTGCAGAAGCTCTTTAGTTTAATTAGATCCCATTTGTCAGTTTTGGCTTTTGTTGCCATTGAAACTGGAAGCATTCCCTTTGAAAACTGGTACAAGACAGGGATGCCCTCCCTCACCACTCCTATTCAACATAGTGTTGGAAGTTCTGGCCAGGGCAATCAGGCAGGAGAAAGAAATAAAGGGTATTCAATTAGGAAAAGAGGAAGTCAGATTGTCCCTGTTTGCAGATGACATGATTGTATATCTAGAAAACCCCATTGTCTCAGCCCAAAATCTCCTTAAGCTGATAAGCAACTTGAGCAAATTCTCAGGATACAAAATCAATGTGCATAAATCACAATCATTCTTATACACCAATAACAGATAAACAAAGAGCCAAATCATGAGTGAACTCCCATTCACAATTGCTTCAAAGAGAATAAAATACCTAGGAATCCAACTTACAAGGGATGTGAAGGACCTCTTCAAGGAGAACTACAAACCACTGCTCAACGAAATAAAAGAGGATACAAACAAAAAGAACATTCCATGCTGATGGATAGGAAGAATCAATATCGTGAACATGGCCATACTGCCCAAGGTAATTTATAGATTCAATGCCAACCCCATCAAGCTACCAATGACTTTCTTCACATAATTGGAAAAAACTAATTTAAAGTTCATATGGAACCAAAAAAGAGCCTGCATTGCCAAGTCAATCCTAAGTCAAAAGAACAAAGCTGGAGGCATTATGCTACCTGACTTCAAACTCTACTACAAGGCTACAGTAACCAAAACAGCATGGTACTGGTACCAAAACAGAGATACAGACCAATGGAACAGAACAGAGCCCTCAGAAATAATACCACACATCTACAACTATCTGATCTTTGACAAACCTGACAAAAACAAGAAATGGGGAAAGGATTCCCTATTTAACAAATGGTGCTGGGAAAACTGGCTAGCCATACGTAGAAAGCTGAAACTGGATCCCTTCCTTGCACCTTATACAAAAAAGTAATTCAAGATGGATTAAAGACTTAAATGTTAGACCTAAAACCATAAAAACCCTAGAAGAAAACCTAGGCAATACCATTCAGGACATAGGCCTGGGCAAGGACTTCATGTCAAAATAGTTTATATTTTTTAAAATAAATATTTAGAAAGATTGATAAGGCAACAACAACATGCTTGTCACTAAAAGTTCAGACATGTTATCAGCATATTAAAAATGTTAAAAAAAAGATCCAGCCTGGTCACAATTCTTCTTTATAGAAGGGTCATGTATCCAAATTTAGAGCCAAAAGAAGAGAAGCCCTTAAAACACAATTCCATAACTACCAATTATTCCACTTCTCCCACGGACCTCACTTTTCCTGGTTTTTATCTAACTCATCAATACACACATCTTCCACATGTCTTTCTTCACCTGTCTTCCCAGCCTGGGTCACATGGTCCACCATTTAAAGAATACACATTGGCCAGGCGCGGTGGGTCACGCCTGTAATCCCGGCACTTTGGGAGGCCAAGGCGGGCAGATCACGAGATCAGGGGTTCGACACCAATCTGGCCAACATAGTGAAACCCCATCTCTAAGAAAAACACAAAAAATTAGCCAGGTGTGAGAGTGTGTGCCTGTAATCCCAGCTACTCAGGAGGCTGAGGCAGCAGAATCACTTGAACCAGGGAGGCGGAGGTTGCAGTGAGCTGAGATATCGCCGTTACACTCCAGCTGGGGAGACAGTGTGAGACTCCATCTCAAAAAAAAAAAAAAAAGAATACACATGAATGCCTTGAATCATCTGACGCCTTGCCTTGAATTTTGTCCAAATTCAGCCCTAGATAACACATTTTCCCCCCTTGTTTCCGATTCTGTTTCCAGCCTCCTGAATGTTGCTGTTTATGTAGCAAAACTCTATGAATTTGAATTATCTACAAACTTGTACAATAGGATTACTGTTTGTAAGCACTTTGAGGAGAGAGATTGTGCTTTTATTGTTATTTCTATCACTGTGTTAGTTTGCTAAGGCTGCCATAACAAAGCAGCACAAACTGAGTGGCTTAATCAA
Source organism: Homo sapiens (assembly GCF_000001405.40). Taxonomy (NCBI): domain Eukaryota; kingdom Metazoa; phylum Chordata; class Mammalia; order Primates; family Hominidae; genus Homo; species Homo sapiens. Next base: position 97,666,366 of record NC_000003.12, read on the forward strand.
CAGAATTTATTGTCTCAAAGTTTTAGGGCTAGAAGTCTGAGATCAAGGCCTCTACAGGCTTGGTTTCTTCTGAAAGTTGTGAAAGATAATCTGTTTTCTGTCTCTCTCCTAGTTTCTGGTGGTTTGTTGGCAATCCTTGATGTTCCTTGGCTAGTAGAAGCATCACCTCTATCTCTGCCTTTATGTGTGTGTGCTTTTATATGGCATTCTCCTGTGTGCATGTCTCTTTGTCCAAATTTTCCCATTTCATAAGGACACCAGGGATATTGGATTAGAAGCCCACCCTACTTCAGTATGACCTCATTTTAGCAAATTACTTCTACAATGACCCTATTTCTAAATCAAATCATATTTGGAGGCACTAAGAGTTAAGGACTTTAACATAAGAATTTGAGAGGACAAAATTCAATCCATAACAACCCCCTATGTCTGAGATCAGAACCAATGAGAGGTTGTCTTTCCTTGATCTAAACACAGCCCTCTGGAGAAGAGGCTTTAGTTTTTTAATTCAATAAATATTTCTTCTTCAGCTCAACTGAAGAACTGTCATTTCTCTTTGGACTTGAGCCCTGTATTTCCATTAGTGTACTGTTGTCATATGCCCTATTCTAAGTAGTTTGTGTTTTAAGTACTTTCTCATCTACCTCTTTTTATTAAACTGGAGAGCATTATTTTCTACATAATGTAGCCTTGGGACACCACCATATTAGTTTCCCTAATGGGTTCTTTTGACTTACAAATGCCAGGTTTATTTTGGCTTACATATGAAGTTTGATTGCATGCATTCATAATTGAGTTTCCCTTGTGGTTTATTAATCAGAACCATCATATCTCAAGATGATAATTAGCTGGCAAGTTATAGCAAACATATACAAATTTATTTATAGATATCTCCCACTTTCTCTCTGCATATTAACATTGTCTAATAAATCATATAACTGTAAAAGTGACTGAATACCCAGATTAAATCTGTTACTTTTGTTGAAAATGTGACATTATAGAATAAGATTCTTAAACATTTACAGTGTCTATGGTTTTAATTAATCTGATGCTCTATAATTTGATTCTTTAATATTTTGAAATGACTTCACAGATATTTTTACCATTCAGCATGGAAGGGTGTTTGGTTCCACATTAGGAATTTATGTTATACAATATCACCTCAGGAAAGATGTTGCTAAAAAGACATAGACACATTTCCATTTTTCCATTTACAATTTAATTTAAACTGTAGAAAAATAAATTATCATACAATACATTTGAACATCTTTATATCTAAGTGCCTTTATGTAAATAAGAAAAAGTATACTTTGTAGAGAACAACATGGGCAAACTCTTAAATAACCTGGAAACCATGGCCCATTGGAAAGTGCAGCAGACCAGTGCCTGACAGATCAAAATTCTATCCCCATTTCTCATATTTGCTCTTTTTCATGGAGCAAATTAGACTAGTGAGTTACCCAGCAGAAGCATCCTGCCTTTGGATGCTACTTTGGAAGCTATTTCTGTTCAAGTCTGTGTTGACTCGCTCGTAACTTCTTGGAACTAAAAGAGCAAGACAGTAAATACCCTTGCCTTACAGAGAGAGCGCTAAATAAACTATAAATTCCTTTGTTAATTTTTCTCACAAGAGAAAGATCACCAAGAGAATGGTCACCAAATTTCTCCCTCAATTTGTGTTATTTTATATTTTTTTGCATTTGCTTTTGGAATTGGTCTATGACAACTCACAAAACGTCTTTGTGGTAGGTAACTATAGCCATCAAAATGCTTGAGATGGCTGAGAGTTACCAACTGCCCTCATAATCTTGCTTCAAAGTATAATGAGAGCAAATCAGACCTATTCTGCCTCATATGTCAACATGTATTAAATGAATATTAACAAACAAGTACAAAACCTTCATATAATTTGTTCAATAAAATCTATGACTCCCAGATTTTTTTATAGGGGATCCTCAAACATCTTGCCTGAAAAAGCGTCAAAGAAGCCAAAACAACATCCCAGTGCCAAGATTCTGTAGACTTATTGTCCAAGATGTCAGAAATCCTCAGATTCACTGCTTGAACCGTTGGTTATTATTTGGGGATCAGGATCCCTCCTTCAGATGACCAGCTAACCATAGGCTTTTCTGGATTTCTCTAACCTGATTATGCAAGAGGAAGAAGTATCTCTGAAATATTTTAGCCAGTTGTCTTGAATACCACTAATTCCACCAATGAAGGCCCACTTCTAATACCCATTATGCTGATTAAGTATCCACTAATTGGCTGGGCCTTATGGCTAACACCTGTAATCCCAGCACTTTGGGAGGCCGAGGTGGGCAGATCACTTGAGGTCAGGAGTTTGAGACCAGCCTGGGCAACATGGCAAAAACCTGTCTCTACTAAAAATACAAAAATTAGCTGGGCATGGTGGAGAGTGCCTGTAGTCCCAGCTCTCGGGAGGCTGAGGCAGGAGAGTCGCTTGAACCTGGGAGGTAAAGGTTGCAGTGAGCCAGATGGTGCCACTGCACTCCAGCCTGTGTGACAGAGTGAGACTCTGTCTCAAAAAAAAAAAAAAAAAAAAAAAAAAAAAAAAATCCACTAAGTCAGCCAATGAAAATCCTTTTCTAACATTCTGACATTCATTATGCTAATTATTAAAGCTTCTGGTATTGATCCAGTATAAATAGCCAACTCAGTTGTATCAGTCCCTTCTAAGGTCTGGGCTTCCTTTTAGAATGTTAGTGAGTCATCCCTGAGTTGCGAGATCCCAAAGGTACACTAACTGTAGGCTCTGAAGTAACTTTCAGTAAATTACAGGCATCATAGCATTGTAGCAAGTCTCTAAAATACTAAGATCTTTCATATGTGTCCATTATTCTATTGTTGACCTCCTCTTTTACTTTCTGTTTTGTTTTTTTTTTCTAATATATATACCCATGTTATCCTTTATGTTACCTTGCATTCTCGTTTGGCTTCTCTTTTTTCATTGTGTAGATCAGTGTATCAGTAATTATCTTGCATCTCCCAGGAAATAAGCTTTTTTGTCATGATCTAGAATCATATTTTCTCCAAGAGTAGTCTCTAGACCACCTGTTTAGAAAAAATCCAGGGTACATTTTTAAAAATGCAGACCATGGCCAGGCACAGTGGCACTCACCTAGAGTCCTAGCTTAGGCTGAGAGAGGAGGATTGCTTGAGCTCAGGAGTTCAGGTCCAGCCTGGGCAACATAGTGATATCCCATCTTAAAAAAAAAAAAAAAAGAAGAAGTAGACTTCTGAGGTTGATCTAGAAATCTGCAATTTTTAACAGACACCCCCCACTCCATGATTTTTATACACATTTAAGTTTGAAACCAAATTATATTTTGCTTGTTCCAGTCTAGTAGTAAGAACCCTATTAAACATAAATTGTTCAGGTTAGTTGTATTTAGTATTTTTACTTGTTACATCTACTTTTCAGCACATTGTGGAACCTTCATAAATATTCAGCAACTGTAAAGGAAACTCTCAATTATTCAGGTGTGAATTAACAGCTGATGGATAATCCAGGCCCTCAGCCTCTTCTGCCTTTTCCTTAATGCATTTGCCTATTTCTCTGGAGGACAAATCACTCATCTTTTGCAACCTATTAGCAAGTTTGATGAAAGGCCCAGATCAGATTCTAGGCATATTAAAATGTGGTTGGAGGATTTTCTCTTCAATAAATACCCCACCTAAAAAAATTATTTCTTCTATAGATAATGAAGACTTAGCTATAATATCCACCAACCAAACAAGGGCAGAAAAGACTGACCTGACCCATTTGCTGGGAAATAAAAGACCTCAAAGTTAGCTTTTTAAGTTACAAGGCATGTTTCTAAATGTCCACATAAAACACCATAAATACAGCTAGATTATGGAGTGATTAAATACAGGATAAAAAATGGCTTCCCACAAGAGTTTGAAAATAGCATTGACTGGTATCCGTAGTCAAAATTGGGAAGAAATTTGACAAAAATAGACAAAAGCAACCCTTTCTTCTCAGTTGTAGAAAATATAATATTTGCCCGTCTCTAGTACTCAGGTCAAAAAAGACTTTGCCACTTTTTTTCTTTTATGTCTTCTGACATCTTTCTTTCCATAGAGTTTTCTCAGGTCTCCTAGGATATTATTGCCAAACCCAGGCTAACCTGTTGAATTTATGCAATAGAACTAATGTTTTAGGACTATTCTTACTCAGTGGAAGACTCTTGTATAGCTGCAGCTGTCTGGTTGTGCAACACATAGGGCCCAGATCACTCACTGTCAAGTAATTAGGGACAAAGCATGGGATTCATAATGCCTTCAAACAGAAACAAAAATCTGATTTGAAAGATGTCTGATATTTTAATGAATTTTCTGCAGGCAGCATAGCACTCCACTCTAGTTTGTTCACTATCCATATAGGTCCTTTGTAAATCACCGTCATCACACACACTTCTATTTATATTTCTTTCTTTGAAACAGATATTGTGTTAGCTTCTCTAATTTTTCCACTAGACTGCTGCTATTATCTGTACAGGACACCAAGGCCTTCCACAAAGGAGAATTTCACTCATCGGATCTAGGAGCTGTGGAATGGCTAAGGACCTCCACGAACAATCATATTTAAAATATCATAGAGGATCTTCTAGAGAATCTAGATTAGCTTCTGTCAGGATCCTTGGTGGCTCCTATGTGGTGTCAAGTCAGTCACTGACCACACGTATTTTAGTGTATCTCCTAGAGTCTCGGTTATCCCTTCTGTAAAAATGTAACTGTACCCTTCATCTCACTGATGAGGTTTGTGCTAAACTTGGCCGGTCTGTATCACAAATAGCTCCCTGTGAGCATAAATAACATTGGCTCAGACCATGAGATTTGAGATATAATGACAAGTTCACAAGCAGTCACTTTATCCAATCATCTCCTGCTCCTCTCTCTCTCTTAATTCTATATTCCCAGGAAGGCTGGAGCAAGTTCATGAAGGGTGGGGGACAGGGAAGGGGAATAATGACAGATGACAAGACGTAGGACTTCTATAATCTGTTCATAAGGAAGTAGTAATTGAGATAAATTCTTATCCAGTCACTGTAATACTTTTTAATCAAGCCTGGTTGGGTCTTTTGTTTGGTTGCAGAGTAGCATATGAGAGCTGTGTGTTGGAAAATATGGGTTTGTGAGAGCATATTCAATTAGATTATGCAAATAGCATAGTCCTTGATAGAAGTCAAACATAATATGCTTAATTCACATATTACCTTATTATTCTTTAATATCAAATCTCCTTGCTATAATCTTGCTATTGTTTGCATGGAAAATGGTACTTTTAAAAACCTGTGGCCTTGGATAGACTCAGGGCAAAATAATTTAATGCTCCTTGTTTGTTTGTTTAAGTGTTGTTTGTAAGCAAGAATTGTTAAGAAACAGCTGCAGAAGTTTTGGGACAAAAGATGAAATTCCAGTATAGATTTTCAATGTCAAAAAGAAAAAAAAAAGCAGAAATAGAAGCTATGATTTTGATCATTTTCTAGCCAAAAGGTTTAACCTACTTCTCTATGTACACTGCAAAGTTGTTTAGATTCTCATTTCAGTCTGACACCTTTGACTGCCCCACTGTGGCTGCCGAGAACCTGATTTAGGATACACTATACATTCCTGGATTGCGCAGTCCATCACTGTTCCTGAAAGGATGAGTACTTTGTGCTTTCCAGATGAAAAACAAAAAAGTTTCAAAGAATCTAGTTAAATCCCAAATAAATTTAGATCCAAAATTATATCATTCATTTCCTGCCCAAAGGGACTAAATTATATAATAAGTCTTTTTCAATTCCAATTTCAAGATCTGGTTCTTACCTATTAAATCACCCAAAGTGCTTTTACAGGGCTACCAAATAATATTCCAGCTTTTAACTCTAAAGAATGCTGCTTTCTGCTGCATATTTCTTGCCTTCATCATGATAATCCCATGCTTATCTTTCTTTTGTCTTCTCTTTGAAGTGTTTTGTTATGACCAGTCCTTTTTCCAAACTATTATTAGTTCTGAAAAATTAGTGGTTTTGTTGGCTTTTAAGACCAAGAGTTTATTTTTACTTGTTGGTGGGAGTGGGGGGTGGTGAAGGTGGGGAGAGGAGTTAGGGGAACTTCAGGTGAAAAGGAGAATTGCACTATTAATGAACAACAGTGAAGGTCATGTGGAGTCAAAATAGCAAAATGCATGATGAAGAGTGGAAGTGTCCTGTTGTATTTCTACCCTACTCTTCTTTAGTTCTAAAATAAAGGCAAAATGGAAGGACAGAGAAGAAGGAAAGAAAAAAAGAGAGAAGGGAGAGGGAGGAATGAAGGGAAGGAGAGGAAATAATCCCTTTGAACATATTGGAATGAGTTCTTCTTAAACGCTCTTGAGATGGATTTTATTGTTACCATTTTGCATAAATGACTACTCACAAGATCATGTGAGAGCAGAAATTTATTCCTTGCTCTAAAAAGTTGAACTATGTATTTTTTCTTAAAATTGACTTTGCTGAAATAGGTTTTTCATATTGAAATCTCAGTTTTGATTTATTAGCACTCCAAAGTGAAAATGTTCTCCAGTAGTGAGAAGGAAATGGAAACTTCACCAGGTAAAATTTCCCCATACCTCATAGTAGAAGTGTGTAGAACTGAGCCTCTTTAAAGCCAAATGCCTGTATATCTGGCCCTAAAATCCCTAGGAGGGCTGCCTATTAATAGAACTCTGTAGAGAATTCTCTTTTTAAATGAAGAAACCTCTTTAAAGAATAATTATCCTCACATTACTTTCCCACCAGCAGTTTCTGTTTCCTTTCCTTGAAGTCAGAGTTGAATGTATTTGGCTTGCAAAAATTCAATTCTGAGATATTATTTTGATAACGTCTGTGTGAAAGAGTTTAAAGAAGGAAGGCATAGAGATGGGAAAGGGTAAACTAAAAAAGGAAGAAGCAGAGGCAACTGGTGTTACTCGGGAATGGGATGGCATGAACATTCCAGCAAATTCCTGACATAATACAGATGAGAAGAGGAAATAAAATAATTGCTTTGAGTGGATATATCCCCATTCACTTTTCATTTGTGGAAGATGAGGTGAATTCACAATTATTAGAATATGAACCTCCTTTGTGATTATCCAGCCAAAGGTTCAGGTTTCCTGCCAGCAGCCTAACCTGATGTGGTGGAAGAGGCCCAAAAGGGTAAGATGAGGCTATTAACTCTACTCTGAGTCATATGTAAGAGCAGATTTACTGTAATTTGAGGACAGCGAACAAGCTTTCCCCAAAAGAAGCCCTCTCTATCAGGGTAAACTTTATTCCAAAGACCACTATAAACTGGGCCATTGACCAAGTCCATCTTTGTCAGAACCTATTTGTCCAGGACTCAATGCGCTTCTGAGGGCATTGAGGAATGGAGGACTCATGCCCCAGTATAGCAGGCCAAGGCCTTCTTAGCCAGCTTTAGCCTGTGATGTATCTGAATGTCTAACAAAAACTGCCTCTTGCTTTCGCAATAATTTTTTAGTTGTAGCTACTATTAGCAGGACTATATTTTATCCTTGATTTGGATGACATAACTTCTGTAGTAGTATGGCATTAAAGATTTTCTGGAAAACTCTTTTAAAAAGATTCCAGAGGAAAAAGATGCATTTTGTAAGATAGAGCTGTACTTAAAATGATGTATGTGCAGAACGACAGAAAGAAACCTAAAAGCTAAGCACAACACTATACCAAGAAAAATAAAAACTGAAATGATTAGGTAGTGATTCATTGCCCCAGAAATAATATCTATGTGAATGGTTATGGAAACATGTTAACAATGCTGTACTTGTGTTTCCTTTTTAAGTACCTGGAATACATTCTGACCAAGTGAACATATTATCTGAATTCTACTACCCACCTAAGGATTTTAATAAGGCTACATTGGTTACACCTGCTCATTTTCTAATGCTTCATAAAACACTCAGGCAAGAACAGTTGCAAAGTACTTATTTTCAGCAATTCAGTTTTATCCACGTGAACATATATTCTTTAAAGAATATTTGGGTACTTCTTGCCATACAAAATAATTTTCCTATTTAGGAAATAGGACAATTTACCTAATTGTTTTATTAATTAATTATACCTATAGTCTGCCTTTTCAGACTAAAGGAGATGAAAACAAATATTCTCTAGACAGTACTAGCTTCTGCTGGTTTCTGCCAGTGTTGTAGCCCTGTGACTTAGAGGAATCAGGACAATTCAATTACTGAGTTTGAATCAAGTCTTTGAAAGTACAGTACAGTGGCTTCTGCTTATTGCAACCACTTTAGGAAACGGTTATTTGAGCCTAATAGCTGACTGATTCAATTAAAGGAGACAGGAAAACCATTTGCTAAGGCAAGCATTGTGCTTGTTATTCACTGCTATCATCTAAAGCGCATCTCTGAAATCACAACTTTGTAAGCCAATGGCTCTACATCTTTCCCCTTCTCTGTCTATTTGGAGGCTGTGGCACAAATAGCCATTTTTGACTTACTTCATCGGGAATTCTCAGCCAGGATGTGGAGTGGGCATCTGAATTTGGGGTGAAGTTACATGAGCAATTTGAACAGTACAAGATTCTAATACATCAAGACACACAGCCTTAGGGGGATTTTTGCTCCCAAACAGATGAAAATAACATCTAAGGGGCCTATGCTTTGCGGGAAACAAACTAAGAAACAACAGCACATTATTATTCTGTGTACACCTAACAAAACGTGTAGAAAGCAATTAGAGACCTGCATCAATTCTGGTTTCATCGTTAAACAAAACATGCAGAACTTGAATGAAGATTTAAAGAGTATCAGAAACCAAACAGTGTCAGGTGCGGTAGCTCATGCCTGTAATTCCAGCACTTGGGAGGCTGAGGCAGGTGGATCACTTAAGGTCAGGAGCTCAAAACCAACCTGGCCACCATGGTGAAACCCCGTGTCTACTAAAAATACAAAAAATTAGCCAGGCGGGGTGGTGGGTGCCTGTAATCCCAGCTACTCAGGAGGCTGAGGCAGGAGAATCACTTGAGCCTGGGAGGTGGAGGTTGCAGTGAGCAGAGATCTTGACACTGCACTCCAGCCTGGGCAACAGAGTGAGACTCCACCTTAATATAAAAAAGTAAATAAATAAAAACCAAACAGAAAGTGACATCCCAAAGAATCTACATAATATAATTCTTGTTTTGAACTTTAAAAGACCAATACCTAACTTCATCAGCCTAACTTTATAATTGCTTATATGATACATGTGGCAATAATCTTTGATCTGAAACAGTCGTTACCCATAAACTCTGAATATATATTTATATATCTTATAAGAATAACATTAATTTTTCCATCAGATCTTTTAATTTAACTTCAGAAATAATTACATAGATAAATTGAATCTTACATCAAAAAATAGACTATCATAGATGTCAGCCTGTAGTCTTTTAAAAAGTAAAAGAATGATTGCCTTTTGCAAATTCTAAAATGTATGCAGGAGTTTAAAAAAAGTGGAGGAATTAAAAGTGACATGATGTTCGGTATATTCTTAAGGTACAGCTAACAGCATTCCTATTGCATTGGATGTGAGAGAAAATAGGCATGACAGAAAATTCCAAGGCTTCCTGGGCAATCTGAAATGGAAGAATGCAGGGAGGAGCAGTCGTAGAGGGGGAAAAAATTGCTAAATTTTGGATATGTTAAGTTTGATGTGCCAAGTGAAAATATTGAGCAGAAAGGCTGGAGTTCAAGGAAGGGATCCACACTAGAGATATGAATTTGGAAGTCACTGGCACATCAGTGATATTTAAAGCCATGAGACTGAATGATATTGCCAAGAGAATGAGGAGAGTAGTGCTGGGGCACACCAAGCTGAGAGGCTGAGAATATGAGGAGGAGGATACTGAGAAGGAATTACCAAAGAGGTAGAAAAAGAGCCAGAAATGAATGGTGTCATGGGATCCAAGTGAAGGAAGTATTTCAAAGAGGAATGAGTTATTGAGGAAGATGGGGACTGAGAACTGACCATTTGATTTAGCAACAAGAACGTCATTGATGTATTTGAAGGCATAGATTTGGTGAAGTAATAGAGACAAAGGTTTAATTGGAATGGAAAAATGAGTGTATTCACCCTGAAACTAGGAAGTATAAATAACTCTTTCAAAGAATTTTGTTATAAAAGTAAGCAGAGAGATGGAGCACTGGTCACAGTGAAAAATGAGATCAGCAAAACTTTTTTAAAGGCTTGTGTCCAGGGGAAGGAAAAATAGATGACACAGAAAAAGAAAGACAATCTTACTGAAATTATATCCTTGAGTAGAGAAGAGAGACTGGAGCATAGTGCACAGTTGGAATGATTGGATTTAGATGGGAGTATGAACTGTTTATCTCTAGTACTGGAAGGAAATAGAGTCCCTGGGTCGAGATGTAGTCATACCATTTTGTTGAAGGTCTCTTCAGATAGCTTTTATTTTCTCCATCATGTTGGAGATGTAATCAGCTAAAATCGAGGATGAAGAAGGAGAGGTTTGCAGTTTAGAAGAAAGGATAAGATACGGAATCATCTAGAAGACTGGGAAAATAAGTGATCTAGGATTTTGCTGTACAATGTGGCAGCCATGAGCCACATATATCTATTGAACACTTGGAAATGTGACTTGAGCAACTGAGGAACTGATTTTTTAATTTAAGTTTAATTAATTTTGATTTTAAAATTGATACTCATTCTTCATTTTTAAAAAACTTTAGGAATGTTTGGAAAAGCTTCAGTGTGTAACTCTGGTTTTTTAATTGCAAATTTTATAAAATCTAAATACAGATCAAGCATTTTAAATGAAAATTTAGTATCCAAATTAAGAAGTGCTACATGTGTAAAATACACACCAGATTAACATTTACATTATATGTTGAAATGATAATATTTAAATATATCATATTAAGTTAACATTGATTTTAATTTTACCTTTTTCTGTTTTTAATGTGCTTGCTAGAAAATTGACAGGATCAATGGATTCCTGGATTTGGTGGAGCTAAAGGATTATTGGAGACATCCTACTAGAATAAGAGATAAAGACAAAATGTGAGGCCAGGCATGGTGGCTCAAGCCTGCAATCCTAGCATTTTGGGAGGCCAAGGTGGGCGGATCACCTGAGTTCAGGAGTTCAAGACCAGACTAGCCAACATGGCGAAACCTTGTCTCTACTAAAAATACAAAAATTAGCCAGGCATGGTGGCAGGCGCCTGTAATCCCAGCTATTTGGGTGGTTGAGGCAGGAGGATTGCATGAATCTGGGAGGTGGAGGTTGCAGTGAGCCAAGACTGCGCCATTGCACTCCAGCCTGGACAACAAGAACGAAACTCCATCTTAAAAAAAAAAAAAAAAAAAAAAAAGATGTGGTTGTTGAAGAGTAGGCTTCTTGAAATTGAGGTTATGGAGGCAAAGCAGTTTGGTAATGACAAGGTCCAGAGTATAACCATGGAAGTGAATGACTAATATAAGGCAGAAAAGAAGAGGAGTTAAAAGAACTGTAATTAAACAGGAATGTTATTACACAGATTATAATGTCAATATGAATTAAGGGGACATTAATTCGTATTAATGTTCACATTCAGGACAAGATGAAGGCAAAACCCAAAATACCTGAGGTTATTTACTCTTAGGGACTGTATTCCTGGAGGGAGGAACTGTATTCAGTTCCTGAAGGGAGGGACTGTAGTCAGAAACAAAGTCTTCAAGAAATGAGGGGTGGTGACTTGGAGTATTGATAGGTGACTATTACAGAGAGGGTGGTGACTGGAAATCTGGTGCCTTGAGGTTCAAAGTAGTGTGTTTTAAGATAGGATGTGGGAAATACCTCTCCCAGCCTAGTGTATATGGCATATAGGACTAAAGAAAACAGCCATGACATGAAAATTGTGCAGAGGAAGATGTGTTCTCAAAGAAAACTTCATTTTTGGTTAACAGTAAGTTGAACAAAACTTTAGGGAAAAGATTGATGATGGGCCATGAGGTTCAGAGGGTGCAGTTGGAAGGCTCTCAGTTTTGAAGACTACAAAGTAGAAGTTGAGGATGGACCCAGAAGACGAGCGCTTCCTGTGGTGAATGACAGAGCAGGGATAAAGGGCCAATAAGATCTGTTCCTGCTATTCTTAATGCATATTGTGGAGGCAAGGCTGTGAATATTAAGGGTATCTGAAGCCCTTCTTCACCCCTGCTGTGAAAGCAGAGAATCCTAGAAAGGTGATTTAATTATAACTTTATTAGCCTCTTGACCTGAAAGTTTAGAATCTAAATCTAGAGAGGTAAAGTCTTCTGTATGATTGTGTTTTTGTAATTTCTGTCAGAACTCTAATAGTTTTGCTTTATATATTTTGATATTGGCTATTTGATATACAAAAATTATGATTATTACTTTTATATGAATAATACAAGCCCTGATTTCACTTTTGTTTTGATTGTCCTGAAATAGTTTTATATGTGTTTGTATATTTATGCTGCATGAGTCATGTTGTTCTAGATATATGTCTTACAAATAACATAATTAAGTCAGTGTGTACCTTTGTGTGTGCATGAGACCCAATCTGAAACTCTATCTTTTAATAAAGATTTCAACCCATCTCTATTTATTGTGATAACTATATGCTTAGTGTTATTTCTGCCATCTTAGTTTTCCAAATTCTTGTTTTTATGTTCCTGGTTTTGTTATATTAGTCAAAATAATTCTGCTTGTTTATTATTTATTAGTGATTCTTAAGTTATACATTGCAATTTTTCTACTAATGATTTCCTTCCAATTGCTCTTTAGATGAATTTTTGATCTCTACCCACTCTGAGAATGGAATTTGCCCAGGTTTTACTTCTCTTTCCCCATAGTTGCTAAGAGTTTAGCAAATAATCTGGAATCTATTCAATCTCTTTCCTCATTTCAGTGGGAACTTGGAACCCAGAGGGCGTCCCCACACACAGTCAGGTAGTTTCCCTCAGCTGGAAGATAATCATGGAAAATTATGAGTAGCATTTGAAGTGTGTGGGTTCCTCCAAAGTGCCTAAACTGATAAATCTCTATTTATAATATGTGAAGTACATTCTGTGGTACTGCTAGGCATGAAAACAAGGTTGCAGGAAGCTGTTTAAAAGCATCTTTAAATATCTCATGCCTGATTAATGTACTATAATATGGCACATGCTTAATGAAAGAATCATTAACGGGAATATAATTAGATGTTTAATTCAGTCCCTAGTCAATCGTTTGTTTTTAAATACACCTAAGAGTAAACAACCTCAGATATTTTGGGTTTTGCCTTCATCTTGTCCTGAATGTGAATAAATGGAAACCTGTGGCATGTACATAGCAGGATCAGACACTTCAATATACCAAAATACATTTCCCGGAAAAATTCTTCCCTGGGACACCCTAGAAAGGGTTTTGAATTTAAATTGTTCAGTATTACACTCTTGGTGATTCACAAAGACACATTAACTTATTAAAGGTTCTCAGAAGATCCAGCATGAAGAAACCTGTTTAACCCTTTGTGACCCAAAGTGATTTGACCAGGCAACCTTTTGCTTGCCTTACATGGGCAATTTATTTTCAGTGGAACATATTTTGGGAAATGCTGCTACACGGTGTTCTGTTGTAAAATAGTTAAAGGAATCACTTTCCCATCTTTAGAGTTACATTTTATTACAGGGCTCCCAAAGTACTTCTTATGTCTTTGAGGTCTTATAGAGTTTTAATGAAAATCTCTGTCAATTTTGACTTTGATTTCCCTTTCCTTCTATCCTGCTCAGATCTGCAAACAACTCAAATACAAACGTAGTGGTAGGAATGGACTGAGAAATTGGAGCCACAGCATGTGTGCTCAGAATCACTCTTCTTCTCTGATAGCTAAGGATTTGGTAACATGCCAGGCTCCTAATGTTCATTCTCTCATGGCTTACTATGCTCTCTCTGAGAGATTCCCATGTAGAAACACACTTTCATCAGGCCCAGCCCACAAGCATGCCACCAGCCATTGCTGATGTTATTTAGGACCTCACTACAAGTGTGTACATGACTGTCTCTCTGATTAGACTCTCAGTTCCTTGAGGGAGACATCTAATGTCACTTTTATTTGTATTTCTCTACTATTTGCAATATAGATACTCAAGTGTGACTAAATGAATGAATCACTCAACAAATGTGAAAAGTGAAAAACAGTTGAGTTTGCCAACCTCTCAGTAATTTCAGATTTAGACATTTGACATAAAAATGGCAAGACATGACTTTTACTGTATTGTCATGGTTTCTTTACATATCAGTGTCCCTTTGTCTAAGACCAAACTAATGGCAGAGATCATATCCCCAGTGTCAAACCCAGCTTGTGGCACAAACATTTTTTAAATAAATGAATGAAGAACAAATGAATGTTGGGACTTGGAAATTCTCTCTTTGCCATTCAAATATTTAGCACACAAGGTGTTTAAATGAAAGTGGACATGAAATTAAAAGTACTTTTTACAAAAGTGAACAAGTAAAAAGTCTTTGTACTTTCATGAGTTTCACTTTTGTAATGAAAATCTATCAAGCAGTTTTTATAACTGCTCTATCACACACAAGCATAGGAAAATATACAAAATTAACATCAGGGTTAACAAAAGGCAAATAAGTAAAGACAAAAATGATAAGACATTAGATTTTTGGAACAATAAGAAAAAAGCAAGTAGTCAAATAGTGAAAAATAGGAAGAGGAATTTACAGAAGAGGAAATACAAATGACAATAAATATATGAAAACTGTTCAAACCTGCTAGTAATCAGAAAAATGCAAACTAAAACAAAACTGTGTTTTCAATCATCAAACTGGCAGAAATTAAAAAGATTTATAATATCCAGAGCTGGCAGGGATAAATGGAAATAAGCACTTTCATACACTGTTGGTAAGAATATAAATTGATAAACCTGTTTTGAAGAACACCTGGCAGTATCTCAAATTTTCAATTTGCAACTTTTAGCCAACAAGGACTCTCTTCTACAGAAATACTTTCACATGAGAATAAAGACTTATGTACCAGATATTGATAGAAGCATTATTTATGATAGAGAAAAATCGAAAGGAAATTAAATATCTTCCTATCAGGAATATTAAATTCATTATTATACATTCATAGCATGGATACTATGCAGCCATTAAGGACAGTGCAGGCTTCAGTGGGATGACTTTAAAAGATCTCCCAAACATATTATTTAATGAAAAAATTAAAAGCATATTGGAAATTAAAAATTTGAGAATAATACCACTTATATAAATGTATGTATGTTTATTGAATAAACGAATCTGTGACTTAGAAAGGCTCTTTAAGCTACCAAAATATGTGGTGCATTGATCCTTTTTTAATAAAATACTTCATTATAAATGAAGAAATGGTACCTTAAAAAGGCAGCATTACATATCCTGAAGCATGATATGCTGAAGCTGGCATGATACTCACTAAACTCAACAGTTCCTACTGATTGGGAGAGGGATGAAGGGGAGCTAACATGTTTTACTCTACTTAGTTCTGTATAATCTGAATCTGTTAACAAAAATATATTACATATGTAATTTTAGAAAGATATCTGCTACTAGTAACCAGAAGGCTTCTTATAGCCATTATATAAGCCTGCTCAGCTTAATATTTATATGCCAAGCTGAAAGTTTATAACTGATTAAAGAGATATAAGCAGCATCACACAGTGACTTTTAGAAGCTAAAAGCAGCCAAATTGTTCCTTAAGAATGGAAAGCCCATCTAATTAAGTAATTAAAATTAATTAAGTCTACTTCTTTCCCTCTTGCCTAGTCTGTGGCTTGGATCACCTGTTAAGCTATGAGGCAGTACCCAAACTTCATGTAAAACTCTGATCATCAGTGGAAAGTGAATGATGTGATGAAAACCATCATGTCTTTAAACAGGTTGAAGATGAGTAGAGAACTCTGATCCCTCAATAGATCATTTTTCAAATCACCCTTGGAAGCTAAAAATGAAATGATTTAAATGAAGTAAATAATTCCTAGAGATTAATAAGGATATCTAGAATTGTTAGTATTGACAACCCACCTGAAACATTCCTTTTTTTCTATATATAATTGACCCTTCTACCTATTGACGTAAAGAACAGACCAATATCTATCAGGCCATACAATTTTACAATGCTGAGCAAGTCATGTCTCAATTTCCTCCATAGACTATGATCCCTCATTGCTCATCTTGAAAATCCTTTTGCAGAAGTAATGATCTCCCTATTACATTGTGGTTGAATCATTTGTGCTCAATTGAGGGTGCGTTTAGTTCAAGCAATACATTTTCCAGCAGTGTGAACACTAACACAGAAGCCCACCGTGCACAGTATATATGTCACATGGCTATTTTTCCAGTGAAGGGCACTGAAAAACTAGCTAAGAGCTTATTTTCCTCTTGATCTGTCATCTGTATACTCTATGGACAACTTGTCTGTCACTATTCAATTGTTCAAAACAAAATTCATTCTCCCGTATTAGACTACAAGAATTGATAAACAGAGAGATGACCCATCTAGTTACAGCTGAAATGTAACAAATGTCAGTAATTTGCTGTAACCTGACTACAGCTTAATAACAAATACCAGCTACAACGAAAACCTTCCTATTTTGAGTTCATTCTAAGATTTACAGAAAATTTTATAATGCTTTATTAGATATCATTTTTATTGTATGTACCTGCATTTGTCAGTCAGAAACCTCTAGAAAACTTTGTTTCTCCTTTGAGAATAAAAAGAGGTCTTAAAATGCTTTTGAATTATAATTTTTAATTAAGCTAAATTCTTCTAATTTCAGATAACTCAGATTTCATTGGCTTCATGCTCCTGTGAATATGTATAATTTTAATTGAATTACAGTGATATTTTAGTTTCCTGACCATTATATTAAAAAAGAGTTGTCTTTTCTGTAGTTGTCTGCCTTATATCATTACACATCCTCTTATATATGCAGTACCACTCATTTAACAAAAATAGTTTCTAGTAATAACTGTTAATTGGGAAAAATTACAGAAAATAAACAGCATAATAACCCCTTATACATTAGTACAGATGTAGTAACTATAAAAAGGATAATCAAATCACCCTCTGAGGTATTCAATTGCTTTTCATATTTGGAATAGAATTAAAGTAACGAAAAATGAAACCTTACAATTTTACAGAGAGGAGAGTGGCTGGCAAAAATAAGCTTGTCATGGTTTAATTTGAAGTTTTCTAGCTTACTAAAAATTTTCTTTTTGAATTTTAAATTCCCTGAAGCATGGCAAGTCTTGGGGCAGGGTGGCTTGAGGGTTGATAAATTCGGCTGCTCACCAACCCCACACAAGGCCCACGTACTTCTTTCTATATTTCTCCTTTGCCCTTCTGTATTCGGTTTAGCTCTCTTTCTGGCTGCAAGATGACCGTTGCATTTCTAGTCATCTCACCCAGACTTAACATTTCCAGAGGAAGAAAAGGAATTGTTCATTAAGCTGTCCCAGAAGCACCCCAGCTGACTTCTCATGCTGCATTAGCTGAAGCCCATTCCTAAATCAATCATAGGCAAAGAGAATGGGATTACCACAAAGGATTTTGTGAATATGGCTGTATGGAATAGGGTGATTACTCAACACACTTAGGTGCTGCTTGAAAAGAAGAAATAATAGGTGAATGTTCATTAGATGGATATTAAACAGTAACTGCTACTCCCTTTAGGTACTGCTTGTTATATACATGTCTACCTCCCCATGAAAATATATGTTCACTGAGAATGGATGCTACTTTATATCCACATTAGTATGTGCTTAATTCTTTTTCGTACTCAGCACGTTTCATATTTAGCAAATATTTTTCAATTAATGAATGGGTAAATTAATGAATATAAGAATAAATAATCATAAGAAAAGAAGCAAATTTACAGTGAAGTTAACAAAGCTTAAGATTTAAAGGCCTTTGGAAAGACCTAGGAAAAGCTTTAGAAATGTGTTCATATGATAATCTACTGTTAAAAATTTTACAAAAATAAGACATTTTAACTACAACTGGCTAAATTTGCTGACTCTATGCTGATTGACTTACCCTCCACCACATTTCTGTAAGTGTCGAAGTGACCATTTTGGAAATTCAGTGATCAGAAAGCTGAGCTAGAGATACATTTATTTGGAATTCAGTGGGACATTTTTGTGTATTTCTCAGTCACTTCCACGTCTAATAATGTTATCGCTACCACTTGGTATAGGAAGGGTTTCCAGAAACACCCATCTGCCCTCCATGCTGAATCACTGCAAAGCGATTTTTAAGAAAGGTGCAGAGCCAGAGGTGTTGTGTTTGAGCATGCCATAGAGTACCTAGCCCTTAAAGAATGTTAATAGTGAAAGAGAAAGATTGAAAGGGAGGGAATCAGAAACCAGTCTGTACAAAATTCTTTCAATCATCAGATACGTAAAATTGTAAGCAGAGGATTCAGTTCATTACAGATCCAGTCAAAACAGAAGATCTCTCCTGTGAAAAATATTTTTGATAATGTGATAATACAGCGTGTACAATTTTAAAAACCCCATACCTTTGTTGTCACCTTTAACGGGTATTGCACGAAACTAGGTGTTGTATGAAATGGAATTTCTCAGAATTCCTCTATGTGTAGGACACAAATCTATAACAATAGTGCTATAGTAAGTTTGCCTATGACAGCTGATAAAGAAATTTGATAGGTTTTCCCAAATTTAGCAACCACAAGAAAAATTTATATGATGTCACTCATAAAAAGTTATAAAACAGAAATAAATTTGTCTAGACTACTATTAATAAACCAAATTTTGACTAACAATTTTGTTATAGAAAATGATATTATAAAACTGTTGTCAAATGAACAGGTGAGCAAACTGTATGCATCCAAAAATGTAGTCTCAGTGCAAGAACCTAAGATAAGAATAAGAGTTAATTCCTGTTGAATGCTTTCTAAAGACTTTGCATTTATTTATTTCTTTAAATGCATTTATCACAACTCCATGAAGAAGTCACTGTATCAGCAGGATGAGCTAGATTACACTACAGTGTCATATAACCTCCCAAACCTTAGTCACTATATTTGTAAAGGTTTATTTCTTGCTCATTCTTCAGATCTTGTAGCTAGAAATTGTGCTGTACATGGACATAATGTAGAGACTTAGTATGACAGAGGCCTCCACCATCTGAAATATCTCCAGTCACTGTAACAGGAGGAAAGTGAATGACAAATAGCACACTGACTCTTAAAAACTTTGACTGGAAGTGACACCCATCATTTTCACCTATATTTTGTCGACCAACACAAGTCACATGGCCATGCCTAACTTCAAAGTAGTGGACAAAAACAATCCCTCCATTTACTCAGAAAGAGAAGAACATATATTTGTAAACGGCGAACGATGATTACTACAGGTACTTTTAACACATGGTAATATATAGGAGAACTGAACCATGGAGAAAACCAAGTAACTAGCCAAAGATTACACAATAATCAAATGCAAATCTAAGATTCATATCTAGGATCAAGTCCACATCTTACTATTATTCTACCTCCTTTGATGTAAATTTTTTGGTAAATCTCTGAGCCCTGGAATGGCAAATGGCATTACACTAAGCATTATATTCTTGGTGAGAAATTATGATGAGTAACTCAAGCAAGATCTGTACATCTTCTAGTTTAGTGAACAATATAGCTTAAACTCTCATTCATTATATTCATTCATCAAACATTTCTAAAGCACATTTAGAAATTATAAATGAATATAACTATTCATTTGTGATGCATTATTACATCAATTTCATGGAGAAAGATAAGAGAAAGGAACTCTCTAATACTAACTGGAGTTAGGAATTATCTGGAGATTAAAGGGTCAGCTATTGGACATCTAGAAGCTAGAATGACTCACTGCAAATGATCAATAGTCTGCCTTTCCTTCCTTCCTTCTCTCCCTCTTCCCATACTTCTTCCCATCTTCTCTTTCACAAAAATTTATTGCATTCCTGGTAGATGGCAGGTATTAAGAATTGGAGAGATAAACAGAAATAAGATCTATCCCTAGGGAACTCACAATCACAGCAGTAAATCAGATGCATAAATGCAATATAAGAGTCAATGAGACACTCTCAAAACCTTGTGAAATTCAAACTCTACATATATGCCTGATTTTATAGTGCAGGACCAGACTGTAATTTGCCAAGATATGTTTATTACAGTTCTCAGCCTGTGAATTTATTAACATCTTCTCTACTGCATAACACCTTTTGGTTTCATTCACTGGTATGTTTACAGCTGACATGCACTATCTTTCCTGGCTTTTGTGCCCACATTTGTTTACACTGACACATGGTACTATAGCTTGATGCCTAGATAAGACTTCAAGTGTTTTTGCTGAAATCGCTCAGAATTATTGTAAAGAGATGCATTTATAACCATCAGGGAACACTGAATCTTGGAGTCTGTGTTCTTTGGCATCTGTTAGTAAATATCTTACTACCCTCACCAGCTTTAGGGTATACATTGTTTACCAGTGGCACAGCAAAAAATATCTCCCATATTTTGTGGGGGGAAATTCTTTCTGGCTCTCACAGTTCTGAGAGTTGTTTACAGCCAGCTGGTAGAAAGTCTTACTTGCACTTCACCTGCAATGATTTGTGTGTCAGGCTTTTTGTCTCTTATGGTGCATGAAGAGGACAAATGAAAGTCCTTTCCCCTGCAATATCTTTCCTGCTCATGAAAGTTACTTTTCCAAACTTTAATTACTGGCATGATAGCCTATCTTCATTCTCAGTGTCAGAAGTCTTATTTTGGTTTCTTTTCCAATTACATCTTTTTCGAGTGCTTTATATATTTTAGTCTGCCGTAGATCCTTCACTATAAAAAAAACAAAGATAACATTTGTGCTATGTTACAGCAACTGTCTAGAGTCTATTTTATCTCAATCTGTGTCTTCAGTTTTTTCTATAGAAGTACAAGTAGTTATATATTTTTTAACATACTATTGGACATCATGGCTATAATGTCATATTAAAAATGCTAGCATTTTGCAAGAAGTTCAAACTGGAAGCAAGGTGTTTTTTTTCATTGGAAATTGTCAGAGATCGTAACGCGATGAAATATAATAAGCATAGTCTCTATTTCAGAATGAGACGCTGAGGAGTTATGACAAAAGATCAAGGATCAATTAAGTTATTTTTATACTGTATTTTCCTTTCTGGGCATGAAGTACAACTTTCCACATAGTTTCTTTTCCAACAGATGCTATATAATTTTGTTGAAATGATTAATGTAAACAAAACAGATAATTTGTTAAAGCTATTGGTGTGATAATGCTGCATAACAGGCCACCTCCCAAAATCCTCAGAGGCTGAAAATACAAAACCTTTACTTCTCATGTGTGAGTCTGCAGGTCCACTGTGGCAGCTCTACTTAAAATGTCACTTAGGTTCAGGTTTGCTCCACATTTCTCATCCTGGGACCCAGGTTGCAGGAGCAGCAGGTATCTGGAGCATGCCTGTCTGGAGGTACAGGGCAAGAATGCCAGAGTGATTAGCCAAACAATGCAAGCACGTTAAAGCCCTGGTTGGAAGTGACACATGTTGCTTCCCTTACATTCCATTGGCCAACCAAGTCTCCTGCCAAGCTCAAAGTCAGTGAGGCGGGGAAATATGCTTCATTCCCAGGCAGCAATGGCCAAGTCAGGGAAGAAAGGTAGATAGTATTATTGTGTATTATTGTGTATAATACAACCTACCATAATATCAGTTATGACTCTGTCTTCCCTGATATGATCATTGCCAGTGGAAATTTCTGATTGTGTCTTTCAATGTATGTCCAGAAAACTACATTTATTTCTTCGAGTATATTTCTTCTGTTATTTGGTATGTAATTTTCTACTTCTGCTAGTCTTTCATGCCTTCAACCTAGATCAAAGAATAGTATGTGTTTCTACCACAGTTTAATAGAATTGATATAAAACTACCCAGTAATATGATTCTTTCTAAATGAGATTATCACTTTTGTTAAAAGTAACATGTACTTGTTCATGTCCTTTGTAGGGACATGGATGAAGCTAGAAGCCATCATTCTAAGCAAACTATCGCAGAAAACCAAACACCGCATGTTCTCACTCATAGGTGGGAACTGAACAATGAGAACACATGGACACAGGATGGGGAACATCACACACTGGGGCCTGTCATGGGGTGGGGGGAGGGGGGAGGGATAGCATTAGGAGATATACCTAATGTAAATGATGAGTTAACAGGTGTAGCACACCAACATGGCACATGTATACATATGTAACAAACTGCACCTTGTGCACATGTACCCTAGAACTTAAAGTATAATAAAAAAAAAAAGAACTAGAAAAAAAAGTAACGTACTTCTACCCACTTTGTTTCTAAATGGGATTACACTTTTTTAAAAACTAACTTGTGCTTAGCCTACTTCCAAATATAGGAAAGAAATAATTATTTCATTAAAAAAGTAAAGCCCCTTTCATTCATAAAAGAGCTATACCCCCAATCCTTTTAAATATCTTTGTATTTTTAAGTTTTTTATTATTCATTGAGTAAACCAAATGTATAGATTATGCCTATCATTAAAATGCTCAATATAGTTTTACCTTTCTTCAAAATTCTCCTCTCTATAAACTTTGACATGCCTCCTATTTGCTATATTTCAAGCACATTGTCAATTTTGATGGAATTATATCAGCTATAAAGATGTTATAGATATCAGATATTATGTGAAGTAAATGCATTTTGCCAGATAATACCATCTGCACCTAAGGAAATATGTGAAGTCATATGGAAGTTCACAGAATAATAAGTAAACTTCGATGTTCATATTAGAGATCAGCCTAATAATTTGTGTTCATTCAAACATCTGTGATGTTCAGCTCATTCACGAGTCCCAGGAGATGTGGTACTGCCAATAATTTGTCCTTCCAGTGTAATAGAGTATAAGAGTAACATGTGTGTTCAACTCCATCAAAATGGATAATGTGCTGGAAAAAAATGTTGTTTGATTTTGGCTAGATATATAAAAATTAATTTTATTTAGAAGGGTAATTTTTTGGCGGGGTGGGCTTGCCTGTAATGCGGTAGGCAGGCCTCTCTATGGCCCTGAAAGTGAAGCCTCTTTAGCGCTTCCTAGCTCCCACTCCCTGCAATGGCTGAGTGGCC
Organism: Homo sapiens; assembly: GCF_000001405.40. Lineage (NCBI taxonomy): Eukaryota > Metazoa > Chordata > Mammalia > Primates > Hominidae > Homo > Homo sapiens. Next base: position 97,689,563 of record NC_000003.12, read on the forward strand.
AGGAACCCAGGATCTAGCTCCAGAAGCTGAGTGAGCCCACCTTCCTCATTGCTGCATTTTGTTTTTAACGACAATTAAGATATTATTTACATAACAGAAATGTCGATCATTTAAAGTGTTACCATTTGATGATTTTTTTTGTATATTTATAGAGTTGTGCAACTATGACTGTACTCTAATTTTAGAACATTGTCACACCCCCCCTAAAAATCTCATACCCATTAGCAGTCATTCCCCATCCCCTTCCCGCTCTTTCCCAGCCCTAGGCAACTACAAATCTTTCTGTGTTTTCTGATGGTGGACAAATGGGATCACCCAACACATGGTCTTTTGTGACTTGCTTCTTTCGCTAAGCATAATGTTTTCAAAGTTTGTCTGTATTGTAGCATGTATCAATACTTCATTCCTCTTTCTTGCCTAGTAATCTTCCATTGTATGAATATACCACATTTTGTTTATTCATTCATCAGTGATGAACATTTGGGTTGTTTCTGTTTTTTGGCTGTTATGGATAATTTTGCTATTGATCTTCATTTGCAAATTTTTGTGTGGACACATGTTTTTATTTATCTTGGGTATATCCCTAGAAGTGAAATTGCTGAGTCATGGTGGAGTTAAACAGGATAACTCTGTGTTTAACTTTTTGAAAAGCTGCTAAATTGTTTTCCAAAGTGGCTGCACTATTTTTATCATCCCACTGGTAAGGAATGAGGGTTCTAATTTCAGGACATCCTGGCTAACACCTGTTGTTGTCTATCTTTTTCATTATAGCCATTTCTAATGGATGTGAAATGGTATTTCATTATGATATTGACTTGCATTTCCCTAATTACTAATGATGTTGAACATTATATGTGCTTATTAGCCATTCATCTGTCTTCTTTGGAACAATGTCTACTTTTCGCCCTTTTTTTTTTTTTTGGAGACAGAGTTTCACTCTTGTTGCCCAGGCTGGAGCGTAGTGGCACAATCGAGGCTCACTGCAACCTCCACCTCCTGGGTTCAAACGATTCTCCTACCTCAGCCTCTTAAGTAGCTGGGATTACAGGCTCACACCACCATGCCTGGCTAATTTTTGTATTTTTAGTAGAGACGAGGTTTCGCCATGTTGACCAGGCCGGTCTCGAACTCCTGACCTCAGGTGATCCACCCACCTCCATTTCCCAAAGTGCTGGGATTACAGGTGTGAGCCACCATGCCCAGCCTTGCCCATTTTTTAAATTGAGCTATTTGTCTTTTTATGACTGAGTTGTAAGAGTTCTTTATATGTTCTGGATACAAGTCTCTTATCAGATAGTATATGATTTGTAAATATTATCTTCCATTCTATTGGTTATTATTTTCTTGACAGTTCCACTTGAAACACAGCAGTTTTAATTATTATAAAGTCAATTTTATTTTTTCTTTTACCACTTGTGCTTTTGGTGTTGTGTCTAAGAAACAATTGTCTAATCCAAGGTCAAGAAAATTAACTATTGTGTTTTCATGTAAGATTTTTATGGTTTTTAGCTCTTACGTTTAGATCCATGATCCATTTTGAATTAATTCTTGCATATGGTATAAGTTAGGAGTCTAATTTTCTTCTATTGCATATGGATATTCAGTTGGCCCACACCATTTGTTGAAAGACTATATTTCCTCCATTGAATTATCTTGGCCCCTTTGTCTAAAATCAATTGACCATAAATATTTGTATCCATTTAGTTTTAGACTCTCAATTCTATTCCATTGACTTGTATGACTTTTCTTATGCAGTCCCACAGTGTCTTGATTATTGTGTCTTTGTAGCAAGTTTTAAAGTCTGTTAATATGAGCTCACTAGCTTTATTCTCTTTAAAGATTGTTTCAGCTGTTGTGGGCCCCTTGTATCTTCACTTAACTTTTAAATCAAAATACACAATTATTTTTAGCCCCTTTTTTCTGTTGTTGGTTTTTTTGCCTGAATTACATATAGCCTAGTAAATGATTTCATAAGTTGAACGAGTGTGGTTAGGGAAAGGGTTACTGACTTCTATAAATATACATGTATTTGCATACTAAAACATCTCCAAGCCTCCAAGCTTTAGATATTATCATAAAATTCTTGCTTAAGGAAAAGTATATTTTTGAATTTCATACTCTAATAACCCTAACACCCAATTCATATAGCAACTTATTTATCTGATTGTACTAAAATATCCACTGAAACAATAGTTGTAAATTAACATTGATGTAAACATGATTAAGTTTGGAAGAGCATAAACCACATGACATCCTGAGCAGAAAAAGGAGAAAATTCTCTTTCGGCCCCTTCCAGTATTCTTGCCTTGAACTTTTAAATACAAAAACTTATTTTGTTAACAAAAGCAACCATTCTCCTAAAACCAGAGAAGAGCAGTCATGAAAGGATTCACAAAACTAGGGAAATAGTTGCTTATTTTCATGCTTTGACCAACAATCATGGTCTTCCCTTGGATCTGAGTTTATTTTGGCACAGAAGTGCTATGGAGAAGCTTTCATAGTGATCATGGCCCTAAGAAATTAAAAAACTTATATTTATAGATTTAAAGTTAGAGAATTTACACTATAAAATATGGAATTTATTTTCAGTATCTCTTTTGTTGTATAATTTGTTTTTTATTTAGATTGTGTCCTACTGCATATATGTTAAGCCAGGTTATTTTCATCTGTCTTTTCTTTTTCTGTTCTTAATAGGTATGCAAAGTTTGTCTGGGTGAATATAATTAATTCCTCTAATCTTATGTAAGTCTTTTTCAATTACAGATTTTTTTAGAAGGACTTCTGGAATATGTAATAAACCTTTTGCAAATAATCAGTCTTTGATCAGAATTTTTAAAGACGATCCTTGGAGGGCATTTGAAAAACAAGGTTTTGTTTTATTTTTTCTGACTCAGGCCTTTTTATGGTACAGTTGCCAGAAATGTCATAAATCTCAAAAAGGCCATTCTTGTCCTGAACCAATTGACCCTTCAGCGCCGAATCCTCAGCTACCTCAGGAGTCCTACTGGACCTCACTGCCATTTTCTGAATAATTTATGTGATTTACAGTGCCTTGTAAAAAGCACTGAAACATCTCTCTGTGTGACTCGTTTGCTTTTAATTTATAGTGACATCTTTTCGTAGTAGTGGAAACTTGCTGAAAAACTTTTCTGAAACATTATGTTTTTCATTCATACTCACATCACTGTGGCTCAGTTTTCAGTGACCTCAATTTTCTGCTCTGTTGTTTTTCAAATTAAAAAATACATATGGGCAGTTTCTTGACAAAGTCACACATTAAATAACATTACCCATAGATCATTATCCTGTGTGCACTCTGCCATTACCAATGGTTACCTGACCTTTAGAATTAAGGAGAGCATTATGAGCATCTATTGAGATATTATAAGCTGTAATATTATTAGCATTTCTTAGGGTCAGCTGTAATGTTTACATTGCAGCTATGCTGGTGTCTCGGAGAAGGACACGTGTGGTTGGTAAGTGGCCCTTGTCAAGTCCTCATGATGGTCTGATAATAATAAAGAAAGTAAATGAGGAAAATGCTGTCTGGTTCAGTGAGATAGGCATCTGTAAAGAAGATTGAGCACATATGAAGTACTGTGCCCTGCAAAGAACATAAGGAGATGCAGAGGGCCTGGCAGGATGGGTACCTCATCATTTAAATTAGGCAACCAGGGAAAACACTGAGGATCATCACCTGAACAGGAAGAGGCACATACATTGTTGGCAGAGGAATTTAGATGTGTGGGTTAAGCAGAGCCAGTATATATTTAAATAAAACAGTTTTCTAATCAGAAGCCTGAAATAAATTAATTAAATTAAATCATATTTAGTCTTCTTCTGAAGGACAATTGTTTCTAGTATTTGAAGAATATAATTAGGATGATTTCATGAATGTAATTATCAGCAAAAGTGATTGCATCAAGAACATATGAACCTTGTATGTTTCACTATCGAATTGGGATTTTGTGTGGAAGAAGAAATGATGTAATCCCAGCACTTTGGGAGGCCGAGGCAGGCAGATCACGAGGTTGGGAGATCGAGACCATCCTGGCTAACACGGTGAAACCCCATCTCTACTAAAAATACAAAAAAATTAGCCGGGCATGGTGGCGGGCGCCTGTAGTCCCAGCTACTCGGGAGACTGAGGCAGGAGAATGGCCTGAACCCGGGAGGCGGAGCTTGCAGTGAGCCGAGATCGCGCCACTGCACTCCAGCCTGGGTGACAGAGCGAGACTCTGTCTCAAAATAAAAAATAAAAAATAAAAAAAGACTATTGTTTAGCAAGGTTTCAGTAAGCACTCAATAAATGTTAGCTATTATTATAATCATCATCATCATCATTATTATTGTTTTCTTCCACCTGATGGTTATAATTGTGCTTGGTCAAGTTTACATTGATTCGCATGAAGCTCTTCATTAAAGGTAATAGAAATAAAGAACTCCTTTGTATCCAGCATATTGTCCCCATACTTGCCCTTTATTTTAGCTATTTAAATCACAAATGGTCCCCTATTAACTTTGATTATTTTATAGCAAACACTTGAACAGTCATCAGAAAACCTAGTTTCTAGTTCTATTCTGCCACTCACTATTGTGTGACCTAGAGAGAATCTTATTATTTCTGGGCCACAGTTAGAATAGATGTCTATGAGCCCTTTTCTTTTATTTCTTTTTCTTTTTTTTTTTTGAGATGGAGTCTCCCAGTTGTTGGCGTGGGCTGGAATGCAATGGCGTGATCTCGGCTCACTGCAACCTTTGCCTCCCAGGTTCCAGCAATTCTCCTGCCTCAGCCTCCCGAGTAGCTGAGATTACAGGCACCAGCCACCATGGCCGGCTAATTTTTGTATTTTTGGTAGAGATGGGGTTTCACCATGTTGGCCAGGCTTGTCTCAAACTCCTGACCTCAGGTGATCCACCCGCCTTGGCCTCCCAGAGTGCTGGGATTACAGGCGTGAGGCACTGCGCCCAGCCTGTGAGTCCCTTTCATATCTAATATTCTATGGGGTAGCTCAAGGGGCAAAATTTCAGGAAAAAAGCATTATAATATATTGCATTCACTTTTAATCTGTCCTTGGAAGTCACTTCACTTCTGCCTCAAGCAAGACCCACATCTTGTTTGAGGATGTCATTTAAGGGTAGCATTGCAGGCTGCAGAAACTTCCATTGTATAGTGTCAGAGTTGTGGATATCAAACATTTACTCAGGATTAAAAACGTGGCTTAACCTACTTGGAACTAAAATTGAACTTTAAGAAGCTATTCTATAACCAAGACATAGATAGTTGTTGTCTTCAAACTAGATTTTACTATTTGTAGTGCCTTTGACCTTCATGCGAATTCCACAGCAAATAGAGTCAACTTTTTTTAACTGTTTATCCCTGGGCAGTACCATCTGATATGAGTGGTATTCCATCAAAATGTGTTTTTTTCCTGAGGAAGTCTTGCTGTAATACATCATCAGCATGACAGCTAGTGTATTACATATTACAATAAAACATCCCCAGAGCAAAGGTACATGTGATGATGAATTATGATAATATGTTATTGTCATTATGTTATCAGCACTCAGAGAATGATTTAGTGAGATACATCATCAGTGAGTGAATATCTGATTTTGTATTACTCAAAAAATGACACCATCATGGAAAACCACAAGCCTGTTCATTTGATTAATAGGGTTAGTGATATTCCAGTGCCAGAACTCATGTATGGTGGTATATTAAAATGTCCTTTGAAGCTGAAAACAAGTTAAAGAAAGATGAGTCCATGAGGTGAGGTTGTAAAAGCACTGTCAATTTGAATACTATTACTGTAGACAGAGTGTACAGTTAAGTATAAACCAAAAGTCACCCTTGTCTTTTATTCAAACATTTGACAGTGATTTAGTTCTACTTAATTATCTGTAAGCCTGATAACTTCTTTCAAGAAGCTATCTATTGTAAGACCACCGGTTATGCTATAAATCTACAGTCTACAGGTGACACTTTATTTATTTAAGACGGAGTCTCGCTCTGTCACCAGGCCCGAATGCAGTGGCGCCATCTCAGCTCACTGCAATTTCTGCCTCCCAGGTTCAAGAGATTCTCCTGCCTCAGCTTCCCGAGTGTCTGGGACTACAGGCAAGTGCCACCATGCCCAGCTAATTTTTGTATTTTTAGTAGAGATGGGGTTTTATCATGTTGGCCAGGATAGTCTCGATCTCTTGACCTCGTGATCCACATGCTTCGGCCTCCCAAAGTGCTGGGATTACAGGCATGAGCCATCATGCCCAGCCCAGGTGACACTTTATAACGATATGCATTAATGCCCAAAATCACTGAACCAAACCAGACATATCACTAAACTTTGTTGTTGAGTGACAGCTAATTTATTCAGGATATAAACTGATCACTTTTCTTATAGAATCTTCTTTTGCACAGAACCTTGTACACATTAGGCACTGAAAAGATATTTACCAAGTTGAATCGATGATTTTTCACATAACTTTCTATATTCAAAATCACAGAAATCACAAGTCTGACACCAAACTTAAATTAGAATAGCCAGACACCATGGATTGCAAATAGAAAACAACTTCATTTTTCCCCAACACTGCTTGTTCCATCACGGTCTCATGAGCTAGTCATTCTGTATCTTGCCACTGCTTTCTAGCTAAGGTCTCAGACCCATTCATAGTGTGAGGGGCTATGAGAGGGAGAACAGAGAGCAGGATAGATCTTACTCCATTGGTGCTCTCTTGATCTGGCATTGATGCCCTCTGAGCTTGCTGAGTAATTAAAACTGACTTTTTCTCTCATGGAATTCTTTCACAGGTTCTTTGAGGACCTCCTTTCACTCATTATGCAAGTTTTTCCTCAAGATGTCTTAACATTCTGTACCTTTTAGTGCTTATGACTTACGTTTACCTCATTAATCTCTGTTTTCTAGCTATCATTCCCTTCTGTATTGGCACCAACTTACCCTAATAGGCATCTTATACTTTTGGACAAAATCCCTTTGAAGAAAACCTCTAAGCTGGCCCCACCTCATAAGAACCATATCTGATTCACAGAAAATAGATTCTTCTGGCACAGAAGAATGTATTCTTCTAGCAAAAACACAGCTAGATCCTAACATAATAATAATTATAATAACTAAATTTTACTGAGTGTGTACTATGGTCCAAGCGTTGCTACATGTGTTAACTTATTAAACTTCCTCAAAAGAGGAGGGTAGTATTATTATCCTCATTTTACAGATGAAGAAACTGAGGCATAAAGAAACTAATTTACCCACTGTGACAAGACCCACTGTTGGGAAAGCCAAGCCTCAACCATTGCTGGCCACAGTGTCAGTGTGCAGGCTCTTTGCGATACATAATTGTAAATTTAGTATTAGCACTCAATACTAAATTTAGTTTTAAAACTAGCAAAATATGGTTGTTCATCATTAGAACAGGTATTAATCAGTCAGTGCCTCACCTTTAAGCTTTTCCAGGCATAGACTCAAAACAAGTTCGTTGTATTTTCCTAAACCTCATCAGTGAATGAAATTTCTCCCCGTGGTCCTATTACAGCTCCTCACTGAATTTGAAATGAGGGGCGCCACAACACTCAAGCTGTGTTCTCCAAAAATAGTTATTTGTATCCCAGCCTTTTCTACCACAGTGATCTGGGTATGGAGCAATGGGTAACAAAACCAGTGTATTAGTTTCATTGTTTTTAAATTTCCTTTTCAAGCCTTGGAATAATGTAGGATAGGTTTATAATTTAGAATACTTGCTTATTATTAGTTTTTCTCTCCTTGGCCTTTTGGAGCCTCAGCCAAAATTGAGACAGAAAGAGTACTATTTTAACATCCTTTAATAAAAATAAAGGACATTTTCTGTAACCCAAAAGGCAAGGAAATGAGAATGTATGGCTTCTAGGAACAAGTGGGATGCTTCTTAGTCCGTCATGAAAACCTTAAAAGATGAATGTGTCACAGACCTCAAGAAATGTTTCAGGGTCATGAAAGGCATTTTTACTTCAGTTGATTTATGCGTGCAATTTCAGTAGGGCAGCCTGTGCTAGAGTGCTTCCAGGGATCCACTGGTTAGATCATGATGAAGGTGGCATCAAACTGTCACTGTTCAATTTGGCTTGGAGGTGTGTTATCAATTTCTGAAGCATCTAATATACTCGACTGAGCTGACAGGATGTGGCACATTGTGGGTCCCAGCAATCATTTTATGTCAATCTGTCCCATAGGTTAGGGTGCTGCTGGCTTTCCTCCCCAAACTGCTTCCACCTAAAACTTCCCAAGTTGACTCCCAAAATAGGTTGACTATTCACACCTGTTTTATACTCAGCGCCTGGCCCTAGTTTTATTGGCATGTTAAGAGAAGTGAAGTAAAATATTAATGATTTTTAAAGACAAAAACAAAGCATTAAAAGTAGATAGCCAATGCATGTTTTTTGTTTGTTTGTTTGTTTTTGAGACGGAGTTTCACTCTTGTTGCCCAGGCTGGAGTGCAGTGGCACAATCTTGACTCACCACAACCTCCGCCTCCCGGGTTCAAGCAATTCTCCTGCCTCAGCCTCCCGAGTACCTGGGATTAGAGGCATGCACCACCATGCCCGGCTAATTTTGTATTTTTAGTAGTGATGGGGTTTCTCCATGTTGGTCAGGCTGGTCTGGAACTCCTGACCTCAGGTCTGCCTGCCTTGGCCTCCCAAAGTGCTGGGATTACAGTTGTGAGCCGTCGTGACCGGCAGCCAATATATGTTTTCTTCATCTACTTACTAATAAAGAAATAGACATTTTCTTCAGAAGAAAAAAATGCATGATAATCAAACTGCTTCACAATCTATTTCTTGAATTAAAGGTTTTTTTTTTTTGTAAAACCGTATTTTGCCAACTACAAATTCCTCTTCCTTGTGGGAAGGAAGTTTACCTAAACTTGTCTTCTGTCTCTGAAGGCTGAAAAAGGAAATTCTAGTGCTTAAAAATGTGACACAATAAATTTCAGGATAACACAATAGAGTTAATGTGTAAAGCTCTGTACATTTATAGGACATTTTTATTCACGGTATTTTATTGCATTTTGACAAAAGGAGAGCAGTATTATATAAAGAAAAAGTACTGGTTTGAACTCTGAAGCCTGCATCTAAATCTTGAATATGGCAATTATCGGGCATGTGGCCCTCGACAATTTTCCTGCTCTTTCTGACCTTCATTTTCCTTGTCTGAAAATGGTGACAATCATTTTATTAACCATAAGTAAACTGAGTATAGGATCTCTGCCTTATTTATTTTTGTATCCACAAGTCCTCGCACGGTGCCTGCCAAACGGTTCCTGCCAATAAATTTGTCATGACAAGTAAATATGTCTGTGAAGAATTATTATCTCTCATTTACAGATTAGCAGATTGAAGCTTAAGATGTTTAAATGGCCCAGTGTTACACAACCAGTAAGGAAAATGCTATGGTCAGTTGTGAGAACAGGATCAAATTCTGGAAATTGTGACATATGTGGAGTCCAAAGCAGAAGCATTAATCACTGTAAAAGAGAATATCCAGATGCATATAGACGAGCAGGGTTCAGAAACACATACTTCTGGTTGTTCCATTGTGATAACTAGTTTGCTCCTCTTCACTTCCTGCAGATACTGACAATTAGTAACAAGTACTATGATGCAGCCCCTCTTGGTGATAAAGAATATAGGACAGGTATAATATATAGTTTCTCATTTTGAAATTCAAAAATGTTTTCATGAGTATATTCTACATAGTGTTCAGCAGAGACACTAATATGAAAAAGAAATAATACTAATAATTATTCTTACATGAGCACAACACTGTTGCAAGCACTTTGGGTGCATTCTCTCCTTTAATCCACCCAACAATCCTATAAGGTACTGTCATTATCTTCACTTCATAGATGAGAAAATTGAAGTATTGAGAGGTAAAGAAATTTGCTAAAAACCTCAGAGCCCATAAGTTGTGGAGCTAGGATTCGGATGTAAGCAGTGTGGTTCAAGAATCTTAACTCTTAACTTCTGTACTTTACTGCACCGTGTGGTGGGTAGAGAAACATAGGACACAATAACGGGAATCTGATAAACAGTTCCCAAGTCCAACATAGAAATTAAAACTTAAAACTGAGCAAGAATATAAGGCCTGTACGAATAAGCTATGTTCACAGAATGACCAAGAAACGTCTAGAAAACTTATGAAAATTAACTCCTTTTTAACCACTACTTCCCTTATGCCACCATTTTCTATAACACATGTTCATATAAGCATTTAACAAAATGTACTTTGTCTGAACTTGCCTAATGACTAGAATAAGTTCCCTGAATTTTTAAGGGATGGCAGAAATATTGATTATTTGGCAATTGCCTCAGCCCAAGTTCCCTGGAAAACAGAACTTCAGAATTTTAAATGATGATGCTTTATTTTGGAAGTACAAAACCAGGGCAACTGGATGGAGGGAAAATGGAAGTTTAGCAAGAAAGAATGTGAAGCAATACCACAACATATTACTGTGTTTGCTACTTCTTCATGTGGACCACAAAAAGCACAGCAATTAAGAGATGTGTTCGCTAACCATGAAGAACTTCTCCAAATGAGCTGTATGGAGAAAACACGCTTCAAAACCATTCATGTATGAAGAAAATGTGCTTCAAAACCACTCATGGAAAGAAGCAAGAAAGATGTTGCTGTAGAACTCTTTTCTGTCTCCTGTTCTCCAGTGACCAAAGTTCGCCATATTATGAATTAATTCCCCCGCGCTTCCAAGTTGAATGAAGTGTCTCCTTCGATGACCATGTGGGATGCCAGATACCACATTCTTCAGGGCTGTGTCACTGAAGTCCAGAAGTGGTAGAAGTCACAAATTCTGAGCTGCTGGACCTGGCTGGGTAGAGGTGAACCTGGCACTCCTAAGACAAGTGCCCATCAGCTCTCAAGGGTGGAAGTATTATCTAAGAAGCAGATAAAGCTAATGTAAGCTGACCCATTATTCCGTAATATTTGTGTAACTTTTAGGAAATCAACTTTAGCTTAGCTGAACAGAATATCTAAAGTCAAGGCTGCTAACAAAGAACTATCTCTTTTAAGGTACAACACCACCTAGGGTGTGGGATATGGAGGAAAAAGAAATACACCACACACACATACAGTACACATATAAAATATATGCATATATGTATATTATGTAAAATTGCCTTTGATATTACAAAATATTCAGTTCTGCATATTATAATCTAATCACAATCAATAGATGTACAAAGATGTAATTTTCTCTGCAAATTAGATGTGGTTTTTCAGAGCCAGCGTTCCCATCACTGGTAGACCAGTGCAGGCCAACCCTGACACAGCAGGGAAAAGAATGGGAAAGACATTAGGAAGGAATAGAATATTAGGCAACTCCACACAGGCCAAAGTCCAGGAGGCAGGTAGGTTGTGTCAGAGAGTGAAGAGAAGGATGTCCCTGTTGGTGAGAAGAGCACAGTATCCAGAGCATCTGTCAGTGGGTAATAAGTGGTTGTTCAGGAATGCAAACAATTTTTGTACTAGGCATAGTCTAAGTATTTTAGTGTGAAGGATTCCAGTATGAGTTTATTCTAATGGAACCTATAAACCAAATAGAGGAGGACAAATGTCCATATATGAGAAATGGACAGAGATTGGTCTGAAAGAACCAAGCAGGAGCTAATAGACAAAAGGATACCCACATGGTGATTCAGTGTTAAGTCTTACAGCTTTACAAGCTCCCTGTGTGGAGATAGTAGGGGTCCCAAAGCCTAAGAAAGAGCTCAGTATTGGCTGAATGTTCCATCTTGGGAGGATCAGAGGGTTTTGGGGGCAAGGAGTCAGATTAAAGGGACAGATGCATCATTTAATTACTAAGTTTCCTGAATTGGAGTGCATTAACAGTTATATCCTTTCAGCAAAAAATGTATTAAGCACTTATTATATCTGATATCTAATACATATTTTGCATTAACAACTAATAAAAATTCTATACTCTCGTATATTTTGATAGTCTAACATATTTATCTTCATCATGGATTATGGGTCATATATATGTATATATATATATATAATATCATTTCAAATAGTAAATTGTAATATGAGTACTATTTGCATTTGTCTGACAATGATATACCTACCTTCTTTTTTTATATATACCTACCTTCTTGACTATTGTATAGTATAATTTATACTTGTTGTTTCACATTCAGATTTATCTCTAATCCTTTCTTTCTTCTTTTCCATAACCCCTCAACTATAATGCAATCAATTCCTTAAATCATGGGTGATAGGAACAATGTATAGTGATTCCAAGCCATTTCCTCAAATTTATAAATTGAGTGCCAAGTTGAAAATAATATCAGGTATCTACATTTCCATTTAAATGTTCTCAAAGGTGGCCATTCCTGACAACTGGCAAGAGTATCCTGCTCTGACAGTCTGACCCTTACACTCCCATTAAATATAAAAACAGATCTGAATCTTTCACCCAGTTGTACTGTCAAGGCTAGTGTAACTTGCCTGTCATATAAAGCTCTTTGAATCAGCCTGCCAAGAAAATATGATTGTAGTACAAATTTTAGCATTCAGAAATATTCACTCCCCTTTCACTTACATGGATTTTGAGGGTCAAAACTATGCATTTTTATCAGGTGTTTTATTATCTTTCAACTTTTGTGAAGATCAATGTGTTAGAATAAAGAACTTTTTTCTCCTTTAATGCCAAAGTGATTTGGTATAAGGGAAATACTAATGAGCCATTATATTACTTATTGAAAGTTCCCATTTGACAAAATGAGAAAGTTTTATGTAAAGGATGGATGCAATCTTTAAATTCCATAATGCTTTTGGAAACTAAGCACCTGGTCAAAATAGATGAGCACTTAGAAAAGGGATAAAAAATATGGAACTTTGAATTTTCTTAGAAACCTGATGCTTCTTCAGCAAAAACAGAAACTAAAACTTCTGACATAAATGTAGCACAGAGAGAAACTTTTTCCCCATTCATTTTAAATATAATTGTGCTTATTATAATGCCTAATGATGATGGATGTTTGCATTTTTCTGTTATATAACAGTACTGCAATTCAATCACTATTTCTCTTATTATCATCATACCAGCGTAACCACTGGTACTTTTAGCAGGTAGCATGTAGGTCATTCTGGCTTCAACCCATGGATTCATTGAATCACTTTTATTTATTTATTTTTTTTACAGGTTAGATTGTAAACTCCATCATTTAACAGAATGAACTATTAAAATGTCTAGGATGTTATCTTAAAACAAACAAAAATCATAAATAAAGAAACCCAACTTGAACAGAGTTAGACTATTGACCCCATTTTATCATCAATAGCATGAACACCCACTGTACTAAATGTAAGAAGTCTCCGTTTCCTTAAATTATACAAGTTAATATTTTCTTTTTAAGAGATACTCAGGGAAGGGAGGGTGAGATCATTTTAGGGCTCATGAGAAAGAAAGATTGACAGCACTGGCTGAAGTCAGGCAGAAAGCAGTCAGCCCTCGGGAAGCATTTCTGACAGCTACGCTAATGCACTACAGAGCTGACGTGAAACTTCCTCTAGATTCCTAAAAGAAGCCATTTGGGAAGAGCCTGTTGATAATGCAAAACTGGGCCAAACGGTTCTGGTTGTGGACTGCTAGCAAAAGTCTACCCAAGACTAACGGGAAATGACTGACCTCATGTTTCAAATGAAAAATATGAGTATAGCTATCCTCAAATGAAAGGAGCTTTCCCACAAATTAGGATGTTATTTTTAAAAACAGCATATTGGATTTAACATCTCAGGTATTTTCCTACAAGTAGGTAGTTTTTTTCTTCTTGAATTCTCAGGGCTCTGCTTAAAGTTCAATTTTGTTTACCAGAAAAGTATAAGAACAAGTTTAATGCTGTAAAAGTTGTTTACTTAGAGCAATAATATGACAAACAGAACTGAATAAATAGCAACTTACACATCATATAAAGTTTTCCAGCCAACATTGGCTGTAAAATCACCAGTGAACTAGAAAACAAAACAAAATACAAAAATCAGGCTGAAGGATATAGATGAAAACCACCTTATCAAAAGCACAATCACATATATTATCTTGTTTTGTGCCTCAATAATGGATGAAGTTCATGGTAACAGTAACTGCTGTTTTTGATTCCTTGAATTGGTTCAGCAACTTGACCTTGGGTCCATTTAACATTGAGCACATGTGAAGTCCTTTGCCCTGAGCAAATTTGTTTTCAGGGGGAAAAAAGTAAAAATTGTTCGTATAGAATTTCATAACTGAGAGCACTAAAAAACAACCTTTCTGAGTGAAATTTCTTTCTTTCTCATTCCCAGTACATATATATATATGTGAGAAAGCAAAATGAACAAAACAAAACAAAAACAAAAGTTGAATACTTTTCCTTCTTGCCCTTCAGGTAAACTACTTACACTAGAATTTTTAATATAGACTAAATTATATAAAACATATGAATTAAATAGGAAAAAGTGGATTGCTTTTTAAATATGGCATTATTAATTTTAAATATCTATAGAAAATCTTTCTAGTCTAATTAGCAAGTCCTTAGAGGATGTGATGATTAATTTTATGTGTAAACTTGACTGGCCTAAGGGATGCCTGGACATCTGGTAAAACATTATTTCTGGGTGCAACCATGAGGATGTTGCAGGAAGAAATTAGCATTTGAATCAGCAGACAGCAAAGAAGATCTGCCCTCATCAACATGGGTGATGGGTGGGTATCACCCAATCCATTGAGACCTTGGATAGAACAAAAAGGCAGAGGAACGGTGAATTCTCTTTCTCTTCTGGACCTGGGATATCCATCTTTTCCTCCTCAGACAACAGAGCTCCTGATTCTCAGGCCTTCAAACTCTGACTGAATTGTACCATCAGCTTTCCTGGTTTTCCCTCTTGCCGATGACCTATCATGGGACTTCTAGGCCTCCATAATTATGTGAGCCATTTCTCATAATAAATATCCTCATATATCTGTCCATATCCTATTGGTTCTCTTTCTCTGAAGAACTTGACTGATACAGAGTATTTTCCCTAATACATAAATTTAAAGTGAATGTAAATGGTGCTTCTATAGTATGTGATGGTCTTCAAAAAGACAATTTTTCTAAATTTTTTTATTATGTTCCTTGTAATTTTTACATGACTAACTTTGACTCTCTATTTAGATTATTTAAAGCAGAGTAAATGGCATCCCGTTTTTATCTGTAATATGGGAAATATTAAATCATGACTGAAATAGATATATTTAATGTATAAAAATGTGGTGTCATGTGAATATTACAGAATTATGAAGTAATGTTACTAACTTTCTAGACATGGCAAGATTTTCTTATCTACTCTCCTATTTTCCTTCTATTTCCCCTTCAGCAATCCACAGAGCAGCCAAAGTGATGTAAAATAAAAATAACAAAACCAAACAAAAATGAAAATTTTATCATCCCCTTGCTTAAAGCCTTTCAATGGTGTTCCATTGCCACAAAAGAAGGTCCAAATGTATTTAATGCCCAAGGAATCTCTTCATGATCTCTCCCCTGCTTACTTCTCTAGCCTCATCTCTCCCCCTCCTTTATCTCACCTCTTTTCTCCAATTGAACTCAACTTCTCTCAGTATCTCTAAATCTTACATTCTCCTCTCTACCTGGATTAGTCTTCCCTCCCACATTTCCCATCCCCTCCTCTCTCACACCTCTTTCATTCATCTAACTCTATTCATCTTTCATAAGGTTCCAGCCTAGTCTTCATTTTCTCTGGAAGGCTCTCCTGACTCTCCACTATCATGGCGCCTCTCACATTTCATGGCGCCTCTCACATCTCATGGCATCATTTAGAAAAACCTGTTACATGATTAGCACTGTTGTGATTGTACACTACATCTCTAACATTCATTTAACCAATATTAATTGAGCACTTATTATGCTTGGGCTCATTTCTAAGCACTGAGAAAACATCAAAGAACCAAGCAAACAGTCTCTGCCTCAGGGAATTTATAATCTGTACACACACTGAATATTTGGCAGCAAGAACTGAGTGAAAGAAAACAGGACAGTAGAGAACAAAAGAAAAAGAACAGATCAAGAAGCGTATAGATTAAAATAAGAAAAAGCCAAGAGACATTCAAGATAAAAATGGAAAGGGCTCTTAGAAATCTGGATTGACCTTTTAAAAGACCTCACTCCACAATTGGATAAGCCCTCTTTTATTTTAAATCATCTTTTGCCACTGGCTTGTGATATCATTTGAAGATGATATAAATTATTTGTCGCTTCTTTCTACTTGCAGCCAAGTACATCCAGATTCTGTCATGTTATGCCACGCAGTGCTCCAGTGATGTCCTCCAAGAGCCATCTGCTGTCCACAATGAACAAGGCTTCAGAACCCAAATGATATACTTAAACCTGAGCAAAACAAGCTGGAAGCTTGTTTAAAAAGGCATTGCTTTGCCAAAATGTATTCACTGGAAAAATCTGCTATAAAACAGTGAATATATTATGCAAGTAAAATTAGACCTTTCAACCTGCTTGGTATGATGCATGATTGCACACATTTACTGTAGTTGATTCTGCCAGATTTAAAGTGATTTTATTCTTTTTATGAGACATTTAGTGCAAAAGGTCAAAAGAGAGATTTAGGATCCCTGTCATCCTTTTATTTTAGGAAAAAAAACACTCATTTACACCACTTTGGATCACAAGATACAAATCTTTAAGCCACAACAAACAAAGGACAATAACAAACAAAAAAGAAATCAAACCAAATTTTGTATAATTTTGCACATAAAAAAGTGACAGATGCAACCCAAATTATAAAATTCTGTTTTGTAGGAATGCGTTTCTAGTGATGGTAACATTGTGAAATCTCACTGCCTGCTATTCCAGTTGTCTAACCAAGTCTTCGCTGTCATGGCTATTGCTGCTGTCTCCAACTTCACAATCATCAGTTTTTCTTAGACTCTTAGTGGCAGCAATTTCAGACAACTTGCAATTTCTTGGACATGAGACGCTGTGTCGCCCTTCTGTGCCTCTTACTGTGAACTTTGTTTTCTCTGAAGGGGTGTCCTAGTCTTTTTGTCTTACTAGTCAAATTCTGACTTTTCTTGTCAGCTCTACCTAAAAGATTACCTCTATTCTGAAGGTTTTTGCCTCCTCACACAGCCATCCCAAAGAACTGATCCCTCCTTTGTTTTGTTGTTTTTTTTTTTTTGCTGCCAATTGAATCTGGTACAAACTTCTGTTAGACCCCTTACCCTCTGTGCTGTTATTATTTATTTATTTATTTACATCAATGTTTCTCTTACTGTAACATGAGCTCCCTGAGGACAAGAAGCATGTCTTCCTTGTGACTCTAGCACCTGGCATGTGAGATGTGTTCAAGAAACTCAAGACTAAGGGAATGAATGAATGAATGCCACCAGTGACCTTCAGTGCCTCTCTAGTGGTACCCTTTTTAAATTGAAAATTTAGACTGAGAAATCCCTGCTTTCTTTTTTTCCTTATCATTAATCAAAGTCATAATGATGACTAAAAAGGAACTGAAAGTCAAAATGTGATTTCTACTTATATAGTATAGTTCTGAGACTGTGCCTTTCATTTTACACCACTTTCCTAATTCATCCCAAGTCATCCTCCCAGCAAATAATCAATAAATTTACATTATAATCATAGCACCATACTAAATACTGTGAAGTAGCATTTAGTAAAAAGAAGAATGAAAGATCCTCCAAAACTCTTATAAACTTTCTGGGAGGACAGTACATTCACCTTTTAAAAATTCAAATAATAGTACGTAGAGGTTACATGATGCTAGGTGCAAAATGAGTGAGGCAGACAGTAAGTGTTATAGGCAGGCATAAGAGGAATAATCACTTTGATCATAAACCAGTAAGGATCTGAAAGTTCCATTGGTTTTAGAAATGAGAAAAGTTGAAAATACAGCATATTGTGTTGGAATAATGGAATGAAGAATAAAGGTTTGTATAAATTTTCTCAACTATGAACCTGAGGATGAGTAGACTGTCTTCCATTTTTTAATCAATTTACCCCAGCTTTAAAACCTACTTAAAATATAATATGATTTGGCTATATGTCCCCACCCAAATCCACCTCCAATTGTTATCCCCACACGTCGAGGGAGGGACCTGGTGGGAGGTGATTGGATCATGGGACCAGTTTCCCCCATGTTGTTCTCATGATAGTGAGTGAGTTCTCATGAGATCTGATGGTTTAAAAGTGTTTGGCAGTTCCTCTCTCTCTCTCCTGCCACCATGTAAGATGTGCCTTGCTTTCTCTTCTCCTTCTGCCATGATTGTAAGTTGCCTGAGGCCTCCTCAGCCATGTAGAACTGTAAGTCAATTAAACCTCTTTTGTTTTTACCCAGTCTGAGGTAGTTCTTTATAGCAGAATGAAAATGGACTAATACAGAAAATTGGTGCCAAGAGTGGGGTACTGCTATAAAGATACCTAAAAATGTGAAAGCAACTTTGGAACTGAATAATGGGCAGAGGTTGGAACATTTTGGAGGGCTCAGAAGGAGACAGAAAGATGTGGGAAAGTTTGGAACTTCCTCAAGACTTGTTGAATGGTTTTGACCAAAATGCTGATAGTGATATGGACAATGATATCCAAGCTTAGGTGGTCTCAGATGGAGATGAGGAACTTATTGGGAACTGAAGTCACTTGCTATGTTTTAGCAAAGAGACCACTGACATTTTGCCCCTACCCTAGAGATCTGTGAAACTTTGAACTTGAGAGAGATGATTTAGGGTACCTGGCAGAAGAAATTTCTAAGCAGCAGAGAATTAAAGATGTGACCTGGCTTTTTCTGAACAAATACAGTTATATGTGTACACAAAGAGATGGTCTGAAATTGGAACTTATGTTTAAAAGGGAAGCAGAGTGTAAAAGTTTGGAAAATTTGAAGCCTGACCTTTTGGTAGAAAAGAAAATCCCATTTTGGGGGAAGAAATTCAAGCTACCAGCTGCAGAAATGTGCTTAAGTAAAGAGAGGTCAAATGTTAATCGCCAAGACAATGGGGAAAATGTCTCCAGGGCATTTCAGAGATCTTCATGGCAGTTCTTCCCAACACAGGCCTGGAGGCCTAGGAGTGAAAAGTGGTTTCATTGGCTGGGCCCAGGGCCCCACTGCTCTGTACAGCCTGAGGACTTGGTGCCCAGTGTCCCAGCTGTGCCAGCTCCAGTCATGGCTAAAAGAGGCCAAGGTACAGCTCGGGCCATTGCTTCAGAGGGTGCAAGCGTCAGGCCTTGGTGGCTTCCATGTGATATTGGGCCTGCAGGTGTGCAGAAGACAAGAATTGAGCTTTGGGGGCATCTACCTAGATTTCAGAGGACGTATGGAAATGCCTGGATGTCCAGGCAGAAGTCTGTTGCAGGAGCAGAGCCTTCATGGAGAACCTCTACTAGTGCAATGTAGAGGGAAAATGTGGGGTTGGAGCCCCCACCCATAGTCCCTACTGGGGCACTGCCTGGTGGAGCTGTGAGAAGAGGGACACTATCCTCAAGACCCCAGAGTGTTACATACACCTGGCCCCATGCAAGTCAAAAAAAAAAAAAAAAAGCCACAGGCACTCAACGCCAGCCTGTGAAAGCAGCCAATGGGGCTGTACCCTGCAGAGTCACAGGGGCAGAGCTGCCAAAGGCCTTGGGAGCCCACTTCTTGCATCAGTGTGGCCTGGATGTGAGACATGGAGTCAAAGGAGATTATTTTGGAACTTTAAATTTAATGACTGCCCTGTTGGGTTTCAGACTTGCATGGGGCCTGTGGCCCCTTTGTTTTGGCTAATTTCTCCCATTCAGAACTGGAAGATTTACTCAATGCCTGTACCTCCATTGTATCTTGGAAGTAACTAGCTTGTTTTTGATTTTATAGGTTCATAGGTGGAAGGGACTTGCTGTCCCAGATGAGACTTTGGATTTGGACTTTTCAGTTAATGCTGGAATGAGTTACAACTTCGAGTGACTATTGGGAAGGCATGGTTGCTTTTGAAATGTGAAAAGGACATGAGATTTGGGAGGGGCCAGGGTGGATTGATATGGTTTGGCTCTGTGTCCACATATGAATTTCATCTCAAATTGTAATCCCCACATGTCAAGGGAGGGATTTGGTGGGAGGTGATTGGATCTTGGGGGCAGTCTCCCCCCATGCTTCACTTCTTGTGATAGTGAGTTCTCATGAAATATGATGGTTTAAAAGTATTTGGCAGATGCTCCCTCACTCTTACTCTCTTCTGCCACCATGTAAGACATGCCTTGCTTCCCCCTCACCTACCGCTATAATTGTTAAGTTTCCTGAGGCCTTTCCAGCCATGTGGAACTGTGAGTCAATTCAACCCCTTTTGTTTATAAATTACCCAGTCTGAAGTAGTTCTTTATAGCAATGTGAAAACAGACTAATACAGAAAATATGAGCATTTTAATAATTCTTTCAGCGAAAGTCTACCTTTAAAATAGATTTATTTGTATTAAACATATTTTGGTATTTCCAGCTCTAGGTACTTCCAGACATTTTTCCAAGTTCTTCTCCACCTTTGGGGGTGAGCCCTTCAGCCCCATCCTTTCCCTAGAGTGATGTTCTTCAGTCTTTCAGATGACTGTGCCCTCTTTCCTATTGAGTGTACTTCTGACTGAGTAGCTGACCCCAAACAGACTGCCTCTAAAGATGTCATTCTTCATCTTTTCTCTCCTCCTCAGATGATAGTCAGAGCTAGCCTTTCTGACAATGGTAATTTAAGGTCACTGTTCCATTCTAAACCAATATATCACAACACTACATGCAATAGCTGCAAAAGAAGACCTGCTGCTCAGATATGTTCCAAGCACTGTGGATCTGTCAGGAACAGTCTAACTTAATGTATAAAGAGCCTGTGGGCATAACAATGGCACAGGAAGCAACTGAGCTCTGCACTAACACTTCCTGTCTGTTTCCTTAGACAGAAGTGAAGGTTGTTCCCTCTGTTTTAATTCACTGGGGTATTACATATATTAAAAAATCATAGAATATTAGACCTTCATATGAACTACAAGATACAAGTCCAGTTCCCTCTATTTACAGAAAAATCTGTAACTTGCCTAAGATCACAAAACAGATTAGAGAAGAAAGAGGGCCAAGAAGCCAGGATTCAGCTCTACTGTTGTTTTGTCTCTCTACATTGCATGCTGCTTGTCCAAAACAAGCACCCCAGGATTTATGAGAATCACCCTTGTGTATACTTTGGAGTACTATTCAAGTTTTCCATTCTTTTTGGATATTTGTTTTTAAGCAGAGTTTGCAAATACTACTAGTATAAATATAGGTATGCTTCACTTTATGTAATTTATTTTCCTAATGACAGGATCTAAATCTTTTCCTCAAATAATTATCATCCAACCATGGATAGAGATAGATGGTGTATCAGTCAGCGATATGGTTTGGCTGTGTCTCCACCCAAATTTCATCTTGAATTCCCACGTGTTGTGGGAGGGAGCTGGTGGGAGGTGGTTGAATCGTGGGAGTAAGTCTTTCCCGTGCTGTTCTTGTGATGGTGAATTGGCTTCACAAGATCTGATGGTTTTAAAAATGGGAGTTTCCCTTCACAAGCTCTCTCTCTGTCTCTTTAGCTGCTGCCATCCATGTAAGACGTAACTTGCTCCTCCTTGCCTTCCACCATGATTGTGAGGCCTCCCCAGCCATGTGGAACCATGAGTCCACTAAACCTCTTTCTTTTGTAAATTGCCCAGTCTCGGGTATGTCTTTATCAGAAGCAAGAAAATGGACTAATACAGTCAGGATTCTCCAGAGAAACAGAACCATTAGGATATATATATATATATATAATTATGGGAATTCATTCCCGTGATTATGGAGGCTGAAAAGTCCCAGGATACGCCATCTGCAAGCTGGAGAACCAGGAAAGATGATGATATAATGCAGTTTTAACCCAAAGGCTAAGAAAAGGGCAGGGGCAGGGGAGAACTTGTATAGGTCCCAAAGTCCAAAGGTCTAAGAACCTAGAGTTCTGATGTTCAAGAGCAGCAGAAGATGGATGTCCCAGCTCCAGAAGAGAAAGCAAACTCACTCTTCCTCCACTCTTTTGTTCTATCTGGGCCCTCAGTAGATTGGATGATACCTGTCCTCAAGGAAAGCTTCTGTACTTAATCTACTGATTCAAATGCTAATGTTTTCCTCCAGAAACACTCTCACAACCACACTAGAAATAATGTTTTACCAGCTATCTGGTCATCCCTCAGGCCAGTCAAGTTGACACATAAAATTAATCATCACAGATGCTACAGGGATTAATCATTGCTTTGTATTAGTATTATTCTCACAGTGCAACCTGATAAGAAAGCAAAGTACCCACTCTTTAATGTTACACATCAAATTGATACCACTGATATAAAAATGCTTTATAAAACTGTCAAATGTTATATATCTGAAGAGTTATATTTTCATTAAAAATTTAATGTATTAAATATCTCAATATTAACAATTGCCAATGGCCTGGAATAATTAATCTTTCACTCCCCTTTATGATTTATGTTGTACATTTTTTAAAAATAAAATCCATTACTTTTGTGTTAATTTCCATAGTTCTTTGCAATAAATACTACAAATAAGAAACTTTAAAAATCATTATTTAAAATACACTGGGGAGGGTAGGCTGGGGTAGGTAGTCTTCTGTACAGCTGGGTTTAAAAAAGTGAGAGAGAGAATACCTCAAGAGAGATGTTAGAGAAGAGTACTGCTATCCAGATAAGAGTGGGAATAGTATTTCTTAACTCATTTTAACATATTATCAGCTATCCCCCTGAGTCTTTACCATGCAGTATGTTTTCAAAACCATAAGAAGTGATAGGTTGTTTTGAAAAAATTGCCTGTACTGTCAGTAGTGTTTAAGTTATCTAAACTCAGATACAATGGCAGTTCTCATAATAAAGTACATATTTATTCTCCCACACTAAAGTAGCATTGTGTCCTACATTATCTACCTTATAGGATGAAATAGAAAATCCACTTTTACAGATGTCCCCCAGAATAGTGTTACTCACTTAATGATGTAGCACCTATGTTCTCAGTGAAAGAGAATACTGAGAAATAGATGGCAATGAATTATTTTCAGGAGCAATTTAAGAGGAAGCAGGTGAAAAGGATCCTAATTCTTCAGGGTTTGAATAGCACGATAAGCAGTGTTTTATTACAGGAACAACAAAAAATTAGCATTCACTGAGCTGCTTATACATTTAAACAATGAATAAAAATGTAGTGTAGTTCTAAGTATTGCAAATGAGGAGAGGAGGAGGAGAGTCTTTCCATAGTTAAGAATTTTTTTAGCAAGTAGAAAACAAAGCTGATGATTTAGCTATTCATGTTTATTTGAAATTGTTTCTCATCTGCCCCTATTCTCTATGAAAAATACACTGTAAAACAAATTTCAAAAGGAGATAATTGTGTATTTCATAATCAGATGGAAGCGTAGGCTTAGAGTTAGGGTGGGGGAGGGATAGGGCAGCAACACCGACAGGGCCAGGAAGATAATGGAAATAGGTCAAGTGTGTCTGATGAAAGACTTGGTGAGAGGGTGGAGCAGACGCTCTAGAGAGCCCATGCCCTGTCTAAAGACATTTAGTTTCAGTTTAAGGAAACAAAATAAAAATAACTTAGCCATGAAAAGCCTAAATTCAGACCTTTTTCAACCCAAGGACCAATAGTTGGTGAGCTCTGGGTTCATGAAATATAAAACCCTGAGACCTCAGTGAACACCCTCATGAAGATCCTCAGCACACATAATGAAAACCTCAAACAAGGGAGAAAAAATCTCATATAAGATTTTTTAAAAATTTAGTTTCATATGTTTGTTACCTAAAACAATGCTGTTTACCATCGATTTCTGCAGTGCTTATCAGCTTATAAAAATTGGTTATTAAGAACCAATATTTTAAAAATACTGTGCCAAAAAAAGGTTCTTTTGCTTAGGGTAAGAGTGTTTTTAATCTGGCATCTGTGAATCTTGAGACATTGATACGAAATTGTGTGCCCCTGCACAATCCCATGTGCATGCATGCATGTCTGTACACATATGACTGTGTCTACATGTGTATTTCAAGGACAAGCGTTTCATAGCTTACCTAGTGTGCCATGACCTCAGAAAGAGAATAGAAACACACAGGAAAAGCAAGCAATCCAGACACAATCCTTATCAGGCTGGTCAAGCTGCAGACAGAAGTCTGGCCTGCCAGCACTCAACCATAAATGATATTATATGATGACAGAATTCTACCTGTGAAATATTAAGATGAATGCAATTTGTCTCCAGTCTTGGAAGGGCACTGGGAGGACAATGGCAGGGGTTTAAGCATGGGACTAAACTCACTGGACCAAGACACACAGATTTCCTTGAACTGGGCAAGACAAGGTCTAAATTACTAGAACTGTGTCAGAGACTGTCCATCAGCAGAATTGACTTTGCACCTCTGACTCCTAAAATCTGCTGTTTGAGAAGATCATCCCTAAGCCTGGGCATGGTAGGGGTGAGTTCAGTGATTCCACATGAAGGAATTGAGATGCTGATCTGGGCTGGAAGCCAAATGAGTCCAAAAAAAGACAAACTTTGGATACATAATTAAGGAAACAGATAACATTTACTGAGTGTACACTGGGTGCTGGCTGCTAAGAGGTGCTTTATGTGTACCATCTCATTTAATCCACTTAACAAATGTTATCTAGAAGCCAAAATATGAGAAGTTTCTCCTTTGTAGCTATAAATGAATTCATTCCACTATTAGCCTTCAAACTTTCTTCAAGTAAAGACAGATATTATTTCCATATTTCAGAAAAGGACAAA
The DNA here is from genome assembly GCF_000001405.40 of Homo sapiens. Taxonomy (NCBI): domain Eukaryota; kingdom Metazoa; phylum Chordata; class Mammalia; order Primates; family Hominidae; genus Homo; species Homo sapiens. Next base: position 97,714,436 of record NC_000003.12, read on the forward strand.
ACTTTCCAGAGTACCAAAGTTTCCCTAAATTTGTAAATCTCAATAAAGGAGGAATACACATGCCTCTCTGAAAGAGGCTGGGCACATAGTTTTAAAACACATGCACAATATAATATCGTTTTACACTATAAAATAATTTGTTGATTTGGGAATACAAACTAGGAAGTGATGCACGAGAGATGGATTTCTTTCTCAAGATCAGTGATTCTCAAGAGTAAGAGGACTATCCCCCTAGTTAGGGTTGTCTGTTCTAACTAGTGAATTTGAGATCATTCTGTGACTTGCTGTGACTTTTTGGGACACCATAGTGAATTAAGGCAGAAGGCCCCAGAATGCTGACCTCTCCACAAAAGCTGCTGAAACGAGACCACCTCTGCCACACATAATCCCACCAACAAGAAATTATAACTTAAAGTCATCCTCCAGTAAGCACATTAATGCCTTCTTTGTCTGACATCAGTAAGACTCCATATGATAAGCTTTCCAAATAACCAATGGTTACCCATTAAGAGTTAAAAAATAAAAAGAAAGAAAAAGTCAAACCTTGGTTTCAAACCTTTCCAATATATATTATTCATGCTGTTGTCTTCTTAAACAAAGTGTTTAAGTTACTTTCCCTCTTGCTTACCACTCACGATCACCACTGTAACCATGAATTATTGGCCAGGGATGTAACCTAAAGTGTGCTTGCCTCCTTTTCTGTCTGCCATCAGGCTGTCTGCTCACACGGTCTTGGTACCCACTCGTATGGCCTATCTCTTTACAATTTAATGAGAGCTGAGAAATTGTGGGCAAATGTCAAAACTCATTATAGTTTACTATTTTATGGTCATTAATTCAAATCCCTTCATTTTGCAGTTCTGAAATCTAAGACTCCGAGGATTAAGCCTTGCCCAAGGTCACACAGTGAACTATAGTAAAGTTGCATCTTACAATTTGTATTTCAGAAAGAAAAATATTGTTTAGTCAAAATTGCTCTTAAGGATTTTTTAAATTATGCTTTAGTATAATATATACTCATTAATTGAGTACTATAGAGATAGATTGAGAACAGAGCAAAAGTCTACAGACAGATTACTGTCTATTCAAACCGTTCACCTTCAAGATAACCATCAAATCTAGTAAATGAGAAACAGAGAGAGACATTTTAAGTGTTCTTGCTTCTCTACAGAATTTTTCCATTTGGTTCCAGTATTAAGCCTCTGTATCCTTACTACATTTCAATTGATTGGTCTCTCCTCTGCAGATTAGAGGCTTATATAGTAATACTCAGGTGTTAAATGCACCTATAATACAACTCCACTCTGGGGATATAGGGCAGACAAAGATACACAAATATACAGTACTTCTTGTTCCCTCATTAGCACTTTTTCAGCTACAACTACCTACCTATTTATCAGACAACAATCTCTGAATATGACTTGGAAAACAAAAACACAAAAGTTTTACTAATAAACATTTTAGTACCCCTCCAGTTTACTTATTTCCTGTTTTTCTTTTGTTCCCTAAGTTATTAAGTTTGCTCTGTAAGAGAAGTATTAGTAAATGAGAAGCCATTTGAGTTACATTCAGTCACTTTGATTAGCATCTTTGGTAATTTTTTTCTCTCTCATAAACATATGGTAAAGCAACATGTAATGTTCCAATAATTGTGATTTCAAATCTAAAGTACTATTTGTTCATTCCCGAAACCTGAAGCAAACATCTGGTGGTTAATGCTTTAAGAAAAAAAGTACCTTAGTGCATTACCTCTGTATATGATTCAAGATCATGGGCAAAAATATGTAGATGAGATCAAGCCACAAAAGTTTAAGTTGATCCATTCAATTAAAAAAGGAAAAAGAAAAGATGGGCCGGGCGCGGTGGCTCACGCCTGTAATCCCAGCACTTTGGGAGGCCGAGGCGGGTGGATCATGAGGTCAGGAGATCGAGACCATCCTGGCTAACAAGGTGAAACCCCGTCTCTACTAAAAATACAAAAAATTAGCCGGGCGCGGTGGCGGGCGCCTGTAGTCCCAGCTACTCGGGAGGCTGAGGCAGGAGAATGGCGTGAACCCGGGAAGCGGAGCTTGCAGTGAGCCGAGATTGCGCCACTGCAGTCCGCAGTCCGGCCCGGGCGACAGAGCGAGACTCCGTCTCAAAAAAAAAAAAAAAAAAAAAAAAGAAAAGACCCAGGTGCTTCTGTGTTTCCTCTAATGTAAGGAACGGAGACTATGCAGTGCCTGAAGGACTTCTTCCTTTCTGCCTCATCTTGCAATTAGATATAAACTGTATCCCGTATATATCCTCCCATTGGAACAAAAGATGTGACTGCTTCCCTATCCCTATTCCATGTATGCTCAGAATTATTCCAGTTTGTGCATACCATCAGGTTCATATTATCATGCATTTTGTTAATTCAAATTCTATTTCCTACATTAAACTTATGTCCCATTTTTTCTTGTTTTATTTTAAGATTTATTCCAGTTCATACTTTCCATTTAAAGACAGCAGTTGTTGGCCAGGTGTGGTGGGCCTGTAATCCCAGCACTTTGGGAGGCCAAGGTGGGTGGATCACTTGAGGTCAGGAGTTCAATATGGACCATCACCATGTTGGTCAGCCTGGCCGACATGGTGAAACCCTGTCTCTACTAAAATACAAAAAAATTAGCTGGGCGTGGTGGCAGGTGACTGTAATCCCAGCTACTCGGGAGGCTGAGGCAGGAGAATTTCTTGAACCCAGGAGGCAGAAGTTGCTGTGAGCCAGGATCGCGCCATTGCACTCCAGCCTGGGCAACAAGAGTGAAACTCCATCTCAAAAAAAAAAAAAAAAAAAGACAACAGTTGAAATAAAATTGGAAATAAAGTTGCACTGTCCATTTTGTAATGTTGTTCATTTTAACAAAGTGTTTTGAAAAAAAAAATTTTATAGTGGTAGTGTATTAGTCTGCTAGGGCTGCCATAACAAAACACCACAGACTGGGTGGTTTAAACAATAGGAATTTATTTCTCACAGTTCTAGAGGCTGGAAGTCCAAGATCAAGGTGCTGACAGCTTGGCTTCTCCTAAGGCCCCACTCTGTGGCTTACAGATGGCTTCTTCTTGAGGATGGCCTCAAATGGCTTTTTCTCTGTGCCTGCATGCCTCTGATACCTTTTCATCTTCTTATAAGGAAAGAACAAAGTCATATTAGATGAGGGCCATACCCTTATAATTTTATTTGACCTTAATTACTTCTTTAAAGACCCTATCTCAAAATATAGTCACAGTGGGGGTTAAGGCTTCAATGTATGAATTTTAGGGGAACACAATTGAGTTCATAACAGGGAGCAATGCCATTAATCAAATATTCTGTAATACCTTCCCCTTACAGAAAAAAATAAAACCGTATGAAGGAAAGTGATAACGTTGTCACTTATATGTGATATCAAATTATTCAAAATATAAATTTATATGTGAATAATTTATATGAAATATCATTTATAGGTGAATGAGTAAATGAACATAAAATAACCATTAACTCTGCTTTTTGACCTATCTTAATAGAACCCACAAAGATTTAGCAAAGGAACAGCCAGGCAGGCTAGCAAGTCACACTCTTACATATTGTTTTCTGGAACAAAGAAAGATCCAGCATGAGAAATGCCAGATGGGACTGCTGCCCTTGCCCTTGTATATGTTCTCGGGTCAAATTGACAAATTTGGACTTTGTTCTCTGGAAATGTGGCTTCCATATTGGAAACAAACCTGAATCTTACTTAAATAGCTCAATATGCAGAGCCACAAGACTGAGGCACTTTAGTCACAAACATACAATAAAACAAGAATACTCTAGTATTGGTGCACAAATACAAGTAGAGGTATCCTTACCCCCTTGTGAAGATCACACCCATTTTTTAGAACATGACTTTATGTCCAATTGGATCACTTGCAGTGTTCTCATTTCTGAATTTTTTTAGTGCTTTGGATTAGGGTAGATAGATTTAGTAAATAAAAATATAGAGTGCCCAGTTAAGTTTGAATTGCAGATAAACAATGATTTGGTTTTTTTTAAGTATAAATATGTCTCATATAATATTTGGGATGTACTTATACCAAAAAATTCCCTTGTGGAACATACTTATAATGAAAAATTATTTGTTATTTATCTGAAATACAAATTTAACCATGAGTCCCTTATTTTATCTGGCTACCCTACTTTGGGTTCAAGAATGAATTTTCTCCCCTTGCAACTCCCTGCCCCCCAACACTCTTAAGCTACTGTCACCAACTTTGTAAATTTAATTCCCTAGTCTTAATTTGGTGCTGCCTTTAACCTCTGCCCCAATGCATGAAAACCTCGGGCTTCAGGCTTCCTTCTATTGGGCTGCTTTGATATGTGGTTACAGAATCCCTGTGCTTAAGTATTACATCTTTACATCATATGACAGCATTAATATACATAAGGTACTCAATAATATGGTGAGAAATTTCTAAACCTTGAAATTTCCAAGCCCTGGGCTCAGTTTGCTCACTTATAAAATCAAGGGAGTGGATTCAAGGTGTTTTCCCCAAGGTTTCTTCTAACAATTCCATGCTACTAGTCTTTGAAATGAGTGTTCCATTAATGCTCTCATTTGCCTTGTAAAACCTAAATTGTTCCCATTTTGGATGAATCCGTTCCCGCCCCCCCCACCCCCCCCCCCACCCCCCCCGCCGCGGTAAGTAGTGTTTAGATTACTCAATTAATAGTTTCACCTTTAAAGATATTTAACTTAAATTCCTTAAGGGCCAAAGAACACACTTTTCTTTCCACCCCTACTTGCACCAGGCTTTGCACACAGTGGGTGATCAGATTATGTGATCATGATCATGGACAATGTTGAAACAATCCCTTTGTGGTGAGCTCTGACTGTCAAAAATAATTTTTGTTATGAACCTAAGCCACCTCCACGGTTTAAGACAGCAATCTGGGAGCCGCTCATTGTTCTCTTCCGCCATCTAGTGGCGCTAGGGCTGCTTTCGTCCCTTCAACTCGCACTTTGGAGCTGCAGGGATTTTAAAATTGTAAATCAAATGGATGAATTGTTTTATTCTTGTCATTACAGTAAAAAGGGATTTATAGAGTGTTTCAAGAGATAAAAGGTAATAAATGTTAATAAAATTTAAGTGTAATACAATGGCAGACTTTAATTCTTGAACCTTTAAATTCATACAATTTAATTCCTTTAATATGTTAAAATGTTAAGTTGAAATTGAAGAATAAAAATATAAACTATATTAAAGTTTTTGAAAGAAAGATTATCCTTTCAAGGTGCGCTTATATACTGGTTAAGAATGTTTTCATATAAAATAAATGTAATCATAGCAGATGTAAAGCAAACAAAGGGAACAAATAAAATTCTGGTAAGTATTGAATTGGTAGAGAATGTTTCCGTTCTGTATTTAAGCACTTGTCTTCAATTAAGTTAGAGATTATTCTCATTATTATTTATAAATGCAATACAATGTTTAATGAGTGTTGAACGATATTTAGTTTTAATGTCCTATAATCTGGAACTTTCTTCAAATGGCATTATAGAGGGGTTAATTGTGTGAATCTAAAGTAAAAATAAATTTCTCTAATGAATGAAATAAAATATTTCTGAAGTGTGACTTATTTCCCATTAAAGCTATTTTTACTGAATAATTATAGGAAATGTTTCTGACATTTTAACATTATTCTGGCTTTCTTTTGATTTTAATTTAAAATGCCAGTGCTATTATGAAGTATTTAGATCTTTCTAATAAAAAATATTTAATTGGAATACCATTTTGTTTTTAATACAACGATAAGCCAGCTAAGAAATCTCCAATTTGTTTTCCAGGGTGGAAAAATCCCCATAAGGTGGACAGCCCCAGAAGCCATCGCCTACAGAAAATTCTCCTCAGCAAGCGATGCATGGAGCTATGGCATTGTCATGTGGGAGGTCATGTCCTATGGAGAGAGACCTTATTGGGAAATGTCTAACCAAGATGTAAGTGCTACCGATAGTTAAACTGCCATTTTGTGAATGTAAACACATTAGCTTGAGGGGGAATTATGCCTTTTGTCCTCACTCAGATTGGCCTTTATCTTCCTGAGAACTTCTCATGGTCTATGGCTGAGTTTGAGAAGCTGAGTAACCTTTCACTCTGAGCTGTATTTGATGTCCTCAGGGACAGCTGCCAGGCTGTGCCATGTGAGTGCCTGATGCACATGTTACATCTCAGATTTCCATGCTTGTTCTAATGAAGTCTGACTGTGTTTGTGCAATAGCCTTGACCTACAAGTAAGACAAAAGAAAGAGTAATGTTTACTTTTCGTTTCTTCCTTAGGGCAATTCAATGCAGCACTGTAAAGAGCAAATCAATTTAGACTAGATATCACTTAGAGGGAAAAAAGTGAATGCTTTCAGGCAATGCATTATCAATATGTGCCATCTAGTACGGTTCTTTTGATATGCATGACCCCTAATGCAAACTGTTTTGTTTCTATTTTATCTATAAAACTACCTTGGTGGTTGATACTATAATATTATAGAACAGGAGAATTCACACATTGAACCCCTGTGACCTATCCACAGTGATAGAGACAGTATTCAGAAGATGCAGATACTCTGACAATGCAAATAAGTGTGCTGTCAGAGCTGACATTATATTTTAAGTTCCCACTTCCTCATCTCGAAATTCAGGCTTTGTCTACTCACCTGTTCTTCTCAAACTATAAGATGGTTTCTGATACAATGGTAATAAGAAATCACCTATAATGTGATTCTGAATGTTCATAGGTGAAAACAAAGGCTACGTAACTATAGATAATCCCTAAACACTATTGCCACATCTCATTTATTTTTGCCAGTTTTAACACAACTTAAGCAACCCACACACACCTCCACACCTCATACTATCCCAATCTCAAGTTGTCCAAGTATCTTAAGGACTTAATCACAGAGAAAATTTATCCTTTTCTAATGTCAGGCATAGATAAGATTGGATTTTGGTTGGCTGGCCATGGCTAGTGTTTCTCCCTGCCATACAGTACTGCTTTTGAAGCTGACTCCTTAGTACTGTGGGTGTCTACTGACTCTGTGGAAAATGCTAGGTCCAGAAGTTAACGTAGCAGCAGGTTTGAGGCCAAACACACTGCTCAGTCATTGTTCTCCAAAGCACAACATCAAACTGCAAAGCCAGTGTGGCTGGGCCCTACAGAGCATTTGGCCTTAAGGACAAAGTGCATCATAACCAGCAACCTTTGCTCCACCCCCGCAACACTTAGACTTTTTGGATCTGGGCCATTTGCCTACAGTCTGCTATTCATCAGGGAATCATATTTGAAGGACTCCTTTGCTCTTCCCTGCCATTGGGCTTTGTTTGGGGCAGTTCCTGGCTGCTTTTCCAGTTTTTCCTAAAACTGAATTCCAGAGGCATAAATTTGTTCCTTCACTTTCAAAAGGAACCCATATTTGGGGATTTTGTTTGTTTGTTTGTTTTAACCAGTTACCTTAGGTAGTAAAAGCCCTGGTTTCAGTCACCATAATTCCTCTTCTGCCCTAAACTCAAGATAATGCTTGCCTGCTTGTCCTATTTTAACACAACCAAAATAGGCCATTCAAGCAAATGCCCAGAATAAAAAGTCCTTCTCCTCCAGATGAGTTATAGTCTTCACTGCACAGAAGAGTCTTCAAGTACCCTCCCTAATTGGTATTCTATTTGGTTCTTGTCTTAACCAGTTCCCAGCAGACTTAAATCAGAGGGCCCAAAACTTTACTAATATACTGGTATCAGTAAGAAGTTCTTGAGCATCCATAGATGGCATATGTATATTTATTTGCAGATTATATACAAGTACTACTGTACTAATATATTCATTTAAAACTATTTAGTGAATGCCTTCTCCATTCTAGGAACTAGGCTTTCACCAGAGAACACATATTACATTTGGAAGGGACTGTAAAGATTATCTAGGCCAATCCCTTTATTGGTCATGAAACTGAGGCATAGAGAAGTGACATATTTCCTTAAACTCTCATAGTGGTGACTTATTAATGCTCTTAGAAAATAATTCCAATAAACTTCTAGACTAGGTCATGGGCAAGGAGAAGAGGAATAATTGTATCTTTCATGGTGGTTTTGTTTACAGTCCATGTAGCTCCTCACGTAGGGCCAGTGGTTTCTTGCCCTCATGGAGCTTACTTTCTAATGGGAGGGAGATAGACTATAAACAAAATCGATAAGAGACATAGTATATAACATGATAATCACTGCTATGGGGGAAAAAAGCAAGAGAAGAGGATAAGAGATATTGGGTTGTTGATTTAAATATATATATATATTGCAAAATATATTCATAAAAGTCATTTATGGTCATAAAAGTAATAATCATTCTAATTAGACATTCATAAATAATCATTCTTATAATAGGAGGATACAAATAAATATAAAAAGCAGTTCCATGATTTTTCCTGCCCCCCAGATTATGGCACCACCCATTTAGTAACCATGGCCACAGTTATGTGGACTATAACTCAACCATGAAAGACACTTAACTTTAAAAGTGCCTCACTTTCAATAAGTACAAGAAAGGGGTGAGATGATTTTTAATATCCACTTTAACAGTAACATGCTATGATTTTATAATCTCTGAAGAAATATTTATTATATTTTTCTCAGCAAATGGAATAAGGAATGATTCATAATATTCTTTTCTGATGTTTAGGACTTTTCTGAATCTCTGCAGAGGTGCCAAGAATTAGATAGGATGTCCACAGAGCAGAAGGACAAATGAAGATGCCAGACCACAAGACAGATTTTTTAGGAGAGCAGCTTTTGCCCAAATGTGTAGTTTTCAACATAGTCCACCATGTAAATTGTTCTTAATAATTGTAGCCTAAAGCAGTCCAAACCCTGTTGTCCATCATCTTTTCCTGGATCTTGCCCAAAAGGTTGCCCAGCCATTCTGGCCATGTATATTGGTGATCTGTGTCCAAGACGACCATTTAGAGAGTGATTTTTGTCTATTAAACCTCATTTGGCCACAGAGGCTCTATCTGGAACCTGGAGAAGATGCTGCAGCCAGGAATAGAGTTCCAACATTAAGCTCATTCTCATTCGTTCAGGATTGCCAATGCTCACAGCACAAGGCTGAACTCTTCCTCCACCCAGAGCTTGATTGTTTTTCCACTAGGTAGGGTTTAAGCTGTTGTATTGTCATGGTCTTGACGTGCATTACCAAAGAATATTCAAGCAAGAATCTGGGAAAAGGGGAAAAAAGAGGATGGAGGCCTGGGGGGTGAAAAAAAACCCAAACCTTGAGGTCCTCACATCAATTCAAGACTACAGGAAAATAGTAGGAGCTAAAATCTTTTATGTATCTTGTGAATATTTTTGCTGCTGCAGTAAAGAGAGTTGAAATTCTGTTTAGCTTCACATATTGGAAGTCAGCATAACTGTGACAGATCCTATAACCAGGATTTTGTTTGGAAGCAGAAATAGCTTAATCAAAAACTTCCCAGCTGCTCTTTCCAAATACTGGCTATTCCCTATCTGTCCTGCATTTCTCATTTATTTGATCAAAATACAGTATTACATTTGACTTTTACCAAGCAAGGCCTCTTTTAAATGAAAATGTGATAGACAATACAAATTTGACTATGTTCTGTGAGAATATTTTATATTTTTACTACAATTTGGTGAGTTTAACAAGGCTATTCATACAGATCAAATGGAATGTTACCATGTTTTATGATTTTAAATTAGTTTAAGAAATTTCAGATTGTTTTTATGAGTTTCTCCGTTCTGCAGACTGTTGTATATTTTATTACAATGAACAATTCTGAATCTGCAGAATCTGTTTTAGTGAATAATATAATGAGTTTCCCAAAGGTCAGTGGTATTATACTTTAGGGAAAGGAAATGAGAAAAAAAGAGTACACAGAACTAGTCCATAAAAGACCTAACAAAATATAATAGCAGGTACCATCTGCTTAGCCATTCAGCAGTTAAGCATGCGCCAGTCATTAGACCAAATGTGTATGTGGGGTGGGGATGGGGAATTAGAAAATCCAGTTCTCAGTAGGCCAAGCATAGTAGCTCACACATATAATCAATGCTTTGGGAGGCTGAGGCAGGAAGATCACTTCCCAGGAGTTCCAGACCAATGTGGGGAATATAGCGAGACCTTGTCTCTACAAAATATAGAAAAAATTAGCTGGGTGTGGTGGCGCACACCTACAGTCACAGTTACTCAGAAGGCTTGAGCCCAAGAGTTCCAGGTGACAGTGAGCCATGATGATGTGTCACTGTACTCCAGCCTGGTGACAGAGTGAAGTCCGGTATCTTTTTTTTTTAAGGGAAATAAAGTAAAAGAAAATGCAGTTTTCACTCTCAAAGAACCCACTATGTAGGTAATGAGATAAAATTCTGGTATTTTTAAGTGTTATCCCCACCCCCAAATAGAATGTAGACTCATCAAGGGTAGATTCTGTGCCTTCTACTTGTTTTTTAAATGGAAACAATACTGTGTGAAAACACAGTTATTGTTTAATAAATATATATGCCAAGAAAGCTTGCAGGCCCTATTTTTCAGGGTTCTTTTGATTACAAATGAAAGAAATGTAACCCAAAGTAACATAAGCAAAAAGTAGGAAATTTTTTCATCATGAAACTAAGAAGGTGGTCCAGCATTGCTCAATCCAGAGGCTCGTGCAGGATTTTTAGTGCTTCACTAGGTGCATTGACCTCATTCTCTCCTACTGCTAAGTTCTTCGCTGTCTGCTTCTTTACATTCCAGGGCTCAGTATTCCAGCTTTGCAACCCCAGCAAAACGAGACCTTCTTTCTGTGCAAATTCGTACACAAATCCCAGAGGAGATTCTGGCTGGCTTTGTTAGGACCTTGCCCCACACTAAACAAAAACCATGCCAGGGAAATGGACACTATGATTGACCCAGCTAGGTTTATATGCCAGTCTGTGCACTTAGAGGTGGTCAGAGCATTGTAACTGGCAGTTTCCCCATAATTACCTCTAGTGAGGGAGGAATTCCCCAAAGCAATGCAGTTGTGCTATCAGAAGGTGTATATTACTTTTTTGGTATATATCGTTTTCAAGAGCAACTTTATTTACTGCAGTATCAAATAACAGCAAAATATTAACATTGTGCATCACTGTATTCTAATGAGGCAGCAGATGTTATTGAAAAGACCAGTCGGGCTTTAGAACAAGATCTCTCAACCTTAGCACTATTGACATTTGGGGCCAAAAAATTCTTTGCAGATAAATATGTTACATGCTTTGCAGCACATTTAGCAGCATACTCAGCCACTAAGAAGCAGATGCCAGTAAAACCCTCCCACACTGTGACAACCAAAAATATCCCAGATGTTGTCCCGTCATCAACATAAGATGGAGGGGAAAATCACCCCCAGTTAAGAGCCACCGCTTTCTAGCTAGAAAGATCTGGGATCGAATCCCAGATCCACAATTCACTAGCCATATAATCTTAGGCAAGTTGTTTAAGCTTTCTGAGATACTGGGTATACTGAGGTTCAAAATACCCAGCTCTGGAATTTGAAAGAATTAGAGATAATATATGTAAAGTACCTGGTACATAGGTGTTTAATCAATGGTAATAATAGCTTACATTTTCTGGTCTTACTATGAGCCAAGTATTTTATATTATTAGCTCATTTAATTTTCAAGATTATTTTCTGTTGTAGGTAACCATTATTATTCCCATTTCTAGATAAGATAACTGAGGCTTATAAAGTACAAGTAGCTTACCCATGGTTACATAGCTGGTTACTGATAACACCAAAGTTCAGGCCCCCTGCTTACTCCTAAATGCATGCTTTTACCCGTTAAGCTCTACTGTGGAAGTCCAATTTTCAAAGGAGTCTTCACACCACAGTTCTACAAAATGAGATCAAAGCACATTTAATTATGCATGCTCCTCTATCACAAGAGTAGTATTTTTATTGTTTCCTATTCGCAAAATAATGTGGATTGACTCCCAGTTGTTTGGAAATATAAATATTTTCTGCAGGATTTTTGTCTTGATGTTAAAAATTTATAAAATGTACCATACCGTTACTATATTTCTTAAAAATATTTAAGGCAGTAGCTTAAAATCAAATTTTAAAGATTGACATATTTAGCCTATTGCCAGAAACATTTCACAAGTACCTTGAAAGTGTATAGCCCCTTGCTGTTTTCTAGCGTATGAAGATTTTTCTTCTTTTTTATAAGGTATTTCAGGGTAATGTTTTATGTTATTTTCATCCAAGTTCGAAATAGTTATTATTTACTACATAATGGAAGTGTATTGTAATGCTGGAACTACACATGCTCCAAAGATGATACCAAGGGCACCGTGGTTCTTCCCTCCAACACTTATACCATGTAATGTAGTTAACAGAAGAAAATGGAAGCAAAACACGAACAGCAGGCAACATTAAATAACCAAATCCCCACAGAGCTCATATGTAGGGAAAAAAGTAGCGACACTTAAATGAGAGGTGACTTAGCTCAAGCTAATGATCTAAATGTAAGATTGCAGTCTTGGGTTTTGTTTCGTTTTGTTTCTTTCCCCTGACATGATGCTGTTAAAAAATAAAAATCACCTTGAAGCACTTTGAAGCCCAAATGCCTCCTGGGTATGGTATCATTTAGGCATATGCTAGCTAGCTAACTAGTTCAGTTTCCCAAAAAGAGAACTGCTATCAGGGAGCATTTCATTTGAGGTTTACTAGAAAACAGGATGCTTCCTTGGTGTTTTTGTTTTCATTTATTTTTCCCTCCTTGCTTTTCAAATGCTTTTAAATAATAATGAGTTTTGCTTTAGATTGCTTTCTGAAACTCACCTGAGGGGGAAAATATGGAGTTTATCATTAGAATTTTATTTTTATAGGTGATGTGGTCAGAAATAAACTTTTGATCTTAGCTGAATTGATTTGTTTTTTCCAAATTTAAGAAGGAAGAAAATAACCTTTTACTGTACTTCCTGTTTGTCCTCATAATTCTATAACCTTTCTCAGTTATGGGTCAGTCTTTCAGCCAAGAATAGTGGATATGTAGAATCCACTTACCTGAAATGCAGCATGATTTTATGACTCAGAGATCCCAGTCATTTCCAATTTTTGTCTCTGATTAGATTTTCCAAACTCTACTTTATTATGTAATGGTCCTTGTGTAATGATCTGTGTAAGACACTACAGCAAATTGCTAAAAGCCCATTTCTATTATTTCCACCTTCTATAATACAGAGGAATTTTTACATTTATTTGAATATGTATTCTACCAAAGGAATTTTCAAAAAGGCCTTCGTTTTCCTAACTTTTCAGTAATTCTTACTGTTGGTAAATAGGCTATCGCAGTATTTTAATTAAATACATACTAATTACATGAGTATGATGTACATCTGCTACAGAGGCAAGAATAATAGGGAATATTACAAGATGTAATCAATCATAATTCAAATAAGTTTCAAGGAGAAGAAACCAGTAAACAATGCGGTACTACCACAGTATAACTTTTAAGGGAAAATTTTTTTAACTGAATGACCACAAAACTGGAAAATGTGTACATGCCAGCAATATTTTCATAAAAAATTAATTATACCTTTAATTTCTATTTGGAAGAAATATATTTACTAGCTTTAGAACTTATGATTTTTATTCATTTTCATGCTCTTTGGAGCCTTTACAAAGAGAGCATTTTCAAATTCCCTTTTTCTTTGTAGTCATAATCTATTTTTCCATAGCTTTTAGATATTTTTAGTGGAGCCAGGAAATGTATTATTTAGAGTTGTCTACTATCTTTCTAAAATCAAAATGATCCACCAGTGAAGAAATTTCATTTTTTCCCAGAGAGTGCTTGGGAAATGGCACTAAGTCTTAAGAACATCAGCTTCTTAAAGAAAAAAAAATAGTCTCAGAAAAGTAGATTTGGAATGTGTCCTTGTATTTTCAAAAATGTAATTTGTTGTCCAGGAACTGGCATAGTAAGAAATACCATGGTGCCCCAAATCTTCCTAGCTTTACTTTACAAGGATATACTCTGGTTCTGTCTGTATTTTTGTCTCAGTATAGAGGTCCATCTAAGCACTTGGAACTCTGTGAGAAATATTCCTTAGAATGGAGGCCAAATCCAGAATTAAATTTACAGAAACACCAGATCTAGAGATGTTACCAAAGTTCCTACAGACTAAATCTTTGGTTTCAATGACCAGAATCATAGATTTTTTGAGGTGAAAGGTACTATTGCAGACAGAGTCCAGTCCTCTTTCCTTTATCAATGAAGAGTCAGAGACTTGCCCAAAGGCAGAGCTTGGTTAGTGACAACTTAGGACTTCAGTGCGGTTTCAGGCAACTCCTTCTCTAATGTTGTTTCCATGACTTACAAACTGAATGAGACTTTAAACTGTTAGCAACAAAGATTTTTTAAATGATAAATCATGTCATCAACAACTTTTTAACATATGAGAGTCCTACATGTTGTTCCTCATTTTGTCCACTCATTTAACAATCCGTAAAAAGGAGACCTCCTGAAGGACCAACACTTTCTATTTTATATAGGTCCTTGACATGCTATTGTGACTTCCAAAAAGAAAGGATGGAGAATTGTCTTAGGTGTAGGATTTTAAGAAAGTTTTTTTTTAATCTTAAAGCTAAGAAGAAAATCTGAAAAAGAAAATCTTAGGCTAAACAACAAATTAGTCTCTGAAAAAAGTGTTTTCTCTGTCTAAATATTTCATCACTGTAACGCCTTTTTTCTATAATTCTTTTTATTAGTATACCTAATTTCATTTGGCATTTGATTGCTTTTAATTGAGTTATACATTCTGAATGTTGAAAAATATTGAATGAGAAAGTATATTAGTCCATTTTCACACTGCTATGAAGAAATAACCAGAGACTGGGTAATTTATAAAGGAAAAAGGCTTAATGGACTCACAGTTCCTCATGGCTGGGGAGGCCTCACAATCATGGTAGAAGACAAAAAGGAGTGAAGGCATGTCTTACGTGGTGGCAGGCAAGAGAATATGTGCAGGGGGACTGCCCTTTGTAAAACCATCAGATCTCATGGGACTTATTCACGATCATGAGAACAGCACGGGAAAGACACACCCCCATGATTCAATTACCTGCCACTGGGTTCCTCCCACGACATGTGGGGATTGTCGGAGCTACAGTACAAGATGAGATTTGGGTGGGGACACGGCCAAGCCATATCAGAAAGTATAAAATTACAAGTGTTATTTACTTAGAACCACTTTCCTTCTGCCTTATTTTTTCTTTTTCTTTTTTTTTGCTCATGTAGACACAATCTTTATATTGCACACCAGGAAAATACATTACCAGTGTTTTCAGTGTTATTGTATTATGAATATAAATATCCTAATCTGTATAAATAATCGTTACCACAAAAAGTAAGTATAGACTGTGACTCTCTGCTTTGCAATCCCCCTTCTACCTGAAATTATAGGTTTTCCACAAAGATGTGAAGAATATTTAGAAGGAAGATAAAAATAAAACCATTTCACATTCCATTTTCTAGTGTACATTTCAGCCCTTGTTAAATTTTGAGACAGTTTCTTTTTAAAAGACTGTATAAATAACTAAATTCAACGTGCCTCTCTTTTGGAGATACCTAGCAGCCTTATAACATAAAAATGTGATACCCTGCACAGTCTAAGCAGTCCTTGCTCAATAGTATTGTTCAGAGATGTCTCAATATCTTCTTATTGACTGTCTAATACTTGTTTTCCTTAATATAAGATGTGCATTGCCTTCTTTGATTCAGAAACCATCAAGAAAATTGGAAAACTCATCAGATTCAGCAAGAGCAGAACAGCCTGCTACGTGCCCCAACTGAGCCTTCTGTTGATTCTAGGTTGTTAAAAATTGTGATGTCAATGTCAAGAAACCAGTATGATCTATTTAGAATAAGCAGCCAGGTTTAAGATAATAATTTCTGACAGAATGTAATTCCTTCTAACTTTTCATAAAAATTATCATTGCAGTCATTTTCATATTTTTCACATTATTTTAATTTTCTTCTTACATTATAACCTTGTATAACTCTTCTTCCAAAGGATGACAGCCTACAAATATCATAAAACCAAACTGTTAAAAAATTCTCTCTAGTTAATTATCACCCCTTCGTATCCTAAGACAACAAACCTCAATTAGTCCTTTAGACAAAGCACCCCATATGCTGCTCCCTGTCAGTCCTTAATTAGGGAATCAGAATATACCTCTAAATCAAAACTTTCCACAAAGAAAATGTTTATGAAGATAAAGGTTAATATAGGATTTCTCAAGCTTCTCTGAAAATTCAGCTTTCATAAATCACATATCTGACAATTGGCACTCCATTCTTTGACTTGACAAGGCATTGTGCTACATGCTGGGAACACGTGGAACAAAGAAACAGTCGCTGCTCTGGAGGAGCTCAGTTCACCCAAGCTAAGAGACTACAAATGTTTTGTATTGGCTGGAGCCAAGGGTAAAACGGAACACAGCAAAGGTGAGGACTGAGAGCCAGGCACATGGTGAGCCATTGCAGAATTTCAGATGTGGGAGGAACATGATCACAGTTCCACTTCAGTAGGATTGCTTTCATTGTATCGTGGGGGATGATTGGTGGAGGAAAAGGAGAAGCAAGGAGACTAATGGGGGGCCTTTGCAGTGATCAAAATGGGAAATAAATCATTTGAAGACAGAATGAAAAAAGATTTAAATTTTATGAAGGCAGTAGAATCAGCATGATGAGTTAATTTTGAGCAACAGGAAAGGCAGAGGCCCAGATGACTCCCTGACCGCTAACTTGAATCACTGGAAGAATGGCAGTACCCTTCCTAAAGGACAAAAATCCCAAAGGAGGAGCGGGTTTAGTTTTGCACAAAAGAAATCCAAGATACCTTTATGAAGTGATATATCCTATAGGTGATAAATATAGAAATCTGGAGAGAAAGCTGAGCTAGAGCTGCAGACATGGAGGCCATAAGCAGATAGGTGACAGTGAAAGCACGGAGTATATAAGTCACACAAAGAGATCTCAAGATCTAATTCTGGGGGAATGCGTCAAGATGTGGTGCAAGACTCAGGACAGATTTCTCTACCATTACTGTGATCGAGAGGCTACCATGATGATAATATTAATCTATTATTCATGAAACTACTTGCTATGTGATATTGACCCAATCTTTTAATCAGTTTGAGGTTTGGCTTTCTTACCTATGTGTATAATCATACTCAAATAATAAAGTATTTTGAGACCTAAATTAGGTAAACTGTGTTAAAACACCTAGCTCAGAACTTGACACATAATAAACTCTCAAAGGTATATATGTTGAATCTGAAACCAGAAAGTTGATAGAAAATTGAACTCATCATCACTCCAACCCGAGAATTGCTTCTTCTCCTCTGTCCTCTCTCTTTACCAGCTGACGAAGCCAAAATCCTAGAAGTTGTTTATCTCCTCCCTCTACTTGGCACATCTAATCTCAGCCCAGTCCTGTCAAAACAGTTCACTTCTTGAACACCACAGCCATTGCCTCCACTAAGGCCTGGACCACTGCAAAGCTCCTTCCTGGATCCTTTGACTCCCCAGTGCACTCTCCGCACTGCAGCCACAGTGAGCTTTTCTAAATGGGAAATCTAATATAATTTACTTTCTAAAATCCTTTTCCCCTTTGCATAAAATCTAAGTTT
This sequence comes from Homo sapiens, assembly GCF_000001405.40. Classification (NCBI taxonomy): domain Eukaryota; kingdom Metazoa; phylum Chordata; class Mammalia; order Primates; family Hominidae; genus Homo; species Homo sapiens. The sequence continues at coordinate 97,732,126 of NC_000003.12, forward strand.
ATATCATGCCAAATCATTCGTGATCTCAAGAAACATAATTTTACGTAACCTCCCAACCTCAAAACTCACCATTCCTCTCTTTGAAGACTATTCTAGCCACCTAAATCTACTTGCATTCTAGATCACATCTCCTTTCCTCAACCCACGCACTTGGCCCTGCACCCTTTCACATAACCCTTAAGGTTCAGTCACCTCCTGGAAGAAGCCTTCCTGAGGCTGGGTTAGGTACCTCTCCCACATGCTCCCATAACAGCCTGTTCTATGTGGCACTTCCCATATTCATAGTCCCTGGTCACTCTCAATAGTTAATACATTTCTTAAAGACAGAGATATACCTGACTTGTTATGTTATCCCTTGAACACAGAATGGTCAATAGTACATATTAAGTGTTTAATATCTATCCGTTTGGATGAATAAATTTAAAAATCTGTTAGAAACATATATCTTTTAAGCAATTTTGTGAATTGCTTAAAAAATATAAGTTTCTTCTTTGACTACCTTTGAAGACAATTTTCAGATGTGTGATCTTGGGCAGGTTAAACCTCTTGTTATGATTATTTGTCTGTAAAATGGAGATAACAATTATACCTACCTCATAAAGTTATTGTGAAGATTAAAAGAGTTAACACATGAACATCGCTTAGAACTGGCCTTGAAAGTACTCAAGAGCTCTCAATAATTGCTAATAATCTGTTTTTATCACTGTCACTCTTGCTGTTATTGCTACTCTTTTCCTGTAAGATGGGTCCCTTTGTGTTTGGCACCTGTCCCTGGCTCAAGACAGATTTCGCAAGGCTGTAAATTAAAGAATTGAGGAAATTTATAAGCCAGAGGTCAGCAAGAAAAAGTCATGAGTCTTCTGATCCTCCCACTGTCCCCACAGAGAGGCCGGGACCACATGCTCTACTGGATGCATTGTGGGTAAAATTTCCAGGCAAGGGAACCTACCCGCTCATCACTCTTACAAGGCATGCATGAGAGCAACTTTGTCAAGAGGCATAAGCAACCTGCTTAATGCTAAGCATTCTAGATTTGGATGCCAACTGTCTACAGGAGTTGTCTGAAGCTAAGGACCTGGGGCCAATGGAAAATAGTAACCCTGTGGACAGGAGGCAGAAGCCACAAGTCTTACAAGAAGCTGGGTTTTGGTCAAGTACCTACCTCTTAGAGAAGAGCAAGCTTCCAGTTTCATCTGGCTCCTTGTCCAGGAAAGCCAGAGTGAGTTTATGAGATCATTTTTGGACAAGGTTGCTTGATGCAGCAGTTTTTAAATCAACACCTTCTTCAGAGAGGACTTCAAATGCCATCATGCTTATACTTTGAATCTATTTTTAATAGGTTGAGACACTAAGTTTTCCAAGAATCTGCTCCTCTATCAAGACAAATCCAAAAATTTCTTCTAATAGCATTTGTTTAGGTCAATAATATTTATTAATGTGTCAGGCAATGTACTAAACGATAAGCATAGAAAATTTAGAAGTATAATTCCTGCTTTCAGGTATGTACAGCCTTAGAGGAAAGGCAGATGAAAAAATTACAGTACAATGTTATGGATGCAATCATACATACATGCACAAGACTCAGAGGCATTAAGAAATGACTCTGTTCAGTTTGAGAGTATATTGTGCAAACTATGAAATAAATAATTTTTATTTACCCAGAATATTAAACTTAGGATCCAAGTAAAAACATTGAAGTCCAAATAGCAGATGCCATGACAAAAGATAGCATGGTAATCACTACTAAAATTGTATTGGGTGATAAGAAATTGGAGAGGAAGATGTTTTATCATGAGAACTAAAAAGCATTTCTGGGGAGTGGTCAGAGGAGAATGTTGTAAGTTAAAAGGAATTTAGTTCAAATTTCAACCCTGCCACTTACTAGCTATGTGAATTTAGGCAAGTTTCCTTATTCCTCTGAGTCTAAATTGTCTCATTTAAGAAATGGAGATAATAATATCTACCATATTGAGCTATTTTAAGCAGTAAATGAATAAAAATATGCAAAGTGCATAGCACATGGTAGATAATAAAGGAAGCTATTTCTTTCTAAGAATATAACCTCACTTGTCACCTATTTTATTCCATGCATTTATAATTAGATAACTGGAAAATTGACTATCAAGCACTCCTAGAGTGGGATTTCAATGTTGTTTTAAAATGGAATTCTATGCTATTTCTCTTAGTTGCTTCTCTGAGCTATCCACAATAGTTTTAATGCATTGCAAGTGTTTTACACACATCCTGCCTTAATAAAACATGTAACAAAATCTTAAAACCCAAGCCTAGTTGCTAGTGAAAGTAGTCAGAAAGCAGATGAGAAAAATCCTGTTCAGTAATAAAATATAAAGTGAATAGAAAAATGCTAGCATCCTGACAGGCTAAAGTGGTCTGGTCAAAAAGACAATGATGGGATTATGAGAAATTCCCTATTACTAAAAAAGCTAAAACTTAGCAGTAAAGAGGTTCGTGAAGACATATTCTTCCTTTTTTACAAACAGCCTCTAACATAAATTAAGAATGTGTTAGTCATGTCCAATAGTGTAAATTTTAAAATAAATCAAATTGCATTTTTATATTTCTGTATTTTTGAGAGGGACAGAGGAGGGGGAAGTTAAATTTTGCCTGTCTTTAAATATTAGTCTGTTCCTCCGTTTTCCAAACTCAACAATGGTGACAATAAACACTTTCTTTTGTCTTTTCCCTGGAGATAAGAATAAATGTTCACACGGATACTTTTGAACATTTTATGAAAACCTAGGCTACATAAATTCAGGGTCAGTATTATCATATTGCTAGGAAGGTGGATCATACACTAAACAGATGAATTTCCTGCCTTATCTTGTGATTTCCTTAAGTACCAAGAAAAATAGTTGTTATCTTGTTACTCTTAACTTTGGGATCTTATACAGATACATTTCCCGAGAGCTGCACTGTTCCATAGAGTAGCCATTAGACACATGTGGCTATATACATTTAAATTTAAATTAATTAAAAGTAACTGAAGTTGAAAATTCAGTTTCTTCATTCTAGTAGCTGTATTTCAAGTGCTCACTAACCACATGTGACTGTGTGCTACCATGTTGTAGAAAGGGAACATTTCTGTCATCACAGAAGTTCTGCTGAAGCACACTAGCTCAGAGGACACTCAAGCTAATGCTCCTATTGCCCTATAGCCTTAAGCTAGCCAGTGATAGCATTTTAAGAATTAAATGACCTTAGGAGGTATAGGAGTATGACTTCATAATCAGGTCAGTGTCAGACTAAGGGAAAGCTAAATGTAAGAGAATAGAAACTAAATTAATGATGAAGAAAGAAGGGATGATGGTTAGAAACAGGGTACACATTGACATTATCATAAAAGGATAAAAAATGACTCAAGAAATCAGTGCTTCAACAGAATTTTTCTTAAAATTTTTACTTAAGACATTTGTTATATGTTATTTGCACTAAATGCATCAATCACAATGCTGACTTTCTGATGTTTATTTGGGTTTTGAGATGTTCCAGCTAAGTCACACAAAAAATTATTTCTTAAGGTTGTAGGGAACTTAACCTCCTCTATACTGGTAGCACATGTTTAAAACATATTTTCCTCTCGTAGGGTGAGCAGATGCTTTGGAGCTACTTGCAATTTTTGTTCACAGCTTTTGTATTTATCCTTATTTAGGTCCTTGTACTCACAAGTAGTTTTCATGCTTACCATTATTTTGGCTTCTTCTGCTTGTAAAAAAAGAAATTATAGCATATGTATTACTGCCTAAAAATAAGAGAGTAATCTGTATATGTTTGCATTTAGGTCATTCTGTCCATTGAAGAAGGGTACAGACTTCCAGCTCCCATGGGCTGTCCAGCATCTCTACACCAGCTGATGCTCCACTGCTGGCAGAAGGAGAGAAATCACAGACCAAAATTTACTGACATTGTCAGCTTCCTTGACAAACTGATCCGAAATCCCAGTGCCCTTCACACCCTGGTGGAGGACATCCTTGTGTAAGAGGCATAATGTTGAGTTTTTTTCTTCTTGACAATTATGGTTTCTTTCAGGCTATAGATAATAATAACAGGTAGAAAGGAAAAAAATGCCTTGATAACCATCTAGTTGTTGACTTTGTGGAAACCATATTTCATTTATCAGCTGAAAAAAAGAATTATTAACATTAAAGTAAAAATGGACTCTTTTAAAAAAAGATAACAGATTCCCCTTCCTTTTCTCTCTCTCCAATCTTTCTGAATTACTTTGTTTTTATCTTTTCCTGTTTGGGTCTTTGATATTTACATAGCCTTTTAAAATTGATTGATCCTTCCTTACCTTTAGAAGTAGAGAGAGAGAGAGAGAGAGAGAGTGTGTGTGTGTGTGTGTGTGTGTGTGTGTGTGTGTGTGTGCAGCCCCTTTAATTTTCTTGCCTATTCTATGTTCTGTTCCTGAATTTGAAATGGCAAGCCAGACAGGGGCAATTTGTGAATCAGCCCAGAGGAAGAATATTTCCTGCTGATATGATCACATCTAGTTGTTGTTACTCTCCATTCCTAAAACCAGAAAAGAACAGATAACAAGACAAGAAAATGGAGGCACTCATACACCATTTTGTAAAAGTCAGTAGACTTGAGAAGATCTACTCACCTCCCGGTGAAGAGCAATTATAAGAGGAAGAGTAGAAAAAAAAAGACTATCATCTATGTCTGAAAATATTACATTTTAAATATCATTAAGTTAAAAACATATTTCTTTATTTAGAAAAAGTTGGACTTAGAAATAACCAGTGCATATCCAAAGCTCACCTTCTTCACTCAGGGGATGGCTGGGGCTCTTCAGACATTCACCTTCAGATCACAGGTTCAAGCCAGTGCAGGTTTTTAGTGACAGTAAGGCCGAGGCTCTTCAAGGACTATTTGAAACAGACCTCAGTTCACAGCAGAGCACTTAAGAGTTCACCTCTAAATCACTAATTGGCAGCCTCAATAAAGTGAAGCCAAGCATGAAATAGCTAGAGATTAAACTATTACTCCGGCCCATCTTCCCTAAAGAAGTCCAGCACAGGAAGCAGTAAAGGAAGGAAAGGCACTTTGGATTTTATCATGAAAACAATGGACAGCCATGGAAGGATTTTAAGCAAGGGAACAGCATGATTACGTTTGCATTTCTGAAAGATCACTCTAGGGATGATTTACACTGTGAGTGCAAAACAAGGAACAAGACTGGAAACAGAGACAGTTTTATGTTTTCAGTAACTAAAGCTAGAAAAGATCAGGGCTTGACTTCTGAAATGGGAATGAGGTTGGGGGTCAGAAGATAAGAGAATTTTATTATTATTATCATTTCCTAATAATAAGTAATAATAACGTTTATTATTAGGAAAACCAATGCATCTTAGTCACTGTTTGAATATGGAGGGAGGGAGGAGAAAAAGAATCAAAGATGTTTGTCAAGTTTCTTTCTTATACAAGTTGGCTGATGGTATTACCCCAGAGAGAGGGAGAGGGACAAGTTTTTGGAATAGAAATGAGACCATTTGAACATGCTGAGTTGCAGATGCCTGTGGGACATCTAGACAGTTATATTTATAGGTTGAACCTCAGGTAAAAAGATCTGGACTAGAGATGTAGATTTGAAGATCATCAGCATATAGATTATAGCTGAAGCTTTAACTGTAGTTAAGATAGCCCACAGAGAGTATAAAGAATGCATATAAATAGTGGAAAGGATGAAACCCTCTAATTTAAGACATGAACTGAACAAAAAGTACCCAAAGGAAACTGAAAAAGAGAAGCCAGACAAGTAATCAGGAAAAGAGGGAAGAGCAGTATCATAGAAGCCAAAAGAGGAGAGAGTTTCAAGGAGTATAATGTCCAAGCCTTCACAAAATTGCAGTAAAATAAAACATGAAATGTCTCCACTGGATTCAGCAAGCAGACATTCAGGTGTGCATACACAACCTTTGGTACAGCATTTTCAATACAGTTGCATAAGACAGATTACAATAGAGGAAGAGTGAATATAAGCTCAGAGAAAGGAGCAATACATAATACCAATTTTTTTTTTTCAAGAAACCTGTCTCTGATGAGAAAGAAAAGTAGTTAGAGGAAATGTTTCTTGGTTTTTGTTTTTATATGAGTTATTGAGGTGACTTGGTCATGCTGTAGTATTGAGGAGAAAGAGCTAGTAGTGAGTCTGCATTAATGGAAGAGGATACTGGCATCTATAAACTGAAATCCTTTAATCTGGGCCCCTTGTTGTGGTATAGAGTTAACAGAATCCACAATCAGTGCCCATCAACAAAGCTGTCTGACTGTGCTATAGCTATAGAAGCAGGATGTAAAAACCTTCTTTTTGAAGAAAAGCAGATAAAACAATTTCCTCTCTGCTTTTTCAAGATTATGAATGATCATCATATTTGGAAAATATTGATGAAGAATGTAAGATGAGAAAGTGTCAAAAAGTAACAGGGATCCAGAGGTCAAGTCAAGATGAGAGGGTGTATCTGAGGGCCAGAGATCTGTGATTTAGTGGGCTGTTCAGCAATCCAGCAGAAGAGCCCCATGAGTGGCAAGCTCTGAGACAGCACTGCAGCACGCAGGCCAAAAGTTGGGTGCTTTATATAAACTTGGCATCTTGATTCAATTCTAAAGTCTGATCTCTGGGAAACCAAATTGAAGTTTTTGTGACTGATTTGCTATCCTCATTTCTGACAAAGACATATGTGATACTGCTTTTGCCATTAATATACTTTTGTTTGAGAAACAAAAAGAATCAGTGTTCTAAGGTTCACATGCCTGAACCTTTATCAGCGTTCTCATTTTCACAGCAGCCTGGATGGGTTCTCCTGCTCCACCCTCTTACTTGCAATACCACCCACCCACTCTGTTCCTGATTCCAGAGAACTGAGACTGTTTAGGGAGAAGAGACACAGTAGATTAAAAGATAGCAATATTACCTAAAGAATGCCTGTTTTATGCTCATAAAACTGTGACACTGCTTCTCTATCTCCCAAATTGCAGAGCCCAGTTGTCTGCCCCAGAGTGATGCTGGATTAAGGAAACATGACATATGTAGAATTTCCATCTTTTCTCCTGTATCTCTCAAACCTGAAAAGGAGTCCAGGTGTATAATCCACTGCAACTCTTCTTAAATTCTCCTGCACTTTCCTTTTGTGTAGCATCCCCAACCCCCAGATTTCTCTCACACTTATATGCTGATATTACTCTCTCATCTGCTAGGTCCCCATGGTTTTTATTCCATTCTAATTGCTTTTTTCTCAAGACTCACCTGAGAAGCTGTTATCCTTTCTCTTGACAGAGTAGTAAGAGGGGAAGAAATTAAAGTGACAAAGGGATGAGGAAGGCCATGAAATCCACAGTTTAATAATTTTATACTAACATATTGAAAATGTAATAATTTTATACTAACATATTGGAAATTTCATAAACCTATATCTGCAATTGTTCCTCTCAAAGGTCAGAGTACCTAAATTGAAAACATGTTGGTCATAGAAGGCTTTCATTATTTGGTGCAGCAAATATTCTTGTGCCTGACACACTCCCATGGGAATATTCAGAGCTCTGTGCAGTTCCCAACATGCTTGCTTTCTCTCCTACTCAAGAAAGTGTAGATATACCATATAAGTGAATGTGGCAGTATTATAAGTATAACCCTAAATCCAACTAACAGTAAAAAACTAATTTGCAGAACCACTGTATTAATATAGGCAGTTATCCTTTCATAAATGTGAATTTCAAACTACCCTCACATTCATTCACTTTACAATAATGCCTTATAACTGCCTTTCAAATAATTATTTGTAGCTGTCATGTCATGCACAGCCCTTGGGAGAAAGGACCCAGCTTAAGGCCAAGGTTGTGTGTAGAACAGCATCTGGAGCAGTGCCTGGCCATGCACTTTAAAACACCTTTTTCTCCCTCTCCACTAACCCTCAGGACTAGCCTTGTAGCTGCTCCCAACCCCAAGTATTTTCCCACTTTGTAGCTTGATAGCTACATGGTGACCCTTCACCCAGTCCTACCTCCCCCACCCTCACCCACATTGTCCTACACATTTATTCTGCATTGTCTTCAACCCTCGCCCCTGATTACTCCACACATGGAAGTCTACTGAGTGCACCAGGCTGTAGTCAGCTGGTCAGTATCCTTTAGGACAGAGTTTCAATGTAATGGGAAAATAATGCTTTCTTCTAATCCCTGCTCCAGGTCCCCAGCATGTCACTGACAAAGAACTTGACACATTAGGGGCTTCTTGACTATCAGCTCAAATGTGGCATCCCAGGACGGGCAGCAGTTGTCCAGATGTTGGCTACCTCAGAAATAATGCTTTGCCTAGGCCAAGACACCTTATGTACTGTATATTGTTACTACCCACTGGGCCATAATTAGGGATCTTATAAGACTTTAGCAACTGCAACTACCAGCTTCTGTAGTACATATTAGTCTATCTTGTAACTTTAAAGCACTTAGTTTCCAGTAATATGTGAATCATGAAGGTAGGGAAAAGCCCATACCAATACCATTATTTAGAACCTCTTCTTTAAAAAACTGTGAATAATGCTGTAAGACTGAATAGTACTATCTCTCTCCATTTAGCGAATTATGCACCAATACTGCTATCTTCTGAATACAATAACTTCCAACATTTTGATATAAAATTTTCTACTTATTTTGAGAAGATTTTGTTCAATGCCACATAGGCAATACATAATCAGCATTTGCTAAATTGTTTATCTCTATACACCAAGTCATAGACAACTTTTTTTTTTTGATTCTTGTTGCTAGCACTTTTAAATATGCTTTTCATGACAGAGAAATAACTGGCTGGCCAAAACCAGTGTTGAAATTGAATAATAAGCAAACTTTTGTGGAAGGAAGACAGAATATGAAAGATGGATCAGGAGATTTGAAACTTCTATTTGCCCATTAGAAAAATCTAAATTCAGCCAGGCTCAGTGGCTCACACCTGTAATCCTGACCCTTTGAGAGGCCAAGGTGGCAGGATCACTTGAAGCCAGGAGTTCACCAGCCTGAGCAACAAAGTGAGACCCCATCTCTACAAAAAATTAAAAACTAAAATTAGCCAGGCATGGTGGCACATGCCTGTGGTCCCAGCTACTCGAGAGAGCAAGGTGGGAGGATCACTTGAGCCCAGGACTTCAAGTCTGCTGTGCACTATGATCATGACACTACACTCCAGCCTGGGCAACAGAGTGAGACTCCGTATCTAAAAAAAAGAGAAAAGAAAAATAGAAAATTCCCATAAACTTCTGGCACAAGATCTTTATAATATAATGTCAATATCCATATTAATACTGATACAAACTCTTAATATATATTATCAACAATAACTATGACTGCCATTTGTTGAGAGCCTACTATGTGCCAGTTGTGGTACTAGGGGCTTTTATTGGTTATGTCACTTAATCCTCACTGTTATTATTCCCATCCCTTAGACACGGAAACAGAGACATAAAGAGGCTAACTTTCCCAAGAGTACACAGCAATAATGAGTAGATCAGGAATTTGAAGGCCACTGACTCCAAGTCCTTGCTCTTTCCAGTATACAACATAGAATCACACAGAAAGGCAAGATGTTTGCTAGTACAACACTGCTTCAAAAATATGATTCTAAGAAAAGGGGGTACATTTTCACATTTCCAGATAGATTTTATCTGGACTAGTCAAACTTCATAGATGGAGTCTATTAAAATTCAAAAAACAATTCTTACTGGAGAGCAGCCTGTTATTTTATGTCCCAGTAGGCAAATACTAGAATGTAGAGAATATGACCTTAGTCATGGGAATAAATAGAAAATACATAGTCCATATATCCCCCAAACACCCTCCCACAATGCCCAGCCACTTGAAGAACATTACTTGAAAAAGGAAAGTAGTAATAGCAACAATATAGAGAAATGAGGAAAATATGGCAGTAACATCACATAATTCCAGAATTACGTCCTCAGGCATTTCTGTAGATTGAATTTTTCTGGTGCTGGCATAAATACGTTTTGCTTCTTTTTCTCACTATGGCAGATATTACTAATCATCACAACACTCTCCTGCTGAGTCCAGATTCTGCCTTAGCATCCTTCTCATGACAACATTTTGACAACCACTGCCAATGAATTGCAGTTGGCATGTGACATGAGACCTATTTTCTGATCCTGGATTACTTCCTCACAAAAGCAGGCTTTTCTTAAGGTTCAGGGGTCTATTACTCTGGCCGTAGGAACCATGTGCTGGGTACACTACTGGGAATTATGGGAAATTCTTTATAAGTATTATCCCTGCTCTGCATCTGTTCCTCTTAATGTTCAAACATATCTACAACTTTAAATTTTACTTTGAAATTTTAATTTTCATTCCTTCATATTTTTCACTAGTTATCAGCCTTATTATGTTTAAATAATCATATCAATAAAAAACAATTGAAGACTTACTGAAAATAAAAGACTGACAAAAGATAATTAATGTCCTTAACACTGTGGAGTTAGACTGTTTGAAACAAATATATATTACCCACAAGCACAAAATATCTGTATCTATATCTATATAGTATATGTCTACGCATTTGAGGTTTCATAGCCCTTTGAGTAAAATTACACTTTAAAAATGTTTTAAATATCAAAATTATTTCATTAATTTAATGTGTTCACATTGAATGTTAGGCTTAATTGCAGACAGGACTTTTTAAAAATATATGATTATGTAAATTCTTCTTCCAAGGGTATGTACATAGTGTATGCATGACAAAATTATTTCATGGATTAAGTGAATAGTGTGAAGTGCAGTCCCTGAGTCACGAGATGAGGAACTCATGTAAAAGCAGCCATATTGCATTAAGTCAATGTGCTGTTGTTGCTCTAGGTCTGGTTATAATTGCAGGTGAACCCTTAACCCTAAGCTACCCAACTCCACCTATCACTGCCTCTTTCTCCACTCTGAAACCTATAAAGACAGAATAAACATTTTCGCAATACAAGGAATAATTTGAATAAACAGCATATTATTTAATAAGTTGACCACTATATCAACAGGTACTTACTCTTCTAGGTTCTTTATTTATTGGAATTAAATGAAAATATTCATCATGAATCAGCCATCATGTTATGGACCAAACTGTTCTGTAGATAATTTAATATTCAAGTCTGAGTCATCACGTATTTAATGAACTCCTATAATGTTTTCAGCATTATGTGAGTGCCTACACAAAAACAGAGAGATGTGTTCCTGCCCTCGGGGAGTTTTCACTTATTCTTTTAAAAAAATCTGTCTTATGAATTTTTCCCAAAGAAGTTATTCAATTGAAACAAAAAGAAACATGCTGTAAGACTACATACTCATGTCTACTAAAAGAATGTTGTTAGCAACCTAAGAGTCTAACTTTAGAGAATTAACAAATTATTAAGCATCCACATATAGAATAGTATGCACCCATTTGAATATGAAAACTGCTGAAACATGGGATACATTCATGAATATGTGAAATGAAGGCAATGTAAAATAAAATGGACCCTATCTGTACATTTCTGCTAATCACATATACATGTATTAGCTAGGAAACAAGAAGTTGTGTTAGAGTGCAAGAGAAGAAAAGCCTTTAAGCATTATGAGGGTGTCATGTTAAAACAGAATCTTAGCTTGCAATAGTGTTTCTCAAAATATAACCTTTCTTGAATCATTTTAGTATGTCTATTACTATTATATATTTATATGATGAATATAAAACATGGAAAACTTTGAGGATAAAACACTTCTTGCTTTTTAATGGTAGTATTGATATATATTGATGACCTATCTAAGGAATTTCTAAGTTAAAACGCTAGTACTATTGTGAACTCAAAGGGCTCATTAGAGTAAAAACTTCTGGACTCTTACCAGAGCTACTCATTTTTAAACATATTTTATTGTATTGAAATTTTATATTTATTACTAAACTGTAACATTACCTGTAATACCTATACTCCAGCCCTTTCTATAATCTAAATTAACCATAATTTTACCTGAAATATCCTAATTCTAGCCCCATTCTCATTTTTCTGAGGAAAAAGTTGATCCTTGACCTTCTATTCTACAATAAGTATTTTTTAAAATGTGAGCTGCAGGTTTTGCTGTAAAGATATTTCTCAGGTGGGCAGTACTCACTAATCACCAAATAGCACAAATTTCTACATGCTTAGCAAATAGCAGACTAAATTTATCATTGTACATGTTTGATAAGAAAGGGCATTTATTGTTTATTAGGTAATATTCCAGAGAATTCATGTGAGGATAATAGTACCAAGCCCTCGAAGCCAGAAAATAGCAACATTTTTCAACTTCCTTAGAAGATAAGGTGAAAGAAAAGTTATTGCACAGTGTCTGTGAACAATGAGGGGACCCTGACCTTACTAAATCAACTGCCAAGGCAGTCGTATAAAGGCCAAAGAGTAACTAGGTCACTGAAGATGCGTGGAGAGAAAGGGAATTATGGTATTAAAGCATTCTGGAAGCAAATAGCAGATGCTTTTCAACAAGGGAAATAGGCTATTTAAGTCATTTAACATACAGAATGTCCTTCCATGACCTTTTATACTAAGGACATAAAATTAGCAATTTACATTTCCACTCACCAAATATATGAAATTGTGAAATTTCAAGAGTGATTCCAGTGTTATCTCAGGAGAAAGAAGTAGAAGTCATCTGACTATGTCGGTGCATCGAGAATGGCATAGGAGTATGAAGGGAAAGTCACTTTAATACATTCTTTTAATTTTCTTCAGTTTTAACGAACTACTTTGACAAGTATTTAAAAGACAGGAGAGTCACGTTTTGAAATAGGACACTCAATTTTCTAACATGTGGTTTTATTTATGTTAACAAGCAACAAGGATATCCTGGTCATTTTGATATTTAAACTTGGTTAGTGAAGTATGGTATATCCCCTGAAACTGGTCAAATAATTTAGAAAAATAATGTAGAAGCTATTCTGAATTATCTTACATATTTACAATGCACATTAGAGCAGTGAAAACTCTGAGAAATGCTACAACTTAAAAATCTGCTTCACAATTTTTGCCATGAAGACCTTTATTATTTTGTATTTTACATATGAAATTTTATTTTACAATATTGATTAACATAAACACCTCTAGGAAACTTTGAATAAATACAGCAACAATTCAAGTATTTGTTGGTAGATGCTATGATAGCTTTCCAATCTTTGAATATGACTGATCTTTGTTTTAGGTCAAATCATGAATCATTTTGATGTTAATTAAAATGAAACAGCCCACAATCAAAATAACGTTGCAATATGTAGTACAGGAAAAAAGAATGCAGCTTAACAGCCTCCAAATAGGAAATGCAATAGAATTGAGTAGTGTTAAAAAGGACAGAAGTCACTGTATGGATAACCAGACCCAATATTGACTACAGTGTAATCAATCACAAGGTATATGCATTTAATTTATGTTAATTCCAATCATATATAAAGAATACAACCCCACCCTGTAATCTCTCTTCACCCCACCTCCACCTTCAGCTAGACCTCAGTTTAGAAAAAGGTAGGTCAATGTAGTAATAAAAGGAAAACCAAATAAATGAATTCTAGGCCTTCCAAGGGCACCTTTCAGAATCTTCAGGAGTTGTACCATATACAACTTGTGCTCCTAAAAGACTCGGGTCCTGGTGACTTTAGGGTGACTTAAAGGATTTTTAAGGGTAATTTTGATGGTTAGGGAATTTCAGTTTTTACCTTAAGTATTAACCTTAGGACCTAATTCCCATATTATTAGTAGAACAATACCAGGGTTATATAGCATGTATATGCCCTTCTGCTTCACAGTAGGGGAATTCTTACTTCACATGGTGTAATCATTTGTGCTCGTAGCTTATCAATTGCTAGTTAAAGCTGAAGTAGTTCAAATGTGAATGGTAAAAACACTTTGATAAAACAGTCGAAATATGAACATTAAAATCTATGGCTCTAATTGTCTTTGTAGATTCTTTCATTCTTTAACTTTATAAAACTTAAAAAACAAAGTAAATGAAAGTTGAACTAACTTCAATATTCCAATAAAAATAACTCAGTGATTCACTTCTAATAAGGAAGTTTTTCATTACTTACAACATATCGATTTCACTCAAACACTAAATTTTTTTTAAAGATTGTTACTGCTTTACTAGTTAATATAAATTACAGATCTAAAAATTCTTTAAATGATATATTTATTACCATAGAGCTTTTGTGACACATTTATTACTATAAAAGCACTTTTACCACCAAGTATTTTTTAAAACATGCAAAATATTTTAATGTGTATTTTTATGTAAGTATGTAAAGAAACTAATACAATTTATTGTCAGAATGGCTTAAATACACAATTCTGAGTTACTTTTACCAGAATTTATAAGATTAATTCTGTTTTTATTCTCTCTGACTTAAGCTATTATATATAACTATTTCATATATATTGCATATAAATATGTGTATGTAATGTATATATAAGCACATGTATACCCTAGCCTTTCCAAAGTAATACTTTTATACTTCCCCTTGCATCAGATCTGAGAAACAAAAATAAAGATTGCTATATCATTGCCTTTAAGATCCATTTTCTTGTTAACCCAACCTAACATTGATTTTGTGTTGTTTTGTGCCTTATTAATATCTGTGCTTTGGGGACATTACCCTAGCTTGTATGTGTGTAAATCTTATTCATGCAACTGAACTCTGTGACAATAAAAATTACATTTTAAGAAATGATAAATTATTATTGAATGTTTGAGAACAGACAAATGGAAGTTTGATCAATGAATTCACCATAAGAAGGAGAAGAACTATCACAGCAAATGTAGAAAAGGACATGGATTCAGGGGTAGGTCAGACAGGGGAAGAATGAACATCCTGTGGCTACTCTCCTTGTGGGGATAAGGGATGGGCTATTCCTTAAGTTTCAAAACAAAATTTTATGCAAGAGAAAAAAGTATAAGAAGAAGGGGGATAGCAAGATGTGAGTTCTCTCAACATCCATCATAAAGAAATTAAAAAGAAAAAAAAGATCAATGTAAGTCCCAGTCATAGCAAAAAACACAAAAAGACAAAAGTGTTCCACCAGATAAGTCACTGATTTGATAAATAATTTTTTAAAGTGACTGATTTGAATAAGATAGAAAATCAGAGGCTTTCAAATGGAGAATAAAAACATTAGATGTAAGAATATTGTAAAAGTAAAAATAAAGTTCCGTGATTTGTGCTTTATTTGGCTTTTAAATGCTCTCCATGTTTTGTTTTGTTTTGTTTTCTTACAGAATGCCAGAGTCCCCTGGTGAAGTTCCGGAATATCCTTTGTTTGTCACAGTTGGTGACTGGCTAGATTCTATAAAGATGGGGCAATACAAGAATAACTTCGTGGCAGCAGGGTTTACAACATTTGACCTGATTTCAAGAATGAGCATTGAGTAAGTGATACTAGGTTTATTACTGTAACGAGATGTCCTGCTGGGGATTATAAGTTCAAATGCTGTATCAAGAACACCTTTCCTTAGGCTAGTGGGTAATTTCCAAGTCTTTGCTCACCATTTCTGACTATCATTCTAGTGGAAGTTGGACATTACACTTTTAGCTATTATTCTTTGAAAGAATATATTTAATTCAAATAGCTATTTAAAATATTTTAAATGTTTTCTAAAATGCATGTTACTCTCATCCAAATCATAGACTTTATGTCAACTTAATTTTACCTTGGCAAATTATTACTCACATATATTAATATTGCATAATCAGTTTCTATTACCTTCATCAAATAATGCAATATTATCATGTCATTTTCAGAGCTCCTTCTAGATATTATAATGGTCAACCATTTTCCACTATTCTCAAAGATTGTCTTTTGCCTACATGCAATGAAAATATTTAACATGTGCTTAAAAGACTAAATGGTTAGTTTGAATCATATTAAATTGCCATTGTTTTAAGACAGTAATGGCAATTTCATACAGTACAACCTAAGGGCATTTTTTCTAGATATCAAAAATCCATGAGAAATCAAACGGAGTTCATATTATACCTTCCATCCTACATAATCACCATTTTGCTAATACTGTTGCAAATGTATATCATTACCTAAATTATATAGCATTTACGCCTATGAAATATCTGAGTATTACATAAGTACCTGTGTATAAAATTGAAATATATATATTATTACATCTGAGATTAACTTTATGTATTCTGTGGATCCAGAGAAAAGGAAAAAAAGAAACAAACTTTTGCTGCTCATTTAAATCTCTGTTTAACAAGTAAGCTACACTATTTTTGGTAACTGTGGCAGAGTGCTTATTTAATATATTTAAATATTCACTTTATCTTGCATGCTTATTAGATCTGAATGTTCATATTCTGTATCTCTCTCTCTCTCTCTCTCTTTCTTGCTCTCACTCTCGCTCTCACTCTTGCTCTCTCCTTTCTTTCAGTGACATTAGAAGAATTGGAGTCATACTTATTGGACACCAGAGACGAATAGTCAGCAGCATACAGACTTTACGTTTACACATGATGCACATACAGGAGAAGGGATTTCATGTATGAAAGTACCACAAGCACCTGTGTTTTGTGCCTCAGCATTTCTAAAATGAACGATATCCTCTCTACTACTCTCTCTTCTGATTCTCCAAACATCACTTCACAAACTGCAGTCTTCTGTTCAGACTATAGGCACACACCTTATGTTTATGCTTCCAACCAGGATTTTAAAATCATGCTACATAAATCCGTTCTGAATAACCTGCAACTAAAACCCTGGCCCACTGCAGATTATTGCTACGCAATGGTAAATAACTCAGCATGGATGTGTAATTTTGTATAAGCCGTATATGGGAAGTGTTCACGGACTTAACCTAAAAAAATTTATCCAGGTGGGGCTTCCTTAGTGATGTATGTAGAGTGTGATGGTAGATGAGAAAGAACTAGTTGACCTTTCTTTCATGTTTTGTGATCAAGTAGCTTCCAAACTGACAGAAATGTTTCATTTTTAGATAATTATATTCAGCTCTATTGGTTGTATTATTACTTTATTTTTTAATACTTTAACTGTTGGTGCCTGATATTGTTAGAATTATTTGCAGAAATGACCAGTGATATCATGTAATGAATTTTTGTGAGGTATGACTATGGTGAGAAGGGGGTTATTAGGGAGGGAGAAAAAAATACTGTGTTTATAAATCTTCTGAGGCTGGGTTTGTCAATTTTTTAAAAATTAACTTTATAATGTCATACATATTTCATAGTAGGTGGTAGTTTAAAGGCTTTTCACCTCTAATTTTATTTATTTATTTATTTATTTTTACTAACCGTAGTATATTTCTCTACTACCTTATGAAGACCGCTCCTGGAAAGACCAAGGGTGACTTCATTGATCTAATGGCTTTCATAGAGAAAAGCTTGGGATAAATCCATGACTATTTCCTTTGTGCATTGTCACAAGTTTGCAAAAGCAATTATCAAAGCACTGAGAAAATTGGTCATTCTCAGTAGAATTGCTTTGAATAAAATACGTTAGATTATACCCTTAGATTTAATGTAAAATTATTAATTTAATTTAAACAGAACTTTATGATAGATACATGGTGGCCCAAGAAAATAAACAGACTTAGCTGATCATTTGGTATTGGCACATTTTGCAAGTTGAAGCGTTCTTATGTTTTCTTTGCAAAAATAGTTACATGAACATGCTGAGCTCTTTTCGAAACCTTCTAAGAAATAAGTATGAATACTCCAAAGAGCATATAAACAGATCTTACACATGAGCATAGTGTGTCAACCTGGGTCCAACGTACAGTTACATAAAAATGAGAACACAGCTGTGTTGTCATAATCTTCTGAGAGGCTTAAAAAACAAAGGTAAATATATATTTTAAGTGATTTAAGCTGAGTTGGCTTATCAAAATTGTGCTATATCTTATGAACAAATTAAATTATAAAATCAGCTGCTCCCTGTAAAACTAAAAAAATGACGACTGTTTTAGGTGAAAGAGTAAGTAAAATGTGTTGAGAGAAAAAAACAGAGTAGGTTGTCTAAAGATGCTGATTTAATAAATTAGCTTTTGTTGGATCTCAGTGATAATGGTGCCCTACCTACCCTAATTCTCAAATTCCTATCTAAATTCATTTTTTGTCATAGTAGTGGTTTTTTTTTTTTAAATAAAGGACCCTGTTTTTGTTTTTTGTTTTTGTTTTTGTTGTTCGTTTGTTTGTTTTTGAGACGGAGGCGTTTTGCTCTTGTTGCCCAGGCTGGAGTGCAATGGTGAGATCTTGGCTCACGGCAACCTCTGCCTCCCGGGTTCAAGCGATTCTCCTGCCTCAGCCACCCGAGTAGCTGGGATTACAGGCGCCTGCCACCACTCCCGGCTAATTTTTGTATTTTTAGTAGAGACGGGGTTTCACCATGTTGGCCAGGCTGCTCGAACTCCTGACCTCAGATGATCTGCCCGCCTCAGCCTCTCAAAGTGCTGAGATTACAGGCGTGAGCCACCGCGCCTGGCCATTTTTTTCTTATATTTAGATTTTGTTGATCGTCCCATTATACTAGACCCTTCTACATATTTTCTTTTGCTGACTTGTCTCCTGATTTTTCCCTACCACAGCTTAATCCTTCTCATTTCAAAACAAATGTGTAAAGCAAAGCTAGAAGGAAGAGTCTTTAGATGTTTCTTAAAATATACAAAAAAAGGTAGGGGGTGATGGGAAAATCATCACTTTTCAAGTAAGTGTGCCAGATATAGCTAGCCACATTTTCCAGCCATCAACCTGCATGGTTGTGCATCACTCATAGACTATCTGCAGTTTGCTTGATACATTTACACAAATCTGGATACACTTAGAAGAAATATAAAATTTCCATATTTACCTATCTTCAAATATATATTAAATAAGAACAGATATAAAACAGATTAAATTTATTAATCATATATTTATTTTTATAATACAAAAAAGGTATTTAGGAAAATAAGGAATAGAATAATATGGTCTTCCACAGGACTCTGTCGGCACCATCTGTGTACCTTGAAATAAATTCTATTAAGTTATTTAAATTTCTATGGGATGAGCATTCAGTGATTACAAGATTAAAGTTGCCTATTAAGAATTCTTTCTTTTAAAATGTCTGATGATCCTATTCTACATCTGGTTAATTTGTACTTATTTTTTCTTTCTCTAACATCTTTTGATAGTATCATAAAACTACTTTTTGCTTTGTCTCTCATCCCATGTCTCCTTCAAAATTCCTTTTAAATTATAATTTTATTTTTCAGAATGGTAAGCATGATAATCTTAAATGTAACTTTGAACTTCATTATGGTTATGGCAACATTGAAACATGTGTGCAAGATTAAACAGAAACATTAAAATATAAGGATTTACTATAAGGATTTACTGCCTACCAATCATGGACCCCATGATCCCAGGAATATTACAATATTCAGGAATATAAACAGTTAAAATGCCAAATTCATCTGAAAATTTTACATGAAACATTTTGAGACTTACTAGTGTAAATTTTAGGTAATTAAATCTGTTTAATATGCAAAGCATAAAACTTAATTATAAAAAGAAAATAAGTAACTTCCATAAATCACAAGTCTTCAGGAATAATCTTTGATACCTAAAATATGCATATAGACTCACATACCTACTTTATTTTAAATGTCTTGATCTATGCTACTGAGGGGGTGTTTTGGATTTTAAAACCAGACAGTTAAAAAATCATTTTCATTTTATTTCTAGATGGTCAATTTTGTCTATGGTGAACTCATTATCTCATAGTAGAAGGCATATTTGGAAAAAATGTGAAAACAATGTACAATCAAGGAGAGAGATAAAGTATTTAAATCATTTTAAAAAGCAATCAAATTGCAAAATTTTGGTGGTTTAACACGAATCAAGAATTATAGCACTTTTGCAATGAGTTATAACTGGTGATAAATGTTCTACATTCCATATCAAAATAAGACATCTTATTTCACTCTGCATTGGTCTTTAAAATCTATCAAAGTATAACCTGAATAAAACTGCCTTCCAGCAACAGCTTTAAAACCTATCTCAGCCCATGAATGGAAAACAAATCCAAATCCGATCCTTGAAAAGCAAAGGCTCTAAAGAAGCTCTTCAGAAGAGACGGTAAAGAATGAATTCTTTTACTTATCACCCAACCACATTTCTTAAAAATGTGTTTTGGTGTCTTTTCCTACCAAATTTCTGCTCTACAAGGCAGTCAGTTAAATCTCTCATTTCATAATTTTCACTGTGCTAGTTCTTTCTTTTCTCCTCTTTTAATAAATTTTCTAAAACTTTCTCAGCCCTGTTTTTAATTCCCCCATCCTCTCTCTTTATTCCTTTCTCAGCTTCTATCACGCCACACATTATCTCAATCAGCATAAAAAAGGTAGCACAACAAATCTAAAAAGATTGTATAGACTTTTTTAGAAGAGGCTTGGGGCAGGGGGATGTTGCAAAAGCTATAATATTTTGGGTTCTATCACATAATTGAGAACATTTGTACTCACAGAGGATATGGGTTCTGGCTTTTCCTTAACTTGAAATCAAGTTTTTGGAAAGTAATTTTGAAATGGATGATGATGATCCTTTTTAATTGCTTTAACTAAGGAAGTTTATTATTAATATTTTAAAAATTAGTATTTTAAGATCAATATCTGTTATTATAAACTCACAGTTGGTGTCCATGTCTCTATATATCAAAGAGATTTGAAGCATATGTATCACTTCTTTTAGTATGAGCATCTTAACTTTTCCAATCTCAAATTCTGTGAAGTAGAAGAGACTCATATTACTTTACATTCAATCAACAAATATTTTAATATTTTTTAATATGAAGACTCCAAAAGGTAGAGGAGTACACTGGGTTAAATGGATGGTATTCTTCCACCAGAATATAAGATACTTAAGTCACCTAACTTTTGGTTTTTATAAGCAACATTTTCAACAATTTTTCAATCTTTATAATGTTCCACAAAGACAGTATAGATTTTATCTAGTTCAGCTTAACAAATATCTATGGAATATCTCCTATATGCACAAAATTTTACTACAAAGATACGTTTGGCTGTGCTGTCATTGCTTTCAAGTAACTCTCATTATTAAAATTTAGAGCTTTATTTGCTATGTTTGCTATGGTTGCCATGTCACCGGGGGATAGCACTTTCCATAGAATATAAAGAAATAAATAGGATCTTCGTCCAGTGTGAATTGGATTTGCAATTCTAATTCAAATGGAAAGAAATATTTTGGACCTCAAATTCTCATAGTATTCTTCCGAAACACTCCATAACCCCTCTGGCGGAGGGGAAGCATACTTCCTGGGTTCTCTAAAACAGTTTCTCTCATTAACAGTTGATCCTCTTCAGGAGTCACAGATTTTTATTGTCTGATAGCATAGCTATCAGTTCGTATATGGATTCACTACCTCAAAGGTGCCTCCTGTTAGAAAACATTAGCTTTTTTTCAAGAGCAATTCTGGAGTAATCTCTTGTTCAAGCTTATTCACTTGTTCTAGTAAACATAATAATAGGTATGAACTGCAATGGTGGCATAAAATCCTTTTAAATTCCATCCATTTAACAGGGGAAATAGATGATTACTCCTGACTATAACATATTACTAAGTGAAATGATAGAAACATCTTATATTGTGTAAAAGTAAACACTCCATCTATTTCTTACTGTTAAAAAAAAAGTACTGATGAGATGTAGCAAAGATTTCTCAGGATAAAAATTAACTTTTTTTGTTATAAGTGGATGTGGCATAATGTACATGTATTCTTGGAAAAAAATTAAAAGATCCAGAAAAAGATACAGGTCATCAAAATGTAGTTTTAACAAATCATCTTTTTCTGAGTAATAAATTAGCTTCAAATTAACAATGAGTTTGTATAAAATGTATAAAAAATAACATTTATATCTTTTTTTTTTTTTTTTTTTTTGAGATGGAGTTTCCCTCTTGTTGCCCAGGCTGGAGTGCAATGGTGCAATCTTGGCTCACCACAACCTCCGCCTCCCAGGTTCAAGCAATTCTCCTGCCTCAGCCTCCCGAGTAGCTAGGATTACAGGCATGCGCCACCACGCCCAGCTAATTTTGTATTTTTAGTAGAGACGGGATTTCTCCATGTTGGTTAGGCTGGTCTCGAACTCCCGACCTCAGGTGATCTGCCCGCCTCAGCCTCCCAAAGTGCTGGGATTACAGGCGTGAGCCACTGTGCCCAGTGAGAAGATTTATAGCTTAATGGAAAGACTTGGATTCTTTGCTCTTAATTCAAAAGAGTTTTTGTTTTATTAGCATTTACTTTTTGAGATTTTACAATATATTTGGAACTTCTTTAGGTAGCCAGTGGCAATCCAAAATTACATTTTAAAATGAAAAAAAGAGAAAACTTTTCAATTACTAAGGCAGGCAAAGCACTAGGAAATGAATAAACTTTACCTTTTAAAAAGGAATCTGTCAACTGCAAAGTTTGTATATCTCAGTGACATCAAGTGATTTTTGCACTGTCCCATTGAAAGCAAAGTTTCCTTTATTTATTTATTTATTCATTTATTTTTGAGACGGAGTCTCGCTCTGTCGCCTAGGCTGGAGTGCAGTGGCGAGATCTCGGCTCACTGCTAACTCCGCCTCCCGGGTTCACGCCATTCTCCTGCCTCAGTCTCCAGAGTAGCTGGAACTACAGGCGTCCGTCACCACGCCCGGCTAATTTTTTGTATTTTTAGTAGAGACGGAGTTTCACCGTGTTAGCCAGGATGGTCTCGATCTCCTGACCTGGTGATCCAACCGCCTCGGCCTCCCAAAGTGGTGGGATTACAGGCGTGAGCCACCGCGCCCGGCCACAAAGTTTTCTTTTAAACAAAACATGGAAAAGTTCTTGCTTGAACTTTCACACTGATTAATCAAAGTAACAAATCTCTACATCATTAAGAGAACTTTTGATTTGTTTCATTATAGAGAAAGTCTCAAAGAATTCCATTACCCTTAGACACAACTAATTCATTCCTCAGAATAACAAAGGTATTAAAGAAAAATCACTTGACAGATGAGGAGGAAAAGTAGCTCTTAAATGTTAAATAAAGATGTGGCTTCTATATTTAATTAAAAAATAAGGTATAAATTAACAACACAATCTTCTCAGGAGTTGTAAACTAGAAAAGTATCAGAATTAGTGAAAATCTTCCCTTAAGTAAAACTGTTCTTACTTGTATTTTCTGCATTATTTGTGACCTCTGGCCATTTTTAATTTGTCATAATAAACTCATTTCTGGTTAGATAATAAGTTATAATCTCAACAAATCAGAACAACTGAGATACAAGTATAGATAGGGTGCTCTACAAAATAATAAAAGGAGGACAACTCTAATTCAGGATTCCTATTTAGTTAGTAACAGGGTCTCCATCTCATTATCCCTCGCTGAAGTGAGAACTATCTTTATCCCAAAATAATACATTATTATAGAAAAAATTCCAAGGATATAAGAATCATTTTTCATATATTCCATTCAATTTGTATATTTAGGTATTAGTAACTGAGGATAGATATCTTTGTTTCATGAGTTCAATATGAGCTTACATGAGAAGCAAATTGATGTGAACATTTCTCTACAAGTTTTTCCACATTTGTAGCTCATCCTTAGAACAGTCTTAATTTGGCTCTGTTCTATAAAGACTCAATATCATTTAATTTTTCAAAATCATGATAGGGAGAAGAATGCTAATTTGTAAAGATAGGCAAACACTACACTTTTAAGATTTTTACCGTAAGTAAAATGTCCTCTTCCACTGCTTTTATAATTAAAAATCTCTTTCCTACCTTTAGTAATTTGTAGGATGAACTGTATGCATTTAGATAGAAATTGCTTTTGTTAAATTTACATTTAAACACATCTTCATTCACTTAGAGAAGCCATAATATAATTCTTCATATTAGTTTATTTTTCAAAGTAGTAACTTTTGCTATCTTTAGAATTCTCATCTACCCAGTAATATAATTATTAAAGTCATGAGGAAGTTTTTCTTTGACTGTGCATGCTTTATTTATTACCATATTGTTTTTGTCTTCAGAATAAGTCTGCTCAAAATTGTAGCCTTTAGAAGCTCTATAACAAAAATCAATGGCCAATAACTTGCTAACAAACTTGTAACTGAACAAGCTATTTTTTTCTGTCAATGTGATTGATATGCTCATTGTTAAATTTAACTTGTTTAAATATCCATTGGTATATTATCAAGAGCTATTACTGCAATAACCTCAAAGTATCTTTAAGACAATGCTGAATATCATACATAGTTAATAAACAATGATTGGAGCTTTTCAAAATTGCTGCTCTGCATGGAAAGTAAGGTTTAATGTGTATAAATGTTTGTCATTGAAGTTTGGAATTTATTTTAATGTACTCTTTCTTCCCATGCTAGATATGTCTTCAAAGAAAAATGTATTAATATATTCATACTATGCAAAAATATCATTTTATTCTTACCAAAAAAATGTAGCTTTGATAAAATTTTATGGTTTTTAGGCCTCTTAGAGTAAAAAAAATCAAAATGTGAAATGGGAGCATTTTGGGGAGCGAGCAGGACACAATATCTGAGCAGTGTTAACAAATATGAACATGAGTAACATTTGATGTAAAGATTATGGTGTGTGCTTGATTTTGGATACATTATTATTCATTTTGTTAGTCACATTCCACCTTGGATTGTGACATTGAAAAACATTGAATATATACAGGATATAAATATCTTTGGGATATTTTACATAATCATACTTATTTTTAATTTTGTGTACAGTGAAAACTTTGACAGTTTAATTTTGAATTTTGAAGGAATAATTTTTAACAGTCTTTGTTTCTTAAAATGTTAATTATGGTATACGTGCTATAGTAACCTCATTTTTTAAAAAAATCAGAGGCAAAGCAAGAATGCAGAACATGGCAACAGACTAAGTTCCACTAAAATTAAGGAAAACACTAAAAGGTAATACAGTACAAAGAGGAGTTTGTTTTAAAATTGTTACTTACCTCATTTTAAAAACTGTTAGAAAAGAGTGAATAAAAAGTATGTCACAGTACTCTTACTGGTAATTTTGAAACTAAAGTGCATTTCAAGGATGGGAATCTCTAATATAAATGAGTACACTAATAGTTGTTAAAATATGTATTGATACATACAATTAGAAAGAAATGTCATCAAAATATCAAAAATAGGAAAAAGTTCATTTTAAAAATGTTTTGTAATGGAACAAGTCATCAAAATTCTTAACATTTCCATATTATTAATCCTTTGTTTTCCAAGACATATATAATCAAAGAATTTGCCAAAAAATTCAAATAATAATACATTGAATATTGGACTGCCATAGCACTTTAAACATATTAATAAATTATCCCATGGATAATAAAGAGATTTTTTTCCAGCCATCATTAAATATAAAAATAGTATATATAAAGATGCATAAAAAAGGAACTTACTTGATACCGTCTTTTAGCATCAATTTATCTTGTTAAGCAGTTATATTAATTTTACACATACTCTTAAATGCTTAAAAACATAGTACTTACATATTAATTTTATGTGATATAATATGTTTTGATCTCTAAATGCTTACATTCTTTCAAGAAGATTGCCTTCTCTTTCCAGTTGTTTTAAGTATTTTAAAAAAGAGCCATTGTATTTTTTATATTTCCATTCAGTCTCATTATGCTTGAAAGTTTCCAACTCTCAAATAAGTTGAAACCAAGTGTCATAGCACAGTGGCTAGAAGTTATTCTTTTTGAAGTTATTCTTCTTTTATTTAATATTAGTCTGATATCCCCTAAAATTTGCTAGAGAAAGCAAACTCTTCTCATGAATGGAAATACAAAATGAAAATTCTCCACTGGATGTTATAAATTCAAAAAAAGAACATATATTTTTTATAGTTACTTCTCACTACTTACTGCTTATTCAGTTTGTAAAATCTTACCAAGTAGGATACTTCAAACAAGAGTGAAAAGCTACTCCATTTACGTGTAATCTGCTTATTTTCTTCAGAGTTTCCAAAAACCTTTGAGAAAACAAAATAATCGTTTTCCCTACCTTACAACCTTGATCACTCTACCATTAAATGCAATAATAAGGTATCTATAATATAACAATCAAAAATATCAGTCAAAGCTTAGTGTTTACCTCTTTAAACTATATAACAAATATAACCGTAGCAACAACAAATTAAAGGAGATCATGTCTCCTTACTGGTCCAAAATTGTATAATTCCTAAATTTTCATATATATACATATACTGACATACCTTTAAAATATATTTATCTGTAAGTCCATTCACTCCATTCAACTGTTTATTGAACACTACCATGTACCATTGTCCTGTTCGAAGCACTGAGGATACATGGTGACCAAGACAAGCAAAGTCCCTGTCTCATGGAATTGACCTTCTAGTGATAAAGACACACAATGAAGAAATAGTGATGTGCTGTGCTTATAATTAAAAATGTTACATAGCATGACTGTGGCTCCTTTAAGCGGTAGAGGAAATCTTCCCCCAAGGACATGCCATTTAAACTGATATCTGAAAAGCATGAAGGAAGCATCCATGAGAAGATATGGGGGAAGAGCATTACAAGCAGAGGGAAAATTTAATGAATGAAATTACAAGCAGAGGGGGATAGTTAATGAATGAAAATTTGGAGTGTTGGAGAGTAGAGAACAGTGTTCTTGGTACACTGAAATGAGGCAAAAAGAGGAGAAGGTATACGCATGAGGCTACTGGAGTAATTCCAGCAAAAACGTGGTGGATTCACTACTTCAAGATTTGGAAGGCATCAGTATATATATGCTATTTAAAGTTTGGAAATCACCTAGGAAAAGCCTGTGGAGGTAGGCCTAGGATTGCACTATATGCTATTCCAATGTTTAATAGGCAGATAATTAGAATTAAACAGAAGAAATGGAGTATAAAGTAAGCTAGAGAAAAAGGAAATGCAGTTGCTCATCTGGATTAAATGCTTTTAAGAAGTCAAGATTAGAACAAAGACATGTCCATGGGAATTAGCAACATGGAAGTTGTTGTTGTTGATGACCTTCACAAGGTCATCAACTATGAAAATAGTGGAGTCAACTATCAACTATGAAATAGTGGAGTCAAATCCCAACTGACATGGATTAAGGCGAGATGTAAAGGAAGGAGGTGAAATCACTATCTATAAACAACTCTCTCAAAAAGCTTTGATGTAAAGGGAGCAAGAGAAATAGGATAATAGCTGGAGAAAGGAAGTCAAGGAATTGTCTTGTTTTTTAAGGATGCTACAGCATATTTATCTACTAATGAAAATGACTTGGCAGACAGGGGAAAACTGATTATGCAAGAGAGATGATAATTGTAACAAAGGCCTTGAGAGATAGAGGGGTTGCGATTTAAAGCATAAGTAGGGAGGTTAATTTTTGATAGGTGCCGGAATATAGAACTCCAATGAAAGGAAGGCAGAATGTGTAATGTGCAAATAGGTTGGTATATTTGTGGTAGAAAGGGAAGGATGTCACTACGTAAGTTTTTTTTTAATTTTACCAAGAATGAGATAAAAGCCAATATGCAGGATGGGAAGGACGTATAGGTTGGAAGAGACATATGTAAGTAGTTGGATAGTAGGAAAGTGAATATATATTTGATGAAATATTTTAAAGGCATCTTTACTAAATATTTTTGAGACATCTTATTGGAAGACCCGAAACTTTGAATTCTGTGGTTTCCAAGGACTCTGGTAAGAGTCCTTTCCATAATGTAGAGATTGAGAACTTCTCAATGCCATAAATACTGTTTTCCTTATTTTCATCTATTACAGATTAAAAGGCAGAAACATTTTGTAGCTAATCTGTTATAATGCAAAGCCTATCAAACTTAAAATTAGCTTAATCCTGAAAGATGTATATTGCATAATCAACCTGTCACTTTTTTCAAACACGATTTGGGAGGGTATTGAGGTCCCATGTAAATTTTAAAATAAAAGACAAACAGGAACTAATCTTTTAGTAAAAATTATTTTGTTTTCATATAGGAAAACAATGCCTTCTGTCATTTACGGAAAACACATGGGCAATATGGTTGGTTGTTCATTGTGCCCCTCTATCCTATAGGAAGAATGTGATCTTTTAATTGTGCTTGGTGCTTTGTTTCTGGAGATATATATATATATATTATATATATGTATATATACCATATGTATATATACATATGTATGTGTGTATGTGTGTATATATATCTCTCTAGGTTGTATGTAATTCAATATGTTGGAATTTAAAGATGCATTATTATTTGGATTTGATGTGAAATTAGATTGTGAATAATGGAGATTGCTCTCCATTTTTTGCTGTTCTAGCATAGCCAAAAATATAAAGATATAGATGTACATATACATATGTATTTGATTAAACACTTTAAATTTTAAATGGCCGCATCAAATTTTAAATGGTAGATGATATCAACAATTGCAGTGCACTCAAAATGTTATAAAATCTTTGTAGCACAAATCCTGAAGTATATGCAAACTAAATAGCATATTTATATAAAATACCTAGATAACATGTCTAGGTTGAGATATTTAATCCCTCATAGAGCTATATTTGACTAATAAAAAACGACAGCTAAAAATAATTTCCCTCCCTATAAGTACAAATATGATTTTTAAAGCATCATTGTAACTTGTCATGAAGCTATTTATTATTAATTAAGGATTTAACTCTGTACCCATCTGCTCTTACAAAAGGGGAAAAAGATTTATCTATGAGAATAGGGAAGTATAGCACTGTTTTATGTTTTTCTCTTTAGTATTCTGTCACCATTTAAAGCTTCAATATATGCCTTCCACTCAGGTTCCTGACACAGCCTACATTCTCTTTTCTGGTTATAATCACAATATGGTAGAGCTATAAACAAGGTAAAAAGGTGTTAACAATTGAACTGCAATCCTACCTATTATCTACTTTACTATAGCAGTGAAGTAGTCCAGACTTATTTGAAGGTGGTACTATTTTTATCTTACAAAAATCTACTATAATATTAATAACTTTCCATGTAAATTTTCATGTGCTGGCATGCTTACAAGTTAATAGTGTTATAGAATGCTCAGCTCTCAATATGAGGGGTTGTTTGTGGTGAATTGCATAACATATGTCATCTATTTGCTGAAAGAATATGCTGTTTAGCAAACTACCTGCTGAGCAACATAATAAGATTTTTGTACAAGGTACAAATTACTAATTATTGTATTTTATTTTTCTATGATTTCCTAAGAGGCATTATCAGGGTCTTACAGATGGAGTAAGCCTGTTTATTAAAATATCTATTGGCAAATAAAAGTTACAGCTTTGGTGGTTGAATTTGTGACTTTTTTGTATTGTTGTATTTATGCAGATCTAATGCAATTTATTTTTTGGTCTAATAAATCTAGATGCTGTTTAGATAATTTAGTAATTCTGGATGCAAAATCATAGTTGTAAATTTTTTAAATAATGTCATTAGGTTTAGACATAAATTCACAGAAATCACTATAAAAAACTAGTAAATATTTTTGTAGCGATTTTATATTGGAAAATATTTTGTGAGATTCAAGTAAATTAAAGTGTTCATTGCAGAGGCAGTACTGCACAGAAATTGCAGATGAAAAAAGGGTACACATAACATCAACTGTTGAAACACAGCTTTAGACCAAAGTTTACACCAAAAAGTTGCAGTAAGTTATAAATCAGGGATTATCTATATTCTTTTAAAAGTTGCTGGTGAGAAAATAACGCTAAAGTATCCTGAATTAATCAGAACAGTGCTGTGTTCATTATATCTGACTCTTTTCTTTTTTATAATTTTCTTACTACAGTTCTAAAAGCCAGTATGAAATTAAAACTGGTGAGAAGGTACCTAAAATTATCTTCTGTTATGGTTAAGTGGCTTTAAGAAAATCACGTAGCATTTTTAAAGCTTGTTATTGTCATAATAAAAAAGAGTCAAACTAACTTCTTAAATCAAGCGAAACAATTGTATCTCAGCCTCTGAATGTACTCGTGAGAGGAGTTTCAGTTGACAAAGCACCAAAACAGCAGAATCAACCATATGAAATATTTATATGTATTTATTTTTAATAGAGATGGGGTCTCCAACTTCTGGCCTCCGGAGATCCTCCTGCCTTACTTAGCCTCCCAAAGTGGTGGGATTACAGTGTGAGCCAGTGTGCCCAGCCTTTATGTTTTTTGTTTTGTTTTGTTTTTGAGTGCAGGGTCTCACCCTTTTGCCCAGGCCAGAGTGCAATGGCACAATCTCAGCTCACCGCAACCTCTGCCTCCCCGGTTCAAGCGATTCTCCTGCCTCAGCCGCTTGAGTAGCTGGGATTCCAGGAACGTGCCACCACACCCGGCTAATTTTTGTATCTTTAGTGGAGATGGGGTTTCACCATGTTGGCCAGGCTGGTCTTGAATTCCTGACCTGGTGATCCACCTGCTTCAGCCTCCCAAAGTGCTGGGATTACAGGCGTGAGACACCGGGCCTGGCAGCCTTTATGTTTTTTTAAGTTTAATATTTTCAAGGCTAACATTTTTTTCTAGATTATTTTACTGCTTTATTTCATAACATTTATCTCTAGTAATAAGCCATCTATCAACTATACTTATCTAAGATAACGATTTGACTAGCTACATTTTTGTAGAAGAATTATCTATCTGCCTTGTTTTCCTGAAAAGTTGGATGCTCAATATGTCCATTTTATTTCCAGTTTTCACCAAATGTTTTATATTAAGCCAAAAGAGATGAACTCAACCTAGAGGCAGAAAATATCAACTTTTAGCAGGAAAAATTGAGTCTGTCCATGAAAGTTTTCTGAAATATAACATTTCTGCCGATCGCTAAGAAAAAAAAATGTTATATTTTGGCCGCAAGCACATTAGCTTCCATCTCTTACAAGTAAGTCACAACACCCAGGCACACAGAAAAGTGTTCAACACCTCCCTGTCAATGCATTCACGATTAGAAGTTCAGAAGTTAAAGAACCACCATAGTTACGGTTTGGGTCAATTTTGTTTACACAATAAAAAGCTCAAGACAAAAGAAGACAGGACATTATTTATTGAACAATAAATATGTGCCAAACATCTGTATTTCTGTTATCTTTAATACTCAGAACTACCAGATAAGATAAATACTATATTTTTGAAGGTGAGGATAGAAGCACGGAGAAGGGTAAATTGGGCTAAGACCACACAGTAAGAAAGAATGTATTTCCATACTCCATTTTTACAAGGACATTTATATGTTGATATGCATCCATAGGGTCTTTGTTTTGTTTTTGTCTTTCAACAAGAATCACTAATCCAGAGCCGCTTTTGTTTTTTCGCTGTAAAAATGACAATTACATTTGGAAATTTGGAGAAGTGACAAAAGATAAATCACCCCATAATCACACGCTTACAACCGTCCCCCCTACCATATTACTTTGAAATAATTCCTTCTAGTCTCTTTTTGCACCCTCCTAGTCCATTTAATAGGCCAAATGAATTGACAGGCCAAAGAACAGGCAGTGCAGTAAACATACACTAGCTAGTTGAAAAGGGTCGCGCGGTGGGGGGCAGGGGGTCGGAAATCCTACACCCATGCAAACAAAAAAAATGAAGAGATACAAACCCCTATTTGAAGAATGAGGCCATTCGCTGGGGGTGAGGTTAGTGGAGTTGGGCAGATTGAAAGGCTAGATCTTTAAAATGACTGCATCTGTAATGTGTCCGTTGGAAAACGCAGTAATAAAAGATGTGGGGAAGGGTATGCCTAAATATTTTCTATTTGAAGACCATTTGTGACTATGACTATAAAATCCAAGTGCAATTTAAGAAGGTGGTCAACTTTAAGTATTGACTATTAATACCTTTCCTGACCACCTGCCGATTTGATTCTGGAGACTGTAATCTACTCACAGGAGATTATGCCTGGTAGAAATCTCTTCGGGAGACCACACAACTAAGAAGCAGGGGTACAGGCATACTTTATTAGCCGAATAACACCTTTTGACTTTTTACACCAGTTCTCCCCTCTACCTTCCTGTATTAACAGTTTTACCTCTACAGGGACTCAGGGTGGGAGGCCTATCAGAACCCAGAGAAGAGTCGGTGCGATGGGCAACTGGGGAACTCCGGCGCACATCTTGCCCCAGGGGGGACAGTATCGTCTTGCAGTCGTTGCCACAACGCTACGCTGGTGCCCGGTAACGACACTCTCCGCGCCACACCCAGCGCCAGCCTCTTGGATCCCCAGGAAGACCAGGGCCGAGCGACAAACACGCAGCACACGCGAACGCCAAACGCTTCCCAGAAAGCTGTGCGCGAGCCTACAACTCCCATGATGCTACGCCGGGAACTGCCCGGCTCCTCGCAGGAAATAGGCAGCTCACCCTGCCACCTGTGCACACATTTTTCTTCAATGTATAGTTCCTCGGCGCGCCTCTGACCTTTTCCCGGAGCTCTTCAATCCCAGAAGCTATAGCACAACGGCTGAATCGCCAGGACCCCCGGGGAGGCGTGGCTTCAGGACCGGAAGAAGCTCCTGTTGCCAAGGGAACGGTGCCTGCCAAGGCGCCTGCTCAGCGACTGATGCACAGACTGCTGCAGAGGCTGCCGGTTTTCCCAACTTCTAGAGACGGCTTTGCTCATTACCAGGCATCCTTCCCATGTAGGCATCGAGAAGAAGGCTGAGGGACCCTCGCACCAGATTTCCATCCCGGAGACCGATACGAGTGCGTCCATTCCTGTTGCCAGCTCCTGCGCCCTCCGGACTAACCTCAAAAACCAGGTATCTCCTCAACGCCGGTTTTTAAAGCCAGCGCCACCCTCTGTCCCCGTCAGTTTTAGAATTCCTCTTTGGTCTTTCCCATGTTTTTCACTCCACGCGTGTAGTTGTTGCTAATGTATGAGAAGTAGAAAAGAAGGTGAGTTATAGAGGCCCTAGAAAACTTACTAAACTGGTTTGGACGTATGTTTGGTTGATGGGTTTTAACAATGCTCAACTTAGACCCGTGTATTGGGGGTGTGTGTGTGTGTGTGTGTGTGTGTGTGTGTGTGTGTGTAAGTGTAATTTAAATTATATCATAAAAAACTGAAAGCCGAATAAGAATGTTTATTTGGGGTAATAAAAGTAGGCAACATTTCAATCAACAAACACTTTACAGAGTTTACTAAGTATCATTCGTGGTGTTTTCTCTGGGCTACCACTCTGTCTCTGCAGCTTACCCTCTAAGCTGTTAACTGTGGATAACATCCTAATTCTTCTGGACTTCTCTGGCAATATGTAATCCTTTAGGAAACAGTCTGTCAGACAATAACCAAGAGAATTTGGCTGGTGTGCAAAGAGAGGGTTACAGTAAGATAAGAAACAAGAAAGGAAGATTGGAGCCAGATTGTGGACAACCTTAAAAGCTGTGCTTGGAAGTTTGAAACTACTGGCTTTATTCTGAAAGCCAGTAGTTCTCAATAGTAACTTCACATCAGAAACACTGGGTAGCTTTTAAAACTACAGATGCCCTGATCTTATTTTCAAAAATTCGGATTCAGCAATTGATTTCAGAGTGCAGCCAGGGTTGAGAATCATGGCTATCAGAGTAGGAAGCTGCAGAAAACAGTTGTGTCTCTCGCTGCACACTTAAGACACGATTAACAAATATTGACTGGCTTCAATTATCTTTTATTTATGCATGCAGAAAGTCAACTTATGGAAGGAAAATTATAACTACTTGAAACGTAGAAGTTTAAAGGCTCTATGATAGTTGTTTATAAAGCAATTTCAATAAATGTGATTACCTCTTTTAGAAAAACTGCCTGCTCTTCTAAATTGTGTGTCCCAAAATATTTCATTAACAAGTATCAAGTGATAATCCATGGAAAAGTGATGGAAAGTCACAATACAAGGTACTGTGAAAAACGAATATTCAAGCATCAGGCTTTAAACACTCAGTGCTTTATAGTAGATGCTTAAAGGGGGGAAAATGTGAGAAGTTGTCGTTTTTAAAACATAAGTTCTAAATTATGAAATGGAGAACAAGATATAAGCATTTATATCAATATGTTTATGCAGTAAATAAAGTGAGTAATAGCAAATTTACTTTGAAATCAAATGGTATGTGTGAATTGCTTCATGACATCAGAAGGTTAATTTAAAATAGATTTTACAAATGCTGGTCCTTAAGCTGTAATTTAAAGAAATGGACTGAATAAGATTTGAATCTCTGATACAAGGAGAAAAGCAGATTGAAGTGGCACAAATGGAAGTACCTGAGGTCAAACTCATCCTTGGGGAAAGACAAACGTGGTTCTGTAATAGGCCTCACCTTTTGGCATGGCACTGTTCCATCTCTTCTCTGCACATCACTGAAATTTAGTTTTGAAATTTCTACCCATAATCATATCCCAAAAGGCCTAAGCAAAATGTTGACTATGCAACCTCCTTTTAGATACAGTTGTCTTGGAAGCCTGTTATTGATAAAGTTGCTGCAGCCTCACATCCTTCAAGGTATGGCCTTGCCTGAAATTGTATGGAATAAAAAGTATTGAAGAAACTGTAATATGACAGGTTGCTTATGCAACCTTAGATGGAGATGAGAATAAGTCAATTTAATGAGAATAAAAACATTAGAGAACTAATGTTGGTGAGTAATGAGAAATATTTGGTACATAGATATATTGTAGCAGTTCCTGCAGCAGTTGGGGGCTGGAAAAAGGGATCTATCTCCCTGTCCTTCTACCACAAAGTAATGGTTTGGGGAGCAATGGACCCAAAGTGAGCTCCTTTGAAAAGTTTAGTTTGGAGACCTGAAGTGTAAATTTAACAGTACCTTAGATGAATATAAACAGCCATAAAGTTACCACATAGCAAGTTTTATGTACACAGCAGTTTTATTTGACTTCCAAATACTTCTATTTTTGGATTGCTGATAGTTTTTTTTTAAGTTTGCATTAGAAAGAATTTTTTTTTCAAAGAATCAATACAATTGAACAAGAGAAATGAACACTTTAGGGACAAGTTAACAAAGAAATTTTTAAGATACTTAAAAAACTAAATTAAAATCTACAATCAGTATTTACTTCCTTATTCTATACTAATACGATAAAGTCCTTTTAAAATAGCACTTAGGAGGATGTTTCAGATAAGTTACAGTTAAAAAACAGATATTTAGTAAGGTTCAATAAATTGAATGTGTGTATGTATTTATGCATAACCTTCTTCACAAAGGGATTTGTGGTGACTTACAAAGATGTATGTATAGGATAAGGGGAAATAAGGATAAGTATTTCAGGATTCTTTGCTTCTACTGAGAGAAAACCCTACTTAAACTGGAAATAACCAAGCAAGCAAAAAAAAAGTGAATTTATTGTAACTTCATATTATTACAAAATATAACAATGGGGCTGGCTTCTGATAAAGATTTAACAGTGGCTTAAATGATATCACCAAAATCTCAAAATCTGTCTGCTTTTCAGATCTGCCTTCTACTTTCTGCCTTCTACATGAACCCCATTGCCCATTCATTGTTTCAGATTTTCTGGAAAGGCTACGGCCTAATTCTTCCATATTTTCAAGTATCACAATTCGCAGACTCCAAATGATACTGAGGCTGACCATGTTTTATTCTTAAATATGATAAATTACAGAGAGAAATGTTGTTATTTCCAAGGCATTGTTCTGTGTTGCCACCTGTTATAAGCTGCAAATCTGCGTGTCAGTTAAGGCTCCTTTCTGGTAATCAGCTTACACTGTGTTTACTAAGTGCAAAGCTACATTGACATAGTTTTCACACTATTATTATGTGTATTTAAATTATTACCTTTTTTTAATACACCTACCAATATTTTCCATAACTTAAGGTGCCTTTGGGTAATATTTTATTTTTTCTTAATTGCAGCTGGTTTGTAAATATTTGAATCACATTATGGGATTGCTAGACAGACTTTCAGTCTTGCTTGGCCTGAAGAAGAAGGAGGTTCATGTTTTGTGCCTTGGGCTAGATAATAGTGGCAAAACGACGATCATTAACAAACTTAAACCTTCAAATGTAAGTATCTTTGTTAGATGCTTTATGTATTTTCTGCTACTAAAGAAAATTAATGTGCAGAATTATGTTATATGACGTTAAAACCGCATATAATCACATTAAGATATTCTGTTAACCTTTCAGTACCTTTAAGTATCCTCAGCCATAATTTGCAGTATATTTTACACAGTAAATTTTAATTATTAAACTGGAATATTATTTTCAAATGTCTTTTCTTTCAAAAGTTCTTCACAGATTTACTGAGTTTACTTTAAATGTCATTGCCTTCTTTTTAGTTTCCTCCTTACAGGAGGAGCAAAACAGAGAAAGGTGAAACATTTTTATAGGTTCTATGGATAATTAGACAATTTTTGAAAGTATAGTATGCATATTAGTAATAGTAAGCAAGATGATTTTAAGCAACAAGTGTATGGACATATTGTAATAACTGAAAAATATATAAAGCTAGCACATTTAACATGTGATGTATAAGTTAAAGTTAAAGTCTGCTGCATATAAAGAAAGCCTATCTAATAGGGCTTTCCTAATTTCTGGCACCAATTCCTGAGCCTTTATGTTTGGACAACTCTCCTGCCTTATCAGAAAAACTGACCTCCAGGTCCAGAGAAAAGTGATTGGCTTTGCTTTTTTTTCTTTTTTTTATGGTAATGGTAACAGCCAAGGAGCCACTTGAAATGGGACTTCTTGAGGGGTTTCAAACCTCTGTCACTCAGTTATAGATGTAGATACAACACTTGCTCCCTTCCTACACCAAGCTCAAGAAGAGTCTCTTGTAAGCTTACATCCACTACTAGAACATTATTTTTAAGGAATTAAATAAAATAAGTACAGAAATGTACAATGCTGTGATAGGAAATGCCTTGCAAAAAAATAGTGCCCATCTCATTTTATAGTAAAATTGTCTCATTTTTGTGGATAAAATCAGTTTCTAGGTAAGTAGTTCTTTCCTGGACACAAACTAGTTTTTCATATTAAGCTATCTTTATGTTTATTTATTGTTAATGTACTGAGGTTGCTGGCATTTTAGAATAGGGAGAGAGGGAGGACATTTTAATCTGATCGCTTTTTTCAAGAATCTAGTCTTAGCTGTCATTTTTTTAGAGATAGACTCTATATACCTTTTTCAAAAATTTCAATCTTTATTCCACTACCAATCTTTATTGTCACATCATCCAGTTTTTATATCATTTTTTATTGATACAAATTTAGGGGTTACATGTGATAGTTTGATACATGCATACAATGCATAATAAATCAGAGTCACTGGGATATCCATCACCTCAAAAATTTATCTTTTTTGTATGTTCAGAACATTCTAATTCTTCTTTTCTGGCTATTTTGAAATATCCAGTAAATTATTGTTGACTATAGTCACTCTACTGAATTATCAAACACTAAGTCTTATTCCTTTATCTAACTGTATTTTTATACCTATTAATGAACCTCTCTCCACCCCTCTCTCCGCCCTACCCTTCCCAGCCTCTGGTAACCACCTACTCTATGTCTCTATGAGATCTACTTTTTCAGATCCCACAAACAAGTGAGAACATGTGATACTTGTCTTTCTGGACCTGGCTTATTTCACTTAACTTAATGACCTTCAGTTCTCTCCATATTGCTGCAAATGACAGGATTTCAGTCTTTTTTATGGCTGAATAATATTTCATTGTGTATATGTACCAAATTTTCATTATCCATACATCCATTGATGGACAAAAGTGTATTCCATATCTTGGCTATTGTGAATAGTGGTGCTATAAACTTGGGAGTGCAGGTATCTCTTTGATACATTGATTTCCATTTTTTTGGATATATTCCCACAGTGGGATTGCTGGATCTTATGGGAGTTCTATTTTTAGTTTCATGCGGAAACACTATACTGTTTTCCATAGTGGCTACACTAATTTGCATTCCCACCAACAATCTACGAGAGTTCCCCCTTTTCTACATCTTCACCAGCATTCATTATTTTTTTGCCTTTTTTGATAAAGGCAATTTTAACTGGGGTGAAATAATATCTCATTGTAGTTTGATATATATTTTCCTGATGAATAATGATGAGCATTTTTTTCATATGCCTGTTGGCCATTTGTCTATATTCTTTTGAGAAATGTCTATTCAGATCTTTTACCCATTTTTTTAGTCAGATTTTTTGTGTTTTGTTTTTCCTTGCTACTGAATTGAGTTCCTTCTGTATTCTGGTTATTAATCCTTTGTTGAGTGGATATTATGTAAATATTTTCTGTAATTCTGTAGATTATCTCTTCACTTTGTTGATTGTTTCCTTTGCTGTGTAGAAGCTTTGTAGCTTGATATAGTCCAATTTGTCTATTTTTGCTTTTGTTACATGTGCTTCTGAGGTCTTACTGCCCAAATCAGTGTCCTGAAGCATTTTCCCTGTGTTTTCTCCTAGTACTTTGATAGTTTTGGGTCTTAGATTTAAGTCTTTAATCCATTTTTAGTTGACTTTTGTATATGGTGGGAGATAGGGGTCTAGTTTCAGTCTTCTACATGTGTTTATCCAGTGTTCCAGCATCATAAGACTATCCTTTTCCCAATGTATGTTCTTGGATGTCTTTTTGGAAAATGAGTTGGATGTAAATACATGGATTTATTTCTGGCTTCTCTGTTCTCTTCTGTTGGTCTGTGTGTGTGTGTTTATGCCAAAACTATGCTGTTTTGGTTATCATGGCTTTGTAGTATAGTTTGAAGTCAGATAGTGTGGTACCTCCAACTTTGTACTTTTTGTTCAGGATTATTTTGGCTATTTGGGGTCTTTTATGGTTTCATATAAATTTTAGGATTCTTTTTATATTTCTGTGAATGTTATTGGTATTTTGATAGGGATTGCATTGACTCTGTTAATCTCTTCGGGTGGTATAGATATTTTAACTGTGATAATTCTTTTAATCCATGAGCATAGATAGAATAGCTTTTCATGTTTTTGTGTCCTCTTCAATTTCTTTTATCAATATTTTATAGTTTTAATTGTAGAGATCTTTGGTTGGATTTATTCTTAAGTATTTTATATTTTTTATAGCTATTATATATGGGATTACTTTCTTGATTTCATTTTCAGATTGTTTGTTCTTGGTGTATATAAATGCTACTGATTTTTATATGTGGACTTTTGTATCCTGAAACTTAACTGAATCTCTTTATCAGTTCTAACAGTATTTTTGGTAGAGTCTTCAGGTTTTTCTAAATATAAGAACATGTCATCTGCAAACAAGGATAATTTGAGTTATTTCTTTCCAATACTGATGACCTTCATTTTTCTTGCCTAATTGCTCTGGCTGGAACTTCTAGTATTGTTTTTGAGTAAAAGTGGTGAAAATGAACATCCTTGTCTTGATCCAGGTTTAGAGGAAAGGCTTTTAGTTTTTCTCCATTCAGTATATTAGCTCCACCAGTATAATATTAGTATATTAGCCATGGTTTTGTCATTTATTTAGCCTTTATTGTTTGAGGTATGGTTCTTTTAATCCAATTTGTTGAGAGTTTTTGTCATAAAGAGATGTTGAATTTTATCAAAAGTTTTTTCAACGTCTATTTAAATGATCATATGGTTTTGTCCTTGATACTATTAATCTTATGGGCTCATATATTGATTTGTGTATGTTGAACCATCCTTGCATCCCTGGGATGAATCCTACTGATCATGGTGAATGAACTTTTTAATAGGTTGTTAGATTCAGTTTTGCTAGCATTTTGTTGAAGATTTTTGCATCTATGTTCATGAGGGATATTGGCCTGTAGTTTTATCATTGTATTCCTGACTAGTTTCGGTGTCAGATTAATGCCAGTTTTGTAAAATGAGTTTGGAAGTGTTTCCTTCTCTTTACTTTTTGGGATCGTTTGAGTTGAATTAGTATTTGTTTTTTAAATGTTTGGTAGAATTCCATAGTGAAGCCATCAGGTCCTAATATTTTCTTTAATGGGAGACTTTATATTAGTGCTTTGATCTCCTTACTCATTATTGGCCTGTTCAGGTATTTTATTTTTCCATAGTTCAATCTCAGTAGGTTGAATGTGTCCGGCAATTTATCCACTTCTATGTTATCCAATTTGTTGGCATGTAGTTTTTCATAATAATCTCTAATAATCCCTTGTATTTCTGTGGTATCAGTTGTTATTTCTCATTCTTAAGTTCTAATTTCATTTATTTGGATCCTCTTTTTTTTTCCTAGTTTATCTAATGTCTTCTCAATTTTATAATTTCAAAAAGCCAACTTTTTGATTCTTTGATCTTTTGTATGTTTTTAGTCTCACTTTCATTTATTTTTGTTATGATCTTTATTTATTTCCTTCTATTAATTTTGGTTTAGATTTGTTCTTCCTTTTCTGGTTGTTCGAGGTGCATCATTGGGTTATTTGAAGGCTTGTTACTTTTTTTTTTTTTTTTTTTGAGATGGATTTTTGCACTTGTCGCCCAGGCTGGAGTGCAATGGTGTGATCTCGGCTCACTACAACCTCTGCCTCCCGGGTTCAAGCGATTCTCCTGCCTCAGCCTCCCAAGTAGCTGGGATTATAGGCATGCACCACCATGCCCTGCTAATTTTGTATTTTTAGTAGAGATGGGGTTTCTCCATGTTGGTCAGGCTGGTCTCAAACTCCGACCTCTGGTGATCTGCCCACCTCGGCCTCCCAAAGTGCTGGAATTACAGGTGTGAGCCACCACGCCTGGCTGCTACTTTTTTGATGTATGTGTTTATTGCTATAAACTTCTTGGTTAGTACTGGTTTTGCAGTATCCATAGATTTTGGTATGTTGTATTTCCCTTTTCATTTAAGAATGTATTAGTCAGGGTTCTCTAGAGGGACAGAACTAATAGGATAGATATCTATAAAGGGGAGTTTCTTAAGTGGTATTAACTCACACAGTCACAAGGCTCCACAATAGTCTGTCTGCAGGCTGAGGAGCAAGGAAGCCAGTCTGAGTCACAAAACTGAAGAACTTGGAGTCCGATGTTCAAGGACAGGAAGCATCCAGCATGGGAGAAAGACGTAGGCTGGGAGGCTAAGCCAGTTTACCTTTTCACATTTTTCTGCCTGCTTTATATATTCTGGGCGCACTGGCAGCTGATTAGATGGTACTCAGCCAGATTAAGGGTGGTCTGTCTTTCCCAGCCCACTGACTCAAATATTAATCTCCTTTGGCAGCACCCTCACAGACACACCCAGGATCAATACTTTGCATCACTCAATCCAATCAAGTTGACACTCAGTATTAACCATCACAAGTCCACCCCTTGTCAATACACATCTCCTGAGATCATACATAATGTTCAAATAAGGACAATAATAAGGTCATAATTATGCCTAACATAATACAACTATCCTTCGTACAACCGGAAATATACCAATCCCCAACCCAAATGCTATTACATAAAGTCAACAGTATTTAAATGCTGAAATGAAGTTAATAAATCTTATGTCACATGATAAAGGAAAAAGAAAATAAAATGAATATATTTTCATAGTACAAGTTTATATGTACACAAACATGTTTTTAACAAAAGGAGGAAATACTCATGGCAGTTACAGTCTTTGTTTCTGTAACTGGTCATGTGGTCACAGCTGGTATTGATGACTACCTTCTTCTACTACCTATTCTGTATTCCCTTTGCCTTCAGCAGGCACCTCAGCAGGTGCTGCTTTTGTTTGTTTGTTTGTTTGTTTTTCCTGGTGGAGTGACCCAAACCTTCATTCCTGGAGGGTCTGGTCCATATGTAGTCCTGCCAGATTGGGCTGTTGTAGTTTCCCATTGACCTTAATCACAGGGCATGGTAATACAAAGAGATGCCCTAATGGATCTCCTATATTCCATACATACTCTTCCTTACCTCCGTTGTGGAGTGATAGTCTGATTTCATCTTGATAGTCCCGGATAGTCACCCCAGCCAACACTAACTCCCTTCTTAGCTTGTTGACTTAAAGGTAGGAGGAGCCTGTTCTCCAGATTACTGTTTATATAAATTAGAAAACTCGAGCAGTTCTTTTTGAGTGTAGTGCACCACCTCATGGATCACACTCTCAACCTTACCTCTGGGGCCCCCCCAGGATTTTAGTTATAGTTTAGTTATTCCGGGATTTTAGTTTAGAATCCCCCCGGGATTCTAGAAGCAGGCGGGGGTATTGAGGGTGACTCTTGAGGAGAATCAACATTATCTTGCCTGGCAACTGCCTCAGGGGAGGCCATCACTGTTGTCCCAGGCAGCGCAGGGTTTATCTCCTCAGACAAAGGTGGAAAGGCTGATGGCAGCATGGGTGGGGGAGGGGATGTTGCCACTACTGGGAATGGGGAAGCTGTTTCTTCTGGCAAAACAAGGTTCATCAGAGTTTACAAGCTTGGTGTCCCCAGCTTCATCAGGGTCCTCCCACACATCCCCATTCCAAGTTGCAGAGTCCCATTCTTTTCCAATCAATGCCCTCACTTCAACAGTAGGTACCTGGCGAGGCTGTGCATGCACCTTTCATTGCAGGTCAGCAACTGATATAAGAGCTTGTGCCTGTTTTTCCACAATTTCAGCTCTTTCTCTACAGGAGATAAGACTCTCACTCAGGGCAGTCTTAGCAGCTTTGAGGCTCAGTATGTGCTTCTGAAGCTGGGAGTTACAATCCCTGAGTTCATAATTTTCTTTCATTACTTTGTCCAGTGAACTTAAGAGCAACCAACCAACTTCATTATGTTCCTTGGTTCTCCACATATAGTCAAAGGTATTATGTATAGAGTCACTAAACTACTTACCGCTCACGAGCAGTGAATCAAGAGTGTCAAATGCATTTATTTTGCATAACTCTCTAAACAGTTCGTGCCAAGGACTATCAGTGTTCTCCATACTATTAAAAGTAGAGTCCTTAGCATTTTGGGGTCTAATCATATTAAGCAGCCAACTCCAGAAACCCCAAAACCAATGAAAGAACTCCATCCTTAATATTCTGTTCCTCTAGAACCACTCCTGGTACCAAAATCTATATTAGTCAGGGTCCTCTAGAAGGACAGAACTAATAGGATAGATAGATATACATATAAAGGGGAGTTTATTAAGTAGTATTAACTCACGTGATCACAGAGTCCCACAATATACCATCTGCATGCTGAGGAGCAAGGAAACCGGTCCGAGTCCCAAAACTGAAGAACTTGAAGTCTGATGTTCAAGGGCAGGAAGCATCCAGCACGGTAGAAAGATGTAGGCTGGGAGGCTAAGCCAGCCTAGCCTTTTCAGGTTTTTTTTTTGCCTGCTTTATATATTCTGGCCACACTGGCAGCTGATTAGATTGTTCCCACCCAGATTAAGGTGATTGTTCCCAGCACACTGACTCAAATGTTAATCTCCTTTAGCAGCACCCTCACAGACACACCCAGGATCAATACTTTGCAT
Organism: Homo sapiens; assembly: GCF_000001405.40. Lineage (NCBI taxonomy): Eukaryota > Metazoa > Chordata > Mammalia > Primates > Hominidae > Homo > Homo sapiens. The sequence goes on from NC_000003.12 coordinate 97,775,615, forward strand.
CCTTCAATCCAATCAAATTGACACTTAGTATTAACCATCACAAAGAACTTTTGAATTTCCTTCTTAATTTCTTCATTCACCCATTGAATATTAGGAAGCATGTTAATTTCCATGTGTTTTTATAGTTTCCAAAGTTCCTCTCATTATTGATTTCTAGTTTTATTCCATTGTGGTTAGAAAAGATACTTGATATGATTTCTACCTTTTAAAATTTGTTGAGATTTGTTTTGTTGCCTAACATGATCTATTTTAGAGAATGTTCCATTTGATGATGAAGATAATGTATATTCTGCAGCTGTTGGATGGAATGTTCCATAAATGTTTATTAGGTCCATTTGGTCTAGAGTTCAGTTTAACTTGGATTTCTTTTGTTGTTGATTTTTCTGTCTGAATGATCTGTCTATTACTGAGAATGGGGTGTTGAAGTCCTCTGCTGTTATTGTATTGCAGTCTTTCTCACCCTTTAGCTCTATTAATGTTTGGTTAATATATACGGTGTTCCCATGTTGAAGGCACATATATTTACAATTGTTATATTCTCATTCTGAATTTACTCCTTTTTCCTCATATAGTGATTTACTTTGTCTCTTTTTATAGTCTTTGACTTGTAATCTGTTTTATCTGATATGAGTATAGTTAATCTTGCTGTTTGTTGGTTTTCATTTACATGGAATGTCTTTATCCGTTTTGTTTTCAGCCTGTGTGTATCTTCATAGATGAAATGAGTTTTTTGTGGAAAGCACATAGTTGGGTCTTATTTTTTTTTAATCCATTCAGCCACTCTGTGTCTTCTAATTGAAGAATGTAGTTCATTTACATTTAATACTATTACTGATAGGTAAGGACTTACTATTGCCATTTAGTTAATTTTTCTCTTGTTTTGTAGCTCCTCTTTTCCTTTCTTCCTTTCTTAAGGGATATTACTTGTGCTAATCTTAGTACTGGATATTTGTTTTTGGTTTTCTGTGGGAGATAGTGAAGCCTAATTGCTTCTTGCTTCTACTTCATTTTGGTGATGTTACCCTTATTCTTTTTGTTTATTTATTTATTTTTTTTTTTTGAGACAGGGTCTGGCTCTGTCACCCAGGCTGGAGTGCAGTGGCACAATCTTGGCTCATTGCAACCTCCATTTCCCGGGTTCAAGTGATTCTGCTACCTCAGTCTCCTGAGTAGCTGGGATTACAGGCACGCGCCACCACACCCCACTACTTTTTTTGTATTTTTAGTAGAGACGAGGTTTCACCATGTTGGCCTGGCTGGTCTTGAACTCATAACTTGAGGTGACCTACCCGCCTTGCCCTCCCAAAGTGCTGGGATTACAGGCGTGAGCCTCCGTGCCTGGCCACCCTTATTCTTAAAATTTAAAACAATCTAAAATTGTTCAGTTGATAACTTGCATATTCATTTGATAACTGGCTTATTAAATTTCTCCCATTATAAACGAGCATAGATTTTTCTCTTCTTCAGCAGTGAATCCCAGATACCTAGAATAATGCTTGGCACTTTGGATGAGTAGATTGATGGATGATTTTTTAATATTTAGTTTTGGCCAGGGGATTATGATTGATACCACCAAGGATATCATTTTTATCAGACTTAATGAAACTAACCAAATAGGATCTCTCTCAGAAATCTTATTCTGTTCCTGTTTATGTTGGTGTATCCTTGAACTGTCTCAGAATGTTTTGTTCCACTAAGGCAATACGATAACCACAGGAGATTTGTTCCAGGACACACATTCCCACCCACCCCCTTCCACCCTCCTACCTATATAAAATGGTATAGTATTTGCATATAACTTATGCACATCCTCCTGTATACCTTAAATCATCTCTAGATTACTAATAATACTTTAATACAATATAAATACTATGTAAATAGTGTTTATTGTATTTATACATTTGTAATATTTTTATTGTTAAATAGTATTGTTATCTTTTTTAAATTATTATTTTCAATTCATGTTGGCTAAATCTGTGGATTTAGAAGCTATAGATACAGAGGGCTGACTGTAATTCCTATACTCTTTGTTTACTTTGTGCCATTCCCTGTCCAATTTTCAGAATAACCAAATGTATTTGTTCTTGGATAGAGCAGAGGGAGATTGATATTGTAAACTATCTTTTGGAATATGTTAGAGGAAAATGAGTTCCACTTCAGTCTGGAAGCAATTGCTCACATATCTTGTTCTACCCTAATTAATTTGTGAAGTTTCTTTTTTTTCCTGATTACTTTCTGCTAGAACTTTTGAAGTGATGGAAAGAAAAGAAAATTTATGAATTTTATTCCTACAAGTAAAATAGCAAGTTTCTCTGGAAATAAAAAAGAGTTTGTGAAGAAGTTAGGTGATCGTGGGGACGCTAGGGAAATGTTCTAATTATAATTCAGTGAAGACAGGGTTGCTATTTTAATATACATTTTTTGAGACTTCTTTAAACTTTAGCTTCCTATTTTGTTATTGGTGTCTTTTTCCTCATAGTAGTAGCTGATGATTTTTTCACAATGATTGGCACATTTAAAGCCCTTAAAATCAAAATAATGAAGTTGGGGGAACATTAAAACTTAGGAAACTTCTTATTGCAAAGGTTGTTCTGAAATGAAGGAAACCCAAGGTATGAGGCAGGAATCTTAGTGGCAGGAAATGAATTTTGTCTTACATAAACAAAAATATATTTTTGGAAAAATACTAGATCAGATCTTGGAATGGATAGAAGGAAAAGGAAAAAGCTAAGTAAACAAACTTCAGAAAGGCAAAACAAGGGCAGCTCTGGAGGGCCTTTCTACTAGTGCATTACCATGCTATTAAAGTGACCAAGCTCCAGTGAATTTTGAGCTTCTGTCTTTCCTTGAATTTAAATTTCCCAGAAGTAGACTACCAGAGTGAATGTAATAGTGTGAGGCAAAATTTTCCCCTCTAATACTGTTTTTTTATAAAAGCAACAAGATGAACTGAAGGGAGTTTTTTTTAAAGTTATAGTGACAATATGGGAAGAATTGGGGAAGAGACTGAAATCAGTGAGCATGTAATTATAATAATATCAGACATTTGTTGAGCATTTACTGTGTTGAGTATTTTACATCCATTAACTTATTTACTTATCATGATAAGTTTATGAGTAAAGGATAATAATAATATATTTCACATTTGAGAAAACCAGGCTTAGAAAAATTAAGTAACTTGTTCAAGGTAGCAAAGGCAAGTAAGAGCAATTAGGAGGCTGGTACAGTAATTCAAAGCAAGAAATGATAAGGGTCTGAACTAAGTTAGTGAGATAGAACCAAAAAGCTTAGAGAATGATTACATAAAGAATGTAAAAAAAAGGGAGGAGTCAATAATAATTTCTAGGCATCTGGATCAGAAAGTAGATATATTTTTATTCAAACAGAGGAATAGTTTTTCTGATGAAAGTGCTAGGAGGCATTTAACAAGTTAGATTGTTAGTATAATACATTTTAATTGTCAGTGGGATTTGTCAACATGTCTCCTGCTGTACTCTAGCCCCCTTTCAATCTCTTCTCCACGCAGAATTCCCTACCATTGCCTTCAAGCCCTTACCTCAACATATCACTCTTTATCTTACCCGATACACTTGAGACATTTAGGCTTTCTGCATTTCCTCAGTGGCAAGTTCCTTCCTTCCTCAGAATCATTGCACTGACAGATTTCTCTGACTGGACTGTTCTTTGTCAATAACTTGTCATGGTTCTTCCCCTCCTGTCATTCACTCCTGGGTCAGATGGCCCCTACTCAGAGAGACCATTCCTGAGCACTTTTCTTCCATGCCACCTTCCAGCCCCTTTCTGTTGCCTCCCACCCCCAAAACATTTATTTTTGCACTTATCTCTGCTCAAAATTGTGTTCTATTTACATCTTCTAGCTTGTAAACTCCATAAAGGCAGGAACCATCTACACATGAGGGCAGTCTGGAACATATACAAACTCACGTATGTGTTGAAAGATTAGAAAGTATGCCAGGCACGGTGGCTCACTCCTGTAATCCCAGCACTTTGGGAGCCCAGGGCGGGCAGATCACAAGGTTAGGAGATCGAGACCATCCTGGCTAACACGGTGAAACCCTGTCTCCACTAAAAATACAAAAAATTAGCCAGGCGTGGTGGCGGGCGCCTGTAGTCCCAGCTACTCGGGAGGCTGAGGCAGGAGAATGGTGTGAAGCCGGGAGGTGGAGCTTGCAGTGAGCCGAGATTGCGCCACTGCTCTCCAGCCTGGGTGACAGAGTGAGACTCTATCTCAAAAAAAAAAAAAACACTTATTAAACCACTTATAAAACAAACGCTTATGTCCTTGGTAGCATGCCACAAGCCACAAATGTGAATTAATATTATGCAGATTCATAATTAGTAAACCTTAAACTTCTATAAAGAATTCACACAGAGTGATCCTATTGAAAAAATTATATAACTTTGTTAAATCCTATCATCTCCTTAGTGACAGATTTTAGAAACTGAAAATCTGGATACTTTAACTTGAGGAAAACTCATCTCTGGTAATTGTAAATTTCTGAACTTTGTCTTTTCTCTTAAAGGCTCAATCTCAAAATATCCTTCCAACAATAGGATTCAGCATAGAGAAATTCAAATCATCCAGGTAATCCACTTTATCCCTTAACAAAAAAGTTGCTAGTGAAAAATAACAATATTAGGTCTACCTGGTCATTCTTCCTACCCTTAGATAAAGTAATTTGTTGTTTCAGAATCTCATAGGTATTAAAGTGTTTCTAACCACTATGGCTGGTTTATTTTTCAGAATTTAGAGTTTAGACAAACTCTGATAACTTCACTAGCAAAGAAGTTTTTTATGTTATTTATTGCAAAATTGTGTTTATATTAATACATTTATTTCATAGAACTTTTACTTGTAAATTGGCACATGTTGAATATTGCATATGAAGGGTAATTTCTTTGATTGTAAATAATTTAAAATTTTAAGTAAAAGTTATGCTTTAGTTTATAATGTAGTCATGTTTTGCTTCTTTTTGTAGTTTGTCATTTACAGTGTTTGACATGTCAGGTCAAGGAAGATACAGAAATCTCTGGGAACACTATTATAAGTAAGTACATCTGTGAATGTTGCTTAACTAGATGGTTTTTACTAATAATAATGATTAGAAATCCAAAGAATTATATGGCTAGGTTGTTTGGCTTTTTTTTTTCATGTAATTTATGAACATTTCCTATTTTAAAAAATATGTAATGAGACTCAACATTGTTTGTCAAATGTTTCAGGTCCTTCATGACTTCGGGCCTTTGCATGTACTATTCTCTCTGTTTTTAATGCCCCATTCTATCCTACTTCACTTCAGTTTAAGGTTAACATATTCCTGCTTTAAAACTCAGCTAAAAGTCCTTTCCTCTGAAGTTTCACTGTTCTGCCCAGTTATTTTGTCCTTATTGTTCACCTGGCACTTTGTCCATTTCTATCTCTCTAATCATACTTACCATGTCTTGAAGTTATGCACCATAGCCGCCTCCCTAGTGGAAGTGTGAACTCCTCAAGGGAAGGGATTATTTATTATTCATATTATTTTTTCAAGACCTAGTATGATGCTCAGCATATAGGCCAGTAAATATTATTGACTAAATTTAGTTAAAAATAACAGTGTTGCCTAACAGTTGATCCATTGTTCTATGAATAATTTGAAACAAGCCATTTTTCAGCATATGCAAGTCAAGTGCTCACTAATTTACACTTGGTCCTTCATGTCCTTGGGTTCTGCATTCCTGGATTAAACCAATTGTAGATCAAAAATATTTGGGGAGAAAAATGCCATAAAGTTCCAAAAAGCAAAACTTAAATTGCCGTGCACAAACTACTGTATTGAAAGCATATAAATGAGGTCATATGTAGGCATTGTATTACGTATTATAAGTAATCTAGGGTGATTTAAAGAATATGGAAGAATTTGCATATGTTATAAGCAAATACTAAGCCATTTTATATAAGAGACTTGAGCATCTGCAGATTTTGGTATTTGAAGGGGATCCTGGAACCAATCCCTCGCCAATTCGGAGGGATGACTATACTTCAGACTAATAGCTGTCAAGTTACTAGGACCCAAATGTGTTATACCTTCTGGAGATTTGCATATGGTAATAAAATAAATTCATTAGCTTCTAATATTGTTAGGACTTCATTTAAGAGCAATGTATTTCACTTTTAGAGTCTGAAACTTAAAAACACTATCTCTTAACTAAACTCTCTTTTGTCATTATGAACTGCTGCCTTGAAATGGTATGTGATATTTACCAGATAAGATTTAGATTTAGATTAACTCTTTCCTAATAATGTGAGACCAAACATTAAATGGTATATATTTGGGATATGAACCAGAGGAAATTTATTCAAATTTTTTTTTCAATGAGTCCTTCAATAAATTGAAGGCCTATTTAAATCGTAGGTCCAGAAGACTTCTGAGAGAGAGGGAAAAGAGAGTGCTTCAGATTCGAGGGTTAGTTTGGAAAAGGAAAAGTGGCATGTTTGTGGTATTCTGCATTAAATTCCTTGGGGAGATGCATTTTATGTGTTTCTTATTTGTTTGTGTGTTTAGGAAACCTGAGTTTTCAGTACAGGATTTTTTAAATTCCTCCTCCAATTAGTTGATAAATAATTCCTTTTAAAAATGTATTTAGCTACTTTAAAAATACTTTAATTTTAATTACAAAAATATATATAGAGAGAAAATAGTAGGAAAGTAAACTTTGTTTTTATTTGATTTTAACTCCTTTTTTCTTTGTACTGTTTTTGGATGAAATTTATGAATTCTAGAATAGAGTGGTTACATTGTAGATTGAATGGAGAATATGATTACTATTGAAAAATCAACAATAAAAGTAAATTTACTTTCCCTATTTTCGTACTTTTCTAACTGTGAAACAAAACAAGTACATTTTGATCTATTAGACTGAAAAAGGTTACAAAGATTAATAAAGTATGCTCTTGTCAAAGTGAGCCACTCCTGTGAGAATGTAATATCTTTTTCAGGGTAATTTATTGATATCTGTTAAAATGAAAAATGTTTATAAACTCCAGCAAGCATTTTTACTTTTAGAAAAGTATTCTATGACCAGGGCTTATGGGCAAAAAAATATACATAGAAGGTTGTATGTTAGCATTATTTATAACATTTTTATATCAATTATGTAAAAATGTTACTATAAATATTTATCTTTGCTATATATATAACCATAGTAGTAAAAAAAAAAAATCAAGGAAATTTACATTTGCTATAAATATGTACTTACTATGTATAGAAAGAAGAAAGTTCTTAGTGGATTATGCACCAAACCATTAGTAGCATTTATTTTTGGAATAGTAGGATTATAAGGGAAGTTTACTTTCTTTTATTTTTCTTTTCTTTTTTTTTTCACATCCTGTTTGGTGAAGAGAGACATTTACTTTCTCATCTATATGATGCCATAATGTTAAATATTATATAATTTTTACATACTATTTTTACAATATAAAAAGGTAATAGCATGCAAAAATATAAGGAGTACACATTTTTTAAATTTGGAAAATATAGAAGAGAATATTGAAAACATGTTTCCCATAAATCTCACTATTCATAAATTCACCATTGTCAATCTTTTTGGTATCTTTCTCCTCCTTTTGAAATATATAACATATACTTTATATAACTAAGGAAAAAGGAACCATCTAAATTATGTACCATGTATAATTTTGTATCTTGCTTTTTTCAGTTAACATGTGGTAAGGGTAAATCAGGAAAAACATGCAATGAATATAACTAACAGCTGCCTAATATTTTTTCACACAGCTTTGCCAAAATTTCTTTAACCATTTCTCTACTCTAGGACATGAAGGCTATTCTGTTTTTGAAAATTGTAAACAGTCCTTCAGTCAAAATCTTGTATAAATCTTAGCCCCAGTTCGTGATTCCTTAGAATGAATTTCAGAAATAAAATCACTGGCTCAAAGTGATTGAACGTTTTTATAGATCTTGATAGGTACTTTGATTGTTCTGGTTTCTATATGTACTGGTAATGTATGTCTGTGATAATCAGCATTATCCTTTTTTAATGATAGGAGAAAATGGTATATAAAAAGTTTTATTTTGTATATCATTTGATTATTAATCACATTGCAGTTTAAATACTTAATTTATGATTAAGTGATTCGCAAAAAAAAGTACAGATGTCCAATAAATATATGAAAAGATATTGAACCTCATTGGCAATTAATGAACTAGATCAAGATAATATGCTGTTAGAATGGCAATTATTGAAAAGAATGATGATAATGATAATAGCCAGTGCTGGCAAAGGAGTGAGAAAAGTACTGAGTCATGTAAATTGATATGGCATTTCTGGAGGACAGTTTGGAAATGTTTTTCTAAAACTTTAAATTATGTATGTAGTCTTAGAAATGTTACTCCTAACATTTCTAATAAATCTTAAAGCATCAGAACTTTTTTAAAAGAAAGGTATGTAGGAGGATATTTGCCTTAAAGTTTTTCATAATGATGAAAATTGGAAATAACCTAAAAGTCCAGCAACAAATGTTTGATACAGTATTTGATGACACATCCATGCAGTGCAATAGTTTAGAACCATTAAAAGAAGATAGTGCAGAGGAATAATCAATAATTTTTCAAGTGCCTATGTGATCCATGGGTGAATCCTTAACTAGTTCAATCACTGGCTATCAGCTTTTAAAAAATCAAATAGAATAAAATAAAAGCTATTTGTAAGTATTTTTTCAGAAGACTTTCACTTAAAATACATCTATATATACCTATGTGTCTACTGTATCTTAATACAAAATGTATTTCTCACTATGGTTTATGGTAAAAATAATTTATAAAAGTAGTAGTAAAACCATAGTAGTAAAAAAAAAAAAAATCAAGGAAATTTACATATGTATTGCAAAGGCAAGGTGTAATACAGGATTCCATTTTAAATACATATATAGTTTATTCATATGTAATATACACAAAGTGTAGCTTTATACCAAAATATTAATAATTATTGCATCGGTGTAATAGGGTTATGGTATTTTAACTCATTTTCTCATATTCTGATATTTTAATGAAAAAATTACTCATTTTTTAAAATTATGAAGTAGCAAGTCATTAAATTTACTTTATTATCCAAATGAAAAGGTATTTTACATGAAATATGACTAATGATTAATATATTTATCAGTCATATAAACTAATAAGAAACAACACCAAAAATTCTAATGATATATGGACATAGGACATAAGGAGATAATACTTAGGTTAGGAAATGCCCATGGATAATAAACATGGAAAAATTTATAAGTAAAGCTTTAATTTTTCTTTTTCTTTACATTACACAGAGAAGGCCAAGCTATTATTTTTGTCATTGATAGTAGTGATAGATTAAGAATGGTTGTGGCCAAAGAAGAACTCGATACTCTTCTGAATCATCCAGGTATGTGTGTGTCTTTCAGTCTGTATCTGTTCTTTGGGGTTCATTTATGTGTAATGTTTTGTTCTTTGGGTATTGCTTATACTATGTAATTATCTTTCATTTAAAATTTTTGAATTTAAAACATATATGTTATACAAAATTTATATTTTATGTACATCACCATATTTTGTAAATTTTGCATGCAATGTAAATGTAAAGCATTTTGCATTGTTTTTGGGGTGTCTAACATTTATTTCCTCAAAAATAAAAATTCCCTTTTTTCTGATTACATAAATTGTACCAAAGCAAAAAAAAAAAAAAAATCAGATGGAAAAATAAAATAAAGATCTGTGTATTTCAACACCCATTAAAATTATTTGTTACCATATTTTCATGCATTTCTCTATGTGTATCTGAGTTTGTGTGTGTTTAATTACAGCATTTCTTACATATTTATTCATATATATATATATATATATCTCCCAAAAATATCTGTAGGGTTGAGGACTGTGGGGACTATCATTGTTATTTACCAAAATGGAATCATATTCTTTACACTCTTCTGCATGTTTCTATTCTCAGTTAACACTTAATGATGGATATCCTTCCAAATCAAATTATATATAATTATGTAGTTATTCTTTTTAATGATGCCTAATATGGTTTACTATGAATGTACCACAGTTTATTTAATCATTCACCTGTTGATGTATACTTTCCTCCCGCCCAAGCCCCCACTACAAACAGTGCTCCAGTAAGTATTGTGGAACTCTGCATTTCTAGCCTTCCTCATGCCAAAAAAATTTAAATAGTGCTTGTGCTAGGACTTTCAGAAAAGGATGGTGGTTTAAGAGAACTGTGGATTTGTTAGAAATGAAATAGAAATAGTGTGGGGCTTTCTAATAAATGTTACTGCTTAACCACAATATCTTTGGTATTTTTAACAGATGACCTCAAGCTTACTGAAATTTTTGAAAAAAAATTATCCGCCCTGTACATTTTATTTGACTTTTTAATGTTAAAAACTTAGCAGTCTTGGCTGGGCGTGGTGGCTCAGGCCTGTAATCCCAGCACTTTGGGAGGGATTACAGGCGGGTGGATCACTTGAGGTCAGGAGTTCGAGACCAGCCTGGCCAACATGGTGAAACCCCATCTCTACTAAAAATACAGAAATTAGCCAGGCACGTGCACTTGTAATCCCATATGCTCAGGAGGCTGAAGCAGGAGAATTGCCTGAACCTGGAAGGTGGAGGTTGCAGTGAACTGAGATAGCACCACTGAGGGCAACGGAGGAGACTCTGTCTCAAAAAAAAAAACAAAAAACTTAGCAGTCTTGTATCTAGATTGATAATGCATTTTTGATTATGTCTTCCTTTCATATTAATCTTTCCAGTTTTTCTCTAAAAAGTGTTTCAGTGTTGAGCAGTAAAATGAAATAGTTCCTATAAAATATACTTCAAACAATGGGGATTTTGATTTCCTCAACTGAAGCCTTGTCTATGGATCTTAATGTACTACTTCCTTTATTTTATGGGATAGATTCCCAAGGGAGGGATTTCTCAGCTGAAGTGTATATGAACTTTTTAAAAAAATTGATGGCCATAAAAAATCTTTGAATAGCAAAATGTACTGTGAACAGATAAAGACAATGACAGGCAAGGGAAAATATTTGCAACTCATATCATAGCTACAGGGATATTTCTATACTACTTGTGTTTCTAAAAATCAGTAAGAATATAAAAGCTTAATAGAAAATGGGGAAAGGACATATCAGGTAAGTCAACAAAAACATAAATTTAAACATCTTTTGAATATATGGAAAGATTCTTGGCCTTTCTATTACCTATGATATGGAAAATATCAAGAAGTTTCATAGCAGTCTTTTGGCTAGGGGAGTGGAAACACTCATTCTTATACGTGGTTGTTGAAGTGTAAATTGATATAATTTTTAAGAGAAAGCAGTTTGGTAATCACTGTCTATCAAAAGAGAAATTTATGTCCTTTGACCCAACAATTCCACATCTTAAATTTATCCTAAGGACATACTGGCCGGTGTACAAAATTACCTATATACACATTTATTCATTACAGGATTGTTCATAGTTGTAAAGATTGGTAACAGGTATCTCAGTTGGGTTCTGGTTAAATAATAGTACATAGTACTAAAAGAAGAAATATTCCAGAACGGTTAAAATAATGAAGAAGCTGCTCTATATGTACTGATATGGGATCAGATCCAAGATATGTAAATAAATGAAAAGATAAAGGTATAAAGTAATGAGGTTGGCCTGCTATATGAAAATAATATATAATAATTATGTTTGCAAATACATAAAATATTTCTATGAAGATGCCAAGACACTGATGTTATGGGTTGCCTTTTCTACAGAGACCATTGTCCTAGGACAAAGTTAGGAAGGAGATTCTTTTACTGTATGCCATTTTGTATCTTCTGAATTTTGAACTATTTAAATGTATTGTCTATTCAAAAAAATGAAAAATGTTTCCAAAATCATGACAAGGTAAAAATATCTTTTAAAAATCTAGCTTGTTACTTATGATATTGTGACAAAAAACTTAAATAAGTTCCCAGTTTCTTTTCCTTCTACTTCTACTTGAAGTTTGCCTCCTTTCTGTTCACCATTAAAAAGGAAACAAAATATTTAATGCTTTTTTGTAGGTACTTCTCTGTAATGCTTATTGAGCTCCAGTCCCACCTCACCCATCTTTGGTTAAAGCTCCTAACCAGAGGGCAGATGGTCCTAGGAAGTATTTTTAAAATTTTGTTACTGCTCAAATACATGCCTAACAGTGTGACAGTATGTGTCTTTAAATGTTTCTGTGTGTGTGATATGAAAAAAGATAATTGAAAAAAAATTTCATGGGTTTCAGTACTAAAGATTTGCTGCAAAATGACCTAAAAAGCTGGAAGTGTGATGATAATCTTATTTTCTCTTTTAGATATTAAACACCGTCGAATTCCAATCTTATTCTTTGCAAATAAAATGGATCTTAGAGATGCAGTGACATCTGTAAAAGTGTCTCAGTTGCTGTGTTTAGAGAACATCAAAGATAAACCCTGGCATATTTGGTAAAGTTTTATATTTACTTTTCACTGTAGCTTTCTGAAAAATATACAAGCTTCAGAGTTGTTTCTTCTGATCTCATTTTTTAAAAATAAGTGATCAAACATGGTGGCATATAAGCTAAGGATTTTGTTTTGTAGAATTGTGGCATTGTAGGTTTTTACAAATATATTACTGTTAAAAACCTTTTTCAAATTTTTGGGGGGATAGGAAAATATAAACAACTCTTATAATGGAATAACTTAAAAGCTCACTTACTTACTGACTTCAGCTACACTGATTTCCTTCTGCACATGGAGTCAGCCAAGCACAGTCCCATCTAAGAGCATGTGCACTTGTATCCCCCTCCTTTGAATCATTTTCCAAAATAATTTTCCTGGCTTGCTAGAGTCACTATTACCATGTGACTGCTTTTTTTTTTGTTTATAGTCTGTCTGCCTATACAGGTGTGTTAGCTCCCTGACAGCTGGGGTTTTGTCAGTTTTCTTCACTTTAATAATCCCTACAATAGTCATAGTGCCTGGTATGTAATAGGTACACAATACATATTTGTTAAAATGAATAAATGGAAATGGAAATTTTAAGTTTACTTAGACATCCTAATAAGGTTGAACTCTTAAGTAATTAATGTTGAAATTGTTATGCATTGTTTGTTTGGAAAACAGTTTCTTATTTAACTCCATTGTGCCTTTCTACCAAAATATTCTAATAAGGATAAACAGAGATTATACATTAGATAGTATTTTAGTGCCTACGACTACCATCTTAAACTCCCTTCTACCCACCCACCTACCTCTCTCTGCTGTAAGAGGTCCTTTCCATGCCAGAGTTTCCCCCTTTTTATAAGAAGGTATCTGTGGGGAAGATTGGAAACAGAAGCAGAGAGATCCACTGCCACAAGAAGGGTGAACTAGAATATGAAGCAAGGAGGTCATAGAGTTCAGAAAACAACTTTAGGAACTAGTTTTGGCGCTGAAAGAGTAATAGTAAAGACCTTAGGAAAGCTCTTGACACTTTCCAGTATTCAGAGCCTCCAGCACCTCTTCCCAGGAGCTAAACCCTGCATATCCCAAGTAAAACCTTCCTTACTCTAGGATCAGAGGAAAAGTTAGTGTCTAATAAATGATTCTTGAGTTGGAATTTGGGTCCTGTGGTATTTGATAGGTAAAGAATGGTGGGATTTTGGATAAGGAAACGTCTTGAGCTAGAGCCTTTATATTTCTCTAAATCATACCTAAATTGATTACTTCTAAAATAGAATAATTTTTAATTTCTGTGTTGTATTAAGTATTGTGACTGCTTGATAGAAAGTGCACGTTTAAAAACATGGATCTAATTATTAAATAACCATCTTTTCTACTTAAAATAATTAACCATTACATTTTAACAGATTTATTTATTCAATTGTGACATCTCAGTATTTCTCTGTGAGAAAAAAAGTAATATCCTGATGCTTATAAGGATGTAGGATGTTATTTTGCCAGTTGCTAGATTTTCTGGATAACTTATATAAGAAAGCAAAGTGTTTCTTTTAAACATGTGTATAATTGTGACTTCTCCTTAATTCAAATTGGACCTCTTCTCACTAGGTTCAAATTAGTATCTCATTTATTTGTTTTGTTCTTTATTCTTGGCAATATTTTTAAAAGCATGTATAAAATTGAAAATGTATTTATCCTTTTTCTATTTTAAATATAAAGGTAATGCTCTCAGTGATACAGAGATAAAATATTATCTGTCTCCTGCCTTGGGTACAAGTAAATTTACTGAGCAATGAAGAGAAGATCCTAGAGAAGTATAGTCTGATAAATTAAAGAAAAATTTTATGTTTTATGTTTGACCATTGTACTAAACATATAGTCAGCTCTGATTTTCAGGGTCTGATTGTATTATTCTCCTTCAGATGCGTTCTTTGACTCAATCCCTGGCATCATGATTGTGTGTGTGTGTGTGTGTGTGTGTGTGTGTGTGTGTGTGCATGTTGTGTGTATGTATACTTGTTTACCATCTTGTGGGGGAGACAAATAATAAGCAAATAAATTTATAAAATGTCAGCTGGGAAGATGAGAAAAAATAAAGTATGATAATAAGAGAAAGAATAGTGGGAGTTCCTCCCTCTCTGAGACCTAATTGAAGTTAGAGAGCAATTCATGTGAAGGTTTGGAGGAATAATTGTCCAGATAGAGAGGCCAGCAAGAAAAAGCCTCTTCTTGGATGAGAATGTACCTGGTGTGTTCCAGGAGCAGCAAGAAGTCCAGATTGGTTAGAGCAGAGAAATCTAAGGGGAAATTGTAGGAAATGAGGCCACTGAGAAATAACCAGGGGTCATATCACACAGGGCCAAGATTTTCGCTTTATTCTTATTTATTTGAGAGGAAAGATAGAATTCGAACATTTGTTAGGAAAAGATGCAGTTTTTAGTAGGGTAATGACACCTACACCAGAGGGGAAGGGTTTCATTGTATTAATTGTTTGGAACTATAGGTGTATGATAAAATTAATATATTTATCTTTCTTGATTTAAGTGTTTCGGTTACTGATCTCTTACTCTTACCATGGATAATAAGTAATTTGCTTTGAATAATTGTGTATCTCATGTTGTTTGTTTCTTTCTTTGTATTTTATAATAATTCTATGATAAGCCATATTCTTAGTCTAACAAGTAATTTCTGGGAGATAATTTTTATTTGGATTATAATTAAGTTAATTATTTTAGGTACTTCACTATACTTTTTAAAGTCATGCCTTCAGCACACTAAAAGGAACCCTAATCATTCAGAAACTCTAATCATATATATTAATTGCTATTAAACAATCATATTTTGAAAATAAATGACTAGATCAATGACATGTTACGAGAAACTGTACCTTTTAAAAAGATTATCTGATCCTCTAAAAATCCTCTGCATTTTATTATTTTAATTTATATACTTAATTATGATTATACATAAAATCTCACAATAACAATTTAAGTTTAGTCTCTCAAGAATGGAAAGACAATGGAAGCACCCTGTTTTAGGTGTTTTATATACATACCTCAAGTATTTAATTCTCACAATCACCATATGAGGTCAATGATACTATTCCCCCACTTTACAGATGCTAAAACTGAAGACAGAAGAGTTCAATGACCTAGTCAAGCTCCCTCAGCTAATAAGAAAATGATTGAGATCTACCGACTTTTTGTTTTACTCTACCAGCTTACCAAACCTATAATTATGGGTTTTTATCCTAAAGATATCAAATTCCATTTCAAACAAAGGCACACCATAATATGGCTGTATTATAACTCAAGTCAAGCATTTCTAATAATGAGATTGAATGATTGGAACTGAGCAAAGTAGGATAGTGGGCTGTACAAAACTTTTCTACCACTGGAAAAATAAAAGTATTTGTTTTGTTAATGTCAGTGTAAGAACTAATCCTGGGATAAAATAACTTTTTTCAAAATCTGTTTATAAATTGTAAACATATCTTGTTCCTGAGCACTCAGACTTTTATTTTCTGTTTATTTTCAATTTCAATGCTTAACCAGTTTTGCTCAGATATATGTTGTTATAATGTGTTAATTCTCCATATGGCAAAATTGTAATCCTTTATTCTTATAGTTTTGTGATGTAATGAGATGGCTATGTTTCTTATGGATTTCATTTCAGTGCTAGTGATGCCATAAAAGGAGAAGGCTTGCAAGAAGGTGTAGACTGGCTTCAAGGTACATTACAAAATACTGTGTGTCTTCAGCCTTTGTTTCCTTTTTATTCATATTTTTATCTTTTTTTACATTTTATTTTATTATATCATTGCCTTTTTTCCTCTTTCCATTTATTTCTGCTATCAGAAAAAACAATACAGTAAGTATCCAATACCTTGTTCCATTTACTTCTATCACATATTGCTAAAGGATTTATTTACATAAAGTGTTTGAATCTTTACAGTCAATATATATGACACATATAGAAAACAATTTAAACTTATAGCAACAAGTTCCTGTCAGATCTAGTAATAGAAGCACATTTAAATTTTGGGACAAATGTTAGGCCCTAATGTCAATAACTAAAAATAAGTCTGAATGACATGTTTCTTTTAAGAATCATGCTGGCCGGGCACGGTGGCTCACGCCTGTAATCCCAGCACTTTGGGAGGCCGAGGCAGGCGGATCATGAGGTCAGGAGATCGAGGCCAACATGGTGAAACCCTGTCTCTACTAAAAATAGAAAAATTAGCTGGATGTGGTGGTGTACACCTGTAAACCCAGCTACTCAGGAGGCTGAGTCAGGAGAATCATTTGAACCCAGGAGATGGAGGTTGCAGTGAGCCGAGATTGCGCCACAGCACTCCAGCCTGGCAACAAAGCAAGACTCCATCTCAAGAAAAAAAGAAGAAGAATCATGCTATACTACAGATATAGCTCCATTTATACATAGCATGTATACACAACTTGTAATATTCATATTTAGTATTAGAGATACTGATCTTTTATTGATATTTTGTATATTTGCAGTTCTGGTTGCTATTCATCAAAATAGTTATCATAGATTGGTACAGGCTTACTATATTAGGGAATAAATTAACATATATCATTTACCCTAATGGTCTCTCAGCCAAAAGAATGGCTTGAAGCACACAGAGCAGTAGATAGTTGTGAATGAAACCAAGCTCATAGGTTCTTATTGCAGGATCCTAATGGCCAAGTCAGAAATTCCATTTCTGAGCATAACAACTAGAGATCATTTCTACGGGGAATGTCTCTGCCCTGAACAAGAGTGAATAACAGGATATTATAAATTCTAGCTACAGTCTCATAGTTACAAATTCTTCTACACAAACCTTTTAATGCCAGTTGTGTGTGATTTTTTTTTTTAAATCTTCTGCATGTTGCAAACAATAGCAGGGATATAGCACATATCATGGTAGATCTAAGAGTAGCCTGCCTGCTCATACATCATAGTATTTCTTTGGTTCAAAGTGCGAAATGTACATTTCATAAATATTTGTATGTGTTATTGGTATAATATGGTGGTTTAGTTAACTGGACAGACTATTGTACTTCTGTGTCTTTTATGTTTATGTAGTTATCATAACACCATTAAACTGCAAGGAACATTCAAGTCATATTTCACAATTAGTGACAATCAGGAACCTCTAGTGATTCTCAGAAGAACTACGGGATTTTTCTGTGAACCCAGCAACTTAGTTTCTTAGACTGCAGTAAAGAAGTGTTGAAGGCAATGGGGTGGATTTCCACCAGAAACAGGCTACAGAGGAATATTCCAGAGAAGATACCAGGAGTATGTTTTCAGCCTTATTTCATATTTTACAGAGTGCTTACCATTGCTAACAATGAAGATATAGCATGGATGGAAACCCTATTGTCACTCATGATAACCTAATTCAGAGCACAATATTTACTGAAAATAGGTTGATAGTCTTCTGGATTTTAAAGTGTGGTTCTCCATCCCTTCTTTTCTGGTTTTATTTTGTCACTAGCAGTTAGCCACTAGGTGTCAGTAGCAATCCAACATCACAATACAAATTGCCAACTCTGGTCTTGATACCTAATTTTTGTTTCTTTCACTTTTCTGATCCATCATTATCTGTCTTACCTCCCAAGTCTTTGTAAGGAGGACACATTTTGGAAATACTTTTGTGTCCTTGTTTTTCCATATTACTTTATGTACCCTTTACAATTTTCTGCAAGGTAAGCAGTAGTACCTCTGTTTTATATAGAAAGCATTGACTGATAGTTGAAAAAAAAAAAACTTAGGCTTCTGAGTCCAGCAAATTTATTCTACTACTTATTAATTTACCTCTCTGTTAGCTAACATCTGTTACCTTGTGAAGATTTTTTTAATCTGTAAAAGTAAAAAATAAAATGTGTTATATTTTGTACAGATTAAATTAGATACTGTTAAAGTACCTAGCATAAGAAAGCACCCCATAAATGTTAAGTTTACCCTTTTACCTAAACACTCTATTTAAAAAAGGTGGAAACTAAGCCACAGGATAAAAAAGTGTATCATTTGGTTTCAAATAGGAGGTGCTTTGGTTATATTTTCTTTCTTTTGTGTGTGTGTGTGTGTGTGTGTGTGTGTGTGTGTGTGTGTTTTTGAGATGGAGTTTCACTCTTGTCTCTTGTCACCCAGGCTGGAGTGCAGTGGTATGATCTCGATTTACTGCAACCTCTGCCTCTCAGGTTCAAGTAATTGTCCTGCCTCAGCCCCCTGAGTAGCTGAGATTACAGGTGCCTGCCACCATGCCCAGCTAATTTTTTGTATTTTTAGTAGAGACAGGGTTTCACCATGTTGGGAAGGCTGGTCTCGAACACCTGACCTCAGGTGATCCACCCACCTCAGCCTCCAAAAGTGGTGGGATTACAGGCATGAGCCACCGCGCCCGGCCACTTTGGTTATATTTTCTGTGTAATAACAAATAGTTTATATTGTCATATTCCCAACTGTCTCTAGATTTGAAAAGAGACAAAAATCTATTTTTAAAAAATAAATAGCAGTAAATATAGGAGAGTAGTTTGTGTTAGCCAAAGTTCTTTATGTGAATGTAGCTGTGAAGGGTATTCTGAACTTATATCTGATTTTGCTTCCAGAATTCTGGAATTTCCTAGTATGACAAACAAGAAGGCCTTTGGTTCATTTGGGGCTAATTTAATATTATTATTTAAAATTTAAGATTGGGGCCGGGAGCAGTGGCTCATGCCAGTAATCCCAGCACTTTGGGAGGTTGAGGTGGACAGATCACTTGAGGACAGGAGTTCGATACCAGCCTAGCCAACTATAGTGAAACACTATTGTGACTAAAAATACAGAAAATTAGCCAGGCGTGGTGGTGCATGCCTGTAATCCCAGCTGCTAGGGAGGCTTAGACAGGAACTCTGGGGGTGGAGGTTGCAGTGAGCCGAGATCATGCCACTGCACTCCAGCCTGGGTGACAGAGCAAGACTGTCTCAAAAAAATTTAAAAATAAAGTTTAAGGTTAGAAGCTTTTTGGTGAAATATTAAATGGCACATGTAATGGCACGATTCTGTTGTCTTTGGAAACAGTCTCAATAATCGTGTATGTAGAATAACCCAAAGACAAGAACACTGAATAGACTAGGAAGTATTTTTTAAACTGCCAGAGAGTAAACAGAAACTATTGCAGAACTGTAAGTTTTCTTGCCCTGAAACTTTCAAATTAGGTACTTTTAAAAAGAAATCTTCCCAAATAACTAATAAAGTGTATTCATTTTATTGCTTTGTCTGCATGGAAAAAGTTAATAATGCTCCCAGATGTGAATATTAGACTTACAAACTATGCAGGAGTATTCCAATGAAAGAAGATTGATCAAGTATGCTTAGTTTCATCTCATTCCCAACTCTCACTAACAGTAAAGAGACTTTTTAAAAAGATATTAATATATACGGACAAAAAGAAGGGAAGTAGTGAAAATGGCAACCAAATTTTGGAAGCTGAATATTTGATCAGTGTTGAATTACTTAACAGACCTGAGAAAGCTGAATCTTAAACTACCAGTGGGGAAAGCTGAAAAGCAGCCTAATTTACATTGCAGATGCAAAGCCTCAGAAATTGGTGGAAATTGAAAATAAGGATGAACGTGGGATGAAAAGAGAAGATATGATTATACATCTTCCCTTTAAGAGAAAATTGAAGGTTTATTCTCTGCAGAGTCAAAGACAGTGTCTCTGGACTAGAAAACCCTAGGTGCACAACTGTCTGGTGGTGCTGAATTGAAAAATGAGGAAAAAAAGTTTTCATGCTGAATATTATAACTCTCTTCTACTGCTCCTATTTCTCCCAGAAAACAATGACAGTAGGCAGGATATAGGAAGAGTCATCTTTGGGGAATCAGACCAGCCTAAGAGCAAATATCTAAAGGTATTAATATTGGAGATCCCAAGGAAATGGCTTAGCCAGACGTACTAAAAGGAAGACCATATTTGACAAGCTTCACACACGTTTGCAAATTCCAATCAATTTTTTAGTGTTCACTTATACATATGAACAGATGGCAAAGGATGACCAGGCATTTGAGGATGAAAACATTATGAAATATGGGAATGTGCACAAACAAGAAAAGTGGGTTCGAGTAAGTAGAATTTATATAGAGAGAACATTTCAAAAAACTGTTAAAGAGTATCCTCAAAGAGATAAGAGAAGGTGTTACTTTCATGAATAAAGGCAGTAAACTACTTGAAAAGAAAGAACGAAAAAAAATGAGTTCTTGGAAAATAAGAATATAGTAGTTGAAATGAAAAATTTAGTTTTAAAAAGATGATAAAATAGAGGCAAACTCCCAGAAAGTAGAGCAGAAAGACAAAGAATAGAAAATTTGAAAGAAAAGAAAGGGGTCATGTTCAGGAGGCCCAATATCCAAATAATAGGAAATTCAGAAAGAGAGAACAGAAAAAAGTAGAGGATAGCAAATCCTCGAACAGTATTTTCTAGAACTAAATTGATGAGTTTTCAGTTGACAGGCCTCTCAAGAGCTCAATACAGTGGATAAAAATATTCCCATACCAGCAGGTATCATTACTAAAATGCAGTGCTGCAAACAGTGGAAGATTCTGCAAGCTTCCTGAGAAAAAAAATTAAAGCTTCCTGAGGAAAAAAAGAATAAGAAAACAGAATAACATCAGATTTATCAACAGCAACAACTTGGAAGCTGTAAGATAATTGGGAAATGCCTGGAAGAGTCCAAGGAGGGAATAATAGAATTATATACTCAGGCAGTATCAGTGCATTTTGACAGTAGAATAAAGACATCTTCAGCTATATGGTATCTCAAGAATTTACTTTCTGTCCTTTTTACTAAGGTAGCCACTGAGAAGAATATTTTTCAAAAACAGGAAAATCTTGGTACCAGCATTATCAAAAAAATAAAAGGAAATAAACCAAGAAGAGAAAATTGAGGGATCATGAGACAGGAAAACCAGCACAGAGAGTAGGGGAAGGAATCCCCAGGATATTAATGGAGACCCTAGAATGATAAGGAAGATATTGTAACAAAATGACTGTGGCAGGCATAGAGAAAATGAGTATAGATTCTAGAGTTTTTTATAAGACTCTGTGGAAGAGTTCTTCAAGAAGGCAAAGTAGATGGACTGTGTAATGTACTTCATAGTAATAAAGGTTTAAACTCTGGGAGTGGTGCAATTGAATTAGTGTTAAGTACATACAATTAAATAGATGAGTTGGATGGGAGTGGGAAAGACAATTATTAACTCTAGGAGGGATAAAATATAGAAGAGGAAAGAAAAAGTATACCACCTGTCTTAGCTGTGAATAGCATTTACAGAGTCATCATATTGACAATGACTATATTAGTGTGTTAGGAGAATGGGGGTATTAGAAGTATTATGAGGGTTGCCTAGGAGCAGCATGGGAGTGTGAGAGAGCTGATGTCTCATATTACATTGAAGGAAATGATATTTGAAGAAGTAACAATAAAAGTATATTATTTAGAGGTATTATAAGTATTCATCTAAAAGGGAGTTATAAGTAGTTGCCCCTGAAAGGGAGGAATGGAGAAGAAGCAAAGTACTGCTGTTTTGCCTAGAAATCTCATAGAACTAGTTGACTCTATGCAAATGTACAACTTTGATAAAAATAATAACTATAGATGAATTGTGCTTTTAAAAAAGCAGGTGTAGCTGGACCTGGTGCACACTTGTAGTCTCAACTACTAGAGAGGTTCAGGTGGGAGGACCACTTGCACCCAGAAGTTCCAGTACAGCCTGGGCCACATAGCAAGATCCTATCTCTAAAAAATAATAATAACAAAAGCACATGTATACATAAGTTTCCAACATGTTGTATAGATTTGACTTAGATTACTTTAGAAAATAGATTTTGCCCTATAGAGATTGATAATTTTTGTTTGTTTTTTGTTATCAGATCAGATCCAGACTGTGAAGACATGAAAAGATAATAGTTGGAAACCTCAGCAATTTTCAATTCAAGGAATCTATCTAAGACAAATAGAATACATTTTGTAAAAGATGTTTATGCATCAAAAAATATAATTTTCTGCTTGCATTTATGGACTCTGACCTTTTTAAGAACATAGGACTTCAGGTATGCTAATTTGGCCATTAATTATTTAAAAACTAAATATTCCCTCAAAAGGGCTCCCTAGAATTATCAAGTTCTTAGTGAAGGTCTACATTTGATTGTACGTAGAATGTTTAAAAGTCAGTTATAAGCCATCTCATCCCATCATAATTTATGATATGTTTAATATATTTTATTTTTTAATTGTCTTTTTAAAAAATTTAGTTTATGACTTTGCAGTATGAATTGTGCTTGTGAAAAAGAACTTTAAATATTTATAAGGGACCATGGGTAATTAATATATATTCAATTTTTACTATGTGTCACTGTCAATAAAATGTAAAATATAATGTGCCAACTAGTGCGCTTTGTTTATGCTGAAAAGAATAATGCTCTGTTAGTATGGTATTTCGTGTCATACTGTCAAGCATTTGTAAACCATCTGAGACTAAGTTAAGCTGAATTTATTTATTCAGTGTATGTTGAACATCTCTACACCAACTAGTCAGACATAGTCCTAGGCAATGATGTTACGAGGTAAATAAGACATATCCTTATCTTCAGAGAACTTAAAATTTAATGAGGGATAATTTGAGAACCTTTCCATGGATAGTATCTAATTTTATTTCATTGGCTGAATGAAAATATTGCATCTTCAGATTAAGAGGTATAAAGTAAATTAATATTTGACTGTTCAGTAATCATTACTGACATCTTGTTTTTCACTTTTAAATGCCTCCAATTTACCATAGCACTTTGTTAAAATAAATTGTGACTTTTAACTTTTTCATGAACATAACTGCTACATAAATGTTCTTTAGAATTTTAGACATATCTCAGGCACACAAATTATTAGTTCTCACAAATTAGAGAACACTTATAATTGTGAACTCTAAATAGAAACCTTCATTTTAATCACTGAGCAACAGTATATAGAGCAATATTGTTGATCCTGATAAACACTGCATATAAAGAAAAACTGTAATATACAATATATACCATCTCAAGTATGCTTAGCTTTGAAAATGATGAAAATAGAAGGCAAAAGTAAGTGAGTAATAAAGATGTTATAGTAACTGCAGTAGTGGTACATGTTTCACAAAGATTTTAATAAAAGCACATAAAGCTACAATAAAAGTTCTATATTCCAGTTTCTTATAGTCCAGAAATAGCAGTGATTTGGCATTTGGCAAATTGAAAGTTACCCAGAAAATTCCAATGGCTCAGCATCTTAGCTAGTTTACCATCTCTCTTGTAAATTGTTTTAGAGGATACAAAATGAAAATCTCATTAATCTAAAGTTGCTGCAGATATAGGAAGGACATAAGGATGGAAACAATGAATGTAATTTTTTAAAAAACTGATATGCTACAACTATTTTAGGATGGAGAAAGAATTGATTGAGAATTCAAATCCTCACTCACTTACCATAAGGTAGTAATAAAATTAATAATAGTTACTACTATATGATCATTATATTATAAGCAGGTATTACACATACAGAATTTTCAACATTTAATCCTCCCAATAAGCCTATGTGGCAGGTTTTATTATTTCCATTTTATAGATCAGTAAACTGAGGCGTTAAAATGTTATGTAATTTGCCAAAGTTCAAAAAGCTGGTAAGTCTGGTACTAGGATTCAGTACCAAGCAGTCTGTTTTAAGACAGATGATTCAAGAGTATGATAGATATTAGAAATACAGATATATCTGCCAGAATAACAATTAAAATGATAGAAAAGGCTCTTACTTGGGACAGCAACCAGGACAGGGATGGTAGAGGGAAGGTCAGAGACTAGAGACTACTCTTTGCTTTTTTTGTTTTCTTTTTTTTTCTTTTAAAGCTATTAACACTACTCAAATTTTAAACTCTGGATACAAATGACTTTGATAAAAGTCCTTAAAACTATTTTGACATTAAATTATTTGGTATTCCACAAACTACAGTAGCTCATACCTATGCAAATATTTAGAAGAAGGAGAAGTACCCTTTTTCTTTGTTTTCATGATCTCCAAAATCTAGTTTTTAGTCTATAAACATCCATCCCTACTCCACATTTTCATGTAAAGATTATGTAGAAGTTGGGCAACAGTGTAGTCACAGGATGTCATATAAGTGTGAATAAGCTGAGATTATTGCATTTGTATTTAGCATATTATACAATTAAAATGTATTTTATTAAACCTGAAGCAAGTTTTCTTTCATGTCTAGACATCAGTGTGTTACAGAGTTTAATTCATTAAGCTCTGTATTTGAATATAACACCTTGTAAAAATGTTTGAAACTTATCCTCTTGTATGTTAAATATTTAAATATTTGTATATGGCCCTATTCAGCCTGTGCTTTATAAATCACAAAAGAGCTGGGTTTTATATGTTTGTTTTTTATTTCTAAGCTCTCTGCGAAAAAGTTACAAATTGTCTCCTTAAGATATTTTTTCTTTGTAATTTTTTTATATCATGTTGTGATTTCCATAAATATGTGCAGTTACTCTTGATAATACTTGTCTTATTCATTTCAGGTTGCTATAACAAAGTACCATAGACTGGGTGGCTTATAAACGACAGAAATTTATTTCTTACAGCTCTGGAGCTGGAAGTCTGAGATCAGATTACCAGCATGGTTGGGTTCTGGTGAGAGCCGTCTTGGTTGCAGACTGCCATCTTCTTGTATCCTCACATGGCCAAAAGAGGACAAGAGAACTCTCTGGAGTCTGTTTGATAAGAGCATGAATCCCATTACATCTTCACATGGCTCCTCCCAAAGACCCCACCTCCTAATATCATCACATGTCATCACATAGGGGGTTAGAATTTCAACATAGAAATTTTGGGAGAACACAAACATTCAGTCAGTTGCAATACTTAAGGCAAATTCATCTTGCTTATAACTCTGGTGCATGTGCATTAAAATACTATTGCATTGTAACTGAGTTTGTACCTATTTTCTGCTTTCTGATTATTTCCTTTGTTCATGAAAATAAATGACTGGTATTACAAGGTCACCTAAATAAATAGGTTTGTGTACGTCTGCGACTAGAGAGAAATACTACAGTGATTAAGAAATGGTTATTGTGTTTAATTGAATGTTTCAGGTTACTTAGTTATTACATTTTCATCTTTCTCCGTATGGATGCTCCTGCTCAGCTTCGCCTGCCTCAGAACCTTTATGGCTCTTTCTTCCAATCACTTGATTTCAATGCCAGATTTAGAAGCTTCATCGGCATACCATGTTAAACTGCTTTTCTGGCAATTTAGAATAAACCAAGAAAGATAAAATCTGTCTCCAAATTTCAAATCACCAAGTAATGCTAAAAGTCACCCAGGAATACTAGATATTTTGAAAATAAAATTTGATTAGAAATATAGTAGTAATGATAAACATAGCTTTTACAATGTGCCCATACTTTGTAAGCACTTTACATATATTCATTTAATTGTCATAAGAACCCTGTGAGGTATTATCTCTATTATATAGATCAAGTGTCAGTAAACTGCTAACTCATTTTTGTACTGCCTTTAATGTTTATTTTACTTTTTTTAAATTATTATACTTTTAAGTTCTAGGGTACATGTGCACAACGTGCAGGTTTGTTACATATGTATACATGCGCCACGTTGGTGTGCTGCACCCATTAACTCATCATTTACATTACGTATATCTCCTAAAGCTATCCCTCCACCCTCCCCCCACCCCACGACAGGCCCCGGTGTGTGATGTTCCCCTTCCTGTGTCCAAGTGTTCTCATTGTTCAATTCCCACCTATGAGTGAGAACATGTGGTGTTTGGTTTTTTGTCCATGCGATAGTTTGCTGAGAATGATGGTTTCCAGTTTCATCCATGTCCCTACAAAGGACATGAACTCATCCTTTTTTATGGCTGCATAGTATTCCATGGTGTATATGTGCCACATTTTCTTAATCCAGTCTATCATTGATGGACATTTGGGTTGGTTCCAGGTCTTTGCTATTGTGAATAGTGCCACAATAAACATACGTGTGCGTCTTTATAGCAGCATGATTTATAATCCTTTGGGTATATACCCAGTAATGGGATTGCTGGGTCAAATGGTATTTCTAGTTCTAGATCCTTGAGGAATCGCCACACTGACTTCCACAATGGTTGAACTAGTTTACAGTCCCACCAACAGTGTAAAAGTGTTCCTATTTCTCCACATCCTCTCCAGCACCTGTTGTTTCCTGACTTTTTAATGATCACCATTCTAACTGATGTGAGATGGTTATCTCATTGTAGTTTTGATTTGCATTTCTCTGATGACCAGTGATGATGACCATTTTTTCATGTGTCTGTTGGCTGCATAAATATCTTCTTTTGAGAAGTGTCTGTTAATGTCCTTCGCCCACTTTGTGATGGGGTTGTTTGTTTTTTTCTTGTAAATTTGTTTGAGTTCTTTGTAGATTCTGGCTATTAGCCCTTTGTCAGATGAGTAGATTGCAAAAATTTTCTCCCATTCTGTAGGTTGCTTGTTCACTCTGATGGTAGTTTCTTTTGCTGTGCAGAAGCCCTTTAGATTAATTAGATCCCATTTGTCAATTTTGGCTTTTGTTGCCATTACTTTTGGGGTTTTAGACATGAAGTCCTTGCCCATGCCTATGTCCTGAATGGTATTGCCTAGGTTTTCTTGTAGGGTTTTTATGGTTTTAGGTCTAACATTTAAGTCTTTAATCCATCTTGAATTAATTTTTGTATAAGGTGTAAGGAAGGGATCCAGTTTCAGCTTTCTACATATGGCTAGCCAGTTTTCCTAGCACCATTTATTAAATAGGGAATCCTTTCCCTATTTCTTGTTTTTGTCAGGTTTGTCAAAGATCAGATGGTTGTAGATGTGTGGTATTATTTCTGAGGGCTCTGTTCTGTTCCATTGGTCTATATCTCTGTTTTGGTGCCAGTACCATGCTGTTTTGGCTACTATAGCCTTGTAGTATAGTTTGAAGTATTTTACATTTTTAAAGAGTTGTTAGGCCAGGCATGGTGGCTCATCCCTGTAATCCCAGCAGGTAATCGGCCGTTGGGAGGCCAAAGCAGGTGGATTACTTGAGGACAGGTGTTCGCGACCAGCCTGGCCAATGTGGGGAAACCTCGTCTCTACTAAAAATACAAAAATTAGCCAGGTGTGGTGGCATGTGCCTGTGGTCCCAGCTACTCAGGAGGCTGAGGCATGAGAATCACTTGAACCCAAGAGGTGGAGGTTGCAGTGAGCCAAGATTGCACTACTGCACTCCAGCCTGGGCAACAGAGTGACACTCTGTCTCAAAAAAAAAAAAAAAAAAAAAAAGCAACAGAGACTATATGTGGCCTGTAAAGCCTAAAATGTATACTGTCTGATGCCTTCTACATAAAAAGTTTGTTGACCCGTGTAACAGATGATAAAGTGAGGCAAGAGATAGCATATTGCAAATACATGGAAGAAACCAGATTTTGAGTCTACAAGATCTGGCTCTGGAATCTGTGTTCTTACCTTTTACATAGCTTCGCAGCAAAGCTAAACATTCTAAATTGCAATAGAACAATTTGAAATTACTTCCTTCTTAAATAATTGTATTAAAAATGAAAAATTAGGTGCAAATGGCTGAAAAGCAATGCTCTTTGAAATTCCTTTAATTTCCCATTAAGAATGAAAAGTATGAAGTCTTGGCCTTCTGGTTTTTATTCTTCCTTTTCTTTAAATGGGTGGCAAGAGATAAGGCAGATTATGAAGCATCAAATATGTTAACTTTTAAAAGTATAATCACACATACAAATTGTCCCCAAGCATCTGGTTTGGACTTTCAGATTCCCTGATGATTTTTACCAATATTTTGAGGTAAATGATAGCTACTGTTGATAGTCTTGAAATGTATATGTTAGAATATAGTGATGGAAACAAAAATATTTCACGCCAAAATATACTTATTTGGTGTATTTTGAGAAAGCTATGCAGAGGGCCTGCAAACACAAGTAGCCCTACAAAGCTGTCTTTTGTGGGAACGATTTTCTACTGTAGAGAAAATCTGCACTGATGCAGCCAGGCTTTCTCTGAGGCCCTCCCATGTCTGGATCAAGGAAAGATTAACTGAGAGTCTGACACCTTTAACTGAGATTCTGCTGTCTGTGAGGTTTCATCTATATAACCAGATGACCTTTGCTAGCCAAGCCTCCTCTTCCCCGCTCCCATAACCTGTCTTGCCACCATAAACTCTTCTGGGTGAAGCTTCTAGCTATTCTTTCTGTAGCGTCAGGATAGTATAAAAACTCCATATGGCCATTTCTTTGAGTTTTTATATTTTGTGTGACTCCTGTGAACATGACTGCACAAAATAAATTTGTATGCCTTTTTTCCTGTTAATCTGTGAACAGATCGGGAAAAATTTAAACTTCCCTGCAGTAGAAACATTTTTATAATTCAATTTGTAGATATTTGTATTTTTGAGTTATGTAACAAGTACAGCTAAGAATGTTTACTTCATTACAAACATTTCATGATCATGCGTCAGTGTTCTAAACCTTTGCCATTTAGCTAAACGAATAACATGTCCACAAAGGACTAGGCTCAGAATTTGGTCTGTCTCTTATAATCTCTTTGAAAAGTTTATAAATTCTTCCAAATGATTTATGAAGTATCAATGTTACATTACTAAAATTGATTTATGTGTCCTCCAATTAAATGTAATCATTACTATTGGAGTTAAAGCCAGTTTCACATTCACACTCTTCTTAGGCTCTGTGGGTGTGTGTGTGTGTGTGTGTGTATGTGTATCAGGATGCATGCACCTTCCTAAAGTCATAGCAAGCTCACACTTTGGTGATCACTAACTCTTCCCTGGGACTTTCTTAGGCAGATTTATAGTTATGTCTTGCAAGTATACTATTCTTACCAAGTTTTAGGGGTTTTAAAAAAATATGTTGTTTTTTGTAATTCTTAAATATGATACATCAGCTCTTACCTCTTGCCATTTCTGGGAACTTTATTATACATTTGATAGTGTTTTTAGTGCATTTTTAGATGCTGGGTTATTATTATCTTAAATACTCTCTCTAATCAGTGAGTTTATAGTTTCATAAAATATCACTTATTGCTTTTCACATTGTAAAACCCCCATACTGTGAATAATTTCATTTTATTTATGCATAGCAGCACAAGATTTTTTAAGAATAAATGAAAAGATTTTTAAGACCCTATATTTACATGGTATCTTGTTAATGTTAAAAGTTTGTCTTTTCTAATACGGAATATATCTAACATAGGACTTCAGAAAAAATATTACTGATATGTTTACTGATTAAAATGAAGTGTGAATCTATATAAAGACAAGAGGCAGTATTTTTCTTTTAATAAGAACTTTAGATATAACAGAGATACTCAATTGTCTATGAGAGGAATGGGTATAAATAGACTATGACTCTTTCTTGAAAGAGATCAGGAAAATCCTGAGGTGGAAGCCTCCATTGATATCAGTACCAACCAAATCATACTAAGTGAGCAGGTTCTTAGTCTTTATATGAATAAGGCTTTCCCTAAAGTAGAAGGAGTATGCAAGCAGCAACTATATTTATTGAGCCTACAATGATATTTCCTTTTGATATAACATTCAAATTACTGTCACCTCAAAGAAGACCTAAATTTGTCTTAAAGATTATACAGTACTCTTTATCTAACTTAATCACATCAGTTTTATATTTATTTAAATTTCTGTCTTCACTCTTAATATATTCTACCTCCCAGAAACAAACTGAGAAAAATGCCTGCATGAGATTATTTCATGACAGAATGAAAAGTTATCATGCTAAGAGTGTCTTACTCTAAGGAAATTTTTATATTCAGTTAACTCATGATTTTGTTTTTTCTTTAGCCCTACTTTAAATTGTTTTTCAAAGGGGCTAAATTTATATTAATGTATAGTCATATATTAAGCTAGTATACTAATGAACTGCAATCAGAAAAAATAATAGTGCATACCTCATTTAATTGAGCATCACTTGATTGTGCTTCACAGATAAACCTGTTTTTTACACATTCAAGGTTTTTGACAACCCTGTGTTGAGCAAGTCTATCAACACCATTTTTCCAACACCTTTTGCTCATATTGTATCTCTGTATCGCATTTTGCTAATTCCCACAATATTTAAAACTTCATGATTATTATTATTATATTTGTTATGATGATCTGTGATCAGTGGTCTTTACTATTGTAATTATTTTGGGGTGCCATGAAACTCACCCATATAAAACTGCAAACTTAATTGATAAATGTGCATGTTCTGACTGCTCTACAAACTAGCCATTCCCTAAGGGTCCTGTGGGATAATAGAAAAAGATTTTTTAATTATGCAATTGGAGGCTCACAGAGATAGGAAAGAAAGAATGGAGCAGAGTAAATTTATGAAGAAATAATAATAGCTGAAAACATTCTAGATTAAATGACAGGCATAATTTATAGATTTTAAAAGCTCAGAAACCCCCAAATAGAGTAAATACAAAACAAATAAACTTACATATGGCAAAGCTAATAGCTGAAAACCAAAGAAAATATCAAAAACATCCAGAGGGAAGAAAACCTTATTTATAGAGTAAAAGTGATACAAATAAGTTTCTATACAAACTGATATAAAAAAGTTGATTTTTATTAGAAACCCTGCCAAATTCAGTAGTACAGTATTTTTTAAAGTGTTGAAAGAAAAATAAGAAAGTTAATCCAGAATTCTAAGATATGAAACCAAGAAAAAATTCTGCAGGGTGGAGGGAAATTACACCAAAGGAAAAGTCTAATTTTCAAGAAGTAATGAAATGATAAATATATGAGTAAATGTAGAAGGCTTTTTAAAAAGTACCCATAAAATACATGTGAATGTTTAAGTAAAAGAATAACATATTTGTGTGGGGCTAATAATGTATGTAGATATACAAATAACATATGATGACTGTAATAAAAAAGGATGGTGAGGGTGATAAAGGACCCAAACAGTTGTAAAACTTCTACATTTTACAAGAATTGATACAATATTAACTCTAATAGACAGTATAAATTAAAGATGCATATTGTAATCCCTAGAGCAACTATTTAAAAACATGGAAAAGAAATATTAAAAAGCCAATACATTAAAATAGAATTTAAGAAATATTCAATTAATCCACGTAATAAGGAAAGGGGGGACAAAGGAACAAAACACAGAAGGAAGAAACAGTCCTTAATACCATTATATCAATACTTGGAATACATTTAATTGGATTAAATTCTCCAATTAAAGTTAGAAATAAGCAGAATGAATTTTTGAAAAGCATAACTATCTGCTCTCTGCAAGAAATGCATTTAACATATAAAGATGCAGGCATGTTGTAAGTAAATGTATTAAAAAAGATTACGGAAGCATTAAGTATAAGAAGGTTTGAGTGCATATATTAATATAAGATAAAATAGACTTCAAAACAAAAAGAATTAACTGCGATAAAGACATTTTATTATCATTCATCACAGATGTGTGTGCATCCAGTAACAAAGTTTCAGAATACATAAAGCAGAAATTGACAGATAAAGGGAGAAATAAACAATTTCACCATTACAGTAGGAGATCTAAATACCTCTTACTGAGCAATTGGTAAAATAACTAGACAAAAAAAAAAACAAAACAAAAAAAACAGTAGACATAGATGATCTGAATCAGTCAGCCAAATAGACCCAACTCATATGTGTAGAACACTACACCCAACAACTACAACTTCTTTTGAAGTGTAAGACAAACAGTACAATTTTTAAAAATGGAAAACAAACTACATAACAGGAAAAAAATCCACAATATATATATCTGACAAAGAACTTGCATAATATATAAAGACCTATTATATATCAATAGAAAGAAGCCAACAACAACAAAATATGAGCAAACCACTTGAGTAGATACCTCACAAAAGAATATGGTCAATCAATACAGGAAAAGATGCTTAACATCATTAATCATGAGGGAGATGCTAATAAAAACTATGATTTATTACCATTATACACCTACTAAAATAGCTTCAGTTTTTAAAACTGGTAATACCTTGTGTTGGCAAGAACATGAAATCATTGGAATTCTCACACAATGCTGGTGGAGAATGCAAAATGGTATGTGGCGCCAACCAAGTTACGCATCTTTGTAGGGAGGTGATGATAGAGCAGCAGGAGCAGCCTAGCACCAGTTGTTGGAACACCTGTAGGATGATGAAGGCATGTACATTGCCTGGCATGGGATGTTGGAGCTTGAGAAGGGTAAAGAGGGCTTCTACACCCGACGTCCAGGGAGGTGGTGGTGGTAACAGATGATTAGTAACATTTATCAAGGAAAGAATCTAATAATATATTGACAATAATGGGAGTCATCCTCCAGAGTGTAGGAGAAGAGAGTTACAGGTGTGGAAAGAAAACTAGAAGGATTGTTGTATTACAGTTGGAGGTATCGGTATGAGCACATGAATTTCAATGGGTAGAAAGAGAGAGATATAGATACAGAGATAAAGATGCTGTTTGTGTGTATATACCTGTGTATGTGCCTAAGAGCAGTGACTCCAACAGCAATGAGAACACCTGGCACCCACATGTAGGTATCTTGGTTATATTCTCCACTAAAAAGAAGTAGGGCTCTTTGGGAAAATGGCTACTTCCATAATGGAGCAGAAAAAATACAGAATGAGCCTGGAACATTTTGTTTTTCCAGAAAGTTAAAAAATGCTCAAATAATTATGTGGACATAGCAAAAGGACACAAAGACAGTTTGAAGGGGCATTAACTGGCTACACCTGCGACATTTTGAACATCAAAATGAATAAAGATAGTAATGGACTATATAACTCATTGAATGAAATATGAATTTATATATCTATATGATACAAATAAGTGAATAAATGACTAATGGGGAGATAACATTAGAACACCTACAAATAAATGTAGAATGTTGGAATGAGAAAATCGCCATTTGACAATAATTGTAATAATTTATTCAGTCTAGAAACATCAATGGATGCTAAAAATAATAATGAAATGTTGTCAAGGAATGGGATATTTATATAGCTTCAAATTATTTCTCCACAAAATACTAATTACAGAGAGGAAAAAAAATAGCTAGCATACAATTAAGGGAGCTTGCAGACATCACCTTAATCAAGTGATCCAAGTTATTATCTGTGATGGGACAAATTGAAATCGTGTACCTTAGCTTGGTGTGGTGGCAGACGCCCGTAATCCCAACACTTTGGGAGGTTGAAGCAGGAGGATCACTTGAGCCTAGGAGTTTGAGGCCAGCCTGGGAAACATAGTGAGACCCCATCTCTACAAAGATTCCAAAAATTAGTGAGCTGGGTGGTGCATGCCTATAGTCCCAGCTACTCAGGAGGCTGAGGTGAGAGGATCGCTTGAGCCTGGGAGGTCTAAGGTACAGTGAGCAGAGATCACACCACTGCACTTCAGCCTGTGCAATAGAGTGAGACGCTGTCAGAAAGAAAGAAAAGAAAGAAGGGGAAGGAAGGAAGGAAGGAAGGAAGGGAGTGAGGGAGGGAGGGAGGGAGGGAGGGAAGAGAGGGAGGGAGGGAGGGAAGAAGGAAGATCATGTACCACCTGACACAATGAGAACAGAGCATTATAGAAGGAAAAGGAAGAAGGATGGAAGGAAGGAAGGAGGAAGGAAGGAAAGAAGGAAGGTGGGTGGAAGAAAGAGAGAGAGAAAGAAAAAGAAAAAAAGAAAGGAAAGAAACAGAGAAAGAAAAGAAAGAAAGAGAAAGAAAAGAAAGAAAAAGAAAGAAAAAAGAATTAGGTACCACCTGACACAATGATAACATAGCATTACTTTTGGGATATTGCCAAAAATATACAGCCTGAATCCAACCATAAGAAAACACCAGGCATTTCCAAATAAAAAGATCCTGCTTCCACCAAAATGTGGCCTGTAAGAGTAAAAAAATGTCCCAGTCATGAAAGTCCCAGTCATGAAAGACTGAGGAATTTTTACCGAGTAAAGGAGACGAAAGTGACATAACAACTAAATGCGGTATGTGATTCTGGACTGGATCACTTTGCTAAAAAGAACATTAATGAGATAATTGTCAAAACTTAAATGGAGTCTGCAGATAAGGTGGTAGACTATGTCAACATTAGTTTCTTGATTTTGAGAGTGGAATTGCAGTTAGGATTTTAGGAGAATAGTCATGTTTGTAAGAGTTACACATCAAAGTATTCAGGACTTCATTTTGACAACATAATTTCAAATGATTCAGGAAATAAAAAGAAGTTCTTAATACTATTGTGATTTTTCAATAAGTTTGAAATATTTTCAAAATTAAAATATTTAGAAAAAAATTTATATGAAATAACAATGTAGAGAAAATTGAATTTTACATATTGAAGAATTAGAATAAAAGGTAGATGAGTATGTTCAAAAAAGAATGCCTGAAATGGTATCACTCATAAAAATAAACTGCCTGAATAGATTGATAATTGCAACCAATATGGGAAATGTATGTATACTTATTATATAAATTAAGTAATTATTGAAAGTTGTAGCTATATTAGAAAATACAGTACTGCTACCAATTAAAATAAACACTTTAACTCTTAATAATAAAGATGGACCAAGTGCCTTTTGGGATTTCATAATAGTAATGCTTTCAACCTGCCAACTTTTGAGTGAATTCCAGGTAATAGCTATGAGAAAAGCAGTTCATGTAAGAATGCCACACAGCTGTCAGATTGTTTTGATTCTTGTATACACTTGATTTTAGTCCTAAATTAGATACATGGTTATTAGTAAGACTTCTCCAGCTTGATTCACTCGTCTAACCTGTCTCAAGCAATAATTGGCAGCTATAAATTAAATTATGTAGGTCACATTAGGATCAGTGCAGCAGTTTCTCCATCTGCCTATTTCTCATACCTTGTCATTGTCATTTACTTTTTAATTATACAATTATTTTAAAGAAGGTCAAGATAATGCAGCAAAGAGTTCACTTAAAGGTAGTTTCATATTAACATTCCAAAGCCCTTGTATGTTCTTGTATTACACATAGTATTTGATGATTCACAATGTAGTAGCACTCACTCACTGCCATATTTCCTCACCAAATCAGAAGGCAAGCAAAAATTATCTCTTTTTTTGGCCTACTATTGCACTCCTGATCTTTTATACTGCTTTTTGACTAGTGTAATATTCCTAATATAAACGTTTCAATAGATTCAAAATCTGTTAAATAGTGTTTCAACTGGGTTCTGGTTGCAAGTTTTCCATCCATGCTTCTAGAGCTGTGATTTGTGAAATCCACCCAGGACCCCAGGCACAGCCTGCCCAAATCATATGATTCGGCATTTCTTCCTCCCTTTTCCCAGTATAGGAATAACTTCAGAGATATTACGGGTTCAGTTCCTGACCAGCACAATAAAATGAATATAGCAGTAAAGCAAGTCAGATAAACTTTTTGGCTTCCTAGTGCATTCAAAAATTATGTTCATACTATAGTATATTAAGTATGCAATAGCATTATGTCTAAAACCATGATGTACATGTCTTAATTTTAAAAGACTTTATTGCTTAAAAATGTTAATTATTATCTGAGACAGCAGCTAACTCTAATCTTTTTGCTATAATAGTAGAAGGTCTTGCCTTCATGTTGATGGCTGATGACTGGTCAGGGTGGTGGTTGCAAAAGGGTGAGGTGGCTGTGGCAATTTCTTAAAAGAAGACAACGACAAAGTTTGCCACATTGACTGACTCTTCCTTTCACAAAATATTTCCCTGTAGTATGTGATGCTGTTTAACAGCATTTTACCCACAGTAGAACTTCTTTCAAAACTGGCATCAATCCTCTCAAACTGTGCCCCTATTTTAACAACTAAGTTTATGCAATATTTGAAATCCTTTGTTGTCATTTCAACAACGTTCACAGCATCTTCACCAAGAGTGAAGTTGTAGATATATTAGAAAATACAGTACTGCTACCAATTAAAATAAACACTTTAACTCTTAATAATAAAGATGGACCAAGTTCCTTTTAGGATTTCATGATAGTAATACTTTCAACCTAACAACTTTTAGCTATGAGAAAAGCAATTCATATCAGAATGCCACACAGCTGTCAGATTGTTTTGATTCTTGCATACACCTGATTTTAGTCCTAAATTAGATATACGGTTATTAGTAAGTACCTACTTTCTTTGCTCATCAGGAGCAACTCTTCATCCATTCAAGTTTTCTGGTGAGACTGTAACCACTTAGTCACGTCTTCAAGGTCTATGTCTAATTCTAGTTCTCTTACTATTTCCAGCACATCTGCAGCTACATCCTCCACTGAAGTCTTGAACCCGTCAATGTCATCCATGAGGATTGGAATCAATCTCTTCCAAACTCCTGTTAATGTTGATATTTTGGCCTTCTCACAGGAATCATGAATTTTTTTTTTGTTTGTTTGTTTGTTTGTTTGTTTTTTGTTTTTTCGAGACGGAGTCTCGCTCTGTTGCCAGGCTGGAGTGCAGTGGCATGATCTCAGCTCACTGCAACCTCCACCTCCTGGGTTCAAGTGATTCTCCTGCCTCAGTCTCCTGAGTAGCTGGGACTACAGGCGTGTGCCACCATGCCCAGCTAATATTTGTATTTTTTTTTTTTTTTTTAGTAGAGATCGGGTTTCACCATGTTGGCCAGGATGGTCTCGATCTCCTGACCTCGTGATCCGCCTGCCTCGGCCTCCCAAAGTGATGGTATTACAGGCGTGAGCCACTGTGCCCGGCCTCATGAATGTTCTTAATGGCATCTGGAATCCTTTCCAGAAGATTTTCAATGGACATTGCCCGGATCCCTCAGAAGAATCACTATCTATGGCAGCTCTGGCCTTATACAATGTATTTCTTAAAAAATAAGACTAGAAAGTTGAAGTTACTACTTGATCCATGGGCTGCACAATAGGTGTTGTATTAGCAGGCATGTAAACAACATTCATCTTGTACATCTCCATCAGAGCTCATGAGTGACTAATTCTGAAAGGAATTTTTTTTTTTCCTGAGCAGTAAGTATCAACAATGGGCTTGAAATATTCGGTAAACCATGCTGTAAACAAATGTGTTGTTATCCAGGCTTTGTTGTTCCATTTCTATAGCATAAGCTGAGTAGATTTAACATAATTTTTAAAGGCCCTAATATTTTCGGAATGGTAAATGAGCATTGGCATCCACTTAAAGTCACCAGCTTGATTAGTCCCTGAGAATCAGCCCATCCTTTGAGACTTTGAAGCTGGACATTAACTTCTCCTCTCAGTAACAAAAGTCCTGCATGGCATCTTCTTCCAATATAGGGCTGTTTCATCTACATTAAGAATCTGTTGTTAGTGTAGCCACCTTCATGAATGATCTTTGCTAGATTTTCTGATAACTTGCTGCAGCTTCTACATCAACATTTGCTGCTTCACCTTCCACTATGATGTTACGGAGATGGCTTCTTTCCGTAAACCTCATGAACCAACCTCTACTAGCTTCCAACTTTTCTTTTCCAGCTTATCTCTCTCAGCCATCATAGAATTGAAGAGAGTTAGGGCTTTGCCGGGAATTAGGATTTGGCCTAAGGGGATGTTGTGGCTTCTATCAAGACTATTAAAACTTTTTCCGTATCAGCAATAAGGTTGGTTCACTTTCTTTTCATTTATGTAGTCACTGGAGTAACACTTTTAATTTCCCTCAAGTTTGTCCTTGCATTCACAACATGGCTAACACTGTCTGGCACAGAAGGCCTAGCATTTGCCCTGTTTTAGCTTTTGACGTGTTTTCCTCACTAAGCTTAATCATTTCTAGCTTTTGATTTAAAGTGAGAGATACACAAGTGTTTCTTTTACTTGAAACCTTAGAGGCCATTGCAGGGTTATTAATTGGCCTAATTTCAATATTGTTGTGTCTCAGGGAATAGGAAGGCCCAAGGTGAAAGACCAAGGAGAAGGAGAGAGACAGGGTAACGGTAGGTCCACGGAGTAGTCAGAACACATATATTTATCGATTAGGTCCACTACATTATATGGATGTGGTTTATGGCACCCCAAAACAATTACAACTGTAATATCAAAGACCTCTGTTCCAGATCACCATAACAGATATAATAATGATGAATTATTATAATTATTATAAGTTGAATTATTACTTATTCTCCAAAGAATCTCCAAAATGTGTCACAGAGACAGGAAATCAGCACATGCTGTTGGAAAAATGGGGCTGATAGACTTGCTCAACAAGAGGTTGCCTCAAACTTTCAATTTGTAAAAAGCACACTACCTGCAAAGCACAATAAAGTGCTATGAAAGGAGACATGCCTGTTCATATTTATCACACTGTTTTGTAATCTTATAACTGTTGCTGAGTTGTATGTTTCTTTCTTTGAAACATATAACTTGTTGTTGTTGTTTCTCAATATATATTCCTCCCACAAACTTCCCTAATCATGTTCAAAGCAGCTAACACAAAAGGAATAAATTCAGGGTCAATGATTTAGATTCTACCTGGATCTTTATTTCAGAAGTTTTCTTTTTCTTTTCTTTTTTTTCTTGAAATGTAGAATGACTTATAGACTTTTCTGAAATGTAGAGTGATTAGTAGACTTTTCAGAAAATATGTATGTATGTATTTGTTATTTCTCTGACTACCTTCCTGAGCCACTAGGCAAGTGACCTGCCTGTAGCTATTTGCTAAATTTTATTTAAAGGTACATCTTCAGCATCATGCAATATTGCCATGTAGCAAACCTGCACATGTACCCCCCTAAAATGAATTAATTTTTTAAAGATATATCCTATTCTAAATTAGACTGGGTTTTACTTCAATTACAGAAGTCAAATTTACCTATAGAATACACTTACATGGTGGGAAGTACTGGAATGAAAATGGCAGAACTCAGTAAGTTTATTTCCCTCAGACTGCATTGTGGCTGATACTTTTACAGAGACAGATTTTATATTGTAGTATGGTCAGCTCTTTCATTTCATGATGTATATAATTGATCATTTGAAGTGGAGTTTCTGTTGAGTCAGATGGAGGTAAAACACCATTCCAATTTTTGGCATTACTTAAAGTTAATACCAACTGCATGGTTCATAAAAACAATTTGTTCATTAATTGTCTTCTGTACTCAATAATAAAAGCAGTATGTCAATACATTTACCTGTATGAGAAGTAGACCAAATGACTTATATAGAAACTGACTACTTAGAAGAGCTTATTTGGGGAACTGAAAAGAATAAAAATGAAATAGAAGATAGGACATAGAAATGAATGAAAACTTAAGAATGGTTATTAATATGAAATCAATTGAGAATTCTTTTTACTTTGATATTTCAGTAAAAATTTCTATTGAATGCTTATAAAAATATCATTCCTTTTGCTTTTTGTTCTTTGCTAAACAGAGTGCTTCTGCAGTGACTAATCAAACCCCATCATAACAGGGGTTTGGATAGAAATTACTGTCCTTTTAAAGTCAAGTACTCAACATCCTTTCCAGTAACTTTTTGGTCTTTTTTTTTTTTTTTTTTTTGAGACAGGTTCTTGCTCTGTCACCCACTCTGGAGTGCAGCGGCATGATCATGACTCATTGCAACCTCAACATCCTGGGCTCAAGCAATCCTGCCATCTCAGCCTCCCAAAGAGCTGGGACTACAGGTGCTTGTTACCACACCTGGCTAATGTTTTTCTTTTTCTTTTTAGTAGAGATGAGGTCTTACTCTGTTGCTTAGGCTGGTCCCAAACTCCTGGGCTCAAGTGATCCTCCTGCCTCTGCCTTCCAAAGTACTGGGATTACAGGTGTGAGACACTATGCCTGGCCTCCAGTAATTTTCAAAGTGAGAAATAATCGTGGAAATGTGACTAAGTACATTAAATAATAGTTATTACATCTTTTTCATGTTGATATGTGTTTTTTTTTTTTAAAGACATATAGCTAGGCAAGGTGGCTTGTGCCAGTAATCTCAGCTTGCGAGGCTAAGGTGAGAGGATCACTTGATCCCAGGAATTCGAGGCTACAATGCAGTAGTGAGCTAAGATCACACTGCACTTTAGCCTGCGCAAAAGAGAGCCCATCCCTAAACCAAAAACAAAACAAAAACAAAAGGACAAATAAAACACATTTTAGTATCTGCAGTCTCATTCATAAAATTTCCAGAGGTCATGGTAAGGGGCAAAACAAAGAAGAAAACCTAACTTCTTGTCTTCTGTTTACCTCTTTTCATAGGTAACTGCTTTTTTCCTTTACCAGTGAAAAGCTGACTAGAAGAGGTGAGGAAGGAATTCAATTGGTAGGATAAACTAATTAAAATATTGCTGTCTGGTTCTTTTGTTCATTATTTGCAAATCCAGTTAAGTTATACTTTAAATAATTTTTTACAGGTCTTTCAAAATGAAAGTGGGGTCATTAAGAAATGTACTTGCCCCATTTTTAAGAAGTAAAAAATTATGTCATCTATAGTAACATTTGGTTTTATAAGCTCCATATGGATTTTTTTTTGCTACTACCTTTAGCAATATTTTTAAATAAATTTTTCTGGAAGTTTGTTAATGATACTTTCTTTCAGAATGGAGTAAGATTTCCATAGACATGTCAAGTTTATATTCAGCACTATGTTCATCATTTCATCACTCCAAATTGTAATCAAAGTGAATAGATTTCTATTTTATTCTATGCAAAGAAAATTCATGTACAGGAAATTACGTTAATCTCAATTTTAGATTAGGTAAAGTTCCCATGTGAAAACTGGTTCATTTTATATGACAGCATGTAGCATTTCCAGCTGCTTTCTCTCCCTAATCAAAACATTTGCTCACAAAAGCAGCTGCCACTATGCCTTGTTTTTAAACCATTTGCAAGAAATCAAACTGAGAACAAAGTACCCATAGTAAGAAAGCTCTAGCTTCTGGGACATGTATACTATAAAACGTCACAATAAGATAAAAAGGAAACCAGTTCACAGCCACTTTTTCTGTTTTGTTTGTTTTGCTCCAAAGCTTTGTTTCATAAAGCCCTAAGAAACAAAACTTACAACTAACAGTAATATAATGCAGTCTAGAAATTTATAAATAATCATTCTTTATGGAATACTTTTAAAATTGTATATCAGAAGTGCATATTACAGTGCAGAGTTTATGAAGTCAGATGAAATATTTTGGGAAAACAATATAGAGGATGAATTTCTCATCTAATAGTAAATTATTATTCTGAGCCATTATCTACGTCATGCTTATGAAGCTCCATTAATAAAACTTAATATCTTACATATGACCTTATATTTTAGATAGCATTTGACTTAGATAAAAGACACATCACACTGAATTGGTGTGAACAACTATTTTGGAACACATGTTATAATCAGTGTTTGTCAAAGACATGCTACCCCTATTTATACATTTTTAAAAGTACGTTTCAATATTAGCAAATTTTGTGCTGTTTGAAAGCTATATATTTAATTTTTAATGTTAATGTTATATTTTTGTAAAGGACTAATTTCTCTTTGAAGTATCATCATATCAAAGGGAGAAAAGTGTAAATGTAGTTTAGGTCAGACTAACACATTTTACTTAATTTAAGCATTAAAAGATGTGTGTTCGAAAGATCTCAATCTCCACATGTTCCGCAAACAAAAACCAGACAAACAATACAATAAAACATCATGCATCTCATAGAAGTTGGAATAACCAATTACTTAAAAATTTTACCATCTGTTCTCATTGAAGCAGCAAGACAGGCATTTCCCCATGTTACAAACCATGATAATTAGAAAGTAACAATGAGAAATGCTAACATCATTTTTCCCCTTTTTTATTTGCTGTGGGAGTTCTTAATGAAAATTTGAGCATATAAACAAAGGAAAAGAGAAGATATTCCCCCCACCCCACCTCCTAATTGAGTGCTTATATTCAGTAATAGCTTTTTGCTGCCCTGGGCCGCATGACACTGCCTCATTTGGCCACGCACAGCTATTATTCTAGGAGGCAGCTAGTGAAGTGCCCCAATCCATCTGCTTGCTTTTTCATGGGCTGGTGCTTTCCTTGATGTTGACAGCTGTCTTAATATTCCTGGGCCACCTGCCACACAGTAAATACTGTGCTCTAAGATATATACAGAAGCTTATTCCCTGGTGGACTTTTCAGAACAAAAACGCTTAGCATTACTAAACTACTCTTGCAGTTTAAATGCTTCAAGGATCAACACTTTCATTCTATTCTCATACCTTTGAGAATGGTACTTACGTTGTGGGAATGGCAATTCAGTTACAGTGTGATGAACTTCAGGATTTCTCATATATCACACAAGTTATTGAATTACAGTATTATAGGTGGAAATCAGGTGCTAAAAGGAGGCAGAGAAGAAGAGAGCATATTAACAGTTATCTCCTCTAGTGAGCCTTCCAGGAACCCTTCAGATTAAGTTGGGGATCCGTCCTATGTTTCCCATCTTACCCCATTTGCTCATCTTGCCCAATTAAACTTGCTCCTTGATGTTAAGCATTTGGTCTTATCTATCACCGTATCTCTATGTCTAAGAATGAGCATGT
Organism: Homo sapiens; assembly: GCF_000001405.40. Lineage (NCBI taxonomy): Eukaryota > Metazoa > Chordata > Mammalia > Primates > Hominidae > Homo > Homo sapiens. The sequence continues at coordinate 97,818,709 of NC_000003.12, forward strand.
ATCTGACACATAGTATGCACTAGAGGACATATCCAGGTTTTGTGGGATCTGAAGTTTTTACAATTTGGAGGGTCCTCTTTAAAGAAAAAGGATTTAAAAGAAAATTAGATATAAAAATGAATATATTGAATGAAAACATAAACCATGCAAATTACTAATTTTAAAAGGTTGACTAGAAAAACAATTTGTTTTCTTACTAAATGCCTTGCACAATCACTTTTTTTCCTATATTTTTGGCAGTGTACTCTTCAATAGCCTTTCATATGACAATAATTTAGTAATATTATTTTCCATAATAATGAAAAGATAATGCAATCTTTCCTCTAGTTCTGTTTTTCTTATTGATAGAAAGGCTGTGTAAACATGCAGTACTACACACACACACACAAAGCTTGTGGTACTGCTACAGGTTTGTACCCTACAAACAAGAATTCTGATAAATTCTATTTTACATGGTTTACATCAACAAGAAAAAATGTTTTGTGTTTACAGTTATAAAAATTATTTTGGGTGGCTGAGACGGGTGGATTACCTGAGGTCAGGAGTTCGAGACCAGCCTGACCAATATGGTCAAACCCCGTCTCTACTGAAAATACAAAAATTAGCTGGGCATGGTGGTGGGCGCCTGTAGTCCCAGCCACTCTGGAGGCTGAGACAGGAGAATTGCTTGAACCCAGGAGGCGGAGGTTTCAGTGAGTTGAAATTGCACCACTGCACCCCAGCCAAGGTGACAGCGCCAGACTCTGTCTCAAAAAAAAAATTAAATATACTGCATTATTGAATATATTATTGCTATGAGAGAAATTACATCAATCGGAGGCAATCCTTCCTGTTGAAACTTTGTCTTCTGATGCCTGGAATAATTTTCCACATGACACCTGATGCTGCTTTACCTTTCAAATCTTGTCTCACCTCTATTACCCACATATTTTCAGTGTCAGAGACCACAGAATATATCTCCTCTGGCTCTGCATCTTGGGTGTAATACTTGGTGAGCTGCGCTACAAACAAATTGGAATTTAAGAAATAACTATACTTTGGAGAGGCTGGAAACCACATAAATATATTCCACTAAGTCCAAACTAAATATATTCCCAACTGAAATTCCCTAGCAGATTCCCAAATGCTCTTGATAACTCTAAGTGGAAAAGAAAATCTAAGTGGACATCTAAGTGGAAAAAAAAAGAGATTGTGGTCTTAATCACATTAAAACATTTACTTTTGTAAATTTGATAAAACTGGCCATGGATCCCATTGCTGAGTTCACACTGGAAGAGACTGTGCCAGCAGGGAGCCAAGAAACTTGAGCCTCATCGGCTTCACTGTAGATGTGCTTCTACTGCAGGCACTCACTAAACGTCGGGGAATAACTGGATCAGTGAATTAATGACACTGTGCTAAATTAGTATCTCTAAGATCCTTACAGCTCTAAAATTTGACATTTTTACAGGCTTCCTAATGCAATCTTAGAATTTAGTATTTAGAAATTTGTTCATATGAGTTCAGGTTATAACAATGTAGGACATATAGAAAACTAATAAGTGCTCAGAAAGCAAATGAAGGAAAATTCAATGGTCATTGTTTTATGACTTTAAGCTATTTTGTCATAGACGCAATTTGTCTTAGTGTAAACATGGCATTATTTGTATTTACCATTCACTTAAGTGCTTTGCTGTGCTACCGAGTGGAGATCAGAGTATTGTTAGATATATTATTAGTTAAAACCATAATTCATTAATTAAATCCTATTGACTCCCCCCCATTTTTATTCCAAGAAAAACTTCCTGAACGAAGTACCCTCTGGGTAGGCACTGGGGCCTGGTTTGATCACAGAACAAGTCAGGGACAAATGTGATAGTCATTCAATAATACGTTGGGAAGACAAATTATCATTTGGGCCTTTTAGCTGGAAGAAACAGTTTGCTTTATTACTCTCTTTGGGCTTTTTGGTAAGTGGGTCTTCAGTGGAGATTCTCTTATAAAATAATAAAGCTAGAATTGGGAACTTGTCTTATTCTAGTCTATTATCTTAGTCTTTTTCTATTTTCTCAGACTAGGCTCACAGAGAAATAGGAAAAATTTACCAAAGAGTAAAAAAGGATTAATCTTGAGGGATAGACTGAGATGAACCCGATTGATGGAAATCGGGCTGACTGAACTTTAATGGGTTAAATCCTGCCAGAACAAATGAGAATGAGTGTCTTGGCTCTATTGCAGTTAGTAGGAGCTGGAGGGCTTCTGGGAGGCAGCGTGGGGAGGCAGGGAGGCTCAATAGCCTCCAGCAGGTGCTGAAAGGACTTGGGGCTTATAGGTATGCAATCTACTTATGAGCAACCTTCTCCTCCAGCACCCGAAAGCCAGAGGGGAGATTACTCCAAGGCTCCCCTCTGCTGTGGACATTTCATTTTTATCTCATTTACTTGTATACATTTTTTAATGAACAAAAGCCATATCACTTCCTTGACGTCTACTCCAGGGGCAGCTTGCCTTCAAACAAAAACAAAACACTTGGGGTGAATGGGCCTCTCAGTATCTCCTGTACTAGCTGCTATAGGGTATGAAAAACCAAGAAAAATCCATACCACTGTACTTAGACTTAAAACAAGTCTTAAGCACCCTTTGGTTCCCAGATTTCAGTGGCATCTGTGTAACGACTGCAAAATATGTTGCAGCATTGACAAGCTTGAAATCATACTTTTTGATCAGTGCCGTTTTTGAAAGAGTTCGCAGGGAAGTATGGCGTGTGAAAAGTCTGAAGCACAGCGCGGTTAGGAAAAGTCACACCACAGAAAGCCAGCAGAACGCGCCGGGAGGTGGTGACCGCCTGACAGGTACCCCCTTCTCCCTCCCGCCGCCCGGTTCTGTGCTAACGCGACTTTCGCCCTCAGGGTTGGAGCTGTATTTGCGGTAGCTGTTTCTTAGCTCCCAGCAAGTCCGGGGCGCCCCGGTACTGCAGTTTGCCAAGTGTTTTCACAAACCTTAGTTCATAAACCTCTTTCAAAAGCCCGAAGAAAACCGTTTCTGTGCTCTGACTGTAGAATAGAAAACACAACGGTCACAGAAAGTAATTGAAGGCAAAGCCCAACAGGCTGCAGCCTGAACTTGTTTGAGCCGTAAGCCCGAGCCTAGCGTCGCACGCTGGGCGACTCCCCTCAGGCTCTCAGGCCGGCGCCTTCGGGGGACCACGTAGCGCCCCAGCGGTGGCGGCTGCGCCCGGCTCAGGGCGGTGCCGCGGCCACTGGCTCCTCCTCGGGGTGGGGCGGGCCGCGCCGGGCGAGGGCGGGAGGAGGAGCAGCCGCAGCGGCGTGAGGAGCTGCCGCGCGAGGAGCGCGTCGCGTCCGCACTTCTCCTGCCCGAGAGAGACTGAGCCGCGCTGGCAGCTCGCGTCGAGTCGGTCTGCCCTAGCCGCATCCCGCGGCGCCCGGTCGGGCTCCGGGCACCAGGCAACACCTAGGCCGTTCCCTTCAGACAGCCCCGGGCCAGCGGCCCCCTCGGGAAATGTCCAGCGGCCGCAGAAGGGGCAGCGCCCCCTGGCACAGCTTCTCCCGGTTCTTCGCTCCCCGAAGTCCTTCCCGGGACAAGGAAGAGGAAGAGGAGGAGAGGCCGGGGACGAGCCCGCCTCCAGCTCCAGGCCGGTCCGCTGCCAGGTGGGAGTCGAGGAGGGGGTCGCGGGGGGGCCCTGCACATATTCGCGGGATGAAGGCTCCCGGCCTGACCGCCGGCAGCGGGCCGCTCTTGGGCCAGGCTGCAGTTCGCTCGCCACTTTCTGTTCTCCTTCCTCCATTGCTAAAGTTTCCTCCTCCTTGCCCCGTTCCCGTGCCGCACTACTCGCCTCTCCTCTGCAGGTTAAATCGGGGTGAAGTTCTTGCCCGGCAGCCGGACGCATATCCCCCGATCCCCGCCTGGCTCCGCGCTCTTCCTTTCCCACTTTCCCCTGCCCGGACGTGATTGGGTTCCCGTTCCACACACGCTCTACTCTCCAAGTTCTGTGGCAAAAGCGATTTCCCCGGCGTCCCGCCTGCAGTAATGGGAAACACTTGTGAGCCGAGCGGAGCCGTCGGCCAGGGGAATTGGGGGCGCGATCCCAGCACCACTTGTGTGGGAGGAGATCGGGGCAAAAGTGGAAAAGGTAAAGCTTTGGGGCGTCACCCCCTCAGCTGGTATTTTTGCCATCTTATTTAAATTTTCTCAAAATGATTTTTAAAAGGAATTGTGATAATGCGTTCCCAAGACTTTCACCAAAATGGACTGGACATGTAAATGACGCCACCCTTCTTTATTTCTCATCTCTCCTAGAAACATCTGCCTCAAGTTCCCAAACAGATTCTGGAAATCAGGTTTCCAGCTGTCTTGGTTTCAGTAATCAAAATGTACCCTTTCTCTGTAATATTTTTATCTTTCCTTCACTTTCCCATGTTCAAAAATCAAAAAATTTTAGACATGCCTCATTTAAATGCCTGTTTCTGAGTCTTTTCATCCCCCCGAAGAAAGAGGGGTTAAGTAAAACGCAGCTCGCTTTCTTAAACTTATGAGAGGCTTACACTGTCTTCTCCCGAGATTGCACTAGAATGACCATTGTCATTGGAAGGACACACTCCAGAAAACCGTGTTTACTTCGGACTCAAGATTTCCTGGTGGGCTTAAAAAAAATGGATAGGAAACAGAACTGAGAGTGAGCCAATTCCATTAGTATTCAGATTTTGTGATGTGATTTTAGTCGTTTGTGTGTTCCTCGGTTTCCCCGCTTGTGAAACATTTTCATTATGACCGTCTGTTAATAACATGCCACATGTTTCCAAGAAAGCTCCTACGATAATTGAGTGGTTATTCTCCTGGGACGTTTCAGCTATTATTGCTCTGACTGTTGAGAGTTTAAAATTCAAAGTTACACAGAAGTTAAAAATAGTTTTTAAGTCTGACAGATCTCATCCAGGGTGTCAGCTAGTTCTGTTGGTGTGGGCAGACAGCCTGTGGTGCCTGCCACCGCCGTAACAGCACTAACAGTCTTGGATAATATGAACGCAGTCTGCAAGGAAATCCCAAGTAGGCGCAGCAAAAGTTGGGAACTTGAGAGTCAGTGTTAGAAAGGAGTAAGCAGGTCAAATTCAGGCTCATGTCAGTAATGGCCTGAAATCCTGCTTGCCTCTCTGCCCTATTTTGGCTTTTTAAGGCACTTCTCAATTCTAATTTCTTTACTGACTGGAGCTGACCCCTCCAGCAACTAGTTCCTTGTTCACCTACCACTTCTCTATTCTCATCATCTCCAGATTGGCACAAATTATGGCTTTTCAACGATGAAGATTTTAATTGTGCTTATATCAACGCTAATTTTGTTCTCATCTTTTTTGGAACTTGCCAGATGTTAGGGGGATAGCAGATGACCCTTTATGTGGGTGTTTTACTGTTTTAAATGAGCTTAAATCTTTCATTTCAAGGGCATAAACAAACACAAAGCCTTTATTGAAAGTTTAATAAAACAAATGGAACCGCTTTATAGTACTGAATGTCCCAGTAACACAACACCCTGATGTTAACAAGATTGGAAACAGAATTGCAATTTGTCACTGTGATCTTATTTCAAAATGAAAGAGTATTTTGGCTATTTCTCTTTGTGGGCATAAAAACTTTTATCATTATGAGAGCTGGGTATACCTTCTGTAGTGATGATTTTAGATGAAGAGGAGTACAAAATTAAAAAATAAACTAAAACATAATTATGAGACCCGTAAAAGTCGAATTTACAACATCCTGAAACTGTTTTTTTGCCTGCTCACAAAATGCGTACTGGGACAAACACCAGGTCTTTGGGGAGCTGCCATGCCTTGATACAGGTCTTCCAATATTTTACTGTTTTGAACCATAGGAAAATCTTTGTTTTTATGGTGTGCTGTGATTTATATGGGCTTCAGTTGGTGACAACACTTCATTATGTATTCTTTCTTTGTCACAATTAAAGAAGGCCTATTAGCATCAACACTATTGTATATCCCAACTTAGGCGTAGGCACTCAAATTGCTTGATTGTACTCATATTAGGTGGTTGACCATTTCCAGGAAATGCTTATATTAATTTATTTTAGATGATAAAAAGGAAAACTGCAATTGAAGTTTTCATAGGAAACTCAAAAACTCCCAGAGTTCTGTGGATCCCAGTTTGAGAATCACTGGTGCAGTGTTAAGCCCAGTTTATAAGCATACAAGGAATGGACTCATTAGAAGTGATAGGGGAGACCAGGAAGTGCTTCCTGGTAGGGATGATTTTAACTGGGTCTTCAAGGAATTGGTGATGTTTCTATACAAAGAGAACTTAGGAAGAGAGAGAATAGGGAACAGGTATTCCGGGAAAAGGCATTCCAGACTGAGCAAAGGCCTGCAAGGGGTTTATGATCTGTTAGGGGATATATACATTAATGGGACAGAGTGAAAGGAGCAGTAAGAAATTTAGGTTGGAACTGGGTTATAAAGGTCTCTAGACAAAATGTTTGGCTCTAGATTTAAGGCTCAGAGAATTTTTGCAAAAGCCTGTTATACAGATATTGCTGAAATATGAAACTTGGAGGAATTCCTGCCTTTATCTGCTTCAAGAAATGATTGCTCAACTTTGTTTCTTGGCTGTATCATGCATGATGGACCTGTTTAAAATGAGTTCTGTGCAATGTTTGTAACTGTGAAGAGAGATGGTAAGGTGAGAACAGTATTTATCAAGGGCTGACTGTGCACTTACTTCTGGGCTGGGTACTTTTACTTGCAACGTATCATGTAAATCTCACACTCAGTGTGAAATGTTGGTCCACTTTTACGATCTGACAATTGAAGAAACTGAGTTTGGGAGAGTGCTCAGTGATGGATGCTATGGGCGTTTTGAATGGAACAATTCTTTGAACTGGACTCTTTTGTCCTTTGCAAGATGTTTGGTATCCATGATTACACACACTAATTGCCAGTAGCATCCTCTGGTCATTGGGATAACTGAAAATTCCTCCACCCAGGTGGGTGGGAGGGAGAGTGATACCACTCCCAGTGGAGAGTGATTACCCTAAATCGTGAGAGGAGGTGAATGGGTGGGACCAGGCTGCTAATGAGCTGTGGTGTAGGAGGTACTCTGTACTGTCAGAAATGTCAGTAGTACTTCTGATGACCAGCATGGGAGAGCTATTGGCCTTCAGGTTAAACTACCAGTGTTGACAACAGCATCAGTTATGTGAGGAAAGGAAGCTTTGTTTTCTAAATTGTCATGATGATTGCATTTTTATTGATTTGAAGCACTAAAAATAATTGGTAACTAGTTAGTTGGATAGGAGATACCTGTGTCACATCAGCAGTTCATGCCTTCAGTAGTGAAGATGACGAGAGAATTCCAGAAGTCTTTAGGGGTGTGTAATTTGTGAGAATCTTGTCCCCCTCTGCTCCTCTAGGTTAATTCAAAGCAAAAGCTTACTCTTGGCAGCAGAGTCAAAATATAGCCTGTTGTAGGGTATCAAAAGTCCACCTTTTCCAAGTGATTTCCATCTCTTGGGTTCAATAAGGTGTCTACCAGATGGCTAATTTGGGAATTCTATTTTTTGCTGTGAACATTCCTTGGAAATGGACTCAATTGTATGCTCTGAAAGTGTTAAAGTTGCAAAGGTACCACAAATTGACCTGCAGTAAGTTTATATAATCAGAACTTCTAACTTTATTGACAGTTATAACATTTTTAAGTTTTTTTACTCATAACAGCGGAAAATATGTAAAAAGGGTAATAGCAAGTTTTGTAAAATAAGAGAAAATATTCCCTCAAGACAAAATATTTTCTATCCAAAGTTCTGATGAAATATACCAAAGTCCAGATATAAGAAACGTTAGTTACCAATTATTAAATAAAATGATAGCAACAAACTGTAGGTGGTTGTAAAATTAAGGAAAATAATCTAGGCTATATGCTGAAAAGAAGGAATCAGCATGAAGTAAAAGTTAAGGAGGTAATACCTACTTTGAGTCTGTTCAATCCATAAGTTAGAGTGGCTGCTTTGTGTCTCATATGGTGCAAAGCAATGTGGATATAACCATAAATGGATGACCAAATATGCCTTCATAGAATTCACACATTAATGGAGGAGATAAAAGTGTACATCTCTGTTCTTAATATGAACTCATTATAAACCAAACATGTCTTTGGAGTGTGTGACTTGTTTCGTTCAGAGCATACTTAATGTTTCACGAATGTCATACGTTGTATGAGAACTTTAACTGGGCTTTCAAAATATGTTCTCACATTATTAACTTTTCTCCAAGCATGGTTTGGTTAGCTTCCTTTGCCAAGGCAGCATAGTGGGGGAAACATGATAGTAACTGCACCATCAAGGTGAATGGAAATGCTGCCCCTTGGTTCCTCTTGCTTTCCTCCTTGACCCTTCAGGCTTTGCAAGTCCTGGATAGAGGCAGAAAAGGGCATCCCTTCGGGAATCAACATTCCAAAAAAGTGGCAGTGCTTTTTTTTTGATGGAAAGAAGTTGAGACAGGATTGCTAGACCCAAGGTCAGGGGCTTTGTCTTCATCTTTGCGTCCCCTTAGTTCAGGTGAGGAGTGACTGTTGATTGGAGCATTAAAGGACTTATTAGTAACATTCAGCTAGGGGTGGTACCCTCCCCAACCTTCAAGTAGGCACTTAGAAACACCAGGAAGGTTGATGCTGTTAGAGAACAAATCGAAGTTTTTCCACTAGTAATAAGTCATTCTTAGTGTTTATTTGGCAGTTGTACGTGGCCAAGTAATGGTACAACTCCATCCAGCAGGACTGTCCCTGAATGTTTTACTTACTCCCAGGAGTTTTTAATTGGAAGTATGCTAAAGCACTGAAACAAGAGCTTAACCAAGTGTGTGTTTGTTTTCTTTCTTCCTAATCAATTAATGATGACAAAAACAAACTAACCTTTATTAAGGCCCTACCCTTTATTAAGGGTACCCTTAATACCCTTTATTAAGCCCTGAGCTTGGAACTTTAAAAATATCAATTCACTTAATCCTCAGAGCAAACGTATCTTTACTCCCTTTTACAATATATAATTTAAGGCTTCAAGAGGTTCAGTAGGTAATCAAAAGTCTCACAATATTGGTAGTAGAGTCAAGAGTCAAGTTTTCCTTCCTGAATTCAAAGCCTACAGCATTATGTGACAGCTTCCTCCGCTTAACTTGGGAAGACTCGTAAAAGAAGGCTGCCCTTAGAAAATGGTTTGGAATGGAAATAAAAGACAATGGCATGCAGCTGGACATCTGCCCAGATGGACTGGGTCAGAGCTATGGACAATCAAGAATTATACTCCTGAGAGTTGGGAGAGGAAAATAAATGCACACATTTATGCAGGTTATAGATTTATATTTAAATACAAAGAAAGGGTCAGTCTCCTTCAAAAGAGAGTTTCAGATGGAAACCATAGCAAGATACCATATTCTACCTATTTGATAAGCAAAACTCCAGTTTCATGTGGGGAAGCTGGAACTCTTATACACTACTAGTGGGAGTATAAATTGATACACCACTTTGGAGAGAAATTTGATATGACCTATCAATATTGCAGATTCACATACTCAGCATTTCTGATTTCAGGGAATTCCACTGAACATGTACAGTTTGCAAACAGGCCAAAAGTTGCCTATAGAAGTTAGTCATTGCAGCATTGTTTTAATAGCAAAAGATGAAAAATAGAGTAGAATGCCATTCAATTGTGGACTAACTGATAAATCACAGTACATCCATATAGTGAAATATGATGTATCTACCAAAAAGAATAGGAAAGCTTTTTATGTACTGTTAAGGAAATATCTCCAAGATACATTAAGTTAAAAAAAAAAAAAAAAAGCCGGGCGTGGTGGCTCATGCCTGTAATCCCAGCACTTTGGGAGGCCAAGGCGGGTGGATCACCTGATGTCAGGCATTTGAGACCAGCCTGACCAACATAGTGAAATCCCATCTCTACTAAAATACAAAAAAAATTAGCCGGTGTGGTGGTGCTTGCCTGTAATCCCAGCTATTCCAGAGGCTGAGGCAGGAGAATCTCTTGAACCTGGGAGGCAGAGGTTGCAGTGAGCCAAGATCGTACCATTGTGCTCCAGCCTGGGCAATAAGAGTGAAACTCCATCTCAAAAAAAAAAAAAAAAATAACAAAAACAAACAAACAAACAAAAAAAAACTTAAGCTACAACTAATTGTGTATAGTATGCCCCATTTGTATATACAAAAGAAGGGGATATGAAATAAATCTGTCACTAGTGTTGCATAACTTATTTTGGGGGTATGGGGAACTGAGTGAAGGGATGAGAGGCAGGAGAAAGACTGTCTTATGCCTTTGTACACTTAAAAATTATGTGAATTACCTATTTCATAAAGTAAGAAAAAGATTGGATTAAAATCTGGTGAATACCTGTGGCTAAAAGAAGGAAAAAAAAAGAAAACAAGAGAATGTATGATCCTGAGTTGGCAAAAATCCTCCAGAGAGAGAATGCACTACATTAACTTATTCAAAGGGGAAAAGTTTCAGTTAAGGATATAAATAAACAGAAGTAGTTTTTGTAATGCAGAGTAATTTGATATTTTGACACTTTGTACAAGTAGGAGTGAGACTTTTCTATATTATTAATCTCTAATGTGAAACTGGGTGGAGTTGACACTTGCAGCCACAAATATATCAACATAACTCATTTTTACGTGCTCACCTGTCACCCACCTTGACCTCTCCAGTATGACCCAGGACAGGTTATTAACCTCAGAGTCTTTAGTGATAAATCAAGGGAGTTGGTTTTCATCTCTAAGGTCTCTCTCAGCTTTAGCGTACCAGCCAAAACTCCATGGGCTATTAAGTGTGTACAAAATTGATGTGCCTTATAAATTAGAAAGATTTATATTTTATTGGAAAAGTCACATATGAAAATGCTTTGGTTAATTCTTCCATGTGATCCTAACATTTTGGTTATTTGATTTGAAAGCTTCACCTGTGTTTAAAAAGAATTAATTTAGTGTCGCTGTGTCAAGCACCAGTCTAGGTCCTGGGAATCCAGCAGTTAACAAGGTGCAGCATTGTCTTTGCCTCAAAGCATGCATGCAGTTTTGTGGGGAAGGCAGACATTGCCCAAATCTTTCTTCTCTCTTGAAATAAGTACCAAGGTAACATGTAGGGGACTGTAGGAGCATTTAACAGATGTGAGCCCATTTTTGAGGCTCTCAGAGGAAACTTTAATTTTTTTTCAATCTCATTTAAGCTGTTTCTCCTGGAACATGTGTCTAAGTAATGTTTTTCTGTTCTTGGTTTATAAACTTTGGACAATATATATTGACCTCTGGTAGATGAGCACTCAGCTATTTTATACCCTTCCACATCTCATTACTCATCCAGCCAAAATAATCATTATAAATGGAAGATTAAATAAACCTGTAGATTTCTATGAATATTTAGCTGTTGTTTTCTGCTAAGCCAAGTGCTGTACTATGGTTACTTTCTTTGTGTGATATTTTGTTTTTCATGGAGTAAATTACCTTGTTTTTCATTTGCTTATTGCTGCTACTTCTAGGATGCACAAATACATTTATAAAACCACTTTCAGTGCTTTTTTCTACATCATTAAATCACATCTACCAGTTTACCCCATGACTTCCAAGACCTTTCTCTTGGTCTCTGTGTCTTCCTGTAATTTGTATCATCTAGTAGTTCCCAAGCTTGCTGTATTGATCTCTCTACTACTCAGCCCTATGTAAGACCACCTATTTTTGGACTTCACGTATTCCTCTTTCTTGGTTAACTCCTCCTTTTGTTGGCATATATCTAACAAACAAGGGTACATGTTAGATATTTTTTTTGTCTTTGCACTTCTGAAAATACATTTTTCTACTTTAGTAAATGATAGTTTGGGTATAAATTTATAGACTCAAAATTACTTGCACTCAGATTTCTGAAGACATTTCTCTATTAGTCTTCTCTTTAATTCTGGATTGTTGAGAAATCTGAGGCTAGTACGATTTCTGGACCTATTTTTGTGATTCATTTTTTCTTTGTGAATTTTGAAATCTCTCTTCAGTGTAGACTCTACAAATGCACAGTAATGTACCTTGCACAGTGCCTTTTAAATTCATTTTGCTGGACAGTTGGCAGGCTCTTTCACTTGAGAGGCTTATATCTTAACGATTTAGAATGGAGAGTTTGGCTCAAGCTCCCTGTGTGTGGTCTGTGCTTTCTATACTTTTATTCTTGGTATTCCAGAGTCTGGAGGCTTCTCTTTTTAAAAATTGCTAGGCTCCTGCCAAATGTTATAATTTGGGGATGTGAGTTCACTAAGAAATCAACTGACAAGAGGCAGATTAATAGGAGAAATGACATCGAAATTTATTAGCATGCAGGGGGAAAAAATTGATTACCAAATATCCCAGTAGGGTAGAGATGCTTATATACCCCACCTCTTAAGAGAGAGGGAAGTGGATGATTTTAGGGGAATAGTAAATACTTTTTATGGGAACTCACTGGGCTTGAAGAACATAACAAAGGCCTGGGACAAAGTCTGTTGGGCCCACAGAACAGACAGTGGTTTATGACAAAAGTCTGTTGAGATGTTATGACAGACTTCAGTCTTTCTTCTTGTAATATGATTCAGTTAATGAAAACTAGGGAAGGGACTAGAGGTAATTGTTTTTTTCTTTGATGGGTCCAAACTTTAAGCAGATAAGAGAACTTCAGAGAACAGAACTTCATTCTGTGCTTTGGGAGAGACAGAGGATCAAAGACAAAAGACGAAGGTGGGATTCAGAGAGACCTTGAGGCTGCTCAGTTCAGCATGTCAAAGTGCCATATTTTGGGGTATGGGATTCTGAGTTTTTATCTATTCTTTTTTGTAAAAGAATTATTGATACATAATTATTGTACTGTTTATGAAGTGAGTATATGATATTTTGTTACATTCATGCAATGTGTAATGATCAAATCAGGGTTTTTAGTATATCACTTCAGCTTAGCACTTCACTGTTAGAGTGGGGGGGATTACCGTTAACAATAGTATACTTTAAAATAGCTAGAAGATAACATTTGAAATGTTCCCGACACAAAGAAACGATAAAAGTTTTATTTATTCTAAATTATATTTCTTCCTGTTTTTCTCTCCTTCAAAAATCTCATCTGTCCTGAATGCTGTTATTCTTCGTCTTTTTTTTTAACCTGATAGCTTATTTCCTCTTATTAATTGCTTTACCATCGTTTCCATGGGACAGAGTTAAACATGTGTTCACCTATATGCTTTTGCTAGAAATAGCTAGAAAATCTTTGCAATTATCATTGTTTCCAAACTTTTTAATTCTTTGAGTATAAATTGAACTCCATAACCTAACCTCTCAATGATGGCTATGAGGAAATAATTGCTTGCTCGTTGATAGGAAGAATCGATATTGTGAAAATGGCCATACTGACCAAAGTAATTTATAGATTCAATGCTATTGCCATCAAGCTACCATTGACTTTCTTCACAGAATTAGAAAAAAAATACTTTAAATTTCATGTGGAACCAAAAAAAAAAAAAAAAAGAGCCCATATAGCCAAGACAATCCTAAGGAAAAAGAAGAAAGCTGGAGGTATCATGCTACCTGACTTCAAACCATATTAGAAGGCTACAGTAACCAAAACAGCATGGTACTGGCACCAAAACAGATACATAGACCAATGGAACAGAACAGAGGCCTCATAAATAATGCCACACATCTACAACCATCTGATCATTCACAAACCTGACAAAAACAAGCAATGGGGAAAGGATTCCCTATTTAATAAATGGTTTTGGGAAAACTGGCTAGCCACATGCAGAAAACTGAAACTGGACCCCTTCCTTACACTGTGTACAAAAATTAACTCAAGATGGATTAAAGACTTAAATGTAAGACCTAAAACCATAAAAACCCTAAAAGAAAACCTAAGCAATACCATTCAGGACATAGACATGGACAAAGACTTCCTGACTAAAACACCAAAAGCAATGGCAACAAAAGCCAAAATTGACAAATGGGATCTAATTAAACTAAAGAGCTTCTGCACAGCAAAAGAAACTATCATCAGAGTGAACAGGCAACCTACAGGATGGGAGAAATTTTTGCAATCTATCCATCTGACAATGGGCTAATATCCAGAATCTACAAAGAACTCAAACAAATTTACAAGAAAAAAACAACCCCATCAAAAAGTGCACAAAGGATATGAAGAGACACTTCTCAAAAGAAGACATTTATGCGGCCAATGAGCATATGAAAAAAAGCTCATCATCACTGGTCATTAGAGAAATGCAAATCAAAACCACAATGAGATACCATCTCACATGTTAGAATGGTGATCATTAAAACATCAGGAAACAAGAGATACTGGAGAGGATGTGGAGAAATAGGAATGCTTTTACAATGTTGGTGGGAGTGTAAATTAGGTTAACCATTGTGGAAGACAGTGTGGCGATTCCTCAAGGACCTAGAACTGGAAATACCATTTGACCCAGCAATCCCATTACTGGGTATATACCCAAAGGATTATAAATCATTCTGCTATAAAGACACATGCACACGTATGTTTATTGCAGCACTGTACACAATAGCAAAGACTTGGAACCAACCCAAATGCCCATCAATGATAGACTGGATAAAGAAAATGTGGCACATATACACCGTGGAATACTATACAGCCATAAAAAAGATGAGTTCATGTTCTTTGCAGGGACATGAATGAAGCTAGAAACCATCATTCTCAGCAAACTATCACAAGAACAGAAAACCAAACACCACGTGTTCTTACTCATAAGTGGGAGTTGAACAATGAGAACACATGGACACAGGGAGGGGAACATCACACACTAGAGCCTGTTGTCGGGTTGTCAGGGGGTGTCTAGGGGAGGGATAGCATTAGGAGAAATACCTAATGTGATGACAGGTTGATGGGTTCAGCAAACCACCATGGCACGTGTACACCTATGTAACAAACCTGCATGTTCTGGACATGTATCCCAGAACTTCAAAGTATAATAATAAAAAAAATTGCTAAAAGATTACAAAACAGAGGTTTTTCGCTGTCATAGTCTGTGTTCTGTGCTATAAAGGAATACCTGAGGGTGGGTAGTTTATAAAGAAAAGGGATTTATTTGGCTCAGGATTCTGATGGCTAGAATGTTAAGATTGGGCATCTGCATCTGATGAGGGTGTCAAGCTGCTTCCACTCATGGTGGAAGGTACAGGAATCACTTGGGAAGAAAGGAAACAAGGGGTCAGGATGTGCCAGGTTCTTTTTAACAGCCAGTTTTCCTGGAACTAACAGAGTGAAAAATCACTCACCACCACTCCAGGGAGGGCATTAATCTATTCCTAAGGGATTCACCCCCATGACCCAAACACCTCCTATTGGGCCCCACCTCCAACACTGGGGGTTGAATTTCAACATGAACTTTGGAGGGGACAGACATCCAAACCATAGCACTTGCATACTTATAAAATCAGATATGCTTTATAAGTGCTGATTTCACGTAAGCTGTTGGCACAAAAATATAACCCATTGTAATAGGCAGAATTCCAAGATGGACCCTAGTACAGTTATAGAAAACAGTTAAGGAAAAATATTTTCTATGTTCTTTATGACAAACAATACAAATGGCAATGTCAGAAGTGACATGAAAATGGTATTTGGGTGGTCTCACCAATATTTGTTTTATGTAATTTTTAGAAGATATAGTAGAAATTTTTACCTTTCATATTAAAATGTATACAAAAGTGGTTTCTACCTCAGTGGCAGATCATAAATTTCTTGTAACTACTATGCTTCTTATGACAAAGAATGAAATGTTTTGAATTTGATGTTTTAATAACTGGGGACAAATTAGGTGAGATGTAAACTCTCTTGCCTTTTATTGTCTTGTCAAAGCACAAAGGAGCATTCACAGGATGGAAGGATGGCATTGTGCTTTTTATCAGTAAAAGCTGAAAATGTGAACTGTAATTATGGTGTTTCATTGTTCTAAGTAGGCAAATAAAAAATTTTTGGCAATGTTGCATATATTATGATGCAAAGGAATTAACATTAGGTAATATTTGCAGTATTCGTATTTTGTTATTTAATTGCTTGCATTTTTTGCACTCACTTGTTTTTGCTTTCTTTTTCATCAACTATGCTACTTTGTATTTTTTCTCTTTTTGATAGTAATATTTGCTTTTACAAAACAGGTATAAAATTATAAGAGGACGAAAAAGCAAAAGCACACTCATAACCCTACCCACTCAGAAACATATATCATTCTTTCAAATGATTCCCTATGGGTGTGTCTAAATATGTCTTCATGTCTAAATATTTTTATAAAAGTAAAAGTTCTTCTTCAAGAGTTTGGAACTTGAATTTTTTTCACTTAACAATAGTGCTCTAACATTTCTGACAATAATGCGTATATTTATATGTTGTAAAAATAATTTAAAATATAATTATTAGAACAACTTAGTCGTGTCATCACTTTTCAGAATCTTGTTTGCATGTCTAAATGTGTCTCTACTTACATAGGGTTGTATTCTAATGGGGAGGGCAGAAAATATATAGATTAATATATAATATGCTTTGAAGTAAAAATAAAATGGGGAGGGACTCACCATAATGGAAGTGGTGAGTCTAGGTAGGGTGGATATGAAAGGTGTCTCTATTGGGTAGCATTTGAGCAAAGACCCAGATGATATCCGGGAGTTGGGCATGAGCAAGTCTGAGGAAAGAACTTTCTGGGCAGAAGGAACATTCACTTAGAAGGTCCTGGGGCACAATCATGTGGCACAGATGCCAGTGTGGACAGAGACACAGAATTAGAGGAGGAGTGGGTGTTAGTAACATGGTGTTAGTTCATAGTAAGGAGTTGAAATGAAATGATGAGTTTACTTTTGGAAAGTATCACTGGGCATGTGTTTATATGTGTGTGTAAATGTGTTTTTATATCCACACATATATTATCTGTTTATCTGTGTCTGGAAGAATTTACAGAGGAGGAAGGATTTCAGTTGGGGGGGAGGTCAGCCAAGGTCAGATTCTGGGGAGCTCTGTGAGGGCACAGTCTTGGGTCTCCAGTGCGCTGTCTTCAGGACAATTTGTTGAATGATATGTGAATGAATGCTCCATTTTAGAAAGCAGCTAAAATACTGTTGTGAGTTCACATCACAGCGAGGGATTCAGGGTATTGAATCTTGTGGGGGTGAGTCAAACATTCAGAATCTGAAGGTTATGAGGTGGACGGAGAACTTGGGGAGAATGGAACAGTCATTCACAACACATGTACTGTAGACAGCTCAGGCACACCTCAGACGTACTGAGATTCTCACTCTGCAGCCTGTGATTTAACTGTAATTATGGGTCTTATTTTGGGGGCGTGAGTTGGGGAACAGGAAATAAGTCAGCCTCAAGGTAGATACATAAATTATAGGAGAGGACTGACCTTATAGAGAAAAGGAGTGTCAGAAGTCTCAGACTGTGAAGCAACAGAGCCTCATAATCATGCCTACCTTTCCTCTCTCCTCCTGATTTTTCTCTAGAGTTTTGAAATCATTCAACTGCCAGATGTTTGGGCTAAAATACATACTGTTTGAGTGCCTTAAAATTGCAGCTTTTAGTTACCTTTTAATTTGAAGCCCAGAAATAGTGCCATAACCACCTGTTTTATATTCCGTTAATAGCCATTAAAAAAAATACAAGTACCACTCTTCTGCTGGCAGACACCATTTGTGAATGGACAGTTTTCCAGATGGTGGTTTGGAAATCATTGGTGTGGAACTCTGTCTTTTTCCCCATAGCATTGGACCTGCCGGATGGGACTCCAGGCCAGTGCACGAAAGTCAATTTAATCCATAATGTATCTGCAGTATAGCTTTGAGCAAAGAAAATTATAGAACTTGTCACGTGAGGCTGTGTTTCTAAGAAAAATATCCCAAGGGTAATGTAGATCCCATGGCTTGAGCAGACCCTTTGGGAGGGTGTGAGGATGAAGTCCTTGCTGTATTTAAGGGCCTAAAGGAGGGCTGAGAGGTGGAATCTGAGGGAATAGAGGGCAGGCCCAGAGCGAGCCTCAGTAATTTTGAAATAAGGGACGGTAGACATTTCTGCCTCTTTGTTATAATGCCCTCATACTAGTTTTGGTCTAAGTTGGTTTCTTGGCCATAGTCTTTCTCATCTTTTACCAGAAAAGCCTCAAGGTTGGTCTACCTGTTTTTTTTCCCACTCATTCTTCTGTTGTAGAACACAGCAATGTGGGATTTTAGATCTGACAGAGATCTCATATCAGCTGGTCTGAACCTTTTTAATTTACATAGTTGTAAAATCAGATCCAAAAACGTTCATTTTGACTGAAGTGCATTTTGTCCTCAAGGTGCTGTCTCTGAAACAGACAAAAGTTCATTCTGAGTTGTTGCAAAGCATTTTACTACTTATGACAGTGGGAGAGGGAGTGGATAGGTAAAGATCTCATCTTGTTCTGCATTATTTTTCATTTAATCCAAGGGAAAGTCTCACCTGGAAGACTGGGGTATTATTTGATCACATTTTAAGGGAAGGATAGATTCTGGTTACTTTTAGGACTTCATCACGGGAGTTGGGTCAGGTGGGCTCTGTGGTGAGGAGGAACATGCCAGGAAGGAAAGGCCTAATGAAGCTGAGGTAGAAGGGGAGGTGCTGGTGAGTGGACCAGGCTTCTGGAACCAGCAAGTTTTACAGTAGTTGGGGAAGATAAACTAATGGGGAGATTTGCCCTGATTCTTTTTCCCTGTTCTCAACAGTATTGCTGATTCTTCTACTGTAGACCACAGCTCATGTAGTAGAAGTGAAAATCTCAAGTGGGAGGATAATTTCAGGCGGCATCAGTTTTGAGCGGGGTTGGAAACAAAGGAGAGAAGGTAAATTGGCTCTGGAAGTGGAGAAATGTCCCTGTGGACAGAGGGTTGGGGTGTGCTGTTTAGATGTAAGGGCATTCCCAAATTAGGGAATACTTTATGTTAAGTGACCTCATATTTGGGGGTACTCTGAATTGCTGCCAGTGATGGCATTAGCACCAAAGATCGCTTCCTCTCTCGAAATGGCAAGAATTCATAGACTCTGGCATCCATAAAGAGGTAAGCAAGCCTCTAGAAGACGCTTATGGAAGCTGTATCAAGTCTTTACCATTTCCAGATTTCCCTGATGCAGTCACAGTTATGTATGAAAGAAAGGCATAGGAGGAGGAGGTGCCCAACAGGTGCATTACAGGAGGGGAGGAGAGCTTTACTCTCCCTTACTGTGCCTCACCCCTCTCCACTGAGTGTACCCTTTGTTTCTGTGAGTCTGTCCTGTGGCCATCCAAGAAGGTGCTTTCTTACCTCATGAGAAATTGACTCTGAAAGAGGCCCAGAAGCTTCCCTTGTGCTCCAGTCTGTGGTATGGACTGAAAAAAGGGGATTTTTTTCCTTCCAGGTCCCACCCTGTACTTTCAGTGCTGTATGTGCTCATTAGGGCAACACCTCTTTTCTGGATCGAGAAGCTTTGCTGAACGGCAGTGTTGGAAAATGGGTAGTGTTTTCTAAATAATTGTTACCTAATCTTTAGCCACACTTAACATCTTTAAATAATAAGTGGAGATTCTCCTGGTCAGATTTTTTTCTTCCCTCTACAGCTATCAGTTGTTGATGTCAGCTAAAGATAGAGAGGCTCTCAGACCATTGTTTATCAAGAATGGGGTCAGAGGGCCACCTGCATTAGAACAATCTGGGGTAAAGGGTGATTTGTAGCTCAAAATATAGATTCCTGGGCCCCGTTCCAATTGGATTCCTTGACAGTCGGGCCCAGAAATCTGTTTGAGAAACATAGATGCCTCAGGTGATTCTGATGCATATAGACATGAGTTCTGAAAGAATGAGGGCAAGGACCTTGTCTGGTTTGTACATTGTGCAACCCCCAGCACCAAGAACGGTGCCTGACACATGTGTGCACTGCTAGTTTGTTGAGTGGGTGAGTGAGTTCTTGGGCCCAGTTTTCCACTGCTTATCTGCTATTGGTTAGGGAATCTTGTTATAATTTAATTTTAAGAAAATAATATCTCTTAAGTGACAGGTTAGGAGCTCTCCTTTATGTAAATTATTTGAAATTTAGAAGGTTAAAGTGATCCTTTTTTTTCCATTGCTTATGAAAAATATTTTGTCTGGCACAGAGTCACACAAAGGCTAAATGGCTGTATGTTGGATTCGTTTTCAGCCATGGTCCAAATAAAGTTGCTTGAAAAATGAGGAGCTTTTATGTTACATTGACCTTCATATTTGAGCTATTTTGAAAGATTGATTCTTAAAGTTCTGTTAGCTAAGATGAGGCTATTTAGAAATGTAAGGTGGTTTTATTTGTGCGTACATGTGATTTTGAATTCTGCTCTTCACCCCCTGCCATGAATAAAATGTGTGCTTTCTAAAAATATTCCTAATTGAAATACCCTGGGTCCCAAAGGGGGTTAAATTGTGAGCAAACAATAGGAACAGATTGTGGTCTCTCATGAAGCTTGAGGTGAACATGGTTCTCTTTCCTTGGTATTTATTTTTTAAGAGACTGAAAATATCACCCCAAGCCTTTTGAGTCCTTTTTATTTTATTTATTTTATTTTATATTTGTACTAAGCAAACATCTGAGTATTCACTGTTTTTGAGTATATGTAGCTACTGTGTTCTCATTTTTTAATGTTTTGTTTTATTTTTAAATCAACTGAAAATGACCTTGTTCTTGTTGAGTAATTTTTTCCCACCAGCTCCACTCCCTACTTAATGGTTTTAGAGAAGTATGTTGTAGGATAGGAATGGCTGGCATATTCTTTCAAGAGACTTATATGCTCCTCCTTAAGAAAAAAAGACTGATGTTATAATTATATTGTTCCCAATGTAACAGTGTTTTCTGATGAAGGTAAGCAGGCGCAAATGGAAATATGGTTATAGATTTTTTTTTTTCTTTTGAGACAGGGTCTCACTCTATCACCCAGGTGGAGTACAGTGGCGTCCTGAATAGCTGGGACTACAAACACGTACCACCATGCCCAGCCCCCTTTTTTTTTTTTGTCAAGACAAGGTTGCCATGTTGCCCTGTCTGGTCTCGAACTCTTAATCTTAAGCCATCTGCCTGCCTTGGCCTCCCAAAGTATTGGGATTACAGGCCACACCGCACCTGGCCTGGTTATAGATTATTTTTTAAAATTTGTCTAACAAATAACTATTTGAGTGCGTTCGTGGTGCCAGGCGGGGTGCCAGGCTCTGGGATCTTCTGAATTAATAAGTTTATATTCTCGTTGGGAAGATGAAAAACTAGCTGTTAATGATAAAGAGTGGCAAATATGTGGGAGGTATTGCTGCATGCAGTGAGAGCACAAAAAATACAAGTAAAACCAGAACTAAGCTGTAAAGGATTTAGAGTTGATTAGGGTGGGGAAGGATGTTGCAAGCAGCAGAATAAAGTGATTTGTAGGAGTGTAAACTTTTGTGTATTCTAGTAATGTCAAGTGGTTCTGGGTAACAGTTGTATCAGGAGTTAGGGCATGAATAATGTTATCCATGCTAAGAATGTTTCATGTAGAAAAGTGTTGAAATTTTAATAAAAGGAATGATTTTTATCAGTCAACCAAAATTTTAAAATATGTTGTTTGCATTAAAACTCAACACATTTTAAAATTTTGGTTTAGCAATAAGAATCATGCAACTTAAAGGATGTAAGTGAGAATTTTAAGAAATATCAAGTAATATTTCTTTTGGTGATTTTAACTTAAATTCTTCCATTGTTTGCTCAGTACTTAATGTGCTGATTTACTGCTGTGTTTTTCTGGAATTTGTGTGTGTGTTTGTAGTTTGTATTTGGAAGTAATTACAGCTATTTGAAAAGACTGAGTTCTGCCATAATCTCATGAACTTAGCTGTATTTTCTGGAGAGCTTTTATATTAGAAAAGAAACTTACCGTTTTCATTTACAGTCTTAGGCAGTATGTTTATAGAAAACCCTGTAAACACACCAAATAAAGCAGAATTTCAGCAATCTTGAAGCATGAACTAGGAGACTAAAATTAGATGTTGTATGTTTAAGTAGTTTTTAGGTAGATCATTCAAAATAGATTGTAGTTAGAGAATTCACTTGTCAAGGTCAGCATTATTCTTAATTATACCCCAAATCTTTATAACATGATCTTTTTACATGTATTTGCCAGTTTGTTTTTGTTAATTTGAGCTTAAATAGACCAAAATCAATTCACGTTTACTTTAAAAAAAACTGAATTGTAAACAGCCTTTTGGCAAAAGATAAAGACTAGTAAAATAGAAAAAAAGAGATAAGAATTTATTCACTTTTAAAGAAGCAATTATGAGAAATTCTTATTTTATACATTTGTACGGGTTACAATTCTGTATTGTACAATATTTTCTATTGTTTTATTCCTGATTTTGTTCCTGAATTGTCCCACAGAATTTTTTATGTGTTTAACACACAGCTCATATATGTGTGTATATATGTATATATGTATATATGTATATGTATATATGTGTGTATATACATATATGTATATATGTGTATACACATATATGTACATATAGGTGCGTACACCTATATGTATATATATGTGTATATACGCATATATATATGTATATATGCATATATATATGTATATTCTTTTTCTGTTGACATTTAGAAGCTTTAAGGATCTGTTTAGCGGTATCCGTTTGGTCCATGTGTTTCTGCATGGAGTCTTGGACTTAATGACATTTTAATCCATTGTATTTTCCAGGTGTTCATGATTTATTTTTTGTTTCCATTTTTTGACCATGACCATTTGTTTCTTGGATACTGTGCGTAATAACATAGACTTTTATGGATAGAAAATCTAAATGGCATAAATCGTGTCCTCTCTTTCCATCTGATCCGCTTTGGGACAGCCTTTATTTGATCAGAGCTATTGATACTTCCTCCTCTCCGGGCCTTCCACCACCAGTGACCACTATTCGACATCTGGCCCACTCTCAGTCATCCTCCTGCTTACGCTTGTCCCCTCCTTGAAGACTTCCCACTGCATGTAGGACAAAGGTCAAATTTCATAACGGGTCAGCCCTGGTCTTCATAGTCTGGTATTCACTAATTTTTGGTCTCAGTCTCATCCCTTGGAGGATTACCTCTGTCCTTCGCAAGCTCTGTGCTCCAGACTTATATTAAAAGCAAACAAATAAAATTTGGTTTTCAGAAAATGCCCGATTCTCTATTACCACCTGCTTTTGCACCTCCTCTGAGGGTACTTTACTGAGTAGGCAGAATTGGTTGCTCCTTATTTCTTTTATGCTTCGTAGCATTTTGTTCATTTAGCAGTTATAACTCTTATGAAACTGTATTGTTAAGGTTTATGTATTAGTCTCTCTAACTAGACTGAGTTTTGCAAAGAACCTGACGTGCTCATTTTTATATCCTTAAGGCTAAGCAGAATCCTTGGCATATGGTAGAGAGTCAGTCATCTTTAGAGTGAAGCTACTTAATTTGTCTAGTATTATGAAAGTATGAAAACAGGATAATGTTTGAACAGAGATATAAATATTTAGTTCTGGAAGCTGGGCGTAGTGACTCCTGCCTGTAATCCCAGCACTTTGAAAGGCCAAGTTTAGAGGATCACTTAAGGCCAGGAGTTCAAGACCAGCCTGGGCAACATAGTTGAGACCCCCATCTCTACAAAAAATGAAATAACTGGGCATGGTAGCATGCACCTGTAGTCCTGGATACTTAGGAGGGTGAGCCAGGAGGATTGCTTGAGCCCAAGAGGCTGCAATGAGCTATGATTGCACCACTGCACTCCAGCCTGGGCAACAGAACAAGACCATCTCTAAAAAAGAAAAAAAAAATCTTAAATGTGTCTTGGGAAAGTAGTTTATAATGACATCCCAAAAGGCATCTGAGGAGGTATTCCAGACTAAAGACAGTTAGAAGTAACTATTTGGGAAATCAGATTTTAAGGTGCCATCTGGAATACGTTTGGGGCTAGATAAACCTACATCTATTTTTGAGTATTCCCAGAATTCACTAGATGGACCTATATGTTTATAGTGATTTGCTGAATAGAAATGCATTCTGTTCCAAATAACACCCAGCATGGGCATTAAAAAAAGATCTGGCTATGGGGAACCTTCACATAAATAATATCTTAGAGTGCTAGCACTTGCCAGTGTTATGAAAGTAATACACAGGTGCTCTTTTGTTCAGATATATCATTACTGTGATGTTGATTATCTGTGTAAGAAAATATGAGGCACAATGAGTTCACACAAATATCTGAAGACTAGATGAACATTTTTGAATGCATTTTTTGAATTTAGAGATTCAAATCAATATATCCTTGGTATAACATGGTGTATCAATCTTTGAGCATTGCAGATAAAGGACCTTTCAGTTTGAGTTTAAATACAGAAAACTTTTAGTTTCGTAATTTTCTTTTAATTTCAAAAGAAACTGTGGTTTTTATTTTTCAGTGTTGAAAATGAGCCCATGAGCACAAGTCAGAAAAAGGAAAATGTACTTTCATCAGAAGCAGTAAAGGTATAGTTTTAAATTAATATTATTTTATATCAAGCAAATATCTTAAATTGCTGTTAATTCTTTTAGATTCTGTCATCTTATTTTACATTTCAAAAAGAACACTGTATAATTACTTTTTGTGGAAATCCAGCCCAACTTTGTCAGACACTTGCATCAGGAGGTGGGACGGGAGTCTGGACAGGTGGGGAAAGGCTCTGAGAAGGGAGTATACAGAGTGGTGTTCTTGGCTTTGCCACTAACCCAACTGTGTGATCTTCAGCTGAGGATTTAACTTCTTCGTGTCTTTGCTAATCTGTAAGTCAGATCACATGACCTCCATGGTCTCTTTTTCCTAGGAAGTTCTGGGATTTATGAGTTTTCTGAAATGTTGCAAAGCAATAGTGCTTTTGGAGGGCTGAAGTTAATAATCTGTTTCTACATATCATTGCTCTGTGTTAGGTGTGTTTGGTTAGTTTGCATGTCGTTCTTGGCTTCTCTAAGAGGACAAGCACAAAAAGTAGATAAGCTACACACCTACATAGGGGATTCTCCATGAGTAGTTGAAAATCCTTGAAAATCACTAAACCTTTTGATCTCTCTTTTTATTCATAAGCGGTTTTCTAGAAATTTGATGTTTCCAGTTTCTAGGTATGTGATCACGTTTTGGTAGCTATCCCACAATCATGGCTTTTGGTCCCAGTTGCTTTCTTTTCACATGATTTGTGACAGTCAAGGAGAAAATTTGAACCTTCTGGGGATTTCAGAATAAATTAGCTTGGTCAGTAGAAAGACTGAAAAGTTATTTCAATTCTTCATTACTGATATGGGCACTTTTTAATATTTTTAAAAACTATATAATGCCCAAGTACATTACACATTATAAAGACAAAGTTGTTTTAATTCTTTATTTCTGCCTTCTCCATTATAATAAAAAAATACTTATTGAAAGGAAAAAATGAAGATCACCTTGCTTTCCTTTCTTCACTCCTTTGTGAGTCTGGCTACTAAATCCTCCTTCTGGTGGTTTTTTCATGTATCTCACTTAACTTCTCTTCTGCAATCAGTTGTTACCCAGCCTGCTGGTTTACCATTGTATGGGCTCTATAGCTGCTGCTGATTTTTCAGTTTTTACATGCCTTGAGTTGCCCTACTCAAGACTTTTACTTCTAATGCTATAAAACTTGCCCTTGTGTTGTTTCATAGGAAGGCTGTTACTTCTGAGATCTCAAACTTCCAAGTTTCTTTGGTTATCAGCTTTTGTCATTCCATCTCTTAATCCCTTGTTGACTCTGTACTCACCCTTTACCAAACCTTCCTGCTTTCCTTGCTCCCTTTTCTTCTCTTAGTCTCTGCTTCTTTCCCCATTTAGCCTATACCTGCTGGCTTATTTTAGCTATACTTTCACCTAAATAAATCTTCAGTCTCCAAACTTGGATAAATTCAGCCTCTTATTTCCAGTAGTGCTGTTTTCCACCTGCAGAGGCTCTGAAAGTTACATCTTTGTGGATTCAGTAAATATATTTGGCAAATAGAATAGCTGGGCCTCTATGCTAACAATCTTTTCCATCCATTCTTAACATCTAATTTTGAGTGCCGAGGATAATTTCATTTTGGCATCTAAGCCCCTAAGTAAATACCATGCAGTCATGAAACTGTTTTTCTTGTGATTTGAAGCCTATGAGTTTACTTATATACAGAAACTGCAGTTATCCCGTAATAGAAAGGATACCGTGGCACTTTTTCTGGGGTATCCTGTGCATTTTGGCTCATGTAACTTTTTAAAAAACCTTCTGGAACCTACTGGTAGGATTTCTTCAACCTAGCCGCACAGACCCAGTTGTTCAGGGACTGTTGCTACCAGGCATCATAACAAATATGTATTTTGGTAATGTAACATAAATTTTATAATGCTTTCTGTGATAAGAGAAAAAATATGCAGCATTTCCCAGTTGATCAGAACCATAACAGATTTATGTAAACATAACCTTATATAGTCTTCTTTTTGTGTTTGACCTTGAGATACCCAATGATGATGTCAAAGATTGTTGGTTGCAAGACAAGTTTGAACTACAAAAATTAACTGTATTTTTAAACAATTAGAGATTATATTTTATATTAACTTTGGACATCATTAAATTTTTTATTCTTAAAATACCACTTACATGCTACACAAATTTTGCTATTTTACTAACATCGGCGGCTACTTCTAACATTTACATCTATTTTTCTACTGGAATATGTATTTTATGTTAATAAGGTTTTTATATCTAGCTGGAGATGCTTCCGGAAATTTAGTCCACATTTGATCATTGTCTTGTAGCCTTAAACTCTTGCTTCATTCACATCTACTTTGTGTTATGCCCTGCTCTCTTCTACCTATGTCAGATGAATACTTATCCCTTTCTGCCTTGAAAGGCTAAATTCCCTCAAGCCCCCATCTTGACTACAACATGTGCAGTGGTATTGGTGTCCTTACTTTACTGCCTTTCCTTGGCCCTTGCCTTGACTACTACTATCCCTCCATCTTCACTGGCTTCTGATTTGCATCAGGTCTCTGTGTTTCTCTTTAAATATATAAAATTAAAAACAATGTTTTTGTTTTATTTTTGTGAATCTGGTTTCCTTTCCTTTTGGTCTGTTATTCTACATTACTCCTACCTTTTACCTCAAAATTCCTTATGAAAGTCTGTCTTAAGCATTGTTCAGTTCTTAATGCTTTCTGCTCGGACTCCTGTTTCTCTTTTAGTTCCCTCTGACATGGGAAGCCTGGTACTGTGTCTGGCGCACGTGTCATGGATGCTCAGTATGTAGTCGCTGATTGAATGAAAGCTATTCCATGAAACCAGTTACATTCATGTTCACCAGTGACCTTTTGCTGACCATATTCAGTAACCTTTCCCTAGTTCTCATTCTATTTAACCAGTTGAAACACTTTTTTTTCAAGTCTTTCTCTCCTTTTTAGAAATGTTCTTTGGTTTATCTTTGCTTCTGTGATATTGTCCTTTCTTGGTCCCATCCCTACCTCTGGCTACTTCCTTCAGTTTCCATCACTGATTTCTTTTGGCTAAATACTTTTTCATGAAGATGTTTCTCAAAATCTTCAGTTCTCCTCAGTGTCAGTCCTCTGAAGTAATATCTTCCGATCCTTTGGTTCATCTTTTGGCTCCTGTGTCTTTACGTGACATCCATCTAGAGCTCCAGACTTGATTATCAATGTTCCAGACATTTCCCTGTGGATGTTCCTTTGATCTCAAATTCAGTTTCTCCAAAAGCCTTAATATCTTCGGAGATGTTTTTTCAGTTTTTTTGTTTTTATTTTTTCTTGGGAGTGTTAGTGGTGGAAAGTAGGGAGGATTGTCTTACTGTTTGGGTGAAGGAAGAGCCCTTGGGCTCAACTTCTCTATTTGAAGATTTTCAAGCAAACTCTTAGTTTTAATCCCATGTCTGACACTGCCTTAAGTGGTTCCTAGTGTCTTCAAATCCTAAGTCATTTCAGATTGCCTATGGGATGATTGTTAGGTTCAGAGTCCCTTTTTGCAGTCACTTAGGTAGAAGCTTTCTCTGCCTCTGTCTGCTTTTGCCTTCTAAACCTTTTCTGAAATCTCTTGCCTGCTATATTCAGCTGTTTTTGCATTGCTATAAAAAAATACCTGAGACTGGGTAATTTATAAAGAAAAGGCGTTTCATTGGCTTACAGTTCTGCAGGCTTTACATAAAGCATGGCACCAACATCTGCTCGGCTTTGGTGGAAATCATAGCAGAAGGCAAAGAAGGAGCAGACATGTCACATAGCAAGAGCAGGAGCAAGAGAGAGGGGAAAGCTGCCACACACTTCTAAACAACCAGATCTCACGAGAACTCACTCACTATTGCAAGGACACCACAAAGCCATCCATGAGGGTTCTGCCCCCATGACCCAGACACCTCCCACCAGGCCCCACCTCCAACATCAGGGATTATATTTCAGTGTGAGGGTACAAACATCCAAACTGTATCACCAGTTATATCTGTTCTCTTCCTGTCTTTGTACTTATAACTAAAAACAACAACAACAAAAATACTCTTTTGCTGTCATTTTAGAGTATTTTGTTCAAAAGGAAAAAATCAATGTGTATGTTCTATCCACAGTGTTAAACAGAATTTGTATCCCTTTGTGTGTAGTTGAAAAAAGCAAATCTCAAATTAAGTCACTTGACACAACTCCCACTGATAATGAACAGAGGCAAGAGAATTCAGAGGCAGTTATGTACCATGATTCTTCCTATTCGTGTACTGAATTTTTAAGCTATATTCATAAACTTCATTTATCAAAAAGAAATCCTATTAAAACATAAAAATAACAGTGGCAGTAAGTCTTTTTCCAGAAATGAACCATGAGCTAAATAAGATTATTATATCTGGACCGCAGGTTATAGATTCTCCAACCCAGGCCTCAATACATCAATGATTATTATGCATATTCTCCATAGCTTGGCATCTGCCTTATATGAAATCTACCACTGGTCCCATTTTAGAAATGCTGCTCATGACTAATCATGCAACTTTGTTGAAGGATTTAGCATCTTTTAAGAGGAAGTATTTGGTGTATGCCTGTGATATTCTTGTAAATAAAATGAAATTAATAAGTATTAACTTACTGCATATCAATATCAGATATTTATGACACATTACCCTTATTTCTAATAAGTAAATCACTTATTACAAAGAACCGCATTTTTTGTTGCCACTGTTTAATAATTGACATGTAGAAATGGAAGAATTGTAGCCCAAGACTATTTCACTGAGGAAGAATGATCACTAATTGTTCTTTACATTAATGCCCGTATTCAGAATACAGAATTATGTAGTAAGATGAATATTTTAAATATTTGCATCTGTTCATATTTTGATTTTATGTAGCTCCTCTTTCCTTATTAGGTTTTCAACTCTTTCTCAGTGAGAGTAAAATGGTAGTCAAATTTAAATGTGTTAAATGTTGTCTTGGTTAGAGGGAAATTAATTACTGAACCAATTTTTAAAATATGTATGGCTTTAGTGTATGCTTGCTATCTTTGTTTGTTTGTTGTTGTTTTTTTGAGATGGAGTCTCGCTCTGTCACCCAGGCTGGAGTGAGTGCAGTGGCGCGATCTCGGCTCACTGAAACCTTCACCTCCTGGGTTCAAGCGATTCTCCTGCCTCACCCTCCCGAGTAGCTGGGACTACAGGCACGTGCCACCACTCTCGGCTAATTTTTTGTATTTTTAGTAGAGACAAGGTTTCACCGTGTTAGCCAGGATGGTCTCGATCTTCTGTCCTCGTGATCCGCCTGCCTCAGCCTCCCAAAGTGCTGGGATTGCAGGCATGAGCCACTGCACCCAGCCTGTTTGTTTTCTAACAGACAGGTCTTGCTATGTCTGTCTGGCCTCAAACTCCTGGGCTCAAGCAATTCGCTCACCTCAGTCTCCTGAGTAGCTGGGACTACAGACAGGCATACACCATTGCTCCTGGTGTCTGCTGTCTTTTTTTCTCAGCAATGCAAATAGTTGCAGCAGTATCATGTCAGTTTAACGTACAGATTTTTATACGTCTCTTTTTCAAACATAACAGTGCTCCCACCCCAACAATAATTGTACCTGCAACCCTGTGTATAAATAGATTACAGCACAGTTTTCCCTGTTGATGGTGGGAATGATTTGCCTGGAGCTTCACAGTCAGCCACTGTTCTCTGCCCCTGCCATTCCTGGCACCTCCTTGGAACAGTTTTGAAATTACATGTGTAATGATGGAAAGAACACAGTCTTTGTAACCAGATATGCCTGGACTTAAATCCTAGATCTTCCAGGTGGTGGCTTGGTAACTTTGGGAAATTTATTTAACCTCTCTGAATCCTGGTTTATTGATCTGTAGTAGGGCGGGTCCTTATTTCATAGAGGTGTTTTAGAATTAACTAAGATAACATGTTAAGTACTGTACAATGCCTGATACAGAGTAGGCACTTGGTAAAATGATTGCCTTCTTGCCATATAAAGTCTGGCTAAAACTTAGAAATACTGTGAATCTTTGCTTGAAAATGGTGGTGATTTATTCTGGGTGAATAGTATAGAAGGCACATATTTGAAATATTGATTCTGCATAACGTTTGAGAAGAAGGTACATACAAGAAGGCATACCATATTCAACTTTAGCTGGAAGTCAAAATCTTGCCTCTTGATTGCTTCTAAAAAAAAAAAGTGAGTGCTACTGGAGTGCCCGAAATGGAAAATGCGCTGTGTGTTACTGTGCTGTCCAGTTGACCAAATGGACTGTCAGGGCTTAAGCCTGTCATTGTGGCTGATGGTAGTCTGGGCACTTGACATCTTGTAGTTATTGAATTGATTGTGTTGTAAGGTATCTGGTTTGATTTGCAGCCACTTCAACTATGGTATACCTGGAATGTTCCTACATTGCGGTATGATGGAATATCTTATCAAAATGGAAACTGAATATGAAGGAACATGTATGTACTCTAGATTTTTGTGAGAAAATTTGCCTTTACAGGTGTCAGATACTGATTCTGGAACACGAGAGTGAGCGCCAGAAAGCTCTCAGAGAATCAAAAGCATTTGTTATTCTGGCCCAGTGCTTTTGCTGAAATACTTATATCATAACAGGAGGGAATGGCTTTCCTGCCATTCCTTTTCTTGTTCCTTTCTCTTCTCTCTTTGTATACCTGCCCTGGTTGATTTGATTTCTGCCTGCATCTTGGCTAGTGACTAGCTCATATATGTTCCTTTAGCCCAGCATATATCGTGAGCTTCAGGGTGATAAAGCCTGCTATTTCACGGACCTCTCCTCTCAGATGTCTCTGAGTATAAAGTTTGACATACTCAAAGTTGAACTCATTTTATTTTAGCTTCCTGCTATTTCTGGAAGTACCACCACACTACCCAATCTTGACACCTGGGAATGAATCTAGTGTTTTATCTCCCTTCCCATTGAACTAAGGCCCATCAACGGCCCTTCCTTCATACGCATACCCATTGATACTATATAACTCATACTTTTCTTATTTAGATCAGCAATTTCACGCATATTTTTTCTCTGATACATATGAGAGGTAACTGTTTTGGGTCACCTGTGGTTAAGGGCACTTACTTTAAATAGTACATATAACTACATATCTTTATCAAAAATTATATGGATTTGAAAACAGTGAAAGTAACACGCCAGATATAACTTTAATTCTATACTAGAACATTTTTAGAAGGTAAAATTTTAGCTTTTAAAATAATCTTGGTAATAAGTTATTAATTACATCCTAGAACTGATCATAACACTGATGTGTGATGATATAAAAGTTGCAAATAGCTTATTGTTTTAAACTATAACCAGCTGCATTAAGGTAAGGTAGTTGCCTACCTACCTTGCCTGTTGTCATTTTCTAATGAAAAGAATAACTCTGTGATAACGATCTAATGTTATCTTTGAAGCAAAATTACTTTAACAATAGGAGTATAAACAGTTCATCTTTACAAATTTAGTTGTAAAATCCATTTATTGAAAAATAATGACATGAATATATATCAGTACTCACTGAGGAGTTAATCAGACAACCCACCACGATGAAATCCTTTATAAAGGTACTGATTTTGATTTAAGATTTTAGCATCAGCCTGTAATCCCAGCACTTTGGGAGGCTGAGGCGGGTCAATCACTTGAGATCAGGAAATGGAGACCAGCCTGGCCAACATGGTGAAACCCTGTCTCTATTAAAAATAAAAAAATTAGTTGGGCATGATGGGCGTGCGCCTGTAATCCCATTTACTTGGGAGGCTGAGGCAGAAGAATGGCTTGAATCTGGGAGGTGGAGGTTTTGGTGAGCCGAGATTGCACCACTGCACTCCAGCCTGGGTGACAGAGCGAGACTGTCTCCAAAAAAAAAAAAAAAAAAATTTTAGCATCATTTAAGCTGTAATTCAAGATAGCAGCAATAATAAACTAATAAAGCATTTTTCTCAAAATTGTGAATTTCAAGTATTGGTGGTGGAATTTCAACTTTTGGCAAAATTTCCAAGTAATACGCGGCAGCCAGATGTCTTAGTAGAACATTAACTAGAATTATTTAATAAGGAGTGGGTTTTAGTTTATGAATGCCAAATTTTAGTTACCGTTAATAACTTCAGTAATAATCCTAGTCATGATGAAAGTATGTAAGATTATTGTTTACCTACACCCTGTGGTGTCAAGGCAGACATATGATATTAGGGATATACACTGGAAGAACGTAAATGTAATTTCCGTCCTGAAAAACTGGAATTGTAGAAGGAATTTTCCAGGCAAAGAGAGCAAGGGATAAGTCCCAGCAGTGGAAATAGCATTCTGCAAAGATACACAGTAGTGTGAGAGAAAGAAAGGTAGGGAGGGAGAGAGGAAGGAGGAGATAGTGAATAGTAATGCATGTGAAGACAGTAGGCATTGCAAGCATTGTGAGTGGTAAGAGATGAAATTGGAGAAAGCCATGGGGGCTATATCCACCAAGACCTTGAAGGCAATGCCAGGGGGCTTGGATTTTATCCTGATGGCAATGCTCAGCCATTGGAGGGATTTAAGAATGATCATACTTGGCTTCTAGAAGATTGCTGTGGTTTTTGTCTGGAGAACATAGTGGGGGATAACAGATGTGGAAGCAGCAAATCCGGTTAGGCCACCGATAACACTATTCTAGGGGGCGCAGTTATGGTGATGGTGTCCTGATGTTTTCTCTGACTTTAACAAGTGGGAATTTTAAACTTTATAGAAGAAGGAAGAAAGGAGACATAGCATGGCCAAGTTCAGTTTGGAATGTTTTGAGTTTGAGGTCCAGTGAAGCATCCAGGTATGGAGATAGATGTCTGGTTGGTAGTTTAGGAGTCTGAGCTAATCTGAGGATCATCATCTGAATATTTGAGTCTGTGGGCAAGAGATTTCATAAGAGCATGAAGGAAAAGCTGATATAGGCTGGAAATTGGAGAAGCATGTTATATGAGGGATGGCTACAAGAAGTGAATGTGAAAGAGATGGAGAAGAGTATTCAGAGAGTAAGAAGGGAAACCTCAGAGTGATGCCATGGAATCTAAAGGAAGAATGGTTTTCAGGAAGAGATTCAGTCTCACATTCTGCAGACACATCATATAAGATCAGGACAGAAGAACAGTCCATTGGAGTGATTAGTCGTTAGAATGGTGTCCCTGAAAGGTCATGGTTAGGATTATTGGGGAGGTAGCCCAATTGTCTGGACTTAGGAAGTGATTGGGAGTAAAGGAAAAGAAACAGGGAGGGTTGGTAACTCCTTTGTAACGAGGTTAGTAATGAGGACAGAGGAGAAGGCTGTCTCTGGATATACTTTTGACACTTAGATTAATTCCATACTTAGCTGTTGTAAATAGTGCTGCAATAAACATGGGTGTGCAGATATCTCTTTGACATACTGATTTCCTTTTCTTTAGATGTATATTTAGAAGTGGGATTGCTGGATCCCATAGTAGTTTATTTTTGGTTTTTGGAGCAACCTCCATACTGTTTTCCATAATGATTGTACCAGTTTATATTCGCACCAACAGTGTATAACAGTTCCCTTTTCTCTACATACTCACCAGCATTTGTTACTTTTTGTCTTTGTGATAGTAGCCATTCTAACTGGGGTGTGATATCGCATTGTGGTTTTGAAGTGCATTTCCTGGATAATTAGCAATGTTGAGCATTTTTCATGTACTTGTTGACTATTTGTGTGTCATCTTTGATAAATGTCTGTTCAGATTAATTGCCCATTTTTATTTCTTCTAATTATTTTAATAGTTTAGTAGCACAGGTGGTGTTTGGTTATATGGATAAGTACTTTAGTGGTGATTTCTGAGATTTTGGTATACCCATCACCCAAGCAGTGTACACTGTACCCAATGTGTAGTCTTTTATCCCTCATTCCCCTCCCACCCTCCCCCCAAAGTCCCCAGAGTCCATTTTTATCATTCTTATGCCTTTGCATCCTTTTAGCTTAGCTTTCACATAAGTGAGAACATATGATGTTTGGTTTTCCATTCCTGAGTTACTTCTCTTAGAATAATGGTCTCCAACTCCATCCAAATTGCTGCAAATGCCATTATTTCATTCCTTTTTATGGCTGAGTAGTATTCCACAGTATATGTACACACAGACACACACACACATACAATACACACACACACACACACACACACACACACACGTTTTCTTTATCCACTCGGTTGATGGGCATTTAGGCTGGTTCCATATTTTTGCAATTGCGAATTGTGCTGCTATAAACATGTGAGTGCAGGTGACTTTTTCATATAATGACTTCTTTTCCTCTGGGTAGATACCCAGTTGTGGGATTGCTGGATAAAATGGTAGATCTACTTTTAGTTGTTTAAGAAATCTCCGTACTATTTTCCATAATGATTGTACTAGTTTACAGTCCCACCAGCAGTGTAAAAGTGTTCTCCTTTCACTGAATCCGTGTCAACATCTATAATTTTTTGATTTTTTAATTATGGTCATTTTTTGCCATACTTAAATATTGTGGTATCACAATCGTGGTATCACAATTGTGGTTTTGATTTGCATTTCCCTGATAATTAGTGATGTTGAGCATTTTTTCACGTTTTTGTTAGATTTGCTTTTGGGTTCTTAGTGATGAACTCTCTGCCTAAGTCAATGTCTGGAAGAGTCTTATGGATTTTATCTACTAGAATTATTATGGTCTCAGATCTTAGATTTAAGTATTTGATCCATCTTGAGTTGATTTTTGTATAAGGTGAGAGATGAGGATCCAGTTTCATTCTTTGACATGTGGCTTGCCAGTTATCCCAGCACAATTTGTTGAATAGGCTGTCCTTTCCCCCACTTTATTTTTGTATGCTTTGTTGAAGATCAGTTGGCTGTATTTGGCTTTATTTCTGGGTTCTCTATTCTGTTCCTTTGGTCAACATGCCTATCTTATACCAGTACCATGCTGTTTTGTTAACTATAGCCTTGTAGTATAGTTTGAAGTCAAGTAAAGTGATGCCTCCAGATTTGTTTTTTTGTTGTTGTTTGTTTGTTTTTTGCTTAGTCTTGCTTTGGCTATGCTTTGGCTATGTGGGCTCTTTTTTGTTCCATATGAATTTTAGGATTGTTTTTTCTAGTTCTATGAAGAATGATGGTGGTATTTTGATAGGAATTGCATTGAATCTGTAGATTACTTTTGGCAGTATGGTCGTTTTCACAATATTAATTCTACCCATCCATGAGCATGGGATGTGTTTCCATTTGTTTGTGTCATTGATGATTTCTTTCAGCAGTGTTTTGTAGTTTTCTTTGTAGAGATCTTTCACCTCCTTTGTTAGGTATACTCCTAAGTATTTTTTTTTTTTTTTGCAGCTGTTGTAAAATGGATTGAGTTCTTGATTTGTTTCTCAGCTTGGTCGTTGTTGGGGTATAGCAGTGCTCCTGATTTGTATACATTGATTTTTTTTTATCCTGGAATTTTACTGAATTCATGTATCAGATGTAGAAGCTTTTTGGATGAGTCTTCAGGGTTCTCTAGAAACACGATCATATCATCAGCCAACAGTGACAGTTTGACTTCCTCTATACGAATTTGGACCCTAAATTTCTTTCTCTTGTTTGATTGCTCTGGCTAGGACTTCCAGTACTATATTGGATAAGAGTAGTAAGAGTGGCATCCTTATCTTGTTCCAGATCTTAGCAGAAAAGTTTTAACTTTTCTACTTTTACTATGATGTTACCTGTGGATTTGTCATATATGGCCTTTATTTCATTGAGGTACATTCCTTATATACCTATTTGTTGAGAGTTTTTATCAAGAAGGGATATTAAATTTTATTAAACGTTTTTCTGTTTCAGATGATCAAAAGGTTTTTATCCTTCATTCTGTTGATGTGATGTTTATTGTGTTGTATATGTTGAATTGTCTTTGCATCATTGGGATAAATTCAACTTAATTATGGTATATAATCTTTTTTATGTGCTGTTGGATTTATTTTGCTAGTATTTTATTGGAGATTTTTGCATCTTGTTATTCTAGGGTAATGGCCTGTAGTTTTCTTTTGTGTGTGTTTGTGTGTCCATGTCTGCTTTTGTTATCAGGGTAATGATGGCCTTGCATGATGAATTTTTGAATAATTCTGTCTCCTTTGATTTTTTGAAATAGTTTGAGAATAATTGGTGTTCTTTAACAGTTTAGTAGAATTCAGCAGTGAGGCTGTGTAGTCTTGGGCTTTTCTTTGTTGGGAGACTTTTTATTACTTATTCAACCTTGGTACTAGTTATTGGTCTGTTCAGGTTTTCTGTTTCTTCTTGCTTCAATTTTGGTAGCTTGTATATGTCCAGGTATCGGGGAACCTGCCCCGATAGTCACGTAGATTCTTTTCTATTTTCCTTAAGCGTCAGCTGGCTTGAGAAATAAAGGGACAGAGTACAAAAGAGAGAAATTTTAAAGCTGGGCGTCCGGGGAAGACATCACATGTCGGTAGGTTCTGTGATGCCCCACAGGCTGCAAAAACCAGCAAGTTTTTGTTAGGGTTTTCAAAAGGGGAGGGAGTGTGCAAATAGGTGTGGGTCACAGACATTAAGTACTTCACAAGGTAATAGAGTATCACAAGGCAAGTGGAGGCAGAGCGAGATCACAGGACCACAAGACTGGGGCGAAATTAAAATTGCAAATGAAGTTTCGGACACCACTGTCATTGACAACATCTTATCAGGAGACAGGGTTTTGAGAGCAACCGGTCTGACCAAAAATTTATTAGGCGGGAATTTCCTCTTCCTAATAAGCCTGGGAGCGCTATGGGAGACTGGGGTCTATTTCACCCCTACAGCCTCGACCATAAGATACGGGCACACCTAAGGGGGCCATTTATAGGCCTATACCCCCAGGCACGTATTCTCTTTACCAGGGATGTTCCTTGCTGAGAAAAAGAATTCAGCGATATTTCTCCCATTTGCTTTTGAAAGAAGAGAAATATGGCTCTGTTCCGCCCAGCTCACCAGCGGTCAGAGTTTAAGTTTATCTCTCTTATTGCCTGAACAATTGCTGTTATCCTGTTCTTTTTTCAAGGTGCCCAGATTTCATATTGTTTAAACACACATGCTCTACAATTTGTGCAGTTAATGCAATTATCACATGATGAGGATGGCGACATACATCCTCATCAGCTGACAGCATTAAGAGATTAAAGTAAAGAGAGGCATAGGAAATCACAATGGTATTGATTGGGGAAGTGATAAGTGTCTATGAAATCTTTACAATTTATGTTTAGAGATTGCAGTAAAGACAGGCATAAGAAATTATAAAAGTATTAATTTGGAGAACTAATAAATGTCCATGAAATCTTCACAATCCACGTTCTTCTGCCATGGCTTCAGCCGGTCCCTCCGTTTGGGGTCCCTGACTTCCCACAACATCCAGGAATGTATTCATTTCCTCTAGGTTTTTTTTGTTTGTTGGTGTATCATTATTCACAAAAATTTCTGGTAAGCCTTTGTATTATGGTGGTATCGGTCATCATGTCTCCTTTTTCAATTCTGATTTTACTTGGGTCTTTTCTTTTTTCTTAGTCTGACTAATGGTTTATTAATTTTGTTTTTATAAAAAACCGACTTTATGTTTCATTGCTCTTTTGTATTATACTTTAGTCTGAATGTCATTTATTTCTGCTCTGATTATTGTTTTCTTCTAATTTGGGGGTTGGCTTATTCTTGCTTTGCTAGTTTCTTGAGGTGTACTGTTAGGTTGTTTATTTGAAATAATTTTTTTATTTTGATGTTTGTTGCTATCAGTTTCCCTCTTCTGCTTTTGCTGTATCCTATAGGTTTGTGTATGTTGTGTTTCTACTTTCATTTGACGAAACAAATGTTTTAATTTTCTTCTTTTTTCATCGGTCATTCAGGAGCATGTTGTTTAATTTCCATGTGTTTGTACAGTTTCCAAAATTTCTTTTGTTATTGATTTCTAGTGTTATTCCATTGTGGTCAAAAAAATACTTCGTATGATTTTGATTTCTTAAAAAATATGTTGAGACTTAATTTGTGGCCTGAAATATGATGTGTTCTGAAGAATATTCCATTTGCTGATGAGAAAAATGTGTATTCTGTAGCTATTAGATGAAATGTTGTATAAATGTTTGTTAGGTCTATAGTGAAATTTAATCCGCGATTTCCTTAAGTTTTTTTTTTTTTTTTTGGTCTAGATATGTCCAAAGTTGAGAGTGGGATTTTGAAGTTCCCAGCTATTATTATATTGGGATCTAATACTATTTGCTTTATGTATCTGAGTGTTCCCGTCTTGAGTGCATGTAGATTTACAGTTGTTACATCGTCTTGTTGAATGGGTCCCTTTATCCTTATATAATGGCCTTCTTTGTCTCTTTTTGCAGTTTTTGACTTGTAGTCGGTTTTTGGCTTCCATTTGTATGGAATGTCTTTTTCCATCCATTTACTTTCATTCTGTATGTGTCTCTATATGTGAAGTGAGTTTCTTTTAGGTAGCATATAGTTGAGTTCTGTTTTTTTATCCATTCGGCTAATCTATATCTTTTCATTGGGGAATTTAACCATTTACATTTACGGTTATTATTGATAAATAAGGACTTACTCTTGTCATTTTTTAAATTATTTTCTGATCATTTCGTATATACATTGTTCCTTTCTTATGGTTTATCTTTGGTGGTTTTCTATCATGATGAGGTTTGATTACTTTATCTCATTTATGTATCTTCTCTATGAGTGAGCTTTATACTTTTGTAGTTTTATGATAGTAGATAATGTTTTGCTTCCAAATGTGGGGCACCCTTAAGCATTTCTTTAAAGTCTATCTAGTGGTGATGAATTTTCTCAGTTTTTGTTTGTCTGGAAGGGACTTTATTTTTCCTTCATTTCTGAGGGATAGCTTTGCTGGGTATGTTTTTAGTTGAGTTTTTTTTTTTTTTTCTTTCGGCAACTTGAATATATCAGTCTATTCTTTTCTTGCCAATAAGGTTTCTGCTAAGATATATGCTGTTATTCTAATGGAGATTCCTTTGTATGAGACTTGACATTTTTCTCTATTTTTAGAAATATTTGCTTTTAGAAAATTTGTTGACTTTTGATAGTATGACTATAATGTGCCTCAGAAAGGACCTTTTGAGGTTGAATCTATTTGGGGACTTTTGAGCTTCCTGGATCTAGATGTCTATATTCTTCCAAGACTTAGAAAGTTTTTAGCTATTATTTCATTAAATAGGTTTTCTGTGCCTTTTCCCATCTCTTTTCCTCCTAGGCTTTCCTTATTCCTTTTTATTTTCTGATTGGATCATTTTAAAAAGCCTTTCTTCAAGTTCAGAAGTTTTTTCTGCTTCATCTAATCTATTATTGATACTTTCCATTGTATAGTTTATTCACTGAATTTTTTCAGCTTCAACATTTCTGTTTGGTTCTTTTTTATGACACCTATCTTGTTGACTTTATCATTCATATCATAAATAGTTTTTCTTATTTTATTGAATTGTCTATCTGTATTTTTTCGTATCTTGCTGAATTTACTTAAGATCATTATTGTGAATTCCTTTTTAAGCATTTCATAGATTTTCTTTTCTTGGTTGTCTGTTACTGGAGAATTACTGTATTTCTTTGTGTTACATTTCTTGCTTTTTCATGTTTCTTGTATTCCTACATTGTTACTTATGCATCTGGTGGAATAAGTACCTTCTTCAATTTTATGGAGTAGCTTTTGTAGGGAAAGATTTTTTCTTACAGATGTGATACATGGTGTCTGGCTTTGGATTTGGTTCTAGGTAGGCAAAGTAGTGTAGTCACAATATGTTTTTTTGGGCTGTCATCAACATCTGTGAGTGCTTCAGTGGCCTAGACTATGTGGGTCTGTGGAAGCAGTGATATGGCTTTGGTTTTGCTGGGGGCAGTATCGTCAGTGACAGTAGTCACCTAACAGTCCTGTTCCCAGTTTCTGAGTGGTGTGTGTATGCCATTCAGCTCCACTGATGAAAGGGGCACAGTCACTGGTAGTGTCAGGCTCCTGGCAGCCTGTTTTTGGGTCCTGTGGTGAGGGTGCACATTTGATGCTTAGCAGTTCCACTGCTCAAGGGGGCAGGGCAACATTGTCTACATGTTGATCTTGTTTACTATACCAGGTGCCACAGCACCCATCACATGCTACGGGCTGCTTAAGGAGGTGACAAAATACTGCTAATTAGACCTGCAAAAAAGTTCAGACATCACTAGAATGTAGGTACCATGAAAGCCAGGATTTTGGTACATTTTTCACTATTGCATCTAAATGCCCATAATAGTATCTTGTTGATTATTTATTGAATGAATCAATACTTTAAAGTTTACATTGAACCTAACTGCTTTTTTGTTTACCTAGTTTTAGCCTGTTCATTTGGAGCTGCATTCCCCAGAAACATTGTTTCAAATTCTCTAAATTTTGAGAACCCAAATCCTAGTTTCACCTTTTTGTCTCTCCTTCAGCTTTTCTCTCCTTTCACTTTACTGAGGTCAGAGCCATTTGTTGGGCCATATTGTCTTTTCACTTACAGAATTTATAAGGCTTTAGCCACTCTCCTTGCCACTTTACTTGGCAGAGAAGATGTCCTTCTCTCCAATGCTAATACTTTGTCTTTATTATAAGTATTAGAAATTATATTGTTCTCTTCATATCATCACCTCCTTCCTTTCCTTCTGGAACCTGTCATCTATCTCTTTATACCATAGTCACTCCCTTTCCAACAAGTATAGAGCTGATTCACAAAACAGTAAGTTCTGTCCTGGAACTTAAAATGGATTTTGTCTTTCCTTCCTTCTAGTTAAAAATCTCTGAAAAGGTTTCCCATCTACTTATGACTATTCCTATTTCCTTGTTAGCTACTCACTGTTTAGCACCTCAAGTTTTGGACTGAACACATGAATTCTTGAACTGTTATGACTGTTTCTCCTGCATTCTTAAGGCTTTTCCATTTCTTCATTTATTACTCTAACAAACATTTGAGCACCTCTTATTATCAGGCATGTTTCAAGGTGGTAGAGATACTGCAGTGAATAAAATAGATAAAAATCGTTGGCCTTGTGGATGCTACATCCTAAAGGAGGAAACACATATTAAATGTTGTAGGTGTGTGTTGTGTGTGTATTTACTATAATAGTAAGTACAAGAAGAAAAATAAAACAGAAAGCGGTTAGGCAGTTTTACAGTGGAGGGGTCTGCTATTTTAGATCATGCTGAGAGAATTTTCATTGGTGAGATGGTTTTCAAGTAAAGGTCTGAAGGAGGCGAGAGAGAGTGAGTCATATAGGTATCTGGGGGATGAATATTGTAAGTAGAGAGAAGAGTAAAGGCAAAATTCCCAAGGTGGGTGTGTGCCTGATGTTTCTGAAGACTAGTGAGGAAGATAGTCCTCATCTTTCTTGAGCTCACAGTGGCATTTGGCATTCTTGACTCCTGTCTGCCTTTTGAAGTGTTCTTTGTTTCTTTGGAGATCTCTGGTATTCTATAGAGACTAACCTGGTCTGGTTTTGACCTCCTCTATCTCTTTCACTGGTTTCTTCTTTTCATTGTTTTTGACTTGTAATCTTTTTTTTCCATAGGGATCTTTTGTTGTTTCCTCTTTTTTTCCTGCGCACATCGTATATTGCCAAACTACATTCTTAAATTGTGCCTCTGTTTATCAGACATCTCAACTTTTGTATCACAAGGGACCAAAAATTTCACATTTGACAACTAAATAGTTCATTGCCCTACCTGCCACTTACCCAGAGCCCTAATTTTCACCTCCCTTTCTATTCTCCATGTCCATTTTTTTTGGCTTACCTAATCAAATTGTTGTCTAATTTAGAGAACTCAGTTATCTGTGACCATATTATTCCTCACCCACCACTTCTAACTGGTCATCTTATCAAACTCTTTATCTTCTGTGCTCCAGTCTTCATCAGCCATATCCCTGCCATAGTAAACATATTTCAAACTTCTGTGTCTTTGTGCATACTATGGCTTGTGTCTAGAATACTCTTAACACTCTTCGAATTAAGCTCAAATGTTATCTTCTATGCAAAGAAGGTTTCTCTACATCCCCACTCGTTAATTATGTCTTCCATTGTGTACATATCTCTTGTAAGCCCCCTACAGTGATATTAATATAATGATGAGTATGTTCCTAGCTTGTAAGCTCCTTGAAGACCTCAGCTAAATCTTATTAATCAGTATACATAATGCTTTCCTGTATTTTGTTGCGTTGGGCCCCAACATAGCAAAGAGAGTAGATAGAGAAATGCATTTGGACTAAGAGTACTGCATTACAACATATTGAACATGAGGGAAAAACATTGAAAATTCCAAAGATACATATGCCTTCATCAGTAACATTCATATAGTATACACATAATACCAAAATCTTGGAGAGCAACTAGAATGAACATTTTGTTAATGTTTGCCTGAGTCCTGAGTGCTTTCATTCTACTCATTCATTGCTACAATGGTAGACAGTCCTGTTGGCAGACAGATATAGGGCCCGCATAATGAGGGCCTGTAGGTAGGCTGAACTTGTCCAGGTTGAGGGTGAAGAACAACTGCTTTAGATCAATCTTAAAATTTTAATTCTATAAATACATAATTTATTGCAGGTGTTTACTTTGAATAGCAGTGTATTTTTCCTGCTACTTTTTTGTTTCTAAATTCAGAAACTTTTTGTTGTTGAAGGTGTTTTAATTACGAATACGCATTTCTCGTAAGATTATGAGGGAAAAATTAAGCAACTAAAACATTTAAGGGAACTAAAAAATACTCTTTAGTAAACTTATAGGGATTCCGGAATAGCAAAGAAGCAGACAGTTAAGGGGAAGGAGAAACAAGTTTTTTTTTTAAAAAATTATTTACTACTTTAAAAAGGTTAAATGTAAAGTCTTTCATTAGTTTCACAAAATGTATCTTCCTCATTTGGAAAGCAACCTGTTATGCTTTGAAAAGAATGAGCAAGTAAAAATAATAGGGAGATAAATACATTTTTGACAAAAATTACTGTTTTGAGATTTTAATGATGTTAAAAGTGGTAATCTTGTTCATTTTCTTCTTTTAAATCATTGCCCAGATTATATAAGACTCTTTTGCAAATTTTTAAAGCATTTTAAGGATATTTATGATATTTTAATGAGCAGCCTGTAGTTCGCTTTCTTCAAGTGGCGACATAGGATGAGCAGCCACTTCATACTACTTATAGAAAAGAATTAATTACTGTTCTTTTCATGTTCCAGTGTTCTTTTTGACCTGGGGAGAAATATTGTGGCTAAAAGTTACAATAAACCAAATTGTTAACAAAAAATGTATATCTTTCATATAAATGACCATTTTCAAAATGTCAATTAGCATATCTTCTACTGCCAAACTGAGAGGTTGTTTATGCTGTTTATATGAGGAGAGGGCACAGGTGACTTATAGTGCCAGCTCTCAGAATGAGCAGAAGGTTG
Organism: Homo sapiens; assembly: GCF_000001405.40. Taxonomy (NCBI): domain Eukaryota; kingdom Metazoa; phylum Chordata; class Mammalia; order Primates; family Hominidae; genus Homo; species Homo sapiens. Next base: position 97,862,702 of record NC_000003.12, read on the forward strand.
GACGGGTGAGGTGGAGACAACTGGAATCAAATTGTAGTTGAAACTAGTGAAAGGTGAGATGTGCAGTGTCTCTAGAATCTGGCTGGTGACATTCTAAATGTAGAGGCTCACAAGATGTATTAAATCCTAACACATCAAACAATGCCATGTGCTTACTCAGAAATCCCCTTTGACACCTGTGGGAACAAATTTAAAAGTATTGTTTGCTTGCAATCAGTTTGCTGAGTTAATAAGTTCTAAACATTTTCTCAACCTTTCATATGCTAAATCTTTTTTAAAGGTTAGTGAAATACTCCTTTATACTAATTTGAACTTAGATCAAAACATGGAATGAGGTGAAAAAATGACATTATAATTATGATGTTCTTGCCTTCTGGAAGATCAGATTCTTATAAAACATTGTCATGTGAACCTAAAGTGCCCTAAGGTGGTTTTGCCTTGGTGTCCTGATTGTTTTCTGACTCACACTTGAGCTTTCCTTTTATAAGGGCTAGTGAGCATAATAGGTGACAGAGACTGTAGGATGGGCATTCTTTTTACAATTACGTAAGTGAGCATGTTTGGAAGGCAGGGTGAGTTGGCTCATGGGCCTAAAGCTTTTTAGAATCTGGAAATAGCATGAAGTGGAATGCCAACATACTCTGATATAGCAGCTCAGTTTTTCCTCATACAGAGTATGCATTAATGTGAGTTTGCTTTACCAGTAACTTAACTATGAGCAGGCAAAATGGACTTCTGCAACTGTTTGTCTTCAAGTATGCCCAATGCTATCCATGGTTTGAATTAACATTATGTATCAGGACTTCCTGTTTTACCAGGAAGGGGTCACAAGTGGGCTCTTTCTCTGAACTGAAGTACCATGTTACTGTCTTTTCCTCATCTTCTTGAATAATGTTTCATATTGTGCCAGCTTTATGGGTTAACACAATGCTGAAATGATGAGGTCTGTTGAGGTGTTATCTCAAGTACCAAGAACTTGAAATACTCTCCCTTATCTCTGTAATAATAAAGGCTAAATTTAAATACTCATAAGGTTTACTGTGGTCTCTTTACGTCTCTCTCCATATTTACCTCTCACTCTTGTCATTTTCGTACCCTAACCTCCAGTCATATTAAACTCCCTTAGGAGCTGACACCTCACTAAAAACACACACACATGCATGAGCATCACATAGTCACTTTTTCTGTCCTCTTTAAAGAGTGTACTTCCTCTAGGAAGCATCCCCCAAGTTACCTTCTGTGCTCTCACTTCTACCAAGTCTGGACTAGTTGCTCGTGCTCTGGGCTCCCATGTGTGCAGTACTTCTCCCCTCATGACATTTACCGTATAGCTTTTTAAAGGTCATGCTTACTGTGCTCTTCAGTAGATTGTGAACTGCCCAAAGGAACAGAAGCCATTAGTCTTATTCACAAATGTATCCCTGGTGTCTACACAGAATCTGTTTTATAATAGCTTATCAGTCTGTTTCATTATTTAAATAATGATGCTTATGATTGTCTATTTTGTTTTCAAAGATTCGCCAAAGTGAGGACAAAAGGAACCATGCTGAGAAGCCAGTCACTCTTCCAGTGCAGGAAGATCCCAAAAAGGCATATGATCTTTCCAGTTCCACTTCAGATACCAAAATAGGAGAAAGTGACAGACAGCCAAAAGAAAGCTTTTTTCAGTTTCTTGGTAACTTATTCAATATCTCGGGGAAATCATCTCTAGGTGAAGCTAAGCAGTCTTCTTTCAAAGATGACCAGGATAAAACTGAGAAGGATTTACAAAATCCCAGTGACCATCATGAAGACGGGATCAAAAGGGAGAGAGAGATTTTCAGTGGCTCCCTAAGAACCCAGACACATCCAACAGAAGAACAAGACTCTAACTCATCCGAACTCTCAGATGCTTTTTCTTTGGATACAACACAAGACAGTGACCAAGAAACCACTAATTTGCTAAAGTAAGTTTAAAATTTCATTGAACCAAAAAAAATTGAGCTTTTTGGACCTAGCTTTTGAGCTTTAGCTTTAATCCTAGTAATTGGTGGGATTGGAAAAGATATTCTGTAGTGTCCCTACTACTGGGTAAGAAATTGTATGATTCTCTGTACCATACAAGTAATCAATCATGGTACAGAGAACCATACAGGTAATCTAGGGCCTGCAAAATTTGTCTTAGTAAAAGATTCTTTTTTTCCCTGCATGGTAATGTTTTCTGTTGCTTAGATTCTTCCTGTGTCAGGACAGGCAATGTATTCAATATGTGCATTTTCGGGGAAAATGGTCCTCAGGTTTATATTCTTATTCTGTCAATATCTTTGTTCTGTAAAATTTAATTAAAGCCATTAAGAAAAGCAATTAAATGGACTCTGTTCATGAAACTAGCTTTATGAATCTTTACACAGCTCCAAGAAACTAAAATATTGCTTGAATTGAAGGAGCATTTTACCACCACTTTCTTCATTGTTTGATTAACAAACACACATCCACTTGTTTTTCCTTTTACTCTCAAATGAGGTAGAAGGAATATTTTGTAATTAAGGAATGTTTATAACATTGTTGAGTCCATTCAATATTTTGTGTGACATAAAAGTATTCATTTGTAACTAGTAAGGTTCTGTTTTATTGATTTTACTTTTACCTCTGCTGGAGAATTTATTATTTGAAGAAGCCATCAAAAATATTATAGTGAGATATAAGCACTACCTTATAATTATACAGTTCTTTATAGTTTCCAGGAAGTTCTTTATAGTTTCCAGGTGTCTTCATGTAGGTGCTTTCAGTTAATTCCTCGTAGTAAACGTGTGATTTAGGCACAGACCTCTCTTACAGCTCTGTGAAAATTAGATTAGAGTTTGTCCATCAAGAATAATGTTGTGGGGCTTGTTCAACCTGATGTTAAAACATATTGATCCAGCTGTGGTATTTGAAACAGTGTCATACTGATGTAATATTTGCTAGACATTTAAATCGAGCAGAGTAGGCAGCCTAGAAATATACTCTCTTATATGTAATTTGAACCCTAGAATATGATGGCATTATGTGTTCCTCATCTTTGTACTAAAGTAAATTAAGATAGAGTAACAAATGTTAAAAACAATAAAAAAGTTAAATTGTACATTTTTATTTTGGTGAGAAATGACTTTCTAACCATAATAGCAATGGAAGGTATCAATAAAGAGATCAGTAGATTAAAATTTATTCCCAATTTTCAAATTCTTTTATGTCAAATAACATAAGCAATAATAAATTTAAATGGAAAATGAGAAAATTATACACAAAAATGACAGAGAATGCTTTGATAAGCAATTTAGACAACAACTCACCAATAGAAAAGTCAAACAATATAAACAAATCTTTCAAATAAAAGAAGTCTAATCTGTTAATAAGTGAAAAAACATTTATTTTCATTATCAAGGAAATGCAAACTAAAATGAGAGTTTTTTCCCCTGTTAAATTGATAACAATAATAATAAATGATAATACCCTGAGTGAGTCAGAGTTGATAAGGCTGACACTCATATACCCTGCTAGGAATGGAGTACAAATTGGTAGCATTTTTTAGAAATTCAATTGGCAATATATATCAAGAGCCTTAAGTTTGTAGGTTATTTCTGATAACGTACAAAGGTGTTCATTCAAACATTATAGGAACATATATTTGGAAACCAGTGTCCGACAGCAGAAAAGTGGCTCAATTGTGCTGCATCCATAATATGGGATTACGATTGTCTAAAGCAGTACTATTCAAAGTGTGGTCCTTGGAGCAGCAGCAGCATCATCACCTGGGACCTCATTAGAAATGCACATTATCTGATCAGATCCACTGAAGCAGAATCTCTGCAGGAGTGGGGCCCAGCAATATTCTAACAACCTCTTTAGATGATTGTTTTGCTTGCTCGCATTTGACATCTAGCATTTTAAAGTAATTTAAAATGGTGATAATTTTGAGGTTGTTACAGTAATTGGGTAGAATGGGAAGTTTGTACTTTTTCTCCTTTGATTTTGATTGGTTAGGTCAGATTTTTTTTCTTTGGTACTAGTTGATTAAAAAGAGAGAGGATACTTTTCCTCTTATTTATTGTTACTAAATAATAACTTGTTAGTAGAATAATTCCTTGTAAATAGAATAATTGCTTAAGGCAATTCTCCAAAGTCTCCTCAACAAATAATGGTGGTTCTTGATTTAGGAGGAAAGGAAAAAACCACCTGACTGCCAGTTTGACTGAGATGCCGGCTTCCTTCAGGCCTAGCTTTGAAAATCCCACAGTTTACCAGGCTTAGAATTACAGTTTCAGCAACTTCCTCCTGACAACTGTCAATATGCCTAAGAATTATAATTTAGCCCAGGCGCGGTGACTCATACCTCTAATCTCAGCACTTTGGGAGGCCGAGGCAGGCAGATCACCTGAGGTCGAGAGTTTGAGACCAGCCTGACCAACATGGAGAAATTGTCATTGTCTTTAGTAAACTTATAGGGATTCTGGAATAGCAAAGAAGCAGACAGTTAACGGGAAGGAGAAACAAGTGATTTTTTTTTGAAAAAATTATTTACTACTTTAAAAAGGTTAAATGTAAAGTCTTTCATTAGTTTCACAAAATGTATCTTCCTCATTTGGAAAGCAACCTGTTATGCTTTGAAGAGAGTGAGCAAGTAAAAAAGGGAGATAATTGTCATATTTTCCTAAATGTGAATTAGATACTTTTGCTGTAAGTTTAGCTATGACTTTCAGGCTGCTATTACAGGATTTTCTTTGAAGAATGATACATGTCTTTGGTTGACCTTTGTAGTATCAAGTGTATCAAATTTATCTAGAATAGAGCGTATCCGTATGTGTTACCTAGAGGCTTAATAAACCTTCACATAATGAGTAATTATGTATTGGGCTAAAATCTGTAAAACCTTTTCAGATTTTCAATATGTATGCCTACTTCCTTAAATATTTGAAATTTTTAGATATTTTACTTTTCTTCTTACTGTTCTTTGGATTATGTACCTTTGGTATATAGCATAAGCTGTAGATCCTATGTGTAATTACAAAATGCATGAAGTTAATACTCCCTTTTCTCTGTTTAGCTTGTGAAAATTCAAATGATATAGAATAAAAATGTGATGGTAACTTCCTTGTGAAAGAAAACTAAGTACAAAATTCTCTTCCTCCTATTGTTAAATACAATGTGGAGAAAAAGATTTTTAATTTTTAATTTTCCACCTTCAGCTTATTATTAGCTATATACTTTTAGGCATTTCTATTTACTAGGGAAAAATTAAAAATTAAAGGACAACTTTATGTTCTTAAGATTATTTAATTTGTTGGGCACGGCGGTGGCTCACGCCTGTAATCCCAGCACTTTGGGAGGCCGAGGCGGGCGGATCACGAGGTCAGGAGATCGAGACCATCCTGGCTAACACGGTGAAACCCTTTCTCTACTAAAAATACAAAAAAATTAGCCAGGCACGGTGGTGGGTGCCTGTAGTCCCAGCTACTCGGGAGGCTGAGGCAGGAGAATGGCGTGAACCCAGGAGGCAGAGCTTGCAGTGAGCCGAGATAGCACCACTGCAGTCCGACCTGGGCGAAAGAGCGAGACTCCATCTCAAAAAAAAAAAAAAAAATATTATTGAATTGTGTGGACTCAACTATACTCCATGAAAGAATGATCTAAAACATAATGTTGGCATGACTTAACCTTTTAAAAATGGAAAGTTTAAAAAAAGGCAGAGGGAGTGTAGCTCATTAGTACCTGAAGGGACTCACTATAATATATGAAGCTGAACTTGTCACTTTGATTTCCTATTCTTTAAATATAGTATAATTGTTTAGTCTAAAGAATGTATGTTTTAATTACAAGTATATAATATTTCTACCTCCAGTGCAGCATATTAGTTAGAAATTTAAACCAGTGCATGTAACTTAATATAAATTAACTTAACCAACTTCTTGAAAGTACTCAGAAAGCCCTAAAAAATATAAAACAATGATTCCCACTGCCTACCCTGCAAAGGACCCCAATACCAAAAGGTATTATTATAGTGAGTTGAAATTTAATGGACTTTTTCTGTGGTCTATTAGAAGTCCTTTTGGATCAAAAGTTGCATTGATGCAGGATAAAATGCTTTGAGGTTTGATTAAGAGAGAGTTGGCAGTAAGAGGACCTAAATTTACTATACTAGAATGAATTTCTGATCCTTTTCTCTTATTTCCACTGACCATGAACATTTCTTGGTATTGATTTCTTCAGAATTACTTCTGTGATCTTTTGCAAAAAGAAACATTGTAGCCTGTTGACAGTAGGTTTTAGGTATGAAATGTTAAAACTTTGAAAAAAAAAAACCTGTCATTTTTTCAGACTCTGTATCTTCATATGTTGTTCTGAAAGGCTTTTGTATTTTCTGAATAACTTACATATTTTGATATGGCGTTTTACCAATAGCATTCATTTACCTATTTTTGCTTCTTGCCTATTTTCATGGACTGGTTGCCTTATCCAACTTTTTTCTTTCATTGTTTTGTTTTATTTTTATATTCGCCATTCATTCATTCATTCATTCATTCAACTTTTGGGGTTTTGTTGGTAGTTACAAATTAAATGTTTAATCTTATTATCATATAGCTTACTTTGAATAAAACATGATACATTATTAAAATTGGTATGAAGTATCACTACATTATGAAGCAGAAAATGTTTGGTACAAAACATTTTTTTCCATATTGCATGTAACAATAGGAAGATTCATATGTAAGAACAGAATTTTGTACTTAGTTTTCTTACACATAGAAGTTGCCATCGCATTTTTATTAGATATTTATGTCATAGTTGGCTCTGTGCACGAGGCTTACATAGAGAGATTAATAAAAACAATACATTGGGCTCTGTCTTCATAAGGATTAGATTTTTAAAAAATACCAATAGGGAAAGACCCAAATGTCAAATAATGGTATCTTATCCAAGTTTTGACTTTGTTTCATAACAGTCCTTGATCTAGCCTGAAATTCATGCAGCAACTAAAACCATTTTTGGAACACAAAGCTTTTCTTTATGCATCTCCTTTAGTGCTTTATAATGGACAATAAAAATAAATGAATATAACTAACATAATTTTTTACAATACTGGTGCATTAGTATTTTAAGGGGCCAGGAGATATATAGGTTGAAATGAATTATTTCAGCTAAAATTTAAGAAGTATTTAAGAGACACAGTTGGTGAAGTTTTTACATGTGAAAAGAGATATACTTTCTCTTTTATCAATTAGACAAATCTAGAATTCTTAATGTAACTGCTTTAAAGTTGGCAATAAAATGTATTTTTTAGGTATTGGAATACTGATAACTGAATTTCGAAATTATTCATGTGTATTTCACAGTAATGGTTTGGTTAATCATATGTTTAATCAGAAAAAAATCAAGTAGAACACACATCAGATTTTTCTACCATACTGTTTTTTTAAAAAATAATTTCAACTTTTATTTTAGAGTTGGGGTGCATATGCAGGTTTATTACATGGAGATAAATTGCATGTTGTGAGGGTTTGGTGTACAGATTATTTCGTCACCCAGGTAATGGACATAGTACCTGACAGGTAGTATTTTAGTCCTCACCCTCTTCCCATCCTCCCCACTCAATTAGGCCCCAGTGTTTATTGTTCCCTTCTTTGGGTCTATGTGTACTCAACGTTTACCTTCCACTTATATGTGAGAACATGTAGTATTTGGTTTTCCTGTGTTAATTCACTTAGGATAATGGCCTCCACTGCATTCATGTTGTTGCAAAGGACACGATTTTCTTCTTTTTTATTGCTGCTTAGTATTCAATGGCATATATGTACCACATTTTCTTTATCCAATCTACCATTGATGGACATCTAGGTTGATTTCATGTTTTTGCTATTGTGGATAGTGCTGTGATGAACATATGAGTGCATGCTATTTTTTATAGTCAGGAAATTGAAAGGTAATTAGAGTTCAAAATGTAAAACATTTTGATTATCACATATAAGAATTAAGACATTCTTTTGAAATAGATTACTTAGCAGTAAGTATCATTCCTTTACTTATTCATTAATTCATGAGAAGGTATTAAGCATATACAACTTGCCAAATCTTGTGTGGGGCACTTAAAAACAGAAAGATGATTAGGACACAGTACCTTCCCTCAAATAGCCACCAGGCTAGTGGGGAAAATAAATAAGTGCATAGATCTTTATGATTTAATGTGACAAATGTTGTGCTCTGTGCACCCAGAGATCAAAGACTAACTGTCCATCTTAGTAGTAGAGGGATAGGTTTGCAGTGGAAATTATTTGTGTGCTGAGTCTTAGAGGGCATTAGAGTTTCCTTCTGATGCTGGCATTAAAGGGCAGAGAATGATGTGTGTAATTGGCTATAAGATAGTATGGCGTGATGTGAGAACTCGTAGTGGTAGATTCTCCAAAGGAAATTGGGTGCTGAGAGCATCAGGATCTTTATACTGTGGTTAGATTTCTATACTTACTCTAGACATCTTTTTTGATTTTTGCATTTGCCCAAGCAGTTTAATACTATACTAAATGAATATTTGAAGAACTGAACACAGAGAATTTTAATGCAGTTTTGTCATTTATTGAGTTAACAAATACATACTGAGTGTTTACTGTGGGCTAGACATTTTGCCATCTGTTTTCATTTAAAACGTTTCCAAGTTACGTGCTAAACATTGCTGTTCAAATTCACATGTAAGAGTAAAGGAATAGAAGGTCATTATGATGCTTTAATGTGGTGGAGAAGTCAGTGATGTATCCCTAAACTCGTAGTAATATGAGGCCCAAAGTCAAGCTGGTTACTTAGAGTCAGACACTCCTTTGAGATTAGAACTAGGACCCAAGGCTTGGACTCATATTCTGTTAACCACAGTCAGAGGTATGTATGTAATCAGGTAAGAAGGAGTAATTCTAAGGAGGTCAAACATTCTTCATGCTGCATTGACATTCAGGTGCTACTTGTTAAATTTTTATTATTTTTAATAAAGGTAAATTTAAAGCGTTCTAGGATTTACTCCCCAAATTGGTACATATTAAGGGAAGTGGTGTTTAAAAGATGTACTTTTACCACAGTTGCTGGGATTAGTATTAAGTATTATTAATTATATTTCCTGATACTCTCATGCTTTCTTTTTACAGACAAATCGATGGTAAACCAGAGAAGCCTTCAGTAACATATGCAACATATCGAGGCCCAAGACACATTGGGAAATATTTAAAGCAACAGACAGGCTTGGCAACTGTGAATACCTTGGACAGAGAAAATGAAAGTTCTGACTCTAGTACAAACAGACACATTGACCCTGGAAGTGAGATTGAGGCTGGGGTACTGCCACTGTTGTTATCAGCTAGTACAGACTCATCTATGAAAGGAAATCTACTTGAAGGCCCATTAGAAGACTCTGATTGTAGCAAAACAAGTTTCAACAAGGAAAATTCTTTGACAAATAACCCAGAACTGCAGAATATTGCCTCTTCCAATAATCTTTTAAATAAAAATGCTTGGGGGAGTATTGAGAGAAATAGGTCATCCCCTTCTTCTGTGACTAACTCCAGCTACGATGGAGAATCTGACTCACAGCACCATTTAAGTTGTGAACCGGTTTCTCAGACTAACAGAAATTTGGTATGTTCAGCATTGTTAACAGGAAGTAACCATCGCAAAGTCCCTTGCAGCCCAGATTTTCAGAGAGTAACTACAACAGAAAATACGATAAAAGAAAACAGCACTGTGATGAGTAATAGGACATTGGTGCAAAGAGAGGAGCTTGTTGAGCCTCAGGGCCCTGCTATTTCTGATTTCTCTTGTAGTAAATCTGATGGGAGTGACACTACTGAGCAGGAAAGTACAAATTTGCCAAGTCCAAATAAATCAATTAGGCATGAACATCTGCAGTTGCCAGAGAGTGAGTGTTCTGACAAGCAAACCATAGATAGCTCATCAAAGCAAGCTGCCACTCACACCAATATCATTGCTCTTCAGAGACATGCTGTGACAGACACAGAATTTGTAAATGAAGGAAAGAGATTGTCTGCCCAAGACTCACAGAAAAATGTGGCTGTTAGAGAAATCAGGCGAGAAACAGAAAGTGCCTCAGCTGGTGAATCCATAGCTTCAAGTCATGTAAAAGCTCCAGAAGATAAAATTGAGTCATTACCCAAAGATACTGACCAATACTTTGAAACCAAAGCCAAAAAGCTTGATTTTAGGTCACATGATAAAATTCCTCATATTAGAATGAATAAAAAAGACCTGGCCTCTTTAAATTACATCAGTGAATCAGCAGTTGTAGCAAGCTTAGGAAATGAAAATGCACCTGAGTTGAAATTTGAACTTAATAGAAGTCACATTTCAGAAACTCCTCTTGACTCTGAGAGTCCTCAACAAGCTGAAGTATCACCTGATGCTAAAACATCTCTTAGCCTTGACTGTAAAAAACTAAATTTCAGTATTTCACCTCCTACCTTTGTTTCTGGAGTTGGGATGCTGAGCAAGTTGGATATTCCTGATTTAATGAATGAGGGTTCTCCTGTGCCCATTGAAACTGGGAATGTCAACATTGTTGGTATTTCCTATCAGCCTAGGAAGTGTAAAGAAGAAAATGTGAAAAACCATGTTGAGGCTGCAGGCAGGAAGAGTCCTCCTCCTTCCTTTTGCCTTGAATATACATCTGCAATTTTTGAATTCAAAGAAGTTCTTTCTAATAGTGAAAAATGCCAGGTTCTTCCAGGTTCTGAAGCCAGTGGCCCTCACTTAACTGGGTTGGAGCTATTGAGCTTTGACTCTGGAAACCTCTCTAAGGATTGCAGTTCCATTTTATCTCAAGACCCTAATAGAGTAGAGTTAGTGTCTTCAAACACTAAAGCAAATATGAGCATAATAGAGAAGTCTGATTCTCTTTCCTTGGAAGCCAAAACTGCTAACATTGTATCAAAAGCTGAAATTGATGGTCAGAACAATGTTCTTGTGGAGTCACATTCTGGAAGAGGAAAAACTATATCCTTGTCCAAGGTATCTCTTTCAAAAGTGGAGCCCAGAAACATTTCTCAGGATAAAATGTCTTCTTTTCCATTGAAAATTACCCATGTTCCAGAAAAGCCTATTTTGTCAGAATTAACCTTTCTAGAAGTTGAACAGGGCAAACGTTTTCAATCAATTAATCATAATGAGATAGGAGAGAAATGTTCAGATGCTGGCCTTAAAGAGAATTGCCAAGCTGAGCTTTCTCCTGCTGCCTCCAAATATGAAGATAAGCCAGAACCAGAGGTAGATGCCTTAGGCTCTCCTCCTGCTCTTCTTAAAAGTAATATATCTTGGATTTTACCACCTATTCATGATGAAAAAATCAGTAGGCAAATGGCGCAGAATTGTGAAGCTCACACTTGTGTGTTTCATCAATCTTTGGATATTTGTGGGACTAAAAAGATTTCTGGTCACTCAGAAATGGCGGAACTCAGCTTAACTAATATTTCCCCTAAATTCCAAGAAACTGGCAGCATGAAAGTAAATTCACCTTTTCTGGATTCTGATTCCAGTTTGGAAAAAAATTCTTCTGCATCTGAGGACTCAAGCTTCCTTAAAGTACCTTCTGTGCTGAAATTGGAAAAGAAATCCTCATCTTACAGAAAGAAAGAGAACATCCATTTTTTAAATGGTGGTATTGATAGTGTGTCATCTTCCTCTAGTTACCCTGAAGAAGTTAGCATGATAGTAAATTCACATAAGCCCCAAAATAATTTGGATTCTATACAAGTTACCAAAGATCTCACACATGAAGGTACCTCTGTAACTAACCTGTTGTACCCTACTACCTCTTATTTGGAATTTGAAACGTCTGTCTCAATTGGGACAGAAGTAACCCCATTTCAGGAACATTTTGGGATTTATACTGGGAAGATATCCATTGATTTCCCAACTGCTGCCCAATTTGACAATCTCGTGGAAGCAGAGACTGGAGCAGTTGCTGGGCCTGCAGCGTCAGTTAACAGCTCAGGCCAACAGTGTTCTGAAGCCTCTGCTGAGCACATAGAAGCCAGGAGAAGAGCACATGACCAACTTTTGGACCTCAAAAGTAGTTTACTCAAAAAGGCCGATACATTGATTGGTGAGATTTTTAATTCTGTCAGGGAAGAACTAAAATTCAAACACACAGTGAGTACCTGCCAGGAGCATATAGCCATAGAAGGTATAATGAATCTGGGTACCCTGAAAGAAGACATCTCTGAGAAAAACCCATCAGAAGTGACACTAACAGAAATACAACAGACAGAGGGTTTGGAAGAGCAAGGCATGGAAAACATGTCAGAAGTCAAAGAGAAGCCCTGTGTTTCACCAACAGTTGGTGAGAAGAATCTTCTTGTTGATCCTAATAGTATGAATGTATCTTGTTTGTTAGAAGATAAAGCTAGGGAATTAGTCAATGAGATTATTTATGTAGCCCAAGAAAAATTGAGAAATGATACTTTTGAAGATACTGAGGATACTTGGGATTCTGAACTTCAGGCTAATACTTCAAAAATTCTGAACAGTGATAGTGTTAAGCCACATGATGTAGTTAGAGAGTTCTTGGTTTCAGAACAGCCAGTAAATCAAAGCACACAAATTAGTGAAAATAAAGTATTAAATGAATTCTTCTCCCTAAGTAACTTAGCTAGTGGCACAGAGTCAATTAAGGGAGGAGAAATTGTTCTCTACCAAAAATCCCTATTTTCTGGAAATGGATCTGGACTGTCTGATAGTATAAATTTGCAGGAATCAGATACGGTTTTACTAGCTGAAGACATGTCACATAAACGGTTAGATGATAGGGTAAAAACACATTTATTTCGCAGTGAGGACTGTAATGAGACAATGGAAATAGAGAATGTGGATAATAACAAAACTGAGACAGAGGACAGAAGAACTCTTGTATTAAATTTCAAATGGCCTCCACTTGTGAATGATGACATCCATGCACCTGGTACATCTAAAAGCAGTTTGTCTGATAGCCTTGTATGTATATCTGAAAAAAACTTGCCAGGACACAGTAAAAACACACCTCTTGCAATGTCAGATGTAGGGAAAGTACACAAGAAGGATAATGAAATAAATATAGGGAAAATTGAACTTATACCTTCCATGTTAGAAACAGGGAAAACAAACAAAAAGGATGCTGAATTGAATATTCTGAAATATGAGGCAGTCCCTCCTATGATAGAAATGGGAAGAATACATAAAATGGATGCTGAATTGAATGTCACGAAAACTGAGCCAAAAGCTAATGTTTTTAAAATGGGAGAAGTATACCAAATGGATGCCGAGAGCTGTATTGAAAAAACTGAGGGATCAGCTGTCATTTTAGGAATGGAAAAAGCTTATAAGATGAAGGATACTGAAGGGGATATTGGCAAAATTGAGGTGATACCTATGATGCCAGAAGTGAAAAATATCCACCAAAAGGATGCTGAAGGGGATATTGTAAAGACTGAGATGACACCTGTTACAGTAGACATGGAAAATATTTACCAAACGCATGCTGAAGGGGATATTGGCAAGACTGGGACGATAGCCTTGTCAGAAGTGGAAAATATCCACCAAAAAGGTGGTGAAGGGATTAGTGAAAAGGCTGAAGTGATACCCGTTACATTAGCAATGGAAAATACTTACCAAAAGGATGCTGAAGGGGATATTGGAAAGGCTGAAGTGATGCCTGTGAGGTTAGAAATGGAAAATACTTACCCAAAGGATACTGAAAGAGACGGTGGCAAAACTGAGGTGATGCCCCTTGCATTAGAGGTAGTAAATACTTACCAAAAAAATGCCAAAGGTTTTACCGGGAACACTGAAGGGTCTGTGTTGAAAATGGAAGCTACTTACCGAAAGACTGCTGAAGAGGTCATTAAGAATACTGAAATAGTACCGTGTGTGTTAAAAGTGAAGGAAGCACACGAGACAGCACCTGCCCCCTTAGAAATGGAAAAAGCATGCAAGAGAGATGTTAAAGAGACTATTGGAGCAACTGTGTCCACACCCTCTGTGATAGAAATGGAAAAAATATCCCCAGAAGATCGTGGTGAGAATATTGGGAAACACAAAGTGTTACCCGCAGTGGTAGACATTGAGAAAATACATGGAACAGGACTAGAATTGACCACTAAACAAGGGGAGGCCATGCTTCCTGCATTTGAAAGTAAAACACCACAAGAGTATGCTGAAGGGAGTGTTGAAGAAACAAAGGAAGAGCCTACAGAAATAAAGGAAGGCTTGATAGCACATGAAAATAGACTTCCTACATATTTCAGGGGATATGAATCCCCTACATTAAGTAAGGATTATGAGGGCTACCCAGCCCCAGCAATGCCAGATTTTCAACCTGGGGATACCACAGTAAGACTAGACAAAAGAATGTCTCTTACTGCAATATATGACAAGAGGAGAGAGACAGATTATAGTGACAAAGGATATAATTTAGCTTTTGTTTCTCAAGATGAACAAGAAAATTCTTCCTTTACTATATTATACGAAGAGCCCCTTCAAGAGGAGGACAAGTATGCTTCCGCAGAAGCAAGACAAACACAGTCTGTCTTGTTTCATGATACGTCCGCTGACAGCATGCCTGTTCTGGCATGTGAAAGGTCTGAGAGTAGAACTGACCTTGTCCATCACTTTGAAAAAGGTACTAAATTAGGTGAGACATTTGATAGTGATAGTTCAGAAATGTTCTTATCAGTGGAGGCCAAAAGGTACAAAATTTATCCTTTAGCATTGTCTCCCATTTATGAGGATGACAGCTCACAGGAGGACATTCTATCTAGTGAGGTTTCACCTGGTCACCATGGCCCCAGGAAATCAAGAGACAGTGAAAACCAGTCCTCTTCTGTTTTATCCCTTCTCCAGTCAGTGTCAGAACGTTTAAAGATGAATTTTGATGAAGATGACAGAGAGGCAGCTGATGAGGAAGAAGAGGAGGAGGAGGCAGCAGTATTGCATAAAGGAGATCTGAGAGCTGGAAGTGGGGAGCGTGTTACCTTCCAGTTGCCAGATCCTTCCATCACATTTTACCCTGATGACCAGGAGAGCGTTGGAATTTCTAAGAATTCATATGTGATGCCAAATGAACCTACTACCTCCAATCTGCAAGTTGGTCTGTGGCCAGAAAAGACCTCGTTTCTCCAGAAATCTGACCTTACTTCTAAACTACATTCTTCTTTAAAGAGTGCTTATCATCAGTATCTGCAGACTTCCCAAAGTCATTCCTCAGAAAAAGGAGCCAGATTTGGTGGAATTTTTCAGGAACCAGTGTCAAAATATTTCCGTGTTCAAGACAGCCCAGGCAGATTGAGCCCATTTATAGAGGTAAGTTATTTTGTTTATTGTATTAATAATAGTTATTAAAGCTTTGGGTCACGAAATTATCTAAAGGCTTATTAAGAAAAGTCAATGTTTTGGCCAAGCATGGTGGCTCATGCCTGTAATCCTGGCACTTTGGGAGGCCGAGGCAGGTGGATCACGAGGTCAGGAGTTCAAGACCAGCCTGGCCAAGATGGTGAAACCTTGTCTCTACTAAAAATAAAAAATAATTAGCCGGGCATGGTGGCGGGCGCCTGTAATCCTAGCTACTGGGGAGGCTGAGGCAGAGAATGGCTTGAACCTGGGAGGTAGAGGTTGCAGTGAGCCAAGATCGCACCAGTGCACTCCAGTCTGGGCTATAGAGTGAGACTCCGTCTCAAACAAACAAAGCAAAAAAGAAAATGTTTTGAGGTTGTAGAAGTTGTATAAAGTTTGTTTCATAAAAATATCAGATTCTTTGGTTGAAATATATCATAACTCATGTATTTTAGCTGGACTACTTAGAAAAAAAAATTGCTTGGTCAGAATTTAAAAAGCATAATACTGAAGCAAGGTTATTTTGAAGTCTTTTGCTAATATTTTTCAAACTAAATTAAGTGACAACATTCCAAATTTCTCAAGGTACTGTATGTGGGAAAATTGTCACTTTGCATTTAGCTTATTAGTTTCATGAAAAATCTTTCTGTTAAGTAAAATTTTTAAGTATTTGACAGCAGCCTCGCACTACAACAACTCATGTTGTTCATGCAACGCAGGGCAGTGAGCAACCTAAATCAAACAAAAGAACTGAAAACTTTATAGCTGGAAAATGTTTTAAATTCAATTACAGTTTTCTTTGATTTAGAAATATTTAAATATTTAATGTAGAATGCTTATTAAATATGGGACTTTCCTTTCTGGCATTTCCAAGATCATGGTACTTTCAAGATAAAGATACAGGATGTCCAAGGCCTGTATTTTTACCTTAAACAATCTTCATGGCAAATAGTAATACTCAAAGACCAACCAAAACCTTGCAAAGCAAAGTCATTTTAAAAGAAATGATAGGATTTGAAGAAATATTTCTTTCATGGTTCTCCACTGCCTACCAAATCAAGTGGCACCTCTTAACTCTGCATTATAAGGCTCCCAAGTTCTGTTTTGCCAGCCTTGTCTCCCCACACTCTGGGTGCACACTCTGTGTTTCCTACCAGTACACTTTTCCCCAGGATGGTTCTCTTCCTAGAATTTCTTTATTCACTATCCCATCACAACCTGCCACATTTTCCACTCACTGAAATATTGTTTTTCAAGGTCCCTCAATACTACTTCCTCAGAAATGCCTCTTTGAACCTCTGTATGCCCTCACCTCCATGCTGGTGCCATTTCCATAACCTAGTGTTTTCCTTGTATTTTACCTGTGAATGTAACTTAGTCCCCTGGCTTAGTAGAGCTATGCAAATATGATCATCTGTTTGACCCATTCTAAGCTATGTACTTCTTGAGGGCAGAGACAATGTGTTAATTTCCTATATATTTGTATTTATATCACTTGTATCGAGAGAAGCACCTTGCTCATAATGATCACTAACTAAATATGTGATAAATTGGATACAAGACTGCTAAGAAAATGAATTATGCATCTTTTCACCGATGTTTCTTAAAGCTTACTTTTCCACTTTTATTATTTCAGAATGTTGACAAACAAACTCTGAGATGTAACCCAAGACCTGGGAAGGTAAGGATAACTTTCTCAAACTAAGATAAAGGTTAAACATTAGGTAACTTTCAGGCTTGAGGAATTTAATATAAGTGACTTAGATAATGATTTTATTCAAGGATTTAACATCTAAAGTAACATTTGCTTTTGTATATTTAGGATATTTATTTCTATGTTCTAGGACATTTTAGAATTTAAAATACATTCTAAAAATTAGTTATTGTAACTACTTACTGCTATTTACTGTGTTGCAGATGGTTATCTATGATCTCCATGAAAGTACATATAAACAAGAAGTCTACTGTAATATTCCTGATGCTACATCATGGTCTTTTCCAAATGGAGTTCTAATAAAAGTTGTAAGGGGCTGGTAAGAAGTTTCTTAAAATTTTATAGCATATTTTCTTAAATTAAATGTGTCTTCTTGCTGTTAATGCTTTTTTTTCTATTTTTTATTGAAGTCATATTCTCCTTCCTCTACTTTTCGACAGAAGATTTTGAAACATTATTATTAGTGTGTTATAACTTAATTGTTCTTTTTATTTACTATGGCATAAAATACAATCTGTTTTTAGTGCTTAAGCCAGTAAGTTGCAAGACCTAATCTATACAATCAATACCATTCTGTAACTACATTATTAGCAGGATAGATTTGGCAAGTTTGGGTGAATGCTTCAGTTGAATGAAGCATAGCTTTGAAAATGAGTTCAGAATTTGTGGGATGCTGAGGAATGTGAAGGCCACATAGTTAAAGTTGTTTGTATAGCTGACTTGCTCAAGAAGTGAAGGAATCTTTGTATGGTCTAAAAATGAGGGGCAACCCTATCTATTTATTATGGACCATGACCCATGGACATGCTGGAGCCAGAATTTATCTGTCCAGTGTTTAGGCTACCCAGGTCAGCATTCATGTCTTAAATCATATGGTGTAATCTCGTCTTCATATAATAAAATGGGACATGTGTCCTGTGTTATTCAGCAACAAGAAAATTAGAAGTATAATTTGGAATTGTTGCACTATTGTTTTTTATGCAACTGTATAGTTTCGTATAGACCACATCTATAAAGAGCATACATACATAAATATAGACATAGAAATATATTGTGGTACTATGTTCAGAAAGTATTTTTATTTCCAAGGTATATGCACTTTTATTTTTTCTTTACTGTTCGCCTGTACTTAAATTAGCATATATCATTGTTTCAAAAAATAGGGTTATATGCTAATAGTGGAAGATATCCCAGCTTAAAAAATTTAAGTAGACAAAATGGTCTGTGACTTATATGCCTTATTTCTTAGAAAATTAAATATAACTCATCATTGCATTTCTCTTTGTTTAGCTGGATTTTATATGAGAAACCACATTTCCGAGGTCAGAAATGTGTGCTAGAAGAAGGGGAAAAGGTGTTAAATCGTGACTGGATTCTTCAGAACAGAAGGCATCCACAAAGAAACTTTATATTGGGTTCTCTCAAACGTGTCTTAAAGGTAACAACTGTAGATTTTTCTATTTTTTATTTGATTTTATTTATCATATAGTAAACCTGTGCTGTGGCCTGGCGATGTTTACAAATCATTGCTAATTTTTGTGCTGTTATTAATCTTCATTACCATATTGATAATCTTTTGAATTTATGCAAATAGAGTGAATGGCAATTAAAAATATTAACCAGAGGTAATGTAGTTTATAAAATGTTACATGGGCCGGGCGTGGTGGCTCATGCCTGTAATCCCAGCACTTTGGGAGGCTGAGGTGGGCAGATGACCTAAGATTGGGAGTTCGAGACCATCCTGGCCAACATGGTGAAACCCTGTCTCTACTAAAAATACAAAAATTGGCCGGGCGTGGTGGTGCAAGTCTGTAATCCCAGCTACTCTGGAGGCTGAGGCACAAGAATCACTTGAACTCGGGACACGGAGGTTGCAGTCAATCAGGATCACGCCACTGCACTCCAGCCTGGGCGACAGAGTGAGATTCAGTCTCAAAAAGTAATAATAAATAAACATATAAAATGTTACATGATGTACTATATATATATTTTATAGGATTATACTATTGCTATTAAAATAAGCTAATAGGAATAGTATTCTCCTATAATAGTATACTATACACTATACTATAATAGTATACTACTATATTAGTATGCTACTGCTCCTACTGTAATACTCCTAGTAATATATAATAGTATAGTATTGGCTGGGCACTGTGGCTCACACCTGTAATCCCAGCACTTTGGGAGGCTGAGGTGGGTGGATCACTTGAGGTCAGGAGTTCAAGACCAGACTGGCCAACATGGTGAAACCCTGTCTCTACTAAAAATACAAAAATTAACCAGATGTCATGGTGGGCAGCTGTAATCCCAGCTTCACAGGAGGCTGAGGCAGGAGAATCACTTGAACCTGGAGGGCAGAGGTTGCAGTGAGCTGAGATCATGCCACTGCACTCAGCCTGGGCGACAGAGCAAGACTCTGTCTAATAATAATAATAATAATAATAATAGCAGCACAGTATTACAGAATACTCCTAATTAGTATACACTGTTCCTAATTAGAAGTATACTATTCAGGAATCTTAGAGATTCCTTATTGATTTCCAGATATATCTTTTTCTAGTGTAGATTGCTACTACTTAGTATAGACGTGTGTGCATGCATGTGTGTGTGTTAGGGGAAATAAGGGAGGATTGGAATAGGAAGGGAAGGTATTTTTTACTTTTCTGCTTAGAAAATATTAATACTAAGATGAGAAGGGTCTTCCAATATAATAAAATATTTTGTAAGAAGTTCTGTGGTAGTATAGAGGAGGGGTTAATTAGTGATAAGGACATCTTAGATAAGGACAGAATTCTCCTCACATGTATTCTTAAGATTTCCTTCATAATATGTGATACAGTACAGTTACTCATGTGACAGTAATGGATATATGTAGTTTTCAAGTTATGGAGATTTCATTTATATACATAAAAAGTATAAATTGAGATGAAAACTATCATGATGACTTGGATTGTTATTATTAAACTCTTGACAGTGGTCTATAGCATTCAGAGAAATTAAATATAGCCTACAGAAAAACTCTAAGTTATAAAGGTGTCTGCACATATTTTATGTGAATCAATACTGTCTGCAAAGCTGTAGGCAAACCTATATTTAACAATATTTGTGTCTGCTTTTGAGCCAATACTGTGGTGTGCACAGGGAATAGAAATACAAGTGAGATATGGTTCCTTACTTCAGGTTGCTTAAAGACTCGGGGAGAGCAGCTGAGTCACATGATTATATGATGTGAGAAGCGTTCTCCAGGGCACACAGAAGAAACAACTCACCTTTGGGAAGAGGCGTGTCACCTGGAGGAGGTGGCACCTGTTTGGAATGTTGCAAGGACTAACAGGAGTTAAGCAGTCTGGGAGATATGAGGGAGTTCCTGGCAGAGCCACTTTTGTCAGATACAGAGGTGAGCTTTGGTGGCCTAGTATACTGCAAGGAGATTAAGATGGCTGAAGTGGAGAGAGCAATGTCCATTTTCACTGAAAGATTTAACTGTAGTCAGTTCAGTTCTGCAGATAACCATTTGAGTGCTCACTCTATTAACTCAACTAGAAATTCCTTGAAAAAATGACTAGTTAGTTCGTAACTGAACTCTTCTAAGATTTATATCACTTGTGGTTTTGTGCTTTCTTTGTGAAATCAGGCACTATGCCAAGGCCTAGTGGGAAAAAAATGAGTAATATATGGCAAACAGCCACCTCTCTCACCCCCCCCACCAAAATCAAACAATAAAATCAAACAGATTTAATCTGGTGAGCATAGATATTTGAATGGATATTTGCACGTCCACCATTTGCTTAGAATATATTATAAGAAAGAGTAAGTCAGGCTTGTACTTTTTCTTCTAGTGTTTGTTCTCGGAATCATTTTTTTTTTAGTTGCAGTGTTAGTTCGTGTGTCTCGAACAGGTTAACAACTTTTAGTGAGGAAGGAAAATAAAACTATTGAGCATTGAATGGAAGAGGCATGAGCCTTGTTTAAATATTTTACAAAGTAATAATTAGGCATCAAACTGCTTCCTTTTTCCAACGTTGTCAGAATTCTTCCTATCGTTGCTTCACTTTCATGGTGGTTGTTTCCATGACGGATTCACTTCTCCCTATTCTATGCCAACTTTATCTTGTTGAATCATCTTTATATTAGTTGTTATATTGGTGTAGTCAAGACTTTAATGTCCTTTAAAGATAGTTATTTCATGATGTCTTCACTTTAGAGTACACCACCCAAACATTGTTTGTACAACACAATGCAGAGGAAATTTGTTTGTGTGAGACAGTTAGTTACGTATTTTGTTACTGTAACTCAGATCCCTGGGGGGACATTAATATGGAAATATTTGAAATAATGTTACTAGAACTCTATTATTAATAGCATACAAAAGAGCCTTGAGGATTGACAGGTATAGCGAATAACCTCAGTAATCAGTAATTGTAGATTCCAGTTAAGGGTTGTCTTTGTACCCAGGGAAAATAATTGGGGGTGAAGGTAGTAGTGTGGTGAATCTTGATTCAAGTGCTTTCATTTATAAAATTAGAATAAATGAATATTGCAAATTACTATGTTTACTGTGTATTTAAGGTTTTTTTTAAAAGATATGACATCTTTCTTATGGTAAGATCTGTTGTTAGATGCAGGACTGAGGTATCTTATATAAGGTAGAGACAAATATATTTTCTTACTGTGTTTGTTTACTGTGATTTTGTTAACTATAAAACTGTCTTCATTCTTACTAATTGCCATAATAGTATAAGTTTGCAAATTTCACTAATATATTTGAAAAGTGTAGCAGGACTACGAAAGTATACAAGGAAGCCATATAAACTTAAATTGTTTTTTGTTTCTAGGTTACTTTAAAGTGGCTTGCAGTTGCTCGTGTTTGACTTTCTTTGTCCATCAAGAATTATACATATGTTTTGCAAAGCATGCTATTTCTGTGAATAGCCACCGTGAAGATAGAACTTAACAGTGAAATCTTTTTCAATCAACTAGAGCAAAAATTAGTTTTCTAGTGAAGATAACAGCAAACATATGCCTTCTCATTTTTGTTTATTTTCATTTTTTAGTGATTACACTTTTGCTATTATACTGTTTCCATCTGTGTTGTTGTAGACTTGAATGCTTCTTAGCTTTTCCCTTTTAGAGTACACCACCCAAACATTGTTTGTACAACACAATGCAGAGGAAATTTGTTTGTGTGAGACAGTTAGTTATGTATTTTGTTACTATAACTCAGATCCCTGGGGGGACATTAATTTGGAAGTATTTGAAATAATGTTACTAGAACTCTATTATTAATAGCATACAAAAGAGCCTTGAGGATTGACAGGTGACTGTTCTAAACATTTCTGCTTATTTTTGAAGTGAAACTTTAGAACGAAGTATACTTTTATACTTTAAAGGATATTTTAGATTATGCTTCTTTACTATTTTGCATTTTAGAACCAATTTTCTGAAAATGAGATGTATAAACTTGCTTGCTTTTGTATATTAATAAGAATGATTGAGAATTCAGTTTGGGGAAAAGTTGAAAAATCAGACTATTATACTTTTAGAATTGCAAAACTTAAGTAGAATTGTTCAGTCTCTTATAAATGCCACCTCTATTATTACATTTACCTATTAAAGCATATGCATTTGAATCTCACAGTGTCATAGGGGATAATTACTAAAACTTGAGTTGTATCGAGTTCTATCATTAAATACTCATGAGTATTGAGATAGTGTGTTAAGACAGAAATGTACCTGTAATTTCAGAGAAGGGAAAAAATAATTGTAATTTTGATTCCCTAAGAAGGGATAAGGTCTTTTTTTGAGTTAGAACTTGACTATTAGAAGAGCTTTTTGAAAGTAAGAATACAAAGAATTATTTCTTTAGTTGAGATAGGGGAAACATCTGCAAAGCCTACAGAGGCTGGAGTGGAAGTGGAGATAGCATGAAGACCAATATGATTGCAGAGTTGTAGGAAGTTAGTGTGGATCACTAGTTTGGTGTCCTATTATAGAAAGACAAACAGAAACATGAATTTGATGTGCTTGGGTCTGAAGCCAATGAGTTTCTTGAGGAAAGTGATGTTCTAACAAGTTCAGCTGTCTAAAGAGTAGTAGCTAGTGCTTGACTAGTGGTTGTAAGTAGGCCTGTAATCAAAGTTTGGGCCTAACCAAGGGCTGTGACAGTGGAAATATGTAAGAAGAGATATGCATGAGGGAAATTTTTAAGGAAGGTCTCACAGGACAATGGGTGCATGATTTTTTAAGACTGTGATGGAGTAAAGGGTCAATTTCATAATGCTTTTCTTCTTCAAACCTACTGCACTAGGAAATGGAGTCCTACAGGGAGGAAAACAGATTTCCTTTACCCTCACCTCTAATGACTATTTCTTTTGTCAATGTAAATTAGATAAACACTGAAGAGGGTACTGCTTCTCTACTTGTTTTTTTATATCCCCGATGAGATCAGCTTTTATTTAACTCTCTTCCTCCCTTATGGTTTTATTATACTGCTAAGAAGGAAGGCTTACAGACATTTGGCACTCAAATAGTTTGGTAACTCTGAAATCTGAACTCAATTTGGTAACTCTAAGCATTGCTTAATGGAACGAATCTTTAAAAAACAAAGCAGAAACATTGAGACAATAATTTTTCCATAAAATTTATGATTTTCATGTCATTAACAGCTTTTTAGAAAAACTTTTTAAAAAAAAAAAGGGTGAGGAGAAACAATATTTCCTTTATGTTTTCTTTGTGAAGAAATTCAACTCAATAATGAGAACAGTGTAACTGTATGTCCAGGACATTGAGAAGACTGGACTGTGTGACTCTAGTTGATTTCAAAGCCAAATTATTTTTTTTTTTCAGGACTGCAGCATTCCAGAAATAGAGCTTTTCCCACAATCTGACCCAGCCTGTTGTCCTGTCTACATACAGAGAGCAGTCCCCAATTTGGAAGAACTGAATATCTCCAAATCTGTGTCCTTCACTGTGAAGTCAGGAGTGTACGTATCAGTTCCTTTTTATTATAGTGATTGATGGCCACCAATTTCATATTTCAATAGATGACATACATTTTTCTAAAGTTTCTAGCTAATGTTTATACTCTCAGTCACCCAAGAAAGACTGCAGGGGTTAAAAGATTCTTTGGATCTAATTAGAGCTTTGATATATGACTCACAGGAGCAGGTATAGAATTCTGAGATGTAGTTCTTGATATATGGATCTATTGTCTTTTCATCCAACAAATTCTGTGATTGAGAAATAAAAGCATGTCCCTGGCCTAAAATTTTGGAGCCTGAACTATTTCTAGAGTGTCTAAGTTCTGATAGTCACTGACTGCCTCTGTGGTATCAGGCACATATGGCTTTTTTGTTTATGACTCCTCTGTTCCTGAAAGGCAGATGGTGTTACTCTCATATTATATATGAGTGATTTGTCCCAGGCTACTAGCCGGTAAGCATGGATTTGATACTAGGCCTCTCTGGTTCTAGAGGTATCTGTTAGGACTATGGGTCTAAGTTCAGTCTTAGTTCATTCCCAGATTGACTTGACTCCAAACCCTGTGGATATCTGGCTCAACATGAAACCCTCTGCTCCCTCACTGTTTTTGTTTACTTTGATGATGGTTGGTATACAATTCTGGGGACACTGTAGGACAACATTTTTGTCTCCCCCACATGTGAATTAGAACTTGTGGGCAGGCTGGCCATGTGTGGTGGCTCACGCCTGTAATCCCAACACTTTGGGAGGCCAAGGTGGGTGGATCACCTGAGGTCAGGAGTTCGAGACCAGCCTGACCAACATGGAGAAACCCCATCTCTACTAAAAAAATACAAAAAAATTAGCTGGGCATGGTGGCGCATTCCTGTAATCCCAGTAACTTGGGAGGCTGAGGCAGGAGAATCGCTTGAACCCAGAAGGCAGGGGTTGTGGTGAGCTGAGATAGCACCATTGCACTCCAGCCTGGGCAACAAGAGCAAAACTCTGTCTCAAGAAAAAACAACAAAAACAAAAACAAAAAACAACTTTGGGGTAGGCCAGTAATTGGCTGTGTCCATGAGGAATGTCTGTAATTATCAAGCTTAGCTGGAAGATGGGTCTTTTGGGAATCCAATTGCAAATACTGTTCCTTAGGCAGCCAATAGAACTGATATTGATTCTGAAAACGTGGCTCAAAATGTAAAACACCTTGTGGAATCCCTACCTCTGATTGTTCCAGTTTAAAAAAGAATGGAATATAGTGAAATTGTTTTTGATTTTCTAATTATTTCCCACTTGAATTAAAGGTGCCACGTGTTTTAGGTATCAGAAAAATAAAAGTAATGCCTAATGATTGGAAAATGTATCAGACTTATTATAGGACAGATAGCTTATTATAGGATGGATAATGTGTGAATGTAAATAACATGGTAACTATTATCGTTATATAATGTCTGGCTCTCACTTTGAGTGTGTTTTACTAGTGTAATTCTGTGATGGAGGATTTTGTTTTTTTATTTTGGTAGCCCTTTTTACTTACAGAACCAGACTAAAGCAGTACTATTATACTTTAACTAACTATCTATTTTTATATAGTTGGCTTGCCTACCCAGATATTAATTTTAAGGGACAAGCTACAGTTCTGGAGGAAGACCATGGGCTCTTTGAGATTTCTACAGCAGAAATGAAATCATTACATCCGCTTCAAATGGTAAGCAAATTTAAAAAGAAGCATTCCTTTTCCCAAGTACCCATGAATCCAAAATTAAATAACCATGATGTTTGCTCATGCATCTCAATCTCAAGTGAATATGTGTACTACTGAATTGGCAAACTATTGTACTGTAGTGCCTTCAGTATTTACAGTATTTCTTTTTTGTTACAAACATTTACTTGAGTGGCAGACTGTTCAATTAAACATTGGCTATGTGATAAACCATTTTTGGTTAGTCCATGCCCCTTAAAAACATAGCCACTAGGACAAACTAAAACATTTTAAGAAATATCACAACGTGGAGTAGCACTTGAAACAAAAAAAACTACAGAATTGGGGTTTTTGTAAGGAAAGAGTTGCTTTTTATGCTGTACAACTTTGAGGTCACAAAGACAGTGCATGTGAGAAAAAGTGTTGGTAGAACTTGGAAAGGTTAGTGTGGTTAGCTCAGTGCTCTAATTTAAAAAGCCCAAATAATTGTAGGGAAGACCTTTGGATTAGCTGGCTAAGAAATCTACTCTGCTGAATGAGATTTCTAAGTTTACTAGCAATACCACTTTTCTTTTTGGGACACTCTGAAGTGGGATTAAATCTTAATTGGTCATGTGTACTCAAGGACTAAAGCTCAGTTTCCTTCCTCATAGTAGTTGTAATCTGGAAAGTGTATCCTTAAGATTTCTTGCCCCATCTACATTGATGAGGAACACTATAACTTGGTTTTGGCTACTATAGAGTTCTGTGCTTAAAGTTTAAAATTTAGCACAATTTGAATTTGACTGGTGTGTAATCTTCACTGGTTAGATTTTTATGTAACCTACATATATCACTTTCAGATATTACATTCAAATGTTTTAAATATTTACCTGTCTAATATTAAACTATCTTGTCATCTTAAGGGTGGACTGAAAGTGGAAATGCCCATGAACTTAAAGGTAAGTCTTGGACTGATTTTTGTAGCAGGCTAAAGAGTCTCAGGATTAATATTTATTCCAATAATTTTGAAACATTGGAATAAAAAGTACCTCCACATATGATTATACTTAGCTAATGGATTTTGGGGAGGTGGGAAGTGAATGCACAAAATGTTTGATGAGGGCCCAACCCTATGGCTGTGAATGGAGAGTGGGATCAGTCTGCAAAGATGGAGGTCTGTACCAATAAATCAGTCAGACTCACTACATTCTGCTACAGGGTGGAAAGGTGATAGGTTTGATTTTTGTTTTGAGGGAAGGGACTTGAGAAAGCAGCTAGTTATTGAAGTGGAGATATCTAGCGGGCATTTGGGAGTGATGCTCAGGAACATGATCAAGGCTGATCAAAAGGAAGTGTAGGTAGCTCTTATCAGGTAGATGGCAGTTTGTAAGTATGAGTATCCAAAGGGAAAAGTAGCGGCGAGGCAATGAAAATGGGTAGCAGTGGTGCCAGGATCAAGCAAATTCAGGGAAAGAAAGGAGGAAACAGAATTACAAAGTATGTTTAGAGAGAGAGAGAAGGCAAACCAGTACAGTGATAAAAGATGCAAACAGGCCTGCTTGTAATTAGGTTACAGCACCTCCAGAGGCAGGTATGGAAGCAGGGATTCATTCGTCTTCCTCTTCTCTAAAGCAAGATGCAACTCCTTCAACTCTCCCATTTCTGGGCTTTCTGATTTATGGAACTGACTTCCATTCTCTCAGCCACATAGATGTAGTCTTTTAAAACTTCTTTATCTGAGTGTATCTAATATACTTTGACTGTATGTTGGAATTATACATGTTGGAGTTTTTAAAAATGCTTGAGCCTGGGCTGCACTCCCAGAGATACTGTATTAGTTTGGGCCGTGGTCAACAGTTTGCAAAGAGTCCTAGGTGATTCTATTTGCAGTCAAGATGTAAAAGATGTACAATTAGCTGTGAAGCTGTCTGAATGCCTTCTGTCTCAGTCTCCTAGTCTGGTCAATCAGGACTTCAGTTGTGACAGGCTGGATCTTCCTTGGACATTTGCAGTTTGACAGGTTGTAGGTGTATATGAATGGATTGGTAATCACAATTTATAAGTTGTTTGATATTAATTTGTGGCTTTCCCATCAAAGAATTTGTATTTCTTACTGAGTTTGAATGTGGTCAGCATATGTAACATGTATTAAACCCAAATAAAACTTTGTCATCTCAAATATAGTACCCTGTGCAAACCTAACATGGAAAAGTGCAGGATTGGTACTATATATTGTTTCCCTAATATTATCAGTTTTTAGTCGTAAGGAAGCTATAACCTTTTGATTTAGTGTTTTTAAGCATGGGGTTTATTTGGCAAGATATTGAGTTGACATTTGTGCACAAATTATTCCATTACCCACAAATAGGACCAAGTGAGAGAATGTGGATAAATGCTGTTATCACTTCCTCATACTTAATGCAGCTAGTATTTGAGAAGTGAAAAAACAGCAAAATAGTAAAGGAGAAATACTATTCCAATCCAAATTTGAAGTAAATGCCAAAAATTTGTTTCTGACAATATGTATTGCATCCCCTCAATTTGAATCAAATATCCAATCTTTAGAAATAATATTTTTCAGTAATTTCTTATTTTTTAGGAAGTTTTGTATTTAAATTCTAGAATTTGCATGTCTGTTTCTTCTCAATGAATAGTAGGCCATAGAAGCAGTTAGCATTGTAAGAAACAGTATGTATTTTTAAAGTCAATAGATAATTTATTGTTATACCCTGGAATCTCAAGAGAGTTCTTTAGGGGAAATTCAGTAAGTAGAAGGAAGGTCTATATTAAAATTCCGAACACAGGGATATACTTATAAAGATAATTCAAGAATCAGTTAGTTATAAGGCAGTTTACCCTATGAGATGATCCCAGTATTTGGGTGACCCAAACAATGTAATCACACTCAAGTATATTATTGTAATATGAGAGAAACTTCTTATTAAATAAGCTATTTTATCCTTATGATGATAAAGACTCACATATTCTTTGTGAATATCCAACATTGTGCTATACTGTAAGTATACATGAGGGGACTTCAAAAAGTTCATGGAAAAAATGGAATTAAAATATAAAAATAACTATAGACGTTATTTTTCATCATAAGCTTCGTCACTGTCAAGACACTTTCGTAAGCAGTCATACCAGCTATTTAGTTCACCCTAAAGAACTGAGGGTCTTGCAAATTAACTATGTCAATGCAGTCTTTTTTATGTTATTAACTGAAGGAAAATGGGTTTCCTTTAGAGTTTTTGTTAAGATTAGGGGAAAAAAAGAAGCCAGAAGGAGGCAACTCAGGAGCGTAAGGTGGATGCCTAATGATTTCTTATGGAAACTCTTGGGAAATTGCCCTTGTTTGAGGAGAGAAATGAATGGGAGCATTGCCGTGGTAGAGAATGACTTTCTGGTGAAGCTTCCCTGGGTGTTTTTCTGCTAAAGCTTTGGCTAACTTTTTCAAAACACTTTCATAATAAACAGATGTTGTTCTTTGGCCATCCAGAAAACCAACAAGCAAAATGCCTTGAACATCCCAAAAAACTGTTGCCACGACCCTTGCCATTAACTGGCCTGCTTTTGCTTTGACGGGATCACTTCCACCTTTTGGTAGCCATTGCTTTGATTGCGCTGTGTTTTCAGGATCATACGGGTAAAGCCATGTTTCATCTCCTGTTATAATTCTTTGAAGAAATGCTTCAGGATCTTTATCCCATTTGTTTAAATTTTCAGTTGAAGGCTCTGCTCTTATCTGCAGCTGATCGGAGCATAACGGTCTTGGTACCTATAGAATGAAATGTTTGCTCAACTTTAATTTTTGAGTCGAAATTGTGCAGGCTGAACCAACTGAGGTATCTGTGGTGTTGGCTATTGTTTCTACGGTTAATCATCAGTCCTTTTCAATTAGGGTGCAAACAAGATGAATTTTTTCCTTTCAAATTGACGCGGATGGTCTGCCGATTCTTGCTTCATCTTCAACATCATATCGTCCCTTCTTAAATGAGTTACCTATATGTAAACTGCTGATTTCCTTGGGATATTGTCACCATAAACGTTTTGTAAATCATTAGTGATTTCACCATTCTTCTACCCAAGCTTCACCATAAATTTGTTTATTCTTGCATCATTTTTAGCAAAATTTGTGTTGCTCTGATAGGGGCTTTTTTCAAACTACTGTTTTGTTCTTCTTAGCACCTCGAAGTAGATCCTTTTCAGATGTGTTATAACAAGTTAGTAGAAGTTGATTTTGGTGCAAAAAATTTTGCAATCCCTGCATAGTTTTTTGTAATACACCTTTTCCATGAACTTTTTGAAATCTCCTCATATTAATTAAAAAAAAATAGATAGTAGTCCCTGTACATTTTGTGGTCTTTGGTGTCACTTAAGTAAATATGTGTCTATATTAAAATATAAACATGTTAAATAATTTTTCAGGTTATTATTTATGAAAAACCTCACTTCCATGGACAGGCTAAAGAGTTTAGTGAACATATAGATTCTGTTCCTAATTTTTTGAAAAATAATGGAGATTTTCACAGAATTGGATCAATTCGTGTCATTGGTGGAGTGTGAGTATCATATTTTTAACATTTGCACAAGTAGTCTGTTTTTGAAGGTCAGCACAAAAATGTGCTAAGCAAAGCAAAAATGATTTGTTTTTAATCTAAAAATATACATTCCTTCTGTAATATGGAAAGTAAAAAATATTAGTTACTTATGGTTTTCTGTGGACTCTTGTTTGTATTAAATATTTTGAGATATATTAAATGTAGAAAATAGTTTCTGAAACTGCAGCACCTTGTATTTCTGAACACAGGATAGACTATAAGAATTGCAAGATAAAATTAGGTTTTCACAAGTTATGAACGTGAATGACAGCCCCAGTTTTTATCCACTATTTTGTTGATCATACTTGACTTATGTACCAAGGACCTTGCCAGTGAGCCTTCCCTTGTTAAAAAAGGATCTGGGTTATGTGTTTCCAAAGTCAAGGATTTTTGACATTGGTTGCCCTCCGGGCTCTGAACTGCTTTTGAGGAAGCTCTCTAGGAACCCCTGGATATAAACCCAAGTGTAACCATCATTGCTACCATCGCAGTCTTAGTCAGCAGTTCCTGGGGCAGAAGCCCCCCAAATCTGTGATGGGCCTGGGATGTACCTTTATATTCGTATCCTGGTAGGTGAAACAATGAAGAAGAAACTGTCCTCATTGTTTATTTATCATTGTCAACCCAATGCTGGAATCCCTCTAGAAACATTCTGTTGTCTCTCTGTTGATACATTGGTTATTTTGGAACGTTAGTTTGTTTTAAGTATCAGTATCTCTTGGTATTTGCAGTAACATCATATAATTTTGCTAATAGCTACTCTAGTAAAAGATGCTACTAAAATATTTTATTCACAGAAGTTAAATGAATTGTTTAAGATCACTCAAGGGCCTATATTTAGAGAACTAGACTTTGCAGTTTCCGGCAGTAAATTAAGTAATAGCCATACTAGTCACAATAAAAATGTAAGAGATTATATATGCTGGATATGTAGATTATATCAATTATTAGTCTGACATATTAATCACTTACTTCCTTGTCCTTCAATTTAAAAAATTTATTAGGGTCTTGAAGAACAAATATGGTTTGGATAAACACATTTTTATTGTGTTCATTTGTAATATTGTCTGGTTTGTGAACACACATGTTTCTTGATAACCCTGCTGTAAAATATTTTTGCCTTTTCCTCACTTTGAGATCTAAATGTTTTTCCTATTAACTAGGTTGACTTAGGTTAAAACCAATTTTCTACTGCACAGAAAATTATCTGCTAAAATTCTGTGCAATGTGCATTGTTATTCTCTAAGTTTTTTTTTAAATAGCTATTTTGTAAAAATCCTAAGTAAACATGACTTGTAATGCAGGATACAAACTTTCATTTGTCTGTGACATCTGCAAGAGAAAGATGTGATGTCCCCATTTAAAGAGGAATAGCTGATTATTTTTTTCACAACTTCTACCATTTTTTGGTTTTGTTATTTAATTGTATCTGTAGGTAGCATGGACTCCATCCCTGTACCACCTTGAGGAATCTGGGGAAAGTAAAACTAATGTTTCTTAACTTTTCTCAGATAATACCTATCTTTAAATATACCAGATGGATATATAAATTGAATCTTAATCAAAACTTAGTCTATTAAGAAAAACTGAGTACATGCTTATTGGACTGTCATATAATAAATTTGCGAATCTTAATTGATCCTTTAAGGTCTTTTATACCTTTTATTTTTTTTCCCATTCAGATATAAATAAAAGCGTGTTTTGAGTAGCCACACTTATATAAAATAAAGCTTAGAATTTAAAAGTTGTTTTGTGAAATTTATTTTCATATAATTGTTTAAGAATAAAATAATGTTGGTTCATTTACATATTACAGATATACTGAGATGTATAAATAGGTTTATAGGTTTATTCCAATTCATGTGGACCCTCTGCCCCACCGTCATACCTATACTTACAGGAAGGGGAGAGGGAGTAACAATCAATGGCTGCTATTTTGTGCCCTATGAAAACAATTATTTGGAATACTTTCTGTACCTTCACAACCACAGTAGGAGTGAAGAAAGAAAAAGCAGTAGTAGGCAGCCCTCCTAGGCTTTATTTTGTCAAGCTCCTGAATTTCAAATTTCCCAACCCTGGAGCTCAGAAATAGTCATCCTTGGAATCTGCACTATTGGAGGGCATCTCAGTCTAACTATGCAGTGTGGCTAAGGGCGGATTTGAGAAGGCCAACTTGTTTTATGAGCCATCTATGCCCACATTGCATTAGATACTGTGGATTAGTTTATAAAAAGGTAAGTTTTATGGAGGAGCTTAATAACTCATGGTATTTATCAGTGTCTTGTACTGATAGTTTTAGATTAGAAGTCAAGAAAGTAGTGGGACCAACATTTCCCACCTGTAAGTATTTACAGATGTCCTTGTATACATGTAGGGCCCTGAAGCTAATAATAGCTCAGTCGAATTTCTTGGTTCCTCTTTGATAAACCATCTTGTATTTTGTTTTAGAACTGAAGCCTCGTGACAGATTCGCTTTATTTAAACCCTGAATCAATGTTTCATGTAAAAATCATTTTGTCATTCCAGAATGGCTTAATTAGTAAAATAAAAATGACTATCTTTGGATCTCTATGTAAATTTGTATCCTTTCTCATTGGCTATATGCACTTTGTATTATATTTACTTGACACATTGTTCTCTGACCAACTTGCGCTGTAGTATCAAGTCACACCACAAACATTTAAAAAGCATTGCTTTGTTGCAGTTCTATAATTAACCTTTTGTTGGGAAAAGCCTCCAAATTATAAAAATTATTGATCTATGAAGCACACACCATTTGTCTATCTTTATAAATGAAACAAAACTAATGTGTTGCTTTTTACAATATGGAGATGAACCACTATGAGCTTTATCTTGATTGTCTCTGTTTTGCTTTCTTGACTACAGTTTTATTAATGGGTCATTTGGGTGTCCCCTGTATTTCTAGGTGGGTTGCCTATGAAAAAGAACATTTTAAAGGCCAGCAGTTTCTGCTTGAAGAAGGAGACTTTGAAGACAGTAATGCTTGTGGTGCATTAAGTAGCCCTATCTTGTCTTTCCGGTACTTACAAGCTGTGAGTTAGCTTCCTTATCCTTAATTTTCTACCTTTTAAAAAATCTGTTCACAAAAATTGGACATGACTCCTGATAGAACATGAGATTATAAAATATTTCTAACACCCAAGAGTATTAACCTCAACTGCTTATGCAACTTGCCTGTTTTTCTGAACTGCCATGATTATTATGGAATTTTTTTTAACTTTTCATCCATTGTTTCCGTAATCATCTTTTGAGTACCTTCTTTGTTAGATGCCAGGAGTGGCCAGACTCAACCCCCACATTTACACAGCAGGCAGTCTGGTAAGGAAGATAGCACTTATATAAATGTTTGGTATTGCTTGGCTATGATTGTATTAAGTACAAAGTACTCAGGGTCCCCAGAAAAAGATCAGTTGGTCAGTTATCCCCACTTGAATAGAGAGGGCTTCATGGAAAAGATGACAGCTGGCTGAAATTTCAAGTTCAAAAAAGAGTTAACCAAGTGAAGAAGTTCTAGAAACAGGGTGAAGGAAAAAGGTAGGTGCCTGTTTAGCAAGAGATTAACATGTTAATGTGTAAAGTCAAGGTTATAACCCATTGATTCTCAGCTGGGGGTGATTTTACCCCTTAGGGGGCCTTTGGCAGTGTCTGGAGACATTTTGGATTGTCATATCTGGAGCAGTGGTGCTACTGACATCTAGAGGGTAGAGGCAACGGTTGCTGCCAAACCCTTACAATGTGAAGGACAGCCCCCAACAACAAAGAATTACACGGTCCCCAGTATTAATAGTGCTGAGATTGAGAAACCCTCCTGTAAGTGAAATTTTGCCATGTTTAGGGAAATGTGGTTAAGTCGGGATGTTAGGGAGAACTTTGGAAAGATGAATCTAAAGTGAGATAATGAAGGGCCATATTGAGTAGTTATTTTTATTTTTTTTTTAAGGAGAGGACCAAAAGGAATATAGCAGTATTTAGGCTCCAGGGACTAGGGAATTTTTATTCCTTGACTTCCTCAATAACACTTTATTGGTGTCCTTGTTTTTCCTTAGTTCTATACTAGATTAATTTTATATTTGCTTTTGTTGCGATTTTCAGACTTTACGCCTCTTTTCAGATCTTTGACATTGAGTTGGTATGCAGCGGAGACCATTGTTTATCCTAAATTAATGGATACATAAGATCTCCACCGATGTCTCATATCACATTGCCCTCTGGAGATTGTAATGCAGGGACTCAGTTGAGAGATTTTATGGAATTTAAAAGTAATCAAATTACTGATCCTTAAGACTTATCTTTGGGCCTGAAGCAATTGCTCAGTGGTGTTCTCTTAGTAGTAGGGAGTACTGTACCTGAGATTCTACTAACTTATGCAAGTGCTTTAAAATATAAAATGGAATACAGTTTTTAAGGTTGTTCATCATTGTTCCTTATTCTCAAGCAGAAGAGCTACATTTAAATCTAGGTGACTTTGGAAGTTACTTAATTGTGTAGAAAAGCAGCGATGGTAGTAATCTAGTAATCTCATAGGGCTTACCCTGGACTTTATTCTGTTAGTTTGTTAAAAACTCTTAATTATATTTAATATTCCATCAAGTAACAGATGAAGTAAAAGGCTTATTAAACCATTTTTTTGGACATACTTACATTGTTTATAATTTTTCACTATTGTAAATAATGCATTTTTGCATACAAGTTTCTCACCATTTAGTTCCCTTAGGAGACTTTTCTTAATTCAAAAAGGAATTACAGGGTCAGAGAGTGTGAACAGTTTCTTTTAAAACTATTTTTTAAGTCATTTTCTAAAATAGATGTTTAATCTTGTTTCCATGAGCAATATGTTTTGACAAAACGGAACTTTTAGATCTTTCTTTAAGAAATGAAAGTTTTGGGCTGGGCACGGTGGTTCATGCCTGTAATCCCAGCACTTTGGGAGGCTGAGGCGGGTGGATCACGAGGTCAGGAGATCGATATCATCCTGGCTAACACAGTGAAACCCCATCTCTACTAAAAATAGAAAAAATTAGCCGGGCATGGTGGTGGGCACCTGTAGTCCCAACTACTCGGGAGGCTGAGGCAGGAGAATGGCGGAAACCTGGGAGGCAGAGGTTGCAGTGAGCTGAGATCACACCATTGCACTCCAGCCTGGGCAACAAGAGCGAAACTGCTTCTTGAAAAAAAAAAAAAAGAAAGAAAGTT
Source organism: Homo sapiens (assembly GCF_000001405.40). Taxonomy (NCBI): domain Eukaryota; kingdom Metazoa; phylum Chordata; class Mammalia; order Primates; family Hominidae; genus Homo; species Homo sapiens. The sequence goes on from NC_000003.12 coordinate 97,898,247, forward strand.
TTATCTAATTGTTTTAGTTTGAATTTCTTTAATTTACTAATGAAATTAGACATTTGCATATTTGTTATTTTCTCTTTCATGAGCTGTCTTTGTCTTTTGCCGGTTTATCTGTTTGAGTCATAGAGATTTTCTATCTTTGTTTTAAATGTGTTGACTCACTATAAATTTTTTAAATTTCCTCTCATCATTTTAAATTTTAATGAGCATTTTTTGTTAAGCAAATTATATCTATTTTTCCTATTACATTTAAGCTCATAAAATCCTGTCACACATTGCCACAGTACACTATTTACTTTTGTTTCATATAGTTTTTATTCCTTAGGCACAAGTGAGACTAGTTTCCTTTGCAATTAATGTTGCTTGTGATAGCCTATAAGTCTCAGCAATTTACTGTTGACAACTTTCTATTTATACAAAAATGTAATATCTTCCCAATTAAAGTAAATTCAGGCTGATTTTTTCCTTTAAACTATATGGAAGTAATAGCTATAAAATTGTTTCCAGGGCCATCTAAAATTCTTCCTGGAGTTATTTGTGTAAAAATTACCCCATCAGTATGTGATATTTTGCTAGATAATAGCAGTCCATAAAACAGAATATGTATGTTTTCCTAAACTTTCCTCTTTCTCCTTTTAGAATTTTATAGAATCTTCTGTCACACTATTTGAATCTGACCTAGAAAGTGGGAAGTTTATTGACATTACAAATCAGGAAATTTCTGATTTGGAAGAAATTGGCTTTGGCAGTAAAACAAGATCCATTCATGTTAAAAGTGGAGTGTAAGTTGCCTCCTCTAAGAACCTTGAGAGTCTTTGGTGTTTAAGATTGTTGTTTGCTCAATTGTATATCACTTGTTTTTATTTTTTTGTTTTTTCTTTTTTCCCTACTAGATGGGTTGCCTACCAGCAAAAGTTCTTCTGTGGAGAACAATACATTTTAGAAAAAGGGAAATACAAATGCTTTTTTGACTGGGGAGGATCAAATAATATAATCATGTCGATACGGCCAATCCAACTGGTGAGTGAAGTATGAACATAGCCAGTGCTGCATCATGTAATAGTATGCAATTAAATATGTGGAAAACACTTTTTAAAAGTGGAGTTGTTGAATGATGTCATGTGTGTATATAGAAAGAAAATGCAATATCACTTGAATTTCTATAGACTCCATAGACAGTAGTAGATATTAACACATGAATGAGATGGCTTTGTAATTTGATCAGTTCATTCACTTAACAGCATTTATTTAGTGTCTCTGATGTGTTGGACACTATGCTAATCACTGGAGATAAGAATTGAATAAGACTGTCCTGATGGTTCTGTCTCCCAGGGGAAATAGATGTATGGACAATTAATGATAGTATGATTAGTGAGAAAATGAAGTGTGTAGGCAGTGCAGGGGAGCAGGGAAAAGGAACAATCAGTGCCTGGGGAATTGAAGACCTTGCCACAGAATAGGATGTGTTGGTGAATTGAGTGATAGTTTAAAGGATAAAACCAATTTTTCTAGGCAGAAAGGGCATTTCACAAAGAAGGAATAATCTCCTTGTATGCAAATTCATGAAGTTGTAGAAGAGTGTGGCCAGTTTGGATAATAAACCCTGTAGAACAATAAGAGTGCCCATGAGATAATGTTCAGAAATTCACACTCCTTCTTTGTAATGGGCACTAGGCCATATTTTTCTTCCACCTACAATATTACTTAATATGAATTAGTTATAAATACCAAAATTATTATAAGAGAATTCAGTAGGTTATTTGAGATCCATAGCCAGTTCAAAGAGTCTCATAAATAGGTCAAACCATGAAAAAAATTTTTCAAGCTGGGTGCAGTGGCACAGGGGTGCAATCCTAGCACTTTGGGAGGCCAAGGTAAAACATCCCTAAAGCCTAGTAGTTCGACACCAGCCTGAGCAACACAGTGAGACCTCGTCTTTACAAAATTAAGCAAAATTAACTGGGCATGGTGGCACATGACTGTAGTCCCAGCTACTTGGGAGGCTGAGTTGGGAGGATCGCTTGAGCCCTGAAGATCAAGGGTGCAGTGAGCTGAGACTGTGCCACTGTACCCCAGCCTGGATAACAGAGGAATACTCTGTCTCAAAAAAGAAAAGAAAAAAAAATTTTTTTCAAAGGGTATTTTCAAAACTTTCAAAAAGACAGATTATGTGATTACAATTTTGAAAATGTTTTAATATGTTTTTCAGGAACCACTTGGGATAAATGAACCTCCGCATTTGGTATGTTTAAAAATATTCTTGTAATTGTTAAATTGTTTACTAAAAGCATTTATACCCTTTCTCTCAAATCTTTCTCTTTTCTGCAGATAACTTTTATGTGTCTCTCTGGCAGAGCAGATTACAATTGCATTTGGTACCTATGAGCAGAAGAATTCACATCTTTGTCAGTGGTTGTATTAGACTGGGTTTGTCACACTTCCTTTTGTTTTCTCCTGACAGAGCGGTAGCTCTGACCACTTTAGGGTCATTTTGAACTTCTGGCACTCTTTCTTTCCCATCGTCCATTATTTCTTCAGTGTCACATTCTTCATAGAATATTATATTTATTTCTGGAAGAGCAAACTTACCATGGAGAAGTCACGTCTTGGCATGCTTATTATGTACACGTATTTCTAATACCTATAATCAAATATTTCTGAGCTAGTGAACTTGAAACCCTATATTCATTTCTACTGTATTAATAGTTTGAAGGGGACTGGACAATACTTTGGAGCCCAACATTTGCTTATTTTCTATTGAGGGCTAGAAATTGTGCCTATTTAACACTTCTAATTCAGAAGTCCATAAGGTCAGTATTACTCCCATTTATAGACAATAAATCTGAGATTCAGAATACAAGTAAGTGCTATACACACAACTAGAAGTAGCAAAAGAGACATTTCTAGTATGGACCGCACTTGACAAAACCACATGTTCAGGGTTTTACATCAAAGAAAGACATAATCATGATACGAGCAGTACAACTATAGAAGGAAGAGGGGGTGAGAGACATTGTTTCGTTTTATTTTAAATTACAAATTCAGAAAAATTGTTGTCAAAAAGCCAAATATAGTAATTACTTTTAAATATTTGGCATTTGCTGCCTTTACATAATGCTCAGTGTTTTTCTCTGAATGTGTGTGTTTTTCTCTGAATGTGTATGTTTTTCATATTCATGTCAGTGTTTATTTCAGACCAGCTTAGTTTTACCAGGTTTGCATTCACAATGCTTTCGGGTTTTATTATTTTCTGATTAGCTCAGGCCTATTGGGAACATTTCCTTTCTGAATATAATTGAGTTGTTGTATTTAGAGACACTTCCTGCCAGATTTTTATGTTGAAATTTTGAAAACTCCCAACTGTGGATTTTTAAAGTATTTTTTCACATGAATCAAAATAACATGAGTAGATAGAAGAAAGAGAAGTTATTTCAAACTGCACATTTTTTGAGTTCTAAGTACAGATAAAAAGCCTCATTTTTTAAATCTCTGTTTCTCCTGCTCCTACCTCCTTGTTCTTTTTTTATGGACTTCCTTGTTTGGGGCAGATTGCTGGGAGGATTTTCTTGATAGTATTTCCAGTCTAACTTGAAGAGAGGAAGCAGCAGAAAACGCCCAGTGAAATCAGCTCCACTTCATTTTTCTGGGTATGGCTAAGTTATTGCCTTGTGAAATAAGCATTTCTGACAGGTATATGATAGCTGGATATTTGGTAACACATGAACAAAACATTCTTGCTTTACCCAGTATCAAAGGTCTTGTTATTTTCAGTGGACCAATTTTCAGACATTCTTCTTGTTTATGCTTACTTAAACAAACAGATCTTGGCTGACACGCTGGTTCCGTTCAATAACTAGAAAGTATTTTCAACAGGCAGTAGTTACAAAAGTCAGATTGGCAATACAGATGCTGTGTTCAGATGGGGTACTAATTTTCCCTGAGGAATAAGGAGGAAGTTTCATTTCAGAGCTCAAGTCAGAGAGGGAATTTTTTTATGCTGGTGATTTTAAAGGGAACCTCAAGCAACCTAAGAGGGGAAAAGCCAGAAAATGTATGTGTGTAGGGATTAATATACATTATGAGTGTTATGGTGATTAAAAATATTGTTGCTGACCTGGAAACATTATGATGAGATATGGCTTATTTGAGATATTGGTGGAACATCACTTTTTATTTTTTAATTTTATTTATTTTTTGTTTTGGGATTAGGAAAGTTTTATTTTATTTTAATTTTTTGTCTTTATTTCTTCTAAAAAAAAAAAGCGGGATACATGTACAGAACGTGCAGGTTTGTTTTATAGGTATACGTGTGCCATGGTGGTTTGCTGGACCTATTGACCAGTCCTCTAAGTTCCTTCCCCTCGCCCCTCACTCCCCAGCAAATCCTGGTGTGTGTTGTTCCCTTCTCTGTGCCCATATGTTCTCAATGTTCAACTCCCATTTATGAGTGAGAACATGCAGAGAACACCACCTTTTATTGAGAAGATTTTTTTTTCCTGAAGACTGAAGGTTGGTCGCTATGTCTAATTAGCAACTCAAGATATACAGGATCGCTATAGAATTCTTCACCATTAGCAAGTGACTTTTTTTAATTTTTCCCCCAAACAAAACAAAAACCAAACAGAATATGTATTATCTGCATGTCGTCATCATCTCTCTTACAGCAAGTCCTGAATATCTGAAATCTAGCACTAGATTAAATCTTATAACAGTGAATTTAGTTTTCAGAGGAGGTTGTAGTTAGGCATCATTCTCTAGAAATTCTAACCAGTTCTCCCCTTTGACTCAGCCAAGTACCTTTTGTTTCTAGAATCTTTTTAAAGTCCATTTCCAGATATAATTAAATGTTTGGATTTATTTAAACATTGAGCCCCTGTTCCATTTTATGCATGATTCTCACCAAGAAAAGCAACTAGGCGTTTTCTTATATTGGATAATTTAGCCTCACTGAATTTTAAAGTGATCACAGGATCTGTAATAATTGTTGCTACTGTTTTCATGTATGGGGGATAGGAAAATCACAGCTTTAGGCAAATACAGTAAGATTCACAAGCAGTAAAGAGAAAACACTTCTTTGTGGCACTTTAACCAGATCATTTTTATAGGAGCCAAATCACAGAAATACTTAGGAAGAATTATTTCAGTAAAGAAAGCCTTTATGGTTAATAAGGGAAATGAAATCATTGTAGAATATATAACCAATATGAGAAATATATAACACTACAATATGAGAAAGATGTGATGTAATAGAAGAATGGAAATAAGACTTTTCCTTAATAATCAACATATTTCTATGAGGGAGGCTCAAAGGGCTAGAGAAAGTCTTATTTAGACAGGGAAGAAAGTTTCTCATAGAAACTATTTTAGTATTGGAGTAACTAAAATTACATTAAAAATAATGCTGATATTGTAGAATAAGTGAGCACAGCTGTGTTTTGTCAGTAGTTCATTGCATTTTTAGTTTGTCATATTAAAGATATATATTACCACATATTGTTAGTATATAAGTGAAAATTATGTAGCAAAAAGAATTTCTGTAAAATCTTCATAATATAGTGGAGATAATTTCTGCTCAATACTGGTAGTTCTAAGAAAGAAATACAATAATACATGTGAAAAGCAAACCAGAGGAATACTTTTTTTCCTTCGCTTCCATTTCCAGTTGGGGAGCTGTTAGGGATTGAGCCGTACCAACATGGCACAGAAGGATGGGTGTAGTCTGGAAAACACTCATCTCTTATTTGTCAATTTGCCTCGGTTTTAAGCAACCTGAGTTGTTTTGTATATTTGTTATCGATTGTTCTGTAAAGGTAGCCAACATGGTCATTTATCCAGCTAGTTTTTCCAAGGACTGAATTTCTCCAAGGCTCTGTCCTTAATTTCACCAACAGTAGAAACCACAAGTTAATTATTATAATCAGCAAGCTCAGAGTTGGTTTCTCTATGGACAATCCTCAGAACATTATTATGAGAATTGTTCTATTTTGAGGATTGATAAGGTGATCAAAGTGAGGCATATTTTTGTAGAATTGGTCTAATTCTGGGTGAATCATATACCATATCTCATCTAGTCAACTCAGATAAGCATTTAACCCAGTTTTTAAAGTTTGGACAAAGATTATTTTAACCCATCAAATCAAGAGATACTTTATAACATTATTTCTGCGTGTGTATATGAATTTTAATTGATTTTTCCGGGTATGAAGACTGAGACAAAAAACTGGAGGTGGCTACTGTATATACCATCTGAAATATGCTTCACTGGCAGTATCAGTAGTCCAGGATTTGATGTTTCATGGCTTCATTGTGAAAATGTTGAAGTATAAATCTTCAGCTCAGCAGTATACAACTAATAAACAAACTGGGAATGTAGTTAGTGAACAAGACAACCTGTCTCTCTTCTCATGCGGCTTTTCTTTTATTTTTATTTTTTTTATTTTTTATTTTTTTATTTTTATTTTTTTTTAAGTTTCTGAGTCTTTTTTTTATAATCTTTTTTTTATTATTATTATACTTTAAGTTTTAGGGTACATGTGCACCTTGTGCAGGTTAGTTACATATGTATACATGTGCCATGCTGGTGCACTGCACCCACTAACTCGTCATCTAGCATTAGGTATATCTCCCAATGCTATCCCTCCACCCTCCCCCCACCCCATGACAGTCCCCAGAGTGTGATATTCCCCTTCCTGTGTCCATGTGATCTCATTGTTCAGTTCCCACCTATGAGTGAGAATATGCGGTGTTTGGTTTTTTGTTCTTGCGATAGTATAGTTTACTGAGAATGATGATTTCCAATTTCATCCATGTCCCTACAAAGGACATGAACTCATCATTTTTTATGGCTGCATAGTATTCCGTGGTATATATGTGACACATTTTCTTAATCCAGTCTATCATTGTTGGACATTTGGGTTGGTTCCAAGTCTTTGCTATTGTGAATAATGCCGCAATAAATATACGTGTGCATGTGTCTTTATAGCAGCATGATTTATAGTCCTTTGGGTATATACCCAGTAATGGGATGGCTGGGTCAAATGATATTTCCAGTTCTAGATCCCTGAGGAATCGCCACACTGACTTCCACAATGGTTGAACTAGTTTACAGTCCCACCAACAGTGTAAAAGTGTTCCTATTTCTTCACATCCTCTCCAGCACCTGTTGTTTCCTGACTTTTTAATGATTGCCATTCTAACTGGTGTGAGATGGTATCTCATTGTGGTTTTGATTTGCATTTCTCTGATGGCCAGTGATGATGAGCATTTTTTCATGTGTGTTTTGGCTGCATAAATGTCTTCTTTTGAGAAGTGTCTGTTCAAGTCCTTTGCCCACTTTTTGATGGGGTTGTTTGCTTTTTTCTTGTAAATTTGTTTGAGTTCATTGTAGATTCTGGATATTAGCCCTTTGTCAGATGAGTAGGTTGTGAAAATTTTCTCCCATTTTGTAGGTTGCCTGTTCACTCTGATGGTAGTTTCTTTTGCTGTGCAGAAGCTCTTTAGTTTAATTAGATCCCATTTGTCAATTTTGGCTTTTATTGCCATTGCTTTTGGTGTTTTAGACATGAAGTCCTTGCCCATGCCTATGTCCTGAATGGTATTGCCTAGGTTTTCTTCTAGGGTTTTTATGGTTTTAGGTCTAACGTTTAAGTCTTTAATCCATCTTGAATTGATTTTTGTATAAGGTATAAGGAAGGGATCCAGTTTCAGCTTTCTGCATATGGCTAGCCAGTTTTCCCAGCACCATTTATTAAATAGGGAATCCTTTCCCCATTGCTTGTTTTTCTCAGGTTTGTCAAAGATCAGATAGTTGTAGATATGCGGCGTTATTTCTGAGGGCTCTGTTCTGTTCCATTGATCTATATCTCTGTTTTGGTACCAGTACCATACTGTTTTGGTTACTGTAGCCTTGTAGTATCGTTTGAAGTCAGGTAGTGTGATGCCTCCAGCTTTGTTCTTTTGGCTTAGGATTGACTTCGCAATGCGGGCTCTTTTTTGGTTCCATATGAACTTTAAAGTAGTTTTTTCCAATTCTGTGAAGAAAGGCATTGGTAGCTTGATGGGGATGGCATTGAATCTGTAAATTACCTTGGGCAGTATGGCCATTTTCACGATATTGATTCTTCCTACCCATGAGCATGGAATGTTCTTCCATTTGTTTGTATCCTCTTTTATTTCCTTGAGCAGTGGTTTGTAGTTCTCCTTGAAGAGGTCCTTCACATCCCTTGTAAGTTGGATTCCTAGGTATTTTATTCTCTTTGAAGCAATTGTGAATGGGAGTTCACTCATGATTTGGTTCTCTGTTTGTCTGTTGTTGGTGTATAAGAATGCTTGTGATTTTTGTACATTGATTTTGTATCCTGAGACTTTGCTGAAGTTGCTTATCAGCTTAAGGAGATTTTGGGCTGAGACAATGGGGTTTTCTAGATATACAATCATGTCATCTGCAAACAGGGACAATTTGACTTCCTCTTTTCCTAACTGAATACCCTTTATTTCCTTCTCCTGCCTAATTGCCCTGGCCAGAACTTCCAACACTGTGTTGAATAGGAGTGGTGAGAGAGGGCATCCCTGTCATGTGCCAGTTTTCAAAGGGAATGCTTCCAGTTTTTGCCCATTCAGTATGATATTGGCTGTGGGTTTGTCATAGATAGCTCTTATTATTTTGAAATACGTCCCATCAATACCTAATTTATTGAGAGTTTTTAGCATGAAGGGTTGTTGAATTTTGTCAAAGGCTTTTTCTGCATCTATTGAGATAATCATGTGGTTTTTGTCTTTGGCTCTGTTTATATGCTGGATTACATTTATTGATTTGCATATATTGAAACAGCCTTGCATCCCAGGGATGAAGCCCACTTGATCATGGTGGATAATCTTTTTGATGTGCTGCTGGATTCGGTTTGCCAGTATTTTATTGAGGATTTTTGCATCAATGTTCATCAAGGATATTGGTCTAAAATTCTCTTTTTTTATTGTGTCTCTGCCTGGCTTTGGTATCAGAATGATGCTGCCCTCATAAAATGAGTTAGGGAGGATTCCCTCTTTTTCTATTGATTGGAATAGTTTCAAAAGGATTGGTACCAGTTCCTCCTTGTACCTCTGGTAGAATTCGGCTGTGAATCCATCTGGTCCTGGACTCTTTTTGGTTGGTAATCTATTGATTATTGCCACAATTTCAGATCCTGTTATTGGTCTATTCAGAGATTCAACTTCTTCCTGGTTTAGTCTTGGGAGAGTGTATGTGTCAAGGAATTTATCCATTTCTTCTAGATTTTCTAGTTTATTTGCGTAGAGGTGTTTGTAGTATTCTCTGATGGTAGTTTGTATTTCTGTGGGATCGGTGGTGATATCCCCTTTATCATTTTTTATTGCGTCTATTTGATTCTTCTCTCTTTTTTTCTTTATTAGTCTTGCTAGCGGTCTATCAATTTTGTTGATCCTTTCAAAAAACCAGCTCCTGGATTCATTAATTTTTTGAAGGGTGTTTTGTGTCTCTATTTCCTTCAGTTCTGCTGTGATTTTAGTTATTTCTTGCCTTCTGCTAGCTTTTGAATGTGTTTGCTCTTGCTTTTCTAGTTCTTTTAATTGTGATGTTAGGGTGTCAATTTTGGATCTTTCCTGCTTTCTCTTGTGGGCATTTAGTGCTATAAATTTCCCTCTACACACTGCTTTGAATGCGTCCCAGAGATTCTGGTATGTTGTGTCTTTGTTCCCGTTGGTTTCAAAGAACATCTTTATTTCTGCCTTCATTTTGTTATGTACCCAGTAGTCATTCAGGAGCAGGTTGTTCAGTTTCCATGTAGTTGAGAGGTTTTGAGTGAGATTCCTAATCCTGAGGTCTAGTTTGATTGCACTGTGGTCTGAGAGATAGTTTGTTATTATTTCTATTCTTTTACATTTGCTGAGGAGAGCTTTACTTCCAAGTATGTGGTCAATTTTGGAATAGGTGTGTTGTGGTGCTGAAAAAAATGTATATTCTGTTGATTTGGGGTGGAGAGTTCTGTAGATGTCTATTAGGTCCGCTTGGTGCAGAGCTGAGTTCAATTCCTGGGTATCCTTGTTGACTTTCAGTCTCGTTGATCTGTCTAATGTTGACAGTGGGGTGTTAAAGTCTCCCATTATTAATATGTGGGAGTCTAAGTCTCTTTTTAGGTCACTCAGGACTTGCTTTATGAATCTTGGTGCTCCTGTATTGGGTGCATATATATTTAGGACAGTTAGCTCTTCTTGTTGAATTGATCCCCTTACCATTATGTATTGGCCTTCTTTGTCTTTTTTGATCTTTGTTGGTTTAAAGTCTGTTTTATCAGAGACTAGGATTGCAACCCCTGCCTTTTTTTGTTTTCCATTTGCTTCATAGATCTTCCTCCATCCTTTTATTTTGAGCCTATGTGTGTCTCTGCACATGAGATGGGTTTCCTGAATACAGCACACTGATGGGTCTTGACTCTTTATCCAATTTGCCAGTCTGTGTCTTTTAATTGGAGCATTTAGTCCATTTATATTTAAAGTTAATATTGTTATGTGTGAACTTGATCCTGTCATTATGATGTTAGCTGGTTATTTTGCTCATTAGTTGATGCAGTTTCTTCCTAGTCTGGATGGTCGTTACATTTTGGCATGATTTTGCAGCGGCTGGTACTGGTTGTTCCTTTCCATGTTTAGCGCTTCCTTCAGGAGCTCTTTTAGGGCAGGCCTGGTGGTGACAAAATCTCTCAGCATATGCTTGTCTGTAAAGTATTTTATTTCTCCTTCACTTATGAAGCTTAGTTTGGCTGGATATGAAATTCTGGGTTGAAAATTCTTTTCTTTAAGAATGTTGAATATTGGCCCCCACTCCCCTCTGGCTTGTAGGGTTTCTGCCGAGAGATCCTCTGTTAGTCTGATGGGCTTCCCTTTGAGGGTAACCCGACCTTTCTCTCTGGCTGCCCTTAACATTTTTTCCTTCATTTCAACTTTGGTGAATCTGACAATTATGTGTCTTGGAGTTGCTCTTCTCAAGGAGTATCTTTGTGGCGTTCTCTGTATTTCCTGAATCTGAACGTTGGCCTGCCTTGCTAGATTGGGGAAGTTCTCCTGGATAATATCCTGCAGAGTGTTTTCCAACTTGGTTCCATTCTCCCCATCACTTTCAGGTACACCAATCAGACATAGATTTGGTCTTTTCACATAGTCCCATATTTCTTGGAGGCTTTGCTCATTTCTTTTTATTCTTTTTTCTCTAAACTTCCCTTCTCGCTTCATTTCATTCATTTCATCTTCCATCGCTGATACCCTTTCTTCCAGTTGATTGCATTGGCTCCTGAGGCTTCTGCATTCTTCACGTAGTTCTCGAGCCTTGGTTTTCAGCTCCATCAGCTCCTTTAAGCACTTCTCTGTATTGGTTATTCTAGTTATACATTCTTCTAAATTTTTTTCAAAGTTTTCAACTTCTTTGCCTTCAGTTTGAATGTCCTCCCGTAGCTCAGAGTAATTTGATCGTCTGAAGCCTTCTTCTCTCAGCTCGTCAAAGTCATTCTCCATCCAGCTTTGTTCCGTTGCTGGTGAGGAACTGCGTTCCTTTGGAGGAGGAGAGGCGCTCTGCTTTTTAGAGTTTCCAGTTTTTCTGTTCTGTTTTTTCCCCATCTTTGTGGTTTTATCTACTTTTGGTCTTTGATGATGGTGATGTACAGATGGGTTTTTGGTGTGGATGTCCTTTCTGTTTGTTAGTTTTCCTTCTAACAGACAGGACCCTCAGCTGCAGGTCTGTTGGAATACCCTGCCGTGTGAGGTGTCAGTGTGCCCCTGCCTGGGGGTGCCTCCCAGTTAGGCTGCTCAGGGGTCAGGGGTCAGGGACCCACTTGAGGAGGCAGTCTGCCCGTTCTCAGATCTCCAGCTGCGTGCTGAGAGAACCACTGCTCTCTTCAAAGCTGTCAGACAGGGACATTTAAGTCTGCAGAGGTTACTGCTGTCTTTTTGTTTGTCTGTGCCCTGCCCCCAGAGGTGGAGCCTACAGAGGCAGGCAGGCCTCCTTGAGCTGTGGTGGGCTCCACCCAGTTCGAGCTTCCTGGCTGCTTTGTTTACCTAATCAAGCCTGGGCAATGGCGGGCACCCCTCCCCCAGCCTGGCTGCCGCCTTGCAGTTTGTTCTCAGACTGCTGTGCTAGCAATCAGCGAGACTCTGTGGGCGTAGGACCCTCCGAGCCAGGTGCAGGATATAATCTCGTGGTGTACCGTTTTTTAAGCCCGCCGGAAAAGTGCAGTATTAGGGTGGGAGTGAACCGATTTTCCAGGTGCTGTCCGTCACCCCTTTCTTTGACTCAGAAAGGGAACTCCCTGACCCCTTGCGCTTCCCAAGTGAGGCAATGCCTCTCCCTGCTTCGGTTCGCGCACGGTGCACGCACCCATGACCTGGGCCCACTGTCTGGCACTCCCTAGTGAGGTGAACCCGGTACCTCAGATGGAAATGCAGAAATCACCGTCTTCTGCGTCACTCACGCTGGGAGCTGTAGACCGGAGCTGTTCCTATTCGGCCATCTTGGCTCCTCCCCCTTCTTTTATTTTTTTAAAGATATTTCTATGCAGGAGAAATGTCTCTGCATTTTTTGGAGGTTAAAAGTGATTTGCTTTTTAGCCTCACATTTTATACATCTTTAAGTTAAAAAACCTAAGTATGTCTTGGTTTGGACTTCATTTCTTTGCTATCCTCTATATCTGCTAGGACTACAGCAGAAACTTGCTGGATCACATCTCCTTAAGGCAAGAAGTCCCTTGATGTTTTAATCCTCCAAATACAGTGTGGTTTCACAGTAGGAAGTGGTGTTGTGCAAGCCACAGATGATATGGGGAAGTAGTTTTCTCACCTCCCTGATTTTGACTGATCTTTGATAACAGATCAAGTAAGGTCAGAGCAGAATGAGATAACCAAGAAACAATTCTAAGTAGAGGCCTTTGGGAAGACGAGGGAGGTGAACATTAGCTGCTCAGAAAAGCCTTATCCTCGATGACAGCATGAGCAGATGGTTTGTTGTGATGTTCTGTGCCCTAGTGCAGGCCTGTCAGTGCAGGGTGGACCTGTGGGCCATGTTGTTCCAAGTCTCCAGTGTGTTATGAAATTTTTACGGGCTCTTTAATTTTTTTCATTCCTATTGTAGATTCAAGGCTACTAGAGTTGCAGATTATTATATATCTGGTCTAAAGGGAATTATAGTTGAGATTTCATGGATTTTTCTTGACAAAATTGACTAAAGTAGACATGTAGTTGTATATAACTGTAAGCTGCACATTTAAGGTATTCTTATCAGAAAACCGAAGCCTGTAAGCTGAAATACATAACACAGATATCTTTCTTTCTTCACCAGAAATCTTCCACTAATCCCGTCATTATTATCTCCTCTGCCATCTGCTTCTGTGCCCTCCTGGGCACTCTTAGTGCTTGCTTAAGGGCATGTGCTCGTGCTCTCCTCTTCTTATATTAACTGTGGATCAGGAAGAGCTAGGGAGAGAAGCAGCATACCATGTAGCCTCATACTAATCTAAGCCTCTTTCAGGTTTAGCACTAAATTGCTTCTTATTTTATACATCTAGTCTCAACATAGGGCATAATGATTTTTTGAGAGAATAAAGGACCACATGTTAGTGGAGGGAGGACTCTGATGTACTCTTCTAGGTAGAATTGATTTCTAGGCCTCTCTTCCCACAATTTGGTGGAAGAGAGGCAAGAAAATGGTAAACAAACAGTGACATTCCATTCCTGAATACATGTAAGAAAGCAAGTTTAAGGAGCATATCATTATCCCTAACATGAATTCATTGATAATAGATAAAACATGAGTCTGATATTTTGCTGCATTTTATAAATTCATGAAATTAAAGGTTTTTATTTGCTCGTGATCATCTAAGACCATTTTTTTTCTATTTAACTGTTGTGTTGTTGTTCTTGTAGCTCAAAGCATTCAGCAAACCAGGGTTCCAAGGTGAATGTATAGATTTTACAGAAGAAACTTCTGATTTGACTTCACTCATGCCATGTTCTTTTAAAGTTCTTCGAGGTTGGTAAGTATGCTTACTTAGTGGTTTCTGCTGTTATTTAATAACTAATACTTTTAAATTTACAGAGATATATTTTTTGCATGCACAGTGAATCCTTAAAATTTATCTTCAACAGGCATTTTACCTGCTAACTGGTCTATATTAATTTTGCTTAATTTGTATTTTGAGCTGTGATGGAATACAGAAAAACAGAATGCTGATTAACCAACTTAGGGAACATTTTGATTTTTGTCTCTCACTGTGATCTCAGATTATTTCCTAAATATTTTGAATGTTTATATTGTATATTTACCGTCTCACATAGTAGAATGCTATAAAAATACCTGGTGTTTTTATTCAAGTAAGACATATTAATCCTAATTTTTTTAACCTTTTAACAAAGTATTTATCATCCCCATTTCACAGATGCAGAAACCAGGTTCAGAGTTAAGGTTTTCCAAGATCACATACCAAATTTCAGACCCATGATTCCTTTGGTCTTTTTTTTTCTCATCTCTGAATCTGATATTCTTCCAATGGCAACAATATACTGTATATTTTTCACGTGTATATGAAACTACATGTGATTCCCATGGCTAAAATATATTCTACAATTTTTTTATTGTGCTAAAATATATGTAACATAAAATTTACCATTTTAACTATCTTTAACTGTACAGTTCATTGGCATCTCTATGTATCAAACATCTACCTAATAACCTATCAAAGTCTCTCTTTTCTTTTAAAATATCTTAGGTTTGTCAGTTTTCCTCCTTTCTCCCTTGAATCATTAGAGACCTGGGCCTTCTATTTTTCACTTGAAAAACTTCAGTCTCTTAATTACCCCCTGCTTCAGTGTCATCTTATTTCTAGTGTTTACCCCAAACAAATCACAGTACAATTATGTGTCCCAAAATCCAGTTTAATATTTTTACTAATGCTTTAATTCCCAGCCGTTTTCTAGTACCAGTCCGATCAAGTTCAAGCTCTTTCTTTTCTTGACCTTACCATCAACTAGCCTCCTTTCCCTATCCATTTCCCATCCTATTCTCCTCTCTTCTAACATTTGCTTTCCTCCGTACCCACTATACCAGGGGTCAGCAAACTTTAACTATAAAGAATCAGATAGTGAATATTTTTGACTTTGTGGGTTCCACAGGCTCTGTCCCAGCTACTGTCAACACTGCTATTAGATGTAGCACAAAAGCAGCCATACACAATACACAAACCAATAGGCACAGCTGCGTTCCAATGAAACATTATTTATGGACATTGAAATTTTAATTGTATGTAACATTTACATGTCATGAAATAGTCTTCTTTTAAATTTTTAAGCCCTCTGAAAATGTGAAAACCAGTCTTAGCTTATAGGCTGTTTGAAAACAAGCAGTGGGGCAGATTTGGCCCACATGCTGTAGTTTGCTGACACCTGTTTCATACCAAAGGTTGGAGGTCTCTGGTAAATCTAGCCAGCAGGTGTCATTTGTTTGGGCTATACACTAAGTTAAAAAAATTGTATTAATACTTACGTTTAGGATATTTTTCAGAAGAAGCTGTTTTCCACCTTCTCTTTAAAAATCAGAAGATTTTACGACTTGGAGAAAGCTTTTGTCTTTGTCGGTAATTAGCTGGTAGTGAGTAGATTGCATATGTGCTTTCCAGCATACCATAATCACCACCATTCCCAATTTTTTTCCACCTGGTACACTACTCATCTGCATTACCTGTGTGGTCTCCTGCAGGTATATAAGCTTGTGACCCCTGCTTAATAATAATTCAGATATATTCTTTAAGGTTCAGTCCACTCTATTATTTCTGTTCACCTTCTTGATTAACCCTAAATCAAGCAGTCCTTTCCTTCTCCTATTTCCTATAGCTGTTCTGCCTTGAGCCTCCTTGTATTTGTTTTTGTTTATATACTTACCTCTGAAAAGGAAATGAGAGTTTTACATTAAAACACATAAAGTAGGGCAGTATAAGTTAAATAGAGATCTGCAACTCTAATAAGAAATACACACACACACAGCAAGGACCTGAAATAATTTTGTTACTATTATTTGGCTCTAAGTTCCTTCTCCACTAAGATAAAAGAAAATATTTTACAAGATTTAGGATCATTGTTAATGAGAAGCATTGAAGTTTTTCTGGAGGAAAATGTATTTTTCTTGACACTGAATTCTAGGACAAACTAGTCACACATGTCTCTTCATGTAGGAAACATACAACAGCAGGATAAAAGAATACAAGAACTATGGCCATTGTGTAAACACCTGGAATGTGTGAGAGACCTGGATTTGAGCCCAGTTCCACCATTTTCTAGCTATATAACTTTAGGCAAAATGAGTCATCGCTCTGAACCTCAGCTTCCTCATCTGTAAAGGAGGGGTAATAACGGTACCTACCTCAAAGGTTTCTTACAAGGGCTAAATAAAATAATGCACTAGCTTTATGCCTGGCACACTAGAAACCTTTGATAAGTGTTGATTATGAAATGCTTATTACATTAGAAGACATGACAGTAAATTATAATGTCACACAGCATTTCTACGGTTTTCCAAAGTTAAACTGGTCTAGCAAGAGTGCAGTTCTGGTGATCTTAAAATACAGGGCTAGAACTTAACCACACCAAAACTAAATTAGTAACAGCCATTTAATTTTTCCCTTGGGCTCCTTCTTTTCAAAAGGCTGTGTTTAGCAAACTTTTGATGAATGCTGTATTGAAGATAACTCACTATTGAAGATTCTAAGGGATTTATTTCTTTTTAAAATTTTCCATTAGTTGTCAGATTTCTAGGTGACAGGTTTTATATACTCTTGTGTGATTTTTAAAACAATCTGTCTTCTATACTCATCTAAACTGAATACAAACATTTTTAATTTTTCCCAAAAAGAACTTATAATCTGTTCAGGTACTTAATAATCACCCTAATCTAATCCCAGAGTGCTATACTTGAAGGCACTAAATAAAAAGAATGTCTTTAGCTTAAAGCACACATTGTCTTATTTCAAATTTCATCTCTATCATTGAGTAGTTTGAGGAACCATGGGAAAATCACCTTACCTTTCTAATCCTTACTTTTGCTGCCTATAAAAATGAGGATGTTCCTAACTCATAGAATTATTAAGGACACCATGAAATAGTATATGTAAAGTGCCCAGCCTAATGCCTGGCGCATCATAAGCAGTTGAGGAATGATAGTGGTAGCTGTTGTGTTTTTTGTTTTTTTAAAGCTGGTGTGGTGGTGCTCTGCACCACTTTCTATGCCCTACCCCTACCCCAATTCCCACAGCATGATAATGAGCCTATACTGCCAAGTGAATGCAATTTGATTGAATGTCTTACTGCTTGGCTTTTAGCTGGCTCCTCTATTACCAAGAAGACATGTTTGTTAATCACTGTGTGTTAGAAGAAGGCCTCTATGCTGACCTTACTTCCTGCGGTTGCCCAGCATCTAAAGTCAAATCTCTCAAGCCCATTGACTATGTAAGTACTTTGCAAAATGCATACTTATAAGATTCTTTTTCTTGTCCAGTTTAATTACCACCAATGATAATGTGAAGTTGGAAGAAATGATACAAGGAGAAATATAAAAATCTGAAAAATATGAATAATTCATTTGTCAATCGTAAAACTGAGGTTCATTCATGAACTCCAACAAAAATGTAATATTCTCCTTTTTTAAAAAAAGCAGAGGTGTAAAACTCAAGAACTAGAATAATGTAGGCCTCAACTCCCAGTTTGATACTTTAATCAATTTGAGTGACATTGGCAAAGTTACTTGTTTACCCATCTGTAAAAATAAAAATAAAATAATAACAATAGCACTTACAAGGCCATTGGGATATTAAATGAGATGATGCTTATAAAGTGCACAGCATATGGTGAGTTCTCATTTAAATGTTAGCTATTAGTACCATGGTTGTTATTCTTATAGCTGCTTAAGTATAAAAATAACCTGACCACTTTATTATTCTACTAGGTAAGTCACATGACAGTTTGTCTGCTACTAAGGTTAACTATGTTACTTTAAGGCATGGGCCACCACAGATACTAAATTCAAACCTGTTTTTGGGAACCAGGGCCTTTCTGTCTGGTGTGTGCAGAATGATCTGGGTCACCTCTGAGGCCCATATTTATAGAGTAAGTAGGTTTTCCTTTTTACCACATTTATTTAGAATTTCAAATGTGAGATAAATGGGATCACAACTCCAGGACATCAATTCTGGGCCCCTAGTCAATAGGATCTGTGCAGAGGAGGTAGTGAGGATCTGGGATACTTTCAAGATATCTAATTATGACAATTCCTTGGGGATATGTTTGGTCAAAGCTTCAGTTTTACACAGAGCTGATTAGAAACTCTACATAATAGTTGCAGTAACTCAAACCTTTCTGTCAGAGCTGACTCCAAGGATAATAGCCATACTCAGGATCTTTGATCTCAACCTAAGCAATGTAGTCCTATTTCACAAGGCATTCCTGGATAGAGTATTCTTGGTATCAGACTAATTATAGAGTCTTGGCTGAGAACAAGAATATAAATAGTGTTCTTGGTCTCTCTCAGTGGCTCTGTAGACACCAACATGGAAAGAATAAGTGGCTACTAATACTTCTTGTCTGTTGGAGGAAAAATGGTTTAAAAAAAATAATGTGATCTGGCAAGTCTCTGCAGTCTTTGATAATGCTGGAAAAGACATTGGAAGGTAGTCCATGTTTACTGGAAAGCAATTTTTTAAACAATTTTTAGTGGCCAAATCAGCAGAAAGATACTTACTTGGTGTTAACTCTAAAAGCAAAAGATAGAGGTCTAAATTTGAAAGTACTATCCTGAAAGGGTTTTGTACAACTCTTAATTCAGTGAACTAAACCAACAAAATTTCTAGGGAGGGCATTTTAGAAGCAGGGTCAAAATTAGTGTTACTATTTTTCTTTGAAGGGTTATAATTCCTTTAGATTCATGAAGTGTAAAATGAAAAATTTGGGATGAAAATAAACAGAGATGTTTTCATGTAAGTTGTCATGTGGAGTGGCATGTCCCTAGTTTTGGTCCTGTTTTTGGTCCTAGTTTTTATCCAGGCAGCATAAGTGAAGGTGCCTATTGGGAAGTACTTGAAATCTATAGACTTTTCACTTCAAGAATTGGTTAAAGAATATATTCAGTTTATGTAAGGGTAGCATGTTAGTTATCTTAATGCCATTCATAATATACTGAAAATATTTAAAACATCTTTTGCGAAGATGTGTTATAGCAGCAGGTTTGTGGGAGGAACATGAGGGAGTTTGGATATCCTACAAAGATCTGCAAAGTGACCATGAAGACACCTCAACAGGGGTCCCAAAGCCTTAAGTTGATCAGACCTAGGGAGATTGCTATGTAAACCAGAAGGTCAATTTAGTGTTTTGTAATAAGTGGATTCTAGTGACTGGAATGCTCGAAAATTCTGTCCTGGGCACTTTTTCCCCCTCTCTGGAAGAACAAGGGAAACTGAATTAGTCATCAGGAGGTTATTTGTTGAGCATAAGATTTGGGTAAAATAAGGTAGATACCTTGAGATTAGCCTGTAGGCTAATGTTCCTCCTAAAAGAGAGTCCTTTTACTCTCTAGGTCCCAGTTGCTCACACCCTCCAGATTCTGTCTCATTTCCCTGGACAGTGCTAGATACACTACCTATTCTGCTTCTCTGATTCATTCTGATTCTTTCTGTGATTCTCCCCACTATCTTCGTAGTTAGGAATTGATATGCCTTTTTTCGTAGATTTCCTAATACTGCTGCCTATGCCACAATCCAGTGTAATTCTGGATTCATTCCAGGAAATGTTTCTGTGTAATTAAGTTGACATTATGTAAGTATGAGGTAATCCTTTGCTTTTGCTTTTGTTAGTTAAAACTGCAGAATTCTAGGGATGTTGCCTGCAGTTGGTATTCCCAGACATGCTATGGCTTGGTGCTTAAGTGTCACAATGGTATAATATTGAGAAGTCTTAAGATTTCATCTTCATAGAAGATAAGTATATTTTGAAAATGACAGTGTGCTCCAGGCTAACTTCTGTTGGTACAGGTGAAGGTTACATTCTAGAGGGGCATTGACACATAGTTTGCAGTGTTGCAGTCATTTTAT
Organism: Homo sapiens; assembly: GCF_000001405.40. NCBI lineage: Eukaryota > Metazoa > Chordata > Mammalia > Primates > Hominidae > Homo > Homo sapiens. Next base: position 97,918,370 of record NC_000003.12, read on the forward strand.
AGTGAATGGAGCTAGGAGTGTAGTTCATAGTTCTGCTTCTAACGAATATGACCTTAAGCAAATCTCTTAATTTATCTGTATCTCAGTTAATTCTTCTGTAAAGAAACTGTTAGAACAGGTATTTTCAAATCATGGACAGCCTCCAGTTCTGTTGCAAATAAGTATCCTGGTCATATTTCTAATTGGATATGAAAAAGAATTTATCTGGCTTTAGGATTCACAAGGTCAGAAGGAATAATATCATGTATTAGCTTTCACAACAGTCTCCAGAATCATAGTGGTTTAAAACAAATGTTCGTTTCATTTTCATATTTTATCTCAAAATGGCAAGACAGTTGCATGGCCTCCACTTTAGGCTTGTTAGTTGGCTTTAGATACACTTTTGATATATGCTTTGCATTGGGACCAGGCTAATGGGAGCACCTCCAATTGGGGACATGACTATTTTCATGACAGGGGAAAGAGGGAGCAAGGTCACAATCACAGAGTCACATTTGAAGCTTCTGCTCAGATTCATTTTGCCTATGCACACATCATTGTGTCCACTCACATTCTGTTTCCAAAAGCAAGTCATAAGACCAAGCCTGACATAAATTAGGCAGGGGAATAGACTCTCACTTGGGCAGGGATGAAGTTGACAAAGTATATTCAAACAATAATACAATCTATCAGAGATGTATAAACTCATAGAGGTGTTCTCTGTTACTAGATTTTGGAGAAAATGAAAGGAGGTGAAATTTTAATAATTTATCTCTGCCACTGTAGCAGAGCTAACTTCCTTTTAAAAACTTGAGATTAATTTTTAGTGACAGTCTGGAGGTGGTTTGGTGGCTCTCAAATGAAGTATATGGTAGACAAGTACAAAAGTCTGCCTCAGAATATGGTCCCCAGTTCTCTTTCAAAATTCATTTAGAATTCTAAAATCATCAGGTAATTTAATATAGGGAAATTTAATTTAATCATACTAAGACAGCTCTATGTAAGCATCTGGGAAAAATAATAACAAATTAGGTGGCCTAGAATTAGGAAAGTGAACTAAAACCCAGGGTTTTCATCAGGCTCTTCTCAGAGATATATATCTGGAAAAATTACATGACTAATAATAGGCCTAAATATCTATCTCAAAACATGGTGAATGGGTTTCTATTGTCTTCTCTTTAAGTTTTTCAGTAGCCTTGGTTTGGTAATGGCTTGATTGCTTAACAGTGATTACAAGAAGACCTTTTAAGATGAAAAAGATTGAATATCATGCCTAAGGAAGTTTAAGTGTTTTGTGGGGGCTGAAACCAAAGCCTTCTATATTTAGGAGTAATCATACTGGGTGGAAAAGGGCAATAAAATGATTAAAAAAAAAAAAAAAAAGGCTTAGGATGATGCTTGGGGCGTTGGTGTAGAGTTCCATGAATGAAAAACACATCTGATTAGTAATTTTGTAGAAGAAAGTTTAAAGGTACTCCATTTTGCTTTGATCAAAGAAAAATATTTAAGGTGGCTGAATTCTTTCTCCCATCTCAGCCTCCGAAGTAGCTGGGACTACAGGTGTGCACCACCATGTCTGGCTAGTTTTTGTGTGTTTTTTTGGTTGAGATGGGGTTTCACCGTGTTGCCCAGGCTGGTCTCAAACTCCTGGGCTCAAGGGATCCACCTGCCTCAGCCTCCCAAAGTGCTGGGATTACAGGTACAAACCACTGCACCGTCCAGCTGAATTCTTTATATAAATATCACAAATGCTGCACAATAACACCATTGCTGAAGATGCATTTTATATTTATTCAATCTAAAGTATTGAACACCTGCTCTTTACTAAATACTGTGCTAAGTACTGAATATGAATTAAAAAAGAATTAGATGGCATAACAAACTCATCAAATCTAAGTGTTATCTTACTCTTGGTCTCTCAAGTGTAGATGTTTCTCAGATACCTATTCTTGGCCTTTCCTCTCCTGTACTTAGAAATTTTCATTATCATAACATCAGCTCTTACCTCCATCAGTGTAGAAGATTTGCAGATATCTAGAGTAAGCAGTACTCAGTTATTCCCTGAGCTTCATTCCCAGATTCCACATGGGTCTTCAGCATGTTTTGCCAGCATCCCATTTTCCTTCATAGACTTGTTCTTCTTTTCTGCTCTGTTTCTGTTGAAAGCAATCATCATTACCCCCCTCCCCCCACTTTTTTTAGATAGAGTCTGGCTCTGTCACCTAGGCTGGGGTGCAGTGGCACCATCTTGGCTCACTGCAACCTCCGCCTCCCAAGTTCAAGGAATTCTCATGCCTCAGCCTCCCAAGTAGCTGGGATTACAGGCACGTGCCATCACTCCCAGCTAATGTTTGTATTTTTAGTAGAGACGGGGTTTCACCATGTTGGCCAGGCTGTTCTCAAACTCCTGACCTCAAGGGATCTGCCTGCCTCATCCTCCCAAAGTGCTGGGATTACAGGTGTGAGCCATCACACCCAGCCCCATGATATGTCTTAAGCTTTTCCTCTTATCTCCTTTCCATTGTCATGACTAAGTTTAGAGCCTCATTCTGTCTTTCTAAAACTGTTGTGATGGGTACATAAGTAATTTTCTTCCTTTGGCCTCTTTCTTTTTCAGTTCTTTTTATTTGCAGCATTGAGCATGTAGCCTTCCCATAAAGCCCAGACCATGACATTAGGTCCTACTTTTCCAATATTATTGCTCAATCATTTTCATGTATCCTGTTTACAAGCTTTCCCTCCCCCCTCCCAATACCTTCCTTAAACTTTCTCTATTTTGTGTTTTTATGTGGAAACATAGAATGAAGTTTTTCTTTCCCCTCTCTAAATTCTTTGAGATCTAATTTAAAGGACCTCAATTCTAGGAAGCCTTCAGTGATCCTCATTTCTTAAAGTGACTTTTGTCTGCCTTAATATTCTTTCTCTGCATCTTAAGATGCTTTTCACTTTCTCCTTTTCATCACAGTTACTGAAACTGCAAAGCCATTGAGGGGATGATTTATATTTATTGTAGCTTTGAATTCTGTCACTCTTATGTCCCCTCTACTTAGCACAATGCTATAAAAATATCAAGAGTCCATTATGTAATAAGCTGACTAAATAAACTCATTCATTCATGCCTAAAAATATATAGGCAGTAGTTGTATAAAGTTCATTCTTCTACTTCAGAGCTCATTCCATAAGAGGGGTTGTACTTTGGACTTACTATAGGTTTGTGTCTTATCCATTTACAATATTATAATAATAGCTTTAGAAGTTGGGGGATGGTGGGGAACCTAAGTTGAAAAAATGGTAATTTCCAGCTGCTAGCTATTGATGAAATGCTTTAAAGTCAGACTGGGTATTAAAAGAATAATAGCATATATAGACAGGAGCAAGATACATGAGAACCTGTTGATTGATCTAAGGTGGAGTTAACTGCGACTTTTCAGACTATTGCATAAAACATTTAAGCGCTGGACCAGGAGTGTGTAGGGTAACCTATTTTATTGCATTTCCATGGGAGCAGTAGTTAGCTGGTTGCTTCTCTAATTTCCCCACTGGGGCCTTGGAATGGAAGTTTGGCTGCCTTTGAAGTAATAATCCAGCCCTGGCAGCTCCAAGGAGGCAAAACCAAAGAAACATTATAACAAGAGGCTGTAGAAAAACTTCAGATAAAATTAAGACTGTGATAACATAAATGATCTTAGGAAGTAGAATAAGAGTTGGCAAGACAATGATTCATTCTGTAGAAGGATACTGAATAAGAGGCACAGCTACAAATAGAGGGAGACTATAAATCCAGCCTCAGAATGAAAGGAAGGAATGAGTTTATAAAGTGTAGAAGACAAAAATTAATTCAAGATGGATTAAAGACTTAAATGTTAGACCTAAAACCATAAAAACCCTAGAAGAAAACCTAAGCAATACCATTCAGGACATAGGCATGGGCAAGGACTTCATGACTAAAACACCAAAAGCAATGGCAACAAAAGCCAAAATTGACAAATGGGATCTAATTAAACTAAAGAGCTTCTGCACAGCAAAAGAAACTACCATCAGAGTGAGCAGGCAACCTACAGAATGGGAGAAAATTTTTGCAATCTACCTATCTGACAAAGGGCTAATATCCAGAATCTACAAAGAACTCAAACAAATTACAGGAAAAAATCAAACAACCCCATCAAAAAGTGGGCAAAGGATATGAACAGACACTTCTCAAAAGAAGACATTTATGCAGCCAATAGACAAATGAAAAAATGCTCATCATCACTGGCCATCAGAGAAATGCAAATCAAAACCACAGTGAGATACCATCTCACACCAGTTAGAATGACGATCATTAAAAAGTCAGGAAACAACAGGTGCTGGAGAGGATGTGGAGAAATAGGAACACTTTTACACTGTTGGTGGGACTGTAAACTAGTTCAGCCATTGTGGAAGACAGTGTGGCGATTCCTCAAGGATCTAGAACTAGAAATACCATTTGACCCAGCAATCTCATTACTGGGTATATACCCAAAGGATTATAAATCATGCTGCTATAAAGACACATGCACACATATGTTTATTGTGGCACTATTCACAATAGCAAAGACTTGGAACCAACCCGAATGTCCATCAATGATAGACGGGATTAAGAAAATGTGGCACATATATACCATGGAATACTATGCAGCCATAAAAAAGGATGAGTTCATGTCCTTTGTAGGGACATGGATGAAGCTGGAAACCATCATTCTAAGCAAACTGTCACAAGGACAGAGAACCAAACACCACATGTTCTCACTCATAGGTGGGAATTGAACAATGAGAACACTTGGACACAGGGCAGGGAACATCACACACCAGGACCTGTCATGGGGTTGGGGGAGTCAGGAGGGATAGCATTAGGAGGAATACCTAATGTAAATGACAAGTTAATGGGTGCAGCACACCACCATGACACATGTATACATATGTAACAAACCTGCATGTTGTGCACATGTACCTTAGAACTTAAAGTATAATAATAATAAAAAAAAGTGTAGAAGAATTTGGTTACTATTAAACTTTTTAGCTGAACCTATATATATAGTTAATGGTATTAACTATTATGCACATTTTGAAAATGCAGGCCAACAAAAACTTACAGTAAACATCACACTTCCCAGTGAGATATCTGAAACAGCGCTCTTTAAATTCAGGCAGCAGGCAAAGGTCTCCCTATTACCACTACTATTCGGTATTCTGAAGTTCTATCTAATAAAAAAAAATCTAAAAAATAAAATAAGATTAAAACAAAAAAGGAGAAAACAAAACTGGCAAGAGCATCTATGGTGTAAATGATAAATTATTAGGGCTAAAGCACATTTTTAAAAGTTGCAGAGTATAAGATAAATAGCAATTAAACCATAGAAATTAAGGGTACTTATAAATAAATCTAACACAAGGGAATAAGTTTTTTTCCTAGGAATTTTATAAAAACTCTTGAAGGAAGTAAACATTGAGAGATACAATCTTTTATAGGTAAAAGGACTCAATATTGTAAAGATATGGTCTTCCCCAAATTAATATTGTTTCAGGCAAAACACAGTGTTCTCTCCTTTTAGGGGGTAGAGGTGGGGAGTAAAACATGGCAAGCTTATCCTATGATTAATTTGGAAAAGCTATTGGGTCAAAAATCGCCAAGATAATTTTTAAGAACAACATGTAGGGTCACTTATCCTACCAAGTATATATTGCTTTATACAGCAGTAATAATTAGTGGGAATCAGTACAAGGAGAGACAAATGGGACAGAGGAATAGGGTAGCATGGAAACTGACCTATATAGTAATGGAATTTGGAAGATAACAGCATTCCAATGGAGCTATGATGAACTGTTAAATAAATGGTGTTGAGACAATTGACCCATTCCATGGAAAAAGATAGTTAGAATCCTACTTTACTCCAAACACAAAAATAAGTTCCAGATGGATTAATAACAAGCTAAATGTGAAAAGCAAACTTTACAACTTAGAAGAAAATATAGGAATCTACCCTGATGATACTGCAGTAGGATGGATTTCTTCAAACAGAAAAAGCACAAATGAATAAGAAAAAGGTGAAAGGCAAATGTATTAGTGTCCTATTGCTGATGTAACAAATTACTGTAAACTTAGTAGCTTAAGATGACAGATATTTACAGTCTTGCAGTTCCACAAGTCAGAAGTCTGAAATTGGTCTTACTGTGGTAAAATTAAGGTGTTGGCAGTCATTTCATCTGGGAAGCTCTAGGGGAGAACCCATTTCCTTACCTTTTCTAGCTTCTAGAGGCCACCAGCATTCCTTAACTCATGACCTTCTTTCATCTTCAAAGTGCATCACTCTAGTCTCTGCTCTTTATCTGCTGTCTCTTAACCCTCCTACCTTCCTCTTACAGGGACCCTGGTGGCCACTTTGGGCTTACCTGAGTAATCTAGATGATTGTGCCTATCTCAAGGTCCTTAATTACTAATATCTGTAAAGTACCTCTTGACCATGTTAGGTAACATATTCAACATATTCACCATATTCACAGGTTCTAAGAATTAGGATGTGAACATTTGTGGGGTAGGGAGAGGAGGCAGGCATTAATTATTCAGACTGCCACAGCAAGCCACAGAATATATTTGCAGTCCATATAACCTACAAAGGTTTAGTGTACCGAATATAAGAAGAGCTCTTAGCTGGGTGTGGTGGCTCACATCTGTAATTCCAGTGCTTTGGGAGGCTGACCTGGGAGGACTGCTTGAGTTCAGAAGAGCCTGGACATGGCTGGTCCCTGTCTCTACAAATAAATAAATAAATAAAATAATTAGAAGAGCTCTTTCAAACCAATTCAGAAAAATCCACTTCAAAAACCAACAGAGGATATAAATAGGCAGTTTATAGAAGAGGGAAAAATGGCTCAGGACATCCAAAGGATGTTAACCCTCACTACTGATCAAGGAAATACAAATTAAAACAATTATAAATAACATTAGCTTACTCTAGCTACAGGCATTTTAAAATCTGAAAATACTAAGGTTTGGCTTAGTTGCAGGGAAGTAAGATTATTCATATATAGCTAGTGGAAGAAGTGTTAATTACAATGGTGGGGGGAATAAGAATGTCTGTTGCAGCTATGATGGATGAAACAAATAACCACACATTCCTATAAGGGAATGAAATATAGTAGTTACAATGAATTGGACAGCTACACGTATGAAGAGTCAAATTTCAAACACAGTAGGCAAGGAAAGCAGGCTACTAAAGATGTTACAATAGAATACATTTTCTGTAAATTTTAAAAACAAAAGATGCATAACCATTAATAGAAACAGAAAAACATGAGCTGAAAAGATTTACAACTTGAGCATAGTGGTCACCTCTGGGGGTGGTGGGAGTTTAAATTCATCTGTATTTGCTATGTTTTATTTATTTTAAAATGTGATACAAATATAGTAAAATTAAAATGTAATACTTCTGGGTTTTAGGTATATGGTCATCTATGTTATTCTTTTTAAAATGTATCATAATTTTTTTTTAAATAAGGAGAAAACAAAGATCAGTAAGAAAGGTAAATCCATGTTGAAACTGACTTTCTAAACCAAATGAGAGAGGCTCTATGAGAAGGATTATAGTTTACTGGTGAAGAGTTTGGTTTGAATGTCTTAGAGACCTTCTTGGTTCAAGTCCTGACTCTACCATTAATAACTGTTAGCTGAGTGACCCTGGGCGTGTTTCTGACCACTCATTCTATGAGGCCAGCATCATTCTAATACCAAAACCTGACAGAAACACATGGAGAAACAAAACTTCAGGCCCATATGCCTGATGAACAAAGATGCAAAAATCCTCAACAAAGTACTGGCAAACTGAATCCAGCAGGACATCAAAAAGTTAATCCACCACAATCAAGTAGGCTTTATTCCTGGGATGTAAAGTTGGTTCAATATATACAAATCAATAAATGTGATTTATTACATAAACAGAACTAAAAACAGAATCCTCATAATTATCTCAATAGATGCAGAAAAGGCTTTCAATAAAATTCAGTATCCCTTAATGATAAAAACCCTTAACAAACTAGGCATTGAAGGAACATATCACAAAATAATAAAGAGACTTATATGACAAGCCCATTGCCAGCATCATACTGAATGAGTAAAAGCTGGAAGCATTCCCTTGAAAACTGGAACAGGAGAAGGATGCCCACTCTTACCTCTGCTGTTCAGTATAGCACTGGAAGACCTAGCCAGAACAAGCCCACAAGAGAAAGAAGTAAAAGGCATCCAAATAGAAAAAAAGGGAGTCAAGCTATCTCTCTTTACAAATGATATGATTCTATACTTAGAGAACCCCATAGTCTCTGCCCAGAGGGTCCTAGATTTGATAATTAACTTCAGTAATATTTCAGGATACAAAATCAGTGTAGAAAAATCAGTAGCATTTCTATACACCGGTAACGTCCAAGCTGAGAGCCAAATCAAGAATGCAATTCCATTCACAATAGACACAAAGAATAAAATATCTAGATATACAGCTCACCAGGGAGGTGAAAGATCTCTACAATGAAAATTACAGAACACTGCTGAAAGAACTCAGAGACAACACAAACAAAGGGAAACACTCCATGCTCATGGATAGGAAAAATCAATGTCATTAAAATGGCCATACTGCCCGAAGCTATTTACAGATTCAATACTGTTCCTACCGAAGTACCAACATTTTTTCACAGAATTAGAAAAAAGCTATTCTAAAATTCACATGGGAACCAAAAAAGAGCCCAAATAGCCAAGGCAATCCTAAGCAAAAAGAACAAAGCTGGAGGCATCATGCCACCCGATTTCAAACTATATTACAAGGCTACAGTAACCAAAACAGCATGATACTGGTACAAAAAACAGACACAGAGGCCAATGGAAAAGGTTAGAGAACTCAGAAATAAAGCCTCACACCTACAAAAATTTGATCTTTGACAAAGTTGACAAGAATAAACAGTAGGGAAAGGACTCCCTATTCAGTAAATGGTGCTGGAATAATTGGCTAGCCATATGCATAATATTGAAACTGAACCCCTTGCTTTCACCATTTGCAAAAAATAACTCAAGATGGATTAAAGACTAAAATATAAAACCTAAAACTGTAAAAAACCCTAGAAGAAAATCTAGGAAATACCATTCTGGACGTGGGCCCTGGCAAAGATTTTATGAGGAAGCCCCCAAAAGGAATTACAACAAAAACAAAAATTGACAAATGGGACCTAACCTAAAGTGCTTCTGCACAGCAAAAGAAACTATCAACAGAGTAAACAGTCAGCAGAATGGGAGAAGATATTCACAAACTATGCATTCAACAAAGGTCTAATATCCAGAATCTAAAAGGAACAAATCAACAAGCAAAAAACAAACAACCCCATTAAAAAGGGAGCAAAGGACATGAACAGACACTTCTCAAAAGAAGATATGCATATGGCCAACAAGCATATGAAAAAATGCTCAACATCCCTAATCAGTAGAGAGATGCAAATCAAATACACAGTGAGATACCATCTCATACAAGTCCAAATGGCTGTTATTAAAAAGTCAACAAATAACAGATGCTAGTGAGATTGTGGAGAAAAGGGAATGTTTACACTGGTTGTAGGAATGTGCATTAGTTCATCCACTGTGGCAAGCAGTTTGGAGATTTCTCAAAGAATGTAGAACTACCATTTGACCTAGCAATTCCATTACTGGGTATATACTCAAAGGAATATAAATCATTCTATCATAAAGACACATGCACATGTATATTCAGGGCAGCACTATTCACAATAGCAAAGACATGGAATCAACCTAGGTACCCATCAACGTTGGACTGGATAAAGAAAATGTGGTACATAGCCACCATGGAATACTGTGCAGCCATAAAAAAAGCAGAATATCGAATATGTTCTTTGCAGCAACATGGATGCAGCTGGAGGCCATTATCTGAAGCTTATTAACACAAGAACAGAAAACCAAATATGTAATGTTTTCAATTATAAGTAGAAGATAAACATTAAATACACATGGGCACTATGAAGGGAACAATAAACACCAGGGCCTGCTTGAGCAGAGAGGGTGGGAGGAGAGTGAGGATTGAAATACCACCTATTGGGTACTATGCTTATTACCTGGCGATGAAATAATCTGTGCATGAAACCCCTGTGACATGCAATTTATCCATGTAACAACCCTGCATATATACCCCAGAACAGAAAATAAAAGTTGATAGGAAAAAAAATGAAAAAATACAGTTCTGCAATCCCTAAACTGAATGTATTTTGGGATTTAAAGTTTTTCAAATTTTAAACAGTAATATGATTCATGTATGGCCTAAAAGGAAACACACCCAGCAGGGTTCTGGACTGTACCCCTAATTAAACATATTTCTGTTCCTATAGTGAAATTTATGCACAGCTACACAAATTGGGTAGTATTATAAATAGACTTCAATTTATTCAGGTAGAGTTATGTTGACTAGGAAAAAAATTTTTGATTTTAAAGCTTTTTGGATTTCAGAACAATGAATAAGGTATTGCACATATATATCTATGGATGGATACAGATATAGGTATATAACTTAGAACAATAATTCCCAGCACATATTAAGTGCTATATATGTTAGTTTCTACTGTTATTATCACTTAAATTATTTAAATTATTATTTTAGTTGATGGGATGAGGAGGAACAATGAGTTTTCTTCTTTTGTATTGAAATTTTCATTTATACAATTTGGTCGAGTATTCTTTTTCTTTGACAACTACATCTTCCTTTTAGAAACTGTATCCTCTTTGCATGATTTAGACTTAATCCGGCAGGAATGTCCTGTTAACTGCTGACATCTAAGAAGAGCCTTTAGCCACAAATGGTTGGCCAGCTTCAAAGTTAACATGGACTAAGGCGAAGACATTTGTGGAGCTCAAACTGTAATCAAATATTTTTTTTTTTATGCTTGGAAAGTTCGGATTACTGTGTCATCTTCAGTTTTAAAGATTATTAATAGTTGATCTCTCTTCCTATTTTCATGTTAGGGAAATGTATCAGAAAAATATGATTTTAAAATATTAATAGTTCTTCAGTACCCTTTATTTCCAAAAGATTATTAACCACCCCCCATCATCCTGCCCAGGTTAGCACTGTGTTGACTTTCCTAATCTTCCTAACCTTTAAATACATTTATAATTCAAGTATACTTATAAATTAAATATTTAAATTAAAATAAAGTAGAAAAAAATCAAAGCTTCAAAAACAGTAGATGTTCTCAAATGTAAAATTTGATAGTTGGACCACATAATGATATCCTTTTGTTGTTTATGAGAGGTGGGATATTTTTCCACGCTGGTTTATTAGCTATGTCTCTTCTTTGGTTAATGCTATTGGCTTACCTTCTTTGCCCATTTGTCCAATAGGTTTCTTAGAGTACCCTTACTAATTTATATAAGCTGTTAAAATGTTTCAAATATTTTCTGTCATCTTGTACAATTTTTTTCTCAATATCCCTGCATCATTATTTTTAAAAACATAGATGTTTACACATTTTTTGTTCCCTCCATCAAGCTTTTTATCTTTTCTTGAGATACATTTCTAGAGGTAGAATTGCTAGAATGATGGGATTGAATTTAATGGCGTTTCAGTGACAATACCAGCGTTTTGAAAAATATCTTTGTAGGCATTCTGCAAAAGGAAGAGGAAAAATGTACACAGGTCAATTTTTCTTAGAATAATGCTTAGCATTTAAATTACTTTCTCATAATAGGCTTCTAGATTTTTTCCCCCTCTGGGATATAAAACAGTTAACATCATGTAACCAGTAAATGCCTTTGATGTAGATGTCTGTTGCTCTTACCCCAGCCAGCTCTTCTCTGGGGAGAGTGCTGCTGATTGTTGACTTGGAGCACTGGCCAGGCTCCTTGCCATCTGTTCTTCCTCACTAATCAGTAACTCAACAAGTAGATGTGTGTAAAAAGGTAAAGTGGAATACTTTCTAAAAATCTTGAGAGTGAAGATGTTGAAAAAAATCCACCAATATAGTCAGGGCTGTGGATTTTTATTGTCTGCTTACTTTCAGTTTATTTTATAAACTGTTGGGATGCTTCCAATTTATTTTGCAGATAGCAGAAGAGGTGCCTAACCTTGCCTGTGGCCACTCAATAACTCAGTGATTAGAGATGAGTTTTTATTCCTGGTGCAGTCAGTGGTGTCTACTGAGGGAAAATCAATGCTCCTAGGTAGCCTGTCCATCTTAGCTTATGGTCTCACTGCACACAGCAATTGTTACATTCTTTGCCAGTATCCTCTAACTCCTAAATCTGTACTGTCCAACACCATAGCACTAGCCACCTGTGGTTATTTAAATTAATTCCATCCCTTGATCACACAAGCCACATGTGGCTAGTGGCTGCCATATTGGAGAGTCCAGATACATAACATTTCTATCACTTCAGGAACTTCTGGAAGATGCTTTAAACTTTCCTTGATCAGCAGACAGTGTTGGCCACATAACGTAAAGAGAAATTTATTCACACATTTCCTGATTTTAAATGGACATTTCTGGGCATCCTTTTTATCTTTCCTTTTATTTCAGAGGTGGAGTTCATCCTTTCCAAAGTGATCTTTTTCCTCATGAACTGATGGGAAGCAATGGATTGTACCTCTCCCTCCTTCCCTGGAACATCCTTTTTGCCTTGCAGTATTCAGCTTCTCTCTATTCCACTAACGCCTTCCACAAAGCATGCTCATAGGCCACTACCCCGTTTCCCTCCTGCTCTTCACCAAATTTTTCTAATAGTCTGTATACCTTTATAGCCTGTACAGTTTCTCACCACTTACTCTTCAGCCCTTACAACCTAGATTTTAACTTCATTTCTGACATGGTGCTGAAACAGCATTCATAGGGTTACTAGCTGCCTTCTGATTATCAAACCCAAACAGCCATATCTCAGTCACCCTCTCCCTCGACATGGAAAGAATTTGATGCCATGGGGCAAGTCTTCCTTATAATTCTCTTCCTCCTTCACTTCTACAGTGTAAATGGGTTCTGTTTTGGCTGTCTTCTCCTGATTCATTTGTTCAGTCACTTCCACCTCCCATGTTTCATCATCGCCCACCTGTGTATGTCAGTGCAGTTCTAGTTTCCTTGCATTTCCATTTTCTTATCCATGGCTCTAGTTATTACCCAGATTCTGAGAATTCCCAAACCCAACATCTCTAAACCTGGTCTTTCCCTGGAACTCCAGATCAAAAGGTCCAGTATATGTTGGACATCACTGTTAAGATTATCCTGGCTCTATCTCAACATTAAGATATCTGGGCATGCTTTCCTCCTGATTTCTTTATATATAACCGATTATACCAGCATGTCCCAAGCCATGACTTTTCACATTTTTCCTCACTTACTGATTCCATTTGTTTGCCTTAACTAGCATGTCTGTTTTATCACTGTGATATTAATAGTCTTCCTGGCCATCCTTTACTCCTAACCTTCCCCCTAACCCCTGTTTTAGGTCTGGGTCTATTTTTCTCTGACCTCATATATTGCACCAGTACTGATGCCGTTACTTCCATTCTCTCTGTTCTTCACTTATACTGTTGTCAGACAGATTGCCTGAAGGCCATTAAAAAATACATATACACAATGCCAACGTGTAATAATTACCAACTTAAAATTAATAATACCAATTTAAAATAAATATTCCCATGGTTCAAAAGTCAAAATATACCAAAAGGCACTTAGTGAAAAACTTTGCTTCCACTTGTGCACTTGTGCCCTTTATCTTCTCTTACACAGTCTTCCCAACAGGCAGCCATGGTTACCAGTTTTTTTTATTTTTTAGAAAAATTTTAATGTGTGTACAAGCGCATACATATGTATGTGCACAGAAATTTTCCTTCTCTGCAAATGGTAGTGTATGAAATACGTTTTTCATACCATCCTTTGTGTTTATTTCTAAACAATATATCTTGGTGATCTTTCATAAAGAGCTCCCCATTCTTTTTTACAGCTGTATATGATTCTTCTGTGTATGAACCATAATTTATGTAACCAGTCCTCTCCTGATGGGCGTTTAAATCATTCCACACCCTTCACTGTTCCAAACACTGCTGCAAAGAAAAACTATTTCATAATTCATCCTTCTCTTATGCAAGTATAAGCAGGTCCCTTGTGAGGGTCACTGTGAGAGCTTGTTATTTTCTGCCTGTTCATTTATTGTTCTTTGACCCTCCACTGCCCCTGCTGCTAGTGCTTTGCTTCTTATCTACCGAGTTGCAGTTGCTTCAGCCCACTCATAGTCCTTAGTTCAGAAGCTTCAAGAACTTTCCACTGGGAATAGATCTGTCTCTGTCCTGTCAGTGTGGGAGGAGAAGCAAGCAGTGCAATGCACCATAACAAACTGTGGGAGCACTTGCCGCTGTTTCCTGTTGGGCTGATTTGCCGTTCCCCCAACATGTCCCATGTGTTTCTCTTGTCTTGCTTTGCACAGAATGTTTTCCCTCTGTTCACCATCTTCTTTCCAGATCCACTGCATCCTTTGAGACTGAGCTCACAAGCCACCACATCCATGAAGCTTGATTCCTGCTCCCTTCTGCTAAAAATAATCTAGCTTTCTACTGAGGACTCTGACACAGCATATCTTTTTCTGCACTGGATTACATTACAATATCTGTACAGTTTTAATTTAACTATTTGTTAGTAATTCCCCAGACACAAGGATAGATGGTGCCTTGTTTTATCATCCCCCCAAAAGTCTCTTAACATGGTGTCTTGCATACATTAATGAATGAAAAAGCAATACTGAGTCTATTCTTGTCTGACATGATGGGTTGAAGAAATACTTTTAATGCAGAAATCACCACCATTCTTGTGCATTTCAGCTTTTTTTAAATTAAAAATGCCTTTATTCTTCCTCCTAGGAATATTTTTAAGAGCTTACCACCACAGAGTCTTACATTCCTAGTGACTGCTCCTGTGACCTCCTAGAAATTAGGGTGCCATTCCATTCCATATTTATTCTGTTGCCAGCTAAAAGCATTGGCAGGACTAATTATGGTCCATATTACAGTACCACAAGACCTTAATCTGTGATTTGGAATCATGGGTCTCTTTATTATGGCTGTTTTTATTATGAGATTGATTGCTTTTCTGATAACTTGAATTTTAGTTTACAAAAAAGTGAACAAAAATTATTAATAAAATCTAATCTTTCCAGTGCAGTTTTGACTATAGCAACCTTAGAGAGTAAAACAGTAAACTCCATGCATTTAAGAATACAATGGATTCAGGGTACCCTGTGTTCAGACTGGGATGTCACTGAGATATGGCCACTCCTATGGTGACGCTTTCTTTTTCTGCTAATAGGTTTTTGAAGAACCCTCCATCAGCCTTTTTGCTCTGGAGCATTGTGAGGGAAGAGAGTTACATCTAGAAGAGGCTGTGAACTCTGTTCTGAACAAGGACCTACACTTCTACACCCAGTCTGTGTGGGTAAAAAGTGGACTGTAAGTATGGGAAAAAGGCTTGGTCTGGTTCAGTTACTGTTTTAAGACAGAGTTGCAGAGTTGCAAACCAAGTCCACTGTGTAGTAGTACGCATTCAAGTGGTCTTGAGGAAGAGCCCTTTGGAAGAGAAGGGCTACCATATGGTCACAGCATGTGTCATAGAGTAGGTCAATCAAATGACTTTACCCAGTTGAACTTTCTTTTCAGAAGAAATTTCAATATCCCAGCAACTTTGGTTAAGACAATTTCCTGCTTAAGGCAAGTGACTGCTGGCAAGACCAAGTTCGATGTTGTTTTTTGATTTAATAGCCATGTATTCTAGAGCAGTTCCTCCAGGGTACTCACTTGCCTGTGGACTACACTGGTTGGCCTAGCCTGCCTACCAGTATTGTTGTTCATTTAGGTTATCAGTCAGTCAGGGTAGACCCAGGGGCCTGTGCTTTTACAAATTAGAAAGCTGCCTTTAAGAAAAAATTTAAAATTATGATAGAAATATTAGATATCAATGTGAATACTTAGGACAGAAATGGTGAGAAGCCTGTAAGTGAGGGGCCTTGAAGTTGAAGCTCTGTTTGCTTCCTGGAAAATCTGCCTCTGAATCCAGTTCTGAAGAGTCCGGCATATAAACCAGCCCCTACTCCTGCACTGTTAGTGTTCTGGTAGCAAAAGTCAACTAAAAAAACACACATAGCTCTTGACGGTTAATAAAAAAATGGCTTTAAAAGTTTTTCTATGGCTTTGAAATTCCGTGATAATCAACTGTGCTGGTTTAAATATCTGGGGATAAAGAGAAAGCCAATAATATAAGTGGAGGTGAAAATTAAGCAAACTATTATAATAAATGGCTTTTATATTATACACTTGTATAAATAGCTTAAGTTTTCTTCTGCAAAACATTTTAAATGGTTTGATGTTTATTCAGACAAATTGATTTATTCTATCTAAGCATAAGATTCCAATATATTATTTACCAATTAACTAAATTTTACATCCCTGTGATATAGGTCTTTCACAACATTTTAATTCATTTCTTCCCATTTCTGAGTGAAATTGATACTTGACTCACTTCTGAAAATTTCTCACTTTCTTATTTCATTTTTTTCTGGAACACTGGTGCCATTTTATCTTGACATTCTTATTTCTTCTCTTTGGCTTATTAGCCACCTACTCTCACTATTCCAAATTCTCTTTAAGAGAATTGGAACATGGAGTAAGGAACAGTGAAGGCTGCCTAAGGATTTTCCTAGGTTACAGAATACTACTTAATGTACAGCCAGCTTCCCTTAGTTACAAGTTGGGTTTGTTTTAATCCCCATGCTATGCCACATCTTTGATCTGTGATGATGACAGCCATGCTTAAATGCACCATCCCACACAGTTTTCCAACTGTGGAATTCATTTAAATCAATATATAATTAGGTACATTTTCCTAAAATCTTACCTAGATTTTATAACTGAAACTTCCCTGACAGTTTAAAGAATCTGCAGCGGGAGAGGCAGCTAAGCCTGTCCGTGGTCATGCTGACCTGCCTCTCCACCAGTCTGATTGATTAGATTTGTGTAGGAAGGAGGGGTCAAGAATGGGCCATCCATCTCATTCATCTCTCCATAATTTGGTCAAGTCTGATCTTGGTTGTGGGGAGCAAGGAGGACTTTTCTTAGTGGTGGTCAGGTTGAGTCAGTCATCCCTACCCAAGCTTTCATAGCTGTAATACATCAAGCTTTCCTCAGCTCTCCCCTTCTCCCCACAACTTATGCTCAAGTTGGTATCTTTTCCTGCATTACCTGAAGAACAAGTCCCTAAGGAATATTGCACTTTGTGAATTTTAGAAGTTTTTAATCTGGAAAATCGAGGGGCTGAAGTTGCTGCCATAGCAGCACAAGCAACCCTCTGTAGCTTGTGTCCTAAGCCCTGGATGACCCTGTTCCTGAGCTCTGGTCCATCTGATAAGCAGACTACCTTGCCTGCTGCTGGTGCTCTTTGCTTCATCCACAAGGCTTTACCTCCCTTGGTGCAAGCCAGGACAACCCCTGCCACAATTCCAGGTGCTTTATCAAAATAAAGCAAGGCAGCCATCTCATCCTGCACACACTTTCTTAAAGCACTGTGTACACTGACCTTGAGTCCTGCTGAGAATTTCAGGTGCTCTTAGTGACTCCAGCACATTCTCTTTAGTCATCAAGCTTAGTAATCACCTAAGGTGGTGCTTGGCAGACTTTTTCTGTAAAGGGCCAGATAGTCTTTTCAGTTTGTGGGTCATCTGTCTGTGTCATGACTACTGAAGTTGCTATGGTAGTGCAAGAGCAGCCGTAGGCAATCCTTAAAGCAATGGGCATGACTGTGTTCCATTAAATAAGTCTTGAGACTCCAGTGTACTTTTACACACTTTAATGCTGCCAAAGTTGAAGGCAAGGGTTTCGGGGAGGATTCTCAAAGGAGCTGGGCCTTGAAGAGGGTGATGGAGAACTTCTGTGAACAATTCTAAGAAGTCTTGGTGGCTTTGGGGAAGCTGTGGAGGGAGGAGTGGAAGAAGATATGTCTGGAGAGTTCACTGGAGCCACACTTAGAGGCCCTGAAGGACATGTGATGGTGACTCTAGGGGCAGGAGTGTGATTTTCTGCTGGTTAATAGGAGGTTATGGTCTGCCTTTAAATGTTATAATGCTATGACAATGTTATCAAAGAAATATAGGATTTCAGAGATGGAGGAAACCTTGCATTCATTTTGGAAGAAAGGAAACCAGCATTGTAACTGGAACCCAAATCTTCTGAGTCTAGGCCAGTGGGTTTTCTCCTATACCTCCCTGATTTTTGTTAGGAAAAAATGTGCAATTTTAAAAGTCTGCAAACCTAGAAGTTTATGAACCCTATAAGGCAAAGTGCAGATACTTTTGATGAGGGATTTTTTTTTGTTTTGAAGTACACTACTTTTTTCTTTCTTGTTCTCATAGATGGATAGCTTATGAAGGATCCAATTTCTTGGGAAGACAAATCCTACTCAGGCCTAATGAGATCCCAAACTGGACAGCATTCAGCAGATGGAAAACAATTGGTTCCCTCCGTCCTATGAAGCAGGTAAGGAGAAAAGAACCATAAGATTCCAAATAGCTTGCTTTTGTGGTAGAAATGTCATAAACCACAGCATCTGAAATAATGATCATTTAATTTAGTTTGCCATTTACATAGTAGGGGGAGTGAATTAGGATGCGGATATCTTGTACATTTTAACCAATTTGTAAGATTGTATCTAAAGTCAACATTGGATTTCAGTTTTCAGTCCAAAGCCTCATTGGCCATGTTCACTTTTCGTGGAAAACTAAGATACTGTAAGTTCTGTGGCAAACCTTGGTAACAGGAATGAACTTTGATACTGTACTAGTTTTAATTTCTAAGCATTTGGATATTCCCCTCCCTACTTATATAATACTCAGGATGGATCCTGGCAATTTAATTAAAATAAGTATTTATTGCACACCTACTGCTTGTCAGTCTTCTGTTCAAAAGCTTCCCACTGCACTTAGAATACAATCTACCCGCTACCCCACCTTGCTTCTCCAACCTCATCTTTCACATGGTTGTGTCACAGGCATCAAAGTACAGAGTGGTTTCCCACTAAGACTTTTAACATGGGCTGCACCCTCTGTATCGTGTTCTTCCCTCATTCTTTATTTGACTAGTCATCCCTGTAAATTCTACTTAAGTGTCAGGTCCTCAAGAATGCCTCCCCCACCTTCTCTCCCAATCTACATTAGATCATAAAAGACCTGGGGGTTCTTTTTCTACAAAAACACTGTATGCAGTTTATAACCCTAGCGTTATGGTTGGATCGGGGTCTCTCCCACTCTATAGAAAACCCTGTGAAGTCAAGGACTGTCCATGTTTTGCTCATTGCTCTACCCCTAGTGCCTGAAACAATATCTGGAATATTGTAGGAGCTGAGGAACTATTTATTTAATGAAGGAATGAATATATCAGTGGATGGATCAATGATATTATGCAAAGTATAATGGAAAATATAAAGATAGATGCGATTTCTGCCAATATTATTAAAGCTTACATTTTTGTTGGGTAAAACATGTCCAACTCAAAGCAGTAACATAAAATGCAAAACAATGCATAATTATCCAAAAGCCACAGGCAGTCCCTGGTTCAGAGAAAGGAAGTATCAACATGTGTAGGAGTAGTGGGGAGGTTTCATGGAAGGTGGAAAACCCAAGTGAAACTGTCAGGGGTGTGATGGCCCGTGGATATGGCATTAGTACCTCTCTCTAATCTCTTTAGAACACTTTCTTGCTTGATTCCAACAACAGTCCTTTGAGGTAGGAATTATTATCCCCATTTTCTAGTTGGAATAATAAGGCTCTGAGAGAAGAATAAGGCTCCATCTGGAAAATGGGGATAATGATTCCTACCTGTGACAATAAAAGCACATCAAGTGTCAGAACCAGGATTTGGACCCAAATCTACTATGCTTTAAAATCTGTGTTCTTAAGCAACCACACTCTACTTTCCATCAGCCTAAGATCAGCACTTAGAGAGTACCACCTATTTCAGGCACTGAGCTGAATATAGCCTAGTGGATCTAAATGCTGAGGCTCTGATGTTCTGACCTGACACTTATTTAACCCTTACTTAAGTGTTAAATAAATGGTAGCCAATAAAATATTAACCTAATTGGTCTTCTCTCACCCTCTTCACATGCACACATGCACACATGCACACACACCATTCTCATCCCACCACTCATGAGTTCTGTTGGTTCAAATCCTGGCTCTGCCATTTGTAAGCAGTGCAGCTTGGTGAGTCACTTCATTTCTTGGCACCTTAGGTTTCTCACTGGTGAAGCAGTGATCACATTGCTTACATCTCATTGCTGTGACGGTTGAATAAGATAATGTATATGAACAGTCTGATATGGCTCTGGCTCATATTACTATGGTAATACACTTATTTTGAAAATTTTTTATTATTATTATTATTCACAATGTCCCTTGAGATGCTCTTTTGAGGGATACTGAAACATTAATGGCTTTCCTGGCACAGAGTGTGTGGTAGACGATCTCATGACCTTTACATCTTGCTTATTCCCCACTCCTATCATGTGGAACAGGGAGTAAGCCCACTGAAAAGCCATCAGAAAAAGCAAAGTAGAGATAGGAATTCAGTTTAGCTTTTACTAACTACATAATAATGCTGACCCTCTGTTGTTAGAGACTTTAGTAGCCAAGTTCAACAATGAAAATATGTTCCTCATTTTTTAATGGTGGTTCCTTGTTGGGGAAGAAGGATGTCCCTGCCTATTGTTCAAGATTGTCTGGTAAAGGATAGAACAGCCACCTCTACTTTTACAAGGAAGTTTTTTTTAACAAGAATAGTATGCTATTTTCTTTCACTGTGCGTTAGGAGCTACCTGATTCCTATTCTGATTAAACATTTAATTTCAAAATAATATTTTAATAGATTATTTTTCCTTTTGTTTATTTAGGTCACAGTTTTGAAATCCAACAAAGGAATTCTGAGTTTCTAAAATAGTAGTTTGTGGGTCACATTTAAATTTGTGGTAAGGCTGTTGGTACTGCTTTGGTTCATATTCTTGTTTAGAAATTCAGGACTAATTAAAATGTGATCCTCTTTGAGGCTGGGAATTAGGAAGTCACTAAGGTACTTATAATGTATATCAGTGTTTTTAAGTATAATTACAGAGCAGTCAGACTACAAATGTGTAATAAGGGTAATTAGTACCTTGCCTGAGTTAATTGATTAAAACTGTGATGTCTGGTCCTAAAGTAATTGGAACTCTGTCATCTGTGAAGGTCACGCCTGTTTTCTTATATGTACAAGGTAATGAAAATGTAATAAAGATATACTGAAGCCTCAAGAATTAATAATTGCAGTAGATCCGGCTGAATTATAGACATTTAAGTACACTACTGTTGCATTGTTAATGTTGGAAGTAGGGATTTGAAACATTTAAAACATTTTGCCAAGTAGAGAGCTTGTTCGCCTGGTTTAAATGGCCAGATAATTTGTCCTTCTATTGGCTTAAGTGCTGAGAATGTGTATTTCCTTAGGAAGGTTTAATTACCAAAATTCAGTTAGCTTCACGTTGATCTATCAAGTTTCAAAAACAGTAGACTGTTCATTGGTTCTCTTACCATATGACCTATTGCATTTACCTAAGCACTTATGTTTCTTAGCATGAAAGTGCTCTCTTAAGAGACCATTTGTTATTACTCAGCCAGGGTTCTAATTGGGATGGCAATGAGAAGAACCAAAGGTGGGGATGTTGGGTGTCATGTTGGGTGTCATTTATTACATTAAGGCTGGAGGCCTAAGTCATAGGGCTGAAATAATGGCTTCTGTTGTGCTTCCATTATGTGCCCTGCTCTTTCATTGTCCTACACTGCCACCTTTGGAATTCGTCTCTTATTCCCTGTGCCTAAGAGCAACTAGTGCATTTCAACATAGGTCTGAGAGCATCCTGGTTAAGAGGAACCTGGCTTCTTTACATCTGTGTTCACCTTATTTGTAAAACTAGGGTATAATTGTACTTTCTTAATAGGTTTTTGTGGTTATTCTGACAAATAACATAATGGCACAGAATGCATTTAGCATGCTGCTTACACATACTACGTGTTCAATAAATATTAGCTATTCTCCTTAGAGGCAAGTCCCAGGTTTAATATTTTAAAACTTTTTGTATGTATCTTAAAACTTCCAGGCCAAGGGGATGAAGTCCTTTGTTACACAATTTTTGAGTACCTAAGTATAGTCATTAAACATACATGGTCTCTACTTTTGAAGAAATAAAGGTCTTATATAAACAAATAATCACAGCTACTAGTGCCCTCAGCTATCTGGGTTTTTCAAGACCTCCCAGGGCCAACTTATGGCATTTAGTCATAGCTCCACAGTATGTCTTTCTGAAGTTTTTAGAAAATCCTTGTAGGTAATAACTCCCCTACCTCCCTCAGCACAGCTGGGACACACTATTGAATGAAACTCATCAAGTCCCTAATTCTTTACCACCCCACTCCTCACCACATGGAATTCTAGTGAAAGAAACTTTTACTTCATGCTGTTCAAAAGGGCACTTTTCACAAAGTGTAATAGAGACTGTACAATTTAAGCTTTATGCTCCACGGCCTAAGGATTTACCATATTAATCTATGCAGATTTACTAAAGGGAATAAGAGTGAAACTGATATAACTAAGATAGTTACCTCTCACTTTCCCTCCCAGCTTTCCTCCTCTGGAAGGATTCATTTCCAGATTCAAAAGTTTATTTCTAAATGGCTGTTTCTCCTGTCATAGCCTGCAGTGTACATCAGAATAAAGAACCGTGCCCAGGGTGAATATCTGACAGTCACTGGAAGTCTAGCAGACACCAGGGCAACATCTGTGTGCATTTCTCCCTATAGTGGAAAGAATACTCAGATCTGGTACTACTGCCGAGGACTCTTTAAATCCAAGGTAAGCAATCCCACTGATACAGTATGCCACTTTCTGGTCTGTTTTTTATTTTGAAAACTAGAATCCTGTCAAATCAACTGGCATGATAAAACAATGCAACTTCTTAGAAACAGGTGTTGATTATAAAAATACTGCCATATATTACTAAAACATTTATATAAAATTAACTTAATTTTTTGAACAAGAAAATCCAGTTTCAATTTTTAAGTAAACACAAAGGTTATCACATATTATGGATATACCTAAGTGATTTTTTACAACCAATGGTATAAGTCACCAGATCTAAGTTGGACAATGTGCTTTTGTAAGATGTTCCTTACTTGATGGCCCAGATAAAATCAGCCATCTCTGTGATTCTAAATATGTTGAAACCTTTCATTTTCAAAGTATACAAAGAAGCAGTAGAAGAAGAAAGCTGTTATTGGAAGAAGCTTAGAAAATAAAATTTAGGGTTCTTTTCTATGACCCTTCCGTTATGTTTAATGCATTGGGAATAGAACACTACTTTAAAAACATTCAAACTGTGTTTTATTGTATCACCAATGGATTATCTACTTTTTCTCATGCTTCAAAAATGAAAAACTTTTAAAAGTAATTATTGTCTGGATATCTTTAGCCCATCATGCAATGTTTTCATAAGAAAACCAAGCTCAACATAATACGTTTTAAGCAAACAGGGATTTAACATTTAATTCCAATTCACCAAATCTTTATTGAACATCTGTTGTCAGATGTAGACATCCTATTAAAAACAAGTACCTCTATTTCAGTTGGTTTATTTCTGTACCATCTCCTACCCACAGCCGTAAAGAAGACATTAAAAAAGGCTTACTGAAATTATACTATATAGTATTTTTTTAGATAAGACACACACACACTTCATGTCTATGACTTGTTTACCTAAGATAAAAGGGACCTAATTCAACTTACTTTAGCAAACATACTACTGCCAATTAATCATTTCTTAACCCTTTTAGGCCAGTGATACATGTCTTGATGTGATTGGTGGCCGGGACACACCTGGAGCTAAAGTAGCTCTATGGACTGAACATGGGCAATTCAGGCAGAAGTGGAGACTGAATAAAAATGGAACTATCAGCTCTTATCTCAGTGATCAACTTGTCCTTGATGTTAAAGGTGGGCCTTTGATGATACCCAATGTTGTGTCCCTGGATATTAGTTTCAGTTCCAAATCTCCTCATTTTGGGTAAAGGACATCCTTATGTATAAGAGAAATGTTAAGTCATTTAAAATTATGCTTGAAGAAAATTAAGATAGGCAGTTTTACAAACAAAACAATTAGCAGAAAAAGCCAAACAACAAAGCTTAGGGTTTTTGTTCATTAGTACAGTTGTAAAACTTTCATTTGCTACGTGAACTCAGAACAGTTCTAAATTTCAAGCACCATAAACCATGAAATGAATGTCATCTGTTTCTTAGAAACATCTCTAGCTTTTTGCCAGGAATTGCCATGGTCCTTAAAAACCCTCAGGTAGAATTTATGGTAGGTATCAATTAACCTTGTTTTTGAATTCAGCAAGGTCAGGGCCAATATTATTCATGGCTGTTGCTTTAATTGGGTTAGTCACAGTTTTGTTGGTGTAGAAACAAAAACACAGTACCTGACATTCAGCCAGAGTTCTCTCAAGAGCACTTTGTTCTAAAGAATCACATTAAGGCACGCCACTTATACAATCATGTATTATACCTTTTAGTATTTCAATTTGAGTCATAATAAGGTCCAATTTGAGGTGAATAATGGCTAAGCCTGTTCAAACTCAGCTTCCCATTTCAGACTTCTTTGTAAATGACACATTCATCCACCGAAATGGTGAGCTGAACAGAAGCTTGTGAAAATTGTGAAATTGCTAAGCACCTGCCTGAACAAATAATCTTTTCTTTTGGAATTTCTATTTTAGGAGGAAATTATTGTGACAAGACTCATGTAATTGTAAATCAGCCCCTGGAGGGAGAAGAAACACAGAAATGGGACATTGAAATATTGTGAGAGAATCAACATCCCTAGAAAGATCCCTAGAAAGAGCAAAGAAGGAAACACATCTGTCATTGTCTTGTGGACGTGGAAAGGAAGCTACTGTCCTCACACTCCTGGATCACTGAGCAGAATGAACATTTTCTCCAGCCTCTGAGACTATCGCTCTTAACCATGGAAAAGCTCAAAATATTCTTGCCATTACTCAGTGTTCCTATAAAGAAAATATTATGATATCTTGGAAAGGTTCTATTCCTGATCTCCAGCTGTGGTGAGCAAGTTTCCTGAAGTGTTTATTTTCTCTCATATCCACCAAACGTGAATCCTGTTCCTGATGGCCCGTTATTGGACACTGGTGATGCTATTATCCTGTATTATTTATTAATATCCTACCTAGATGCTTGTATGAGTACAAAGCATAAAGAAACAGATTTCTATAGGTCAAGTCATACTTTTGCAAACAGATGAGTAATTTTTTAGCAACACCTGAAAATATACTAAACTTTCCTAGATAAACTTTAAGGTTTCTATACTGAGGCTTTTATAATGAACGCACCTCGTTAAGTATTTATACTTGTAACTAACCCCAGGCAGGGACCTCAGCTTTGTTAGGAATAAGGCACAAGAAGTATTTTCTGTAGCTATTGTTTCCTCAGTCCTTCAAACTAAAAAAGTACAAATAAATAACCTATGGCCAAACTTGCACTGTTACGTGTTAACCAAGACATCCCTTTAGGTGACAAGACTCTATAACAGTGGTTACCTGTCTCCATGTTGACACTTCATCCTAGATTTAAGGAGAGGCATCAATTTTTTTTTTTTTTTGCCTCAAGAGAAATTTCAAATATCCAAATTAAAACACAGTAGCATTTGAACCTTGACCTTACCATCTCTTTAAGTAAACGTGGAGTTGATTTCTCTACTAAATAACAGAAACCTCAGTTTTTCACTCCCATTGTAAGTAACTTTTATTTAAGTAAGTAAAATCAGGTAGGAAATCACCTTTGACTTAGCTTCCAGTAGTCATTACCACCTTTTACTGCACAATTCACAAGCATGTTTTCCTGGTGAATTGGACTGAAAATTACATTTTGACAACTTTTTTTCCTTTTATCCCCAACTTTTGCCAGAAAGCAGAAAAATGCTCTATTTTTATAAAGAAAGATTAAATTCTCCAATGATATTTTAAAAAATATCAACCTACATGCACTTTAGAATGTAAAATAACAATGACTATTTTAAACTCGAAGACCCACTATTTTGAGTATTTTTTATAGACTTTAAATACTGGGTTTTTTTCCTCCTTCAATCTCAGGCTTTTCTCCATCTTTTAAGCAGCCTCTGTAACTCCCTTTTGTCCATAGGTGTTGCGTGCCTCTCATCTGTGGGGAAGTATTATTTAATAAAATTTATGTTACAGGATAACTTTATTTTAATGGGCATGGGCTTGTCTATACACAAAGGTATGTATATTTTCATTATAAAAAACCAGTTTAAAATTTTTTCTTATTTTAATTGTTTGAAATTTTTCTAGAGCCAAAGAAGCTCTTTAAAGAAGTTGTTTCTTCCAAAGAACAAAGCCAGGTTAATGACATTCAATTCTAAATGATACATTGGAATTGTGCCTTTTCTACCACACTGGATTAAATAAACTTGTCAAAATATGGTTTTGTCATTTTCTGAGACACTTGGTAATTTGCTGTTCTTTCTTTCATGTGCCCGTTAGTACATTTGGCCAACTGACCACCTGTAACAGGGAGGTCTCATGTTTGTTAGTAGATACGCAGGTAAGGAAACTTGAATTCATCCTCTCCTCGGCTCAGGTCTTTGCTTTTCTTTTAATATATGCATATAAAATAGTAGGCATTTGATTCTGCAAAGGCACTAGACTACTTGAATTAAACATTCTGTCCAGAGGGATAATACCAGGCTTTCCTTTTCCTCATCTGTAGTAAGTTTCAGGTCCTTGACAGAAATAGCTGGACTATTCCAAATTTGCTTCAGTGCATCCAAATGTGACAAAGGGAAGCGAAGTCCATGAAACTGAAAGGATAAATTTATTTGTCAAAATATATGTATACTACTTATGTCATTGAAGTAGCATTTTCCTGTAAATTTATTCTCCATACATCATTATTTTTGATACCCCTCATGAGTATTTTAGACACACTACAATTAGATAACATAAAAGATGCCAACTTCTATATAAAAGGCATCCTAATTTATGTAGTAAGTGATATTAGTAATTTGAAATGTTTTACATTATACCATTCCTATAAGGCTACAGGTCCCAGCTAGTATGTCTTAAAACTGGTGTGCATGTATCACAGAAATGTCTGACTTAATCATCCCCATGCAGGAGCTCTGTGAGTAGTGCAAAATGGTTAAGTCCACAGTGCAGCCATAAAAAGCATATTACCTGTAAATCAAAAATAATCAATTCTTCCCAACCACCACCCAAGTCACAGGATAGGCATTTGTTTTCAGTTGAAACAAACCTCTGTTTCCTCCTCATTTCCCATCATGTGTGTCTCTCTACTATTCTTTAAGGAATGATAGATGTACACCATCTTTTCTTGAGCTTCATCCTTTGGGGAAAAAATAAATGCATTAGGCCATCAACAACACAACACTGAAGGTGTCAGTACTAGGAAGGTTTTCCAATAGGTCAACACCAAAAAAAATTTCAAAAGCCTTGGTGCTCAAGTGAAATTTATTGAATACTGTAAAGAATCCTTTTGGCAAAAAGTGACGGGTGTGTGCATCCACACAATGTCTATACTTCATTAGTCACCACAGGTTACTATTTGTATGTGGCAATTAATGGGCATTCTAAGTTGTTAAAACAGCTGGAGTGCTACCTGGAAGAGCATCTTCAGGATTTAATGAAAAAGCAGTGATTTATGTATCAACTTATCAATGAAATCCTCAGTTTTTTTAATCATACCTGCACTATCTTTTTTGAATAAAAAAATCTGACATTTCTAGGTATAAACTGACAATTTATAATCATGAAGTCATTAACTCCTGAGAAATACCAGCTGTGTGATCGATAAAAAACTCCATTTCAATTACACTACCCTCCCAAATGGTCCCTATCTCCCTTCACTCCCCATGTTACACAGTGCAGTTTATTGTCTCTTCCAGAGCCTTTAGTCATTCTTTGTCACCTCTTAGATAAGGGCAAAAAAATCTTAGCCTAGCGTACAATGTCTCAAACTGACTGGTTATCAGAATCACTATTTTTTTTTTAGACAGGGATGTAGGAATGTGTACTTTTGAGGATGTATATATATATATATATATATCTATTCATGTATATTCATATATATATTCCAACTCTGGCCCTGACGGCTGGAACAATCTGGTTATCGAGACATGTTGAGTGCCCCTCTCATCCCCCTTGATCATTCATGGGATAGCTCCTTAGAGAGCTGATTAGGAGGAATGAGGTGGAGCCATATGGTATGAGATCGTTCCAAGGTCTTTAGGACTGTACAGGGAGCTCTATCAAAACATAAATCCAAAGGCTCCAAGACCAGATGAAACCCAGGAATTTATAATTTTAAAAAGCTTTCCAATTGACTCCATGATCAGTTAGCCAGTTTGGGGAATCACTGGGCTAGGAAGCAAAATTACAGAATATATACTTTGTTCTCCATAATCTACAGGATAGAGTTTAAGGAGATGCAACAATATCCACAAAACCACATAGAAATATAGATCTGCACAGTGTGGAGGACTGGGGCTGAGAAACTCAGGAATGAGGTCTGTGGCTGTCCAAGCAAGAACAGTAAGGCCCGAAGTAGGATGAGAAGCAAAGACCAGACATTAATCACCACATAAAGGGGATGAAGGAAGGTTCTGTGAGGATGAGGGCAAGAAAATATGGAATTGGAACTGTGAGATTTGGTCATCATCTGACCTGAAGAAATGGCATTAAACTGAATGCAGGTGGATTCCTAAAGAAGGGCAGAGACCAGTGGTTAATCTAATAACCTGAGGCCTCTGATGAAAAACACCCTGAGAAGACAGGAAATCTCCTCCTCTTGGATACTCACAGATTGATCTTGATCCGGCAGTACTGTGAGGACAATGTGGTCTTTAAACTGCAGTCTCACTACACTGTCCAGCCTCGGTAACTTTCCACCTAGAAAACCCCAAAGAGAGAAAGCCGACCTTCAAAAAAGGAAACAGGCAGATTCAAACTTGCTTATACATACACATAGGAAACACATTTACTAACAATTTACAGGTGAATCCAAACATGGCATACACTCCAACTGAAGAATTTGCTTACCCCAACATTGTACTGATATTATAGTTCACATCATTATGCAGCTCATTCTTACAGTGAAGACAGACATAGATAAATAATGTAAGTTTATAAGTACAATAAATAGACAAAAATAATACCATCGAAGTACAGTGGCTATCATAGCACATAAGGCTGTGGTGCTTTCTGCACAGAACACTCACTCCTCCAGGTTCTGTCCTCTACAAGCTTCTCGCTCAACATATGGACTCTGGAAGTACTACCTGAGTTCAAAATTGCACTACTCCACCAATTATTAGGTGTGTGACCCTGGTCAATTATTCAGTCTATGTAAGTCAAGAATAGTATCCTATAAAAGCCATCTAATAAAGTCCACAGAAAATTTTTTTTTTCCAAATTGGATTTAACTTAGTGGAACAATACCCAATAAAAACAGACTAGCCTTACAGGGTCATCTGCGTGGGGAAGGAGTCGTGAGGGATCATCACTTTATTGAGTATAATGCCTAAGATAAGGAAAACACTGAAGTAGTCTGGGCCATAAGCTGGTGCATAAGCAAACTGTTCTGCTAAAGATTAAACCATGTGCTTGTAAAACATTTGCTATTTTGAATAGATACAATCAAAAACAAATTCTAAGCTTCCTCCAAAGACTATGATAAAAATGTATATAGAATCAGTGTTGGAAGGGACCTTATAGATTATCTATCTCAGTGGTTCTCTCTTGGTCATAATTAAGAGTTTTATTAAAGTTAGTAAAAAATACTCTTTTCACTCAACCCTGAGAAAGAACAGCAGCCAAAAAGCTGGCCTGGCACTCACAGCTAGGTCTTTGTGTTCTCCTGTTGAACACAGGCAATTCCACAGAATGCTAACATCAGAGATCACTGTCACCATGATAGGTCAAAACAAAACACCACCACTCCGTACATACTCATGTCTGGACTCAGGCAAGGCAAGAACATATTCCAAACCACAACACTGACCGAACATCCCCCTACTCTGGCTAATGAGTGACCACTTCCGCTTTACCATTGATAACTTCAGCCTCATACATTCCTCCTGCCTACCAGATAACATTTAGGAGACTTAATCATAGAATCCCTTCCATTTCCTGACAGCATCCAATCCAGAGCAAAGCCCTGCTTCCTTGAACCCTCTCCAAAATCACCTAACATACACCTGAGTCCTATAAGTCTTTTCTAACACCGTTTTACTGAGATGCCCTGCAGTTCTCAATGGTGTGTGGTCTTCCCACTGCAACAAGTCAATAAATCCAATTTCGTCTGAATTCAGGAGTATGTTCTTGGTGGTCTTTGCTATAGGATACTGACATCATCCATCTGGAAGTCATCAATGACATCATCCATCCAAAAGTATGTTATATCATTTGCAGCCTAAATCTGTCATAAATTAGGCACCTGTGCCTTGGAGAAGGTTGATGATAATCTTGGACATTTCTTGAATCTCACTGGCTGATGGTAACAATTTTACCCATGCTATGATTTGGATGTTTGTCCCATCCAAATCTCATGTTCAAATTTGATCCCCAGTGTGGAGGTGCAGCCTAAGGGGAGGTGTTTGGGTCACATTGTGGGGAGCAGATCCCTCATGAATAGATAATTCCCTGGGGTTGGGGGCGGTGAGTGACTTCTTGTTCCATTAGTTCCCATGACAGCTGGTGTTAAAAAGAGCCTGGCACTTCTCCTCGCTCTTGCTTCCTCTCTCACCATGTGTTCTGCAAATGCCAGCTCCCTTTCCCCTTCCACTGTGAGTAGCCTGAGGTTTTCTCCAAATGCAGATACCAGCACCATGCTTCTTGTACAGCCTGCAGACCATGAGCCAAATAAACTTCTTTTCTATATAAATTACCCAGCCTCAGGTATTCCTTTAAGCAACACAAATAAAGACAACCCAACCCTGACTTAATTCCAACAAGATTATTTCAATGTTCAAATTTTGAAAACTTCCTGAAGACTATGAATACCAGAGTACCTATAAATATACATATTTCTCACCCAAAAGGACAGGGCTCTTATTTCCCATCAGGGTGGGATACAAGTTCTTTCCAAATGACTTCTAAGATACAGGTTGCTAAAGGTTGAGTGCAGCACATCTCGTCTGCCCATATTCACTAAGGATGGATGTGGTCCACATTAACACGAAAGCACTTCATACTTTCCATCTGTTCAAAAAGGAGCCTACCCAGAAAAACCGTAAACATCCTGCATTAGCCTCTGACCACCCAGAAGAAAACAGCAAGCTCCACCTGGTGTTGACAGCTCTGCCCCATCTCCCGCAGAGTAAGGGGGGAGTCTGTGCATAATAAAATCCTTCTTCATGTCTGAGGAAAGCAGTTCTTTGGTGCCCTCCAGCCGGTCTGCAAGTGTCCTCAGGAAGCCACTTAATCGTCTTGTAGCAACAGTTGTGGATTCCACCTGCTAGGAACACAGAAGTGAGTCCTGGCCCAGATGCCAGCAGAACTTACTGCCCAGCTCAGTCTCCACAGTAGACTGCAAAACTGCCAGCCACCGGGTATAGACATTAATCCATGTCATTCCAAAGGGGAAGGGACAACCTGAGCCCCTAAGAATGATATCTCATCATTTCCTTATAAACACTGTTAATTCTAAGCTGCCTATTGTTTGCAAAAAATTTTCAGAATTTTGCCTAGAAATAGAGATCCTTGGAAATATGGTACAGTCTGAGCTCTGCCTTTTGGAAAGCAGGTCACTGTCCTAAGATGAATGCTTCAGAGAAAGCAACCTTTGCTCAACTCAGCTCTAATCCACTCATCTCAAAACTAATCAAATAACACTCCTGTTTCAAAATGTAATAAAAGAACAGGAGGCCAACGAATACACCGAGGCCAGGATCTCCAGTACAGTGAGTTTCTCTTAACTAGTAATCTGATGTGTGCTAAATCTACAGTTCTCCTGGCCGTACTATTCATTTACTCAACCAACATTTTCACACTGCCTGCTACTGCCACTGTGAAATACAGAGCTGTCTGTACAACATCACAGTTCTTTGGATCACCACATAACACATGGCACTCCACTCATTCTGCAAGTCACACAGCTCAGCAGTGCAGCACAGTAGACAAGCCTGGCTCATGTTGGAAGAAGTATCCTGGGGTCCTTAAGGTAGGACTTCAGCTGGCCTGGGCTGCAGCTACCATCCTTCATTCCTACCTGCCTTTACTCCTTACCAGGAGCAGCTGCCGGGGTATGCCGGTCCGTAACTCCACGTCTTCCTTTGCAGTATCAAATACAAGCCCCGAGATGGTATCCAAAAGGAAATCTCCCCATGAACTAGGATATGCACCAAGGGGGAAAAAAAAACCAAAACAGTGAGTGCATACGAAATATACATAAAATACTTATTGCTAGTAAAGCCAAAAGCTACAAATTGGATTATGGCTTCCCTGTCCAGGCATTTTGAGTTCCATTAATTGGACATTACTCAGCATGGAAATCTAAGACCTTCATCAACCACCCTGTTTCCTCCCTCCCCGTTCCAGACACTCACTTGCAAAGTTAAAAGTGGGAAGCTAGGCTTCAATACTGATTTCTCTTAAAAGCTCTCAGAAAATTAACCATAGACTTTCATAAAACAGGAAGTTCAATGGACCAAATTTTTAACAAAAGTGTCTATGAGGGGAGATTTGTAGGAAATTTAAACAGTCATTATAGGATCTAAAACCAAATTTTATGTGCAATAAATACAACAAATTTGGGGTAACAGCAAGATATCTGGATTGTGTAATTATTTGAACAGTTGTATGTTACATTTTCCTTGTCACTTACAAGGGATGCTACTCCTAAAGAAAATATCTACCATCAATAATTCCAAAACAATTATGTCTAGCAGTGGTTTTACCGGGGGATAGAAGCCAGTGACTAAAAATAACATCTAGGGACAAATATCCCTATTCAATTACCTTTGCTTTCTCTGGGGTATCTGGAATTGGCTCATTCCTAAGTGCGTGCCGGTGTAAGAAATGCACTCTGTGGGGATGCTCTCTTTAAACATTTCTTAGCTATTTAAAATTTTCCTGTGTCACCAGCAGATTTCAAATTGCCGGCTAGTAGAAAATGGAAATTCACAGTATGACTTTTACTTCTCACTCAGTAAGCAAAATTAACACTGTTATGCTTCCCTCCCAGAAAAGTTGCAAAGGAGGACAAAAGCCACATGAGAGACACTTTTCCCAAGACATCTACTACCTGGCGGCCTCACTGCTTTGTGACTTAATGTTATATCCAACCCTGCATCTTTAATTGAGTCTCAACCCGGAGGGCACATGCAGATCTCTCAGCACCATACAATATGTGCTTCCTTTGCAGGTTTATGTAGGTGGAAGTCATACAGCAACAGCTCATGGAGGAATTTAGTAGAAGTTAAATAGTGCTCCTCTAAGAGTCAGAATAGATATTGGGACTTCCCACAATTTAGGAATATCTCTTGAAGGGTCCACTTTGGTAAAACAACCAAATCAACAACATACAGCAGACCCCCAAACACTCCAACAATGCTACCTTGACAGGTGTTAGGAAGAGGCCCCAAATATTCACCTTTACATGGTACCTGAAGGAGCATTAGGCTCAAAACACAGGATCATTTCTGGGGAGCAATGGCCCTCAAGTCACATCTTCTCATTCTAGCTCCAGCATCACTGTCCAAGACACAGGTCAAAATCCAGCCTGGACACATTGATCATGGTACCCACCCACAATCCTAAGCAGGCAACTTCTGTAACTTAGGAAGCTCTTCCCAGCCCCAGCTGAAAAGAGAAGAAATGAATAGGACCCAGGGGCAGCCGGCCAGTTCCTCACTCTTGGGATTGGGAAACAGAGAGTGAGTCAGGTCCTTAGCAGAAGCAAAAGCTAACAGGGTCAATGAGATGGAGGTCAGAGTAGCAACTGGTGATGGCCTAATGTTATGAGTAAACAGAAGCTGAAGAAGGAACAGAAGGGAGAAAACACCAGTCACTAGAAAACCAGTTGGTAGCAGCAAGAGAAATGGAAAAGAGAATTACAGAAAGGGAGTACCTGAGAAACATTAACGATGGGACACCCACAGATGCACGGATATTCAAAGGGCCAAACTATGTGGTCCAGAACTGCTCTGAATCCAGAATGGACTTCTAATTCCAGCCTCTCTGTAGCCTGGAGTTTCTAGGACTCACTCCCTCAAGTGACCCTGCACTTCTTGAGCTGGCTTTGGTGACTTTCTGTCCCTTAAAATGCAAGGAACCTACCTAGCCAAAGTGATGAGGGCATTTTTCAAAATGGAAGCCTAATACAAACTTGGGCCTTCTACTTGTGGGAAAGATAGCACTAAACTAGGGCCAGGCCTCAGCTAATTCCTCCAGTAAGTCTTTTAAATGTAGAGGTGAAATTCACACTGAAAAGTCTGATGAGGAAGCAGAGGTATGCTTACTAACTTGTTTTGCAAGTTCTGGCCCTGAAGGTAGGAGGTGACTTGCCGTCCCTTGGACCTAGAATGTCCTCTCCTACTCTGATCTGCTGACCCACCCCTACTTACTCATCCTTTAAGACTCACTCAGCATTGGTGTCATTTCTGAAGGCTTCTCTAATGCCCCTACTTAGCTAAATGCATTCCTCTATGCTCCAAGAGTCTCCTCTGCAAACCTACAATAGAATTTATCACACCATCTCTTCTCCTACAACCAATTCCAAAGTATAAGCTCTCTCAAAACCCCTTCGATAAAATCCTTGAATTCCCAGCAACAAACACAATGTCTAGTACATATTTGTTTAACACATTAACTCATGACTAGTATTTTTTTTTTTTTCCTGAGACAGGGTCTCGCTCTGTCGCCCAGGCTGGAGTGCAGTGGCGTGATTTGGATCACTGCAACCTCCACCTCCTGTGTTCAAGTGATTCTCCTGCCTCAACCTCCAGAGTAGCTGGGATTACAGGTGCACACCACCACACCTGGCTAATATTTGTATTTTTTTTAGTAGAGATGGGGTTTCACCATGTTGGCCAGGCTGGTCTCAAACTTCTGACCTCAAGCGATCCACCCGCCTCAGCCTCCCAAAGTGCTGGGATTACAGGAGTGAGCCACCACGCCTGGCCATGATTAGTATTTTTAAATATGATTTGGACCAGCAAGGTTGCTGCTTTTTGGATATAACTCACACAGCACTGCCACCCAGTGAGGAGGTACTAGCTGAAATGAACATGATTTTAATTGGAACTGCTGTCAGCACATGCACTTTAGTTCCTGCTGTTCCAGACTGCCTGTCCTACTTTAACTTCATGGACTGTAAAAAGAGAAACCCTCAAAGAGACCAAGAGATTTCAATGGGTACAGAGTTTCTGTTGGAATAAACATGTTTTAGAAACGAATAGTGGTGATGGCTGCACAAGAGTGTGAATGTAATTAATGTCAAACTATGCTTTAAAATGGTTTAAAATGGTATATTTTATGTTCTATATATTTTATCATATTAAAAAAAAAGAGAGAGAGTATGAGCCCAGCCTGGCATCACTAACACACTGATGTACCCACAGCTAGTCTCTTTCTTTCCAAACTATGTGACTCTCTATTTGGGCAATGCCCCACATCCTACAGAGTCAGGTTCATGATGTCCCCAGAAGCAAGTCCAGAGGGACCAGTCACATACATGGGACATCAAAGGAATGTGGAAGTCAGTAAAGGACATAAACCCTGGGGTTTGCATAGGAGGTAGGGGCCAACTCCCTCATATCCCTCCTGAATGTGGCTGCTGCAGGCCAGGACTCAGAGCTGTCCTAGCATGTGCAGCTGGGAGGCAGTGTTTACTTGTTCTGGTAGGTGCTGATGGTC
The DNA here is from genome assembly GCF_000001405.40 of Homo sapiens. Lineage (NCBI taxonomy): Eukaryota > Metazoa > Chordata > Mammalia > Primates > Hominidae > Homo > Homo sapiens. The sequence continues at coordinate 97,954,416 of NC_000003.12, forward strand.
ACGTGAGTAGAGTGGGCCAGCCCCGCAGGAGTGTCCGCTTGATGAATGGTTCCTCTGGGAAAGTACAACAAATCACCCGGCTAAAGGAAGGAATAGGAAAGGGTAGAGAAGTTAATAAGTATTCCTTCTCAGTCCTCTTCATTTCAGGGAGATAAATATGGGCTTTGAGTCTCAGTTCTCCATTCTAGAAACCACAACCTCAAGGCACAGTCTATATGCTGGGCTCATGTCGTGTGCAGCTAGTCTAGCTTCTCTGTGTCCGTGAGCCTGTCACTGTTAACCATGATCCACGAGAGGCTCTCGGTGCCTGAAGTCACTATCTTTTCATTCTCAAGCTGAGACTAGACTCACCTGAGACTACCCTGCCCTGATGCAGGGATCAAGGAAGGTAACATCCTGTGCCTGGGACGCCTGCTTCCTCCCTCTTGCATGCTTCAGTGGTTAAGAGTAGGAGCTTGAATTTAGAGTCACACAGACACAGCCACTTACTGGCTGATGATCTGGCAATTTACCTGCCCAAAGCCTCAGTTTCTTTATCTGTAAAATGAAGTTTAATAGCCCCAAACCTTACAGGATTATTTTGAGGATTAGAGATGCTGCTTCCAAGCTCTTAGGGCAATGATGGGCATGTGATTGGATTATATGATTTTATCCGCCAGTCCCCCACTTCCTGATAATTTTTGAGTACTTCTAGGCGCAGGGTCTGTATCTTACCATCTTGTCTTTCCCAGAGCCTACCCTAGCAAAGCACCTAGCACTCAACACAGGCTCAATGAATGTTGGGATGAATTGAAAAACTATACAATCCCTATTTCAACTGAAAAATAAGATGTAATCAAAAATTCATCATTTTCTTGGGCAGCTGAGCCTCCTCTACCCTATTCCAAGTGGGTGGACCAAAACATTCTCCCCAAATTACTCCTGCCCTGAGCTGCCTCCTTCCCAATCCCACTCAGGCCAAAATATTCCATGTAGCAGCTACCTATGGAGAAAAGAGGGAATCTTGAGGGCAGCTCATCTTCTCTCTGCAACTACAAGAGGTAGTCTAGTGCAATGGTTAAGACCATGAGCCCTGGAGAAAGAGCTCAAGAAATGCCAGCTTAAAAAAAAAAATTAAGATTCTCCTCAAAGCAAGAGGAATATATCATGATATATATTCATAAGAGCTATCTTAGTTGCAAATTTTCCCTGAATGACAACAAACTGACAGTACTTCAAGTAAATGCTTTACTGATAATTATAACTATCATTTACTGAGTGTCTCTGTGCCAGCCTGAGTGAGACTCTCAGGTATACAGTCACATGCCACTTAACAATGGGGTTATGTTCTGAGAAAAGTGGTATGTCACTGCGCAAACATCAGTGTACTTACAAATCTAGGTAGTATAGTGTACTACCTACATTACATGGTACAGCCTACTGCTCCTAGGCTCCAAACCTATACAGCATGTGACTGTACTGAATACTGTAGAAAACTGTAACACAATGGTGTTTGTGTACTTAAATATATCTAAACGTGGACAAGAAAAAACACAGTATAAACAATAATAAATGGTACATCTACATAGGACTGGAAGTTACTCTGGGTGAGCCCGTCAGTGATGGTAAGTGAATGGGAGAGCCTAGGGCCCTACTGTACACTTTTATATGACTAGCAAAGAAGTAGGGTTGTTTAGACCAGCATCACCACAAACACGTGAGTAATGCGTAGCACTACAACATTTTACAATGGCTACAATAACACTAGGTGATAGGAATTTTTCAGCTTCATTATAACCTTATGGGACAACTGTCACATATACAGTCTGTTGTTGACTAAAATGTCAACTGGCACATGACTATATTTCATTCATTTCATACACATTTGCCCCACCCTCCTGGCTGGAAAACGTAAGTAAACATTCTCCCCTACAGCCTCCTGAAGGAATGCAGTACAGCAACCCTAGAGAGATCCCTTTTAGTCTCCTGACCTTCAGAAGCATAAAATAATGAATTTATGTTGTTTTAAACCATTGAGTTTGTGGTAATTTGACAAGAAGCAACAGAAAAACTCAGACAGACATACAGATATTGCCTCTAAAGATTTTTTTTTTTTTTTGAGACGGAGTTTCGTTCTTGTTGCCCAGGCTGGAATGCAATGGCGTGATCTCGGTCACTGCAACCTCCATCTCCTGGGTTCAAGTGATTCTCCTGCCTCAGCCTCCTGAGTAGCTGGGATTACAGGCATGAGCCACCACGCCCAGCTAATTTTGTATTTTCAGTAGAGATGGGGTTTCTACATGTTGGTCAGGCTGGTCTCGAACTCCTGACCTCAGGTGATCCACCTGCCTCGGCCTCCCAAAGTGCTGGGATTACAGGCGTGAGCCACCGCACCCCGCCTAAAGATTTATTGTAAAGGAGGCAGCAAAATAATATTTTTCAATCCTCATAGCCTGCAAGGTAAATATCATGATCTCTGTTTTAATAAAGAGGAAACTGAGACTTGGATTAATAACTTGACCAAGGACATACAGCTAATAAGTGACAGCAGCTGAATTCAAACTCAGATCTGTCAGATCCCTGAGCCACAGAGTGGTGTTTCCATCACAGGCGTGATCTCATCCTGGGAGTCTGGGTCTGCAGATGAACTGCACGGGCTGCCACTAGCATAGGGGAAAGAAGCGGATAAGGGCTCCAAGACCCCCACTGTCACCCTCCCATGCCCATCCCTCAACCACAGCCACTAAGCCTTTCTATTTCATCATTGGGCATTGACACAAGGTTTCGCCTGAAGAGGCCCACTGGTTAAAAGCTCAAATGTGGGCCAGGCGCAGTGGCTCACGCCTGTAATCCCAGCACTTTGGGAGGCCGAGGCAGGTGGATCACGAGGTCAGGAGTTTGAGACCAGCCTGGCCAACATGGTGAAACCGTCTCTACTAAAGATACAAAAAATTAGCCGGGCATGGTGGTAGGCAGCTGTAATCCCAGCTACTCGGGAGGCTGAGGCAGGAGAATTGCTTGAACCCGGGAGGCGGAGGTTTCAGCTAGCTGAAATCACGCCATTGCACTCCAGCCTGGGTGACAGGGTGAGACTCTGTCTTAAAAAAAAAAAAAAAAAAATGACATGCACATACACATACACACTTGAACAATACTGTACAACATGGTCTTTCTCTGTCCAGGAGACTCAGTGCATCTCCTAATGGACTCTGTGTTGACTGTTTAATGGGCATGGGCATGGCAACAATACAAAGAATCCACACCCTTTACACTTAAAGGCCACTATGAAGCCTGACCTTCTCGGGCAGAGCAAGTAGCCAGGTCACCGGCCTGAGTAACTCAGCCCTGACTTCCGAGAGTACAGATGGCTTAGTCTTTAAAGATAACCAACCGTGAATCTATGTAAACATGATGCAACAAAGCTGGCAACCTCTGTGAAGAGCCAAATGGAAAGACAGTACGTATTTTTGGTTTGCGGGCCATGTGATCTCTGTGGCAACTAGTCCGCTCTGCTGGTGTAGTATGAACACAGGACATTAAGGAATGGGTGTGGCTGTGTTCCAATAAACTACTTACAAAAACAGGCAGCAGGCCAGATTTTCTGGTCCATGGGCCACAGTTTGATGACCACTGACTAAAAGCATAAAAAAAACCAGTAAGGTTACCTTTACTGTTGTTTATTGATTTAAGTCTCCTGTAATATAGGCACCCATCCTAAACAGCAAGATTGTTTCCCTTAGTTACTGGGAGGTAGGTAAGGATTTTGAAATCAAGAAACACACAAGGCATTGAGTAAGAAACAGGCTAATTATAACTTCGAGACACAAGAAAAACAATAAGTATATGCAAATGTGTCAGGTTGGTAGAATCTTTGGAATGGTTTAAAATAACTATTGTTTTATTGCTAAAGGAAATTAAGTTACATGTTTTAAGAAAGAGTATAAAGTTGAATTATGGAACTACTCCTATCCATGTAACGTTCTTTTCCTCAACAACCTCTTCTGCTGGGGATTGGCTATGTTCCCATCGATGTTAACTGCTCAAAGACAGATTTTCTCAGCAGCAAGATGCCAAGGAACCTGCACATGATTAAGCCACCTGAATCCCCAGAGAAGGAATCCTCAAGAACTTTCCTGATTACTACTGTTCTGGTAACTATGCAGGGGGCACAGAGATAGCCTGACATATAACCAGGATGAAAATGAGTCACACTGGAATTTTAGCAACAACAACAAAAAAAACTAAGGGATCCCTGGCTATGTTCTGCCTAAGCAACTTCCAGCCCTGTGCTGACCATCGTCTTGGATGTGGAGAAGCTGCCCAAGGCCAGAGCTTCCATTTTTCCTCTAGAGGAGTCAGTGGTTCACTGAATTCTCTTTCTTCCTGTTGGACTTGAACTGTACATGAAAACAGGTTATTTGGGAAATGAACTTAATACTTCCTTAACCCACTTCTCCAAGTGCAAACCACCAAGACTCCTTCAGAAATTACATGTGCTGGCTGACAGCAATGAGAAGCACCCTGCCCTGAAACCCAGGGATATATTCCCACGGGGACCATCACACGAACTCTAAACCTTGAGCCTGAACTTGTCTTAGCAATAGGGGAAACCACAATGGCTCTAACAATGAGGTGCCCACAACGGTTATCACATACCTTCAGCATAAACTCATGCACCGGCCTGCCGATCCTTTCCTCGGCCTCCACGCTGTACTCTCGTGCCAGGGGCACAGTGGGGTGGTAGAGGCGCCAGTGTTTCTCTCCCTCCAGCTGCAGGATGAAAACCTAGAGACCCACAAGGCCCAGGAGCATCAGAGAGCTTCCTGACAACTCACACACAAAGTGCTTCCGGACTATTAGCCCTCTAAGGGGCTAATAGACAAATATATAGGTGAACCTTGAACAACACAGGTTTTTTTTTTTTTTTTTTTTTTTTAGTTGTTATAGACAGTCTCATTCTCCTGGCCAGGCTGGAGTGCAGTGTCACAATTACAGCTCACTGCAGCCTCTCAAACTCCTGGGCTCCAATGATCCTCTTGCCCTAGCTTCCTGTGTAGTTGGGAAGCTGGCATGCACCACAGCTCCCAGCTAATTTATCTTCTTTGTAGAGATGGGGTGTCACTTTGTTGCCCAGAATGGTCTTGAACTCCTGGCTTTAAGCACTCCTCTCACCTGGGCCTCCAAAAGTGATTACAGGCGTGAGCCACCACGCCTGGCCTAACAGCATGGGGATGAACCGTGCAGGTCCGCTTATATGCTGATTTTTTTCAATAAATTATATTGGAAAATTTGGAGGAGATTTGCAACAATTTGAAAAACATGAAAAATATCAAAAGAATTAAGAATGTCATAAATGCATCAAATATAAAAACATATGTAGATACTAGTCTATCATCTACTACCATAAAATATTCACAAATCTATTACAGAAGGTTAAAATTTATCAAAACTTACCTATACAAATACTTCTAGACCACCATTTGCAGTCAAGAAATGTAAACAAACTTAAAGATGCAATATGGAATAGCTGAATAAAATTAACTTTAGTACATATTGTACTACTGTAATAATTTTGTGCTACCTCCTGTTGCTATTGCCACGAGCTCAAGTGTGATGCTAATTATCTCCACATGAGCAGTTCCTCTCTCCAGTGAATTGTGTATCACAGTAAAAAATGATCTCTCAACAGTTCTTGTGTATTTTTCATCATGTTTAGTGCAACAACTTAAGCCGTGAATAACACCATGGGACCCATATGATGTGCCACTACTGCTACTGCAAGTACTCCCGAGAAACAGAAAAAAGTCGTAACGTTACAAGAAAAAGTTGAATTGCTTGATGTGTATTGTAGATTAAGGCCTGCAGCTGTGGCTACCCACCATTTCAGATGGACGATTCAGCTTGTAAACAAATGATGTAAACTTACGGTACTGATAAACACAATATTAAAAATACTTTTCCCTTTCTTATAATTTTAATAACTTTTCTCCAGGTTCCTTTACTGAAGAATAAAGTATATAACACATATAACATACAAAATAAGTGTTAACCAATTTATGCTATCAGTAAGATATCTAGGCAATGGAAGGCTACTAGTAGTTAAGTTTTAGGGAAGTCAAAAGTTACAAGCAGATTTTTGACTGCATGAGGTGTTGGCACCACTAACCCCCACACTGCACAAGGGTCAAGTTTCCGATAAAAAATAAAAATGAAAGATGAGAAATGCATGTCATTCCACAGTTAAACAAAAGTTGCCACTACTGGGTTTTATTTTTAAAAACGGAATCGTGAATCCTGACACTGGATATTCATTCTTTTCACTTTCTTAGAGCCTCGCTGAGTTCTTTATATCCCACTATCTCATTCCTTTAAATCTTCTATCAGACAGCTAAAAGCCCATAATCTCTGATGGAAAAGCCAAGCTTCAGATATTACTGAATGTCTAAATCCTGAATGTTGAAAGGGCCTGGGGAGATAGGAAAACTTCGAGTTTTTTATTCTTTATTCAGTCAAAGATATTCTATTAAAAATATTAAAAATAACATTTTGTGAAAATGTATTGATGTCAAATTGCTATCAAAGGAGAAAAAGGGGACTTTTTACCAATAACTCTGTGTTTACACCTTATATTAGGACAAAAATAAAACTATGGAATACATAAGCCAAAGAGTTAAATTTTTTTGGAAGCCATATCAGAGTGAAATCAACACTTGTCAAGATGCCAATGCTTAAGTGAAACCATGACCCTCATTCAAGCTGCCCCAAGATTTTCACAAATGGAAAATATATACATATTTTTGGCAGCTACTGAAAAAGAACAAAATGAAAGCACATGAAGGATTATTTGTGACCTCATCTTATTAAAGACCATACTTTGTGAAATTAAAGGAAAAGCCAAGCACACCTTTCTGTAGATAAATTCAATAAATACTTGTTTCAGACGAATGTGTGGCTCTTTAAATTAGTAAGGTTGGAAACAAGCTGTTCCTTTGAGACAGAGCAGGAAACCAGTTTAGTGGGATTTACTTTGGCCCAACATTTTGATGAAATCAATATCTCAGAAACTGCACAGAAAGAGCGAATACAGACCTAAGAGCCTTAGAGAATAATGTGAACTCACCCTGACAACTCTACTAAACCAGGCTCTCAACAACTCATTCTTCCCAACATGGGGCAATTTTCTCCATCTCTTACCTCGACATCATCATAATGGGGCGGCAGGCCCTGAGATCCTGCGGGAGTTATGTACACATTCGAGCCAACCAAGGAGCCAAAGTAACATTCCAGCTTCTCCTGGATCCTCCAAAGCTCATCCTTTACAAAAAAGGAAAAAAGAAAGGGTCGGCGTGGGGGAGTGAAAAATGTATTAGAAATAAGAATAAGAGCATGTTCTTGTTCACTTAGGAAGTCTTTACTGCACAACTATTATACACCAGATACTGGGAATTATGCAATGATACAGCCAATACCCATGGTCTCAAAAATCTTCCATTCCAGTGCAGAAACACCATGTAACAGACGTGAACAGATAAAGGGATGACTGACAAGGTGGGCAATTGGGAGTCCGGAAGGCTTTTAAGCAGGGAAGGACACAATCCAATTTACATTTTTGAAAGCTCACCCTGGTTATTGTGTGAAGAATGCACTGTAGAAAAGAGTGGAAGTCAGAGAGACTAGTGAGGAAGCTTCTCAGGCAGCAGCTCAAGCGAGAAGTGACTGGGGTGGTAAGAAAGGCAAGGAGGGAGGTAGAAGAGTGGGATGCACTCTAGAAGCAGCACAGACAGGACTTGCCGACAGACTCAATGTAAAGGAGCGGAGTTAAAAAAAATACTCTTGGGTTTTTGACTTGGGCAATCAGTTCCCCTTTCCACGTAACGAGATGGGAAAAACTTACTAAAAAACAAGTTTTCAGGACAAAAAAAAGAGTTTTATATTAGGAATGTTAAGTTTGGAATGCTAAGACCCCCCCCCCCCCCCCCACATGGAGATGTCTTTAAGTCGGTCTGAAGTTCTGGCAGAAACTAAGGACTGAAGATTTACACTTGGGAATTGCCTACACAAAATGGATATTTAAAGCAATGGGAACAGAAATGATAACACGGGAAGAAGGTACAGACAGAGAAGAAATAACAGGCTGGGTAATGTTCCTTCTCTCCACTATCAACTCTTCAGAGCAGACATCAGACTTAGGGGCCTAGCGATGGGCCATATATTCCCAGGAGAGAGAAGGAAGTCTGATTTTACCAAGGCTGGTGAGAAGAGAGGAGGGGGGCAATTAGGCCATGTAGATATTAGCACTTCCTATGTGCCAGGCACTGTCTCCAAGTGCTTTACAAATATCAATTATGCAACCCTCACAATAACCCTGCCTCATAAAGAGGGTACTAACATTATCTTCAGTTTACAGATGAGGAAACTGAGGCATGAGACCATGCAACTAGTAAATGATGGAGCCAGGATTCAAATTCAGGCAGCATGGCTCCAAAGTCCATACCTTTCAGAGAATTTAAGAAAAGACAAATCACAAAGGGCACTAAAGAGACTGAAGTTTTAAACATATGAATGTACAGTGCCTGGCACACAGACTGCATGACAACATATTTAAATACTTGCTGAGCAAACCAATGGCCACAGCTTGGGAGTCCCTTCTACCACAGGAGTGAAAAAGAATCCACTGTATTAAAAATATCAAGTGAGAAAGAACTGGGAAGAACTGGGTCAATATGAAAAAAGACTTTTTTAAGACATGGTCTTGCTCTGTCACCCAGGCTGAAGTGCAGTGGTGTGATCACAATCACAGTTCACTGCAGCCTCGACATCCCAGGCTTAAATGATCCTCCCATCTCAACCTCCCAAGTAGCTGGGACTGCAGGTGCATGCTACCATGCCCGGCTAATTTTTTTCTCTTATTTTGTAGAGATGGTGGTCTCACTTTGTTGCCCAGGCTGTTGTCAAACTCTTGGATTCAAGCTATCCTCCTGCTCTGACCTCCCAAAGTGCTGGGATTACAGATGTGAGCCATGGATTTAGCCAAGGACCTCTTTATACAGACCACTGGGCTTCTCTATAGATCTCAGAGTTTCTACTTAACACAGAAAAAATAATTTAATGTCATCTGAATAGCTCCAAAGAGTTAACAGAGCTCCAAAAGGGCCTAATCTATTTCAGGGAAAGGCCAGCAGGACCTGGTTCTGTAATTATTTTTATATAGTAACTGGAACCACTAGAAAACCAGGGCTTCTCTCTCTCTCTTTCTCTCTCTGATGGTATGAGAGGTCTTTCAGGACTGTATAGGTGATTTTATGGTTCCCGACCCAACTATCAGGGTAACTAATGAATATGTCTCTTTTCTTCTTAAAGGTTACTGAAAATGCTATCAATGGCACAATTTTTCTATTTCATCTGGACCTTTAGCCTCTGAATCTGCCAACCGTGGCCTACTAGAAGAGATCTGGAGTCAAACCACCTCGGTTCAAGTTATAATTACAAGCAAGGTGACTTCAGTTGTTTATCTTTAAGATAAAGATATTATCACTCCCACTCAAACACTGTGGCGAACAGCATAAAACAACTTATCACAAATCCTATTTAAATTGCAAAGCAGTATACAAGCGATATTGCTTTACTAACATTGACTCAAGCACAAACAAGGCTCCTGAAACCTGTCTTCTCCTTTACCACAGGATTCGATATCCAGCGAGCCCAAGGAGGACCTAGAACAGTGAAAGGGAGAAGGTGGAAGTCTCTCTCCCGGCTGGCTGTGACCTCCTCTCTCCACTGACCTACCCGTCAGAATCAAAACTCAACGCCATGGCTAAAATAGAAGACCACGTATATGCCTAAAGAAAGGCAAAAGCAAACATATAAAAAGCCCTACTAAATTTCAATACATCTTTCAAAGTATGGTAGGAAAATGCCTTAAATTTGGAGTCAGAAACCCTTATCAGCTTGGAATAGTTATGGAAAGGTCACATCTGTGAACTCCAGTTTTTCCACATACAAAATGGAGTCCACGGCTGGGTGCGGTGGCTCATGCCTGTAATCCCAGCATTTTGGGAGGCCGAGGCAGGTGGATCACAAGATCAGGAGTTCAAGGCCAGCCTGGCCAACATGGTGAAACCCCCATCTCTACTAAAAAAAAAAATACAAAAATTAGCCGGGCATAGTGGCATGCACCTGTAATCCCAGCTACTCAGGAGGTCCAAGGCAGGAGAATTGCTTGAACCCAGGAGGCGGAGGTTGTAGTGAGCCGAGATTGCGTCACTGCACTCCAGCCTGGGTGACAGGGCAAGACTCTGTCTTAAAAAAAAAAAAAAAAAAAAAAAAAGAAGGAAAGAAAAAAAAGAAAATGGAACAAAAGCTGCCCTATTTCAAATGCCTGTTAGAAAGCTCAAAAGTTAAAATATATGAAATTACTTGGTAAACTCTAGCCTGCTAAGCAAAATGCAAATAATTGTGATAATTCCTCTCACCAGGACTTTTAATATATGGATTACTGAAAGCAAGTCCAAACAACTTATTATGGCTCCCTGGTTACCTCCTTACTCGTTTTTAAACTAACTATACTAATAAGCTGTGCACAGTCTGAGACCCAATAAACAAAGGGCTGCATGTTCACTCTAACAGTCTCTCAACCTGGCCAGGGATAAACTCCTTCTAGACTTCCTCTGTTCTGACGTTAATATGCCCATTACTAAAGAAACACACACAATGCCAAACCACCTTATAATATAGCACTTAGAATCCAGACTCTAGTGTAAGACGGTGAGCTCCTATGGCTTATAGGTCTCTCCAGCACGGGTGGTACAAAGAGATTAAAAAAAAAAAAAAAAAAAGGCCCAGCACAGTGGCTCACGCCTGTAATCCCAGCACTTTGGGAAGCTGAGGCGGGTGGATCACCTGAGGGCAGAAGTTCGAGACCAGCCTGGCCAACATGGCGAAACCCTGTCTCTACTAAAAACACAAAAATTAGCCAGGCATGGTGGTATGTGCCTGTAATCCCAGCTACTAGGGGGACTGAGGCAGAAGGATCACTTGAACCCAGGAGGCAGAGGTTGCAGTGAGCCGAGATCGTGCCACTGTACTCCAGCCTGGGCAACAGAGCAAGACTCTGTCTCAAAAAAAAAAAAAAAAGGCACATCCTAGTCTGGCCTGAGGGCTGAATTTGGGCTGAGAAAGCTCATCCTTCCTGCTTTAATAAACTCAGCCAGAGCCTAGTCAACAAGGCAAAAGAAACAGGTTCTTGGACACTGGAATCCCAGACGAGGAATGTGCAGCACTTAAGTGGATGAGCAGAGAAAAGCCCTGCGGGGGATGATTCTAAAGTAGAGAAATGACAGCCACAGTGGATACCACACATATGCCAAATATCATCTCTCTGCTGGTCTATGACCAAAGTACACGTAATCAAATTCACTGAATTCATTTATGTTTAGAGTTCTCAGGTTTCTAAAAACCACTCTTAAAAGTGCTACTTCTAGTCAAGGACTAGCTCAGCGAGAAGCATTTTATTGACGGTGTCCATATTTTCTGAATTCAAATCATAACTTGGTCTGACAAATGATTTGTAAATTCTTTTTGAGTGCCTAGGCCACAAGGTTAGCATTTCAGGGACATTTCAACTTTGTATGATTGCTTGAGATGGAATAGCTGGAATCAGGACTCATCTTGAAAAATCTAAGAGCACTCATACCTCATACAGAGTATGAATAGGTTCAAGATCTTTTAGACAAGAAAGAAAGGGAAGGGCATTCACCAGATGAAGCCCAATGGGATATAACAAGCCACCTCAAGTTAAATCACTGGAAACACTATTGGTAACTGACGACAGAGCCCCAGAAGCCATCAATAAAGCCAGAATCCATTCCTCTCAACATGGAACCTCACAAACCCCTCTCTTTCTCCTCCTATGTTGCCATTTTGATTTAATGAAGGGTCACAGAAGGGGGTTTCTGAATGGGGATAAAAGTTTATCTAAAATTCAGAACAGCCCCTCACCTATTCTGGGCCATCTGTCATGAGATGAGATACAGATCTCAAACCTTGAGGAAAACAAATTAGTTCATACTAAATCTGCATTTTATAAATGTAGAAACCAAGCATAGAGGAGGCAAATTATTTCCCAAATGTCAATCCCTGATATAGAAAAAAATTTAAAAATTTGCCAATCCTCTGCATTTGCAAAGCAAAGATTTCCTCCACCTATGAAGCCTTACCAGGAGCAGTTCCAGGTACCTCAATGTCACCCATTCGGGTGTTATTAAGGGTGAAGTCTCTTTATTGGACTTGCATCTAGCATGTGATCTGGTCATGGCTCTGAAGCCTCCATTTAGATGCAGGCAGTAAAGGGAAGCAACTTCGGGAAAAAATGATCACCTTGATGCTGTCATGCCTTAAATTACAGTGATGTGACAAACCAAATAGAAATGTCTATCATATAGAAAAACATAAACTGGCTCACAGAACATACTCCTGCAGTTGTAGTGCCACTTTAACAACTTTATAAACTTGCAGTATAATTAGTTTTGCAGCTCAATGATACCCAACAATGTCTACCCTGAGTTGCTGGAGTTTCTAACAGTCCAACCAAACATAACACATAATCTTAATCCTAGTTAGAATGCATTTAGACCAAAGAGGTGCTACCCCTTCTCAAACTGGCAAGAGACTAACCATCATCAAACTACGTATTCACCCTTGAGCTGATATGTGGCCAAATGTTAGTACTTTAAAATGTATGAGGATTCTGCAATGGGGAAACTGGTTACCTTAAATCTCTGAGGTTGGTGAAACTGAATCGTTGCCCTTTTCTGATCAAAATCTTTTCTCAGCTGAAGAAAGTGTGCTTTGCCATCTTTATTTAAAACCTTCTTCTTCCCATTGACACACCGGCAGACATTCACATCTCTTCCATAGTACATCCCCCGGCTGCACAGACTCTTCAGATCTGTTAGCTTGAACAGGGACCCATAGTATGTGGCCAGTGCAGGGTCATCTCTCTGAATGAGAAGGGGCTTCTGCTCCCAGAATTCCTTGAAAAAAGTCTCTGTCTTGATGGGCGAGATTAAACTTTCAAAGAGACTACTGGGACTGTCAAAGTTTAAAGCTGAAGGCCCCCCAGCTGCTTCTAACTTCATCTGCTTACAGGGAGCCGGCCCCTCTTCCTTCCCACTCCCTGTAGGCTTTGCTTTCTTTGGCATCGTTCTGTCTTCAAGACAAAGCAGTAAGGAAATGCAAACCTACCAAAAGAACAAAACACACATGGTTAGGTTTACAAGGAGTGCCAGCATTGGTGTTAGTGGATCGCGCGCACACACAACTGAATGACCATTACACCTTCGTGAGAACTCTTCATAGGTCAAAGCTACTTCCCCCAGGATAGGAGACAGCCTTAAGCCAATGCCATTTCTTCTAAGATATGATTCAAGCTCAACCACCACTCAGATGACATATTCATCTAAAGAAGAACGTGTTTTTCTTTTACACAAGCACTATGTCATGGTATTATTTATTAGGCAGTATAATTATCCCAAATAAACCTATTCAACTGTCTCAGCAGTTCCTACTCACAGGTTTAGCCTGTGGCCACTGACACAGCAAAGTCAAATATCTTGGATTTGGCTCCCATCAGCATCAGGGCCCACATCTAATTAGATGTACTCTGAGTTACAAACATTTGACTAGAGAAAAACTAACAGCCGCCCACTGCCAGGTGCTCCTCACCGCAGCACCACCCCAACTGTTGCGCAGGTCAATCAATGCGCCCTGGACCCGCGGTGTCTCCTGGTGGCTGGAGCAGGCCACTGCCTTCTCCTGTCTCCACTAACCACCTGAACCTGCTCACTTCCAACTCTGAGCTTATTCCTGAAAACGGCCACTTTTATCAGAAACTCCCCTTCGTTTAAAGAAATAAAGCCCCTAAAGGCTGAAAAGTGAAGGCTAAAAGTAGTTATATCTAAAGCCTTGAAAAAACTATAACTTTTTAACTGAAGATTTTAAATAATACCAATATCATTAGCCCCTAACACAGCACTTCTCCAACTTTAATGTGCACACAGATCACCTTAGCATCTCAATAAAATGCAGGATATGATCCACTAGCTCCAAGGTGAAGCCTGAGGTTCTGCATTTCTAACAGGCTCCCAGGTGATGCTTCTGCTGCTGACACTGCTGAGTAGTCGAAGCCACACAGCCAAGCCTTGCAAAGCTCCTTCAGAACTGCCTCCAAACCACAACTATTGATACTTAGAGGGTAGGTTTCCCTCATCTGTTTCCAAGAACTGTAATTCAAATTATTTAAATTTCCTGAGACTGCAAAATTCTATCTTAAAGTCCTTTCCCTCTGGGAAGGGACTCCATCACTTTCAACAGATTCTTAAGGAAGTCCCTATCTCCTGACAAGGTTAAGAACCACTGTACTTATAAAAACCAAAATTTCTGAAAGACTTGTTATTTATAAATGGTATAGTTTCCTACTTTGGTGAGTTATCAGAATTGCAAGAATACTGTTTTCTGTTCTTTTGTCATTATAACTAAGCAGTATTTCAGCTACACTGTAGACTAAGTGGAATTAATGTTCTGGCCTGGGAAGTAAGCATCCTGGAACGATGTGTTGCATACTGTGTGACGTGTTGCAACTTATAAAAGAAACTTTAGATTGAAACCCAGATGTAAACTGAACAAATTAAGAAAGGAAATGTCAAAATATAAAACCCTCTAAACAGCTCCATTCCTTCAAAAGACCAGGTGCTTTTGATAAGGAAACACAGGACATGGTGGAAGACTAACACAAACTGATACTACAGGAGAGGGGTAAAGCTTGAAGCTTAGAAAAAAAAAATAAACTTTAGTGTTTAGGATATGTGGTCAGTAAGACACATTTTCTGAAAATGTTTCCTTTAAGTGAAACAGACCAGCTTGAATTCTCCAGGAAAGAATTAAGGCTTCAGGAAGGCACAGCATTGCTAGTACATGGAACTCTCAAGTGATGGAGAAATACAAAGAGATAGAAAAATGGATTCGGGAAGGGGTACTGCTTATGCAGAAGACGTTCCATAGCAGGCCTGACTGCTATCCTTTGAAAGTGCAGCTTGTGGCCGATGTCTGAGAACTTAAGATTTTGGGAGAGTTTCCACCACCATTAACTGATAGGAGTGGCTCACCATGCCTAAAATGTACAATCATTACAGTTTATACCAACACCTGCTTTCCTCTGGGAGTCTGGAAACGTTGGTATGTGCCAGGCAGGGGTGGCCTAAGTGAAAAGCCCCCAGTAAAAGCCCTGGGCACTGAGTCTCTAACAAGCTTCGCAGGTTGGCAACATTTCACAAGTGTTGACACAACTAGTTGCTGGAGCAACTGAGCACAGCCAGTGTGACCGCTCGAAGACCCTTGGAGCCTTGCACTTGGTATCCCCAGAACTTCACCCATGTGCCTCTTCCCTTTGCTGACTGTGCTTGATATCTTTTCCCTGTAATAAATCAGCCGAGTCCTCCTAGCAAATTGCTGAACTAAAGATGGCCTTGGGGACCACAGCACATTGCTCACGTTTAATTTTTAAAAACTTAGATTGGTTTATTAGGTTTGTATTACTAAAGGCACCCTATAGAGTCATTTTATATTCAGCCACACATCTCTTATCTCTCACAATTGGTCAGTTTAAAATTCATTTAAGGGGAGAGAGCAGGAGGAAGATGCAAACGAAAAGCTTTTCTTTAAGCATAATATATGAATACAGTATAAGCACATTCACCAGAAAGTGTGGCTAATCAAAGAATGCAAAACACTTAAGCCAAAATAAAATCACTTAAAAGAATCTTTCCCATCTACAATCACTAACAAACCCCAATACTGTATAACAAATGCTTTCCTTAGAATATAAATTTCACTACCCATACTGCCAAAAGTTACATCATTTGTTTCTCTGTGTTCATGTTGAAATGATTTGAGGCTCAGTTAATTGGAGCCTAAGCTTAGAGGTTTCTGGGCAAATACATTATTTCTCTGATTCTCACACTACTCATACTGTAAGACAACCATTCCTCTTAACAGCTTTCTAGAGCAGAGGGGAGAATAGATGAAGCATCCTACCACATTAAACATACAAAAGTCTTAAGGTACATATCATAATTTCGGAAACAGCAAGAAGTAAAACACATATCTTAGAATCCAATACTATAGTAATTAAAGAAGACAATGCTTTGTCTAGAATAGTACAGCCAACACAACCTTGCCCATAAGCCTTAGAGACCACCCCAATAGGAGTAAATATTTCTGTAAAATCACAGAAAAGTTTTTGAAGAGCAATTGTTTTCCATTTGAGTTGACTATAAGCATTAAATGTAAAAAGACTAAAAGATTTACAGTTCATACTTTGGTGACTACCCCACAGATAAACCCTATAAGAAAATCAATGTTGACAACCATACTATAGGCAACAGACAGACAGTCACTATATTTTAAAGGTACCCTAACCTCCTTTTCTATAATATTTGAGGACATGAAGACGTGAGGAAGCTCTTGAAGGAAAGGATTTGTATATCCCCGGAAACAAGCACGGTGTGGTACATAGGAGGTCCTCAAGAAATGTCTGCTGAATTTTTCACATTTTCATCTTTTGTCTGTATACAATTTTGGAGACAAACCACAAAGGCCTTACACAAAACAGTTACGGAAAAAACAGATGGCCTGTGCAGAGGGGATTATTTTTCTGATTGCAGCTGTCACTTCAGGATTCAAGAGTATCGTAAAAGCTAAAAGGCACTTTAGACATCAGTAGTTATTACTAAATCGGGGAGGGAAGTATGAATTTCTACATCCCCTGGGCAGTTTTACAGAATGTAGTTCAGAGTTACCAGCAAGGTTGTTAGCATGCAAATTTCTGGGCCCTCATCAAGCCCACTGGATTGCCACTTCTGATGGCTGAGGCCCATAATCTGCATTAACGTAATACGCTCTCTAGATGAATTTTAGGTCCACTAATGGAGGACAACAGTCAAACGCAGCTCAGTTAAACACACGGCTGTCAGAAATTATATATTGCTTGTAACAAGGTTGCCCAGACTGATCTAAAACATTTCTTTTTGGCTCAGAGATATGTTAATCAATCCAGAGGGAAAACTGGTTCTCCTATTGACCTAAAGGAGTGATCAGCAGTTATCTTTTTAGTCTGATTTTAGAGAGGAAACGGACTATACCTCAATGTATTTTCGTGACCATGAGGTTACAAAGCTTGATGTCCAGGAGGCAAAAACCAGTACCAGCAGAAGAAGCTGAGTAAATCAGGTTCCTCTGCTCAAAGATGAGCCCAGTGACATGAAACCCGAGGCACCAGATTTACAGCTAATGAGTGGCGAAATCAGATCCTCTTCCTCCCAGTCTATCCTTCCTGAAAACAGTGAATAACCTGGTCTCAGTAACCTGTTGGACAACCCAGCTGTCGGCCAATCGTTGCGGAATTATTTGCTGGTAAATGAATTGGAAGCATATGATGTAATGCAGCTGCCCTTCTCCCCACACACCTGAACTTCAGATTTCACAGCTGTAGAGCGTGTCTCTTAGGCCCGACATGACGCCCGGCGGCGCAGCCCACGTGGAAGCCGTGCTCGCACAGGCAGTTCTGCCACCACCGGGCGGAGGCCGGCACCACCCTCCTTGCTAAGCCTCCAAACTTTCCGTGCGCTCGTCACCGGTGTCGCGACCATTAGCAGGCCACGTGTGCGACTCTCTGTAACCAAGGCTTCCGCGACCCTACCCCTAGATCCGGGCCCCACCCACCCTGCCCCAGTCTCCGGGGAGGTGGGACGCCTGGGAGCGCGTCCCAGGTCCCGCAACCACAGCGCCGGCCACCGAGGCTTCTCGCCGACCGACAGGTCTCCCAGACCCGCACCCGAGCCCGGGTGCCTAAAGCAGCAGCGCGCGCCCCGCGGGATCGGGCACTACCCGGCCTGCCCCGGCGCTGGGATGCCCACGAGAGCGCCCCACTCACCCGGCACGGCCTGTTGCTCGCGGCCGCGAGCCCACTGCGTTGCGGCGCAGCGGCTGGAGGCGGGGCAGCGTGGGCACGCTCCGGGCCGTGCTCCAGCCCCCGCCCCGCCCCGCCACGCCGGCCCGCAAGTGGTGGCAGCCCGGAGGCCTGGCTACCCGGCGGTGTTCCGCGTTCACGCCCGGGCGTTTCTTTAGTCCATATGGAAGGAAATAAATGGCCTTTTTTTTCCTCTTTTTTTTTTTTTTTTTTTTTTTTTTTTTTTTTTTATGGTATGTGAGACAAGGTCTCACTCTCGCCCAGGCTGGAGTGCAGTGGTAGCGATCTTGGCTCACTGCAACCTTTACCTCCCGGGCTCAAGCGATCCTCCTGCCTCGGCCTCCCAAAGTGCTGGATTATAGGTGTGAGCCACCCACCCGGCTCTCCTTTTTTTTCTTTTAACTTGGGGCGGCAGGAGAGGATTTGAGAGAGCGTTTTGGTGCAACTCCGTTCCTTTTATGAATAGAGAAGCAGGCCTGAAGAGGAATACCAGCGGTGCAAGTTTAGGGAGTTGGTGGTCCGGGTTCTCCCATGGCTTTCTTATGGGCTGTGTGGCTACACAATGCTGATTTGTACAAGCCGAGTGTCATTTATATCATCTCGCTCCGGGAGAGAGAGTCAATCCTAGTTTTAAAAGATACTGGAAATTCGTTGCGACTATGGCTATAGAAACAGAAGAAATGCAGTTATCTGAGTCCTTTCAGCCTAACACTCCCTGCTTTGGAACATTTGGTTCCAGTCAGGAGGCACAAATGAGGGAGCAGGGAAATCAGTGGCGGGCCTGTGCCTTTCTTTGCTCTGTAGACAGCCAGAGGACCCAGAGGAAGTCGACATTTCGTTCCGTCAAGGTGACTGAGACCAGTGGCTGCTTCTAAGGATCAAGTGGCACATGAACAAATGGGAACAAAGTACACCCTTGTCTAGTATTTGTCTAAAACTAACAATAATAGCAAGTCTTGAATTGAGTTCTTCCTGGCTATAAGGCACCACGCTAGGTGTTTCAAATACTCCTCACTTCATCCTCACTACAACCTTGCAATTACCTCCATTTTACAGTTGAGGAAACTGAGTCAGGAGAGGTTAACTAACTTGCACAAGATCACACAGCTAGGAAGATGCAGAAACAAGATTAGAGCCAAACCAGTCAGTCAACTGTTGGTCTTTTTCACGTTTTACTAATACTCGTATAACTAGTAAGTTTCCTGGCAGGTTCCAGTTGGAAAAACTCGAGGGTAACATCAAATTTAGCCCTTACAGGGTAAAAAAGAATAGTCAACAGCAAAAATCTCTAGTTGATATGATATTGGTAATGTACTTCGCTCTTTATTTTGACTGCAAGACATCTACTCAAGATAATATAGAATAATATTGCTGTTCCCGGGATTCAGATAAAGGTAAATTCTCACACGTCCACCACTTGGAAAAGCAGTACGGTTGTAGAAAAAAGTTATAATGTCAACACAAAATACCATTTTCTCAGCATATAAAATGGCCGCAGGATGTCTAACAGAACAAAAGTACATATGGAAGTCAGCTTTGCAGGGGGAAATCATACATCTTGTGTAGGAGTTCCTCTAATGCAAAATTAGTATATCAGTATGTTCTCTCTGATTTTTTTCATTATAATTCCGATTTCTTAGCATAGCAAGCAAAAAAGTCATGATAGTTCCATTTTCAGACCTAAACAGTGCCCATCATTCCTGTGAAGAAAAGGAGAAGGGGCCAGGTGCGGTAGCTCACGCCTATAATCCCAGGACTTTGGGAGGCTGACGCCGGTGGATCACCCGAGGTCAGGAGTTCAAGACCACCCTGGCCAACATGGTGAAACCCCCGTCTCTAACAAAAATACAAAAAAATTACTCAAGCATGGTGGTGCCTGCCTGTAATCCCAGCTACTCAGGAGGCTGAGGCAGGAGAATTGGTTGAACCAGGGAGGCGGGGTTGCAGTGAGCTGAGATTGCACCACTGCACTCCAGCTTGGGCAACAAGAGCAAAACTCTGTTTCGGAAAAGAAAAAGAAAAAGAGAAGGAAAGTTAGTTTGTGCTTGGGTGACAAGAGCGAAATTCCGTCTAAAGGAAGGAAAGAAGGAAGGGGCGGGGAGGGAGGGAGGAAGGGGGAGGGAGGGAAGGAGGTAGGGGAGGAAGTAAGGGTGTGGTGGGATGGTATGGGAGTGGAGAATGGCTTGCAACCTTGCCTGAGAGGAGGAAGAGGAGGTGAGGAAGTAAGGGTGGCATGGGATGGGAGTGGAGAATGGTCTGCAACCTTGCCTGGGAGGCTTCTAGAATATATGGCCTTCCTACATGTATTGTTTCTGGTATTTTTTTTTTTTTTGGAAAAGTTCTTCCAGAGGACAAGATGCAGACTGCTATCCAGTCCCCACCATAGGTTCATTTAAAAGTCAGTTATTTTGTTTCTGTAATTAATTTTCTCATGAAAACAATGTTGTAGATGGCAGCTCTCAAGATCTGTCCGGAAAAGTCTAGAAGCCTCCAGATTTCTAATCAACAGACTAGCGCTCCTCCTCTGTAACTGAGGAACAAGATGCCAAGGAGACAGGAGAAAGAAGAGAATTCCCTTCATGTCTCGGCCATAAACCCTGAAACAGACTTGTCCATGAGCCTTGTAAAATAAGTTACATTTCTGCAGAGGTGCTTGACGTTCACACCGTTTGGATTGCTTTATTAAAAGACTCTTTTTAGAGCCAAGTTTGTCTTCCTCTTCTGTGGTCTCCTAGGCTCTTCTTCCTGTAGAGCTTTTGGTTTTTAGCCACCTCATTGTGGCTGTGCACCTGTCCAGCCTGGGCATCAGGCTGCAAAAGTGCAACCCTGTCCTACTCCTACCTCCAGTCACAATGATGCTGGGTGCAAAAAAATCTAAAAATGGTGGTGTGTAAATGTACTTTTTATGGTTATTAGATCTAACTCTGGAGGGGCCAGGTATATGAATTTGGAAAACTCTCTTTGCTAACATTCACTTTCCTCATTTATAAAGTAAGATTGCACCAGATGTACTGTGATATCCCTATTGGCACTCAAATTCCATAGGCTTAAGGGTCTGTGCTCCAATTTTCAAAGGGCATTAGAAGAAGAATCAGTCTGATTGGAATTACCTTTCAGTCTATAAACATTGAAGAACTTATAAAATGATTAATATTTGTATTTTTGTTGTAAAGCTTTATTTTATAATGCTACTGTGTCATACGATTCCAGGAAACACACATTGCTTTAAACTATGTGAGTACTGCCCCCTATGTGTTTGTATTCACTTTGGTCCAGAAAATATCTAAACCATGTCTTTCTAGTATATGACTTTAATATTTATACCACTATATTGGGCTAACTTTTTAATATAAGGAAACAGACACATCAAGGTTAAGGAACTTGCTCAAAAATACATCATTTGATAGTCCATTTTTTTCATTTGGGCTGCTATAAGAAAATATCTAAGACTGGGTGGCTTATAAGCAACAAAAATGGACTTCTCACAGTTTTGGAGGCTTGTTCTCTGGTTCACAGAGGACACCTTCTAGCTGCATCCTCACGTGGTAGAAGTGGGAAGGCAATTCTGTGGGTCCTCTTTATAATCCCATTTATAAGGCTTTACCCGCGTGACATAATCTACTCCCAAAGGCCCCACCTTCCAATCACATTGGTGATTCTGTTTCAGTATATGAATCCAGGGTGGGGACAAACATTCAGACCATAGCACCCATACTGCCTATCAAGTAATATTCTTTGGACCTCTGTTTATGTTTCTCCAAAAGTGGTTAATTTCACCTAACTCGGAAAGATGCTGTGAGTTTCAGGTGAGGTGGAGTAAGCAAAAGAGTTTTAAAACTGTAAAATGCTATTGAGTGTGAGAGGCATTACTGTTAAATCCCATATGACATCTTGAACATGATTCCATGGAATGAATTAAATGCAGTTGGGCCTTTTATACATGCATACTTCACTTAATTTACACAATTCATCAAGCAGAGTACCTTCAAATTGATGTCATATCACCATGGGATAATCTTGGTGTCTTAGTACCTTCAGAAAAGTCAAATTTGTTTAACAATGACCCAGGCCGAGGTCTTTCAAGACTATAGTAGTTACGATACAGCTCATAGAACTCAACGTACTTAACTTGATAACAAGCATACCATCACCGTTTGGAATTATATTTTGCATATTTATAAAACTATGATTTAAACTCCTTGGGAGCAAGAAATGTGCTTCTTTAATTCTGAGAACTGCAACAGAGTTCTTCACAGAGTAGTTACTCTGTTTACAAAATTGAATTGGGTAAGCATTCCTATTTTCTTTTCTTGCTTAGAGTCCAATTTCTTTTACAGCCTGTGCCTATAGGAAAGTTGGTGTTAGGCTGCATGACTTTTCTTAAATGATTCTGCAGACCTCCTTTCTCCAGCAACCCAGCACTTGCAGGTGAAAATATGCCTCAGGATTTTCCAATGACTTTCCCTTACAGAGATGTTTTCTTACTTAACATGTTATCATAAATCTTGAAATTGACTTGCCCAATTCTTATAAAAATATGTACTCCTGCAGAGGTGCTTTCTGCTCATACTCTTTGGGTTGCTTTGTTAAAAGGTACACAAGCTCCTATTGAAAATGTTTCCTACAAGACTAACAGAATGTATATATGGGTCAGGAAGCCCCAATATTATGATGCAACATTAGTTTACTTATTTTCCTTTAAAATATCATAATGACCTAAAAATGACCAACTAAGGTGGTACTAGTCAGGTACTGATGGGTCTGTTAATGAAGTTTTTTAAAACTTTCAAAGAAGAGAAAAATATACCTCATATAAACTGGTTCTGAATATAGAAAAGGAAAATAACTGAAAAAGAAAATTACAGACAAATGTTATTTATAAACCTAGAGGCCCAACCTTTGGTGAAATAACCTCTGTGGGATTTTGACTTGAAATTTCAGTTGAATCCCCCAAACTGGAAACAATATTATTATTTTTTATTTGTTCAATACTTACCACTTTCCATTTTCCAGGCCCTTTTAAAAAACTGAGTACATAAACTTATTAATACACACAAAAATCTAAAAGGAAGATACTATAACTCTCCAAGTTTTACATGTGAGGAAACTGAGGAACCAGGAAACTAAGTTATTGGCCAAAGGTCCCAAAGATCCCACTGGGGTTGGAAAGTTCTTGTACCCCAGATATACGGCCCTGGGAATGTGGAGGCTGCTTCTCACCTGGAATATCCTGAAGAAGGAGTTGGCCGGTGACCTCATCATAGCACTCTGAGGCAAAAAGGCAGTGTGGAAGCAGCCTACTCTCACACAGATTGTCACATCAAGGACCACTGAGCATCTTCTGGGCTGAGTGGTTGCTGTGGAAAGTAGTTAGGCTTGGACAACCTGGAAGGTGACAAAGAGAGTGGCATAGTGGACCAGGAAGCAGTGGGGTCCATTGGCCCAGACAGGAAAAGAGACACAGGGTCTTAGGCAGTCTGTCAGAGATCTCAAGGTTAATTTCAATAAACCCAGTCTCACCTCCAGATCAACCTTCTCCTTGTCAACTAAAGAAAAAGCTAGACTTTCAAAGAATTAAATTAATTTCATTCAGAGTCTCACTGACAATTGCAACCAGGGAGAGCCTTTCAGAGTTCTGTTAGACTGTTCCAAAGCAGTGTTTCCACCCATAACTTATACATTAGGTGGTGGAGGTTCTGTGCATGTTCAGAAGTTACATCGAATGTACTCAGAAGTTACATTAGAGCAAAATCTCATCAAAGTTTGGGTGCAAGAGTACATCTGGTTACAAATCACAGAGGTATAATTATTAATCCTGTCAGATGTTATCTTATGGACAGGAAAAGGCAAAAGCTAGGATCATTGGACTTATCTTTTCTAAAAATGCAGTGATTTAGGCAAGAGATGTGGGAATCTGTGCTCGGTTCTGCTTCTCATCCTCAAGGCATTCTTCCGGAGGGCTGTGCTTGTCACTGAGTCAGGGGCTTCTGAAGGTAGGCTGACAGGCAGAATGAGCAACATTGCTTTTTCACAGCAAGGGCTATGTGGCTGGCCAGAAGCAGACATTTGTTACTTTATCTCACACCCTGCATCCCTTGAAAGCTTCAACATTTGAATAGCTGTCACCAGGGCCAGCTACATAATTTGTGGGACCTGTTGCAAAATGAAAATATAGAGCCCCTTTTCAAAAGAGTGCCATTAAAGGTATTAACATATAAAACCATTCCCTTCTTTTGTCTCTCTTTCTTTACTATCAGGGTGGTATCTTTTATTTGCTGCTAAGTGCCGTGCTCTACCCTGGTGCAGGAAGGTGAGTGCCGACATTCACAGGCACCCAGGGCCCTGCAGGGCCATTGGGTGCTGCTAAATTAAGAAAAAATATATATAAAATTGTAAAGGAAAGGAGACTTTATTTCCCATAAAGGATTATACCCTGCAAGGTGCCCATCCCTCAGGCTTCCTTTCTGGCCAAGACCAGGAAGAGGCACTTTGGAAGGAGTGGGGGTGGGGGTAGGACTTTAATGCTTAACCAGTTGGCTAAACCTACATGCCCAGCAGTTATGGGAAGAGCTATGAATATTCATGAAGGTGGTCCTGACACTTGCATATTGAACAAATATGCATGTATTTAATAACATATGACCCATGTTCACTTTGAGGTGGAAACTTTACATTCAAATATATTGCAATTAGGCTCTATATGTCAAGAGATGTTTTTGGGATGCAAAGCCAGGCAAGTACACAACCTCTGTAAACCAGCCAGAGCTAGTCTATTGTTGGTGGTTTTCTTATCAGGATAAAGTTACTGAAATCAGTCTCTTGTCCAATCAAAGCTGAAGTTATGGCTGGTAGAATAGGAGGTCAGTTATTTAGTGTCCAGTGCTAAGCTACAATTGTTTTAATATTGCTTATCTCAAGGCCAGTACTTGTTTAGCTGCTAGAGAAAAATAAAAACCTTGTGGCAGTTAGAACACAGTTTATTTTTCTTTAAGTGCAGGGGTGAGTGACTTAACCCTTGCGTGGAATGGCCTTAGGACCTGTTTATAATTTGATATCTTATTGCCACAGAGTCTGCTCTGTCAGTCTTAAAATCTCTATTTTGCCATACTTTCAGGTCAGTTGTGTCGAAACCATAAAAGGGAGGGGCATAGAATGAGGCTTTTCTGACCCCCTGTTCCATCATGGACATGAACTCAATTTTAAGGACTTTCTGGGGTCCCTTTTTCCACAGGGAGTTCTTTCAGTCAGGAAGGGGCTTAGCATTTTATTTTTAGTTTAGTGCCCACGTGTGTGCAGGAGCACATGGCCACAGGCTGCTGCGATCTCCCTCCTGCTAGCCACTGGCTCAACACTGCTGTGCCTGGCCAGGGATGGGGACATCAATCTCCCCAACCCTCAGCAGATGGGTGAACACCAACAGATGGCACCCTCCCAGCCAGGACATGCTAATTACTTGGATAGGGAGTGAGCAAGGGGCTTGCTCCAGCCTGGTTGCTCTCCAAACACACTGTAGTGCTGACAGCCCAGGGCGGAGTTGGCTGCCACCATGACCAGCTCCAAATGCTATGGAAAGTGCACCTCATCCCAGCCTTCTCTGCATCTGTGTCTAGGCCTCTACCTGGGGCAGCAAGCAGCAGGCCACTGGGCCTGGCAGGAGAGGGGATTGGGAAAGAGAGATCCAGAAACATCCCACAGGGCGGGACAGTGGCAGAACTGCATGTGCCACACACAGGTACATGCAGTTTCCTCCCTTCTTCCTTCAGACTTCATTCAAAAAACTAATTCAAAGATTAGATTATTATGAATTTCAAGATGGTGTCTCCAAAGCATTAAACCCCAAGGGTGAGGCTCCTGGTGAACTGCTTACTCAGCCATGCCTGCCACCCAGAGAATGGCAACAAACCAAGAGAGCTAAAGTACATATCATCAAGTAAAGAGACTTCTGCCAGTCCTTTCCCTAATCCTCTCCATCCATTCCCTACTCCAAACTCGGTGGAATGAAGGATGGGGGAGAGGTATGTATTAAAGAGCAGATTCTACCTTATTCCTTATTCCTACAACAGTTTCCTCAGTCCAGGGTTGAGGCCTGAATTAGTTGGGGGGTGGGGGTAGGGAAAACACATTAAAATCAGACAAGGCTTTATAAATAACTCATGATATCCCAAAAGCTGTGAGATCAGCCTGAGATGTCAGCAAGAGGCAGAGAAAGAATAGCCAGTAGAGCATGTTTGACAGCAATTGGTGAAAAATAAAGCCATTTTCTGTCTGTACCTACTACAAGTTCAGGTTATTTCGATAAAACATGGTTCAGCAATATACTAAATGTATAGCCTACATTAACAAATTAGAACTCACCAGGAACTCCACCAGTACAAGCCATTACATAGAAGGCATAAATGATAATATCATGATAGAATCAAGTAATTCAAATAACTTGAGTAATTTGAAATGGGCTGATTAGTTTTGTCAAGATGGTATGTTGTATTGATAACCAACATGCAATTTGGTGACCAACATGCAATTAATTGCTTTTATTGCAGAGAGGCACATTATCTTTCATACAAATAAGCAATAATCATCTGATTAATATAGACCAGGATAGTATTCCAAATAATCAAATACAGTTTATTCTATTTTCAAATTCAAATCTGCCCTGAAGATATACGCTATGGGACTTTAAGGACATCATTTTGCAGAGCAACCACATTTTAAACTTCTGTCCTTGTCTTTCTTTTGCCTTATTTTTCTTACCTACTTCTAATTCACATTATCTTGAGAAATCATATTCAGTTATTAAAGTTCCTTTTCACAAAACATTCTCATTCTCTTCTGTCTACCTGAACTGCATATTTATTTACAAGTAATTTAGCTGGTCCCAAGGCTACCTTCCCATTGATTCATGATTTAATTTAGATATGACCTTACCCAAGATACAACCTAATTTGAAATATATATATATATTTTTTTTGGGCAGTGTGATTGCTCCAAAAATTTATTTGATGTGTGGGTTTGTGTTTATAACACTTCTTTGAAGTGCAAAATACTTGAAAAACCTGCCTTAATGTTCTCTGATGAAGTAAAAAAAGTTATGTAAGTGTAAGTACTTTCTTCCTTACTTAGGATCCCTTGTTGAGTTAGCTAGTTTTGGAAATATTGGAACATATATGTCACTTTTAAAGGACACTGGCTTGTACCTCAAACTTCAGAAAGTCTTATTTCACAATACAAAATGTGTTTCAAAAGACTTGCTAATGACATTATAATTTCACCTATTTTTGATTGTCTAAGGTAAGGAGTGGTCAGCTAGCACCACAATTTTGTAGAAAACCTTTGAAACACTCTTGCAGAAAATAAGTTTCTATAATCAACTGTACTGATCCTAGAACTGAGAGTAACAGCAAATCCTTCAAATAATCTAACCAATAATAAAATGTAGCTCGGTCTTTCCTACAACAAACTAAATATCAATATATTAAAAAGAAAACTGTTATAATTTTTTCTCAGTGACTTTGTGAAATCTCTTTTCTACACTTGGCCCCATCATTGACCAAAAATAGCGTTATGATTCAGCAGGGGATTGAAAGGAAGGAACAACTGACAATGTTGTTTTGACAATGCTGAACTTCATCTGATCCTGTGTGTTCCTGGAAAGTATCAAAGGTCTGGAAATCCCCGCCACATTTTGTATTCTGAGAAATGACCACTCCACTCTCACATATTCCAAGATCAGACCCACCTCTATCCTTCCCCAGTGAATGTGACTCGCTTGCATACCTGACTCTTTGAAGCCCTTGACCTCCTTCCTTTTCTTTGAGATGTTTATCATTAATAAATGCCCTTTCTATTGCAATAAACTGAAAAAAAATCATCTTCTTAAATGTCCAGTGCATTTGTTTTTCATGGTTTCTTTAAAAGAGAAAAAAATTATGTTTAAGTTATTTGTTAAATCCAGGAAAGAAAAAATTTGCAGTTGGAAAAGCAAGACACTATAGTGTGATAGAGTGTTTTAAAGCAGTGTTTACAGAGAAAGACTAGGTGGCTCCATTCCATAAATGAGGTAGTTGGAATATAACATTGACTGCTATGCCTAAGGCCTTGCCAAGAAATAACAGCAGCACCAGTACAGAATTGATGTTGAAATAGCAGTTTTCATGTCACTTCTTTCTCTTGCTTCTTTGAGGGTGTTGTTTATTCTCATTGAAATGTTGATCATAATAATGGTTACAGAAATAGATATAAATAGACGTAATTCTTTCTCTCATTCATCTCCATGTTAAAAAAATTGTATGTACAGGGAGGTGTGTGTGTGTGTGTGTGTGTGTGTGTGTGTGTGTGTGTGATTTGAACAGGCTTATAAGTGGCACAGTAAGGAACAATAGACCTTACTCATGAAGATTAACTCACCTGCAAGGATTTAGACAATGTAGTCACAGGCTAGTTATGATTTTGTAGCAACTCATATGCAAATATTTGCAATCTCAGTTACTCTCTTACTTAGAAAGATGGCAAAGGCTTGTAGCGGTGATAGCAGTCATGGAAAGAAGCAGGTTTTCAATACATAGGACTGCTTTAATGTAAGTATTTTAGACAATGCAGAAACTTCCATTATGAAAAGGGAATGCCAGCAGATATATATAAGAAGGCTCTGCTTCATGGGGAAAAATGAACTAAAAATTTAAAAGGTTCTTCAGTTACAGTAATCTACACCTCAGAGCTTCTAGGCAGACCCATGAGTGAGTCTGACACGGCAGGTTCTAGTTGCAAACAGGGATTCTTCTGAAGGAAATAAGTGCAGAAATTTGAATATGGCTAGACATTTCATTTGTATCAAAAATAATTTTACTTCTAAGTGTTCTTTACATTGTTAGTTGCAACCCATTTGTAACAGCATACAATAGGAAATGACAATAATGTCCTGCAGGACGAGATGGGTGAAGTAAACTATGGTGCACCCATTCAGTGAACAGCTCTGCAGCATATGGAAATCAGTTTTCAGGAACAGAGAAGAAAATCTGGCTACAAATAGACACTTTCCCCAACACAATGTAAGTTCAATAAGGGTAGGAGCCATGTCCATCTTTTGTTACTGTATCCCCAGCAGACAGTCCTTGATATAAGTGCTTAGATTAATAAACACAAGTGTTTACAAAAGTGTTCCATTTGAAAAAATGTAAATTATGAACAGAAAACCTCTAAGAATGTACATTAAAATGTGAACTGTTTAATTCTGGGTAGATGATTTTTTTTGCCAGTGGATATTTAAAATTTTTTAAATAATGAAGCTTTATTTTCTAACCAGAACAGAAACAATAAAACTAAGTTAAAGTATATTATTTCATGGGTTTTCCAAAGTAGTTCCTATAAAATAGCCCATTTCTATATTTAGGCCGTTTACAGAGCGAGCTGGCTTCTTCTTAATCATAGAAAGCAGCTTATTTTCTGAAATCCTTGCATTTTATCCAGGCTTATCCCTCAGTGAACAATCATGCACAATCTGTTCAGGATTGTGATGAATAAATGAAGTGAAAATCAAAATGAGGTAACTCTTATATGCTGTCTTCACTCTCATAATTTTCAGGTAAACTGTGATTTGATTCTTCTTGGAGT
Organism: Homo sapiens; assembly: GCF_000001405.40. Classification (NCBI taxonomy): domain Eukaryota; kingdom Metazoa; phylum Chordata; class Mammalia; order Primates; family Hominidae; genus Homo; species Homo sapiens. The sequence goes on from NC_000003.12 coordinate 97,984,024, forward strand.
AAGAACCAAACAGAAATCTTGTTGCTCCCGAGGAGAAATGAAGCTAATGGAAACAGTCCTCTCTTCACAGACTTCACAAGCCACCAATCTCAAGAGAAGAAAACTGGCAAAACTCCTAGGAGCTCATTCCAAATACTCTAATAATTCCCTTAAGCAGTAAACATATTTTCTTTTTCAGTGTTAGATGTACATTATTGAAGAATACAATGCCTGTATTGCTAGCCATTAACAAAAGTTACATTTGATTGGCTAACAAATGTGCATTTATGCTCCTCCAGAGGAATGCCAAGTGTGGGGGTGTGATAGAGACCCATTCTCCTAGACTAGATTGCCAAATGTATTCAGTGATGCATTTGATTCAAAACAGGGAAATGAATATGCCCAGGGGAAGCATTCGACATATTGAATGTTATACTTCAAAGTATATGAAAAAAACAGAAAAGCCTGAAGAAGCTGAGTATTGGTTGAAGAGAACAGTGTAGATTTATTCTGTTCATTTGTATATTTGTCCCTTTTTAAACATCTGGTTTTGTCAAAATCAGAAATGTAATACAATTGCAGTGCTAGGCTAAATAATAGCTATAAATTCCTGGCCATCTAGAATATTAATCTGTGCTATATTTTGAAAATATAATCCTACCAAAATACTACTATTAAATCAAGCTTAAAACCCATTAAATAAATAGTTTTTTTGAAGTTTATTTATGGTCTATCTACAATGAAATGGAGAAGGGTTTTAATACATTATATTAGCTCAATTTTGGAGAGTATCATATACAAATATAATCCTTGGGAAGTTTCAAAAGAATTGGAAAAGTTGTATTAAGAAAATAGAATGAAGTATCCCAGAGTTAGCCTACCTGTGAGGGAATTCATAATAGAAAAATAATTTTCCTTTTGATATTTTGTACCCAGGAGGAAGATACTTTTCTAGAACCCTCTGTGATTCAGAACGGAGGATCAAAACCAATGTTATTGGTTTAAAAAGCAGAAAATTTTTGTCTCTTCACCTGGTGAAAAAGTAATTCAAATCATTTTGATTTACTTTATGGTGAAATAAAAGGAATTACACTGAAAGTAATACACCATTTAATTTATTTCTCTTAATTCAATCCCAGCAATCAAAATAGGTATCGGAATATTTCATATTTCCTGCCAAGGGCTTTTCTTTAAATTGAATCTTGTTCAGAAAATACTCAAAACAAAAGCATGCACACTGCCAATCTGCAAAATGAACACTGATCATAGGAGGTTTTCCTACTTAACAAAAATTTATTTAATACCCACTTGACCTGGTTTACTTGGTTCGACCAAAGATATTAAGGATTACTATGGGATAAATACATTTCATTCAGTTTTTTCACTCAATACAATATCTGGAAGCATCTCCAGTTGTTTATAAATTGAGAGTCCACATCCCTTTGGAGATGTTCTTTTCCTTTCTTTGGTATCCCCCTTTCAGAATTCACACCAGACAGTGTACATACCTCTGTTTTAACATTCGTCACATGTTTTATAGCTCCAGTTCACTGCTCCTGTTGGCTATGCACTTAGAGAAGGCAGGAACGCTATTTCATATTCATTTTTTCAGTACATAACACTTAGTGAAGTGCCTGGCACACGTAGGTGGTCAATAAACATTTGTTGAACAAAGTGATTAATTAAAAACCTCTAAAAAGCTGTGAAAACAATACATGATCTACAAAATGCGAGATGTTATTATTGATGACTGATGTATTAATTTAACATTAGAATGAGAAGAATAAGTGGAAGTTTAGCTTCCCCTCTCCACTTATGCTCACAAATACATGAAACAATATTTTATATATATATATATTTTTTTTTATTTTATTTATTTTTTGAGATGATGTCTCGCTCTGTCGCCCAGGCTAGAGTGCAGTGGCTCAATCTCAGCTCACTGCAACCTCTGCCTCCCATGTTAAAGTGATTCTCCTGCCTCAGCCTCCCAAGTAGCACAGACTACAGGCGTGTGCCACCATGCCCGCTAATTTTTGTACGTTTAGTAGAGACGGGGTTTCACCATGTTGGCCAGGCTGGTCTTGAACTCCTGACCTCAAATGATCTGCACACCTCGGCCTCCCAAAGTGCTGGGATAACAAGCATGAGCCACGGCACCTGGCCTGAAACAATATTTAAATAAGAATAAATACTTGACTGGAGAAGGAGATTGGAGATCCTTCATAGGATTCTCAGCTGTGTGAGTGTGGATGATACCACCTCTATGTGGATGTTCTTGCCTAGGACGGTTGAGCTCTGGTAGATAACCAGGCACTTGGCTGGCACTAAGAAACAAAATATCTTTGAATTATTGTTATAGTCCAGCTTTCTTCCCTAGTTAAATAAAGAACATTTCATTAAGAAAGAAGGAGGGTTCAGATGAAGTAGTTATAAAGCCCTTCCCAATGGAAAACTGTTTTTCCCATAATACACATGCCTATGACTCTTATTTATGGAGTCAAACTTTTCTAGGACCTAAACTCTTTCTTAGATGTAAATCAGACAGCTTTCAAATTTTCATTAGGGCAGGAGAGGTGACTTGCTCTTTCCCAGTTCCATCTAGGACTATCCAACTCATATTCAAGAGTTTTGTTTTTAAACATCATCTGGCTTTAAAGTTGTATACATTTGAAATTCCCCTTCATACATATACACCCCAGTAAAACAAATTAAATAAAATATACACAATGGGGAATAAAATCCTAGAATAGGTGTCAATGACATGGTTGTTTTCCAGAATGATTCTACCAACATGTCCTCCTAGGGATTTTCTTCTCTTTATCCGAGATGAATCGGTGCTGGGGCTGCATATCGATTTTCTTCTCATGAAGTCTTCTGAGTTTAGAGAGAGGGAAGTCTGGTCCATGTCAATCTCGCTGTCATGGTAACAACCATCAAAGGCCATAGCTTGAACTGCATCAATATTGTACATCCTAGAAATCTGTCAAAAAACTTTTTTTTAAAGTAGGTCTTGAATATGGTTTTACAAATAGGAATTATGGTAAATAATGTTAATAAAGTTAAATATGATTTATCAGAACAGCAAGATAGGCCAATTGGATTTGTTTTTCAACTTATTTTTTTCTTTATAGAAAATATAGCAGTATCCTCCGTATATATGTATTTTTTGGTCCAAAACTAAAACCATGTCATCGGTGATCCATTTATGCTTAAACTGGGGATGGGATAGGGAAAGACTTTAGCTGCTCCATTGAAATGCAAATTAGCCAGGCCTTCCCATTTTTGCTTCAGAGCACCTATAAATGATCCTAACATGGCCCAATTAAACAACATAAAACTGGTTTATTTTTCTGAAGGAGCAAATTATCAATGCTTTCTGGCTCCAGTGCCTGATTGAATCAAAACTAAAATTTTCTTGAAGGTTTTACTCTGAGGAAGATAGTGGTTCTCACTAGTTTAGAGCAGTGTCTACAAAGCAGCTGTTAGTAATTGCTCTTGGAGAAAACAAAATCACTTCTTGATTCATAGGAAAATTCAAAAATGAACAAATAGAGAGAGGCTACTATCGGATGAAATTATTCAGAATTCAAATTGGAGGCTGCAGAATAAATGCTGCCAAAACATGTCTTCGATTTATAGTGATTTAAAAACCTAATATTTTACTGAATTCAAAAGACATGAAGACTATTTTGTGCAGTCAGTGAACTAATCAAGGGCCCATAATTGAGTTATGTTGTCCCTTTTTATTTTTTTAACTTTTAAATTAAAATTTATCATTATTTTTTATTTATTGAGACAGGTTCTCACTCTATCATCTAGGCTGGAGGGCAGTGGTGTGATTATAGCTCACTGCAGCCTTGACCTCCTGGGCTCAAATGATCATTCCCACCTCCGCCTCCTGAGTAGCTGGGACTATAGACACACATCACTACACTAGGCTAATTTTTTTTTTCACTCATTCTCTTTTATTTAACTTTAAGCAGGGCTTGATCAGAAAGAAGAGCTCAGAGGAGTGAGGCAACACCAACACCAGGGCATACGATTCATCCATGGCTCCCCCGACACCAGTTCCAGCCCGGATGGGGCTTGAAGTAGCTTCAAGTGCCCTGCCATGCTGGGACAATGGAAAGTATGAAAGCCAAACCTTGGGACCCGAAGAGTAATATGTCTGTGAAGGTACCATCACTGTCGGGCACCCCCTACAGAAGGACGCATAATAGATACATCCCCAGAGACAGTATTTTATTTTATTTTTAGTAGAGACGAGGTCCTGTTATGTTGCTGAAGCTGGTCTTGAACTCCTGAGCTTAGGCAATCCTTCTGCCTTGGCCTCCGAAAGTGCTGGGATTACAGGCATGAGCTACCGCACCCAGCCAAGAAAGAAAATAGCTATTTTTCCTCTTTCCAAGCAATGGTCAACACCAGGGATACATTTTCTATAGACCTGCTGTTCTTCCAGTTCTGAGTGTCTCGGGGAGAGAGGTGGTTGGAATATGTACATGAACATGATGGTACTGGGTGGTAGTGGTGTGTGGTGGTGGATAGTAATAATGTGAGATGGATGGTGGTGGTAGGTGATGGAGGTGGTGAATTGTGGTGGTGGGTGGTGGGTGGTGGTGGTGGTGAATGGTGGTGGTGGGTGATAGATGGTGGGTGGTGTTGGGTGGTGGTGGTTATGGTGGAGAGTGGTGGTGATATGTGGTGGTGGGACTGTTGGTGAATGGTGGTGGTAGGTATTGGTGTCTGGTGGTGATGGTAGATGGTGCTCATGATGGTGGCGTTTGGTAGTGGTGGATGGTGGTCATGGTGGGTGGCGGTAAGTGGTGGTGGTGGATGGTGACAGTTGATGGTGAGTGGTGGGTGGTAGGTGGTGAATGGTGGTAGTGGTGGATAGTGGTGGTGGGTGGTGAGTAGGGTAGAGGTAGTGAGTGGGGATGGTGGTGGTGGTAGGTGGTGGTGGGGGTGGTAGTTGGCAGTGGTCATGGTTGGTGGTGTTGGTAGATGGTGCATGGTGGTGCGGGTATATGGTAGTGGTGGTGGGTGGTGAGTGGTGGTGATGGTGGTGGATGGTGTTGGTGATGTTATTGGTGGATGGTGGGTGACGGTGGTAGATGGTGGTGTTGGATAATGGTGGTGGGTGATAGTAGGATGTAGTGGTGGTTGATGGTGGTGGGTGGTGGTTAGTAATGTTAGTGGATGGTGGTGGTGTTGGTGGATGGTGGTGGTGGATGGTGGTGAACAGTGGTTGATGATGGTGTTGGGTGGTGGGGATGGTGGTGGTGGATGTGGGGATGGTGTGGTGGTAGGTGGTAAGTGGTGGTTGGTAGTAAGTGGTGGTCAGTGGGTGAGTGGGTGGTGTGTGGTGGTGTTTGATGGTGGTTAGGGGTAGATAGTGGTAGTGGGTGGTAAGTGATGGGTGGTTAGTGGTGAGTAGTGGTGGTGGGTGGTGGGTGGTGGTGGTGGTGGATGGTGGTAGAGGGTGGATGGTGCTGGGTGGTGGATGATGGTGGGTGGTGGATGGTAGTAGTAATGGTGGTAGGGGGGTGATGAAAACAAGTTTTGCCTGATTTGTTTTCATAGAGAGGAACTCCATAGCGAGGCCTAACATTCCAGCCCTTTCTCATCATCCTTTGGCCACTCTACTGTAGCAGTCTGGGAGAAGAAACTGGCACGTTTAGCTCTGTCCCTTTTGAGTCCTCCATTTGGTGTCCGCATTGGTGTCCAGGTCTTTTCTCTGAAATGAAGTAAAGAGATACTGTCCTTCCAGGGATAGGCCTGAACATTCTTGTTTTGCCAGTGACCAAGACAGTGAGTACATTTAAGCTAGTGATGAAATATTAGTGAGCCCTCCTGCTCACAGACCTAAGCAACATTCTCCAAACTGCTTTACCAATAACAAAGGTGACATTGTTATATCCATATATCTGGCTCCCACAACTGGCTCTCTCTCTAATACTGGCTTCCAACTCCATATATATATACAGGTGTCATCTATTAGCCCCCAAACCCACAGACATTTCTTCTATCCGGCCTCTCCCATTGCATCCTATTTCTTCCAAGGCATCTCATCCTATTGGATTTGTTCCCACTCTTCCTAGTAATACTCCTATTCCCTCAGGGCAGGTGTTCTGGGCACTACTCACAATAAGAACTTCCATTTGTATAGCACTTTATATTTGCAAAGTTTTTACGCCCTTTTACTATATCACTTGATCATCATAACAGCCCTGTGAAGTACATGGGGAAGAAATGACACCACTGTGGAAACACAGAAGGGGTTTAGGAGACTTAACCTGGAACACGAAGCTGGGATGTGGTGGATTTGGTTTGCCATCAAGACTTCTTCTTTTTTTTTTTTTAGACGGAGTCTTATTCTGTCGTCCAGGCTGGAGAGCAGTGGCAGTGGTGCAATCACAGCTCACTGCAACCTCGGCCTCCCAGGTCCAAGCAATTCTCCTGCTTGAGCCTCCTGAGTAGCTGGGATTACAGGTTCCCACCACACGCCCGGCTAATTTTTGTATTTTTAGTAGACACGGGGTTTCATATGTTGGACAGGCTGGTCTGGAATTCCTGACCTCAAGAAATCCGCCTGCCTTGGCCTCCCAAAGTGCTGGGATTACAGGCATGAACCACTGTGCCTGGCCTACCATCACTTCTGACTTCAATCATTTCTTCATTTTGTCCCACAAAGATATGAATGGCAAATAGGACATTCCCTTGAGATAGTTGCATTTATTTGAGATAATTGAGGATGCTTAGAATGGTGGTTTCCAGGGCCTGGGGGGAGGGGAATATGGGAAGTTGCTGTTTGATGGGTACAGAGTTTCAGTTTTGCAAGATGAAAGAGCTCTGGAGATTGGTTGCACCACAATGTGAATATACTTAACACTACTGAACTGCACACTTAAAAACAATTCAGATTGTAAAATCTAAGTTATAGTAATTTTACAATTAAAAAGTGAAAAATAGTTTTTAAAATGGAGGATGCTTATTACCTGAAAAGAAGTTCTGCATAGTGGTACACAAAAAGATTGTGTATAATATCAACAACTATAAAACAATCAGGCAGAGTGAACACACGTTGTGTGGCAGGTGGGGGCAGGGAGTTGTAGACATTTTTGAGTCAAAGGACTAGATGGAGGTGAGCCAAAAGTACTTCAGTGCCTATTTCTTGTGTTAGCCACTCCTCGTATAAAAACAAAATAAAACATGAAGAAAATTCTTTCCCTCCTTACACATTTTTCCTGTCACCTTTCACTTCACAGACTATCCAAATCATTGCTATTCAGTATGGGTAATAGATCAACAGCATCTGCATCACCTAGAGCTTATTAGAAATTCATAGTCTCAGGTCCCACCCCAAACCTCCTGAATTAGAGTTTAACGAGGACCCGGGTGATGCCTACGCACCACTGCCGCATACTGCTCTAACAGCTCCTGGTTTCCTTACACGTGCATAGCACTCACTGTGGGCATGTAAGTGACAGGCAAACATAGTCACATGCTGCTAGCAAAGAAATGAAAGCATCTGCAAGAAAACAAAATCAGCTCTTATTAGAGCTTTGACTCAAAGGATGTAAAATCAAAGGATGAAGTGAGCATTCCAGATCTGAATTGCAACTGCAGTTCTGTTGGCTGAGAATCTGTTGGCAAATCACTTCATTTCACTAGAACTCTGCTTCTTCGTTTATAAAATAGAGATAATAATCTCTGTAAGATCTATACTGGGGGCTGACAGGAAGGTTCGGTGTGAGAAGAGGATATAAAAACATCCTGAAAGTATGAGATGCTCTCAGAAGTAGAAAAAATATTAAATAATGTTTGGTTGCATATAAATCCTCATGTAAAAAAAAACTTAAACCAATATGAATAGATTTCATTGAAGTTATGGGTATATGTGTATAGATATTCTCTACATGGGATGTATATGTATACATATATACTATATGCACATATGTATGTGTGCGTATGTGTGTTTATTCTGTTAAGTGTAGACTAGAAACGAATGACTCTTATCAGTTAAGTTTCTGAAGTACAATATCTTATATAAGTTCTTGTAAAAGCAGGAAACTGGTGCCCAAATCCTCTGTGAAATGAAGCAGGTAGAGAGCAATCTACCTACATTTATTAAACAATGTCACAAAAAACATGGATAACATTTAGAGCCCAGAAGGCACCTCATTCCTAGGATACTGTGGGGGGAAGAACCTCCCTTTATGCTCTACCACTCTCCCGAGTGACAAGAAGAGATATATAAATGCTGGCTCTCGATGGAGAGAAACATATCATTTATTGGTTGAGAGCACACACACAGCCTTTGAAGTTAAGGAGACCCAGAAGCAAAGCCTGATTCCTCTTCAGCTGTGTGACCTTGGCCAAATTACCACCCAGCTGCATTTATTCCACCTCTGTTAAATGAGGGCGATAAAATACTGACCTTGGTGTGAGAGTTCACTGACATAATATGTTACATGGTTGGTATGATGCCAATATATAATAACCCCCCATTACATGTTAGCTATTATTATTATCATCATCATCCATTTGAAAGAATGTGGTTTGTATGTCAACCCCTTTTATTCAAAGGGTACAGTTGGGGGAAAGGAGCATATTGAGAGAAATTTTGCACACACAAAAACTCCTGATGAAGGTGAGTGAGGATAAGAAAACAGCCAGCACAGAGCAGAGGGTAAGGTTCAATGTTAAATTGTCACCATACTGTCAACTTGCCTCTTGACAAGCATATGGACTTAATACAAAGGCTTACAACACTGTCAAGAGAGGGCAATAGATAAGGGTAGTCTTTTCCACATTCCCCAAGGGATCTGATAGTCAGAGCAAGGCTGTACCTTTCCTGTCTTCTTGAATTGTTTCCGCTCTTCCACTGTGGTGAGGTAGTTCACAGCTGCATACTCAATGACTGACAGGAACACAAAGAGGGAGCTGACCCACAGGTACACATCCACAGCCTTGAGGTAGGACACCTGGGGCATGGAGGCGCTCACAGCAGTGATGATTGTGGACATGGTCAGCACTGTGGTGATTCCTGCCATTTGAGAATAGTGGCAAGCTCAGTGATATAGCCATTCATTTCCAGGATCTGGTGCTGAATCACACCAGGGGATGCATTTCTAGAACAATATCAACCTGGTGATCCAAGAGGAGGGAAGGTGTGTGCATGTTGACCAGCTATATATCTTGAGCCTAAACAAACACTCTCACTGGATTTTTCTGTCTCTTTTTCTTGCCCTTACCCTATTATCCAGAAGGTTTCCTTTCCTCCATTTAAAGGCTTCACAGAAAACAGAGTCTGACTTTTCTGTTTTTCACCCTCAGATGGGCCTCTTCTAAGCATGCCAGAAAGGTAAACATGTATTCAATTTAAAAGAGTATTCTAAAATCATTTCCTCTAACCTTTCCCATTCTTTCACAATTTTTACTGTTTATAACCTGTCTTTATGTCTACATTTAATATTTCATGCTTCCGGGGAGCTTATTTCTTCTTGAAAGATCTTTAGTAGCATTCAAGATTGCTATTCTCTATATTATCCTTTCACAGAAAATACTTAAAAAGCCATTGTTATTCTCTTTGTCGATTGTTAATGAAACTACAGTTCCATTGATTCTGAGTATAAGTGTGCTAGTAGGGGTTCAGTTCATTGTAAACACTTACTTAGCAACAACTAAATTCCATTCACATTTTCCCCTTCCACTCTCTTCCCCATTCCCCTCCTTTCTCCTCCCTTCCCTCCCCCTCTTCCCTTTCCTTCTCTTCCCTTCTTCTCCCTTTCTGCTGCCTTCCCCCTTCCCTTTCCTTTTTTCCCCTCTTCCTTTTACTTCTTTGTTCTCTGGCATGATCATCAGAGGTAAGAAGATCAAGGTTCCAGGGGGAAAATGGAGAACGAAGTGACTCTGAGATCTCCTTAATAAAATGCTGGCCATGAGGAGGGCCATTCAATGTCTACACTAATTTCTCAGAGGGATATTGCCAGAGTACCACCTGGAGAGAAAGTATACAATTGTAAATATTTGAAATGTACACTGGCTGGTATGGTTTTATTTCTTAATTTCCCACCAGGGAGGTGCAAATGGAATCGCTAATGATTTTTATAAGTTGTGAGGACATTGTAATGTCAACAGACAGAGTCTCAAACAGCAGGAAGAGCACTGTGATTTACTCCTAAATGTACAGCCACAGCATGTGGACTGCTTTCACCAACACCTTTCTATCCTTTCTGTAATAATTCTGTTAGGCTCTCATCTGAGAGAGCCCCATATCAAACACAATGACAATTCTATAGAGCCATTCTATTTCAAATAAAGTTTTTAGTTTGTATGATCAAGATCAACACAACTTGGCAATTTGACAGTACCATAGGAGGACTTGGAATCTCACCTTCACACTGATTTGAACTCCAGAATAAGAAACCTAAATGCTATTCCAGCTCTTAACATTGAACACAGACCACTGTCTCATCAAGTCCCAGGTTTCCCCCAACAATGGTACTATCAACGATCTGCATATCAGAGGGTGCTGTCTGTATTCCCTGGCTCTAAAACATACTTGCTACGTAAACATGAAGCAAAGAGTGAACATGAAGCATGGAATTTTATTAAGCATGGAATTTTTATTAACATTACAGGTATAGCTGAAGCCAAGATTATTAAATAAAACCTGCTTGCTTTTATCAAATATTTACCTACCACATATCTAGGTAAATAATTAGCCACACATAACAGAAAACAAATAGAAGCTCAGAGTGGCTAAGGGATTCCCCCATATTTTGTCAGAGCAGAGTGCAAATTCTGTTCAGAGTGCAGAATTATGCCAAGAGGCACAAAGAAGACACTGTGGCTTTCCTGTGCCATACTGACATTTTCAGTATGCCAATGTCTTACTCTGTTCAAGATTTCACTGGCAGGAAGTGAAGGAATCATGAACTAATATTCCCACTTAGGTGCTAACCTCATTAATTTGAATTTTTTTTTTTTTGAGATGGAGTTTTGCTCTTGTCCCCCAGGCTGGAGTGCAGTGGCACGATCTCGGCTCACTGCAACCTCCGCCTCCTGGGTTCAAGTGATTCTCCTGCCTCAGCCTCCTGAGTAGCTGGGATTACAGGCATGCACCACCACCTGGGCTAATTTTGTATTTTTAGTAGAGAGGGGGTTTCTCCATGTTGATTAGGCTGGTCTCAAAATCCCAACCTCAGGTGATCTGCCCCCCTTGGCCTCCCAAAATGCTGGGATTACAGGCATGAGCCACCACGCCCAGCTAAAAAATTTTTAATGTCTTCTCTTATTGGTTTTTTAAGATATAAAACATAGAACTTATTTTTTTTTCATTGTGCAGTAATATGGAGCTTAGCGGACAAAATAAGGATTTTAAACAAACACACAAATGTATATGCCTGATTGGTCTCGTCATGTATTTGAAATTGATAACTACTGGGCAAATAAAAAGGAATTGCGCTATCTATATTTGCCAGAAAGCAATAAACTATTAATCATTTTCTTTAAAAGGGTGCTTAATCCAACTAATTGACAATAGCCTTATTTATTTTAAAACCAGCATTCTAAATTTTCCTTCTTTAAGATGAGTAATTAAAAAAAAAAAAGAATTAGAGTGGAGAGGAGGGATTGTTGGGTAGGGGGAGTGAATGATGAGAAAACTGAGATGTAAATTCCTAAAGCAATAGAACTTGAAGTCAGGAGTATTATAGTTACATTAAATACACTTATTATATCTTGCGCCACCCCTCAAAAATACATTAATCTTGACAAATAGTATTCCTTCCAAACCCATTAAAGTTAATATCCCAATAAAGGAGTTTTGAATTATATGAAGCAACCATTTAGTCAAAGGAAGGTCATGTGTTTGGATTAGAAAATTATCTTCCCCACTACTGATGTTGCTACGCATAGTTAGGAAAGTGTTATGAGAAAATATTTAGTCTGACCCTTTGATTCAATTCCCCTGGGCTCTTGCAGCCTCAACATATTAACTTTTTAAAGATGGGGTCTTAAGAACCCTTTAGTCTGGGGGGAATTAATAATCTTTCAGTTTCATTGGCTATTTTTAGTCATGCATGGTGGAGAGTTTTGTTGACTGATATGATAGCAGTAGGGAAGACAGGCACCACTTATGAACCACTGAGTTTCTTCACCCCCTCAGTAACTGTGTTGCAGGTAGTTCTTTTGAAGGGAGGGGGTGTTTATATTCACCTTCAAGTGAGTAAAAATATTTTTCATATAGGCCTAGGCAGAACGAAAATATTACATGATATGAAGGAAAGGAAGGTGGCTTGACATTCCAACATTGCTCTATGACCAGAAACTGACAACCATTTTCTCATGAAGGTGGTACAAATAACTGTCATTAGAAATTCTCATAATCTCTGTGACCATTAAATAAACTGCTCTTATCCAGTTGCCTAAGTATTCACTTTTCCAAGCATATGACATATCCTCTGTTAGGAGATGATTTTTTCTCTGAGAGTGACTACAGGCCTGAAAACTTCGGTTGTCTTCCTCTGCCATATCTGTTTTCCAGTAAAGGAGCCCATTACTTAATTCATTCTGTAGAGAATGGCATACCTCATGTAGAGGGATCAAGCAAGAACGATGGAGGCAAAGAAAGAAGGAGGGAAGTGGAAATGAGAGGAGAAAGTATAATATTTAAATATCCTTGAACAACTTTATAATTGTCTCACACTCTCCACACCAAATTGAATGGAGAGACATAATCATATTTTTGACCCATCACACATTCCAAGTTATGGTAGCTATTATCTCTTATGAGAATTGCCTAATCACAGTGAATACTTTTATGCTATGCACCCTCTACTGCTCTTTACCTGAAACATGGCAAATGTGGGAGGGTCTTCACCAGCAAATGAATCATCCTTTATCATTTCCAGTTAGCAACGAAAAATATGGTGGTCTAAACACTGGCAACTTAACAACTACGTACTGAATATGAACTATGTGCAGGAGGACACTGTGCTACTCGCTGAAGGAACAACAACAACAACAAAATGGTAATAGTGGTCCTAGTCCTTAAGGAGCTCACATTCTAATAGAGGTCAAAAGATAAGCCACTCCTGTCCCACAGCAAAACATGAAATAGAGGAAGTAAGCTACTTAGGAGATACAGAAAATGCCACGTGTTCAAAGATGAGAGAGACCATGTGTGCTTGGAGTCATCACTGAAGGCTTTCGGCCATGTAGAGATGGCAAGATTTTGACAGAGAAACACAGGTGGGGAGGAGGAGCCAATCATAATGCCGAAGGACACAATTCCAGATTCCATAATTCCAAAGGCTGAAATCCCAAAAGATCAAAATCTCTAAAGTCTAAAATTCTAAAAATCACAGTCTTGAAAGATCAAAATACTGAAAATATTGTTCTAAAAATAATTTTGAAAAATTTAAAAGCTATTTATTTATATTTTAAAAAGGTAATTTATTTAAGAAACATAAAAAAAGACATAACACTTCATAAGCCACTTTACACAGTAAAATAAGGCAATAATAACACATATTTCTGTAAGCATAAACACTCAGGTATACTAACAACAGTTGCACAGGCATAACAGTTATGAGCAGATGAATCATATTGATACAGAAATAGGTCAAAAGGGAAACATATAAATGCATATCACTATGGTGGGTCATTGTGGGCACCCAGCTTTATAACTGTGGTCATCTGAAACACCGTGATGAACAACTTAAGTCTTTTGAGGATCGATCAAAAACCATGATGGTCACCACCACATATGCAGTCACACAAAGAGCTGAGATCTCATGAAATTTTATATTTCACAAATGCAGATGTACAAAAAGGACATGTCTTCATTTATTGAGAAAGTTTCAACATTTTTACATACATGCACAATACTTACACACAAATTTAATGTGATAATGCACTTTCATGGAGCTAAATTTGCAAAAATGCATAATACAAATTAGAACTCTCTAACAGTCTAACTTCTTTATATCTCCACTACTAGAAATGATGCAAAGATGAAATACATAGCATAGCCAATTATAATATAATTCTGACAATTAAAAATAGTAAAAAAAAAACTTAAGAAAAACAGACCAAAAATCAAAAAGAAAATTTCATATATGAAAGTGTATTACAGTGATAGGTTATAGGCAATTGCATGAAGATAGTGCATAGTAACTGGCCTAACATGATGTAATTATCCTGTGATTGTGATTTTTGAGATTTTAGACTTGAGGGATTTAGACTTTAGGGATTTTGATCTTTCAGGATTTCAACATTCAGGATTATGGCATTTGGTATTGTGTCTTTTGAGATTATGATCCAAACCAGTATAATGAATTATATAAACATTTGGAAGATCTCTGTAACTCAGTGAACCAATGTTTTCCAAATGACCAATGCATCAGTGAAAAGTCTATTCAAAGTATGAGATAGACCAATGGATTGTAATCAAAAGTATAAGATAGACCAATGGATTGTAATCTAACAGAGTAGAAAATATTTGTTTCAGATAGCACATTGCAATTAAACTTTAAGGGATTATCACTTGCTGAGTTTTGGTGTAATGTGAAGGGAGGCTATCCACAATTATCTGGAAAGACTATTAAAATACTACTCCCTTTTCAAACTATGTATCTGATGAGGTCAGATTTCTCCCTGTATTTCAACCAAAACCTATTGCAATAGACTGAATGAAGAAACAGAGATAAGAATCCAGCTGCCCTCTATAAAGGTAGACATTAAATATTTGCAAAAATGTTTAAAAATGCCACTCTTCCTACTAAATGTTTTTGTTTTAGAAAAAATAATTATGCTTCATACAATGTTACCATGTTAACTTGTAATGAATTGATTATTCCTAGTTTTAAGTGAATTAATACATATTTTCAAATTCTATTTTAACATCTAATATGGCTAATAATGATAGACACGACCCACAGCAACAAAAGCTCTCTAGTGTCCTCATTAGTTTTTAAGAGTGTAAATGGGTCCTAAGGCCATAGTTTGAGAATCACTGCCAAAGATTAAGAAGGAAATTGAGGTTTCAGATATGAAAGGCTCAACAAACTGGGAGGCCCCGAACAGAATGAGGAAAAGTGAAGAGAATAAGTGGCTTCCCTGCTAACCCATTAAAGTAAGTTATTATTAAGACACCAACAGTATAATGTGAATTAGTTTGAAGGTTCTTTTTTTTCCGTGATGTAAGGGTTTGTCACGAAAAGCTAAATGAGCTTGGGTAATGCATGGGAGTGTACCTAGAAAGGGAAAAGATAAGATTTAAAAGTGAGGATATTTATGCTTCATACTTTCACTCTCTTTCCTTACTATCATCCAGCTACAGGTCTGTTGGCACATGCTTCATCCCTGAAGTCTGGGTTCCCAAGGAAAGACTCGGTTCTAAACAGGCTGAACGCTTGTAGTATCTGAAGGTGAAGTCCAGTATACAACTGAAAGTACCCAAATGGAACATGCTTACATACGGACAGTAGTTGGAATTAAAAAGTTTGTTCCATTTGATAAGAGTCAAAAGTGAGCAGATCCTTGGGAGGGAGTTACTCATACTTAAGGAGTGGAAGAAAAAGCAGGAAAGAGAAAAGGAAAAAAAAGTCTTTGGGAGTAGAAAAAAACTAGACTAGCGGAGAGTATTGAAAGCTAATGCATTGTGTGTGTAGTTGGTTTCATCCAACACTATGGGCCAGGCATCAAGCTAGGCAGTTGACATGATGAAATTAATTAATTCTCCCATTTAATTCTCATAGTGACCTTTAGGAGGTAGTATGAATAATTTCATTTTGCAGATGAGGAAGATGAGGCTGGAACTCTTGACCACTAAAGTTGGTCCTAGATTTGGAGAGGATGCCTAATAATGTCAAATGCTGTGGAGAAGGTGAAGGAAGGAGGCAGAAGAGAAAAGGTAATTGGGACAGATGAATAGGTATTCATAGGGACCTTCCAGAGAATTGGGCAGCTAAGCATTTGCAAAGAGCTAGGGAAGAAGAGGGCAAATTATCTTTGAAAAAAAAGTGAGGGTGGTAGGAAGCAAATCCTGAGAAGGTAACAGTTTTATAGGAATACTACTGTTCTCTTAAAATAATTTTTTTAAAAAGTGGGAGAGGGACACTTCTGATTTGCATGCATTTTACATAAATCTGCATAGCAATTTCCTAACCCTAAGGGATCAGATGTGGTTGCAAGAAGCAGAGAATTTCAAGGATGTCTTAAAAGTGTTTTAGTGTTCCCAATTCACTCCACCCTTCCATGGAAGTAGCTCTTATTGCTGTCATTTTCACAGTATAAGAGCAGAGCAGTCAACTTCAGAAATATGACTGAAAATCATGTTCATAAACGTTTATAGACTGAGTGCTTTCCTCATTGTGTCTAGAGGGCTGGAAATGTGCCCTTGGTCTTGTATTTGGGTCTATGCTGCCACACTGCAGTACTGAGGTTAGGGCACATGCTCTGATGTGAAGAAACAGTTCAAATAATTTAATTACTTATTCAGATGGTATTTTTTCCTTGAAGATATTCAAGTCTCAAATGCTTGTAGATTGAATATTTTAATAGGGAAAGGAGGTGAGCAAATTGTTAATATTAATAATTTATGTCTTTCAAATGATCTTTTGAAGTATGCATATAATTTGTGAACATTAACTTACAAACCACCCTTTCTGGAATGAATTGTGTGATAATTACAATAATTGTAACAATGATTGTAATAATAACAATCTCCTCTCTAGATAGAGCACTACAAATGAAAGAGCAAAATCAGATAAAATGAGGGGGATCAGCCCTGACCAGCAAAAAAGGCAAGTGGGATTATCTCTTGGGTTCTCATTAAGTAACATGTCATCTAAGTGCTTAGCTTGGTATCTTCTACTTTCTAAGATCTCAATAACTGCTAAGTGGGTCTGAAATGGTTCCCATAAATCAGTGTGTGTGACAGAGGCATATAGCATGTTAGACGGTGTAGATAATCAACCCTGTGTAGTGACTTAATGAGGCTGGCAACGTCTCTCCACCTAAAATCTCCTGCCAACTAATATGCCACTGTACCTGAAATTCCACTGTGGTTGATTCTGATTTTGGTCTTTTAGTTAAGTCCTAATTTCTAATCAGTATTCATATTTTCAAATTCAAGCATCCCTTCCACATTCTTGTTAACCCACCAAGGTAATTTGTTATTAATACACTAAGAGTATAGTGTGAATTAGTTTGAAGGTTTTCCTTTCTGTGATGTAAGGGTTTGTCCTGAAAAGCTAAATGGACTTGTATAAAGCATGGGGAGGTTTTCTTAAAAAAGAAAAGAGATAAGCTTTAAAAGTGAGGCTGTTTATGCTTCATAATTTCACCCCCTTTCTTTACTATCACCCAACTGCAGGTCAGTCAGCAAAGACTTCATCCCTAAAATCCGGGTTCCCAAGGAAAGAACTCAATTACAATTTGCCCTTGAGGATGTCAAGATCGATACTGCAACCTGGATGTTCATCTCTGACTATCCCTACTAAACCACCACTCTCTTTTCCTCTCCATGTATGACCCATTTTATTTACCTCCCTTGAACTTTCTCCCATGTTAACATTTTATAAAGATGGGGAAAGATTTACCCAGGGAAACTCTTGCAGGAACAGCTCTTCGGTCAATCCAAAATGAAACCCATGAAAGCATCACCATCAATATGGCTGGGAAATAGGTTTGCAGCACAAAGAAGAAAACATGCCTCCTTAGCACAAAGTTGATGAAAAGCCTATTGTACCAACCTGTGGAAAAAAGCCAAAGTTTTCATTAGAGCAAGCTTCCCCTTAGAAACACTGCACTTAGTGAAATGACCTGCTTCTTTAGACTCCAAGCTCTTGGGGACACGGAATTTGACAAACTCATCTCCATTTAGTTGGGCCTGGCACTCCATCAACATTTGTTCAACCAGCTGAACTGCAGTCTGCTTAATTATTTGACTCAAAGATCCCCTTTAACTTCCAAACCCGCAGTTCAGGGATGAATAGTGGTTATCTTTTGTGGGATGGCCTCTAAAGATCTGTCTCCACAATATATTGTATTGTGGCGTTTCTGCAAGAGGGAAAGTCTTCAATACATGACTAATAATGGCATAAAAGAACCAATAAACCATTTATTAGCTATAACAAATGAAAAAAACATTTAACTGAATGAAAAGATTCAGAGTATGTACTAGGTCATTGGATTTTGACCTGAGATGGAGACAGCTGGGGATTCAAAGGAGAAAGAAAACAGCATCCATAAGCTAGTTTTACAATTTTAAAGTCTCACAAGTACCATAATTTGTGCATGATGAATCTGCAAAAAAGTAACCAACTGATGTTTCTTTGCTTCCTATTGAAATTATATAAACTCACGTTGGTAATATTAACTGCGCTAATTAAAAGCACCATTTGTGGTGACATCCACACACACATTTTGTTCAGGTTTACCTCTCCCATTGACTACAAGGAAGTTTAAAGCCAAATTTTCAGACATCTACAGGACTTCTCTGAGCACCATTCTTTAATGACCACATACACATACCAGGATATATATAATACCTTATCCTTGTTTTTCTTTTTTTTCTCATACATTTCTAATTTATATTACCTTGCTTTATTTCACAATAACTATGTGCTAATCTTGTTAAATCTTTACTAAAATAAGGCAATACATGAGGAAACATGGAAATACATCTTTTCTGAATAAGTAGCAAGATTTTTTTTCTATGATAAATGCTGTTTATTTTCAAATAACATTATTCAAAACACAGGGACTATAGGTCAAAAGTTATAAAATAAAAATCATAGGTATTGCAGAGTTGGAAAACCCTTCTGCTAGTCTCAGCAGTAATTTCTTAGAAACCCAAGACGGCAAACCTATTAGATGGATCACTTAAGTACTTAGGCATTTGGCCTAAGAAATACACCTGGCCAACCCACACTGAACTGGCAGACTCTACTCTTAGAATCCTATTCTCAATGAAATACTCATTATCTTTTTCTTCCTTACCTAGTTCTAAGCTTCTAACAGTCAGTTTATATATGTTCAGGAATACCAAACAATTTTATTACCAGGAGTAATAAAATATACATCACATAGTACATTATAAAGTTAAAATATAAATTATTTTTAAGCTTCTCATTGTCTTGTATCACCTACATCACAGCCCCAATTTATTACTGTGTACCACTGAGAGTTTCAGTGATGGCTGTAGAGTACAATAACAGCTTTCTGACCTTACAACTTTATATAACTACTGTGAGGTTAAAAGAAATAAGGAAAACCTGTGAAAGAAATTCAAAAGAAAGACAGTATTAAGGTATATAGTTTTCTGTTCATTATTAACTTGAAATAAAATTAGTTAACTGCATCCTTTCTTTATTCATAATTTTCTGAAGAACAGTTGTCCTTTTTTTTTTTTTTTGGTGGGGTGGGGGCAGGGTGGAGTAACCAGGAAGTCAAACTGTGGCTCTGTCTTGTGGTTTTAGACTAGGGGTGGTATTTTAGTTGAACCTGCAGGTCATGGGGAGTCCATTTCCCTATCAGGAAAGGTGGTGCTGCCTTGGAACGTTGTGAAGCCTTCATTTTGGGTAGTACAATAAAAAGTCTGATTCTATTTTTGATGTTTGACTGCTAAAAGCTCTCAAGCCCAACTTCTCCTTCTGCCCTACATCTGAGCAAGTTAATAAAAAGCCTAGGTCTCTTTTTGGCACCTGTGAAAAGTTCAAACCATGCATCTTGTCCTACGACAGGCAGCCTTCACCCTAGCTGCACCCCCTAGCTACCATAAAAACCCAAGCCAGTAGCCCCTTCCTGTTTTCTCAAGCCATTTTTCATTTCAGACCTGCTTGGGAGCCTGCCCATCTCTCTCTAGAAAGCCTCATTATGTAAGTAATAAATCACTTCATACCCTTTTGTCATGTGTATGGCATCATCAGTTTTGGCATCTGAACTAAATTTTGGATGGGGACGGGTACATCTGCCTCCATTAGTTTGCCATACAGTAGAAAGAAGAGGAGTTAATAACAGAGAGAAAAAGGCTAGAGAGTTGGCACCCAGGGAAATGGAGGACTGGGCCAGTATTTGGGGAGTCAGTCCCAAGACAAGAATAAAGAAGGTTTTTATACCTAGAGACAGTCACCTTCAATGGCCCTTTGAAAGTAGGCCTTAATACTCTCTATGAAAAGGATCAAAATAATGTGGATGAAAATAGGGTGATGATGACAGCTACTAACTAATATTTATTGAGCCTCTATTATATGGCAGATAACATTCTAAGGTACTTAACTATATGACATCATGTATCCTCACAACCCTATGATATAGAGAGTATTATGAAACCCATTTAAAGATGAGAAAGTTAAGGGTTAGAGAGATTAAGCAACTTGTCCAAGGTCAGGTTGCTAATAAATGATAGAGACAGGGTTTGAACTTAGGCAGTCTGTTTCTACTACTTACACATTCAGCCATTAGATTATGCTATGATAAAGAATAATTATTCAATGCATCCCTTAGGGGCAGGAGTCATTTCTTTTTTCTTTGTAAATTTATAGTGCATGATTTTGAGAATTTTGAGAAAGGGATCAGGAGGCAGAAGCCCTCATCTGCTTGTTAATATTGCCAGGTCGTGGTGATTTTTGAACAGTGGCAACGGTAGTGGTGAAGGCCAAGAAAAAAAAAAAAACACCCTGTTGTTCAGCTGTAAAATGGAAACTAAGGTCCTATAACTATATTTCTGACTCTTATAGCCAGAGTCAGATGTATAGTTTTTCTATACACCTGGGAGTGGTGGTTGTGGCTGGTAGTTGTAAGGATAGGAGTGAAGAAAACAAATCAAAAATTATTTTTGAGGAAGCTAAAATATTTAAACAGGAAACTAGTCTGAAAAAGACACTTGAGTTTGTCAGAAGATTATGTTTAATGATTCGTGGATAATGTGAGGCAGAGCTATCACATGCTCATGAACTAAAATAAGTTTCTAAATGTAATCTTTCCGAAACCTAACTAAGGGATGGTTAAATGAACCCAGATATGATTATTGATTTGATATTTGAATACAACTTCCAAAATGCCTCCCTTCGGCATTTTTCCTACCAATCTCTGTCATTAAAAAAAATGGGTATATTGTAACAAATTAAAAAATACAAGTGTTTTTTGTACCTACTTCTCAGAGGTATCTATTGTTAATCTTTCTAGGCTTTTAACACACACACACACACACACACACACACACACGATATGCACAGATATGTATATAAGCACTCATGCACTCATAAATATGTATACATACATTCTTCAATAACAAATATGGGATTTTTAAAATATATTCTTCCGTAACTTGCTTTTAAAGAATATTAATGTATTATGGATAAGTCTCCTTCTCATGTTACACAAAGCATGTACATTTGAACCTAATTCTAATTTTTTTTCATTTTTCTTAGGAACCAAAATGATATTTCTTAAAAATGTAACTACCTTTGAACGTTAAAGATTTGTAAGTTCATTTTAAAATGCAAGCATCTTTGTAAGCAGTAAGTTTTTCCATGCCAGTATTTTCCTGGCTTTAGAGAGATTCTAAAACATGACCAGAAAAAGATATAAATCAGCTAGTGTTGTAGCTGCCTGGTAGGGCTCAAAAAGTCTGACAAGCACAAATAAAATTATGGTAGAGCAAATGGAATGATTTAGTGGTAAAGTTAGAATTTTGAAGTGAAATTTAACTTCCTGTTAGGAGGACGGTTGGATATATGTTAATGGATAGTTGTGCTTCAAAAGCTAAAGAAATGCCATAATTATTGTATATTTTGCATATGTTCTGTGCATGAGACAATTCTTTTTGATTTCTATGCTTCATATATATTACATTATATTAGCATTAAATGTTGCAAATATCTATTTACAATTTATCATATGCCAAAGTTATTTTTCATTTTAGCAATAGTAAAATGAAAACACATCCTATAAATTATACTTCACATATACCATGCTTCATTGCATACATTCTTTTATTTAAATATTAATTTAATTTAGGATTAAGTAAGAACATTAAAAATCCTGATAAATATATGCCTATATTTATTCATATAGAGAAAGACAAACCGAGAAAAGGAGGAGAAGAAGGAGGAGCAGAAAAATATATCAAAATAATAATATAGTTTATCTCTATGAGGTAGGATTACAAAGAGATTTTCCTTTAAATTTTTCTGAGGTCTCTTCAAATTATCTAACATTTATTCATTCATTCAATAATTAGCCTTTGAGCATCTACTATGAGCCAGGGATATATCAGTGATCAAAACAAATAAATATGTGCTACTTACATAATCAGAAAAGGCAATAAACATGATTAAAATTGAGAGCATCATTTGCTGAATCCCAAGCAATGTAGACAAATAATGGAGTGAAATAGAGAATTTCTTCTGGGTCTAAATAGATAAATAGCTGTTGTTCCTAGAGAATCATTTAACTTCTCTGCAATGTCAACTTCTACTTCTCTCTTAAAGCTGCAGGTTTTAGATACAAACTTGATAACTACTCTCCAAGATCTGAGAACAGAGTGGAGAATCTTTGAGGAGAAGAGACACCACTATCAAGGCAGAGTAGGTAAAGCATTCTAGCCAGGACAGCTCTGAAACTCAGGGACAGCTGTTGGCACACTTTCTGGCTGGCCTAAGCATGGCTGCATTGAATCTGAAGTGGCATTTTATATGGATTCGGCCTAAAATAACCCAGAATATTAATATCCAGAAGGGGAATGATAGTGGAGGGTGAGGAGGGCAGAGGGGAACCGAAGGAGGCTGCTTCCAACTTTAGTCAATGGGGATCACATATAACTTTAAAAGGTGTCTTGGATAAAAGTTGTCAATTCAGAAATATATCTGTCATAGTAAAGAGTACTATATAGGCCCAATTTTGGATAGGTTTTCTGTTTGGGGCAATGATGCACTTTATGGATGGATTCATTCAGCTGATTTTTATTGAGCATCTGTCACGTGCCAAGAACATTCCAGGTGCTGCAGAAGAAATGGTGAGCAAGGCAGACAGATTCCCCACCCTTTTCCTGGTGAGGCACTCACACAACAAAGCAGTCAAATAAACGCATAGTTCAGGTGATGGTAAGTGCTGTGATGACCGAGATAGGGAACGGTGAGAAAGGAAGCCTGTTTTACACGGGGTTGGTTTGGTTAGGAAAGCACTGTTTGAGAAGCTATTTGAACAAAGCTCTGACTGAAATGAGGGAGAAGGGCATGAGAATATTGGGGGAAAGCACCCCAGGCAGAGGGAGGACAAGGCCAAGCAGAGGCCCTGTAGATGGAATGAGGCAGGCAAGCAAAAACGCCAGTGTCGGGAGAGTAGCAGGTGGTGAGGGGCAGAGGAAGTGGGTGAGTCCCACATTAGGCAGGAGACTGATCACGTTGAGAAACTTCAATTTGTTGTAAATGTGATGGAAAGACACTGGAAAGTTTAGAACAGGAAAGAATTGTGAACTTTATGTTCCAAAGAGATTACTCTGTCTGCTGTATTGAGACTGGAGAAGTCAAGAATGGAAGCAAGGCATCTAGTTAGAGGTGGCTGCATGAGTGGGAAAGAAACGATGTATGGAAGGGTGGAGCTTGCTCCCTGTAAAAGGAGAGGAATGATGGTGCTGGCCAAAGGGGACACTCGCTTGGATTCCGGTCTTTTCGCATGTTGTGGTGCTTTGCAAACAGTAGATGTCCAATAAATGCTGATGAATCACCCATGTAAAATGCTGTACCTGTGCTGCTATAGAAAGCTAATCCACTAGATGCACTGAAGTCTTCAATGAAGAACTGAGAAAGGGACATATGTTCTTCAGTATTTAAGGACTTGTTTCCGTGTTTCCAGTATAGCATTAGGTCATCCTCATTGTAGGCATCTAAAACATGAAAATATCAGTCTTGTAAGTGTAATAAGCTCTTGTAAGCTCAATGAGTTCTATAACCATGTCTTATGTGGCTCTGTATCCTTAGTGCCTACTCCAATGACATGTACATATTAGGTGATAAAAATATGTTTGCCAATGGACTGATCATACACACACTTTTAGGAGGAGGAAAAAGAATCTCTAAAAGTTAGACCCTGATGACTAGTATAGTATGGATCTTGTGCCCACACAATGAATTGAAACTCCCCAGATAGCTGCTCCCATATTTGTGTACATTCTCTTAGAGTGTTAAGCCAGGCCTCAGAGTGACACCATAGCATCCCCTCACTGTCACAGGCCTGACTCCAGGCTGTTAGTCCCCATTTGTTTTTAGTTTCCTTGGATGAAATTCCAAAATGGGCCAATCTTACAAGAAATTTTCTAAAGTCAAATAGTGGTATGGAAAATTTCTAATGGAGTTAGGGCGGAGCATCTGTGGAGTAGACATCTGGTGAGATTCCCAGCATTTTAGACACATTTGCAAAAACTGCAGTCAGCTTTTAAGATCTTCTATCAAAAATAGCTGATTGGTAAAAGTGATTGACAGCTCAGATGCCCTGTGATGGGGCTTTGATTAGGGGGTCTATGTCTAGAGTCAGATTTTTCTAGGGAATCCAAGTCTACTTAATGGAGGATTGTGATTCATCTGGGAACGTGAATTCCAGAGCTTTCCAAATGTAGAAAGTCTGTGTCAGTCTATGTAACAACAGTAGCAAGAATAGACTTTTTAGGGAGCTGTTCCTTTATTGTGGAAACTACAGAATATGCAATTATCAAAACACTTTTCCCCTGAACCTTCTCCTTTAACAGACAAACTGCCATCAACCTTCATAAAAAACAGAAACCAAAAAAAAAAAAAAAAAAAAGAAGCCACAATTGTTTCAGTTTTGGATAAATATATCAGTATTTTAAAATGTTTGTTAAGAGCATGCTTATTTACATGTAAGTATGTGATGGTGTGTTCAAATGATGTGCACTCACTCCACCAGGAAGTGAGACTTACAGCTTTCCAGTTCAAGAGAACAATTTTGAGTGTCAAGAGGAAACCTGCTGAAATCCATAAAGCACATGGCCGAAACCGTTATCCTATAAAAAGAATGAGAAAAAGAAAACTGCAGATCATTTAACCATCTGGCCAAATGAGCATGCAACATTGAAGCTTTCTTACTGTTTGCTGGTTCTGTGTGTCTTTCAAGAATAATGCAAAACAGGCAGTATTATCTTCTGTCCAAATGACATGCAAGGAAGCAAACTCAGGAGGGTAGATGATTTTCTTAAGACACAGAGTCAATGAGTGAATTCAGCTCTCATACCTTGCTTCTGAGTTCACCATTTCCTGATCAGCCCCCTCAGTATTTTCTGGCTCTGATGTCTCCAGAAAAACACTCTTCAAAGTGAGAGACTTTTAAATAGATTTAAATATTTTTTGCTTTCTGGAAGATCCACACATAAATAGTCTGTAGTAACAAAGGGTTGGAATGGTGGCAATAAAAACCTGAAGTTAAAGGTTTCCTTCACAAAGCAAGTTTACCCGAGGATATTCTCTTTCCAGTAGTGAGTGAAAAGCCTGGAGCATTCTTAGTTATAGATCTATGTGCACAATGCATAATTCAGGTACTATTAAGCCAAAAGGCTTGCATACTGATGAGAACGGTTTTTTCAAATTTTATATCCTCCTAGATTTTCCTGGCTTCAGGCAGAGGCTGCTGTACTATGATCTTGCCTCAAAGTAGAAACTTTGGTACCCACAATAGCAGATCAGAGGTTCATAAAGGGCCCCTGAGCAGGTTTGCAAAAAACAAAGGCAACAGATGCTCCTACCTGTGGTGCCCTTGAGTTAACCAGAGGAGTAGGGACATTTTGTCTGCTGTGGGCTAATTCTATTGTCAATAGTCATGCAACAAAACATCAAGCCAAGGATTCATTTTGGTGTATTCCTAGTACTTTAAACCTAGAAAGGACCCTCCGAGGTGTTTCAGTTCATTTCCTTCATAGTACATGTGAGTGACTTAATGACCAAAGAGGCTAGGTGGCTAGGTAGTGTCAGAACCAAGCTGGAACCAGGGGATCTGGCTCTGGGCTTGGATTGGCTCTGCTGTTGGCTGGAAGAGCTGTGCTGACAACAATTTTGAGTTCCTCCTGTGTTAGAGGATCTCCAAGATCACTCTCAGGGTCAGAGATTCACTAGAATGACTCGCAGAACCCAGCAAAGCTGTTGTACTCTTGGTTACCTATATTATAATGAAAGGACACAGATGAAAATCAACAGTAGAAAAGAGGCACAGGGCAGAGTCCAGGAGAGACCAGGAACACATTTCCAGTTGTCCTCTCCTAATGGAGTTATGTGGATGGCGCTTAATTCTCTCAGCAATGATATGTGCCAACACCCTGGGGACATTATCAACTAAGGAAGCTCACCCAAGCCTTGGTATCTACACTTTCAACTGAGAGTAGCCACATAGTAATGACTGACCACCCACATGGCTGACCTTAGTCTCCAGCCCCCTCCAGAGGTCAAGCTGATATCTAGTAGCTCAAAGTCTCCACCGTAAATCACATTGTTAGCAGAAACCATCTGGCTTGGCCCCCGGACCCAAAGTAAACAAAGATACTCTCATCACTTAGGATATTCCAAGGGGTTAGAGGTTACCCTGCAAGAGCCTGGCTAGGGCCAAATATTTCCTGGAATGTGCAGGGTAAGAAAAATCCACTGAGTTAATTATTTACTGGACCTCCCCCCACCAAAATTAATTTAAAACAATTGATTCTTTGTCCAGATAGTGTCGTTCTGCTCCTGATTCCTGTTGAGACTTGACTCCAGTATGTATGAGTCCTATGCTACTCCTGACTTAAAAGTCCTATTGAGGCCAGGCACCATGGCTCACACCTGTAACGCCAGTACTTTGGGGGGCCGAGGCGGGCAGATCATTTGAGGTCAGGAGTTCGAGACCAGCCTGGCAAACATGGTGAAACCTTGTCTCTACTAAAAATAGAAAAATTAGCTGGGCATGGTGGCAGGCACCTGTGACCCCAGCTACTCAGGAGGCTGAGGCAGGAGAATCGCTTGAACCCAGAAGGCAGAGGCTGCAGTGAGCTGAGATTGTGCCACTGCACCCCAGCCTGGGTGACACAGTGAGGCCCTGTTCCTCCCCCAACCCCCCCAAAAAACCCATTGAAAGTGATATTTTCCTTTAATTGCATTTTAAGAACATTGACAGCACTTATAAAATGCCTGGCAACAGCTCTGTGCCGAAGTGGTTAAGGTATTTTTAACGAGCAAAAATAATCTGTATGAGTTTCCTACTGCTGCTGTAACAAATTACTACAAATCTGGTGGTTTAATACAACAGAAATTTATTCTCTCACAGATTTGGAGGCCAGAACTCTGAAATCAGTATCATGGAGCTGAAATCAAAGTGTCATAAAGGCCCTTCACTCTTAGCTCTAGGGGGAAAATCCATGTGTCCTATAGCTTCTGGTGGCTGCCAACATTCCTTGACTTATGACCACATTGCCTACTCTTCTTTTGTATGCATGAAATTGTCCTCTACCTTTCTATTATAAGCATACTTTTGATTGCATTTAAGTCCCAACCAGATAATCCAGATAATTTCTTCCCTATTTCAAGATCCTTAACTTAATCACGTCTGCAAGGATTTTTTTTTCTTTTTTGGTCATATATGATAAGCTTCACAGGTTCCAGGAATTAGGACATGGATATCTTTTGGGGTATCATTTCTTCACCCTACTTTAGAATTTTTCTAAGGTTTGTAGGACATTAAAAAAAGCTGAGTTGCTTGGGTTTACCAAACATTTTTAGAATTATCCATGATAAGCCACTCAATATGCACAGAACTC
Organism: Homo sapiens; assembly: GCF_000001405.40. NCBI lineage: Eukaryota > Metazoa > Chordata > Mammalia > Primates > Hominidae > Homo > Homo sapiens. The sequence goes on from NC_000003.12 coordinate 98,011,811, forward strand.
ATTTGACTAAAAGAAAATATGGAACATTAAAAAGGGAGGACTGTTATAGCAAAGTGTTGGAATGCACATTTTAAAATTAAAAGAAAAGAAAAAGAGAGCAAATTGGTGTTAGCTTGAATGATAGCCATGCCTTCCCATGAAAAATGAAGGAGACAACTAAGAAAAGTTATTTAGCTAATCCAAGGTTCCAAAACTGCTTGGTGGGGTGCCAGGGTGGGGTGGAGTTGGTGAGGAGGAAAACAGGCTTGTTTACTTATAATATTGTGTGCCAGATTTTAGGATTTCCATAATTCAGCTCATTCTATTTGTCCAATCGACATATACCCAGAGTGGGTAGAGTTAGAATAGAAAATCATTTTTTAAAATCTGGATGTTAGAACCAGGGGAAAATCACATCTTATGCTTGTGTCCCAATCTCCAGCAGCATTAAACAGACAGCAACATTGTGAGTTTCATCTGAAATAAGCATCATCAGCTTTGGTGCAGATGGCTGCAGTACAGGGAAGCCAAAGGCGATAGGCAGCTTTCCTTACCTGAGACTTAGGAGGACGTTTCCATCAGGGTGTACGCGCAGCATGATATTCTCCATAGTTGTATCATGGATGAAGGATCTTTTAGAGTGGACAAAAAAGATATCAGGCACCCAGATCTTTCTGGTCAATCTATGATCAAATGTCATGCTTTTGTTTGCTGTGCTAGGAAAGGAGAGCCTCTCGTCTTTCCAGTAATGCCTGAGATAAAAAGTCATTGTAAAGTCCTAGACAGAGAGAAAAAGAGACCAAAAAAACCAGTAGGAATATGGTTCAGGATGACCACTCAACACTGTTAGTCCCAGGACTCATTCCTATGGTGTTAATGACTTTTAAGTGAATGGTTAATATTGTAGTTTCAAGTAGATCTAGGATGAAGCTAAGGAGGTTATGCTTTGAGCTTCTCCTTCACATGGAGCCTAGTGAACGTTGAGAATTTCTGGGAGTTATAATAGAATATTCAAGTTGGGGAAGGGGAACCAGGTTATAAATGGGAAGCATTTCTGTGTAAGCATTCTGGTAAATAACCTAAAGAGATTTCAGAAGAAAGGAACCTGAAACTTTACTATTTTATTGTCCATTATTTTATTGTGACTTCCTTTTTTATTCTAAATCACTTTTAAAACTGATTTTGTATTGATACTCATGTTATTTTTGTTAAAGAAGTTTTCCCAAATCGAATAAACTACAGTCCCATAAAAACATGGATACAGTGTTTATTAGAGCTATTCGTGTAAAGCAAGTTGTCAGAAGTCCTGGGACAGAGACAGAATCATCCTCAGCTTGAGAGATAGAAAGCATATTGTGAAATGGTAGTTCTCAAAGTTTAGTGTGCAAAGACTGACTTTTGAAGTTTGTTGAAATGGCACATTTCCCAGAAGCTAGTTCTCAGAGATTCTGATTCAGTATGGCTCAGGGATTTGAATTGTTACTGTTTATTCTTACATTGTAAGAATGTATTGATGAGAGGAAAAAACTGTACTAGCATTATATTAGAAAAAACAGTTTATTTAGTTAATAATTTGAGTTTTGTTTGGCTCTCAGATGTTCCAAATATTTGGTTGTTTGAATAGAAACTCCCCCAGCTTCATCCAAATTATTGGCTGTTGGACAATTACAATTTCTTACTTCCTACTATTTTGCAATTGCTTACTTCTTACTATTTCACAATTGCTTACTTCTTACTATCTTTTTTTCCAACACTAATCAAATTTTTCTTGAACCATTGCATATCATAGAACTTTGGCATTTATTATACAAACAAAGGATACATTTCAGTAAACTCTGAATGAGTCACCAATTAATTATGAGCTAGTTTGTCCTAGGTTCAGAATAGAGCTATACTGATTTATGGCTCTGGATTAATCTAGGAACATTAGCCATGTGTAATTTTGAATTAGGGTGAGGGCAAATAAACAGAATGGTTGCTTCATTAACATAATACAAGGAATTGTGTGGGTTACTGCACAGAGAGCCTTAATAAGCATATATTTAGAATTAGATGCTCAGTGTGATCTGAAGTTCACTGGGCAAACACTGAGTTTATGCAGTCAAATAGCAGACGTTGGTGCATGTCTGTGATATAGCAAGTCACCACACGCTGGCACTATCAGGAGCAGGCCAAACAGCATTCTGGGAGGAGGGTGAGACAAATCTTAAATAGATCAAAAGTGAAGTTAGGGCGGATGAGAGAGTAGAAAGATGATAAATGAGAAGCAAAAACAAATAAACAAACCAACAAAAAAACCAACACTAGGGGGAAGGGTGAATCACTGACAATCAGAAAGCATTTTCAAACTGGGCATGTGAACCCAGTCCAGTTTTATCTGATACGGACTAGCACAGCTAACCTTATTCAGGAGGTAAAGATGATGTCCAGTTCTGGGTGCTGCTGGTTAGAAACAATAAGGACTTTAGATGCAAACTGGGTCATTCAGAAATGACTTGAATAATACGCCAGGAGAGGGGAAATAAAAGCTTGTTCTCAGAGCACAACAGGCTTGGGGAAGTATCATTCAGAAATGACTTGGATAATATGTCATTCAGAAATGACTTGGATAATATTCCAGGAAAGGGGAAATAAAAGCTTGTTCTCAGAGCACAACAGGCTTGGGGAAGTATCAGTAAAAGAGCTGCCTTTGGGTAAGAAAGGGGCAAAATCTTCTAAACCAATCTTTTTTGAGTAGCGAGTCCTATTAGTGCTATTCCCTTTTGCAGGAGAATGGCAAATGAATCTTTAAGACTTACATTGAGCTGAAATAAATATTGAATTAGATAATGATAAGGATGAGGCAGACCATTAGCTGAAGAGTTTACAGACTGAAACAAGGTGTAATGGGTCATAGAAGATTTTGTTTAGAACTTTCTAGAATTTTTATGTGTTCTGAACTTTTAGTGATTTGGAGGAATCACTATAAATAAAAATATGAATTAAGGATATAGATGAAAAGATTATTTGATTTTAGTGATTGATATTTTCTAGGTCCCTCCCTCAACAGATCCCTGTTTGTTCACTTTGTCTCTCTCTTTTTATCTTTAATTGCAGTATTTGCATTATTACAAAAATAATACACAGAATCTAAATTTTAAATTTTAACACTCTGAAAATCACTATATAAGCTACAGTTTATGTATCAACAATACTTATTCTAAAGCATATATAAAAACAACTTTTGAAAGTTTTATAAGAACACACATGTAAAATATTCCAGAAAATGGAATGAAATTCAAGGATTCATGTACGTAAAAATGGCCATCAAATGAGTGGATTGGATAAACAACAAACTAAATCTTTTCAGATGGAAAATGGAGTTTGAAAAGAAAATAACTTAACTTTTCCCAATCATGGAAGAGCTACTCCTTGGTTTTATTAAAAAGAGTCTCACTCTGCCACCCAGGATTAATTGCAGTGGTGTGATCTTGGTTCAGTATAACCTCCACCTCCCAGGTTCAAGTTATTTTCCTGCCTCAACCTACTGAGTAGCTGGGACTACAGGGATGTGCCACCACACCCAGCTAATTTTTTTTGTATTTTCAGTAGAAACAGGGTTTCCTCATGTTGGCCAGGCTGGTCTCGAACTCCTGACCTCAAATGATCTGGCCACCTTGGCCTCCCGAAGTGCTGGGATTATAGGCATGAGCCACTGCTCTTGGCCCAAACATTAAATTGTTTACTACTTTGGGTAGAATGGAGATAAAAAACTAAAATTCAAACCAAATACAAAATTGAAACCAAACCAAAACATATTCATAAGCTGCATCTTACTAGTAGGTACCAGTTAGGGCCTTTATCATTAACTCCTGAAAGTGGTGTAGTATTGAAAGAAAAGGAAAGAGATCCATCTAAAGAGGATGACGGAAAAGATAGCAATTGAGGACAAAGAAATGAGATGGAAAAAGCAATTTAAATATAAAGACACATAGCCATTGGGTAAGAACACGTGATAGAGTTTGGATGTTTGTTCCCTCCAAATGTTGTGTTGGAATTTGATACCCAGTGTTGGAGGTGGGGCTTGAAGGGAGGTGTATTAGTCCATTTTCACACTGCTATAGAGAACTACCTGAGACTGTGTAATTTATAAAGAAAAGAGGTTTAATTGACTCACAGTTCTGCATGGCTGGGGAGGCCTCACGAAACTTACAACCACGGCAGAAGGCAAAGGGGAAGAAAGCACCTTCTTCACAGGGCAGCAGGAGAGAGAGCATGTGCAGGGGAAACTGCCACTTTCAAATAATCAGGTCTCATGAGAACTCTTTCACTATCACAAGAACAGCATGGGGGAAACTGCCCCCATGATCAAATCACCTCCCACAAGGTCCCTCCCTCAACATGTCAAGATGAGATTTGGGTGGGGAACACAGAGCCAAACCATATCAGGAGGTATTTAGGTCTTGACGGCAGATCCTTCAGGAATAGCTTGGAGCCATCTTCTTAGTAATGAATGAGTTCTCAATTATTTCCCATGACAGTCTTCTCCCTTCTTCACCCCTGCCACCTGGAGCTGGTTGTTGAAAGAACCTAGTACCTCCCCCACCCCCCATTCCTCCTTCTCTTGCCATGTGATGCCTGCTCCCGTTCACCTTCCACCATGAGTAGAAGCTTCCTGAGGCCCTCACCAGGAGCAGATGGCGGTGTCATGCTCCTTGTATGGCCTGCAGAACCATGGGCCAAGCAAACCTCTTTTCTTTATAAACTGCCCAGCCTCAGGTATTCCTTTACTGTAACACAAACAGACTAAGACAACAAGGAAACAGGTGCTGAAAATTTGAAGCTGTAAAGGCACCCTTTATTTGGGATAGAAAAACAAACTGAAGGGGGCTCAACCAAACTCTGAAACTACATTAACAAATTAATAGATCAAGAGTGAGTAAAAAGGAAATATATCTGAAAACAAATATGTAGGTGCTTGTATGTATAAGCTAGCAATGTTATTAACTATTCTTAGAGCAAAAAAACTGAAAAACCTAAAATCACTTAAATGAAAAATGTCTCTGGTAATTATGTAAACAAGGAAAGTGGTCCTAAATTGGGAATAGAGAAAATAAAATGGAAAATTACGGTTGATAATATTAAAACATAAAAATAGCCAAAGTGATTAAGGGACGGGAAGAAGAAACAGAAAAGCAAGGCATGCAAAATGTCATAGAAGACAGAAAAAGGCTAACAGGAAGCTTGAAGATAAGGGATCAGTTTCAAGTTTTATGGATATTTCATAGAGTGAATAATACTCTAGGAAAATACAGATGTTTCATTGCAAAATTAAATAATGGCAGTCTTTTTTAGATTTCTAGAAAAATATAAGGGAGTAGACAAATTTTTAATTAAATTTTTAGTCCCATGAACTTAAAAAAATTCTTTGTCCTCTGCTACTGGTTGTCTACAGATAAGCAAAATTAATATCATTTGATATATTTGAAAGCAGTCCATCAATGCTGGTTCAACTGTTTATTATTTTACAGGCAAGGACTCATGATTCGGATTTCATATCGCACATATAGTATGGTCATCCTTCTGTTTATACAATTGTTCCCAGTTCTTGCTACATTGGTAAATATATCATGATGTTCTACAGTGTTCCACCACTAGAAATCCATTAGAAGGAAAATAGAAGAGTAGAAAAGGAATGAGAATTCTAATCAAGGTTAGAATGAAGAGGATGGAAGAGAGCACAGCAATCATGACCCTATGATTAATCAAAGTAGGAGACATAAATAACATACATAATTAAAATGATTTATTAAAACACTAGTGATTTTGACACTGCCGAGTTTCTGTCTTTTCAGAAAAAGAGCAATATCCCATGAAGAAACTTACCATGTTAGTCTCTGAAATGCTGTCAATGCTTTCAACATGGACATCTATACCTACTGGCACTGGAGACCCTTAAGAAAGAAGAATGGTTAATATGCTGAGGAATGCATTATAATCATTTTAAAACCATTTAAAACAGAGAGATTAATTCTCTTGGACAGCAACTGAATTACTGTTAAAGTTTTTTTAAACAACAAATTTCTCCATTATTCATTGAATCAGTTATTATATACTCAATTATTATAATAAAGGCACATGTGTAAATAAATGGTATTCTAATAATCATTACTCATTTGCTTGGGATCATGCCAATAATTTCCTCCTCTAGTATAAGAGTGGTGCCTCCAGTTTTCTTTTTTTTTTTTTTTTAGTTTTTTATTCTTTTTACCTACTAGTGATTTAAAAAGGAAAAGTGTTTTGAAAACATGTCTTAAGAGTATGTAGAATTATGTACTCTTAAGTACAAATATGGTAATGGTCATATCTCATAGTCAGGGAGTGTCATAGAATCCTTGACGTGGGCAATGTTGGGACCTTTTCTCTGGTGTCAAAAATATCAGCCTTTTCCATTTGTGCTGTGGTTGGTGGAGTAGAGGAACACAGAGAAAATTTTATTGAGACTAAAAGTACAGTGCCACACAGGGACAACACAGATCAGATTCCGAAGTGTCCCTTTGCAGATCAGCAGCAACCACAGGCTGCATTTGTGAAGAAGCAAATATCCTTAGAAATCCATTTAATGAGAAAATACTGAGAGTAGAATTGGAGCAATTTCAGACAGAGCACTGCTGACACTTGTACAGTTGAGTCACCCAGAATCAGGTTCATGGGCCCAGAAAACCTGAATGACAACCAACAGAATCCAGACTAGACTGACATTTCCTAGTTACACCTAACAAACGATTTCACCACTTCCAGTGTGAGTCGAAATTGATGTTAGTAACATCAACATTTAGTTTTGCGATGGAAATTTTATGTACATATGTGTTAAAATAATTTATATATTTATATATGTAGTCTTTTATATGTTCTCTTTCCATATAAGCCATTCTCGATTAAACCTTATTGTCTCTATAGTCCTGAGTTTTAAAAAATGTTTTCAATTATGGTTGAGAAAATATAAATCCTGCCTAAATGGATCCAAGCTGGTTGTTTTAATCGAGATTCAAAGATTTAGGCCGGGCGTGGTGGCTCACTCCTGTTATCCCAGCACTTTGGCAGGCCGAGGTGGACGGATCACTTGAGGACAGGAGTTTGAGACCAGCTTCACCAACATGGTGAAACCCCGTCTCTACTAAAAATACAAAAATTAGCCAGGCGTGATGGTGTGTGCTTGTAATTCCAGCTACTCGGAAGACTGACGCATGAGAATTGCTTGAATGCAGGAGGCAGGGGCTGCAGTGAGCTGAGATGGCGCCCCTGCACTCCAGTCTGGGTGACAGAGCTAGACTCTCTCTCAAAAAAAAAAAGAAAAAGAAAAAAGAAAAGAAAAGAAAGGAAAACAAAAGAAAAGAAGATAAAAGAAACAAAGAAAGATTTAGAGGAGTCAAGTCTGAAAAGCTTCCTTAATGAGGCTGAGGCTACGTAATGCCTGGATGTGCTACATGGGACAGGCGTGCCTATAATTCGACAGCCCTTTAAATGCATAATACTATAGAAACCCAAGGTATGTCTTGCCAGTCCTGTATCTTTTCTGTGACTGCCCCAGGAATTAACTGATGTCACCTTCACTTTATTAACAAATTCCCTTTTTTGGATCCTCAAATCCATGCCCTCGGTATCATTTTTTTACTTTCAAGGGTTTCAGGTGGCCAGGCACAGGGATGGCATGCAAATATATTCCTGCTTCAGGCTTCTGGAATACCTCAGTTACATCTTAACTACCATCTTCTTCCTGACATATTGGATCAATTACTATATACCCTATAACACTAATTATGACTTTTTTTTTTGAGACAGAGTTTCACTCCGTCGCCCAGGCTGGAGGGCAGTGGCACGATCTTGGCTCACTGCAACCTCTGCCTCCTGGGTTCAAGTGATTCTTGTGCCTCAACCTCCTGAGTAGCTGGGATTAGAGGCATGTGTCACCATGCCCAGCTAATTTTGTTCACCACGTTGGCTAGGCTGGTCTCAAACTCCTGACCTCAGGTGATCTGCCCGCCTAGGCCTCCTAAAGTGCTGGGATTACAGGCATGAATCACTGCACCTGGCCAAATTATGACAATTTTTAAATAGTGTTTAATGGTGATTTTGATTAAGCATTAACTTGGGAACATCTCACTATTATTCCTTCATAGGGTTTGGCTCTGGTGCTTTTTTACGTGTGTGTGCCTTTTTTCTTGGAATTAGTAGAATAATCAAAATAACAATTCACGAAAATATCTTTGCCATGGCTCTACCTGGTATTTTAGATTGAGTAAATCTTCCCAATAATTCCAAAACTCCAAGGGAAGAAAAAATTTGAAAAGGTCTTGGAGGAGCGGCAGAATGTCCCAAATGAAGTTCTAGCATGAAAGTCACTTAGGCTAGAGTTTGAAACCAGCTCCACAATTGTTATGTGAATGAGAGTAAGTAATGTCTCTAAGCTCAGTTTACCTGATTTATAAAATTTGTCTAGTAATACTTACCTTGGAGACTCATTTGAGGACTAGACATAGTACAGTTACTGAACTTAATTTGTAGTCAATAAATGGCATATAATAAATGTTATCACTACTGCAATTAAGCAAAAATATAAACCTGCCCCTTAGGAATGTAAGCCACTACTCCCAATCCTACGCACATTTAGATAATGAGTCCAATCTTCAAAAAAAAAAAAAAAAAAGGAAAAGAAAAAGATACAGTGCTTCTCATCATTTATTTATTTTTTTAAATCAGAGAGCAACTTGCAGCTAGTACCTCATGATTTATAAATAGATCCTAGTTGCTGACAACTGTCTCTACAAGCCTGGGGACAGTCTTGTAAAACTACCCTCCAAGGACCTATTTATGCCACTGTTGCCCAAGCACTGGAGCCTAAAGGTTGTTTGAAGGCTGATCTGAGATCGGGGTTAAAACATAGCTTGTCTATTAGGAATGGGTTTCTGGAAATACCTTCGATTTCTTCCTTTCGTCCTCCAGATTTATACTGGTTCTGGTGGGGATAAGCTCTTCCATTTGCAAGGAAAATGTATGCCCTTGGGTGCCGTCTGGCCTCATTTCTTTTTCTTTTTCTTTTTCTTTTTTTTTTTTTTTTTGAGATGGAGTCTCACTCAGGCTGGAGTGCAGTGGTGTAATCTCGGCTCACGGCAACCTCCACCTCCTGGGTTCAAGCGATTCTCTGGCCTCAGCCTCCTGAGGAGCTGGGATTACAGGCATGCACTACCACCCCTGGATAATTTTTTTTTTATTTTTAGTAGAGACTGGGTTTCATCATGTTGGTCAGGCTGGTCTCGAACTCCTGACCTCAAATGATCCGCCTGCTTCGGCCTCCCAAAGTGCTGGGATTACAGGCGTGAGCCACTGCACCAGGCCGTCATTTCTGCCTGGTTTGAGCTCCATGTCCCACTGCACCTTATTCATGGGTTTGAGGAACTGTATTACGCTCTAGCATTCTTGAGGATAGAGTAGAGAGTGAGCAGCATGTAAAGCCAAAACGCAGAATCAGAGTTTGGGAGCCAGATAAAAGCTCCAAAGATCGTTCTTTTTACAAAAAAGGAGCTGAGTCACAGATAGAAGGTGGCAATAAAGCATATGGATTCAAATCCATGGAATTTGTAGCCATATAAACCTGAGTTAGTACCAAACTTCTGTAAATACCTCAACTCCTCATGTAATCTGTAAAACAGAACTAAATATATGGTACCTACTTTTTGGGTTGCTGTGATTATGTGAAAGGAAGCTTGTCAAGTCCTTAGCCTAACCCCATTCAGATGTATTAAAACCAACTTACATGTTATCTATCTATTGGATCAGTAATAAATGTAACAGTGTAAATAATAATTTTTAGATAATTTTATTAATTCAGTACCTAAAGCATTTAAAATATAGTGAAAATTAAATAAATATTAACCATTACGATGATTGTGTTGATTTCTCAGGATCACTAACTAGGTAGTAGCACACACATTTATAATCCTTTTTGTATATGGCAAGATATAGCATCTATTTGGTTTTTATGCAGGCTGGAATAATGAGGGCTAAATAAAAGTTATACATCTGATTTGTATAATGCATTTAAAGTTCATTATATAATATATCATCTAATCTTTTAATTATAGCTGCTTTGTTAGCTAGAGAGAGCTGATTTTAGCTCCTCTTGACACGAGGGAGTGCATACTCAGAGAGGTTACAACACGTGCCTGAAACCCAAAGTTAGTTAATGATAGGAAAGTAGCCAGATCCTTCTGACTCACAGTATAGTCCTCTCCTTTGACAAGCAAAGACTGTGCAAGCAGCTTTTATAACTTTAGCTTTTGTCTTGACTCTGTAGCCAGTATCTGCATACTGAAATGATTTCACTTTGAAGAAACAAAGAAATTATCATCTATAAAACTAAAACAAAAAAGCCCTTAGTTATGGGAGACGTAAAAGGTGGGGAAAACATAAATAAAGAAAATGAGCTGCAATTTATAACCCAAGTTAAACAAAAAGCTCCCCTAAATTTATATCCTCCTGTTTCCACATAATGAGTCAATTAATCTTCTAATGCTTTATAAAAGTAAAAAACACTGCAGTAGCAGCTGGTTTTAATGTTAAAGCTAATTAGGAAGACACATTAAGGCAAGAGAAGTGCTGAAGTTAACATTTAGCTCAAGAGGGAAAAAGTATGTGCGTGTGTTTGTGTTGCGGACAAGCATAAAGAAAGAAGATAAATTAAAGCTTGTCTTTTATATTCTGCAGTCTGATTTCCCCAAGGAAGGCAGCCATGAGAACAGAGAAATGGGTCACTGGTATAAGAAGCTGTTCTGACCAAGACAGGCAAGAGAAGGTTAAGGGGTGTCTTTCACAGAGCTACCAGACTGACACTTCTGACTGAATTTATGAAGATTTTTCGGCTCAAACTGACTAATCACACAAGCCATTTGGACACCATTTCACCCCAGTATATGATTGTCAGAAAAATTTCTTAATCATGGGATGATTTGCCGCCTGCCACTAAGTAGCACATTTCAATTGCATTTTTAACAACCCTACGAAGTCGCCTCGGGAAAGAAAGTATTTTTAAAAAAATGCATTTTCATTTAAAAAAAATCTTTAAATGTATCTCTAACAGATCAAGCACAGTGGAAATTTCAGGTCAATTTCATGTTTTTCTGGACGGGGGGAGGACGAGGTAGGGATGGAGAATGAAGGCATACATGTTTTAAGATAAGAGAGGAGAGTTGGCTCTCCGTCATCTACAGGAGTGCTTCTCAAACTGTAAGGTTTAGGGGAATCACTGCAGAGTTTTATTTAGAATCCTGAGTTGGGGCCCGTGCATCTGCATTTCTAACTCCCAGGTGATTCTGCGGCTGGTCCATGGACCACTTTGAGTGTCAAAGCCTCTCTAGACCGCACTTGGTTCAAGGTCTACATTCAAGGATAGTCATTTTTCTCTCAATCTTTCTTCCTTTACATGGCCTCAAATAATCTCCATAAAAACCCTTTCCTCTAGGATAGGAGCGAGTTTAACTGAGAAATCTAACCTGACATGAATTAGGGCAGGTTTTTGAATTCGTGTTGAAAAGAGCTTCCAACTGTGGCTCCGGAGTGGCCAGTTTCAAGCCATTCCTGTGTGACTGGCGCCCCCTGGTGGCCGAAAACCCAGGGACAGGCAAATGTATCGACTGAAGATTCCTGCTTGTTATATGGTGGTAGGGGAAATATTTTAAAGATCTTTTATAGAATCACAGGGACCAAGGTACAAAATATCTGCGTAGTAGTTGTAGAACCTATTATATAAACTTTGGGAAAATTTGGCTGGGGAAACACAGTTGAGAACGGTCGTAAGGAAGATACATAAGAGAAGTAGTGAAGAAAAGTAAAAAAAGATAAAGAAATAGTCTCAGAAGAAAAAAAGAGACATATTTCTAAACCTGCTTCATCTCAAGGCTTCTGAAATCTTAAATTATGATTCAATAAGTGTGAAAAATGCTCTGCAAAACAAAAAATTAAACTCACCATGATTTCATCTGATGCTGATCACCTAATACAGTGATCACCTAATACAGCGATTCTCTGGCCTCAGCCTCCCGAGGAGCTCTCAAATTGTGATTCTCAGACCAGCAGCATCACCTAGGAATTTGTTAGAAACGCAAATGGTTGGCCCCACCCAGATCTAGTGGGTCAGAGACTCTGGGGGTGGAACCCAGTAAGCTGTGCCTTCAGAACCCCCAGGTGATCCTGATGCTCACCAAAGTCTGAGTCACAAATGTGATGAAATCAAGGTTAGACCCTTAGAATTGGCCGGGTGTGGTGGCTTACACCTGTAATCCCAGCACTCTGGGAGGCCGAGGTGGGTGGATCACCTGAAGTCAGGAGTTTGAGAACAACCTGACCAACAGGGTGAAACCCTCTCTCTACTAAAACATGCAACAATTAGCTTGGCCTGGTTTCACGTGCCTGTAATCCCAGCTACTTGGGAGGCTGAGGCTGGAGAATCACTTGAATCTGGGAAGTGGAGGATGCAGTGAGCCGAGATCGCGCCACTGCATGCCAGCAATCCAGCCTGGGTGACAGAGTGAGACTCCGTCTCAAAAAAAAAAAAAAAAAAAAAAAAGAACAGGAACCACATGGATTTCAGGAAATTGAAAAAACAAACAACCACCCCCTAAAAAAATCCAATCCTCAACGTGAGAATATTTAACATACGTTTTTGTTTTGCCTGTTAACAAATTAGTTCTCTGCAGTACCTACATGCCTATTGTGCTTCCCTTGGTCATAACCACATCATGAGAAGAGTATCCCCCGCCCTGAACACTTGCGGTATTCGTTATTCATCAGAAGGCTGTATCTGTTATACTGCCAGAGGATCTTTCTTCTCACCCTCATCCATACTTCCCTCATCTCCACATCTCTAGGATTCTCAAAAGTTGTCAGTTCAGGAATTGTGGAAGTGGAAGGCTCCATCAATGAAAGAAGAATCAGGATGGATTTAGCTGTAAGCCAGAGAGTTTAACCTGATGATTTCACCATATCCTGTGTATTGTTGGAAAACTTGGTACCCTCAGTGATGCAACTGTGTGTACATTAAGTAGTCTAAGGAGAAGAAAGTCTTTGTTCCAATTATGTACCTGTAATATGAATTTTCATCTTCTTTACCTGCCATCGCAGCTCAGCTCTACCACTTTCTGTTTTCATGGCCTTGGGCAAATCTCTTAACCTCTCTTAAGACCCAGTGTTCACATTGCAATATTAAGTATCATGACAGTGCCTATTTCATAGGATCACTGTGAGGATGGAATAAGATAGTACATTAAGGGGTATTCTAACACTTGATCAATCTTAATTGCTAGAAGTGATAAACCGTTTTTAAAAGACAATTCAGCAGAGTACGTTCAGAGGAAGCCATGGCATTTGCCATACTAATTCTTCCCCCAAAGCATGGCATTCTAGCTCATAAGAATATTCAATAAGATTTTATAAATAACATGTATCCAATTTAAGGATTTTAGTTAGAAAATAAGTTGGTGTATAGGCAACATATATCCATTCTCTATTTATGGAACACATACTATTTACTACAGTGTGCATAGTAGGAAAATGAGTTTTTTTGGTCAATTTAAAATGGATAACTCATCAATTGTTCTCATTAAAGAGAAGGTGATTGTAAAAGCCTTCTTTTTTTGTTTTAAACTGATGGACTTTACTTGCATTTTGGTCTTGTTTTAAATTTTCACCTCCATTTTGACAGTGCAATGGGTTTTGAAATGAATTTTGAGAGGATAATACTCACCTCCAAATCCAGGTCTCATTGCGAAATCGTTGTCCTCTATATGGAGAAGTTGCTCATATTTCTGAGGCCGCGCTTTGGTACTGTCATCTTTCTTCATTCTAGTTTCTTGTTTGCTGTTCCCCCAAAGGGAAAAAAAAAACTTCTGAGATACATATGCTTCTGGATATTTTGATTTAGGTTAGCCATCTGTGCTCAACATAACATGTTCTGAAATACATACATAAAAGCTCATTTTCTCAGTTCATATTAAGCCAAAGAGCTGTCAACATTTGTTCTTTATTATATAAGTGTGGAGCAAATAAGGTAAACCAAATTTTGGAGCACATTAAGTGACAAACTCAGTTGGATTTAATGCACAAACTCATATTGTTTCTCAGAATACGGTTTTTAGACCTGGAAAATCCCAATTACCTGAGTGGAGGTGATCAAAACTCAGATTCATGGACTCCTGTCCCAGATCAACTAAATCAGTCCCCTAGGAAGCAGGGCCTAGTAATCTGCACCTGAACAAGCTACCTAGGTGATCCTTGGGGTCACTGGGGCTGAACAATCTCTGCACGAAGACAGCGAGAAAACGAAAGGACCGCAAGATTGTAAACAGATTAAGGCAGTGTTCTACAAAGACAAAATGAGCAGAAAATACAGGGTGCAGGCTGAGAGCGCACCGGGCAGAATTCCCATCCGGGGTTCTAGAGCCTGAGGGATGGCAATATTTATGCCTGAAGCCAGGTCAAATTGTGAAGTAGGTGATGTCTGTTTTTACCTACAGTTCTCTAGGACGAAGGAAAGCAGGCAGTGGCCTCTTGGCCCTAGGTGTCCTGACTGGGAATAAGGCCCTGTCTCTCCCTGTGTCGGTGAGCTTGAGCAGGTTGCTGGACCTCCCTGATTTGTTTTCTGCCCTGTGACACCTACTTCTCAGTGATACTGTGGGTGTGGAGGGGAAATGTCTGTTTTAGCATAGCTCCTTTGTGAGCAACTTGCAGCAGCCTTCAGCCGGAGACCTTGCTCAGCACCTCCTTCCAGAAAAAGGTGGCTGTCATCATCATCATCATCATCATCATCATCATCATCATCATCATCATCGTGGGCAGCAGGAGCAATAACGCAAGACCCTGAGGGCTCTACTAAGTGGATCCTAGTCATTCTGAATAGCTAATATGCTTTTGTATTAATACAAAATATTAATTCACATCGGAAACCAATGTGAATTTTAATATAAGACATGTAGGTGAACTTTCTTACACAATAAAGTGACTTCGATGGGGAGAATTTCAGAATCTGGAGCAGCTGCTAAAAGGAATACATCTTATGGGCACCTGAGATCACCCAGTGTGGTCTTTCAATAGGGAAGTTTCTGGCTGAAACCATCAGAGGTTTACAGATGTGTAGTTTATCATTGATAGAAATGCAGAAGTTGGGAAAAGAAATCTGTTTTTGGTAGAAGGCAATGAGTTTTATTTTAAACATGTTAAGCCATTATATCCTATGAATAATTGAACACATACAACTAGTTTTTCCAAGGAGCTAGAATTAACTAGAAAAGTTTTTTCAAGGAGCTAGAATGAACTATTTATTAAAAAAAAATAGCAGCTAGCTTTTATTAAATGTCTACTATGTTCAAGTCACCAAGCCAAAGTAAACATTATTTTCATTGGCATACATCCAAATTATGCTCTGTTTGGGCCCTATGCCTAGAGCTTCTGTTTCAATAGGTTTGGGGTATGACAATTTGCATGTATAACAATTTCTCAAGAGATCCACCGGCCTAGAAAATAGTAGACATTTAATAAATCTAACTACTTGTTACTATTTTAAGAAAAATGGAAATGTAACTATGAGTGAAAACTCATGAAAATTTGTAAACCTCTTTGGTAATAATCTTTTAATACAGCTAAATGGCATGTCACTAATGTGTGTGCTCAGAAGCATACCTCTCCATGAGATTGAAAAGGATAAATCTTAATTAAGAATCCCAAGAATGCTTAAGACAGAGCCCACTGTGAAATGCTCTCTTGGCAGCGTGCGAAAGCACCTGCACCTGTTCTAACTTGAGGGCTCTTCAGGTGCACAATGAGATGTTCCATATTTATCTACTTTTGCCTTTTTTTGTATTTTTTATACCTTCTATTTCCCAAAAAGGATCTGTTGCTTAAATACGCTTTTAAAGAATTTTGAAAATCTATATATTCCCCTCACATATATTTAAATAGACATTTACATTTCTTCATCATAAATTTTGAAATTACTCAAATATTGATGATTTCAGATAAAACATATTGTTCCTTTAAGTGTATCCAGTGAATCTAAATATACACATTATGCATTTAAAGATACCTGAACAAGCTTTTTAAAAATCAGAAATTTTATATCATTCTTTTTTTAAAAAAAACTACTATCTCCATTTTATTTACTTCATATAATTTTATCACTCCATCATGTACCTTTGTAAGAAAAATGTGTAAGCATAGAAATTAACTTTTTTATTTTCTATAATAATTATGAATGGAATAAAACAATTTGTTTAAATATTGATACTTATTAAAATTAAGAATAAAATTTTATTAAAATTGTATTTATTAATGAACTGATGATTCACTTTCTCCAATTATTCTATGTATCGGCAAATGGGTATTACTCATTGCTGGAATAAAACTCGGTTTTTGCATTAATTCTGTTCTTATTTTTTAATCTTTATAGATGGAAATATTGAGAAAGTTTGTTCATATATGTGGAAGTACATGGAATTTGAAGAAATTTTGTTTCAGTATTCTTTTAACAAAGCAACTTAATTACTTAAACTCCTTACTTACTTTTCAAAACTCACACTGTAGAATTTATCTTCAACAATCAGTTTAATTATTTATAACCTGACAAATTAATTAGGTTCTTCCTTCAATTTTGTTAAAAGCAAAAAATAGAGAATTGCCATTAAGAAAAGTACAGCATCATCCGCTATCTCAACAACAATATTTGTAATGATCTCTTTGTACCCAGGAACTTTTTACACGCTGGGGCAATACTCGTAGGATTCAGGAAGAGGGAGAGGGATGCCTGTATATTGCCAGGTGGGACAGAGCAATCATTAAAAGGAGGTAATAAAGGACACTGCAGGTGGTGAGTAGATCAGTTTTAAGAAAGAGGTCAGAGGGAAGTTAAAGATCCAAAAACTGTTTTAAAACTATTCATGTCTACATGCCCCTCAGATACCTTGCATCTACCCTTAGAGGTATAATACATTGTACCCCAGGAGGATAGACACCCTCGTTTGAAGGCCTCTGATGCATACATAGGAAGGTAAATAAAATGAAGGATGAAATAAAACCAAGGAGACAGAAGGAAATTTGCTTAATAAAGGATCACTATATCATGGAGCATCAGATTTATCTCAGAGTGTTCTAGTCTTATTCTATACACATACCACTTTAAATCCCTTTGTGTCTTCTCCCCTCTCCCCCATTCTAGAAAAAAAAAATGATTTCAGTTTAGCCGCTACTGAGAAGAAGCTTTTGGATTTCTTCTGTCTGAGGAGAGGATCTTCTAGGAGTCTGAGTCCTGATGGGATCAGGCAAAGAAATCTCAATTCGTGGGAGAGCCTCTCACTGGCATTCCTAATTTTTGTCCTTTCCCACAAAGTATTATGAAGATTGAGAAACAGTAGGCGTGAGTCTTGGTAATAGGTGTGGTTTTTCTCTTTGAATTGGGGCCTCTTCCTTCCTGGGTCACACAAAGAAAACATATTTCTATGCTCCCTCTTCTCAGTGTCAGAAACTCTACTGTAATTGTGTGACAAAGAAAGCAGAGGTCTGGGAGGAGGGAAAGGCTTGATTCTGAGTGGTCTCAGGGGGACTAAGAGGGTCTTTGAGGAGGACATAGTAGTCAAAGGATTAAAAACTAGAACTGATTGAGGAAAAGGAAATGCACCTAACTCATTCTGCGGCATTGGAGTTTTATAAGTGGAATGATAAAAAATCATCTGACTTGAGTCACACACACTCGGTTGGCTGCCTTATAAAACTGCTTTCCCTGGAGCCTGGAGGCCTACATATTTGATGAGTTAACTAGAATCAGAATTTGAAAAGAACTAGGTCTGACACGAAGAGACTAGTTACCCAAGGGAGGACATAATTAATAAGCAAATTTAAAAGTATTTAATTGAGGGGGTCAAGAGTGTGATACCAATTGAAGCCATAACTGTCATTTTATATCTATTAAATTAGCAAAAGACAAAAAATAATGTTAGTGCCCCATGCTGTGAAGGATATGATGAGGCCAGGTGCGATGGCTCACACCTGTAATCCCAGCACTTTGGGAGGCGAAGGCGGGCGGATCACTTGAGGTCAGGAGTTCGAGACCAGACTGGCCAACATGGTAAACCCCATCTCTACTAAAAATACAAAAATTAGCCAGGTGTGGTGGTGGGAGCCTGTAATTTCATCTACTCAGGAGGCCGAGGCAGGAGAATCACTTGAACCTGGGAGGCAGAGGTGGCAGTGAGCCGAGATCGTGTCACTGCACTCCAGCCTGGGTGACAGAGTGAGACTGTCTTGGAAAAAAAAAAAAAAAGGATATGATTAAATCCTTTTCATTTTGCAGGTGGGAGTATAAATATTGGTAAACTCCCCTAGAAATTCATCTCAAGAACTATAAAAATATTTCATGTGCTTTACTCAATTATACAATTCCAGAAAAATCATAATTTTCTCGGTAAAGAAAAAAATAAAATGTGTGAAAACATTTATTGCTGTTACTTATAATAGTGCAAACTTGAAAATAAATGTTCAGAAACAAAGGAGATAATTCTTGTCCTTTAATTCAAATTAATAATATGGAGTGATTAAAATACCATTATGGTGTCTATGAAGCAATGTGAGAAATGCTTAAGTGAAGAAAATACAAAATGGTTTCTATGCTATGATTTTAAACATGGAAAAATCATGTAGTTTCATGAATCAGGATTAGACGTGAGCTTGGAAAAACAAAAGCATAACTGGATTCTAGGTATCTTTTTCCACATAAAAATCCATTATTGCTATTGTTATTTGTATCATAAATTATCTAGAAAAAATTGAACTTGCCATTTATAATCCTTTCCAAATAAGAATCTGGTCAAAACTCTCCACCTTATCACTCCATTCTCCTTGTCATTCTAGAAGCATGGCCTCTTGATAACATGGACGTTTTTCTCAGT
Organism: Homo sapiens; assembly: GCF_000001405.40. Taxonomy (NCBI): domain Eukaryota; kingdom Metazoa; phylum Chordata; class Mammalia; order Primates; family Hominidae; genus Homo; species Homo sapiens. Next base: position 98,030,755 of record NC_000003.12, read on the forward strand.
CAAGCTTTACTGTGAACCAGTGCACACTGAAACTCAGCTAACTGTTCCAAATAATGTAGGCAAAATTTTAAAAACTTTTTGTAGGCTTATTATTTTTCTTTAGAAAAATACAAAATGAAGCAAAAATGTTCTATTAGGCTATATACATGGATGCAAATCCAAGGAATAAGGTAAAGTAGTGGGAAAATCAATTGGTCCAATTTTTCATCACGAAGAAAACCTTCATAATTCTTGATCCAATCTTTATTTCCAGGCTCTGGATGTTTTTGAAAAGTCTTAGAGAAAACGTGGTACATCAGATGTAGTGAATCTTATGGCTCTGATTGAACTCCTAACTTCTGAACTCTGGAAATACATACCTGACTTTTTCAATAGCCTGTCTCTTGTAAAGGAAAAAATCTAGGCAGATGAACATTTCTGTGGAAAAGCCAGCCAGAGAGAATGCTTCACTTGAAACACGACAGTTCCCACATCTCACTTGGGTCTCTGTCAGATCACAAGCTCAGTGAGGAGGCCTCAGTTTCCTCATCTGTGAAATGAGGAAATTAGACCAGATTAGCAGCTAGTCTGCAGACATTTTTAAAAAATGGTTCACGTGGTACATTAACTTGGAAAAATTCAGAGAAAAGCTTGGATTTCTTGCTTCTTTTGAAAAAAATCAGAAAATCTGGCCACACGAGGCTCAAGTTCTCTTATAACAAGAGAAGGCTGTGGGCACGGTGGCTCATGCCTATAATCCCAGCACTTTGGGAGGCCAAGGCTGGAGGATCATTTGAGGCCAGGAGTTTGAGTCCAGCCTGGGCAACATAGACAGACCCAATCTCTACCAAAAAAATATAAAAGCCAGGTGTAGTGGCACACGCCTGTTGTCCCAGCTACTTGGGAGGTTGAGGTGGGAGGACCACTTGAGCACAGGTGTTTGAGGTTATAGTGAACTATGATTGGACCACCGCACTCCAGCCTGGGCAAGAGAACAAGACCTTGTTTCAGAAAAAAAAAAGTTAAAAATTAAAAAACAAACAAAAACAAGAGAAGGCTGAACCTGACCAGCCAGTTTCCCTCAGAGGAGCATATACCTTGTAGTTGTAGTCTCTGCCACTCTCTTCTGTCTTGCTTGCAGTAGCATTGGATTTGCCATGCCTGAGAACCTACTGGCTTTTACATTAGGTTCAGGGTAATGTTTAACAAGTGACTCTTTAGGAAAAAAAGCCCCAGTTTATAGTAGTGTTTTATTTCCATGGTGTAAATACTTCCACCATGGCTGATTTCAGGCTACCAACAACATGCATGGCAGAGATGTGTCTAGCACATAGTATAGTATAGTATAGTATAGTATAGTATAGTATAGTATAGTATAGTATAGTATAGTAATGGTATACTGTAGTATTTCTACAATACAGTTACAATAGACCTAAATAACCTCAAGAGCAACAGATGATAAAGTGTGGAGAAATCATTGGGAAGTGGTGAGTTTTAAGTATTTGCTACCTTTATTTTAGAAAGTATTTAATTTAATTGCAGGCTTATATAATTTATTTTTTAATAATGTGTGCTTTTAACAGCCAGCTGATAAATTTCCTGAAAATGATTGGCTGTTGCAAGCCAGACTGAGCAGACTCCAGCACTCTGCTGATTATTTTCAAGGCCAGAGTCAATACGTTGCTCTTATAGCATTTTTAGCCCCAACCCAGCACTTGCATGTAAATATCACTCAGTGTAATTGTTGAAAGAATGAATAAATATTCAGTGAGTCTATTTGCTTAATCCTCTTTGCATCATCCAGGAGTAAAATTTCTTCTCTAGGTAAAAGGGGAACATTTTCCACCTGCCATAACTTACTTTATTCACACCTCTCCCTACTTTGTTTTTAGGAAACAAAAGATATGTTTGAATACATATTTTTTTAAAGTCTTTAGGTTTTGAAAGAAGGGAATCTCTGGATTAAAAAGTGAGGTTATATTCTGAATGAAAACAACTAAAAGCAAAACATTTAAGAGCCTTATTGTATAAAAACTGGCCCCAAACAATGCATATATAAATCCCCCTTATAATTTTCAAAGATCATGTCTTCCTTTCATGTTCACTCTATTAGTTCTTTTGCATTATAGAAGAGTGGATTATTCATTAATTCATTCATTACTTAATTATTGGCTGATAATCAGGTCGGGTGCTGGGCAAAGAACCTCACAGTATCTATTCACATACTAAGGTAGGAAGACTCCTGGGCCTCTTACTCTAAAAATGACTCTATACAGTAATTACTGTATTTTGGTCAAATGCCCTAAAATCTGCATGACAGAGTGCTTGAATGACAGCTCAGAAATTGGCTGGCTGTGTTACTCTGTTCACTCAGGGAAAATGCCTGGGTTTCATTCTAAGTGGCTACTTCTGGACCAGTGTGATGGTTTATGCAATCTCCAGTGCCCTGGAGGGTGTTTCTTTGAAGAACAAAAGAAGCAGATATAAATTTTAATGAATCCCATTCTGGCTTGTGACTCAAAGGAGCACTTCATTTAGGAATATAGAAGTGACAACAAATATGATTGGCCCCACATGGCCGAAATCCTGGCGTTTCCTACGGGGGAAGTCTGCTTTTGCATAGGCTCTAAAATTCTTCTTTTCCTTTACATAGGATCTAAAAATGAGGCATTTAACATCAGAAAAAATTTCTACCTCACCACAAAGAACCAATGTTCTTTTCTTTTTCTTTAAATGTCACCTAAAAAATATACATGGTAGATTTTTTCTGTAGCAACTCTGCCACTGATAGTGGGTTGGTGTGATGAATTAGCTACTATAGTCATCTCTCTTCTCCTCATCTAAACATCCACCAGACTGTACAAGTCTACTCTATGGATGACAGATAATATTTTAAGCAGTGTCCTTTGATTTTTAAAATTAGATAAAACATACTATAAAACGTAATAAGCTATATGAAAAAAAATAGAGTCTGGTGGTACACTCTTACATTTCCCAAATATTTCCTTAGCTAATTGCTATGACGAAGACTGGGAAAGTGGTTAAATGGAACAAGACTTCATATCATCTCAGGTCTGGGTCTGGGAGCAGAAGCATGGAAGGGAAGTGTGAGCAGTAGTCCCTGATTTTTAATCGCAGTGCAGGAATCAGTAATCTAGTAACACACTTCTTTTGGTTTTGGTCATTAAACCTGAGACTTCAGAAGATATTTATCAAAATTTTATGTTCTCTTTCCTGATCTTACAGTGAATGCATAATACATATTTAGGATGTGAGAGCAATCTAGCTTAAACATCTGTCACCCCATTGGCTGCCAGTGTTGACCAGATGATACTCTTCATTCCTCAATTTCTCCTTTTGGGTCTTTTTGGAAATATGGTGCTTGGTGAAAAGAGAACTCTTTCTCAAAGACATTATTTGATTATTAAAGGTATATGGGTAGTAGGGTGACAAATCATTCCAGTATGCCTGGGGCTGAAGGGATTCCTGGCATTTTTAGTACTAAAACCTATAAAGCCCTAGGCAAATTGGTGTATAAAGAGGTCACTCTCACAGATAGCTATCTCCCTTACTAGCACGTCCAAACATGCTCCTGATTATTGATGGGAAGATAATAATGATGATGTCTTGATATTCATGATTTGTCAAACGTATGAAAATTATTCTTGAAAGACAAATGGCTTTAATGCCTTTTGATACTATTTCATCAATCCATGAAACTATATACCCTAGAAATACTTGACATTAAATGAAGTTGGTGCTTAGACTAATTTCTACTCAAAATAAATTTGAAGAAACATTAAACAAGTATTTAATGTATTAGTAATAAATGTACTACTAATTGAAGAAATACATTCTCTGAAAGAGGATCCTTACATGAACCCTTTAACTGTTTTCTCCCAAATAAGCATAAATAAATTTACAAATGTCAGCAAATTCCAAGATATTGCTCTTTCGGATGTCAAACAGAGGTGATTTATGATGATGCATGAATGCTATCTCTAGAGACAGACATGGTTACAAAGATGTGCTACCATTAAAGATACGTTTCCAGGTTTCCTGTAGGTCTGAGACAACTGTTGAGAGAAACTGGGCAGTAATTCCATGGACTGCACTATGAGCATCTTACCAGGTTTGTTTCATTGAAGAGGAGCACCGCTGGTGTGTCATCTTGATGTTAGAAGCAGCACAAACATTTGGTTTCAATATGATCCAGATGTAGGTGAAGGAGACTAACTGGAAAGCCAGGACCATCTCTTCCAAAACAAAAAAACAGAAAGGATGCAGGTGAACGCAACCAATACTGTGATCACAGTTTCTTCTTCATGTGTCTTTTAAAAAACAAACAGCATGTCAGGGGAAATGCATTAGGGGAAAAAGAAAGACATTGTCTTCAATGCTGCACTTTGTTTTAGCAGATTAAATTGACTCACAGCACTTACAGGCAAATATCTACCTGGATCTTCAGCAATTTGAGGAAAACAAAGCAGATTTTTAAAATTTTCAGTTTACATCCTTTGGTCCCTTTTTCCGGGGAAGGTTTTTAGTGTGATGCTCAATCCATACTCAGTAAACCCTCAGCGGCAGTCCTAAGCAAACAAAGAAGTGAGGTTAAGCATTAATCCTCTTAATCCAATGCAATATCATTTAAATATACTTAGTGACTCAGCAAAATAATATGCTTATTGAGAAAAAAAGATGATTAATTTAATCTTAATTACACGTTTGAAGACCTTTTCCATTATCTTATGGCTCCTTTTAATCCAGAAAGAATCTTTTCCTCCCCAAATGCCATACAGACTGCCTTAGCATGAATACAAAATAAAATTATTTTTTTTAAGGTAAATAATCATATTTTAAGATGATGGTTTATTTCATTGATAACAAAAGTGGTTTAATTTAAGGTTTATTTAATAGCAAGCAACCCAGTTAATAAAAATGAACTTAATCCTGGTCAGTGTGCAAAGCACACACTGTCACTGTTAAATTATAGCCACACACTCTCCTAAAGGTGCTTTGCATACTTAGAGAAAATATTTAAGAAAATATTTCTACTTCACATATGCAAAGCACCAATAAATGGTCATGTCATTGAAATTAATCTTCTTCAACTGGAATAGCACAAGGTGAGCAACACAGCAACGGTTGACCTTTTTACTAGGACTTAGGAAGAAAGCCATTTTCTTCCCAGAAATATAGTGTTGTGAGAGAAATTCTTAAATTTCCTCAAATTGATTTGTGTCCTTGACACCTTCTATTTTGTGTAATTGCTTAATCATACTTATTTCTTTTGGTTTGGGTTATGGCTTCTTTTAGCCCATGCATTAAAACCTTCTCCTATGTTTCTTAAGCATGTCTTTTCTCTTTAAAATATATTTTAATATAAAAGATTACAAATATACAGAATGATGTAATAAATCCTTGCTTCTCTTCTTAGGCTCGATTTAGTGTTTATAATCATATGCAGTTATACTATTATTGTATATGTATGTATCTATAAATAATGTACAAACTTCTGCATGTTTTAAAACTTTATATAAGTGGTGTCATATTCTACTTTTACTACTAAAAGCTACTTTTTCTTTCAACTTAATGCTTAGGGATTTATTATGTTGATAAATGTGCCTCTAGTTAATTCATTTTAACTGCTATATGGCACTTCAGTATGGATGCATAACATTGCATTTATTCGTATTTTTGTTGATGGGCATTGTTTCTTATTTTTCTATTATAAACAATCCTGCAATAAATTCTTATAAATATTTTCTTGTACACATGTGTAAGTGTTTCTTTAGGATAAATACCTAAAAGTAAAATGGCTAGGACAAATAATTTTCACACCTTCAAATTTACTAAGCACAATCATATTGCTCATCAAAGTGCTTGTACCAATTTACTTCCCCACTAGCAGTGAATGAGAGTTCTTATTTCTTAAAATATTTTTTAACATTGGTATTATCAGACTTTTAAATGTTAAGTAATTCAATCAGTATTGTAATTTTAATTTCTGTAATGTTTAGAAACGTTGAAGCATTTTCTTCAGGTATTTCGGAGCCAGTAAGCCTTCTTTGAAGAGCCAATGGAAGAAATGTAGGAAAAGTTGCCCATCTTAAGCTACTGTCACTTTGGTTGTTGGAAGACCGCACTGTGGTCAAAGTTTGTTTCAGTACATTCCACCTCAGTGCTCTTACGAGATCCAGGGCACCAACCCCTCGGCCCTAGCACTATCTATTACCTCGTCCCCTCTTCACTTAGTAAGCAACATCTACACTAACATTTCCCAAAGTATTTCTTGGCTACACTGAAGGCATTTTGTGAAAAATTGTTATGTACTAAATGAGTTTGGGAAACATTATACATTTTATTACTCTGTTAGGGGTCACACTCTTACCCCAGGGCCTTTGCACTGGTTGTCACCCTTGCCTGACATATTGTTCATCTGGATATCTATATGGCTAACTCCCTTAACAAATTCAAATGTATGCTAAAATGTCATCTATTGAATGAAGTATACCCTGACCACTCTTTTTAAAAATACCGTATTCTTTCTTTCCTCCTACAACCTGTGTTACCAATCTACCTTTCATCCTGCTTAGCATGTTTTATATAATTTACATTATGTTTATTGTTCATAATCTGTCTTATCCGGCTAGAATGTAAGCTCTGCAAGGAAGTGATCTTTGTTTTGTTCCCTGAGGCATCCCAAACACTTATAATTATCTTTGAAGTATAGTTGGTATTAGTAAATATTTCTTAAATAATGAATGAATATTAACACGTTCAAGGCTTCAGTTGAAAAAAAAAAAGCCTGCTTTGTTCTGCTGAATTCTGTGTCTCTCAAACTTATTTGATCTCAGATCCCATTTTAAAACAAAACAAGACAAAACAAAACAAAACAAAACAAAAGAAAACCACGATACTTACATTCTCCCAAAATAGTACTCCTCCATGACAGCCAGTTCTCATTCATAGGTAAATCAGTGAGATTCTCATTTATAGGCAAATTGGTGCTTTGCACATTCTCCTTACCAAAATTCTGTGTCCTATCATCTTGAGACAACCTTTGATGACTGCTAAACTTTTACGTTCGCAAAGAAATATTGGTAGCTGATAAAGAATAAGCAAGATTGAAGAGGAGACTTCACGAAGTGGTCTTTGATCTGAAGGAATGAAGCACTGGAATAGAAGATGTCCTCTTTACAGGACTCAGTGGAGCTATTTGGGGCACTTATTTTTCGGAAATATCTGTCAAGTCATATGCCTCCTCACTGTCACTTAAATTATGTTAGGATGCCCTGGTGTCTCCTTCTGCATCGCAGGGATGAATCATGATGAGAATCTGTCTGACCTCTTTACTGAATAATCTTTGCTAGACTATCTATATCGCTATAAACATTAAGGAAGAAATAAAAGCAGTTTGTTTTTTGATGATGAATTTTAAGTGGGAAATGGTCTGCATAAAAATAAAAATAAGGCAATGGCTTACACTAGAGAGAGTTGACTTACAGAAAGTCTAAGGGTTTTAGTTCAATTACAAGAAGGCATCTGCCTCTGTTGATGCTGAGTTAGCTCCTTAACCTTATTCCTTTAGAGCTTCCCTTTGCAAGCTCAGTAAGCTTCTTAAGAAAAAAAAAAAAAGCAGAAAAGCACATCTGTCAGAACTAGAAAGTGGTAACTACCAGGAAACAAAATGAATCACAGGGTCACTGGAGAATTTCGTAGTAGTTTAAGCTCTCCCTTGCATAAATTGTCTCCTGTTTACTCTTCTTCCACTCTGATGATGTCAGTCAGCCAGTTTTTATTTCTTTGGCAGCGACATAAAGAGAAAATTTGGAAAGGATGGCTGTGTCGCCAATCTTGGGGTATGTAGCCATTATTTTGCCTATAAAGAGAAAACAAAAGAAAAGCTAAGGTCTTATTTAGACTGGATCTGACAACAGCAACAACAACAAATTCCAAGCTTCTATAAATTTCCCACTGTGTCTGCAGGATGTCATCTAGGCAAAATATCTTGATTTGCAAATTGTAGAGTCATAAAATCTTAATAGGGAAAGACTTTTGGAAATCATTTAGACTACATTTAATGTCTCTCCTGCTCTCTTTTATGCAGAGGAAGCTAGGACTAGAGAGGTTAAGTGATCAACTAATTTAGTTTTCATATTTACAGTCATGTGCTGCACAACGACGTTTTGGTCAGTGATGGACCACATATATGACTGCAGTTCTCCAATAAGCTAAGGTTAATTTATTATTGAAGAAAGAAAAATATTTTGTATAAATTTAGTATAGCCTAAGTGTACAGTTGACAGTAGTGTACAGTCATGTCTTGGGCTTTCACACTCAGTCACCCAGAACAACTCACTAACTCACCCAGAACAACTTTCAGTCCTGTTAACTCCATTCATGGTAAGTGCCCTATACAATTCATCTTTTATACTGCATTTTAACTGAACCTTTTCTATTTTGTCTATGTTTATACATGTTTAGATACACAAATACGTACCATTGTGTTACAATTGCCTATAGTATTTGGTATAATAACGTGCTGTATAGGTTTGTGGCCTAGGAGTAATATCATATAGCATAGGTGTGCAGTAGGCTAGACCATAGAGTTTTGTGTAAGTATACTCTACAATGTTTGCACAATGAGGAAATCACCTAACAACGCATTTCTCTGAGTTTGTCCCCGTCATCAAATTGCGCGTAACTGTTTTGCTTTGATGCATTGGAAATATAACTGGCCATGCCTAGAGCAGCCAGTAGGGGGCATTTGCTATCCTTCCAAAAAACCCTGCTCTCACTCAGAAATCCTGTTTCCTCTCCAGTTCCCAGAATTACCAGATAACCAGTAGATCATCGTTTTTTCATACCCAGTAGACCATCGTCCCCCCCACGACCCTTGTTTCAGTCTCTTATCACATCCTTCCTGGCATACAGAATCAGCTGTGATACGAGTGAGGACACCTGAAGAATCTTGCTCTGTTTTACAGGCAAGAGGATGACACTAAAGCAAAGCAGTCTTCATCATCGTGTAATAGCGCAAGACCACCACTAGATGGAAGCATAGGATACACATTCTCATCCAAATTACTATTGTCTCGAATTTGCCTCCTTAGGAAAACTTTCTTATGTAGTATTGGTAAATGCAAATTATTCAGCACTTGTAGTGAATAATTTTCACTTACCAATACTGGCAGAATGAACTGAAAAGATTAATGATATAATACCAAATGATTCAGATAAAAAACCCACACACCCCGTTATTGAGGAAAATGCAATTATTTACCTCGAATAATTGACTAATGAGGTTTATTGGTTTCTCTGATTGAACACTAATTTATTTTTAAGATTTCACTTTTTACCTACACCTAAGAACAGCATTTTGTTTGTGGGAACGGTAAGAGACAGAGGTGAACATTGTAGAAAAATAAGCTTTCTATTAGAATGAAGTACCTGTTATGAGTAAAGTTTCTAAAGGGCACTAAATAAAACACTAGGGCACATGGCTCTGGGACTGGATATGGTACTTACTGCATGATTTTTAAAAAGTTTCTTAAACTTCCTGGACTTCAATTTCCTCTTCTGTATTCATTAAGCACATGTATGTAGGTGACTTTTGAGACCCCTGAGGAAGCAATAAAACACAGTGGTTAAGAAGAGACAATAGCGATAATCTTTATTGGGATATTTGGTGTCAGTTTTTGTGGGTACAAACATCTATTCTTCCATTTACTACTTGTCTGAACATTGAAAATGACCTAAGATTTTTTGTTGAGTCAGTTACTTTATATATAGTTAAGAGGAATAATACTAGGACCTATCTTTTAAGGTTAAAGTCAGAATTTATGAGACTGTATGTTTAGCACAATGTTTGATACATTGAAGATACCATAATTGACAAAATTAATATCAGCTATCAATCTCATGCATCTTTATTAATGTAGTATGATCTTCCAATGTTATGAATTTCATTAAGATTACCAATAAGGTCCCTGTTTTCCAGGATTGAGATTTTGAGTCATCTTTAATTACTCCCTTTCAAAATCTTTCTTCGTTTTTTGCTTCAGAGCTACTTTTGCATTTTCCTGCCCTTTGTATTTCCATTGCCACCTGACCTTTTTGTCTCTAATATTAATATATCTCCCTGGGCTCCAGTGCTGCCACTGCTATGCATGCACCTACTTTCTGGGCCCTGGTACCATTGAGAAATATGCCCATATTTCTCAGAGAAGACTCCATCTGTGGGAGAAATGGAGAACAGAAGGGCCCAAGAAACTATTGCTGCTGCCATGGACACCCACAAATTTTGCCATCAAGTGCCCCCATAGTATTTGCTGACACTGACCTCAGCTGATGCAGCTGTTAGAATTTCATACCAATGCACCACCTTAGAGTAGAAGCTGCTGCACCCCATCTGACCAGCACCCTTGTACCCATCTGTGGTGAAGATCTTTCCCAACTGAAGCCTATCTGTAAGGTCTGGAAGAGGTAACTCCTTGTTCAAATACACACACATCAAAGCAAGGCTACAAAGAACTGGAAAAATCAAGAAAACATGATAACACTAAAGGAATACAAAAAAATCCACTAATGAATCCCTAAGAAATGAAGATCTACAAATTTCCTGACAAAGAATTAAAAATAATTGTTTTAAACAAGCTCAGCAAGCTACAAAATAACAGATTGGTAACTTAGTGGAATCAGGAAAATAATATATGAAAAAAATGAGAAGTTGAACAAAGAGATGAAAATCATTAAAAAGAACCAAAGAGCAGTTCTGGAGCTAAAGAATACAATGAGTGGAATGAAAAATGCAAAAGAGGGTTTCAACAGCACACAGTTAAGCGGAAGAATCTGCAAATTCAAAGAGAGATCATTTAAAATTATCCAGTCAGAGAAGAAAAGAAAAAAATAATGAAAAAGGGTGAAGAAAGCCTATGGGATTTATGGAATACCATCAAGTAAACCAATAAATGCATTATGGAATTTTAAGGAAAACAGACAGAAAAAGGGAGCAGAAAGCTAATTTAAATAATAATGACTAAAACCTTCCTAATTTGGGGAAGATTTGGAAATTGTGAATCCAGATTCAAGAATCTCAAATGTTTCCAAATAGGTTCAACTTAAAAGAGAACATACTGAGATACATTGTAATAAAATTGTCAAAAGTTAAGGACAAAGAGACTTTTAAGGGAAGCAACTCATCCTATGTAAAGAAAACCCTGTGATACCACTAGTGGATTTCTCAGCAGAAACCTTGCAGGCCTGGAGAGAGTGAGATGACATATTTGTAGTACTGAAAGAAAAAAAAACATACTGGTTAGCAAAAATACCATTCCCAGAAAAATTATTCTATAAAAATGAAGGAAAGATAAAATCTTTCCTTGAGAAAAAAAATGAGAGAATTTATCACCATTAGACCTGCCATATAAGAAATACTAATGAGTATTCTTAATTAAAATGAAAACACATATATACAACCAATGAAGACTAAATCTGAAAATTATAAAGAACTGATGAATGGAATTAAAGAAGAAACAGATAAATGAAAAGACATCCTTTGACCTTGGATGGGAAGAATTTATATTGTGAAAATGCACATATTTTCCAAAGAATTCTACAGATTCAGTGCAATCCCTATCAAAATCTCAGTGGCATTCTTTACAGAAATAGAAAAGCATTTTAAAATTCATATGAATCTACCAAAGACCCCAAAGCTATCCTGAGCAAGAACAAAGCTGGAGGCATCACACTTCCTGATTTCAAAATATACTACAAAGCTATAGTAATTAAGACAGTATATTACTGACATAAAACAGACATATATACCAATGGAACAGAACATAGAGCTAGAAACAGATCCATATGATTAACTGATCTTCCACAGGGTGACACAAACACATAATGGGGAAAGAACGGTCTGTTCAATGAGTAGTATTAGAAAAACTGGATATCCACCAACAGAATGAAATTAGACCTTTATCACACATCTTACACAAAATAAACTCAAAATGGATTACATATTTAAACATAAGACCCCAAATCATAAAGCTCTTAGAAGAAAACATAGGGGAAAATCTTGACATTGGTCTTGGCAAAGATTTTTGTATATGACCCCAAAGGCAAAGGCAATGAAAGCAAAAATGGACAAGTGGGATTGCATCAAACTAAAAACCTCTGTACAGTGAAGAAAACAATCAACAGAGTAAAAAGGCAACCTACTGAATGGGAGGAAATATTTTCAAACCATACATATGATAAAGTTGGAGGTTAATGTCCAAAATATGTAGGGAACTCACACAACTCAGTAACAACAGAACAAATAACCCAGTCAGCAGTCAATTATCCTCAATCAAATTGGGAACTCCACTGCCAACCCAAATAACCCAATAAAAAAATGGGCCAAGGATTTGAAAAGATATTTCTCAAAAGAAGCCATACAAATAGCCAACAGGTATATAAAACAATGCTCAACATCATAATCATCAGGAAAATGCAAATTAAAACTGCAATGAGATATTACCTCATACCTATTAGAATGGCCACCCAGTGGCCATTGTGGCATCTGGGTGATAGTTTGTCTCTTAATTCAGTTCTGAAAGTTTAAGATCTGATCCATGCACACAAAGATTAAAGGTGAGCCAGGAGTTCATAAACAACTTAATGGGGTTGCTTTCCCAATCTCCTCCCTCTCTGAAATCTGCTGAGACCAGCTCGGTCTGGGAGACCCTAATCCAGCGGCGCTAGAGGAATTAAAGACACACACACAGAAATATAGAGGTGTGAAGTGGGAAATCAGGGGTCTCACAGCCTTCAGAGCTGAGAGCCCCAAACAGAGATTTACCCACGTATTTATTAACATAAACCAGTCATTAGCATTGATTCTATAGCTATTAAATTAACTAAAAGTATCCCTTAAGGGAAATGAAGGGATGGGCCAAATTGATTGCAGCAGGAACATGCCCTTAAGACACAGATCGCTCAGGTTTTTGTTTGTGGCTTAAGAAGGCCTTTAAGTGGTTTTCCGCCCTGAGCGGGCCAGGTGTTCCTTGCCCTCATTCCCGTAAACCCATAACCTTCCAGCTTGGGCGTTATGGCCATTATGGACATGTTACATTGCTGCAGAGATTTTATTTATGGCCAGTTTTGGGGCCAGTTTATGGCCAGACTTTGGGGGGCTTGCTCCCAACAGAGATCTCCCTCTAATTTCCCAATTTCCTGGACCCCTCTTTTCTTTCCTGTGGCAAGAAAACTGGGACTTTTATTATTTGATGTGCATCTTCACTTGGGGCCAAGTGGCTAAAGGTAACAGGTGTTATCATCTTTTATGACAGAAAAATGACATTTCTTCAGTATTGTCTAAAGTTAAACTTTGTGCAGTGATATACTAAAGGCTGGATTGTAGAATTGATCTCTCTTGTGTGGTAGCAATAAGGAGGATTCATTATTCATGGGAAATTTTAAAAGAATAATAAAATTGATCAAAAGTAGTCCTGATTTTTATTATCATCAATTTCCAGCAATTAAAAAATGTCAGTAATAAAATATCCACCCCTAAAAAAGTATTTTGTTGGTTTAAGTTTCAAAACATTGCTACACTTCCTATTATTACTCCTATGTATTGTGTTTCAATTTTGAATGTTTTATTGCATAAACATAGTAAACATTACATTCTATTTAGAAGTTTATTCAGAGAACTTCCAGCTTTACGTTTGCTCTAGTCCCATGAGAATTCAGCTATATGACTCCTTTTAAGAGTAAATCCATAACAGTTTGGAATTATTTTGGTTGCATTTCTGTGTCTCCAATACCATTGGTATTACACATTCCTACATTTAGGTGTTGGAATAAAAGTAATGATAGCACATTGATTATAGAGCTAAATAGAATTCGAGTTTCTTTGATTTTGTCATTGTATAGGATAACTTGAAATGTTATTTGCATTTAAAATTTACAACTGCAAACTAGAATGCAAATTGCAAGGTGTAATGTTTTTGTTTGGAAAGTATATTTTAGTTCTTCAATCAACTATAAGTGAAACTATTGATGAACCTAGTTATGGCATCTATTGTATATCAATACATAAAGAAGACACATTTTGGGAAAATCATTCACAAATTTGCAAAAGTGAGACGTGAAAACAGAAATTAATATTAATTATCACTGTGACAGATCAAAATGTAAATGTATTAGTTTTCTGTAAAAAAATGTAATTAAAGGAATTAATCTGTTGCTTTTTCATGTTTATACTGTAATTAAAAAGATTTAGTATCATAATATGAAGTCCAATAAATGAAAATTTTCATTGTTTGCATTATTTTCCTGATCATTATTTGTTTTATTTTATTTTGTGATTATTACTGAGGATATTTTTGTGATATAGAGGAGTTGTTAAGAAATCATCAACTACATCTGTCAAATAAGCTAGTTATGCTACTCACTCTGTTTATCCCATGAAATAGCAGTTGCTCTCTCTTAGGTGAAAAACCCAGGGAAATGAGGGCATATGTCCACTGAAAGACAAATTCATACTTGTTCAAAATAACCAAATACTGGAAACAACCCAAATGCCCATGATCTGGAGGGTGGATAAACTGTGGTGTTTTCACAAAATGGACTACAGCATGATAGTAAATTCATTAAACTAATGGTACACAATGACATGGATAAATCTCAAAAACATTATACAGAGTCTAATAAGCCAGCCGCAAACACCTACTATAAAGTTTCATTTACAAAAACAGGCAACACTACTATGACAAAAAAATCTACATTTACAAATGATTTTCTGTAAAATAGCTTGATTTACTTTTGATCGACCTTATCCTCTTATGAATATATTCAGCTCATAGCATTTTTTTCTTCCAGATACAGCTAAAAATAAAAAAGCCAAAGAATAAATCTGGTTTCCATTGACCTCTGAGTATGTGAATGGCTACATGATTCCTCTTATAGAGCAGCCTGATCCACCCATATGCCCCCTAAGACATATTCCTTAAAATATTCTTATGGCCATCCCATATAAATTTTGCTCTCTTAATCTATCCATTCTTCCGTCCATGATAGTTTGCATTTACACAAACTTCTACCTTCCTCCTCTCTTGCTTCTTCTATTCTCTTCCTCCCCTCCTTCCTCCTTAATTTCTCAAATATTAATCTTTTATATTTTAGGACTTTTTGACCATTCAGATGGGCATTGCTCTGTTCTTGTATTATTCAAGTTTTTTTTTTTTTTTCGGTCCTCACATTCATGTTTATCTTCTTCAAGGCATTCCAGAAAGGCATGCTATACCTTGCACAACTCTAAAATTATCTGAAAATATATTTTTTCAGACTCTTCTGATGCCTAGGACTTCACGTCCTCTGTGTCTCCCAGAGACTTCAAATTCTAGAAGACTGATTAAAACCTGAAATGAAGATTGACTTTTATTTATTCAGGACATGAATAACCACTTTTCCAGTAATTGATATATTTTATTTTTTGTGATTACTAAGAATTATATATTTGCCAATCTTATTAGCAAATCCAACAAAAAGGCCTAAAATAATTCAGTTGAACTGATAAAATGATAGCTTCCTTTCCTTTCCTTCTCCTTTCCTCCCATATATTGAGTATAATGTTTCATTGAAAAGAACAACTTGATACATTGTTCCAGCTATGTCTTACTATCTAGCAAGATACACCAACATTGAGAGCTTAAAAGACAATTTACTTTTGTATCTCATATTTCTTTGGGTTGACATAGCTGTGTAGCATGCTGTTGAAGTCAGGCTTTTCCTGGAGATACAGTCATCTTAGGGGGCTCCTGGGCTAGAGGTCAAGATGGCTCCCTCATATGGCTGACAGTAGCTATTATCTAGTAGCTCAACTTGGGCTTAGACTAGAGTGCCTGTACCTTACCTCTTCATGTATCCTGAGTTTCTCAAAGTATGCAAGTTTGAATCTAAGTGTTAGCATCAAGAGACTGAAGCAGAAGTGGAAGACCTAACTGTGGAAGTCCCACCAAATAACTTTGGCTGCATTCCATTGGTAAAGCAAGTCATTAAGCTCAGACTAAATTTAAGGGGAGGGGATTTAAACTTCCCCTTTTAATGGGGGAGTGCGAAGGCCACATTGCTAAGGAGCATGTAAGATAGAACATATTGTTGCAGTCATATCTTGGAAAATAAAATCTCTCATGCCTACTATTTTTAAAAATGAAGACCCAGTGAATTACTTTATGACAGTTTAACAAGTCTATTACTTTTCCTAGTAATTACCAGTGATAGTGAGTTGAATAGGTATAAAACCACAGAGCCTAGGACAGGGCCTGGCATATGGCAGGTGCTTAAATACATGCTTGATAAAGGAAACACATAGTCTTAGTTGTTTTAAATGCATTGATGTAAGATTTATGCATATCATAACCTTAGAGTGGGAAGAGAATTTATTTATTTTCCAGACATATAAATATATGTCAGGCATTTGTGAAGAGTTACCCTGTGCACTGAGTACCAATTTGTCAGCCTGGTGAGACAGAACACCTAAATATACTATAAATTCCATGAAGCTAATTTATTACTTGCAGATAGTTATAAAGGGACCACAGAAGGCTCGGATTCATGATAAGCCAGTCTCCCAAGGCTCAGGAAAGCTTCCCAGACTGAGTGGAGTATTGTCTGTGCATGCCCTGCTTGCACCACAGCTGAGAGACCCTAGAAAGAAGCCTGCCCTGGTTTATATCCTGGGAGATTATATGAATTGCTGGGACAAAGCCTTGAAGGATGTCCTGTTTCTAGGAGGGACTGGAACAGAACCCAGGTTGTTCCAGCAGGTTCCTCCTTATTTCAGGATGAGGCATACCCAACACTTCTACAGTTATTTACGAGACTACAAGCAAGGAAAGGGAGAGAACTAGGTTGTTTCGAAGCCACCTGGAGAACTATCTGGCAATATTTGTATCACGTTAATATATTATCTCATTTAAGTTAACATAAACCAGGTGGGGTAAGTACTAATCTTCAGATTTTGAATTATTCTTTATTCTTAATAAGAAAGTCTCACTCATATTTAAATATTACTTCAAGGTTTTTAAGTGGTGTTCATCTGAATGATTTCATCCTTTCAACAGCTTTGGGAAGATGGAAGGGAGGTAGTGTTTCCTTCCTTTACAAGGGAGGCAGCCTAGAGAAGTAGAAAAACACAAGATTTCAAATCCGAAGCCTTGTTATTTTACCTAAGTCTCAACTGAAGCTAAAAGAGACCACAATAGACTCCAGTAAAACTGCTAGTGCTAAAAGACAAAAAAAAGTGAGTGTTTGATTCTAATTTAAGTGGGGACTGCTTTAACTTCTTCCATGTAAAATGGGGATAATAATATGCACTCATTTGTATGTTGAGCTAATCAAGTGATTCAATATATGTGAAAGTATTAATTCATTACAGAGTGTACTTTCAAATCAATGTATAAACACAAGTTTTTATGTTTATGAGCAAGTTAAGATCTGAGTTTCCCAAAGTTACATAACCAACAAATGTTCAAGCCAATGGGAGAATCACTGTCATAAACTGCATTGTCACATTTAGCCAATATGACCACTTCAGAATTATTTTCATTATATCATCGTAACGTGAGAAACGTCAGGAGCTCCAATACTATTGAGAAACTAAGATATTTTACATGCATAAATGTTGTTGAAAGTTAAATGTAAAAGTGCAATAAATAGATTATAATAATTTTTAATAAAGAAATACATATATATTTTAAAAATAGCCTCAGGAAATGTAAAAAACATTTATCTGTAAAATTCTTCTATAGGAGAAAGGCTTCAAAAAGTAGCATTGCCTAAAATCAATGTTTTTACGGTAAGGAATAATTTGACCATTAAGGATAAAAAAAAAATTTCTACAAAGTTTGAGAAACAGGAATCATAAATCAGATAAAATTTGAAGCAATTTGCAACTTAATTGCTTCATCTCTTTCAAAGAAGACTCCAGACCACAGTCTACTATATAATACATATGAAGAAATATTCGTTGGCTGAAGGATTAAGCAATTCCAAATAATCTTTCCTTAATACTATGTTAACATTTTGACTACATATAAGAAGGAAGTTGAGCTTTGGGGGACTTGGAGAAGCTGCTGTGAACTTCTGGCAAGGTCAAGGAAATCTAAACAATATTTAGACATTTGTTTTAAATTTCTATTTCTTCTTTTTATGATAAATTTGAAAACATTTTGCCACATTTTTTCTCTTTTTGTTGTTGTGTTAAGGCATGCCAGCTAAAAAATGTAAAGCACGTTATAGAATTTTAAAGTTACCGTTTAAACTCTGCAATGCCATAATTGATTCTGGCAAGGAACATCAAATGATGTTAAAAATCTTAGCTAAAAAATTGATAGGTCAAATGGTATTTCTGGTTCTAGATCCTTGAGGAATCGCCACACTGTCTTCCACAATGGTTGAACTAGTTTACAGTCCCACCACCCGGGCACACGTATACCTATGTAACAAACCTGCATGTTCTGCACACGTATTCCAGAACATAAAGTAAAATAAAAAAAAGAGAAGGTTCTTGAGCTTTGCATTAAAGACATCTAGTTGAACACATATACACATATTTTGTCTGTTCTCTCAAGGTAACAACAACAAAAAAGTATAAACCTACAACAACAAGGAGACTGGGAGGAGAGAGGAGTGTGAGAGGGAGGAAGGAGAGAGAAAAAAATGATGGGGACCTGGATATTCTCAAAGTGCCAAAGTATAATGTAATTAACTACTTGCTATATGTAAGGGACAAATCATAACGCTACAGTAGGAAGATCTGGCTGTTACTGCAATAAACCAGGGATTGGGTTTAGCCTCACTGTTAGTGAGACAGACAGACATTATGTGGTTCCTGATGCAAGGCACTGTGAAGGAATGGCATCTTCTATGTAGCATATTGTTAAAAAATGCTTAATCAAGCCTTTGAATATGATTTTCACTAGGAAAAGAAAAATACAGGAATTAGGAAAACAAGTTAAAGAATGCATATTAATCCAGAATGGGAAACATTTCACCAGACAATTTTATAATTGGCCCAGTCTCTCCAAAATATCATTTTCATTAAAAATTAAAAAAGAAAAGGAAGAGGAAAGAAATGAGACTGTTCTGGGTCAAAAGAGTCTTGATAGAGACAACAAATGCAATGTGATGCTGTAAAAGATAAGAAACAAATGGAGAAATTTGAATATATACTAGTTATAAGATAGTGTTGAGAGAATACTGTTAATTTTGTCAGATGTCAGTATGGTACCGTGGTTAGGAAGGAAAATGTCATTTTTGAAAAGATGCAGCCTGGAGTGTTTAGTTGTGAAATGTCACGATGTCTGTTATTTTCATTAAAATGTTAAATGTTTCTCTTTAAAACATGCTATACCTATAGTTTTTGTCGTTCTAGAAGATGTGCCTCATTTGCTTAACCTAAATCACTATTTTCTGGTCTCCATGACAACTTGCAGATGGCTTGAGTTGGTTGTAAAAGTTATTTTGTGTACAGGGTTAAGTTGTTATTGTCAAGAATTTGGCAAATCAACAGCACATATCTTGATTTTCTCACTCAGAATGCGATTCTCTTACAAAACAGCGTTGCTGCTTTCCTTGTGAATAATTAAAATAAATAACAGAAATAACTGTCTGGGCACAGTGGCGCATGCCTCTAGTCCCAGCACTTTGGGAGGCCGAGACGGTGGGGGATCACCAGAGGTCAGGAGTTCGAGACCAGCCTGGCCAACATGATGAAATGCTATCTCTACTAAAAGTACAAAAATTAGCCTTGGGTGGTGGCTCACACCTGTGGTCCTAGCTACTCAGGAGGCTGAGGCAGGGGAATTGCTTGAACCGAGTAAGCCGAGGTTGCAGTGAGCTGAGATTGCACCACTGCACTCCAGCCTGGGAGACAGAGTGAAATAATTAAAGTCACCACCATTTAATGATTCCTTACCTATCTATCAAGTACAGGGGTGAGGGCTTGACATTCATCTTCTCATTTGATTCTTGCAACAACTTTGTAAGTGCACATTATTAACTTTATTTCACAAGTGAGGAAACCAAGGTTTAGACATTTTAAGTTATTTGACCAAAGTCTCAGAAGCAAAGCCACCAAAACTGCCTTTTCCAAAGTCTGTGCTCTTAATCAGCTTTGCTATTTTTCCTTCCCCATGTCTATAAACAGACGCTCCAATTTTAGTGAATATACCCACAGTGAACCTTGATGACGTTAAACATGGTTTCAATTGTTAAAGTAACTTTCTGATAAATTGCAATATCTGGCATGGAACATGAACTTCCTTTTTTTTTAAAAAAAAAATTATGTTGGCTTTTTTTTTTTACACATTTGCTTTTCCAGATAAATTAGAATTTTCTAGACAAATTACCTCCGTATGATTTTGTATAAAATTATATGAAATTTATGTTTATTTGTGAAAGTTAAGTTTTAATAGATTGAGCTTTCCTATTCAGCCACAATTATGGAATTTTATACATTATGCCGCTTACATATGGGAAAATGCTCAACATCACTAATTATGGGGGAAATGCAAATCAAAACCACAATGCGATACCACCTCACTCCTGCAAGAATAAAGAAAAAAAAATTAATGTTGACGTGGATGTGGTGAAAAGAGAACACTTTTACACTGTTGATGGGAATGCAAACTAATGCAACCACTATGGAAAACAGCGTGAAAATTCCTTAAAAAATTAAAAGTAGGCCGGGCGCGGTGGCTCATGCCTGTAATCCCAGCACTTTTGGAGGTCTAGTGGGGTGGATCACGAGGTCAAGAGATCGAGACCATCCTGGCCAACATGGTGAAACCCTGTCTCCACTAAAAATACAAAAAATTAGCCGGGCGTGGTAGTGGGCGCCTGTAGTCCCAGGTACTCGGGAAGCTGAGGCGGCGTCAACCCAGGAGGCGGAGCTTGCAGAGAGCCGAGATCGCACCACTGCACTCCAGCCTGGGCGACAGAGCAAGACTCCGTCTCAAAAAAAAAAAAAAAAATTAAAAGTAGATCTACCATTTGATCCAGCAATCCCACTGCTAGGTATCTACCCAGAGGAAAAGAAGCCATTATATGAAAAAGATACTTGCACACACATGTTTATAGTAGCACAATTTGCAGGTGCAAAAATGTGGAACCAGCCCAAATGCCCATCAATCAACAAGTGGATAAAGAAAATGTGAGATAGATAGATAGATATAACGGAATACTACTCAGCCATAAGAAAGAATGAAAGAATGGCATTTGCAGCAACCTGGATGGAATTGCAGACTAATATTCTAGGTGAAGTAACTCAGGAATGGAAAACCAAACATTGTATGGTCTCACTTATATGAGGGAGCTAAGCTATGAGGACACAAAGGCATAAGAACGATACATTGGACTTTGGGGACTCGGTGGAAAGTGTTGGTGGTGGCGAGGGATAAAAGACTACACCTCGGGTACAGGTTACAGGCTACACTGCTTGTGTGATGGGTGCACCAAAATCTCAGAAATCACCACTAAAGAACTTATTCATATAACCAAACACCAACTGTTCCCCAAAACCTTTGGAAATAAAAAAAATTAAAAATTAAAAATCCCAATCGTTCTATGTATTTTTACTGTTGTTTTTCACTAACTCTAAAACTTTTCCTTAAATTTTCCATTATTGTGCCTTAATTTTGAGTTAACAAAGCAGAAGCTTTGAGAAAACGAGTTTCAGGCCTGCACAGACTTGGGAAGTGAAGACTTTAGCTACAGTTATACAGAATTGGTGACTAGTTAATAGAAATAAAAATATGTCACGTTGTAACACCTACTGGCTGGCCTTGTCATTAAACCTTAAGAGTTGTAAATCTAATACTTATAAATGTTCCCTTGAATGGTTGTATACTTAGGCCTACTGTTTTATAAGTAGGTAGTTCCTGCTTTAGATCAACAAGGCAGGGATTTGAATATGTAAAACATATTTTATGTCCGGAATTATGCAAAGTTTGTCATTAAAGACATGTATTGATGATACAGACATATTTTTTCACCCTGTGTTTCCACAGGATCTCGTTTAGTTTCCTTTCCATTTACTTTCCAGGCTTGTAAAACTCATGGATACACTTTTAGCTTGAGGCTTTTTCTGCATTGCCTTACCTATGTTTATGTTAGTCATTGCCTATTAATTTGGTTAATCCTTTCTCCCCATTTAATTTGTTATTTAAATAAAATTTATAATTTACTATTTAACTTATCACTTAAATTGAATCCAGATATTCAAAACACTGGCCATTCTTTCTACTATGATGTTTTTGTAATGTTTTATTCCACCTTGACTGTGATAGTCCCGTTTGTAATACCAAGAGGATCAGATCATTTTTTGTTCTAGAAAGATAAAAAAGTTCCTGAAAGAATGAGAAAATACACTTTTGAACCCAAAACAAAGTCTCATTTTCTAAGATTTTGGCATAAAATATACCGTGTACCTTTTGCTCTTAAAACACTTCGTTGTTAATACATTCAATTTTAAGGTACTTATGAGTGGCAGGCTATGGGACTAGTTAGTTCTTGTCTAGAATCTCCTCTATAACCCTCAAGAAATAATATGTATTTTAAAAAAATCTTACCATTTTTTCAGTGTACAATATACAATTTCTTACATTGATCCATTTATTAACTCATTAGTGATTTTGTGGTTTTCACTGCTTTTATACAAGCTTTTGCTTTTATGATCATCATAGTTTCTTATACCCAAGTCCTCTTTGCCTTACTGAAAAAGAATTCTGAGAAGGGCAGAAGCAAAAGCTTCCTCATGTGCAGTGCCCACCTGCTCTCTGTCTCTTTGTTCTATAGCAGTGTCTTCTTCATGTATGGGTGCCCCAGGTCTGGCCCAGATTAACAGTGGAATGAAATGTATTTTCCGTTCTACATGATTATAATTCCTCTGCAGACTCCTTTATTTACAGTATGAAAAACAAAGAAGTTTTAGGTACACTTAGAACAATGATAAAGAAATATTTTTGGAGAACACTTTCATAATTCTTTCCATTTCCTTTCTGTTAAAACAAATCGTAATAATTGTTTCTGTGTTTTACACATAGTAGGGACACAATATGTTAAGTGAATGAATAAAAAAATTTAGACTAAATATTCTTGTCTTAGTTATAAGTTATTCTGATCATTAAAATAGTTAATGAGCATTTAAGGACAAACACCACATTTTTGTTGTTGTTTTAAGTACATACTCAAGGATGAAGTTCAAACTGAAATTATAATGCCACATTACTGTTTTTGTAACATGAATGAAACACAAGAGTTCATTCATTTTACAAAGACTTAGTAACAAGTTTTTGTAACATGAATGAACTACATGAAATACAGACATACATGTTTTAGAACTTACTTGCAGTTATTTAAAGGAAGACCCCACCTATATAATTTAAAAAGTGTTCAAAGTATTCATGCACTTCTAAATAATTCTTGAACAAGGCATTTTTCAAACTTTCTCTTTAGCAGATATTTATAATAATATATCAGAATGTTAATAAAAATAATACTGTTAGGCCAAATATGACAACACATATCCTCTTAAAACATTTAAAACTAAGATTTCCATTTGGTTTAAAAGCAATTTTGAAAAGTAACATGTTTCATTGCCTCCATTGAAAGATATGTAAATGTAACAACAAAAATACTAAAAGTAATTCAAATTTCTGCAATATAGTTAGAAAATTTCTGAGTTCTTCTAAAACTTTTACTTTTTAATTTATTGAGTAGTCCTACTGAGCACTGCATTCCTGACACACATATCCTACCTGAATAGTGTTTTCTGGCATTGACACCTGCCTGAACCAGCAGGTGTGCTTGATCAACTGTCAGTTAAATATATTAAGCTAATTTTTTTTCTTACCTACATTGTGTATATATTCTATCTGGCCCTTTCATGAGTAGGCAAACTTTGACCTCCTTACTTTTATTACTTAGACTCTTGAGAATACTCAAGAGAGTATTCTCTTGAGAAAATACTCAAGAAAGATTTTTCCATATGCATAATACATTGCTTTTACCCTGGCTTTAAAAAAAAGTGAAGAAATGGCAGTTTGTTGAATGATATAACCCAAAGCCCCAAATGAGGCACAGTGGCTTTAGGAATAGTTTGTTAGGGTTCAGTTTTTTCAGAACCCGGTTCCTCTCATTGCATCTGAGCTGTGCCTTC
Source organism: Homo sapiens (assembly GCF_000001405.40). Lineage (NCBI taxonomy): Eukaryota > Metazoa > Chordata > Mammalia > Primates > Hominidae > Homo > Homo sapiens. Next base: position 98,054,942 of record NC_000003.12, read on the forward strand.
TGCTGTGGGGACTCCATTTTAAGCAGGTGTACCCTGTGGCTGCAGAATCTCTGCAGGAGTTCCTGTCTCCATCTCTCTATAGTCAACCCCAGCGACAAAGTGTTCTAATTTTATATGTAATATGCCATACAGGCTGATTAGTCTTGCCTACATAGTGGCCGTATGTCAATGTATAACCTTTCTCTCTCATCATTACACCTATATTATTTCAAGAAAAATCCCCACTGATTTGGGTTGAGACCTAGAGACCAGAGTACTACATTCTACATGCTTTCCTCAGCTAGATTCACATAGAGCAGGACTGACATCCTCACACTCCCCGAGAGGAAAACAGCCACAGGCAGCTATATAGTCAAAGGGGACAATAGTTTTGCAAATATTAAACAATGGAAATTAATTTCTTATTTTAACATTTTTTTTCATAGTTTCTGAGGTGGGAAAAATCTAGTACTTGACCTTTTAACAAGATAGCCTGAAGAGCAGACTTTTAAATTACTTATGTCTGAGTCCTGAATCATGTCCCTTAAAGAGGCAGTTCATTGGCTGAGCAGAAATCCCAAATCACAGAGCTGTACTAATTGGTTAGTTAATTAGGGCACTCCCAGGTGAGAAATGTTGAAGACTGGCAGACACTAACTTCCATTGTTCATCCAAGTCCGTTGGCACAATCTGTGGTTTGACTTTTAGAGGTGTTAGTGCAATTCTCTCACAATCTCCTAGCTCCACTTTAGAATGCCTGCACCTTAGTTACCTCAGTTTCTTTCATACAACCTTAATTACCTCTGAAGCATGAATTCCCCTTTGCCAGGTAACCTAACATATTCACAGGTTCTGGGAATTAAGATGTGTACATATGTGGCAGGAGCATTATTGCGTACATCAAAGGTAGACTTGGAAAAGAGTGTGTTTTGTCCAGATTCCAATTTATGGCACTAGAAATCATTTCTGGCTCTGCTCCTTCCTTACCTGGCTACCTCAAAGTAAACTTGGTTTGCAAAGTACGTAGGCAGCAGACCCTTGAAGGTTAAGCTTTAGAGGCTGGTCCCCATCACCATCTTGCATGGCCAGGACCTGCAAATTCCTGCAGCGACAGAAAGAAGCCAAGAGACTCACTCATGCAACAGGTGGGTTGGGACATGTAGGTGGAGGACATAAGAGAGACCCTGAGGGGTGACCACATCAATGAGACCCAAGAGAGTCAGAACAGCCTTGGAGGGCAGCTGGGACCCTACCCATACTAGTTGACCAGATCAATAGTTCCAATAGGCACTGACTTTGGCTGTAAAAGCTGGCACCATGCCAAGCCCAGAAGAGTCAGACAGTATTAGTAGGACAGAGACCTTCACTTTACTCCCAAAAGATCACAGGCCTTTCCCTGCTCCATATTCTCATATTCATCTCAGAGGTTTACATGAAAAAATTAAAATTAGTCAAGTTAATTTTCTGTCATTTAGAGCATGACAGCTCTTGCTATATCTATTCCATGAACTGCTTAACAAAATCATTGATTAGAATCACAGACTCCGGTCATCTCCAGGCTGAGGTCATGACCCATGAGAGAATGGATCGGAAGTAATAGGATACGGGACAATCGACTAACCCCTCTTCTTAAACTCTGGACTTTTGGAGAGTTGTTTTCACTGAGAAAAGCCCAAGTCCAATAGTGATAACTCAGTTCATAAGTGATGGCCTGGGACATGCTGTAGAGACTAGGTGTGGGAGGACATATTCAGAGTCCCTAGCTGAGTCAGAAATAGAACCTGCAGCTTGTCTCACAGGAGCCAAGGCCAACATGAGAGATCCTGGCAGATTGGGAAGGGACATCACATGAATCGTGCAAGAATCAGCTCATCCACCTATTTCCACACAAGCTAGGCAACTGAGGCAGAGATGGAACTACAACTTGAAAGTGAACATGAGCATATGAGAGAGGAGAAAGAGAAGAAAAGATTGAGGAGACAGCCTACACTTTCTGACACCATTACAAAGATAACTGCTCAGCCTCCAGTGGGTCCACCCTATGCTCATACCTACACAAGGGAGGCCCTGCTGACCATGTAGCTGGAATTCCTGGGACAGGGATGCATTATACTGTGGATGGAGGGAGCTTCCTAGTAGGAGAAAAGACTTTCATCCAGTAACCAATTTTACTTAGCCAAACTACAACAGAACATAGTAGAAAATTCAACTCAGGTCTTTCTAGAAGCAAGGTAAGCAAACTTAGCAAACTTGAGTCCATTCAAAAGACTCTTACCCTAAAAAAGAGTAAGAGTCTTTTGAATGGACTCATGTTTACTAAGGAGAGAAAGTAATGGGGAGGAAGAGAATGAAAAGTATTAATTTTCTTTTATCAGTTGCCTCTCTGAGTATAGAGCTGGTTCCATAGTTTGCATAAGGGTTCTATCTGTCTGGGAATATATTTTAAATTGTTGTAGAAGTAATGCAAAGAGAAAAAAAGGAATTCCTCTTCTGACTTCAAAAACAGGAATTTGTCTTGAAGGAATATTACATTATTTTACACAGATTTTTAGTATATTAAGAAATGAACTGGAAGTCTTAGAGATTAGAGTTCTATACTGTAAATATGGCTATGTCTGCTAGGCTAAGCCTGGTTTCTTCATCGCACAAGGAGAATACAAAGTAAGAGAAGTAAAAAATGAGCCCATATTTTCTCACTTAGTGGTGAGGGGAGAAGAGTAAGTGGATAGAGAGCAAAGGGAAGCAGTCAGGTAACTATATCCCAATTTTGTTGTTACAGGCTCCAATTTGGAGTTTCAGAGGTTTGTAGATAGTTTTAATAGAGCCTGAGGGAGGGAAGTCTTCTAGCCAGAGTCTTGTTTTAGAGTGTAGAAAGGAACCAGTCTTTCCTGCATAACACTGGGGCATGGCCTGCAGCATGGCTAGGCAGAGGGTGGCCTAGAAGTTTTCCTCCCTCTATGTGTTGTGATGGGACCAGGAGCCCCAGAGTATCACTGAGGGGAGCACTCAGGCTGTATGTGACCTTCTATTTGGGTGATATATGAAATTCCTTGAATCGATAGGTAATTTAATTTGCTCTTATGTAGCTCTCACTGAACTCAGGTATTTACTTCTTATGCAACTCCACACTGCTCTAAAACTGATTTTTAAATGAAAAAAAACTAGTTTTGTGCTTTCACTATTTACAAAACAAAATTCAGCACTATATAACATTTCCTCCATACCCTTGAGCAATATCTTTGGAGATGAGTTTCAAGTTACTACAGTGCTGCAGAGCAGGAAACCTTTGACTTGGAAGCCATGAACAAACCATAAAAATCCACAAAGAATGAAATGTACCCCTTTATACAGGGAGACTTATGGACGTTTTCATTTGCAAAATGTTAGAGGCAACCTTTACAACTCAAGAGGGCTGTTGTGTAAATATACTTTTTTTCTTTCAGATTCTGTGACTTAACACTTTTCAAATAGTCTAGTTCTTGAAAGTGGTTAAAGCATCTCAGATAAAGTCAGGTCATAGGTTTCCCTGGCATTTAAAGGATTTGCAAATTCCTGTGGTCTTTTTTAGAACAAGCAGCTCTATCCAAAAATAGACCATCAAAGGCTTCTACGTTAGTTTGTTCTCACACTACTGTAAAGAACTACCTGAGACTGAGTAAGTTATGAAGAAAAGACATTTAATCACCTCACAGTTCTACAGGCTTAACAGAAAGCATGACTGGGAGGCCTCGGGAACCTTACAATCATGATGGAAGGGGAAGCAAGCACCTTCTTCACTGGCGGCAGGAGAGAGAGAAAGCAAAGGGGGAAGTGCTACGCACTTTTAAACAACCAGATCTCGTGAGAACTCATTCACTATCATGACAGCAGCAAGGGGGAAGTCAGCCCCCACGATTCAATCACCTCCCACCAGGCCTCTCCTGCAACACATGGGGATTACAATTTGACATGAAATTGTGTGGCAACACAGAGCCAAACCATATCAGCTTCCCATGAGAACTATGAGGTCTGTCAGCTTCAGTTACTTGAAGAGTTTTTTTTATCTGAGAGAGACATCTGTCATTTTTGTTGCAATATCAGAGGTTAGTGCTACTCTCAGAGACTTAAAGGTGGCAATGATGTTGATTCCCATAATATCCTATTTATTTTTTTATTCCAGTCTAGACAACCACACACTTAGCCATATTGTAGTGCCTATTGCTATTGTTCTGCCAGATGTGTTATGCTTAATAGAACACTTTAATACCGTATTTGGTGTGAGATATGTGGTTACTGATGTGAAAATGTATTATTTTCAATACAGATCATGAATAAGGATCAGAAGCATTTTACATTCACCTGAGATGTCAACAGTGTACATTGTCAGTCTTGTCCCAGGGTTATGCTAACTCTTCTACTCTGTGTCTAAAGGAAACTTTGTTTGCTGGACATTTTGCAGAACAGCAGTCTAGCCCATTGTGTTGCTGATATCATGTGAATTGGACCTGGGGAGTACTCTGGATAAGTGCCCTTGTAAATTGCATGTGCTCCAGGAAATTGCAGATAAAACCAAGAAAAACTGTATATTGGGAGCATGTAATTATTATATGTGACAAAAACAATATATTTTAAAGAAGTGATTGGTACCTAGACAAAGAACAGTCACAGCTGGATTTGATGGAGAGAAGAGGCTATCACCTCGAGATCCTAGCTTTTGTTGAGATGGAGACTAGATGGGAATTGGGTTTGACTCCCTTGGGGAGAGGCTAAGAGTGTCTTATGTGTGGAGAGGGGCTGAAACAGGCCCATGATGATCAGAGTAGAAGAAACTTAGCTAATCACCAAGTCCACTTTTTTTCTTTCTACACACACAGTCTCCTTGTTCAGTTAACTGTGGTCATATGATTAAGTTTAGAATTGGTAGTGGCATACATCACTTACATTTCTAGTGAATAAGCACCTCATATCTTGAACCCTCTGTGAACATTCTTTCTCCAGCTTAACCCAGATGAGAACACAAACATTTCAGGAAGACCTGTGTGGAAAATGCTTGAGTGACAAGATGAAGGAGTCTAAAACTCTGAATCACCAAAAGGAGTAGAATAGTCTTTCAATTAGGATCATGTGCTTGATACTTTGCATGAAGGAAAACTAAATTATTATGTCAATTCACTAAGAGAGTGGGGATTTTCTGTATATGCAGTTACTGTTACAGTAATTAGTGCACATGTACAACGTCCAAAACCCCTCAACTCTGTATAACTATTGGATTTCTTTTTCAGTATAGGGGCATGGATATTTAGGCTTAAGAATTTTAGTTGTTATCCTATGTGCAGTGAGAAGTTATTTATGTGTTGTAAGTGGGAAGAATGTGTTTGTGTGTTGGTGGTGAAAAGACATTCTGGTGTCAGTGTGGAAAACGGATGGGATGATGGTGTTAGAAGATGCAGATAGTGTAGTTAGAAGGTTATTTAATACATCGAAGCAATAGAGGAATGTATCTTGGACTTTGAGGATAAAGGGGGAAATGAAAAGAAATAGTTGGATTTAAGAAATCTTTAAAAGATAAAATCTGGAAGACTTGACAATGGTTGAAACAATGGAGTTGAGGGTAAGGTTAGTGTCAAAGATATGTCCCTGGTTTATGGCTTGCATAAATGTTTGTTGGGTGACCCTATCCTCGGGACAGGAAACACTGAAAGATTACTGGGTTTGGGGGTAAAATAGGGGAAGATCTTAGTCTCAGCTTTGGACATATTAACTCTAAGGTAACTTTGGGATTTCCAAATGGAAATCAAGTTAATTAGGTAGTTGGGTTGTGGCACCATTAAGAGAAATAGAGGGAAGGGAAACAAGCTTATTATAAATTCTATTCAATGATATTTTATAAACATGCCCCAACAGTGAACCCCAGGGACACAATGTGTAGTTTTGATTGTTATAACTAGTTGTTTATGACTGACTTGATGATTAGCTCACAATGCCCTGTAGAATAACTTTGACTCATCCTATTGGGAATCCTTTGGAAACATTGAGGGAATTTACCTTTTTTTTAAAGAATGGATTTGAAGATAGAAGATAGAAATGCCATCTCCTTCCAGTTCGGAATTTTCAAGGAAAATTGGTACACTACTAATACTGCTTCATCTCTGTACATTTTATGTTTCTTCCAGACAAAGAGCATATTTTGTTTCCCAATGTTTCATAGGACCTGGGTGAGAGTGCAGAGATTTTCATAATTTTTATTATTTTAGCTTTGCAATTTGTCTGTAACATAACAAAATGTCTAAGTAAGAAATTAAAATCCTAGACAGGATTTTTAAAAATAATTGACAACCAAAATATGAACAGACAGAAGTAAATACCCTTTTGAACATGTATATTTCAGTTAGAATTTTTACAGTGGAGGTAACACAATTGTTGAGAAGTTTTTAAACAAACTTTGATTAGCAAAAAAATGAAAAATGAAAAATTTAAGTAATAATAAGAAAAATCCAACAGAGCTTATTTTATAACATGAAAAGTTTTCTCAATTAAGATGTAAGCTATGCAACTGAAGTATAACTTATTTGTAATTTTTCAGAATAGGAAATTCTGGCTTAAGGCTTATTTGACTGAGTAAAATTAAAAACTCTTTAATTCCATGGAATTGTGGGAATATGGGCTAAGTCTCTAGAGTTAACTTCAATAGACTCCTTTTGTCTCCTTATGTCTTACATAACTTAAGAAAAATTCACAAACTTACTCATTCTTGGCTAAATTATACATTGAAGGAACTAAAACTAGAAATATCAATAATTCAGTTACTTGAGGTTATAAGGAAAATTGGGCCAGTTTGTTCTGGGCAAAGATCTTTTATAGTTCTTAATTATTAGTGTATGGTTTTAGCTCTGTTGTATATGCTAGGGCTCTCTGTGAGTATATATTTAAAAATAAAAATCCTAAAATGAATTCATTCTTCATTTATTTTCAGTAAAGATAATATCACATCTCACAACTGTTATTTATGCTAATATTTGATGCTTAGAAAATTAGCCTTTATTTATATTTTTAAATTATACAAACCCAGTTTTTCAAATATTCCTCATAGTAAAAAAATTTATGTTCCCTAAGTATTATGAGGCATGACTATAGAATTATGAAAAAAATTTTTATACATGAAAATGCCAGAACAATTTATTCATATTTCTTCTCAAGGTAATCTAGAAGGGTCTATATTCATGAGAAAACCTCTTTTTGAAGTTCTTTTAGAGACTATATATAAATCACACACATTCACAAAAATCTCTTTACTTCATGAAAACACTAAATGTTATATTCATAGCAGTGATAAAAAATAAAGTATAAAAGAATAAATTTAATAAGAACATTACAGAAATTACAAAAATTCTAAAATTTCTAAAAATTCTGTTACTCTATTTGAATCTCTATCTTATATAATTACAGATAACTTTGGAGTATTAAAAAATTCTATCTACTCTCAATGCTCAAAAGTTTTTTCCGTTGATAATATTCAAAATACCATGCGAATTTGCCTGAATGTTATTTCTGCATTTAAGCAATATGTAGGTACAAAAACTTAGAGATTATAGACCCCTAATTTTACATTGAAATTTTCAGTGACAAAATATCTCCTTTACAAGGCAATAAGGTTTTATTGTCCTTGATTCTTTTTTCCACTATGACATGTTAGAGACTGTTCTTTCATACATCCCTTCATATACATAGGTAGACACATGTACATACATATGTTTATATAATTTTATGTTAAAGAGATAATAACATACATGCTGTTTTTCTTGTGGAACTCTTATTTTGATTTATCCCTCTTGCTCTCTCCTCCACTTCCCCTAATCTGGCATCTACTCCCATACTACATAAACCAGTGCTACTAATTTAGTATCCATTACCCATATTTTTCTCCATGCAAAGAGAGATTTAAAAGTGCAATTCTTGTTTTACAATAATGAAATTATATTGTTTACACTCATATGTATCTTGCCCTTCTCATATCTACACATTGTGGTAATTCTCAATTCAATTGGTATAGACAGTTCTTTTTTTTGTGCCTGAATTTTATTCCACAGTATGAATGTACTGTGATTTATCCAACCATTTCACTGTGGATGTGTCTGGTCTTTGCCACTGTGAACCATAATGCATTGGATATTTTTTGTATATTTATATTTGAGTAGTGGTACTTTTATTTCTAGGCGGTATATATTAAAAATGGTAAATCAAAGGGTATATATATGTTTTATAAAATTAATGAGAGTATATAAAATTGCTTTCCAAAAAGACTGTTGCAATAAATATTTCCATCAGTAATATATGAAAATATTACTTTTCTCACCTCAGTTAGTAGTGAGTATTTTATTCATTTTAATTTCTGCTAATCTGATATATGAAAATAAAGGGGTGTGTATGTGTGTGTATGTGTGTGTGTGTGTGTCTATGACATAGAAATTTGTGTATCTTTTCATTTCATTTATTGGTCATTTTCTTTTGTTAAATTTGTAAACTTGCTTATTTATATCATTTACTCATTCTTCTTTTAGATACTTTGCCATTTGCTTATCTATCTTAAGTTTTTATTATAGACATACATCTGTAGCTTTCATATCCATGATAAAATACGTTTTCTAATTTATTATATGCCTTTTGATTCTGATAGATACTCTTCTGCCATGCATTACAATTATATAGGAGCTATGTATTTGTTCTGGCTTTCTTTCTTTGAATAAGAATTTCTCAAATCTCTAAGTTACATTAAATTTCTTAGAAAATATTTGTGATGTGAGGTAGAGCCTAACCTTATTTACTTCCAGAGAAATAGCCAACCGTGCCAGTATAATTCACTAAATCAGTCATTCTTTTCCTTCTGTATTGAGATATATTTGTTTTATGCCAAATTCCTTTATGTATTGAAATATATTTCTGACCTCTCTATCCTATTGTGCTGATCCTCTTGTCTATTCTTATCCCAATATCTTAATATTTTGATTATTATGGCTTTATATCATAGCTCAATAGCAGTTAAGGTACTCAACTATTCTTACTATTTAGTATTTTCTTGGGGAAAATGGCAACTTTTTTCTTTCATATGAACTTTAAGATAAGTATATGCAGTTGTAGAAAAAACCCTGTTAGATTGAAAAGGATTTGCACTAAGTTTACATGTCTCTTTGGATAGATTATGATTTTAAGACTTTTTATAACAGATAATTTTGAATGTATATTATTATAGAGAAGTAAGCCAGGTGTGGTGACTTATGCCTGTAATCCTAGAACTTTGGGAAGCTGAAGCAAGAGGATTTTCGAGCCCAGGAGGTCGAGGCTGCAGTCAGCCATGATTGCAGCATTGCATTCTAGCCTGGGTGAGAGAGGAAGACTCTGTCTCAAAATAACGAAACCAAACAAAATAAAAGTGGACAAATAAGGGTAAAAATTTAAAACTAATAAAACAAGAAGCATCTCTTGGGAATCAGTCACACCTAAAATGTCATCATTGTTATGACTCTTTTGTGACTATATTCTCTCTTCTTTCATTTTAGTGATTGGCCAGGTCACACATGGCAGAAGAAAATAAGATTCTGGTGACTCACTTTGTCCTCACAGGACTCACAGATCATCCAGGGCTGCAGGCGCCCCTGTTCCTGGTGTTCTTGGTCATCTACCTCATCACCCTGGTGGGCAACCTTGGCCTGATGGCTCTCATCTGGAAGGACCCCCACCTTCACACCCCCATATACTTATTTCTTGGCAGTTTAGCCTTTGCAGATGCATGCACTTCATCCTCTGTAACTTCTAAGATGCTTATCAATTTTTTTATCAAAGAATCATATGCTATCCATGGCTAAGTGTGCCACCCAGTTTTACTTTTTTGGTTCCAATGCAACCACAGAATGCTTCCTGCTGGTAGTGATGGCCTATGACCGCTATGTAGCCATATGCAATCCCTTGCTTTATCCAGTGGTGATGTCCAATAGCCTCTGTACTCAGTTTATAGGTATTTCATATTTTATTGGTTTTCTGCATTCAGCGATTCATGTGGGTTTGTTATTTAGATTAACTTTCTGCAGGTCCAATATTATACATTATTTCTACTGTGAAATTTTACAGCTGTTCAAAATTTCTTGCACCAATCCTACAGTTAATATACTTCTGATTTTCATCTTTTCAGCATTTATACAAGTCTTCACTTTTATGACTCTTATCGTCTCTTACTCCTATATTCTCTCTGCCATCCTGAAAAAGAAGTCTGAGAAGGGTAGAAGCAAAGCCTTCTCTACTTGCAGTGCCCATCTGCTCTCTGTCTCTTTGTTCTACGGCACCCTCTTCTTCATGTATGTGAGTTCTAGGTCTGGATCAGCTGCAGATCAGGCCAAAATGTATTCTTTATTTTACACAATAATAATTCCTTTACTAAATCCTTTTATTTACAGCCTAAGGAACAAAGAGGTTATAGATGCCCTGAGAAGAATCATGAAGAAATAAATAGTTGTCAGACAACATTCAAACCATTTCTTCTTTATATTCTGCTGAGAAAACCCCAAGTCCTGTAGATTAGGACTAGTGGTCAGGGTGGTCCCTGAGCTCTGTGTAAAGGATCTCAGCTTCATATTATGTTTACTTGGATATGGATCCAGTGAAGGTTTGGTAACGTTACCCAAAATCAGCTTATTTAGAAACACTGTGCTTCATTTTAATCTGAGCATTTAGCTTTTTCAAAATAGCTATTTGCTAGGGACTTCAAAGTTATAGGTAGTAATTGGCAATTTTACTGAGAAATACTGAGAAATATTTATAATTGCACAAGAAAGACATAATTTTTTCAGGATTATTTTTAACAATATCCAAGCTATTATACCATATTACCTTGAAAAGAAAAGGTTGCAGCTGAATTGTAGTTGTTTCCCCCAGTTTGAGATGCCCCTGAGGAATGGACATCTAGACAGGCAGGTTATATTGCTGGGATTGGTCTGAACTGATTGCTGATCTAAAATGTTCCCAAGTATATTGTATCAGTTTTTAAGATTGTTTATTATATAACCTATATTTTATAGAATGCAGCTGTACTGAAAAATGGAGGTGAGGCAAACATACCTCCAGGTGCTAGGTGACAAGCAAGTTACTTAAGCTAAGAGACACTAGACCCTGCACTTTTCTTGTGCTAATTTGAGCTGTACTTATTTCAGTTTGCATTCAGTTACTGAAACTTGGGCAGTTGTATCTGGGTATCTAAGACCTCTGTAATGCTGCTGCTTTGCATTATTTGGTATTCTTGCTTAAAGCTAAATAAACTTGGGTAATAAACATGGCTAAATAAACACTGGGTAAGTTTGATTGTCATTGTATACTTGAAACTTACTACAGTGGTCCAATGATTAAATGACGCTCATACAGAAGGATGGGTAGGGAAAATCTTTTGAGACTTTAGTGCTGGGATGGCTGCTAACTTATTCTTGGTTTGTGGTAGTGAAAATTTTTTGAGGTAAATTTTGGGGGACAAATCTCATCAATGGAATTTAGATGATTAGCTTCAAAGCTCTACAATTAACCAAAATGAATTAATAAAAAAGGCAAACGGAAAATAGCTATATTTCTTGATTGTTATCAGTGATATTAGCACAATGGAAATTCTATCAGGAGAACACAAAAAGATAGACTTGACTTATAAGAGGTGAGGAAAATATGAAAATAGAAGATGAGCTGTAACATGTTTTGCTGGAAATCTGGCAGAGATTATATTTACTGGTCAACTAGAGGTCACTTAGTGTGACCACTGACTTTTCAAGAGGTGTGAGGACAAGGCCAGATGACCATAGAAACTAGGAGGTACTGTTAAATAATTGAAGCGTTTTGCCAACAGATAAACACTGGAAACCTGATGAGGTTTTGTTAGTCTGGATGCTCAGACTGTGTGTTCAGGGAAGTAATATTTTAAAGGTAAGGAATCCATTCAGTTTGAATGGAATTATATGGCCAGCCTATATAAACTTTAGTATACATTTCTCATTCCCAATTACGATACACAATAGTTAAAGTAAAAATCCAACAAGTTTGCCTGCCCAATTCTTTCTCTTAATGGTAGATGAAGGATCCGTGCAGAGATAGTAGAAATATTCTAATGCAGACACTTTAGGTTGATTATAGATAAAACATATAATTACTCTTAATGGAAAATGCCTTTAACACAAACTATGATAAATGCAGTGATAAGGACAGTTTGTGATGCTTGGTACCCTTATATAATCTTCCTTTTATTAGAATATAATACTATACAGACGGCCATGGACAAACATGTTAGCAAGCTGCTACTCTTGCATCTTGATGATAGAAGAAAGGTATGTAATATTTAGAGAGAAAGAAATGATTAAAAATGGTCTAGCTACATGGAATTATTTTGGTGGCTAATGAAAGTAGTATGAAAAGGAAATAAACTGATGAAGGTGCTGTATAAAATATGGTGTTGAATTGTTACTGGCTAGGAGGTGGAAAACTCTTGGTACTTTGGACAACCACACTTGCCTCACTGAACAAACTCGTCAAGTTTGTTCTGTTTACTCCTGTTTGGGATATGTCAAAGAGTATTGAGAAAATAAAGTGGGTAAGCAAGGTGCAGAGGATACCTCTGTTAAGGCAATAGATTTTTAAAAAGTTAAAATCTACTTGCAAAAGTTCAGCAGAGAAATCTAAAGATGTACACTTGGTCTAACTTGAATAGCTTTGGGGTGGTGAACAGAATTTCCAGGGATTACCAGAAGCTGGAACACAATATATAGAGATACCAGCAAGAGGCAGAGAGTGCAACAATAAGGACCAAGGTAAAACTTTGAGGATAATGTGATGCTGTCATAGTAGGTACCAGAGTTACATTAAATTACAAATTGGAAAATATGAAAGTAAGAATGCCCTGTAGAAATGTCACCTCTACACAAGTGTCTTATTGGATTTGATGTTATGTGAATAGAGAAATTCGTCATTGCCTGCTGATTTCTAATCAGGTATTAATTGAGCATGTCTGTACCCATTTCTAATTTGACATACAAATGAGAACCTTTAGAATTGTGCAAATTTTCCTCTGCAGTGAGAATTAAGCAAAACCAGATCTCAGGAGGACAATGACAAATTTCTGCTTTGATTAAAAAGATAGTAGAAACAGGAATATTAATCCCCATCAACTAATTATATAAAAGTCTTGTCTGGTCTCTAAGGAAAAAGACAGTTCATGAAGACTAACCATAGACTACTGAGGACTAAATAAGATCCTTCTTCTGATGATCTCTGTGCCATGAATGGCAAAAGTCATTCAAGAAGTATAGCAAACTAAAGGTGACTGGCTGCTATAGAGCTGGCCAAGGATTTTTATTTTCATTCCAATTTCAGAAGAAAGTAAAACAATTTGCTTCTTTTGGTAAAGCCTGCAATACATATTTAAGATAATTACTTTTTCCAGTATAGACATGTACCTTGGTTAGGTAAGATCTAGACTTGATTCCTATAAGAGAAAATTAGTTTATTACATTGATAATATTATGATAATTTATCTCTCAGAGGAACTAAGAAATTAAAGACTTAAGAACTGTGGTGACACATATGACTAACCCAAAGTGGCTAATCAACCTCATTAAACTATAGGGCCTTGAACAATCTGTAAAACTTTAGGGAATAATTTTGACTGGAATCACAATAGACATTCTAAACACAACGGAATAAATTGCTGTCTTTGCAGCCCTGATGGATAAGAAGAGGACTATCTGCATGTTGGTGAGTGCATTTATTGCACTTGAACCTTTTATGAAGCCCCATATTGAGTTACTCAAAAGAAATCTGAGTTTCAATGAAGTCAGGAAAAACCATGAACTTTGAGACTTACAATCTGTTTGGAATATATTCCAAACAGTCTTTCTAGAACCACATCTTCCATCATCCTAAAGTCCAAATGAATTTAAAGGTGTCTATACAGCTGGAGTCCCTGGCAAACATCAACATTACCAAACAATGACACCATCAGGAATTTGGAATTTTTAATTACTTGATGTGCAGCAATGAAAGGCCTTTTTGAAAGACAAGTGTAGGCCTGTTATTAGGCCTTGATGGAAATAGCGCCCTCTATGGAAACACAGCAAATAATATTATTTTATTTTATTATTTATTGTTTGTTTTTTTCACTTTTTAAAAGAACAGTTTTAGGTTTATAGCAAAATTGAGAAGAAGGTACAGAGATTTCCTGTATACCTCCTGCCCGGACACTTGCACAGCCTCCTGCATTATCAACACCCCCAACAGAGTAGCACATTCATTTCTGCTGATGTGCCTATGTTGACATACCATAGGCACCCAAAGTCCATAGTTTACATTAGGGCTCACTCTTGGTTTTGTGCATTCTATGCGTTTGGACAAATGTATAATAACGTGTACCCACTATAATAGCATCATATAGAATAAACCTGAGATAACTATTGTGTTATGAGCAGTGTCAAATATATGTTTTAAAAAACCTGAGGCAAGTCAGCAAAAGTCGTTGATTAAATGAAAAGTATATATAGGAATATCCACTGATGATGGCTCTAGGGGAGTGCTTCATATTCATGACCAGTTTTCAGCCCTGCCACTGGGACTGAATATAGGACACCCCAAGGAGATACTAGCTGTTAGTACTGAATAATCTGAACCTTATAATTATTCACCTGCTAAAGCAAAGCATGCCACCTGGTTCATCAACAGAAGATCCAGAATTCAAGGACAAGATGCATTTTGAAAATCTGTAGCTACTTACTCCAAAAATAAAGGATAAGATCTTGGTTGAAGAATGTAGAAATAAATATACACAATGGGCAGAATAAGGGTAGTGTATAAGAGCCTTCCCAGTCTTATCTGGTGGATTAAAATTTGATTTTCTCCTCATTTTCTGTTGAAATTAAGAAATATTTTGATTTATTTTAAATATTAAGAAAACATTGCTTTCCTGAGATAAACCTCACTTGGTAATAATGTATTATTATTTTTATATGTGGTTGTATATTATTTATTAATGTTTTTATTAGGGATATCTAAATTTGAGATCATGAGGTATATCAGAATTTCTTTATCTTTATCTGGTTTTGATATGAGATGTTTCTGGCCTTTGAATAAAAGTGTTCCCTACTCCATTTTCTTGAAATGTTTGTGTAGGATAACTATTTTTTCCTTAAGTATTTGTTGAAATTTTCCAGTAGCTATTTTTTTATTATGAGAATTTATATATTTCAGCTAGATGATTAAATTATTGTAATATTTTAGTATAATAATATTCCCTTTTTTAAATGTTTGTAGTATCCTTAATGATGTTCCTCTTTCATTCCTGGCATTGGTAGTTTATTTTTCCTCTTTTTAAAAATAATTATTCTAGTAAGAGGCTCATCATTATTTTTGATCTTTTCAAGGAAATAGTTTTTAGTTTATTAATTTTTTTCAATTGTTTTTATTCCATTTTATTGACTTATTTATTTACTGTTTCCTTCCTTTACCTTATTTTGGGCTTAATTTGCTTTTTCACTTTTTAACTTCTTAAAGAGTAAATGTAGATAAATGACTTTAGACCTTTTTTCTTTTTCCATATAAACATTTAAAGCTATACATTTCCATTTAGGTGCCACTTTTATCTGTATTGTATATTTGATATATTATATTTTTATTTTCATTCAATTCAAAATGTTTTCTATGTGTATGACCTTTACACTGAACAATTCACCCAATAATAATGCAAATTCTTTGAAGTGCACATGGTACATTCACAATATAGACTACAAAACTGGCCATTAAATAAGCCCAGAAGATTTTAAAGGATTGAAATAATACAAAGTGTGTTCTCTGACAACAATGGAATTAAATCAGAAATGAATAACAGATATTTGGAAAATCTCCATCTATTCAGAGATTAATGGACACACTTCTAAATAACCCATGGGGGAAAGAAGAAATCTAAAGAAAAATTAAATTATTTATATGTCCCCAACAATTTTGTATGTTGAAGTCCTAAACTCCAATTTGACAGTATTTGGAGGTGGAGCCTTTGAGAGGCAATGAGGTTTAGATGAGGTCATGAGAGTAGGGCTTTCCTGATAGGATTAGTGTCGTTATAAGAAAAGATACTGAAGCTTGCTCTCTTTCTCTCTGCCCTGTGAGGACACAGTGAGAAGGCACCGTCTGCAAGCCAGGAAGAGAGCCCTTACCAGAATCCCAATTAAGAACTTACAGCCTTCAAGCTGAGAAAATTAACTTCTGTTGTTTAACACACCCAGTCTATGGTATTTTTTAATGACAGACTGAGAAAACTGATACCTATCTCATGTAATTCTTGAAATTCTTTTTAAAAATTTGTTTCACTCGTCTTTGTTCCATCTTATTCTTTTCTTGTATTCTTTTGTATTATTGATTTCTTACCATTCAATTTTATCTCTACTTTTAGCGTACTAGTTAAACCTCTTTTTTAATAGTTGCTCTCTGTTTAAAATATACAGTCAATTTTTTGCAGTCTGCCTTCAAATAATATTTCTTCCTATGTGTAATGTAAGGACTTTATAACAGTATACTTCTGTCCTTTTTGTCTTTTTATTATTTTTGTCACATTTAATTTCTACATGTTATGATTTTCACAATTGTTATTACTTGTGCTTTAAGGAGTCATTTATTTAGAAAGGCATTAAAAACTGAGAAAAATATTCACATATTTACCCATTTTTTTCTTCATTTCTTTGTGTAAACTCAAATTTCCATCTGCTTTCAATTATTTTCCCTTTTATTTTTGAAAGATATTTTCACTGAAGAAAGTCTTCTAGGTCTACAGTACCTTTTTGCTTTCAGCAATTTTATTTTGTTATTCTGTTGTTTTTGGCTTGGAAAATTTCTGACAAGAAATCCGTTATTTTTATTTTTCTGTTTAAGATGTGTTTTTTTCTGGATGTTTTTCATATTTTGTCTTTCAGAAATTTAATTATGATGTGCCTTGGTGTAGTTTTATTTGTGCTTCTGTTGTTTGGAGTTCATTGACCTTTGATCTCCTAATTTAAGTTTTAAAATTTGCAAAACTTTTGGCCATTATTTCTTCAGCAATATTTTTGTCCATTACTTTCCTTCTGGAATATGAATTTCATGTATGTTGTATCACTTGATATTGTCCAGCAATGAGACTCTATTAATCTATTTTCAAACTTCTACAAATCTCTTTATGCTTCATGTTGGATTGTTTATATTGCCATTTTTTCAAGTTCACTAATCCTTTTTTGTTTCTGTAGAGGCTAACCTTCTCTTAACCTTATCCAGTAAAATTTTAATATAAAATATGGCCTTTTTCATCTCTAGAAATTCCATTTGATTCTTCTTTATGTTTTTTATATCTCTTCTTCTTATGCTGATTTTTATTATATTGTTTTATAATAGCTGTTTTCATATGCTTGCCTATCAATTCACTATTTCTGCCAGTTTAGGGTCTTCCTATTGATTGCATTTTCTTCTGATTATGTATCATGGTTTTCTGCCTCTAAGTTGTCTAGAAATTTTTAATTGGAGTTTTGACATTATAGATTTGGAAATTATCCTGGCAGGCAGTTACATTTTTGCATGTAAACTTACCCCTTTCAAGATTGTTTTTCAGGTTTTATTTGGTGAGTTTTGTATTATCTTTAGAGCTAATTTAGCTCCGTTACTTAGGCTTAGTCCTCCTGGGGTGTCTAATGAATGCCCCATGTATTCAAGGGTTTCTCTAAACTCTGATTATTGGCAACATGAAAAATTCATACCTGTGTTATCTACTTGAATTTTTTAACTTATAGATACTGGGTTACTGTTTTTGCCCCCACTTGTTTGCTTTTCCACTGAAGTTTTATTCATATGAAGTTAGATGTTTAGACAAAACCTTATGTGTACCTTTATGCAGACTTATGTAGTGCTTTGTTTGCATAGCTTTCTCTTTGTTAGTACTTTTGTAAGGTCTAGCTACAACAACTTCTCTTAACTGAAGATATTGTCTCCTCCTGTCAGCAAGATTGTCAGTTCTGTTTGTGCTCCTATTACTTAAGACACAGCCTGGAGATTGTCTCCAGGCAGAAATCTGAGGCAATTATAGGGTTCACCTCATATATTCTCAGGGCTCACAGCAGTTCTCTTCTGCCTATTGTACACTATCTGAAAACAATAGTTGTTTTCTGTATTTTGTCCAATCTTCTATTGTTTACAGTAGAAGTGCAAGTCTCATAGGCATTACTTTTTTCACTGAGGGAAATGGAAGTATAAGACATCGCTTTTTGTCACTTATCTCTGACTAAAATCTTCTAATACTTCTTTTTGGCTATGCAGAGTCTGCATTTCTGAGTGTAGCATAAGGATTCATAAAGGAACCAAGCAAATTCTTCATCCCTGCATTAAATATGTAATTTACTAGTTTCTATAACTTGGCTCCTATTCTTCCTTTCTTCATCAAGGAAAATGCTTTATCTTTATAATTTTCTAAATTGTGTCCATTACAATTACAATACAGCATGAATTCTATCTCTTCTAAGACCATCCCAAAAGTGATCAGTTGCCTCTTTGAACTTAATTTTGTTATTTATGTTAATTTGTTAATTTAGTTAATCATTCATGCAATTACTGAAGAAAAGTTATGATACATTTAACCACAATTTTTATTTTCAAGGAATTCAGCCTAGGGGAGGAAATAGATTTATAAAAATAGTGACTGTAACAGAGATTAAAAATGCTGGAAAAGAACTAAGTACAGGCATAGAAGTGGTGCAGGAAAGAGTATTGCTCAACTCTTACATGGAATTAATGGAGGAGAATAAAAAATAACTTGCTAGAATCGGTGGCACTGAGGCAGAACTGGAAGCATAAGAGTTATAAGGTGTCCACCAGGTACTCACTTCAGAATGAGGAGCACAATATGTAAAAATAGTGCTCTAAGTTTGAATCTTCAAGTGTTTAAATATAGTCAGAACATAGGGTGAGAGGGAGACGGGAGTATCAGAGATAAGACTGGAGATGTAAGAAGGATTAGACAATGGGAAACCATTTATGCCATGATAATGAGTTGGATTGTATTATAGGTAAATGTGGTACCAACGAAAGGTTATGAATTACTGATTAATAGCTATTGTAAAATCTGGAACATTTTGTTCCATAATTCAATATATATTCTTAGCCAGGGGTAGTGGCAGGCACCTGTAATCCCAGCTACTTGGGAGGCTGAGGCAGGAGAATCCCTTGAACTTGGGAGGCAGAAGTTGCAGTGAGCCAATATCGCACCATTGTACTCCAACCAGGGTGACAAAGTGAGACTTCATCTCAAAACCAAACCAACCAACAAAAACCAATACGTATTCAATATACAACATTCAATATATATTCAATATAGAACAATATTTTGGCCATTACTCTCTTTCTGGGATATCATTTGCATATATATCTGATGATATATATATATATATCTGATGATATATATATATATATCTGATGATATATATATATCTGATGATATATATCTGATGATATATATATCTGATGAGATATATATCTGATGATATATGTATATGATGATTGATATATATCTGATGATACATATATATCTGATGATATATATATCTGATGATATATATATCTGATACATATATATCTGATGATACATATATATCTGATGATATATATATCTGATGATATATATATCTGATGATACATATATATCTGATGACATATATATCTGATGATATATATATATGATGATATATATATCTGATGAGATATATATATCTGATGATATATATATGTCTGATGATAGCATGAAAAATAAATTGAAAATAAGGTAAGATTGGAAATCAATAGAACAATAAGGATATAATTACAAATTATTGAAAACATATTTCCCTGAATTTCTGGAAATACTGGTCTATTGAATATGTTTGGATTTATATGTTGCCATTGAAAAGTTCCTATGCCAACCTGGTTTTGTCCTCTTTACCTGAAAGCCCAGAGGGTATTTGTTTTACTTTATGACTTAGTTTTTAAATGGTATGTTTCAAATTACTTGTTTCCCTTAATTTTCACAGGTGCATAGGTGCATAAGAAACTTACTGATATGTAGATTCATATTTTTTATTTCTAGAAAATCTCATATTATAATTTTAGTAATAATTCTATTTCATTGAATGCTTTTTCAGAAACTCTAATTACATATATGTTGGATTTTATTCTCCTATAAGTGATATCAATCAGTTTTTCTCTGATAACTTTTTGTTTGTTTTCAGTTTTGTTTTTCTCACGTAGCTGTTTGTATGACTTTTCTTTTTTGTTGTTGTTGCATTTAGGTTCCAGAAGATGACTACATTTTTTCACATTTTAATTGTTTTAAGTCTGCCAGGCCCTATTTCTCCATGGGGCTTTATATTTCATTCAAGTGGCAATCCAACACAATTTTCATCCACTTCATGAAATCTATCACATCTTTCTCGAGATCATTTCACACTAAAGTTCAAGCATGTTTACTGTATCAGAAAATTAGTGGGTGAGATATTGGAACAATGGCTGAAGATAGACACTAGAGTGAAGCACGGAGAAATGGTTAAGGGGAAAGTAATTCTGCAAGTGGTTAGTTCACTTAGGAATATTTGTGTTCTGACAATTCTTACTTGCCTAGACAGCATTGTCACTTCAGGAACTGGCATACTGAATGACATGATAACGTGAATCTTCCTGTTGACTCATCAGTTAATATCATAACTTTACCTCATTATATATACAAAAATTAACACTTGAGCTAATTTGTAGGTATTTCTATTTTTATTACAATAGGTTTTGGGGAAACAGGTCGTATTTGGTTACATTGGTAAGTTCTTTAGTGGTGATTTCTGAGATTTTGATGCACCTATCACCGGAGCAGCATACACTGTAACCAGTGTGTTGTCTTTCATCCTTCACTCCTCGCTCACCGTTCCACCTGAGTCCCTTAAGTCCACTGCATCATTCTTACACCTGTGCATCCTCATAGCTTAGTTCTCACTTATAAATAAGAATATATGATGTTTTGCCTTCCATTCCTGAGTTACCTCACTTAGAATAATGGTTTCCAACTTCCAATTCAGGTTGCTGAAAATGCCATCATTTTTTCCCCTTTTTGTGGTTGAGTAGTATTCAATAGTATACATTTTCTTTATTCCTTGATTGATGGGCATTTGGGCTGGTTTCATATTTTTACGATTGCTAATTGTGCTGCTATAAACGTGTGTGCAAGTGTCTTTTTTATATAATGACTTCTTTCCCTCTGGGTAGATATGCAGCAGTGAGGTTGCTGGATCAAATGGTAGATTGACTTTTAGTTCTTTAAGGAATCTCCATACTGTTTTCCATAGTGATTGTACCAGTTTACAATCCCACCAGCAGTGCATAAGTGTTCCCTTTTCACCACATCCATGCCAACATCTAATTTTTTTTATTTTTAAATTACGGCCATTCTTGCAGGAGTAAGGTGGTATCACAATGTGGTTTTAATTTGCATTTGCCTGATAATTAGTGATGTTGAACATTTTTTCTTATGTTTGTTAGTCATTTGTATGTCTTCTTTTGAGAGTGATCTATTCATATCATTAGCCCAATTCTTGATGGGATTATTTTTTTTTCTCTTACTTATTTGTTTGGGGTTCTTTGTAGATTTGGGGTATTAGTCTTTTGTTGGATGCAAATTTGTGAAAAATTTCTCCCACTCTGTGGGTTGTCTGTTTAGGCTGCTGATTTTTTCTTTTGCTGTGCAGAAGCTTTTTAGTTTAATTACGTCCCATCTGTTTATCTTTGTTTTTGTTGCATTTGCTTTTGGGTGATTGGTCATGAAGTCTTTGCCTATGCCAACGTCTAGAAGGATTTTTCTGATGTTGTCTTCTAGAATGTTTATAGTTTCAGGTCTTAGATTTAAGTCTTTGATCTATCTTGACTTGATTTTTGTATAAGGCAAGAGGTGAGGATCCAGTTTCAATCTTCTACATGTGGCTAGCCAATTATCCCAGCACCATTTGTTGAATAGGGTGTCCTTTCCCCACTTTATGTTTTCCTTGCTTTGTTGAAGATCAATGGACTGTAAGTATTTGGCTTTATTTCTGGGTTCTCCATTTCATTCCACTGGTCTATGTGTTTATTTTTATACCAGTACTGCACTGTTTTGGTGGCTATAGCCTTAAAGTATAGTTTGAAGTTGGGTCATGTGATGCTTCTAGGTTTGTTCCTTTTGCTTTGGCTATGCAAGCTCCTTCTTGGCTCCATATACATTTTAGGGTTGTTTTCTCTGGTTTTGTGGAGAATGATGGTGGTGTTTTGATGTGAATTGCATTGAATTTGTAGATTGCATTTAGCAGTATGGTATTTTCACGATATTGATTCTACACATCCATGAGCATGGGATATGTTTTCATTTGTTTGTGGTGTCTATGATTCTTTCAGCAGTGTTTTGAAGTTTTCCTTTTAGAGGTCTTTTACATACTTGGTTAGGTATATTCCTAAGTATTTTATTTTATTTTTCTGCAGCTATTGTGAAAGGGGTTGAGTTCTTGATTTGATTCTCAGCTTGGTCACTGTTGGTGTATAGCAGAGCTACTGATTTGTGTACATTAATTTTGTATCCTGAAACTTTGCTTAATGCATTTACCAGTTCTAGGAGCTTTTTGGATGAGTCTTTAAGGTTTTCTTGGTGTATGATTGTATCATCAGCAAACAGCAATGGTTTGACTTCTTGTTTACTAATTTGGATGCCCTTTATTTCTTTCTCTTGTGTGATTGCTCTGGCTAGGACTTCCAGTACTACGTTGAATAGAAGTGGTGAAAGTGGGCATCCTTGTCTTGTTCCAATTCTCAGGGGGAATGCTTTCAACTTTTCCCCATTCATTATAATGTTGGCTGTGGGTTTGTCATAGATGGCTTTTATTATGTTAAGGTATGTCCCTTCTATGCCAAGTTCTTGATTTGATTCTCAGCTTGGTTGCTGTTGGTATATAGCAGAGCTACTGATTTATGCACATTAATCTTGTATCCTGAAATTTGCTGAACTTTCTTAATGTTTCTGTTTATTTATGCATTAAAATGACCAAAATTTAGTGGTTCTTCAGCAATCTAATTAATATCTCTCACAATTCTATGGTTTGACCAGGGTCAGCAGGGCGGTCGCCAGTTGGTCTGCAGTCATGTGAGGTCACAATAGGTCTGGATTTTCCGAGATGACTCATTCGCAAATCTGGTACATTGTTGAAGATGGCTAGAAGACTGGGCTCAGCTGAGAGGTTAAGATTTTTGAGCCCCCCTTTCTCTATGCATAGTTTCAGAACCTCTCTCTCTCCATGTGATTTATCTGGCAGGATAACCTAACTTTAGATGAAGGCTCAGCGCTCCACAAAAGGCTAGTGGAAGCAACTTCTTAAGCTTGGACTGGCACAACATAGCTTCTGTCACATAAAACACCCATGGAGCAGGACATAATTGTAACACAGTTATAATTGTGTTACAATCTATAAAATATTAATACTATATTATTAATAACTATAGCAATATATTGTTTAAAGAGAGTCATTGAGAACCCCATTGGGGTTCTCAAAACATAAACACCAGGAGATGTGGTTTATAGGAACTGTCTTTGGAAAGATATTCATTCAATTTCTTTTAATATGTTTCAGTCAAATCTAGTTTTCCTTGGCTCCTAATAATTGTCTTTATTTCTTAGAAAAGTTTTGTCTTCTTTAATTATTTCCTGAACTTTTTCACATCTATATTTTAATCTTTTAGCTCATATCTGTTCTTAGTTTTAGAAGTTTTGATCTGAGGTTTTATTTTAAAATATCTGCTTGTTTAAGCTGTTCAATTTTAGTTTGTGTCCTGTGTTACAATTATCCCTGCTCCATGGATGTTTTCAGGAGGAACAATATTCCTAAGCAGAAAAAAATGTATTGGGTTTTTATTTTATATTTTATTTTTTTCTTTTAACACTTACCATGGGTGTTCTCAGTTGCTTTCTGGCAATTTAAAACGTAAAATTGTTCAGGATCATCAATTACATTTATAGATAGACAGGTATGAGTGGTTTGGATAGTTAACTAAATTTTGTCTGTTTTTGTTTTATTTTGGTTTTGGTTTACCACATATTTCTTCTATAGTGAAATGAAAGTTTCAAATTTTGGGGACCTTTCTTGGAGAAAATTTTAAAGTGTCTTCTGATTTTGATTGTCTTTTGTTTCTTTGGGATATTTAATTTCCTTTTTTTTTCTTTTACTCCCAAGCCTAAGAAGGGTTTCTCCCTCTTCTGTGTTCCCCCTTCCACAGAGGTTGAGCTTTCAGAGAGACTGCTTGTTTTACTCCTGCATACTCCCATGTCTCTTTCTTCTGATAGCTCATAGCCTTTGCTCTTTCCTATCAAGTTTTCTGTATTCCCTTCACTTAGGATGTAACTTCCTATTTCTGAGAGTGATTTTTGGGTTCTGCTACTCTGAGGCTTTAGTTCTTCTCTTCTTTTATTCTGTAGGCTCCATCTTCTCTTTAGTCTGGTCCAGTCTCCAGAGTAGATGTTTGGGCATAATTTACTGCTTATCGGTAAATTGAAGTTTATACTATTCTGTCTTCTAGTTATACTAAAGGTGTTTTGGAGGGATATGTTTGTTCTTGTTCATCAATAAAGTTTTTGCTTTTTGTTTTTTTTAATTTAAGGATGTGTGGAGAGATTTGGATTTTGCCAATTTCCATTATCTTATGGAAACCATATGGATACAAATGATTAATTTGATTTTAAGAGCCACCATTATTTACTTTTTAATAAAATAGGGTACAAAAATAAATATCTACTGAGTCCATCATTTTAAAATCTCTGGATTAGAAGCATAGTATGCAGGTGAGTCAAATCCATTTAAAAAGCTTGGGATAGAAATGACTATTTTCTTCCAAAAGGTAATAATGGTTGTAATAATTTTGACCTACAGAGACCTTCATATTTTAATAAAGATTCTTTACAGCAATATAGGGACCATAAAGACCTCCTTACCTCCTTGATTATCTGGACAGAAATGGTGTTAAGTCCTGGATTTTTTTTTTTAATCATTTCTCACATCTTTGTCAACTATGATAGATGTTATTGCTAAACCCAATGGCTAGGCTGTGATAGACTTCTATAGACTACTTGACTATTTGTGAATCTAGCTTTTATTCCACAGAAATTCTACTTTGCCAGCATAATTTTTTTTTTTTTTTTTTTGAGATGGGGTCTTGTTCTGTCACCCAGGCTGGAGTGCAATGGTGCAATCTCGACTCACTGCAACCTCCGCCTCCCAGGTTTAAGTGATTCTCCTGCCTCAGCTCCTGAGTAGCTGGGACTACAGACATAAGCCACCATACCCGGCTAATTTTTGTAATTTTAGTAGAGGTGGGGATTCACCAGATTGGCCAGGCTGGTCTTGAACTCCGGACCTCGATTGATCCACCTGCCTCGGCCTCCCAAATTGCTGAGATTACAGGCGTGGACCACTGCGCCTGTCCTGCCAGTATAATGTTAAATACATCAGGCACTGTTAACGAAGAGGCACAATACTAAATCAATATTATGTTAATGTTCTTATTGGGGTTCTTATTTGCTTATGGATAAGCAAAACCTAATGTTAATATAATATTAAAGCCCAAGCTAAGACTGAAGAAGTAAAACTTGCCAATCTTCTCATAAAACTTAAATCTTCAAACAATGCCATATTTGGATTCTGCAGCAAGATTGATTCATGTCTTCTATACTTTAGATAAATGCTTATTCATCCTGATACACAAGGATATCATTAGCTTGCCAACATGTTTATGCTGGGTATCACAGTGCAATCACAGAGGACTGATCACTATAAACAAAAAAGCAACCACTGTTTCTGTTTAGGGTAATATGAAATGAGCACTAAACATAGGCAGGGAAGACAGATGGAACAGTTGAAAATTCGCAAATGTAAACACTTCTTTAGGACAAATTAACTGCTACCAGATTTCACAGTTATCTGTTTAATTGTCAATACTGTGTGTAGTTTCATTTTATTAACTAATTCTTGGAGCATTAAAGATGATAAATTATCATGTACTCAATAAGGAGAATCAAAGTAAGTTGGGGATAAAGAAGATAAAACCTACTCTTTCCTAGTTTGATGAACAGTGAAGCTGGATTTTTACATATGTAAAAATATGATTTTTACATATGTTTTTAAATGGCTCAGAGAATATTGAAACAAGTTTTTCTGGGGGCAGTTAGCTTCCCTTTGTAGAGACCTTGGGTCAATATCCAAGGTGGGTAAATGAATGAGAGCAGGCTGACCAGGGAAACCAGATGGTTCTATTGAGGAGGAGATGCTGGCACAAGACAGCTTCTCCTTCCATGTAAGCCCATTGAGAACTTTTAGGGACTAAGGATGAAGGTGACTATAATGACTGAAATGCAGCCTGAGGTCAAGCTCTCTGTCACACTAGCCTTGAAAGTAATCATGTCTGTTCCTATGGAAAAAAACTTAAGTTGCCTTGAGAATGGTAGTCATTTGTGATGACAAGAAATGACCCAAGGGACATTTGCAGAAGTTTGGTGACAGGAAATTAGATAGCATTTTCACTAAATAACTTTCCAACTCTCATATGAGGAGCAATTTACATTATTAGTAAGTAGGCCTTTCCATCAGTCTTCAAAGCATCTTCTCTAAATGAGTACTGGGCTGATAATGAGAGACTATGCCAAGATTTCAGTTATACAGCATTTTGTTTAATTCATATGAAGAAGCCTTTCGACACTTATTAATCCTAATTCAAATCAGGTTCTTGTCAGCTGGAGATTATCAGTTTCTTCTTTCTTCCTGAACTCCATTAGTGTCAGGACTCCTCACTCAATTGTGATGTCAACGTCAGAATCTCTCACCCAATTGTGATGTGAATTGATGGCATTAGTCCACTAACTCCCAAAATATATTTGGAAATGACCAGTTCCCAATCTGTAATATTCATACTTTCAAGTTTCTTCTTATTATTATTGGTTTCAGAAACCATCTCAATCCTTTGAGTCACCAGTGTGACTTTCTCCAAAGTTTCAAAAATGAACCACTTGAGAAATACTTCCAAGAAATAAGAAAGTCAAACAATGTTTAAAATCAGTATAGCTGCAATTTGCTCTGTCAAGTTTAAGAAGAAATCATGACAGGTTTATTAGTCTTTCTGCAACTTTCAACAAAAGAACAGAGAGAAAAAAAATAACATAATAAAAATATATTACACATATTCTAGACCATTGCACATTAAAAAAATCCCTATGATGTTGCTTTACTTGATCTTGATACATTTTGTTCACTCCCTAATATTTTACACACGTCTCATATTTTTCATAAATCTTCTCTAAGATATATAGGAGGGAAAGGCATAATATTTATTCTAAACTCTTCTCATCTCATGCTCAGATGAGTGGTTACCTAATTTTTTTTGCAAAACATCCCACATCCAGCATCCCACATCCAATAAATTGAGAAAAATTTATTTAACAAAACAGAGAAACTTGGTAAGAACAATGGAATACAATGTCATTTGAGCTGGCTACTTCATGCATCCCCTCATACACATTTGTGTTGCAGAAGACCTATTCCAACGGGCTCAAGAGCTGAGTGGCAACTCTCATTTCTCCCAGCTCTCTGGAGTAGAAGAGCTATTGCAAGTAGATCTGGCAATGAGGAAATTTTGGCAGATTCCACCTCTCTCAGCTCCATGCAGCAGAAGATTATATGGCGGCAGTTGGAGAGAGTGAGTAACGGATAGGTAGGTATAAAGAGATAAAGTTGCCGGGCGCGGTGGCTCACGCCTGTAATCCCAGCACTTTGGGAGGCCGAGGTGGGTGGATCACCTAAGGTCAGGAGTTCGACACCAGCCTAATCAAGGTGGTGAAACCGTGTCTCTACTAAAAATACAAAAATTAGCTGGACGTGGTGGTGGGTGCCTGTAATCTCAGCTGCTTGGGAGGCTGAGGCAGGAGAATCGCTAGAACCCGGGAGGCAGAGGTTCCAGTGAGTTGAGATCATGCCATTGCACTCCAGCCTGGGGTACAGAGTGAGATTCCGTCTCAAAAAAAAAAAAAAAAAAAAAAAAAAGGGAAAATCTATGACTTGGCAATGGTCGATCCATGGATTTGAAGAGGAGTTCAGTGTCAAGGATATCTTCCTGTTTATGGCTTGAATAACTGTCTAGTGGTGTTATTCCCCAAGATAAAAAAACACTGAAAGATAACTAGGGCTGCCTGTGGAGTAACAGACAATTCTAATTCCAAATTTGGACATGGTGAATCTAATGTTCCTTTTAGACTTCCAAAAGGACATATCAAGGAGATATTTGGATGATGGCATTGTAAATGAAAACAAGAGAAAAGAAAACAAATATTTCCTAAAGTCTGTTCATTGATATTCTGTATAGATGTCCGTACAGTATTCCCTTTGGATTACAAGTAGAGTTTTTAATTGTTGCAGCTAGTTGAAGGGTAAAATGATGATTAAATCACAATGCCCAGTAGATTGAACTTAACTTTATCCTACAGGGAATCCTTTGGAAGTGTGAAGGGAATATCTTCCTTTCCTTTTTCCTTTGGTTTTAAACAAAAACAATTTTGGAAATAAAACACATATTATCTCCACCCATTTTGAAATTACTGGTTAAATTCAGTGTGTAAGTAACAACTATCTCATTTCTGCTTTTTCTGTGCTACTTTAGAAAATGTATCACTTTCCAATTTCCCAGTGTTTTTGTGGGAACTGGATGAGAGTATAGTGATTTCTGCAATTTCTATTATTTATCGTTTTGCAATTTGTCTTTAGGTGATAATGAGGTATCTATGCAAGAAATTAAAATTTCAGTGAGGCATTGAGATTTTCTCAATCAACCATCAAAACCTAGACAGATGGGACAGGATGTCTTTCTGTAGAGAAGACAAATTTCTCACAAAGTTTCATAAATAATATAGTTTAATAGAAGAAGGAAGTAAATGGGAAAACATTATAATAAAAATGATAACACAGCTTTGAAATTTATTTTATCATATAGAGAGTTTAGAGCTGAGATACAAGATATGCAGATTGTTATCTACATGATTTGTGGTTTTGCAGAATGTAAATAATTGTAGCCTTTGAGTTAGTGGCTGTCTATAATACCTAGATTTTTAAATATCATGGAATCATGAGATTAAAAGCTAAAGTCAATAAATACAGCTAGCATTGTCTCCTTTACTCCAACTTGAAGGTATTTCTTTCATCTTACTCTTAAGGAAAAAATTCCCAAACCTTACTACTTCTTGGCTTCATTATACTGAATTCATGAAATGAGACTAGAAATATCTATTATTTGGTGACTTGGATTGCAAAGAAAGTGAAGCCATTTTATTTAGGACAAAATCTCCACTTTGGGGAGAAAATTATATTTCCTTAATATAACCTATTTTCAGCAAATATACTCCAGTGAAACTGTTAGGTTTGGTGTATTATAACAGGGATCCTTATGGGTGTTTAGTTTTTTAAACTTATGGATCCTTTTGTTCAGCTTAGTGAAGATGGAGAATAACAACTTATCATTGTTCCTACTGTTTAAATAAACTAAATTCTTCTGATTCATTCTGGTATTACATTTCTATTTATTATAAATATGGCTATGAAATTATGAAATTGTTTTCTTCAATGAATGTTATAATTTATTTAAACTCAATTTTTGTGTTAAATATATCTTTGTTTCTCTTTCAAGGAACAAAGGAGATTATATGGTCATTTCAAAATATTTGGGAAATTCTACTCTGGGTATTTTTTCAGAGATAGTTTATAACCAAGTCATAGAAGAAAATCAATCTTATTACTTCATGAAAATATCAGATACTATATTCATAATAGCAATAGAACCTATGAAGCCCTTATGAGTAAAATTTAATAAGAAAAGTGTTGAAAGTGTATGAAAAAACTATGAAAACAACTATACGTGGATCTATCTTACATAATTTCCAGATATTTTTGACTATTTCAAAAAATCATTCCTGCTCTCAATAGTTGTCTATTACCAAATATTTAAATGCAAATTATCATGAAACATAAAAGATCATTAATAGATATTTTCTAAGAAAAATTTACAGGTTATTTATTACTAATTTTACATTAGAACTATCAATGCCAAATATTCCTTACTAAAGGTAAAAATAGCATTTTATTATTCTTATTTCTATTAACATGCAGGTAATCATCATTTTGTACACATTTACCCCAAAACATTTGGGAAGCTCTACGCTGGAAATTCTTTCAAAGATAGTTTATAAGTTATAGAAAAAAATTAATCTTTATCTATGTTCATATCATATTTATATTTATACGCAAAAAATTAAAAATATAAATGGAACTATGTAATTTACATTTCTTTCTATTTTGATTTTTTTACTTAATAATGCATTGAGAAAATGCTCCGATTTTTAACAGGTACAGCTCAAATCCATTTTCTTTATATCTGAAGACTATTCCACAGTCAGACTGTACCATAATTTATTCAGTCATTCTATAATTGATGAGTATTCTTTTTGTTTCCTGGCTTTGTCTTCATGAACAATGCTTTATTAGGTATCCTTGTGTTTCACGTTTGTATCTGGGTGACAATATTTCTAGAATATATATCCAGAAGTGAGATTGTTAGATCAAAGATATATAAATTACTAATTTTGATAGATGTCAGCTTTGAAAGGCAGTTAAAATTTATGTCAGTTATTTTAGATTGCAACTCTTTTTCACCTTTCTATCATCAGTAGATATTATTTCTCATTTTACTTTTTTGTTTATTTGACAAATGAAAACGATGCGACAATTTAAAAAATATCCTTAATTATTAAGGAGGTTGAACATTGTTTCATATATTTATCGGTTTTTTTTTACATATTTATTAATCATGGTAAACATATCTGTTCATATTTTTCACTCATTTTTTTCATTAGGTTGTCTACTTGTTCCTGCCAAGTTGTAAGAGAGTATATGTGTTGTGGGCCGGGCGCGGTGGCTCACGCCTGTAATCCTAGCACTTTGGGAGGCCGAGGCGGACGGATCATGAGGTCAGGAGATCGAGACCACGGTGAAACCCCGTCTCTACTAAAAATACAAAAAGTTAGCCGGGCGTAGTGGCGGGCGCCTGTAGTCCCAGCTACTCGGGAGGCTGAGGCAGGAGAATGGCGTGAACCCGGGAGGCGGAGCTTGCAGTGAGCCGAGATGGCGCCCCTGCACTCCAGCCTGGGTGACAGAGCGAGACTCCGTCTCAAAAAAAAAAAAAAAAAAAAAAGAGAATATATGTGTTGTGTATATATTTTTATAAGTATTAATGCAAATTATGTTACAGATATTTTTCCAACATGTTTTGTCCTTTCCCATTTTTTATGAATTCTTTTGTCATGCCATAAAAATTAGGTAGCTATGCCTATATTCAATGATTAGCCTAATTCTCTTTCTCATGCAATGGTTTTGGATTTGCATCTTTTTCCATTGCAATGGTCTTCCACATGGTTTTATTGCCTCTGGAGGGTGGTAGAATATGCCACACCAAAATATGCCACTTTGGCAGATGGATTATTTTGAGCTAAAGGTACATAAAGAAACAGCAGATGGAAGAAGGGCATTCTAATTTCACCTCTTCTTCCTCAAAACAAGTGGTTAAAAACTCCCATGTAAAAGATGCCCTCCCTGTACCAGAAGAAATGAAACATTATTTTCATTTTTTAATGAATTCTATCCAAGAGAATTCTATACAAACAACGCTTGTTAAAATAATTCTAATCTTCCTTTTACCTCCCTGCATAATTTAGCTGCTTTTCCACAATTGCTTTTCTTTGTTCAACCTAGTATGAAAGCCTTTAGGTTTTGCCACATGTTCAGGTCTTCATTTACTTATGAGGACTTTTATGTTATGTAAAACTTTTATACATTTGTATGCTTTTCTCTTCTGAATCTGGCTTATGTCCATCTGATTCTCAGGCCAACTAAGAGAGTAGAGGCAAAATTTTGCCTCCCCTACACCTCAAATATATGCATTCATTTCAGTATTTTCCAATTTTAGTGTCAAATACCTAAACACACACTTTGTAAACAGATTTTACTAATGGATGTAAGTTAGACTTTAAAAACTGTTAATTAAATGGGAAACTCAAAGGTATAAATATAATAAAATGCTACCGCTTTGTGTTATCTTTAGTGATTGTCTTTGTAACATGTTTTCTTATTACAGTGACGAGTATGGATATATCAGAGGGAAATAAGACTCTTGTGACAGAGTTTGTTCTCACAGGACTTACAGATCGACCATGGCTGCACGTCCTCTTCTTTGTTGTGTTTTTGGTGGTCTATCTCATCACCATGGTGGGCAACCTTGGACTGATAGTTCTAATTTGGAACGACCCCCATCTTCATATGCCCATGTACTTATTCCTTGGTGGTTTAGCCTTTTCAGATGCTTGTACTTCAACCTCTATAACCCCTAGGATGCTGGTCAATTTCTTAGACAAGACTGCAATGATATCCCTAGCTGAGTGCATCACCCAGTTTTACTTTTTTGCTTCCAGTGCAACTACAGAATGCTTCCTCCTGGTGATGATGGCCTATGACCGCTATGTAGCCATATGTAATCCCTTGCTTTATCCAGTGATGATGTCCAACAAACTCAGCGCTCAGTTGCTAAGTATTTCATATGTAATTGGTTTCCTGCATCCTCTGGTTCATGTGAGTTTACTATTGCGACTAACTTTCTGCAGGTTTAACATAATACATTATTTCTACTGTGAAATTTTACAACTGTTCAAAATTTCATGCAATGGTCCATCTATTAACGCACTAATGATATTTATTTTTGGTGCTTTTATACAAATACCCACTTTAATGACTATCATAATCTCTTATACTCGTGTGCTCTTTGATATTCTGAAAAAAAAGTCTGAAAAGGGCAGAAGCAAAGCCTTCTCCACATGCGGCGCCCATCTGCTTTCTGTCTCATTGTACTACGGAACTCTGATCTTCATGTATGTGCGTCCTGCATCTGGCTTAGCTGAAGACCAAGACAAAGTGTATTCTCTGTTTTACACGATTATAATTCCCCTGCTAAACCCATTTATTTACAGCTTGAGAAATAAAAAAGTCATGCATGCATTGAGAAGAGTTATAAGGAAGTAAACAGTTCCAAAGGGAAATGTCAAATCATTTATTTTTTCACCCTTTGCATAAATAAGTCAACAAGTCTTGTGGTTAGCCATGGCTCTGCCATTTCATCAGAGGGCTAGTGGTCAGGGTGGTCACTGAGCACTACGTGAAGAAACCCAGCTTTGTACAATGTTTACTTGGATTTGGGTCCAGTTGAAGTGTCTTTACATCAACCATGGTTGATTTCTTTAAAAACATTTTACTTCCTTGTTTTCTGAACATTTAATCTTGAAAATTTATTATTTTCCAGGGACCCTACATCTAAATTCCATTGAATAACCGACAATAATTGAAACTGTTATATAAGAGCCATTTAGTTCACAAACCTAGTTTACTGCACTAGGCTCTGTGATACCCTACCATACAAGAATAAAATGATAAAAACTCAGAGTCTTGCAGAAAAAGTGTTCTAGAAATAAAAGTGAGAAATAGTAATAAAAATTAAGAGTTTAAAAAATGGTGTATTTTTTAATTTTTAATTTCTGGTATATCTTAATGACAAAAATTTTTAAAAGCTTGTCTTGAACAATGGACCATCAAAATTTAAAACTTTCCATATCTAAAGTCGATATACTAGCTTTAATATAAGGCATTATATAATACAATTGCATTCAATAATATGCAGGTTAGAAAATATCTCAGGATATAGCCTTCTCAAACAGTACAGATCTTCTATACTCTATTTACAGGAATATTTTGTTTGCAATTATAAGCATGATAAAAAAATTTGCATAGAGATTGCATTGCTATACTCCAAGAGGCAGAAGACAAGGATAAGAAACAGGTCAAATATGTATGGATATTGGTGTAAAATTGAGCTGGTAGATTCTTTTAAAGGTGAGATCAGGTTCTCTTGGTGTCAGCCACCAATTTACTTCCTTTTTTTTTTTTTTTTTTTTTTTGTTTGAGACAGAGTCTCTGTTGTCCAGGCTGGAGTGCAGTGGTGCAGTCTCGACTCACTGCAACCTCTGCCTCTCAGGTTCAAGCTATTCTCCCGCCTCAGCCTACTGAGTAGCTAGAATTACAGGCATATGCCACCAGGCGGGCTAATTTTTGTGTTTTTAATAGAGACAGGATTTCACCACACTGGCCGGGCTGGTCTTGAACTCCTGACCTCAGGTAATCCTGCTGCCTCGGCCTCCCACAACTTACTTCTTTTCAGTGACAGACCTACGTTAATATATGTATCAGCTATTTTAGCAAAATGGAACTGACACATATTTCCTTTTGCAAAGTATGAATCATGTTCTTTGAGCAAGCTGTTTTTTCAAGCATTATATTTAGGAAGAAAGAATTAATAGGAAATGAAAATTAAAATTTAAGTTGTTGCAACAGGAGTGAAACTTGTTAAAGAAAAATTTTAGCTGAATAAAATTTTAAAAAGTTTAATTGAGCAGAGAACAATTTGCCAATTGGGCAGTTTCCCAGCCAGAGTAGGCTCAGAGACTCCACGGCAGCTACATGGTGGAAGATTTGTGGACAGAAAAAGGAAAGTGACATACAGAAAACAAAAATGAGATACAGAAAGAGCCAGATTGGTTACAGCTCCACGTTTTTCTTATTTGAACATGGTTTGAACAGGTGGCCACCTTTAGCCAAAACTCGGTGACTGGTACAAGAGCAGGTTACAGTTTGTTAACAATTCTGTTTAGGTTTGTACAGACAAAGTTTTAGGCATAAAATATATAAGGAGGCAGCCTTAGGCTAAACTTAATTTAACAAAGTGTGCTCTTGTTGAAGAATTTTAAAAGTTATTTTTAGTTAGCTTTTTTGCCTGTAATTCCAACAGATACACCAAAATATTAATCTAATATGTAGACATATTCTATATCTTAAATGTATTGATTATTTGACTTAGGAATATAAATTTAAAATGTTAATTCATTTGTATAGGTGTACAGTTTCATTCCTATGGATCTCCACTAACAAATGGCTTTTTTAAAAACTACACAACTGAATGTACTCCTTTTAAAAATTTTTTTTATTATACTTTAAGTTCTAGGGTACATGTGCACAATGTGCAGGTTTGTTACACAGGTATACATGTGCCATGTTGGTTTGCTGCACTCATCAACTCGTCATTTACATTAGGTATTTTTCCTAATGCTATCCCTCCCCCAGCTCCCTATCCCCCAACAGGCCCTGGTGTGTGATGCTCTCTGCCCTGTGTCCATGTGTTCTCATTGTTCACCTCCCACCTATGAATGAGAACATGTGGTGTTCTGTTTTCTGTCCTTGTGATAGTTTTTGCTTAGAATGATGGTTTCTAGCTTCATTCATATCCCTGCAAAGGACATGAACTCATCATTTTTTATGGCTGCATAGTATTCCATGGTGTATATCTGCCACATTTTCTTAATCCAGTCTATCATTGATGAACATTTGGGTGGGTTCCAAGTCTTTGCTATTGTGAATAGTGCCGCAATAAACATATGAGTGCATGTGTCTTTATAGTAGCATGATTTATAATCCTTTGGGCAGTAATAGGATCTCTGGGTCAAATGGTATTTCTAGTTCTAGATCATTGAGGAATCGCCACACTGTTTTCCACAATGGTTGAACTAATTTACACTCTCACCAACGATTTAAAAGCATTCCTATTTCTGCACATCCCCTCCAGCTTCTGTGGTTTCCTGACTTTTTAATGATCGCCATTCTAACTGGTGTGAGATGGTATCTCATTGTGGTTTTGATTTGCATTTCTCTGATGACCAGTGATGATGAGCATTTTTTCATTGTCTGTTGGCTACATAAATATCTTCTTTTGAGAAGTGTCTGTTCATATCCTTTGCCCACTTTTTGATGGGGTTCTTTGTTTTTTCTTGTAAATTTGTTTAAGTTCTATGTATATTCTGGATATTAGTCCTTTGTCAGATGGGTAGATTGCAAAAATGTCCCATTCTGTAGGTTGCCTGTTCACTCTGATGATAGTTTATTTTGCTGTGCAGAAGCTCTTTAGTTTAATTAGACCCCATTTGTCTATTTTGGCTTTTGTTGCCATTGCTTTTGCTGTTTTAGTCATGAAGTCTTTGCCCATGTCTATGTCCTGAATGGTATTGCCTAGGTTTTCTTCTAGGGTTTTTATGGTTTTACGTATGACATTTAAGTCTTTAATCCATCTTGGGTTAATTTTTGTATAAAGTGTAAGGAAGGGATCCAGTTTCAGCTTTCTATGTATGGCTAGCCAGTTTTCCCAGCACCATTTATTAAATAGAGAATCCTTTCCCCATTGCTTGTTTTTGTCAAAGATCAGATGATTGTAGATGTGTGGTATTATTTCTGAGGCCTCTGTTATGTTCCATTTTTCTATATATCTGTTTTGGTACCAGTACCATGATGTTTTGGTTACTGTAGCCTTGTAGTATAGTTTGAAGTCAGGTAATGTGATGCTTCCAGCTTTGTTCTTTTTGATTAGGATTGTCTTGGCTATGCAGGCTCTTTTTTGGTTCCATATGAAATTTAAAGCAGTTTTTTTCTAATTCTGTGAAGAAAGTCATTGGTAGCTTGATGGGAATGGCATTGAATTTATAAATTACCTTGGGCAGTATAGCCATTTTCACGATATTGATTCTATCCATGAGCATGGAATGTTCTTCCATTTGTACATGTCCTGTTTTATTTCATTGAGCAGTGGTTTGTAGTTCTCCTTGAAGAGGTCCTTCACATCCCTTGTAAGTTGGATTCCTAGGTATTTTATTCTCTTTGTAGCAATTGTGAATGGGAGTTGGCTCATGATTTGGCTCTCT
Source organism: Homo sapiens (assembly GCF_000001405.40). NCBI lineage: Eukaryota > Metazoa > Chordata > Mammalia > Primates > Hominidae > Homo > Homo sapiens. The sequence continues at coordinate 98,091,876 of NC_000003.12, forward strand.
GTTTGTCTATTGTTTGTGTATAGGAATGCTTGTGATTTTTGCACACTGATTTTGTATCCTGAGACTTTGCTGAAGTTGCTTATCAGCTTAAGGAGATTTTGGCCTGAGACGATGGGGTTTTCTAAATATACAATCATGTCTCTGCAAACAGAGACGTTTTGACTTCCTCTTTTCCTAATTGAATACTCTTTATTTCTTTCTCTTGCCTGATTGCCCTGGCCAGAACTTCCAACACTATATTGAATAGGAGTGGTGAGAGAGGGCATTCTTGTCCTGTGCCTGTTTTCAAAGGGAATGCTTCCAGTTTTTGCCCATTCAGTAAGATATTGGCTGTGGGTTTGTCATAAATAGCTCTTGTTTTCAGATACGTTCTATCAATATCTAGTTTATTGAGAGTTTTTAGCATAAAGGCTGTTGAATTTTGTCAAGGGCTTTTTCTGCATCTATTGAGATAATCATGTGGTTTTTGTCGTTGGTTCTGTTTATGTGATGGATTATGTTTATTGATTTGTGTATGTTGAACCAGTCTTGCATCCCAGGGATGAAGCCGACTTGATTGTGGTGGATAAGCTTTTTGATGTGCTGCTGGATTTAGTTTGCCAGTATTTTATTGATGATTTTTGCATCAATGTTCATCAGGGATATTGGCCTAAAATTCTCTTTTTTCATTGTGTCTCTGCCAGGCTTTGGTATCAGGATGATGCTGGCCTCATAAAATGAGTTAGGGAGGATTCTCTGTTTTTCTATTGATTGAAATAGTTTCAGGAGTGGTACCAGCTCCTCTTTGTACCTCTGGTAGAATTCGGCTGTGAATCCATCTGGTCCTGGACTTTTTTTGGTTGGTAGAATATTAATTATTGCCTCAATTTCAGATCCTGTTATTGGTCTATTCAGAGATTCAACTTCTTCCTGGTTTAGTCTTGGGAGGGTGTATGTGACAAGGAATTTATCTATTTCTTCCAGATTTTCTAGTTTATTTGCATAGAGGTGTTTATAGTATTCTCTGATGGTAGTTTGTATTTCTGTGGGATCAGTGGTGATATCCCCTTTATCACTTTTTTATTGTGTCTATTTGATTCTTCTCTCTTTTCTTCTTTATTACTCTGGCTAGTGGTCTATCTATTTTGTTGATAGTTTCAAAAAACCAGCTCCTGGATTCATTGATTTTTTGAAGAGTTTTCTGTGTCTCTATCTCCTTTAGTTCTGCTCTGATCTTAGTTATTTCTTGCCTTCTGCTAGCTTTTGCATTTGTTTGCTCTTGCTTCTCTAGTTCTTTTAGTTGTGATGTTATGGTGTCGATTTTGTTTTTTTTTACATATTTATTTTTTTGAGACAGAGTCTTGCTCTGTCGCCCAGGCTGGAGCACAGTGGCATGATATCAGTTCACTGCAACCTCTCCCTCCCAGGTTCAAGTGATTCTCCTGCCTCAGACTCCTGAGTAGCTGGGACTACAGGCATGCACCACTATGCCTAGCTAATTTTTGTATTTTTATTAGAGACAGGGTTTCACCATGTTGGTTGGCCAGGATGGTCTTGATCTCTTGAACTCGTGATCCACCCACCTTGGCCTTCCAAAGGGCTGGGATTACAGGTGTGAGCTGCTGCGCCTGGCCTAGGGTGTCAATTTTAGATCTTTCCTGCTTTCTCTTGTGGGCATTTAGTGCTATAAATTTCCCTCTACACACTGCTTTAAATGTGTCCCAGAGATTGTGGTACATTGTCTCTTTGTTCTCATTGGTTTCAAAGAATATCTTTATTTCTGCCTTCATTTTGTTATTTACCCAGTAGTCATTCAGGAGCAGGTTGTTCAGTTTTGATGTAGTTATGTGGTTTTGAGGGAGTTTATTCATCCTGAGTTCTAGTTTGATTGCACTGTGGTCTGAGAGACAGTTTGTTGTGATTTCTGTTCTTTTACATTTTCTGAGGAGTGTTTTACTTCCAATTATGTGGTCAATTTTAGACTAAGTGTAATGTGGTGCTGAGAAGAATGTATATTCTGTTGACTTGGGGTGGAGGGTTCTGTAGATGTCTACTAGGTCCACTTGGACCAGAGCTGAGTTGAAGTCCTGGCTATCCTTGTTAACCTTCTGTCTCATTGATCTGTCTAATATTGACAGTGGGGTGTTAAACTCTCCTATTATTATTGGGTGGCAGTCTAAGTCTCTTTGTAGGTCTCTAAGGACTTGCTTTATGAATTGAGTGCTCCTGTATTGGACGCATATATATTTAGGATAGTTAGCTTTTCCTGTTGAATTGATCCGTTTACCATTATGTGTGGCCTTCCTTGTCTCTTTTGATCTTTGTCAGTTTAAAGTCCGTTTTATCAGAGAGTAAGATTGCAACCCTTGTTTTTTTTTTTTTTTTTTTTTGCTTTCCATTTGCTTGGTAGATCTTCCTCCATCCCTTTATTTTCATCCTATGTGTATCCTTGCACGTGAGAGAGGTCTCCTGAATACAGTACACCAATGGGTCTTGACTCTTTTTCTAATCTGCCAGTCTGTGTCTTTTAATTGGAGCATTTAGCCCATTTACATTTAAGGTTAATATTTTTATGTGTGAATTTGATCCTGTTATTAGGATGTTAGCTGGTTATTTTGCCCATTAATTGATCCAGTTTCCTCATAGTGTCAGTGATCTTTACCATTTGGCATGTTTTTGCAGTGGCTGGTACTAGTTGTTCCTTTCCATGTTTAGTGCTTCCTTCAGGAACTCTTGTAAGGCAGGCCTGGTGGTGACAAAATCTCTCAGCATTTGCTCATCTGTAAAGATTTTATTTCTCCTTCACTTATGAAGCTTAGTTTGGCTGGATATGAGATTCTGGGTTGAAAATTCTTTTCTTTAAAAATGTTGAATATTGGCCCCCACTCTCTTCTGGCTTGTAGAGTTTCTGCCAAGAGATCCGCTGTTAGTGTAATGGGCTTCCCTTTGTGGGTAACCCGACCTTTCTCTCTGGCTGCCCTTAACATTTTTTCCTTCATTTCAACCTTGGTGAATCTGACAATTATATGTCTTGGGGTTGCTCTTCTCAAGGAGTACCCTTGTGGTGTTCTCTGTATTTCCTGAATTTGAGTGTTGGCCTGCCTTGCTACGTTAGGGAAGTTCTCCTGGATAATATCCTGAAGAGTGTTTTCTAACTTGGTTGTATTCTCCCTGTCACTTTCTGGTACACCAATCAAATGTATATTTGGTCTTTTCACATAGTCCATATTTCTTGGAGGCTTTGCTCATTTCTTTTCACTCTTTTTTCTCTTATATTGCCTTCTCACTTTACTTCATTAATTTGATCTTCTATCACTGATATCCTTTCTTTCACTTGATCGAATCGGCTATTGAAGCTTGTGCACGCGTCACGAAGTTCTTGTGCTGTGGTTTTCAGCTCTATCAGGTCATTTTAGGTCTTCTCTACACTGTTTATTCTAGTTAGCCATTCGTCTAACCTTTTTTCAAGGATTTTAGCTTCCTTGCGATGGGTTAGAACATGCTTCTTTAGCTCAGAGAAGTTTGTTATTAGTGACCTTCTGAAGCCTACTTCTGTCAACTTGTCAAACACGCTCTCCATCCAGTTTTGTTCCCTTACTGGTGAGGAGCTGCGGTCCTTTGGAGGAGAAGAAGCACTCTGGTTTTTGGAATTTTCAGCTTTTCTGGTCTGATTTCTCCCCATCTTTGTGGTTTTATCTACCTTTGGTCTTGATGGTGACCTACAGATGGGGTTTTGGTGTGGATGCCCTTTTTGTTGATGTTGATGCTATTCCTTTCTGTTTGTTAGTTTTCCTCCTAACAATCAGGCCCCTCAGCTGCAGGTCTGTTGGAGTTTGCTGGAGGTCCACTCCAGACTCTATTTGCCTGGGTATCACCAGCGGAGGCTGAAGAATAGCAAATATTGCTGCCTGATCCTTCCTCTGGAAGCTTCGTCCCAGAGGGGCACCTGCCTGTTTGAGGTGTCTGTAGGCCCCTCCTGGGAGGTGTCTCCCAGTCAGGATACACAGGGGGTCAGGCTCAAGACATACTTGAGGAGGCAGTCCGTCTGTTCTCGGAGCTCAAACGCCATGTTGAGAGAACCACTATTCTCTTCAGAGCTGTCAGACAGGGTTGTGTTTGTCTGCAGAAGCTGTCTTCTGCCTTTGGTCTATGCCCTGCCTCCAGAGGTGGAATCTAGAGAGGCAGTAATCCTTGCTGAGCTGTGGCAGGCTCCACCCAGTTAAAGCTTCCCGGCCACTTTGTTTACATTGTGAGCTACTCAAGCCTCAGCAATAGCAGACCCTCCTCCTCCCATCAAGCTGCAGTGTCACAGGTTGATCTCAGACAGCTGTGCTAGTAGTGAGCAAGGCTCTGTGGGCAGGGGACCCACCAAGCCAGGCATGGGAGGGTATGTCCTGGTTTGCCGGTTGTTAAAACCATGGGAAAAGCACAGTATTTGGTCAAGAGTGTACCATCTCTCCAGGTACAGTCTGTCACGGCTTCCCTTGGCTAGGAGAGGGAAATCCCCTGACTCCTTGCACTTCCTGGATGAGGTGATGCCCCGCCCTGATTTGGCTCACCCTCCGTGGGCTGCACCCACTGTCCAACCAGTCCCAATGAGATGAACCAGGTAGCTCAGTTGGAAATGCAGAAATCACCCATCTTCTGTGTCCATCTCACTGGGAGCTGCAGACTGGAGCTCTTCCTATTCGGCCATCTTGGAAGCAACTTGAATGTATTTTCTTTAGGAATATTATTGGCATCATGGAGATTCTGATTAAATTTCCCATCTTGGTGGTTAACTTAACAATGACTATATAAGTTATAATTAATTTGCTATTACATTTTTTAAAAATTTTGAATTAGGGCCCTATTCCTATAATTTGCTGTTGATGGTCTGTTATAATCTCTTAAGTTCTTGTTATCATTTGACAAGAGATAAATTTATTTCCACTTGTACATGTATCAACCTTAATTTTTTTTTTAGTCTGAGTGGCATTACATGTTTCTAATTTCTGCAGTGATACTTTATGACTGAATTGTTAAAACTACAACTGATTACTACATTCTTATTAATCTTCTAGTGGATGTAATGTTAGCAAATACTTTCTTTTAAACTAACCATAGTATTGTTATTTAATGCAGCAAAATTAATAACAGTTGTTTGATATTATTTAATGTCAGTGTGTGTTCAATATTCCCAATTTGCCTGAAAAATTTTGTTCTTTGGTTGAACCAGGATTTAAACAAGACGTGCATATTGTATTTGTATTATGGTTTTTAACAGTTCCAATTTTAGTGATATTCACTGCTGACAGTTCGGATGTTGTCATTGCAAGCCTCCCCTTATTGAGTTCTCTACGAACCCAAAACAAAATGATTTTAATGATTATTGGTTAGATCTTTTATTTCATCAGAGGTTGCAAAATGGAAATTCCCCAAGTCTATTCTTCTGCATTCATTAGCTATAATTCTTCTACAAAGAAGAACTTTCTCTCATGAATTTGGATTTCTGAAATATGGTTCATGAAAGAGAGGCAGAATAAATTCCTGATTCTTTCCCTTCACTTATCTGTTTTCAAAACATTTAGCTAGAGCTGTAGCAACTTCCCAAGGTGACCAATGAGGTTTATTTATTTTTTTCATTTGTTTGAAGGGGGTGTTACTATAAACTCAAAAATTTTAATATATTTGATGTGATTAATCAATTGCAATAATTATACTTTTAAAGCTTAAATTATTACATATTTAATCAAAGGAATTGCTTTAAGTTAGTTCCTGTGTCTTTGGCCTTTTACACCATAGATTGGTTTTGCATGTTTTTGAACTTAGTATTATGGGAATCATGTGGTATGAAATACTTTAGATTTTGTCTAATATTTGGCTATTTCATTTAATGCTGTTGTGTAAATTCTGGTCAATGTCTTCTGGTACACAGGTATACACATTTTTGTTGGGCATATATGTAGGAATAAAACTTAAGTATCATAAAGTGTGCCTATTTTCAATATTTGGAGATATTACATTATCTATAAAAATCTGTACTCATCATCTTAGTTTATTAGCTGTTGCTTTGAATATCAATGATTCTTTGAGGGGAAAAACAGGTTAACTACTTTAGTCTCCCTTCTCTTCTGGATCTTGGCTCCATAATTGCCTTGCTGATCACTGATCCCTATAGACCAATTATTTCATAAATTTTTGTCCAGCTTTTCTGTTTTTTACAGGAGGAAAAACAACCTACTCTGCCATTACTATAAGCAGATATTATAATTTTTAAAGATAATGTTTTTGTTTCTGTTCCCTAAGATTTTAAGATTTCTCCTATAATTTTTTTTGTTTTGTTTTTGTTTTTGTTTTTTGTGAGACAGGGTCTCACTCTGTTGCTCAGGCTGGAGTGCAGTAGTGTAATCTTGACTCACTGCAACCTCTACTTCCAAGTTCAAGTGATTATCCTGACTCAGCCTCCCGAGTAGCTAGAACTACAGGCAGGCACCACCATGCCTTTCTAATTTTTGTATTTTTAGTAGAGACTGGGTTTTGCCATGTTGGCCAGGCTGGTCTCAAACTCCTGACCTCAAGTGACCCACTAGCCCCAGCCTCCCAAAGTGCTGGGATTACAGGCATGAGCCACCACATCCAGCCTTTCCTATAATATTTTAAAAACATGATTAACTAGTAAATTTTTAATTTGTGCAAACTTTGTCAGAGTTGGTATTATTTTCTTTTTCTTTTAACTTCTTTTATTTCTATTTTTTAATTTTAGATTCAGGGGTACAGGTGCAGATTTGCTACATGGCTATACTGTGTGATGCTGAGGTTTGAGCTTCTAATGATCCCTATCCATCACCTAAGTAGTGAACATAGTACCCAATAGGTAACTTTTCAATCCTTGCCTCCTTCTCTCCCTCTCTCCTTTTGGAATCCCCAGTGTTTATTTTCACCATCTTTATGTCTGTGTGTACCTGATGTTTAGCTCCCTCTTATAAGTGAGAACATGTGGTATTTTGTTTTCTGTCTCTACGTTAGTTTGTTTAGGATAATGACCTCTAGCTCCACCCATGTTGCTACAAAGGACATGATTTCATTTCTTTTTATGGCTGTATAGTATTCCGTGGTGTATATATACCACATTTTCTTTATCCAATTCAGATTTGGTATCATTTTCTTAAAATTATTTGAAAAATTTAATCCTTTCTCTATGTTATGGAATAATGGCATTGAAACGGTCTTATCCTTAAAATTTTGGTAACATTTTCCTGTAAAACCATCTATTCTTGGTGATTTATTTTTACAAGGACTTGAGAGATTTCTCTAATTTTCCTGTCAAAATAGGCATTTTGATTTTTGTCTCTAATAGGGTCAAGTTTGGTGAGTTATATTGTTTTATTAAATTGTCAATTTTTTTCTAGGTTTACAAATTTATCTGCCTAGAGTTGGACAAAGGCTTTTGTGTATGAAATTTGCACAAAACAGAGCTACCCACAGACAGTACATTTTCCCTCCTCAGTAAGTGAGTCTTAATCACTATGCTCTAAGTATTTCTCAGAGGAAAGCTTTGCAGCTCAAGCTGCATATTTGTCGGACATTTGGGGTTTTAGTATCTTGTAACTGATCGTAGTTTGTTGTGTATTCTACTATGACTAAGGCAGTGAAAGGGAAAATTTTGTAACCCTTACTGGTAATAATCAGACTTGGTAACTCTCACGGCCTGCTTTCAGAAGACATACTGTCAATTAGTTGGAGATTTCAGGGCTTCCACTTGGGTTCATGAACTCTGTTAGCTTCACTCACTGAGTATGTGTCCCTTCTCTCACTAGGCTGGCATGCCACACAGAAATGCAATGGGTCTGGAGAGAAACTGGATGCTTGGACACTTTTAAAAGAGAACTCTTAATTTTTATAGTAAGATTTTTTAAAAAGCAATAAACTCATTTTTTTTTCTCAGCGACATTGCATATGTGAGTCACAAATGAAATTCTGATTTTTAACTTCAGCTCCTAGATTTATCTTATTGTCAAAAAATATCGGAATCGTTCACCTGAAAAACCTGTTAATTACAGTAGGCAAAAACTTTGTGTAGAATATTATTGAATATGAGGGCCTAAGGCTTTTGATTTTCCTTATAAGAGTCATTCGAAGCTGTTTGAGAGTTTAAGTGGAGATGCTGTGATGGGTCTGAGCAGTAGTGACATCAGCAATCTGGCATTTTGCCAAGATGACATTGGCTCAAATGTAGAGATTAGCAGGAGGACATGTTAGAAAAACACATTTGGATTATTAAAAGGTCATTTAAGTATTCCAGACAGGTGATGGTTTTCTTGAATTTGGAGAGAAGTTGATGGTTTCGTGAGACATTAAAGAGATAAAACAATGCACTTGACAATGGCTTGATATCAGTTTAAGGGAGAGTTTTTTCTTTAAGGTTGGTTTCCTCACAGTGAAACCTGAAAACACAAAGTGCGTGGTTTTAGTTGTTATACCTGCCTTTACCTAGGGTGATTCATTGATTAGCTCATAATGCCCAGCAGAAAAACTTTGCCTTTATCCTACAGGGAATCTATTGGTAGCTTTCACTGAGGGAATTCCCCATTCTTCTTTTTTTCCCCATAAATAGATTTTACAAAGAGTACAAAATTTATCTTTTTGCTGTGGATATTTCCAAGGAAAATCTTTGCACAGTAACAACCACTTAAGTCTGCACCTTCCACTTTTTTTCATTTTAAGGATTTTAGGTGGAGTTGCAGTAGTAGATGTGAAAGCAGTGGTGAATTCATCAGTTTGGCAATTTATAAAGATGACTTTGGCCCTAATCTATGGTATAGGAAATATACATATTTTTCTATTTTTTTTTTTTCTCCAGGAAACCACCAACTTTCCTTCAGGAAAACTAACACTTTCTCAATCTTCAAAAGACTTACAGAAACTGAGTGGACACCTGAATCTGTCTAATTTTCACTATTTGCAGTCTGTCAATTTGCCTGTTTAAAAATAAAATATCCAGGTAAGAAATGAAAATCCTGGTAACCATGTGAAATTTTCTGTTTTCCTTCATGATAGACAGTTTTTGATGCCTACCATAAATACTAGGTTTTACTGATGAAACATACACATTAAGATTTATTTTTAATAGTAAACTTGGAATAATACAAGAAAGAGACAAATGAAAAATATAATAATGACTGAAAAGTTTCAGAGGTAATTTCATACTGTAGAAACTTCCCTTTGTCAATATATGAACAATTAAGTTATGCTGTTCAAGCTTCCTTGTTTTTTCATAGAATAATGAGAAGATGAGATAAAGTCATCAGTGATAAATTTCTTAGGCTCCTTAATTCCAAACTAATGGGGAGATATATATGGAGATTTCATCTATCTATCTATCTATCTATCTATCTATCTATCTATCTATCTATCATCTATCTATCTATCATCTATCTATCATCTAGTTTATCTAATCTACCATATCTATATCTATCATCCATCTATCTCTATCTATCATCTATCTATCTATCTATCTATCTATCTATCTATCTATCTATCATCTATCTATTATCTATCTAATTATCCATCTAGTTTATCTAATCTATTATCTATGTATCTATCTATCTATCTATCTTAAGGGAAAATATTCAAAATACTTGATAGCTCTTGACCTAATTATCCAAATTGGAAATATCAATTATGGGCTGGGATTGAAAAGAAAGCTAGTCAGGCTCATTCAGAACAAAACCTCCACTTTGGAAACTAAATGATGGGTCCATAGACCAAATTTTAGTTGAGACATGTGAATCAGTCTTCTTGCTGCTTGTGTTGTGTTTCCAGGGCTCCTTGGGAATATATACTTTCAAAGGTAGATTTTTAAAACAAATATTCTCTCACTCTGTTCTTAGTGAAGATGGGAAATAACAACTCATCCTCCTTCTTAATGTGGACCTATTAAGAAAAAATTGCCTTTGGATATATTTTAAAGTTAAACAAATCCAATTTTAATCAACAGGTAAATTTCAAAAATATACGTTAATCAACAAGAATTATGTATATGCAATTGTGTTATTCATTTTATTTTGAGAAACAACTAAATGTAAACACCAAATTACAGGTGCATTTTCCCCTTCTAGGTAATCTAAAAAGCTCTCAATTCACCTCCAAATATCTTCAGATTTTTTCATTTAGATTTTCTTTAAGACGAAGTTTATAGTCACAGAACAAAATCAAACAAATTTCTTAAAAAAAATCAAATATTCCATACATAATATCGACAAAAATTATACAATACTTAGCAATGTATCCAAAAAAGTACTTGGATATGAAGAAAACTATTAAAATTTATACTTGATCACTTATTTATTTACCAACATTTTGACTACTCCCCCACAAAAAATCACTCTTAATGGTTGGAGTCAGATACCACTGAGAATATTTAAAAGAATTTGCTACATAATCAAAAAAAAATTGTGTAAGATACAGTTTTACAAAAAAAATTATTAATTTCTATTTTTTATTAAAATTTATATTGCTACCCACTAAGTACAGTAATAGTATTGTTATTCTTGTTTTGCTCCATTTCTCTTTCTTACCATTAACAAGCTCATGCATATTCTTTAATGTAAAGCTTTGTACATATAAAGAGATATATAATTGCATAAATAGGGTGATAACATATATTTTGTTTTTATTACACCCTTTTTTTGGGGGGACTGCTTATCTCTCTTATCTCCCTTATTCTCTCCTCTTCCTATACTCAGACAAGAAACATTAACAATATAATTTCATTCTATCTTTATGTTCACATGGTTATATGCAAATATGTGTGTATGTGCACAGATATACATAGAATAAAAATTTTTAACAATTTATTATCTGTTAATGTGGACAAAACATATCCATTTCTCTACATCAGGCTTTTCTCACTTTACTAACAATTTTGGAAATTTCTGAGTCAACTGGTAGAGCTGTAACTCATTTTTAAATGGCTGACACAATTTTGATTAGGATGACTACATCAGGATATGTTCAACCTTTGCTTCATCCTGATTGGTTTTTATATTATTGCTAGTCTTTTGCCATCATGAATAATGCTTTGGTAGATCTCTCTTCCTATGAAGTGATGTTATTGCTCTAGAATAGATTACAGGCATGGATTGCTGAGTTGAAAGGTATGTGTATGTTTACTTAAAAACAAGTCAAGTTTTATTTAAAAGACTTAGTAATTCATTTTCACCATTAAGTGTGAGAGCAGCCTTTTCCAAATTCCTGCAAGCAGCAAATGTTGCTAACCTGAGGAGTGAAAAGTTACATTTTATTGTTACTTTGTTAGTACATCATATATGCTGGAAAAGTTGAGCATTATTTTCCTAACTTTATTAGATATTTTAAAATATTTTTCAGTGACTTGCCTTTTAATTCCTTTTTAATTTTTCTATGAATTATTTAACTTTTCTAATCAATTAGTAAGATTTCTTTGCATGTGACTAGGTACTAATATTTTATCTACCATATTTACTGTAAATATTTTTTCCAAACTTGTATTCATCTTTCACTTAGTAAGAGATTTGTCACATACTACATATTCATGAAATTAAAAATTAGATTAAATATGCCTATATCTTTCTTATAATTTATGGGATTCCTATCTTGGTTAGGTAATTAAATTATATTTATTTCATTAATTTTCTTAGAATGTTTAAATTGCTCTTTTAATTATTTATTTATTTATTTTTTGTTTTTTGAGATGGAGTCTTGCTCTGTCACCCAGGTTGGAGTGTAGTGGCACAATCTCGGCTCACTGCAACATTCACCTCCTGGGTTCAAGCAATTCTGTCTCAGCCTCCCGAGTAGCTGGGATTACAGGTGTGCACCACCACGCATGGCTAATTTTTTTTTTTTTTTTTTTAGTGGAGACGGGGTTTCACCATGTTGGCCAGGCTGGTTTTGAATTCCTGATCGCAAGTGATCCTCCCACCTTGGCCTCCCAAAGAGCTGGGATTACAGGCATGAGCCACTGTGCCCAACCTAAATTGCTCTTTTAATTTTTACTTTCAAGTTCTTGATCTATTACAATTTTAAAATCAGGTATGAGAGAGAGAACTATTCTTACTTTATTTCCAGATAGATAGACACTTATTTACACTTGTACTATATATTCAATAAATCATTTTTTCTCAATGATTTGTCACCCATGCAATACACTAAATTTATATATATACTTGAAACTATCTCCCAGAGTCCTTATTTTGTTTTATTATTATATTTTTCTATTTCCAGTCATGTCTTATTCTATGGAATGTCTTTATGTTTTAACACTACTGCACACTGTACTATTCATATTGTTCATATTGTCATTTCTACTATTGTTATTTATTTAATTAAACAATACAATATCAGCAAAAATATGAATTTATCTTTTATAATTTTAATGACATTTTATTATATCTCTACTATATTATTTCATTTAATTTTAACATCTCATGTGTATTAGAATTTCCAAGATAATATTCCATAATAATGGTCATAGTGAGCATTTCAACCAGTTTTTAATGTGAAAGGAGGTGCTTTATTACTTAGAACATGTGTGCTCATTTAACATTTAGCATATTAAAATAGCTTATTCTATTTCTATTTAAAGTTTTTAAATTAGAAGATGATCATCAAATTGCAATAAAATTGTTCAAATTAAACAGTAAACCCACTTCTTTTATACAGGCAATGAAATTCTTACTATATACATGTTTTTAATTTTTAGAATCACTTTTCCAAACACTTATCATTTGGAAAGAATACTTACTGAAGGGTAAAGGGATACATAAACAAGGAAGATACATTTCTTTTTTCAAATAAAATGTGACTACTTTCATCGTCTTTTATGACTGTGTTCTTCACTTACTTTTTCATTGCAGTGATCAGCATGAGTGGGTATAATGGAAACAAATAAGACACAGATTATGAACTCCGTCCTCCAAGGACTTACAGATCTTCTAGAGCTGCAGGCGCCCTTGTTCCTGGTGTTCCTGGTGATCTACCTTATCACCACGGTGGGCAACCGTGGCCTGATGGCTCTCATCTGGAAGGATCCCCACTTTCACACCCCCATGTGCTTATCCCTCGGCAGTTTAGCCTTTGCAGATGCATGCACTTCATCTTCTGTGACTCCCAAGATGTTCGTACATTTTTTATCTAAGAATCATATGATATCCCTGGTTGGGTGCATGATCCAGTTTTATATTTTTGCTTCCGGTGCAAACACAGGAAGTTTCCTCCTGGTAGTGATGGCCTATGACTGTTATATGGCCATATGTAACCCTTTGCTTTATCCTCTAGTGATGTCCAATACCTTCTGCATTCAATTATCAGGTGTTTCATTTATTATTGTTTTTTTCATCCTATAACGCATGTGGGTTTGTTATTTCAATTAACTTTCTGCAAGTCCAATGTAATACATTATTTCTACTGTGATATTTTACAACTGTTTAAAATTTCCTGTACTGACCCTGGAGTAATATGCTCCTGGTTTTTGTATTTTCAGTCTTTATACAATCTTTCACTTTTATGACTATCATCGTCTCTTACTCCTATGTCCTCTTGGCCATCCTGAAAAAGAAGTCTGAGAAGGGTAGAAGGAAAGCTTTCTCCACTTGCAGTGCCCATCTGCTTTCTGTCTCTTTGTTCTATGGCACTCTCTTCTTCATGTATGTGTGTCCTGGGTCTGGATCAGCTGCAGATCAGGACAAAATATATTCTTTATTTTACATGATAATAATTCCTCTGGTAAATCCTTTTATTTACAGTCTGAGGAATAAAGAGGTCATAGGTGCATTGAAGAGAATAATAAATAAATAAACAGTTTTTAAGGCAAATTTCTAACTTCTTCTTTTTAAACTTTGCAAAAATAGGGGGCCTCGAGTTATACAAATTAGCCTTGGCTTTACAATTTTAACAGAATGTTGGTGTCCATGAGAGTTTCTGAGTGCTGTGTGATGAGAGTCTGCTCCAATAGAGATTTGCTTCAATGGAAAGGGGTCTTCATATAACACAAAACTGAATTATTTGTAAAATTCTTTCTTGAAAAATAGAAAATTCTTTTTTTAATTGAGCATTTAGAATTTAAAAGTGTTTACTGTGTAAATTCCTACTAGATTAGATATAGTAGTTTATAATTTTTCTGTGGCGGAAAGTTGAGTGTTTCTTTTTTGGGTTTGTTATGACTGATCCCAGACAACTGTCCAGAGCCTGTGTTTTGAAAGTCTTGCTGCTTTTCAACTATTCAGAGACTCAGGTAAAGTGACTTCTTTGAGGAAACTGTCTTTGAAGAGAAAACTTTCTTTGTAGTGAAGAAAAGTGTAGACTCTAGAATGTTGGTAGAATTTAGGACTAATGGAAGATGAGATAAAATAAAAAGTGGACTGTTGAATAAAAGTATGGCTTAAATTTGTGAGAACACATAGTACACCTTACCAGGGAAATTATAGGCAATAGTGGCATTCAAGATTTTGTGGATTTTGGAAGATTTCAGGCTATGTGACCTCAAGAATTAATGGTCTGCTCTACTATATTTATGTACACTTACTGTAGCAAAAACTCAGAAATTGTATAGTGACTATTCTTACAATTTCTTAAATTTTTATTATTCAAGTAAAATTATTTACTACTGCATTTACACAATGTAACATGTCTAAATTTGAGTAAGTGTCACTATGGAATGGTTCTGAAATGCTTTTTAAAGGCCTTCAATATAATCTTTATTTTTCTGTCATTGACCATTCTGTAAGGAACGTATAGTGACTTTGTTGACAGAAGCAGACTATGGACATAGGAACAGATAGTTTGTTGTTAGTGTATAAAAAAGCAACTGATTTCTGTATGTTCATTGCAACATCACTGAATTTGTATCGGTTTCAATAGTTTTTGGTGAAGTCATTAGAATTTTTCCTGCAAGATATCATGTAATCTGCAAAGAGAGACAATTGTCTTTCTCTCCTTCCAACTCAAATGCCTTTTATTTATCATTTTTCTTGCCAAATTGCTCAGGTTTGAACTTCCAGTACTATGGTGAACAGAAATAGTGACAGTGGGCAATCTTGTTTTGCTGCTGATTTTAGAGGAAAATCTTTCAGCTTTTTTTACTGAGTATGATAGCTGTGAGCTTATCATATGGGTTTTATTATGCAGAGGTATATTTCTTGTATGCCTAATTTGTTGAAAGTTTTTATCATGAAAGGATAGTGAGTTTTGTCAAATGCTTTTTTTCACGTCTATTGAGATAGTCATATGGTGTGTTGTCCTTCATTCTGTTAGTGTGGCATTTCACATTCATTGATTTGCACACTTTGAAACATTCTTGCATCTGAAGAATCAATCACACTTGATCATGATGTATGATGTTCCTTTTGTTGTATTCTTAAATTTGGTTTGCCAATATTTTATTGAGAAGTTTGCAGCTATGTTTATCAGAGATATTGGCCTGTAATTTTCTTTTCTTGTCCAGCTTCAGAGTCATAGTTCAGAATGATTCTGGCCTTGTGAACAAGTTTGGAAGTATTCTTTCCTCTTTAATTTTCAGAAGAGTTTGAGAAGGATTGATATTAATTATTCTTTAATTGTTTTGTAGAATGCACCAATGACACCATCTCATCTTGGGCTTTTTTTGTTAGGGGGTTTTTGATTACCGATTCTACCTTCTTACTCATTTTTGGTATGTTCAGGTTTTCTATTCATGATTCTCTTTTGGCTAGTTGTATGTGTCTAGGAATTTACCCATTTCTTCTAGGTTATTCAATTTTTTGGCAAATAAGTGCTCATAATAATCTCTTATGATCCTTTGTCTTTCTTTAAAATTAATTGTAATGTCTCCTCTTTCATTTCTTTATTTTATTTGTGTCTTTTTTTCTTTGTTAGTCTAGCTAAAGGTTTGTCAAGTTTTAAAATCTTTTTAAAAAACCAATCTTAGTTTGGTTGGCCATTTCTATGTTTTTTTCTTGACTCCATTTCACTTATTTCTGCTCTTATCTTTACTATTGCTGTTGTCTTCCTTCTGCTAACTTTTGTTTGTCCTTCTTTTCCTAGTTCCTTTTGGTGTAAATTAGATTGTTTATTTGAGATCTTTCCTTTTTCTCAATGGAGGCACCTACTGCAATAAACTTCTTCCTTAGAACTACTTTTGCTGCCTCGAGAAGTTTTGGGATGTTGTATTGCCATTGTCATTTTATCTCAAGATATTTTTAAATTTCCCTTTTGGTTTTTCCCTTAATGCATTGGTTTTTCAGGAATGTGTTATTTAATTTCTATGTACTAGTGACTTTTTCAATTTTCCTCCCTGTTTTGATTTCTAGTTTCATATCGTGACCAGAAAGAAAACACAATATAATTTCAGTCTTCTTAATTTTGTTAAGACTTGTTTTGTGGCCTAAAATATGATCTATCCTGAAGAATGTTCTGTGTGTACTTGAGAAGAATGTATATTCTGCTACTTTGTATGGAATGTTCTGTATATGTCTGTTAGGTCCACCTAGTCTAAAGTGTAGTTTAGGTTCAAAGTTTCTTTATTGATTTTCTGTCCCAATGCTCTATCCATTGTTGGAAGTTGGATACTAAATTCCTTACTATCATTGTATTGCTGTATATTTCTCCCTTTACTTCTGTTAACTGTATTTTTAGGTGTGCCAATGTTGGGTGCATGTATAATTGTTATGTCTTCATGATGGATTGACCCCTTTATCACTATATAGTACCCTTCTTTATCTCTTGCTATGATTTTGACTCAAAGTATATTTGGTCTCATATATGTATAGCAATCTGTTTTCTTTTGGTTTCCTATTTCATTAAATATCTGTTTCCATTCCTTCACTTTCAGCCTGTAACTCCCCTTAAAGCTAAAGTGAATCTTCAGTGGGCTCAGTGGTTCATGTCTGTAATTCAAGGACTTTGGGAGACTTGGGCAGAAGGATTGCTTGAGGGCAGGAATTTGAGACCACCATGGGCAACATAGCAAGATCCTGTCTCTGCAAAAAATTAAAATATTAGCCAGATGTGGTGGCATGCACCTATAGTCCCAGCTACTTGTAGGCTGAGGTAAGAGGAGTGCTTGAGCCCAGAAGTTCAAGCCTGCATTGAGTTATGATTGTGCCACCGAGCTCCAGTTTGGGTGATGGAGTGAGACCCTGTCTCTAAACAAACAAGTAAATAAAGTAAGTCTCTTGTAGGTAGCATATAGTAGGGTCATATCTTTTATCCATTCAGCCACTCTATGTCTTTTGATGGGAAAACTTAAACTATTTCCATTTAAAGTAACTATTGGTAGGTAATAGTTACTGATGACATCTTATTAATTTTTTTGTGTGTTGATTTTCAGGTCCTTTGTTTCTTCTTCCTCTTTCAGTGTCTTGCCTTGTGCTTTGTTGTTGTGTGTAGTGATATACTTTGATTCTTTTCTTTTGGTGTGTCTGCAATATGTTTTAGTTTTGGGGTTACCAGAAGACTTACATAAAATATTTTCTACTTACAATAGTGAGACAGCCAAGTATAAAGAGGTCCTCAGAGAACCTCTGAGCAGTCTGTGCATTGGGAGGAATGTGCACTGGGGTGGAGCCTCAGGAGGTTTGTGTCTGTTTGCAGTAGGGAGGAGCCTGGCCCCTCCTCTTCCTGGGTGCAAACTGAGATTTAATCTGTGGGGAGGGAAGCCAATGTTAGCAGGAATCTCACTCTGCTAAGAGTCCCTGTTTCTCCCTTTTTTCCTTTTCACTCAATAAATTCCATTTTTCTCACCCTTCAAAGTGTCTGCAAGCCAAATATTTCATGGCTATGTGACAAGGACCTGGCTCTTAGCTGAACTAAAGAGAAAGTCCTACAACAGCTTTGGCACCCACAACGTGGGGCTTGAGAAGGGGTGAGTGAAATGGGGACTCAAAACTTCTCACTGTTGCTTCTGAGCCTTTTGGTCCTATGGCATTCCTCTTCTTTTTTTCACGACAGTAGCAGCACCTGTTTTTTCTTTTATAATACCTGAGCTCCCCAAAGGAGACAAGTGTGCATGCAGGCCAGTTGGACAGGGCAGCTCTCTGCTCCCCTTTCCCTACCAGCCTGGGTGCATGGCCATGTCTGCTGCATGTGTGCATGGTGTCCAACTTTCACACAGGGCGTGAATGAGCCACAGCGGCTGCCAGGGCCCCAAGGCACCCTGTGTGACTGTCTAGCATTCCCTGCTATGCGCCCATGGAGTCTTCTCCTCCTCTAGCCAGGGAGGTCAGCTCCCATCCCACAGCAGTTAAGCGTTTTTCCCTGGTGGAGGAACCAGTTGCATAAGAATAAGAAGTTCTTTCTCAGACATGTTTAAATTGATTTTTTTTCTTCCCTTTTTCCACCCTGTCAGCAGTTAACTTTTAAACAAGGTTTTCTTTTTAGAAGATGTTTTACTAGGCTAGGAATGATAAGGATCACTGTTTATATTCTCTATAAAGTTTTAATTGAGAAAAAGTATTTGTGAGGCTGGTCTTAAGGTGCAGCCAATCTGGTATGCTTTGCATGTCTCTGAGCTGCAGGCTTTCATCTTATTTTACATCCTGGGGGTGTGGCTTGTAACCCTAGAGCAACACTTTGTTTAGCAATCTTCCCTTAGGGAATGAGTCCTTTCTGGTTTGTGTTTTCCTAGCCCTGTCTCTTAAAGGACTCATGGGTTTTCTTCTGCCTGTCTGTGTAGCTGTATGTGTGCTGTGTGTGTTTTCTATAAAAAGAGCTGTAATTAATTGGCCTAAAGGAAGAGAGGTGCTTGGGTCAAATTTTTTTAAAAGGGAATATAAAATCTCTGGTATCTTTCAATTCATATTACTTTAATCTTTGAGAAATAAAAACAACAGCCTTAAAGATTATTGGTAAAATGCAGATGTCATCAAAATGTAAATAGATGGACTAAATTATGCAGGCCAGATGCAAGGTTTGCCAAGTGTTTTAAGGTTATAACTGCTTTTTTAGGTTTTGAGAACTATCTGACTTGCCTTCCTAACAACTGGTCAGGCCTGGGGACATACAGAACTAACCACTGTCTTAATTAGGCTGCAAGGAGTCAAACCTTGGCTGTACCTAGCACAGAATTAAAACAACTTACCAGGTTTTACATTAAAGTTGAAATTGCTAGTAGTTACCATTATAACATGTAATTGAAACTACTGGAAATAGATTTACATGTGAGGTGTGTAAGAATGGTAAAATGTGCTTTTAATAAGATTATAAGAAGACATGAAAATGTAAATTCTTAAAGGATTGTTTTAAATTGCATAAGATAAAGCTAAAAGTTCAAGCAATTTGGTGGAAGGATTGTAAAATTAATCTTGCAAAAAAAAATTTCATGTGTGAACATATTGGCTAAATTCAAAAAAGTTATATGGCTTTTCGGTAAATTGAGCATTGAAATAAAAGCACAACAAGGTTTTCTTAAGGCACTAATCTGCTGTTTAGCAAAATTTTTACAGGGTTATAAAAGGTTTTTGCTTCTTTCTTTTTTTTTTTTTTTTTTGAGGTGGAGTTTCCCTCTGTTGCGCAGGCTGGAGTGTGGCGGCAAGATCTTGGCTCACTGCAAACTCTGCCTCCCGGTACAAGCAATTCTCCTACCTCAGCCTCCTGAGTAGCTGGGATTACAGGCACCTGCCCCCATGCCTAGCTAATTTTTTGTACTTTTGGTAGAGATGGGTTTTCATCATGTTGGCCAGGCTTGTCTCAAACTCCTGACCTTAAGTGATCCACCCACCTCAGTCTCCCATAGTGCTGGGATTGCAGGCATGAGCCACCATGCCCACTCTAAAGGTTTTTGCTTCTTTAAAATCTGAGTCATCATTCTGGCAAAATAAATCATTTTTGGTAATCTGGAATTCTATTTCATAACATCAAGTGTTTTAACCCTCTAACATATTTAATAGGCTTCCTAAAATCAAACTTAAATTTCAAAATTGTCTTTCCTGATACCTTTTCAGAGACTCCAGAAGGGCCCTTGCAGTGTCCAGAAAAGAGATGTAAACAGAATTATTTGACATGTTTAGGTTCACAGGATTGCCAAAATGGTGTTCAATCCTCTTTAGGTTATATTTTGGTAAATAATAATAATATATGTTTCAAAATTGCATGGGATTTCTAAAATTCTGATGTCCAAGTATATGCTATCAATCATAATTAAGATTATTAAGTTATTGTAAGCCATGGAGATAACCAAACTTCTTTGTCAATTGTGTTTCTAACTATAACTACCCTGGACATTTTGTTATTCACAGACAATTGTTGTCTTGTTCTAATTCATTTCAAAAGATGGTTTATAATGAGCTACCGAACTTTGACAGGTGCTCTCAATACAGGTTTCTGATACCTTTGGAGACTGTGACATTGGAATAAAGAAAAATTTACAGGAGTCATGAAGAGCTGAAATGTTCACAAATATCAAGTGAATCAAGAACTACATGGACTGAACTGAGAAAGCTGAAGCAATCTTTTTGGCTTTTGCTTGGAAAATTGTTGACCCTTATTTTGTTTTTCAGAGTCAAGGAAACTTATTTTGAACTATTTACAGCCTTTAATAATTGAGTAGGTATACTCCCATGAACCAACTTGGGAGCATATTTGTCTTTTTCTCTGCCTGGTTCCTCTAGAATTTGGAAACTATCTGTGAGTATTCTTAACTTACAGCAATATATTTTTGCGGTTTAATAAGAATCCATTTTTCTTTTGCAACAGGATGCAATTGGAGAAACTGGTTATTTTTACCAAGGCTTTGACTGGAAGGGTGTTTTTCCTTTTAAGGAGTCAATCTCAACTTGCAGAGCTGATAAACCCCCCTTGGGGATGGGGGTTGGAAACTGGCCTCATACCCTTGCCTAAACAGTCCCTGTACTGAGTTCCTGACCTGTGGTCAGTAAAGAATGTCACTTTCCAGTAGGCCTAGGAGCTCCAAGTTTATTTTGGGACCTTAAGAAGAGAGGATCACTCAATTCACAGGTATTTGAGGATACAAACCCATGGCTGGGCTTGGCTTTAATAGGTCTTATCTGAGACTCCTTGCGGAATGGAGTTACATCAAAGCCAGTCTAAAAGGCCTATGTAGAAATGATTATTCTTGCTGCACTTTATGCAAATGATCAGGCCTAGTGTAAGACTAAAGTCTATTTTGCAAATCACTCAGTCCTATGATGACTTAGTTTTTTCTTAACAAAAATGAGAACTGGAGGGACTTATCATATATTTGTCATTAAATTCTAAACTCATTAGTTGTTACTAAGTTTTTGCCAACATTTTAGACTAACGCTGCTTGTTCCTGTGAACCAACCAGCAATCTCTGGCTGCAGCTCAGAAAGAGCAAGAGGGATGGGTAATGTAAAAATCTGCATCAATATTCTAGTTCTGAGCAATTATCCTGCAAATCCTGTCAGGTGATGGGAATAAAAAGCATGTCCATCACCTGGAGGTTTCCTTTTTAAGAAAGTGAGACCAAGAGAGCTAACCAAAACCAAGTAAAATACACCCAAATCCTAGCAAGCATAACTATAACCACCAGTTATCTGGGTGTGTCAAAAGACATCCTTTTCTCTCTTTTTTTGGAGGAGGACTCAGTTCCACAGTTTCATCTCAGCATTCAGCTTTTGATAAGGAATTCATGCAACCACCCCCCTCCACCTTCCCAAGACACATTTTTGTCCCAAACTCAATTCCAAGCTTCGGGTAAAAACCCAAGGAAGGAAAACTGGATCTAAGGGATCCAGAGGCAGACAACAACAGTGGTTAAAAGGAACAGTGCAAGTGAGAATGGCTAATTCCTGCTGATTAATCCAAACCTCCCATTTCATGGATAAAGTTCTTGCTAATATCCATGGAATAAATGAGGTCTAGGGAAATCCAAGGCTACTGACAGTAGGTGGGATAGAGACATAGGAGAGAGTGGATAATTCTTATTCTCTAGGTCCTCCCTGCTTCATGAGTGCAAGCCGGTTTGGCATCCATGGTGGCACCTGCCAAGGTTGCCAGGACTTGGGGATGCCAGAACAGAAGAGGGAAAGAGGATGTTCTTCCTTCTCTCCCGCATGTACCTCAGGTGTCTGCTAGGGAGTGATGGGAACCAGGGATGCCTGCTCCCCTCTTTCTAGATGGGTAGCAATTTATCTTCAGTCTGTACCCCTTTTGAATGCACCCTGAACCCCTGGAACTCCTTTGAAAAGCACCTTATTTTATTCTTTCTCCTCCTCTGCCCTCTCTTCACTGATAGACAATTGTGTCTCCATGCTATGAGACACTCCCCTCAGATGCATCCTCCAGACTGGAAAGAGTTAATTTCCCAAACCTTAAACTGGTTTGCTTAGGTTTGGGCTCAGAGGAAGGGAACATGCCAGCAAAAGGGTAAATTTTTTTTTTCCATTTGGGCTTTTGGCCTCCCTCTCCCTGTGTAAACTGGCAAAAAGCCTTGGGATTTTTAAGCTGTTCTTACCCCTTTCCTTGTTTCATTTTGATAAATGTTTTCTCATAACTTGGTTTGTCTCTTCTTGCCTTCAGGCCGTCAAACTCCAAATGGTCATGCAACCAGAGCCTCGGTTGATGGCTTAGTCTGCTGGGAACCCTTAGATAGGCCTGTGAGGGAGATCTGACTGATGTTTCCTCAAAACAGCACCCCCTGTCAGTAGGAAGCAGTTAAGATGGGTCTTTGTCCTTATCCTTACCCTGATTCTAATGGTAGATAGATGTACTTCTTTACAGGGGGGAATGAGACAGCCATGTATAAAGGGGTCCCCAGGAACCTCTGACTAGCCTAAGCACTGGGAATAATGTGCACCAGGGTGGGGCCTCGAGAAGTTTGCACCTGTTTAGGGTCCGGAGGAACCTGGCCCTTCCTTTTCCTGGGTGGAGCCTGAGATTCAATCTGTGAGGCCAGAAGCCTCTACTAGCAGGATTTTTGCTTGGCTGAGACTCCAGAGCAAGAGTTCCTCTTTTCTCTTTTTTTCCCTTTTACCCAATAAATTCCATTTTTCTCATCCTTCAAAGTGTCTGTGAGCCTAATATTTCATGGCCGTATGACAAGGACCTGGCTCTTAGCTGAACTAAGGAGAAAAGACCTACAGCAATAGTTTAAGCTGATAATATCTCAACCCCAATTACACAGGAAAGTTCTACAAGTTTTTCTGTCTCCTCTCCACATTTTATGTTGTTTATATAGTGAGTTACATCTTTTTATATTGCGTGTCCATTGACAAAATATTTAGCTCTAGATATTTTTACTTTTTTCTTTTGACCTCTATATTGAATTAAAAATTGCTCTTTATTTGCCCTTTAAGTACTATATACCTCCATTTTTGAGTATTCTGTATGTGATTTTTTTTACTGTTACATTTTATAATTTCATATGCTTTAATGTTAATAATTAGCATTCTTTTGTTTCAGCTTAAGAACTCCTTTTACCATTTTTGAAAGACAGGGCTAGTGGTGATGAATTTCCTCAGCTTTTGGTTATCTGAGAAAGTCTTTAACGGTCCTTCGTTTATTAGAGATAACTTTACTAGATACAGTAAAATTTCTGTAGCTAGTAAATACAGAAATTGAATTTACTAGTTTCTATTTACTGTAAATACAGAAATGGTATTTACTGTATTTACTATGAAACTAGATACAGTATTCATAGTTGACAATTTTTATTTCACCACTTTAAATATACTATCCTATTCTCCTTTGGCCCACAAGGTTTCTGCTGATAAATTCACTGATATCCTCATGAATTTTCCATGGTATGTGACAAGTTGCTTTTCTCTTGCTGCTTTCAAAATTCTCTCTTAGTCTTTGACTTTTGATTATTTGATTATAATGTGTTTCTGTGAAGACCTCTTTTGATTTGATCTGTTTGGGGACTTTTGAGGTAAAATAATATGGATATTCATATCTTTCTCCAAACTTGGGAAGTTTTCGGCTATTATTTATTCAAATAAATGTTCTGTCCCTTTCTCCTTTTTTTCTCCTTGACTCCCATAATGCTGATACTGGTTCACTTGATGGTGTTCAATAAGTTCTGTAGGCTTTTCTTACTCTTTCATCCTGAGTTTTTTGGGAGCAGAGAACAGGTGCACTTGTGGAGTGGGTAACAGGTGCACTTGTTGCAGCAGTGGTGCCAGTGATTGATTTGTGGATTTGTACACATCATTTACAGAATCAAGTTGTGGGTCTCTGGGGCATGCTGCAATGATTTAGCCCTAGGGGGATGGGATGCAACACTGGCATGAATCCAATGATGCCAGGACACAATGGAGGCATGAGCCCTGTGGATGGAGTGCAATAGCATTGCAGCCCCACGGATAGCAGGTCATAACTGGAAGTCAGGCACCTGAGGGTTGGCACACAACAGTTGTAGTGCAATGGGGTCTAAAGCAATGGAAGCGTGGTACCCATAAGGGTGAATCAAAGCCCTGAGTCAATACTGGAGCATTCATCTTTAAGGGTATTTTAGAGAACTCACAACTATTGGCATTCTCTAGTGAGTTTATACCCTCTAAACTGGTGACTCTAAAATTGTCAAATTAGGTCCCTCGGTCTAAAATTCATCAAGCCTTTACCTAGAAGCAAGGGAAATCTTGAATTCCTAATATAAGTAACATGCAAGGGATAGCCCTTATAGTATACCAACCAAAGTATAATATACTCCTGGCAAAGAGTCCCAGATTCCAGGAATAAAGAGAGTATCTATAAACTTCCAGACAGAGAGACCGGTTACTAACAGAGAAAGGTAAATACAGTAATATCTGACTTTCTATATGTTGCACTGAAAGTACAGAAAATGGGGCCAGATTTATAAACTATTGAGGGAAAAATAAGGGCTTCCATGAATAGTATTGAGACAAGTGTTTGCAGAGGGATTGTGAATGGCTGTTCAGGCTGTGTGCGCTGTTCAATTCAAAAGCACTATTCGCAGACACAATATTGTGTTTCTGGCTGCCCTGTGTATAAGGTACCATAAGTAATGAACCAATGGATGATGATAATGTGACTAGGAATTGCTTTATAAGTGTTAGTTAGAGATGAAGACTATAACAAAAATTAGATAACATTCCATTACCATTTTAAAGGTATTTGGCAAAAATCAGAGAAGATTCTCTTTCAATTAAGAGGGCATGTGTAAGTAGGTGTATGTATAAACTGTATACTACGACTCACTTTGAAACACTGTTTTTCAATTTCTTAAGCCTGTAAAAGCCAGTTTTATCATTTCTTTGAGGACTTATGGAAAAACCAGAACTTCAGTTTTCTTGAGGATTGCTATAATATCACTAGTGTTGAAGAGTTCATGAAATATGAGTCACAGATCACATTGCCCATTGATTCATATTGATTTCCTATCATAGATACTGTTGGTGTCCACCAATATTTTCTCTAATACTACATCTGAAGCTGAGGGCATGCTCTGATGGCTGAAGTCATTCTACCCTCACTTAAGACAGATTATAAGAGCTAGAAAACGAATGCTCCTCATAGAATCTCTCCTAGACTGCCTATAAAAAAGTAACTAACAGGAATTAGTTCATAAATGCTACCAATTTTTTGCCCTTTGGTTGAGATAAATTTAAATTTCATGCACTACGCTGGCTCCTTTTTTTTTTTTAATTAAGCTGTTTGCCTACAATTGTAGCTTGGCTGATAAATTACCATTTAGTGGGTGCATTCCATTTCCTGTCTTACTTCACTTTTTCACTTATCAACTTTTCAAAAATAAATCACTTTTACTCAAATAATGTCTCAGGATTTTCTTCTGGTAGAACACAAACTAATATACCTCTATTACCCTAAGATAGAACTGAAAGTTTTATAGAGGAACCAAGTATACCTATGTGTCCTATTTTAACGGCATAAGGATTACTTCCACAGAAATATTATTGGTTGAGTGGTGACTCACTATTTTGGAAAGGTCTTGTCTATCCAGATGTTATTTAGATCTAAGAAGAATCTTAAAGTAGTTCATTCTTCTACCTCATACCTTTAAGTGCCTGCCCCATCACTATCAAAGTTGAAAGTCAATGTCCATTTTAACTTCATATCTCAAATATATACTTCAGCTATTAAAAAAGAATTTTAGATTTTCATAATTCAGGATATACTATTTGTTTTTTAAAGTGTTATTTATATTAATTTTTACTGTCCTACACACAATGAGCAGATTTCAATTTAAAACAGTAAAATAAACAACAAAAGAGCAAGAAAGAACCCAAAGTAAAAAGAAAAAGCAGTCAAAAGAACCAGTCTCAGATATAACTCAGAAACTGGAACTATCAGTCATGGAATTTAAAATGATTATGATTGATATGTTAAAGTTCTCATGTATGAACTGATAAAGAATTTCAGAGAGAGATGGAAAATATTTTTGGAAAGTCAAGCGAAAATGCTAGAATTACTTTTTTTTAATAAAACAGGAGGACAGATGAAAAGAATGACTTTGGTGAAATCATCAGTAAATTATACACAGCAGAGAAAAGAACAGTGAACCTGAATATAGATCAACAGATATTATCAAAATTAAACAAAAAGACAAAAAGTAAAACCAAAATGTAACCTTCAGGTATCATGAAAGAATATCAAGTCATCTAAAGTATGTGTTATTAAAATCTTAAAGGAGAAGGGAGAGAGGCAGAAGAAATATTTGAAGATGTGATTGCCATGAATTTTTCAAAAATAATGAAAGGAATCAAACTAAAGATCTGAAAAGCTCATACAACCTCAAGCAGGATAAATACCAAAACAAACATATATCAGGAACAAATACAAATCCTGGATACATTTTGTTGAATTGTCTAAGAAGCAAAGATAGAAAGAAAAGTTTGAGGGGCCAGAGAAAAAAAAGAAAGTACACAAGCCAGATGGATTGAATAACATTTCAAACTAGGTGGGGGAAAAACATGCCAACAGAGAATTCTATACTCAGCAAAAGATGCCTTCCAGTTTCTCCATGGTGAGACATGTGGCTTTGAATTTTGCCTTATCAGCCCCACCAGATGATGGAGGCTATGGATCAGGAAGGTGGAAGCTGGGCTTACTTGATTTCTGACCTGGCTGGGCTTCCAATAGCGCGTCTCCCTACCTCTCCTCCCTTCATCTCAAAGGACCAGAAAGTGGGCAGGGTTTGGGTGGACACTGAGGTATGAGGGATTCCCAGTGTTCTATACTCTGTGAGTTCTGCACAGAAATGGCATATTGTGCACCTCAGATTGGAATAGGGCTGGTAACCCATAGTGGCTACAGACCTCTAAGCCCAAGGGCCAGGCCAGGGCCAGGGTTGACAGCAGCCCTGATTGGGCATCCCTTACACTTCAGCTCTGTTCCCCTGGTGTTGTGAACAAGGAAAAGCTGAAGGAAAAGCCCAGACATTCCAAGACATGAAAACTCGGCAGAAAGATCTGAAGCATTTGCCAAATTGCTGAAGCAGAAGGATATCGCCTGCAGGAAGTTGTTCAGCTAAATGAACATCTGCTGTATTGAAGCTCTGCAGCTTAGTTTTAAAAACATGTGTAAGCTGTGGCCCCTGCTGAAGAAGTTGATGGAGAGACAATGAAAAACATTAGAGGATATTCAAAACAAAACCATCCTAAAGCAGGCTCTAGAGAGAAAGCAGGTGAGCACCAAGATTCAAGCGATCAGGATTGAGAAGCACATGGTCTGAGTGTGGCTCTGTAATTGGTGCCAGAAAGGCACCAAGAAATAACTATTCTCAATGAGAAGACTTTGAGGCCACTGAGTATCCTTTCACAAGACCAGTGTGCTTTCCTCTGATACCTGAGCCTCATTTTGGTACTTCAAACTATGGGGACCATCACATCAATACTCTGTACTTCTCAGTTCTTTTCACTCTTAAATATAAAGCATTCCCCTCTGTCTTGCACACCACTCTGAGCTCTCTCATGCATTCAGATTCCTCAGTATGAGAAGTTGTGGAACAAGAGAAAGGGGAGAAGCTGAGGAAACAAGACCTTGGGATTTGCCACAGAAATTTTGGGATTAAGCTATTGATTCACTAAAGATGAATTTGGGAACACAAAAAGTGGGTGTAGGGAGTTTTAGGGAAACTGGTTGGAAAGAAGGTAAAGGCCAATGTTGTTCTTGATTTTAATCCCAACATTACTTATCACTTTTTTCTTAAATAATGAAACCTGGGAAAACAAGAAAAAATAAATGAAACAAAGACATTTAAGACAAAGCTGAAAAAATGTATTAGCATTAGACACTTAGAGTAAAAGAAAACCATGAAAGGAAGTTTTTCAGGCAGAAAGAATGTGAAACCAAAGAGAAACTTTGTGCTACACAAAGAAATAAAGATATCTGAAAATCATTAAAATTAAAGTTCATATAGAAAATATTCTTATTATAAATTAATTTAAAAGATAATTGAATGTCTAAAAGAGTAGTAATGTATTGTGTCTTTATAGTACAGGAGAAAGTAAAATATATAACAACATGGCATGAAAGGTCGGGGGAAAGAATAGTGAGTATACTGCTTTTAGATTATTATACTACTTATGTGGGTGGTATAATATTATTTGAAGGTAGATTTTGATTAATTAAAGTGATGTATTGCATACACATAGAACACCACCAAAAAATAAACAATGTATAAATAATAAACCACATATGAAGATAAAATGAAAAAAATTTATATTAATCCAAAGTCAGGCAGGAAAACAGGAAAAAGTGAACAAAAGACAGATGGAATAGATAGAAAAAAAGCACCTAGCAAGATGATAGCTTTTAACCTTGTGTATCAATATATTTATTAGAGATAAATGATATAAACACACCAAATGAAAGACAGATTGTCAGGTTGAATGCAAAAGCAAAATCTAACTATACATTTTTGAGAATACTTTCAATATAAAGACAGATTAATTAGAATTAAAAGAATGAAGAAAGATATATGATGCAAACACTAATAAAAAAAGCTGAGGTGGTTATCAAAATAGACTTCAGAACAAGGAATATTACCAGAAATAAAGAGAGACATTGCAAATTAATAAAGATCACTACAGACCAAATGAACTTAATAAAGGTATACAGGACTTTTCATTTAACAGCTAAAAATACACAATTTTTACAAGTGCAAAAGAACATACTTTAGGATAGCTCCTGTATTAGGTCAAAAAACAAGCCTTAACAAATTTAAAAAGTTTAATCATATCAAGTGTCTTTTAAAACCACAATGTAATGAAACAAGTAATTAATAAAAAGAAAATTCAAAACTTCACAAATATGTGGAAACAAGAACCACCACTGAACCAAAAAGGATATCAAGAGAGAATTTAAAAAAAATATTTTAAAAACAAACTAGCCCAAAGTCAAAAGAATGAAGGAAATAATAAAGATCAAGGACAAACTAATAAAATAGAGACTAGAAAAACAATATAAAATATCAGCAAAAGAGTTTATTTTCTGAAAAGATAAATGAAATCAACATAACTTTAGCTAATCTAAGACACAAATAGAGAAGACTCAAATTTAAAAAAATGAGAAATGAAAGAAGAGACAATTCAACTGATACCGCAGAGAAAAGGATCACAACAGACTATGACCAATTATTTGTTAACACATCGGATAATTGAAAATAAATGGATAAATTTCTAAAAAATGTACAACTTGCCAAGACTAAATCATGAATAAATTAAAGCAATAATGAATTAAAGATTAAATCAGTAAAACAATCCCATAAAAGTAAAACACAGGGCCTGATGATTTCACTGCTGAATTATGCCAAAAATTTAAATAAGAATGAATATCAATTTTTCTCAACTCTTTCAAACAATTGAGGAGAAAGGACCAACCCTTCAAAATACATTATACAAGTTCTGTGTCACTCTGATTCTGAAGCCAGACAAGCACACTGCAGGAAAAAGAAAATACAGGCCAATATCCTTTATGAAATTGCAAAATAGATGCAAAAATCCTCAACAAAATGCAAGCAAACAAAATTCAGCAGCACAATATAAAGATCATTCACCATGACCAAGTGGGAGTTAGCCATATGATGCAAGGATGCTTCAAAATATGTAAATCAAATAATATGATATACCATATTAACAGAATAAAAGGAAAAATCATATAATCATCTCAGTAGATGCAGAACAAGTATTTGATAAAATTTAACATTCTTTCATGAAATTCCTTTCAAAAAACTGGAGGTAGAAGGAATGCACCACAACACAATAAAATCCATATATAAAAAGCACACAGATAACATCACACAAACTGAAAGTTTTTAACCTAAAATGAGGAACAAGACAAGAATGCCTATTCTCACCAATTCCACTCAATATATTACTGGAAGTCCTAGCCAGAACAATTAGACAAGAAAATAAAATAAAAGGCATCCACATTAGGAAGAAAGAAGTTAAATGGTTTCTCTCTGCAGATGACATAATCTTATATATACAAAAACCCCAAAATTTTTACCCCAAAACTGCTAGAAATTATTTTAAAATTCAGTAAAATTGCAGGATACAAAATCAGCATACAAAAGGCAATTTAATTTCTTTCTATGAACAATAATCTATAAGAAAAAGAAATCAAGAAAACAATTATTTTATGACAGCAACAAAAAAAGAATAAAATACTTAGAAATAAATTGATTAAATAAATTAAATTTTGATAGCAACAAAAAAATAAAATACTTAGAAATAAATTTAATAAGAGGAAAAAATTTGTACACTGAAAACTATAAATATTGCTGAAATAAATTGAAAACAGAAATAAATGGAAAGACAACTCATTTTCATGTATTGAAAGAACAATTATTGTGAAAATGCCTATACTATCCAAAGTGATCTACAGATTTCATGCAATTCTTGTCATAATTTCAATGATATTTATGAAGAAAGAGAAAAAAAATCCTAAAATTTGATTTGAACCCAAAATGACCACAAATAGCCAAAGCAATCTTGAGCAAAAACAGAGTCATAGGCATCACACTACCTGATTTCAAAATCTACTACGAGGCTAAAATAAAATGGCATTTATCTGTTGTACTGTCATAAAAACAGGCACATAGGCCAGAACTGAGAAGTTAGAAATAAATTTGCAAATTTTTGACAAAGGGCAAAGCACACACATACACACACACAATGGAAAAACGATAGTCTCTTCAATCAATGTTGTTTGGAAAGCTGTATATCCACATGCAGAAAAATACAATTAGACCCTCATCTCACACCACATACAAAAATCAACTCAAAGGGGATTAAAAATTTAAATATGAGACCTGGGATTAAAGATTTAAATGTAAGACCTGAAGTGGTAAAACTACTGGAAGAAAACATAGGGGGAAAGGTCATGACATTGGTCTGGGCAGTGATTTTTTTGGATATGACTCCCAAATCATAGCCAACAAAAGTGAAAACAGACAAGTGGGATTACATCAAACTAAAAAGCTCTTGCGCAGCACAGGAAATAATCAAGAGTGAAGAGACAACCTAAAATGGGAGAAAATATTTGCAGAGCATACATCTGATAAGGGGTAATATCCAAAATATATAAGAAAGTCAAACAATTCAATAACAAGAAAACACATAACCTGATTTTAAAAATGGGCAAAGGGCTTGAACAGACATTTCTCAAAAGACATGCAAATGGCCAACAACTACGTAAAAACAAGGCTCAACATTACTAATCATTAGAGAAATGCAAGTTAAACCAGAAGGAGATACCGTCTCATGCCTGTTAGAATGGCTATTATCAAAAAGATGAAAGATAACAAACACTGGTAAAAATGTGAGAAAATGGAAGCTTTGTATACTGTTGCTGGGAATGTAAATTAGTAAAGCTATCATGGAAAACCGTATGCATACACCTAAAAAAAACTACAAACAGAACTACCATGTGACCCAGTAATCTCACTACTGGGTATACATTCAAAGGATATAGAATCATATGTTAAAGAGACATTAGCATTTCTATGTTAATTGCAGCATTACTCACAACTGCCAAGATATGCAATCAACTTAAGCACTCATCAACAGATAAATAGAGAAACTGTGGCATATATACACAATGGAATATTATTCTGTCTCAAAAAAAGGAAATCCTGTAATTTTGGCAACATGGGTAAACCTGTAGGGTATTATATTAAGTGAAATAAGCCAGAGACAGAACAACAAATATCACATGTTCTCACTTACATGTGGAATCTGAAAAAGTTGAATGAAAAAATGCAGAGAGTAAAATAGTGGTTACTGGAGGCTGGAGATAAGGAGATTGGAGAGATACTGGTTAAAGAATACCAAATTTCAGTTGGACAGGAGGAATAAATTCAAGAGATCAATTATACATTGCAATGATTATAGTTAGTAACAATATATTATATACTTGAAAATTCCTCAGAAAGTAGATTTTAAGTGTTCTCATCACAAAAAAAAATGCTATGTGGGGTAATGTATATGTTAATTAGATTAATTTAGCCATTTTACAATGTATACATATATCAAAACATCACATGAAAGCAAAAGGTTGGGAGCCACAGAGCTGATGGTATAGACCTCACTCCTAGTCTGAGGGCCTGAGAATGAGGCGCATAAAGGGCAGTGGAAGAACAATATCTCTGCTCAGTCAGTCAGGAAGAAAGCAAATTCAAATTCAATCTTCCTCTGCCTTTTAGTTCCATCTGAACCCAAAACAGATTGGATAATTCCCACCCTCATTGGGGAGTGCCATCTGCTTTATTCAGACCACTAATTCAAATGTTAATATCTATTGGAAACACCTTCAAGACACCCAGAGATAATGTTTAACCAGATATCTGGGAATCCCTTGGCCAAGTCAAGGTGACACAGAGAGATCCATTACTTGTCTCCGTATTGTCAACTTGGCATCCACGTGCATCTTCTTAAACCACAGTAAATGACTGAATAAATACAAAAATGTCATAATTCTGACTAGCATAATGAAACTATCCTGCATAAAACTCACTGAACGCCTCCAGAAGAGGACATTTAGTCTTTAGGTATTATTTGCTCTCCTTGAACTCTGGAAAGTGAAATTGCCAGATGTAAAATTAGCAGTACTTAAAAACCATGATATAAAAATATATTTTATGTTACATGATAAAGGACTATGAGAGGAAAGAAAACAAAGATATTTTCTATGTATGTAGAAGTGTATACAAACATATATTAATAACAAAAAGGAGGAAATGCTCCTGACAATTATAGTCTTCATTTATTGTTATTCTTGACAAAACTGGGTTAGTATTAGCCTTACCTGGATTAGGTTGTTGAAGTTTCTTAATGACCTTAATCACAAGAACTGATAATACTGAGAGATCCCTTAAGGGAGCTTCTGTATTACAGACATACTCTTCTTTACCTCTGCTGTGGAGTAGTAGCCCAATTTCTCCTTGGTTGTCAGTATCAATCACTCCAATCAGCAGTCATTTGTTTATTTGCCTGTTGATTCAGAGGAATAAAGAGACCAAAGTGGCCTGGTGGCAGTCTTAACTTCCAGCTCAATGGAATCACCATTATATCTCCTAGTATAAATATTCTCCTTTTGGAGCTAAGATTTTTAGGAGAGAAGAGGATAAGAGTGCAGTAACAAGAAGCAAAATTTTCTAGTGGGTCACTAGAGGTGGTGAATGGTCTCACTCCCATTTCCACCATTTCCATTTCTGGACCTGTAAATCCAGCTCACAAGAGAAGTAGCAACGTATATTGAATGTGAATCCAGATAATATATGGCATTCTGCAGAACATTGCTCAGCCCTGCAAATTTTTACCACCTAATTGGTGCTGTAAATGAGTCCTCAAAAAGTCATTTCACTATTCTATTCTACTGGCTGTTTCTGGATGGTGGGGAACATAGTAACATCGTAAGACCAGTGATTTCCATGAACTTGGTCCCATTGCTCCAATTCATTTGCTGTGAAGTGAGCTCCTTAATCATGAGGTATGTTGTGTGGAGTACCATGACAGTCAAGAAGAAATTTGGTAGGTCCACGGATGGTAGCTTTGACAGAAGCATTGTGCATAGAGAAGACATTTCTGTATCCAGATTGAGTATCTATTCTATTAGGAAAAAAACACTGCTTCTTTCATGATAGAAACTGTCCAATGTAATCAACTTGACATCTAGTTTAATGATTACAGATTGAGGACTCAGTGTTGGCTTCTTTTTCTGGTTGATTGAGCACCTCACAGTGGCCCTAGACAGGTTGGCTTTGGTAATTGGAAATCCATATAGCTAAGCCCAAGCAAACCTCCATCCCTATCACTAGAGCCACTTGAGACTAACTGGTATCATAGAATGGGTCATTCTATCCTCTTGATTATTAAAATCCTCAGGAGAATTTTAATAATCAAGAGGATACACTGGTGAACATCCACATGAGCTACAAACACTGTCTTTAGTCCACTTGTGCTGCTATAGCAGAATACCACAAAGACAGTAATTTACAGGAAACAAAAATGTACTTTTTCAGAGTTCTGGAGGGTAGGAGGTCAAAGACCAAGATGTCAAGATGTCATCAGAATGGATTTTCTGGTGAGGACTGCGATCTGCTTCCGAAATAGATCCTTCTTGTTGCATCCTCTGGAGGTGGAGAAACACTGCATCCTTATGTGGTCGAAGGTGGAAGGGCGAGCAAACTGAAGACTCTTTTACAAGGTCCTTAATACCATTGAAAATGGAAGCATCCCTGATGACCTAATTGCCTCTTAAATTTACAACATTTAGGAGGTAATTTAAAAGGTACCATCACATCGGTTGTTAAGTTTCAATACCTTAATTTTGGAGGTAAAACAAACATTAGCATACTGCTCACGGCCTCCCAAAATTCATGTCCTTTTCATATGCAGAACACATTAAATTCTATCTCAATAGCCCAAAAAGTTTTAGCTCATTTTAACATTAACTCAAAAGTCTAAAGTCTCATCAAGATATCAACTAAATCAGGTATGAGTAAGAACTAAAGGTATGTTTCATTCTGAGGTAAATTACTTTCTAGCTATAAACTTGTGAAATCAAACAAGTTACATGCTTTCAAAATACATGATGGGCCAAGCACAGAACAAATATTTAAATTCCAAAAGAGAGAAAAGAAGGAATAACAGGTCTCAAGTAAGTCCAAAATCCAACAGTGCAAACAACATTAAATCTTAAGGCTTCAGTATACCCTTGATGCCATGTCCCACTTTCCAAATACACCGTGTTAGGGTTGCATCAATAAGGCTCCTGGTTCCTTGCTTCTCTGTCTTTGTTGAGTGCATCCTACACTGCAGCTCCGATGGATTGCAGTCCAGTGCCTGTAGTTCTCCAGGATGCCACTGTAGCTAGTAGCTATACAGGTCTGAGGTCTTCTGGCAACTCTGTTTCCACAGATCTACTGAAAATTGCCCCACTTGGGAGTCTCTGTGGTGGCTCTGACCCTGTGACAGGTCTCTGCTTGGGTGTTGAGATTATCTAAGGCATCCTCCAAAACCTAGGTGGAGAAATCCATGTGTCCGTTCTGCAGGCTTGTGAATTAGCATCACATGGATGTCACCAAGGCTTACCAATTCTGCACTCTGGGGCAGTAGCTTGAGCTGCAGGTGGGCCCAACCTGAGACACAACTCAGCTGGCAAAGGAGTTCTGTGTCATAATGCAGAGAGCACAGACTTGAGGTGGCCCTGGGCAGTGAGTCCCAAGTTCCCCTCAAGGTCCTGGCACTCTGGGACTGTAATACACATGGCAGGCTTGAAGATATCTGAAATACCTTTGGAGTCATTTTCCCATTGTCTTGATGAATAGCACTTGGTTTTCTTCTTTTTATATTAATATCGTGATCAAATGGTTACTTGGCCACACCATTGACTTTCTTTTTGAAACGTACTTTATTATTCTTTACCTGGCCAGGCTGAAAATTTTCCAAATCTTTACATTCTCCTTCGTTTTTGATTACAAACCTCATCTTTCAATAGCTCCTCTCTCCTTACATTTACTATAAGCCATTAAGAGAAGCCATGCAGCAACCCTCAACACTTTGCTGCTTATATTTTTATAAGCAAATATTTTTATAATATTTTTCTGCCAAATATTATAATTCATTGCACTTAAGATTTGCCTTCCACAAAGTCCTAAGACACAGACACAATTCAGCCAAGTACTTTGCCACTTTATATCAAGGAGAGTGTTTCCTCTAATTTCCAATAACAGAGTCCTCATTTCCTTCTAAGACATCATCAGAATATTTTTTATCATCTGTATTTCTACCTACATTCTGTTCATGACCACTCTAGTAATCTCTAAGAAGAACGAGGCTTTCCCTAACGCTCTTCTCTTCTGAATCCTAACCAGACTTGTCCTTAATGCTTCATTCCTGAAAAATACAGGCTTTTTCCATCATTCACTTCAAAACTGCTGTAGCCTCCACTCATTACCTCTTTCCAAGACACTTCCACACTTTAGGTATTTGTTATAGGGACACTCCACTTCTTGGTACCTATTTCTGTCTTGACCTATTTGTGCTGCTATAACAGAATGCCAGAGACTAAATATTTATAAATGATGAAAATTTATTTTATTATAGCTCTAGGAGCTGGTATTTTCAAGATCCAGATGCTGACAGGTTTGGATGTCTCATAGGGGTCCCGTCCCTGCTTCTAAGATGGTGCCTTGATGTCTCGTAGGGGTCCCATCCCTACTTCTAAGATGGTGCCTTGAAAGCTCTTCTGGAGGAGAGGAACACTGGGTTCTCATGTGGTGAAAGACAGAAGAGCAAGGAAACTGAAGGCTGTGTGAAACCTTTTTTATAAGGGCTTTAGCCCATCAACAAGGAAAGAAGCCCTTATGACCTAAGCACCTACTAAAAGCCCCACCTCTTAATACTGTCACACGGGCCATTGTTTCAACACCTGAATTTTGGAGGGGAAACATTCAAACCATAGCAGATATCTACATAATTTATACCCAGTTAGAGACATCTCTCCAAGCACCTTCTCTCAAATATCCTTTTCACCAGTATTCTAATTATGCTCCTTCCAAGTCCCTGATCATCCAGCCTAACCATTAGTCATAGCCTATAAATTGATACATAATCACACATTTATTTATTTCTCCTTTTAAGCAAATTGGACAACCAAGTACATCAGTTAAAATTTTTCTAACTGGGAGGATTTCCCTTCACCATGGTCCTTCCAAAATGTCCCAGAAAGGAGCAGTAGTGCTGCAGCCACCCGCCTGAATATGGTGCACAACCATTTGTATCCAGGTCTGAGTCTTCTCTTCCACTGTCAATCGATTATAAGAAACTCCCTATGAAGCTATTGCTGAAGGCTTGCAGAGATAAGGCAGTGTAGCAGAAGTAGGGACATTAATAATTTACCTTTGCGTTAGTCCGTTAGTCTGTTCTTGCATTACTATAAAGAAATATCAGAGACTGGGTAATTTATAATGAAAAGAGGTTTAATGGACTCACAGTTGCACAGTCTGTACAGGAAGCATGGTTGAGGGGGCCTCAGGAAACTTACAATCATGGGGGAAGCTGAAGGGGAAGCATGTATGTTGTACATGTCCAGAGAAGGAGGAAGAGAGAGAAGGGAGGAGGTGTTACACACTTTTAAACAACCAGATCTTGTGAGAACTCACTATCATGAGAACCGAAAGGGGAAGTCCACCCCTATGATCCAATCACCACTCACCTGGACCCTCTCCAACATTGGGGATTGGAATTCAACATGAAATTTGGGTAGAGCAGCAAATCCAAACCATATCACCATCCATAATCCAAGTGCAGGCAATTTTATTTCTTTAATAAATACTTTTGCTGTCAAGAAAGGTACATGTCACTATTTAAATATGAAATATAAATATTACAAGTAGGTAAATTAGGTTTTCTTTTTTGAATGGATGCTCCTTAACATGTTATTCTGTTAATGCTCTAAAGAAAATTCTGAACATGCTATCACCATTTTCAAAATCGTTCAATAATAGTTCATTGGTTTTCCTGTAAGTTGGGGTAAAGAACATATCTTTGAACTACCCGACAAGGTCCCACCCATGCTGGCCTCCCTGAACACACTTGGTCCTTCCTGATTCTCTCTTTGCATACCAGCCACATTTATTATTTGTTGTTTCTTCAATGATCAAGGCTTTCTGATAATCTAGGTCTTCCCACCATGAAGACCTGTTGGATGCAAATGTCCACAGGCACTGCTTTGTTAAAAATAAAGGCTCTTGAGAGACCCACCCCAGAATTACTGAAACAGAATCTGCGTTTTGACAACATCACTAGGAAAATCATAGGCATTATAGTTTGAGAAGCACAGACCTAGGACACCTCCCACTGCAAGCCACTCCCTGGCTTTGTTTTACATTTGCTTTTTGTCTTCTTCCTAGTAAAATTTCCCATTGGATTTTAGCTTATAATGGGGGATCTAAATATATGTCTAAAATTTGCATGTCTGAAATTTGCATGGGAAGGACAATTGTATTTGAGGTTGCTCCCAAAGAGGATCTAGAACTTTGGCTTTATTAAAATTATGTTTTGGTTACTTCAAATAAGACTATACTAATTAAAGCACTAACAGTAAATTTTACATATAAACTAAAGTTTGAACAAATATGCCAGAAGTGTCATCCATGGTGGTAAATAGTAACATAAAGTGTTATTTCAATTGTTAAAACTAGAAGTGTCTACCATGAAATGATGTTTGTGATTCCAGAAGTTTGTAATGCCCTTGGGGACAACCTGAACTTACACTTGTGCAAATGCACAATGCCCATTAGAACAGCTTCAATTTGTCCTACAGGGAGTCCTCTGACACTGTTATGAGAA
Source organism: Homo sapiens (assembly GCF_000001405.40). Taxonomy (NCBI): domain Eukaryota; kingdom Metazoa; phylum Chordata; class Mammalia; order Primates; family Hominidae; genus Homo; species Homo sapiens. The sequence continues at coordinate 98,130,608 of NC_000003.12, forward strand.
TTTCAGTTTTTCATTCCTTTCTCTTCTGGCAAAAGACCCTAGTGGCACAACTGGGTCATTTATGTGCTCAAAGCATATTTAATAAACAACATTTTTCTATGCTTGGAAAAAGAAACCTTCAAAAAGAATGAATATGCCATGAATGGCTACCTGTATTATTGACATTGCTGTGCTACTGTATGTATTTTTGTTTAGAAAGCACAACGTGTTTAAAGGATATCCACAATTTCCTTCAATATATGGGTAAGGAAGAAATAACTTCTCTAATTTTTATTATAATTTATAGAAATGTTGATAATGCCATTTAATTCATTAAAATTTTAGATTGGGTAACAAGTTGTCATAATAGAAAGTCAGAAACTGGATGACTCTGACTGGACTATTTTTATATTTTAGTTTTATGACTCTAATATGGATAAAGAGTTATAAGACTGAATTTTTCCTTTAATATTTTGCTATTTTGTTAATCTTATTATGATGAGTTTATATAAATTAGGGCATTAAACAACTAAAACTTGGTTTAAAGATTCAGATAATAATGATTCTTAGAATTATTTCTTGGAATTATTCTGATATAAATACCCATTCCTCTGAATCAACCACATTCTCCAATTAAAACTTTTAAGGTGAGTCACTTACATATTAACTCCTGTATCCTTACACTCATGTTTGACAATAATTTGAGAGCTCACACTGTAAATTTTGTTGATGTGAATAAAGGTTGCATTAAGTAAAGTCCTGGTATTTTGGCTTTGGCTGCCTTGAAACCAATATCTTTTGTCCCTCTCTCCATATTCCAAATGTAGGATCAGTGTATTTAATTGGCCATCCTAGATCATGTCCCTTCACTTTAGATGTAAGAAAAATGGGAAAATGAGTTTCTAGTTCTTTTGGCAGTATGTTACCTCTGACAGCCACTATGATTTCGATGGCAAAAAAGGAGATCACACCTTGGCCATTTACAGGACATATGTCCACCTTGTTACCTCCTTAATATAACTTGCTCAAGTTGATTTTCTTGCCATTCCTTTTGGTTCTGTTTTACACTCCAAGGATGCATCATCTTTAACTATGCCTTTGACTGCCTTTGACTACCACAATGAATCCAAGCAATCATTTCTATTGAGCTCTAATAGGCTCATATTACTGATTGGAACACATCTAGTTGTCCAGATGATGCTCACTCCAAAAACTTGTCAGCACACCTGAGTTCTCAATGTTTAATATCCATCTTCCCAGTCACCAAGGGACTCCTCTCTCCTTCACTGACCACTTACTGCCTACAAAATATGTCACAGAATACTAGAGACTCTACATTCTGAATTCTTTAGAATCTATTTCTTTGTCTTACTGTCTCTTTCAATGTCATATCACACCAAGACCATACATTTAACATGCATTTGAATCCCCCGGAGGGTATTTTCAAAATGCAGATCCCCAGACCTAATTCCTTAAATAACTTCTACATTAAAACCTCATAACATATTTTTCATAAAAACTCACTCAGATAATTTTTATGTGTAATGTGATTTGGGATTGCCTGGGCCTTACTAACAAGTTTCTAATTAATATCCCTGAGTACAGTTTCTTCTTCTTGCAGCATATTTTCTACACTATCAAAAACTAAATTAAAAAAAATTAGGATGTAATTTCCCATCTTAAAATTTTTGGCACATGCTTATTGTATGAAGAATAAAGTTTAAGATACTTCACATGGCATTTATTTTATTTATTTTTAATTCAGACCGTACAAAAATCTTTCCTGTTGACATTGTATCATATGCCAGTCAAACAATTTTTCTACTGCACTCAATAGTGTCCATATAAATGTTGTGCATACAGAGAATGCCTCTTGTTTTACCTAAATCTGCTAATTACTGCACAGTTTCAAACCAAAATATATCATTTTTTCATGTCTTTATTGCAACAAATAGAGATTCATCAGCTATAGGACTGATCAAAAAATTGAGAGGGTTCTGATCATTTTAGGTTTTCCTTCAGCACCTCTTCCCCAATTTCAACTGATAATGCCATTGCAAATGTTCCCTTTCATTTGTTGCATTTTATTTTAGAGGGCATGCTGTGAGGACATGGAAGAGGAAAATGCAACATTGCTGACAGAGTTTGTTCTCACAGGATTTTTATATCAACCACAGTGGAAAATACCCCTGTTCCTGGCATTCTTGGTAATATATCTCATCACCATCATGGGGAATCTTGGTCTGATTGCTGTCATCTGGAAAGACCCTCACCTTCATATCCCAATGTACTTACTCCTTGGGAATTTAGCTTTTGTGGATGCTTGGATATCATCCACAGTGACCCCAAAGATGCTGAATAACTTCTTAGCTAAGAGTAAGATGATATCTCTCTCTGAATGCAAGATACAGTTTTTTTCGTTTGCAATCAGTGTAACCACGGAATGTTTTCTCTTGGCAACGATGGCATATGATCGCTATGTAGCCATATGCAAACCTTTACTTTATCCAGCCATTATGACCAATGGACTGTGCATCCGGCTATTAATCTTGTCATATGTAGGTGGTATTCTTCATGCTTTAATCCATGAAGGATTTTTATTCAGACTAACCTTCTGTAACTCCAACATAGTACATCACATTTACTGTGACACTATCCCATTGTCTAAGATTTCTTGTACTGATTCTTCTATTAATTTTCTAATGGTTTTTATTTTCTCAGGTTCAATTCAGGTATTCAGCATTGTGACTATTCTTGTATCTTATACATTTGTTCTCTTCGCAATCTTAAAAAAGAAATCTGATAAAGGTGTAAGGAAAGCCTTTTCCACCTGTGGAGCCCATCTCTTCTCTGTCTCTTTATACTATGGACCCCTTCTCTTCATTTATGTGGGCCCTGCATCTCCGCAAGCAGATGATCAAGATATGGTGGAGCCTCTATTCTACACTGTCATCATTCCTTTGTTAAATCCTATCATCTACAGTCTGAGAAATAAGCAAGTCACAGTTTCATTCACAAAAATGTTAAAAAAACATGTTAAGGTTTCATACTAATATCCTTTCTCTAATTACAAAAATAGTCACAAAATTATGCAAGTTAGAGGTACCTATGTTGTTTCCAGTGTTCAAACATTTTTGCAAGTACAACTGTTCTAGCACTTTAGTGAGCTAATGTTTTAGTACCTAATAAACTAATCGCAATATGTCTATATGTTATTCAAAAGCATTCAAGAAATTTTCATACTGTTCATAATAGAATAATGACTGTAGAAATCAAATAAAACTATTTAACAGTTGTATATGTTATTCAATGTGCATTTATAAATGCATTAATTGCTAAAATAGCCTAGTTTATCATATAAGGACTTGAGTATGATGGTTTTGATACTAATACTACTGAATTACCTGCGATATCCATCATATACCATAACTGAGGCAGATTTGTTTTTGAGTGAACAGAGGTAAGTCCCAATGATTCTGCTAACCATCAAGGTCTTCCATTTCATTATATTAGGAAAGGGTGAATTCTGTTTCTTGAAGGAAGTCAACTCGCAGGTCAGACAGAAATGGAAATGCAATGAGAAAAATAAAAATAGAAGGAATGAACAGTGAAGGCACTGCCATAGTGTAAGAGCATGCTCTTAACTCTATGTGCTCGTATGAGTAAGAAGAGGCAAGCTGCCTCTCACTTTCTAGGATGGCTTCTAAGGCCCTTCCCAGCTATGATTATATGATTTTAGACAACCTGGAAGCCTTCCCTAATTCAGGAAATTAAAAGATTAAATAGAATAACTGCATTTGGAGTAGACATAGAGAAGAAATAAGTATCATAAAAGAAAGAAAGTGGTCTTAATGTTTTTATGATGAAGCTACCAAGATGTGTAAAAATCAATAATATTGCAAGGTTGTTGGAATGTGTTGTTATCAACAAGAAGTTTTAAATGCCTGTCATGTAAGTTCAAATAATGTTAACATGATACGACATCATGGTGCCCAGCAAGAGGAAGCAAAAACAAAAAAATGAGGTAAGATTTTGGAGATTTTTTGCCTCGGAAAGTCATTGATTGTTAACCTTCTTAACACTTCTTGTACTTCAAGTATGTTAATCATCTTTCTACCAGTCCACCCTCTCCTTCATCTTTCAATACTGAAATTCCTTTCACATTCTCACTGATACTATTGAGGTCCCTAGCATAAAAACTACTCACATGTAGTTTTGCAAACCTCTAGTTACTTATTTCCTCCATCCTTCTAACAGTCACTCACTTCCCCAAAATGGCTGTTAGATTGTTTTTTCAAATGGAACTCTAACTAATTATATCCCTCTTCAATTCCTTTTGTTAGATTGTCATTGCTACCAGATTATATGCATGTATGTTTTAGGTATCTTATATCTATATGTATACATATGCATATGTTTAGTTTTTCATATGTATACATAGTGATACAAGATATATATTAGTACTTATATAGTTAAAATACAAATGTAGCAGCATTAGAATTTAGAGTTTATCTGAGGAGACTCGATTTATTTTGCAACACCAGATTGCATGTGGTATGGGGATTTCCTGAAGGTGCAAGAGAGGAGATAAAGGCTTTTACAGGGCAAATGTGAAAGTATGGCAAAAGTAAAGATTGTATTGGTTAAAGTGGAGCAGTAGTGTTATTTTGATCATTCCAGTGGAAAATTCCTAGTTAGAAATTAGCTGGGGTTTTTGGTTGGTTAAAGTTAACTTTTGTTTTACCATTTACAATGAGTTGGATTCCTGTTTGCTTAGGTACAAACCCACTTTGCTGGACCCACGTCAGCCTGATATACTTTTATTTAATTATTTTAACTCATTATGGTCAGCCTCTCATTATGGGATATTGACTAAAACTCAGGCATACTTGCACTCTCTGTGGCCAGCACAGCTGGTTTGTCTTTGTCTCAGCATGGAACTCATAAGTTACAATGTCTGGTCTCTTACAGAAGTGTTTCTTTTATGGACACTTCGTTTTTGTTATTCTAATCATAGTGAGAAAATCTGGCACAGTGTAGTGGCTACAAACTTGTATTTAAAACTCTTGAGAGAATACAACACACCAAGAAGATGACAATGACTATCACAAACATAGTACCAAGGGACTGGGGTATGCTCCATAGCCAAAGTACGTATGAACAAAACCAACTGAAATAAACCAAATGAAAATAATAAAAGGTTAATGGTTAAAACTACCTATAAGCTTAGCATGTGAGCCAGAGGGCAGTTAGTTGAGAAGACTTTTAGATTTAAGCTCAAAGCATCTTTAGATGATGAAATAAAATGGCAGTTGCAGTCTGATAATTTTTCTGTTTTTTAGTCTGAATGTCTTTTGTCATGTCATTGAATGTTTGGTGAACTTCCTGAGTGGGACACTAAGCATCATGCATGAAGATTATCCTCTGACATTTATATCAAGTTGTCCAGCCCTAGCTTGTAGCGCTTCAGGAATAGGACAGTTTCTAAGTAGATAATAAAACATCAAAGACAATGGACAGAACTGGAATTTAATTATGGGTGCGCTATATTTTTCTACTGAAACATGATTTTTCCCTCCATAATCAGGCCATTTCTTTCAAATGTAATTATAGTAAGACTAATTTATTTACCAACTAGATCTACCCTCATTAAGCTTCAAGTGAGTATTTACATAAGTGCAAGTTGGAATAGGAATTGATCATCTCTTTTTAAGAAGGCCTCATTACGACCTTTACTAAATAATCTCCGATTAGACTTTAAAGTTTCTTCAAGCTATAAAGTCACACCAACAACATACCATTAGTTTCACCTGCAACACTGATACATTTAGGTAAACTCCCCTGTACTCAAAAAGGTCCTAAAAGTATATTTCAGTTCCTGGGCCTTCCAGAGAGTAAGGTCTTTCTTCCTCTTTACCAATATGGCTAGAAAGCTTGTGAGCAGCTATCAGCCCAGATTTTCTAAAGGAACTGGCTGTAGTTATTTTTCTGATACCTGCAAATCTCATATTAAAATTTGATTCCAAATTCTGGAGGTGTCGAAGATGGGAGGTGTTTGGGTCATGGGGGTCGATCTCTCATGAATGCCTTGGTGCCATCATCATAGTAATAAGCATGTTCTTACTGTCTTAGTTCCCATGAGGGCTGGTTGATAAAAGAGCCCAGCACTCCACTCTCTCTCTTTCCTTTCCTCTCTCACCACGTGATCACCACACTTGCCAGCTCCACTTCGCCTGCTGTCATGAGTGAAGTAGGCTGAAGCTGTCATCAGAAGTGGACATTTAAGCCTTGTTTTCTGTATAGCCTGCAGAATTGTTCTCCAAACAAACACCTTTTACTTATAAATTACCCAGCCTCAAGAATTTCTTTATTGCAACACTAAATGGAATGAGGCAGGGCTTAATTGGATGCATAAAGTCAATTCTTAGTTTCTTAAAATTCTCCAGTCATATCTAATTTTATGCACATTCTCCAATGTGACATTCCAGTCACAGTAGTGGTAATATAACCATAATTATGTTATATTGTAATAACAGATTCTGATTAAAATTTTGCAAATACCTATATTGCAATCAAAATAAAAATGCTCAATGATGATTTCTGAATTCTGGAGAGGTCAGCTAAGGAGAAGAAGGTAAACGTATTAATTCTGTTTACAAAAGGTATACTTGGCCAGATTGTTTGCAAAGTTTCTTTAATTCTGGTCTCGTGTTGTGTTTCTAACGTTATCAGAAATCTTTACTTGTCAGAGCCTTTTCCGCAAATCTGTTGAGATTAGACAGATACTTTGCATACAGGGATGTTTCCTTTATGTTATTTAGTGGTATTTATTACCACACATTAACTAGAATTCTAAACTCTTAGTAACTTTCTTTTCTGGGATAGAAGCGATTGACAAATATACATCACACCGGCATTTTACAGATTGGCAAATCTACGAATATACAATTTCATAATTCCTAGAAGTATGTGCTTTCCCATTATATAATTTTTCAGTGTGCCACAGGACATGTTGAACACAAATATGAACACAAAAGTGAACCCAAATATCTTTGTTTCTTCTGTAATAAGAAGTCCAAAATAGAGAAGTGTATGTTCAGCAATTAGTCTTTTAAAAAAATGTTGTTTGGAAATAATCCAGATATTCAATGACTATTGATAATTTAATCAACTGTGTGAAACTCTAAGGGTTTAATTTACCACAGAGAAGTGGGAAGGTATTTTTAAGTAGACTTCTTATTAAACATAATTATGGTTTAAAAGTTCATTTATAAACGTATATTGTACTTACATCTATTTAATTCACTTATTCTGAATTGTTTGGTTTACTCATGAAAATTTCATAAGACATTAGACACAGCCAGTCATCGTTTCAAATTACTTTCTTGTTAACTACATTTACAGCACGTTTATGTCAGTGTAGCAGGACGAGCCGTGGGCAAAACCCCTCAGACACCGAGATAGTGAAGGGAGTGGCTTTAATCAGATGGGAGCATCGATAGGCTAGCGTCTTAAAATCCGAGCTCGTCAGGTGCTCAACTTCTGTCCCTTTTAAGGGCTCACAACTCTAAGGGGGTCCGCGTGAGAGGGTCGTGATCGATTGAGCAAGCCAGGGGGTACGTGACAGGGGCTGCGAGCACCGGTGGTCAGAGTGAAACAGAACAGAACGGGAGGTTTCACAATGTCCTACCATACGATGTCTGGAATCTATAGATAACAACAGTTGCTAGGTGAGGGGTCGAATTTTAACAACCAGGCTTAGGTCAGGCAGGCCCAGGCCTGGTTTCGGGTCTGGTTCCTAGACGCCAGGCTACCTGCCTTTAGTTTCACTTCTCTTTCCTTTTCTGAGTATAAAACAATATAAAACAATATGAGAGGGTCTCTCTCTTCCCTCATCAGTCAGTCATCATAAAAGCAAAAATCTAAAAGTCAAATATGTGTTTTTTTGTTTTATTGCCGTGCCTGATATATATGAAGTAAATGCCATTATATTTTCACATAGGTGTTTAAGTTGAATTGTTAGTTTTCTGACTTTAAACATCAGGCAGAGATAATATAAACTTACTTGACTCGTAAACTCAGATAATATAAAAGTTGTGTGTTTGTATTATATTTAATTCTGAAAACTCTAAAGAGATGTCTATTTTAATTAAACCAACAAACTTGAAATAGCTTTGACTTAACAGAGAATATCATAGATAATGTGAATCTGAAAAATATAATGGTGAATTTCTATCTTTCTGAGTTTAAGGAATCCTTAGTTTATATAAGCACATATTCTTCAATAAGCCAAATAAATAGAGCTCTATTAAAATTAGTTTTGCAGTACCATCCAAAGGTAGCAAAATGTCACACATACAAACATATATAGACATACATAAACATACAGAAAGAAGCAAATATTATAGTGTTCATTCTAAAATTGTAGCCATATGTCAGGTACAATAAGAACAAACTCAAGGCTGGGCACGGTGGCTCTTGCCTGTAATCCCAGAACTTTGGGAGGCCGAGGTGGGTGGATCACCTGAGGTCGGGAGTTTGATACCAGCCTGGCCAACATGGTGAAACTCTGTCTCTACTAAAAACAGAAAAATTAGACAGGCGTGGTGGTGTACCCGTGTAGTCTCAGCTGCTTGGGAAACTGAGGCAGGAGAATCGCTTGAACACAGTAGGTGGAGGTTGCAGTGAGCTGAGATCACTCCACTGCACTCCAGCCTGGCTGACAGAAGGAAACTCCATTTAAAAAAAAAAAAAACAGAAATAAAAAAAACCAAACTCAGTAATTTATAAGACTATCTAGACATGAACTGTGTTTCTCCTAGTTGGAACAAGTTAAGATGTCCTGTCCAGATGGTCAAAGCTTTTTATTAATATTTTTGGAAAGTGTTTTTACTATTTTTCTTTTGCTCCATTTACAAATGCCTCTTTTTTGTTCAGATGTGACGTGTCCTTGCAATTTGCTTGTAAAAGATAAAGCTCTCATGCCTTACAGTAAACATGTAAGAATATTTACATGTTAAGTCACAGTGCTTAGATTTCAGACTTAAATACCATCATTTTCCAAAACAAATAAACAAAAAAGAGTGTTGATAGAGACCTAATTAAGACAAGACAGCCAAGACAACCACCTTAAACAAAGGTAAGGTTTGTGATGTAGATTAACTTAATGCCTTCACCTTCTCCATTATTTAGAGATTTAGTCCTACTACTCTTCTTGGACCAGATATGTAGAACTCTTACAAATGGAGATTCCTTTAAATTTCTCTTCTAAAGAGAATCTCAAAAATAACCAAGCCAAAATAGTCTTTATGCCAATAGGTAAAATATTTTGGTAATTATTTGGCCCCATCATTCACATATCATTCCAGTTTTTGTTTTGTAACTACATTAAAGATTTCAGGGTGGATCTTATCAATGAATAGGACAAGGATTTTCTATGCCTGAACTCAACATAGATTGACCACAATGTTTTACAAATAGTACCTCTAATCTTGCCTTATATTCAGAGACTGGTTTGTCCTTTTTTCTTTGTTTGCATTACAGACAAGTGAGTTTTTGAAGAAATACTTTGGGGATGGATTCTAAGAGATTATTTCTTATTTCCTCAGCACTTTTGGTCTTTCCCTGGAAGATTGAGGGATTGGATCTTTGCATACCTATCTTAGGTATGCAACATTTAGCTTCAGCTACAGGCTTCACTAGGTCCCAGGATCATGTGAATAAACTGGTACAGGGAGTCCTAAATCATATGATCCAAGAAGAATTAGAAATTCCACAGAAAATGTCTGGGGCATATGTTTGGGCTGGATATTTTTCGCTATTGCTCTGAGCTCAGATTTTGATCAAGGTATAAAAATGGTTAAAGAAGGCAGGCCTGGTTCATCTGATGAACTGACTTTATAAGAAAACTGACCAGTTTTCTTTTACTCTTTCAGGTGAAAACATAATTGAGCAGAAGACTTAGTAGACTCAGAGTTATGAGATAGAGGATAATATAGAGAACATTATGAAATAAAAATGAGAAAACATTTCATAACATTATGAAAATGAGAAAAATCTCACATAGGAATATTTTGTCACTGAATCTGAAATAGGGAAATTAGACAGTACTTCTAAACTCCAAGCAGACTTTCTTCATTCCTGGGTGTAGGCCAAACTGCATGTGGGAAAAATTTACTTTATAGTGTTTGACTTTGAAACAAAGATGGTAAGAGCCCCTTGTCAAGGCAAACCTCCTCCTTTCTTGGGGTCCAGGCCACAAGATTAAATATTATGGCTCCAGAGTCATGCAGCCAGAGGCCATAATATTCCTAACCTCCCTAATTACTTCTGTAGATAACATTATTATTGTAAAACCAAAGATTTTTAGACCCTGTATTCCGATGAAACAACTGGCACCATCCAGACTGTAATCTTGCTTCTCTGGTCTTATAGCTCTTTTCCAGAAACTGGTTTACTACAAGAGGACAGCTTCAGCTTCATATGCATTTATCCCCAAACTAACAAATCAGCATTCCCCATTTCCTAGCCTCCTGCCTAAAAAACTATCTTTAAAAACCCTTAGACTCTGTCTGGGCACAGTGGCTCGTGCCTTTAATCCCAGAAAATTGGGAGGCTGAGGTGGACAGATCAATTGAAGCCAGGAGTTCGAGACCAGCCTGTCCAACATGGTAAAACCCTGTTTCTTATAAAAAAATACAAAAATTAGCCAGGCATGATGATGCATGCCTGTAATCCTAGCTATTTGGGGGGTTGAGCCATGAGAATCACTTGACCCCAGGAGGGAGAGGTTGCAGTGAGCAGACATCCGGTCAGTGCACTCCAACCTGGGTGACAGAGTGTGACTCTATCTCAAAAAAAAAAAAAAAAGAAACAAAAGAAAAAAAAGAAAGAAAAAGAAAGAAAGAAGAAAGGAAGGAAGGAAAGAAGGAAGGAAGAGAGAGAGAAAGAAAGGAAGAAAGAAAGAAAAAATAAAAAAAACCCAACACTCTAGCCTCTGAATATTTGGAGAGTTTGACTTGAGTTATAATTAATCTCTATTTTCCCATTTAGCCAGCTTTGTGTGTATTAAACTTTTTCTGTATTGCAATTCCCCTGTCTTGATAATTGGCTCTATCTGGGTAGCAGACAAGAAGAACTACTTGGTGGTAACATAGAGAGAAGGAGCAGTTGGAGTTAAGTTAGTCAATGACTTACACCTAGACTCTATGGGAAAAATACACACACACACACACACACACGCACACACAGACACACATAAACACACACACACATATTCTAATTGAATATAAAGATAGAATGACATTTTGAAGGTATAGTCAGAGAACCACCTATGAAGGAATACCTTGCAAGACTGTTTTTGTTTTTTCTCTTCTTTTCCCTTGACCATTGCCTAATAAAATTTCTTCACAAATTTCAGCTCCCTGAAAGTTAGGTAAATATCTGGAGTTTGAGCTGCAGTTTGCTTGAGGGGGACAATTTTACTTGTGATTGGCTTGTGAAGGGAATCTAGATCATTGGCCTTATTAAAATCATGACTAGCTCAGATGAGACTATACTAATCAAAACATTAAGACCATCCAATTTTTAAAAATCAACTTTATTTTCAGTTCTAGGGTGCATGTACAAGATGTGCAGATTTGTTACAAAGGTAAACATGTGCCATGGTGGTTTGCTACACAGATGAACCAATCACCTAGGTTTTAAGCCCAGCATCCATTAGCTATTCTTCCTGATGAAGAACATCTAATTTTATAAAAACTTCAGTTTGTATAAAATGTCACTAGTGTCGCATGTTGTGGAAAATTGTGGCATAAAGTATAATTTCAATTGTGAAAACTAGAACTAACTTCCAGTGACTTAATGTGTATGATTCTGAAGTCCGTATTACACTGTAGAATAATCTGTATTTCTCATACATATCTAAATCCACAATGCCCAGCTGAACATTTTCACTTCATCCAAGTGGAATTATTGTCACTTGTTCTTTATATTGTCTGCCTCAGGATTTATTCTTTTGCTTACTTGATTCTGCTAAAAATCAAACAATCAAACAAAAAACTGATGGAAAATAAAGTGCTCTCAACACCAGAAGCGAGATTTTTGGAAAAATTTAATCACTGCAACTAAAAGGGTAGAGTAACAGTTAAATATAGAATAAACTTTCAGACAGTGCTAACACATTCATGAACAGTATAAAATTTATAGGTAAAATTTCAAGTTAAAGTCTCTTTATCAAACATTAATTCCATAGAAAAATAAACTTGAATTTTTTTAAAAAAAGAAAATGAAAAGACTCTCAAAGCTCTCTCTAGCAGCAATGAACACCAGAGTTGATGCAGGCATTTAACCCAAACTTCGGAGCCTTTCCCTTTATTTTGGCTTAATGCATTTCTGATACTTTCTGTCTCCCTCTTTACTGACGTGTCTTTCTTGCATTTACCATCTATGACATGATTACTCTGTGCCTATTTTTCTTCCTCCTTGTTTTATTTCACCCACACAAATTTCCATTTCCACATTTCCTATCCCTTTCTTCTCTTGACAACTTCCTCTCACTTATCTATCTTTACCTATGAGAACTTTTCTTAAATACTCTAATGAAGTAAAACATTAGTTTATGAGCAGCAGACAAATGTGAATTTTTCTCCATGTGTGGCAGAGCAGTCTACCTCATCCCCCCATTGCTGTGCTACTTCTTTCCACTTCACTTCTTATTTGCTGACTTTTAATCTATTACTTGAGAATGCTCTCACTAAAGCCACTAAAAATGGCTTCCTTTCTACACACAGTGATTTCCCTGGACTCGTTTTCCTGTAGAGCATTTATTTCATCATTTTTCCCTGTGCTTTACTTGGTCACACTTATCTTTCCTCTCCCTCTCTTTATGTCCACAAAACCCAGCTTTCTAGTTCCCTCTTGCTTCTTCCCTTGATCACTCTGTTCACTGCCTTTTTCTGTTATCTCCCTTGTCTCTCTTTTGAACATCCAGGGCTTTGGGTTGCAATGGAAAAATTTTATTGAATGGATATTGACTCCAATATAGAAATGGTAGAGAAGGTGGAGGAATCAACTGGAAAATAACGGCAGAAACAGAAGGAAGTAAATCAGCTAGTCAGCAGCCAAAGTCCCTTCCCAACAGTAAATTCATGAGTGTGGCTGTTTCTGCTGCTAAAACACAGCTCATATTTTCAGTAGCATTGGTGTAGACATAGGATGCACGTGCTGGAATCTTAATGTTTTTGCCTCAATTGACTTCGCACTAATTTTTTTTTATCTATGTACATTTGTCTCCATCTCTCTATATCAAACTGTATTTTGGGTGGGTTTGATTGGGCAAATCTAGGTGAAATTCTTTGTTTGCCACCAAAACCCATGTGGTAGAAAGGGGTTCCAGGTGTTGGCCTGGAATGACTTGCATTGCCTTCATAACCTTTTAGTATGTTTCTCAAAATGTTTTGTATTTCAACTTTTATTTTAGATATAAAGAGTACATGGGCAGCTTTGTTACTTTGTTACTTGAGTATATTGAATGCATGTAGTGAGCATAGCACCCAACAGGTAGTTTTATTACTGATTCCTTCTTTCCTCCCTCCTCAATCTACTAGTCCACAGAGTCTATTATACTCATGTTTATGTCCTGTGTTCTCAATGTTTAGCTTCCACTCATAAGTGAGAACATGTGGTATTTGGTTTTCTGTTCCTTCATTAGTTCATTTAAGATTATGGCCTCCAACTACACCTATGCTGCAGCAAAAGACATGATTTTTTTTCCTTTTAAGGATGCATAGTATTCCGTGATCTATAGGTACCACGTTTTATTTATCCAGTCTACCACTGATAATGACTTAGGTTCATTCCACGTCTTTGCTATTGTGAATAGCGCAGCAATGAACATATGAGTACATGTGTCTTTATAAACAAAATAGCATAGTTCTGGTACAAAAACAGACACCTAGAACAATGGAACAGAGTAGAACACTCGGAAATCTAGCCACAAACTTACAATCATCTGAACTTCAACAAATCTGACAAAAAGTGCAATGGGGCAAGAACTGTCTACTCAATAAATGGTGCTGGGATAACTGACTAGCCATATGAAGAAGAATGAAACTGGCTAGCCATATATAGAAGAATGAATGCCCCCCACAACCTGTATCAAGGGGAAACTGGATGGGGGCTATCCCTAGTGGGGCAGCTCCTCAGTTCTGTGCACCACCAAACTTAGCACAGTCAGGTGATTGAATCCAAATTCATTCAGAACGTCGTTGAGATGAGGCGCTGTGTGGTGGAAGGAGAATGGCATTTGGAGCCAGATGAGCTAGGTTTGAGTCTTATCTCTTGTCCCATACCTTTCTCCATATAGAAAAATTAACCCAAGCTGGATTAAACATTTAATGTAAGAACTTATTCTGTAAATATCCTAGGAGAAACCCTAGGGATACCTTTCTCGACATCAGCATTGGAATAGAATTTTGGTTATGTCCTCAAAAGCAATTGCAACAAAAACAGAAATTGACAAGTGGTCCTTAATTAAACAAAGGAGCTTCTGCACAGCAAAATGAACTATTGTTAGAGTGTATAAGCAATCTACAGAATGGGAGAAAATATTTGAATACTATGCGTTCAATAAAGGTCTGCTATCCAGAATATATAAGGGATCTAACAAATCAACAAACAAAAAACAAATAACCCGTTCACCAAAGAGCAAAGTGCATGAACAGACGCTTCTAAAAAGACCATACAAGTGATCATGAGACGTGAAAAAATGCTCATCATCACTAGTCATCAGGGAAAGGCAAATCTAAATTAAAATGAGATGTCATCTCACACCAGTCAGAATGACTATTATTAAAAAGTCAAAAAAACAACCGATGCTGGAGAGGCTACCGAGAAAAGGGAACACTTATACACTATTGGTGGTAATATAAATTACTTCAGCCACTGTGGAAAGCAGTCTGAAGATTTCTCAAAGAACCTGAAACAGAGCTCCAATTTGACCCAGCAATCCCATTAATGGATATATACACAAAGGAAATTAGGTCATTATACCATCAATTTTTTTTCTTGCTATACTTCTCTTTTTTTTTTTTAGTGTACTCTCCAATAGATATGACATTCATAACTATATCCTCAGCTACTTAAATGACTTCCAAAATATTATTTCTATTACTCTTGTAGAATTGTATTACTAAATCTAAACAGCTCACCTGGATGTTCAAAGTGTGCTCACACTACAAACTCATCAATGCATCTGAGTTCTCAGTCTCTATTTTGGATGACTATCTGCCTACTCACAGAGTGACTCTTTTTCCTTCAGTGACCGCTATATTCTCATCAAATATGGGACTAAGTCCAAGTGACACTACATTCTGAATACCTTAGAATCTATCTCTTCATCCTTTTCATTATTCCCAACATTATATTACACAGGGATGAGGCCATTTAATTTAATTTTGTGTCATGTCAGTATTTATGTCGGCATATTATACTGCTTACATTTCTTTTCTGAAGAGTTTTCAGTGACTCCTGTGTATTCTATGTGGTATTTTCCTTACCTCTTTGTTTTTTTCTACAAACATTCTATGAAAAAAGGATAAGTGATTAAGGAATCTACCAAAAAATATGGCTTTTACTTTCCAACTAACTTACCATCCATGATTCAAGTGCAGGTTATTTTATTTCTTTAATGAACACTTTTACTGTCAAGGAAATTACATGTCACTATTTAAATATGAAATATAAATATTACAAATCAAGTCTATCAGATTTTGTTTTCTGAAAGAATGCTCACTAATGTGTTGCCGAGTTAATGTTCTAAAGAAAATACTGGACATGTTGCCATCATTTTCAAAATCCCTCAATAATGCTTCAATAATTTTTCTGTAAATTGCAGTAAAGAACAAACCACTGACTACCCTCTGAGTTCCCTTGGGAGCCTCCCCATGCTGGCTCCCTGAACAAAACTGGCCCTTCCTTGCTTCTCTCTTTTCATACCTGCCACATTTAACATTATTGTTTCTCCAGTGATCAAGGGTCTTTGATAATCTATGTCCTCCCATGATGAAGGCCTGTTGGATGGCAAATGTTCACAGGCATCACTTTGTTAGAAATAAAGGCTCCTGAGAGACCCACACAAGAACTACTGAGAGATGATCTGCATTTTGACAGGATCTCTTGGAAAGTAATAAGCATTATCATTTGAGAAGCACAGAATTAGGGCACCTCCCACTGCAGTCCCTGGCTTTGTTTTATATTGGCTCCTCCCTTGTCCTCTTCCTAGTAAAATTTCCCATCAGATTTTAGCTTAAAATGGAGGAACTTGGTATATGTCTAAAATTTAAGCTGAAATTTGAATGGGGAAGACAGCTATATTTGGTTTTGGCTCCTGAATTGCATCTAAAATTTTGGTCTTATTAAAATTATGCTTTGATTACATCAGACAAGACTATACTAATCAAAGCCCTAAGAGTAAATTTCACATATATACTAAAGTTTGAAAAAATATGCCAGAAGTGTCACTTGTGGTGGTAAATAGTGGCATAAAGTGTTATTTCAAGTGTTCAAACTAGAAGTGTCTACAATGAAATGATGTTTATGATTCCAGAAGTCTGTAATGACCTTTGGGACAACCTGGATTCTCATATGTGTCTGAATTCACAATGCCCACTTGAATGGCTTCAATTTGTTCTACAGGGAGTCTACTGGCAATCTCATGAGAACTTCAGTTTTTCAGTCCTTCATCTTCTGGCAAAGGTACCCAGTTGCACAACTGGATCACTTATGTGCTCAAGCCAAATTTTTATAACCAATGGTTTTCTAAGATTCAGAAATGAAGCATCCAAAAAGAAAGAACATGCAGTGAATTGATACAAGTGCTATTAACATCACAGTGTTACTGTGTTTTTTTTCTGTTTTAGAAAGTGTAACACGTTTAAAGGATATCCACAATTTCTTTCAAAAATATGGGTAAGGAAGAAATAATTTTTGTAATTTTCATTATGCTTTATAGAAATGTTGAAATGCTATTTAATTGATTGAAATTTTTGATCAGGTATACAAGCTGTCAAAATAGCCAGAAGAAAGTTGGGTAACTATTACTGTACTGTCTTTAGATTTCAGTTTTATGACTATACTATGGATAGGGTAAATAGTTATAAGACTGAATTGTTCCTTTAATGATATTGTATTATCTTGTTAATCTTGTTATAATAACTTCATATGATCTAGATCATTAAACAATTAAAACTTGGTTTAAAGGTTCAGATCATAATGATTCTTAGAATTTCTTGGAATTATTCTGATATAAGTACCCATTCCTTTTAATTAACTACACTCTCTGATTAAAACTTTTAAGATGAGTCACCTACAGATAAACTCCTGTATCCTTACACCCACATTTGACAATAATTTGACAGCTCACACTGTAAATGTTATTGATGTAAATAAAGGTACCTTTAAGTAGGGTCCTGGTAATTCTGCCTTGGCTACCTTTGAAACCAAAACCTTTCTGTGTCTCCATATTCCAAATGTAGGATCAGTGTGTTTCATTTGCCATCCTAGATCATGTCCCTTCACTCTACAAGTAAGAAGAATGGGAAAATGAGTTTCTAGTTCTTTTGGCTTCTAAAGCAGTAGATAACCTCCAACAGCTGCCAAGTCTTGGATGGCAAAAAAGATCACATCTTGGCTATTTACCAGACATATGTCCACTTTGTTACTTCTTCAATATAACTTGCTCCAGTTGACTTTCTTGTCACTCTTTTTGTTTCTTTGTTACTCTCCAATGGATCATTTTTAACTGTGCCTTTGACTATCACAATAATTCCAAGTAATTATTTCTATTAAGCTCTAACAGGCTCATATTGCTGATTGGATCTCACCTAGTTGACCACATGATGCTCACTCCAAGAACTTGCCAGCACATCTGAGTTCCCATCTTCAATAGTTAATGACCAATTACCCAGTCACCAAGTGACTCTTATCTCCTTTATTACCACTTCTTCCCCACCAAATATGTCACAGAATACTAGAGAATCTACATTCTGGATTCCTTGGAATCTATTTCTTTGTCTTACCATCTCTTCCAATGTAATATCACACATGGACTAGACATCTAGCATTCATTTGAATCATCTTGAGGGTATTTTTAAATACAGATTTCTAGAACTCATTTCTGAAATAATCAATTTCTACATTAAAATCTCACAATCTATATTTTTCATAAAACACCCTCCCAGATAATTTTTATGTGTGATCTGGTTTGGGATTGCTGGAACCTTAGTAACAAGTTTCTAATTAGTACTCCTTAGTCCAATTTCCCCATCCCGCAGCATATTTTCTACACTATCAAAAATTTTAAAAAATGTTATGATGGCATTTCCCATCTGAAAGTATTTGGTGCATTCTTATATTACGAAATATAAAGTTTAAGATTCTTCACGTGGCATTTATTTCATCTGGATATTCACTTATCCAGACATTTCAAAAACCTATTCCCCAGGACCTCCATTCATGTACCAGACACAGGATTGTTCTACCACATTCAAGACTGTGCCCATAAATTTAGTAAATCCAGAGTATGCATATTACTACCAAATTTTCAAACTAAAATATGACATTTTTTTCATTTCTTTAACCCCTTATAGGATTTCTTATTTATAATAATGATCAAAAAATTGAGTCTCTGATAATTGCACACTTTATATCAACACCTCTTTCCCAATTTCAACTCATAATGTCATTGCAGATGTTCCCTTTCATTTGTTGCATTTTATTTTAGAGGACATGCAGTGAGGACATGGAAGAGGAAAATGCAACATTGCTGACAGAGTTTGTTCTCACAGGATTTTTATATCAACCACAGTGGAAAATACCCCTGTTCCTGGCATTCTTGGTAATATATCTCATCACCATCATGGGGAATCTTGGTCTGATTGCTGTCATCTGGAAAGACCCTCATCTTCATATCCCAATGTACTTACTCCTTGGGAATTTAGCTTTTGTGGATGCTTTGTTATCATCCTCAGTGACTCTGAAGATGCTGATCAACTTCTTAGCTAAGAGTAAGATGATATCTCTCTCTGAATGCAAGATACAGTTGTTTTCGTTTGCAATCAGTGTAACCACGGAATGTTTTCTCTTGGCAACAATGGCATATGATCGCTATGTAGCCATATGCAAACCCTTACTTTATCCAGCCATTATGACCAATGGACTGTGCATCCGGCTATTAATCTTGTCATATGTAGGTGGTCTTCTTCATGCTTTAATCCATGAAGGATTTTTATTCAGACTAACCTTCTGTAACTCCAACATAATACAACACTTTTACTGTGACATTATCCCATTGTTAAAGATTTCTTATACTGATTCCTCTATTAACTTTCTAATGGTTTTTATTTTTGCAGGTTCAATTCAAGTTTTTACCATAGGGACTGTTCTTATATCTTACATATTTGTCCTCTATACAATCTTGAAAAAGAAGTCTGTCAAAGGTATGAGAAAAGCCTTCTCCACCTGTGGAGCTCATCTCTTATCTGTATCTTTATACTATGGGCCCCTCGCCTTCATGTATATGGGCTCTGCATCCCCACAGGCTGATGACCAAGATATGATGGAGTCTCTATTTTACACTGTCATAGTTCCTTTATTAAATCCCATGATCTACAGCCTGAGAAACAAGCAAGTAATAGCTTCATTCACAAAAATGTTCAAAAGAAATGATGTTTAGATCATTACTAATATCTCTTTTCTATTTACTAAAATGTCACAAAATTGTGCAAATTAGAGGTACCTATGTTTTTGCCAGCATTAAAAGATTTTGCAATTATAACTGTCCTAGCGCTTTAATGACCTATGATATAAGCACCTATTTAACTAATTAAAATATTCCTATGTTATTCAAAAGGATTTGAGAAATTTTAATCAAGTCTTCATAATAGAATAATGATAGCAGAAGCAAATAAAAATATTGTACAGTATGGTATGTTAATCACTGTGTCTTATAAATGCATTAAATGCAAAATAGTCTAGTTTATCTGATAAGCACTTAAGTATGATGTTTTTGATACTAACACAACTGTATGACCCGAGACGTCTATCACATTTATCTTCATAGTGAATGTTGATGTGTGTTTAGAGGAAGACAGGTAGATCCCAAGAATTTTGCTAGCTTTCAAGAGGTCTTTCATTCCACTTAATTGTAAAAGAGTGAATTTCACTTCTTGTAGGAAGTCAACTCATATATCAAATAAAGAAGCAGAAATGGAAATGCAATTAGGACAAAATGAGAAGTGTTTAACAGTGAAGGCACTGCCAATGTGCAAGAGGGCAAGAGGATGCTGTTAACTCTCTGTGCTTGTATGAGTAAGAACCATGCAGCCTCTAACTTCCTAAGATGGCTTCTAAGGCACTTTCCAGCTGTGATTGTGTTTTCAGAGAATCTGAAAAGCTTCCCTAAATCAGAAAATTAAATGAAAAAATAGAACTTAGTTTAAAGTGGGGATAGAAAAGAAAAGATAAATGGCATAGTGGGAAGAAAATGGTCTTAATCTTCCCAGAAAAAAAGATGAAACTACTAAGATTTTAAAAACCAGTGATGTTACAAGGTTATTGGAATGCGTTATTGACAATCAGGGGCTTTAAATGCATATCATCAAAGTTCAAATTATCTTAAGATGATATGACATCATAGTGCCCAGTGATTGGAGAGAAAAACATGAAAATGAGGAAGAGTTCGGATATTTTCTACTTCAAAAAGTCCTTATTAGTCTTCTTCTCACTTCATATTCTTGAAGTATGTGAGTCATCCATCTGCCATTCCACTCTGCCCTTCATCTTTCGACACTGAAATTCCTTTCACTTTGTCACTGATACCGAGACCCTTATCCTAAGCATTACTCACATATCGTTTTGCAAACCTCTAGTTATTTCCTCCACCCTTCTAGCACTCATTCATTCCCCCATTTTGATGTCAGATTGTTTTTTCAACTCTTTCAATTTTCTTTTGTTGGATCATCATTGCTACCTGATTATACGTACATGTGTTTTAGGTGTCAATATCTATGTATACATACACTTATGTATACATGAGAGGAGAGAAAGGCTTTTGTTGATTTAATGCGGAAGTACGTTAAAAAGAAACTTTTTTGGCTAAAGTGGAGCAGTAGCGTTATTTGGATTATTCCAGTAGAAAGTTCCTACTTAGAGGTGAGTTGATGGTTTCTGATTGGTTAAAGTAAACTTTTGTTAAGAACCTATCATCAGAGTGAACAGGCAAACTGCAGAATGGGAGAAAATTTTTGCAATCTGTCCATATGACAAAGGGCTAATATCCAGAATCTACAAGGAGCTTAAACAAATTTACAAGAGAAAAACAAACAACCCTATCAAAATATGGGTGAAGAATATGAACAGACAGTTCTCAAAAGAAGACATTTATGCAACCAGCAAGCATGTGAAAACCTTGTCATCACTGGTCATTACAGAAATGCAAATCAAAACCACAGTGAGATACCATCTCACGCCAGTTAGAATGGCAATCATTAGAAAGTCAGGAAATGTTAGATGCTGGAGAGGATGTGGAGAAATAAGAACTCATTTATCCTGTTGGTGGGAGTGTAATTAGTTCAACCTTTGTGGAAGACAGTGCGGTGATTCCTTATGAATCCGGAGCCAGAAATACTATTTGACTCAGCAATCCCATTACTGAGTATATACCCAAAGCCTTATAAATCCTTCTAATATAAAGACACATGCACATGTATGTTTACTGGAGCACTATTCACAATAGCAAACACTTGGAACCAACCCAAAGGCCCATCAAGTATAGACTGGATAAAGAAAATGTGGCAAATATACACCATGGAATACTATGCAGCCATAAAAAAGAATGAGTTCATGTCCTTTGCAGGGACATGGATGAAGCTGGAAACCATTATTCTCAGCAAACTAACACAGGAACAGAAAACAAAACACTGCAAGTTCTCACTCATAAGTGTGGGTTGAACAATGGGAACACATGGACACAGGGAGGGGAACATCACAAACTGGAGCCTGTCAGGGGGTGGAGGGGAAAGGTAGGGAGAGCATTAGGACAAATAACTAATGCATGTGGGACTTGAAACCTAGGTGACGGGTTGATGGGTGTAGCAAAACGCCATGGCACATGTGTACCTATGTAACAACCTGCACATGTATCCCAGAACTTAAAGTATAAAGAAGAAAAAAGTTAACA
This sequence comes from Homo sapiens, assembly GCF_000001405.40. NCBI lineage: Eukaryota > Metazoa > Chordata > Mammalia > Primates > Hominidae > Homo > Homo sapiens. The sequence goes on from NC_000003.12 coordinate 98,152,824, forward strand.
TTTTCTTTACCATTTACTATGAGTTGGGGTTTCTGTGTGCTTAGGTAGAAACCCATTTTGCTGGAGCCACCTCAGCCCAATGTACTTCAATTTAATTATTTTAACTATTTTCTCCCTTTTGTTTCACTTCTCAATTATAGGATACTGACCAACACTCAGGCACATGGAGCACTTTCTCACCACCAGAGCTTGTCTTTGTCTCAGCATGGAACTCATAAGTTACAATTTCTATTCTCTTAAAGCAGTGTTTCTTTTATTGGACACTTTGTTTTTGCCATGTTAATCATATAGAGAAAATCTGGCAACCGTCATGGCTATGAACTTGCATTTCAGACTCTTGAGAAAATACAGCATACCAGCAAGATTACAATGATGACCCCTTGAGGAAAATACCAAGGAACTGGGGAGTACTCCATAGTCAAAGCACCCATGAACAAAATCAACAGAAATAAAACAAATAAAAGTTAATGGTTATAGGCTAGGCACAGTGGCTCACGCCTCTAATCCCAGCACTTTGGGAGGCCGAGGATGGCGGATCGCTGGAGGTCAGGAGTTCCAGACAAGCCTAGCCAACATGGTGAAACCCCATCTTTATGAAAAATGCAAAAAATTAGCCGGGCGTGGTGGCAGGTGCCTGTGATCCCAGCTACTTATGAGGCTGTGGCAGGAGAATCACTTAAACCCAGGAGTGGGAGGTTGCAGTGAGCCGAGAAGGCACCACTGTACACCAGCCTAGGGAACAGAGTGAGACACTGTCTCAGAAAAAGAAAAGAAAGTTAGTGGTTATAGCAATCTATAAACTTAGTATCTAAGCCCAGAGGGCATTTAGTTGAGAAGATTTTTAGATTTTAAGCTCAAAGCATCTTTTGATGATGGGACAAAATGGCAGTTGCAATCTGTTGATTTTTCTGTTTTGCAGTCTGAATGTCTCTGATTATGTTATTGGATGTTTTGGTGAACTTTTTAGCAGCCAGCTCAGTTGCATGTATGAAGATTGTCCTCTGAAGTTTATATCAAGTTGTCCAGACCTAGCTTGCAGGGCTTCAGGAAAAGGGCAATGTATAGGTAGATAAGAAAACTCAAAGATAACAGACAGAACTTGAATTTAATAATGAATGCACTATAATTTTCTACTGAAATATATTTTCAAATATTTGAAAATGTTTGACAGATCATCAGCTTCCCAGTGTAGCTTTTGTTTTGTAACTAGGTTAATGAGTTGAAGGTGGATCCCACTGATGAATAGGACAAGTATTTTCTATGCCTGAACTCAACATGAATTGACCAGAATGTTTTACAAATCATACTTTTAATTTTGCCTTATAGTCAGAGATTAATTCCTGTTTTGTTTATAAGATTACATGTCAGACCAGTGGATTTTTGAGGAAATACTTTGTGAATGGATTCTAGAGGATTATTTGTTATTTTCCCAACCCTTTTTGTTCCTTTTCTGGAAGATTGAGGGGTTGGATCTTTCCTGTCTACCTTAGGTACCTCACGTTTGGCTTCAGCTATAGGATTAACCAGGTTAAAGTATCATGTTACTAAATTGATAAAGATCAGGGAGTCCTGGATTATATAATCCTGGAAGAATTCTAAATTCCACAGAAAATGTCTGGCACTTTTGTTTGGGACAAGGATATTTTTCCCTATTGCTCTCAGCCCAGATTTTGACCAAGGTGTAAAGGTGGTTAAAGAAGGCAGGCCTGGTTCATCTGAGGACGTGACTTTATAAGGCATTTATCTAGTTTCCTTTATTTTAATGGGTGAAAATGTAACTGAGCAAAAGGCTTAGTAGATGCAGAGTGACAAGATAGAGTATGATAGAATGAAATATAGTTGAAACCACCTTTGCAAAAATGATGACAGAAAAATCTCACATAGGAATATTATGACAGTGAATCTGAAATAAGAAAATCAGGCAGTGCTTCTAATCTCCAAGCTGCCCTTCTTCATTCCTGAGTGTAGGTCCAACTACCTCTGGGAGGAATTTATAGTTTGATTTTGAAACAAAGATGGTAACAGTCTCTCCTCAAAGCAAACTTCCTCCTAGCTTGGGGATCTGACCACCTTTGTAAAACTCACAGATTATCACAAGATTAGAAATTATGGCTCCTGATCATCATGCAACTGGAGGCCATGGAATTCTAACCTTCCTAACTGCTCCCACAGATAATATTCCTATTGTGAAATCTAAGATTGGTGTTCAAGGTATTTTGTAGATCCTGAATTCTGATAAATCAGCTGGCAACATTCAGAATGGTAAAAGGACTCCTCTAGTTTTGTGACCACCCCCCTGCTGCAGGATCCACAAGAAGACAGTTTTAACCCCTATGATTTTATCCCCAACACAACCAATCAGCTTTCCTCATTCCTTAGACCGCTGCCCAACAAACCGTGTTTAGAAAACCCTACCCTCTGGATTTTTGGAAAGGGTGATCTGAGTAATAATAAAACTTGAATCTCCCATTTAGCCAATTCTATATGGATTAAACTCTCTATTGTAATTCCTCTGTCTTGGTAATGGGCTCTATCTAGGTGTCAGGCAAAAAGATCTCATTAGGTGGTTCCGTACAGAGAGGGAGCAGTTGGAGTTAAGTCAGTCAATGATCTACACCTAGACTTTCTGGAAATTATATATAAACTAATCCGATAGAATGATAGAATGCCATTATGAAGTTATAGTGACAGCACCAACTAGGTGGCAAGGCATTGCAAGATTGTCTTTGTTTTTATTTTTTCCTCCCCCTGATGTTTGCCTGTTAACATTTCTCAACAGATTTCAGCTCACCTGGAAGTTAGATATATGTCTGGAGTTTCAGCTGCAGTTTGAAGGAGGAGGACAATTTTACAAGTTTACTTGGGGTTGCCTTCTGAAGGGAATCTAGATCTTTGGCCTTATTAAAATCATATTTTGACCAGCTCTGATGAGACCATATTAATCACAGCATTCAAAGCATCCTATTTTATGTACAAACTGAAGTGTGCGTAAAATCTCAGAAGTGTTATGTGTTGTGGATAATAGTGGCATAAAGTGTAATTTCAATTGTTAAAACCCAAACTGGGTACAGTGACTTAATATCTATGTTTCTAAACTCTGCAATACCCTGCAGGATAATCTGTATTTCTTATACACATCTAAATCCACAATGCCCAGTTGAAGATCTTCACTTTGTCCTACAGGAAAGCCTAAGATGCTCTCAGGGGAATTTCAGTTCTCTGACTTTTTCTCTCCTGGTCAAAACGGAGATATACAATTGGTCAGCACTTTTGTTGAAAGCAAATTTTTACAAACATTTTTCTAAGACTGGAAATGAAGCCTCCAAAATGCATCAGTACACAAAGAATTGCTGCCTGTGTTATTATCAGATATGCTCTATTATGTATTTTTCTCTGCTTTAGAAAGCCTAATACTTTTAAAGGATCTCCATAATTTCTTATGATATTAGTAAAAGAGAAATTATTTTATCATATCCACTATTATTTTTAAAGAAATTTTAAAATGCTATTTAATATATAATGTTTGTATTTGGATCACAGCATGCTAAGATTGCTGGGAACAAATGGAACCAAGAAGAGTGAAGAATCTTTGTATCTCATTATTATGGTTAAAATCTTGACAAGCAAAATACCTATAAAATAAGTTTTTAATGATAATTCATTATCTTGTTAACCTGACTATAATGATGTTATAAGTTCTGGCTAATTAGAAGCTTAAATGTTTTAAAGCTGGGTTTAAATCTTCAATTCATTGTGATTGTTATATAGGATACTTTTCTGATGGTTGTGATGTAGTTTCATTCTCTGTAATCACACTCTCCAATGAAAACTTTTAGGATCTGTCTATTAAATATTATCTCCTCTATACCTTCACCACTTCTTTCAATAATTTCATTGATTACTTCTTATACATGGTGCATAAATATATAAAGAATTAAATATGTAGAAATATACATTTTTCATATTGAGCATTTTAGATCTACATGGTAATACTAGTAATAGTTATAGTGTATGTGTATCTATGCATATACCTCAGAAAATATGCAGAAAATGTACTTCCCTAACCTTGTTAGCATTTATGATTTTAAAAGTACCCCAAAACAAATTGAATTTTACAATTTGTCACTATTTTGTAATTTGGGATTGCATGAAAGGAAACCAATGCCTTATAAAAATTTACAAGTGGAATTACTGTCATTTGTTTATTACAATGTTTGTATTAGGATCCAGTCTTTGTCTTACTTGATTCTGCTAAATCAAAGAAAAAAAACTGACAGAGAAGAAAGTGCTCCAAAATCAGCAACATTTCTTGAGAAATTTAGTTTTAATCACTGTAACAGTAAAGATAAAGCAACATTTAAATATGGAGTAAACTTTCAGACAATGCCGATATATTCATGAACAGTGGAAAATTGATGGGAAAAAATTATAGTCAAAGTTGTTTTATAATACACAAATTGCATAGCAAAATAAACTTTGATTTTTTTTTAAAAAGGAAAATGAAAAGACCCCCGGGGCTCTCTGTAGTCTTCACGAACAGCAGAGTTAATGCACAGATTCAACCCAAGCTCCTGAGCCCTTCCCTCTATTTTGCCTTAGTATATCTCTGACACTTCCTCTCTCTCTTTTTGTGGCTTGTTTTTTTTACACTTACCCACCTATGACTTCATTATTCTCTGTCTATTTTTCTTCCTCATTCTTGTTGTACTTCACCAACCCACACAAATTTCCCTTATTCCTTTTCTCCGCTCGACGTCATCTTCTCCTCTTCTCTCAATTGTCTATCTTTACTTTTGAGAACTGTACTTAAATATTCCACAGAAGGAAAAAATATTAAATTATTCTATGAGCAGTAGACAAATGCCAACTGTTCTCCACATGTCGTAGAGTACTCTAACTCATCCCTTCACCGTTGCGCTGCTTGTCTCCCATTCACTTATTTGCAGACCATTATTCTATTACGTATGGGAAATGGTTCTCACTAACGCCACTAAAAATCACTTAATTTATTTCCTTTTTTCTTTTTTTTGAGATGAAGTCTTGCTCTGTCTCCCAGGCTGGAGCGCAGTGGCACAATCTCAACTCACCGCAATCTCTGTCTTCCGGGTTCAAGAGATTCTCCTGCCCCAGCCTCCTGAGTAGCTGGGATCACAGGCACCCTCCACCATGCCTGGCTAACTTTTATTTTTTTTATATTTTTAGTAGAGATTGGGTTTAACCGTGTTGGTCAGGCTGGTCTTGAACTCCTGATCTCAGGTGATCTGCCCACCTTGGCCTCCCAGAGTGCTGGGATTACAGGTGTGAGCCATTGCGCCAGGCAAAAAACAAACAAACAAAAATCCTTAATTTCTATACACAGTGATTTCCCTTCACTCCTTGTCCTACTAGAGCATTTATTTTGTCATTTTCCCCTATATATCACTTCGTCACACTTCATGTTTTCCCTCTCTATGTCCACAACACTCAGCTTTTTAGTTCCCTCTGACTTCTTCCCTTCAACACTCTGCTCAGTATCCTTTTCTCTTGTCTCCCTGGTCTCTCTTTTGAAAATCCCAGGGCTTTGGGTTGCAACAGGAAGTAAGTTATTGAATTGATATTTACCACTGAAATCACAGTGAAGTTGGAGAAGTCAGCTGGACAGTATGGCAGCAACAGGAGGAAGCAAAACAGCCAGTCAGCAGCCAAAATCTTATTCCAATAGCAGCTTCATGAGGGCGGTTGTTTCTGCTTCTGTGCTTCCAATGACACAGCTTACATTTTCAAAGGCATTGTTCTAGATGCAGGATGCATGTGATGGGATCTTGATATTTTTGCCTCAACTGCCTTTGCACTAAGTTTTTTTTTGTTTGTTTTTGTTTTTTGTTTTTTTTTTATTCCTTTGCATTTGTCTCCATCTATCTCCAGATCTAGGATGGGTTTGGTAGGAAAATCTAGGTGAAATCCTTTGTCTGCCACAAAGAGTCATGTAGTAGAAAAGTGTTTCAGGTTTTAGCCATCTCATGGATGACATGCATCCCTTTCATAACCTTTTAACATAAGTATCTCAAGTGTTTTGTTTCGTTTTTTAGGAAAAAGTTATCTTTTTTTCAGATATGAAAGTTACATATGCAGGTTTGTTACATGTGTATATTGCATGCAGGTTGTGACCATAGTACCCATTACTCCCTATGCTCTCACCACTCCAGTAGTCCGCAGTGTCTATTTTTCCCATGTTCATTTCCATTTGTGTTCAATGTTTATCTCTGGCTTATAAGTGAGAACAAATGGCATTTGGTTTTCTGTTCCTGCATTAGTTCGCTTAGGATTATGGGCTCCAGCTGCATCCATACTGCTGCAAAGGACATGATTTTATTTTCATGTCCTTTGAAAGTTTTAGTATTTTATGCTGTGTATGTACCACTTTTTTTAATCCTATCAACCACTGATGAACCGCTGATGAACAGCAAGATTCATTTCCATGTCTTGCTATTTTGAATAGCATGGCAGTGAACATACGAGTGCATGTGTCTTTATAAACAAAAAAACCATGGTACTGGTATGAAAACAGGGACATAGGCCAATGGAAAAGAGCAGAAAACTCAGAAATTAATCCATACACTTAAAACCATCTGATCTTCAACAAGGATGACAAAAACAAGCAGTAGAGAATGGATCCCATATTCAATAAATGGTCCTGGGACAACTGTCTAGCCATATGCCAAAGTAAAAAAGTGGACCCTTAACTTTCACCATCTAAAAAAGTTAGTTTGAGATAAATTGGTGTTTAAATACAAGACCTCAAATTGTAAAAATTCTACAAGATAACCTAGGAAATGCCCTTCTTGACATTGGCTTTTGTAAAGAATTTTTGGCTATGTCCCAAAAGTAACTGCAATGAAAACAAAAACTGACAAATGGGTCCCAGTTAAATGAAAGAGCTTCTGTGCAATGAAAGGAACTATCAATAGAGTCTACAACCAACCAACAGAATGGGAGAAATTATTCACAAACTATGCATCTAACAATGTGCTAATATTCGTAATCTATCTAGAAGGAACTTAAATCAGCAAGAAAAAAACAGATAAACCCATTATTAATGGGGCAAGGGACATGAACAGACATTTCTTAAATGGAGACTTACAAGTGGTCAGCAAATAATGAAAAAATGCTCATCATCACTAGTCATCAGAGAAATGCAAATCAAAACCAAAATGAGATACCATCTCACACTAGTCAGAATGACTTTTTTAAAAGTAAAAAACCAACAGATGCCAGAGAGGCTGCGGAGAAAAAGGAGTGTTTTTACATTGTTGGTGGGAATGTGTATTAATTAGTTAAGCCATTGTGATTAGCAGTCTGCAGATTTCTCAAAGAAAGTAAAAAAGAGCTACCATTTGACCCAGCAATCCAATTACTGCATGTAGACCAAAAGATAATTACATCATTATACCATCAAGTGTTTTTTCTCTTTGCTATGTTTCTGTTTCTTTGTGTACTCTGCAACAGATAAAACATGCATAACTATAGTCTCCACTATTCCAATGACCCACAAATTATTTTTTCTCTTACTCTAGTAGAATTATATTACTAATACTAAACAGCTCACCTACATGTTCAAGGCATGTTCACACCACATGCTTGTCAATGCATCTGAGTCCTCAGTCTCTGTTTTGGATGACTATCTATTCACAAAGTGACTCCTTTTTCCTTCACTGAATACTGCTTTCCAACCAAATATATAACTAAGTCCTAGTGATGTTGCATTGTGAATTCTTCAGAATCTATTTCTGAATCCTCCTCATTATTGCCAATGTTCTATTACACAGGGATGAAGCAATTTGTTTATTTGCCTGTTGATTCAGAGGAATAAAGAGACCAGAGTGACCTGGTGGCAGTCTTAACTTCTAGCTCAATGGAATCACCGTTTTATCTCCTAGTATAAGCGGTCTCTTTTGGAGCTAAGATTTCAAGGCAAGAAGAGTGCAGTAACAAGAAGCAAACTTTTCTAGTGAGTCATTAGATTTAGTGAGTGGGTCCACTCCTGTTTCCACCATTTTGATTTCTAGGCTCATGAATCCAGCTCACAAGAGAAGTAGCAACATATATTGAATGTGAATCCAGATAATATATGGCATTCTGGAGAACCTTGCTCCAGCCCTGCAAATTATTACCACCTAATTGGTGCTGTAAATGAGTTCTCAAAAAGTCATTTCACAATTCTATTATACTGGCTGTCTCAGGATGGTGGGAAACACAGTAATATAGTAAGACCAATGAATTCCATGAACTTGGTCCCATTGCTCCAGTTCATTTGCTGTGAAGTGAGTTCCTTAATCAGGAGGAATGTTGTGTGGAATACCATGACAGTCAAGAAGGAAGTCCATGGATGGTAACTTCAACCGAAGCACTGTGCAGAGGGAAGACATTTCTGTATCCAGAGTAAGTATCTACTCCACTAGGAACAAAACACTGCTTCTTTCATGATAGAAGAAGTCCAATGTAATCAACTTGACATCTAGTTTAATGATTATGGATTGGGGACTCAATGTTAGCTTCTTTTGCTGATTGATTGAGCACCTCGCAGTGGCCCTAGACAGGTTGGCTTTGGTAAGTGGAAATCCATGTAGCTAAGCCTAGGCATAACTTCTATCCCTATCACCACAGCCACCTCAGGCCTACTGGTATCCATAGATCGGTCATTCTATCTGCTTGATTATTAAAATTCTCCTCAGCTGAGGATTTTAATAATCAGGAGGATACATTGGTGAACATCCACATGAGCTACAAGTACTGTCTTAGTCCATTTGTGCTGCTATAGCAGAATACCATAGAGAGAGTAATTTACAAGAAACAAAAATGTACTTTTTCAGAGTTATGGAGGGTAGGAAGTCAAAGATCAAGATGCCATCAGATTGGATTTTCTGGTGAGGACTGTTCTCTGCTTCCAAAATGGCTCCTTCTTGCTGCATCCTCTTGAGGGTAGAAACACTGTATCGTTACATGGTTAAAGGTGGAATGGCAAAGCAAACTGAAGCCTCTTTTATAAGGTCCTTAACACCACACAAAATGGAAGAAGCCCTCATGACCTAATTACCTCCTAAATGTACCATCTTTAAGAGGTCATGTAAAGAGTACCATCACACTGGTTAAGTTTTAATAAGTTAATTTCTGAGGGAAAACAAACAATAGCATTCTGCTCATGGCTTCCCAAAATTCATATCCTTGTCATATACAGAATACATTAAATTCTATCCTAACAGCCCCAAACTTTTAACTCATTTCAGTATCAACTCAAAAGTCTAAAGGCTAAAGTTTCACCTAGATACCATCTAAATCAGATATGAGTAACACATAAAGAACGTTTCATTCTGAGGTAAATTACTCTGTAGCTATAAACCTGTGAAATCAAACAAGTTACATGCTTCCAAAATACATGATGGGCCTGGCAGAGAACAAATATTTTGATTCCAAAATGGAGACGTAGAAAAGAAGGAATAACAGGTCTCAGTTACATCCAAAACCTAACAATGCAAACAACATTAAATCTTACGGCTTCAGGATAGCCTTGATGTTATGTCCCACTTTCCAAATACACCGTGTTAGGGGTTGCATCAATAAGGCTCCTGGTTCCTCACCTCTCTGTCTTTGTTGAGTGCATCCTACACCGCAGCTCCTATGGATTGCAGTCCAGTGCCTGTAGTTCTCCCAGGATGCCACTGTAGCTAGTGGCTGTACAGGCCTGGCTTCTGGCTTCTGGCAGCTCTGTTTCCAAAAGATCTACTGAAAATTGCCGCACTTGGGAGTCTCTGTGGTGGCTCTGACCCTGTGACAGGTATCTGCTTGGGTGTTGAGATTATCTGAGGCATCTTCTGAAACCTAGTGGAGAAATCCATGTGTCCGTTCTGCATGCTTGTAAATTAGCATCACATGGATGTCACCAAGGCTTACAAATTCTGCAGTCTGGGGCAGTAGCTTGAGCTGCAGGTGGGCCCAACCTGAGACACAACTCAGCTGGCAAAGGAGTTCTCTGTCATAATGCAGACAGCACAGACTTGAGGTGGCCCTGGGCAGTGAGTCCCAAGTTCCCTTCAAGGTCCTGGCACTCTGGGACTGTAATACACATGGCAGGCTTGAAGATCTCTGAAAAACTTTTGGAGTCATTCTTGCATTGTCTTGATGAATAGCAGCTATCTTTCTTCTATTATAAAGAGACTAATATCATGATCAAATGGTCACTTGGTCACACCATTGGCTTTCTTTTTGGAACATCCATCATTATTCTTTACATGGCCAGGCTGAAAATTTTCCAAATCTTTACATTCTCCTTCCCTTTTGATGACAAATTCCATCTTTTAATAGCTCCTCTCTCCTTGCATTTTACTATAAGCCATTAAGAGAAGCCATGCAGCACCCTCAACACTTTGCTGCTTATAGATTTTTTCTGCCAAATATTATAATTCATTGCACTTAAGATTTGCCTTCCATGAAGTCCTAAGACACAGACACAACTCGGCCAAGTTCTTTGCCACTTTATATCAAGGAGAGTGTTTCCTCTAATTTCCAATAACATAGTCCTCATTTCCATCTAAGACATCATCAGAATTTTGTATTATCGATATTTCTACCCACATTCTGTTCATGACCACTCTAGTAATCTCTAAGAAGAATGAGGCTTTCCCTACTGCTCTTCTCTTGTGAATTCTAACCAGACTTGTCCTTAATGCTTCATTCCTGAAAAATACAGGCTTTTTCCATCATTCACTTTCAAAACTGCTACAGCCTCTACTCATTACCCTTTTCCAAAGACATTTCCACATTTTAGGTATTTGTTATAGGAACACTCCACTTTTTGATACCTATTTCTGTCTTGGCCTATTTGTGCTGCTATAACAGAATGCCAGAGACCGAGTAGTTTATAAACAATGAAAATTGTATTACAACTCTAGAAGCTGGTATTTTCAAGATCCAGATGCTGGCAGGTTTGGATGTCTGGTAGGGGTCCCCTCCCTGCTTCTAAGATGATGCCTTGAAAGCTCTTCTGGAGGAGAGGAACACTGTGTTCTCACGTGGTGAAAGGCAGAAGGGCAAGGAAACTGAAGGCTGTGTGAAACCTTTTTTATAAGGGCTTTAGGCCCATCAACAAAGAAAGAAGCCCTTATGACCTAAGCACCTACTAAAGGCCCCACCTCTTAGTACTATCACTCTGGCCATTGTTTCAACACCTGAATTTTGGAGGGGAAACATTCAAACTATAGCAGATATCTACATAATTTATACCCGGTTAGAGACATCTCTCCAAGCACCTTGCCTCAAATTTCCTTGTCACCAGTATTCTAATTATGCTCCTTCCAAGTCCCTGGTCATCCAGCTTAACCATTAGCCATAGCCCATAAATACATATATATTCACACATTTATTCATTTCTTTAAGTAAATTGAAAAACCAAGTACGTAATTTCCAATTTTTCTAACTGGGAGGATTTCCCTTCACCACTGTTCTTCATAAATGTTCCAGAAAGGAGCTGTAGTACTGCAGCCACCTACTTTGGGCAGTGCCTGAATATGTTGTACAATCATCGGTATCCAGGTCCACGTCTTCTCTTCTGCTCTCAATTGATTGTAAGAAGCTCCTTATGAAGCTATCACTGAAGGCTTGCAGAGATAAGGCAGTGTAGCAGGGGTAGGGCCCATGAGCATTTGGGCCTCTTCTTCATATAATTTACCTTTGTGTTAGTCTGTTTTTGCATTGCTATAAAGAACTATCAGAGACTGGGTAATTTATAATGAAAAGAGGTTTAATGGACTCACAGTTGCACAGGCTGTAGAGGAAGCATGGTTGGGGGGGCCTCAGGAAACTTACAATCATGGGGGAAGGTAAAGGGGAAGCATGCATGTTGTACATGTCCAGAGAAGGAGGAAGAGAGAAAAGGCGGGAGGTGCTACACATTTTTAAACAACCAGATCTCATGAGAACTCACTATCATGAGAACAGCAAGGTGGAAGTCTGATCCTATGATCCAATCACCACTTACCTGGCCCCTCTCCAACATTGGGGATTGGAATTCAACATGAAATTTGGGTGTAGAAACAAACCCAAACCATATCAACATCCATAATCCAAGTGCAGGTTATTTTACTTCTTTAGTGAATACTTTTACTGTCAAGAAAGTTACCTGTCACTATTTAAATATGAAATATAAATATTACAAGTAAGTAAATAAGATTTTATTTTCTGAATGGATGCTTATTGAGGTATTGCTCCTCACAAGAGAGCATTAGCTGCGGGGATCTGCCCACAGACCCTGACCTAAATGACAGATGCCTAAAATGTACACTGACACACAGATATTCTGCTTTGCCAGTCCAGCTGAGTGTCCGACCGCCAGCACACCAAGAGAGGTTTTTACTGGGGCCAGCCCTGAACAGCTCACACTCCAGGCATTTATTTAGTATACAATTAACAACAGAAGCTTTGAGTAAACACACTGGAGGATAATTAACATCGTTAAGAGAGTAGTTCTACCAATGATTAAAGCTCAGGTACCATGGTCTAAAGTAAATACCATTTGGGGGCAATATCCCTGGTCGACCCTCCCTCCCCGGCAGAGGGCCATCTAACTCAAAGGTTAGTTAATGGAGGTAGGGTCAACAGACTTAACTGGGGAAGCCTCTGTTGTCCTTAGTATTTACCTTATGACCTAATGCTCTAAGGTAAGAACCGGCTGCCTTCAGCCTGTTCAATTATTACAAGCTATGTAACCTTTCGGCCTTCCAAAAGTTTTGTGACTATTCCCTACAACTTTCCATAATATTTCCCTTTAATATTTCTGCCACCATCCGGAGTGAATCCCAGCTCTCACTAATATGTTATTCTCTTAATGCTCTAAAGAAAATTCTGAACATGCTATCACCATTCTCAAAATTGTTTAATAATACTTCATTGGTTTTTGTGTAAGTTGGGGTAAAGAACATATCCTTGAATTACCTTCTGAGTCTCCTTGAGAGCCTCCCCACGCTGGCCTCCTTGAACACACCTGGTCCTTCCCTGCTTCTCACTTTTCATACCAGCCACATTTACCACTTATTGTTTCTGCAATGATGAAGGCTCTCTGATAATCTAGGTCTTCCCATGATGAAGACCTGTTGGATGCAAATGTCCACAGGCATCACTTTGTTAGAAATAAAGGCTCCTGAGAGACCCACACCAGAACTGCTGAAATAGAATCTGCATTTTGATAACATCACTAGGAAAGTCATAGGCATTATAGTTTGAGAAGCACAGACCTAGGACACCTTCCACCGTAGTCCCTGGCTTTGTTTTACGTTTTCTCCTCCCTTGTCCTCTTCCTAGTAAAATTTCCCATCAGGTTTAAGTTTAAAATGGGGAAACTACATATATGTCTAAAATTTGAGCTGAAATTTGCATGGGAAGGACAATTGTATTTGAGGTTGCTCCAAAAGAGGTTCTGGAATTTTGGCCTTATTAAAATCATGTTTTGATTAACTCAAATAGGAATATACTAATTAAAGCACTAACACTATATTTCACATATAAACTAAAGTTTGAACAAACATGCAAAATTGTCATCCATGGTGGTAAATAGTGATATAAAGTGTTACTTCATTTGTTAAAACTAGAAGTGTCTACAATGAACTGATGTTTGTGATTCCAGAAGTCTGTAATGCCCTTGGGGACAACCTGGACTTATACATGTGCAAACACACAATGCCCATTAGAACAGCTTCAATTTTTCCTACAGGGAGTCCTCTGACACTCTTATGAGAATTTCAGTTTTTCACTCCTTCCTCCTCTGGCAAAAGTCCCCAGTTGCACAACTGGGTCACTTATATGCTCAAACCAAATTTAATAATCAACATTTTTCTATGCTTGGAAAATGAAACCTTCAAAAAGCATGAGTACGTAATGAATGGCTACCTGTGTTATTGACATTGCTGTGCTACTGTATGTATTTCGGTTTTAGAAGGCGTAACACATTTAAAGGATATCCACAATTTCCTTCAAAATATAGGTAAGGAAGAAATAACTTCTAAATTTTCATTATGCCTTATAGAAATGTTGAAAATGCTATTTAATTCATTAAAATTTTAGATCGGGTATACAAGCTGTCGAAATAGCAAGATGGAATTTGGATAACTCTGACTGGATTATTTTTTATTTCAGTTTTACGACTATAACATAGATACGGTAAATAGTTGTAAGACTGAATTATTCTTTTAATATTTTACTATTTTGTTGATCATATTATAATGACTTTGTATGAACTAGGGCATTGAACAGCTAAAACTTGGTTTACACATTCACATCATAATGATTCTTATCTTGGAATTATTGCTGATTATTTTGATATAAATACCCATGCTTTTTAACTAACCACATTCTCTAATTAAACCTTTTAAGGTCAGTCACTTACATATGAACTCCTTAAACCCATGTTTGTCAATAATTTGACAGCTCACACTGTAAGTGTATTGATATGAATAAAGGTTGCATTAAGTAGAGTCCTGGTATGTCCACCTTGATTACCTTCAAAACCAAAATCTTTTGTCCCTGTACTTCTCTCTCTCTCTCTCTCTCCATATTCCAAATGTAGGATCAGTGTGTTTCACTGGCCATCCTAGATCATTGTTTCCTCACTCTAGAGGCAAGAAGAATGGGAAAATGAGTTTCTAGTTCTTTTGGCTTCTAGAGCAGTAGGTAACCTCTGATAGCCACCAAGACTTGGATGGCAAAAAATAAGATAACATCTTGGCCATTTACAGGACATATGTCCACTTTGTTAGCTCTTTAATATAACCTGCTCGAGTTTATTTTCTTGCCATCTTTTTTGTTTCTTCATTACTCTCCAATGGATAGATCATTTTTAACTATGCCTTTGACTACCACAATGAATCCAAGTAATCATTCCTACTGAGATTTAATAGGCTCATATTATGATCGGAAAATACCTAGTTGTCCAGATGATGCTCACTCCAAAAACTTGTCAGCACACCTGAGTTCTCAATGTTTAATGTCCATCTTGCCAGTCACCAAGGGACTCCTCTCTCCTTTACTGACCACTTACTTCCTACAAAATATGTCACAGAATACTAGAGACTCTACATTCTGAATTCCTTAGAATCTATTTATTTGTTTTACCATCTCTTCCAATGTTATATCTCACAAGGACTATACATTTAACATGCATTTGAATCACCTGGAGGGTATTTTCAAAATGCAGATCCCTAGACCTCATTCCTGAAATAATTTCTACATTGAAAGCTCACAACCT
Source organism: Homo sapiens (assembly GCF_000001405.40). Taxonomy (NCBI): domain Eukaryota; kingdom Metazoa; phylum Chordata; class Mammalia; order Primates; family Hominidae; genus Homo; species Homo sapiens. Next base: position 98,168,092 of record NC_000003.12, read on the forward strand.
ATATTTTTCATGAACACTCTGTCAGATAATTTTTATGTGTAATGTGATTTGGGATTGCCTGGACCTTACTAAGAAGTTTCTAATTAATATCCCTGAGTCCAGTTTCCTCTTCTTGCAGCATATTTTCTACACTATCAAAAACTAAATTTAAAAATATATTAGAATATAATTTCCCATCTTAAAATTTTTGGTACATGCTTAACGTATAAAGAATAAAGCTTAAGATTCTTCATATGGCACTCATTTCATTTATTTTTAATTCAGACCCTTCAAAATCTTTTCTGTTGACATTGTATGATGGGCCAGACACACAATTTTTCTACTGCACTCAATAGTGTCCATATAAATGTAGTGTATACAGAGAATGCCTCTACTTTTACCTAAATCAGTTAATTACTGCACAGTTTCAAACCAAAATATATCATTTTCATTTCTTTAATGCATCAAATACACAATTCATCAGTTGTAGGACTGATCAAAAAATTGAGAGGGTTCTGATCATTTTAGGGTTTATTTCAACATCTCTTCCCCAATTTCAACTCATAATGTCATTGCAAATCTTCCCTTTCATTTGTTGCATTTTATTTTAGAGGACATGCAGTGAGGACATGGAAGAGGAAAATGCAACATTGCTGACAGAGTTTGTTCTCACAGGATTTTTATATCAACCACAGTGGAAAATACCCCTGTTCTTGGCATTCTTGGTAATATATCTCATCACCATCATGGGGAATCTTGGTCTGATTGCTGTCATCTGGAAAGACCCTCACCTTCATATCCCAATGTACTTACTCCTTGGGAATTTAGCTTTTGTGGATGCTTGGATATCATCCACAGTGACCCCAAAGATGCTGAATAACTTCTTAGCTAAGAGTAAGATGATATCTCTCTCTGAATGCAAGATACAATTTTTTTCCATTGCAATTGGCGTAACCACAGAATGTTTTCTCTTGGCAACAATGGCATATGATCGCTATGTAGCCATATGCAAACCTTTACTTTATCCAGCCATTATGACCAATGGACTGTGCATCCGGCTATTAATCTTGTCATATATAGCTGGTATTCTTCATGCTTTAATCCATGAAGGATTTTTATTCAGACTAACCTTCTGTAACTCCAACATAGTACATCACATTTACTGTGACACTATCCCATTGTCTAAGATTTCTTGTACTGATTCTTCTATTAATTTTCTAATGGTTTTTATTTTCTCAGGTTCAATTCAGGTATTCAGCATTGTGACTATTCTTATATCTTACACATTTGTTCTCTTCACAGTCTTAGAAAAGAAATCTGATAAGGGTGTAAGGAAAGCCTTTTCCACCTGTGGAGCCCATCTCTTCTCTGTCTGTTTATACTATGGCCCCCTTCTCTTAATGTATGTGGGCCCTGCATCTCCGCAAGCAGATGGTCAAAATATGGTGGAGCCTCTATTCTACACTGTCATCATTCCTTTGTTAAATCCTATCATCTACAGTCTGAGAAATAAGCAAGTCATAGTTTCATTCATAAAAATGTTAAAAAGAAATGTTAAGGTTTCATACTAATATCCTTTTTCTATTTACTAAAATAGTCACAAAATTACGCAAGTTAGAGGTACCTATGTTGTTTCCAGTGTTCAAACATTTTTGCAAGTATAACTGTCCTAGCACTTTAATGACCTAACATTTTAGTACCTAATAAACTAATTAAAATATTTATATGTTATTCAAAAGCAATCAAGAAATTTTCATTGTGTTCATATCATAATAGAATAATGATTGCAGAAAGTAAATAAAAGTATTTAACAGTTTTATGTGTTATTCACTGTGTGTTTATAAATGCATTAATTGCTAAAATAGCCTAGTTTATCATATAAGGACTTGAGTATGATGGTTTTGATACTAATACCACTGAATTACCTGAGATGCCCCTCACATTTAACCCATAGTGGAGGCAAATTTGTTTTTGAGCCAGCAGAGGTAAATCCCAATAATTCTGCTAACTATCAAAGGTCTTCCATTTCACTATCTTAGGAAAGGGTGAATTCTATTTCTCACAGGAAGTCTACTCACAGGTCAAGTAACAAAATAAATGGAAATGGAAATGCAATGGGAAAAATAAAAATAGAAGGAGTTAACAGTGAAGGAACTGCCATAGTGTAAGAGCATGCTCTTAACTGTGTATGCTTGTATGAGTAGGAAGAGTCAAGCCACCTCTAACTTTCTAGGATGGCTTCTAAGGCTCTTCCCAGCTGAGTTTATATGACTTTACACAATTTGAAAAACATCCCTAATTCATGAAATTAAAAGATTAAATAGAATAACTACATTTAAAGTAGGCATAGAGAAGAAATAAGTATCATAATAGAAAGAAAGTTGTCTTAATATTTTGAGGAAGAAATGAAGCTGCCAAGGTTTGTAAAAATCAGTAATATTGCAAGGTTGTTGGAATGTGTTGTATCAATCAGAGGCTTTAAATGCCTGTCATAGAAGTTCCAATAATGTTAATATGATATGACATCATGGCGCCCAGTAAGACGAAGCAAAAACATGAAAAGGATGTAAGAGTTTGGATATTTTCTGCCTCAGAAAGTCATTGATTGTTAACCTTCTGACACTTCATATACTTAAGTATGATAATCATCTTTCTACCAGTCCACCCTGTCCTCCATCTTTCAACAATGAAATTTCTTTCACATTCTCATTGATACCACTGAGGTCCCTAGTCTAAAAACTACTCACATGTAGTTTTGCAAGCCTCTAGTTACTTATTTCCTCCAACCTTCTAACAGTCGCTCACTTCCCCAACATTGCTGTCAGATTGTTTTTTGCAAACGGAACTCTAACTAATTATATCCCCCTTCAATTTCTTTTTTTAGATTATCATTGCTATCAGATGATATGCTTGTATGTTTTAGGTACCTATATCAGTATGTATACATATGGATACGTTTTGTTTTTGATATGTATGCATGGTGATAGAAGCTATATATTACTACACATATAGTTAAAATACAATTGTAGCAGCATTAGAATTTAGAGTTTATTTGAGCAGACTTTATTTTGCAACACGAGATTGCATGTTGTTTGGGGCTTTCTTGAAGGGGCAAGAGAGGAGATGAAGGCTTTTACAGGGCAAATGTGGAAGTATGGCAAAAGTAAAGATTGTATTGGCTAGAGTGGAGCAGTAGTGTTATTTTAATCATTCTAGTGGAAAATCCTTAGTTAAAAATTAGCTAGGGGGTTTTGGTTGGTTACACTTAATTTTTGTTTTACCATTTACAATGAGTTGGATTCCTGTTTGCTTAGATACAAACCTAAGTTTATTAGGCTGGACCCATATCAGCCTAATAAACTTTTATTTAATTATTTTAACTATTTTCTCCCTTTTGATCAGCCTCTCCATTATGGGATATTGACCAAAATTCAGGCACACTTGCCACTTTCCGTGACCAACACAGCTGGTTTGTCTTTGTCTCAGCATGGAACTCATAAGTTACAATGTCTGGTCTCTTACAGAAGTGTTTCTTTTATGGACACTTTTTTTTTTGCTATTCTAATCACAGTGAGAAAATCTGGGACAGTGTGGTGGCTACAAACGTGTATTTAAAACTCTTGAGAAAATACAGCACACCAGGAAGATGACAATGACTATCACAAGGATACTACCAAGGGACTGGGGTATGCTCCATAGCCAAAGTACACCTGAACCAAACCAACTGAAATAAACTAAAGGAGAACAAAAAGTTAATGTTTAAAGCTACTTGTAAGCTTAGCATGTGAGCCCAGAGGGCAGTTAGTTGAGAAGATTTTTAGATTTCAGCTCAAAGCATCTTTAGATGATGAAATAAAATGGCAGTTGCAGTCTGATAATTTTTCTGCTTTTCAGTCTGAATGTCTCTTGTCATGTCATTGAATGTTTGGTGAACTTCCTAAGTGGGACACTAAGCGTCATGCATGAAGATCATCCTCTGACATTTATATCAAGTTGTCCAGCCCTAGCTTGTAGCGCTTCAGGAATAGGACAATTTCTAAGTAGATAATAAAACATCAAAGACAATGGACAGAACTGGAATTTAATTATGGATGCACTATATTTTTCTACTGAAACACGATTTTTCCCTCCATAATCACCCCATTTCTTTCAAATACAATTATAGTAAGACTGGTTTGTTTACCAAATAGGTCTACCTTCATTAAGCTTCAACTGAGTATTCATATAAGTGCAAGTTGGAATAGGAATTGATCGTCTCTTTTTAAGAAGCCCTTGTTACGACCTTTACTAAATAATCTCAGATTAGACTTTAAATGCTCCTCAAGCTATAAAGTCACACCAACAACATACTATTAATTTCACCGGCAGTACTGATAGATTTAGGTAAACTCCCCTGTACTCAAAAAAGTCCTAAAAGTAACTCTCAGTTTCCTGGGCCTTCCAGAGTGTAAGGTCTCTCTTACTCTTTACCAGTATTGTTAGAAAGCTTGTGAGCAGCTGTCAGGCCAGATTTTCTCAAGGAGCTGGCTCTAGTTTTGTTCGATAAACACCCGCAAATCTCATGTTGAAATTTGATTCCAAATACTGGAGGTGTAGAAGATGTGAGGTGTTTGGGTCATGGGGGTCGATCTGTCATGAATGCCTTGGTGCCATCCTCATACTAGTAAGTATGTTCTTACTGTCTTAGTTCCCATGAGGGCTGATTGATAAAAGAGCCCAGCACTCCACTCTCTCTCTTTCGTTTCCTCTCTCACCACGTGATCACTACGCATGCCAGCTCCACTTCTCCTGCTGTCATGAGTGAAGGAGGCTGAAGCCGTCATCAGAAGTGGACATTTAAGCCATGCTTTCAGTACAGCTTGCGGAATTGTTTTCCAAATAAACATCTTTTATTTATAAATTACCCAGCCTCAAGTATTTCTTTATTACAACACTAAATGGAATAAGGCAGGGCATAATTAGCTCCATAAAGTTAATTCTTAATTTCTTAAAACTCTCCAGACATATCTAATTTTATTCACATTCTCAAATATGGCATTCCCTTCACAGTAGTGGTAATATTTACCATAATTATGTTATATTATAAGAACAGATTCTGATTAAAATTTTGCAAATGACTTTATTGCAATCAAAATAAAAATACTCGATGGTTTCTGAATTCTGGAGATAGCAGCTAAGGAGAAGAAGGTAAATGTATTAGTTCTGTTTGCAAGTGTATACTTAGTCAAATTGTTTATGAAGTTCCTTTAATTCTGGTCTCATGTTATGTTTCTAAAGTTATCAGAAATCTTTACTTGTCAGAGCCTTTCCAGTAAATCTGTTGGGATTTTTAGTACAGCTTCTTCCACAATCATTCATGAAAGCATCAGAGTAACACAACAAGCTGTCTGTGAATTTCAAAGTTCTTCAAATGACCAAAGCTAAAAATCTGTTAGAGTTTATTTAAGTGCAATGGACATAGAGATTTTGTTACTCTGTGACACAAAACAGGATAATAATTAGAATTATGACTGACAGTAGTACAATAGTGTTTAAGGATATATAAGAGTTCTGGAAATTTCATAAAAGTCTAGATTATTATATTAATGAAATGTGTCTGTACAAATATAATAAAGAATGAAAACCATCACCTTTATTGGATAATGCTTCCCATCGAATTTAATGCATCAAAAAGCCTTTTTATAAGAGATGAAACAATTCTTTTTATGAGAGATGAAACAAATTCTTTTAAGATATTCTAGAGGCTCATCTGAGAAATCCCAATGTCCAAGGTCAAAAAAGACTTAAATCAGAATTTAATTGTGGGAAGTTTGTTTAAAATATTAAATGATTTAAATAATTGATTAAACATAGTCATATGTCACTATGAAACAACATCACAGTGGAAAAAGATTTCAAAGGCAAATAGAAAAATGTATGTTAGTGTAAAAGAAAAATTGTAGCTTTTTTAACATTGAGAAAACTCAGTTTTTTTTAAAGTAATCAAGTACCAATAAAAGATAACATAAATCAGGGAGGTGGAGCCAAGATGGCCGAATAGGAACAGCTCCAGTCTACAGCTCCCAGCGTGACTGACGCAGAAGACGGGTGATTTCTGCATTTCCATCTGAGGTACCAGGTTCATCTCACTAAGGAGTGCCAGACAGTGGGTTCAGGACAGTGGGTGCAGTGCACCGTGTGCGAGCCAAAGCAGGGCGAGGCTTTGCCTCACTCTGGAAGTGCAAGGGGTCAGGGAGTTCCCTTTCCTAGTCAAAGAAAGGGGTGACAGAGGGCATCTGGAAAATCGGGTCACTCCCACCCTAATACTGCACTTTTCCAATGGGCTTAAAAAACGGCACACCAGGAGATTATATCCCGCAGCGGGCTCAGACGGTCCTATGCCCACAGAGTCTCGCTAATTGCTAGCACAGCAGTCTGAGATCAAACTGCAAGGTGGCAGCGAGGCTGAAGGAGGGGCGCCTGCCATTGCCCAGGCTTGATTAGGTAAACAAAGCAGCCAGGAAGCTCCAACTGGGTGGAGCCCACCACAGCTCAAGGAGGTCTTCCTGCCTCTGTAGGCTCCACCTCTGGGGGCAGGGCACAGACAAATAGAAAGACAGCAGTAACCTCTGCAGGCTTAAATGTCTCTGTCTGACAGCTTTGAAGAGAGTAGTGGTTCTCCCAGCACGCAGCTGGAGATCTGAGAACAGGCAGACTGCCTCCTCAAGTGGGTCCCTGACCCCTGAGCAGCCTAACTGGGAGGCACCCTCCAGTAGGGGCAGACTGACACCTCACACTGCTGGGTACTCCTCTGAGACAAAACTTCCAGAGGAGCGATCAGGCAGCAGCACTTGCGGTTCACCAAGATCCGCTGTTCTACAGACACTGCTGTTCTGCAGCCACCGCTGCTGATACCCAGGCAAACAGGGTCTGGAGTGGACCTCTAGCAAACTCCAACAGACCTGCAGCTGAGGGTCCTGTCTGTTAGAAGGAAAACTAACAAACAGAAAGGACATCCACACCAAAAATCCATCTGTACATCACCATCATCAAAGACCAAAAGTAGATAAAACCACAAAGATGGGGAAAAAACAGAGCAGAAAAACTGGAAACTCTAAAAAGCAGAACACCTCTCCTCTTCCAGAGGAATGCAGCTCCTCACCAGCAATGGAACAAAGCTGGACGGAGAATGACTTTGACAAGTTGAGAGAAGAAGTCTTCAGATGATCAAACTACTCTGAGCTACAGGAGGAAATTCAAACCAATGGCAAAGAAGTTAAAAACTTTGAAAAAAAATTAGACGAATGGATACCTAGAATAACCAATGCAGAGAAGTCCTTAAAGGAGCTGATGGAGCTGAAAGCCAAGGCTCGAGAACTATGTGAAGAATGCAGAAGCCTCAGGAGCTGATGTGATCAACTGGAAGAAAGGGTATTAGTGATGGAAGATGAAATGAATGAAATGAAGTGAGAAGGGAAGTTTAGAGAAAAAAGAATAAAAAGAAATGAACAAAGCCTCCAAGAAATATGGACTATGTGAAAAGACCAAAACTATGACTGATTGGTGTACCTGAAAGTGACGGGGAGAATGGAACCAAGTTGGAAAACACTCTGCAGGATATTATCTAGGAGAACTTCCCCAATCTAGCAAGGTGGGCCAACACTCAGATTCAGGAAATATAGAGAATGCCACAATGATACTCCTCGAGAAGAGCAACTCCAAGACACATAATTGTCAGATTTGCCCAAGTTGAAATGAAGGAAAAAATGTTAAGGGCAGCCAGAGAGAAAGGTTGGGTTACCCACAAAGGGAAGCCCATCAGACTAACAGCGGATCTCTTGGCAGAAACTCTACAATCCAGAAGAGAGTGGGAGCCAATATTCAACATTCTGAAAGAAAAGAATTTTCAACACAGAATTTCATATCCAGACAAACTAAGCTTCATAAGTGAAGGAGAAATAAAATACTTTACAGACAAGCAAATGCTGAGAGATTTTGTCACCACCAGGCCTGCCCTAAAAGAGCTCCTGAAGGAAGCACTAAACATGGAAAGGAACAACTGGTAACAGCCACTGCAAAAACATGCCAAAATGTAAAGACCATCGAGGCTAGGAAGAAACCGCATCAACTAACGAGCAAAATAACCAGCTAACATCATAATGACAGGACCAAATTCACACATAACAATATTAACTTTAAATGTAAATGGGCTAAATGCTCCAATTAAAAGACACAGACTGGCAAATTGGATAAGGAGTCAAGACCCATCAGTGTGCTGTATTCAGGAAACCCATCTCACATGCAGAGACACACATAGGCTCAAACTAAAGGGATGGAGGAAGATCTACCAAGCAAATGGAAAACAAAAAAAGGCAGGGGGTGCAATCCTAGTCTCTGATAAAACAGACCTTAAACCAACAAAGATCAAAACAGACAAAGAAGGCCATTACATAATGGTAAAGGGATCAATTCAACAAGAAGAGCTGACTATCCTAAATATATACGCACCCAATACAGGAGCACCCAGATTCATAAAGCAAGTCCTTAGTGACTTACAAAGAGACTTAGACTCTCACACAATAATAATGGGAGACTTTAACACCCCACTGTCAACATTAGACAAATCAGTGAGACAGAAAGTTAACAAGGACACCCAGGAATTGAACTCAGCTCTGCACCAAGCGGACCTAATAGACATCTACAGAACTCTCCACCCCAAATCAACAGAATGTACATTTTTTTCAGCACTACACCACACCTATTCCAAAATTGACCACATACTTGGAAGTAAAGCACTCTTCAGCAAATGTAAAAGAACAGAAATTATAACAAACTGTCTCTCAGACTACAGCGCAAACAAACTAGAACTCAGCATTAAGAAAATCACTCAAAACCACTCAATTAAATGGAAACTGAACAACCTGCTCCAGAATGACTACTGGGTACATAACGAAATGAAGGCAGAAATAAAGATGTTCTTTGAAACCAACAAGAACAAAGACACAACATACCAAATCTCTGGGACACATTCAAAGCAGTGTGTAGAGGGAAATTTATAGCACTAAACGCCCACAAGAGAAAGCAGGAAAGATCTAAAATTGACACCCTAACATCATAATTAAAACAACTAGAAAAGCAAGAGCAAACACATTCAAAAGCTAGCAGAAGGAAAGAAATAACTAAAATCAGAGCAGAACTGAAGGAAATAGAGACACAAAAACCCTTCAAAAAATTAATGAATCCAGGAGCTGGTTTTTTGAAAAGATCAACAAAATCGATAGACTGCTAGCAAGACTAATAAAGAAGAAGAGAGAGAATAATCAAATAGACACAATAAAAAATGATAAAGGGGATATCACCAGCGATCCCACAGAAATACAAACTACCATCAGAGAATACTACAAACACCTCTAAGCAAATAAACTACAAAATCTAGAAGAAATGGATAAATTCCTTGACACATACACCCTCCCAAGACTAAACCAGGAAGAAGTTGAATTTCTGAATAGACCAACAGGCTTTGAAATTGTGGCAATAATTAATAGCTTGCTAACCAAAAAAAGTCCAGGACCAGATGGATTCACAGCTGAATTCTACCAGAGGTACAAGGAGGAGCTGGTACCATTCCTTCTGAAACTATTCCAATCAATAGAAAAAGAGGGAATCCTCCCTAACTCATTTTATGAGGCCAGCATCATCCTGATACCAAAGCCTGGCAGAGACACAACCAAAAGAGAGAATTTTAGACCAATATCCTTGATGAACATTGACGCAAAAATCCTCAGTAAAATACTGGCAAACCAAACCCACCAGCACATCAAAAATCGTATCCACCATGATCAAGTGGGCTTCATCCCTGGGATGCAAGGCTTGTTCAACATATGAAAATCAATAAATGTAATCCAGCATACAAACAGAACCAAAGACAAAAACCACATGATTATCTCAATAGATGCAGAAAAGGCCTTTGACAAAATTCAACAACTCTTCATGCTAAAAACTCTCAATAAATTAGGTATTGATGGGACATATCTCAAAATAATAAGAGCTATCTATGACAAACCCACAGCCAATACCATACTGAATGGGCAAAAACTGGATGCATTCCCTCTGAAAACTGGCACAAGACAGGGATGCCCTCTCTCACCACTCCTATTCAACATAGTGTTGGAAGTTCTGGCCTGGGCAATTAGGCAGGAGAAGGAAATAAAAGGTATTCAATTAGGAAAAGAGGAAGTCAAATTGTCCCTGTTGGTAGATGACATGATTGTATATCTAGAAAACCCCATTGTCTCAGGCCAAAATCTCCTTCAGTTTATAAGCAACTTCAGCAAAGTCTCAGGATACAAAATCATGTACAAAAATCACAAGCATTCTTATACACCAACAACAGACAAACAGAGAGCCAAATCATGAGTGACCTCCCATTCACAATTGCTTCAAAGAGAATAAAATACCTAGGAATCCAACTTACAAGGGATGTGAAGGACCTCTTCAAGGAGAACTACAAACCACTGCTCAATGAAATAAAAGAGGATACAAACAAATGGAAGAACATTCCATGCTCATGGGTAGGAAGAACCAATATCATGAAAATGGCCATACTGCCCAAGGTAATTTATAGATTCAATGCCATCCCCAACAAGCTACCAATGGCTTTCTTCACAGAATTGGAAAAAACTACTTTAAAGTTCATATGGAGCCAAAAAAGAGCCCACATCACCAAGTCTGTCCTAAGCCAAAAGAACAAAGCTGGAGGCAGCACGCTACCTGACTTCAAACTATACTACAAGGCTACAGTAACCAAAACAGCATGGTACTGGTACCAAAACAGAGATATAGATCAATGGAACAGAACACAGCCCTCAGAAATAATGCCGCATATCTACAACCATCTGATCTTTGACAAACCTGACAAAAACAAGAAATGGGGAAAGGATTCCCTATTTAATAAATGGTGCTGGGAAAACTGGCTAGCCATATGTAGAAAGCTGAAACTGGATCCCTTCCTTACACCTTATACAAAAGTTAATTCAAGATGGATTAAAGACTTACATGTTAGACATAAAACCATAAAAACCCTAGAAGAAAACCTAGGGAATACCATTCAGGACATAGGCATGGGCAAGGACTTCATGTCTAAAACACCAAAAGCAACGGCAACAAAAGCCAAAATTGACAAATGGGATCTAATTAAACTAAAGAGCTTCTGCACAGCAAAAGAAACTACCATCAGAGTGAACAGGCAACCTACAAAATGGGAGAAAATTTTTGCAACCTACTCATCTGACAAAGGGCTAATATCCAGAATCTACAATGAACTCAAACAAATTTACAAGAAAAAAACAAACAACCCCATCAAAAAGTGGGCAAAGGATATGAACAGACACTTCTCAAAAGAAGACATTTATGCAGCAAAAAAACACATGAAAAAATGCTCATCATCACTGGCCATCAGAGAAATGCAAATCAAAACCACAATGAGATACCATCTCACACCAGTTAGAATGACGATCATTAAAATGTCAGGAAACAATAGGTGCTGGAGAAGATGTGGAGAAATAGGAACACTTTTACACTGTTGGTTGGACTGTAAACTAGTTCAACCATTGTGGAAGTCAGTGTGGCGATTCCTTAGGGATCTAGAACTGGAAATACCATTTGACCCAGCCATCCCATTACTGGGAATATACCCAAAGGATTATAAATCATGCTGCTATAAAGACACATGCACACGTATGTTTATTGTGGCACTATTCACAATAGCAAAGACTTGGAACCAACCCAAATGTCCAACAATGATAGAGTGGATTAAGAAAATGTGGCACATATACACCATAGAATACTATGCAGCCATAAAAAATGATGAGTTCCTGTCCTTTGTAGGGACATGGATGAAACTGGAAAACATCATTCTCAGCAAACTACTGCAAGGACAAAAAACCAAACACCGCATGTTCTCACTTATAGGTGGGAATTGAACAATGAGAACACATGGACACAGGAAGGGGAACATCACACACCAGGGACTGTTGTGGGGTGGGGGGAGGGGGTAGGGATAGCATTAGGAGATATACCTAATGCTAAATGATGAGTTAATGGGTGCAGCACACCAACATGCCACATGTATACATATGTAACAAACCTGCACATTGTGCACATGTACCCTAAAACTTAAAGTATAATAATAATAAAATTTTAAAAAGATAACAAATCAGAAAATTATCTTGACAAAATATAAAATATTTGTTTTCCAGGCCACTTACTTAAAATGTAAAGAATAAACATTACCAATTTCCAATGAGAGCAGGCCCATATACACTGTGAAAACTTTTCATTTTAACAGAATAGACCAAATTATAGTTTTACAATGGTTTACTTTTAATATTAAGACCTCTTAAAATAAATTCATTCTAGCCGATTTGACCATGCAAGATTCTCTTTCACTTCCCAATTTTCTGTGTTCACTTGGTTTCTGTTCTTCCCTCATTCATTTTGAAATACACTTCTCGGATACTTAGCATATAAGGATGTTTCCCTTATGTTATTTAGTAGTGATGATTATCACACATTAATTATAATTCTTAACTCTTAGTAACTTTCTTTTCTGGGATATAAGCAATTGCCAAATAAGCATCACACCAGCATTTTACAGATTGGCAAATCTCTGAATATACAATTTCATAATTTCTAGAAGCATGTGCTTTCCCGTTACATAATTCTTCCATGTGGCACAGGACATGTTTGCTAATGACCACAAATATTTTTATTTCTTCTGTAACAAGAAGTACAAAGTAGATAAGTATATGCTCAGCAATTAATGTTTTAATATTTTTTCTTATTTGGAAATAATCCAGATATTCAATGACTATTGGCAATTTAATTCAACTGTGTGAAACTCTAAGGGTATAATTTATCAGAGAGAAGAGGGGAGGCATTTTTAAGCAGATCTATTAGTAAACATAGTTATAGTTTAAAAGTTCATTTATAAACTTTTATTGTACTTAGATCTACTTAATTCACTTGTTCTAAATTGTTTGGGTTACTCATGAAAATTTCATAAGACATTAGACAAAACTAGTTACCTCTCAAATTACTTTCTTGTTAACTATACAGCACATTTATGTCAGTCAGTCATCATGAAAGCAAAAATATAAAAGTCAAATATATGTTTTTGTTGTTTTATTGCTGTGCCTGATATATATGAAGTAAATGCTATCACATTTTCACATAGGTGTTTAGGTTGAACTGTTAGTTTTCTGAATTTAAACATCAGTTAGAGATAATATAAACTTATTTGACTAGTAAACTCAGCTAACATAAAAGTTGTGTGTTTGTATTATATTTAATTTTGAAAACTCTGAAGAGATGTCTATTTTAGTTAAACCAACAAACTTGAAGTAGCTTTGACTTAACAGAGATTATCATAGATAATGTGAACCTTAAAAATATATTGGTGAATTTCCATCTTTCTGAGTTTAAGGAATCCTTAATTCATATAAGCATATATTCTTCTATAGGCCAAATGAATAGAACTAGAATACAAATTAATTTTGCAATACCATCCAAAGGTAGCAAAATGTCACCTATACAACATATAGACATACATAAACTTACAGAAAGAAGCAAATATTATAGAGTTCATTCTAAAATTGTAGCCCCATGTCAGGTACAATAACAACAAACTCAAGGCTGGGCATGGTGGCTCTTGCCTATAATCCCAGAACTTTGGGAGGCCGAGGTGGGTGGATCACCTGAGGTCAGGATTTTGAGACCAGCCAGGCCAACATGGTGAAACCCTGTCTCTACTAAAAATAGAAAAATTACCCAGGGTTGGTGGTGTGCCCCCGTATTCCCCACTGCTTGGGAATCACTTGAACACAGGAGATGGAGGTTGCCGTGAGCCAAGATTGCACCACTGCACTCCAACCTGGCTGACAGAGTGAAACTCTGTCAAAGAAAAAAAAAAGAAAGAAGGAGAAAAAAATAATTTATAAGACTCTCTAGACATGAATTGTTCTTCTCATGGTTGGAAGAAGTTAAGATGTCTTGCCCAGATGACCAAAGCTTTTTATTAATATTTTTGGAAAATGTTTTTACTATTTTTCATTTGACCCATTTACAAATGCCTCTTTTTTGTTCAGATGTGATGTGTCCTTGAAATTTGCATATAAAATATAAAGTTCTCATACCTTACAGTAGACATGTAAGAATATTTACATGTTAAAGTCACAGTGCTTAGATTTCAGACTTAAGTACCACAGTTTTCCAAAACAAATAAACAAAAAGAGTGTTGAGACCCAGTTAAGACAAGACAGCCAAGATAACCACCTTAAACAAAGGTAGGTTTTGTGATGTAGATAAAGTTACTACCTTCTCCATTATTTAGAGGTTTAGTCCTACTACTCTTCCTGGACCAGATATGTAGATCTCTTACAAATGGAGATTGTTTTAAATTTCTCTTCTAAAGGGAATCTCAAAACAACCAAATCAAAATAGTCTTTATGCCAATAGGTAAAATATTTTGGTAATTATTTGGCCTCATCATTCACATATCATTCCAGTTTTTGTTTTGTAACTACATTAAAGATTTCAGGGTGGATCTTATCATTGAATAGAACAAGGATTTTCTACTCCTGAAATGAACATAGATTGACCACAATGTTTTACAAATAGTACCTCTAATCTTGCCTTATATTCAGAGACTGGTTTATCCTTTTTTCTTTGATTGCATGACAGACAAGTGAGTTTTTGATGAAATACTTTGGGGATGGATTCTAAGAGATTATTTCCTATTTCCTCAGCACTTTTGTTCTTTCCCTGGAAGATTGAGGGATTGGATCTTTGCTGTCTGTCTTAGGTATGCAACATTTAGCTTCAGCTACAGGCTTCACTAGGTTCCAGGATCATGTGAATAAACTGGTACAGATCAAAGAGTCCTAAATCATATGATCCAAGAAGAATTAGAAATTCCACAGAAAATTTCTGGGGCATATGTTTGGGAGAGAATATTTTTCACTATTGCTCTGAGCTCAGATTTTGACCAAGGTGCAAAAATTGGTAAAGAGAAGGCAGGCTTAGTTGATCTGATGAACTGAATTTATATGGTAATTGACTAGATTTTTTTTTATATTCTTACAGGTGAAAACATAACTGAACAAAAGCCTTAGTAGACTCAGAGTTATGAGTTAGAGGATAATATAGAGAAATATAGATGAAACTGCCATTGCAAAGATTATGAAAATGAGAAAAAACTCACATAGGAATATTTTGTCAGTGAATCTGAAACAGGAAAATTAGACAGTACTTCTAAACAAGCTGACTTTCTTTATTCCTGTGTGTAGGCCAAACTACATTTGGGAAGAATTTACTTTATAGTGTTTGACTTTGAAACAAAGACGACAAGAGCCCCCCCTCAAAGCAAACCTCCTCCTTGCTTGGGGCCCACCTTTATCCTCAAACCAATGAATCAGCATTCCCCATTTCCTAACCCTCTTCCTGAAAAAGTATCTTTAAAAACCCCTAGCCTTTGGCGTGCATGGTGGCTCATTTTTTTAATCCCGGCATTTTGTGAGGCTGAGGCAGACCAATCACTTGAGGTCAGGAGTTTGAGACCAGCCTGGCAAGCATGGTAATATCCTGTTTCTTCTAAAAACACAAAAATTAGCTAGGCGTGAGGGTACACATTTGTAATCACAGATACTTGGGGGTCTGAGACACGAGAATCACCTGAACCCAGGAGGTGGAGGAGGTTGCAGTGAGCAGACTTCCTGCCACTGCACTTGAGCCTGGGTGATGGAGTGACTCTGTCTCAAAAAAAAAAAAAAAAACAAAATAAATAATAGAAAGAAAGAGAGAGAGAAAGAAAGAGAAAAGGAGAAGAAAAGAAAAGAAAAGAAAAAGGAAAAGAAAAGAGAACCAACACTCTAGCCTCTGACTATTTGGAGAGTTTGACTTGAGTTATAATTAAACTCTGCTTTCCCATTTAGCCAGGTAATAAATTGGAATTGTGTGCATTAAAATTTTCCCCTGTTGCAATTCCCCTGTCTTGATAATTGGCTCTAACCAGATAGCAGGCAAGAAGAACTCATTTGGTGGTAACATAGACAGAAGGAGCAATTGGAGTTAAGTTAGTCATTGACTCACACACAGACTCTATGGAAAAAATACACACACACACACACATACACACACACACACACACACACACACACATTCTAATTGGATAGAAAGGTAGAATGACATTTTGAAGGCAGTGTAAGAACACCACCTATGAGGGAATACATTGCAAGACTGTCTTTGTTTTTTCTTCTCTTTTCCCCTGACCTTTGCCTAATAAAATTTCTCATCAGATTTCCACTCACCTGAAAGTTAGGAAAATATCTGGAGTTTGAGCTACAGTTTCATGACGTGGACAATTTTACTTGGGATTGGCTTATGAAGGGAATCTAGATCACTGGCCTTATTAAAATCATGACTAACTCGGATGAGACTATGCTAATCAAAACACTAAAAGCATCCAGTTTTTTTTATTATTATCATACTTTAAGTTCTGGGATACATGTCAGAACGTACAGGTTTGTTACATAGGTATACATGGAGCATTCAGTTTTTAAAAATCAACATTTATTTTAAGTTCTGTGGTATATGTGCAGGTTTGTTATATAGGTAAATGTGTGCCACGGTGGTTTGCTACACAAATGAACACATCACCTACTTATTAAGCTCAGCATCCATTAGCTATTCTTCTTGATGAAAAACATCTAATTTTATATACAAACTGAAGTTTGCATAAAATGTCAGAAGTGAAGCATATTGTGGGAAACTGTGGCATAAAGTGTAATTTCAATTGTAAAAACTAGAACTGGCTTACAGTGACTTAATATTTATGATTCTGAAGTCCATAGCACACTGTGGAATAATCTGTATTTCACATACACATTTAAATCTACAATGCCCAGTTGAAGATCTCCACTTTATCCACGTGGAATTATTACCATTTTTTCTTTATATTTCCTGTATCAGTGATATGGCTCTGATGAGTTGAGGAACACCAGGGTTGTTTGTCTCTCGTTGAATTGGAAAAAATGACATGGACACACATGAAAACTTTTCTGGAGCTGCTTTAAAAAGAAACAAAAACTTTTCAAGGATTGCTTTTCCTTTTTATCTGTCTAAAATAATTTCTTAATAAATCCTACCACATTCCCACCTGTGGAAATATCACCCTAATTGCTGTTAGGGGGTTTTGGGTGATGACTGTTTCTGGCTATTTCCTGCTGAAAGGGACATCAGATGGGGAACAGCACTAGGGCTCCTCCTGGGGGTGATCTAAGGTCCTTGGAAGAACAGCTTGTCCTTGTGTTGTTTAGTTTGCAGCACCATCTGGAGCTTGATTAGTTCTACATGAGAAGAAACAATTTGAGTTATAATATTGAGTATAAAGGGTCCAAATATTAATACAAGACATATAAGCAAGAGAAGGTTTACCAAAGGGGTTAGCCAATTCCATAAAGAACAGTGGAATTCATTAAAGAGGGATAGTAGCCACCCAGGGCTGAGGCCTGCACTTTCTCTGAGCCTGTCAATAATTTTGATTTGACTGTTAAGTTCATGTAGGTTTTCCTCTACTTTACTAGAGGTGTTAATCCAAGATATAGAGTTTCCCTTTGGGGGTCTATGAAGTTCATTGGTTTGATTTTCCTCAACAAAGAAACCTCTGAGTTATGGGCACCCTACTCACTTTTATTACCTGGCAGAATTAGTAGGATAAAATTGCACAGAACTAGCATATCTCTTAGTGTGGGGTGGGGATGTTTCCTTATCTTTCAGGTGGCCAAGGGCATGCTTCTCTGATTTATAACCACTATTAGCCATCATTTACAGTGTATTTTCTACCTATTTATTACACATCAAAGCTCTCTCATAATGTGAAGTAATTTTCTACCCCCAAAACTCAAAATGGTAGATAACACAATGCATAACAGAATAAAGATTTTGATTCTGACAGGGAACTACCTGCTTTTAATTTTGGGGATTTCATGAGGAAAATAGTTTTTTTTTTTTTCCCCAAAATGAGGTCTGTGAGGCCTCCTCTGTTTTCCCAAGGAGTCCCACGCTACCATAAGTTATCTTAAGGCCTCCCATGAATTCATTAAGAGTGGTAAGACAAAAAATCGAGAAAAATAATTCAGTCAACTGAAAAGAGGACATTTTCAGAAAACAAGAGCCAAGAAGAGAAAAACAAAAAGGCCTTTTAAATATACCTATAAATTGAATATCCACTTTTAATTAAGCTGAGCACTCTTTAAGAAAATCCTTTCAAATCCCATGTTACTTGACTTTAGCCATGCCAAGCAGTTAAGATTTTCAGCCTTTGAACTTTACAGAAAGCAACCTCTCAGGTGAAATCAATGAGTCTTAATTAGGTTATTGCTGAGTCTGTCCTGCAGACTCTGGCCGAGCGACAGTGAAAGAGATCCAACTAAAACAACTCCATATTTTTTCCAGCCTCCAAGCTGTCCTTGCCCATCCCTGGGCATAGGCTGAACCAACTTTGGGAGGAGGCTGGTTTACAGTTTATAGTCTAAAACAAAGATGATATCAGCTGCTTCCCAAGATATACTACCCTCTTGCCTGGGGACCAGACCAAGAAACAAGCCACAAGATTAGAAACCATGGCCTAGGAGCCATGAAAGTGGAGGCTACAAGATTTTGAACCTTCCTAAACTGCTCTTGAGACCAGTGTTTATGATGTTTTGTAAACCCTGTCCTTGATGGACCAACTGGCACCACCCAGATTGACAAACTGGCTTATCTGATTTTGTGGCCCTTACCCAGGAACTGACTTAGCACAAGAAGACAGCCACCATTGTAAAATGGCGGAGACTAAAACACAGTATTGCCATGCGGTTACAGGTCATGTTCCCAAAGACATGAAACAAGACGGAGGTTTGTAGCCAACTTTGTTACTGACCGTTTTGTTGGGTTGGCTCAAACAGTAGGCTTATGGGGTCCTTGGCCTGCATCCTGAAGTAAAATGTGTTTTCTTTGACAGAACCATACAGAAAGAGATGCAAAGCATACCAGATAGTCTACAGCTTAAGAACAATCTCACAAATCTTTTGTCATTAATTATAAATTTACAGAGATAAACAATGATCCTTATTATCCCTTTTACCGGCTTGCACAGGGAGAGAGAATTCAAAAGCCCAACTGGTAAGAAATTTTTAAACTTTTGCCAGCATATTAGGCTTCTCGGTTTCTTCCCACCTAGCTCAACTCTAAGCCAAGTGTTTTAAGGTTTTTTTCCAGATTGGAAGAACATTAAAAAAGAGATAGAAGCCATTTTAAACCATGAAAGAAGGAAAACGCCATAGAAAGGAGTTCCATTAGGGTTGTTAAGACGTATTGCCTCTTTTCCTACTGGAAATCGTGTTTCCCCTATTTCTTTGCCTTCTCTATTTTCTCTTTTTTCTTTTAGCCTACTGTAGGAGGCATATTGCTTATCTTCAAAACACTCTTCTGCTTGCAGACCTGCCTGTTTTAGCTGCAGTTAGGGTTTGGCTTAGGAGCAGCATAACATTCCTCCATGAGAGGTTAAATACGAGAGGTAAATTTTGGAAAGCTTCTGTATACCTATCAGAGTCAGAAAATCAGCCTAAGTCTCCCTTTACTTGTCTAAGGTCCTGAAATGAGAAGGGAACTTGAAGGAGCTCCAAACAAGGGAATCCTCAGATGGTTTCCCTGGAACTTGCTCCTGTAATTTTGGGGAATTATTCTCTTTATGACTGCCTGATATGATTGCTAAAAGAGCTGGGTTAATTTTGCAACACTTACAAAGGTGTAGTAAGAAAGGCCATGCCCTTGTGCAAAAGAAAATAAGCCACTTTTTCTTCAAAGTTTAAGGTCAAAGGAGTCCCAGTGCTTCAAAATACACTCCAGGGGAGTGCATATTGAAGATGATCTGTTACCCATTTAGAAAAAGAAGAGAGAATAAAAGCATTCTTTTAGTCTCCTTCATTTTGGTATGTGATCCAGTAGAGCACATCCCCCCAACTATTTTCTCTCCTTGGATCCTGAATCCAGGCACCCATTTCAATGTGCCGCCCATGACTGCAGGCATGACCCTCCAAAGCATGACACCAGAGGAACTAAACTTTTGGGCCATAGTCATGCTGTCCCCAAGGAGCCTTAGTCCTCTTCCTTTTATTTCCCTTTGACCTCCTAGACTTGTGTGACCTGTGTGCTTTCCAAAAAAAAAAAAAAAAAATAAATGGATTTCAAGAAAAATCACGTAATTGGGCAAGGCCCGTTTAAGGGAGGGGGTGTGCTGGATTGAACTCTAAATCCTGCTGTTATAGCCCATGCTAAAGCATTTACCCATAGAAGAATCGTTCCAGTTAACTTTCAGACTTAAAATCCCCTTATTAATTTAAGTACTGTCTTAATAGGGGACAGAATAGGTGCCTTAAGGGAATGTAGGAACCAAATGGCCATTTTCCTGTGAGGGGGACAATATCAAGACTAACATTTGGCTACAGAAGACATCTTAATCCTCTCTGCTAAAGGCAGAACCATCCCCTTCCCATAAGAGGCCCAGAGCCTGATGTCTAACAGTGTAAAAGGAAGCTGCGGTGTTACCATGAAAAAAGAGGAACAAAGTGTGCCTCATGTAGAGGATTTTTATTTCCGCTAGGTGGCTTAGAAATACCATGTGCTCACCAGAGAAACTGTAGAGAGAGATGTTTATTGAGTTACTGCCTGATGTGATTTGTGATCTTTTCTAACAGACCTGTTTCCTTGAACTGTAAAGATTCCTGCACATTAGACACGCAGAGACAGGGTTAAGAGACTGTAGATAGAAAGAGAAAGAAAGTTTGGCAACAGGATAGCTGGAAGAGTGCCCTAAAATTAAAGATCAGATTTAAAGTTGAGATCCACTCCATACTCACCAGTCTGATGAATGAATTTCCTTTCCCAGCCAATGTGCCAAAATGATACGGCTCTGATGAGTGGAAGAACACCAGGGTACTTCTTTCTGTCTCCTTCTTTACTGACTTGTCTTTCTCGCATTTACCATCTATGATGTGATTATTCTGTGACTAATTTTTTTCTCCTTGTTTTATTTCACCTAGGCAAATTTCCATTTCCACATTTCCTATGCCTTTTTTCCTTTCACTTGTCAATCTTTACTTTTGATAACTTTTTCTTAAATATTGTACTGGAGAAAAAAACATTAGTTTATGAGCAGCAGACAAATGCCAATTATTCTCCACATGTCGTAGAGTACTGTACCTCATCCCCTCACTGCTGGGCTACTTGTTTCCCCTTCACTTTGTATTGCTGACTTTTATTCTATTACATAAGGGAAACTCCTCTCACTAAGGCCACTAAAAATTACTTCATTTGTATACACAGCGAATTCCCTGCACTCCTTGTCCTCTAGGGCATTTATTTTGTCATTTTTCCCTGTGCTTCACTTGGTCACACTGATCTTACCTCTCTTTATGTCCATCCACAACACTCAGCTTTCTAGTTCTCTCCTGCTTCTTCCCTTGATCACTCTGTTCAGTACCCTTTTCTACTATCTCTTTTGTTACACTTTTGAACATCTAGGGCTTTGGGTTGCAATGTAAAATGTTATTGAATGGATATTGATTCCAGTATAGAAATGGTAGGGAAGGTGGAGAAATCAGCTAGAAAATAATGGCAGGAACACAAGGAAGTAAAGCAGCCAGCCAGCAGCCCAAATCCTTTCCCAACAGGAACTTCATGAGTGGCTGTTTCCGCTGCTGTACTTCCAATGACACAGCTCATACTTTCAATGGCATTGTTGTAGATACAGGATGCACATGCTGGGATCTTAATGTTTTTGCCTCAACTGCATTTGCACTATTTTTTTTGTTGTCCATGTACATTTGTCTCTATCTCTCTATATCCAACTGTATGTAGTGTGGCTTTGATTAAACAAATCTAGGTGAAATTCTTTGTCTGCCACCAAAACGCATGTGGTAGAAAGGGGTTCCAGGTGTTGGCAATTTAATAAATGGCCTCCATTGCCTTCATAAACTTTTAATATGCTTCTTAAAATGTTTTGCATTTCAACTTTTATTTTAGATATAAAGAGTACACAGGCTGCTTTTGAAACCAAAACCTTTCTCTTTCTCTCCATATTCCGAATGTAGGATCAGCGTGTTTCATTGGCCATCCTAGATCAGGTCCCTTCACTATACAAACAAGAAGAATGGAAAAATGAGTTCTAGTTCTTTTGGCTTCTAGAGCAGTAGGTAACCTCTGACAGCCACCAAGACTTGGATAGCAAAAAAGATCACATCTTGGCCATTCCTAGGACATATGTCCACTTTGTTATCTCTTTAACATAACTTGCTCCAGTTGATTTTCTTGCCACTCTTTTTGTTTCTTTGTTACTCTCCAGTGGATACATCATTAACTACACCTTTGACTACCACAAAGATTCCAAGTAATTATTTCTATTAAGCTCTAACAGACTCATATTACTGATTGGATCTCACCTAGTTGGCTGCAGGATGCTTACTCCAAGAACTTGCCAGCACATCTGAGTTCCCATCCTCAATATTTAATGACCTATTACCCAGTCACCAAGTGACTTTTGTCTCGTTTATTACCACTTCTTTCCCACCAAATATGTCACAGAATACTAGAGAATCTACATTCTAGATTCTTTGGAATCTTTTTCTTTGTCTTACCATCTTTTCCAATGTAATATCACACCTGGACAAGACACCTAGCACTCATTTGAATCACCTTGAGGGTATTTTTTAAATGCAGATTTCTAGAACTCATTTCTGAAATAATCAATTTCTACATTAAATTCTCACAATCTATATTTTTCATAAAACACACTCCCAGATCATTTTTATATGTGATCTGATTGGGATCACTGGGATCTTAGTAACAAGTTTCTAATTAGTACCCCTTAGTCCAATTTCCCCATCCCACAGCATATTTTCTACACTATCAAAAAATTTAAAAAATATATTATGATGGCATTTCCTGTCAGGCCTCTCAGCCCAAGCCTGCACATATTCATCCAGATGGCCTGAAGCAAGTGAAGAATGACAAATGAAGTGAAAATGGCCAGTTCCTGCCTTAACTGATGACATTACCTTGTGAAATTCCTTCTCATGGCTCATCCTGGCTCAAAAGCTCCCCCACTGAGCACCTTGTGACCCCCACCCCTGCCAGACAGAGAACAACCCCCTTTGACTGTAATTTTCCACTACCTACCCAAATCCTACAAAACAGCCCCATCCCTATCTCCCTTTGCTAACTCTCTTTTCCGACTCAGCCCGCCTGTACCCAGGTGATTAAAAAGCTTTATTGCTCACACAAAGCCTCTTTGGTGGTCTCTTCACACAGACCCATGTGAAATTTGGTGCCGTGACTCAGATCGGGGGACCTCCCTTGGGAGATCAATCCCTGGTCCTCCTGCTCTTTGCTACATGAGAAAGATCCACCTACGACCTCTGGTCCTCAGACCAACCAGTCCAAGGAATATCTCACCAATTTTAAATTGGGTAAGTGGCCTCTTTTTACTCTCTTCTCCAACCTCTCTCACTATCCCTCAATCTCTTTCTCCTTTCAATCTTGGCACCATCCTTCAATCTCTCCCTTCTCTTAATTTCAGTTCCCTTCCTTTTCTGGTAGAGACACAGGAGACACGTTTTATCCGTGAACCCAAAACTCCGGCACCAGTCACAGACTTGGGAAGACAGTCTTCCCTTGGTGTTTAACCACTGTGAGGATGCCTGCTTGATTATTCACCCACGTTTCAGAGGTGTCTGATCATGGCCAGGATGCCTGCCTTGATCCTTCACCCTTAGTGTCAAGCACCACTTTCTTTGGGGGCAAGCACCACCCACCCCTTCTCTCTGTGTCTCTATCCTCTCTTTTCTCTCCACTTTCTTGGGGGACAAGCACACCCCACCCCTTCTCTCTGTGTCTCTACCCTGTCTTTTCTCTCCACTTTCCTGGGGGGGCAAGCACCCCCCACCTCTTCTCTCCATGTCTTTACCCTCTCTTTTCTCTCCACTTTCCTGGGGGCAAGCACCCCCCCTACCCCTTCTCCCTATGTCTCTACCCTCTCTTTTCTCTGGGCTTGCCTCTTTCACTATAGGTAACCTTACACCCTCAATTCCTCCTTCTCCCTTAGCCTGTGTTCTCAAGAACTTAAAACCTCTTCAACTCACACCTGATCTAAAACCTAAATGCCTTATTTTCTTCTGCAATACCGCTTAACCCCCATACAAACTTGACAATGGTTCCGAATAGCCAGAAAATGGCACTTTCGACTTTTCCATCCTACATGATCTAGATAATTCTTGTCATAAAGGGCAAATGGTCTGAAGTGCCTGATGTCCAGGCATTCTTTTACACATCGGTCCCTCCCTAGTCTCTGTTCCCAATGCAACTCATCCCAAATCCTCCTTCTTTCCCTCCCGCCTGTCCCCTCAGTCCCAACCCCAAGCATCACTGAGTCTTTTCAATCCTCCTTTTCTACCAACCCATCTGACCTCTCCCCTCATCCCCAGACTGCTCCTCAGTTCACTCCCTGTGAGGCTGAATCAGGCTCCAATTCTTCCTAAGCTTCTGCTCCTCCACCCTGTAATCCTTCTATCACCTCCTCTCCCCATACCCAGTCCAGCTTACAGTTTCATTCCATGACTAGCCCTCCCCCACCTGCCCAACAATTTCCTCTTAAAGAGGTGGCTGGAGCTAAAGGCATAGTTAAGGTTAATGCTCCTTTTTCTTTATCCAACCTCTCCCAAATCAGTTAGCGTTTAGGCTCTTTTTCATCAAATATGAAAACCCAGCCCAGTTCATGGCTTGTTTGGCAGCAACCCTGAGACACTTTACAGCCCTAGACCCTGAAAGGTCAGAAGGCCATCTTATTCTCAATATACATTTTATTTTATTACACAATCCACTCCTGACATTAAATAAAACTCCAAAAATTAAATTCCAGCCCTCAAACCCCATGATAGGACTTAATTAACCTCACCTTCAAGTTGTACAATAATAGAGTAGAGGCAGCCAAGTAGCAACGTATTTCTGAGTTGCAATTCCTTGCCTCTACTGTGAGAGAAACCCCAGCCAGAACTCCAGCACTCAAGAACTTCAAAACACTTAAGCCACAGCAGTCAGGCATTCCTTTAGGACCTCCTCTCCCAGGATCTTACTTCAAGTGCTGGAAATCTGGCCACTGGGCCAAGGAATGCCCGCAGCATGGGATTCCTCCTAAGCCGTGTCCCATCTGTGTGGGACCCCAGTGGAAATTGGACTGTCCAACTAGCCCAAGGCTCTGACTGACTCCTTCTCGGATCTTCTCAGCTTAGCAGCTGAAGACTGAGGCTGCCCGAACACCTCAGAAGCCTCCTGGACCATCACAGATGCTTACAGTGGAGGGTAAGTCCATCCCCTTCTTAATTAATATGAAGCCTACCCAATCCACATTACCTTCTTTTCAACAGCCTGTTTCCCTTGCCCCCATAACTGTTGTGGGTATTGACGGCCAGGCTTCTAAACCTCTTAAAACTCCCCAAATCCAACATTCTTTTATGTACTCCTTTTTAGTTATCCTCACCTGCCCAGCTCCCTTATTAGGTCGAGACATTTTAACTAAATTATTTACTTCCCTGACTATTCCTAGGCTACAGCCACACCTCATTGCCACCTTTTTCCCCAGTTCAAAGCCTCCTTCTCATCCTCCCCTTGTATCTTTCCACCTTAATCCACAGGTATAGTACACCTCTACTCCCTCCTTGTCAACCAATCATATGCCCATTACTATCCCATTAAAACCTAATCACCCTTACCCCACTCAATGCCAATATCCCATCCCACAGCATACTTTAATAGGATTAAAGCCTGTTATCACTCGCCTGCTACAGCATGGGCTTCTAAAACCTATAAACTTTCCTTAAATTCCTGCATTTTACCTGTCCAAAACCGGACAAGTCTTACAGGTTAGTTCAGGATCTGTGCCTTATCAACCAAATTATTTTGCTATCAACTCTATAGTGCCCAACCCATACACTCTTTTGTCCTCAATGCCTTCCTTCACAACTCATTATTCTATTCTGATCTTAAAGAGGCTTTTTTCACTATTCCCCTGCACCCCTCATTCCAGCCTCTCTTTGCTTTTACCTGGACTGATCCTGACACCTATCAGCCTCTGCAGGTTACATGGGCTGTACTGCCACAAGGCTTCAGGGACAGCCCTTATTAATTCAGCCAAGCTCTTTCTCATGATTTGCTTTCTTTCCACCCCTCCGCTTCTCACCTTATTCAATATATTGATGACCTTCTACTTTATAGCCCCTCCTTTGAATCTTCTCAACAAGACACCCTCCTGCTCCTTCAACATTTATTTTACAAAGGAGATGGGTATCCCCCTCCAAAGCTCAAATTTCTTCTCCATCTGTTACCTACCTTGGCATAATTCTTTACAAAAACACACATGCTCTCCCTGCCAATTGCGTCTGACTGATCCCTCGAACCCTGACCCCTTTTACAAAACAACAACTCCTTTCCTTCCTGGGCATAGTTGGATACTTTTGCCTTTGGATACCTGGTTTTGCCATCCTAACAAAACCGTTATATATCACAAAAGGAAACCTAGCTGACCCCACAGATCCTAAATCCTTTCCCTACTCCTCTTTCCATTCCTTGAAGACAGCTTTAGAGGCTGCCCCCACTCTAGCTCTCCCTGACTCATCCCAACCGTTTTCATTACACACAGCCAAAATGCAGGGCTGTGCAGTTGGAATTCTTACACAAGGTCTGGGACCATGCCCTGTAGCCTTTCTGTCAAAACAACTTGACCTTACTGTTTGTTTTAGGCTGGCCATCATGTCTCCGTGCAGTGGTTGCTGCCACCCTAATACTTTTAGAGGCCCTCAAAATCATAAACTATGCTCAACTCACTCTACAGTTCTCATAACTTCCAAAATCTATTTTCTTCCTCACACCTGACGCATATACTTTCTGCTCCCCAGCTCCTTCAGTTATACTCACTCTTTGTTGAGTCTCCCAACAATTATGATTGTTCCTTCAATCCAGCCTCCCACATTATTCTGGACACCACACCTGACCCCCATGACTGTTTCTTCTCTGATCAACCTGACATTCACCCCATTTCCCCATATTTCCTTCTTTCCTGTTTCTCACTTCCTTCCCCGTATTTCCTTCTTTCTTGTTTCTCACTTTTCCTGTTTCTCACCCTGATCACACTTGTTTATTGATGGCAGTTCCACCAGGCCTAATCGTCACTCACCAGCAAAGGCAGGCTATGCTATGGTATCTTCCACATCTATCATTGAGGCTACCACTCTGCCCTCTTCCACTACCTCTCAGCAAGCCGAACTCATTGCCTTAACTCGAGCTCTCACTCTTGCAAAGGAAATACATGTCAATATTTATACTGACTGTAACTATGCCTTTCATATCCTGCATCACCACGCTGTTGTATGGGCAGAAAGAGGTTGCCTCACTACACAACGGTCCTCCATCATTAATGCCTCTTTGATAAAAACTCTTCTCAAGGCTGCTTTACTTCCAAAGGAAGCTGGAGTCATTCACTACAAAGGCTATCAAAGGCATCAGATCCCATTGCTCTAGGCAACGCTTATGCTGATAAGGTAGCTAAAGAAGCAGCTAGCGTTCCAACTTCTGTCCCTCACTGCCAGTTTTTCTCCTTCTCACCGGCCACTCCCACTTACTCCCCCACTGAAACTTCCACCTATCAATCTCTTCCCACACAAGGCAAATGGTTCTTAGACCAAGGAAAATATCTCCTTCCAGCCTCACAGGTCCATTCTATTCTGTCATCATTTCATAACCTCTTCCATGTAGGTTACAAGCCACTAGCCCGTCTCATAGAACCTCTCATTTCCTTTCCATCATGGAAATCTGTCCTCAAGGAAATCACTTCTCAGTGTTCCATCTGCTATTCTACTACTCCTCAGGGATTGTTCAGGCCCCCTCCCTCCCCTACACATCAAGATGGGGGATTTGCCCCTGCCCAGGACTGGCAAATTGACTTTACTCACGTGCCCCGAGTCAAGAAACTAAAATAACTCTTGATCTGGGTAGAAACTTTCACTGGATGGGTAGAGGCCTTTCCCACAGTGTCTGAGGGACACCCCTTACCACAAAATCTTCCTTCAGCTTAATCTCTCCCACTCTAAGTTCCCATGCCTCCCCTAATCCCACTTGAAGCAGCCCTGAGAAATACCGCCCATTATTTCTCCAAAATTTTTGCTGCCCCAACACTTCAACACTATTTTGTTTTATTTTTCTTATTAATATAAGAAGACAGCAATGTCAGACCTCTGAACCCAAGCATGCACGTATTCATCCAGATTGCCTGAAGTAACTGAAGAATGACAAAAGAAGTGAAAATGGCCAGTTCCTGCCTTAATTGATGACATCACCTTGTGAAATTCCTTTTCCTGGCTCATCCTGGCTCAAAAGCTCCCCCACTGAGCACCTTATGACCCCCACCCCTGCCAGCCAGAGAACAACCTCCTTTGACTGTAATTTTCCACTACCTACCCAAATCCTATAAAACAGCCCCACCCCTATCTCCCTTCACTGGCTTTCTTTTCGGACTCAGCTTGCCTGCACCCAGGTGAAATAAACAGCTTTATTGCTCACACAAAGCCTGTTTGGTGAACTCTTCACACACAAGTGCATGAAATTTCCCATCTGAAAGTATTTGGTGCATTCTTATATTATGAAATATAAAGTTTAAGAATCTTCACATGGCATTTATTGCATTGATTTTTATCCAGATCTTTCAAAAACCTGTTCCCCAGGAACTCCATTCATATACTAGACACAGGATTATTCTACCACATAAGAGTGTGCACATAAATTTAGTATACCAGAGAATGCATATTACTACCCAATTTTTAAACCAAAATATATATATTTTTTCATTTATTTAACACCTTAAATATAGGATTTCTTTTTTATGGTAATGGTAAAAAACTAAGAGGTCTCTTATAATCGCACTGTTTATTTCAACACGTCTTCCACAGATTCAACTCATAATGCCATTGCAAATTTGCCTTTCATTTGTTGCATTTTATTTTAGAGGACATGCAGTGAGGACATGGAAGAGAAAAATGCAACATTGCTGACAGAGTTTGTTCTCACATTATTTTTATATCAACCTCACTGGAAAATACCCCTGTTCCTGGCATTCTTGGTAATATATCTCATCACCATCTTTGGGAATCTTGGTCTGATTGCTGTCGTATGGAAAGACCCTCACCTTCATATCCCAATATACTTATTCCTTGAGAATTTAGCTTTTGTGGATGATTTGTTATCATCCACATGACTCTGAAGATGCTGATCAACTTCTTCACTAAGAGTAAGTTGATTTCTCTCTGAATGCTGGATACATTTTTTTTCCTTTGCAATTGGTGTAACCACAGAATGTTTTATCTTGGCAACAATGGCATATGATCGCTATGTAGCCATATGCAAACCTTTACTTTATCCAGTCATTATGACCAATGGACTGTGCATCTGGCTATTAATCTTGTCATTTCTAGGTGGCCTTCTTCATGCTTTAATTCATGAAGGTTTTTTATAGATTAACCTTCTGTAATTCCAACACAATACATCACTTTTAATGTGACATTATCCCATTGTTAAAAATTTTCTGTACTGATTCTTCTATTAACTTTCCAATGGTTTTTATTTTCTCATGTTCAATTCAAGTTTTCACCATTGGGACTGTTCTTGTATCTTATACATTTGTCCTCTCTACAATCTTGAAAAAGAAGTCTGTCAAAGGCATAAGAAAAGACTTCTCCACCTGTGGAGCTCATATCTTACCTGTATCTTTATACTATGGGCCCCTCGCCTTCATGTATGTGGGCTCTGCATCCCAACGGGCTGATGACCAAGATATGATGGAGTCTCTATTTTACACTGTCATAGTTCCTTTATTAAATCCCATGATCTACAGCCTGAGAAATAAGCAAGTAATAGATTCATTCACAAAAATGTTCAAAGGAAATAATGTTTAGATCTCTTACTCATCTCTCTTTTCTACTTACTAAAATAGTCACAAAATTGTGCAAATTAGAGGTACCTATGTTTTTGCCAGCATTAAAAGATTTTGCAATTATAACAGTACTAGCACTTTAATGACCTATGATGTTAGTACCTATTTAACTAATTAAAATATTCCTATGTTATTCAAAAGCATTTGAGAAATTTTAGTCATCTTCATAATAGAATAATGATGGCAGAAAGCAAATAAAAGTATTGTAGAGTATGGTATGTTAATCAATGTGTCTTATAAGTGCATTAAATGCAAAATAGTCTAGTTTATCCGATAAGCACTTAAGTATGATGTTTTTGATACTAACACAACTCTATCACCCAAGACGTCTATCACATTTATCTTCATAGTGAAGATAGACTTGTGTTTAGGGGAAGACAGGTAGATCCCAGAATTCTACTAGCCATCAAGAGGTCTTTCAGTCCACTTACTGCAAAAAAGTGAATTTCACTTTTTGTAGGAAGTCAACTCATATATCAAATAAAGTAACAGAAATGGAAATGCAATGAGGACAACATGAGAAGGGTTTAACAGTGAAGGCACTGCCAATGTGCAAGAGGGCAGGAGAGTGCTGTTAACTCTGTGGGCTTGTATGAGTAAGAAGAAGCACGCAGCCTCTAACTTCCTAAGATGGCTTCTAAGGCACTTTCCAGCTGTGATTGTGTTTTCGGACAATCTGAAAAGTGTCCCTAAATCAGATAATTAAACGAATAAATAGAACTTAGATTGAAGTAGGCATAGAAAAGAAAAGACAAATGGCATAGCAGAAAGAAAATCCTCTTAATCTTCCGAGAAAAAAAATATTAAGCTACTATGATTTTAAAAACCAATGGTTACAAGGTTATTGGAATGTGTTCTTGACAACCAGGGGCTTTAAATGTGTATCACCAAAGTTCATTCACATCATAGTGTCCAGTGATTGGGAAGAAAACATGAAAATGAGGAAGAGTTCGGATATTTTCTGCTTCAAAAAGTCCTTGTTAGCCTTCTTCTCACTTCATACTCTTGAAGTATATGAGTCATCCATCTGCCATTCCACTCTGCCCTTTATCTTTCAACACTGAAATTCCTTTTACCTTGTCACTGGTACCAAGGCCCTTACCAAAATTACTCACATGTTATTTTGCAAACCTCTAGTTATTTTCTCCATCTTTCTAGCACTGATTTATTCCCCCATTTTGCTGTCAGATTGTTTTTTCAATTCCTTCAATTTCTTTTGTTGGATCATCATTGCTACCTGATTGTGCCTATATGTGTGTATATATACGTGTGTGTGTGTATATATATACATATATATGTGTGTGTGTTTTAAGTGTCAATATCTATGTTTACATATGCTTATGTATACATGACAGGAGGGGAAGGCTTTTGCTGATTTAAAGTGAAAGTAAGGCAAAAATAAACTTTTTGCTTAAAGTGGAGCAGTAGCATTATTTGGATTATTCCAGTAGAAAGTTCCTACTTAGAGGTGAGTTGAGGGTTTCTAATTGGTTAAAGTAAACTTTTGTTAAGAACCTGCCATCAGAGTGAACAGGCAACGTACTCATCATCACTGGGCATTTGAAAAATTGAAATAAAAACCACAATGAGATACCATCTTATGTGAGTTAGAATGTCAATCATTAAAAAGACAGGAAACAACAGATGCTGGAGAGGATGTGGAGAAATAGGCACACTTTTCCACTGTTGGTGGAAGTGTAATTAGTTCAACCATTGTGGAAGACAATGTGGTGATTCCTCAAGGATCTGGAACCAGAAATACCATTTGACCCAGCAATCCCATTATTGATTATATACCCAAAGGCTTATCAATCATTCTGCTATAAAGACACGTGAAGACGTATGTTTATTGCAGCAGTATTCACAATAGCAAACACTTGGAACCATCCCAAATGTCCATCAATGATAAACTGGATAAAGAAAATGTGGCACATATACACCATGGAATACTACGCAGCCATAAAAAAGAATGAGTTCATGTCCTTTGCAGGGACATGGATGAAGCTGGAAACCATCATTCTCAGCAAACTAACACAGGAACAGAAAACCAAACACTGCATGTTCTCACTCTTAAGTGGGAGTTGAACAATGGGAACACATAGACACAGGGAGAGGAATGTCACACACTGGGGCCTGTCAGTGGGTGGGGGTAAAGGGAGGGAAAGCATTAGAACAAATACTGAATGCATGCGGGGCTTAAAACCTAGATGATGGGTTGATGGGTGCAGCAAACCACCATGGCACATGTGTACCTATGTAACAACCTGCACTGTCTGCACATGTATCCCACAACTTAAGTATAAAGAAAAAACAAGTTAACTTTTTCTTTATCATTCACAGTGGGTTGGGTTTCTATTATACTGGCTGCTTCAGGATGGTGGGGAACATAGTAACATAGTAAGACCAGTGAATTCCATGAACTTGGTCCCATTGCTCCAATTCATTTGCTGTGAAGTGAGCTCCATAATCAGGAGGAATGTTGTGTGGAATACCATGACAGTCAAGAAGGAATTCTATAGGTCCATGGATGGTAGCTTCAACAGAAGAATTGTGCATAGGGAAGACATTTCTGTATCCAAGTAAGTATCTATTCCACTAGGAGCAAAACACTACTTCTTTCATGATAGATGAAGTCCAATGTAATCAACTTGACATCTAGCTTAATGCTTACTGATTGGGGACTCAGTGTTGGCTTCTTTTGCTGGTTGATTGAGCACCTCACAATGGCCCTAGACAGGTTGGCTTTGGTAAGTGGAAATGCATGTAGCTAAGCCCAGGCATAACATCCATCCCTATTACCACAGCCACCTCAGGCCTACTGGTATCCATAGATGGGTCATTCTATCCTCTTGATTATTAAAATTCTCCTCAGCTGAAGATTTTAATAATCAAGAGGATACACAGGTCAACATCCACATGAGCTACAAATACTGTCTTAGTCCACTTGTGCTGCTATAGCAGAATACCACAGATAGAGTAATTTACAAAAAAACAAAAACGTACTTTTTCAGAGTTCTGGAGGGTAGGAAGTCAAGATCAAGATGCCATCAGATTGGATTTTCTGGTGAGGACTGCTATCTGCTTCCAAAATGAATCCTTCTTGCTGCATCCTCTGGAGGGTAGAAACACTGTATCCTTACATGGTTGAAGGTGGAATGGCAAAGCAAACTGAAGCATTCTGCTCATGGCTTCCCAAAATTCATATCCTTTTCATATGCAGAATACATTAAATTCTATCCTAATAGCCCCAAAGTTTTAGCACATTTCAGCATCAACTCAAAAGTCTAAAGGCTAAAGTCTCATCTAGATATCATCTAAATCAGATTATGAGTAAGACATAAAGTATTTTTCATTCTGAGGTAAATTACTCTCTAGATATAAACCTATGAAATCAAACAAGTTATGTGCTTCCAAAATACATGATGGGACAGAACAAATATTTCAATTCCAAAATGGAGAAATAGAAAAGAAGGAATAACAGGTCTCAATTAAGTCCAAAACCCAACAGTGCAAACAACATTAAATCTTAAGTCTTCAGGATAGCCTTGATGTTATGTCCCGCTTTCCAAATACACCGTGTTAGGGGTTGCATCAATAAGGCTCCTGGTTCCTTGCCTCTCTGTCTTTGTTGAGTGCATCCTACACCGCAGGTCCTATGGATTGCAGTCCAGTGCCTGTAGTTCTCAGGATGCCACTGTAGCTAGTGGCTATACCGGTCTGAGGTCTCCTGGCAGCTCTGTTTCCATAGATCTACGGAAAATTGCCCCATTTGGGAGTCTCTGTGGTGGCTCTGACCCTGTGACACGTCTCTGCTTGGGTGTTGAGATTATCTGAGGCATCCCCTGAAATCTAGGTGGAGAAATCCGTGTGTCCATTCTGCAGGCTTGTGAATTAGCATCACATGGATGTCACCAAGGCTTACCAATTCTGCACTCTGGGGCAGTAGCTTCAGCTGCAGGTGTGCACACCTGAGACACAACTTCCATTCAACTTAGCTGGCAAAGGAGTTCTGTGTCATAATGCAGAGAGCAGAGACTTAAGGGGGCCCTGGGCAGTGAGTTTCCAGGTCCCCTCAAAGTCCTGGCGCTCTGGGACTGGCAGAGTCCAGTCCCAGATATGGGATATGGCAGGCTTGAAGATCTCTGAAATACTTTTGGACTCATTCTTGCATTGTCTTGATGAATAGCAGCTGGCTTTCTTCTATTATAAATAGACTAATATAGTGATCAAATGATCACTTGGTCACACCATTGACTTTCTTTTTGGAACATCCATCATTACTGTTTACATGACCAGGCTGAAAATTTTCTAAATCTTTACATTCTCCTTCCCTTTTGATGACAAATTCCATCTTTTAATAGCTCCTCTCTCCTTGCATTTTACTATAAGCCATTAAGAGAAGCCATGCAGCTCCCTCAACACTTTGCTGCTTATAGATTTGCCTTCCACGAAGTCCTAAGACACAGATACAACTCGGCCAAGTTCTTTGCCACTTTGTAATAAGGAGAGTGTTTCCTCTAATTTCCAATAAGATAGTCCTCATTTCCATCTAAGACTTCATCAGAATATTTTTTATCATCCATATTTCTGCCCACATTCTGTTCATGACCACTCTAGTAATCTCTAAGAAGGATAAGGCTTTCCCTACCGCTCTTCCCTTGTGAATTCTAACCAGACTTGTCCTTAGTGCTTCATTCTTGAAAAATACGGGCTTTTTTCATCATTCACTTCAAAACTGCTATAGCCTCTACTCATTACCCCTATCCAAGACATTTCCACATTTTAGGTATTTGTTATAGGAACACTCCACTTCTTGGTACATATTTCTGTCTTGGCCTATTTGTGCTGCTATAACAGAATGCCAGAGACCGAGTAGTTATAAATGACGAAAATTGATTTTATCACAACTCTAGAAGCTGGTATTTTCAAGATCCAGATGCTGACAGGTTTGGATGTCTGGTAGGGGTCCCCTCCCTGCTTCCTAGATGATGCCTTGAAAGCTCTTCTGGAGGAGAGGAACACTGTGTTCTCACGTGGTGAAAGGCAGAAGAGCAAGGAAACTGAAGGCTGTGGGAAAACTTTTCTAATAAGGGCTTTACGCCCATCAACAAGGAAAGAAGCCCTTATGACCTAAGCACCTACTAAAGGCCCCACCTCTTACTACTATCACACTGGCCATTGTTTCAACACCTGAATTTTGGAGGGGAAACATTCAAACCATAGCAGATATCTATATAATTTACACCCAGTTAGAGACATCTCTCCCAGCACCTTGCCTCAAATATCATTGTCACCAGTTTTCTAATTATGCTCCTTTCAAGTCCCTGATCATCCAGCTTAATCATTAGACATAGCTCATAAATTGATATATAATCACACATTTATTCATTTCTCCTTTTAAGCAAATTGAACAACCAAGTACATCATTTAGGATTTTTCTAACTGGGAGGATTTCCTTTCACCACTGTCCTTCAGAAAAGTCCCAGAAAGGAGCTGTAGTACGGTAGCCACCAAAATATTGCGCAGTGCTTGATTATGTTGCACAACCATCTGTATCCAGGCCTGAGTCTTCTCTTTCAGTGTCAGTTGATTATAAGAACCTCCCCATGAGATTGTTGCTGAAGGCTCGCAGGGATAAGGCAGTGTAGCAGGGGTAGGGACCATGAGCATATGGGCCACTTCATATAATTTACCTGTTGCGTTAGTCTGTTCTTGCATTGCTATAAAGAACTATCAGAGACTGGGTAGTTTTTAAAGAAAAGAGATTTAATGGACTCACAGTTGCAAAGTCTGTACAGGAAGCATGGTTTGGGGGGGCCTCAGGTAACTTACAATCATGGGGGAAGTTGAAGTGGAAACATGCATGTTGTACATGTCCAGAGAAGGAGGAAAAGAGAGAAGGGGGGAGGTGCTACACACTTTTAAACAACCAGATCTCATGAGAACTCACTATCATGAGAACAGAAAGGGGGAAGTCCACCCCTATGATCCAATCACCACACACCAGGCCCCTCTGCTAACACTGGGGATTGGAATTCAACATGAGATTTGGGTGGAACAACAAATCCAAACCATATCACTATCCGTGATCCAAGTACAGATGATTTTATTTCTTTAATAAATACTATTACTATCGAGAAAGTTACATGTCACTATTTAAATATGAAATATAAATATTGCGAGAAAGTAAATTCAATTTTATATTCTGAGTGGATGCTCCTTAACATGTTATTTTGTTAATGCTCTAACGAAAATTCTGAACATGCTACCACCATTTTCAAATCATTCAATAATACTTCATTGGATTTTATGTAAGTTGGGGTAAAGAACATATCCTTGAACTACCTGTTGAGGTCACACCCATGCTGGCCTCCCTGAACACACCTGGTCCTTCCTGCTTCTCTCTTTGCATAACAGCCACACTTATCATTTGTTGTTTCTTCAATGATCAAGGCTCTCTGATAATCTAGATCTTCCCATGATGAAGACCTGTTGAATGGCAAATGTCCACAGGCATCACCTTGTTAGAAATGAAGGCTCTTGAGAAACCCACACCAGAACTGCTGAAAAAGAATCTGCATTTTGACAACATCACTAGGAAAGTCATAGGCATTATAGTTTGAGAAGCACAGACCTAGGACACCTCCCACTGCAAGCCACTCCCTGGCTTTGTTTTACATTTGCTCCTTGTCTTCGTCCTAGTAAAATTTCCTCTCAGATTTTAGCTTACAATGGGGGATCTACATATATGTCTAAAATTTGCATGTCTGAAATTTGCATGGCAAGGACAACTGTATTTGAGGTTGCTCCCAAAGAGGATCTAGAACTTTGGCTTTATTAAAATTATGTTTTGGTTACCTCAAATAAGACTATACTGAGTAAAGCACTAACAGTAAATTTTACATATAAACTAAAGTTTGAGCAAATATGCCAGAAGTGTCATCCATGGTGGTAAATAGTAACATAAAGTGTTATTTCAATTGTTAAAACTAGAAGTGTCTACCATGAAATGATGTTTGTGACTCCAGAAGTCTGTAATGCCCGTGGGGACAACCTGGACTTACACATGTGCAAATGCACAATGCCCATTAGAACAGCTTCAATTTGTCCTACAGGGAGTCCTCTGACACTCTTATGAGAATTTCAGTTTTCCACTCCTTCCTCTGGCAAAAGTCCCCAGTTGCACAACTGGGCCACTTATATGCTCAAATGAAATTTAATAAACAACATTTTACTGTGCTTGGAAAATGAAACCTTCAAAAAGAATGAGTATGCAATGAATGGCTACCTGTGTTATTGACATTGCTGTGCTACTGTATGCATTTCTTTTTAGAAAGCACAACATGTTTAAAGGATATCCATAACTTCCTTCAAAATATGGGTAAGGAAGAAATAATTTCTCTAATTTTCATTATCATTTATAGAAATGTTGATAATGCCATTTAATTCATTAACATTTTAGATTGGGTAACAAGCTGTCATAATAGCAAGTACTAAACTGGATGACTCTGACTGGACTATTTTTATATTATAGTTTTATGACTATAATATTGATAAATAGTTATAAGACTGAATTGTTCCTTTAATATTTTACTATTTTCTTGATCTTATTATAATGAATTAATATGAACTAGGGCATTAAGCAATTAAAACCTGGTTTAAAAGTTCAGATTACAATGATTCTTAGAATTATTTCTTGGAATTGTTCTGATATAAATACTCATTCCTTTTAATTGACCATATTCTCCAATTAAAACTTTTAAGGTAAATCACTTACATATTGACTCCTGTATCCTTACGCTCATGTTTGACAATAATTTGGCATCTCACACTGTAAATGTTATTGATGCGTATAAAGGTTGCATTAAGCAGAGTCCTGGTATTTCTGCTTTGGCTACTTTTGAAACCAATATCTTTTGTCCCTGTATTTCTCTCTCTCTCCATATTCCAAATGTAGGATCAATGTGTTTAATTGGCCATCCTAGATCATTTCCCTTTATTCTAGATGTAAGAAGAATGGAAAAATGAGTTTCTAGTTCTTTTGGCTTCCAGGGCAGTAGATAACCTCTGACAGCCTCTATGTCTTGGATGGCAAAATAAGGTCACATCTTGGCCATTTACAGGACATATGTTCACTTTGTTACCTCTTTAATATAACTGGCTTGAGTTGATTTTCTTGCCGCCCTTTTTGTTTCTTTTTTACTCTCCAATGGATACATCATTCTTAATTATGCCTTTGACTACCGCAATGAATCCAAGTAATCATTTCTATTGAACTCTAATGGGCTCATATTACTGATCAGAACACACCTAGTTGTCCAGATGATGCTCACTCAAAAAACTTGTCAGAATACCTGAGTTCTCAATGTTTAATTTCCATCTTCCCAGTCACCAGATAACTCCTCTCTCCTTCACTGACCACTTCATTCCCACAAAATATGTCACAGAATACTAGAGACTCAACATTCTGAATTCTTTAGAATATATCTCTTTGTCTTACCATCTCTTTCAATGTCATATCACACAAAGACTAGACACTTAACATGCATTTGAATCAACTGGAGGGTATTTTCAAATAAAGACCCTAAGACCTCATTCCTGAAATAATTTCTATATTAAAACCTCACAACCTATATTTTTCAAAAAAACTCTCTCAGATACTATTTATGGGTAATC
This sequence comes from Homo sapiens, assembly GCF_000001405.40. Classification (NCBI taxonomy): domain Eukaryota; kingdom Metazoa; phylum Chordata; class Mammalia; order Primates; family Hominidae; genus Homo; species Homo sapiens. The sequence continues at coordinate 98,206,853 of NC_000003.12, forward strand.
TGATTAGGGATTGCCTGGAACTTACTACAAGTTTCTAATTTGTATCCCTGAGTCCAGTTTCTTCTTCTTGCAGCATATTTTCTACACTATCAAAAACTAAATTTAAAAAATATATTAGGATATAATGTCCCATCTTAAAATTTTTGGCACATGCTTATTATATGAAGAATAAAGGTTAAAATTCTTCACATGGCATTTATTTCATTTTTTTTTAAAATTCAGACCCTTCAAAAGTCTTTCCTGTTGACACTGGATCATATGCCAGACTCACAATTTTTCTACTGCACTCAATAGTGTCCATAGAAATATACTGCATACAGAGAACGAGCCTCTTTTTATTAAAATCTGTTAATTACTGCACAGTTTCAAACCAAAATATATGATTTTTTTCCATTTTTTCATTGTAACAAATACCGTTTCATCAGTTATAGGACTGATTAAAAAATTGAGAGGGTTATGATCATTTTAGGGTTTGCTTCAACACCTCTTCCCCAATTTCAACTCATAATGCCATTGCAAATGTTTCCTTTCATTTGTTGCATTTTATTTTAGAGGACATGCAGTGAGGACATGGAAGAGGAAAATGCAACATTGCTGACAGAGTTTGTTCTCACAGGACTTTTATATCAACCACAGTGGAAAATACCCCTGTTCCTGACATTCTTGGTAATATATCTCATCACCATCATGGGGAATCTTGGTCTGATTGCTGTCATCTGGAAAGACCCTCACCTTCAGATCCCAATGTACTTACTCCTCGGGAATTTAGCTTTTGTAGATGCTTGGATATCATCTACAGTGACTCCAAAGATGCTGAATAACTTCTTAGCTAAGAGTAAGATGGTATCTCTGCCTGAAAGCAAAATACAGTTTTTTTCGTTTGCAATCAGTGTAACCACTGAATGTTTTCTCTTGGCAACAATGGCATATGATCGCTATGTAGCCATATGCAAACCTTTACTTTATCCAGCCATTATGACCAATGGACTGTGCATCCGGCTATGTAGGTGGTCTTCTTCATGCTTTAATCCATGAAGGATTTTTATTCAGACTAACCTTCTGTAACTCCAACGTAGTACACCACATTTACTGTGACATTATCCCATTGTCTAAGATTTCTTGTACTGATTCTTCTATTAATTTTCTAATGGTTTTTATTTTCTCAGGTTCAATTCAAGTTTTCACCATTGGGACTGGTCTTATATCTTATACATTTGTCCTCTTTACAATCTTGAAAAAGAAATCTGTCAAAGGTATAAGAAAAGCCTTCTCCACCTGTGGAGCTCATCTCTTATCTGTATCTTTATACCATGGGCCCCTCGACTTCATGTATATGGGCTCTGCATCCCCACAGGCTGATGACGAAGACATGATGGAGTCTCTATTTTACACTGTCATAGTTCCTTTATTAAATCCCATGACCTACAGCCTGAGAAACAAACAAGTAATAGCTTCATTCACAAAAATGTTCAAAAGAAATAATATTTAGATCTCTTACTCATCTCTCTTTTCTATTTACTAAAATAATCACAAAATTGTGCAAATTAGAGGTACCTATGTTTTTGCCAGCATTAAAAGATTTTGCAATTATAACTGTGCTAGCACTTTAATGACCTATGATGTTAATACCTACTTAACTAATTAAAATACTCCTATGTTCCTATGTTATTCAAAAGCATTTGAGAAATTTTAATCAAGTGTTCATAATAGAATAATGATAGCAGGAAGCAAATAAAAATATTGTACAGTATGGTATGTTAATCAATGTGTCTTATAAATGCATCAAATGCAAAATAGTCTAGTTCATCTGATAAGCACTTAAGTATGATGTTTTTGATACTAACACAACTGTATTACCTGAGACATCTATCATATTTATCTTCATAGTGAAGGTTGATATGTGTTTAGAGGAAGGCAGGTAGATCCCAAGAATTCTGCTAGCTTTCAAGAGGTCTTTCATTCCACTTAATTGCAAAAGAGGGAATTTTACTTCTTGTAGGAAGTCAACTCACATATCAAACAGAGTAACAGAAATGGAAATGCAATGAGGACAAAATGAGAAGTGTTTAACAGTGAAGGCACTGCCAGTGTGCAAGAAGGCAAGAGAGTGCTGTTAACTCTGTGTGCTTGTATGAGTAAGAAGAGGCACGCAGCCTCTAACTTTCTAAGATCGCTTCTAAGGGACTTAGCAGCTGTGATAGTGTTTTCAGACAATCTGAAAAGCTTCCCTAAATCGGAAAATTAAATGAATATACAGAACTTAGTTTGAAGTAGTCATAGAAAAGGAAAGACAAATGGCATAGTAGGAAGAAAAGGGTCTTCATTTTCCTAGAAAAAATAAATGAAGCTACTAAGATTTTAAAAGTCAGTGATGTTACAAGGTTATTGGAATGTGTTCTTGACAACCAGGGGCTTTAAATTTTTATCACCAAAGTTCAAAGAATTTTAAGATGACACGACATCATAGTGTCCAGTGATTTGGAAGAAAAACATGAAAAATGAGGAAGAGTTTGGATATTTTCTGCTTCAAAAAGCCCTTGTTACCTTTCTTTTCACTTCATACTCTTGAAGTATATGAGTCATCCATCTACCATTCCACTCTGCCCTTTATCTTTTGACACTGAAATTCATTTCACTTTGTCACTGATACCAAGGCCCTTACCCTAAAAATTACTCACAGGTTGTTTTGAAAACCTCTAGTTATTTCCTCCATCCTTCTAGCACTCATTTATTCCCCCATTTTGCTGTCAGATTGTTTTTTCAATTCTTTCAATTTTTTTTTGTTGGATCGTCATTGCTACCTGATTATATATGTATATGTGTTTTAGATGTCAATATATGTATACATATGCTTATGTATACATGAGAGGAGAGAAAGGCTTTTGTTGACTTAATGTGGAAGTAAGGCAAAAAGAAACTCTTTTGCTTAAAGTGGAGCAGTAGCATTATTTGGATTATTCCAGTAGAAAGTTCCTACTTAGAGGCTAGTTGATGATTTCAGATTGGTTAAAGTAAACTTTTGTTAAGAACCTACCATCAGAGTGAACAGGCAACTACAGAATGGGAGAAAATCTTTGCAATCTATTCATCTGACAAAGGGCTAATATCCAGAATCTACAAGGAATTTAAACAAATTTACAAGACAACCCTATCAAAATGTGGGTGAAGGATATGAACAGACACTTCTCAAAAGAAGACATTTATGTGACCCACAAACATATGAAAAAAAGCTCATCATCATTGGGCGTTAGAGAAATGCAAATCAAAACCACAATGTGATACCATGTCACACCAGTTAGAATGGCGATCATTAAAAAGTCAGGAAACCACAGATGCTGGAGAGGATGCGGAGAAATGGGAACACTTTTATACTGTTGGTGAGAATGTAATTAGTTAACCATTGTGGAAGACAGTGTGGTGATTCCTCAAGGATCTGAAACCAGAAATACCATCTGACCATCAGTCCCATTATTGATTACATACCCAAAGACTTATTTATCATTCTGTTATAAAGACACATGAAGACGTATGTTTATTGCAGCAGTATTCACAATAGCAAGCACTTGGAACCAACCCAAAGTCCCATCAAGTATAGACTGGATAAAGAAAATGTGGCACATATACACCATGGAATACTATGCAGCCATAAAAAAGAATGAGTTCATGTCCTTTGCAGGGACAAGGATGAAGCTGGAAACCACCATTATCAGCAAACTAACACAGGAACAGAAAACCAAACACCGCATGCTCTCACTCTGTCAGGAGGTGGAGGGAAGGGGAGGGAGAGCATTAGGACAAACACCTAATGCATGCAGGGCTTAAAACCTAGATGACGGGTTGATGGATGCAGCAAACCACAATGGTACATGTATAACTTTGTAACAACCTGCATGATCTGCACATGTATCCCAGAACTTAAAGTATAAAGAAAAAGAAAAAGTTAATTTTTGTTTTACCATTTACAATGAGTTGGGTTTCTGTGTGCTTACGTAGAAACCCACTTTGCTGGAGCCACCTCAGCCTAATGTTCAATTTTATTATAGAATAAATTATTACTCAAATATATTATTTACTATTTTCTCCCTTTTGTTTCACTTCTCAATTATAGGATATTGGTGGGATATTATGGGAATTATGGGATATGGGATATTGACCAATACTCAGATACACGAGCACTTTCTCACCACCAGAGCTTGTTGTCTTTGTCTCAGCATAAGTTACAATTTCTAGTCTCTTAAAGCAGTGTTTCTTTTATTGGACACTTTGTTTATGCCATTTTAATCTTATGGAGAAAATCTGGTAACTGTGACGGCTATGAATTTGCATTTCAGACTCTTGAGAAAATACAGCATACCAGGAAGGTTACAATGATGACCCTCACGAGGAAAATATCAAGGGACTTGGAATTACTCCACAGCCAAAGTGCCCATGAATGAAATAAAACAAATAAAAAGTTAATGGCTATAGGCCTGGTGTGGTGGCTCACGGCTCTAATCCCACCACTTTGGGAGACTGAGGTGGGTGGACCACTTGAGGTCAGGAGTTCCAGAACAGCCTGGCCAACATGGTGAAACCTGTCTCTACTAAAAATACAAAAAAATTAGCCTGGGGTGGTGGCAGGCACCTGTGATCCCAGCTACTTGTGAGGCTGAGGCAGATGAATCGCTTGAACCCAGGAGGCCGAGGTTGCAGTGATGGTGCTACTGCACTCCAGCCTGGGCAAGAGAGCGAGACTCTGTCTCAGGAAAAAAAAAAAAAAAAAAAAAGGTTAATGGTTATAACAATCTGTGAACTTAGTGTCTGAGCCCAAAGGGCAGTTAGTTGAGAAGATTTTTAGATTTTAAGCTCAAAGCATCTTTTGATGATGGAATAAAATGGCAGTTGCAATCTGTTGATTTTTCTGTTTTGTAGTCTCAGTGTCTCTGATTATGTTATTGGATATTTTGGTGAGCTTTTTAGCAGCCCACTCAGCTGCATGTATGAAGATTGTCCTCTGAAGTTTATATCAAGTTTTCCACACCAAGCTCACAGGGCTTCATGAAAAAGACAATTTATAGGTAGATAATAAAACTCAAAGATAACAGACAGAAGTTGAATTTAATAGCGGATGCACTATAATTTTCTACTGAAATATATTTTGGGTTATTAATTTGGCAGATCATCAGCTTCCCAATGTAGCTTTTGTTTTGTAACTAGGTTAATGAGTTGAAGGTGGATCCCACTGATGAATAGGACAAGTATTTTCTATGCTGAACTCAACATGAATTGACCAGAATGTTTTACAAATCATACTTCTAATCTTGCCTTATAGTCAGAGATTAGTTCCTCCCATTTTGTTTATAAGATTACGTATCAGACCAGTGAGTTTTTAAAGAAATACTTGGGGAATGGATTCTAGAGGATTATTTGTTATTTTCCCACCCTGTTTTATTCCTTTTCTGGAAGATTGAGGGGTTGGATCTTTGCTATCTATCTTAGGTGCCTCACATTTGGCTTCAGCTACTGGAGTTTCAGCTGCAGTTTGAATGAGGAGGACAATTTTACAAATTTACATGGGGTTGGCTTCTGAAGGGAACCTAGATCTTTGGCCTTATTAAAATCATGTTTTGACCAGCTCTGATGAGACTATACTAATCACAGCATTCAGAGCATCCTATTTTATGTACAAACTAAAGTTTGCATATAATGTCTGAAGTGTTATGTGTTGTGGATAATAGTAGCATAAAGTGTAATTTCAATTGTTAAAACCCAAACTGGGTATGGTGACTTAATGTCTATGTTTCTAAACTCTGCAGTACCCTGTAGGATAATCTGTATTTCTCATACACATCTAAATCCATGATGCCCAGTTGAAGTTCTTCACTTTGTCCTCTACTTCTTTCTTTCCTGGTGAAAATGGAGATATAATATTGGTCAACACTTGTTGCGGGAAGTCAGGGACCCCAAAAAGAGGGATCGGCTGAAGCCATGACAGAAGAACGTGGATTGTGAAGATTTTATGGACATTTATTAGTTCCCCAAATTAATACTTTTGTAATTTCTTATGCCTGTCTTTACTGCAATCTCTAAACATAAGTTGTGAAGATTTCATGGACACTTATCACTTCCCCAATCAATACCCTTGTGATTTCCTATGCCTGTCTTTACTTTAATCTCTGAATCCTGTCAGCCGAGGAGGATGTATGTCACCTCAGGACCATGTGATAATTGCATTAACTGCACAAATTGTACAGCATGTGTGCTTGAGCAATATGAAATCTGAGCACCTTGAAAAAAGAACAGGATAACAGCAGTTGTTCAGGGAATAAGAGAGATAACCTTAAATTCTGACTGCTGGTGAGCCAGGCAGAATAGAGCTGTATTTCTCTTCTTTCAAAAGCAAATGGGAGAAATATCACTGAATTCTTTTTCTCAGCATAGAACTTCCCTGAGAAAGAGAATGCACACCTGCGGGTGGGTCTCTACACTGGTCCCCCCGGGGGTGTGGCCATCTCTTAGGGTCCAGTCTGCAGAGATGAAATAAGCTCCAGTCTCCCATAGTGCTCCCAGGCTTATTAGGAAGAGGAAATTCCCACGTAATAAATTTTGGTCAGACCAGTTTATCTCAAAACCCTGTCCCTGATAAGATGTTATCAATGACAATGGTGCCCGAAGCTTCATTAGCAATTTTAATCTCGCCTCGGTCCTGTGGTCCTGTGATCTCGCCCTGCCTCCACTTGCCTTGTGATATTCTATTACCCTGTTAAGCACTTGATATCTGTCACTTACAGCTATTCACACACTCCCTCCCCTTTTGAAAATCTCTAATAAAAACTTGCTGGTTTTTGCTGCTTGTGGGGCATCACGGATCCTACCAACGTGTGATGTCGCCCAGCTTTAAAATTTCTCTCTTTTGTACTCCGTCCCTTTATTTCTCAAGCCAGCTGATGCTTAGGAAAAATAGAAAAGAGCCTACGTGATTATCGGGGCAGGTCCCCCGATGAACACTTGTGTTGAAAGCAAAGTTTTATAAACAATATTTTTCTGAGTTTGGAAATGAAGCCTCCAAAATGCATCAGTGTGCAAAGATGTGCTGCCTGTGTTATTATCAGATATGCTCTATTATGTATTTTTCTCTGCTTTAGAAAGCCTAATACTTTTAAAGGATCTCTGTAATTTCTTTCTATATTAGTAAGAGGAAAATTATTTTATCATATCCATTATTATTTTTAAAGAAATTTTAAAAGGCTATTTAATATATAATAATTTTGTATTTGGTTTACAGCATGCCAAGATTGCTGGGAACAAAAAGAGTGAAGAATCTTGATATCTCATTATTATGTCTAAAATCTTGAAAACCAAAACACCTATTAAAATAAATTTTAAAATGATAATTTATTATCTTTTTAACCTGACTATAATGATGTTATAAATTCTGGCTAATTAAAATTTTTAAAGCTGGGTTTAAATCTTCAATTCACTCTGATTGTTACATAAGAAACTTTTCTGATGGTTGTTATGTAGTTTCATTCTGTATAATCACATTCTGCAATGAAAAATTTATGATCCGTCAATTAAATATTTTTTCCTCTATACTTTCACCACTTCTCTCCATAATTTCATTGATTATTTCTTATATATGGTGTATAAATTATAAATAATTAAATCCATAGAAATACCCATTTTTCATATTCATTTTAGATACACATGGTAATACTAGCAATAGTTATAGTATATGTATATCTATGCATATATCTCAGAAAATATGCAGAAAATGTACTTCCCTAAACTTATTAGCATTTACGATTTTAAAAGCACCTTGAAACAACTTGAATTTTAGAGTTGTTCATTATTTTGTAATTTGAGATTTCAGGGAAGGATTGCATGAGATTGTCTATTAAAAATTTACAAGTAGAATTACTGTCCTTTATTTATTACAATGTTTGTATTAGGATCCAGTCTTTGTTTTGGTTGATTCTGCTAAAAATAATCAAAGAAAAAAACTGACAGAGAAGAAAGTGTTCTTAAAGTCAGCAACATTTCTTGAGAAATTTAGTTTTAATCACTGTAATAGCAAAGATAAAGCAACATTTAAATACGGAGTAAACTTTCAGAAAATGCTGATATATTCATGAACAGTGGAAAATTTATGGGGGAAAATTATACTCAAAGTCTCTTTATCATACACAAATTGCATAGGAAAATGAACTTTGAAATTTTTTTTAAAGAAAATGAAAAGACTCTCAGAGCTCTCTGTGGCATTCATGAACACCAGAGTTAATGCACAGGTTCAACACAAGCTTCTGAGCTCGTCCCTCTATTTTGCCTTAGTGCATCTATGATACTTCCTCTCTCCCTGTTTTGTGGCTTGTCTTTTTACACCTACCCACCTATGACTTCATTATTCTCTGCCTATTTTTCTTCCTCATTCTTGTTGTACTTCACCCACCCACACAAATTTCCCTTTCCCCTTTTTCTATCCTTTATCTCCTCTCGACATCATCTTCTCCTGTTCTCTCAATTGTCTATCTTTACTTTTGAGAACTCTTCTTAAATCTTCCACAGGCGGAAAAATATTAAATTACTCTGTGACCAGTAACACATGCCAACTGTTTTCTACATGTCTTAGAGGACTCTATCACATTCCTTCACTGCTGCTTGTCTCCCATTCACTTCTTATTTGCAGACCATTACTCTATTACATATAGGAAACGGTTCTCACTAAAGCCACTAAAAATCACTTAATTTAATTTAATTTTTGTTTTGTTATGCTTTTTGAGATGGAATCTTGCTCTGTTGCCCAGGCTGGAGTGCAGTGGCATGATCTCAGTTCATCGCAACCTCTACCTCCTGGGTTCAAGAGATTCTCCTTCCCCAGCCTCCCGAGTAGCTGGGATCACAGCTGCCCACCACCATGCCTGGCTAATTTTTCTTTTCTTTTTTTAAATATTTTTAGTAGCGATGAGATTTCACCATGTTGGCCAGGCTGGTCTTGAACTCCTGACCACAGGTGATCTGCCCACCTCAGCCTCCCAGAGTGCTGGAATTACAGTAGTAAGCCACTGTGCCTGGAAAAAAAAAATCACACAAAAAATCACTTAATTTCTATATGCAGTGATTTCCTTTCACTCCTTGTCCTACTAGAGCATTTAGTTTGTCATTTTCCCCTGTACTTCACTGCATCACACTTCACATCTTCCCTCTCTCTTTATGTCCACAACATTCAGCTTTTTAGTTCCCTCCCACTTCTTCCCTTCAACACTCTGCTCAGTATCCTTTTCTCTTGTCTCCCTGGTCTCTCTTTTGAAAATCCCAGGGCTTTGGGTTGCAACAGGAAGTAAGTTATTGAATTGATATTTACCACTGAAATCACAGTGAAGTTGGAGAAGTCAGCTGGACAGTATGGCAGCAACAGGAGGAAGCAAAACAGCCAGTCAGCAGCCAAAATCTTATTCTGATAGCAGCTTCATGAGGGTGGTTGTTTCTGCTTCTGTGCTTCCAATGACACAGCTTACATTTTCAATGGCATTGTTCTAGATGCAGGATGCACATGATAGGATCTTGATATTTTTGCTTCAACTGACTTTGCACTATTTTTTTCTTTATTCGTGTGCATTTGTCTCCATCTATCTCCAAATCTTGGATGGGTTTGGTTGGAAAATCTAGGTGAAATTCTTTGTCTGCCACAGTCATGTAGCAGAAAAGTGTTCCAGATTTTATCCATCTCATGAATGACCTTTTTACATAACCTTTTTACATAACTTTCTCAAGTTGTTTTTTCATTTTTTACAAACAAAATCAATATTTTTTTCAGATATGAAAGTTACATATGCAGGTTTGCTACATGTGCATATTGGAAGCCGGTAGTGACCATAGTACCCAATAGGTAGTTTTTCAAACCATTACTCCACCCTCCTCTCACCACGCTGTTAGTCTGCAGTACCTATTATTCCCATGTTTATTTCCATTTGTGCTCAATGTTTATCTCTAAGTTATAAGTGAGAACATGCGTCATTTGGTTTTCTGTTCCTGAATTAGGATTAAACCTGCTTAGGATTATGGCCTCTAGCTGCATCCATGCTGTTGCAAAGGACATGATTTTATTTTCTTTACAGCTGCATACTATTTTATGGTGTGTATTTACCCCATTTTTTAATCCAATTAACCACTGGTGAATGGCAAGTTTCATTCCATGTCTTGCTATTTTGAATAGCATGGCAATGAATATATGAGTGCATGTATCTTAATAAATAAAACAGCATGTTCCTGGTACAAAAACAGACACATAGACCAATGGAAAAGAGTAGAAAATTCAGAAATTAATCCATGCACTTACAACCATCTGATCTTCAACAAGCAATAGAGAAAGGATCCCCTATTCAATAAATGGTCCTGGGACAACTGGCTAGACATATGCAGAAGTAAAAAGTGGATCCTTACCTTTCACCATATAAAAAATTAACTTGAGATAAACTAATATTTAAATGTAAGACCTCAAATTATAAAAATCATACAAGAAAGCCTAGAAAATATTCTTCTTGACATTAGATTTGGTAAATATTTTTTGGCTATGTTCCCAAAAGCAACTACGATAAAAACAAAAACTGAAAAATGGGTCCTAATTAAACTAAAGAGCTTCTGGACAACAAAAGGAACTATCAACAGAGTATACAAACAACCAAGAGAATGGCAGAAATTATTCACAAACTATGCATCTAACAATTTGCTAATATTTGTAATCTATCTATAAGGAACTTAAATCCACAAGAAAGAAACAGATAAACCCATTAATAATAGGGCAAGGAACATGAACAAATGTTTCTTGAAAGAAGAGACACAAATGGTCAACAAACAATGAAAAAATGCTCATCATCGGTAGTCATCAGAGAAATGCAAATCAAAACCAGAATGAGACACCATCTCACACTAGTCAGAATGGCTTTTTTAAAAGTAAAAAACCAACAGATGCCAGAAAGGCTGTGGAGAAAAGAGAGTGTTTATACACTGTTGGTGGGAAGGTGTATTAATTAGTTCAGCCACTGTGATTAGCAGTCTATAGATTTCTCAAAGTAGTTAAAAAAGAGCTATCGTTTAACCCAGCAATCCAATTACTGCATATATACCAAAAGATAATTAGATCATTACACCACCAAGCGTTTTTGTTTGTGCTCTGTTTCTCTTTCTTCCTGTTCTCTAGAATAGGTAAAACATCCATAACTATGGCTTCTGACTTGCAAATTATTTTTTCTATTGCTCTAGTAGAATTATATTACTAATACTAAACAGTTCACCTATATGTTCAAAGCATGCTCACACTACACACTTGTCAATGCATCTGAGTCCTCAGTCTGTATTTTGGATGACAAACTGCCCACTCACGAAGTGACTCCTTTTTTCCTTCACTGAAATTACTTTCCAATCAAATATGTGACTAAGTCCCAGTGGTGCTACATTCTGAATGCTTCAGCATCTATTTCTGAATTCTCCTCATTGTTGCCAACATTATATTACACAGGGATGAGGCAATTTAATTTAATTTTGTGTCATGTCAATATCTATCTCTGTATATTAAGCTGCTTAGTCCAGTCTTCAGAAGAGTTTTCAGTGACTCCTTTATTATCTATGTAGTATTTTCCCACTTCTTTGTCTCTTTCTAGAAAAATCCTATGAAAACAGATAATTGATTTACATGTCTACCAAGCAAATATGCCCTTTGCATACCAACTAGCTTAACATCCATGATCTAAGTTATATTTTTTCTTTAAGGAGTCCTTTTACAGCCAAAAAATTTACATGGACTATTTAAATATGAAATATGAATATTTCAAATAAGTATATTACGTTTTATTTCCTAATGGATGCTCATTAACGTTACTCTATATGTACTCCAAAGAAAAATCTGAACATGTTACCACCATTTTCAAAATCCTTCAATAGTTTTTTTCTGTAAATTGAACTACACTCCAAGGTTCGTTTAAAGTTTTCCCATACTGGCCTCACTGAACACATCTGACCCTTCTCTGCTTCTCTGTTTGCATACCAGTCACATTTATCATTTATTGTTTCTCCATGATCAAGTATCTCTGATAATCTAGGTCCTCCCATGATGAAGGCCTGTTGGATGCAAATGTCCACAGTCATCACTGTGTTAGAAATAAAGGCTCCTGAATGACTCACGCCAGAACTACTAAAACAGAGTCTGCATTTTTGACAACATCACTAGGAAAGTCATAGGCATTATAGTTTGAGCAGCACAGATATAGGACACCTTACAGTGTGGTGTCTGTGTTTTTCGATTTGCTCTCCTGTTGAACTATGCCTAATAAAGTTTCCCATGAGATTTTAGCTTACAACAGGGGAACAAGGTTTATGTCAAAAATTTGAGCTGTAATTTGCATGGGGAAGACAACCGTATTTGGGTTTGGCTCCTGAGGGAATCAGAGACTTTGGCCTTGTTAAAATTATGTTTTGATTACTTCGGAGGAGACCATCCTAATCAAAACACTAAGAGTAGATTTCATATGTGAACTAAAACTTGCACAAACATGCCAGAAGTGCCACCTGTGGTGGTAAATAGTGGCATAAGTACTATGTCAATTGTTAAAACTGGAAGTGTCTACATTGAAATGATGGTTATGATTCCAGAATTTGTACTGCCATTTGAGACAACCTGCACTTCTCATACATGACCAAATCCACCGTGCTCACTAGAACAGCATCGATTTGTCCTACAGGGAGTCTTCTGGCACTCTTATGAGAATTTTGGTTTTTCTGCTCCTTCATCTTCTGGCAAAAGTACAGAGTTGTACTACTGAATGATTCTATGTTCAATTCAAATTTATATTAACAACATTTTCCTGAGAATGGGAAAAGAAACATCCAAAAAGAATGAATATGCCATGAATTGTTGGCATTCCTGTGTTGTTATATTTTATTTCTGTTTTAGAAAGCCTAATGTTTTTTATTTTTAATTTTTTTTTTTTTTTTACAGAGTCTCACTCTGTCACCCAGGCTGCAGTGTAATGGTGCTATCTTGGCTCACTGCAACCTCTGGCTCCCAGGTTCAAAAGATTCTCCTGCCTCAGCCTCCCGAGTAGCTGGGATTATCAGGCGCACACCACCACACCCGGCTAATTTTGTATTTTTAGTAGAGATGGGGTTTCACCATGTTGACCAGGCTGGTCTTGAACTCCTGACCTCTGGTGATCTACCCGCCTTGGCCTCCCAAAGTGCTGGGATTAGAGGCGTGAGCCACTGCACCTGGCCAGAGAGCCTAATAGTTTTAAAGGATCTCCACAATTTCTTTCAAAATATGGGTAAGGAAGAAATAATTTCTATAATTTTCATTATGCTTCATAGAAATGTTAAAAGTGTTATTTATTTCATTATAATTTTACATTGGGTACACAATCTGTCTAAATAACCAGGTTGAAATTAGACAACAAATATTGGGTTATCTTTATATTTTAGTTTCATGACTATAATATGGATAGGGTAAATAGTTATAAGACTAAATTGTTATTTTGATGATATTTTAGTATTTTGTTAACGTTATAATGATTTTATAAGATAACTTCTGGTGAACTAGTACGTTAAATAATTAGAACTGGGTTTAAGGATTCAGATCATAATGATTCTTAGAATTATTTCTAAATTTTCTGATACAAATACCCATTCTTTTACTTAATTACATCCTCTGATTAAAGCTTTTAAGGTGAGTCACTTACATATTAACCCTTGTAAACTTATACCCATTTTAACAATAATTTGACAGCTCACACTGTAAATGTTTTTACTGTGGATGAAAGATGCGTTAGGTGGAGTCCTAGTATTTCTGCCTTGGCTGACTTTGCAAAGAAAATCTGCCTTTGTTCCTAAACTATTTTCTCCCTCTTTCTCCATATTCCAAATGTAGCATGAGTGTGTTTCATTGGCCATCCTAGATCATGTCTCTTCACTCTAGAAGCAAGAAGAATGGGAAAATGAGTTTCTAGTTCTTTGGCTTTTAGAACAGTAGGTAACCTCTGACAGCCGCCAAGACTTGGGTGGCAAAAAAGAGGATCAGCTTTTGGCCATCTTCTAAAGGATGCATATCCACTTTGTTACCTCTTTTAATATAATTTCCTTAAGTTTATTTTCTTGTCATTCTTTTTTTTACTTGTCTAATCTCCAATGGATACATCATTTTTAACTATGTCTTTGACTACCACAATGATTCCAAGTAATTATTTCTATGAAGCTATAGTAGGTTCACATTACTGATTGGATGTCACCTAATTGGTCACATGATGCTCACTCCAAAACTTGCCAGCGCAACTGAGTTCCCATCCTCAATATTTAATGACCACTTACCCAGTCACCAAGTGACTCTTCCCTCCTTCATTAACCACTTTTTTTTCTCACCAAATATGTCACAGAATACTAGGGACTCTACATTCTGAATTCTTTTGAATCTATTTCTTTGACTTACCATCTCCTCCAATGACATCACATGGACTAGACCCTTAATATGCTTTTGAATCGCTTTGAGGGTATTTTCAAAATGCAGATCCCTAGACTCTGTTTCTGAAATAATTTCCACATTAAAACCTTGCAATCTGTATTTTTCATAGAAAAAACACTGCTAGGTGATTCTCATGTGTAATCTGATTTGGGATCACCTTGACTTTAGTAACAAGTTTTTGGTTAATATCCATGAGTCAGTTTCCCCTTCCTGTAGCACATTTTCTACACTATCAATCACTAAATTAAAAAATATGTTATGATGCCATTTCCCATCTTAAAACATTTGGTGCATGCTTATTATGTGAAGAGTGAAGTTTAAGATTTTTCACATGGCATTCATTTTATTTATTTTTAATCCAAAACCTTCAAAATCCTTTTCCATTAACATTGCATCCATGTACCAGACACAGGATATTTATGCCACATTCCATAGTGCACACACAAATTTAGTATATGTAGAGAATCCATCTTTTTAATCTAAATCTATTAATTCCTGAAAAATTGTCAAACTAAAATTTATCATTTTTTATTTCTTTAATGCCTCAAATGTATATTCATCAACTATAGCACTGATAAATAAACTTAGGAAACCTCTGATAATTGTACAGTTTATTTCAACACCTCTTCTTCCATTTCAACTCATAATACCACTGCAAATTTTCTTTCACATTTATTGCATTTTATTTTAGAGGACATGCAGTGATGACATGGAAGAGGAAAATGCAACATTACTGACAGAATTTGTTCTCACAGGATTTTTATGTCAACAAGGATTTTTATGGGAAATACCCCTGTTCCTGGCATTCTTGGTAATAGATCTCATCACCATCATGGGGAATCTTGGTCTGATTTTTCTCATCTGGAAAGACCCTCACCTTCATATTTCAATGTACTTATTCCTTGGGAGTTTAGCTTTTGTGGATACTTGGTTATCATCCACAGTGACTCCGAAGATGCTGATCAACTTCTTAGCTAAGAGTAAGATGATATCTCTCTCTGAATGCATGGTACAATTTTTTTTCCCTTGCAATCAGTGTAACCACAGAATGTTTTATCTCGGCATCAATGGCATATGATCGCTATGCAGACATATGCAAACCTTTACTTTATCCAGTCATTATGACCAATGAACTATGCATCTGGCTATTTGTCTTGTCATTTCTAGGTGGCCTTTTTCATGCTTTAATCCATGAAGGTTTTTTATTCAGACTAACCTTCTGTAACTCCAACATGATACAACATTTTTACTGTGACATTATCCCATTGTTAAAGATTTCATGTACTGATTCTTGTATTAATTTTCTAATGTTTTTTATTTTCTCAGGTTCAATTCAAGTTTTAACCATTGGGATTGTTTTTGTATCTTATATGTTTGTTCTCTTTACAATCTTAAAAAAGAAGTCTAACAAAGGCATAAGGGAAGCCTTTTCCACCTGTGGAGCCCATTACATACCTCTCTCTTTATGTTATGGCCTCCTTCTCTTCATGTATGTGGGCCCTGCAGCTCCACAAGCAGATAATCAAGATATGATGGAGTATCTATTTTACCCTATCATTGTGCGTTTGTTAAACCATATTACTACAGCCTGAGAAATAAGCAATAATAGGTTCACTCACAAAAATGTTAAAATAAAATATTTGCATTGCATACTTATCTCTCTTCTCTATTCAATAAAATAGTTACAAAATTATGCTAGTTTGAGGTACCTAAGTTTTTGCCAACTTTCAAATTTTTTTGTAATTATAACTGTCCTAGCACTATAATGACTTAACATGTTAGAACCTAATTAACTAATTAAAATATTCCTATATGTTATGCAAAAGCATTCAAGAAATTTTAATCATGTCATAATGACAGCAGAAAGCAAATAAAAATATTTTATAGATTGTATGTTAATCAATATGTCTTTATCAATGTATTAAACGCTAAAATTATCTAGTTCATCTGATAAGGACTTGAGTGTGATGCTTTTGATACTATTACAACTATATTGCCTGAGACGCCCATCACATTTAACTCATAGTGGAGGCAAATTTGTGTTTGTGTGAAGAGAGGTAAATCCCAATAATTCTGCTAGTCCTCAAAAGGACTTTCATTTCACTTTTGGGAAAGGGTGAATTCCACTTCTTGTATGAAATCAACTCACATTTCCAGTAAAGAAATAAACTGAAATTGAAACACAATTAGAAATAAAATGAGAAAGGTGTTAACAGGTGTAAGAGAATGCTGTTAACTCATTGTGCTTATATGAGCAGGAAAAGAAAAGCTGCCCCTAACTTTCTATATTTGCTTCTAACTTCCTTTCTAGCATGTTTATGTTTTAGACAATCTGAAACTCTTCCCTAATTCAGAAAATTAAAAGGTTAAATAGAAGAACTAATATGAAGTAGGCATAGAGAAGAAAAGATAAGTGGCGTAATGGGAAGAAAATGGTCTTAATCTTCCTAGAAAAAAAATGAAGCTACTAAGATTTTTTAAAGAAAAAGTCATAATACAAAGTTACTGGAATGTGTTCTTGACAACCCGGGGCTTTAAATTCACATCACCAAAGTTCAAATAATGTTAAGATGATATGACATCACAGTGCCCAGTGAGTAGAGGGAAAAAGATGGACATGAGAAAGAGTTTGGATATTTTCTGCCTCAAAAAGTCTTTGATTGTTAGCCTTCTTCACACTTCATACTCTTGAATATATGAGTCATTCATCGACCATTCCACTCTGTCAAAAGATGAAGATGTTTAGACGCCAAAATTCCTTTCACATTCTTACTGATACCACTGAGGCCCTTACTCTAACAACTATTCACATATTGTTTTGGAAACCTCTAGTTACTTATTTCCTCCATCCTCTAGCACTCACTTACTTCCCCAACATTGCTGTCAGATTGTTTTTTGCAAACAAAACTCTAATGAGTTATATCTCTTTTCAGTGCCTCTTGTTGGATTGTCGTTGATACCTGATTATATGCATGTATGTTTCAGGTATCAATATCTATGCACATGTTTATTTT
Source organism: Homo sapiens (assembly GCF_000001405.40). NCBI lineage: Eukaryota > Metazoa > Chordata > Mammalia > Primates > Hominidae > Homo > Homo sapiens. The sequence continues at coordinate 98,224,349 of NC_000003.12, forward strand.
TTATGTGTATGTAGAGTCATGTAATATATATACATAGATACATATATAGTTAAAATATGAATGTAGTGGCACTAGAATTTAGTGGTTATTTGAGGAGATGGTGATGTATTTTGCAACATGAGACTGCATGTGGTTTGGGGCTTTTTGAAGGGGCAAGAGAGGAGATGAAGGTTCTTTTTTTTAATTATACTTTAAGTTCTAGGGTACATGTGCACAACGTGCAGGTTTGTTACACATGTATACATGTGCCATGTTGGTGTGCTGCACCCATTAACTCGTCATTTACATCAGGTATATCTCCGAATGCTATTCCTCCCCCCTCCTCCCACCCCACAACAGGCCCCGGTGTGTGATATTCCCCTTCCTGTGTCCAAGTGTTCTCATTGTTCAATTCCCACCTATGAGTGAGAACATGTGAGATGAAGGCTCTTATAAGGTGAATGCAGAAGGAATGCAAAAAGAAATATTTTATTGGTTAAAGTGGAGCAGTAGCATTATTTCACTCCAGTGAAAAGTCCCTAGTTAGGGGTGAGTTGGCATTTTCTGGTTGTTTAAATTTAACTTTTGTTTTACCTTTTACACTGAATTGCATTTCTGTTTGCTTAGACAGGAACCCACTTTGCTGGAGCCACTTCATCCTAAGGAACTTTTACTTAATGATATTAATTATTTTTTCCCTTTTGGTCAGCCTCCCTCTCAGTTATGAATTATTGACAGAAACTCAAGCACACAGGCCGCTTTTTCTGGTTTGTCTCTGTCTCAGCATAGAACTCATAAGTTATAATTTCTAGTCTCTTAAGGAAGCTTCTTTTTCAGTTATTTTTTATTTATTTATTTTTTAAATATTTTATTTATTTTCTTTTTTTGCCGTTCTAATCACAGTGAGAAAACCTGGCATACTTTGATGGCTATAAGACTACTGAGAAAATACAGCATACCAGGAAGATTACAGTGATGACTATCACAAGGAAAACAACAAGGTACTGGTATATACTCGATAGCCAAAGTGCCAGTGAACCAAACCAACAGAAATAAACCAAATAAAAAGAAAAGGTTAATGGTTATAACAATCTGTGAATTTAGTATTGAGCCCAGAGAGCAGTTAGTTGAGAAGATTTTTAGATTTAAGCTCAAAGCAACTTTAGATGATGAAATAAAATGGTAGTTGCAATCTAATGATTTTTCTGGTTAGTAATCTGAATGTCTCTGTTTATGTCAGGTATGTCCAATGTCTTAGCTTCCATGGGCCATATTGGAAGAAGAATAATTGTCTTGGGCCACACATAAAATACATTAACACTAATGATAGCTAAAAAATGATGAGCTAAAAAAATCACAAAAAAATTCATAATATTTTAAGAAAGTTTATTAATTTGTGTTGGGCCACATTCAAAGCCATCTTTGGCTGCATGCAGCCTGTGGGCCACATGTTGGACAAGCTTAGTTTATGTCATTGGATGTTTTGGTGAACTTCCTTAGCAGCCCACACAGCAGCATGCATGAAGATTGTCCTCTGAAGTTTATATCAAGTTGCCCAGCCCTAGCTTGCAGGGCTTCAGGAATAGGGCAGTTTATAGGTAGATAATAAAACCTCAAAGACAATGGACAGAACAAGAAGTTAATAATGGGTGCATTACAGTTATCTACTGAAACATAAATCTTCCCTCTATAGTCACACCCATTTCTTTCAAATATAGTTATAGTAAGATTAATTTGTTTACAAAACAAGTCTACTCTCATTAAACTTCAACTGAGTATTTACATAAGTGCAGTAGGAATAGGATTGATCATCTCTTTTTAAGTTTACCTTGTTAGAACTTTTAATAAATAATCTCGGATTCAACTTTAAAAGCCTGTCCAGGCTATGAAATCATACCAAGAACATAAAATCAGTGTTTACCTGCAATATCCATAGAATTAGCTAAACTCTCCTCTACTCAAAATAGGTACTAAAAATATTTTTCAGTTTCCTGAGCCTTCCAGAAAGTGACCTTCCTCTCAAACAATAAGGCTGGAAAACTTGTGAGCAGATATCAGGTCGGTTTTTCTGAAGGTACTTGCTGCTATTTGATTGGATGGACCACTCCAAATCCCATGGTGAAATATGAATCTGAATGTTGGAGGTAGGACAGAATGGGACGTGTATGAGTCATGGGTACGGATCCCCCATAATAATGGGTGAGTTCTAACTTTCTTAGTTCCTATGATGGCTGATTGTTAAAAAGTGCCTGACACCTTTGCTTCCTCTCTTGCCTCCTCTCTTGTCATGTGATCGCTGCACATGCCAACTCCATTTCACCTGCCTCCATGAGTGAAGCAGGCTGAAGCCCTCACCAGAAACAGATGTTAGTGCAATGTTTCTTTTATAGCCTGCAGTATTTTAAGCCAAATAAGCTTCTTTTATATATGAATTACCTAGCTTCAAGTATTCCTTTAAGGCAACACTGAATGGACTAAGGCAAGGCATAATTAGCTTCATAAAGTCAATTCCTTAATAAAGACAGTTCCTTAAACTGTCTAGTCATATCTAATTCTACACACATTCTCCAATATGACATTCCAGTCAAAGTTGTGGTCATACAACCAATGTTTCCAAATGTGTTATCTTACAAGAAGAACAAATTCTTATTAAACTTTCACAAATACCTATATTGTCATCAAAAGTAGAATACTCAGTTTCTGAATTCTGGATAGATCAGCTAGGGAGAGATAGGTAAATGTTTTAATTCTGTTTACAAAGGGTATACTTGACCAAATTTCTGATAAAGATTCTTTAAATCTGGTACGATGTTGTGATTCTAATGTTACCAGAAATCTTTACTTCTCAGAGCCTTTTCCATGTGCTTGTTAAGATTTTGATCATAGCTACTTACCTAAACATTCATGATACCATCAGCCTTATATATCAAAGGCACAGTGCTTAGAATTCATATTTAAATGTCATTATTTGCCAAAACAAACAAACAAAAAGAGTGTTGATAGACACAGTCAGGACAAGATAGCCAAGATAACCACACTTACAAAGGTAAGGTTTGTGACAGAGACTGAATCAGTGCTTTCACCACTATTTAGTGATTTACTCAAACTTCTCTTTGGGGACCAGAAAGAGAGACATCCTACAAATGGAGATTCCTTTACATTTCTCTTATAATGGGATCTCAAAATATCTAACATAAAATAGGCTTTGTGCCAGAGATGCGAAATATTTTGGGTATTAATTGGTCGGATTATCAAACCATGTTTATTTTATAACTAGATTAATGGTTTAGGGTGAATCCCATTAATAAATAGGATAAGTACTTTCTATTTCTGAACTCAACATGGATTGACCGGAATGTTTTACAAATAGTACTTCTAATCTTGCCTTACAGAACTGGTTCTTCTTTCTGTGTTTACAAGACTGAATGACAGACCAGTGAATTATTGAGGAAATATTATGGGATGGGTTCTAGAAGATTATTTGTTATTTTCTCAGCTTTTGGTGTGTTTTCCTGGAAGATTGAAGGGTGGATCTTTTTTTTTTTTCTCTGAGACAGAGTCTCACTCAGTCGCTCAGGCTGGAGTGCAGTGGCACGATCTCGGCTCACTGCAAGCTCCACCTCCCGGGCTCACGCCATTCTCCTGCCTCAGCCTCCCAAGTAGCTGGGACTACAGGCGCCCGCCACCATGCCTGGCTAATTTTTTTGTATTTTTAGTAGAGACGGGGTTTCATTGTGTTAGCCAGGATGGTCTCGATCTCCTGACATCGTGATCCGCCTGCCTCGGCCTCCCAAAGTGCTGGGATTACAGGCGTCAGCCACCACGCCTGGCCGAGGGGTGGATCTTTATTATCTATTTTAGTTACCTAACATTTGGCTTCAGCTGCAGGCTTCACCAGGTTCCAGTATCATTTGAATAAATTGGTGAAATTCAGAGAGTCCTGGATCATATGATCCAAAAAGGATTCTAAATTCTACAGGAAATTTCTGGGGCTTTTATTTGGAACAGGGACATTTTTCATTATTGCATGGAGCTCAGACATTGACCAAGGTGTAAAGGTGGTTAAAGAAGGCAGACCTGGTTGATCTGAGGAATTGACTTAATGGGGCATTTGTCTAGTTTCCTTTTATTCTCATGGGTGAAAAGGTAACTGAGCAAAAGGCTTAGTACATTTGGAGTTAACGGGTAGAAGATAATAAAGAGAAATATAGATGAAACTGCCTTTGCAAAAATTTATACAGAAAAATGTCACATGGGAAGATCATGACAGTGAATCTGACATAGGATAATTAGACAGTGCTTCTAATATCCAAGCTTTCTTTCTTCATTCATGGGTGTAGGCCAAACTAACTTTTAGAGCAATTTAGTTTAAGTTTGACTTTGAAACGAAGAGCATAACAGTCCTTACTAAAAACAAACCACCTCCTTCCTTGGGGACCAGACCACATTGGAAAAACTAACAAATTATCACAAGATTAGAAACTGTAGTTCAAGAGCCATGCAGCCAGAAGCCACAGGATTCCTACTCTGCCCAGTTACTCCTATGGATATCATTACTATTGTCAAATCCGAGTTTGGTGTTCAAGGTATATCTTTAGACCCGGTATTCTGATGAACTAGCAGGCACCACTTTGACTTGTAGACCGGCTCGTCTGGACTCACCTCAAGAGGAGAGCTTTGACTCTCTATAACTTCATCCTTAAACCAACCAATCAGCATTTTCCATTTCCTTGCCCCTGCCAACAACTATCTTTAAAACGATCAACTATCTTTAAAAACTAACAATTGTCTTTAAAAAACACTAGCCTCTGAATTTTTGGAGAGGCTGTTTGAGTAATAATAAAACTCTAGTCTCCCATTTAGCCAGCTCTATGACTATTAAACTCTTTCACTATTTTAATTCCTCTGTCTTGATAATTGCCTCTATGTGGGTAGAAGGCAAGAAGATCCCAGTGGGCGGTTATATAGAGAGGAGGAGGAGTTGGAAATGTCAGTCAAAGACTTACACCTGGCCTCTGGAAAAAAAAAAAAAAAAAAATATATATATATATATATATATATATATACACTAATGAATAGGATGATAGAATGGCAGTATTAAGACATAGTGACAGCACCAGCTAAGAGGCAATACACTGCAAGTTTGTCTTTATTTTACCTTTTTCTTCCCCCGACCTTTTCCTAGTAAAACCCCTTATTTCTCATCAGATATAAGTTTGCCTGGAAGATATATGTCTGGAATTTGAGGTTCAGTTTGCATGAGGAGGACAATTTTACTTGGGGCTGGCTTCTGAAGGGAATCTAGATCTTTGGCCTTATTTAAACCAGGTTTTAACTAGCTGAGATCACACTATACTGATCACAGCATTCAGAGCATCCAATTTTATAAACTGAAGTTTGCATAAGATGTCAGAAGTGTCATGTGTTGTGGATAATGGTGGAATAAAGTGTAATTTCAATTGTTAATAGCAAGAATTGGCTTATAGTGACTTAATGTTTATGATTCTGAAGTCCATAGTACACTGTAGGATGATCTGCATTTCTTATACACATCTAAATCCACAATGCCCAGTTGCAGATCTTCACTTTCTCCTACAGGGAATCCTAAGGTGCTCTTAGGGATGCTCCAGTTCTCTACACCTTCCTGTCCCGGCACAGTGGAGATATACAATTGATGAACCCTTGTGTTGAACCCACATAGAGCCAAGTTTATATAAACATTTTTCTGAGATTGGAAATGAAGCCTCCAAAATGAATCAGTGTACAAAGAATTGCTACCTGTGTTATTATCAGTTCTGTACTATTATATATTTTTCTCTACTTTAGAAAGCCAAACTCTTTCAAAGGATCTCCATAATTTCCTATGATATTGGTAAAAGAGATATTATTTTATAATATCTGTTATTCTTCTTAAAGTTTAAAATGCAATGTAATTCATAATAATTTTAGATTTAATATACAGCATGCTAAAATTATGGACAAATTAAAAAAGAGTAAATAATCTTCATGTTTTATTATCATGACTAAAATCTAGATAAGCAAAATTCTCGATAAATGAGTTTTTATAATGATGACTTATTAGCTTGTTATCCCAACTATAATCACTTTGTATGATAAGTTCTGGTTAAGTAGAATTTTTTTTTTTAGTCGGAGTTTCACTCTTGTTGTCTAGGCTGGAGTGCAATGGTGCAATCTTGGCTCACTGCAACCTCCACCTCCCAGGTTCAAGCGATTCTCCTGCCTCAGCCTCCTGAGTAGCTGGGATTACAGGTGCACACCACCACTCCTGGCTAATTTTTTGTATTTTTAGTAGAGATGGGGTTTCACCATGGCCAGGCTGGTCTTGAACTTCTGACCTCAGGTGATCCACACGCCTTGGCCTCCCAGAGTGCTGGGATTACAGGTGTGAGCCACCATCCCTGGCCTAAGTAGAATGTGATATGGTTTAAAACTCAGTTTAAACTTTCCTTTCATTATGGTTCTTATATAAAAAAGCTTTCTGATGATTCTGATATAAATGTATATTCTGTGTAATCACACATTCTGATTAAAATTTTAAGATCTGCCAATTAAACATTAACTTCTCTATAACTTCTGGCAATAATTTAAATATCTTTTATATAGATACATATATACAGCAGTATGTAGAGATACATATATTTTTATTCAGCATTTTATATATGAATAGTAATACATATATATATATACATATCAGAAAACATACTTTCCCTAACTTATTCAGCACTTACAAATTTAAAAGTATTCCAGTAAAAACTTTTGAGAATTTTTCATTATTTTGTGATTTGGGATTGCATGGAAGAAAATGTTTTCCATATAAAAATTTACTTAAAATTGGAATTGCTGCCATTTGTTCTTTATATTTTCTGTATCAGGATTCAGTCTTTGGCTGATTTCTTTCTGCAAAAAAAACAAAAACAAAAACAAAAAGCTGGTGGAGAATAAAGTGCTCTCAAAACCAGCAAAGTTTCTTGAGAAATTTAGTTTTAATTACTTTAACAAAAAGGAAGATCAAAATTTAAATATGAACTAAACTTTCAGTTTCAATATTTTCATGAACAGTGGGAAATTTGTGAGTAAAATTTCAAGTCCAAGACTATCATACACAAATTCCACAGGAAAAATAAACTTTTAATTTTTTACAAAAGACTCAGAGCTCAAGCTGGTATTGATGAACACTAGGGTCAATGCACACATCCAAACGAAACTTCTGAGTCTTTGCCTCTATTTTGCCTTAATGAATCTCTGATACTTCCTCTCTTTTTATTTTGTGGCTTGTCTTTTTTGCGCTTACCCATCTATGACTTCATGATTCTCTACCTATCTTTCCTTCCTCCTTCCTGTTTTATTTGACCCACACAAATCTCCGTTTCTGCTTTTCCTGTCCCTTTTCTCCTTTCAACATCTTCCTCTTCTCTCATCTCAATCTATCTTTTCTCTTGAGAACTTTTCAATACTCTACAGGAGAAAAAATATTACATTAGTCTATGAGCAGCAGACTAATGCTAAGTGTTCACATACCTTTGAGTACTCTATCTCATTCCCACACTATTGTGCTACTTGTTTCCCATTCACTTCTTATTTGATGATGTTTATTCTATTACTTAAGGAAAATTGCTCTCACTAAAGCCATTAAAAATTGCTTAATTTCTACACGCACTGATTTCCTTTAAGCCAGCATAGTACTTGTACAAAACCAGACACATAGACCAATGGAAAAGAGTAGAAAACTCAGAAAGATAGTCACACACTTACAACCATCTGACCTTCAAGTTCAAGGTAAACATGCAGTGGTTAAAAGATTCTGTAGTCAATAAATGGTGATAGGATAACTGGCTAGCCTGAAGCAGAAGAACAAAACTGAACCCTTACCTTTCAACATATACAAAAACTTACTCAAGGTGGATTAAGTTTTTAAACGTAAGACCTCATACTATAAATATCCTAGAAGAAACCCTAGGAAATACCCCTCTTAATGTTGGCCTTGGTAAAGCACTTTTGGTTAAGTCCACAAAATCAATTGCAACGAAAACAAAAATTGACAAGTGGGACCTAATTAAAGAACTTTTGCACAGCAAAAGAAACTATCAATAGAGAATAAAAACAACCTACATAAAGGGAGAAAATATTTGCAAACTGTGTATCCAACAAAGGTCTAATATCTACAATCTATAAGGAACTTAAATCAATGAGAATAAATAAATAAATACCCCCATTAAGAAATGAGCAAATATGACAGACACTTCTTAAAAGAAGACATACAAGTGGTCAAAAAACATATGAAAAAATGGTCATTATCGCTACTCATCAGAGAAAATGCAAATCAAAACCACAATGAGATACCATCTCACACCAGTCAAAAAAAAAAAAAAAAAAAAAAAAAAGACAGATGTTGGAGAGGCTGCAGAAAAAGGGAACACATATATACTGTTGGTGGGAACATAAATTACTTTAGCCACTGTGGAAAGCAGTCTGTAAATTTTTCAAAGAACTTGAAACAGAGCTACCATTTGACCCAGCGATACTATTACTAGCAATCCTATTACTATATCCAAAGAAAATTAGGTCATTATACCATCATTTTTTTTTCTTGCTATACTTCTCTTTTCTCAGTATACTCTCTAATAGATAAATAATTCATAACTATGCCCTCATCTACTCTAATGACACCCAAATTATTTTTTTATTTCTATTGCTCTAGTAATATTATATTACTAATACTAACCAGCTCATCTCGATGTTCAAGGCATGTTCACGCTACACACATGTCAATGCATCTGAATTCTTAGTCTCTATTTTGGATAACTACTCACAAAGTGACTCCTTTTTCCTTCAGTGAATACTACTTTCCCATCAAATATGGGGCTAAATATTTGCATCCTAGTGATGCTACATTCTGAATGCCTTACAATATCCTAGTGATGCTACATTCCGAATGCCTTAAATCTTTCTTCATCCTCCTCATTATTTCCAGCATTATGTTACACAAGTAGACGGGAATATAATTTAATTTTGTGTAATGTCAGTAACTATGTATGCATATTATACTGCTTAGTGCACCCTTCTGAAGAGTTTTCAGTGACTTCTGTGTTGTTTATTGATATGGTTTGGCTCTGTGTTTCTGTGTTCTCCCCCAAATCTGATATCAAATTGTAATCTTCATGTGTCAGGGAAGGGACCTGATGGGAGGTGATTGCATGGGAGCGGATTTCCCCCTTAGTGTTCTTGTGATAGTGAGTGAGGTCTCACGAGACCTAGCGGTTTCAAAGTGTGTGGCACTTCTCTCTTTGCTCACTCTCTCTCTGCTCACTCTCCCTCCTTCTCTGCCATGGTAAGACGTGCTTGCTTCCCGTTCACTTTCTGCCATGATTGTAAGTTTCCTGGGGCCTCCTAGCCATGCTTCCTGTGCAGCCTATGGAACTGTGAGTCAATTAAATCTCTTTTCTTCATAAAGTACCCAGTCTCAGGTAGCTTTTTATAGCAGTGTAAGAATGAACTAATACAGAAAATTAGTACCAAAAGAGTGGGGCACTGCTATAGAGATACCTGAAAATGAGGAAGCAACTTTGGAGCTGGGTAACAGGCAGAGGTTGGAACACTTTGGAGGACTCAGAAGAAGACAGTAAGATGAAGGAAAGTTTGGTACTTCCTAGAGACTTGTTGAATGGTTTTGACCAAAATGCTGATAGTGATTTGGACAATGAAATCCAGGCTGAGATAGTCAGATGGAGATGAGAAACTTATTAGGAACTGGAGTAAAGGTCTCTCGTGCTATGCTTTAGCAAAGTGAGTGGTGGCATTTTTCCCTTGTCCTAGAGATCTGTGGAACTTTGAACTTGAGAGAGATGATTTAGGGTATCTGGGAGAAGAAATTTCTAAGCAACAAAGCATTAAAGATGTTTTGTTACCTGACTGTTTCTAAAAGTGTATGATTATATGTGTGAACAAAGAGATTTTCTGAAACTGGAACTTATCTTTAAAAGGGAAGCAGAGCATAAAAGTTTGGAAAATGTGTAGCCTGGCCATGTGGCAGAAAAGAAAAACCCATTTTCTGGGGAGAAATTTAAACCTGCTGCAGAAATTTGCATGAGTAACAAGGATCCAAATATTAATAGCCAAGACAGTACAGAAAATGTCAGCAGGGCATTTCTGTGATCTTCATGGCAGCTCCTCCCATCACAGGCCAAGAAGCCTAGGAGGGAAAAATGGTTTCATGGGCTGGGCCCAGGGCCCCGCTGTTCTTTGCAGCCTTGGGACATGGCACCCTGCATCCTATCTACTCCAGCTCCAGTTGTAGCTAAAATGGGTCAAGGTATAGCTTGAGTCGTTGCTTCAGAGGGTACAAGCCCCAAGCCTTGATGGCTTCCCTGTGGCCTGTGGGTGTGCAGAAGGAAAGAATTTGGGAACCTCTGCCTAGATTTCAGAGGATGCATGGAAACACCTGGATGTTCAGGAAGAAGTCTGCTGTAGGGGCAGAGCCCTCATGGAGAACCTCTACTAGGGCTGTGCGAAGGGGAAATGTGAGGTTGGAGCCCTCACACAGAGTCCCCACTGGGGCACTGCCTAGTGGAACTGTGAGAAGAGGGCCACTGTCCTCCAGATGCCAGAATGGTAGATCCACTGACAGCTTGCACTGTGTGCCTGGAAAAACCACAGGCACTAAATGCCAGGCCATTTTGATTTGCATTTCTGTGATGATTGGGGATGTTGACCACCTTTTCATATGCCTGCTTACCATTTGTATGTCTTCTTTTGAGAAATGTCTATTCAAATCTTTTACCCTTAATTTGATCAGATTATTAGATTATTTCCTATAAAGTGGTTTGAGTTCCTTATATATTCTGGTTATTAATCCATTCTCAGGTGAGTAGTTTACAACTATTTTCTCCCATTCTGTGGGTTGTCTCTTCATTTTGTTGATTGTATCCTTTTTTGTGCAGAAGCTTTTTAACTTGATGTAATCCCATTTGTCCATGTCTTCTTTGATTGTCTATTCTTGTAGGGTATTGCTCAAGAAATCTTTGCCCAGAAGTCCTGGAGACTTCCCTCAGTGTTTTCCTATAGAAGTTTCATAGTTTGAGGTATTAGATTGAAGCTTTTTATTCATTTTGATTTTATTTTTGGATATGGTGAGAGATAGGGGTCTAGTTTTATTCTTTTGCATATGGATATCTAGTTTTCTCAGCACCATTTATTGATTAGACTGTCTTTCCCCAATGTATGTTCTTGGAAGCTTTGTTAAAAATGACTTCACTGTAGATGCGTGGATTTGCTTCTGGTTCTTTATTCTGTTCCATTGGTCTGTGTGTCTCTTTTTATGTCAGAAAAATTCTTGGGCACCTCCCACTGCAGTCCTTGTCTTTATTTTTCATTGGCTCATCCATTCACCTCTGTCTAACAAGATTTCTCATCAGATTTTAGCATAAAATGGGAGAACTAGGTGTATGTCTAAAATTTGAGCTGCAGTTTTCATGGGAAAGACAACTGTATTTGGGTTTGTCTCCTAAAGGGAATCAGAAAATGTGGCCTTATTAAAACTATGTTTTAATTACCTTAGACAAGCTTATACTAATCAAAGCACTAAGAGTAAATTTCACATTTAACTAAAGTTTACACAAACATGACAGAAGTGTCATCTGTGGTGGTAAATGGTATATAAAATATTATTTCATTTGTTAAAACTAGAAGTGTTTACATGAAATAGTGTTTATGATTCCAGAAGTTAAATGCCATTGGGGACAATCTGGACTTCTCATATATGTCCAAATCCGCAATACATACAAGAACAGCTTCAGTTTGTTCCCCAGAGAATCCCTTGGTACTCTTATGAGAATTTCAGTTTTCCATTCAATCGTCTTCTGGCAAATGTACAGAGTTGTACAATTGAATGACTCTTCTGTTTAATCCAAATTTATATAAACAGCAGTTTCCTGAGTTTGGGGAAAGAAGCCTCCAAAAAGAATGAATAGGCAACGAATTGCTACCTGTGTTATCGGCATTCCCATGCAATTGTATTTTTTCTGTTTTAGAAAGCCTAATGGTTTTAGAGGCTCTCTTAAATTTCTTTCAAAATATGGGTAAGAAAAAATATCTATAATTTTCATTACACTTTGTAGAAATGTTGAAAATGCTATTTAACTTACCATAATTTTAGATTGGGTATACAAACTGTCAAAATAGCCAGGTTGAAATTAGATAACTATTACTGGCTTATCTCTATATTTTAGTTTCATGACTATGATATGGATAGAATAAATAGTTATAAGACAACATTCTTCCTTTAATGATATTTTATTTTGTTGTTAAGCTTATTATGACTTTATTTGACAACTTGTGGCAAACTAGGACATTAAACAATTGAAACTGGTTTTGATTATAATGATTCTAAGAATTATTCAGATTATTCTGATAGAAATACTCATTCTTTCTAATTAATCACATTCTTAGACTACAACTCTTAAGGTCAGTCACTTAAAAATTAACTCTTGTATCCTTATCCCCACTTCTGGATATAATCTGACAACTCACACTGTCAAATGAAGGATGCATTCAGTGGATTCATTGTATTGCTGCCATGGCTGAGTTTACAACTAAAATCCACTTTTGATCCTGTCTTTTTTTTCTTCTTTTATCCATATTATAAATGTAGGATCAGTGTGTTTCATTGCCATCCTAGATAATTATTTCTTCACTCTAGAGGCAAGAAGAATGGGAAAATGAGTTTCTGTTTTTTTTGGCTTCTATAGCAGTAGGTAACCTCTGAGCCCCCAAGACATGGGTGTCAAAAAAGAGGATTAGATCTTGGCCATCTTGTAAAGAACGTATAGTCACTTTGTACATCATTCCTAATGATGCTTTCAAATACTACAATGATTCCAAGTAATTATTTCCATTAAGTTCGAATAGGCCCATATTACTGATTGAATCTCACCTAGTTGTTGAGATGTGATGCTCACACCAAAAACTTGTCAGCAATTCGAGTTTTCATCCCCAATGTTTAATGTCCATCTACCTGGTCACCAACTGACTTCTCTCTCTTTCACTGATGATGTATTCCATACCAAATATGTCACAGTAACTAGAGACTCTACATTCTGAATTCTTTTGAATCTATTCATTTGTCTTACCATCTCTTCCAATATCATATCACACAGGGACTAGACACTACACATGCATATCAATCACCTTGAGGGTATTTTTGAAATACAAATTCCTAGAGCTCATTCTTGAAATAATCAATTCCTACATTAAAACCTCACAATCTGTATTTTTCATGAAAAAACTCTCCCAGATGATTATCATGTGTAATCTAATTTGGGATCCCCTTGACCTTAGTATCAAGTTTCTAATTAGGATTCCTGAATCAGTTTCTCCTTCCTGCAGCACACTTTTTACACCATCAAGAACTAAATTTTTAAAATATGCTATGATGGGCTGGGCGCAGTGGCTCACGCCTATAATCCCAGCACTATGGGAGGAGCTGAGATCGTGCCATTGCACTCCAGCCTGGGCAACAAAAGCAAAGCTCTGTCTCAAAAAAAACAAAGAAAAAAATATATATATATGCCATTTCCCATTTTAAAATATTTGGTGCATGTTTATCATGTGAAGAATAAAGTTTGAGATTCTTCACATTACATTCATTCCATTTTTACACAGGCCTTTCAAATATCTTTTTTCCTTCACCCTACATCCATGTCCCAGACAGAAGGTTTTTCTATTACATTCGGTAGAGTCCACAAAAAATTAGTACATTTAGATAATGCATTTTTTTAAATCTCAACCTGTTAAGTCCTACACAATTTTCAAACCAAAATGTATTATTTTTCCATGTATTTAAATGCTCAAATAGAGGGCACATCAATTAGAGTACTGATAAAAAAATTAAGAGGGCTCTGATAATTACATAGTTTATTTCAACACTTTATCCCCAGTTTCAACTCACAACTCCATTCCAAGTGTTCCTTTACATTTATTTCATTTTTTAGAGGACATGCAGTGAGGACATGGAGGAGGAAAATACAACATTGCTGACAGAGTTTGTTCTCACAGGATTTTTATATCAACCACAGTGGAAAATACCCCTGTTCCTGGCATTCTTGGTAATATAGCTCATCACCATCATGGGGAATCTTGGTCTAATTGTTCTCATCTGGAAAGACCCTCACCTTCATATCCCAATGTATTTATTCCGTGGGAGTTTGGCCTTTGTGGATGCTTGGTTATCATCCACAGTGACTCCAAAGATGCTGATCAACTTCTTAGCTAAGAGTAAGATGATATCTCTCTCTGAATGCATGGTACAATTTTTTTCCTTTGTAATCAGTGTAACCACAGAATGTTTTATCTCGGCATCAATGGCATATGATCGCTATGTAGCCATTTGCAAAGCTTTACTTTATCCAGTCATTATGACCAACGGACTATGCATCCAGCTATTAGTCTTGTCATTTATAGGTGGCCTTCTTCATGCTTTAATCCATGAAATTTTTTTATTCAGATTAACCTTCTGTAATTCCAACATAATACAACACTTTTACTGTGACATTATCCCATTGTTAAAGATTTCCTGTACTGATTCTTTTATTAACTTTCTAATGGTTTTTATTTTCGCAGATTCAATTCAAGTTTTTACCATTGGAACTATTCTTATATCTTATACACTTGTCCTCCTTATAATCTTAAAAAATAAGTCTGTCAAAGGGATACAAAAAGCTGTCTCCACCTGTGGAGCTCATCTCTTATCTGTATCTTTATACTATGGGCCCCTTGTCTTCATGTATGTGGGCTCTGCATCCCCGCAAGCAGATGACCAAGATATGATGGAGTCTCTATTTTACACTGTCATCGTTCCTTTATTAAATTCCATGATCTACAGCCTGAGAAACAAGCAAGTAATAGCTTCATTCACAAAAATGTTCAAAAGAAATGTTTAGATCTCATACAATCTCTGTTCTCTGTTTACTAAAATTTTCCCAAGATTGTTCAAGTTAAAGGTATCTGTGTTTTGCTAGCATTCAAAGATTTTGCAAAGTCCTAGCACTTTAAGGACCTAAGGTGTTAATATCTAGTAAACTAATAAATACACTCCTAATGTTATTCAACGGCATTTAAAAATTTTTAGTCATGTTCATATCATAATCAAATAATGTCAGCAGAAAGCAAATAAAAATATTTTACAGTGTTTATGTTATTCAATGTGGCTTTATAAATGCATTAAATGCTAAGATAGTCTATGTCATCTGATAAGGACTTGAGTATGATGATTTTGATACTAATACAACTATATTACCTGAGACACTCAACACATTTAACTCTGTTGTGAAAGTAGATTTGTGTTTTGGTGAACAGAGGTAAATCCCAAGAATTCTGCTAGCCATCAAGGGATCTTTTATTCCACTTCATTGGGAAAGAGTGAATTCTACTTCTTGTAGAAAATCAACTCACATATCAGGTAAAGAAATAAACAAAAATGGAAATGCAATGAGGAGAAAAACTGAGAAGGGAGTTAACAGTGAAGATCTTGCCAAAGCCTAAAAGGGTACTCTTTACGTAGTGTGCTTGCAAAAGTAAGAAGAGGTAAGTTGCCTCTAACTTTCTACAATGGTTTCTAATGCCTTTTCCAGCTGTGGCTGTATGTATTTAGATAATCTGAAAAGCTCCCTTAATTCAGAAAATTAAAAGATGAACTAGAAGAACTAAGCTGAAGTAGGCATTGAGAAGAAAAGATAAGTGGCATAATAAGAACAAAATGGCCTTAATCTTCCCAGAAAAAAAAATGAAGCTATGAGATTTTTAATATTCAGTGATGTTGCAAGATTATTGGAATGATTTTTTGACAACCAGAGACTTTAAATTCTTATTACCAAAGTTCAAATAATGATCAGATGATCTGACATCATAGTGCCTAGTGAGTGAAGGGAAAAAACATGAAAATGAGGAAGTTTGTATATTTCTGCCTCAAAAAGTCCTTGCTTGTTAGCCTTCTTCAAACCTCATACTCTTGAAGTGCATGAGTCATCCATCTAGCAGTCCACTCTGCCCTTCATCTTTCATCACTGAAATTTTGTTTACATTCTCACTGATACCATGAGGCCTTTACCTAAAAACTACTCATGTATTGTTTTGCAAATCTCTGGTTACTTATTTTCTCCATTCTTCTAGTACTCATTCATTCCCTTAACATTGCCATCAGATCGGTTTTTTGCTAACATAACTCTAATATTTATGTAGCTCTTCAGTTTCTTTTGTAGGACTGTCATTGCTACCAAATTATATGCATATATGGTTTAGGTATCTATATCTGTGTGTGTGTAAATATACATTTTTTTATGTGTATGTATAGTCATCTAATATATGTATATATACACATGTATAAAGTAGTGGCATTAAAATTCAGAGTTTATTTGAGGAAACTGATTTATTTGGTACCACCAGACTGCAGGTGCTTTGGTGCTTTCCTGAAGAGGAAAGAAAAGAAGCTGTTATAGGGTAAATGAGAAAGTAAGGCAAAAAGAAATATTTTATTGGCTAAAGTGAAGCAGTGGCATGATTTGGATCATGTGGAAGTTTAATAGTTAGAGGTGAGTTGGTGGTTGTTTTAAGTTAATTTTTGTTTTACCATTTACACTGAGTTGGATTTCTGTTTGCTTAGGCAGGAACCCACTTTGCTGCACCCACCTCAGCCCAATATCCTTTTATTTAACTATTTTAGCTATTTTTTCCCTTTTGGTTAGGCTCCCAGTTATGGGATATTGACTAAAACTTAGGCACATGGGCCACTTTCTGTGACGAGCACAGCTGGTTTAGCTTTGTGTCAACATGGAACTCATGTCATAATGTCCGGTCTCTTGCAGAAGTGTTTCTTTTACTATTTTTTCTTTGTTGTTGTCATTCTAATCACAGTGAGGAAACCTGGCATACTGTGATGGCTATGAACTCACATTTAAGACTCTTGAGAGACTACAGCACTCCAGGAAGATTACAATGATAATAGTCACAGTGATAGTCCCAAGAGAATGGGGATATACTCCATAGCCAAAGTGTGCACGAACCAACTGAAATAAACCCAATAAAAACAAAAGATCAATGGTTATAACAATCTATAAACTTAGTATCTGAGCCCTGAGGGCAGTTATTTGAGAAGACTTTTAAATTTAAGCTCAAAGCGTCTTTAGATGATGAAATAAAGTGGCAGTTGCAATATGATGATTTTTCTAGTTTGCAGTCTGAATGTCTCTGTTTACGTCATTGGTCAACTACCTGAGCAGACAAGTCAGCTACATTCATAAAGATTGTCCTCTATAGTTTACATCCAGTTGCCCAGCCCTAGCTTGTAGGGCTTCAGGAATAGGGCAATTTATAGGTAGATAATAAAACCTCAAAGACAATGGAGAGAACAAGAATTTAACAGTGGGCGCACTATACTTTTCTACTGAAACATTATTTTTTCCTCTACAGTTCCCTTCATTTCTACCAAACATAATTATAGAAAGACTAATTTCTTTACAAAATAAGTCTACTCTCATTAAACTTCAACTGAGTATTTACATAAGTGCAGTAAAAATAGTGACTGATCATATCTTTTTAATTTGGCCAAGTTAGGACCTTTAATAAATAATCTCATATTAGACTTTAATATTCTCTCCAGGCTATGATGTCATGCAAAGACATAGCATCTGTTTTGACCTGCAACTTCCATAGATTTAGGTAAATTCCCTTATACTCAAAAGAAGTCCTAAAAAGTTTTTTCAGTTTCCTGGGCCTTCTAGAAAGTGACCTTCCTCTCAGTCAGTAAGGTTGGAAAGGTGTGAGCAGATATCAGGCCAGTTTCTCTTGAGAAATTTTCTGTAGTTTGATTTGAGGGACCCATTCAAATCTCATGTTGAAATCTGAATCAAATGTTGGAGGTGAAACAGAATAGAGGTGTGTGGGTCAAGAGCTAGAATTCCTAATGAATGGTAATGCCATTCTCATGATAATTGATGAGTTCTCACATTCTTTGTTCCCTTGATTGCTTTAATTGGACAATACTTCTCAATTTCACATATTATATAAGCCTCATTAGCTTAACATCTCTCTTTTTGTAACAGATAATGAAAATTCTCTTTCGACATTCTAGAGGCTCATCTGGGAAATCTCAAAGTTAATTGAGGTCAAAAAAGATTTAATTTACAGTTTTATTTTGGGAAGTTTGTTAAAACTATCAAATGATTTAAATAATTGGTTAAGTATAGGCACTGGTTACTGAAAGAATACTAAAATGACAAAAGATTTCAAAGTAAATAGAAAAAGTGATGTTATTGAAAAAAAGTTAAATCTTTTAATATTGAGAAAACTCAGTTTTCTTAAGGAATCAAATACCAGCTAAAGACAATATGGATCACAAAACATCATCTTGACAAAACATACATTCTTTTCATTTCACAGTCCATGTACTTAAAGGGTCATGAGAAAACTTAACCAGTGTCTAATAAGAGCAGACCAACACATTGTTAAAACCTTGCCATTTTAATTAAGAAGACCAAATTATAGTTTTTATTAGTTTAATTTTAATATTAAGACTCATTTTAAACACTCATAATAACTTGAATTCCGGTAACTTAACTGCAAAAGATTCTCTTTCTCTTCCAACTCTCTGTACCCATTTGGTTTTTGTCCTTCATCATCTATCCTGAAACAACTTTTAGGTACCATCCAAACTAGACAAAATTACTCCACTTTTCTTTTTTTTTTAAATATATGTCCTCATACCTGGTGGTTTTCTTATCAATAACATTTTTCACTTTACTTGGATACTTTGCATACAGAGTTATTTTTCTTATGCTGTTTAGAAGTTTTAATTACCACACGTTAACTAGAACTCTCAATTCTCAGCAGCTTTATTTTCTTGGATATAAGTGATTGCCTAGTACATATCACATCCAAAATCTGTAGATGGGGAAACCTATGAATACACCATTTTATAATTTGTAGAAGCATATGTTTCTTCACAGCACAATTTCTCACTGTAGCAATGAAATATGTTTGCTAGTGACCTCAAATATTTTTATTTCCTATGTAATAGGAAGCCCAAAGCAGATAAGCCTATTTTCAGAAATTAATGTTTTAACATTTTGTCTTATTTGGAAATCAGCCAGGTATTCAATGAATGTTGATCATTTAATTTAGCTTTGTGAACCTCTAAGGGTATAAATTACCATAGAGATTTGGGAGGATATTTTTATGCAGGCACATTATAAAACATAATTTAAAAACAATTATAAATAGTTTATAAATAAATTATAAAACAAAGTTTAAATCTTTATAAATTTTGTTGTACTTACATCCTTTTACTTAAATTTTTATTTTTTATTTTTATTTTTATATGTTTTATATATTTTATATATTTATACACCTAAAAAATCACTAACATTTCTATACACCAAAAACAGTCAAGCCAAGAGCCAAATCAGGAATGCAATCCCATTCACAATTGCCACAAAAAGAATAAAATACCTAAGAACACAGCTAACCAGGGAGGTGAAAGTGTAAGTTCCTCTGAGCTGGCCGCACCATGATCAAGCCATCACGACATTCCCCCACCCTTGTGATAATATACTTTGTGATATTCCCCATCTTTGTGAATGTACTTTGTAACTAACATTCCTCCCTGCCCTTGTGACAATACACCCTCCCCCATCCTTGTGAATGTACTTTGTAACTTTCCCCCCCGACCCTGGTGACGATACATCCTCTCCCCACGTGAATGTACTTTGTATCACCCTCCCCGCCCTTGAGAATGTATTTTGTAACATCCATCCACTGCCAGCAAAAAATTGCTCCTGACTCCACTGCCTATCACAAACCTATAAGAACCAACGATAATCCCACCACCCTTGGCTGACTCCTTTCTCAGACTCAGCCCACTTGCACCCAAGTGAATAAACAGCCTTGTTGCTCACACTAAGCCTGCTCAGGTGGTCCCTTATACAGACACGGGTAACATTTGGTGTCGAAGACCCGTGACAGGGGAACTCCTACGGGAGAGCAGTCCCCTGTCCTCGTGCTCCCACCGTGAGGAGATCCACCTGTGACCTCGGGTCATCAGACCAGCCAGCCCAAGGACCATCTCACCAATTTCAAATCAGTAAGCGGGTTTTCGCAATTGGGTAAGTGGTTTTTCGCTCTCTACCTAACCTCTCTTGCCTCCCTTAAATCTCTCTCCTTTCAATTTCAGTTTCTCTCCCTTCCTGGTAGAGACAAAAGGAGACACATTTTATCCGTGCATTCAAAAACTCCGACGTCGGTCACGGACATGGGAAGACAGTCTTCCCTTGGTGTCTGATCACCGCGGTGACGCCTGCTGTGGTCATTCACCCACCTTCCCTTGGTGGCAGGTCAATCGCAAGGACGCCTGCTTTGGCTGCTCACCCACATTACAGCCCAGGACTCAGTCAGGGGTGCCTACTGGAAGCCTGGTAGCTTCCCACCTCCATTTCTCCATGTCTCTACCTTCCTCTTTAAACTTACCTTCTCCTCTATGGGCAACCTTCCACCATCCATTCCTCCCTCTTCCACCTTAGCCTGTGTTCTTAAAAACCTAAAACCCCTTCAACTAACACCTGACTTAAAACCTAAATGTCTTATTTTCTTCTGTAATACTGCTTGACCCCAATACAAACTCGACAATAGTTCCAAGTGGCCACAGAATGGCACTTTCAATTTGTCTATCCTACAAGACCTAGATAATTTTTGTCGACAACTGGGCAAATGATCTGAGGTACCTTATGTCCAGGCATTTTTTTACACTTCATTCCCTCCCTAGTCTCTGCTCCCAGTGCAACTCCTCCCAGATTTTCCTTCTTTCTTTCCCGTTCGCTCCTTCGGTCTCCACCCCAAGCTCAGAGTCCTCTGAATCCTCCTTTTCTACTGACCCCTCTGACCTCTCTCTTCCTCCCCTGGCCGCTCCTTCCCAGGCTGAATCAGGTGCCAATTCTTCCGCAGCCTCCACTCCACCATCCTATAACCCTTCTATTACCTCCCCTCCTCACACCGAGTCTGGCTTACAGTTTCATTCCACGACTAGCTCCCCGCAACCTGCCCAACAATTTCCTCTTAGAGAGGTGACTGGAGCTGAAGGCATAGTCAGGGCATATGTGCCTTTTTCTCTGTCAGACCTTTCCCATATCAGCCAGCGTTTAGGCTCTTTCTCATCAGACCCCACTAAATATATATAGGAATTCCAATATCTAACTCAGTCCTACAGTTTAACCTGGAGTGACTTAAATGTCATCCTGACCTCTACCCTCTCCCCGTATGAACGAGAAAGAGTTCATTTTCTAGCCCAGTCCTACTCAGACACCTGCTGGCTTCATGAGCCAGGCCTCCAAGAGGGCACCAGGGCAGTTCCCCGAGAGGATCTCCATTGGCAATACCAGACGGACTCACCAGGTATAGGTAGGCTAGATTACATGGTCTCCTGCCTAGTCGAGGGGCTCAGAAAGGCAGCATAGAAAGCAGTTAATTATGACAAGCTGAAGGAAATTACCCCAGGTAAAGATGAAAACCCAGCCCAATTCATGGCCACTTAGCAGCTACCCTTAGACGTTTTACAGCCCTAGACCCAGAGGGGTCAGAAGGCCACCTTATCCTTAATATGCATTTTGTCACCCAATTCTCTCCTGACATTAGAAAAAAACTCCAAAAGTTGGATTCCGGCCCTCAAACCTTACAACAGGATTTAATCAACTTTGCCTTCAAGGTGTTCAATAACAGAGAAGAAGCCACCAAGCGGCAACATATCTCTCAGTTACAGCTACTTGCCTCCGCTGTAAGACAACCCACAGTCACGTCTCCAGCATACAAAACCTTCAGAACATCTAAACCACAGCTCCCAGGGGTTCCTTCAAAACCTCCTCATGGACCTTGCTTCAAATGCCAAAATCCTGGCCACTGGGCCTCAGAATGCCCGCAGCCCGGGATTCCTCCTAAGCCACGCCCTGTCTGTGCGGGGCCCACTGGAAGTTGGACTGTCTGACTCACATTTCCGCTGCTTCTAAAGCTCCTGGAGCTCAAACCCAACTTTCCTTGGCCGATTCCTTCCCAGATCTCCTCAGCTTAGTAGCTGAAGACTGACACTGCCCAATAACTTTGGAAGCCCCCTGGACCATCACGGACACCAAGCTCCGGGTAACTCTTATAGTGGAGGGTAAGTCCATCCCCTGTTTAATCGATATGGGGGCTACCCACTCCACATTACCTTCTTTTCAAAGGCCTGTTTTCCTTGCCCCCGTAACTGTTGTGGTTATTGATGGCCAGGCTTCTACACCCTTTAAAACTCCCCAACTCTGGTGCCAACTTGGACAACATTCTTTTATGCACTTTTTTTTAGTTATCTCCACCTGCCCAGTTCCCTTATTAGGCTGAGACGTTTTAACTGAATTATCTGCTTCCCTGACTATTCCTGGACTACAGCCACACCTCATTGCTGCCCTTTTGCCTGATTCAAGGCCTCCTTTGAATTCTCCTCTCGTGTATCCCTACCTTAATCCACACGTATGGGATCCTCTACTCCCTGCCTGGTGACCAATCAGGTATCACTTACCATCCCATTAAAACCTAATCACCCTTACCCAGCTCAACGTCAGTACCCCATCCCACAACAGGCTTTAAGAGGACTAAAGCCTGTTACTGTTCCCCTGTTACAGCATGGCCTTTTAAAGCCTACAAATTCTCCTTACAACTCCCCTATCCTACCTGTCCAGAAATTGGACAAATCTTTTTTTTAATTTCTTTTATTATTATTATTATTATTATTATACTTTAAGTTTTAGGGTACATGTGCACAACGTGCAGGTTTGTTTCATATGTGTACATCTTACAGGTTGGTTCAGGATCTTCATTCTATTAGGTCTATTCATCCTTACCCTACTTTTTGCAACAGGGCTTTACGTGGTCAGTCCCCACTTCTTGGACTGTGCCCCATAAACCTGTCATCCCTACTATCTTCTGTCTAGTTATACTCCTATTCACCATTCTCAACTACTCGTAAATGCCCTGCCGTGGTTTACACTGCTGGTTTACACTTTTCCTCCAAACCATCATAACTGAAATCTCCTGGTTTTACCTCAAACTGCCACCCTTAACTCTCTCTTGGAGTGAATAGAAGATCTTCAGTGGCAAGGTACACTCCAATTCTTCTATCCTGATGAAGTCCTTTTTTAGTTTTTTTTACTTTTCTACTCACTCTTATCCTTGCCCCCATTCTCCAGTCACTCTCTACCTCTCCCTAGTTACCTCCAGCATACTGTAAATCTCACCCACTCTCTCCTCACTTCCTCCAATCCTTCTCTAGCAAAGAATTGTTGGCTATGCGTTTCCCTTTCTTCCTGCTGTTACACAGCCATCCCCACTCCATGGGTCAACTGGGCTACCTCTCCTGTCTCCCTGCACCTCCAAACCTCCTTTAATAGCCCTCATCTTTACCCACCTGAGGAACTTCTTTACTTTCTAGACAGATTTGGTGAGAACTCCCCAGACATTTTGCACCAACAAGCTGCCACACTTCTCCACATCTACTCATGGCACCTTTCTCCTACATCAATTCCACTCCCCCTCCCCATATTTGGACCCCTAACCACACAAACAACTATCCCTGTTGCTGCTTCTTTATGCATCTCCTGACAACAGCCTGCTGGAATCCCTTTAGGCAACCTTCCACCGTCTAAATATTCCTTTACTCTTTATCTCCAGCCACACATTACCAGATGGGAGCATTCCAACTTTGCATTACTGATAAGCCCTCTATCATTATTGACAAACTAAAAAACATTGGCAGTCACTACTGTTTAGGAAGACACCTACCGTGCATCCTTGGCTACCGTCCCGCTGCTCATCTGTCTCTCCTCCTGGCCCCTCCTCTTGCTTGCTTATACCCAGACCCATGAATAGCAGTGAAAGCTTACTTGTAGACACTATGTGCTTTCTCTTATTCCATGAGAACTGAACCTCTCCCTCTATGCAGTTGCACCATCAATCCCCTTACAACCGCTAACGGCTGCTGTCCTTGCTGGATCTTTAGGATTTGGGGTGCAGGACTCCTCTTTCAGTACACCCTGTCACCTTTTTACTTTACATTTCCAGTTCTGCCTGACACAACATCTCTTTTTTTTATGTGGCTCTTCCACCTACATGTGCCTACCTGTCAAGTGGACAGGCACATGTACTCTAATCTTCCTTACCCCCAAAATCCAGCTTGCAGATGGGAATGAACAACTGCTTGTCCTCCTCATGACACCAACATGACAAAAAAGAGTCATCCCACTAATCCCTTTACTTGTGGGTCTAGGACTTTGTGCCTTCACTATTGCACTTGGAACTGGAATAGCAGGTGTCTCAACCTCTGTCACAACATTCTGCAGCCTCTCTTATGACTTCTCTGCTAGCATTACAGATATATCACAAACTTTATCTGTCCTCCAAGCTCAGGTTGACTCTTTAGCTACAGTTGTCCTTCAGAACCACCAAGGCCTCGATTTACTCACTGCTGAAAAAGGAGGACTCTGTATATTTCTTAAAGAGGAGTGTTGTTTTTACTTAAATCAATCTGGCCTGGTATATGATAACATCAAAAAACTCAAAGACAGAGCTCAAAAACTTGCTAATCAGGCAACTAATTACACTGGACCCACCTGGCCACTCTCTAACTGGGTATCCTGGCTTCTTCCAATCATTAGTCCTCAATACCTATCCTCCTCCTTCTCTTATTCAGGCTTTGTGTCTTCCAATTAATCTCTCAATTCCTACGAAACCGCATCAAGGCTATCACTCATTACTCTATACAACAAATGCTGCTTTTAACAATCCCACAATATCACCCCTTACCCCAAAGTATTACTTAAGTCTAATCTCTCCCACTTAAGGTTCCCGTGCCACCTCTAATCCTGCTCAAAGCAGCCCTGAGAAACATCACCCATCACCCCTCCATACAACCCCCAAAATTTTCACCCCAAGTTTTCACTACTCTTTCTTGTTTTATGTCTTCCTTATTAACATTAAAAAACAGAAATGTAAGGTCCTTTGATCTGGCTGCACCGTGGTCAAGCCATCATGACATTCCCCCCACCGTTGTGATAATGTACTTTGTGATATTCCCTGTCCAGTGCATGTACTTTGTAACATTCCTTCCCGCCCTTATGACAATACATCCTCCGTGCCCTTGTGAAGGTACTTTGTAACATCCTCCCCACCCTTCTGACAATACACCCTCCTTGCCCTTGTGAATGTACTTTGTAACATCCTCCCCACCCTTGAGAATGTATTTTGTAACATCCATCCACTGCCAGCAATAAATTGCTCCTGACTCCACCGCCTATCCCAAACCTATAAGAATCAATGATAATCCCACCACTCTTTGCTGACTTCTTTCTCAGACTCAGCCCACTCGCACCCAAGTGAATAAACAGACTTGTTGCTCTCACTAAGCCTGCTCAGATGGTCTCACACGGGCATGCATAACAGAAAGATCTCTACAAGTAGAACTACAAAACCCTTCTCAAAAAAATCAGAGATGACTCATACAAATGGAAAGACATTTCATGCTCATGGATAGGAAGAACCAGTATCATTAAAATGGCCTAAACGCCCAAAGCAATTTATAGATTCAATGCTATTCCTATCATTAGATTCATCAGAGAACTAGAAAAAACTGTTTTAGAATTCATATGGAACAATTCATATGGAAAAAGAGCCTGAATAGCCAAGGCCATCCCAAGCAGAAAGAACAAAGATAGAGCCATCATGCTACCCTACTTCAAACTATACTACAGGGCTACATTAACCAAAACAGCATGGTACTGGTACAAGAACAGATACATAGACCAATGGAACATAATAGAGAACCTAGAAATAAGACCACATACCTACAACCATCTGGTCTTCAACAAAACAAGCAATGGGGAAAGGATTCTTTATTTAAAAAGCGGTGTTAAGAGAACTGGCTAGCCTTATGCAGAAAATTGAAACTGAACTTCTTCCTTACACCATATACCAAAATAAACTCAAGATAAATTAAAGAGTTAAATGTAAAACCCAAAACTATAGAAACCTTAGAAGAATACCTAGGCAATACAATTCAGGACATAGGCATGGGCAAAGATTTCATGACAAAGATACCAAAACTGATTGCAACAAAAGCACAAATTGACCAATGGGATCTAATTAAACTAAAGAGCTTCTGCAGAGCAAAAGAAACTATCAACATGGGGTAAACAAACAACCTAAGAATGTGAGAAAATTTTTGCAGTGTGTGCATCCGACAAAGATCTAACATCCAGCATCTATAATGAACATAAACAAATTTACAAGAAAAAAAAAAACCCTATCAAAATGTGGGTGAACGATATGAACAGACACTTCTAAAAGAAGACATTTATGTGGCCAAAAAACATATCAAAAAAAGCTCAACATCACTGATCATTAGAGAAATGCAAATCAAAACCACAATGACATACCGTCTCACACCAGTCAGAATGGCTATTATTAAAAAGTCAAAGAATAATATATGCTAGTGAGGTTGTGGAGAAAAATGGAACACTTAGACAGTGTTGATGGGAGTGTAAACTGGCTCTACCACTGTGGAAGACAGTGTGGTGATTTCTCAAAGACATAAGAACAGAAATACCTTTTGACCCAGCAATCCAATTACTGAGGGTATACCCAAAGGAATGTAAATTGTTCTATTATGAAGACACATACATGTGTATGTTCATTACAGCATTAATCACATAGCAAAAACATGGAATCAACCTAAATGCTCATCAATAATAGACTGGATAATGAAAATGCAGTACATATACACCATGGAATACTATACAGTCATAGAAAGGAATGATACCGTGTCCTTTGCAGCAACATGGATAGAGCAGGAGGCCGTCATCCTTAGCAAACTAATGGAGAGACAGAAAACTAAATACTACAAGGTTCTCACTTATAAGTGGGAGCTAAATGATGAGAATATATGGACACTTAGTTGGGAACAGCACACACTGGGACCTATTGGAGGATGGAGGGTGGGAGGAGGGAGAATATCAAAAAAATAACTAATGAAATCTGGGCTTAATGCCTGGCTGGTGACATAATCTGTACAGCAAACCCCCTTGACACACGTTTACCTATGTAACAAACCTGCACAACCTTCACATGTACCCCTGAACTTAAAAGTTTAAAATTTTTATTTTTAATACTTGTGGATACATATATATATGTATGTGAGTGTGTGTATGTATATGTATATATGTGTATATATGTACATGTATGTATATGTATATATGTACCCCAGAGTATTTTTTTATATATTTATACTTATTCTACTATACAGACACATGCATTTGTGTCTTTATTGATGTGTTAGTCTCTCTCTCTATATTATATATATTATATATTTAATACTTGTGGGTACATATATATTCATATATATATACATGGGGTACATGAGATATTTTGATATAGGTATGCAACATGTTATAATCACATCATGGAAAATGAGGTATCCATCCCATCAACCATTTATCCTTAGTGATACAAACAATCCAAGTGTATTTCTTGGTAATTGTAAAATGTACAATTAAATTATTTTGACTATAGTAAACCTTCTGTCTACCAAATACTGGGTATTAATAATCATATCATGGAGAATAGAGTATATATCCTTTTACACATTTTTTTTGTGTTACAAATAATCCACTTATACTCTTTCAGTTATTTTTAAACATACAAGTGAAGAGGCAACCTAGCAAATAGGAGAAAACTTTTGCAATCTATCCATCTGACAAAGGTGTGATCTCCAGAATCTACAAGGAACTTAAACAAATTTACAAGAGAAAAACAAGCAATACCATCAAAAAGTGGGCAAAGGATATGAACTTCTCAAAAGAGGACATTATGTGGCCAAGAAATATATGAAAAAAGGCTCATCATCACTGGTCATTAGAGAAATGCAAATCAAAACCACAGTGAGATACCATCTCACCCCAATTAGAATGGCGATCATTAAAAAGTCAGGAAACAACAGATGCTGGAGAGGATGTGGAGAAATAGGAATGCTTTTACACTGTTGGTGGCAGTGTAAATTAGTTCAGCTATTGTGGAAGACAGTGTGGTGATTCCTCAAGGATCTAGAACCAGAAATACCATTTGACCCAGAAATCCTATTACTGGGTATATACCCAAAGGAATATAAATCATTCTACTATACAGACACATGCATTTGTATGTTTATTGAAGTGCTATTCACAATAGGAAAGACTTGGAACCAACCCAAATGCCCATCAATGATAGACTGGATAAAGAAAATGTGGCACATATACACCATGGAATACTATGCTGCCACAAAAAAGAACAAGTTCATGTCCTTTGCAGGGATATGGATGAAGTTGGAAACCATCATTCTCAGCAAACTGACACAAGAACAGAAAATCAAACACTGCATGTTCTCACTCATAAGTGGGAGTTAAACCATGAGAACACATGGACACAGGGAGGGTAACACTAAGCATCAGAGCCTGTTGGGGTGTGGGGGCCGTAGGGAGGGAGAGCATAAGGACAAATACTTAATGCATGCAGAGCTTAAAACCTAGATGACGGGTTGATGGGTGCAGCAAACCACCATGGCACATGTATACATATGTAACAAACCGGAACTTTCTGCACATGTATCCCAGAACTTAAAGCTTAATAAATAGTTTTTAAAAATTATTTACTACAGTCGCCCTTTTGTGATATCAAATAGTAGGTCTTATTTATTCTTTCTATCTATTATTTGTATCCATCAAGCATCCCCAAGTGCCCCTGAAATACCCAATACCCTTCTCAGCCTCTGGTTAACATTCTTCTACTCTCTGTGTGCATGAATTCAATTGTTTTGGTTTTTAGATGCCACAAGTAAGTGAGAATGTGTGATGTTTGTCTTTCTTTACCTGACTTATTTCATTTAACATGATGATCTCCAGTTCCATCCATGTTGTTGGAAATGACAGCGTCTCATTCTTTTTTATGGCTGAATTGAGACTCGTTGGGTATACATGCCACATTTTCTTTATCCATTCATTTGTTGATGGATACTTAGGTTGCTTCCAAATCTTGGCTATTGTGAACCATGCTGCAACACATATGTGCATGCAGATATCTATTCAATATACTGCTTTCCTTTTTGGGGGAGTATATATCCAGCAGTGGAATTACTGCATCATATGGTAGCTCTATTTTCAGTTTTTAGAGGAACCACCAAACTGTTCTCCATAGTGTTTATACTAATTTACATTCCCAACAACAGTGTATAAGGGTTCTCTTTTCTCCACATCCTTGCCAGCATTTATTATTGCCTGTCTTTTGGAGGCAAGCCATTTTAACTGGAGTGAGATGATATCTCATTGTAGTTTTAATTTGCATTTATCTAATGATCAATATGATGTAGAGCACCTTTCAAATGCCTGTTTTTCATTCATATGACTTCTTTTCAGAAATGTGTATTCAAATCTTTTGCCCATTTTAAAAATCAGATTATTCAATTTTTTTCCTATAGAGATGTTTGAGCTCCTTATATATTCTGGCTATTAATCCCTTGTCAGATGGGTAGTTTGTAAATATTTTCTCCCATTCTCTGGGTTGTCTCTTCACTTTGATGCTTGTATCCATTGCTGTGCTGAAGCTTTTTAACTTGATGTGGTGTCATTTGTCCATTTTTGCTTAGTTTGCTGTGCTTCTGGGTTGTTACTCAAAAAATTTTTGCCCTGCCCAATGTTCTGGATATATTCTCCAATGTTTTCTTTAGTAGTTTCATAGTTTGAAGTCTTGAATTTAAGTTTTAAATCCATTTTGATTTCAGTTTTCTATATGGTGAGAGATAGGGGTCTAGTTTTTTTCTTTTGCTTATGCATATCTAGTTTTCTGAGCACCATGTATTGATGAGACTGTCTTTCTCCAGTATGTGTTCTGGGAATTTTTGTTGAAAATGAGTTCACTGTAGATGTGTGCATTTGTTTCTGGATTCTTTATTCTGTTCCATTGGTCTGTGTGTCTATTTTTATGTCAACCGTGCTGGGTTTTTTTTTTTCTATAGTATCAGGGGAACCTGTCCCCAATATTTCAACATAGGTTCTTTCTATTTTCCATAAGTGTTGGCTGGATGAAAAATAAAGGGAAAGAGTACAAAGAGAGGAATTTTACAGCTGGGCCACCAGGGGTGACATCACATATCGGTAGGACTGTGATGCCCACCTGAGCCTCAAACCAGCAAGTTTTTTATTAAGGGTTTCAAAAGGGGAAGGGATGTAAGAATGGGGAGTAGATGACATGCTTCAAAGGGCGAAAAGGAGAACTACTGATAAGGGTCCAACAAAGATCACAAGGCAAAGGGCAAAAGCAGAACTACTGATAAGGGTCTATGTTCAGTGGTGCACGTATTGCCTTGATAAACATCTTAAACAACAGACATTCCCAGAGCGGCCATTTATAGACCTCCTGCAGGAATGCATTCCTTTCCGAGGATATTAATATTAATATTCTTTGCTAGGAAAAGAATTTAGTGATATCTTGCCTACTTGCACGTCCATTTATAGGCTCTCTGCAAGAATAAAAATATGGCTCTTTTTGCCCGACCCTGCAGGCAGTCAGACCTTATGGTTGTCTTCCCTTGTTCCCTAAAAATTGCTGTTATTCTGTTCTTTTTCAAGGTGCACTGATTTCATATTGTTCAAACACACGTTTTATAATCAATTTGTACAGTTAACACAATTATCACAGTGGTCCTGAGGTGACGTATATCCTCAGTTTATGAAGATAACAGGATTAAGAGATTAAAGACAGGCATAAGAAATTATAAAAGTATTATTTGGGAACTGATAAATGTCCATATTAAAATGAAACCTTCACAATTTATGTTCCTCTGCCACGGCTCCAGCCAGTCCCTCCATTCAGGGTCCCTGTCTTCCCACAACACTATAGCTCTGTAGTATATTTAAAGTCAGGTAACATGATTCCTCCAGTTTTGTTCTCTTAGCTTAGGATAGCTTTGGCTATTCTGGGTTTTCTTTTGTCATTCTATATATATTTTAGAATTGTTTCTTCTATTTCTTTGAAGAATGTCATTGGTATTTTGATAGGCAATGCACTGAATCTATAGATTGCTTTTGGCAGTGTGGACATTTTAACAATATTGATTCTTCCAATCCATGAACATAAAATATCTTTTCATGTTTTGATGTCATCTTTAACTGCCTTCATCGATGTTTTATAGCTTTCATTATTGAGATCTTTCACTTCTCTGGTTAATTCCTAAATACTTAATTTTACATGTGGCTACTGTAACTGTGATTACTTTTGAATTTCTTTTTCATATTGTTCACTGTTGCTATATAGAAATGCTACTTATTTTTGTATGTTGATTTTGTATCCTGCAAGTTTACTGAATTTGTTTACCAGTTCTAATAATTTTCTTTTTGAATTTTTCATTTTTTCCAAATACATAATTATATCATCTGCAAGCAGGATAATTTCACTTTTTCCTTTCCAATTTAGATGCCCTTTATACCTTTTCCTCTATGATTGTACTTCCAGTATTATATTGAATAACAGTGGTGACAGTAAACATCCTTGTCATGTTCCAAATCTGAGAGGAAAGTGTTACACGCGTCTGTGTGAGGAGACCACCAAACAGGCTTTGTGTGAGCGATAAAGCTTTTTAATCACCTGGGTGCAGGCAGGCTGAGTCCAAAAAGAGAGTCAGTAAAGGGAGATAGGGGTGGGACCATTGTATAGAATTTGGGTAGGTAGTGGAAAATTACAGTCAAAGGGGGTTGTTCTCTGGCAGACGGGCGGGGGACACAAGGTGCTCAGTGGGGGAGCTTTTGAGCCAGGAGAAGGAATTTCACAAAGTAATGTCTTCAGTTAAGGCAGGAACAGGCCATTTTCACTTCTTTAGTGATTCTTCAGTTACTTCAGGCCATCCGAATGTATAGTGCAGGTCACAGGAGATATGATGGCTTAGCGTGGGCTCAAAGGCCTGACAGAAAGGCTTTCAGTTGCTCCCCATTCAGTATGATACTGACTGTGAGTCTGTTGTATATGGCTTTTATTATGTTGTGGTATGTTCCTTGTATACCCAATTTCTTGAGGGTTTTTATTATAAAGTGATGTTGAATTTTATCAAATGGTTTTTCAGCATCAATTGAAATGATCATATGGTTTTTATTCTTCATTCTGTTGATATGATGTATCATGTTGATTGATTTGTGGATGCTGAACCATACCTGCATCCTAGGGATAAATCCCACTTGGTCATAATGAATGATCTTTATCATGTATTGTTGAATTCAGTTTGCTAATATTTTGTTGAGGATTTTTGATCAATATTTACCAGAGATATTGTCCTGTAGTTTTCTTTTTTTTGATGTGTATTTGTTTGGTTTTGGTATCAGAATAATTCTGGTCTTGTCAAATGAGGTTCCTTGTCTATTTCTTGAAATAGTTTGAGTAGGATTGGTATTAGTTCTTTAAATGTTTGGTAGAATTCAGCAGTGAAGCTATCAGATCCCTGGCTTTTCTTTACTGGATGTCTTTTTATTACAGCTTCAGTATTGTTACTTGTTATTGGTCTGTTCAGGTTTTGGATTTCTTCCTGGTTCAATCTTGGTAAATTGAATTTGTCCAGGAATTTGTTCATTTCTTCCAGGTTTTCCAATTTATTGGCATATAATTGCTCATAGTAGGCACTAATGATGCTTTAAATTTCTGCAGTATCAGTTGTAATGTCAGCTATTATTGTATTGGGGCCTATTTCTGCCTTTAGCTCTAGTAATATTTGCTTTATCTATCTGGGGCTCCACTGTTGAGTGCATATATAATTAAAATTGTTATATCCTTAGGCTGAATTTATTCCTTTATCATTATATAGTAACTCACTTTTCTTATAGTTTTTGTCTTGAAATCTATTTTGTCTGATATAAGTATAGTGACTACTGCTCTCTTTTGATTTCCATTGGCATAAAATATTATTATTCTTCCCTTTGTTTTCAGTCTATGTGTGTCTTTGTAGGTGAAGTGTGTTTTCTGTGGGCAACAGATCAATGGGTCTTGTTTCTTTATTTATTCAGTCACTCCATATTTTGATTGGAGAGTTTAGCCCATTTGTAATACATTTAATATTATTATTGATAAGTAACAACTTACTCCTACCATTTTTCATTTGTTTTCTGCTTATTTTGTGGTCTTCTCTTTTTTCTTTCTTTCCTTCCTGTCTTCCTCTAATGAAAATGATTTTCTCTGGTGATATGATTTAGTTTCTTGATTTTTATTTTTTCTGTATCTGGTGTGTGCTTTTTGGCTTGAGGTTACCACAGGGCTTGAAAATAGTTCATTTATTTCCATCTACAACCCATTATTTTAACCTAATAACAATACTATTTGCATAAACAAACAAATAAGCAAAAAATAAATAAATAAATAAATACTCACCATAAGTTAGCCCTCCTGCTTCTTAACTCTCTGTTGTTTCTATTTATGTACTATCTTGTTGACTATGTCTTGAAAAGTTGTAGTTATTTTTTTTTAATTTTTTTTTTTATTTCCATCAGTTATTGGGGAACAGGTGCTGTTGGTTACACGAGTACATTCTTCAATGGTGATTTGTGATATTTTGGTGCACCCATCACCTGAGCAGTATACCTTGCACACAATTTGTTGTCTTTTATCTCTCATCCTCTTCCCACCCTTTCCCCTGAGTCCCCAAAATCCATTGTGTCATTCCTCTGCCTTTGTATCCTCATACCTTATATTTTTTATTGGTTTGTTGTTTAGTCTTTCTACTTAGCATAAGCATAGTTTACACACCACAGTTACAGTGCTATAATATTCTGTGTTTTTTTTTCTGTGTACTTACTGTTATCAGTAAGTTTTCTACCTCCAGATGATTATTTACTGCTTTTTAATGTCCTTTTTGTTCTGATTAAAATACTCTCTTTAGCATTTCTTGTAGGATGGGTCTAGTATTAATGAAATCCTTCAGCTTGTTTGTTTGAGAAAGTTATTTCTCCTTCATGTTTGAAAAATAATTTCACCAGATATACTAATGTAGGGTAAAACGTTTTTTCCTTCAGCACTTTCATATGTCATGTGACTATCTTCTGGCCTGTAAGGTTTCCATTGAAAAGTCTGCTGCCAGATGTATTGGAGAGCCATTGTATGTCATTTGTTTATTTTCTCTTGCTGCTTTTAGGATCCTTTATCCTTTATCTTTGGGTCCTTGATTATCAAATACCTTGAAGCAGTCTTCTTTGGGTTAAATTTGCTTGAGGTTCTATAACCTTCTTGTACTTGAATATTGATATCTTTCTCTAGGTTTGGGAAGTTCTCAGTTAGTCTCCCTTTGAGTAAACTTTCTACCCCTATCTCTCTTTTTACCTCTTCTTTAAGGCCAATAACCCTTAGATTTGCCCTTTGGAGGCTGTTTTCTAGATACTGTCAGTGCACTTCACTGTTTTTTGTTCTTTCTTCTTTTGTCTCCTCTGATTGTGTATTTTCAAATATACTGTTTTCAAGCTCACTAATTCTTTCTTCCGATCAATCCATTCTGCTATTAAAGGGCTCTGATGTGTTCTTTAGTATGTTAATTGCATTTTCAGCTCTAGAATTTCTGCTTGATTCTTTTTAATTCTTTCAATCTCTTTGTTAAATTTTTCTGATAGAATTCTGAACTCCTTCTCTGAGTTATCTTGAATTTCTTTGAGTTTCCTCAGCACAGTTATTTTGCATTCTCTGTCTGAAAAGTTCCATATCGCTGTTTCTCCAGGACTGGTGCCTAATCTGTTCATTTGGTGAGGTCTTGTTTCCTGGATAGAGTTGATGCTAGTAGCTGTTCTTCAGTGTCTGTGCATTGAAGAGTTAGGCATTTATTGTAGTGTTCACTGTCTAGGCTTATTTGTAGATGTCTTACTTCAGAAGGCTTTCCAGTTATTTGAAAGAACTTCAGCATTGTCATCTAAGCTGTATGTGCTTTAGGAGGCTCCTCAAGCCTAGTAATGCTGCATTTCTTGCAGAATAATAGAGGTACTACCTTGATGGTCTTGAACAAGATCCAGGAGATTTCTTGCTCTCTTCCCTTATTTTTCCTCAAACAAACAGCCATTCTCTCTCTCTGTTCTGAGCCACCTAAAGCTGGAGTAAACTGATGCAAGCACCCCTGGGGCCACCAGCACTATGACTGCACTGGGTCAGACTTGAAGACAGCACAGCTCTGGGTCCCATCCGGGTCCTGCTGTAACCACTCCCTGGCTACTGCCTATTTTCACTCAAGGCCTTGGGGGTCTACAATAAGAAGGTGGCAAAGCGAGCCCAACCTGTGTCCCTCCCTTCAGGAGGCAAGGTCCCCCTAATCTCAGATGGGTCCAGAAGTGCCATCTGGGAGTCAGCGACTAGAGTCAAAATCCTTGGAAGTCTACATGGTATTCTATTGTTTGCGGCTGAGCTGGCACTCAAACCACAGACACAATTCTACCCCTTTTCCCTCCCCTTTCCAAAGGCAGAGGAGCCTCCACCTGTTGCCACTGCCACCCCTGGTCACAAGGAGTACTGCAAGACTACCCTGGATGTTCCCTTAAGGCCCAAGGACTCTTAAATCAGCTTGTGGTAAAGCTGCCTAGCCTGAGACTCACCCTTCAGGCAGTGGGCTCCCCTCAAGCCCAGGGAAAGTCTAGAAATATTGTTGAAGAGTCAACTGCTAGAATTGAGGACCTAAAGAGCCAGCTTGGTGCTCTACCCAACTGTGGTGATGTTCGTACCTAAGGTGCAAGACAAAGCTCCATTTACTTTTCTCTCTGTTTTTCTCAAGCAGAAGAAATTTTGTCCCATAGCCAACACAGCTCATAATGTGCTAAGTCTCACCTGAAGTCAGCAAGTGTCAGAGGCTCATGAAGTCCCTTGATGTAGTACCTGGGTATCACTACAGGTTATTCAGAGCCCAAGGGCTCTTCAGTAAGCAGTTGATGAATGCTGCCAAGACTAGGTCTTTTCCTTCTAGGTACTGGGTCTTCTTCTGGCCCGGGGTGTGTCTAGAAATGTCATCTGGAAGACAGGACCTGGAATGGGAGCCTCTTGACTGTGACCAGTGCCTTATACTGGTGTGGCTCAGCTGGTATCCATGAATGCAAGACACTGTCCTCCCCTCTCTTTCCTCTCCTTTCCTTAAGCTGAAGGAAGTAGTCTCTTTTAGATCTGTGAGCTGTGCAGCCTGGACAGCTAGGAAAGGGGTGATGCCAGCTCTCCCTTAGCTGTTCCAGCTGGTGTCTCAGTATATTATATGTGCCCCCGCCAGTCCACTGTCTCTGGGCCTGGTTCTCCCCTAGGACTTGCCTACAAGTTGCAGTCCTTATGACCTAGACTGCCTTTCAAATTAGAGACTAAGAGCACTTTGGCCCTTGATGGTGAGGTTTGCCTACTCTCATTTGGACCACTGGGATCAGTGATTCCCCTCTGGCTAGGGATGGTCTCAGTGTCCCCTCTGTGGGCAAACTTCAGCTGAGTTTGGTCTAGTTTTCCTTTCTGCTCTAATAGGACAGCACTGAGTTCAATACCTGACAATAGCTCTGTTCTCCCTCCCACAGGCCCAGTGAGTCCCTCAGCACCATGCTGCTGCTGGTGGGTGGGAGAGATGTGGTGTTACTGATTCAGGACTGTTTTTTCCTATCATTTCAGTGTTTTTTTCAGAGCTATGACATTAAAACCAGATATTGTGAGTGCTCATTTGACTTTTGGTTCTAATGAAGGTATTTTTTTCTGAGTAGATGGGTATGAACTTGGTGTCCTTGCATGGCAGTGCAGGTGGACAGGGGAGAGAGCAGTAGACCTTCCTATCCTACCATTTTCCAAGAGGAAGTTTTTTTTTTTCTTTAAAGAGTCCTTTCACTGCCAAGAAAATTTAAATATGAATATAAATATTATAAATAAGTACATTAGATTTTATTTTCTGAATGAATGCTCATTAACATATTGCTCTATTAATGCACTAAAGAAAAATTCTGAACATGCTACCTCCATTTTCAAAATCCTTCAAAAATCCATCAATGATTTTTCTGTAAGTTGGGGTAAAGAACAAAGCCCTGAGCTACCCCCAAAGATCCCTCAAAAACCTACTCATGCTGGACTCCCTGAACAAATCTGGTCGTCCCCTGCTTCTCTCTTTGCATACCCACCACATTTGCTATTTATTGTTTCTCCAATGATCAAGGTTCTCTGATAATCCAGGTCCTCCCATGATGAAGGCCTGTTGGATGGCAAATGTCCATGGACATTACTTTTTTTTGGAAATAAAGGCTCCTGGAAAACTCACACCAGAATTATTAAAATAGAATCTGCATTTAGAGAGGTCTTAGCTATTATAATTTGAGAAGCAAAGTTCTAGGGCACCTCCCACTGCAGTCCTTGTCTTTGTTTTTCATTGGCTCATCCCTTGGCCTTTAATAAGATTTCCCATCATATTTTATCATAAAATGGGAGAACTAAGTATGTGTCTAAAATTTGAGCTGCAATTTTCATGGGGAAGACAATTGTATTTAGGTTTGGCTTCTGAAGGGAATCAGAAACTTTGGCCTTATTAATATTATGTTTTGATTACCTCAGACAAGATTATACTAATCAAAGCACTGAGTAATTTTCATATGTAAACTAAAGTTTGTACAAACATGACAGAAGTGTCATCTGTGGTGGTTAATAGTGCATAAAATATTATTTCAATTGTTAAAACTAGAATTGTCCACAATGAAATGATGTTTATGTTTCCAGAAGTTTGTAATGTCCTTTGGGACAATCTGGGCTTCTCACATATGTCCAAATGCAAAATGCACACTAGAACAGCTTCAGTTTGTTCCGTGGGGATTCCTTTGGCACTCTTATGAGAATTTCAGTTTTCCACTCCATCATCTTCTGGCAAAACTACAGAGTTGTACAACTGAATGACTCTTCTGTTTAATCCAAATTTATATAAACAGCAGTTTCCTGAGCTTGGGGAAAGAAGCCACCATAAAGAATGGATACGCAATGAATTGCTACCTGTGTTATCTTCATTCCTGTGCAATTATATTTTTTCTGTCTTAGAAAGCCTAATGGTTTTAAAGGATCTCCTAAATTTCTTTCCAAATATGGGTGAGAAAGAAAAAATATCTATAATTTTCATTATACTTTGTAGAAATGTTGAAAATGCTACTTAACTTACCATAATTTTAGATTGGGTACACAAGCTGTCAAAATAGCCAGGTTGAAATTCGATAGCTATTACTGGCTTATCTCTATATTTTAGCTTCATGACTATGATATGGATAGGATAAATAGTTATAAGACAACATTGTTTCTTTAATGATATTTTATTTTTTGTTAACCTTATTATGATGTTATATGACAATTTGTGATGCTGTAGGACATTAAACAAATGAGACTGGTTTTATCATAATGATTCTAAGAATTTTTTTCAGATTATTCTGATAAAAATACTCATTGTTTTTAATTATGCACATTCTCGGACTAAAACTCTTAAGGCTAGTCACTTAAAAATTAACTTTTGTATTCATATACACACTTCTGGCCATAATTTGACAGCTCACACTGTATGTGTTATTGATATAGATGAAGGATGCATTCAGTGGATTCATGGTATTTCTGTCATGGCTGAATTTACAACTAAAATCCACTTTTGATCCACTTTTCTTCTTCTATCCATATTCCAAAGGTAGGATCAATGTGTTTCATTGCCGTCCTAGGTCACTGTTTCTTCTCTCTACAGGCAAGAAGAATGGGAAAATGACTTTCTAATCCTTTTGGCTTCTAGAGCAATAGCAATAGGTAACCTCAGAAAGCCCCCAAGACTTGGGTGGCAAAAAAGAGGATTAGATCTTGACCATCTTATAAAAGATTATATCCACTTTGTACATCATTTCTAATGATGCCTTCAAATACTACAATGATTCCAGGTAATTACTTCTATTAAGCTCTAATAGACCCATATTACTGATTGAATCTCACCTAGTTGTTCAGATGTGATGCTCACTCCAAAAACTTGCCAGCAATTTGAGTTCTCATCCTAAATGTTTAATGTCCACCTATCTAGTCACCAAGTGACTTCTCTCTCCTTCACTGACCACATACTTCAAACTGAATATGTCACAGAATACTAGAGACTCTACATTTCGAATTCCTTTGAATCTATTCATTTGTCCTACCACGTCTTCCAGTGTCATTTCAAACTGGGACTAGAGACTTCACATGCATTTCAATCACTTGAGGGTATTTCCAAAATACAGATTCCTAGACCTCATTCCTGAAATCATCAATTTCTACAATAAAACCTCACAATCTGTATTTTTCATTAAAAAATACTCTCCCAGATGATTCTCATGTGTAATCTAATTTGGGATCCCTTTGACCTTAGTATCAAGTTTCTAATTAGGACTCCTGAATCACTGTTTCCTTTCTGCAGCATACTTTTACACTACCAAGAACTAAATTTTAAAAATATATCATGATGCCATTTTGTATCCTAAAATATTTGGTGCATGTTTATTGTGTGAAGAATAAAATTTGAGATTCTTCACATTGCATTCATTCCATTTATTTTAACCTGCGTCTTTCAAATATCTTTTTTCCTTCACCCTACATCCATGTCCCAGACAGATTTTTTTCATTACATTCAGTAGAGTCCACAAAAATTTAGTACATTCAGATAATGCGTCTTTTTAACTCTCAGTCTGTTAACTCCTACACAATTTTCAAACCAAATTCATTATTATTTCCATGTATTTAAATCCTCAAATATAGGGTTCATCAATTATAGCACTGATCAAAAAAAATTAAGAGGGCTCGATAATTACATAGTTTATTTCAACACCTCTTCCCCAATTTCAACTCACAATTCCATTGCAAATGTTCCTTTACCTTTGCTTCATTTTTCAGAGGACATGCAGTGAGGAGATGGAAGAGGAAAATGCAACATTGCTGACAGAGTTTGTTCTCACAGGATTTTTACATCAACCTGACTGTAAAATACCGCTCTTCCTGGCATTCTTGGTAATATATCTCATCACCATCATGGGGAATCTTGGTCTAATTGTTCTCATCTGGAAAGACCCTCACCTTCATATCCCAATGTACTTATTCCTTGGGAGTTTAGCCTTTGTGGATGCTTCGTTATCATCCACAGTGACTCCGAAGATGCTGATCAACTTCTTAGCTAAGAGTAAGATGATATCTCTCTCTGAATGCATGGTACAATTTTTTTCCCTTGTAACCACTGTAACCACAGAATGTTTTCTCTTGGCAACAATGGCATATGATCGCTATGTAGCCATTTGCAAAGCTTTACTTTATCCAGTCATTATGACCAATGAACTATGCATTCAGCTATTAGTCTTGTCATTTATAGGTGGCCTTCTTCATGCTTTAATCCATGAAGCTTTTTCATTCAGATTAACCTTCTGTAATTCCAACATAATACAACACTTTTACTGTGACATTATCCCATTGTTAAAGATTTCCTGTACTGATTCCTCTATTAACTTTCTAATGGTTTTTATTTTCGCAGGTTCTGTTCAAGTTTTTACCATTGGAACTATTCTTATATCTTATACAATTATCCTCTTTACAATCTTAGAAAAGAAGTCTATCAAAGGGATACGAAAAGCTGTCTCCACCTGTGGGGCTCATCTCTTATCTGTATCTTTATACTATGGCCCCCTCACCTTCAAATATCTGGGCTCTGCATCTCCGCAAGCAGATGACCAAGATATGATGGAGTCTCTATTTTACACTGTCATAGTTCCTTTATTAAATCCCATGATCTACAGCCTGAGAAACAAGCAAGTAATAGCTTCATTCACAAAAATGTTCAAAAGCAATGTTTAGATCTCATACAATCTCTCTTCTCTATTTACTAAAATTGTCCCAAGATTGTGCAAGTTAGAGGTGTCTATGTCTTGCCAGCATTCAAAGATGATGCAAAGTCCTAGCACTTTAATGGCCTAAGGTTTTAGTACCTATTAAACTAATAAATATATCCCTAATGTTATTCAATAGCACTTAAGAAATTTTAATCATGTTCATATCATAATTGAATAATATTAGCAGAAAGAAAATAAAAATATTTTACAAAGTCGTATGTTATTCAATGTGGCTTTATAAATGCATTAAATGCTAAAATAGTCTAGGTCATCTAATAAGGACTTGAGTATAAGTGCAGTAAAAATAGCGACTGACCATCTCTTTTTAATTTGGCCATGTTAGGACCTTTAATAAATAATCTCATATTAGACTTTAATCTTTAATTAGACATCATAGCCTCTCCAGGCTAACTCCCCAGGCTGTGATGTCACAGTAAGAACATACCATTTGTCTTGACCTGCAATAATTGGTTAAATATAGTCACAAATTGAAAGAATACCAAAATGACAAAGATTTCAAAGGCAAATAGAAAAAAATTATGTTATTGTGAAAAAAAACAAAAAAGTTATCTGTTTTAATATTGAGAAAACTCAGTTTTCTTAAGTAATCAGATACTGGCTAAAGATAATATGGATCACAGAACATCATCTTGATAAAACATAAAATCTTTTTGTTTCACAGGCCAAGTACTTAAAGGGCCAAGAGAAAACTTAACCAGTGTCTAGTAAGAGCAGACCAACACGTTGTTCAAACTTTGTGATTTTAATTGAAAAGACCAAATTATATTTTTGATTAGTTTAGTTTTAATATTAAGACTCATTTTAAAAACTCATAATAACTTGAATTCTGGCAACTTAACTGCAAAAGATTCTCTTTCTCTTCCAACTTTCTGCATTCATTTGGTTTTTGTCTTTCATCATCTATTCTGAAACAGCTTTTAGCTATCATCCAAACTAGACAATATTACTCCACTTAAAAAAAAAAAAAAAAAAAAAAACCCACATATCCTCATACCTGGTGGCTTTTCTTATAAAAAAACATTTCTTACTTTACTTGCTTACTTTGCATACAGGGTTGTTTCTCATGTTCTTTAGCAGTTTTAATTACCGTACATTAACTAGAATTCTCAATTCTCAGTAACTTTATTTTCTAGGATTTTGTATCCTGAAAATCTACTGAATATTTTTTATCAGTTCTCATGCTTTCTTAAGGGAAGTATTTAGGTTTTTTGAATAGAAGATCATATCAACTGAAAACAAGGATAATTTGATTTCTTTCTTTTCAATTTGGATACCCTTTCTTTCTTTCTCTCATCTGCTGTAGCTAGGACTTCCAGTACTATTACATAACAGTGGCAAAAGCGGGCATCCTTGTCATTTTCAAGATCTGAGAGAAAAACTTTTAATTATTCCCCATTCAGTATGACACTATCTGTGGGTCTGTTGTATATGGTTTTCACTATATTGAGGTATGT
The DNA here is from genome assembly GCF_000001405.40 of Homo sapiens. Classification (NCBI taxonomy): domain Eukaryota; kingdom Metazoa; phylum Chordata; class Mammalia; order Primates; family Hominidae; genus Homo; species Homo sapiens. The sequence goes on from NC_000003.12 coordinate 98,266,773, forward strand.
TCCTTCTATACCCAGTTTCATGAGGTTTTTATCATAAAGGGATGTTTTATTTTATTAAATATTTTTTCAGCATCAATTGAAATAATCATACTGTTTTTGTCCTCATTCTCTTGATATGATGTATCACATCGATTGATTTGTGTATGTTGAACCACCTTTGCATCCCTGGGACAAATCCCACTTGGTCATGATGAATGAACTTTATCACATATTTTTCAATTTGGTTTGCTTATATTTTGTTGAGAATGTTTGCATCAATAGTCATCAGAGATATTCTCCTGTTAATTTTTTTTTTTTGATATCTGGTTTTGGTATGAAGGTAATACCGGCCTTGTCAATGAGTTTGGAAGTATTCCTTCCTCCTTTATTTTTTGAAATAGTTTGAGCAGGATTGGTATTAGTTCTCTTTGGTAGAATTTGGCAGTGAAGCCATCCGGTCCCAGGCTTTTCTTTACTGGAAGACTTTGTATTATGGCTTCAATATTGTTACTTGTTATAGGTCTGTTCAGGTTTTGAATTTCTTCCTGGTTCAGTTTTGGTGAGTTGTATGTATCTAGGAATTTGTTCATTTCTTCCAGGTTTTCTGATTTATTGGTATATATATATATATATATATATATATATATATATATATATATATATATATATAGTTGCTCATAGTAGGCACTAATAATCCTTTGAAATTCTGCAGTATCAATTGCAATGTCTCCTTTTCCATTTCTGACTTTATTTATTTGAATCTTCTCTCTTTTTTCCTCAGTTTGGCTAAAGATTTGTAAATTTTGTTTATTTTTTTAAAAAACCAACTTTTTGTTTCATTAGTCTTTTGTATTTTTTGCATTTCAATTTCATTCATTTCTGCTCTAATCTTTATCATTTCTTTTCTTCTACTAATTTTGGGTTTAGTTTGCTCTTGCTTGTCCAGTTCTTTAAGATGCATCATTAAATTGTTTATTTGAAGTTTTTTCTCTTATTTGATGTAGGCAATCATAGCGATAACCTTCCTTCTTAGTACTGCATTTGGTATATCAGACAGGTTTTGGTATGTTGTGTTTCCATTATCATTTGTTTCAAGAAATTTTGTGATTTCCTTTTTAATTTCTGCATTGACTCACTGGTCACTCAGGAGCATATTGTTTATTTTCCATGTGATTGTATAGTTTCCAAAATTCCTCCTGATATTTAAGTTCTAGTTTTACTCCATAGTGTTCAGAATAGATACTTGATAATATTTCAATTTTTTGAATATTTTAAAACATGTTTGTAACCTAACATATGGTCTATCCTTGACAATAATGTATGTGGTGAGGAAAGAATGTATATTGTGTAGCTGTTAGGTGAAATGTTCTGTAAATATCTGTTATATCCATTTGGTCTATAGTGCAGATTAACCTCAATGTTTCTTTGTTGATGTTCTGTCTGGAAGATATGTCCAATGCTGAAAGTGGGGTATCATAATCTCCAGCTATTATTGTATTGGGGCCTAGCTCTTTCTTTAATATTTTTTGCTTTGTATATGTGGGTCTCCTCTGTTGGGTGCATATATATTTAAAATTGTTATATCTTCTTGTTGAATTGACCCCTTTATCACTATATAGTAACCTTCTTCATCTCTTCATATAGTGTTGTCTTAAAATCTATTTTGTCTGATATAAGTACAGACACTCCTGCTCTTTTTTGTTTTTTTAAGGGGGGATGAAATATCTTTGTTCATCTATTTGTTTTTAGTCCATGTGTGTCTTTATAGGTAAGATGTGTATTTTGTAGGCAACAGATCAACGTGTCTTGTTTCTTTATCCATTCAGCCACTTCATGTCTTTTGATTGGAGAGTTCAGTTCATTTACATTCAATGTTATTATTGATAAGTAAGGACCTACTTCAGCCATCTTATTTGTTTTTTGGTTGTTTTCTTGTCTTCTCTTCCTTTTTGTCTTCCTTTACTGTAGGTGATTTTCTCTGGTGATATGATTTATATTCTTGCCTCTTATTTTTGATGTATCCATTATGTTTTTGGTTTGAGGTTAACATAAGTCTTGCAACTACTAGCTTATAACCCATTATTTTAAGCTGATAATAGCATAATACTTCATATAAGCAAACATACAAACAATCAGAAGAAAGCTAGTAAGAACTCTATGCCTTAACTTCATCTCTCTGCCTTTTAACATTTTGTTGTTTCTGTTTATATCTTATTGTACTATGTCTTGAAATGTTGATGTAGTTATTATTTTTGATTGGTTCATTGTTAAGTCTTTCTGTTTAGGATTAGAATTGTTTAAACACCATAATTACAGTTTTATCCTATTCTGTGTTTTTCTGTGTACTTACTATTACCGGTAAGTTTTGTACCTTCAGGTGATTATTTATTGCTCATTAATGTTCTTTTCTTTCTGATTGAAGTACTCTCTTTAGCATTTCTTGTAGGATGGGCCTGGTATTGATGAAATATTTTGTTTGTCTGGGAAAGTCTTTATTTCTCCTTAACTCTTGAAGGATATTTTCACCAGATAAACTATTCTAGGGTAAAAGTTATTTTTCCTTCAGTACTTTCGATGTGTCATGCCACTCTCTCCTGGTTGTAAGATTCCCACTGAAAAGTTTGCTGCCAGATGTATTGGAGCTCCATTGTATGTTATTTGTTTCTTTTCTCTTGCTGCTTTTAGGATCCTTTCTTTATTCTTGATTTTTGAGTGACTATTAAATACCTTGAAGCAGTCATCTTTGGGTTAAATCTGCTTGTTGTTCTATAACCTTCTTATACTTGAATATTGATATCTTTCTCTAGGTTTGGGAAGTTTTCTATTATTATCTCTCTGAGTAAACTTTCTAGTGCTATCTCTTTCTCTACCTCCTCTTTTAGGCCAATGACAGATTTGCCCTTTTGAAGATGTTTTCTAGATCCTGTCAGTATGTTTCATTGTTTTTATCTTTTGTCTCCTCTGGCTGTGTATTTTTTTTTTCTTTTTGAGATGGAGTCTTGCTCTGTTGCCCAGGCTGGAGTGCAGTGGCATGATCTCAGCTCGCTGCAGCCACCACCCTCCAGGTTCAAGTGATTCTCCTGCCTTGCCCTCCTGAGTATCTGGGATCACAGGCATGCACCACCACACTTGGCTAGTTTTGTATTTTTAGTGGAGACAGCATTTCATCATGTTGGCCAGGCTGGTCTTGAACTTCTGACCACAAGCGATCCACCCACCTCGGCCTTCCAAAGTGCTGGGATGACAAGCATGAGCCACCAAGTCTGACCCCCGAGTGTATTTTCAAATAGCCTGTTTTCAATTCTTTTTTCTGCTCAATCCATTTTGCTATTAAAGGGCTCTAATGCATTCTTCAGTATGCCAATTGCATTTTTCAGCTCCAGATTTTCTGTCTGATTATTTTTACTTCTTTCAATCTCTTTGTTAAATTTCATTGATATCATTCTGAATTCCTTCTTTGTGTTATTTTGAGTTTCCCTGAGTTTCTTCAACACAGTTATTTTGAATTCTCTGTCTGAGAGCTTCCATATTTCTATTTCTGCAGGATTGGTTCCCTCGTGCCTTATTTGGATCATTCGGTGAGGTCATGTTTTCCTTATTAGTGTTCATGCTAGTAGATGTTCTTTGGTCTCTGGGCATTGAAGAGTTAGGTATTTATTGTTATCTTCATTGTCTGGGCTTCTTTGTACCCATTCTTCTTGGGGAGGCTTTCTAGATGTTTGAAAAGATTTGAGTGTTGTGATCTAAGCTATATCTGTTTTACGGGGCATCTCAAGCCCAGTAACCCTGTGGTTCTTGCGGTCTTGTAAAGGTACCACCTTAAGGGTCTCGAAAAAGATTTGGGATAATTTACTGGATTACCAGGCAGAAACTCTTGTTCTCTTCCCTTACTTTCTCCCATACAAAAGGTCTCTCTCTCTCTCTCTATTCTGAGACATTTGGAGTTGGGGATGGAGTGACCCAAGCACTCCTGTGGCCACCACCTTTAGGACTGCACTATGTGAGACCTGAAGCCAGCACAGCACCAGGTCTCGCCCAAGGCCTTCTTTAATTTCTTCTTTGCTACCACCTATGTTCCCTCAAGCTCCTGGGGCTCTTCAATCAGCAGGTGGTAAATCCACTCAGGCTTGTGTCCTTCCCTTCAGGGTTGCCAGTTCCCCCAGGTCCTGGGAGGTCCACAGTTGCCATCCAGGAGCCAGGTACTAGAGGCAAAAATCTTAGACGTGTACCTGGTGTTCTGTTGTATATGACTGAGCTGGTATTTAAACCACAAGACACAGTCCTTCCCACTTTTCTCTCCCCTTTCCAAAGGCATAATAACCTCACTCCATGACCACAACTACAGGCTCATGGGCAGTACTACCAGATTAATGCCAATATTCTCTTAAGGCCTAAGGGCTTTTAAGTCAGCTGTGTGTTTAGGCAATCCACCCACCTCGGCCTCCCAAAGTGCTGGGATTACAGGCGTGGACCACGGCCTAAAGTCAGGAGTTGGAGACCAGCCTGACCAACATGGTGAAACCCTGTCTCTACTGAAAATACAGAAACTAGCTAGGCGTGGTGGCAGGTGCCTGTAATCCCAGCTACTCAGGAGGCTGAGGAAGGAGAATCACTTGAACCCAGGAGGCAGAGGTTGCAGCGAGCCGAGATAGTGCCACTGCGCTCCATTCTGGGAAACAAGAGTGAAACTCCGTTTTGAAATAAATTAAATAAATAAATAAATAAATAAATAGTGAGCTGTGGTGAGTGCTGCCCGCCCTGAGACTTACCCTTCAGGGCAGTGAGCCCCTCTTCAGGCCAGGGCTTATTCAGAAATCCTGTCCAGGAGCCAAGTCCTGGAATCAGGAACCCCAATAACCCACTTAAGGTGCTCGACCCCCATGGCTGAACCAGTGCCTAAGGTGCAAGCCAAATCCCCTTTACTTTTCCCTATGCTTTTTTCAAGCAGAGGGAGTCTCATCCCATAACCACCACAGCTTGGAATGTGCTGAGTCTCACCTGAAGCCAGAAGTCTCAGAGTCTCTCCCAAGGCCCTCAGTATAGTACTGAGGCTTCTGGTTATTTACAGCCCAAGGGCTCTTCTGTTAGCAGGTGATGGAGTCCTGTCAGGACTGGGTTCCTCCTTTCATGGCAGTGGATTCTCTTCTGGCCAAGGTTGTGTCTAGAAATTTCATCTGGGAGCTAGGACCTGGAAAGGGGGCCCAGCAACTCTTACTGGTGCCCTGTCTTTCTGTGGCTGAGCTAGTATCCAAGATGCATGACACAGTCCTCCTCACTTTTACCTCTCTTCTTCTTAAGTGGAGGGAAAGAATCTCTTTTGGATGCATGAGCTGTGCAGCCTGGGGTTAGTGTAGGGGCAAGGCTGACACTCCCTTACCCTTTACCCACCCTGGACGATGTCTCAGTAGGTGATATGTCTCCCCAGTCCACTGACTCTGGATCCAGCCAGCACTAGGACTTGCCTAGGATCTTCAGTGCTTGTGGCCTAGAATTCCTGTCAAATTTATTTAGTGCCCCAGAGCACTTCAGCTTGTGGTGGTTAGGATTGCAGGCACTCAAATTCTAACCTCTGGGATCAGCAATTTCCCTCTGGCTAGGGCTGGTTTAAATGTTTTCTCTATAAGGAAGCATCAGCTGAGTTTGGTTCAGTTTTCAGCTCTAATAGGACAGCACTGAGTTCAAAAATTGCTGTGCTCTCCCTCCCCCAGCACACAGAAACACTTTCTGCAGCAGGCTGACAGTGCGGACGGGTTGGGGAGGGGTAATTTTGGAGATTCAAAACTTTTTTTTTTAACTTCTTTATTGCCTCTTTCAGCGATACAAGGTTAAAACCAGGTACTGTGGTGCTCACCTGATTTTTGGTTCTTATGAAGGGGCTTTTCTTGTGTAGATAGTTGTTAAATTGAGGTCCTTGTGAGGGGATGGTCAGTGGAGCCTTTTATTGTGCCATCTTGCTCCACTTGCTAGTCCTAATTCACTTGTTCCTAACAACTATGTGTGCATTAGTCATGAAAATTCCATGAGACAGTAGACACAGCTAGCCAACATCTCACATTACTTTTTGTTAATTTACAGCACATGCATGTCAGTCATGAAAGCAAAAACCTAAAAGTCAAGTACATGAGTTTTTTATTTTACTGATGTGCTTGATTTATATGAAGTAAACATGAATTTTCACATTTTGTGTTAGGCTGAACATCAGATAAAGATAACCTAAACTTATTTGACTAGTAAACCCATGTTGAATGGAAGTTGTGTTCTTGTATTATATTTAATGCTAAAAACTCTAGAGATGTCTATTTTAATTAAACCAGCAAATTTAAAATAGCTTTTATTTACCAGAGATTATCCTAGATCATGTGAACTTGAAAAATATTTTGGTTGGTCTTTGTTGTTCTAAGAGTTTAAAGAATTCTTAGTTTATATAAGTATATATTATTCCATAAGCTAGTTAAATAGAGTTCAAATACAATTTAATTTTGGCAGTATCATCTAGAGTTAGAAAAGTGTCATGCATACAAACATACATAGACATACATAAATATACAGAAAGAAGCGAATCTTATAGTGTTTATCCTAAAACTGTAGCCATGTGTCAGGTATAATAATGCTGAACTCACTAGTTTATAGAAGAATACCTAGATTTGAATTGTGTTTCTGGTAGTTGGAACAAGTTAAGATGTCTTGCCCAGTTGACTAAAGCTTTTTACTAATATTTGTGGAAAATACTTTTACTATTTTTCACTTGCCCAATTTACAAATACCTTTTTTTTTCTTTCAAACGTGTCATCTTCTTGAAATTTGCATATAGATTTTTAACCTGTTTACCCTCATGCCCTAGCACAGACAGGCTAGAAAATTTAATATTACAAAGGCACAATGCTTAGAATTCAGGCTTAGGTACAGTCATCTGTGAAAACAAAAAAATAAAAAATGTGTTGGTAAAAGCCCAGTTAAGACAAAATAACCAAGACAAACACCTTAAAAAGGTCAGGTTTGTGGTGTAGATTGAATCAATTCTTTCTCCATTATTTAGTGATTTAGTCCTCCATCTCTTTCTGGACCAGAAAGGGAGACATCCTAAAAATGGAAATTCCTTTAAATTTCTCTTCTAATGCTACCTTAAAATAACCAGCTTGAAATAGTCTTTATGCCAGAGAGGCAAAATATTTTGGGTATTAATTTGGCCAGCTTCCCAATCCAGCTTTGTTTAGTAATTAGATCAATGAATTCAGCATGGATCCCATTAATAAATAGGACAAGTATTTTCTGTGCCTGCACTCAACATGGATTGACCAGAATGTTTTACAAATAGTATTTCTAATCTTTCCTTAGAGTCAAAGACTAGTTCATCCTTGTTTCTTTACAAGATTGCATGACAGACCAGTGAGTTGTTGAAGAAATAATTTGAGGGTGGATTCTAAGAGGTTATTTGTTATTTTCCCAGCACTTTTTGTCTTTCTCTGGAAGACTGAGGGGTAGATCTTTGCTACCTATCTTAGGTACCACACATTTTGCTTCTGCTACCAGCTTCACCAGCTTCCAGTATCATTTGAATGAATTGGTGAAGATCACAGAGTCCTGGATCATGTGATCCAAGAAGAATTCAAAATTTCACAGAAAATTTCTGGGGCTTTTGTTTGGAACAGGTGATAGCAGCAGGAGGCAGACAAATTCATAGGCAGACAGGGGAAGGTCCCTGATGAAACCCCACCTTCAAACCAAAGACAGATTAAAGCCTGAAATCCAAGCTACAAGTCTCAGATAAATCCATGGACTGGATTGAGAACCTCTCTTCCCATTTGGTGCACTTTCCTCTGATTAATCCTCACCCTTCACCTATTTTACAAATAACTACCCTTCCCTAATTGGTTTTTTACACTGTCATGCCCACCTTTGAGTGGTGACTTTAGCCTATTTTGCATACTCACAAACCAATCAGCATGCACTCCCCCATTCTGAGCCCATAAAAGAACCTGATTCAGCTACACTTAGGGACTACCCACCTATGGGCGAGAGAAGAGAGACCCTCTGACTTCAGGTAAGGGGGTACCCAACTCAGGTCCACCTCTCCACTAAGAGCTGTTTGTCACTCAATAAAACTCTTCACCTTGTGCACCCATCAGCTGTCAGCATAACCTCATTCTTCTTGGATATGAGACAAGAACTAGGGACTTGCTGAATGCAGGTATGAAAAAGCCTGTAAGATTATAGTCCTCTGCTCCTGCCAGCACTCAGTGGCTGCCCCTTGCAATGGGAAGCAGAGGCAGGGCCGGACCCAGCCCCAGGGCTGCAGGCCATAGCAGGGCAATGAAACTGACAGAGCTGTTAACATGCCCCATTTGTTGGGCTGTGGATGGCAAGACTAAAAGAGTTATTAGCATGTTGTAACACCCACTCTGGGGCTTCAGGGAATCTCTGTTCAGGTGCCATCACATTCCTCTTGTCCAGATGCTGGCTCCTAAGGTGGACACAGGTCACAGCACACCTGGCCCAGCTGCAGGCTAAGCACGGATTCTGCAGCGAGTGTAGGATCCAGGCAGGAGGGCAAGGCAAGCACAGCCCACCAGGCTGAGTGGGTGGGGTGTCTCCTGCAGCAAGCCCAGGACCCAAGCAAGGCCCAGGCATGGGTGTCACTGGCTGCAGAGGTCTCTGGCTGGTGAAGTGACAGCAAAAACAATCCTGCATCACAGGGACATTTTTCACCATTGCTCTGAGCCAGATTTTGTCCAACCTGTAAATGTAGTTAAAGAAGGCAGGCCTGGGACGGGCACAGTGGCTCACACCTGTAATCCCAGCACTTTGGGAGGCCAAGGCGAGCAGATGACCTGAGGTCAGGAGTTCAAGACCAGCCTGGCCAACATGGAGAAACTCTGCCTCTACTAAAAATACAAAAAAATTAGCCAGGTGTGGTGACGCATGCCTGTAATCCCAGCTACTCAGGAAGCTGAAGCAGGAGAATTGCTTGAATCCGGGAGGTGGAGGTTGCAGTGAGCTGAGGTTGCACCACTGGACTCCAGGCTGTGTAAGAGAGCGAGACTCTGTCTCAAAAAAAAAAAAAAAAAAAAAAAAAAAGGCAAGCAGACCTGGTTAATCGGAGAAACTGACTTTATAGGGCATTTGTCTAGTTTCTTCTTATTATTAGGAGTGAAAACATAACAAAGCAAATGTTTAGTAGATTCAGGATTATGAGGTAAGGGATAATCCCCTGCAATATAGATGAAACTATCTTTGCAAAAATTATGACAATGAGAAAAATCTCACATAGGAAAATTATGATAGTGAATCTGACATAAGAAAATGAGACACTGCATCTAACCTTCAAACTACCCTTCTTCATTCCTGCATGTAGGCTGAACTAACTTTGGTATCAATTTAGTTTAAATTGAACTAGTTTATAGTTTCAACACAGATGATAACCGCCCCTCACAAAAACCCCCTCCTTCCTTGGGAACCAAACCCCCTTTGTAAAACTAACCAATTAGCCAACATAAGGTACAGGGAATTAGGCTAAGGCGGACATCTAGGCCTGCATGAGTTTGGAGCACAGGCATATAACTCCACTTGTTGTATAATCTGTTTGTATAAGCTCATACTTGGATTGGAGCCACTATTGTTTGAAAAGGGTATAACTGCCCTGCTGACACTGCACAGACTCAGTTTGCATGCACCTGAAGAGAGAGTAACACTACTGACCCCTGTAAGGGAGAGCCAGTTGCCTTGAAGGTTGGCAGGAGGGAGCTAGGAACCAGCTTGTGCCCAGAGTGAAAGAGTTAAGCTGCTCTCCCCATAAAGAGAGAGGCCAGGGAGTGCAGCTTGTAGGCCAGGGAGTGCAGCTGCAGGCACAGGGGCGGTAGGAGCTGCAGAGCTGGAGCAGACAGCTGACATAAAGACAGACAGCTGACATAAAGACAGGTAGCTGACATAAAGACAGACAGTGTAAGAGAGCTGCTGACCAGAAAGCTGCTGAATAAAACTACATTTCACCTGCCTACACCACCCCGCCGAGTGTCTTTCAGCTATCTGCCACCCGCCCACTTCCCCGGAACCTCAGCATGGGCTGGAACCTAACCCTGGGCATGACATTTAGCATAGTCGTGGACCTAACCACCACAAAGTTAGAAATTATGGCACTAGAGTCTTGCAGCCAGAGGCTACAAGGTTCCTAACCTCCCCAATTGCTCCTATGACAACATTTTTATTATAAAACATACCTACAGCATGAACTGGGTAGCGATAAATTGCAAGATTGCTTTGTCTAGTAAAATTTATCATCAGATATCAGCTCACCTGGAAGCTAAGCTGTTATGTCCGGAATTTAAGCTGTAGTTCGCATGAGGAGGACAACTTCACTTGGAGTTGGCTTCTGAAGGAAATCTTGATCTTTGGTCTTATTAAAATCATGTTTTAACTAGCTCAGGTAAGACCATGCTAATCAAAGCATTCAGAGCATCCAATTTTATATATAAACTGAAGTTTGCATAAAATGTCAGAAGCATCACTTATGGAAAATAGTGGCATCAAGTGTAATTTCAATTGTAAAAATCAGAACTAGCTACAGTGACTTAAAGTTTACCATTCTGAGCTTTGTAATACCCTGTAGGATAATCTGGATTTCTCATACACATCTAAATCCACAACGCCCAGTTGAAGATCTTCACTTTACCCTATAGGGAATCCTAAGGTGTTCTTAGCGGAATTTCAGTTCTCCACACCATCCTCTCCTGGCAAAAATAAAGAGATACAATTGGTGAACCCTTGTAATGAAAGCAAATTTATGTTAGCAACATTTTCCTAAGATTGAAAATGAAGCCTCCATAATGAATCAGTGTGCAAAGAATTCCTACCTGTGTTATTGTCATTTCTGTTCTATCATGCATTTTTCTATGCTTTAGAAAGCCTAACACTTTTGAAGGATCTCCGTAATTTCTTATAATATTGGTAAGAGAGAAATTATTTTTCATATTATTATTTTTAATGAAAGTCTAAAATGCTATTTAATTTATAATAATTTTGTATTTGATTTACAGCATACCAAAATTGCCAGGGGCAAATGGAACAAAAGAAGTGAATAATCTTCCTATTTTATTATCTAGATAACCAAAATAACTAAAATCTATGTCTAAAATCTTATCTAAAATCTAGATAAGCAAAATAACTATAAAATAAAATTTTGAACCCTTATATATTATCTTTTAAACCCAACTCTAATGACTATGTAAGGTAAATTCTGGATAACTAGAACATTAAATGCTTTAAAACTGGGTTTAAAGCTTTAATTCATTTCTATGGTTATATAAGAAATCTTTCTGATGATTCTGACATAAAGGTTTATTCTGTGTAGTCAACATTTCTGATTAAAACTTTTAAGATCTGTTAATTAAATATTAACTCCTCTATATCATCACCACTTATGGCAGTAATTTCATTGATCATATTAAATATAGGCATATAAATAAATATATAAAATTAGTACAAAGAAATAAATATATTTTTATTGAGTATTTTATTTATAAATAATACTAGTAATTCACATATATACATCTCAGAAAATATACAGCAAATATACTTCCCCTACCTTTTTTGACATTTATAGTTTTAAAAAGTACCTGCATAAATTGACTTTGAGAATGTGTGATTATATTGTTAATTGGGTTTGAATGGAATAAACCAATTATATAAAAATTTACATAAAAAGCGGAATTATTGCCCTTTGTTCTTTATATAGTCTGCCTCAGGATCCCGTCTTTGGTTTATTTAATTCTGCTAAAAAACAAGCAATCAAACAAAATGCTGATGGAGAATAAAGTGCTCTCACTATCAGCAAGATTTCTTGAGAAATTTCATTTTAAGCTCCATAATAATAAAGATATAGCAACATTTGAATATGGAATAAACTTTCAGACAGTGCCAATATGGTCATGAACAGTGGAACATTTATGGGTAAAATTTTAAGTAAAAGTCTCTTCATCATACACAAATTCCAAAGGGAAACAAACTGAATTTTTTAAAAAAGAAAGTGAAAATACTCTCAGAGCTCTCTGTCATATTCATGAACATCAGAGTTAATGCACACATTCAACCCAAGCTTCTGAGCTTTTCCCTTTATTTGCCTCTATGTTTCTCTCAGACTTCCTCTCTATCTCTTTTTTGGCTTGTCTTTTTTGCACTTACCCCTATATGGCATAATTATTCTCAGCCTATTTTTCTTCCTCCTTCTTATTTTCACCCACACAAATTTCCCTTTCCACTTTTTCTGTCCCTTTTCTCCTCTAAATATCTTGCTGTCCTCTGTCTTGTCTATATTTTCTTTTGAGAACTTTTCTTAAATATTCTACAGAAGAAAAAATATTAAACTAGTGTATGAGCAGCAGACAAATGCTAACCATTCTCCACATTTCATAGAGTACTCTATTTCATCACCTCACTGTTTTGCCATTTGTTTCCCATTCACGTCTTATTTGCTGAACTTTATTCCATTATATAAGGGAAACTGCTCTCACTAAAGCCACTAAAAAATCATGTACATTCTCAGCACAGTGATTTTCCTTCACTTCTTGTCCTACTAAACCATTTATTTTGGCATTTGGCCCTGTACTTCACTTTGTCATTCTTTGTATCTTTCCTTTCTTTATGTCCCCAACACTCAATTCTCTAGTTTCCCTCCTGCTTCTTCCCTTGATCCTTCTGTTCAATATCCTTTTCTGTTCTCTCCCTCATCTCTCTTTTGAACATCCAGGTTTTGGGGGGCTGCAACAGGAAATAAGTTATTGAATGGATATTGAGTTTAACATATAAATGCTAGGAAAGTTGGAGAAATTCACTGGAAAACAATGGCAGGAACAGAAGGAAGCAAGGCAGCCAGTCAACAGCCAAAATCCTGTTCCAACAGTAGCTTCATGAGTGTGGTTTTTTCTGCTGCTGAACTGCCAATGACACAGCTTATATTTTCTGTACCATTGTTTTTTAAATGCAGGGTGCATGTTCTGAGATCTTGAAATTTTTGCTTCAACTGCCTTTGTACTAATTTTTTTTTATTGTCCATGCACATTTGCCTCCATTTCTCTATATCCAAATCTAGGTTGAGTGGGTTTGATTACACATACCAAAGTCAAATCCTTTGTCTGCCACTAAGATCTGTGTGGGAGAGAAAAAAGTATCAGATGTTGACCATCCAATAAATGACATCCATTCCCTATATTACCTTTCAATATAACTCCTCAAGCTGTTTTTCTTTTTTTTAAAAAAAGTCAACTTTTATTTTAGATATAGAGAGAATATATGCAGGCTTGTTACATGGGTATATTGCATGCAGTTAGTGAGCAGAGTACTCAATAGTTTTTCCACCCATTCTCCCCTCCGTCTCCCATGTACTAGTCCAAAGTGTCTATTGTTCTCATGTTTATGTCCATGTGTGTTCAATGTTTAGCCCCACTTGTAAATAAGAACGTGTGTCATTTGGTTTTCTGCTCCTGTGTCGGTTTGCTTTGGATTATGGCCTCCAACTGCATCCATGCTGCTGCAAAGTACATGATCTCATTCTTTGTTATGGCTGAGTAGTATTCCATCTTGTATATGTACCACATTTTAAAAATCCAATCCACCCCTGCTGGACACCTAGATTGATTCCATGTGTTTACCATTGTGAATAGTGTAGCAATGAACATAGGAGTGCATGTGACTTTAACAACAAAGACAGCATGGTATTGTTACAAAAACAGACACATAGACCAATGGAACAGAGTAGCAAACTCAGAAATTAAGCCACACGCTTGGAATAATCTGATCTTCAACAAGGCTGACAAAAAACAAGCAACAGAGAAAGGATACCCTATTCAGTAAACGGTGCTGTCATGGCGGCTAGCCATATGTGGAAGAATGAAACTGAATCCTTTCCTTTCATCATACACAAAAATTTATTCAAGATGGATTAAATATTTAAATGTAAGACTTCAAAATGTAAAAATCCTAGACGAAAACCTAGGAAGTATTCTTCTCAACATCAGCCTTAGCAAAGAATTTTCGGCTAAGTCCTCAGAAGCAATTGCAATGAAAACAAAAATTGACAAGTGTGACCTAATTAAGGTAAAGAACTTCTGCACAGCAAAAGAAATCATCAATAGAGTACACAGACAACCTACAGAATGACAGAAAATATTTGCAAACTATGCATCCAATAAAGGTCTAATATCAGAATCTATAAGGAACTTAAACAAATCAGCAAGCAAAAAAATGTAACCCTATTAACAAATAAGCAAAGGACATGAACAGATCCTTCTCCAAAGAAGACATACAGGCAGTCAACACACATAAAAAAGAAATGCTCATCATTAATCATCAGAGGAATGCAAATCAAAATCACAATGAGATACCATTTCACACCAGTCATAATGGCTATTATTAAAAAACAAAACATGCTGATGAGGCTGTGGAGAAAAGGAAAGGCTTATACACTGTTGGTGGAAATACTTTAGTTCAGCCACTGTGGAAAGCAGCCTGGAGATTTCTCAACAATTTGAAACAAAGCTACCATTTGACCCAACAATCCCATTACTGGGTATATACCCAAAGGAAATTAGGTCATTATACTATCAAGTATTTTTGGTGCTATGCTTTTCTTTTCTTAATGTACTCTCCAATAGGTAAGACATCCATTACTATGCCTTCAACTACTCCAGTGACTCCCAAGTTATTTCTATCACTCTAGTAGAATTGTATTACTAATACCAAACATCTCACCTACATATTCAAGGCATGCTCACACTGCAAACTTGTCAATGCCCCTGAGTTCTCAGTCTCTATTTTGAATGACAATCTACCTACTCACAAAGTGACTCCTTTTTCCTTCACTGAATACTACTTTTCTATCAAATATGTGACTAAGTCCTAGTGACACTACTTTCTGAATGCTTTAGAATCTATTTCTTCATCCTCATTATTTGCAAGATTATAATACACATGGACTAGGCACTTGCAAACTTAAAATTCAAAGCCCCCCATCAACAGAACGAACCCCCTCTTGGCCAAAAGTTCTCCAGAAAAACTGTAAAAACTTAGTTCTCAGCCATGACAGGGTGGGAAGTCAGATGTGCCTTGTTATACTTCCTCTCTTTTGCAATTTAGACATGACAACTGACCGGTATTAATGTTAAGATAGAGATTATAAGACTGACAGAACATATTCTTTGTGACAATAAGATTCCAAATTATAAACAGAACCTAAGGCCACACCAGGCAAGGTTTAAGTCAGGCACCTCTACACTTAAAGAATAAACTGTGTTCTAACTGCCACAAGGTTTTTCTTTTTCTCTAGTAGCTAAACAGGCACTGGCCTCAAGACAAGCAGGATTAAAACAATTTGCAGCTGCACCAGATGCTCAGTAACTGAACCCCTGCTACCAGACATAACTACAGCTTTGATTGGACAAGAGACTGATGTCAGTAACTTTCTCCAGATAAGAGGAAAACTGACCACGGACTGGTTCTGGCTGGTTTACAGAGACAGTGCATTTATGGGCCTTCATGTCCTGAGAAGACCTTTTGATGTATAGGGCCTAACTGTAACAAATTTAAATGTTAAGTCTCCACTCCAATGTGAACATGGGTTGTATGTTACATACATGTTCAATATGCATGTGCCAAGGCTACCTTCATGAATACTCATAGATCCTCCCGTAACCTGTTGAATATGTATATTTAGCCAACTTATTTAGCCTAAAGCTCCTACCTCAAGCCCTCCTCCTTTGATGTGCCTGTTTCTGGTCTTGGCCAGAGGCATGCTTCCCAGCACACTTGATGGCCACCTTGCAGGCTGTAACCCCTTATAAGAAATAAGTCTTCTCTCCTTTTCTAAATTTACAAATAGTGATTTTCTTAAGTTAACACACATTACATGCATTTCTATCATCTGCATTTTAAAAGTAGATTATTTGATCACATTTTTAGAATTAAAATAATTGCATTTATTTTGATTTCTTATATTTCCCAAAACAGTTTCCATCTATTACAGGAATATGAAAGAAAATTAAAAGGGTATTGTAATAAGAGTATGTTTTTCTATCAACTTCCCTCCCCCAGTATTTGCTGTATAAGTCTTAGTGAATGCTCTTTTACATTTACTGCATTTCATTTCAGGGATGTCGAATGAGGACATGGAACAGGATAATACAACATTGCTGACAGAGTTTGTTCTCACAGGACTTACATATCAGCCAGAGTGGAAAATGCCCCTGTTCTTGGTGTTCTTGGTGATCTATCTCATCACTATTGTGTGGAACCTTGGTCTGATTGCTCTTATCTGGAATGACCCACAACTTCACATCCCCATGTACTTTTTTCTTGGGAGTTTAGCCTTTGTTGATGCTTGGATATCTTCCACAGTAACTCCCAAAATGTTGGTTAATTTCTTGGCCAAAAACAGGATGATATCTCTGTCTGAATGCATGATTCAATTTTTTTCCTTTGCATTTGGTGGAACTACAGAATGTTTTCTCTTGGCAACAATGGCATATGATCGCTATGTAGCCATATGCAAACCTTTACTATATCCAGTGATTATGAACAATTCACTATGCATACGGCTGTTAGCCTTCTCATTTTTAGGTGGCTTCCTCCATGCCTTAATTCATGAAGTCCTTATATTCAGATTAACCTTCTGCAATTCTAACATAATACATCATTTTTACTGTGATATTATACCACTGTTTATGATTTCCTGTACTGACCCTTCTATTAATTTTCTAATGGTTTTTATTTTGTCTGGCTCAATTCAGGTATTCACCATTGTGACAGTTCTTAATTCTTACACATTTGCTCTTTTCACAATCCTAAAAAAGAAGTCTGTTAGAGGCGTAAGGAAAGCCTTTTCCACCTGTGGAGCCCATCTCTTATCTGTCTCTTTATATTATGGCCCACTTATCTTCATGTATTTGCGCCCTGCATCTCCACAAGCAGATGACCAAGATATGATAGACTCTGTCTTTTATACAATCATAATTCCTTTGCTAAATCCCATTATCTACAGTCTGAGAAATAAACAAGTAATAGATTCATTCACAAAAATGGTAAAAAGAAATGTTTAGATTTCATAGTGATATCTCTCATTTTCAGTAAAAAGAATTTTGCAGTTAGATAAGGTGTTTTGCTAAGTGTTCAAAGTTATTGTAAATATAATTGTTTTAGCATTTTAATGACTTAGGGTTTTATACCTAATAAACTCCTTAAAATATTTATATATGTTATTCAAAAGCATCCAAGGAATTTTAACCTGGTGTTCATGTTATATTAGATAATTAAAGCAGAAAACAAATGAAAACATTTATAGGTTAAATACTCTTCATGTGGCTTTATAAATGCCTTAAGTGTTAAAGCACTGTAGTTCCTCTCAAAAGTATTTGAGTAGGAAATATAATACAGCTGACAGAATTGTATAGTGTGGAAACATCACATTTAACTGGATTGTGGTGGCAGATTTGTGTTTGGTTGAGCCGATAAAGATCTCAGGAATCAGCTGTCCCTCAAAAGGTCTTTTACTCTAGATTATGGAATTGGCAAACTTCACTTCTTATAAGAATTTAACTCATATATCACTTGAAGCAATAAATAGAATGGGAAATGCAATCATAAAATGAGAAGTGAGTTAAAACCGTCAATGCAAGGCCAAACTCTAAGAGGGTACTTTTATCTCTATTCCTTTCTATGAGTAATAAGAAAAGGCAACTTGCCTCTCTTTATTGACGATGCCTTCAGAGGCCTTTTACAGTTGTATTTGTATGACACTGGAAAACATGAAAAGATTCATATTGCTAACGAATTCAGAAAGCTAATAGATAATTTAAAAATTAAGTTAGCATGGATGTAGAGAAGAAAAATGCCAGAATAGAAAGTAAATGGTATCAATTTTTCTAGCATTAAAAAAATGAAAACAATAAGAAAAGGAAATCAGTAATATTTCCATAATTATTAGCATTTGTTATGGATAAAAAGTGGCCTTAAATGCATATTGCCAAAGATCAAATAATGCTAAAATGATATGATCTCATCGTGTCCAGTGGGTGGCTGCGAAAGGTGTGAAAATAAGCAAGAGTATGGATGTTTTGTGACTCAAAAGTCCTTACATTTTAGCTTTCCTCACACTACATCCTCTTGCTGTATTATGAGTAATCCATCTTCAGGTCACCCCTACTCTTCCTCTTTCAACACTAAAATTTCATCTATATTCCTATGTATATCATTTCATCACATTCCCATTTATATCACCCAGGTCCCCAACCTGAAACAACTCACCTGTCTGTTTTGCAAGACTCTAGTTAGTATCTCCCTTATCCTTTTATAGTCTCTTATTTCCTAAACAATGCTGCCATATAATTTGTGCATTTAAGTTTAATTAATTCATGTCCTACTTAATTACCTTTTAATGGATTGTCATTGCTAGCAGATTATATGCATATGTGGTACATATATCTATATATGAATATATACATATGGATATGTTTGTTTATATGTCTGTACAGATTGTATAATATGCATATATATGCCTCAGCTAGTATTTATTCACCCTGAATTATTTGAGATCTTTTGCAAAAAAACTTCTTGGTTTAACTCTGGAGACTCTTCCTCCACAATTATCTTGATGGAACCTGTGTTGCAGCCAAAGTGAGTTACCAGGAGACTTCTGTACACTCCTTACTCTGTCAGGTGCATGTTTTCGTTCATATAGCTCTCTCCACAGAGAATCCCTACTACTGCAACTCACCTCTAAGTCACTTGCAATTGAAATGATAACTTTCTTCAAGGTGTGTATGAAATGTTACCATTTTATAAAGCTTTCATCCACAAAGCTTTTTCTGCCTACCTGGAAGTGGATGGGGGTGTTCACTCATTTAAAACAATTAGCACTTTATTTATGCTTCTTTTAAAAAAAATTCAACTTTTAAGTTCAGGGATGCAGGATGTGCAGGTTTGTTACATAGGTAAATGTGTGCCATGGTGGTTTGCTGTACAGATCATCCTATCACCCAGGTATTAAGCCCAGCATCCGTCAGCTATTCTTTCTGACCCCCTCTCTCCTCCCACCAACCACCCTTCAACAGGTCCCAGTGTGTGTTGTTCCTTGCCATATGTCCATGTATTCTCATGATTCAGCTTCCACTTATAAGTGAGGACATGCAATATTTGATTTTCTGGTCCTGTGCTAGTTTGCTAAGAATAATAGCCTCCAGCTCCATCCATGTCCCTGCAAATGACAAGATTCCATTCCTTTTTATGTTTATATAGCATTCCATGATAAATATATACCATATTTTCTTTATCCAGTCTATAATTGATGAGCATTTAGGTTGATCCCATGTCTTTGCTGCTGTAAATAATGTGGCAGTGAACATATGTGTGCATGTGTCTTTATAATAAAAGGATTTACATTCCTTTGGGTATATACACAGTAATGGGATTGCTGGGTCAAATGGTATCTCTACCTCTACGTCTCTAAGAAATTGTCACAGTCTTCCACAATAGTTGAACTAATTTACACTCACACCAACAGTGAATAAGCATTCCTTTTTCTCTACAACCTCACCAGCATCTGGTGTTTTTGTTGACTTTTTAATAATAGCCATTCTGACTGATGCAAGATGGTATCTCATCGTGGTTTTGATTTGCATTTCTCTAATGATCAGTGATGTCGAGTTTTTTTTCATATGTTTGTTGGCTGCATGTGTGTCTTCTTTTGAGAAGTGTCTGCTCGTGTCCTTTGTCCACTTTTTAATGGGGTTGTTTGTTTTTTTCTTGTAAATATGTTTAAGTTCCTTATAGATG
The DNA here is from genome assembly GCF_000001405.40 of Homo sapiens. Lineage (NCBI taxonomy): Eukaryota > Metazoa > Chordata > Mammalia > Primates > Hominidae > Homo > Homo sapiens. The sequence continues at coordinate 98,286,564 of NC_000003.12, forward strand.
TTGGATGTTAGACCTTTGTCAGATGCACACATTGCAAAAATTTTCTCACATTCTTAGGTGGTCTCTTTACCCTGTGTTGATAGTTTCTTCTGCTGTGCAGAAGCTCTTTAGTTCAATTAGATCTTATTTGTCAATTTTTGCTTTTTTGCTTTTGGTGTCTTCATCATAAAATCTTTGCCCATGCCTACGTCGTGAAGGGTATTGTCTAGGTATTCTTCTAAGGTTTTTATAGTTTGGAGTTCTACATTTAAGACTTTAATCCATCTTGAGTTGATTTTTGTATATGGTGTAAAGAAGGAGTCCATTTTCAATTTTCTGCATATGGCTAGCTAGTTCTCTTAACACCACTTATTAAATAAAGAATCCTTTCCCTGTTGCTTGTTTTTGTCAGGTTTGTGGAAGACCAGATGGTTGTAGGTGTGTGGTCTTATTTCTAGGTTCTCTATTCTGTTCTATTGGTCTATGTGTGTGTTCTTGTATCAGTACCATGCTGTTTTGGGTAATGTAGCCCAGTAGTATAGTTTGAAGTTGGGTAGCATGATGGCTCCAGCTTTGTTCTTTTTGCTTGGGATGGCCATGGCTATTCAGGCCCTTTTTTAGTTCCATACGATTATTTAAAATAGTTTTTTCTAGTTCTTTGAAGAATCTGATGATAGGAATAGCATTGAATCTATAAATTGGTTTGAGCGGTATGGCCATTTTAATGATATTGGTTCTTCCTATCCATGAGCATGGAATGTCTTTCCATTTGTTTGTGTCATCTCTGATTTCTTTGAGAAGTGTTTTGTAGTTCTCCTTGTAGAGATCTTTCATGTCCCTGGTTAGCTGTATTCTTAGGTATATTATTCTTTTGTGGTAACTTTGAATGGAAGTGTATTCACGACTTGGCTCTGGGCTTGTCTGTTGGTGTATAGGAATGCTAGTGATTGTTGCACATTGATTTTGTATCCTGAGAATTTTTTGAAGTTGCTTATCAGCTTAAGAAGCTTTTGGGCTGAGACAATGAGTTTTCCAGATCTAGGATCTTATCATCTGGAAACAAAGATAGTTTGACTTCCTCTCTTCCTATTTGAATACTTTTATTTCTTTCTCTTGATTGATTGCCCTGGTAAGAACTTTCAATATTTTGTTGAATAGGAGTGGTGAGAGAGGCCAACCTTGTCTTGTGCCAGTTTTCAAGGGGAGTGCTTCCAGGTTTTATCCATTTAGTATGATATTGACTGTGGGTTTGTCATATATGATTCTTATTATTTTAAGGCTTGATTCTTCAATACTTAGCTTATTGAGAGTTTTTAACATGAATGGATGTTGAAATTTATTGAAGGCCTTTTCTACATCTTTTCAGATAATCATGTAGTTTTTGTCTTCAGTTCTGTTTATGTGATAAATCACATTTTTTGATTTGCCTGTGTTTAGCCAACCTTACATCCCAGGGTTGAAGCCTACTTGATAGTGGTGAATAAACTTTTAGATGTGCTGCTGGATTCAGTTTGCCAGTATTTTGTTGAGATTTTTGCATTGATGTTCATCAAGGATATTGGCCTGAAGTTTTCTTTTTTTTGTTGTACCTCTGCCAGGTTTTGGTATCAGGATGATGCTGGCCTCATAGAATGAGTTAGGGAAGAGTCCCTTCTTCTTCTTCTTCTTTTTTTTTTTTTTTGAGATAGAGTCTCGCCCTATCGCCCAGGATACAGTGCAATGGCACAACCTCGGCTCACTGCAACCTCTGCCTCCCGGGTTCAAATGATTCTCCTGCCTCAGCCTCCCAAATAGGTGGGATTACAGGCACCCACCACCACGCCCAGCTAATCTTTGTATTTTTAGTAGATACAGGGTTTCACCATGTTGGCCAAGCTGGTGATGAACTCCTGACCCCATGATCTGCCTGCCTTGGCCTCCCAAAGTGCAGGGATTACGGGTGTGAGCCACCACAGCCCTTCTTCACAATTTTTTTAAAAAATAGTTTCAGTAGGAATGGTACAGCCTTTTTTTTTTTTCCACCCGTCTGGTACAATTAAGCTGTGAATCTGTCTGGTTCTGGGATTTTTTTGGTTGGTAGGGTATTTATTACTGCCTCAATTTTAGAACTCATTATTGGTCTATTCATGGATTTAATTTCTTCCTGGTTCAGTCTTGTAAGTGTGCAGATGCCCAGGAATATATCTATTTCTTCCATATTTTCTAATTTATGTCCAGAGGTGTTCATAATATCCTCTGATGGTTGTTTGTACTTCTGTGGGGTCAGTGGTAATATCCCCCTTATCATTTCTGATTGTGTTTATTTGAGTCTTCCCTCTTTTCTTTATTAGTCTGGCTAATGGTCTATCTATTTTATTAATTTTCTTAAAAAAATCAGCACTTGGTTTGTTAATCTTTTGAAAGGTTTTACATGTCTCTATCTCCTTCAGTTCTGCTCTTGTCTTGGTTATTTCTTGTCTTCTGCCAGCTTTGGGGTTTATTTGCTCTTGGTTCTCTAGTTGTTTTACTTGTGATGTTAGGTTGTTAACTTGAGATCTTTCTAGCTTTTTGATGTAAGCATTTAGTGCTATAAATTTTCCTCTTAAAACTGCTTTAATTTCATCCCAGAGATTCTGATATATTGTATCTTTGTACTCATTAGTTTCAAAGAACTTCTTGATTTCTGCCTTAATTTCATTATTTACTCAAAGGTGATTCAGGAGCAGGTTGTTCAATTTTCTTGTAATTGTATGATTTTGAGTGAATTTCTTAAGCTTGAGTTCTAATTTAATAGTGCTATTATCTGAGAGACTGTTATGATTTCAGTTCTTCTGCATTTGCTGAAGAGTGTTTTGCTTCCAATTGTGTGATCAATTTTAGAAGAAGTGCCATGTGGCAATAAGAAGAATGTATATTCTGTTGTTTTGGGGTGGAGAGTTCTGTAGACATCTATTAGGTCCACTTGATCCAGAGCTGAGTTCAGATCCTGAATATCTTTGTTAAATTTCTGTCAGAATGATCTGTCTAATATTGTCAGTGGGGTGTTAAAGTCTCCCACTATTGTGTAGGAGTCTAAGTGTCCTTGAAGGTTTCTAAGAACTTGCTTTATGAATCTGGGTGCTCCTGTATTGAGTGCATATATATTTAAGATAGTTACCTCTTCTTGTTGAATTGAACCTTTTACTATTACGTATGGCTTTCTTTATCTTTTTTTTATCTTTGTTGGTTTAAAGTTTGTTTTGTCAGAAACTAGGATTGGAACCACTTGTTTGTTCTTTTTCATTTGCTTGGTAAATTTTCCTCCATCCCTTTATTTTAAGACTGTGTATTTTTGCATGTGAGATGGGTCTCCTGAAGACAACATACCAATGGATCTTGGTTCTTTATCTAGCTTGCCATTCTGTGTCTTTTAATTGGGCCATTTACTCCCTTTACATTTAAGGTTAGTATTATTATGTGTGGATTTGATCCTGTCATCATGATGCTAGCTTGGTGTTTTACAGGCTTGTTTATATGGTTGCTTCATAGTGTCGCTGCTCTGTGTACTTCAGTGTGTTTTTTGTAGTGGCTGGTGACAGCTTTTTCTTTCCATATTTAGTGCTTCCTTCAGGAGCTCTTGTAAGGCAGGCCTGGTGGAAATGAATTCCTTCAGCATTTTCTTCTTTGAAAAGGATCTTATTTCTTCTTCACTGATTAAGCTTAGTTTGGCTGGATATGAAATTGTGGGTTGGAATTTCTTTTCCTTAAGAATGTTGAATATTGACCCATATCTCTTCTGCCTTGTAGGGTTTCCACTGAGAGATCCACTGTTAGTCTGATGGGCTTTCCTTTTTAGGTGACCTAACCTTTCTTTCTGTCTGCCTTTAACACTTTTTCTTTCATTTTGACTTTGGAGAATCTGATGATTATGTGTCTTAGGGATTATTTTCTCATGTAGTATCTTACCAGGGTTCTCTGCATTTCCTGAATTTGAATGTTGACCTGTCTAGCCAGGTTGGGGAAGTTTTTCTGGATGATATGCTGAAATATGTTTTCTGAGTTGGTTCCATTCTCCATGTCTCTTTTGAGTACCTCAATCAGGTGTAGATTCAGTCCCTTACATAATCCCATCCCGTAATTCTTTGAGGTTTTGTTTATTCCTTTTCATTCTTTTTTCTCTATTCCTGTCTGCCTGTTTTATTTCAGAAAGATAGTCTTCGAGCTCTGAGATTTTTTTCTCCACTTGGTCTATTCTGCTATCGATACTTGTGATTGCATTGTGAAGTTCTTGTAGTGTGTTTTTCAGCTGTATCAGGTCAGTTATATTTCTCTTTGTACTGGCTATTTTGCCTGTCACCACCTGCATCATTTTATCATGATTCTTAGCTTTCTTGCATTGGGCTATAATGTGCTCCTTTAGCTCAGGGAAGTTCATTTTCATCTACATTCTGAAGTCTTCATCTGTCATTTCCATCATCTCAGCTTCAGCCCCATTTCAAATCCTTGCTAGAGTCATTTGGAGGAAATGAGGCTCTCTCGCTTTTTCAGTTTTCAGTGTTTCTGTGCTGATTCTTTCTTATCATTGTAGGCTTATCTAACTTCAATATTAGAGGTTGCTGACCTTTGGATGGGATTTTTGTGTTTTGTTGTTGTTTGTTTTTCTTTTAACAGTCTGGCCATTCTTCTGTAGGGCTGCTGCAGTTTGCTGGGTGGTCCACTCCAGACCCTAGTCACTGCAGTTTTTCTAGTACCTGGAGGTATCACCAGTGAAGGCTGCAAAATAGCAAAAATGGCAACCTTCCCCTTCCTCTGGGAGCTCTGTCCCAGGGGAATACTCACCTGTCGCCAGCCTGAACGCAACTGTAGGAGGTCTCACCCAGTCAGGAGGAACAGGATCAGGGACTTGCTTAAAGAAGCAGTCTAGCTGCGTTTTGGCAGAGCAGCTGTGCTGTGTTGGGGATCCCTTCAGCCCCTGATCACTCTGGGCTCTCCAAGGCCCGCAAGCTGGACTGGGTGAAAAGCCCATACAGCAAAGGCATTGGCTCGCCTTGTCCCCTGGGCAATCCATCCCAGGGAGAAATTAGAACTCTGTCAGCCGTAGAACATGGGTAGGGGTGGCTGGAGGCCCTGGCTGGGAGGATCCGCCCAGCAAAGAGGAATGGATCAGGGTCCCATTTAAAGAAGCAGCGTTGCCACACCTCAACATAAGAGCTGTGTCATGCTGGAGAACTGCCTCTGCCTCGATCAGCTTGGACTTTCCAAAGTCCACAGGCTGGAATGGCTGAGTTGTCCAAACAACAAAGGTGGCAGCTTGCCCTTCTGCCTAGGAAGTGTGTCCCAGGGAGAGATCAAAGCTCTGTCCAAAGAATATGGGCCAGCATGGCTTGAGGCCCTGGCTGGGAGGTTCCACTTAGTGAGGAGTAATGGATCGGGGTCCCACTTAAAGAAGTAGTCTGGCCATGTTTTGTTAAAGAAGCTGTGCTGTGCTGGGAAGTCTCTTCCTTGTCTGGACCCTTTGGACTCTCCAAAGCCTGCGGGCTGGAGTAGCTGAGTTGTCCAAACAGCAAAGATGGTGGCCTTCCCTTCCCTTCCTCTGGGGACTCTGTCCTGTCTCAGTCAGGCTCTACCCTATTGCCAGTGGCTGGCTGGAATTCCAAGCTAGTCTTATCTTGTGAGGTGCCATGGAAGTAGGGCCCACATACTGACGCTGATTGGCCCCCTGGATTCAGCTCCCTTCCTAGGGATATGTATGAACCTCCCACCTTGCCTGAGTTGCAGTAGGGAATCCCGGAGCCATTGTATGTAAAGCTCCTGGGTCTCTGTGTGTGCTTAAGCAGGTGCTCTGCTGAGACTCCACACAGCCCTGGGTGTCGGACCCAAGACCCTGGTGGAGTGGGCTCACAAGGGGATCTTCTGATCTGAGGGTTGCACTGTGACTTCCCAGGGTTGCACATTCACTCCCTGCTTCCCTTGGTTGGGAGGTGGGTATTCCCTTGGCGACATATCTCTATCACTCTTGGGAAGGCCATTGCCCTGCCCAGCTTTTCTTTATTCTTTGTGGGTTGAGTTGTTTCCCTGATCAGTTCCAGTGCAAGTACCTGAATATTCCAGTTGAAGGTGCTATATTCTCTTGATCCTTTCATTCCTCTCTGTGACTGCAACACACTGTAGCTGCTTCTAATCTGCCATCCTGGTCCCCTCCTTATTTATTCTTCTTACGCTATATTTGGCTTTATATTTATTGTCTTAAAGATCTTTTACATTACAAATCAGAAGTCCTACTATGTTTTCTTTCTTTTGCTATGGGAGACTCGATGGCTTACATACATGAAGCCCAAAATAAGTGCTTGTGAAATATTTGTGAAATCAAATAGAAACCAACAGTACAAATGCGTAGAATATAGTGAATTATTCTTGCTTTCCTTTTCACGAGGATTGACTCTTTGTATAGACTATGAAGAATATCATGGAGAAGCTATTCAATCTTAAAAATTGAAGGATATAAAACATATAAATGTTTTAAAAAATTCATTATTTTATATTTGCAGAGCTAGGCTCACAAAATTAGACCAGATCATTTGCCCTCTTTTTGTTCCCCAGAGAGGTGCCTGCTAAGTGGCAGGAAACAGAGCTAATGGATTACAGTATAGCTGCTTTTATTATTACTCCACAGAGAATCCATGTTATTGCATATGTTTATAGTTTATTGATTTTTATTGCTGTATAACATTCTTTATGTACTTATGGTTTTCAGTCAATTATCTATATTTTGCTTGTTTGTTCACTGTTATGACCCAAAGACAAGATTGATAATATTAATACAAGCACCTGGTGTCTCTTCTGCCATTTTAAAGGCCTAGTTCCGCAGTTGGCTTTTCTTTTAATGAAAAGGTAGAAAACAAACTATGAGTACATGGGCAGGATATATAGCATCACAAGTCTTATTTTAGGTGGGGTTGGGGGCGGGGGAAATGGAACAGGCAATTGGGAGCTCTGAAGAGCTCAGAATTTCCCTGCAGCCTTGTCCTGTACATTTCTAGTTAAAAAATGTATCTGCTCTGGCATTTCCTTCAGTATAATCCCAATTATTTTATGCCTTCAAGAAATTCACCAAAATTGATTGTCCATTGATATAATCTCATTCTCACTTGTGTTATAGATTTATTCCTTTTAGTACATTATTTTTGTATTTAGTGGGATATTAGAAAATAGATAAATTATACACTTGGGAAACCCCCCCATTTTGGACAAGATATTCTTCTGTATTTTTTAAAAAGAAATTATAGAAATATATATGTATTATTTAATGAGTATTTAGACATAAAGAATAATATCATATTGAAATTTCATATGTTGCCTATAACACTGCTCATGTTGGGTTGAAAGCACCCTATGGAACTACCAATAGCAGTAGAAATACTCTTTATTATGAAGATGTATTTTTTACTTAATCTTGACATTTAAGTATTCATAGATTTCTCTTTCTCTCTCTCTCTCTCTCTCTCTCTCTCTCTATATATATATATACATATACATATACATATATAGTCTCTCTGTGTCTCTCTATACATATTTGTTTACTTATTGTCTTATCTTCTACTGCTCATGAGACTGCTGACGAATTATCCTTTACTGTGCTCAAAGAAACAATATAATTAGAATTTAGGTAAATGCAAACAGCAATAAAAACTAGAACAGCATTACTATAAGCCTGGGAATTTGGAATTTCCAGCCTCCGCTTTTTCCTTTCCTCACTATTTTGACAGTTAGATGTAAAATTCAATAGGACATCTGTTGCAAAGGATGAAGTATTGTGGTGTTTTTAAAATACTTTTTCGTGGGAATTACTATTGACTGATGATATCCAATCAAAACTCTATTGTCTTATTTCAGTAAGGGTAACAGGAGGGACCTATGTTTATCGAAAAAAATGTGTAGCTGGGCAAGGACTTCATGTCTAAAACACCAACAGCAATGGCAACAAAAGCCAAACTTGACAAATGGAATCTAATTAAACTAAAGAGCTTCTGCACAGCAAAAGAAACTACCATCAGAGTGAACAGGCAACCTACAAAATAGGAGAAAATTTTCACAACCTGCTCATCTGACAAAGGGCTAATATCCAGAATCTACAATGAACTTAAACAAATTTACAAGAAAAAAACAAACAACCCCATCAAAAAGTGGGCAAAGGATATGAACAGACACTTCTCAAAAGAAGACATTTATGCAGCCAAAAGACACATGAAAAAATGCTCATCATCACTGGCCATCAGAGAAATGCAAATCAAAACCATAATGAGATACTATCTCACACCAGTTAGAATGGCAATCATTAAAAAGTCAGGAAACAACAGGTGCTGGAGAGGATGTGGAGAAATAGGAACACTTTTACACTGTTGGTGGGACTGTAAACTAGTTCAACCATTGTGGAAGTCAGTGTGGTCATTCCTCAGGGATCTAGAACTAGAAATACCATTTGACCCAGCCATCCCATTACTGGGTATATACCCAAAGGACTATAAATTATGCTGCTATAAAGACACATGCACACGTATGTTTATTGCGGCACTATTCACAATAGCAAAGACTTGGAACCAACCCAAATGTCCAACAATGATAGACTGGATTAAGCAAATGTGGCACATATACACCATAGAATACTGTGCAGCCATAAAAAATGATGAGTTCATGTCCTTTGTAGGGACATGGATGAAACTGGAAATCATCATTCTCAGTAAACTATCGCAAGGACAAAAAGCCAAATACCACATGTTCTCACTCATAGATGGGATTTGAACAATGAGAACACATGGACACAGGAAGGGGAACATCACACTCTGGGGACTGTTTTGGGGCTGAGGGAGGGGTGAGGGATAGCATTAGGAGATATACCTAATGCTAAATGATGAGTTAATGGGTGCAGCACACCAGCATGGCACATGTATACAAGTGTAACTAACCTGCACATTGTGCACATGTACCCTAAAACTTCAAGTATAATAATAATAAAAAATAAAAAAATTAAAAATAAAAATAAAAATAAACTAAAGGCAAAAAAAATGTGTAGCTGGAATCAAGCTTTGGAAGAATTTTCTCAAAACATTTAACCTACAGAGGAGGTGAAGCAAGATGGCTGAATAGAAGCCTCCAATGATCATTCTCCCCAAAGGAACACCAAATTCAACATCTATCTACATTAAAAAGACATCTTCAGGCCAGGAACAGTGGCTCACACCTGTAATCCCAGCACTTTGGGAGGCTGAGGTGGGCAGATCACGAGGTCAGGAGATCGAGACCATCCTGGCTAACACGGTGAAATCCCATCTGTACTAAAAATACAAAAAAAATTAGCCGGGCATGGTGGCGGGCAGCTGTAGTCCCAGTTACTCAGGAGGCTGAGGAAGGAAAATGGTGTGAACTCAGGAGGTAGAGCTTGCAGTGAGCCGAGATCGCACCACTGCATTCCAGCCTGGGCAACAGAGTGAGACTCCATCTCAAAAAAAAAAAAAAAAAAAAAAAAGAAAACAAACAAACAAACAAAAAGCCTTCATAAGAACCAAAATTCTGGTGAGTAATCACAGTATCTGGTTACAACTTCATATCATTAAAAGATGTGCTAAGGAGGGTAGGAAACACAGTTTTGAATTGCTGATGTCACCCCTCACATATCCTCTGGCAGCAGCACTATGGCAAGGAGAGAGGATACATGTGCTTAGGGGAGGGAGAGAACACTGATTGTGGGACTTTTCATTGGAACTCTGTGCTGGCCTGTCAGAGGGGAAAGCAACACCAGGCAGAACTCAGTGCCCACAGAGGAAACATTTAGACCAGTCATAGCCAGCACGGAATTGCTCATCCCAACAGTTGGTACCTGAGTTCTGGCAAGCCTCGACACTACAGTCTAAAGTGCTCTGTCACCTTAAATAAACTTGAAAGGCAGTCTAGGCCACAAGGACCATAATTCCTGGGCAAGTCCTACTGCTGTGTTAGGCTAAGAGCCAGTGGACCTGAGGGGCATGCAACCTAGTGAGAAACCAGCTGCGGTGACCAAGCAAGTGTTTGTGCCACTCCTCCCCCAACCCCAGGTTGTACATTCTTGCAGATCCAGGAATGACTGCAAATCCAGGAATCATTCCTTCCTTCCACTTGAGGAGCAGAAAGGAAAAAGTAAAGAGGACTTTGATCTGCAATTTGGATACCAGCTCAATCAGAGTAGGACAGGGCACCAGGAGGCCCCAGTTCCAGGTCCAAGTTCCTGGATGACATTTCTAGACACACCCTGGGCCAGAAAGGAACCTGCTGCCTTGAAGGGAAGAGCCCAGTCCTGGCAGGATTCATCCCTTGCTATTTAAAGTGCTCTTGGGCCCTGAATAGTCATCAGTGGTACCCAGGCAGTACTCACCATGGGCCTTGGGTAAGACTCAGAGATGTGCTGGTTTCAGATGTGACCCATTACATTCACAGCTGTGGTGGCTATAGTGGAACATTCGTTCTGCTTGAGGAAAAAAAACGGAAGAATAAAGGAGACTTTGTCTTGCAGCTTAGGTACCAGTTTGGCCACAGTGGGATAGAGTACTAAACAGGATCTTGTGGTCTCTGAGTCTAGGCTTTGGCTCTTGGATGGCATTTCTGGTCCTTTATCGGCCAGAGAGATACCCACTGCTCTGAAAGAGAGTCCCAGACTTGGCAGCATTCACCACAAGCTGACTAATGAGCCTTTGCGTTTGGATTGAACATTAGCAGTAGCCAGGCAGTACTCATCATGGGACTGGGGCAGTAGTAGCCATGAGGAGAGACACCTCTAATTGTAGAAAGGAAAGAGAATAGTGATAAAGACTTTGTCTTGTGGCTTGGGTGCAAGTTCAGCCACAGAACAGAGAACCAGGTAAATTCTTACGGTTTCTGACTTTAGGTTCTGGCTCCCACATAGCATCTATGAATCCACCTGTGGATGAGGGAAACTCACTGCCCTGAAGGGAAGGAAAGAATACTGGAGGGCTTTGCCACCTGCTCTTTGTAAAGCTCTAAGGCCTTGAGTGAACATAGGCAGTAGTCAGGTAGTGGTTACCATGGGCCTTGGGTATGACCCAGTGCTGTGCTGGCTTCAGTTCTAACCCAGCACAGCCCCAGTAGTGTATGGCACCCAAACCCCAGCTTCAGGCAGCTCAGCAGAGTGACAGAGACACCATTTGTTTTGGAGAAAGTAAGGGAAGAGAACAAGAGTCTCTACCAGATAACCCCGGGAATTCTTCCAGATCTTATCCAAGACCACCAAGGTTTTACCTCTTTGTGAGAACCACAGTGTTACTTGGCTTGGATTGCCTCCTAATACAGATATGGCTGTAGTGACCAAAAACTTACATTAAAACACCCAAGTTCCTTCAAATACCCATAAAGTCTTCCCAAGAAGGATGGGTACAAATAAGCCCAGACTGCAAAGACAATAATAAATACCAGACATTGAAAGACATCCACAAGCTTCAAGACAATCCAGAAAATCATGACCTACCAAATGAACTAAGTAAGACACCAGGAATCCATCCATGAGAAGCAGAGATATGTGACCTTTCAAACAGTGAATTCAAAATAGCTGCTTTGAGGAAACTCCACGAATTTTGAGATAACACACAAAAAAAGAACTCAGAATCCCGTCAGATAAATTTAACAAAGCGACTGAAATAATTTAAAAGAATCAAGCAGAAATTCTGGAGTTGAAAAATGCAATTGAAATAAATAGAACTGATCAAGCATAAGAAAGTATTAGTGAGCTTGAAGACAGGATATTTGAAAATACACCATCAGAGGAGATGAAAGAAAAAAAAATACAAAAGAATGAAGCATGCCTAAAAGATGTAGAAAATAGCCTTAAAAGAGAAAATCTAAGAGGTATTGGCCTTAAGGAGTAGATAAAAAGAGAGATGGGGTAGAAAGTTTATTCAAAGGGATAATAACAGAGAACTTCTCAAACCTACAGAAAGATATCAATATCCAAGTACAAGAAGGTTATAGAACACCAAATATATTTAACCTAAAGAAGCCTACCTAAAGACATTTAGCAATCAAACTCCCTAAGGTCAAAAATAAAGAAAGAATTCTAAAAGCAGCAAGAGAAAATTAAAAAAAATAACATACAATGGAGCTCCGATATGTCTTGCAAAAGACTTTTCAGTAGAAACCTTACAGGCCAGGAGAGAGTGGCATGACATACTTGAAGTGCTGAAGAAAAAAACTTTTATCTTAGAATAATACAAACAGTGAAGATATCCTTCAAACATGAAGGAGAAATAACGATTTTCCCAGACAAACAAAAGTTGAGGGAGTTCACCAACATCAGACCTGTCCTATAATAAATGCTAAAGGGAGTTCTTCAATCTGACGGAAAAGAACATTAATGAGCAATAAGAAATAATGTGAAGATGCAAGACTCACTGGTAATAGTAAGTACACAGAGAAACAGAACAACACTGTAATTGTGGCATATAAATTACCCACATCTTGAATAGAAAGACTAAATATGAAGTGATCAATAATCAAAACTACAACTTTTCAAGCATAGACAGTACAATAAGATACAGATAGAAACAATAAAAAATTGAAAAGTGGGGAGATAAAGTTAAAGTGAATTGTATTTGTTTATCTTTGTTGATTTGTTTGTTTGCCTATGCAATCAGTGTTAATTTATCATTAGTTTAAAGTAATGGGTTATAAGATAGTATTGGCAAGCTTCATGGCAATCTCAAATCACAAAACCTTCACCAGATACACAAAAAAATAAAAATCAAGAAATTAAAACATGCCACCAAAGAAAAATCACCTTCACTAAATGGAAAACAAGAAGGAAGAAAAGAAGAGAAGACAGAATACCACCAAAAAAACCAGAAAACAAATAACAAAATGGCAAGAGTAAGACCTTACTGATGAACAATAACATGGAATATAAATAGACTAAACTCTCCAATCAAAAGATATATAGTGGCTGAATAGATTTTTTTAAAAAGACCCAATGATTTGTTGCATACAGGAAACACACCTCACCTATAAAGACACACATAGATTGAAAATAATGGGATGGAAAAAGATGTTGCATGCAAATGGAAACAAAAAAAAAGGAGGAATAGCTATACTTATATCAGACAACATAGATTTTAAGGCAAAAAGTATAAAAGGGCACTAAGAAGGTTATGTGATTATAAAGAGGTCAACTCAGCAATAAGATATAATTATTGTAAATATATATGCAGTCAACACTAGAGCACCCAGATATATAAAGCAAATATTACTAGAGCTGAAGAGAGATAGACCCCAATACAATAATAGCTGGAGACTTCAACATCCCACTTTCAGCATTGGACAGGTCTTTCAGACACAAAATCAACAAAGAAACATTAAATGTGATTTGCCCTATAGACCAAATGGACCTAATAGATATTTGCAGAACATTTCATCCAACAGTTGCAGAATACACATTATTCTCCTATGCACATAGATCGCTCTCAAGGATAGACTATATGTTATGGCACAAAACAAGTCTCAAAGAATTAAAAAAAAAAGAAATATCAAGTATCATCTCTTAACATAATGGAATAAAATTAGAAGTCAATAACAAGAGGAACTCTGGAAACTATGCAAGCACATAGAAATTAAACAATATGTACCTGAATGACCAGTAAGTCAATGAAGAAAACTGAAAATTTTCTTGAAACAAACAAAAATGAAAATGCAACATATACCAAAACCTATAGGATGCAGCAAAATTGGTACTAAGAAAGTTTATAGCCATAAGTGTCTACATACAAAAACATAGATAAACTTCAAATAAACAACAGAACAATGCATCCTAAAGAATTAGAAAAGCAAGAGCAAACCAAATCCAAAATTAGTAGAAGGAAATAAACAATAAAAATTAGAGCAGAAATAAATGAAAAAGAAAAAAGGAAAACAATACAAAAATCAAGGAAATGAGAAGTTGGTTTTATAGAAGGATAAACAAAATTGACAAACCATTAGCCAGACTACCTAAGAAAAAAAGACGAAAACCCAAATAAATAAAATCAGAGATAAAAAAGGAGACATTACAATTGATACCACAGAAACGCAAATGATTATTAGGGACTACTATGAGTAACCATATGTAAATAAATTTGAAAATGTAGAAGAAATGGATAAAATCCTAGATGCCACCTCCCCAGATTGAACCATGCAGAAATCCAAAACCTGATCAGACCAATAACAAGTAAGGAGACTGAAGCTTTAATAAGAAGTCTCCAAACAAGGAAAAACCCGTCAGATAAATTTAACAAACAGACTGAAATAATTTAAAAGAATCAGGCAGAAATTCTGGAGCTGAAAGATGCAATTGAAATAATAAAGATTACGTCAGAATCTCTTAATAGCAGAACTGATCGAGCATAAGAAAGTATTAGTGAGCTTGAAGATGGGATATTTGAAAACATACAGTCAATTGGCTTCATTGCTGAATTTTACCAAATATCTAAAGAATAACTTAACATCAATCCTCCTAAAACTATCCCAAAAAATAGAGCTGGGAGGAATACTCATTCTACAAGGCCAGTATTACTTTGCTACCAAAGACATATCAAAAAAAGACTACAGGCCAATATTCCTGATGAGCATTCATGCAAAAATCCACAAAATAGTAGCAAGCCAAATTCAACATCACATTAAAAAAATCATTCATCATGACCAAGTTGGATTTATCCCAGGGATGTAAGGATGGTTTGGCATATGCATATCAATCAGTGTGATACATCATATCAACAGAATAAAAGACAAAACCCATATGATCATTTGAATTGATGCAGAAAAAACATTTGATAAAATTCAATACCCCTTTATGATAAAAACCCTCAAAAAACTGGATATAGAAGAAACATATCTCAACATAATAAAAGCCATAGATGAAAGACCCACAGCTATTATCATACTAAATGGGGAATAATAAAAGCCTTTTTTCTAATATCTGGAAAATGACAGGGATGTCCACTTTTACCACTTTTAGTCAACATGGTACTAGAAGTCTAGCTAGAGCAATCAGACAAGAGAAAGAAATAAAGGGTATCCAAATTGGAAAGGAAGAAGTCAAATTATTCTTGTTTGCAGATGATATGATCTTATATTTGGATGAACCTAAAGACTCTGCCAAAAAACTATGAGAACTCATCAACAAATTCAATAAAGTTGCAGGATACAAAATCAACATACAAAAAATCAGTAGCATTTCTATATACCAACAGTGAACAATCTGAAAAAAAATAAAAAATTAATTCCATTTACAATAGCCACACATAAAATTTTATACCTAGGAATTAACTTCACCAAAAAAGTGAAAGATCTCTGTAATGAAAACTATAAAACACTGATGAAAGAAATTGAAGATGACACCAAAAAATGGAAATATATTCCATGTTCATGGGTTGGAAGAATCAATATTGTTAAAATTGTCTATACTACCTAAAGCAAACTACAGATTCAATGCAATGCCTATCAAAATAGCAATGACATTCTTCACAGGAATAGAAAAAATCAATCCTAACATTTGAATGGAACTAAAAAAGACTCAGAATATACAAAGCTATCCTGAGCAAAAAAGAACAAAACTGGAAGAATCACAGTAACTGACTTCAAATTATACTACAGAGCTATAATAACCAAAACAGCATGGTACTAGCATAAAAATACTCACATAGACCAATGGAACAGAATAGAGAACCCAGAAACAAATTCATACATCTATGTACAATGAGCTCATTTTCAAAAAAGGTGCCAAACACATACATTGAGGAAAGGATAGTCTCTTCAATAAATGGTGCTGGGAAAACTGGATATTCATATGCAGAAATTGAAACTAGACCTCTGTCTCTCACCATATACAAAAGTCAAAATGGACTGAAGACTGAACTAGAATACCTGAAACTATGAAACTACTACAAGAAAACAATGGGCAGCACATTGGACTGGGCAAAGAGTTCTTGAGTAATACCCCAAAAGCAGAGGCAATCAAAGCAAAAATGGATAAACAGAATCATATCAAGTTAGGAAGCTTCTGCACAGCAAACAATCAAAAAAGTGAAGAGACAACCCACAGAATGGGAGAAAATATTTGCAAACTACCCATCTGACAAAGTATTAATTATCAGAATACATAAGAAACCCAAACAACTAATAGGAAAAAAATCTAATAACCTGATTAAAAATCGGCAAAAGATATGATAGACATTTCTCAAAAGAAGACATACAAATCACTAACAGGTATATGAAAAGATGGTCAATATCAATGATCGTCAGAGAAATACAAATCAAAACTACAAGGAGATAACATCTTACTCCAGTTAAAATGGCTTATATCCAAATGATAGGCAATGAGAAATGCTGGTTAGTGTGTGTAGAAAAGGAAACTGCCATATACTGTTATTGGGAATGTAAATTAATACAAGCAGTGTGAGATAGCTTGGAGGTTCCTCAAGAAAATAAAAATAGAACTACCATATGACCCAGCAATCCCACTGCTAGGTATATAGCCAAAAAAAAAAAAAAAAAAAAAAAGGAAAGAAAGAAAAGAAAAGCAGTATATAGAAGAGATATCTGCACTCCCATGTTTATTGCAGCACTATTCACAATAGTCAAGATTTGCAACCTAAGTGTCCATTGACAGATGAATGGATAAAGCAAATGTGCTACATATACACAAAGGAGTACTATTCAGCCATTAAAAAGTATGCTCCTTTCATTTGCAACAACATGTATAAAACTGGAGGTCTTTATGTTAAGTAAAATAAGTCAGGCACAGAAAGACAAACTTTGCATGTTCTCACTTATTTGTGGGAGCTAAAAATTAAAACGTTGAACTCATGGAGATAGAGTAGAAGAATGTCTACCAGAGGTTGGTGAGGATAGTAGGCAGGAAGGAGTGGTTATGGTTAATGGGTACAAAAATATAGTTAAGTAGAATGAATAAGATGTAGTATTTGATAGCACAACATTGTGACTGCAGTCAACAATAACTTATTGTACATTTAAAAATAACAGAGTATAATCGGATTGTTTGTAACACAAAGAAAGAATAAATGCTTGAGGCAATTGAAAACCCATTTACCCTGATCTGATTATTATGAATTGTATGCCTCTGTTAAAATATCTCATGTACCCAACAAATATATACCACCTACTACGTACCCACAAAATTATTTTAAAATTTTTTAAAAGTTCATCTATAAGATGTGCACTTGCTATAATGGTATGATATTTACCACATCTACTAAAGTACCTTCTACATGAGACTTATATGAGGGCAATAGATAATGGTAACATCATGATATCCCCTTTATCCTTCTAGGTAGTTTGCACAGCAGCCTAGACCTGTTGCAGAGCCTTCTTGTATTCTGAGCCTCAATCAAACCAGCAACTTGTTGGGTTATTGGTTAAATGGGCCAGAGTAACTCACTCCAATTAGGAACATGTTGTCTCCAAAATTCAAAGAACCTATTAAGGCTTTATGCCTCTTTCTAGCCTGCAGGATAGGTTCGATGGAACAACTTTTCCTTCACTTTAGAAGAGATAGCTCAACATGCCCCACACCACTGGATCCCTAGAAATTTCACTGAAATAGAAAGTCCCTGAATATTTGTGAAATTTATTTCCAACTCTCTGGCATGCAAATATATTACCAATAAGTCTTGAGTAGTTGCTATTTCTTGCTTAATAGGACAATCAGCATGTCATCAGAATAATCAGCACAATGTCATCAGTATATCATCAGTGGAATATGTCGTGGAAAAGAAAGAGGATCAAGTTCCCGAATATTTGCAACTCATATATCCGACAAAAGAATTGTATCCAGAATATACAGCAAGCTCTCAAAATCAATGAAAAGAAACCTAATAACCCAATTTTATTAAATAAGCAAAATATTTTAACAGAAGAAACTTCACCAAAAATAATACAGATATGCCAAATAAGGTCATAAATACATGCTGGATCATTAGTCATCTTGGAAATGCAAATTAAAACCTCAATGAGATGCTATGAGCCACATATTTAAATTAACAAAATTGAAAAGATTATTTATACTGAAAACAATGATGCAGACTTCTGTTAGTAAAAACTAGGAAACAAGTTGGGAGATAATTACATAACATTTAAAGGGGTAGTCAATTTAAGTCAAATTTTGGTTGGGTGAATAGCTAACTCGGCACATCATATTGTTTACTCAACCTTTCTGCGGCGCATTCACAGTTACTTTGCTTCTATATAGGCAATTTTCTTCTGTATATTTTTTTCACTAGAAAAATTCTAAGAAAGTCAGATAATTGATTAATAAACCTACCAAAAGTTATGCCCTTTGCTTTCTCCCATCTTGCTGGTGGAGATTAAAGTTTTTAAAAAGTTAATGTGTAGGTAGTTACTTATCACTATTCAGATATCAAATCTAAATGCCAAAAATAAGGACATTTTTACTTTTCTGAATAAATGCTCATTGACAAATTTCTATGTTAATTCTCAAAAAGAAAATCTGAACGTATTACTACCACAATTACAATCTCTCAATAGTTTTCCTCCAAATTGAGATTAAAGAACAAAGTCTGTGACCTAGTCTCCAAACCCTGTGCAATCCCACTCATACTGCTTCTTTGGCCACATTTGGCTCCTTCCTGCTTCTCTCTTTGATTGCCAGCCACATCTGTCATTTTTTGTTTCCCCAGTGATATAGGTTCTCTTATAATCTAGGCCCTCCAATGATGAATGTTATGTGGAAGGCAAGTGTCCACAGGCATCACTCAGACAGGAAGACTGCTTTTTTTTTTTCTTTCTTTCTTTCTTTTTGAGACAGGGTCTCACTCTGTAGCCCAGGCCATCTCGGTTCACTGCAACCTCCGCCTCCTGGATTCAAGCAATTCTTGTGTCTCAGCCTCTCAAGTAGCTGGAATTACAGGCAAGCACCATCACACCCAGCTAATTTTTTCTTTTCTTTTTTTTTTTGAGATGGAGTTTCACTCTGGTTGCCCAGGCTGGAGTGCAATGGCACAATCTTGGCTCACCACAACTTCCGCCTCTCGGGTTCAATTGATTCTCCTGCCTCAGCCTCCCGAGTAGCTGGGATTACAGACATGCGCCACCATGCCCAGCTACTTTTTTGCATTTTTAGTAGAGACAGGGTTTCTCCATGTTGGTCAGGCTTGTCTCGAGCTCCTGACCTCAGGTGATCCGCCCGCTTTGGCCTCTCAAAGTGCTGGAATTACAGGCGTGAGCCACCATGCCCCACCTTTTTTTTTTTCTTTTTCTTTTTCTTTTTTTTTTTTTTTGGTGTTTTTAGTACAGGAGTTTCACCATGTTAGCCAGGCTAGTCTCATATGGTCTCAAATGATCCGTCCGCCTCAGCCTCCCAAAGTGCTGGGATTACAGGCGTGAGTCACCGCGCAGGCCTAAACAAGATGACTCTTGAGCCCCACCTCAGAACTACTGAAACAGAATTTGCATTTTAACAGTGTCTCCAGGAAATTCATAGGCATTGAAATTTGGGAAGCACAGATCTATGCTCCCTCCACAGAGGTCCTTTGTCTTTTATTTTCTTTGCTCCTCCCCCTAACTTTTGCCTAGAAAAATTTCTCCTCAGACTTTTGGGGAGCTAAGTATATTTGGGGAGCTAGGTATATTTAGGTAAACTTGGGGAGCTAGGTATATGTCTGGAATTTGAGCTGCAGTTTGCATGAGGAGGACAACTTGGTGTTTGCTTCTGAAAGGAATTTAGATCTTTGGTTTTATTAAAATCATGTTTTAATTAACTCAGATGAGACCATACTAACCAAAGAACTCAGAGCATCAAATTATGTAAGTAAACCAAAGTTTGTACAAATATGTCAGTAGTGTCATCTGTGGTTAAAAAAAAAAAAAAAAGGCATAAAGTATAATTTCAATTCTTAAAACTAGAACTGTCTACAGTAACTTGATGTTTATGATTCTAAAGTCTGTAATCCCCTGTGGAACAATCTGAACTTTTCATACATGTCCAATCCTACAATGCCCAGTAGAACCCCTAACTTTGTCCTTAAGGGGATCCTCAAGCTCTCTTGGGACAATTTCAGTTCTCCACTTTTTCCTGTTTTGGCAAAAGTGCACAGTTGTACAATTAGTTGACTTGGTGTTCAAGGAAAATTTATACACACGTTTCTTCAACTTGGGAAATAAAACCTCTGAAACGAATCAGGGTGCCACGATTTCTACTTATGTTTTTGTCATTTTAGTGCTATAATTATGTTTATTTCTACTTTAGAAAACCTAACACCTTTAAAGGATCTCCACAATTTCCTCCAATAAATGGGTAAGAGTAAAATGATTTCTATAGTATTTATTATTCTTTAGGTAGAAAGTTTAAAATTTGTTTAATAATAATTTAAGATTAGGTTTATAAGATGTCAGAATAGGTAGATATGAAAAGTATTAGTGAATTATCTGCACACTTTATTTTTTTTATTTTTTTGCATACTTTATTTTTACAATTAAAGTCTGTTCCCTACTTCTCTAGTAGTTAGAAAATAAAAATAATTAATAAAGCCTCAACAAGCAAAATAGCTGTAATACTGATTTGCTCCCTTCAGTGATGTTTTATTACCTTGTTAACCTAATTATAGTGACTTTATAAGGTAAGTTTTGGTGAACCAGAACAACTTAAAATTAAGTTTAAAGATTCAATTATAATGATCACTATATAAGATATCCTTTTGTCGATTCTGATAAAATAATCTATTGTTTAATTAAATACATGTTATGATTAAAACTTTTAAGGTG
Organism: Homo sapiens; assembly: GCF_000001405.40. Taxonomy (NCBI): domain Eukaryota; kingdom Metazoa; phylum Chordata; class Mammalia; order Primates; family Hominidae; genus Homo; species Homo sapiens. Next base: position 98,307,306 of record NC_000003.12, read on the forward strand.
TCACTTAATACTTAGTTTTTTACCCACTTTTGCAAATAATTTCACTATTTATATTTATTTATGTGCAGAAAATACATAAAAATGCAGAAAAATGTCCCACCAATGTTTGCTTTTTCCATATTTATGACTTAAAAAGTATCCACACACAAATAGAATTAGAGATTTTCAATTATTTTTCTATTGAGATTGCATGAATGGGGCCCAATTTGATTTAATTTAATTTAATTCAAAATTAAAATACATCTAAAAATCACTGAAATTATTGTTGTTGGCTATTTTTATAGCCTGTTTCAGGTTGCAGTCTTGGCTCAATATTATCTTGCTTAAAAAAAATTGTTGGAGAAGAAAGTGCTCTCAAGTAAAGCCAGCAGAATTCCTAAAGTCAGTTCTAACCACTAGAATAACAAAGACAAAATGACTTATATACAGAAAGAACTTTTAGACAGTGCTAGTGTATCTATGAATAATACAAAGTTTGTAAGTAAAATTTAAAATTGGATCTTGTTTTCATACAAAAAGACCATATGAAACTAAAGTTTGAATTTTGAGTAACAGTAAAGAAAAGATTCCTAGAATTCACATCTAATTCACATCTTTTAATGAACTTTAGGGTTAAAACATCTATTTACCTCCAATCCTCTGTCTTTCTCTGATACTTCCTCTCTTCCTATTCTTCGGCTTTCCAACACTCAGCTTTCCAGTTTCTTTTCTGCTTCTCTTGTCTTTTCTACATTCATTCATATATGCCTTTTTTGTTTTCTATTTTTCTCTTTTTTATTTTCTTTTCACTACCCAGATTTTCTTTTCCACTTCTCTGGTTCCTTTCCTCCTCTCCTTGCCTTCCTTTCTTCTCCTTGCTTTTGAAAACTTTTATTAAAAAGGCTTACAGAAAATGTCTATTTTTAAGTTCAGGGGTGCATGTGCAGGTTTTTTACATAGGTAAACTTGTATCATTTGGGTTTGTTGTACAGATTATTTCATCACCCAGGTATTAAGCCTAGTACCCATTAGTTATTATATTTTTCCAGATCCTCTCCCTCCTCTAACCCTCCACCCTGTGACAGGCCCCAGTGTGTGTTGTTCTCCTCTATGTGTCCGTGTGTTCTCATGATTTAGCTCCCGCTTGTAAGTGAGCATATGAAGTATTTGGTTTTTGGTTCCTGTGTTAGTTTACTAAGGATAATGGCCTCCAGTTCCATCCATGTCACTGCAAAGGACATGATCTCCTTCTTTTTTATGGCTGTATAGTATTCCATCATGTATATGTATCACATTTTCTTTATCCAGTCTATGATTGATGGACTGGATTCCGTCATTGATTCCATATCTTTGATATTGTGAACAGTGCTGCAGTGGGCACACACAGGCATGTGTCTTTATAGTAGAACAATTTATATTCCTTTGGGTACATACCCAGTAATGAGATTGTTAGGTTGAATGATATTTCTCTGTCTTTAGGTTTTTGAGGAATCACCACTGTGTCTTCAACAATGGTTGGACTAATTTATTTACATTTCTACAACAGTAGGCAAATGGCAAATGTTGTTCACATTACTTGGAGTGCAGTGCTGTAGTTCATTCCCCTCATTTGTTGTGCCATTTGTTTCCCATTCACTTCTTATTTTTTTCTGACTTTAATTCTATCAGAAAATGCAAACTGCTCTCACTGAAGCCACTAAAAATCTCTAATTTCCACAATCAGTGATCTCTATTCATATTTAGTCCAACCAGAGCATTTCTTCTGGCATTTTGCCCTGTACTTTGTCCTTCTTGAGTATATTTCCTATCTTTATGTCTACAACATTCAGCTTTCCAGTTTCCCTCCTGCTTCTTTGATCACTCTGCTCAGTATTTTTTTCTGACATCGCCCTTGTCTCTTTGTTTGAGCCAGGACTCTTGGTTGCATTGGGCAATGAGTTTATTGAACGGAAAGCTATGTAAAATAGAAATGCCAGGGAAATTGGAAGAATCAGCTGTAAAAATGGGCAGGAACAGAATGAAGTAAGACAGCCAGTCAACAGCCCAAATTATGGCCCAACGCTAGCTCAACAGAAGCTCCCATTGTCATGGTTGAAATTTCAAATGCCACAGCTCACACTGTCAGTTCCATTGTTGTGTGCAGATGCTTTTGTCAGGGTCTTGATATTGCTGCTTTGGCTGCTTTTGCATCAGACATTCTCTTTGATCCCTGTTCCTTTGTTTCCCACCTCCCAAATTCCAAATCTATGTTGGTGGGTTTGGCTGGCCAAACCTACTCAAGTAGCCTCATTCTAGGTGCAAGAAGGATGGAAAAGTAAGTTTCTAGCTCTAGAATGGGTAGTATTCTCTCTCGGCCACCAAGATTCATGTGGTAGAAAAGAGGACCAGGGGCTGGCCATCTAATAAATGACATGTAAATTGGATACGCTTTATAACCTGTTTAACGTAATTTAAATGTATTGCCTCTCTGATCCTCTTTTATGTTTGATACACTCTCCAATGCATAGGACATCTATAACTATGCCTTAAACTACCCCCAATGCCTCTCATATCATTATTTTTATTAAGTTCTAGTAGAGTCACATCTCTAAGCACACCTCACCTGGATGTTCAGTGAATGCTTCTTCCACATATCTGCCAACGAACCTGAGTTCTGAATCTCATTTTGAATCACCAAATGACTCCTCTTTATTTCAGTGACTATTCTCTTCCCATCTAATATGTCATGGAGCCCTGTTGACTCTACATTCTGAGTTCTTTTCAATCTATTTCTTTGTCTTCATCATCACTTCCTTATCACACATGAAGTAGGTACTTTGCCTGCATTTGAATCACATGAATAGCATTTTCTTAAAAATACATATTCCTAGACCTCATTCTTGAACTACAGAGTTTGTTAGTAATCCCTCATGTCCTATATTTTGGTAAGAAAGTTCCCCAGACAATTCTGATATGTAATCTGGCTTGGTATTCCTTTGCAATAGAAACAGCTTCTGGATTAGTATCTCTGACTGCAGGTTCCCTTCCTTGCAGCCTATTTTCTATAACACCAATTATTTAACTTAAAATACATCTTACATGCCACTGTCTGTCTTAGAATTTTAAATTCCTGACTATTTCCTGAAGAATAAAGTTCAAAGTCCTTCACATGGCTTTTAACTCTTTTTGTGTTTCTGACCTTACAAAGATCTTTTCCCTTGACCTTGTTTCCATGTATCAGACACAGAAATTTTGTACCATCCTCCAGTGTCCACATAAATTAATCACATCTATAGAATGACTCTCTTTTTGCTTAAATATGTTTATTCATGCACATTCTATTATCAGGCAAAATTCACCCCCGATATTTCATGTAGGTTCTTTTCTATTTTCCCTACATGTTGGCCAGTCTGAGAAATAAAGGGACAGAGTACAAAAGAGAGAAATTTTAAAGCTGGGTGTCCAAGGGAGACATCACATGTCGGCAGGTTCCGTGATGTCCCCTGAGCCAAGCCGTAAAACCAGCAAGATTTCATTAGTGATTTTCAGAAAGGAGAGGGAGTGTACGAACAGGGTGTGGGTCACAGAGATCACATGCTTCACAAGGTAATAAGATATCACAAGGTAAATGGAGGCAGGGGGAGATCACAGGACCACAGGACCAGGGCGAAATTAAAATTACTAATGAAGTTTTGGGCACGCATTGTCATTGATAACATCTTATCAGGAGACAGGGTTTGAGAGCAGACAACCGGTCTGACCAAAATTTATTAGGCGGGAATTTCCTTGTCCTAATACACCTGGGAGCGCTATGGGAGACAGGGGCTTATTTCATCCCACAGCTGCGACTGTAAAAGACAGCCGCCCCCCAAAGAGGCCATTTTAAAGGCCTCCCCTCAGGGATGCATTCTCTTTCTCAGGGATGTTCCTTGCTGAGAAAAAGAATTCAGCGATATTTCCCCCATTTGCTTTTGAAAGAAGAGAAATATGGATCTGTTCCGCCCGGCTCACTGGCAGTCAGAGTTTAAGGTTATCTCTCTTGTTCCCTGAACATTGCTGTTATCCTGTTCTTTTTTCATGGTGCCCAGATTTCATATTGTTCAAACACACATGCTCTACAAACAATTTGTGCAGTTAACGCAATCATCACAGGGTCCTGAGGTGACATACATCCTCCTCAGCATTCGAAGATGATGGGATTAAGAGATTAAAGTAAAGACAGGCATAGGAAATCACAAGGGTATTGATTGGAGAAGTGATAAGTGTCCATGAAATCTTCACAATTTATGTTCAGAGATTGCAGTAAAGACAGGCATAAGAAATTATAAAAGTATTAATTTGAGGAACTAATAAATGTCCATGAAATCTTCACAATTAATGTTCTTCTACCATGGCTTCAGCTGGTCCCTCCATTCAGGGTCCTTGACTTCCCGCAACATTCTATAAACTCAAATAATTGCATTTTTCCACCTCTTCAGTTCCCCTACTATAGTTTTCATTAGCACAGTGTAATAAATGCATGAATAGGACATTCTGATGAGTGTATGATTTTATTTTAACTCCTCTCCTCCAGTATTCACTTTATAAATTCTTATTGAATATTCTTTTTATATTTATTTCAGTTCACTCAGGGTACATCCAATGAGGACATGGATGACGAAAATGCAACATTGCTGACAGAGTTTGTTCTCACAGGACTTACATATCAATCAGAGTGGAAAATACCCCTGTTCCTGGCATTCTTGGTAATATATCTCATCACCATCATGGCAAATCTTGGTCTGATTGCTGTCATCTGGAAAGACTCACACCTTCACATTCCAATGTACTTATTCCTTGGGAGTTTAGCCTTTGTGGATGCTTGGTTATCATCCTCAGTGACCCCTAAGATGCTGATCAGCTTTTTAGCTAAGAGTATGATTATTTCTGTCTCTGAATGCAAGATACAATTTTTTTCCTTTGGAATCAGTGGAACCACAGAATGTTTTCTCTTGGCAACAATGGCATATGATCGCTATGTAGCCATATGCAAACCTTTACTTTATCCAGTCATTATGACCAATGGACTGTGTATCTGGCTATTAGTCTTGTCATTTATAGGTGGCTTTCTTCATGCCTTAATTCATGAAGGTATTTTATTCAGATTAACCTTCTGTAATTCCAACATAATACATCACTTTTACTGTGACATTATCCCATTGTTAAAGATTTCCTGTACTGACCCTTCTATTAATTTTTTAATGCTTTTTATTTTGTCTGGTTCAATACAGGTATTCACTATTTTGACTGTTCTTGTCTCTTATACATTTGTCCTCTTTACAATCTTAAAAAAAAAAGTCTGCCAAAGACATAAGGAAAGCCTTTTCCACCTGTGGAGCCCATCTCTTATCTGTTTCTTTATACTATGGCCCCCTTCTCTTCATGTATGTGCACCCTGCATCTCCACAAGCAGATGATCAAGATATGGTGGAGTCTCTATTTTACACTGTCATAATTCCTTTCTTAAATCCCATTATCTACAGCCTGAGAAATAAGCAAGTCATAGATTCACTGACAAAAACATTAAAAGGAAATGTTTAGATCTCATACTGGAATGTATTCTCTATTTAAAGTCACATAATCATGCAGGCTAGATGTCAGTATATGTTAGTGTATGTTTAAAGTTTTTTGCAGTTACAATTGTCCTAACTTTTTAACGACTCAAGTCATTAGTATCTAATGAATTCTTTAAGATATTTGTATATATTATTGAAAAGCATACAAGAAAATTTTGTCAACTGTTCATGACATACTAGATTAGAGCAGAAAAAAAAAACATTTTACAGGTTTCTTGCTCTTCAATGTGGCTTTATAAACGGATCAAGTGCTACAATAGTAGATCCTTTAATAACAACTTGAGTATGATGTCTTTGTTACTAATACAGGTTTATAAACTGGAGATTCATAGCACAATTCCTCCATAGAACAAGTTTGTGTTTGCATGAGCCCAAACAAATCTCATGAATTCAGCTAACCATCACAAAGTGTTTTATTCCACTTTATTGGGAAATGGTTAATTTCTTCTCTTGTAGAGATTCAATTCACATATCATAGACAGAAATGAACAGAAATAGGAAACTATGAGAGGATTCTCTTAGTTCAGTGTGCTTCTGTGAGTGAGGAGAGGCCAGTTGCTTCTCCCTGTTTGTGATGCCTTCTAAGATCATTTCCAGCTGTGTTTGTATGTTTGTTGGCAGTCTGAAAACCTTTACTAATTCGGAAAGCTAACACATTAGACTTAATAATTAAGTTGAGTGCAGAGAAAAAAAAAAAAAAACAGAAGTGGTAGAATAAGAATTAAATGGTCTAAATTTTCCCTGAATTAAAAAGAAAGGAACCTTGTAAGATCAAGAAATCAGTGATATTTATAGGTTATATTACAAGGAATATACTGTAATTATATTACATGTAATTATAATGTAATTATATTGTAATGTAATTATAATGTAATTATATTCCTTAACAATGAGTGACTTTATGCCTTTGCAGGGACATGGATGGAGCTGGAGGCCATTATCCTTAGCAAACTAACACAGGAAGAGAAAAACAAATAACACATGTTCTCACTTAGATGTGGGGACTGAATGATGAGAACTTTATATTATAAAAGTATATAGGCCAGCTAAGTATATGTTGCTAGGCCAGCCTGGGCAACATAGGAAGACCCCATCTCTAAAACAAAAATTTAAAACTAGCCAGGCATGGTTGTGTGCACCTGTGGTCTCAGCAAGTTGGGAGGCTGAGGCAGGAGGATCCCTTGAGTCCAGAAGGTGGAGGCTGCAGTGAGCTATGATCATGCCACTGCACTCCAGCCTGGGCAACAGAGTGAGACACTGTTTCAGGAAAAAAAGCACAGATAAAGTTATTATATATATATTATATATTTTGTCATACTGCACAGAGGTTAATAGAAAAGACATGAAAATGAGCAAGAGTTTGGATATTCTGTTGCTGAAAGGTCCTTGATAGCTTTCCTCAAACTCAATGTTCTTTAAATATAATGAGTGATTCATCTTTAGGTCATCCTTGCCCTTATTCTCTTCACACTTGAAATTCTGTAAGTTTACGCTGGTATCACTCAGGTTCCCACCCCAAAACATACTCAGCTGTGTGTTTTGCAAAACTCAAGTTTCTTATCTTTTTCATCTAGCTCTTACTGTCTTACCTTGTAAGCACTGTAGCCAGATAATTTTTCATAAACAAGACTCTCATTGAATCATATTCCTCTTCAATAACCTTTAATGGATTGTCACTGCTACCAGATTATATGCATATAAGATATATGTTCCTAGAGCTGAATAAAGTCGTGTACCACATAATGACATTTTGATTGCCTATGGGATGGTGGTGCCATAAGATTACAATGGAGCTGAAAAATTCCTATCACCTAGTGACATCATAGCCATCATTATGTCACAGTAGAACACATTAATCATATGTTTGTGTGATGCTGGTGTATACAAATCTGCACTGTCAGTCATATAAATGTATAGCTCATATATTTATGTACCGTCCATAATACTTGATAGTGACAATAAGCAACTGTTAGTGGTTTATGTATTTATTATGCTATTAATCATTATTTTAGAGTATATGCCTTCTAATTATATAAAAAAGTTAACTATAAAACAGTCTCAGGCAGGTCCTCCAGGATATATTCCAGAAGAAGGCATCGTTGTCATAGGAGATGAGAGCTACATACATGTTATTTCCCCTAAAGACCTTCCAGTGGCACAAGATGTGGAGGTAGAAGACAGTGATATTCATGATCTCGACCCTAACTAGGCCTAAGCTAATGTGTGTGTTTGTGTCTTAGTTTTTAATAAAACTTTTTAAAAATAAAAAATTTAATAAAAATTCTAAAAATAGAAAAAAGCTTATAGAGTAGAATTTAAAGAAAAATATTGTCGTATAGCTGTACAACATGTTTGCCTTTTAAGCTAAGTATTATTACAAAAAAGTCAGAAAGTTTTCAAAAGTTTAAAAATTTATAAGGCAAAAACATTACAGTAAGCTCAGTTAATTTAATTTTGAAGAAAGAAAAATGTTGAAATAAATTTAAGGTAGCCTACATGTACAGTGTTTATAAAATAAAGTCCACAGTAGTGGACAGAAATGTCCCAGGCCTTCACATTCACTCATCACTTACTCACTGACTCACCTAGAACTACTTCCAATCCTGCAAGCTCCATTTACGGTAAGTTGTATAATTTTTAAACTTTTAGGTTGTTTTATTACTCTACCTTTTATATGTGTGGATATATTTAGATATACAAATCCTTACCATTGTATTACAATTGCCTACAGTATTCAGTATAGTAACATGATGTACAGGTTTGTAGCCCAGGAGCAATAGGTGATACCGTATAGCCTAGGTGTGTGGGCAATACCATCTAGATTTTTTGTAAGTACACTCTAGGATGTTTTCACAATGACAAAATCACTTACTTCTTGCAAGAACACTATAGGATGTAATCATAATGACAAATTTCTCAGAACATATTCCCATCATGAAGTGATGCATGACTGCTTGTAACTATCCATATGCTTGTTAATTTGTATGTACAGATTTTGTGATATACATATAGATACACATACACATAAAAATATATAAATATAAAATCTAAATAAATAAGTGTGATATACAGTCATCCTTCTGAATCCCTGGGGCTTCTGGATCTGTGGGGGATCTAGCACTGCCCTCGGATACCAAAATTTATGGATGCTCAAGTCGCTAATATCAAATGGTATAGCATTTTGCATATAACCTCTGCAAATCCTCCTATGTACTTTAAATCATATCTAGATTACTTAAAATGCCTAATACAATGTTGAAGGCGGCCAGCCCCTCCACACCTGTGGGTATTTCTCGTCAGATGGGGTGAGAGACTGAGAAAAGAAATAAGACACAGAGACAAAGTATAGAGAAAGAACAGTGGGCCTGGGGGACCGGCGCTCAGCATACGGAGGACCAGCACCAGCATCGGCCTCTGAGTTCGCTCAGTATTTATTGATTACTATTTTCACTATCTCAGCAAGGGGAAAGTGGCAGGAGAACAGGGTGAAAGTGGGGAGAAGGTCAGCAAGAAAACATGTGAGCAAAGGAATCTGTGTCACAAATAAGTTCAAGGGAAGGTACTATGCCTGGATGTGCACGTAGGCCAGATTTGTGCCTTTCTCCACCCAAACATCTCAGTGTAGTAAAGAATAACAGAGCAGCATTGCCACCAGCATGTCTCACCTCCAGCCACAGAGTGGTTTTCTCCTACCTCAGAATAGAACAAATCGTACAATCAGTTTTATACTGAAACATTCCATTCCCAGGGGCATGCAGGAGACAGAGGCCTTCCTCTTATCTCAACTGCAAGAGGCCTTCCTTTTTTACTAATGCTGTGTCGGGATGAGGGTGTCGGGCTGAGGGATGGTCAGGTGTTTCCCATCCCACGAGGCCATATCTCAGGCTATCTTAGAAACCTTGGACAATACCCGACTTTCCTGAGCAGAGGTCCCTGTGGCTTTCTGCAGTGCATTGTGCCCCTGGTTAATTGAGAATGGAGAATGGCGATGACTTTTACCAAGCATACTGCCTGTAAACGTACTATTAACAAGGCACATCCTGCACAGCCCTAGGTCCCTTAAACCTTGATTCCATACAATACATGTTTCTGTGACACAAGGTTGGGGGTAAAGTTACAGATTAACAGCATCTCAAGGCAAAACAATTGTTCAGGGTACAGATCAAAATGCAGTTTCTTATGTCTTCCTTTTCTACATAGACACAGTAATAGTCTGATCTCTCTTTCTTTTCCCTACACAATGTAATCACTAAGTAAATAGTTGTTATACTGTATTGTTTAGCAAATAGTGACCAAAACCAACAGTCTCTACATATTTAGTAAAGATGCAATTATTTTTTCTTGAATAGTTTTGATCCACAATTGTTTGAATCCACAAATGCAAAACCAACAGATATAGAGAGCCAACTATATGTGCTTGTCTTTGTGTGTGTGTGTGTTTATAGATGATAGATAGATCTTTGTCACACTGCATTTGCTCACCCTGACATTGAGTTCATTTCCAATGAAACCTTGGTTTAACTGGAGTCTCCTCTACAGTTGTCCTAATGGAATCTGTGTTGTAGCCAAAATCAGTTACTGAGAGACTTCTGGACATACTTTAGTCTCTCAGGTATATGCTTTTTCTCAGATAGGTCCATCCACAGAGAAACTTTCCTCCCTTGACTGCGTCCATCCTCATTTACAATTGAAATGGCACTCTTTCTTCAAGATCTATCTCAAATGTTCCTACTAACTCATTTGAAATATTTAGCAATTTTTTTCTTCTTTTAAGGCCAAAATTTTCCTTGCATAGTATTTATTTTTGGCCCAAAGGATCTTGTAGATTACAATATATAGTCTAACTACTCTTTTTGTATTTTGCAGTGTGTAGACAGTGGCTTATTCACATAAGGGCCTAAATAAGCATTTTTGAAATATTTGTGAAATTAAAATGAAACTGACAGCACAAATTCCTAGAATGCAGTAAGAGTGCATCAGTCTTTTTTAACCTTGATATGAGCCCAAGGAGATTACTGAGCCTAGGATGTCTGCTGCAGGCAACTTGCCTTATGTTTCCTTCATGACAATTGAAAATATTATACAGCTAAATAAATTATTTATATTCTTATTACTAGGATTGTCTTCTGGGATAGAGTAGGAGAAAGTATCAAGGGGAAGCTATTCAGTTAGATGTTTGGTATAAAGGATAAAAATATATAAATATTTAAAATAAATATTATTCTACATTTGTGGACATCCAGTTAACAAAATCATCTACCCTCTTTTTGTTCTCCCAAGAAATCCCACCAAACTCCAGGAAACAGAGTGAATATGGAACACTTCAACTTCTATTACTCCTTCCCTTAGAGAATCCATGTTATTACATGTGTCTGTAGCTTTTCTAAAAATTTTTATTGCTATGTAATATTTTCAATGTACTGATGGTTTCCTGTGAATTATCTGTCTTTTTGGTGGTTTGTTCATTGTTATAACCCAAAGATTGGATTGGTAATGTGAGCATCTGATGTCCATTTTTTTTTTTTTTTTTTTTTTTTTTTTTGCCATTTTAAAGGTCTACTTCCCTGATTGGCCTTTTTCTTCAATGAAAAGGTGGACATCAAGCTTTGAGCATGTGGCAACGTGTGTAGCAGGTTAAGTCATACTTCATGTTGGATGAGTATGAAAGAGATCCTCTCAGAAACTCAGACTTCTTCTGAAGCCTTTTTCTTGTATATGTCTAGTCTACACGTACTTGTTCTCTGGTTTGTCCTTGAATATAATTCCAACTATTTTATGTCTTCCCGACACAAATTATTTCTTTATAGATATAATATTTTTTGTCATTTTTGTCATTTCAAGAGATGTTAGGAAAGAGTTAAAATATACATCTGTTATAAGCTATACTCCAAGTCTGAAGATCTGAGAACCAGGAGTGCTGAGGGCAGGAGAAAATCAATGTGCCAGCTCAGTCAGCCAGAGAGCAAATTTGACCTGCCCCTGTCTTTTTATGCCACTCAGGCCCTAAATAAATTGACTGATGCCCTCCCACACTGAGGAGAGCCATCTGCTTTACTCAGTCCACCAATTCAAATGCAAGTATCTGCTAGAAATACCCTCACAGACACACCCAGAAATAAGGTTTAACCAGATATCTGGGCATCTCTGGCTTTGTCAAGCTGACGCATAAAATCATCCCCTGCCCACCACTTGTCAATGCATCTTCCACAGGATTGGAGGTAAAGATCTTTGTTAATATTTACTCTTTCCTTTAATATCTGGGAAATAAAATATTATGATCCAAAATTAACAATAGTTAAAAACTGTGATATAAAGTCAATACATCTTATGTTACATGATGAAATAATCGAAGAAAGAAAACAAGGACTTTTACTATACACACACGCAAACACAAATGCGTTCAAAACAAACAGAAAATACTCGTGCCAATTACATTCTTTATTTCTGTAACTGTTCATGTGGTCAAAGCTGGTATATATAACCTTCTTCCATTGCCCATACTTTATTCTAATTGCTTTTAGTAAGCACTTCAGTTGGACATGGTTCTTCACCTGGTATAGTGACCCAAATCTCAACCACCCAAGCCAGCACAGTTACTTCTTTTTTTGCTAGGGAATTCAGAGAAATGATGAACCTAAAGTGGCCAGGTGGTGGTATGAACTTTCACTTTGGTGGAATCGTTGTTCTGTCTCCTAGTGGAACATTCCTTCCTCTGGAACTAAGACCTCTAGGCCAGGAGAAAAATAACGTCAGGGGACCAGAAGCAAAAATTTTGCTAACAAGATCATTAGGGCTAATAGTGAGTGGCCCACTCTTATTTTCACCAGTTCCTTTCCTGGGCCCAAGCATCCTATGACAGAAACAGTGCCATATATAGGATTCTAATTCAGAGCATGTAGTGTTTTGGAAAACTTTGTCCCAGCCCTAACAGGTACTGCCACATCTCTGATGTGACAATACCATGCTGTTACTGGGTCTTCAAAAAGCCATTTACTTTTTCATCAAATTAGTGGCTTTGGGATAGTAGAGAACATGGCAGGCCTAGTGTATTCCAGGAGAATGGGTTCAGTGTTTCACCTCTTTTGCTGTGAAGTGAGTTCCTTGATCAAAAGCAATGCTATGTGAAATACCATGAGGTGTGTAAGTACTCTGTAAGTCCAAGGGCAGTAGTTTTGACAAAAGCATTGGTGTATGGGAGGCAAATGTGTATCCAAAGCAAGTAGCTATTTTTTTTTTTTTTTTTTGAGACAGAGTTTCACTCTTGTTGCCTAGGCTGGAGTGCAATGGCGTGATCTTGGCTCACTGCAACCTCCGCCTACTGGGTTCAAGCGATTCTCCTGCCTCAGCCTCCTGCATAACTGAGATTACAGGCATGTGCCACCACGCCTGGCTAATTTTGTATTTTTAGTAGAGACGGGATTTCTCCATGTTGGTCAGGCTGGTCTTGAACTCCCGACCTCAGGTAGTCCACTGCCCTCGGCCTCCCAAAGTGTTGGGATTACAGGCATGAGCCACCATGCCCAGCCACAAGTAGCTTTTTTAGTAACAACAAAACACTGACTCTTCCTTTTTGGGAGTGGTCTAATGTAATCAGCCTGGCATCAGGTAGCTGGCTGATCACCCTGGTGAATGGTGACAAATTGATGACTCTGTTGCTATCCATTGCTAGGAAATTAGGCACTCAGCAGTGACTATGTCCAGTACAAACTTGGTGAGTGAAAGTCCATGTTTCTGAGACTTTGTCTATCCTCCATTCCTGCCACCATGGCCACTGTGTTCATGAGTCAATTGAGTGTTAATGGGGGTGGATGGAGAAAGTGGATTTCTGATGTCCACAGAATACATCATTCTATCCATATGATTACCGTCCTTCTCTGTTGGGGTCATCCTTTGATTGAAATTCACATAGCATACAAATATTTATACATTTTTTGCCAATTCAGAGATGTCTATCCACATACCTCTTTCCCAAATTTCCTTGTTACCAAATTTCCAATTATTCCTCTCCCATGTTCTTGAGCATCCAACCAAACCATTGGCCACATCCCACAAGCCAATATATAATCACAAGTCTTACTATTTCTCCTTCCAAGAAAAGTAAGTGACCAAGTGCACCACTCTAAGTTCTGCACACTGAGAGGATTTCCCTTCATCACTCTCTTTCAGACATGTCCTAGAAAGGGTGTCCAGTGATGCAGCTGTGCACTTTCTGGGGAGTCTGCATATCCTATAGAAATGTCTGTATCTAGGCTCCAGTCTTCTCTTCCTCTTTCAAATGCTCACAGAGAACAACTCAGGAGTCCATTGGTACAAGCCAAGAGAGAAAAGGCAGTGTAGCAGAAGTGGGGACCATGTGCATTTGGGCCATTTTTTATGTAATAATACACTTTTATCCTCAGAACCTGCTTAGACTCAATCATGTATATATCACTGCTATTTGACGTTAGAGTGTTGCTGTGTATCCTAAATCATACAGCTTATTGGGTCAGAAAACACTCCGTTCATGATTTGCAGCTCATGTCACATAGTAAATTGGTGGTCCATAGTTAAGTGTTCAGTCTCTACTAATGCCCAGCCAGTAGCAGAACAAGAGCTGTTTCTCAAAAGAAAAATAGTTATCTATGAAGGATGGCAAGGTTTTGCTTCAAAATTCAAAGGGCTTGTGCTGTGATTCATCAGTAGAGGCATGTCAACATCTCCAGACAGCATCCCTTTATGCCTCTCACCCTTCCAGTACCATTAGATCTGTGGGATCATATGGCTCAAGAGGCAGAGCATCTCCCACAGCAGCCCAGACCTATTATAGAGCCTTTCCTTTTTCGTACCGTTTTCAAAACTAACAGCTTTTCAGGTCACTAGGTAAGTGGAATAAAGTAATACAACCAAAAGGGCAATATGTTAATTCTAGAATCCAAAAGGGCCCAGTAGAATATGTTTCTCTCATTTGATTGTAGGAAGAGCCAGATTTCACTTGAAAAGGGATATCATCATATGTTTCACACCACTGGAGCCCTGGAAATTTTACCAAGGTAGAAGTCTCCTGATTTTTGTCAGATTAATTTCCCATCCTTTGTTACACAAATGTCTAACCAATAAGTCCAGAGTAGTCACTATTCTTGCTCATTAGGTACAATCAGCATAATGTCATCAGTGTAATGAATCAGTGTGATACCTTGTTGTTGAAGATAGGCAATCATGAAGAAATATTTACACATTCCATATCTGTAAAAAGACTTGTATCCAGAATATATGAAGAATTCTCAAAACTAAATAATAAAACAAATAATTTAATTGAAATATAAACAAAAGGATTATGCAGACACTTCAGCAATGAAAACAAACAGATGTCAAATAAGGACAGAAAACGATACTCACTATCATTAGTTACCAGGGAAATGCAAATTAAAACCACAATGAGATGCCATGACCCAATCATTTGAAAGACCAAAATTGAAAAGACTACCTATTGTCAGTGCAGAACTATAGTGCTTTTGTACTCACAGATAGGCAACAAAATGAGTTAGGAGGTAATCATACAAAATTTAAGAGGGCAATACATTTAAGTCAAGTTTTGGTCATGTTAAAAGCTACTTCTGCACATCACGCTGCTTACTCCACACTTCCGCAGAGGTTTCACACTGACTCCTCTTTATTATTTTCTTCTGCTTCTTTGTCTTTTACTAGCAAAATCTTAAGAAAGGAGGATAATTGATTAATGAGTCTACCATAAAACATGCCCTATGCTTTCTCCCAGTGTCTTGCCAGCCATAACCCAAGTTTAGATTGAACATTTTTTATTGTAGAGATAGTTACATATCATTATTCATTTATAAAGTCTAAATGTCACAAATGAGTGAACTGTTTTATTTTTCTAAGTGAATGTTTGCTGAATACTTTGTTAAAGATAAAAATGCAAATCTAAACATGTTACCACTACACTTACAATTTCCCCATAGTTTTCCTTTCTTCGTGTAAAGAACAAAGTCCCTGACCTAGCTCCCAAGAGCTATGCAGGCCCATTCATACCACCTCCCTGGCCTCATCTGGCTCCTCCCTGCTTCTCTCTCTGATTGTCAGCCACATTTATAATTTTTTGTTTCTCAATGATCTAGCCTCTCTGGTAATCTAAGTCCTCAATGATGAAGGCCCTGTGGATAGCAGGCATCACTTTGTTAGACAAGAAGATTCTGAGCCCCACGCCAGAACTACTGAAACCAAATATGCATTTTAACAAGATCTCCAAAATATGTACGGACATTGAAATTTGGGGAACAGAGACCTAGGCCACCTCCCACTGTGGTCTTTGTTTTCTCTTTCTCTTTGATCTTTGCTAATAAGATTTTTCATCAGATTTCAACTCAAAGTTGGGAACTAGTGATATGTCTGGAATTTAATTTGCAGTTTTCATGAGGACACTTTCATTTGGAGTTGGCTCCTGAGGGTAATCTAGACTTTCAGCCTTATTAAAATCATGATTTGATTAACTCAGACAAGACTGCCTAATCAAAGACCACAGGGAAAGGAATATTATATATAATCCGAGGTTTACATAAACATGTGGGAAGTGTCATCTATGGTAGAAAATAGTGGCACAAAGTGCAATTTCAGTTTCAATTGTTAAACTAGACCCATATACAATGACTTGATGTTTATGGTTTCAAAGTCTATAATGCCCTGTGGGACAGCCTAGACTTCTTATACACATTCAAATTTATAATGCCCAGTAATACATCTTAACTTGCCCTAAAGGGAACCCTTGGGTGCTATTAGAGGAGTTTCAGTTCTCCTCCCTCTTCTGTCAAAAGCACATGGTAGTACATGCAATTGGTTGACTCCTCCACTTAAAGCAAATTTATATAAATGACATTTTTCTGAATGTGGGAAATGAAGCCTCCATAGCAAATTTATGTACAAAGAATTGCTACCTGTGTTATTGTCATTCCTGTACTGTTGTATTTTTTTCTACTTTAGAAAACCTAATACTTTTAAAGGATTTTGACCATTTCTTTCAAGATATGGGTAAGACAGAAATGATTTATATAATATTTGTTATTCTTTACATATAAGATTGAAAATGCTGTTTAATTTATAGTAAATTTAGATTGGGTTTACAAGATGCCAAAATAGCCAGATGTAAGACGTCAAAGCTATTAGTGAATTATCTATTTTATTTTCATGAACTACAATCTGAATATGCAAAATAGCTGCAAAGGTAAATTAATTTCTCTAATTATATTTTCTCACCTCTTACTTTCACTATAATGACTTTTTAAGAGATGTTGTGGTGAACTAGAACTTTAAACAATTTAAAACTGGGTTTAAAGACTTGGGTCCTAATGCTTCTTATATGGAAATCTTTCTGATAACTTTATAAAAAGACTCATTCTGTATCATAAACCACAACTCTGGTTAACACTTTTAGCTAAGTCATTTAAATATTAACTCTTCTATCCTTCCATGCACTTCTTTCTATTATTTTATTGATTATTTAATATATAGTGGAAAATATGCAGAAAATACACCTTCGCTACTCTAATACTATTTCCAGTATTTATGACATAATAAGTAACCCCAAACAAAATGAATTAAAGAATTCTCAATTATTTACTGATTTGGGATTATACAGAGGAAGACCTATTCCAAATAAAAATACGTTTAGCAACTGGAATTATCAGCACCGCTTATTATATCCTAAGTAAGATTCAAGGCTTTGGCTCAACTTTCTTTTGCTAATAAAAATGGGGGAGAAAAAGTTGCTTTCAAGTAAAACCGGCAGAATTACTAGAAAAAGTCTGTTTTAATAACTAATCACAATGATAACCTTTTAAATATGGAAAGAACTTTCAGATAATGCTAATATATTAATAAAAAACTTGAAGTTTGTAAAGTAAAACTTAAAGTCAGATCTCCCTTTCAAACACAAATTCTGCTCAGAAAATGAACTTTGAAATTTGAATTAAAAGAGAAGAAAAGATTCCCAGAGTTGACACTTTAACACCAAAGTTAGTGATACAGGAGCTAAGAAGAAATTATTTAGGCAGACAGTGAGGGTAAAGGAGTCCTGGGCAAGGCTTCCCTTTTAATAAAAAGCAGCCCCCAAATCATTTCTTTTCTAACAAAGAGCAGCCTGAAATATTAAGCTGCAAACATAGATAAGCAACCTGGAAGCTTGCATAGATAAATGCTGGCGGCTGTGCCGACAGGAATAGGCTACCTGGGAGCCAGGCATGTTCAACATGGAGGCGCCATCTTCCGTTTTCTTTGCTTTTCTTCGTCACCACGTGTGCAGTCAGGGAGTAGGCAACGTGGTGCCAGCCAGGTAGAGAACTTATATACATAGTAAAAGATTAGGGTGGGGCGGCCAGCTTCTTTGCAGGCTATCCAAACAGCACACCTGGCCTGACCAATCTCTCGTGCCCTATGTAAATCAGACGCTGCCTCCTCAAGCTCCTCTACAAAACCCTGTGCACTTAACCATGAAACTGGCAACCCATTTTTCTCCGGGACCCCTTTCTGCGCAGAGAGCTCTTCTCTTTCTTTTGCTTTTAAACTTCTGCTCTTAACTTCACTCTGGTGTGTCCGCGTCCTTGTTTTCCTTGGCATGAGGCAACGAACCTCAGATATTACCCCAGACAAACAATGCCGCTTCATTAGGATAAATATTTATCTTAAAGCCTTTGAGCCTTTCCATTTTTTTCCACTTCAGTCTTTCTCTGGTATTTCCCCTCTGCTTCTCTGGCTTGTCTTTCCTGCACTTTTCCATTTACGACCCCATAATTCTCTGCTTATTTCTCTGTTCTCCATCTTGTTTTCTTTTCACCTACCCAAATTCTCTTTCCACTTCTCTGTCCCCTTTCTCCTTTAAATGTATTCCTCTCCTCTCTTCCTTTGAAAACTTTTATTAAATTGTTCTATGGGAAATTCTTTTTTACATTTGTCTATGGGCAGTAAAAACATGCCAACCATTCTTCACATTTCATGGAGCTTTCTGTAGCATTTTCCATTGTTTCCCATTTATTTTGAATTACTCTCTGACCTTAACTCTGACGCAAGTGCTCTACTAACATCACTAAAAATCTTTTAATTTTCACACTCAAAGATCTCTTCTCACTCCTTGTCTTGCTGTAGCATTTTTTTTTGGCATTTAGCCCTGTACTATATTTTGTCTTTCTTTAGTATCCTTCCCTCTTTATGTCTACAACTCTCAGCTTTCCAGTTTCCCTCCTGCTTCTCTGATCACTTCCTTCAGTATCTTTTTCTGGTCTCTTTGTTGTCTCTCTTTTGTTTGAGCCAGGATTCTCAGTTACAACAGGAAGTAAGTTTATTACATGGAAATCTGTCTAAAATAGAAATGCTAAGGAAGTTGGAGGATCAGCTGGAAAAATAGGCAGAAACAGAAGGAAGCAAGACAGCCAGTCAACAGCTAAAGCCACGTTCCAACACTAGCTGATGAGGGCTGTTCTTCCTGCTGCTGAACTTGGGTGCCACAGCCTCCACTGCTGATGCCACTGTTGCCAAAGTCAAGGATGCATTAGCTAGAGTCTTGTCATTGCTGCCTTTGCTACCAAATTCTCTTTTGTTCCTGTACCTTTATCTTCCCTCTCCAAATTGCAAAACTATGGAGGGTTGGTTTTTAAACCGTCTTTGCAGAAATTATAACAGTAAGAAAATTATGGCAGTAAAAGAGATCTATCTAACCCACCTCCCATTATGCCTTTCCCTTAATTATTCCTGGGATTTTGGGCTGAACTAACTTTGACAGACATTTAGTTAATAGTTTAAATGATAATAGGCCTTCCCCAAAACTCAACAACCTTTGTAAAGCTAATGAAAGGCCCTCAGGTTGGGGGAGGAGAGGAATCTGAATTCTGCTAAGGTATAGACATAAATGATTGCCAACCATTCCTGCAAATAATACCAGTATTGTAGATTGGCCTTTTGAGATATCTTTTCAGGTTTTTTTGCATGTCTGACACCCATGGCTCCACCTGGACCCACCAACCCATCTCCTGTGGCCCCACTCAGAGTGATTCAATGCACAGAAGGACAGCTTCAAACCCCTACGATTTCATCTCTGACCCAACACATCAGCAGTAAGCACCCATTACCTGGCCACCCCCACTCCTTCCCCCAAACTGCCACTGAAAAACCCCTAACTACAGGCCTTTGGGGAGATTCATCTGGGTACTAACTTTGTCTCCCACATAGTGTAGCTGGCCTGATGTCTATTAAACTCTTCCTTTACTGCAATGCCATCATCTCTGTGAATTGATTTTGTTTGTGCAGCAAGCAGGAAGAAGCCCTCTGGCAGTTACAATTTGACTGGCCAAACTCAGATCAAGTGTTTCACTCTAGGTGCAAGATAAATGTGAAAGTGTGTTTCTACCTCTCTGGTTTCTAGAATGGGTGGTAACTTCTTCCCACCACCAAGACACATGTAGATGAAAAGGGGATGGCTAATAATTCTAATAAATGAGGCATATACATATTATCACCTCTGTAATACAACTTCCTTGAGTTTTTCCTTCCACTTTGTGTACTCTCCAATTGCTAGGTCTTCCATAATGATTCCTTCATCTACTCCAAACCAAGTCATTATTTCTAGTAAGTTCCAGTAAATTCATACTACTAAGTTCATCTGACCTGGATATTCAGATGATTCTCTGTTTGAAATGCTTGTTCCCGTGCCATAAAGAAATAGCACTTGAACATAAATTTAATTTATTTAGTAAGGTCATTTTTACTTCCTGTAGAAACGGTACACTCACCAGCAGTTCTGCCACAAGAGTACACCAAAAAAAGGAGATGCATCCTGACGCATCCACCCTACTGCTGTGTCGGGTTTCCGTGGGCTGGAACAGGACCTCACATTCTGTATTTGTCCCGATTGGCTAGCAACTTAGAACTTTTTAAAAGAGGCAAAGGTAGAGGAGAACAAAGAAAGGAGGAAGTCACTTGTGGAATGTTGAGAAAGGTAAAAACACTTTTAAATAAGGAAGAGGAACAGGCTATGACCTAACGCTTGCTTGGACCAGTATAAGTATGCCAGGGCAAATATTTAGGCTAAATTGTGGAAGCTAAGAACATAAAGTACGTTGATTTCTTTATTATGGCTAGCAGATATTTAAGAATGTTAGCACAGGTCTTTGAATACATTTTGCTTCTAAGAGAAGTTACTATTTATTCCTAATTAGACGGGGAGGAAAGTCTTTGAAGAGGAACCTCTGCTTTACTTTTTACATTCTCCTTCCACAAATTTGCCAATGCATCTGAGCTCTCAATCTGCGTTTTTGATGGCCATCTGCCCAGCCCATATAATTCCATTCTCCTTCATTGGTCACCCCCTACATATCCAAAATGTCATTAAGTCCTTATGACACTACATTTTAAATTCTTTTGAATCTATTGCCTTGTCCTCCTTATCACCCCCAAAGTCATATCACACAAGGACTAAGCACTTTGCATGCATTTGAGTCACCTGGGGAGCATGTTAAAAATGGAGACTTTTAGGCCTCCTTGTTGAACTACTATTTCTACAGTAATACCTTATAATCCATATTTTGCACAAAAAAAGGTACCCAGTTTATTCTGATATATAATCTTGTCTGAGACACATTGGACAATAGTAACTAAGTTTCCTTGTTAGTGTGCCTGATTCCAGTTTCCCTTTCCTGAAGGCTATTTGGCACAGTAAAAGGTATTTAATTTTTAAAAATTTAGGTTTTACCAAGGTGGCCAACTAGATGGAGCTGAAGTGCTACTCCCACAGGAAAAGACAATGATTTCAACTACACCAACATAATTTGAACAGATTATTTGCAGAGAAAATGCCAAATATGGATACAGAAAAGATGCAGTTGCTGAGGCTGAAGAGGGAGGGAGCTGGGAACTCCTCATGGGATGCCTGAATGTTATAACTGGTTCCCAGCCCTGAACAGCACCTGAGGAAGCGGTGCGTGAGAGGACTGGAGGACTGCCCACTCTCACCACAAACCTCTGGGAACCTAATACAGGGGCCCCACACCCCTAGGATGTGTGAGCTGGCAAGGGGGATCTCTCAGAGATTAGATGGAGCAGAGCACAGGTTAGCTCCAGCAGAACCCAGTCATGAAAGCCCACCAGCCAGGGCTGCCTGTCTGCCTCTGAGAAAGTCTAGCCCCAGGTAACCCCTGGGAGAAAGCAGGGCCTGCTTCCCCGTGGGCCTGGGGCACATCTGTTCTGCAGGCTGACTGAGCACCAGACCCTCCCAGAGCCCCTGCCTGGCTGCCTGGAAGGAGCAGTTACACAGTGCAACCTCCACTACCCAGCCTAGATGCTTTGCTCCACCTGAGTGCGTTCCAGCTGGGAGCCATTGCAATCACGCACCACACCTGGAACCCAACCCTGAGCATCCGAAGGAGGGAGCTGAGAACAGGTCCTGGCGCCCCAAGGATGTGGGCTCAGGAGTGCCAAGGTGGAATCTGTGCTTTGCACTTGAAAGGAGGAGGATCCCACACTCTCTCGGAAGACTGAGAGGGCTGAGTTGCACAGATTCGAAGGCTGGTGTGGGACCTAGCTGTGTCTGGCTCCACAGGGCTGGTCTGGTAAGGGTGCAGCCTATCTCCCTACCTGGCCTCTCCCTAAGGGAGCCCCATGGCCTGAAAGACTTAGCAACAACAATGACAACAACAAAAATCTTAGGCAGAGTGCCAGCAATCGGAGGTGACTTCCCAAGGCCCACGAGCAGACCTGGTGAGGGGATCACAGCTCTTCCCTTGCACCACAGAACAGATAAAAAAACGTGAAGATACACAAAGGAACTGCATGACTAAAGCCTGTTTACTGTCCATTGCCTTCAGGCGCCATCTGCTGGATCACATCCCTAACCACACCACCAAAAATTATTCTCCCTCCCGGAGAAACTAAGAGCAAGAATTCAACAGATCCTATTCAGCAAGAGATCCTGTCTCAGCAAGAGATCCTATTCAGAGCCTTAGCCCTCTGAAAACTTCCAGAAACTAAGCCAATTTGGTATATTCACTTTATACCAAAATTAAAGGAATACCACCACTTCTAGATGATAAAGAATTAGTACATGAACTCTGGCAATTCAAAAAGCCAGAATATCCCCTTACCTCCAAATGACCTTACTATCTCCCCAGAAATGATTCTTAACTAGCCTAAATTGTCTGAAATGACCATACATTGAATTCATAATCTGAATGGCAAGGAAGCTTATCTAGATTGAGAGAACATTGAAACTCAATCCAAAGAAGCCAGGGAATACAGTAAAATGATTCAAGAGCTAAAGGATGAAATCCCCATTTTAAGAAGGACCCAAAGTAAACTTCTGGAGCTGAAAAATTCACTATGAGAATTTCATAATATAATTGAAAGTATTGCCAGCAAAACAGATCCAGGTGAGGAAAGAATCTCAGAGCTCAAAGACTGGGTCTTTGAATCAACTCAGTCAGACAAAAATAAAGCAAAAAGAATTAAGAAAAATGAGCAAAACCTCCAAGACATATGCTTTATGCAATAGACCAAATCTAGAACTCATCAGCATTCCTGAGAGAAGGAGAGAGAATAAGCAACTTTGAAAAATATACTTGAGGAG
This sequence comes from Homo sapiens, assembly GCF_000001405.40. Classification (NCBI taxonomy): domain Eukaryota; kingdom Metazoa; phylum Chordata; class Mammalia; order Primates; family Hominidae; genus Homo; species Homo sapiens. Next base: position 98,330,475 of record NC_000003.12, read on the forward strand.
ATAGTCCATGAAAACTTTCCTAATCTCACCAAAGAGGTTGACATGCAAATCCAAGAAATAGAGAGAATCCCAGCCAGACACTGTACAAGACGAGAATCCCCAAGACACACAGTTATCAGATTCACTAAAATCAATGCAAAAGAAATCATCTTAAAGTCAGCCAGAGATAAGCAGTAGGTCACCTACAGAAGGGACAGCATCAGGCTAGCAGTAGACCTCTCGGTAGAAACCTTACAAGCCAGAAGAGACTGAGGACCTATTTTCAGTGTCTGTAAAGAAAAGAAATTCTAACCAAGAATTTCATATCCTGACAAACTAAGCTTCATAATTGAAGAGAAATAAAATCCTCTCTGACAAGCAAATGCCAAGGTAATATATTTAAACGAGACCAGCCTTACAAGAGATCCTTAAGGGAGTGCTAAACATGGATTTGAAAGAATGACACCAGTTACCACAAAAGCACACTTAAACACATAGCCCACAGGCACTGTAAAGCAACTGCACAATAAAGTTTAAATAGCAATCAGCTAACAAAACAATGATAGGTTCAAAATCACACATACCAATACTAACCTTGAAAGTAAATGTGCTAAACACGCCACTGAAAAGACACAGAGTGGCAGGTTGAATTAAAAGTCAAAAAACCATCTCTTGTCTTCAAGAGACCCATCTTATAGGTAATGACACCCACAGGCTCAAATTAAAAGGGCAGAGTAAGATCTACCATGCAAACAGAAAACAAAAAAAAAGAGCAGGAGTTGTTATTCTTATATCACATAAAACAGACTTTAAACCAATAAAAATTAAGAAAGAGAATGAAGGGCATTGTATAATGATAAAAGGTACAAACCAACAAGAAGCCTTACCTAGTCTAAATATGTATGCACCCAACATTGGAGCATCCAGATTCATAAGAAACTTCTTCTTGGCCTACAAAAAGGCCTAGACAATCACACAATAATAGTGGGAGACTTCAACACCCACATTGAAAGTGTTAGATCATCAAGCAAAAAGCAAGCAAAGAAACTCCGGACTTAAACTGAAAACTTGACCAATTAGACCTAATAGTCATCTATAGAATACTTCACCCAAAAACCACAGAGTATAGATTCTTCTCATCTGCACATGGAACATATTCTAAGATCAACCATATACTCTGTCATAAAGCAAACCTCAATAAACCAAAAAAATGAAATTGTACAAAGTGTACTCTTGGACAACAGTGCAATAAAAAGAAAATCAGTACTAAAAAGATCTCTCAAAACGACACAAATATCTGGAAATTAAACAACTTACTCCTGAAAATTCTTGGGTGAACATCAAAATTAAAGCAGAAATAAGAAGTTCTTTAAAATAAACAAAAATAGGGACACAACTTACCGAAATCACTGGGATCCACCCAAAAAGTTTACAGCCTTAAATGCCTTCATCAAGAAGTCAGAAAGGTCTCAAATTAACAATCTAACTTTGCACCTAAAGGAACTAGAAAAACAAGAACAAACCAATTCCAAAGCCAGCACCAGAAAATAAGTAGGTGAAATTAGAGAACTTAATGAATTTGGGATGCAAAAATCCACACAAAAGGTCAATGAAACCAAGAGTTCATTCTTCAGATGAATAATTAAGACTGATAGACCCCTAACTAGATTAACAAAGAAAAAGAGAAGATCCAAGTAGGCACAATCAGAAACGACAACATAGAGTAAAATCACACACTGTCTTTCGTATAGCATTTGCGGTCTGGACAAGGTATTAGTGAGTGTAGGAGTCTTAACATTTCAGACCTGGGCTTCAGCTTTTCTTCACCCACAAAGCATGCTTCTCTTTTACTATTATCAGTTATTAAAAAATTCAGTTTGGTTCTGGTTAGCTTGTATTCAAACCATAGTCCTGGGATATGGAAACCAAGGTTATTCTTTGTCAATCCTTATTATGTATCAGGCATTGTTCTGGAAAAATGAAATCACCTGGAAAATGGAAAAAACTGGAAAAATGAAATCACCATTATTTTTTAAATGGAGAAGATACAGGAGAAATATTAAGGGGTGGCAATTATAGAGAAGCTCGGGTTTGGCCCGGAAAAAAATTGAGATGCCTATTAGACATTTACATAGAGATGTAAAGCAGGCAGCTGAATATACTAATTAATATGGTGAATCTGCTAATCTATAATCAAGGAGCTAGTTTCTGTTTTTCTCACTGCAGAACTTAAAGAAAAACAATGAAAGTTTTCTACTACTTTCATTTAAATCAGATCAATCTGCCTTTGAAAGTAATCTGATCTAGTCCAAGATAAACCCAAAGCATCCAAAAAAAGAAATCCCAGCATAAACCTAATATAAAGATTGAAGGTGTTGGGAAGATCAGGATTAAACATGGAATCTTCCTACTTTCAGTCCCACACCTGAAGACAGAAGGAAAAAAAAAAAAAGAATGAGCGTGAGAGTTCTAAGAAAAGGAACCAAGAAAAAGACTAGGGAGAGAGACAGGAGATGAGGAAAAGAGAACTATTTAATTCAGTACAAGTGCTAGAGCTAGAGATTGGGAAAGAGAAGAAGGGGTTTAAAAGGGAAGAAAAGAGTCATAGTCACTTTCTAATGCCTTTTACCCACTAAAGTTCCCTACTACATTAAAAGTGAAAAGAAATCAAGGCTTTCATTCATGAAATTAAGAATAATGGCTTATTCCAGTTTCTTTCAATCTATTTATTATCTCAAAGTTTGCTATTAGAGGCTAGTCCCTAATATTTAATACTGATTTTTCATGTATTATATATAAATAAATAGCTTCAACAAATCTGATACAGGGGACCCAGAGACTCTTCTCTTATTTTATTATGAAATGAAGGGGAGGGGCATCTTCATTTATTTCTCAGAACAGAAATGACTAAAATATTTCTTTTTCTGAGATTATCATCATTAGTCTTTGAAAAAATGATCCATCCACTGAGAGTCACTGGAGACAGTATCCTGATTAATACTGTAATTCACTTGTTAACCCTGGACATACATAGAAAATTAACACTCCCTGTTCAAAGTATCATAGTGAATCTGAGAGTCTTCACTAGAGAACTTATTAAAAGTTTGATGCTTAGAGATTGGGAATTGGGAAACTTCTGTAATTGTAAATATGTATTCATAATTTACATGCAATACTCAGCAGACATTATTAGGGAATCAGTAGGGATTTCTTAGGAAGGGTAACATTGCTGTCATCAAATGAGAACACTGTTTAAGTAATACTGAGGAGACCCAAGAGTCAATCTTGGCATGAAGGAAAGAGGATTTCTTCTCTACTCGGGCACTAAGCCAAGCTGACTGCACATTCACACACCCTCATCTGCTATCAAGCTCATTAGAGCAAGATGCTAGCGATAATGGCTGTTCTCTGAAATTTCTTATAACTCTACTCTGTTCATTCTAATTCTTAGCACTTATTCTTTTCCCCCACAATATCTAGCTCCATGCTCTATTGCACATCTTACTGGAGATCCCTTAGATGTGGTAGGGGATCTAACCAAATCTCCAAAGGAGTGCTCTTATTTTCCTTATCTGAATCCAAAGCTGATCACAGATTACATTAACTGAAACTTGTATCAAGAGTTCATTAGTACGTCTAATTACACCCCCCATGCCCTAATCTCCCTGAACTTATTACATACAAGAAATGGACAGGGCAGAAGTAGCCTCAATTATCAATTACGGCAAAAGAGGGTGCTGAAGTACATAAACTCTAGGCTTAGACTCCTGGGTTTTGAAGTCTGGCTCTACCACTTACTAACCATATAACCTTGACTAAATCAGAAACTCTCTCTGCCTCTTTCTTCGTTTGTAAGTGGGGAGGGGTGAGAATAATACCCCCTGTAGAACTGTAGAACTGTTCTGTAGAACTCTGTTATGAAGAGGTACAAGGGTGACCATTGTGAAATATGTAGGGCAGAGTCTGGCAAATAGAGCCCAGTAAATGCTAGTCAGAACACTCTAATGTTCTTGACAACACTGAAGCCTTCTTGAAAGCACACACTTATTCCAGGTCAGAGAAGAGGCTAATGACAAATGGACTTGTGGAATCTTTCATTATATATAGGTATTGAACACTCTGGTGCATAAGCAGGTTCTTTTATGACTTTCTAGAATGTTGGAGCACTTTTTAAATTTCAGCTTTTATTTTAGATACAGGGGGCACATGTGCAGGTTTGTTACCTGGGGATATTGTATGATGCTGAGGTTTGGGAAATGAATCTTGTCACCTAGGTAGTGAGCATAGCACCTGATAGGTTAGCTTTTCAATCCATACTCCTCTTCTTCCCTCCCCACTGACATAATTTTTTTTTACTTGGTTGGCATTTTGTTCATTTAGGCTCACTGCAACCTCCGTCTCTCAGGCTCAAGCAATTCTCCTGCCTCAGCCTCCTGAGTAGCTGGTATTACAGGCGTGTGCCACCACGCCCAGCTAATTTTTGTATCTTTAGTAGAGATGGGGTTTTACTATGTTGGCCAGGCTGGTCTCGAACTCCTGACCTCAGGTAATCTGCCTACCTCAGACTCCCAAAGTGCTAGGATTACAGGCATGAGCCACTGTGCCTGGCCGACAGACCCATTCTTAAATGAGTCGTAGGTTCAGGTCATCCAAAAGGGGATATAGCAGTGCCATCTCCAAGCCACTCTCAATAAATAAAATTTAATTTCTATTTAATATAAAAATACAAATTACAAATATAATGCATAAAAAATTATGTAAACAAAAAACAGCTTGATGAATTATTGGGGAGTGAAAACTTATGTAATAATCTTAAATATCAAGACATGGAACATTTGGTGCCCTCTAAAACTGTGTGTATTTTTAAATTGCAACCTCATTCCTTGCCTTATCATCTGCCAAAAATTACATTTTTCTTTCCTCATTTCTGATTCTTACACATTTTACTTATATTTCTTTTCTTTTTGTCTTATTGAATTGACTAGAATATTTAGTATAACACTGAAGTGATAAAAGCAGGCCTCCTCATGTCATACGTGATCTCAAAAGGAAAAATTCAAAGTTTTACTATTCAGGTGATATTTTCTATAAGTTTTTGGTACTTAATTTTATTAAATAATGTATTTTCTATTAGAAGTTATTAATAATGTTATCATATAAATGTTACTAAATGTGTCCAATATTTTTTGCATATTTTCTTTTAATTTATTAAGGGGGAAAAGTATAGTAATACATTTTCAAACACCAAAGCAGCATTGGAAGAAACCTTGTTGGTAATATTACAGTTTTTGTATAATGCAAGGTTCAGTCTGCTGATTTTTAAGTATTTTAATGTATATGTTCATAAATGAGACTTTCCTGTACATTTTCTCTCTCATAACCAGGTTGTGGAAACCTCATAAAATTTTGGAGGAGTCTATTCTCTTTTTGCATTTCTGTTTTCTACCAGTTTTAGTTTTATGATCTATGGGGAAAAGGTTGTAGACTTCTAAATGGCATCATGTTCCTCCGTTTAGAGACTTGCACTAGTAATTAAGTCAGCTTGTTTTCCCCTGGCAGAGAGAGAATCATAGAGTTTACACCTTTTAGAAGTTGGTATTGACAGTCGTTTGAGAGGTTCTATTGACAGTACCAAAGACAAGGCTGCAAACCCCTCATAGATACAATATATTCCTCTAGAGATGACCATTCTCCTTTTGTCAGTGATCTACTCTTACTGGAATGTGTCTTTGGCATTACCCATTATAAAACAGGCATTTGGGGTATTAGAATTATTTGATTGCTTTTAGTGGTGAAAGCTGGCTCCACCAAAGTACACTAACAGACTAGTCATTTACTCCTGAAGGAACTGTATCTAGCTTCAGTAGACTTATGAATCCAAAATCACACTAGATGAAAAGGTACAGCTCAGATGTAGAGCATTTGATTGCAAAATCACACTAGTCAGTGCTGAGGGCTGGGGGGCACTGGGAGTCAGCATGAACCTTTTGCCAAAGACTCTAGTCTGCATATATAGGGATACTTTCCTTACAAAGTCATTTTGCTTTAGGATCATATGGCCATTATGGCACTGCTTAAGATAAAGCCCTCTCTGAGGCTCTCAAAACAAGTTTTTGTTCTGTACTCAATTTAAGTATAGATTTATGTTTGCTCCCTTTATGTATCTGAACTAGTAAGAACTTCATATGTACTAATATATCCATATACTAATGCAAAAATCCAAATAGTCACACAAAGCATATGGCCTCTTTGTTATCAGTAAGGTTGCTAATAGTAGAATTTGAAATGTATCTCATGATCTCAGCCCTTAACTAATTGAGCTGGATTTTATATTTGAACTGGATTGATAGATGATTTTCAGTTACTCAATTCATGTATCAGGTTTGAAGTCTAGTACTATTTTTATGCCAAAGCTAGACAAAGACATCACAGGAAAGAAAAACTACAGACCAATATTTACATTGGACATAATCATAAAAATCTTTAACAAAATACTAGCAAATTAAATCCAGCACTATTTAAAGTATAATACACCATGATGAAGTGAGGCTTATCCCAGAAATGTCAGAATATTTAATATCTGAAAATCAAATCAATTAACATAATATAATATACCAATAGAATAACGGCAAGAGACTATATTAATATCTTAGTAGAAGCATTAAAGAGTATTTGACAAAATTCAAAATATATTAAAAATTCTTAGCAAACTAAGAATAGAAGAAGACTTCCTCAATCTGATGAAGTTCACCTATAAAAATATATACAGCCAAGACCATACTTAATAGTGAAAGAGCAAATGATTTTTACCTAAGGTCAGAAATATTCTCATTACTTTTTTTCATTAGTGTACTCAAGGTCTTGGTGCTATAAGGCAATGAGGAGAAACAAATGTAGATTGGAAAGAAAGAAGTAAAACTATCTTTATTTACATATTACATAATTGCTTAAGTAGAAATTATATAAGATATATAAAACTAGTAAGTTAATTTAATGTCACAATACTGTATAAACAAATATCAACTATTTCTACATATTAGCAACAGAAAATGAAATTAAAAATAGAACACCATTCATAATAGCATATAAAAGTAGAAGCCATAGTACATTTAATAACAAATGTGCAAAATCTGGTACACTTAAAAAATACAAAAATTGCTTAGGAAAATCAAGTAATATCAAAATAAAAATGTTGAAAGACTTAATATTGTTGGGATGGCAAGTCTTGTGAAATTGATCTGTAGATTCAATGCATCCTAGTCAAATACCCAACGGGCTTTTTACATTTTACAGAAGTAGAAAAACTGATTCTAAAATTTATATACCATCTGATTTTAAGACTTACTCTACAGCTACAATAATCATTGCTACTGCAATAAGTAAAAACACACATGTATTTTAATGGAATAAGATAGCTTCCTGCAATAAATATACATTCATATTGTCAATTGATTTTTTACAAAGGCACCACGGTAATTCAATAGAGAAAGGATATACATTCCAATAAATAGTACTGGGATAACTGAGTATTCAGCTGGAAAAAAACCTAGCCTTGAAATTTTACTCACTTTGTGACCAAAAATGCATTCAAAATGGATAATGTGACCCTCATCTGATCACTATACATTGTATATATCAAAACATCACTATGTACTCCATAAATATGAACAATTACCATGTGTCAAGTAAAAAAAAAATAAAATATGGATGATGAATTCAAAAAACATAGGCGCCCAAATCATAAAACTTTAGAAGACAATATAGTAGAATATCTTTGTGATGTTAAGAAAATATTTTAAATAGGACATAAAAACATAAAAGATAAGAGAAAAAATGTTAAGTTGGGTTAAACTGGACTTCATCAAAACTAAAAATTTTGTTGAAAGATTACCTTAAACATTAAAAAATATAAAAAGTCAAGTCACAGATTACAAAATATATGTCTGACAATGAGCTTGTAACCCGAATATATAGAAAATTTTTATAACTCAATACCAGAAGGGCAAATAAATGAAAACACATGGGCAAAAGAGTTGAACAGACACTTCATAAAAGAAGATGTAGGAGAAACCAAAAGGCACTTGAAAAGATCCTCAACCCCTTGCTCATTAGGACTATGAAAAATTAGAGCCACCATTAGATATCACTATACACCCACCAGAATAGCTAAAATTAAGGTCCAATAATAACAAGTGCTGATACTAATGTGGAGAAACTGGAATCTTCACATAATTCTGAAAATGCAAAACTAGGACAGCCACTTTGTAAAACAAGAAGCCACTTAAAATGTATACTAAATATACATTTACCACACAAACCAACAATCCCACTTCTTGGTGTGTTACCAAGAGAAATGAAAGATCATTTCCACACAAAAACTTGCATCTGTATGCAGATAGTAGTTTAATTCACAATAGCCCCAAATTGAAAACAACCGAAATATCCTTTCACTGGTACATGGATAAGCAAATTGTAGCATGCCACACATACAGTGGAATATTACTGTGGTAGTCAGAATCCAGTCAGGGCAGAGGAACCACTCAGTAATTTTAATAGGGAATTTTTGCTAAAAAAAATCCCCAACTGCTATCAGGAGGTTAGCCTTTAAGAGGGGATAAAAGAGAATGCTAAAAATACCCTAGGGCTGAGGGACAGTTCCTAAGGGAGGAACAAACTTGGAAAGGATCTTCCTCAAAGCTGTGAATCAGGTGTTTCTGGAGAGTGTATTTCTGCTACCTACTGGATGATAAAGAAATTTGCTGGATTGTGCAGGTCAGAGCTTGTCAGCAACCTTTGATTGAGGCTGGTGTGGCAGGAATTGCAGGCTGAGACCAGGAATGACAGGAACCTTTCTTCCAGGGAGCTGGTGGACCACAGAACCATACCTTGTGAGGACATCACAGGCAAGGTTGACAACAAAAGTTACTGGATGGTAACTGCATGTCCGTCATACATGTCACTGGAAAGTGTGCAATGGGAGCAAAAGGAGTAGCTCATCACATCCAGTAAGAGAAGTCCTTTTCTCCTAAAGTATATTTAAAGTGTATTTTACTGGTAAAACTTAATATTTTGCCAGCTGAGAAAGGAATGTTGACAGGGTTCAGCTCTAGTATCATAAAGCAAAGAAATTAAGGGAGAATTTGAAACTGAGAAACCTAGTCTATCACTTTGGCTATTCAGCTTCCATGTGCACCTTACTGTGTGCATTTGGACAACTGTACAGCAATAAAGCAACTCTATATCTCTGCCTGACAAGATAGGAGAAGAGGTACCATCCCAAAAGTCATTGTATTTGTTGCCAGCTGTATTAATTACTCTTAAAATTCAGTCATGGTCCCATTGAATATTCTTTTGCCTAAAGACTAAATGGAAAAGTTTTCTTCCAACAGTTTCTATGTAAAAGATTAATGAGAAAAACAGAGAAGAAAATGGTTAGCATATACCAATAAACACATAAGTATAACACTGATATTGTTTGGCTATGTCCCTACCTAAATCTCATCTTGAATTCCCATGTGTTGTGGGAGGAACCTGATGGGAGGTAATTGAGTCATGGGGGCAAGTCTTTCCCATGCTGTTCTCATGATAGTAAATAAGTCTCATGAGATCTGATGGTTTTAAAGAGAGGCATTCCCCTGCACAAGCTCTCTCATTTTTTTCCTGCTGCCATCTATGTAAGATGTGACTTTCTCCTCCTTGCCTTTTGCCATGATTGTGAGGCTTCTCCAGCCACATGGAACTGTAAGTCCAATTAAACCTCTTTCTTTTGTAAATTGCTCATTCTGGGGTATGTCTTTATCAGCATTTATCAATGAACTAATACAACACATAGAAAGAAAGTGGGTAAAGACACTAGTCTTCATTTCTGTAATTGGTCATGAGGCTAAAGTCGATATCTGTGACCTTTTCCTTTCGCTTACACATTCTAAGTCTCCCTTGCCATCAAACAAAACCTCACCTAGTTGGAATTCTTTTCCTGGTGGAGTGCTGTAAACCTTAATTTCCAAGGGGTCTGAGTCCTTAATAGCCATTCATTTATTTGGTGGCTATAATATTCCATTAAAATTTACTATAAGGAAGGAAATGCTATGAGCAGCCCCAGAGAATCCCATGTGTTTCAAAGTAGCTATCTCTGTCTCCATTGTAGAGTAGCAATCCAATTTTCTCTACTAAACAGGATCAATTACTCAAGTCAGTATAATAGCCCTTTAATTAACTTGTTGGTTCAGTAGCATGAAGAACCCAAAATGGTCGGGCAACAGTCTCAATTTCTAGTTCAATGGAAGCATTGTTTCATCCCTGATGGAAGCATTTCCATCTTAGAGACCAAGACCTCCAAAATACCAGAGCTTAGTTGCCAGAGCAAAATTCCAAAATTCTGTGTGTAGGTTATTTGGGAAAATAGTGAGAGGACCTGCCCATTTGTGGTTCTATCCAATTATTTCTGGACTCATGTATTCTGGCTATGGGGAGATTGCACTATATAACAGAATTTAATTAAAAGAATATAATCAATCATGTAAGACAAAATTTCATACTTTGAGGGTGTTGTCTCCAATTTATTATGTAACCGAGTCTTCAGAAAGAATTGAATCTTTCATGTAGGCCCGTTGCTTCCAGGTAATGGAGTAAGACAAGTTAATTTTATGGTCATGAGCCCATTGCTATACTTCCTTTGAATTGCTTAATCATAAGAGGCTGTGGAGAAGAGGGAATGCTTATACGCTGTTGGTGGGAATACATTAGTTCAGCCACTGTGGAAAGTAATTTGGAGATTTCTCAAAGAACTTAAAACAGAACCTACCATTTGACCAGTAATCCCATAGATGGGGTTCTTCCTCCAAAAGAAAAAAAAAAAAAACAGTTCTACCAAAAAGACATATGCACTCGTATGTTCATCACAGCACTATTCACAATAGCGAAGGCATAGAATCAACCTAGGTACCCACCAACGATGGCTTGATACGATGGCTTGATAAAGAAAATATGGTACATATATACCATGGAATACAACACAGCCGTAAAGAACAAAATCATGTATTTGCAGTAATGTGGATGTAACTGGAGGCCTCAGCATCGGACAGTAATTGCCTGTGCTTTTGGTGTCATAGCCAAGAAATCATTGCCAAGACCAATGCCATGAAGCTTTTCCCCTGTGTTTTCTTCTAGGAATTTTACAGTTTCTGGTCTTACATCTAAGTCTTTAATTCATTTTGAGTTGATTTTTGTAGATGGTTTAAGATAAGGGTTCAATTTCTTTTCTTTCTTTCTTTTATTTTTATTTCTTTTGGAACAGAGTATCCCTCTGTCACCCAGGATGGTGTGCAGTGGTGCAATCATGGCTCACTGCAACCTCCGCCTCCCGAGCTCAAGCGATCCTCCCACCTCAGCCCCTTGAGTAGCTGGAAGTAATTTCCTTCTATCCTGAGTTTGTTGAGAGTTTTTACCCTGAAAAAATGCTTAATTTTGTCGCATGTTTTTTCTGCATCTATTGACATGATCACGTGATTTTTCTTCTTTGTTCTATCAATATGGTTTATCACATTAATTGATTTTTGTATGTTGAACCATCCTTGCATCCCAGGGATAAATGTCACTTGGTCACAGTGTATGGTCCTTTAAATATGTTATTGAATTCGGTTTGCTAGTGTATGGTTGAGGAGTTTTACATCAATGTTTATCAGCAATATTGGCCTGCAGCTTTTCTTTCTTGTATTGTTTCTGTCTGGATTTGGTATTAGAGTAATACTGGCCTGACATGAGTTTAGAAGTGTTTCCTTCTCTCTGATTTTTGGAAAAGATTGAGAAGGACTGGCATTAGTTATTCTTTAAACAGTTGGTAGAATTCATCAGTGACACCATCTGGTCCTGGGTTTTTTGTTGTTGTTGTTGTTAAAAGATTTTTGATTACTGATTCAATTTCTTTATTTGTTATAGGTCTGTACAGACTTTTCATTTCTTCATGACTCACTCTTGGTAAGTTGTATGTTTGTAGAAACTTATCCATTCCTTCTAAGTTATCCAATTTATATATGTGAAATTGTTCATAGTAGTCTCATGATCTTTTTGTATTTCTGTGGCATCAGTTTTAAAGTCTCCTCTTTCATTTACATTTTCTTTGTCTTCATGCTCCCTTTTCTTCTTTTAGTAAGACTAGCTAAAGTTTTCTCAGTTGGTTTGTCTTTTCAGAAAACCAACACTTAGTGCCTCAAGCAGCCCCCAGAGAAATCAGAAAATTGAACATCAGTATAGTTCTTATCTTACTTCCCCAGGGAGAAGTGGGGAGCTTGAGGATTCTCCCTAATCATAGTGCTGTGCCAGGGGCAGGGATTATGGCAAGAGGCTGTCTCGAACTTTCCTACTGGCTTCAACGTGGCAGTTTTATGCTTGCCTGGGCTACAGAAACCTCTCAACTAGTCTCTGGATTTCTTACAAAGGAAATTGGTCTGTGTATTGTTGTTGAATCCGTGTGTCCATGAGGAGGGTCTAGGGCTTCCTATTGTGCCCTCTTGTTGACATCCCATCAGGCTGTGATTTCAGTTAAGAGGCAAAGACCTGTATATGCCATTTTATTTCTGTAAGCACTCTAGTGCACTGAGAATCTATCCCGCACCACAGTCCTTGAAGTCATTATTGGCCAAATGAACTAGCCAGTTGGATTTCCAAGGCACATGCTTCAATTGCTACTACAGGTGTTAGCTTGATTAACTGTGATGTTGCTACGCTATGAATTAGCATCAGTCATTATCAGCCTGGTGTGGTGACTCATGCCTATAGTCCCAGCACTTTGGGAAGCTGAGGCAGGAAGATCACCTGAGGTCAGGAGTTCAAGAGCAGCCTAGACAACATGGTAAAACCCCATCTCTACTAAAAATCCAAGAATTATCTGGGTGTGGTGGTGCATGCCTGTGATCTTGGCTACTTGGGAGGCTGAGGCAGGAGAATCACTTGAATCCAGGAGGCGGAGGCTGCAGTGAGCCAGGATTGTGCCAGTGAACTCCAGCCTGGGCAACAGACTGAGACCCTATCTCAAAACAACAACAACAACAACAACAACAACAACAAACCAGCCATTATTAAAGATCTCAGTCTCAGCACAGGGCTCAAGCCCAAGGGCCAAATCTGTTCCATGATCCCATATTGAGAAGTCTATCATCTTGGACAGCTCCCAGCTCCAAATCTGAATCAGTAAGTTTTCAGTTAGAAAACAGAGGAGAAGTTAGGAGATAGGAGGAAATTAAAAGACAACGCTAAATAATAGCCTGAGGTTGAGAAAACCTACCCAAAGAAGAGACAAACTTAGAAGCAAAACTTCCTTCCCACCGTTGAGATCCAGACCTTGTTGGAGAGAGCAAGATCTGCAGATTACTGTATGGCGAAGTTGGCTGGGTCCTCTTGTGCCAGAGCTCATCTAAAGTCAGCTAGCTGAGGCAAGCAAAGGCGACGCTGTGGGCCAGGATTGTCAATTGGTAAGCCTATAACGGAGGTGATTTTAGCAACAAAATTTGTTGGAGGGTGAGAGTCACTGAGGATTCCTGATGCATGCCATAGGTAGCCACAGGTAGTTCGGTTACTGCAGCAAAAAGAGAGAAAGTGCAAGAAAACTAGAGAACACTCATTGTCCTGCAGTGTCTCTCCAGCGCCCTCTACTGACAAAGTTTATCATGGTGACATCCAAAGAAGGAGATGTGTTCCCTGGAGCCAGCTCCAGCAAATATGGTTGGTAAAGGATAGTCGTACTCGGCAAGGAAAAGCAACAAGTTACTGATACATTCCACAATATGGATGGATTTTGAAGGAGTAGGCTAAATAAAAGTAGCCAGACGCAACAGACTATAAACCGTATGTTTCCATTTTTATAAAATTCTAGAAAAGACAAACCTATAGTGACAGACAGGATTAATGGATGCCTGGAAGCAGATTAGGGGCAGAGATTGACTGCGAAGAAACATTTGAGAACTTTTTGAGATTATTAAAATGTCCTAAAGTTTGGCTATGGTAGTGGCACAACTGCACACAGTTTCTTAAACTTACCAAATTGTACTTTTAAGATGGATGAATTTACTATACATAAATTATATCTCGGTAAAGCCTCAAAAATAATTCCTAGTGCTTTTTAGTCTTCCCTAAGCTGCCTTATTTCTTTAAACTCTTTGGACTCATTAATTTCATTCTTAAAAATTTTCCATGGCTGTTAATGTTTTCATCTGTCAGATTTGTTTACCAGCCCGTGTGCTTTCTAATCAGGATTAACTCCAAGGCATCTACGTGCCTCAACAGGGCCATTTTTTTTTGTTTTTTGCATAAAGAATTTTAGAAATCAGACTCACTGATTTAATTCAGACTGCAATTGCTACCGAAGGGTTACTTTTTTATCCTCTGAGAATATACCCACAACACTATCTTTCTGTAATCAGATGGCCTTTCAATGCTTTCCAGTGCAAAATGTTTATTTTGTTGATATTGACTGGCCTTTCCATGTATATAAAACATATCTTCTGGTTACTCATTGAGGGCCTGAAGTGATAATTTACCAGTACATATGCAACACACCTAGACACTAGCATGGCTTTCTTGACTGTAAGAGTTCTAAATAAGAGAAAGGTTTTAATTATTTATCGGCCAGGCAAGACAATAACTGATGCCTAGGTGGAAAGTTTAGGAAAAATGTTACCATCAGTCAATTAAGATAAGGTCCAACTGATTATTCTTAGTTAACCAAATTTAGTCATGGGACTTATTCTCTAGTTTATGCCTAGGCCAGATACAAAGTAGATTCCTAATGTCTCCTAGCATTAGTGATTGTCCTATGAAAATAATTTTTAAAAATGAATAGATGAGGAAGACAAAGGCTATATATTCATAGCTTGCTATAGCAAGAGAGTCAGCCACCATCACTTGTGTCTTGCCGGAGACTCAAATGCAGACAGAGGAGTGGAGAAAAAGGAAGATTTCATGTGTGCCTTGATTTGAGGCTGCTGCCATGGGGAAGATGTAGCCATGCTAACTGGATTGGGACAGCCTATGCAATGTGACTGATGAGGGGTGCATATTTGGTATTCTCCGGATCATCCTAAATTGGAAGTGAAAACAAAAATTAGAAAGCTGACATTTATTAATCAAGTCCTGATCATTTCCAGCTGATCGTTACAAAAGTTATTGTGTAGCTTCCTGAATTGTTACCAAAAATAGCAATCTGGTTTCCTGCCAGTCTGACTTATGGCTGGGTGACTTCCTAGGCTGTTTATTGTAGACAAGGGGTTGGTTTCCTAGAAGGGTTACTGTGGGTTCAGAATCCAGAGTTCTATTTAACAACAACAACAAAAAATATATTATAGTGCTTAAGAGCACAGACTCTGGACTCTGGAATAAAACCCACTGGGTTCAAATACAGTTTTTTTTCACTTACTGGGTAAGGAACCTGAGGTAGTTTCTCAACATCTCTGTGCATTTGCTTCCTCATCTACAAAACTCAAATATAACCTACTGTACAGGACTATTATAAAGGTTAAATGAGTTAGTAAACTTAATTTCTTACAAGAGTGCCTAGAGAAATGCAACTGTTTGATAAATGCCAACTATCATTATGCCCTACTCATTTAATGATTTTACAAATTTAATTTAACTAAACGATAAAATGTTAAGAAGCCCAGGAGGGACTTCATAATGACTGACTGGAGGCACCACTCAGCAGCCTCCTTCAAAATGAAGAACTAAAATAGTGAGTAGATAATTACATTTCAAATAGTATATCTAAGAGATAATGCTGGAATTCAGTAGAGAAGTAACAGGAGGAAACACAGGAGGTACCAAAGGAGAGGGAAGCAAGCCAGACAGCTTTGTCTGGAGAGGCCATATATGACAAGCCCACAGCTAACATCATACAGAATGGAAAAAAGCTGAACGCCTTTCCCCTAAGAATTGCAACAAGATAAGGATGCTCATTTTCAGCACTCCTATTTAACATATACTAAGCCCCGCACATGAACCTGGGAACTTAAAATAAAAACTAAAATTAAAAATTTTTGAAAACCCATAATACTAGAAGTCCTAGCCAGAACAGTAAGGCAAGAGAAGGAGATAAAGGCATCCATATTGTAAAGAGGATGTCAAATTGGCCTTCTTTGCAGATGACAGGATCTCATATTTAGAAAACCCTGAAGACTTCACCAAAAAGCACTTAGATCTGATCAATGAGTTTGGTAAAGTTGTAGGATACAAACTCAACAGACAAAAATTAGTAGCATTTCTATACACCAATAACTAACTGAAAAAGAAATCAAGAGGGGAATCTTACAAACAATAGCTTCAAGAAACATAAAATACCTAAGAATAAATTTAATCAAGGAGGCAAAAGATCTCTACAAAGAAAACTACAAAATACTGATGAAAGAAATTAAAGAGGACACAAATAAACGAAAAGACACCTCATGCTCATGGATTAAAAAAATTAATATTGTTAAAATTACCATACTACCAAAGCAATCCACAGCTTAAATGCAATTCCTATCAAAATACCAATGACATTTTTCACAAAAATAGAAAAAACAATTCTAAAATTTGTATGGAACCAAAAGAGAGCCCAAATAGCCAAAGCAATCCTAAGAGGAAAACAAATAGTGTAAAAGCTGGAGGCATCACATTACCAGACTTCAAAATATATTACAAGGCTATCACAACCAAAAAGCATGGTATTGGTATAAAAAAGCAGATGTACAGATGAATGGAACTGACTAGAGAACCAGAATTAAACTCATGTATGTAGAACCAATTGATTTTCAATAAAGGTGCCAAGAACATACATTTGGAAAAGGGCACCCTCTTCAATAAACGGTCCTGGGAAAACTGAATATCCATATTCAGAGGAATCAAACTAGACCCCTGTCTCTCCTCATATACAAAAGTCAACTCAAATGGATTAAAAACTTAAAGGTAACACATAGAAGAAAGCAAAGGAAAAACACTCCAGGACATAGGTCTACACTAAGATTTTATGGCCAAAACCCCAAAAGCACAGGCAGCAAAACCAAAAATAGACAAATGGGTCACATCTAAGTAAAAAGCTTCTGCATAGCAAAGGAACCAATCAACAAAGTGAAGAGATAACTTGTTGAATGGGAGAATATATTTGCAAACTATTTATCCAACAAAGAAATAATATCCAGAATATTCAAGGAACTCAAACAACCCTACAAAAGAAAATCTCATTAAAAATGGGCAGAGAATTTGAAGATGTACAAATGGCCAACAGGTATATTAAAAAATGCTCAACATCACGAATCATCAAGGAAATTCAAATCAAAACTACAGTGAGATATAATCTTCCCAGCAAGAATCGCTATTATCAAAAAGACAAAAATAACAGATACTGGCAAAAATGAAGAGAAAAGGGAAGTCTTCTACACTGTTAGTGGGAATGTAAATTAGAACTGTTTTCCATAATGGAAAACAGTGTGGAGGTTTCTCAAAAAACTAAAAATAGAATTACCATACAATCCAGGAATCCCACTACTGGGTATTTTTCCAAAGGAAAGAAAATCAGTATATCAGAGGGATATCTATGCCCTCATTTGTATTGCAGCACTATTAACAATAGCTATGGAATCAACCTAAGTGTCCATTAATGGCTGAATGGTTAAATAGAATGTGGTATATTTATACAATGGAATACTATTTGGTCATAAAAGGCAAAGAAATTCTGTTCTTTGCGGTAACGCAGCTGCAACTGGAGCTCATTATGTTGAGTAAAATAAACCAGACACAGAAAAAGAAATATTGCATGTGCTTATTCATATGTGGGAGCTAAAAAAACATTGATATTATAAAGGTAGAGAGTATGATAGTTACCAGAGTCTGGAAAGAAATTGGGGAATGCAGGGGATGAAGAGAGGTTGATTAAAGGGTACTAACATATAGTCAGATAGAATGAATAAGTTCTAATGTTCAATAGTAGAACAGGGTGGCTATAGTTGACAACAATGTATCACATATTTCAAAATAGCTAGAAATGAGGACTTGAAGTGCTCTTAACACATTGAAATAAATGCTCAGGGTGATGGATATCCTAAAAATCTTGACTTGATCATTAAGTATTTTTTATGCATGTAAGAAAATATCACATGTATCCCATGACTATGAAAAAATATTATGCATCAATTACAATTTTTTAAGTTAAAAGGGTTACTACTCATGTTATTTAGTTAAAAGTGAAAAAGCAATTTATCACTAGAGAAATGCTTATTCTTCCTTAGTAAAAATACCTACACTGGACTAAAAAATAGTGGAAATAATGCAGAAAAGCAATGTGGCAACAAAGTAAAATGTGTTTATTTATCATTAAAAAACTTTCATGATGAATCAATGAATAGAACAAGTAGAGGTATCACTCCATTTGAAAATAACTATTTTCATCATTGATAGGCAAGGTATTACAGCAAAGAAACTGACACCAGGAGTGCATGAAATGCATGTCACTGATGTGATTAGTTTTTTAAAATAAATATGATATTTAAAATACTAGAAACTTTATGATATCTTACAATGAGTGACCACATGCCACACGGAGGTTCACTGGGAATCATGTCAATACTTAAAACAATTGCTGAATTTAGGATGAATTATATATTTTTCTTCTAATAAAAGATAGGTTTTCTAAATTTGCTAATCCATTCTCTGATGATAAGTAGCTACTCAACAAATATTTTTAAATGATTAAAACCTTTATTTTGTCCTTTGATGTCAGTATGATATTTAACTAAGTGAACTGTAACTACTATCAATATGAAATTGTGCAACACAGATAAAATCTTGAAACATGTTTAGTATGTTTTTCTATATCCTCATATAATACTCTGGGCAAAAATTATCTGATAACATACTAAAAACTCTCATGTTTGCTTATTTTTTAAAAAATTTGGAAACACAATGTTTCCACCTTCATAAAAATATTCCACATATTTTAAGAGAAATTTGAACTTGTTTTTCAAATTTAAAAATTTTTAATTTGCTTACACTTTTTAATTTTCTTACAAAACAACTGATTGACATCAGAGAGTATGGTGATTTACTGGCTAAATATCAGGCAAGCCTTTTCTAAATTAGTGTCTAGTATTTAAAACAAAGTGCCATAATTTTGTAAAAGTACCCAAGGTTGTACTTTTATTTTAAGGAATTTGTGCGTGTGAGGAAAGGAAGAAAAGAGGATCTAAGAGAAAACATGGAGAAAGAACAGCCCGAGATGTAGCAATAAACAAGCATTAAATCACAGAAGCCTGAGAAGCAAATATGCTTCAGAGTGTGGTCAATGGTGCCAAATCATAAAATTAATTAGTTAAGATAATAATTTAAAAAAATGCTTTAGGTGTGGTAATTAGGAGTTGAGTAGTGATCTTAGTGAGAGAGTGGCGATGAGAACCTCCAACTCCTTCCTGTCATGAGCCCAGACTCTGGCTACTCTGGTTCACTCTCCATTCACTGAATATGCTTTGTGCTTTCAAGTTTCCATGCTTTTACTTCTAATCATGCCGCTCCTTCAACCTGTAATTCTTTGCTACACATTCTTCTTGCCTATTGAAATTTAATTTATCCTTCAAGAATCATGAGAAATGTCATTTTGTATAATGTCTTCTCTTAGTTCTCTAAGTCCTTCTTTGTGTTCTCATATACCTTGCTTATAGTTCAGTTTGTAATACTTAACTCAGCCTGAGTTTCTATATTATATCATTGTATAAGTGATTTTATCCTCTAGATTGGGAGCTCTCTAAGGGCAGGATTATTTCTTATTTATCTATTCAGGTTCCTGCCCTAACTCACTCCTACCACATACCCCTCCTTGCGCAATGTCTTACTCCATGACTTCTCTATTGTAGTCACTCTATAATGTTGAAGTTAATTTAATTGAAATTTCTGCAAGCAATTCAATAAGCATTCACCGACGGCCTACATTTTCTGGAACTATGAGGGATTTGCAGTGTGGAAAACCAAAAAGAAAATCAATCTAAGAATAAACAAAACTTGCACATGAAGAACAGCTGAATGAACACAGGAGTGAAGTACAATTAAGAGCTCTTTGCATCACACAAACAGTCATTATCTTGCAGATCAGAAAGTTGAGGATGTCTTCATAATGAGAATCAGATCTCATAAAAATTGAGTAAGATTTGGATAGAAGAATAAATCAAAGAGGGCATTTCATGTGAAGAGTAGATTCTGAGTAAATATTCTGAGGTCAAGGTTAAACTCTAACACATCAAGGAATAGATAAGTTATAGGCGTGTCTCTGGAGATGGATTCTTAAAGGTGAATGGTAGAAAATAGCCTTAAGTGATATAAGCCCTCTGTATGGAGCCCTTGGAGTACCAAGATAAAGGACAAAACTTGGTTTGAAGACTAATGAGAAGCCAAAAATATTTCTAATGCATAAGAGCATATCTACACACTAGAGAAAAGATGGGGATAGGAGACCAATTAACAAGTAAGTTATCTTATGATGATGGCATTGATTATGGTAATAGTTTTGTGGGTGTATACTTATGTCCCAATTTATCAAGTTGTATACATTATATGTGTATAGCTTTTTGCACATAAATCATACCTCAATTAAGTTTTTTAAAGTTACCTTATGACAAATAAGTGAAACTGAAGAACATAATGTCAGACTTACTTCAGAGGATGAATGTACAAGATTTGACCAGATTAATTTGGGGAGCAAAAGAAAGGAATACAACCCTGGGTGATCCTGCCACATTTTTGCCTCTTGTCCACAAATACAAATCTCTCTTCAAATCTCTGTTTAACTTCCACCTCAACTGATCAATGTAAATCTTTTTCTCTCCATCATAGTTTTCAGGTAATCAAGGGGTGTGTGTGTGTGTGTGTGTGTGTGTGTGTGTGTGTGTCTGTGTGTAAGAGAAAGAGAGAGTTTCCAAGTATGTGAAAAATCAAGATGAACCTTAAGCTGTTTTTAGTGATAGCAATTTTGATTTAACTTCCGAATCTCAAAATGCATCCATCTTTATATGCTGTTTGATTTACTGGTGCTGGGGGAACCATGCTCATCAGATTAGAGTCTCTGCAGAAACACTCTGATGCCAATGCCGAGGAAGTCCCTTTAGAATAGAAAACTTTAACTTTGCCTGAGACTTGCATAACTATTGTCACTAACCTATTGGTAGGGAGTGTCCTAGATTTTTATAATTTATTCCCTAATGATTTAAAAACCAATGTTTTTATTCTTAATTTCCCTACAAAGAAAAAACATCAGGAGACCAGTCAGCTACTATAAAATGTTTCTCAGTGAACTCAAAATATGAGGACTTAATTTTATTTACTAATTTATTTATATTATAGTATCAAAATGCAGAATATAAATTTTCTAATATACTTCAGTATTTTTATTGTTTTTAAATTTTAGCCACTTAATAATTCTCTTTGTCTCTAAAGTGAAGCCATTATAGAAAGCCATAAGGAGACATAGTAAGTGGATAAGTCTGACCTATTCTTTGTTCAAAAGTACCATAATTTTATCAGCAAATACACAGATAAGGCTGATGATGTCCTTGTACAGTAATTCTGCGATCTATAGGCAAATTAATTTTTGATTAAGTTCAAAAATTATATTTTACATTGGTGAAGAGAAAATGAGATTTTACTCATTATATTCTGAAATATGATCTATATAAAATAATTATTGATAATAAAATCCATTTTTCCACAGTCCACCTGATAAATATTTTCAGTTGATTTTCCATTAGATGTTACTAAAATAATGATAAAGAGCAGCATTTTATACTTTTACAAAGTTTTTTTAAAAATATAATTCTGAAAGATTTTTTAAAAGAGGTATAGACCTAAAATATAAAGGACATTTTATTGTATTCATTTGATTACAAGCCTCTAGTGATAAAACTCCAGAAAACCTCATCATATTATGTGAGTCAATAGAAAAACAAAAGTAAGAAACAGAGAAAACCTAACCAAAATGTTTTCAAAGTAATTCACTGGCCGGGCGAGGTGACTCATGCCTGTAATCCCAGCATTTTGGGAGGCCGAGGCGGGCGGATCGCCTGAGGTCAGGAGTTCGAGACCAGCCTGACCAACATGGTGAAACCCCGTCTCTACTAAAAATACAAAATTAGCCAGGCATGGTGGCTCATGCCTGTAATCCCAGCTACTCGGGAGGCTGAGGCAGGAGAAGTGCTTGAAACTCTGTCTCAAAAAAAAAAAAAATGTGCTTTGAATTAACTATCGTAGGCTCTTCTCCAAAATTGTCTGTTTGGAGTATGCTAAGGCTAAAGACTTTTAGAAACTTCTAAAAGAAAAGAAAGTTAATTTTATTATTCTTTAAAACTCAAATTGTTTCTGTACCTGAAATATTTTAATGTACAGTTGCCAAACTATAAGAACTATATAATAAATTTAGTTGATCATTAAACTCAAATAAATATATAGCCAGTAAAGAGTAGATAATGAGTTTGTAAATTTAAATAAATTTAAAACTCAAGTAAATAAATGGAGAACCTCCATAGAACTCACTGAAAATGAAGACATTACTTTCTATGAGAGATGTTTGAGTGAATACAAAATAGATATTTACCATGAAGAATATTCACATTATGAGTGGAGATTTTGCCACCAAATCTTACAATGTTGGACATGCATGTAAAACTCTTAAAACTAGAGACAGAAAGTATTAGGATAAGTGAGCAATTAAGAGTAATAACTCCTTGGGAAATTTGTCATACCAAGATTGGAATAGTATCTAGAATATGTTGAAATGAACATAAAAATGATATCCAATACAATGATTAAGAACACTCATAGATGTTTCATATTCTTATCCTCTCTAAAAGGATGAGTAGATATCTCATAAAATATGCAATTGGTGACCTTATCTGGAAAGGGTTACTAAGCTAGCAAAAGCATTCTTCAAATCACTGTGTTTCTGTGCAGTTTTTAAAATGTAGACATTTAAAATGCCTTAAGAGTAATTCATTTTAAGCGTCACATTGATCCAATAGGATACGATTTAAAACTTGTTTACTTTTTCCTGGAGGAAAAGATACCATAAGAAAATGTCTTAATTTTGGAAATGGAAAATTATATGTACTGACCACAGATTTTACATCGGCATAGGATAATTCATGCAGATAAAGCTTTCCTGCCCTAGGAATTCACACAGATATTTTCAGACAAGCCCTGGGTACACAATCCATGATACATTTTTTCTCACTTGATTTGACCCACAGTGAGTGTGCTAGTGTTTAGGAGATGGCACAGGATAATTTGAAGAAGACTTTCTTCCCTTTTGTATACAGGGAAATTAGAGGGTGAGAATTAGAAACATTCTGCTTTGGAATCTTACATTTCTTTACAATTTATGTCTCAGAAGAGAAGCCAGGAATGGCTAGGGAAAATCACTCCTTAGCAGCTGAATTCATCCTCATAGGATTTACAAATTATCCAGAGCTGAAGACGCTTCTGTTTGTGGTGTTCTCTGCCATCTATCTGGTCACCATGGTGGGGAATCTTGGTCTGGTGGCATTAATTTATGTAGAGCGTCGTCTTCTCACACCAATGTACATCTTTCTGGGCAACCTGGCTCTGATGGATTCCTGCTGTTCCTGTGCTGTTACCCCCAAGATGTTAGAGAATTTCTTTTCTGAGGATAGAATTATTTCCCTGTATGAATGTATGGCACAATTTTATTTTCTCTGTCTTGCTGAAACCACAGACTGCTTTCTTCTGGCGACAATGGCCTATGACCGCTATGTGGCCATATGCCACCCACTGCAGTACCACACCATGATGTCCAAGACGCTCTGCATTCGGATGACCACAGGGGCCTTCAAAGCTGGAAACCTGCATTCCATGATTCATGTAGGGCTTTTATTAAGGTTAACTTTCTGCAGGTCTAATAAAATTCACCACTTTTTCTGTGATATTCTTCCACTGTATAGACTCTCCTGTACAGATCCTTCTATTAATGAACTAATGATATATATCTTTTCAATACCAATTCAAATCTTTACCATTGCTACTGTCTTGATCTCTTATCTCTGCATCCTTTTGACTGTTTTCAAAATGAAATCCAAGGAGGGAAGAGGTAAAGCATTTTCTACCTGTGCATCCCACTTTCTCTCTGTCTCAATATTTTACATTTGTCTTCTCATGTATATTGGACCATCTGAAGAAGGAGATAAAGATACACCAGTGGCAATATTTTATGCAATAGTAATCCCATTACTAAACCCTTTTATTTATAGTCTGAGAAATAAGGAGGTCATAAATGTTCTTAAAAAAATTATGAGGAATTATAACATTCTTAAACAAACTTGCTCTATAGCAAATTTATTTTTAATTTATTAAAATGCTTTCATAAAGAGGGAACATAGAAAAATTAATATGTGATTTTACACAAAATGTAAGCTTATAAATCATTAGGCTATGTTTGTTTAAAAAATATATCAATGGAATTTCAAAATTGTTTCACAAATCTTTATCCAAATCCCACAACCAGAATGAATCGGGGAAACTCACTGGTAACTGTTATTACTACCTTTCATGACTCTCATGGAATTGTCAGAGAGTATTATCCTAAACCTCAATTAATCAACATAGCATGAAAGTTAAATGTTTAAATGTGTAGAAGAGTCTTCTTTGATTAATGTTTCCTAGTTAATGGAAGACATTATATCCAATCCTATGTAGCGTGTTTGAAACATTTAAAATTTCCTGGCAGAAAAGTGAAATGATAGTTTTCTTTCAGAAAACTGACCTGAGAGACACATGTGGATTACTTTAGAGTGGAAAAGACTAGAAGCAAACTAATTGCAGTAATTTATATTTAAGGTAATGAAGTTTTATTTAGATAAGATTGCAAGAATGAAAAAAAATGAAAAGGAACACACACACACATACACAGACATATACAGACACAGACACACACATACACACATGCAAAGAGGCTCACCTACAAAATATTCTATTTTGCAGAATAATTAATTGTGACTTATAACAAATTGGACAGAGTAGATTAAGGTCTACTTTAGCCAGAAGCATAATTAAGTTCCTTTTCATTCTTGAAGGCATCAACCATGTTATTGGCTATGTATTATATATAACTACAGTTTACATATTAACACTCATTAAACATTTTAAAACATATTAATAATGACATTGTTTTATTTTTGAGTAATGGTAAGCTGTACCAATATTTTATGTGTTTATTGACCATTTTTACTTTTATGAATTGTCATTTTTGTTTTGTCTGTTTTATTTCTTATTTATATCATTGTTTACAGAGAAAAGACATCACAACTATTTGTGGCAAATAATTCTTCTGTGGGTTGATAGTCTTAGTATTTGTTTCTGATATTTATAAATATTTTAATTTAATATACTCATATTTACTTATTTTTTCTATGATCTCTTTCATGCATTTCATCCAGAATTTCTTTTTTAATCCAGTCTACTATTAACCAATATTTCTTTTTCTCCTTTTCTTATTTCTCTTCTTCTCCTTCTCCCTATTTTCCTCCTCCTTCCTTTTTTGATATTTTAAATTTTTGCAACTTGACTCTTGATTCTTCCTGGAATTTATTTAGTATATGGCATATTAAAGATATAACTTTATTTGGCTGTTTCTCTAAAAAATATTTATAAACTAATTTAATTCAAATAAACACTCAGGAGAACTTCTTTGGGAACCTGGCAAAATGAATTTAAAATTTTTTCATATTCTAGATTTTTCTAGAAAATAAAAAAAATACCTTATGTGTTATATATTAAAATATATGATAAAATTCCAATAATGATAACAGTTTGGTTTTAAATCAAGAATCAATAAACAAACCAACAGAACAAATCAGATTGTTCAAAAGTAAACTCTCATATAAAATAAGAAGGGCATCACAAATAACAAGGAAATAAAGGATTGTTCAGTAGCCGTGGGACAACTGGGTAACTATCTCTTCCATTCATGTTAAAATGTATATCTTCCTGTCATTTAGATATATATTTGTAGACAAAATTTGTATTTCCTTCATTTTTCATAGTTTGATTTTTAATATACAGCAACCAACTGGAATTTATTTTATAATGTTATAAAGTGAGAATTAAAATTTGATTTATGGCTAACCAGTAGTCCCAGAAGCATTTATTGACAAACTCTTCTCTAACTGATTTCTTATGTCTCCTTTTTGTACATTTATGCTCATACATTCACATGTACATGCATACACAGAGAGGTCTATTTCTAGCCCGTTTGTACAACAAAAACAAGACGGTTCTAGTTCGTACACTTCTGTCTCAGGAGGGAAGATGGACATTTTAAAAGGCAATCAAACTAAAAAGCTATAAGTTATAATTGAGGAAGACTCTTATGCTTCTACCTAAAGTCTATTGTTAGGGTTCTATAACATTTATATATAAAATATCTATTCACTCTATTCTTTCTTTCTATGTGACCTCATCTATTTTTTTTTTTTTGGCCTTTAATTTCATCAATATGAAGATGGCTCAGAATGTATATTTCCACCTCTGATATCCTCCCTGCTCTCCAGTCTCACATGTGCAACTGCCTACTTCACATAATTACTTAAATGTTGCAAAGACATCTCAAATTCAACATGATCAAAGCACAAGTCTTGAATTTCCCACTAAACATGGTCCTCCCCTGGTCTTCTCCATTATGATGGTCACATCCTCCAACCAGCTGGGCAAGGCAGAAATTAAGAGAACCCCACACAACTCTGTCTCCTATCACAACCAAACTTTCATGATATCTGTCAACTTAGTCTCTGAAGTCTATCTTAAATGTGCCAAATCTCTCCACTTACACCACATGTACATAATTTCATCTCTCACCTGAACAATATCATTAGCTTCAAACTCGTCTCTGTGCTTTTGCTCCTTTTTATTTTTTAATGTATATTTACAATACGATTTAAAAATAGTACTAAAAGGTGAATTCCAAAAACTACAGTCTCTTGCCTACCATGACTTAGGTATTTCATCCACAACAACCTTCTAATTTTTTAAACGATTTCTCTGAAAATTTATCCTTATATTTCTCAGTATCAGTTTTAATCATATTAATCAATTTCCCATTACAGTAAATGAATATTAAGTTATTTATTAAACACCTCCCCTTCCCTTCATTCTTGATGATATAACATAATTTTTTTTTTTTGAGATGGAATGTCACTCTGTTGGCCAGGCTGGAGTGCAATGGCATGATATCGGCTCATTGCAACCTCTGCCTCCCAGGTTCAAGCAATTATCCTGCCTCAGTCTCCCAAGTACCCAGGACTGCAGGCACATACCACTGTGCCCAGCTAATTTTTTATATTTGTTTCTAGAGACGGGGGTTTCACCATGTTGACCAGGCTGGTCTTGAACTCCTGACCTCGTGATCTGCCTGCCTCAGCCTCCCAAAGTGCTGGGATTACAGGCATGAGCCACTGTGCCCGGCCCAACAAAATTTTTTATAATTCAATAACGACTTTTTATGAGGGACATGCAAATACAAGAACTAGTTTACCATGCTTATATTTCTTTTTCTTTACACCTGTAAATTTTTTTAAAGTTAATAAAAACTTCATATTCCTATTTGCTCATTCACATCCATTATGTATCCATCAAATTAATCAACCATATTAAATAATCATGAGTTCTTTTTTTACCCTGGAGACTTCTTTTCTGGTGGCCTCCACCCTCCTGCTCCAGTCTGGACAATTTGCTCTCTAGACCCAATATTCAGCCGTCCTGCTGAGACTTTTATTTTTGATTTCCTGTTTTAAGTAACTCAGTATTCAAGCTCTCCATCTTTCTCTTAATTGTTCATTCCCTCTTTTTGCTGACTGCTCTTTGGCAATTTTTTTCCACATGATTAATAATTTGATTTCTTTAAAATTCTAGGTTATAAATAATTTTTCTTCTGAACGCTGAAGTTATGCTTCCTTTATACTCTAGCATGATCTGCTGCTTTGGAGAAATTGCACGTTATTCTGATTCCCATTCTATTGTTTACCTGGAAACATTTAGAATATTTTCTTTATCTCTGACTTTGTGAAGTATCGGAATGAAAAAATTTAGCAATGTTGTCATCACTTTTTCTAGATAGTAGTGGAGTCTTGTTTCACTCGTTCTTCCCGCTTAGCTGTCTTTTCTTTTCCTTTCCTTTGCCTTGTCTTTTCTCCCTCTTTTCTTTCCTCCCTGCTTCCCTCCCTTTTTTTCTCTCTAAAAATTCAAAGTTTTACTTCCTTAATTAAGGCAATCCTGAATGTACAAGACAGATAAAATTTACATAGAAAGAGGAGAATAAATAAATTACCAGTTTTCAGAATCATAAATGTTTTCTTAATGACTGTGAAAACATTAACAATTTAAAAGTTGCCGTTATGAACTCAGCTTTTGTTTTCTGGAAAAGTCTTCATTTCTCCCTCATGTTTGAAGGATATTTTTACTGGACACACTATTCCAGGGTAAAACTTTTTTTCCTTCAGCACTTCAAATATGTCATTCTACTCTCTCCTGGTCCTAAGGTTTCCTCTGGAAAGTCTGTTGCCACACCTATTGTATCTCCTTTGTATGTTATTTGTTTCTTTTTGCTTGCTGCTTTTAAGAATCTTTTTTTTAATCCTTGACCTTTGGGAATTTGATTATTCAGTGCTTTGAGGTAGTCTTCTTTGGTTTAAATCTGCTTAGTGTTCTATAACCTTCTTGTAATTAGATATTGATATATTTCCCTAGGTTTGAGATGTTCTCTGTTATCCTTTTGAATAAACTATCTACCCCATCTCTTTCTGTATTCCTTTTTAAGTCAATAACTCTTAGATTTGCCCTTTTGAAGTTGTTTTCCAGATCCTGTTGTTGTACTTCATTATTTTTATTAATTTTTTTTACTTTTCTCTCCTGACTGTACATTTTTAAATGGCCTGTCTTCAAGCTCACTAATTCTTTCTTCTGCTTGATCAATTCTGCTATTAAAGGACTCTAATGCATTTTTTAGTATGCCAATTGCATTTTTCAGCTTCAGAATTTCTGCTTTTTAAAAACTGTTTGAATCTGTTTGTTAAATTTTTCTGATAGAATTCTGAATTCCCTCTCTGCATTATCTTGAATTTCTTTGCATTTCCTCAACACAGCTACTTTGAATTCTCTGTCTGAAAGGTCACATATCTCTGTTTCTCCAGGATTGGTTCCTGGTGCCTTATTTTGTTCATTTGGTGGGGTCATGATTTTCCAGATGGTGTTTATGCTACTAGATGTTTGTCAGTGTCTGGGCATTGAAGAATTAGGTATATTGTAGTCTTTGCAAGTCTGGGCTTGTTGGTACTAGTACTCCTTGAAAAGGCTTTACAGATATCTACGAGGACATGGATGTTTTGATATAAGTTTTATCTGCTTTGGAGGACACCCGAAGCCCACTAATGCTGTGGTTCTTGCAGACTTGTAGAGTTATCACCTTGATTGTCTTGGACAATATCCAGAAGAGTTCTCTGAATTACCAGACAGAGACTCTTGTTCTCTTCCCTTGCTTTCCTCAAACAGATGGAGTCTCTCTCCCTCTCAGTTCTGAATTTGAAGTTGGGGATAGGGTGACACAAGAACCCCTGTGGCCACCACCACTAGGACTGTGCTGAGTCAGACCTAAAGCCAGCACAGCCCTGAGTCTCACCCAAGGCCTGATGTAACAACCCCCTGGCTACCACTTTTGTTTGCTCAAGGTCCTGGGGCTCTACAATCAACAGATGGCAGCACAAGCCAGGCCTGTGTCTTTCCCTTCTGGGTGATGAGTTCCCCTAGGCTCTTAGAGAGTTTTAGAGGTGCTGGCCCTGGGAGGGTTGAGAGGTGCTGTTCAAAAGGCAGGGACTGGAGTCAACAACTTTAGAAGTCTACCTGGTATTCTATTGTTCTGATGCTAAACTGAAACTCAAATCACAAGATACAGTTCTTCTCACTCTTCTCTCCCCTTTTTAAAGGCAGAGGAGCCTCACTCTGTGGCTACCACCACCATAGGCCCATGGGGAATACTGCCAGACTACTGTTGATATTCTCTTAAGGCCCAAGGGCTTTGAAGTCACCTTGTGGTAAATGCTGCTTGGCCTGGGACTCACCCTTCTGGTCAGTGGGTTCCTCTCTGGCCCAGGGCAGGTCCAGAAATGCCATTCAAGAACCACGTTCTAGAATCAGGGACTCCAAGAGCCCACTTCATGCTTTACCCACCTGTGGCCAAGCTGGCACTTAAGCTGCAAGACAAATCCCCTTACTTTTCTCTCAGCTTTCCTCAAGCGGAAAAAAATCTTGCCCCATAGCTGCCACAGCTGGAAATGTGTTGAGTCTCACCTGAAGTCTGCAAGTCTCACAGTCTCACCCAAGGCCTTTGATGTGTACCTGTGTATCGCTGCTGGCATTTAGGGCCCAAATGCGCTTCAGCTTGTTGATGATGAATGCTGCCCAGGCTGGCAGCATTCCTTTAAAATCCTTCCTTTAAAGGTAGTGGATTCCCTTTTGGCCCAGGATGTGTCTAGGAATGTCATCCAGGAACCAGGCCCTGGAAAAAGGGCCTCACATCTCTGACCAGTACACTAACTTATGTGGCTGGGTTGGTATTTAAGATGTAAGACAAAGTCCCCCTTACTCTTCCCTCTCCTCTCCTCAAGTGGAAGAAAGGAATCTCTTTTAGAGCCATGAGCTGTGCAGCCTGGGGTTACTGGAAGGGTGATGATGCCAGCACTCCCTTATCCATCCTGACTGGTGTCTGAGTAGGTTGTGTGACCCCCGCATTCCACTGCCTCTGAGCCAAGTTCAGCACTAGGACTTGCCTCCAAGTTTCAGTGCCTGTGGCCTAGACATCCTTTCAAATTTATTAGGTCCCCATAGCACTTTAGCCTGTGGTGGCAAGGCTTGTGAGAACTCAAGGTCTGACCACTGGGATCCACGACTCTCCTCTGGCTAGTGCTCGTTTAAATGCTCTCTCTGAGGGCAGGCATCAGCTGAGTTGGTCTGGTTTTGCTTTCTGTTATAACAGGTCATCACTGAGTTCAATGCCTCACAATAGTTTCACTCTTCTTCTCCCCAAGACACAACAATGTTCTCTGTACCAAGCCACTGCCTTGAGAGGAGTGTGTGTGGAGGAGGGGTGGCATTGGCACTTGAAGAGTGTTTTTTCTATCTCATCAGTGCCTCTTTCAGTGGCATGAAGTTAAAACCAGGTACTGTGTGTACTCACCTGATTTTTTGTTCTAATGAAGGTGCTTTTTTGTTAGATAGTTGTTAAATTTGTGTCCTTGGGAAAGGATGATGATCAAGGAAGCCTCTTATTCCACCATCTTGCTTCTAAGTACTTAATTTGAGGTTACAAATGGATTCAGAGTTCAATTACTTACCCTAGGAAATAGTTGTCACATTGCAAGTAGTTATAATTTTCAACAAATACTAGAATGGAAGTCAGCATATATAAGTTACTTCCATTCAAAATTTGTGAAAAATTTCTGGAATCCTGAGCATAACCTTGCAAAATCAGTCATATTCTAAGTTTGAAACTATTAATCCCTTTTAAATCAACACTATCTGTGAGAAGTAAATCGCATGTTTGAATATTATTCTCAACTTCCTTTGAATTCATTCAAAAGATTATATTGAATATGGATTCACATGGGATTTTTATGTTCTAATGAAGAAAATTTTTATATTTACTGATGGAAATTTTAATTTTAAATTTAAATGTTTTAATTAAAATTTTAAAAACTTTCTCTCAAGTTCTCAGAAATAGAGTATCTGTATGATGGTGATTTTTCTATCTCTGGTTGAAAATAAGTCTATTTTTACTGAAATGCCTATGGATTTAAATTTTTCATGTAGTTTGCTTAATTGCTCATCATATATGACAGCGCCATTTCTGACTGTATTGATTAAATCAAGTTGCTTTTCACCCTAGTATTATTTCTTGTCTTATTTGTTAGAAATTCCACCAATCTGCAGTGATTTCAATGAATGTTGTTGATGTGTTCATAGCATTCACAGAAAGTGATGCTCATCATGCATAAGTGAGGCAGAAAGTAGTGAAAATTCCTAATAGCTAAACAAAGCTATTAGGTGAAGGGGTGGCCTGCCCCTCCACACCTGTGGGTATTTCTAGTCAGGTGGGACGAGAGACTGAGAAAAGAAATAAGACACAGAGACAAAGTATAGAGAAACAACAGTGGGACCAGGAGGACCGGCACTCAGCATACCAAGGACCTGCACCGACACCGGCCTCTGAGTCCCCTCAGTTTTTATTGATTATTATTCTCATTATTTCAGCAAAAAGGAATGTAGTAGGACAGCAGGGTGATAATAAGGAGAAGATCAGCAAAAAACATGTGAGCAAAAGAACCTATGTCATAATTAAGTTCAAGGGAAGGTACTATGCCTGGATGTGCACGTAGGCCAGATTTATGTTTCTCTCCACCCAAACATCTCAGCGGAGTAAAGAATAACAAGGCAGCATTGCTGCAAACATGTCTCGCCTCCCACCATAGGGTGGTTTTTCTCCTATCTCAGAATTGAACAAATGTACAACCGGATTTTATACCGAGACATTCAGTTCCGAGGGGCAGGCAGGAGATGGTGGCCTTCCTCTATCTCAACTGCAAGAGGCTTTCCTCTTTTACTAATCCACCTCAGCGCAGACACTTTACGGGTATTGGGCTGGGGGACGGTCAGGTCTTTCTCATCCCACGAGGCCATATTTCAGACTATCACATGGGGAGAAATCTTGGACAATACCCTGCTTTCAAGGGCAGAGGTCCCTGCGACTTTCCGCAGTGCATTGTACCCCTGGTTTATTGAGACTAGAGAATGGTGATGACCTTTACCAAGTATACTGCTTATAAACATTTTGTTAACAAGGCACAGTCCTAGATCCCTTAAACCTTGATTTCATATAACACATGTTTTTGTGAGCTCCAGGTTGGGTCAAAGTGGCTGGGGCAAAGCTACAAATTAACAACATCTCAGCAAAGCAATTGTTTAAAGTACAGGTCTTTTTCAAAATGGAGTCTCTTATGTCTTTCCTTTCTATATAGACACAGTAACAGTCTGATCTCCCTTTCTTTCCCTACGAAAATTCCTAATAGCTAAACAAAAATATCTTTTCATCACTTAAAAGTAAAAACATGAAAGAAAACTAATTTATACACCTATCCACCTATCTGCTATGCACTACTAGACTTTTTATATATATAAACTACCGATTAGGCCTTAATTCTTACACATTTCCTCAGTAGAAATCTCGTATCTTGAAATCCTGAATGTCTTGCCCAAATTCATTCAGCTCATCTGGATAGAGATAGACTTTGAATCAATATTGCCTTTTCTTTACATCCTTTGGAGTTTAGAAAAAGGATAACTTTTGTTTCATTAATCTTTTCTGTTATTTTATTATCAAATTCATTTATTTTGCTCCAATCTTATTTCTTTTCTTCTAATAATTTTTGGTTTCATTTTCTGTTGCTTTTCTAGATCTTTAAGATGCATCATTAAGTTGTTTATGGGAAACTTTCTACTTTTTTGATACAGCCACGTATTGCTATAAACTTTCCTCTTACACCACTTTTGCTATATCCCATGGGTTTTGATACATTGTTTCTATTTTTATTTATTTTGAGAAATTTCTAAATTTTCCTTTTAATTTCTTCATTCATTTAATGTTGTTTAGGACCACATTGTTTAATTTTCATTTGTTCGTAGAGTTTCCGAAGTTCCTCTTGTTATTGATTTTTTGTCTTATTCCATTGTGGTCAGAATATATACTTAATATAACTTCTTTAAAAAAACTGAGACTTGTTTTTTGGCCTAACATGTGGTCTAAGCTTGAGAATATTCCATGTGCTGAGGAGAAGAACATGTATTCTACAAGCTGTTAGATAAAATATTCTGTAAATGTCTATTAGGTCCATTTGATCTATAGTGCAGTTAAATCTGATATTTCTTTGCTAATTTTATGTTTAGATGGTGTGTCCAATTCTGGGATAGGATGTTGAGGTACCAGGTATTATTATATCTGTCTTTAGCTTGAGTAATATCTTCTTTATTTCTTCTAATGCTCCAGCATTGGGTGCATATATATTTGCAATTTTTATATCTTCTTGTTGAATTAACCCTTTTCTCATTAAATAATAGCCTTCTTTGTCTCTATTTATAGTTTTTATCTTCAAATGTATTTTATCTGTATTTTCTGATAGAAATATAGCTACTCCTGCTTTATTAGGTTCTTATTTCATAAAATGTCTTTTTCCATTTCTTAAATTTTAGTCTATGTGTGTCTTTATAGGTGCAGTGAATTTCTTGTAGGCAGCATATGGTTGGGCCTTGGGTTTTATTTATTTATTTATTCAGTCACATCTTTTTCGGGAAGAATTTAGACTATTTATACTCAATTTTATTGATAGTAAGAATTACACTGTTGTTTTATTATTTGTTTTTTAGTTGTTTTGTTGGTTCTCTCACTTTTATTTATTTATTCCTATTTTTCTTTGTGTAAAAGTGATTTTTCTTGGGTGATATGTTTACATTTCTTGCTTTTATTTTTTTCATATCTTTTATAGGTATTTTTGGATGTTACCAGGAGGCTTGCAAATAACATTCTATAATCAATTATTTCCAACTCATGACAACTTAACTGTGATTACAAAGAAACAAACAAAAAACAAAAAGAAAAGTAAAAAACTCTAGTCTTCAAGTCCATTTCCCCTGCCTTTTGACTTTTTGTTATCTCTATTTATATCTTTTTATCTAGTCTATCTCTTTAAAAGTTGTTGTAGCTATTTTTTTTATTAATTTGTCTTTTAGTCTTCCCACTAAAGGTATACATGGTTTTACACATTGCAATTACAGTGTTAGAGAATTCTGTATTTCTCTGTGTTACTGTTACTGGTGAGTTTTATACCTTCAGATGATTTATTGTTGCTTGTTAAGGTACTTTCTGTTTAGATTGAAGAACTCCTTTTAAAATTTCTTATAAGACAGGTCTGGTATTGATAAAATATTTTAGCTTTTGTTTGTCTAGGAAAGGGTTTGTTTCTCCTTCATGTTTGAATGATAATTTAATGAATATAATATTCTAAGTTGGAATTTTTCTTTCATCACTTTGAACCTTTCATCCCACTCCTTTCTAGTCTGTAAGGTTTCCTATGAGAAGCTTGATGCCAGATGTATCAAAACTCTTCTATATTTTATTTGCTTCTTTTCTCTTGCTGTTTTTAGGGTCTTTTCTTTATCCTTGATCTTCGAGAATTTGATTGTCATCTGCCTTAAGGTAGTCTTATTTGGGTTGAATCTTTTGAGGTTCCTTAACCTTCTTGTACCTAGATATTCATGTCTTTCTCTAAGTTTGAAAAGTTCTCGCTGTTATTTTTTAAATAAACTTTCTACCCCATCTCTCTCTCTGCATCACCTTTAAGGCCAATAACTCTTAGATTTACCCTTTTGTGGCTATGTTCTTAATCTTATAGGCATGCTTAAGGAAAAATAATTTTATTTAAGAAAAAGTATTATATGGTCAGTTTTGCTTTGCTTAGGAAAACAAAAACTGAGATAATTTTTTTAAATTAAGGTTATTACATCCATGTATTTTCCTGTATGTTCTTTTAAGTCATTGTAACATTGGGTTACAGGGTTTTAACTCCTGGGTCTAAAAAGGACACAGAGTCCTGCTAAATCTTAAACACTGACAGCAATTAAAGCCTCATCTTCAGGCCCCATAGAAGATGCCAATCAAAATAAACTACATTCCTGAGACACAGGACAAAGAATAAGCTATTCAATTCCTCAAAGCCCAGGCCAAGGACTATTGCAGAACAAGTGGGAGCATAAGATTGTAAGGGCAAATTTTGAAAGATAAAATAAGTTCCATTCCTCTATAAATTAATCATTAGTATAGAAGGCACAGTGATGCAAAACCAGTATATAGACTCCCATGTCAGATCAATAAGGTTTTCTTGAAACATTAACCAACTCCTTAATAAAGGTTATAAAAGGCTTATGGAAGTTATATTTTATAATCAAAATTAAATTTTATTGATTGTTTACAAAATTTTGAAAAACAAATGTAATTGGCTTCATGCTGTTTTTAATTAGAATTTTTAGTTAGAAAATTAAGTCTCCTTGCTCAAAGAATGAAGGTTTTTACTTTTTTGGAAATCCTTGAATTATCACTTTGGTTAAATGACTTTACAATGACCTGTAATCTTATTTTGTAATATCAAGTGTTTAAAACCTTTTATATTTGACAAACTTTCCAAAATCAAATTATAAATTATGTCTTTTTGTAACCTAATTAATCTTTTAAGACATTAGGCTCCTTAAAGTCCAAAAAAATGACATAGTTTGGCTTACTGGGTATAAAAATTATACAGGAAGCATTGTCAAATATGAAATAGTGTTTGGTTTTCTTTGGGCTGTATTTGTATAAATATGTTATTAGTATGTGTTCCAAAATTATAGGAAACTCCTGTAATTCTGATATAACTTATTGTACATTATCAGTAATAATCATAATCATTATGTCAAAATTAGTGAACCACAGATATAACAAATTTCCTTGTCAATTGTGTCTTTTGACTATGATTGCCTTACACCTTTTTTTTCATCCACAGACAATTGTTCTTGGAGTGTTCTTGGACATGATTGTCTTGTTTTGGTCTTGTTTAAAAGGTAGCTTTATAATCAGCTATAAAACTCCTACAGGTGCTCTTAAATGCAGGTTTCTGATAACTCTGGAGATTGTGACATCAGAATAGAGGAAAAACTTTCAGGACTCATGGAGAGCTGAAATGTTCACGGGTGGGGGTAGGGGGGCTTGCTTTGAGCTGTCTCAGCCTTACTGGATGGAACTAATGTACTTCTTACATATTGATTGCTGTCTCATGTCTCCCTAAAATATATAAAACCAAGCTGTGCCCCGACCATCTTGGGCACATGTCATCAGGACTTCCTGAGGCTGTGTCACGGGTACATCCTCAACCTTGGAAAAATAAACTTTCTAAATTAACTGAGACCTATCTCACATTTTGGGGGTTCGTAGATAAGGGAGAATCCGCTGGGTTACTAGGAAACATCTCTTGCTCTCTTCTCTCTATTTTCTGCAATCAGAAGGAGTATCTCTTCACCCTGGGCTGCCTAGAGTTGGAGGAGGGGTGATGGGTGCACCC
The DNA here is from genome assembly GCF_000001405.40 of Homo sapiens. Lineage (NCBI taxonomy): Eukaryota > Metazoa > Chordata > Mammalia > Primates > Hominidae > Homo > Homo sapiens. The sequence goes on from NC_000003.12 coordinate 98,367,650, forward strand.
TTGTGGCCAGCTCAGCTGGCACTGTGCAGGGTTGCACCTGGGTCTGCAGCCACTACTACCTGGCTGGCTTCAACTGATATTTATTCAAGGCTCTAGACCACATTAGTCAGCAGGTGGTGAATTCTGCCAGGACTGGGTTCATCCCATCAGGACAATGAATTTTCTTCTGTCCCAGGGTGGGTCTAGAAATGTCATTCAGGAGCAAAGCAAAGACCTAGAATCCAGGGCTTCAGGAATCTGCCTGGTGCTTTATTTTACTGGAGCTGAGCTGGTATCCATGCTGTAGGCCATAGTCCTCCACATCTTTCCCTCTCCATCCACCAAGCAGGAGTCTGTCCTGGAACTGCACTGCCTGGAGTTGGGGAGAGGTAATACAGGTGAGCCCTTGACCACTACAGCTGGTGTCACACTTGGTTACACCATATGTTCTCTGCCTCCAAGTGTATCACCAGAGCTTACCCTAAACCGTAGACCTTGTGGCCTGACTAGCACTCAAATTTTTTCCAGGCCCCAGACCACCTTAGCAAGCAAATGGAGAAGCCAAGACTCAAGATTTTACCACTGAAGCCGGGAATCTCCCTCTAGTCCAGGGCTTGTTGGAATGCTTCTTCTGTGTGAGCTGGCAGAATTCTGCTCTGTGCTATGTTCCACTGTGACAGGGCAGCACTGAGTTCCAGTGCAAAGTTCCACAATCACTTCACTCTCCCTCCCCCAAGCACACAGATTGTCTCTCCCATGCTATGCTACCTGCAGTTGAGAGAGGGGTGGTATAGACAACGCAGGTCTTTACTTCCCAAGTTCTTCAGTGCCTCTTTTCTTAATGCTATGTTTAAACCAGGTACCGAGGTCACTCACTCAATTTTTTTGTTCCTATGAAGGTACTTTCTTGTGTGGATAGTTGTTTAATTTAGTGTTTGTGTGGAGAGACAGTCACTGGAGGACTCTATTTGGTCATCTTGCTCTACCTCCCTCTACTTTTACTTTATTGATTTTGTAGCTCAAATCATTCCAATTTTGGCCACCGAAGCTATTTCCCTCGCCTCCTGTGTGCTTTTGACAAACACCCATAATTGTGTATATGGGATGTGTTTTTGTTGGTTTATTTTTGGCACTTTTTTATTGGCTGCTAGTATATCTCATATATTTCCCGCAGCATTCCTAGAATCAGCTATTTCTTTCAGAAGGCCTGGATTTTTGTAATTGGAGGATGGTATTACAAACCAGATCTGGGTGATAGATGTGCTGACTGCTTCTAGAGTATTATTGCTCTAGGTGCTCTCAGCTGTCAGAGTGAGCATATGTGTCTTCTTGCTGCTCCACATTCTTGTCAATAATTGATATTTAATTTCTTATTGTAACCATTCTAAGTATCTACTTATTGTTTTAATTTGCAATTACCTAAGGAAAAATAATGTTGAACATCTTCTCATGTTCTTATTTGCCTTCTTTATATCTTCTTTGGTCAGATGTTTGTTCAGATCTTTTACCCTTTTTTTTTTTTTTTTTTTTTTTTTGAGATGGAGTTTTGCTCTTGTCACCCAGGCTGGAGTGCAATGGCACGATCTCGGCTCACTGCAACCTCTGCCTCCCAGGTTCAAGCAATTCTCCTGCCTCAGCCTCCCAAGTAGGTGGGATTACAGGCATGCACCACCGCGCCCAGCTCATTTTTTCTATTTTTAGTAGAGATAGGGTTTCTCCATGTTGGTCAGGCTGGTCTTGAACTCCCCGACCTCAGGTGATCCACCCGCCTCAGCCTCCCAAAGTGCTGGGATTACAGGCATGAGCCACTGAACCCGGCTACCTTTTTTTAAATTGGATTGTTTCTTTGCTTATTGTTGAACTTTATATTATGTATAAAACCCTTCATCAGAAATGTGTTTGTTAAAGTTTACTTAGAGTCTACGGCTTATCTTTTGATACTCATAAAAGTGTCTTTCTCAGAGAAGATGTTTTAAATTTTAATATAACTTAAACTTACCTATTTTTTTCTTTTATGGATTGTGCTGTTGGTGTTGTATCTAAAATTCATGAGCATACTGAAGAGCACCTACATTTTCTCCTATGTTTTCTTCTGGAAGTTTTATAGTTCTAGTTTTACATTTTAGACTTATAATCCACTTTGAGTCAGCACTTGTGAAATATGTATGGTGTATGTCTAGGCTTACGTTATTTGAATATGAACATCCAAGTGTTCCAGCACCATTTGTGTAAAGATCATCCTTTATTGAAATGCCTTTGTTAGTTTGTCAAAGATTACTTGACTATAATTATGTGGGCCTATTATAGTCCATCTATTCTGTTATCTTAAACTTGTGTATATTCTTTTAATAATACCATGCTGTACTGATTACCTTAGCTTTATAGAAGTCTTGAGATCTGGTAGTGTGAGTGTTCCAACCTTGTTCTTCTTCAGTGTTGTGTTGGCTATGCTAGTCTTTTGTTTTCTCATATAAACTTTAAAATAATATTTTTAATTATCAATAATGCTACTCTGAACATTTGTGTAGAATTTTGTGTATGAGCAAGTGTTATCATTTCCCTTGGGTACATACTAGGAGTGAAATTGCTGGGTCATATGTCAACTCTGTTTACTTCTTGAGGAAATGTTTGACTGCTTTCCAAAGTAGCTGCAGTGTTGTATATTCCCAGTAGCAATATATGATTCTTCCAACTTTGCCACATCTTCAACATCTGTTATTGTCTTTCTTATTATAGCCATTAGAGTTCATGTAAACTGGTATCTAATTGTGGTTTTGATTTGCATTTCCTTGATGGCTAATAATGTTGAGCACCTTGTTATGTACTATTAGCTATTCACATCTCTTCTTTGGAAAAACAACTACTCAGATCCTTTGACATTTTTATAAAGAAGTAACTTGTAATTTTATTATTAAGTGGTAAGAGCTGTTCATTAATTATAGATATATTTCCCTTATCAAACATATGATTTTCATATATTTTATCCTATTCCATTGGTTGTCTTTTATTTTCTTGATGGCATTCTCTGAGGTAAAGTTTCTAATTTTGATGAAGTCTAGTCTATTTTTGATATGTCACTTATGCTCTTGGTGTCATATTTAAGAAAATGTTGCAAAATCCAAGGCCACAAATATTTATATCTGTGTTTCTTTTAACACATTATAGTTTTATTACTAACACATTATAGTTTTAGTTTACAAATAGGGGTCCAAACTCATTTTTTACATGTAGATTCCCTGCTGTTCCACACAATTTGTTTAGGAGACTATTCTTTCCCAACTGATTTATACTTCCATCCTTACACCAGTGCCAAACTGTTTTGATTATTTTAGATTTTTAATCATTTTGAAATCAAGAAATGTGAATCCCCAGCTTTATTTTTATTATTAAAGAAATAGACTAATAAACCAATGGAAAAGAATAGAAGCCCACAGATAAAACTGTGCATATATAATCAAAAATCTTCACAAGGGCATGAAGAATATGCACTGGGGAAAGGATAATCTACACAATGACCAATGCTTGGAAAAGTAGATATGCACATGCAAAAGAATAAAATTGGACTCTTAGGTTACATCATACACAAAAATCAGCTCAAAATGGATTAAAGACTTAAACCTGAAACTGTAAAACTCCTTAAAAATAACAAATAAGTTCCTTGATTATTTTTAAAAATCACACCAAAATCTCAAGCAAGAAAAACAAGTGAACAAACAGAATACATCAAATTAAAAACTGTCTGCACAGCAAAAAAAAAAAAAAGAAAGAAAAAGAAAAAAAAAGATTACCAAAATGAAAAGGCAAACTACCAAGTGGAAGAAAATACTTGCCTACCATGATTCAATAAGACATTGTCTAAAATATATAAGTAATCATACAAGTCAATAGGAAATAAACAAGCCAATTTAAAAATAGAAAAAGGACCTCCAAAGATATTTTTCCAAAGAGCATATACAAATGTCCAGCAAGTGTAAGAAAAGGTGCTCAGGCAAGGGTTGGTGGCTCACACCTATAATCCCAACACTCTGGGAGGCCAAGTGGGGAGGATTGCTTGAGGCTAGGAGTTCAAGATCATCCTGGACAACATGGAGAGATCCGATCTCTAAAATAAATTTTAAAAATTAGTGCTTGTGGTGGGATGTGCCTGTAGTTCCATCTACTCATGCTATTCAAGAGCCTGAGACAGGAGGATCCCTTGAGTCCAGGAGTTTGAGGCTACAATGAGTTGTGATCACACCACTTTGCTCCAACCTGGGTGACAGAGCAAGAGCCTATTTCAAAAAGAAAGAAAAGAAAGAAAGAAAGATAGAAAGAAAGAAAGAAGAAAGAAAGAGAGAGAAAGAGAGAGAAGAAAGAAAGAAAGACAGACAGAAAGAAAGAAAGAAAGAGAAAAAGAAAGAAAGGAAGGAAGGAAGGAAAAAGAAAGAGAGAGAAAAGGAAGAAAGGAGGAAAAAGGAAAGGGAGGGAAAGGGGAACAGGAAGGGAAAAGAAAGGAAAGGGAAAGGGGAAGGGAAGGGTGGTTAGTCAATATCACTAACTCTCCAGGAAATGCAAATCAAAACCACAGTGAGACATCACCTAACACCTGTTAAAATTGCTATTATAAAAAAAGACAAGAGATAACAAGTGTTGATGAAGATGAGGAGAAAGGAAAACCTTTGCACATGGTTGGTGAAAATAAAAATTGGTATAGCCATTATGTAAAACAGTAAGAATTTCCTCACAATATTAGAACTAGAACTACCGAATGACCCAGTAATCCCACTTCTGAATATTTATTCAAAGGAAATGAAATCAAAATCGTAAAGAAATACCTGCATTCTCATGGTCAAAGGGAAGGGGAAGGGAGGGGAGGCGAGGGGAGGGGAGGGGAGGGGAGGGAAGGGGACAAGGAAAGAAAGAGAAGGGGAAAGGGAAAGAAGGAAGGAGGAAAGGGGAAAGGAATAGAAAAGAAAGGAAAGAAAAGGGAAAAGGGAAAAGAAAAGAGAAAGAAAAGAAAAGAAAGAAAAAATAAAAGAAAAGAAACAAAAGAAAAGAAAAGGTGCTCAATATTACCTCCCCCTGTTCATTGATCAGTCCTCCTGCTCCAGTCCAGACAGGTTGCACTCTAGACCCAATGCTCATCCTTCCAGCAGAGACTTCCCTTTTGCTGATTTCCCTGTTAGATATTCTGTTTCCAAACTCTCCATCTTCCTCTTCATGGTTCATTCCATCATTTTACTAAAAAATCTTGACGGGCTCTTTGGCAGCCTTTGTTCACACGCGATTTATATTTTAATTTGTGTGGAAATCTAAATTTGAAATAATTGTTCTTCTGCACTCTGAAGGCATTTTTCTTTTATAGTCTAGCATGCTGTGTTGCTTTTGAGAAATTGCATGTTATTCTCATTCCCATTTCTTGATTATCTCTCTGGAAACATTAAGGAGATTTTCTTTATCCCAGGCTTAATGGCATCTCAGAATGAATATTTTTGGCATTTAAAAAATTAATTTTTCTAGATAGTGTTGGATTCCTTGCATCTGTCCTCCTTCCCTGCCTAGCTCTATTTTTTCCTGTTTTGTCTTTACTTTTTTTACTCTTTTTTTCCTTTCCCATGTCTTTACTTTTCTTTTCCTCTTTTTCTCCTGTCTTTCTCTCTCTCTATTTTTTTTTTTTTTTTTTTTTGAGACGGAGTCTCGCTCTCTCCCAGGCTGGAGTGCAGTGGCGCGATCTCCGCTCACTGCAGGCTCCGCCCCCCGGGGTTCACGCCATTCTCCTGCCTCAGCCTCCCGAGCAGCTGGGACTACAGGCACCCGCCACCACGCCCAACTAATTTTTTGTATTTTTAGTAGAGACAGGGTTTCACCGTGTTGGCCAGGATGGTCTCGATCTCCTGACTTCGTGATCCGCCCGCCTCGGCCTCCCAAAGTGCTGGGATTACAGGCGTGAGCCACCGCGCCCGGACTTTCTTTCTCTCTTACTCTTTACAAATTCAGTTTTATTTTCTCAGTGAATACAAACCTGAGAGCTCCAAATAGATACAATCCACATTAAAAAGCAGAATAAATAAACCTGTCAGTTTTCAGAATAATAAGTGTTGTCTAATAGCCTATGAAGATTATTATTTTCAAAATTATCACTATGAATTCATAGATTTTAACATGTTATCAACTTAATAAATTATAATTATTATTCTTTGACCGATAGGAGCTCAAATCAAAAATACCATATTGGTTTCTCAGTCCTTCGGATATGACCTTAGTAGTCTCTGACAGATTTCTTGTTGTCTGGTACAGATGTCAAGGCTGACAAAGTGAGACTTTGTCTCAAAAAAAAAGAAAAAATGTCTAGGCTACTCATGTGTATTTTTTTTCTGCCTCACAATGGGATATTAGATATTTTTCCAGAGGCCAATAGGTAATAATTTTCACAGTTTTCTGGTTTCTAATTTCTTTCTTTTTTTAAAAAAGAAACAAACTTTCCAAACACAAATATACACACTCTTATTTCCCCTTCTTTCTTACTCATAAGACCGTGTGTGTGTGTGTGTGTGTGTGTGTGTGTGTGTGTGTCCAAACACATATTTTGCCTTGATTTTGGCTTTTGCTCTTCATTTTTATTTTTTTTTACTTTACAAAATAACCTGTAAATTGTTACATATCAGTAGGTATTAATATTTTCCTTTTTAACACTCACATAGTACTCCACTGTGCATTTAATTAACTGTTTTTATATCTATAGATACAGAGTTTCTTTCCAATACTTTATCTGATACATCTCAATCATCACTTTATTTGTAACTTTTTGACTCTCCTTTGTTTTAGCTACATCTCTTGTACAAAGCATAGAGCTAGATTTTTTCTTTTGAAGCAAGTCCGAAAATATCTTTCTTGTAATAGTTTAGTTGAATTCATTTTTATTAACTTCAATGACTGACATGTTTAGTCCAAATTCTATCATATTATTTCATTTAATATTTATCAATGGTGTTGTATTTACTGTTTATTTATATCTTGTTTTATATAATTTTTATTTCTCCTGGTATTTCAGACAGTTTGCATTTTTGTTTTAGTTATCTTTACATTAACACCTTTATTACATACTCACTCTTCTGTGTCTGCACTTATAATGCTATTTTTGGTTTCTCTGCTTTAAATAATATTTTTTGACTACCACTAGTACTTATATTACAATCAGTGAGATTGTTCTATTTTAGCTTTCTCTCTTTACCTCTACTTATTTTGTTTTTACTTTTCATTTACTTTTTTATTATGATGCATTCATCATAATAATGATGATGCCTTACTTACAGAGATTTAAGATTTACAGAGGAGTCACAAAGATGGTATGGAGAGGTTTTATGCAGACTTCATCCAAGTTCCCTAATTTGAACATCGTACATAATCGTGACACACTTATCAAAACTAAGATGTTAATATTGTTGTAGTACCATTAACTAAAATATAGGCTTTATGTTGAACTTGAGATTTTTCCACTAATGTCATTTTCCTGTTTTGAGATCCTATTAGGAAGCCAAAGTTGTCAACTCTTCTTGGATTCCTCCAATCTATGACAGGTTCCTCTGTCTTTTCTTGCCATTCATGCCTTTGACACTTTTGAAGAGTACTGGCTACATATTTCATACAATGTCCTTTAGTTTTAGTTTGTCTGATATTTGTTCATGATTAGGCTTTTGTTAGGGATTTAAGGGAAGAATATCACAGAATGGAAGAGTCTTTGTCATTGTATCATATCTGAGGGTACATGATATCAACATGATTTACTACCGGTTTTGTTAGCCTGTATCACTTGGCTAAAGAAGGGTCTGCTACTTCATTCATTACATACATGACACTAATTCCAGGCTGCACTCAAGGGGATAGGAACTATGCTCTATTACCTAGAAACAGAACTATCAAATAATTTGTGAAAACATTATAACAGCATCCCAATATTGAATGAACATATTGGGGAGATACATTGAAACTATACAGATATCCTGTTTCTCAAAGTTTTATCCACTGGCTGACCTTGTTTTCAATAATTATAACTGTGATGCTCTAATGCTATTTTCTATTTCTCTGATTCTTTCCATATGTATAAATTGGAAAGTATAGCTTTGCTAGGTGTAAAATTCTTGGCACACACATTGTGTATGAGTTTATTGAAAATATTGATCCACAGTTATCTTACTTTGCATGTTACTGTTAGGAAGTCAGATACCAGTTTGATTTTCTTTCCTTGGAAGTGAGTTTGTATTTTCATGTGAAGGTGCATATGATTTTTCTTTATCTTAAAGTCTAACACTTTTATTAGGATGTATATTTGAGCTCACTATTCTGGATGATTTATGACAAGTGTGTTTCAATAGGCAGATTCAGGTCTTCTGTTATTTCCCAAAGTTTCTTAGATTATCATTTAAAATATTATTTCTTCTCCATTTTCTTCTTTTTTGGAAATTCCAATTTTATGTGTTGTGTATTGCCCTTGCTAATCTCATAGGCTGATCAGGTTGACTTTAATTCTTTTTATTACTTTTGGTGTTTATTTTTATTCCCCTAGTAGTTTTATTTTCTCTCTTCAACAGCCCTTATATAAATGATAGAATCTCTTACTCCTTGAAAATCTTAAAATTTAGTATTAGTTTTTTTAAATAATTACATCTGTTTCTCCAATTTATCTTTTACATTTAGCCAGTTCCCATTTTATATATTTCTTCTTGTCCATCTCTGTTCTAATTTTTTACTTTACATAAAAGATGATTTTACCTATCAGGAAGTACATGCTTAAATATAATGAATTCACGTTGTGGCATTGTGTCAGTTTTTCTCTCTATGGTTAGATTCTTTAAAAAACTTTTTGTCAAATGGAATGCTTTGATTTTCTATCTTCCTTTAATATTATTTTCATGTGGATGTAGTCTATTATTTTTCTGTTTGTTTTGAAACGCCTTTTTTCTTAGGATCATAATGATAGCTTATTCTATCAGGGATAAGGGAATAATGTATTTTGAAAGCCATTAGTTTGGGACACTATCTTTTGCTGGTACAGTGACTTGATATATTTTAATATATGGCTTATCTATGACGGTTATAAATTGCATCTTCTGATCTTGTAATTTTCTATTTTGGGTGTAGCAAATTGTTTAATCTACAGTCTCTAGGAAACAGACTCTGAGATGGAGATGTACATGTAAAAACTTGTTGAGGAATATCCTCAGGCCTATATTTATTAAGGAAAGAATAGCTGAATGTAGTCACAACAAAAGCCTTAGCCACTACTGCGGGGAAGTGAGGATTTTGGATGTCCCTTCAGAGACTGAATTGCATTAGGTGTAGGTGTTCAGGAATTTACACCTCCCATGAATAGTCATTGGTTGCAAGCTGTCCCCAAGGAAGAGATACAACTTTGATAAGACAGCTCTCTTCAGCTCAGGCCATTTCCTAGCAAGGGACTCAGTTGACAACTGCTAGCTGCTAACACTCTTGCAACATTTTTCTGTGAGCAGACTAACATCTTAAGAAACTTGCTCCCATCATCTTCTAATCTCTGTCTCAGTGCTGTAATCAATTTAACCCTGTTACCTTGTTACCCTTTCCTGACAGTGATGAAGACCATAATTGTTAAATATGGTAATGCTGTTGTTGACCCCTTGCATTGATTTACAAGACATTTTATTAAACAATCCTGAGTTAATGCTTTTTGTTTATGGATCTTATGCCAAAAATGCAAAAGGAAAATACAAAGCAGGATATGCTGTGACAACTCAATGTGAACTAACAGAAAATGTAACTCTTTCCCCAATTTAAGTCAGCCCAAAAGGCAGAGCTATAAGTTCTCACTTGGATCTGTCAGATATCTAAGGGCAAATCAGTCAACATTTCTACAGATAGTAGATATATTTTCGCGTAGTTTATAAGTTTGGTATACTATGAAAAGAAAGAGGGTTCCTCACCTTTGGTGGAACCCCCATCAAAAATGCGCCCCAAGTAGATGAGTGTCTTTCTGCTGTTTTGCTGCCTTCATAAATGGCTATTAAAATGGAAGGCCACACCCATAAAACTGAACCTGAATACCGAGAAAATACCCTAGAAGTCGTTCATGCTAAATAAACTAGTAGTGATACCACTGAGATGTTTGAAAGAAAAACACTTTGAATGAACTCCACAAAATTGATCCAAATCTATGATAATTTGTTTAATAAAGAATGCTATGAACCTGAATCAGCAAAACAAACAAAATTGGCTCTTAAAAGAATGAAATTTAATATTAAATAGGAACTGACTGAGAGCCTGAACCACTGCTTCATTCTCCCAAAGTCTTTTTTTAAAATTTAATTTTATTTTATTATTATTATACTTTAAGTTTTAGGGTACATGTGCACAATGTGCAGGTTAGTTACATATGTATACATGTGCCATGCTGGTGTGCTGCACCCATTAACTCGTCATTTCGCATTAGGTATATCTGCTAATGCTATCCCTCCCCCCTCCCCCCACCCCACAACAGTCCCCAGAGTGTGATGTTCCCCTTCCTGTGTCCATGTGTTCTCATTGTTCAATTACCACCTATGAGTGAGAACATGCGGTGTTTGGTTTTACGTCCTTGCGATAGTTTACTGAGAATGATGATTTCCAATTTCATCCATGTCCCTGCAAAGGACATGAACTCATCATTTTTTATGGCTGCATAGTATTCCATGGTGTATATGTGCCACTTTTCTTAATCCAGTCTATCATTGTTGGACATTTGGGTTGCTTCCAAGTCTTTGCTATTGTGAATACTGCTGCAATAAACATACGTGTGCATGTGTCTTTATAGCAGCATGATTTATAGTCCTTTGGGTATATACCCAGTAACGGAATGGCTGGGTCAAATGGTATTTCTAGATCTAGATCCCCGAGGAATCGCCACACTGACTTCCACAATGGTTGAACTAGTTTACAGTCCCACCAACAGTGTAAAAGTGTTCCTATTTCTCCACATCCTCTCCAGCACCTGTTGCTTCCTGACTTTTTAATGATTGCCATTCTAACTGGTGTGAGATGGTATCTCATTGTGGTTTTGATTTGCATTTCTCTGATGGCCAGTGATGGTGAGCATTTTTTCATGTGTTTTTTGGCTGCATAAATGTCTTCTTTTGAGAAGTGTCTGTTCAAGTCCTTCGCCCACTTTTTGATGGGGTTGTTTGTTTTTTTCTTGTAAATTTGTTTGAGTTCATTGTAGATTCTGGATATTAGCCCTTTGTCAGATGAGTAGGTTGCAAAAATTTTCTCCCATTTTGTAGGTTGCCTGTTCACTCTGATGGTAGTTTCTTTTGCTGTGCAGAAGCTCTTTAGCTTAATTAGATCCCATTTGTCTATTTTGTCTTTTGTTGCCATTGCTTTTGGTGTTTTAGACATGAAGTCCTTGCCCATGCCTATGTCCTGAATGGTATTGCCTAGGTTTTCTTCTAGGGTTTTTATGGTTTTAGGTCTAACGTTTAAGTCTTTAATCCATCTTGAATTAATTTTTGTATAAGGTGTAAGGAAGGGATCCAGTTTCAGCTTTCTACATATGGCTAGCCAGTCTTCCCAGCACCATTTATTAAATAGGGAATCCTTTCCCCATTGCTTGTTTTTCTCAGGTTTGTCAAAGATCAGATAGTTGTAGGTATGCGGTGTTATTTCTGAGGGCTCTGTTCTGTTCCATTGATCTATATATCTGTTTTGGTACCAGTACCATGCTGATTTGGTTACTGTAGCCTTGTAGTATAGTTTGAAGTCAGGTAGCTTGATGCCTCCAGCTTTGTTCTTTTGGCTTAGGATTGACTTGGCAATGCGGGCTCTTTTTTGGTTCCATATGAAATTTAAAGTAGTTTCTTCCAATTCTGTGAAGAAAGTCATTGGTAGCTTGATGGGGATGGCACTGAATCTATAAATTACCTTGGGCAGTATGGCCATTTTCACGTTATTGATTCTTCTAACCCATGAGCATGGAATGTTCTTCCATTTGTTTGTATCCTCTTTTATTTCATTGAGCAGTGGTTTGTAGTTCTCCTTGAAGAGGTCTTTCACCTGCCTTGTAAGTTGGATTCCTAGGTATTTTATTCTCTTTGAAGCAATTGTGAATGGGAGTTCACTCATGATTTGGTTCTCTGTTTGTCTGTTATTGGTGTATAAGAATGCTTGTCATTTTTCTACATTGATTTTGTATCCTGAGACTTTGCTGAAGTTGCTTATCAGCTTAAGGAGATTTTGGGCTGAGACAATGGGGTTTTCTAGATATACAATCATGTCATCTGCAAACAGGGACAATTTGACTTCCTCTTTTCCTAATTGAATACCCTTTATTCCCTTCTCCTGCCTAAGTGCCCTGGCCAGAACTTCCAACACTATATTGAATAGGAGTGGTGAGAGAGGGCATCCCTGTCTTGTGCCAGTTTTCAAAGGGAATGCTTCCAGTTTTTGCCGATTCAGTATGATATTGGCTGTGGGTTTGTCATAGATAGCTCTTAATATTTTGAGATATGTCCCATCAATACCTAATTTATTGAGAGTTTTTAGCATGAAGGGTTGTTGAATTTTGTCAAAGGCCTTTTCTGCATATATTGAGATAATCATGTGGTTTTTGTCTTTGGTTCTGTTTATATGCTAGATTACATGTATTGATTTGCATATATTGAACCAGCCTTGCATCCCAGGGATGAAGCCCACTTGATCATGGTGGATAAGCTTTTTGATGTGCTGGTGGATTCGGTTTGCCAGTGTTTTATTGAGGATTTTTGCATCAATGTTCATCAAGGATATTGGTCTAAAATTCTTCTGTTTTGGTTGTGTCTCTGCCCGGCTTTGGTATCAGGATTATGCTGGCCTCATAAAATGAGTTAGGGAGGATTCCCTCTTTTTCTATTGATTGGAATAGTTTCAGAAGGAATGGTACCAGTTCCTCCTTGTACCTCTGGTAGAATTCGGCTGTGTATCCATCTGGTCCTGGACTCTTTTTGGTTGGTAAGCTATTGATTATTGCCACAGTTTCAGAACCTGTTATTGGCCTATTCAGAGATTCAACTTCTTCCTGGTTTAGTCTTGGGAGGGTGTATGTGTTGAGGAATTTATCCATTTCTTCTAGATTTTCTAGTTTATTTGCGTAGAGGTGTTTGTAGTATTCTCTGATGGTGGTTTGTATTTCTGTGGGATCAGTGGTGATATCCCCTTTATGATTTTTTTATTGCATCTATTTGATTGTTCTCTCTTTTCTTCTTTATTAGTCTTGCTAGCAGTCTATCAATTTTGTTGAGCCTTTCAAAAAACCAGCTCCTAGATTCATTAATTTTTTGAAGGGTTTTTTGTGTCTCTATTTCCTTCAGTTCTGCTCTGATTTTAGTTATTTTTTGCCTTCTGCTAGCTTTTGAATGTGTTTGCTCTTGCTTTTCTAGTTCTTTTAATTGTGATGTTAGGGTGTCAATTTTGGATCTTTCCTGCTTTCTCTTGTGGGCATTTAGTGCTATAAATTTCCCTCTACACACTGCTTTGAATGTGTCCCAGAGATTCTGGTATGTTGTGTCTTTGTTCTTGTTGGTTTCAAAGACTTTAAAACTACTGCTATTAAAAACCCTATCTATACTCCTTAACTCTTCATAGTGTAGAGAAAATGGTCCAAATTTTGAAAAGAGTATTGGTGAGGTGATAATAGCTCTTGGATTGAAAAATTGGTTTATAACCAAAGTCCAGTTACAGATGGAACGTCTCTGCCACCCACTAGACCAGTGGAGCATCTACACATGGATTTCGTGCAGTTGCCACTCTCAATGGCTTACCAATATAGTCTTGTAATCGTATTTTGTTCTCAGGATGAATTGCAGCCTTTCCATGCATAAAGACCAGCTCCATAACAGTAGCAAATTAAATTACTATGGGGCATACATAGCCTTTATGGAGAATACCTGGAGAAATTTCCAGCAGTAAGGGAACTCCTTTTACTGGAAAAATTATTAAACAATGAAATAAAGTTTTACAAGTACGATGGCACTACCATTGTCCTTATCATCCCTAGTCTTCTGGAAAAATTGAATGAAAAATTATATCTTAAATCTAAGTTGCCTAAACTAACAAAATAATCTGGATTGCCTTGGCCAAAACTTTTACCACTGGCCTTAGTTGCAATCAGATCTGTGCTGAAAAGCACATGCTAACAGCTTATACAATAGTAACAGGAAGACCTATGACCTTAATTATAGAACCTCATTTATCTCTTATACTTCTAAATTCTGTATGACTAGGTATTGCAACATCTTGATGCATTATGGTGAAGAATATTTCCACCAAGTAAAGGAAGCTTTCTGTGACCCACTGACTGATGACCAGCCTTCCATAATATAGAATCTGAAGATTGGGTCTTTTAGAAATGACACCAAATAAATACTTCTCTTGAGTCTCATTGGAATGAACCATAACAAGTTCTTATCATCACTCATAAAGCTTCAGGACTTCAAGACTTGGGTTCCAGTCTCTCAGCTCAAAAGGGTTCCTCGAGATTGTTGGAACTGTATGCAACCTGGAGATCTCGAAGTAAAACTGACCAGGGAGATCTCTCCCACCAAAAGAAGATGGTATCCTTGAGGTGAACAGATTTTTAAAGATCATGGATCATAAACCTCTTCCCTGGCCTCTCATGGAACTCCAATCTTCTTTTCTCTTTTGGTTCTCACTTTTTCTTTCCATGTGTGCATTGCAAAATAATGCTATAATTGAAATTTTATAGTTTGTAGTTTCAGCAGAGATTTTAACTGAATGTTGTGTTTGCCATGCCAAATCCAAATCAATACATGAGGAAAAGAATGTTCTAGCCCATTCTTAACTGATTTTACCAGAATCCCAAATTTGACCATCTGTTTAGATTGCATTACTGATCTACGTTATGAAGTTAGAGTTCAAGACACATTAGTTCTTTTTAAAACTTTCTTAATTGATACATAATAATTGTACATATTTATGGGGTAAATGTGATATTTTGCTACACACATAGACGGTATGATGATCAATCCAGGGTATTTGGGTGCCCAACACCTTGAGCGTTTATCATTTCTTTGTGTCAAAACATGTCAAATCTTTTCTTCTAGCTATTTTAAAATATATAATAAATTATTGTTAACTATAGTCACCCTATTGTGCTAACAAACACTAGAACATTTTTTTCTGTCTAACTGCATGTTGGTATCTATTAACCAACCTCTCTTTTTCCTCCAGCCCACTCTTCCCAGCCTCTGGTGGCTATCATTCTGCTCTCTACTTTCATGAAAATCAACTTTTTTAACTTCTACATATCAATGAGAACATGTGATATTTGTCTTTCTGCACCTGGATTATTTCACTTAACATAATGACCTCTGATTCCATCCATGTTGCTGCAAAAAATGGGATTTCTTTCTTTTCAGTGGCTGAATAGTATTCCATTGTGTATATGTACCACATTTGCTTTATCCGTTCATCCCTTATGGACATTTAGGTTGAATCCATATCTTGGCTATCATGAATAGTGCTGCAATAAACACGGGGGTGCAAGTATCCCTTTGATATACTGATTTCTTTTCCTTTAAAGAAATATCCAATAATGGGAATGCTGGATCGTATAATAGTTCTATTTTTAGTTTTCTGAGAAGTCTTTCTACTGTTTTTCACATACATTTCATGTGAATGTACTAAGTTACATTCTAGCAACAGTGTAAAAGAGTTCCCTTTTCTCTGCATCCTTGCCAACATTTGAATAAGGGTGGTGTCAGTGGGCATCCTTGTCTTGTTCCAGATGTTACAAGAAAGAATTTCAGCTTTCTCCCATTCAGTGTATTAACTGTGAGTTTGTCATATATGGCCTTTAGGTTGACGTAATGTCCCTCGTTTGTCTGAGAGTTTTTATCTCGAGAAGATGTTGAGTTTTATCAGATGCTTTTTGGCATCTATTAAAATGATCATGTTTTTTGTCTTTTATTCTGTTGATATGATGTATCATGTTCCATGATGTGCATATGTTAAACATCTTTGCATCGCTGGGCTATATCCCACCTAATCATGGTATATTATATTTTTGATGTATTCTTGGACTTAGCATGCTAGTATTTTCTTGAGGATTTTTGAATCTATCTTCATCAGGGGTATTCGTTTCTACTTTTTTATAGTGTCTGTCTGTTTTTGGTACCAGAGGAACTCTTCTTGTCATAACTTAAGCCAGAATTGAAATACCAGATCCTCTGACAGTAGTCTAAGGGAGATATGCAACAGAAAGGAAAGCTTAAATAAAACTCTTTGCAAGAATGCCTATTGAGCTACATTTTGATAGCCTCTCAGTAAGTAACAACTCAGTATCAGTCCTTGGTTAGAAATTGCCAATGTCTTTATTCCAACAAATGGCTCCATAAATAATTCTTAGTAGCACTGTCAGGGTACACATTTTTATCTGTGGAAGTTTTAACAAGCAATCATATGCATGGGTCACTCCATGGCTTAACAAACGGAGAATGAAAAACTAATGCAGACTAGTGCCACTGTCACTTCATAACAAATCAGAAAATAAGCATTGGTCCTCTCCTCTAAACTTAAACTATAGATAAAAAAGGAACTTATCAGCAGGTATCAATCCCGCTGGGTGTTTCCATGGCTTCAACTAGTATAAATAAAATTTGTCATTCACATTAGCTAGTATAACTGATTCCACAACTAAGGCTATAGCTGACAAATAAAAATCTCTAGATTCTCCAGCTCAAGTTGTTTTAATTGCTTTAGATTATTTGTTGGCTAAACAAGGAGGTGTCTGCAATGGCTAATATTTCTTGTTATACCTGGATAAACACATCTGGTGTTGTAAAAATTCAATTACAAAAAAAATTAATAAGCAAGCCATCTAGTTAAGACAGGTTAAATTCTCCTCTAGTTCATTCTTTGATTTATTTGATTGTAGTTGGGTTGGTTCTTTGGGGGCTTGGCTAAGAAGCATACTTTAGTTTCTTTGTATTATTCTCTTAATAGTAACCATTCTAATCTCCCTGGTATGCTGTGTCCTCTCAAGAACCTTAAATGCATGCTCATAACCATCAACAATACACCAGATTATCTTGTTGCAGTGAGAACAAGGAAAAAGATAAACAACACAAGAAAAGTTTACTCAATGAACCTGACATCATGACTTATGAATTCCATGCTGAAACAAAGGCCAACCAGCCACGATTGTGACAGTCACACACACACACCCAAGTTTTGGCCAATCATTAATAAATAAGAGGCTGATCAGAAGGGAGGACTTATTAAAATAATTTAATAGGATGCCTTTAGCCTAAGGTGGACCCTGAGACCTAGGTTCCCATGGAAGCAAACCAAAATCTAACGTGAATGTGTTTGTCATTAAGTGACTAACTTAGAGAAAGTAAAACTTAAGTTCAACCAATCAGAAACCATCAAATAACCTCTAATTACATAACTAGGGATTGTCCACATAGGTAATTCAAATAAGGCAATTATATTACTGTAACAAACTGATCTTTTTTTTTTTTTTGACTTTCCTTCTCTATTCATCCTATAAAGCTTTTCTTTTGAGCATCCCCAGTAGACCCCCAACCACAATCCTTGGTTGGATAATGCCAGATTCATAAATTGCAATTTGTTCAAATAGCCTCAAAAGGACTAATGTGACTCAATTTAAGTTTTTTAAGTTTTCCATTAATTCCACTTCTCTTCCAACGTCATATATCTCTATTATCATAGGTCTGCTAAGTCATATTGCCCAAATGTCAGGACTGCTTAAGCCACAGCTTGAACCGTGGAGAGCCCTTTTCTGTCCTGGAACCCACTCAAAACTGTCATTATTCTCCCATTTAGACAGATGTGTCTATGAGTAGGATTTTTACAACTGTGTCAGACATTAAGAAAAGTTTTGGAAAATTTTAAAATAAGTCCTTAAATTACTGCATTACACTGCTGGACTAAGATTTTAAGAGTAATAAGCCACATATCATCACACTTATTTTGCTGAATATAAAATTATTATTACTTTAATAATAGTGCTTGTTAAACAATATTTTGTATCATTACTAAATAAAATTTTAAAATTTAATTATTTTATTTAATCTTGTACTTTCTAAATTTTTACTTTTGATGTTGTACTATACATAATAATTTAGTACAGTGACATCTATTTAATATTTACATAAGAATGTATATATATTTAAGATGTACTCCAAATGATTTTACTGATATGAATGTACAATAAAAATGGTTGTAAATCCCCCCTCTAGTGAAGCCACAAGAGTATACAACAGTTAAAACATAAGAGTAAATGAGACAATCTACGGAGAATTCTAGAATAAAAGAAGTAGGCCAAGAATACAACAGAGGGGAATAGAAGCATCATTAAGGGAAAAGAGAGAAACATGGCCCAGCATCAAAGACTGAGGTGAGAAAGTGAGGAAGATAGAACCAGTGAGTATTATCACAGAAGCCAGAGGTGAAGGGACTTTCAATAGCACCAAACACTACAGCTTGGTTAGGAAGATAGGTAGATGTTCTTTGAAGGTGACATTTAGAGTTCATTGCGATCTTACTCAGAGAAAAGTTTCAGTGAAATGGTGAGGGCAGAAACCATAAATTTGAGGGATCTAAGTAGAACAATTTGTAATCTAACTGCCCATTCCCCTTATATTGCTTATGAGTTCTTGTAAGATGCAGCCACCCTAGTTTACAAACCATTTTTTGATTAGCTCTTGTGCTTTCAAAATTCCAGACTTTTGTGATATGATTCCCTCACCTCTTCCTCTTCTTCATTCTCTCTGCCTATTATAATCCTACTTATTTTGCAAAGTTTATCTCAACTGACACTTCCATTGAGAAATCTTTCTTTGTTCCTCGGGTCACTATGCACTTTCTTCTTTATATTTTTATAAACCTTACTTACCCTTTTTTTGGCCAGGTGCTGGGATTACACACCCGTAATCCCAGCACTTTGGGAGGCTGAGGCAAGTGGATCATTTGAGGTCAAGAGTTCGAGAACAGCCTGGCCAACATGGTGAAACCCCGTCTCTACTAAAAATAAAAAAAATTAGCTGGGTGTGGTGGCATATGCCTGTAGTCCCAGCTATTTGGGAGGCTGAGGCAAGATAATTGCTTGAACCCAGGAGGCAGAGGTTGCAGTGAGCTGAGATGACACCACTGCAATCCAGCCTGGGAGACAGAGCGAGGCTCCGTCTCAAAAAAAATAAAAATAAAAACAAAAACAAAAAAACTTATTTACCCTTTTTTATATCACAGCCTGAATTATACTCTAGTTAGCAATCTATGTGTCTTTCTTCCCAACTAGATTATGAGCTTCTTGTCAGGAGCCATTTTTATCTAAGAAGTTCTTATCCTCACCCTGTTCATACCCCAGTACCCCTATGCCAATTTTCTTTTTTCCACTGCCCTGTATGTTGTAAGTACTTAATAAAGGGAAAATAAAACTGAAATTTTAGCAATCAGTGTAGTAAGTATGGATTGAGGGTCTGAGGATCTAGCTCAGTTTGCTACAAAGTGCCCAAAAGATTTATGAATTGGTCTGTGACTTGACGATATTTAATCAAGATTTACACAATCATGGGATATACTACTCACACCTTATTAAGTGATAAGTATATTATAGAGCAGGCAAGTATTGTGTATTTCAAGAAGAAGAAAAATCAATTTGATTTCAAAGATTAAGAAAGGCTGCAAGATCTTCTTTGAACTCAACTATTGAGATGGAAAAGAGGGAGAAGCTGTTTTAGATAAGAGAAACATTACTAGCAAATTAATTGAAGCAAATGCACAAGGAACAAGGAAGGGAGCACATGGCCGAGTTTGCTGAGATAAGGAGGAGAAAACAAGTTGATGATAAGATACAGAAAACAATGGGATATCTAGAACACCAAAATAAGAAAAATTGATTTGGTTTGAAAAGTAATGGGAATTTTATAAATTCTTGAGCAGTGCAGTATTATTTTTTCCCCCTTTCATTCAGCAAGTCCTCAATTAGCACTAAAGAGTGCCAGACACGGCCAGGCGTGGTGGCTCACGCCTGTAATCCCAACACTTTGGGAGGCCGAGGCAGGCAGATCACGAGGTCAGGAGATCGAGACCATCCTGGCTAACATGGTGAAACCCCGTCTCTACTAACTATACAAAAAATTAGCCGGGCATGGTGGAGGGTGCCTGCAGTCCCAGCTACTCGGGAGGCTGAGGCAGGAGAATGGCATGAACCTGGGAGGAGGAGCTGGCAGTGAGCCGAGATCGTGCCTCTGCACTCCAGCCTGGGCAACAGAGTGAGACTCCGTCTCAAAAAAGAAAAAAAAAAAAAAGAGTGCCAGACACTGTTCAAGATATTTGAAATGCAGGATTGAATGTGTCAAAGAAACCCCTTCCCTTTAAGCCTATATGCTAATGATAGTGATGGGACAGGAGTGACCGATTTTAGATGTCCTAACAAATATATAGTATATCGAGGAGTGAAGTGTGAAGAAGGAAACAACAGGGTAAAGGACAGCTGGTATGAGCAGAAAAGACGGTATAGCAATCTCAATAATTCATATGGGGAGCCAGATAATAATAATATCAAAGTTTCCCTGAGGGCATTGTAGGATGTGGGAACAAATTCACCTCACAGAGTGAAGAAGTTGATGACCTTGGCCGCACTTTCTACACTTTCTTGGATCCTCTTTAAATACTAATTATTTTCTACAAAGCATATTAGTCACACTTCCCCCAGTAACAGGTCAAACCAGCCTGAGACTATTTTCTGCCTGTTTTATCTTGTATGTTCAGAATAGTGAATAAAATTGTAAAAATGAGATCGGTTTCATATGAATCAGCAAGATGATCATCAAACAGACTTTAGTGAAGGTCATTTGTTTTTACCTCATTATCTCACAAGACATCTTTAATTAATTTCAAGTGGTTTATATATTTTTAGGACTGAGTCCACAGAATTACACTGATGTCAGTGCAGAGAAATCCCTTTAGGATTTGGTGGAAAGCTTTAACTTTGCAGTGTTACAGATATAATTATCAACACTGACCTACTAGTAGTCTCCTAGATTTTCATTCTTTTAATCCCAAATGTTTTAGAGGCCAAGGTTTATATTCTTTAATTTTATGAAAACCACATCATAAAGCTGTTACAAAGCTCTTCTCAGTAAAATCTAGGTAAGAGAAGCGTGCTAACTTATTTTTACTTCTAATTTTAGCAACCATAAAGCTCTGAATTATTTAGTACCTCTGAATTATTTAGTATCTTTTATTGTTCTTAAATTTCAGCTTTTTTCTAATCTTTCTAGCACTTTTCAAAATTGAATGCTATGAAGAACTAGGATGAGACACAATACTGCAATTTGTCTGACTTTCTGATTGTAACAGAATTTCAAAACACATAAGTAAAGTTACAAAGAAATTCTGTTAAATAATTTAGGCATGTACATAGAAAGTTATTGCTAACTTAACTGACTACATGGCTTACATTTATTATTTTAAAACGAATTAATAAAATAGTCAGCCCATGTTTTTGTTTTAATATTTTGAATATAAAAACATGTCTATTTTGACCATAGAACTTATATGATTTGAATTATCAGTCAGTATGTCCTAATGAATCACTATGCAGGGAAAGGAAATAGCCTTTTAAAGCAAAACAAAATTTGACTTCAAAAATCCTATTAAGATATAAAGGATTTTCTCCTTTTTCCTAAGTGTTAGAAGGCTATAGTATAAAGGTGAGCTTGCTTTTACTTAGTAGCTTTTAATCTGCTATAGTATACTTCAGAAAATCTTATATAATTTTCTGAAGAAACAGAAAAATGGTAGAAAAGAGTCAATTTAGATAAAAGAAAGACACCTAAAATTTTATGTAATGATTTTATATATTTCTTTGTAGACTTTCCTTTAAAGCTAATAGTCTGCAGAAACCAAAGAATCA
Source organism: Homo sapiens (assembly GCF_000001405.40). NCBI lineage: Eukaryota > Metazoa > Chordata > Mammalia > Primates > Hominidae > Homo > Homo sapiens. The sequence goes on from NC_000003.12 coordinate 98,389,551, forward strand.
TTAAGGATCATTAGTAGAATTCATAAAGCAACTTTACTCATTCCAGGTCATCAGGGTGGAGCTAATACTGAAATTAATACTGCCTTTTCCCCCATAGTATTTTACAGCTCTTTTCACAGAAGTATAAATCACAACTAACCTCAAAATGCTTACAATATAAGAAAATTGAATAGACTGACATTTTTAAAAAGCAATGTATATATAGGCAAGAAATTCTGAATTGTGTGGAGTATATAAGAGAGCATCTACCGTTCGGAAAATGGAAATCTGTGTGGACTGGGGCAATTAGTTAAAACTTTAAGTAGCATTATATAAAAAGTATTCCTTATCAAAAGGAGGAAGGATTTAGGCATGTAAGAGAAAATCAACAGGAATAATAGAATGGATAGAGTCAATGTTTATGAAATGGGTGTGACACTGGGGAAAGGGATGAGACAAGTGATAATCTACGGATGTTTATTTCTTTAAATCTCCAAGATAATTTTCTTTAAAGATAAATATTTTCCTCCTCAGTTCTTGGTGAATTTCATACAGTTCCTAAGATATAAATTTAACATATCTGTTATATGCTTTTTTAAAACATTCAATCTACTGGAAGAATATATAGAAATTATTTTCTTGGAGAGAGATGTGTGTGCGTGTGTGTGTGTGTATATATATATATATAGCCCCATATAATATATATATTCTATATTATATGACATATATATATATATTATAAATTTGTTTTAAGGAGGATCTTCAATACAAAACTGACAGTGAAATTATTTGAGAACAATGAACCAGATAGGGGTCCCCTAGTTTTTTATGCTATCCTTGCATAAATTTATAAAGATGAACCATTTCCACTTTAAACATCTTCCCTGGAATTATCAAAATATCCTTGTGAATCCTAAGGGTCAGAGCTTGAGGTCACAGACACTGACACTTTAGGAGAACAAATGTCCCCTAGAAGTATGTGAGGATGTATTTAGAAACAGCAGGGGAAATATGACAAAGAAATTCCTCTACTTGTTGTAAAAAGGAAAAAAATTGAAGGAACAATAATATGCTCTCAATTACAATCAATTACAATATTATAACCCCTCATTCATCTCTCAACAGACAAGGTGGAGATGAATAAGGAGAATCACTCCTTGATAGCTGAGTTCATCCTCACAGGATTTACATATCATCCAAAGCTGAAGACTGTTCTGTTTGTGGTGTTCTTTGCCATCTATCTGATCACCATGGTGGGGAACATTGGTTTGGTGGCATTGATTTATATAGAGCAACGTCTTCACACACCAATGTACATATTTTTAGGCAACCTAGTTCTGATGGATTCCTGCTGTTCCTCTGCTATTACTCCCAAGATGTTAGAGAACTTCTTTTCTGAGGACAAAAGGATTACCCTGTATGAATGTATGGCACAATTTTATTTTCTCTGTCTTGCTGAAACTACAGACTGCTTTCTTCTGGCGGCAATGGCCTATGACTGCTATGTGGCCATATGCAACCCACTGCAGTACCACACCATGATGTCCAAGACACTCTGCATTCAGATGACTGCAGGAGCCTACCTAGCTGGCAACCTGCATCCCATGATTGAAGTAGAGTTTCTGTTGAGGTTAACTTTCTGTGGGTCTCATCAAATCAATCATTTTTTCTGTGATGTTCTTCCATTATATAGACTTTCTTGTATTAACCCTTATATCAATGAATTGGTGTTATTTATCTTGGCAGGATCAATTCAAATCTTTACTATAGTCTTAGTTTCTTATTTCTACATCCTTTTCACAATATTTACAATGAAATCCAAGGAGGGAAGAGGCAAAGCTTTATCTACTTGTGCATCTCACTTTCTCTCTGTGTCAATATTCTGTGATTCCCTTCTCTTCATGTATGCTCGACCAGGTGCAGTTAATGAAGGGGATAAAGATATACCTGTTGCTATATTTTATACTTTAGTTATTCCTTTATTAAATCCTTTTATTTATAGCCTAAGAAATAAGGAAGTAATAAATATTATGAAAAAAATTATGAAGAAGAGAAAATTTTGTCACATTCTGAAACAAATGTCATCCCCTCTGGCAACTTGATAATACTTTATTTTAAATCAAGGGATAGTGAGGCAGTTTACAAGGCCACTTTGAATATAAAATATTAAATTATTTAAAAATAATGATATAGGAGTTCAAAATGTTCAGAAAGGAGAAATTCCTGTAAAATATACTTCAAAATCTAAGCTACTAGTGTTCATCAAAAGTGAACTAAATTATTCATGAAGTCTCAGATTGTGTCAGAGTGTAATTAGTTACAATTTTCAGCAAATCCAACAAATACTAGGAATAAATGTCAGTACATATAACGGTAGTGTGCATTTACTATTGTTGGCAAATTTCTGGAATCTTAAAGCATAATTTTACGAACTCAGGCACATTCCAAGTTCTCAAACATTAGTCCCTTTTTAACCAGAATCATCTGTGAGAAGTAAATTGTCTGTCTGAATTTGATTCTAACTTTTTTTGAGTTCTTTCAAGAGATTGCTTGAAAAATTATTCATGCAGAATATGTATTCTCTAATCAATAATATTTTCATATTTAGTGTTAGTCATTAGTCATTTTACATTCTCAAGTTCTATGAAACAGAGTACCTGTATTGATTGCTTTTCCCTTTCTATAATGCCATAATTTTAAAAATGTATTTCTGGGCTTGGCACAGTAATCTGGGCTTATGCCTGTAATCCTAGCACTTCCAGAGGCCAAGGCAGGTAGATCACCTGAGGTCAGGAGTTTGAAACTAGCCTGGCCAACATAGTGAAACCCCATCTCTACTAAAAATATTTTTAAAATTAGCCAGGCATGGTGCATCCTTATAATCTCGACTACCTAGGAGACTGAAGCAGGAGGATCGCTTGAACCCTGGAGGTGGATGTTGCAGTGAGCTGAGATCAGGCCACTGCACTCTAGCTTTGGTGTCAGAGTGAGACTCTGCCTCAAAAAATATATAGAAATAAATAAAAAGTGTGTTTCTGTGTCATTCACTCTCAACTCTTAGTAACACTGAATCCCAGACATCTATTCAGGGAAGAGTTTGTGACTTATATGGAGCCAGTGAGACAGAAAAGGTGATTTTTTCCTGAAAAATGAGTTTTCTTATTTTAAAAGAGATCCACAAAAAATAGTCTTTCTCTCTCTGAGTGTTACGGTATGCGGATATGAAACCCAGCAGAGCCAATTCCCTTTCACCATCAAGAGGAAAACCAGCCTGGAGTTGTAGTCAATACTCAAATGAGGGCATAGCTGAAGAAATCACACAGAAATAGACCCAAAATCTCTGGAGTAAACCATCTCTTCTGACTGTATAATCCAATAGACCTTCTTATCTTTTAAGCTTATTTGGCAGAGATGTTTTATTCATGACTGAATAAATACTAACGGATACATTCCTGCTTCTTGACTATCACTCGTATTTGTCTCTTTATATTCTATTTTAAATTAATCCTCAGGTGATCTTTTAGTTTTCAAATAACTTTTCAGTGGTATCCATTTTACTGTACAGCAAATTAATTAGGTTTTTTACTCTTATTACTATTTTAATTTCTAATAACCTTACTTTAAAAAAAATGAGGGACAGAGAAATTTCTTGTCTACAGAAATACAGTGGTAGAGCTCAGGAACCAAACCCAGGCTATCTGGCTCCAGAATCCATGGTCTTAACCACTAAGTCATACTGTACATAGCACAAACTAAAAGCAGGAGAGGAAACATTTTAACAATCTCAGCTGTGAAGTGGGCAGAGAAATAGGGCAGAGATTCAAAAGAGATATGGATCAAAGACATTTACCTCCAAATTTATTTTGAAAAATTTCAAACCTACAGAAAAGTTGAAAAAAGTATATGATTAACATTCATATACTTCTTTTAGCCAATTAAGCAATCAAACAATTGTTAACAATTATTGAACAATTATTAACATTTTACAATACTTGCCTATCACCAAATGTGTATATAGGTATATAATACCTATATACATACTTATAATATATATATACATTAATGCAGTACAAATGTACATATATATTACATGTCCATATGGATATTATACAAATGACACATATACACATAAATATATACTTACAATACATGTATACATACAGTTAATACCTATATACATAGATACATTTTTTAATAATCAAAACATCTAAATAGGGCACTGGCTTGTTATTAGCAGTTCCACCAACCTGAACTACTTTAATTGTAAATTACTGATGGGCTCACAGCAATAACAGAACATTAAGATGCTGTTAGGCATAAATGATGCAGAAAATAGGGATTCCAAGCATCTAAACAATATTTATTTATTAAATACACAAATATGAAAAAAATTTACTGAGAAATTGCTATCTTGCTATGCACTAAGCTAGTGTCAAAGAAAACCAGAGCAGGACAAAAGTTAAAGTGCTAAATACAAAGTTGATTCAGGACTATTGCCATAGGGGCAGAAAAACCCCAGTGTAGAGCTTCATTTCAAATGCAGCAGGGAAAAGGGAGGTCTTGTAGCCAAAGAAGCAGGGGGTGGCCAGCGAATGAAAAATTATTAAGAAGAGACATCAAATCTAGGGGGAATTCTGGTTGAACCAATCGAAAAGGATTTATTTATTCTTTTATTTATTTATATTTGAGATAAATAAATCACATTGTCACCCATGCTGGAGTGCAGTGGTATGATCATAGCCCACTGAATCCATAGCACCTGAATCCTAACAGGATTTTTGCTGAAGGCAAGCCAGAGTATTCAGATACCAAGAATGGGAAGGGAAGAATTTTGATCAGATATAGAAGGTCATCAGGTATTGAGGATGGGAGGATTCTTGCTAGATTGTCTTTCTGCATTATTTACTAGAACTAGATTTTACAAGAAAGTACACAAGTCAGCCAAAGAGAAGGTTCAGAAGCCTGACCGTAGTTTGTTCAAGGGAAAAAGAGGCATTCTTCCCTTAAGTTTATTTCTCCTCCAGTTTGCTCATTTATGACTAGCAAAACCATCTGCTTGTACCTGGTGCAGGTTGCTAATTGTATTGTGAGATCAATGAGACATTTAATGAGAGGGATACCCATAAAGAAAAACAGAATGATAAATATTAGAGGCTGCTCTGCTGGGTTTTTTTTCTTCCAAGAAGGAAGCTTAGAAGCAGTGTTAGCACACCTCTCCCACTTGAAAGGACAGAATAGCATGTAGAGATTTATGCTGTGAACTTTTTTCAAGAAGCAACACAGGAACTTAACAAGAAAACTGAAAGAAGCACAGGCTGTTTGAAAGAAGTGGCAGGCTACAGCCTACACTGTGAAACAGCCAAAAAACTCTAAGTCCCCAAAGTGTGAGAAGGGGACAGACTGCATCCAGGATACACATCCCCATCAGGGAACGTGAAATCCAGGCCATGGGGGAAGGCCTTTACCCTACCCAGAGCTGGGACTGATTTAGGGAATAGTGAGAAATATAAAAGTAGAGGCAGTAGTGGAAAGCACCTTGCAGGCATTCCCAATCTCTAGCATGGACTGAGGGAAACCATTCATTCCTTATTATACCTCACAGGGACTCAGGGAAGTCAGCCAAGTAGCTCAGACAGTGGTCACAGTTTGAAAGAAGCCTCCAGTTGAATTTTGGGATATAATATTGAGTGGGAGCAAACTCCCTTGGCCAGAACCCAGGGGCAAGTGGGAAGTACACTGCAGCCATGAGTGCAGGAGCCAGGCTGCCAAGGCTGCCTGGAGCTTAGCTCAGTGCTGCTAGCAGAACACTTCAGGAGTGAGAACAACTTTGCCAACTGTGTGGGATCTGGGTGAGGCTTACTGCCACCTGCTACTCTTTACTCCCTGTGCAAACTCTCTTCTGTGCAACAGAGGCAGTTACACTCCCCTCTGGAGCATTACCCCAGCAGCCTGATAAATGCCCTCTGACCCTCAGAGAAGCTGCAGCTTGCCACTCATGTGGAGAGTCAGAGCACAGCCCCAACCTGGCTGTGCCCCTCCACCCTCCCTGGTAGTGTAACACAAATGACAGAAACATTTAGGAGCTTTATGGCCCTGCCCATCACCTGAGAAACCAGAATATCTCCTCTGGGCAAAGCAGGGAAAGCTCAAATCCTGCTACTATTACAGGAGCAGGTACTCTTTGGCAAGTGCTACCTCCTGGCTGGAGGCCAGCCAACACAGTCCACTACAGCATCTCTAGATAGAATAAGAGTGTGCCCAGAAATAAGAAAACTGGTATCTGACCTCAGCTACCACCACTGCCTGCAACACACTGGCTAACCAGGAGGTCTGAGTCTGTCCACATGCCGAGTTCACTACCATCATAATCAACATTCAAGAAAAACAACACACTAAGGCTATCTATAATCAAGGATTCTCACAAAGTCTACATCACTCCCCTGCCACTCCCATCACAGCCAGTACTGGTACCAACTGCTGTGGTTTTGAGGAAAGGTAACATCACTAGAACCCTCACAGACTTTCCCCAGCACCAGCCTGGAGTATAGCAGCCCCACCGGGTGGTTAGACCCAGAAGAACAATCACTATAGTCTGGCTCTCAGGAACTCATACTCCTAGAGTATGGGAGAGAGCACCTCATCAATGGAACACCCCATGGGACAAAACAATCCAGTTCTTCTGGGTGAATATCTGTCTCAAAATGCAACCATGTCAACATTTCCCTGGTCAGCTATTTTTTTTCTGTAATTCCATATATGTTCAACTAGTATGAAATCTGTGCATATTGGAACCACGCAATGCCAAGACTGCCTACACTTACTTTTGAACTGATTGTCTAGGTTCCTAATAAAGAAGTCTCTACCTACCATGAAGGACCCTGAAGCAAAGAAGACAAAATTCTCAACAGAATCAGGAGCATCTCTATAAAAATTCTATTGTTTCCTTAACTTGAGTTATTAAAATACCTGGGACAAAAGAATCTGGATGGCAAGCCTTAAATCCCAGATTTTTCCACTGGTGGGAAGTTTCTTTCAGCAGAGACACAATTGCAGTGCTGGGCTCAGGAGGGAAATTTTGCAGCTCTACTTTAACAGTCAGGCAGCCTTGGTGCTCATGAAAGATCTTACAGAAGGGGAATTCTTTCCTTCCTTGTCCGCCACTGCAGACACAGCTGGGGCTTCTCCCATGGGAGCTCAGCATGGGTGCACCTATAGAGAGTGTCAGGCCTCTGAGCCCAAGCCAAGCCATCGCATCCCCTGTGACTTGCACGTATACGCCCAGATGGCCTGAAGTAACTGAAGAATCACAAAAGAAGTGAATATGCCCTGCCCCACCTTAACTGATGACATTCCACCACAAAAGAAGTGTAAATGGCCGGTCCTTGCCTTAAGTGATGACATTACCTTGTGAAAGTCCTTTTCCTGGCTCATCCTGGCTCAAAAAGCACCCCCACTGAGCACCTTGCAACCCCCACTCCTGCCCGCCAGAGAACAAACCCCCTTTGACTGTAATTTTCCTTTACCTACCCAAATCCTATAAAATGGCCCCACCCTTATCTCCCTTTGCTGACTCTCTTTTCGGACTCAGCCCGCCTGCACCCAGGTGAAATAAACAGCCATGTTGCTCACACAAAGCCTGTTTGGTCTCTTCACATGGACGCACATGAAAGAGAGTCTTCCTGGAACACTTCAGAGTACTGCATTCCCACAGAAGGAGCACTCCCAAGATTCAGGTTTGCATGAGAGGCAGAGTCACAATTTCTCTCTATTTGGAATATCAGCATCCTTACAGATGAAAAGAGGTGCCTCTCTTGGGACACGAGTGAGTCTTGGAGGTGGATAGCTTTACTGCTGGCCTGGTGGAAGAACTGAATTGGCTCCCATCCTTCTCCCTGATAAGACCTCAGTGTGCCTAATTGAGAGCTCCTCCAGCCACCTTCATCAAGGCTAGGACCTTTGCACACCATTGGGTATTGCATTTATCCATATGCTTTAGCTACAACCTGTTCCTACCCAGGGACACCTCCCCTACTGGCCTGAAGCCTGAACCATCAACTCAGTAAATAAAATACTGGAGGTAAATTAAATAAATTAAAAAGTACATACCATGGGGGAATGAGATAAACTTCAACAGACCTCTGCCATTCCAATTCTATAGGAGATAGTGAACTTGCCCACACACTGAGTACATTGCTACTACAACAAATATCTGAGGAAGCCGTCATACAAAGACTATAATCAAGGAACTCAAACAGAGTCTTCCTCAAACAGAGTCTTCACCCCTAAAAGCACCATCAAGAACAAAATTAGGGTAAAAAGAAAACTATAAACATTAAAGTCGCATCCTTAAGGGAGAAAAAATGAAATTTTAGAAAAAGTCAAATCAAAAATAAATTCAAGAACACTTAGAAGAAATAGTCTACCCAAATAAGAAAGAACGAGAGGAGTAATTCTGGTAATAAATATAACAAAACAAGGTTCTATAACATTCTGAAAAGATTCCCCCAGTAATGAATCCAAACCAAAATGAAATTGTTGAAATACCAGATAAAGAATTCAGAAGGTCAATTATTAAGCTACTCAAGGAGATACTACAGAAAGGTGAAGACCAACATAAAGAAAATTTTAAAAAATTCAGGATACAAATTAAAAAATTCTAGACAAATAGGTATCATAAAGAAAAACCAATCAGAAGTTCCAAAAATGAAAAACTCATTTAGGGAATTACAAAATGCAGTGGAAAGTTTCAACTATAGACTAGAACAAGTAGAAGAAAGAATCTCAAAACTGAAAGGCAAAGATTTTTAATTAACCCAATCAGACAAATATAAGGAAAAATGAAACAAAAGAAATTAACAAAGTCTCAAAGAAATATGAGATTATGTAAAACAGCTAACCCTAACAATAAACGGTGTCCCTGAGGGAAAAGAGAACGCTTAAAATTTAGAAAACTTACTTGAGGGAATCATTGAGGAAAACTTCCCTGGCCTTGCTGGAGGTTTAGAAATCCAAATACAACAAACTCAAAGAACTCCTGGGAAATTTATTGCAAAAAGATTATCACCAAGGCACATAGTCATTGTGCTATCTAAAGTCAACATGAAGGAAAGTATACTAAGAGCTGGGAGAAAAAAGCATCAGGTAACTTATAGAGGAAAATCTATCAGACTAACAGCAGACTTCTCAGCAGAAACCATTAAAGCTAAAAGGTATTGGGGTTCTATCTTTAGTCTCCTTAAACAGAATAACTGTCAGTCAAGAATTTTTGAATCCAGCAAAATAAGTTACTTTCATAAATGAAAGAAAAAGTTATTTTTCAAACAAATGCTGAGGTAATTTGCTATTACCAAACCAGCACTACAATAAATGCTAAAAGGAGTTTTAAATCTTGAAACAAAACCTTGATATGCACCAAAATAGAACCTCTTGAAAGCATAAAACTCAGAAAAAAAAGTATGTAGGTAACAATGAACATGATGAATAGATCAGTACCTAACATCTCAATATTAACATTAAATGTAAATGGCCTAAAAGCTCCACTTAAAAGATACAGAATGGCAGAATGTATACAAAATCACAAACCAAATATCTGCTGTCTTCAAGAGGCTCACCTAACACATAAGGATTCATATAAACTCAAGGTAAAGGGGTGGAAAAAGATATTCCATGCAAATAAAAACCAAAAGAGAGTGTAATGGTAAAAGGGTCAATCCAACAAGAAGATATTACAATCAATATCAAATTACAAATTTACATGCACCTAACACTGGAGCTCCCAGATGTATAAAACAATTGCTACTAGACCTAAGACATGAGATTGGCAGCAACAAAATAATAGTGTGGGACTTTACTATTCCACTGACAGCACTAGACATATTATTGAGATAGAAAGTCAACAAAGAAATAATGGATTTAGTCTGGGCATGGTGGCTCACACCTGTAATCCCAGCACTTTCGGAGGCTGACAGGGGCAGATCACCTGAGGTCAGGAGTTGGAGATCAGCCTGGGCAACATGGTGAAACTCTGTCTCTACTAATAATACAAAAATTCACTGGACATGGTAGTGGGTACCTGTAATCCCAGCTATTCGGGAGACTGAGCAGGAGAATCACTTGAACCTGAAAGGTAGAGGTTGTAGTGAGCAGAGATCGTGCCACTGCACTCCAACCTGGGAGACAGAGTGAGACTCCATCTCGAAAAAAAAGAAAAAAGAAACAATGGACTTCAACTACACTCTAGAAGAGGTGGGCTTAACAGATATTTACAGAACATTCTACCCAACAACTGCAGAGTATATATTCTTCTCATAAGCACATGGAACATTCTCCAAAAGAGATCATACAATAGGCACAAAACAAGTCTAATACATATAAGAGAATTGAAATTATATTAAGTATCTTCTCAGATTACAGGGAAATAAAACTAGAAACCAACTCCAAAAGGAATAGTCAAAACTGTACAAATATTTGGAAACTAAATAATTTTCTCCTGAATGATTTTTGGATCAACAATAAAATCAAGATGGAAATTTTAGATTATTCAAACGAAATAATAATAGTGAAAAAGTTATCAAAATCTCTGGGATACAGCAAAAGCAGTGCTAAGAGGAAAGTTCATAGCATTAAATGCCTACCTCAAAAAAGTCTTGAAGAGCATAAATTGACAACCTAATGTCACATCTTAAGGAAGTAAATACAAAGTAAACCCAAAGGCAACAGAAGAAACTAACAAAGTTCAGAGCAGAACAAGATGAAATTGAAACCAAAAAGTATAAAAGATAAATGAAACAAAAAACTGATTCTTTAAAAAGGCAACAAAAATTTATAGATAGACAATTTGCCAGATTAACCAAGAAGAGAGAAGATCCAAATAAACTCAGTTAGAAATGAAACTAGAAACATTGCAACCAGTACCACAGAAATATGAAAGATCATTTAAGCCTACTATGAATGCCTTTATGTGCACAAACTAGAAAATCTAGAGGAAATGAATAAATTCCTGGAAACATACAACCTTCTTAATTGAATTAGGAAGAAATAGAAACCCTGAACAGATCAACAACAAGCAGCAAGATTGACTCAGTACCAAAAAAAAATGCTAATAAAAAAAATTCAAGAACTGGATGGATTCACAGCTGAATTCTACCAACCAATCAAAGAATGGTTGGTACCAATCCTACTGAAACTACTCCAAAAGATTGAGAAAGAGGGAATCCTCCCTAAATCATTCTATGAAGCCAGTATTACCCTAATACCCAAAGCAGAAAAGGACATAACAACAACAACAACAACAACAACAAAACTACAGACCAATATCCCAGATGAAGATAGATGCAAAAATCCTCAACAAAATACTAAATATCTGAATCCAACAGCACAGCAAAAAGATAATACCTCATGATCACACGGGCTTCATCCTGGGGTGAAGAGATGGTTTAACATACAGAAGTCAATAAATGTGATACATCACGTAAACACAATTAAAAACAAAAGTCATGTGATCATCTCAATAGATGCAGAAATAGCATTCTATCAGATCCAGCATCACTTTATGATAAAAACCCTCAATAAAGTAGTTATATCAGGTTGCTGCAAAAGGTAATTGCTGTTTTGCCATTAAAAGTAATAGCAAAAAAACACAATTTACTTTTGAACCAACCTAGTAGAAGGGACTTACCTCAAAATTGGTGAGCCATTGATTTGAGAGCAGCTGTGATGTTGTCCATGGCCATGATGAATTGTATAAGTAATGACTAAATGATTCTATTTTGTTGAGTCTAACTTTTTCAGCCAGGTGGTAGATTCCTAGGAATGGTACCCAAAGGTGGCAAACCTTTCTGAAAATGTAATGAGATCATGAAAGGAACTTGTTCTATAGCTGTTTTTCCTAAATTATCTCCTTAGGAACTGAGATCAGCTACAAAAATACCTCTGAGTTTCTGAAAACCTTATTTTTCCAATAGTGAGAATTAGGTAAACTGGAGAAGGTGGGTGATAGTTCAATAAAAGAAGAAAATTGTAGAAAATCAAGCAACATAAAGGGATTAGTAAAATTGGTAAGAAAAGAAGATCTGGTTCAGTAGGTCAGTAAAAGACAAGCATAGGTTCCACAGACAAAATAAGAAACATCAGGAGCTAACAAATGTTCATAAAAATAATTATCTGATATCTTAAGGTGACAATAGGATGCAAATTTTGAGGGTGTAGAAAGGGCTTATTGGATGTGGTCTACATGCAGCTGGCTTGGGTCAGGGAAATTAGGCTGGGAGGGGGAATGAGAACATTTCCATTTACATTATGGATATCCTGGGAATCTATAGTGGCTTCGAGGCTTTATATTGGACTTAGTGACAACTAGATAAATGTAGAGACAAATACTCATTGCCAAAATGAGGACTGCATTATTGGACCACAGCAGCTCTCACCATGGGCTTCTGGAGCCCCAGCAGGAGGAGACCCCTTAAAAAGTAGCAGGGGCAGCAAGCCAGCTGAGGTGAAGCCCAGAGGGTTTGGTTTGGTAGCATCTGTAGCAGAGCATAGTCAGGGAAGTCCATCCCCCTAGGCTAGACTTGCTCCCATAGAAGACTTTAGACCTAGGGGAATTTTCAGACCTGATATCCACAGGGCAGTCTTGCCCATCAGATGAGACTGGTCTGACCTGAGCACCCCTTGGTCTGCTGGCCTCTCCCAGGGCCACAGCCTGGCCATGTCTGCTTGCAGGACAGTCTTGGGTACACTGGGGGCCTACATTAGAGCTTCTCTGCTTGTAGACTGTGCATGACCAGTGGCAAGCCCCAGTGAAGTGGCCACTACAGCCATGCATTAGTCTGCCCACTCCTTTCCCATACTGCAGCTTCCTCCAGGTCCACAGTGACTCCCCACATCACTTTGTTGGCACACGTCTGCACAGGTGGGTTTTACTTCATTGCCTCACCAGCAAATGGAAGTGCAGTTTGCCTCTCTGCTACCAACCACCATTGAAGATGGAGCCTTGGCAGGCCCAGAGGCAGCAACCATTGCCCTGTCAGCACCCTGCACTTGTACTAACACTGCAAAGAGAACAGCAGATCCTCCCCCAACCTGAAAGATCACTCTTGCTTTTGAGGCACAGAGAAAGTACCCAGACCTGCACCCACAAGCACCCTGCCCCCAAGCCAACACCACCTTCAATGCAATCACACACACCATAAAGTTAGGGGGAGGCTCCCCATCCTCCCCGCAGCTGCATTTCCTCTACCACTGTGGTAAGTACCTGCAGGAAAGCAGGAACCCCAGCACCCACTATCACTCTGTCACAGCTGCACCTCAGCAACCCCCCACCAACTGCAGTGGATCCAAACCCTGAAGAGTGAAAGTTGGGGCCAAATACTAGTCCTCCAGAGTTACAGCGCACAGTTCAGGAGTTGGGAGCTGAGTATTGGCCCCCTAAAATCACCCAGAAATGAAGCCAGTTGGCTGAATCCACCTTATACCACAATCCAACCCTCAAGGTTATCAAATAGGATAAAAGGAAAAACAAACATCCAAAGGCCAGCAATTTCAAAGATTAAAAGTAGATAAGCCCACAAAGATGAAAATGAATCAGCACAAAAATGCTCAAAATTCAAAAAGCCAGAGTACCTTCTTTTCTCCAAATGATCACATCACCTCTCCAGCAAGAGTTCTGAACCAGCCTGAGATGGCTGAAATGACAGAAATATAATTCAGAATATGGATAGGAAACAAGATCCTTGAGCTACAGGAGTACATTAAAACCCAATGCAAGGAAGCTAAAAAGTCATGGCAAACAATGCAGGAGGTGACAGACAAAATAGATAGTATAGAAAAAATGTACCTGGCCTGATAGAGGTGAAAAACACATCTACAAGAATTTCATAATACAATCACAGATGTTATTAGCAGAATAGACAAAGCAGAGGAAAGAATCTTAGAAATTGAAGACTAGCTTTCTGAAATAAGAAAGTCAGACAAGAATAGAGAAAAAAGAATACCTCATTGATGTTCCTAAAAGAGATGGGGAGAATGGATGCAACCTGCAAAACATATTCCAGGATATCATCCATGAGAAATTCTCCAATCCAGCTAGAGAGGCCAATATTCAAAATCAGGAAATGCAGACAACCCCAGTAAAATACTTTACAATAAGATCATCCCAAAGACACATAATCATCTCTAAGGTCAAAATGAAAGAAAATATATTAAAGACAACTGGAGACAAAGGTCAGGTCACCTAAAAAGGGAAGCCCTTCAGAATAACAGTGGACCTCTCAGTTGAAACCCTACAAGCTAGAAGAGATTGGAGGCCAATATCAATATTCTGTAAAAAAGGAAATTCCAATTCAGAGTTTCATATCCAGCCAAACTAAGCTTCATAAGAGAAGAAAAAATAAGATCCTTTTCAGATAAACAAATTCTGATGGAATTGTTTACCACTAGACCTGCCTTACAAGAGCTCCTGAAAGAAGCACTAAATATGGAAAGGAAAGACCATTACCACCTACTAGAAAAACACACTGAAGTACAGAAATCAGTGACACTATAAAGCAATAACATTAACAAGTCTGCAAAATAATCCTCTAACATCATGATGGTAAGATCTAATCCACACATATCAATACTAACCTTGAATGTAAATGGGTGAAATGCCCCAATTAAAAGACACACAATGGCAAGCTGGATAAAGAACCAAGATCCATTGTTATGCTGTCTTCAAGAGACCAGTGTTATGTGGAATAATACACATAGGCTCAAAATAAATGGAGGAAAATCTACCAAGCCAATGGAAAACAGAAAAAAAGGAGGGGTTACAATCCTAGTTTCTGACAAAACAGACAATAAGCCAATAAAGATCAAAAAAGACAAAAAAGGGCATTACACAATGGTAAAGGGTTCAATCCAACAAGACAACCTAACTAACTTAAATATATATGGACCCAACACAGGAGCACAGATTTATAAAGCAAGTGCTTCGAGGCCTTCAAAGAGACTTAGACTCTCACACGATAATAGTGGGAGACTTTAACATCCCATTGACAATATTATACAGATCATAGAGACAGAAAATTAAAAATCATCAAGACAGAAAATTAACAAAAATATTTAGGACATCAACTCAGCACTAAATCAAATGGACATGATATATATATACAGAATTCTTCACCCAAAAATAACAGAATATACATTTTTCTCATCACCACATGACATGTACTCTAAAATTGATAACATAATCAGAACTTAAAAACTCCTCAGCAAATACAAAAGAACTAAAATCATAACAAACAATTTCTTGGACCACAGTGCAATCAAATTAGAAATCAAGACTAAGAAATTCACTCAAAATGATACAGTTACATGGAAGTTGAATAATCTGCTCTTGAAGTACTTTTGCGACAAGAAATTAAGGCAGAAGTCCAAAAGTTATTCAAAACTAATGAGAACAAAGAGACAATGTACCAAATCTCTGGAACACCACTAAGGCAGTGTTAAGAGATAAATTTATAGCACTAAATGACCATATCAAAAGTTAGAAAGATCTCAAGTTAACAACCTGTCATTACAACTAAAAGAACTAGAGAACCAAGAGTAAACAAATCCCAAAGCTAGCAGAAGATAAGAAATAAACAAAATCAGAGCTGAACAGAAGGAAATTTAGACACACACAAAAAAGCCATTCCAAAAAACCAATGAATCCAGGAGGTGATTTTTTGAAAAAAAATTAATAAAATAGATAGACTGCTAGCTAGATTAATAAAGGAAAAAAGAGAAGACTCAAATAAACACAATGAGAAATGACAAGAGGGATATACTACTGACACCACAGAAATACAAACAAACATCAGTGAATATTATGAACACCTCTATGCACATAAACTAGAAACTATAGAAGAAATGGATAAATTCCTGGACACATACACCCTCTCAAGAACGACCCAGCAAGAAATTGAATCTCTGAACAGACCAATAACAAGGTCAAAAATTGAGTCAGTAATAAATAGTCTACCAATCAAAAAAAGACTGGGACCAGACAGATTCACAGCTGAATTCTACCAGATGTACAAAGAAGAGCTGGTGTCATTCCTGCTGAAACCAGTGCAAAAAATCAAGGAGGAGGGACTACTCCCTAACTCATTCTATGAGGCCAGCATCAACCTGATGACAAAACTTGGTAGAGATACAAAAAAAAAAAAAGAAAAAAAGAAAACTTCAGGCTAATATTCTTGATGAACATTGATGCAAAAATCCTCAACAAAATGCTGGCAAACCAAATACAGCAGCACATCAAAAAGCTTATCAGGTAGGCTTCATCCCTGGGACACAAGTCTGGTTCAACATACACAAATCAATAAATGTGGTTCATTACATAAACAGAACTAAAGACAAAAAATGCACGATTATCTCAATAGATGCAGAAAAAGGTTTTTGATAAAATTCAACACTTTTTTGTGTTAAAAAAAAAACTTTCAAGAAACTGGATATTGAACAAACGTACCACAAAATAATAAGAGCCATCTACGAAAAGCCCACAGAAAATATCGTACTGAAAGGGAAAATGCTAGAAGCATTCCCCTTGAAAATTGGCACCAGACAAAGATGCCCACTCTCACCACTACTATTCAACATAGTATTAGGAGTCCTGGACAGAACAATCAGAAAAGAGAAAGAAATAAAACACATCCAAATAGGAAGAGAGGAAGTGAAACTATCATATTTGCAGACTACATGTTTCTATATCAAGAAAGCCCCAGAGTCTAAGCCCAAAAGCTTCTTTAGCTGATAAACAACTTCAGCAAAGCCTCAGGATAAAAAATCAATGTACAAAAATCACAAGCATTCCTATACACTAATGACAGTCAATTCAAGTGCCAAATGAGGAATGCAATCTCATTCAAAATTGCCACAAAAAGAACACAATACCTAGAAATGAAGCTAACCAGGGAGGTAAAAGATCTCTACAAGAACTAAAAAACACTGCTCAAAGAAATCAGAGATGACACAAATGAATGGAAAGGCATTCCATGCTCATAGATAGGAAGAATCAATATCATGAAAATGGTCATGAGGTGGAGCCAAGATGGCCAAATAGGAACAGCTCCAGTCTACAGCTCCCAGTGTGAGCAACGCAGAAAACGGGTGATTTCTGCATTTCCACCTGAGGTACCAGGTTCATCTCACTAGGGAGTGCCAGACAGTGGGTGCAGTGCACCGTGCACGAGCCGAGAAGCAGGGCAAGGCACTGCCTCACTCGGGAAGTGCAAGGGGTCAGGGAGTTCCCTTTCCTAGTCAAAGAAAGGGGTGACAGACGGCACATGGAAAATCACATCACTTGCACCCCAATACTGTGCTTTTCCAACGGGCTTAAAAAACGGCACACCAGGAGATTATATCCTGCACCTGGCTTGGAGGGTCCTACGCCCATGGAGTTTCACTGATTGCTAGCACAGCAGTCTGAGATCAAACTGCAAGGCTGCAGTGAGGCTGGGGGAGGGGTGCCTGCCATTGCCCAGGCTTGATTAGGTAAATAAAGCAGCTGAGAAGTTTGAACTGGGTGGAGCCCACCACAGCTCAAGGAGGCCTGCCTGCCTCTGTAGGCTCCACTTCTGCGGGCAGGGCACAGACAAACAAAAAGACAGCAGTAACTTCTGCAGACTTAAATGTCCCTGTCTGACAGCTTTGAAGAGAGTAGTGGTTCGCCCAGCACGCAGCTGGAGATCTGAGAATGGGCAGACTGCCTCCTCAAGTGGGTCCCTGAACCCCGATCAGCCTAACGGGTTGGCACCCCCAAGTAGGGGCAGACTGACACCTCACATGGCCGGGTACTCCTCTGAGACAAAACTTCCAGAGGAACGATCAGGCAGCTGCATTTGTGGGTCACCAAATTCCGCTGTTCTACAGCCACCGCTGTTCTGCAGCCATCGCTGCTGACACCCAGGCAAAAAGGGTCTGGAGTGGACCTCTAGCAAACTCCAACAGACCTGCAACTGAGGGTCCTGTGTGTTAGAAGGAAAACTAACAAACAGAAAGGACATCTACACCAAAACCCATCTGTCCGTCACCATCATCAAAGACCAAAAGTAGATAAAACCACAAAGATGGGAAAAAACAGCAGAAAAACTGGAAACTCTAAAAAGCAGAGCACCTTTCCTCCTCCAAAGGAACGCAGCTCCTCACCAGCAACAGAATAAAGCTGGACGGAGAATGACTTTGATGAGTTGAGAGAAGAAGGCTTCAGATGATCAAACAACTCCAAGCTATAGGAGAAAATTCAATCCAATGGCAAAGAAGTTAGAAACCTTGAAAAAAAATTAGACAAATAGATAACTAGAATAACCAATGCAGAGAAGTCCTTAAAGGAGTTGATGGAGCTGAAAGCCAAGGCTTGAGAATTGCATGAAAAATGCAGAAGCCTCAGGAGCCAATGCAATCAACTGGAAGAAAGGATATTAGTGATGGAAGATGAAATGAATGAAATGAAGGAAGAAGGGAAGTTTAGAGAAAAAAGAATAAAAAGAAACAAATAAAGCCTCCAAAAAATATGGGACTATGTGAAAAGACCAAATCTATGTCGGATTGGTGTACCTGAAAGTGACGGGGAGAATGGAACCAAGTTGGAAAACGCTCTCCAGGATATTATCCAGGAGAACTTCCCCTATCTAGCAAGGCAGGCCAACATTCAGATTCAGTAAATACAGAGAACGCCACAAAGATACTCCTCGAGAAGAGCAACTCCAAGACCCATAATTGTCAGATTCACCAAAGTTGAAATGAAGGAAAAAATGTTAACAGCAGCCAGAGAGAAAGGTCAGGTTACCCACAAAGGGAAGCCCATCAGACTAACAGCAGATCTCTTGGCAGAAACTCTACAAGCCAGAAGAGAGAGGGGACCAATATTCAACATTGTTAAAGAAAAGCATTTTCAACCCAGAATTTCATATCCAGCCAAACTAAGCTTCATAAGTGAAGGAGAAATAAAATACTTTACAGACAAGCAAATGCTGAGAGATTTTGTCACCACCAGGCCTGCCCTAAAAGAGCTCCTGAAGGAAGCACTAAACATAGATAGGAACAACTGGTACCAGCCACTGCAAAAACATGCCAAATTGTAAAGACCATCAAGGCTAGAAAGAAACTGCATCAACTAATGAGCAAAATAACCAGCTAACATCATAATGAAAGGACCAAATTCACACATAACAATATTAACTTTAAATGTAAATGAGCTAAATACTACAATTAAAAGACACAGACTGGCAAATTGGATACAGAGTCAAGACCCATCAGTGTGCTGTATTCAGGAAACCCATCTCACTTGCAGAGACACACATAGGCTCAAACTAAAGGGGTGGAGGA
This sequence comes from Homo sapiens, assembly GCF_000001405.40. Lineage (NCBI taxonomy): Eukaryota > Metazoa > Chordata > Mammalia > Primates > Hominidae > Homo > Homo sapiens. Next base: position 98,408,877 of record NC_000003.12, read on the forward strand.
AGATCTACCAAGCAAATGGAAAACAAAAAAAGGCAGGGGTTGCTATCCTAGTCTCTGATAAAACAGACTTTAAACCAACAAAGATCAAAACAGACAAAGAAGGCCATTACATAATGGTAAAGGGATCAATTCAACAAGAAGAGCTAACAATCCTAAATATATATGCACCCAATACAGGAGCACCCAGATTCATAAAGCAAGTCCTGAGTGACCTACAAAGAGACTTAGACTCCCACACAATAATAATGGGAGACTTTAACACCCCACTGTCAACATTAGACAGATCAACGAGACAGAAAGTTAACAAGGATACCCAGGAATTGAACTCAGCTCTGCACCAAGCGGACCTAATAGACATCTACAGAACTCTCCACCCCAAATCAACAGAATGTACATTTTTTTCAGCACCACACCACACCTATTCCAAAGTTGACCACATAGTTGGAAGTAAAGCACTCCTCAGCGAATGTAAAAGAACAGAAATTATAACAAACTGTCTGTCAGACCACAGTGTAATCAAACAAGAACTCAGGATTAAGAAACTCACTCAAAACTGCTCAACTACATGGAAACTGAACAACCTGCTCCTGAATGACTACTGGGTACATGACGAAATGAAGGCAGAAATAAAGATGTTCTTTGAAACCAATGAGAACAAAGACACAACATACCAGAAACTCTGGGACACATTCAAAGCAGTGTGTAGAGGGAAATTTATAGCACTAAATGCCCACAAGAGAAAGCAGGAAAGATCCAAAATTGACACCCTAACATCACAATTAAAAGAACTAGAAAAACAAGAGCAAACACATTCAAAAGCTAGCAGAAGGCAAGAAATAACTAAGATCAGAGCAGAACTGAAGGAAATAGAGACACATAAAACCCTTCAAAAAATCAATGAATCCAGGAGCTGGTTTTTAGAAAAGATCAACAAAATTGATAGACTGCTAGCAAGACTAATAAAGAAGAAAAGAGAGAACAATCAAATAGATGCAATAAAAAATGATAAAGGGGATGTCACCACTGATCTCACAGAAATATAAACTACCATCAGAGAATACTACAAACACCTCTACGCAAATAAACTAGAAAATCTAGAAGAAATGGATAAATTCCTCGACACATACAACCTCCCAAGACTAAACCAGGAAGAAGTTGAATCTCTGAATAGACCAATAACAGGATCTGAAATTGTGGCAATAATCAATATTTTACCAATCAAAAAAAGTCCGGGACCAGAAGGATTCACAGCCAAATTCTACCAGAGGTACAAGGAGGAGCTGGTACCCTTCCTTCTGAAAATATTCCAATCAATAGAAAAAGAGGGAATCCTCCCTAACTCATTTTATGAGGCCAGCATCATCCTGATACCAAAGCCTGGCAGAGACACAACCAAAAAAGAGACTTTTAGACCAATATCCTTGATGAACATCAATGCAAAAATCCTCAATAAAATACTTGCAAACCATATCCAGCAGCACATCAAAAAGCTTATCCACCATGATCAAGTGGGCTTCATCCCTGGGATGCAGGCTGGTTCAACATTCGCAAATCAATAAATGTAATCCAGCATATAAAGAGAACCAAAGACAAAAACCACATGATTATCTCAATATATGCAGAAAAGGCCTTTGACAAAATTCAACAATGCTTCATGCTAAAAACTCTCAATAAATTAGGTATTGATGGGACATATCTCAAAATATTGAGAGCTATCTATGACAAACCCACAGCCAATATCATACTGAATGGGCAAAAACTGGAAGCATTCTCTTTGAAAACTGGCACAAGACAGGGAGGCCCTCTCTCACAGCTTCTATTCAACATAGTGTTGGAAGTTCTGGCCAGGGCAATTAGGCAGGAGAAGGAAATAAAGGGTATTCAATAAGGAAAAGAGGAAGTCAAATTGTCCCTGTTTGCAGATGGCATGATTGTGTATCTAGAAAACCCCATTGTCTCAGCCCAAAATCTCCTTAAGCTGATAAGCAACTTCAGCAAAGTCTCAGGATACAAAATCAATGTACAAAAATCACAAGCATTCTTATACACACATAACAGACAAACAGAGAACCAAATCATGAGTGAACTCCCATTCACAATTGCTTCAAAGAGAATAAAATACCTGGGAATCCAACTTACAAGGGATGTGAAGGACCTCTTCAAGGAGAACTACAAACCACTCCTCAATGAAATAAAAGAGGATACAAATAAGTGGAAGAACATTCCATGCTCATGGGTAGGAAGAATCAAGATCGTGAAAATGGCCATACGGCCCAAGGTAATTTACAGATTCAAAGCCATCCCCATCAAGCTACAAATGACTTTCTTCACAAAATTGGAAGAAACTACTTTAAAGTTCATATGGAACCAAAAAAGAGCCCACATTGCCAAGTCAATCCTAAGCCAAAAGAACAAAGCCGGAGGCATCACGCTACCTGACTTCAAACTATACTATAAGGCTACAGTAACCAAAACAGCATGGTACTGGTACCAAAACAGATATATAGATCAATGGAACAGAAACAGAGCCCTCAGAAATAATGCCACTTATCTACAATCATCTGATCTTTGACAAACCTGAGAAAAACAAGCAATGGGTAAAGGATTCCCTATTTAATAAATGGTGCTGGGAAAACTGGCTAGCCATATGTAGAAAGCTGAAACTGGATCCCTTCCTTACACCTTATACAAAAATTAATTCAAGATGGATTAAAGACTTACATGTTAGACCTAAAACCATAATAACCCTAGAAGAAAACCTAGGCAGTACCATTCAGGACATAGGCATGGCCAAGGACTTCATGTCTAAAGCACCAAAAGCAATGGCAACAAAAGCCAAAATTGACAAATGGGATCTAACTAAACTAAAGAGCTTCTGCACAGCAAAAGAAACTACCATCAGGGTGAACAGGCAACCTACAAAATGGGAGAAAATTTTCACAACCTACTCATCTGACAAAGGGCTAATATCCAGAATCTACAATGAACTCAAACAAATTTACAAGAAAAAAACAACCCCATCAAAAAGTGGGCGAAGGACTTGAACAGACACTTCTCAAAAGAAGACATTTATGCAGCCAGAAAACACATGAAAAAATGTCATCATCGCTGGCCATCTGAGAAATCAAAACCACAATGCGATACCATCTCACACCAGTTAGAATGGCAATCATTAAAAAGTCAGGAAACAACAGGTGCTGGAGAGGGTGTGGAGAAATAGGAACACTTTTACACTGTTGGTGGGACTGTAAACTAGTTCAACCATTGTGGAAGTCAGTGTGGCGATTCCTCAGGGATCTAGAACTAGAAATGCCATTTGATCCAGCCATCCCATTACTGGGTATATACCCAAAGGATTATAAATCATGCTGCTATAAAGACACATGCACACGTATGTTTATTGCGGCACTATTCACAATAGCAAAGACTTGGAACCAACCCAAATGTCCAACAATGATAGACTGGATTAAGAAATGTGGCACATATACATCATGGAATACTATGCAGCCATAAAAAATGATGAGTTCATGTCCTTTGTAGGGACATGGATGAAACTGGAAACCACCATTCTCAGCAAACTATCACAAGGACAAAAAACCAAACACCGCATATTCTCACTCATAGGTGGGAATTGAACAATGAGATCACATGGACACAGGAAGGGGAACATCACAATCCGGGGCCTGTTGTGGGATGGAGGGAAGGGGGAGGGATAGCATTAGGAGATATACCTAATGTTAAATGATGAGTTAATGGGTGCAGCACACCAACATGGCACATGTACATATGTAACAAACCTGCACATTGTGCACATGTACCCTAAAACTTAAAGTGTAATAATAATAAAAAAATTAAAAAAAATGGTCATATGGCCCAAAGCAATTTATAGATTCAATGCTATTCTTATCATTTGATTCTTCACAGAACTAGAAGAAAACATTTTAAAATTCATAGGGAACTGCAAAAGAGCCTGACTAGCAAAGGCAATTCTAATCAAAAATAACAAAGCTGGAGACATCACACTACCCAACTTCAAACTATACTACAGGGCTCTAGTAACCAAAACAGCATGGTACTGGTACAAGACCAGAAACATACCAATGGAACAGAATAAAGAACGCCTGAATTAGACCACACACCTACAACCATCTGATCTTTGACGGTTCTGACAAAAACAGGCAACAGGTAAAGGATTACTTTTTCAGTAAATGGTGCTGGGATAACTGGGTAATCATATACAGAAAATTGAGCCTGGGCTCCTTCCTCACACCACATACAAAAATTAATATGGATTAAAAACTTAAATGTAAAACCCAAAACTATAAAAATTCTGGAAGACAACTTAGGCAATACCATCCAGGATATAGGAATGAGCAAAGGTTTCATGATGAAGACACTGAAAGCAATTGCAACTAAAGCAAAAAATTGACAAATGGGATCTAATTAAAAGACCTTCTGCACAGCAAAAGAAACTAACAACAGAGTAAATAGGCAACCTATGAAATGGGAGAAAATTTTTGTGATCTATGCATCTGACAAAGGTCTAATATACAGCATCTATAAGGAACTTAAACAAATTTGCAAAAAAAAAAAACATTAAAAAGTGGGCAAAAGACATAAATGGACACTTCTGAAAAGAAGACACATGTGGCCAAAAATAATAGAAAAAAAGGCTCACCATCACTGGTCATTAGAAAAACACAAATCAAAACCTCAATGAGATACCATCTCACACCGGTCAGAATGGCTATTACTAAAAAGTCAAAAACCAACAGATGCTGGCAAGGTTGTGGAGAAAAAAGAATGCTTTGACACTGTGGGTGGGAGTGTAAATTAGTTCAACCATTGTGGAAGACAGTGTGACAATTCATCAAAGACCTAGAGGCAGAAATACTATCTGATCCAGCAATCCCAATACTGAGTATATATCCAAAGTGATATAAATTGTTCTATTAAAAACATGCACAAGTATGTTCACTGCAGCACTGTTCACAATAGCAAAGATGTGGAATCAACCTAAATTTCCATCAATTATAGAAGAAAGTAGAGGGAATCAAAGCAGTCAGCCCAGCTGAGCTCCACTTGGAGCCAGGGAGAATTCCCCATTGTGGAGAAAAGATAAATGAGAGATCCCCAGCAGTCCACATTCCCACTGTAGACTCCTGAAATGATATCTTTTTTCAAGATGCATGTGAAATGTTACCCATCCCATGAAGCTTTTCCTGATTATGTGGAAGAATATAGGAACGTTCACTCATTTGAAACAATTCGTAGTTTATTTATGCTTCTTTTTTTAAATGTTCAACTTTTATTTTAAGTTTAGGGGTACATGTGCAGGATGTGCAGGTTTGTTACATAGGTAAACATGTGTCATTGTGGTTTGCTGCCCAGATTATCCCCATCATCCAGTTATTAAGCCTAGCATCCACTAGCTATTCTTCCTGATCCTCTCCCTCCTCCTACCTCCCACCCTCTGACAGGCCCCAGTGTGCATGTTTTTCCCCCATGTGTCCATGTGTTCTCATCCTTTAGCTCCCTCTTGTAAGTGAGAACATGTGGTATTTGGTGTTCTGTTCCTGCATTAGCCTGCTAAGGTTAATGGCCTCCAGCTCCACCCATGTTCCTGCAAAGAACAAGATCTCATTCCGGGGCTGTATAGTATTCCATAGTATACATGTACCACATTTTGTTTATTCAGTCTATCATTGATGATACGACTCCTCAGCCCTCATGGGCTCTGAGACCAGTATTAGTAGCTTCCTGGAGTCCATGGCAGTCCAATAATACTATCAAGTACTGTTTCAGACAGTGCATTCATGACAGATTTCACACAACCCTCAAAACCAAGCAGCTGTAGTAAAACACCACCCCCAGCAGCAGAGCTGCCTTGCACCTCCACGCACCTTTAGGAGGCCTGAGTATGGGCCTCTCTGCATATCATCTAGGTGCCTGAGGACAGGTCCACCTCAGCCACTGCCATTAATGTCATCATGTTCCATCTGGGGTCCTGACAGACCTGCCCAGCTTGCCACTGCTGCTGCCACCTACACATGTTGTCTGAGGGTCTGGGAATTGTTCCACCCTAACCACCATTAGAGATACCTGCCAGCACCTTCTAAGTACCTCTGTGCAATGTTTTCACTACAAATAAACATCATTTTATAGAGGTAAACAATAAAAAAGAAAAAGGAACAGAGAATATACAAAATAATCAGAAAACAATGAACAAAATTGACAGAAGTAAGATCTCCTCTATCATCAAAAACCTTGAATGTGAACAATTTATATTCCCAAATTAAAAGATATAGTCTGGCCAAATGGATGGTGACTGTTTGGAAGTGTGTCCCCACCTAAATCTCATGAGGAAATGTCACCCCCAATGTTGAATGTGGGTTCTGGTGGGGGGTGGTTGAATCTTGGGGGAAATTTTCTCATGAATGGTTTATCAACATCCCTCTTTGTACTGTCCTCATGACAGTGAGTGAGTTCCCATGAAATCTGATCATTTAAAAGTGTGTAGCATCTCCGCCACTCGCTCTCTTCCTTCTGCTCCCACCATGAGAGATGCCTGCTCCCCCTTCACCTTCTGCCATGATTGCAAGCTTCCTGAGGCCTCCCCAGAAGCAGGTGCTAGCATTATGCTTCCTGTACAGCCTTCAGAATCATGAGTGAATTAAACCTCTTTTCTTTTAAATTACCCAGTCTCAGGTATTCTTTATAGCAGTGCAAGAATGAACTAATATAGATGGGGAAAAAATTATATCCTGCCTTTAAGAAACTCACTTCACCTGCAAAGATATACAAGGACTGAAAGTGAAGGGATGGGAAAAATATTTCATGCAAATGGAAACAAAAAGTATGCAAGAGAAGCTATAATTATAACAGACAAAATTGAAATTCAGTCAGAAAAACATAAAAAGTGACAAAGAGGTCACTATATTATGATAAAAATTGAATTCACCAGAGATATGTAACAATTCAAATATATATGCACCCAAAATTGCAGAACCCAGATATACAAAGCAAATATAATTAGAACCACTGAGAGAGACCCCAATAAAATAATAGTTGGAGAATTCAACATCCAACTTTCAATATTGGACAGATCATCTAGACAGAAAATTGACAAAGAAACATTGGATTTAAACTTCACTTTAGACCAAATGAACCTAACAAACACTTATAGAATATTTCTCCCAACAGCTACAGAATACACATTTTTCTCCTCATCACATGGAACACTTTTCAGGCTAGGCAATATGTTAGGCCACAAAAAAAAACTTCAACAAAAATTGTTAAAAAAAATCATATCAAGTAACTTTGAGAATATAATAGAATAAAATTCAATATTAACAAGAGGAACTTTGGAAACTGAGCAAATACATAGAAATTAAACAACATGTTCCTGAATGACCACTGAGTCAAAGAAGAAATTACAAAGGAAATCAAAAAAATGTTAGCAACAAATACAAATGAAAAGGCAGAAACAGAAAATAAAATACCCCATATTCTCACTTGTAAGTGGGAGCTAAACACTGAGTACACATGGACATAAAGATGAGAACAATAAACACTGGGGAATACAAGAGAGGAGGAGACGGGGAGAGAACAAGGGCTGAAAAACTTCATCTTGGGTCCTGGGAGATGGATTCATTCTTACTCCAAACTTCAGCATCATGCAAGCAATATACCTTTGTAACAAACCTGCACATGTGCCCCCGAACCTATAATAAAAGTTGAATAAAAACCACAATATATTGAAACTAGAGGGATACCATCAATGCAGAATTTTGAGGGAAGTTTATACCAGTAAATTACAACACTAAAACAATTGAAATGTTTCAAATAAACAACCCAACAACACACCTCAAGAGCTAGAAAAGCAAAACCAAAATTATAGAAGAAAAGAAATAATAAAAAGCAAAGCACACTAAACAAAATAGAAAACAAAATGAAAAGTATATTTTTGGAAAAGATAAAATTAATATACTTTAGCTATACTAACCAAGAATAAAGAGAGAAGACTCAAATAAATAAAATCAGAAGTGAAAAAGGTGACATTACAACTTATATCACAGAACTACAAAGGGTTGTTAGAGAAAATTACAAACAAATATATATTTGTTTGTAATTTTTTTTTCTTTTTTCTTATACTTTAAGTTCTAGGGTACATGTGCACAACGTGCAGGTTTGCTACATATGTATACAGGTGCCGTGTTGGGTTGCTGCACCCATTAACTCGTCATTTAGCATTAGGTATATCTCCTAATGCTATCCCTCCCCCATCCCCCTACTCCATGACAGACCCCGGTGTGTGATGCCCCTGCCCTGGGTCCAAGTGTTATTGTTCAATTCCCACCTATGAGTGAGAACATGCAGTGTTTGGTTTTCTGTCCTTGTGATAGTTTGCTCCAAATGATGATTTCCAACTTCATCCACGTCCCTGCAAAGGACATGAACTCATCCTTTTTTATGGCTGCATAGTATTCCATGGTGTATATGTGCCACATTTTCTTAATCTAGTCTATCATTGATGGACATTTGGGTTGGTTCCAAGTCTTTGCTATTGTGAATAGTGCCACAATAAACATATGTGTGCATGTGTCTTTATAGCAGCATGATTTATAGTCCTTTGGGTATATACCCAGTAATGGGATCACTGGGTCAAATGGCATTTGTAGTTCTAGATCCTTGAGGAATCACCACACTATCTTCTACAATGGTTGAACTAGTTTACACTCCCACCAACAGTGTAAAAGTGTTCCTATTTCTCCACATCCTCTCCAGCATCTGTTGCTTCTTGACTTTTTAATGATCTCCATTCTAACTGGTGTGAGATGGTATGTCACTGTGGTTTTGATTTGTATTTCTCTGATGGCCAGTGATGATAAGCATTTTTTCATGTGTCTGTTGGCTTCATAAATGTCTTCTTTTAAAAAGTGTCTGTTCATATCCTTTGCCCACTTTTTGATGGAGTTGTTTGATTTTGTCTTGTAAATTTGTTTAAGTTCTTGTAGATTCTGGATATTAGCCCTTTGTCAGATGAGTAGATTGCAAAAATTTTCTCCCATTCTGTAGGTTACCTGTTCACTCTGATGGTAGTTTCTTTTGCTGTGCAGAAGCTCTTTAGTTTAATTAGATCCCATTTGTCAATTTTGGCTTTTGTTGCCATTGCTTTTGATGTTTTAGTCATGAAGTCCTTGCCCATGCGTATGTCCTGAATGTTATTGCCTCGGTTTTCTTCTAGGGTTTTTATGGTTTTAGGTCTAACATTTAAGTTTTTAATCTACCTTGAATTAATTTTTGTATAAGGTGTAAGGAAGGGATCCAGTTTCAACTTTCTACATATGGCTAGCCAGTTTTCCCAGCACCATTTATTAAATAGGGAATCCTTTACCCATTGCTTGTTTTTGTCAGTTTTGTCAAAGATCTGATGGTTGTAAATGTGTGGTGTTATTTCTGAGGCCTCTATTCTGTTCCATTGGCCTATATCTCTGTTTTGGCCCCAGTACCATGCTGTTTTGGTTACTGTAGCCTTGTAGTATAGTTTGAAGTCAGGTAACCTGATGCCTCCAGCTTTGTTCTTTTGGTTTAGGATTGTCTTGGCAATGCGGGCTCTTTTTTGGTTCCATATGAACTTTAAAGTCGTTTTTTCCAGTTCTGTGAAGAAAGTCATTTGTAGCTTGATGAGGATGGCAGTGAGTCTGTAAATTACCTTGGGCAGTATGGCCATTTTCACAATATTGATTCTTCCTATCCATGAGCATGGAATGTTCTTCCATTTCAAACAAACATATCTTAACAAATTAGAAACTCTTGAGGAAATTGATACATTACAGGATACATACAAACTACAAGGATTGAATCAGGAAGAAATAGAAAACCTGAAGAAATCAATAATGAGTAAGGAGATCGAATCAATAATAAAAATCTCCCCCACCAAAAAGTCCAAGAACAGATGGCTTTACTTCTGAATTCTACCAAACATATATAGAAGAACTAACATGTACAAACTTCTCAAAGTGTTCCCCAAAATTTGAAGGACAGGGAACTCTTTATACATTTTTCTATGAATCAAGCATTATCCTAATACCAACACAGACAAGAACACACCACCACCAGAAACAAAACAAGCCAAACCAAACACAAAGGCCCCTACAGGCCAATATCCCTGCTGAGCATAGGTACAAAATTCATTTTTAAAAAAAATCACCAAACTAAATCCAATAACATATCAAAAAGATAATGCACCATGATCAAGTGGAATTTATCTCGGGGATACAAGGATGATTCAACATAGGCAAATCAATAAATCTGATGCATCACACCAACAACTAAAGAACAACTGATCATTTCACTTGATTCAGAAAACGCATTTAATAAAATTCCCTTTGTAATTAAAACTCTCTACAAATTATACATAGAAGGAACATACTTTAACATAATAAAGGCTATATATGATAAACCCACTTCTAGCATCATACTGAATGAGGAGAATCTGGAGCCATTCCCTAAGAACAAAAACAAGGATGTCCACTTTTCCCATTTTAATTCAACATGGTACCGCAAGTCCTAGCAAAAGCAATGAGAAAAGAGAAAGAAATAATGGTATTTAAATCGGAAATTGGGAGTCAAATTGTTCCTCTCTGCATATGGCATGGTTTTATATACAGAAAAATCTAAAACATCACAAAAAAACTCTTAGAACTGTGAACAAATTCAGTAAAGTTTCAGGATACAAATTTAATAGAAAAAATTAGTAGCATGTCTAATCATTGGTAATTAACTAGATGAAAGAGAAATCAAGAAAAAAATCCCATTTACAATAGCTTCAAAAAGTAAGAATAAATATAAACAGGAAGGTGAAAATTCTTTATAAGAAAAACTAGAAAACATTGATGAAAGTTGAAGAGGACACAAACAAATGGAAAGACAATCCATGTTCATGGGTTGGAAAAATTAATATTGTTGACATGATCAAACTACCCAAAGTAATCAACAGATTCAATGCCATCCCTATCAAAATACAAAAGATATTCTTTACAAAAATAGTACAAGCAATCCTAAAATTTGTATGGCACCACAAAATAACTTGAATAGCCAAAGCAATTTGATTAAAAAGAACAAAGCTTTAGGCATTACACTACCTGACTTTAAAATATACTACAAATCTTTACTAATCAAGACATCATGGCATTGGTATAAAAGCAGACACATAAACCAATGAAGCAGAATAAAGAACTTAAAATAAGTCCACATATTGACAATCAACCGATATTTGACAAAGGTGCCAAGAACATCCATTGGGGAAAAGATATCCTCTTTAACAAATATTGCTAGGAAAACTGGATATCTATATGCAGAAAAATAAACCTAGACCCCATATTTTCATCATATACAAAAATCACTCAAAATATGTAACAACTAAAATGTAACACTCAAACCTATTTTTTAAAACTAGAAGAAAACATAGGGAAAACACTTTGGGATATTTGCAAAAATTTTATGGCTAGGACCTCAAATGCACACACAGTTAAAAAAAAAATAAAGAAATGGGACAGGAAAGCTGAAAAGCTTCTGCACAGCAAAGGAAAGGACATAATCTACCAAGTGAAGAGACATCTGTGGAATGGGAGGAAGTATTTGCAAACTATATTTCCATCAGAAGACCAATATCTAGCATATACAAAGAACTCAAACAAAAATACATCAAAAACCAATAATCTCATTAAAAAGTGGGCAAAAGATTTGAATAAACATTTATCAAAAGAAGACATCCAAATGGCCAACAGGTATATGAAAAAATACTCAATATCACTAGTTATCAGGGAAAAGCAAATCAAAACTACAATGAGATGTCATCTAATCCCAGTTAGAATGCTGTTATCAAAAAGACAAGAAATAACACATGAAGATAAAAATGTGGAGAAGTGGGAACTCTTACATATTGCTAGGGGAAATGTAAATTAGTATAGCCATTATAGAAAACAGTACGAGGGTTTCTCAAAACCTAAAAATCTGACTACCATGTGTTCCAACTATCTCACTACTGGACATTTATCCAAAAGAAAAGAAAAGGGTATATCAAAGGTATATACTCATTTTAGGATTGCCTGTACTATTTTTGTAAAGAATATCTTGCACTCGTATGTTTATTGCAGTACTATTCACAAAAGCTAAGCTATTGTATCAACCTATGTGCCCATCAATGGATGAAAAAAGAAAATGTGGGGAGATCATAGGATCGTGGTGGATGGGAGGCAGGACTAGATTGCAGCTCTGACTCAGACAGACAGAGCAGTGTGTGGAGGCTCGCATCATGAATTTTTGCAGGAATAAATCAGGAAATCTGAGAGGACCCACAGACCCTCTGAAGGAAGTAGATTGCTCCTGCAGGACTCAGGAGACACCCCATATTCTGTGAGTGCCCAAACTGTAAAAGTGGGAAAGGAAGATTGTCCACCCCAGAACACACACCCTCACTGGGGAAACCGAAGTTCTAGATTATGGGAGGAGATTCTGACCTTAACTGGAACTGAATCAATTTAGAGAGCTTAGCAAAATACAGGGGTAGAGGAAGCAGCAGGAAAAGCCCTGTGACCTTGCTGGGTCACCTAGCAAACCATTTCTGCCTGGCCTCACAGGGGTCCTTCAGAAGGGCAGCCAGAGGTACTGGAAAAAGGCCACTGGGAGAAGGAAATCTCCACTGAACTTTGGAACAATTTGTACTGATCGAGAAGTCTCCTGGCCAGAACTCAGGGGAGGGCATGAATCTGGTGTGCAGACTCCACAGGCAGAGGAAGAAGGTAAGCCATACTTGCTTTTGCAGCTGGGGGGCAGGTAGCCTGGAGCAAGTTCTCAGCCCCGCTTACTCACTGCCTGGAAACAGACTTGGTGCTGTTGGTGGGGGCACAGAGGGAGTGAGACTGGCCCTTTGGATTGTGTGGGAACTGGATGAGGTCTGTGACTGATGGCTTTCCCCCACTTCCCTGACAACCAGCATGACACCATAGAGACAGCCATAATTCTCCCAGGAACATAACTCAAGTGACCGGGGAACCTCACCCCTATCCCCCACAGCAGCCACAGCAAGACCCACCCAAGGAGAATCTGAGCTCAGACATGCCTAGCCCTGCTCCCACCCATGGTCCTTCCCTTCCCACCCTGGTAACTGAAGACAAAGGGCATATACTTTTGGGAATTCTGGGGACCCACCTACCATCTGTTCCTCCCCATACTACTACAGCTGATGGTCTCTGGACAGTACCACTTCCTGGCAGGAAGCCAACCAACACAAAAATAGTGCATTAAACCACCAAAGCTAAGAACTCTCACAGAGTTCATTTCACCCCCATGCCACCTCCACTTGAATGGGTTCTGGTATCCATGGCTGAGAGACCTACAGAAAGTTTACATCAAGGACTGTGCAGACAACCCCCAGTACCAGCCTGGAGCCTGGTAGACTTGCTGGATGGCTAGATCCAGAAGAGAGACAACAATCACTACAGCTCAGCTCTCAGAAAGCCACATCCATAGGAAAAGGAGGAGAGTACTATATCAAGGGAACATGCCAGGGGACAAAAGAATCTGAACCACAGCCTTCAGCCCTAGACCTTTCCTCTGACAGAGCCAGAGGAAACTGGAAAAGAAACCAGAAAACCAACTCTGGTAATATGACAAAACAAGGTTCTTTAACACCCCCCAAAAATTGCAATAGCTCACTGTCAATGGATCCAAACCAAGAAGAAATCCCTAATTTACCTGAAAAAGAATTCAGGAAGTTAGTTATTAAGCTAATCAGGGAGACAGCAGAAAAAGATGAAGGCCAATGTAAGGGAAAAAAAAAAGATATCAGAAGTGAAGAGAGAAATATTCAACAAAGTAGATAGCATAAATAAAAAACAATCAAAACTTTAGGAAACAATTGACACACTTATAGAAATGCAAAATGCTGTGGAAAGTCTCAGCAATATAATCAAACAAGTAGAAGAAGCAAATTCAGAGTTCGAAGAAAAGGCCTTTGAATTAACCCAATCCAACAAAGACAAAGAAAAAAGAATAAGAAAATATGAACAAAGCCTCCAAGAAGTCTGGAATTATGTTAAATGACAAAACCTAAGAATAATTGGTATTCCTGAGGAAGAATAGAAATCTAAGAGTTTGGAAAATATATTTGGGGGAATAATAAAGGAAAACTTCTCCAGCTTTGCTAGAGACCTAGACATCCAAATATAAGAAGCACAAATTCATTGCAAAAAGATCATCACCTAGGTAAATTGTCATCAGGTTATCTAAAGTTAAGATGAAGGAAAGAAACTTAAGAGCTGTGAGATGAAAGCACCAGGTAACCTATAAAAGAAAACCTATCAGATTAATAGTCGGTTTCTCAGAAGAAACTCTACAAGCTTGAGGACATTGGGGCCCTATCTTTAGCCTCCTCAAACAAAACAATTATCAGCTAAGAATTTTGTATCCAGAAAAACTTTCATATATAAAGGAAAGATACAGTCATTTTCAGACAAACAAATGCTGAGAGAATTCACCACTACCAAGCCACCACTACAAGAACTGCTAAAAGGAGCTCTAAATCTTGAAACAAATCCTGGAAACACATCAAAACCAAACCTTTTTAAGTATAAATCTCACAGAACCTATAACACAAAAATACAATTTAAAAAACAAAATTGTAAAAATACAATTTAAAAAAACAAAAAACCAAGGTATACAGAAAACAAATAGCACAATGAATGGAATGGTACCTCATATCTCAATGCTAACATTGAATGTAAATGGCCTAAATGCTCCACTTAAAAGATACAGAATTGCAGAATGGATAAGAATTCTCCAACCCAACTATCTGTTGCCTTCAAAAGACTCACCTAGCATATAAGGACTCACATAACTCACATAAACTTAAGGTAAAGGGGTGGAAGAAGACATTTCATATAAATGGACACTAAAAGTGAGCAGGAGTAGCTATTCTTATATCAGACAAAACGAACTTTAAAGCCACAGCAGTTAAAAAAAAAAAGACAAAGAGGGACATTATATAATGATGAAAGGCCTTGTCCAACAGGAAAATATCACAATCCTTGTCCAACGGGAAAATTTCACAATCCTAAACATATATGCACCTAATACTGGAGCTCCCAAATTTATAAAACAATTACTAATACACCTAAGAAATGAGATAGACAGCAACACAATAATATTATTGTGTTGGTAATAATAGGGCACTTCAATACTCCACTGACCACACTAGACAGGTCATCAAGACAGAAAGTCAACAAAGAAACAATAGATTTAAACTATACCCTGGAAAAAATGGACTTAATGGATACAAACAGAACATTCCATCCAACAACCACAGAATATACATTCTATTCAACAGTCAATGGAACTTTCTTCAAGATAGACCATATGATAGGCCACAAAATGAGCCTCAATAAATTTTAAAAAGTTGAAATTACATCAAGCACTCTCTCAGACCAGAGTGGAATAAAACTGGAACTCAACTCCAAAAGCAACCTTCAAAACCAGGCAAATGCATGGAAATTAAATAACCTGCTCCTGAATGATCATTGGGTCAAAAGTGAAATCAAGATGGAAACTTAAAAATTATTTGAACTGAATGACAATAGTGACACAACCTATCAACACCTCTGGGATACAGCAAAGGCAGTGCTAAGAGGAAAGTTCATAGCCCTAAACACGTACACTGAAGTGTCTGAAGGAGCACAGACAATCTAAGGCCACACTTCAAGGAACTAGAGAAACAAGAACAAACCAAACCCAAACCCAAACCCAGCAGAAGAAAGGAAATAACCAAGATAAGAGCAGAACTAAATGAAATTGCAACAACAAAAATTACAAAAGCTAAATGAAATGAAAGCTAGTTCTTTGAAAAGATAAATAAAATTGATAGACCATTAGCAAAAATAACCAAGAAAAGAAGAGAGAAAATCCAAATAAGTTCAATAAGAAATGAAACAGGAGATATTACAACTGACATCACAGAAATACAAAAGATCATTCAAACCTACTATGTACTTTTTTTTGCACACAAACTAGAAAACCTAGAAGAGATGGATAAATTCCTGGAAAGATACAGCCCTCCTAGATTAAATAAAAAGGAATTTGATACCCTGAAAACACCAATAACAAGCAGCAAATTTGAAATGGTAATTTAAAAATTACCAACAAAAAAAAGGTCCAGAGCCACACAGATTCATAACAGAATTCTACCAGATAATCAGTGAAAAATTGGTACCAATCTATTGACACTATTACACAAGATAGAGAAAGGGGGAACCCTCCCTAGATCATTTTATGAAGCCAGTATCACCCTAATACAAAAACCAGGAAAGGATATAAACAAGAATGAAAACCACAGACCAATATCCTTGATGAATACAGATGCTAAAATCCTTAACAAAATACTGGCTAACAGAATCCAACAACATATCAAAAAGATAATCCACCATAAGCAAGTGGATTTTATACCAGGGATGCAGGGATGGTTTAACATATGCAAGTCAATAAATGTGGTACACCACATTAACAGTATTAAAAACAAAAATTATATAATCATCTTGATAGATGCAGAAAAAGCATTCAAAAAATCCAGCATCTCTTTATGATTAAAACTCAGCAAACTTGGCATACAAGGGATATACCTCAATGTAATAAAAGCCATCTATGACAAAGCCACAGTCAACATAATACTGAATGGGGATAACTTGAAAGCATTCCCTCTGAGAACTGGAACAAGACCAGAATGCCCACTGTCACCACTCCTCTCCAACCTAGTACTGAAAGTCCTAGCCATGGCAATCAAAAAAGAGAAAGAAATAAAGGGCATCCAAATCAGTAAAGAGGAAGTCAAACTGTTGCTGTTTGCTGATTATATGACTGTTTGTCTAGAAAACCCTAAAGACTCCTCCTAGAACTGATAAAAAAAATTCAGCTTCTAGAACTGATAAAAGAATTCAGCAAAGTTTCTGGATACAAAATTAATGTACACAAATCAGTAGCTCTTCTGCACACCAACAGCAACCAAGCTGAGAATCAAATTATGAACTCAATTCTTCTTACAATAGCTGAAAAAAAAAAAAAAAAACTTTGGAATCTACCTAACCAAGGAGGTGAAAGACCTCTACAAGGAAAACTACAAAAACACTGTCGAAAGAAATCATAGACAACGCAAACAAATGAAAACACATCACATGCTTATGGATGGGTAGAATCAATATTGTGAAAATGACCACACTGCCAAAAGCAATCTACAAATTCAACGCAATTACCATCAAAATACCACCATCATGCTTCACAGAATTAGAAAAAAGCAATTTTAAAATTCATATGAAACCAAAAAAGAACCCACATAGCCAAAGCAAGACTAAGCAAGAAGAACAAATCTGGAGGCATCACATTACCTGATTTCAAACTATATTATAAGACCATAGTCACCAAAACAGCATGGTACTGGTATAAAAATAGGTACACAAACCAATGAAACAGAATAGAGAATCCAGAAATAAACCCAAATACTTACAGCCAACTGATCTTCGACAAAGCAAAGAAAAACATAAAGTGGGGAAAGGACACCCTATTCAACAAATGGTGCTGGGATAATTGGCTAGCCACATGTAGGAGAATGAGTCTGAATCCTCATCTCTCACCTTATACAAAAATCAACTCAAGATGGATTAAGGACTTAAATCTAAGACTGAAACTATAAAAATGCTAGATAACACTGGAAAAACACTTCTAGACGTTGGCTTTGGCAAGGATTTCATGACCAAGGACCCAACAGCAAATGCAATAAAAACCAAAGATAAATAGATGGGACCTAATTAAGCTAAAGAGCTTTTCCACAGCAAAAGGAACGGTCAAGATAGTAAACAGACAACCCATAAAGTGAGAGAAAATCTTCACAATCTATACCCTTGGCAAAGGACTAATATCCAGAATCTACAACAAACTCAAACAAATCAGCAAGAAAAAAACAAACAAAAAATCCCATCAGAAAGTGGGCTAAGGACATGAATAAACAATTCTCAAAAGAAGATATACAAATGGCCAAAAAATATGAAAAATGCTCAACATCACTAATAATCAGGGAAATGCAAATGAAAACCACAATGTGATACCACGTTACTCCTGCAAGAATGGTCATAATCAAAAAGCAAAAAATAGTAGATGTTGGTGTGGATGCAGTGAACAGGAAACACTTCTACACTGCTGGTGGGAATGTAAACTAGTACAACCACTATGGAAAATGGTGTGGTGATTCCTTAAAGAACTAAAAGTAGAACTACCATTTGAACCAGCAATCCTACTATTGGGTATCTACCAGAGGAAAAGAAGCCATTATACAAAAAAGATACTTGCACACGCATGTTTATAGCAGCACAATTCACAACTGCAAAATCATGGAACCAACCAAAATCATGGAACCAACCAAATGCCCATCAATCAAGGAATGGATAGAGAAACTGTGTGAGAGAGATATATATATATATATACATATATATATATATATATATATATATATATATATGCACACACACGCACACAAACACACACACACACACAAAGGAATACTATTTAGCCATAAAAAGGACTGAATTCATGGCATTCACAGTGACCTGGATGACTTTGGAAACTATTATTCTAAGTGAAGTAACTCAGGAATGGAAAACCAAATATTGTATGTTCTCACTCATAATTGGGAGCTAAGCTATGAGGATACAAAAGCATAAGAATGACACAATGGACTTTGGGGACTCAGGGGGAAAGAGTGGGAAGGAGGTGAGGGATAAAGGAGTAAAAAAAGGGTGCAGTGTATACTCTTGGGTGATGAGTGTACCAAAATCTCACAAATCACTGCTAAAGAATTTACTCATGTAACCAAACACCACCTGTTCCCCAATAACCTGTGGAAATGAAAAAAAAGTGCATATTTTACTATTTGCTAATGCAAATGGCATAGTAAATTTGCAAATCACATTTCATTCTTATTTGCAGTGGCTGACACAAATGTAAAAATCTCTTTATTAACAAAAAAAATGTGGTATATATACACAATGGAATACTATTCAGCCA
Source organism: Homo sapiens (assembly GCF_000001405.40). Taxonomy (NCBI): domain Eukaryota; kingdom Metazoa; phylum Chordata; class Mammalia; order Primates; family Hominidae; genus Homo; species Homo sapiens. Next base: position 98,427,984 of record NC_000003.12, read on the forward strand.
TTAAAAAAAGAATAAAATTGGTTGTCAGGGCTTCAAGATGCCTTCTTCACTAAGAAGAACCAAAATAGTGAGTAGATAATAACACTTTGAATACATTGTCCAAGAGAGAATATTAGAATTCAAGAGAAAAGTGACAGAAAACACCTAAAGAAAGGAAAAAGAGTGAAGCAAGCCAGCCTGCTCAGCTGGAATCAGCTGAGAGCCAGAAGAGACTTCCTGACACAGGGAAAATGTTGAGTGAGAGGCCTCCAGTAGTGCACATTCCTGCTGTGGACTCCTGCAAGCCCAGCCACAGGAGAATCCCTTGATCCTTGCAGACCCTGAAGCTGACACAAGGAGCTGCTGGAAAACTATGCAATGGCACTGCTTCAGAGAGGGAGCTTATATTGTGTTCTACAAACTCCCTGAGACCTAAGGTTCCATTTACACTGTTCTGGGGCCCAGAGGTGCTAGGGCTGAGGCACAAGCAAAGCATGGACTGCTCCCACTGGAACTGAACTTTAAGTGAGATGTGGGCTGAGATAGCTGGGGCTGAGGCATAAGCAAGGCATGGACATGGGATACTGCTGTATGGACTGAGGCATGAACAAGTTGTGGGCTACTGTCTCTGGCTGAGGCATGAATGTGACACCTTCTGGCCTGGACAGCCACCAATGAAGGCACCTCCTGCCACCTCCTGGGTGGCAGTACCACAGTGAGGCCACTGCTGCCTCTCACCTGAGCACTGTCAGGTGTTTGGGGATAGCCCCATTCCTTACTACCATAGCTGGCACATACATCATAGAGGTCCCACATCATAGAGGTCCCAAGGACAAGCCCACTGAGCTCAGCTTCACTCCCCCTATGCCACAGCATGCAATCTGGGGGCCTGGAGATTTCCCGGCCCAGTCTACCAATGTTGACACTGGAGCACTCTTCCTGGGGGCCCATGGTGGGCCTATCACCCTGCCACTCATGTCACACACAGGCCTAATTATTATTTCACCAACCACATCACAACCACTGACAACACAACTGCTTACCACTCTGGAACCAGCAGCTTGTCTTGCCACTGCTATTGCCATCACCCATGCCACACCAACTGTTCAGGGGCCCAAAAACTTACCCACTAACTGGCTCACCACTATCACTATCCACATCCAAGCTAGCTACCTGAGGACCCAAGTACTGGGCCATCTGGACCCACTAACACTGGTGTCCCATGTCACCCTGGGGCCCAAGGACAGGCACACTTGGCCCACTGCTGTCAACACTGGGGCTTGAAAATTAGTCCACCTGTTGTCCCAGTACCCAGCAAACCTTTATCACAGCCTCTACTAATAACCACAACCTAAACCACCAAGGAAATCACATATATCACTGATACTGTTTACAGCCAAAAAACAAACCAACAAACAAATTATACAAAGACAACACTACTGCAAGCAAGCATACAGAAGCAAAGCCATAGATAAATCTTCAAGAAAAAGTTCTCCACAATGAAAGCAAATTTAAAAATTGGAAGAAGTGAATGTTACATTAGATGCCCAGATATTAATATAAGGACCCAGGAAACATTAACAAGCAAGAAAATATGAAACCTCCAAAGGGAAAAATGATAATTCTCCAGCCAAAAATTTCAACCAAAAGCAAATTTAAGAAATCCCAGAAAAAGAATTCAAATATTGATTTTTCAGAAGCCCATGAAATACAAGATAATTCTGAAAAACAACACAAAGAAATAAAAAAGCCAATTTAAGATATAAATGAGAAATTTACCAAAGAGATAAATATCATAGCAGAAAACCAAACAGAAATTCTGGAACTGAAGAATTCATTGAATGAAATACAAAACACATTTGAAAGTCTCAACAATAGACTATATCAAGTAGAAAAGAAAATCTTAAAATTTGAAGACAGTCTTTTGAAATAACATAGACAAAAATAAAGAAAAATGGAAGAAGAATGAGCCAATCCTACATGACACATGGGACACCCCATAAAGGCACCAAATATTTGAATTTTTGAAGTCCCAGAAGGCAAAGAGAAAATGAGAAGTTTAGAAAACCTATTTCACCAGATAATAGATGAAAACTTCCCAAGTCTAACAAGATACAGGAGCCTCAAAGATCCCCAGATACAATACAAAAAGGTCTTCTCCATGGCACAGTATAGTTAAAGTCAAAGACAGAGAATACTAAAGACAGCAAGAGATAAGCATCTAGTCTAGTCATCTATAAAGAAACTCCCTTTAGACTAACAGTGAACCTCTCAGCAGAAACATTATAGGCTAAGAGAAAATGAAATAATATATTCAAAGTGCTGAAAGAAAAAAACTGCCAGCCAAGATTATTATACCTAGCAAAATTATCCCTCATAAATGAAGAAGAAATAAAGTGTTTTCCAGATAAGAAATTGCTGAGGGAATTTTTCACTACTATACCCATTCTAAAAGAAATGTTAAAGGGAGTTGTACACCTGGAAGCAAAAGAATAGTACCTACTATCATGAAAACACAAGGAAACATAAAAACCACTGGTAGAGCAAACACATGAACAAGAAAGAGAAAAGAATAAAATGTCACCACTACAGAGGACTATTAAACTATGATAAGAAACAATAAAAGAAAAATAAGGAAATAATACACAAAACCACCAAAAATTACATGATAAGAATAAACTCTCACATGTCAGTAACTTTGAATGTAAATGGATTAAACCTTCAACGTAAAAATATTAATTCACTAAATGGATTTTTAAAAAATGATCTAACCATATACTGCAAATGAGAAACTTCCCTTACCAGGGAAGACGCACATAGATTGAAGGTAAAGGGACAAAAGAAGATAGGTTATCAAATCCATATGCACTATGCACAAGAGCAAAGATATGGAATAAACCTAAGTGTCCATAAATGGATGAATAGATAAAGAAAATATGGTGTATATGTACATAATGGAGTACTATTCAGCCTTACAAAACAAGAAAATCATGTCATTGCAGCAACATGAATGGAACTGGAGGTCAATAAGTTACGTGAAATAAACTAGGCACAGAAAGAACAATACCACATGTTTTCACTCATATGTGGGAACTAAAAAATTGATCTTATGAAGATAGAGAATAGAGTGATAGACACTGGAGGCTGGAGAAGTGTTTGGGTGGCAAGGGGCAATGAAGAGAGATTGATTAATGGGTATAAACACATCGTTAAATAAAAAAATATGTTTTACTGTTTGACAGCAACTAGGATGATTATAGTTATCAATGATGCCTTTTATATTTCAACATAGCTAGAATAGAGAACTTGAAATGTTATCGACCCATCTAAATAATAAATAGTTAAGATGATTGATATTACAAATACACTTACTTGATCATTATGTATTCTGTGTATGTAAAAAAAAACTCACATGAATCCCATAAATATGCATAATATATGTATTAATAAATGAAAAACTAAAAATTTTTAAAGAATGAAATTATATCACTGACAACAAAATGAATGTAATTGGAGGTCATTGTGGTAAGTGACATAAGCCAGGCAGAGAAAGACAAATATCACATTTTCATTCACATGTGGGAGCTAAAAATGTTGTTCTCATGAAGGTGGAGAGTAGAATGATGGTACTGGAGATAGGAAGTCTTTGGGAGAATCAAAAGAGGTTGGTTACTCTTATAAAGAAACAGTTAAATAGAAAGAATAAGTACTAGTGTTCAATAGCACAATAAGGTGACTATAGTTAACAATAATTTATTGAATATTTCAAAATAGCTAGAAGAAAAGATTTGAAATTTTTCTAACACAAGTCATAAATGTTTGAGGTGATTTATATACTAATTATCTTTATTTTATCATTATACATTGCATTCATGTATCAAAATATCACATGTACCCCATAAAATATGTATGATTATTATGTATCAATGATTTTTTTAAAGAAATAAAGAGATGGGGGCATCCAGGTGGGTCTTGTTCCATGGTCTTGGGCAGAAACTGATTACCTTGTAAAGATATCTACTTGTTCTGAGGTTGTTAAAGTATCTGTCTTTCTGTAGCCTTTGTCTGCTTTGGAAAACTCCCAGCAGAGCCTCAGTGGAGGTTTCCAGTTCGAATATTTTTCCAGTTTGAATTGCTCTTGTATTTCTTTAGTTTTTAAGCATAAATCTAAGGTTAAACACCCTGTAATTTGGTACCTGCGTTAGCCCAAATAAAACAGCATAACGTCCTTTTCTTCTGAACTCAAGAATAGTTTTCCTAAAGTGGCATTTCCAGAATACCAGATTGCTTGCTTGTAAATTGAGTAATTGTTGATGAGGAAGCTCTAAAATGAAGACAGTTCTGACTTGTTGATTATAGAATTTAGCATATTTTATTAACCCTTGACAGCATCTAAAAATGTCAGATAGAGTTAGGTTAAAGTCCTCCACTAGCCAAGATAAATAATCCTCATGGGATTTCCCATGATAATTCCAAAAGTGACGATCTTATGATTCATGTTTATGGTAAGTCCAATTCCTTAGCTAGTTTAGTCTGTTTGGTCTTGAGAATCCCATTGGATCTTTCTGTGTCTCCTGATGACTGAGCATGGTAGGGGCAGTGGAGTCTTTGAGTACTGTGTGTTGTGTTTTCTATTTCCTATATAATTCTACCAATAAAATGTTAGCTTAGAGTTGGTAGAATTGGTAGAGAGTATACCTAAAGTTGGGAAGACTTATTACAGAAAAACTTTGGCAACTGATGTTCCTGGGGCATTTTAGCAAGAAAAATGTTTAGCTATTTAAAACACATGCAGGCTAGAGTGAGTACATATTGCTTTCTGTCTCAGTCCATTTGCATTGATATGCAGGAATATCTGTGGCTGAGTGATTTATAAAGAAAATAGGTTTTGGAGGTTTTTTTCTGGAGATGGTAGACTAGAAGTTTTTCCAACATGCCTCACTCATTTAGAAGAAGCAAAACCCTTTGTAGAGATCTGCACTTTGAACTTTTATCCAGGAAGAAACACAGAAGAGCAAAATAAAACTTCTGAGACTGGTATAGAGAAGATGAGCAGATAGCTTGTGCAGCCAGGTCTGGCTGAAAATGGTGAATGCCCATTATGGGGGAGGGAGGATGAATGTCTCTCTGTGATCCAACTTCCAACCAGGGAATCATGCAATTCAGTTCACAAGAGAGCATCTTGATCCTCCCAAGCCTTGGATCTAACGTAGAAAGCAGCCAACAGACTGAGAAAGAACAACTCCAGGGAAGTGTCTCACTCACTTTTCCAGGTCTGAGGGCTGATTGTTGGATGCCCTTCTTGATCCCAGCTCATAGCAAGTTGTGCAGGATTCTTCAGGCTAACAATGGTGGTAGCCATTGGCATGAGAGAGACTTGGGTCAAAGATTAGAGAGCTAGGACTTGAGGTGGGAGGGGCTCCCACAGCTAGAACTGAGAAATGAGTGTAGTATGGACATCAGCTGCTTGTGTGAGAACCAGTATCCCCTTTTCACAGAATTGAAGCAGGAGGAACTTGCTGGGGAGGCATGGTCTTAACCCAGGCAGTGAGTTCTGTGGCCCAGAGCAGCTTTGCAGAGTGAAAGCAAACTCCCATGACTAAATGTCCCAACTTGCTGCCATGGTTGTAGCAGGGGATTAAACCTTGAAGGGTCTGCGGCAAGAGAGGCAAGTAGGTCCAATTCCTACTTGTTAGGATGTGGTGCCAGGATCTCCATCCCCCATGTGACACATCAGTGCAGTAGCAGTCACTCTGCTCTTTGCCTAGACATTTCTTCAGGAAGCCTGAGGACTGTCTCCCAATCACTATCAGGGCCAGTACTTGTAACTGCCAATGGGGGACTCAAGTGCAGGCTTCCAGTATTAGTCCATTCTTGCATTGCTATAAAGAACTACCTGAGACTTGGTAATTTATGAAGAAGAGATTTAATTGCTGACAGTTCTGCAGGCTGTACAGGTAGCATGGCTGGGGAGGCCTCAAGAAACTTTCAATCATGTCAGAAGGCAAAAGGGGAAGTGGCCAAGGACTCCTGAGCCACTTGAAGCAGCCTGCTACTGGCCTCAGCCCAGTCCCCTGGCCCAGGCCTTGGTCAGCAAAAGCGAGGATATGGGAAGCAGCACAGACAGGGAGTTGGTGGACCACCTGAAGGTCCTCTGGAACAAAACCAAACACAACATGAAGTTCCCTTCGGACAGCACAAGCTCCAAGCTAAAAGAGAAAATTCACTTGATTACAGGTCTTCCACCTGCCATGCAGAAAGTCATGTGTAAGGGACTGGTCCCCAAGTACAAGATATTGAGAATAGAACATTGAGTATAAGACCCATTGAGAGAAATAAAAGTGACCCGTAGGGCCAAGATCATGGTGGTTGGCTCCACAATGCAGTGTTTAAGCAGTAAACCCACCCAAAGATACTACACAGCAGGATGCAAATGCCAAAAAGAACGAGAAGGAGCCTCTCTGCAGGCAGAAACAACACAGATAAGTGTTAAATAAAGGAGAACCTGAAGATATGATCTGTTAGGTGTGCCCAGGAACCCTTCCAACACTACCCCTGTCTGGCAAGTACAATTAGTCTGGGGGAAAAGTGAGACTTCACTTAAGCTAGAACAAGGCCAGATCAGCACTAAAGATTCCTGGACAGAAGCAAACACGCCTAATTCACCGGTTTCTGGCCAGCACTGTAGGTATTCAGAGTTCAAGGGCAGATTGAGAAAGTGCCCACGGGCTTCATTAAAAATGTGGTCAGCGAAACTAGGGTCATGAATACTACAACATGGTGATATTTCAGTAGGGTCCCACAGGAGGCTCTTACTGCTGGATTCCAACTCAACATGTTGATGCAATCAAAAACACTGTGCTGGGAAAATGACAGTGTTTTTGAAAACACTTTCACTGCTGGCTCAGGAGACTGACCAAAGTGAAGGATATTGCCAGAAAACATCTGCAGCGTCCCTGGATATCAGAGCTCTGGAACTTTGTTCAAAAAAAAATATCCATATTCAATCTAAGATGATGTGATGACTGCAGCCAGTGGTGATGTACTTACACCATCAGCTTAATTTTATCTTGAAATCACCAGTTCCCTTTCTTGCTGACTGCCAATCTGACTGCTTAATACCATTTTAAAAGTCAACATAACAGAAATCAATAAATCTGAATTCTGAGAAAAAGTTTAAATATAAATTAAGTTTGACGAAGCGTGATATTCAAGAGATATATTGATCAGTGACGGCTTATAGGGCCTGGCAAGTCCCATCGTGCCTTCTGAGGTAGGAGCCATCAACACAAACTTGAACAAGGGGGCTTTCTGATAAACTTAGCCTAGAATAAGGTAATGATCTAGGGTTAGTGACATAATTGTGAGGTTTCTCATCAGTTGGTAAAGGAAGCAAGTGGCAAGGTTAAGGTTTTAAAAGTGATGTACAGTGATGTGGGAGGGGGAGAATTTTAAAGTTTCATAAGAGATCAGTAGAGATGCAGAAAAGTGTTGTGCTTTATTAATAATAGGATCTTGGACAAATTTGGTGGTTGTGGCCATGGCTTGCAGGCAACAAGGATATACCTTAGCTAATGGGTCTAAGGCTAGACTATAATACCCTAGATATCTCTGGTGTCCATTATGCTTTTGAGGTAACGCTCAAAGGACATGTTCTTCCCATTCATGCAAAAACAAGTAAAAGGGCAGGGAGTAATTGGGAAGTCTAAGAGTGAGAGGTGAAAGTAGAGTCCTTAAAGTTTTCCAAAGAATCTGATTACAGGGTCCCAGGCTACTGGGTTTGGGGATAAATCCCTCATCACTAGTCATAAAGAGTGAGGCAGTCATACAGAAATTAGGTATTTACTTTACAATATGCCACAAGACCCCCCAACATTTTCTATCGTCATTTTGTTTCAGGGAGATAAAAGTGATTAGCAGGAGAGACTCAGCCTGATGATTTTACTTGAAGATGAAATATCATGACCTGGATATTTAACACACAGGCACGGTGACTCATGCCTGTAATCCCAGCATTTTGGGACGCTGGGACGGGCAGATTGTTTGATGTCAGGAGTTTGAGACCAGCCTGACAAACATGGCAAAACCCTGTCGCTACTAAAAATACAAAAAATTAGGCGGGCATGGTGGTGCGTACCTGTAGTTCCACCTTCTAGGGAGGCTGAGGCAGGAGAATCACTTGAACCAGGGAGGCAGAGGTTGCAATGAGCCGAGATCATGCCACTGCACTCCAGCCTGGGTGACAAAATAAGACTTTGTCTCAAAAAAGAAACAAACTATATGTATATACACATATATATTTATATACATATATATTTATATATATATGTGTATATATATATTACAAAATATAAAACAAAAACAGTGAGCATAATTGAATTTTTTCTCTAGCCACTTTTTGACCTTTGTTTTGCTAAAGCCTAAAGATGGTATTTCTCCTTGTGGTTTAGTGGTAGCCGAAGGCACTGGACATTTACTTCCCTGGAAGAGAGGGAACAATCTTTGATGTGGAGGGTACTCAGTTGTTGTTGTTTTTTTCTTGAGGTCTGCAGGATCCCAGGCACAGATATTGTTTTCCATATAATATCAGCAAGTGTCTAAATCAATAGGAGCCAGTGATTTTGGAGCTTCCTGTGAGTTTAAATTCTCAGGTTGTTTTAACTGTTTCATTTGCGATGCCATAAGCTTGTGGCGTGTGGTTTCCAATCTTTCTGAAATACTATTTACCTAATGCTAGACTAATGTGTGGAACTCAGTTATGTTTTAATTTTGCCGGTTAATATAATTTTTCTTTAATGCATCATGGATCTCCAGTCTGAGACCATTTACAAAGCTGGTGGGCAGAGCAGTAACTGTCAAGTAAGTCAGTTCCAGCTTTAAGTGTTCTTCCCATGTTATCTATAGTTGATGACGATAGCAAGTTTCATCCTTTAGTTGCTTACAATTTTGGATATGTAAGCAATCAATTTTGGTGGGATAGACTTGAGAGATGGCTCCTAGTAATTTTTCTCTTATTTGCCTCATTCTCTGATGAAAATCAGTGATAGTCCAATATCCTTGAAGGTCTTCAGAGATGGTGGTCCATTTGGCTTTTTCAAACCAAAGGGAGGCATCTCCAGGTCCAACCAGTAGGTAGATAAGTTGTGATAAGTGAAGGAATCTTAGAGAGTGTCCCCTGAGAAATATTCTAAATTGTTTAATAAATCTTTCCCTTTCCTTCTGGGGTCAGAAAGTCCTTAGCGATGGCATATAATTTGAATCAAGACCTATGTTTAAATGTAATTTCTTCTGTTAACCTTGCTTGAGAATGTGTACCAGCCTCACCCTTATTATCAGCAAGAGATGGAAGCCCAGTGAACCTTATGATTACAGAGAATTCAGGGGCTGGCGATGCAGCTGGTGAGGGACATTCTGGGAGAAATTGATACAAAAGAAAGCTGAAGGGGGAGGGTGGAAGAGTTGTGGAGGCTCTAGGAAGTTTATCAGCTTGGAAATTTTTTTCTGGAGACGTTGTCTAATAACTTCAGTAGTTTGAGTAAGATTTGAATGATTTAGCCATTTTTTGCCTTCTTCATACCAGGCAAAATAAGTAGGCCAATGTGCATCTGAAATTTGTGTTTTGTTTTGCTCTAGGACTCCCTTTCAGGTGGACTAATTTGAAGAGATCTCAGGAGCACCAAAAGAGCCACTGTTGCTCAGGAAAGTTTTCAGTAAAGTTTTGTCCACGGGAAAGAAAGCAAACAGTATTTAGACCATAGTGGCTGACTATATAGTCAGCAGAGGTTTTAAACGAGGGGTTTTCAGCTGACCGAGTAGTTCTCATGGGAGAAGCAGGATCCAATAGAGAAAAGAGAAAGACTAGAGAGGCCTCACAGAGAGCCAGGAAGAAAGACATTCAGCCTAGGAAAGCAGGGAATAATAATTCCCACTCTGAACAAGGAGGCAGGAAGCCCTTCCAGACTAGGAGGCACCTTTCAAAAGAAGCCCGAGACTCTAACCCAGCTTCAGAGAGTATACTCAAAATCTTAATAATTGAAATTTGTCCTCACCATGCATCAGTGGACATTTATCTGGAGCAATGGATTTTGGAGTTGGGCTCACCATCGAGTACCTGAATGAGTAAGCAGACAGTCTGGAGACAAGGGTCCTGCTGTGTGCTGAGAGGTCCTGTTGCTACATCTGAGAATCCAGTGGTAGTTCTGATCCAGATCTGCATCTCAGCACCAAAAACTGTCAAAGAAAAGCAGCCAGGCAAGTAAAGTGGTGAAGACAAATTTTATTCGGGACTATTACAGTAGGGAGAGAGAGACCCTAGTATAGAACTGGGCTCCAATATGGCAAGGACAAGTGGGGATTTGTAGCCAAGGAACAGGGGGTTTCATGGATGGAAAATTACTAAGAAGACATATCAAGTATATGGATAATTCTGGCTGAATAAACCAACCTACCAGGATTCCTGCTGAGGGCAGGCCAAGGTGATCAGATATCAGGGGTAAGGAGTGAAACAATTTGATCAGATATCAAAGGTGATCAGGTATTGAGAGTGGGGGATTCTTGTGAACTGTCTTAGCAGCATTATTTTCTATAACTGGATTTTACAAAAAAGTGCACAGATGGGCCTAGAAGAAGGCTTAGAAGTGGCCTAAAGTTTGGCCAACCAAAGAGTCTTTGTCACTGGACTTTCCGTATATATTACCTACCAATTAGCTAGGCATTATTTTTTATGCTTTTCCTCAATAAAAGTCTCATACTTTGAAACATTTAGTGACTTATCAGAGGCATCTATTTTACTATTTAGCATATCTATTAAGCTTTTTACTCAACTACATTTTAATTTCTAAAAAAACACTTTTAAAAATTAAGGTACAGAAAGATTTTACAATTTGTCCGCAGAAATACAAAGGTGGAGCTCAGGAATCAAACCCAGGCTGCTTGCCTCCAGAATTTTGATGCTTAACCACTAAGTCACAGTATACATAACATTAAAAAGTGTAGCATGAGAAGAAAACTTTTCCAGAAGTTAACCTGTGAAATGGGCAGGCAGATAGCACAGAAATTCAAGAGAGAGATGGATCAATAACATTTTCCCTTGAATTTATTTAGAAAAAATTAAAACCTACTGAAAAGCCCAGAGAATTATACAATTAATACCCATTTTTGGTTTTTCAACCAACTAAACATTTAAACAATTGTTAAATAGTTGTTAACAGCTGGACACTTTTAACAACTCACCACATTTGCCTATCTACAAATATGTATGTACATACATATAATACATGTATACATATATATGTACACGTAATACATATATAGTTAATATCAGGACACTTTATCAATAAATAATGTATATCTCAAAAGAACAAAGACATTTTCTACATAGTCATCATATCAGTATTATCCCAAAGAAATGTAACATCACTAATATGTATTTTACATTTGAATTTTCCCCAATAATCCCAAAATTGTTCCCTATAGCAGTTTATCTTTTAATTAAACATTCAATTACTGGTCACTATTTGCTTTTAGTTATTATAATATTTTAGTCCCCTTCGATCTAGAGAATTATCTTACCTATTTTTTCCCTTCAATGGCATTTAAGTTTTCAAGTATTTTGGTCAGATATATTATAAAATATCCTGCAATGTATATTTTTCTGATGTTTCCTCATAATTTGATTCATTCAAGTTAAATAATTATGGCTATATAGGCATGCTGTATTTTCCCTTTTGCATCACAGGAGATTCATAACATCAGTTTTTCTTCTTACTGGATGCTAAGTTTGATAACTTTGGTCAAGGCAGTGTCCATCAGATCTTTTCATGAAAAGATAACTTATTTCCTTACTAATTAAAATCTAATTTGTAGGGTTTGATGCATTGATATTGTGTGAATTTACTGTTCTCAATAATTTTTTATAAATGATGTTAGCACCCATTGAAAATTCTTGCATGAATCAAAATATTACCTTTGAGGATATAAAAATTGAGAAATGTTTCCAGTTGCTATCTGGATTCATTCTAAAAAGTAGAACTTTATCTCCAAGCCTTTTTCAATAAATAAACAGCCTCAGATTTATAGAAAATTACAAAGATAATACAGAGTTCCCATATATCACACAGCTGTTACCCATTTTATTAGCATCTTAATTAGTATGGTATATGTTTTATAGTTCATGAACCAACATTGATCCATTGTTATGAACTAAAGTCCATGTTTTATTGCTCAGATTTCCATAGTTTACACCTAATGTTGTTCTTCTGTTCCAGGATCCTATCTAAGATCCACATTATATTTATTCATGTGTCTTTTTAGCCTCTCTTGGCTGTGACAGTTTCTCTGCCACTCCTCATTTTTGATCACCTTGCAAGTTCTGAGGAGTACTAGTCAGGCATTTTATAGAATGTCACTTAACTGGAATTTCTCTGATATTTTTCTCATAGTTAGACTAGAGTTATGGGTTTAGGGGATAAAGACTATGAACAAACTGCCATTCTTATCATATTGTATCAATGGTAAATATTATTGTCATGACTCATAACTCTTGATGTTGACTATGACCACCTGGCTAAGGCAGTATTTGCCAGTTTTCTCTACCATAAACTCAACTGATTCTCCCCTTTCCAACTTGTACTTTTTGGAATGAAGTCACTACAAACAAAACACACTTAAGGAATGGAGAGTTTATACATCAACTCTTTGAAGGCAAAATATTTACATAAATCAGTTGAAATTCTTGTACAGAATATTTGTTTATTCAACCTATTTGTTTACTTATTCAATCATTTATTGACATTAGTATTGATGCACAATATTTATTCTATAACTTGAGCATATCCAAATATTACTTCCTTAATTTTGTTGATCAAATCATGTAATCTTTGGCTACTGGAAGCTGTTTCCATTGGTTCCTGCATCCCTGTCCATATACACGTCATTGTGTATATATTGGGTTGTATTTTTGTTTGTTTGTTTGCTTTGGGCTTTTCTTAAAAAAGGCTCTCTTTACTTTTGTCAGGTAAAAACTGAAGTTCAGTCACTTAACATAGGATAAAAAAATAAGTCCAGTTATACTGGTAACAAAAGGACAACATGTTTTCTTCAAAATCACTGTGTCTGATTTGTCTCTGTGCTTGGTCCTGGTCATCTGGTATGTTTTTCCCAGGAATTCTGTCTTCAATGGGATGACTGTCTTCAGGGCAAAAAAAGTTTATCAGACTCTAGTTCTAGCTGTACGTATTTTGTTCATTTATGTACATGTGCCCCTACCCTGTCTTGCTCCATTTTTTTTACTGCATTCTTATTGAAATATGGATTAAAATCCTTCTCCCAAGTTCTATTTATAGGGTTGGGGTTTTTTAGCACCTTTTTATTTGGTCATTGCCAGATGCTCCAGACTCATACTGTATATTTCTTGCTCCATTGCTAGAATCAGCCAACGAACTCTAGTTCCTTTTATTGAAGAATGGTATTAGAAACCAAGATCTGGGTAACAGGTGTGTTCATTGCTTCTTCTGTATCATTGTTTCTAGGCCCTCTCAGCTGGCAGACTGAAGATATGTATGTGTGTGTCTCTTGCTTCACATCCTCATTAGCGTTTTGTATTTTAAGTATTATTGGATTTTGTCTAGTGTCTTTTTATATGCTTGTTTCCCATCTGTGTATCTTATTTTGTTAGATGCCTATTCCTATATTTTGGTCCTTTTAAATTTGGATTATTTATTTGCTTATTGTTGAGTTTTAGTCATTATTTGTATATATTGAATACAAGCTCTTCATCAAAAATGTGTATTGCAAATGTCATCTCTAAGTCTGCAGCTTGTCTTTTCATACTCTTCAAAGTGTCTTTCTCATAGCAGAAGTTTTTATTTTACTATAACAAACATCAATGTTTTCTTTTATAGATTATGCTTTTGGCATTGTATCTAAAACTCATAATCACACCAAAGATTACCTAAATTTTCTCCTATCTTTCTTCTGGAAGCTTATAGTTTTAGTTTTACATTTAGATCTATGATCCATTTTGACTTAATGTTTGTGAATTACGTATGATGTATATCTAGCTTTATAGTTTTTGTATATGGATGTCCAATTGTTCCAGCACCATTTGTTGAAAGCCATCTTTATTCAATAGATTGCCTTTGCTCCTCTGTCAGAGATCAACTGACAACATTTGTGTGAGTCAATTCTGAGCTGTCTATGCTGTTCCCTTGAATTCTGTGTTTATTCTTTCAGAAATACTATGTTATCTTGATCACTGCCGCTACATAGTGAATCTTGAAATCAGTAGTGTGATTTCCTTCAACTTTGTTCTTCTTCAGTGTTGTGTTGGCTATACTTGCCTTTTTTTTTTTTTTTTTTTTTTTTTTTGAGACGGAATCTCGCTCTGTCGCCCAGGCTGGAGTGCAGTGGCCCGATCTCGGCTCACTGCAAGCTCCACCTCCCGGGTTCACGCCATTCTCCTGCCTCAGCCTCTCCGAGTAGCTGGGACTACAGGCGCCCGCCACCAAGCCCGGCTAATTTTTTGTATTTTTAGTAAAGATTGGGGTTTCACCGTGGTCTCCATCTCCTGACCTCGTGATCCACCCGCCTCGGCCTCCCAAAGTGCTGGGATTACACGCGTGAGCCACCGCGCCCGGCCGGCTATACCTGTCTTTTATCTTTCATTATAAGCTTTAGCATTAGTTTGTCAATTATGAATAATGCTGCTCTGAATATTTGCATACAACTTTGCATATGGACATATCTTTTCATTTCTCTTAGGTATTAAGGTAGGAGTGTTATTGCTGGGTTTTATGGTAACTCTGTGTTTAGCTTTTTGAGGAATAACTTGACTGTGTTTCAAAGTAGCTGAACCATTTTACATTCCCAAGAGTAATGCATGAGGGTTCCAATTTTGCCACATCCTCGCCAAGACTTGCTATTTTCTGTCTTTTTATTATAGTTATTATATTTCATGTGAAGTGGTGTCACACTGGGTTTTGATTTGCATTTCCTTGATGTTTAATAATGCTGAGCATCTTCCATGTACTATTTGAAATTTGTATAACTTCTTTGGAGAAATAATTATTCAGATCCTTTGCCAATTTTTAAACAGGGTAATTTGAGGTTTGATTATTGAGTGATAAAAGTTCTTTATATATTCTAGATAAAACTCTCTTCTCATAAATGTGATTTTCATATATCTTCTCCAAATCTAGTTCTGTCCTTTGCTTTCTTGCTGGTATCCTCTGAAGCAAAAATACTCCTAATTTTGATGAAATCTCACTTATTTTTGATATTTTGCCTGTGCTTTTGGTGTCATATTTAAGAAACTGTGGCATAACACAATGTCACAATATTTATACTTATTTTTATTAGAGCTTATAGTTTTATCTATTACATTTAGGTATTTGAGCCATTTGAGCTAATTTTTGTGTATGTTGTGAAATAGGGGTTCAATTCCATTCTTTTGTATGTGAATAACCATATTTTCTCCTGGGAAAATTTCTGAGACTACACTCCCAAGCTTGGCGGTGGGAACAGTGGCCTCCTTCTCTGTGAGTGACATCCCTGCTTTAGGAGTAGGCATTGGGTGTGGACCATAGCCTCTTATTTTCTAAGCTTGGCTTCCCAGTGTGGAACCTCTGCCTTACCAATGAGGGGGGGCAAAAGTGATTGTTGTTTCTGCATTGATGTCATGCCATGCCTAAGGTATAGCTTCTACCCTATGAATGGGTAGCAGAAGGAATTCCCCAAACTTTTGCTCACACTTACCTGAAATTTAGCTTCTGTAACACATACAAAGAGATATATGGAACTAAGTAAAAAGTACAAAAATAAACCCAAACTTCTTTAAAAATTATCAATATGGTAAAGATCTAATTCAAATGATGGTGTTGGGCCAACTAGGCTGTCATTAAACAATATAGTTAGATCCTTACTTGTGGCAGGTCAGGTTTCCATTAGCAACCAGGCGGTTAGTTTCCATTACCCTTTACTATAATTTTGATGAGTGGATAAGTTAAATAAAGAACTGGAGAAACTGGTGCCTGAGTATGAGGATGGGAATATGAAAACAAACCCATTAAGATCCCACCTGGGTTTTCTCAGACCCTAAAGTGTGATTGAATAGTAATAGCATTCCTACACATACACCTGGTTCTGTCTTAAGATTAAGAAACTAAGACTCTAAAGAAAGCTTTCCAGACCCCAGACCCCCTAGTTAAAGATTAGACATAGATTGAATGAAACTCTTCTGCTTGTAGGTGCAATCCTGCACATAGCATGGAGCTTAAAATGTATGTAAGTATCAGAAAAAAACTTGTAACTTTGAGATGGTCTGGTGAGTTACTCTGACCTTCTCCCTGTAACTGGTTGCAGAAATAAACTCCCATCTTTCCTAGTTTGTCTGCGTCTTCTTATTAGAGCTCGAGAACAAGCAGCTGGACCTTCCTCTGTCAGGGAACATACTCACATTTTACACCAACATATATTTTATGTAAACTAAAAATGTAAGACTCAAAATTAAATACAAATCAAAGAAATAATCTTAGGGAAAAAGAGGACTTTATTAATGCCAGAGCCAGAAGTCATAAATAGAAATAATTAATGTATATGATTCTCTTAAACACTCGCTGTTTACCCTCAATCTATTTCTCAGCTTCCCCTTCTATTTCTCGGCTTCCCCCGGTCAGTTTTGTATCGCAATCAAATTGCCTTTGTATGCTATATTTCCCAGAATTTCTTTCAAATGACTTCTGGCTAGATTTTCCCAGTGGCAGACACTAATAAGAAATTGGAGAGTGGAGGATATAAGCCACAATATTTCTTCACTCTTTGTCTGCTATAGGCAGTGTCTCTAGCACTTAGCTGTATCCCCAGAGAGATTCCAGCTTCTGCAGAATAACCTCTCCTATGGACAGAATTCTGAGTTCTGTTAACACCAGTCCTTCCAGTAGGAGCTTATCACAGGTTACCTTGTTTGAATTTTTACTTTTCACACCCTTTGTAATTATTTCCTGAATTGCATTTTCTCTATTTAAATCGTTGGCAAGGGCTCCGTTTTCCTGAGTATACCCTGATACAGTGACAATGTAAAACTTTAAAACTTCTATATGTAAAAACAAACAAACAAACAAACAAAAAAAACAGTTAGACAAATAATATTATAAGAAAAATATTCAGGACATTTATGGGAGAAAGGGAAATATTAACACCTTTGATGTATAAGAGGCTCTTAACACATCATGATGAAAAAGGCAAACATTTGAATAAAAGGAAAGATCAATAGACATTTATCAAAGAAGAAATACAAATGGCAAACAAGTTTTGGGGTTCTATCTATTTTAATTTCCTGAAGCAAGGAAAAAGAAGAAATATCAGTGTGGCAAAAACTAAAAAGGATGATGTTAGTCAGTTTGTTGGTGGTGTAATAGAGCAGAGACTTTTCCCAGATTAACTCAATCTTTCTGGAGAGCACTTGAGCAAAGTAGATCAAAAGCCTTTACAATGTTCATACCCTTTGATGCAAATATTTCATTTCTATTAGACTAGAGATTCAGGATATATTTAATGGATATTAATTAGTAGCTTATTTATAATAGAAAAATTGAATTAAGCCACATACCCATTAAAAGGGAATGAATTTAAAATAGTGGTACATATTGATTATGCTTAATTATATAATTTTTGCTTGCTGATAAGGACAGATTTCTCTAATATGTTAAGTTAAAACACTCTTTCCAATATGATTCCAAGTTTCTAAAGCAATAGGAGAAATAATTCTGAAAAGATATCAATTAAAATGTCAATAATACTTATTTTTAGTTAGCCACCAAGTGTGTATATTTCATAGATTTTTAAGTTTTTTTTAATATATTTCTGGCTGTGTTTTCTTTTGTTTCATTTTTCCTATGCATGGTGTATAAAAGTTACAATTTTATGATAAAAACTTTTCATTTTGAAAAAATGTAAATACATAAGGAACTGGTAAATACTGGCTTTCTTTCTTCTGTCCGTAAAGCTACCTTCACCTACTGTTTTGAATGCCAGTGTCAGAGTGACATGTCCAGACAGATCAGGCAGCTTGATTCAGCATCCAGTCCTCTGGTTTGAAAGCCAGCTTGAGTCAATGTGATGGAATCAGTGTCTTGCTCATTTCTTAAAAGAGGGGCTGGACTGTTTCTCCCAAACACCGTGGGTACGAAATGGCCAATCATAGCCGTCCCACTTTATCCTCTATAGATGTGCTTTGATCCTGGGCTCAATTAGAGCTTCAGCAAGACTCTACAGCGGTGAGTAATAAAATCAAGCAACAGGTTATAACCAGCACAGGAACTTCCAGATACACCTACACAAGAGGAAGTGAGACTAGGTAGGAGAACAAAAGGGAGAATAGAAGTGGAGAGCAGCTGTAAGTAGAGAGGGATGTAGAGAAGGTGGAGAAATGGGAGGTAGTAGGGATAAACATAGAGATGGGAAGAGGGAAAATGGAAAAGAAGGTGAGGCAGAAGAAAAGGATATATAAAATGAAGAAAAGTGCTGTACATTAGAGGATATCAACAACTAAGGTGATTATATTACACAGGTGGATAAATAACAATTCATCGATACACAGAAGATTTTTATACTATATCCCAAGTGTATTATATCTTAATTTTTAAAAATACATAAAGCCTCAGCTGTAAACTCAGGGTATGATGGCTGAAAATGCCTTGGTAATTAAAGAGTTGAGTCAGAGAGAATCCATTCCTGCTAATTGGAAGCAAAGTAAAAACAAATAAATAAAAAAACAAATAAATAAGAAAACAAAAAAAAAGAAAAGAAAAACTATGGCTTCTTCCAAAAACAATATCACATGGAAATCCCTTTTCAGTCTTTCACCTCAGGGTTGGATGTTATCATCACCATCAAGTTTATGAATATAAATAACTTTATATTTATATTTGTATATTAATATAATATATTGATATTGCTATTTTATATCGATATAAATATAAATAAAAGATTCTAATACAGAGTACCAAAATACATTAAACAGCCCAGTTTATAGGTGCTTCTTTCTGTTTTTGTTTTTTATTTTTACTCCAGACTAGAAAAAAAATTGAAGATTTTCTTGGGTACTGCTCTTGGAAAAGAAATTAAGCTCACTGAGAATTATTAAATCTGTGTATGACTTGGTTAATTTTAACTTTAACTGGTTAGCTGGGGAGATTTGCCTAAATTAATAATATTCAGTGAAAGTTTTAGTAAACCTGAATGTCCTCACTGGAGACTTTATTAAAAGTTTGGCCCCTCAGAGATTGGAAATTGGACAAGTTCCATAACTGTAAGGAGGTTGTGTTTCATTTGTAAGCAATGCACAATGGATGTAATTAGGAACTAGACAGGGATTTCTGGTAAAGATACATTAGTGAGACAGAATGAGAAGAGCATTTGAATTGAGTCATCCCTTTGGGCCAGAGACATCATTAGCCAGCAGAGCTGAAGTTTACTCTTTGAGGATCACATTTTTATTATATGAAACAGAGAACCCTAGAAAATCTCTCCAGAAAGCTGATTTTTTTAAAATAATTTATTTTATTTTAAAAAAAAACCCTACAACAATCTAACCTCAGACAAATCACCCTAGTGCCCTGTCTCCAACGTAATCTATATCAAATGTTTATTTCGTAAAGTATCTCTACACTCTTCAGCGTTAAAATGGTATAGCCCCTTTAGTGAAGGACCTTGAATTGGTTTTGGCCTGAATTCCTTTTAGCACCATCACACTGTAATAATTTAGTCAATAACTATTCCTTGCTCTTCTTCTCTTATATAATGTTGTGAGGGCTTTCAACTACAAAAGCACTCAGTAACAACCATAATGGCTCCTCTTACAGAGAACTTAAGATTTTTACAAATCTCATTTAATAAAACTCCCACAACAAAACCCCAAAGTTTCACTTTCAAAGAGATAACATGACAGTTGAGTAAGTAAGGGTTGAATAAGAAAATATAAAAAAACAGTGCTGGTGAGTGTGTTGTCCAGTCCAATCTTACTTTGAGTTTCTCCAAAAGCAGACTTTGAGAAAAGGATAGGGGTGCAAGTAGTTTATGTGGTTAGTAATTCAAGATGCATAATGAGCATGAAGAAGTGAGATAGAGGAAGGAGGAAAGCCCATTAATGCATTAATAAGTAGGTTATATCTATAAGAAATCAGGGACCTTCTGAAAGACTTAAAAACACACATCAACATTTTTCACCATGCAGTGAGAAAGTCAAAGTCAAAGTACATATCCACTGACCACCCCCG
Source organism: Homo sapiens (assembly GCF_000001405.40). Taxonomy (NCBI): domain Eukaryota; kingdom Metazoa; phylum Chordata; class Mammalia; order Primates; family Hominidae; genus Homo; species Homo sapiens. Next base: position 98,448,236 of record NC_000003.12, read on the forward strand.
CCTCCCCTTTTTTTTGGAACAGAGTCTCACTCTGTTGCCCAGGCTGGAGTGCAGTGGCTGTAATCTTGGCTCACTGCAACCTGCACCTCCCGGGTTCATGCGATTCCCCTGCCTCAGCCTCCTGAGTACCTGGGACCACAGATGTGCGCCACCAGGCCAGACTAGTTTTGTGTATTTTTAGTAGAGACGGGGTTCTGCTGTGTTGGCCAGGCTGTTCTGAAACTCCTGACCTCGGGTATTCCCCCTGCCTCAGCCTCCCAAAGTGCTGGGATTACAGGTGTGAGCCACTGCGCCCAGCCCCAGCCCCCATTTTTATTGGTTGAGGGTCATTCCCTCAGTGTTAAATTTCTGATGATGTCATCCTGGCCCTTTCCAAAGCGAAGTGAAATTGCATGGCCAGAGTAAACTAAAGAGCTTCTGCATGGCAAAAGAAACTAACATGAGTGAACAGACACCCTACAGAACGGGAGAAAATTTTTGCAATCTACCCATCTGACAAAGGGCTAATATCCAAAATCTACAAGGAACTTAAACAAATTTACAAGAAAAAACAAACAACCCCATCAAAAAGTAGGCAAAAGATTGAACAGACACTTCCCAAAATAAGACATTTATGCAGCCAAAAAACATATGAAAAAAGCTCAACACCACTGATCATTAGAGAAATGGACATCAAAACCATAATAGATACCATCTCCCACCAGTCAGAATAGGGATTATTAAAAAGTCAAGAAACATTAGATGCTAGTGAGGCTGTGGAGAAATAGAACCGCTTTTACTCTGTTGGTGGGAATGTAAATTAGTTCAACCATTGTGGAAGACTGTGTGGCAATTCCTTAAGGATATAGAACCAGAAATACCATTTGACCCAGCAATCCCGTTACTGGGTATATAACCAAAGAAATATAAATCATTCTACTATAAAGACACATTCACATGTATGTTTATTGCAGCACTATTCACAATAGCAAAGACATGGAAACCAACCCAAATGTCCATCAATAATAGACTGGATAAAGAAAATGTGGTACATATACACCATGGAATACTATGCAGCCATAAAAAGGAACAAGACCATGTCCTTTGCACGGACATGGATGAAGCTGGAAGCCATCATCCTCAGCAAACTAACACAGGAACAGAAAACCAAACACTGCATGTTCTCACTCATAAGTGGGAGTTGAACAATGAGAACACATGGTCACAGGGAGGGGAACAACACACACTGGGGCCTGTTAGGGAGTGGGGGGTGGGGGATGAGGTGAGGGAACCTAGATGATGGGTTACCAGGTGCAGCAAACCACCAGGGCACAAATGTACCTGCAAGTTCTGCCTGGAACTTTAAAAAAAAAAAAGGCACGAAAAGCCTTAGTCAATTTGTACAGGAACAGTGTGCGTGTGACCCACAGAGTAGGTCCGGGGCAAAGGGCAGGGCAACTGTGTCTATCATAGGACCTAAAAAGTGGCACAAAATTCTAACCCAGATAACCGAGAAAAACACTAAAGATCAATTTGACATCAGGCAGATTCTAGAAGGAAATGAGTAACAAACAGGCTAGGTAGGTTGGCAAAGGCAAGAAGAGGAAGCAGGAAAGCCTGTGGCCTAGTTGGGTAGCTCACAAGTTTGGCTGTTGTAGAAAAGTGTCTATAAACAAGGGGCCCATATAGGCAGATATCTTCAGAAGGTATGAATATATAAAATATTTTGGTTTCCTAGTACGTATAAAAGTTATGTTTACACTGTACTATAGTCTACTGATTGTGCAATAACATTATGTCAAAAAATAATGTATATATCTTAAAGAATAATTTATTGCTAAAAAATGCTAACCATCATCTGAGACCAGCGAATAGTGATCTTTTGTTGGTGGAGGGTTTTGCCTTCATGTTGACGGCTTCGGCCATCAACTGATCAGGATGGTGTTTGCTGAAGGCTGGAGTGGCTGTGGCAATTTCTTTTAAAAAGACAAAAATAAAGCCTGCCACATTGACTGAACCCTCCTTTCACAAAAGGTTTCTCTGTAGCATGTGATACTGTTTGAGAGCATTTTACCCACAGTAGAACTCCTTTCAAAATTAGAATCAAACCTCTCAAACCCTGCCGCTGCTTTAACAACTTAGTTTATGTAATATTCTAAATCCTTTGTTGTCATTTCAACAATGTTCACAGCATCTTCACCAGGAGTAGATTTTATCTCAAAAAACAATTTCTTTACTCATTCATAAGAAACAGCTCTTCTGTTCAAGTTTTACCACAGTATTGCAGCAATGCAGTCACATCTTCAAGCTCCACTTCTAATTTTAGGTCTCGTTATTTCATTATTTCTGCCACGTTTGCAGTTTCTTAATCCACTGAAGTACGAAGCTTTTCAAAATCATCCATGGAATCTGCTTCTTCCGAACTCCTGTTATTTTTGATATTTTGCCCTCCTCCCACCAATCATATGTTCCTAATGGCATTTAGAATTATAAATTCTTTCCAGAAAGTTTAATTTAATTTTCTCAGATCCATCCAAAGAATCACTAATTATGGCACCTATTACCTTATGAAATATATTTCTTATATAATAAGACTAGAAAGTCAAAATTACTACTTGATTCACAGGCTGCAGAATGGATGTTGTGTTACCAGATATGAAAACAACATTAATCTCCTTATACATCTCTATCAAAGATCTAGGGTGAACAGGCATATTGTCAATGAGCAATAATATTTCGAAATAAATTGGGTGTTTTTTTTTGAGCAATAGGTCTCAACAATGGGCTTACAATATTGAGTAAACCATGCTGTAAATAGGTGTGCTGTCACCTCAGTTTTGTTGTTTTATTTCTCCATATAAGCAGTAAGGCTGTTTTGCTCATCATTTGTGTGTTCACTAGAGAAAAACTTTTAATTTCTTTTGCATTTGCAGCTTGGCTAACTGACACAAGAGGCGTAGCCTTCTTCCTATCTCAGCTTTTGACATGACTTCCTCAGTAAGCTTAATCATTTCTAGTTTACAATTTAAAGTGAGAGATGTGTGACTCTTTTACTTGATCACTTAAGAGTCCATCATGGGGTTATTAGTTGGCCTAATTTCAATATTTTTTTGGCTCAGGGAATAGAGAGGCCCAAGAAAAGAGAGAGAGAAATGAGAGAACAGCTGATCAGTGGAATAGTCAGAACACACACAACATTTATTAATTGTCTGTTGTCTTATAAGAGTGCAGTTTGTAGCATCCAAAACAATTACAATAGTAACATCAAAGATCACTGATCACAGACTATCATAACAGAGTGAATAATAATGAAAAGTTTTGCAATATTGTGACACTTACAAAACCATGATATAGAGACAGAAAGTGAGCACATGTTGTTGGAAAGATGGTATGGATAGACTTGTTTGACACAGGGTTGTCACAAATCTTCAATTTGTAAAAAAAACAATATCTGCGAAGTATAATAAAGTGAAATGCAATAAAATGTGATATACCTATGTATAAAATGGATGTAAGCAAGACAAAGAACCATCACATGCGGCAGTATTGTAATAGTGCAGTAATGAGACAATAAAGAAATGATTCTCGGCCGGGCGCAGTGGCTCACGCCTGTAATCCCAGCACTTTGGGAGGCCGAAGCGGGCGGATCACGAGGTCAGGAGATCGAGACCATCCTGGCTAACATGGTGAAACCCCGTCTCTACTAAAAAAATACAAAAAAAAATTAGCCGGGCGTGGTGGCGGGCGCCTGTAGTCCCAGCTACTGGGGAGGCTGAGGCAGGAGAATGACCTGAACCCGGGAGGCGGAGCTTGCAGTGAGCCGAGATCGCACCACTGCACTCCAGCCTTGGCGACAGAGCGAGACTCCGTCTCAAAAAAAAAAAAAAAAAAAAAAAAGAAAAGAAATGATTCTCAAACATGTTTGTGTTTTTTATAATACACTTTAAATATTAGCTATTTTAGCACCATTATCTAAAACACGAAGACACAAGAGCATTAAATAAGACATCAATAATTCCAACAAAATTACTACTATAGTATAACATTTTATAATGTCTATAAAAGTATCCATGATTAATGAAATCTTTTCTTTGTTGTCCCTCATACTGTTTCTGTCTTAACAGAACTGCTCACTGATATGACCAAGCTCTCTTATGTATTTATGAGACAGAATTTTAATATTTTTGGTACCAGTTCAATGTTATGGTACTGAACAATGTTTGTTATGGTATTTTACAGCCCTGAATTACATGAGATGAGAATCACAGGATACAGACCTGAACAACAACACAAGTGACTAGAATGAGAGACGTTTATTAGGGAAGAATCCATGGAACTTGATGACAACTTGATAATAAGTTGGATACAGGGAGTGAGGATAATGGCAGTGCCATAGATGATAGTATGGAGCCTGGAGAAGTTGAATGTCTTCCCATTGGTCTTAGTATACACTTGGGAGTCTTGAGCCTTGACTATAAAACCCTATGATAGCTGACCCTGACTCCTGTTCTAGCCCCATTTGCTGCTACTGTTCCCATAATTCACACTGACTTCTCAGTTCCCAGAACGCACTAAGCTACTTCCCAACTCAAAGCCTCCAAATGCTATCTTCACACTATTTAATCCAGTTGTCATGATTTATTTAATGTGTCTCTCTCCCCCACGAGATGATAAGCCCAATGAGGGAAGAGTCCATGCTTGACCTGCTCACTGCCTATCCCAAGAGAGTAGCACAATGCATGGCACGTAGCAAGCAGCTGATGCTCTTTGTTGAATAAACAGATTCTACAACCTGGAATGCTGTTTCTCTCTCTGCTTTCCTTGCTATCTGGTTCACTACAAAGTACACCCCAGCTTCACCTTATGTGAGCATCCTCAGGGATGCCCTTTCTGACTCATCTCTTATATTCTGTGACAGACTAGTCAGGAAGAAAATTTCTTTTATTGGACAAAGTAATTTCCCTTTCAAGCATGGTGAATTTGAGGCAATAATTAGATATTATGGGACTATCCCACATATCCAACATGATTAGGACTGCAAATGAAGATTTGAGAACCAGCTGCATCCAGCTATGAGTTAATGTTTTCTAACAGAGAAGAGATGGTCAGAGATAAAACAAATGCCCATGTTGAGATGGAAAGAAACCATTTTAATAATGAAAGAATGTTTAAGCTGTTCAGTATTTTAGAGAGGAAAAGATAAAAAGTTCTGGAAGGATCATTTGACTTGATGAATAGGTCACTACAGGGTCCAGTTTTTGCAAAATGATGGGAACAAAAGTTGGGTTGCAGATTGTTAATAAGAGCAGCATGTATAGACTCTTTTTTAAGAAGTTTAATGTTAAAAATTGAGAGAAATGAGTCATGAACTAAAGAATTGACAGTTCAGTCAATTAAGGTTTTCCAAAATATGGCAGAACTACGCAGTTTCAGGGGAAAAAATACCTATTACAGCGGCGAAGGCTGAAGTCAGTTGAACTTTTTGACCACTCACTTCTTCTAGGATATACTATCTCCTTGATTTTTACCACACTACACTATCTCTCCTCTTCTCCCATTTTCCCTCTTTCTTCTCTTTCTTTTATCCTCCCTTTCCACTCCTTTCCAAGACAAGTAAGTGCTGTCCAACTGGTAGCACTAGCCATGTAGCTACTGAGTGCCTAAAATGTATATAGTCTGAATTACAATGTGCTCTAAGTGTGATGAACCCACCAGATTTCTAAAGCTAGGTGAGATAAAGTAAAATATCCTATTAATTTTTTACATTATTACATGTTGAAATGACAATATTTTTGATATATTAAATTAAATAAATATTATTAAAATTAATTTCACATTTTTATTATTTTTTAATTAGGTTACTAGAACATAGTAAATTACATATGTAGCTTACATTGTAGTTCTATTGGACAGCACTGCTCTAGATTTTCTTATCTATACATTCTCCCTAGGCTTCAGACACCACCTCTAAATAATTGATATGCAAATACATATCTTCACATGAAACACATTCAGACATCATTGCTATGCCTCAAACCTTCTAGACATCTTCTTTTAGAAGTCTCAGGAACAGGCAATGTGGCTCACACCTGTAATCCCAGGGCTTTGGGAGGCTGAGGTGGGAGGATCACTTGGGGCCAGAAGTTCCAGATCAGCCTGGGCAACATAGTGAGATCCAGTTTCTTAAAAAATATTTTTTATAATTAGCTGAGCATGGTGATGTGCACCTAGCTACTTGGGAGGCTGAGGTGGGAGGATTGCTTAAGCCCAGGAGTTGAAGGTAAAAGTGAGCTATTATCATACCTCTGCAATCCAGCCTGGGCGACAGAACAAAACACTGTCTCTGGAAAAAAAAAAAAAAATGTACCTCATACTCAGCATGTGTGAAATCAAACTTACTTCCTGCTGTCCTCTTTCTTCAAACCTAATCCTGTTCCATGGTCCAGTCTATGTGAGTGTCATCAACAGCCTCTTGCATAAGCCAGAATTTTAGACCCTTCTTTGAACTCCTGAGCTCAGACAATCTGCCCACCTCGGCCTCCCAAAGTGCTGGGATTACAGGCTGAGCCACTGCGCCTGGCCCAGATTTTTTACAAAATGAGAATCTAATTATGTCAGCCTTCTTTATCAAAACCTTCCATGGGTTCTCATTGCTCTTAGAATAAAGACCCAAATTATTAATATTGTTTACAATACCATGTATTATCTCTTCCCTGTTCACCTCTCTTGCACAATTTTCCCCAACTCTCTTTGCCTAACTGACCCTCTTGCAGTACCTTGAACTTGCCATGTTCCCTCCAGAAATAAAGCCTTTATTATATAGGTTCTCCTCACAACTCACTCACTCTACCCTTCCCTGGTAACTTCTCTTCAGTCTCCAGATTTCAGCTCAGTTATCACTTCTTCAAGGAAATCTTTCTGTTAAGCACCCCCCGCAACCCAACTGTGACTCACCATAAGTAATAATGGTGATGGTGAGAACATTTAGCATTTATCAAGCACTTAGTATGTAATAGGCTCTTTTCTAGTGCTTTACACATAATAATGTAGTAAATTTTTAAAACTATCTTTTTTAGTCTCCATTTTTGGAACACAATTCATTATAATATACATTATTCTATGAGAAAATTAAAGCTCAGACAGGTTAAGTAATTTTCCCAAGAGCAGCTAGAAAGTGATAGAGCTAAGATTCAAAATTAGGCATCCTGATTCCAGAGTTCATGGGGTTAACTGCTACATTATATGATCTTTTCAGACTAGGCTACACCTCTTTATTACAAGTTTTAGATCTCCAGGGATCTTCATAATAGAGAAGGTGTAATTCCACAGCATTTGGGTGACTGGTTAATGTCTTTCTCTTATACCTTGCCCCAAATTCTTTAAGGGGAGGTGCAGATACCACATCTACCTTTGTTTATTGCTTAATCATGGTGCCTAGAATTGTGGCTGGCATAAAGTAGACATGTAATATATTTGGGGGAAAGGATACAAAATAAATGTATGCGTATATGAAAGAAGAAAGAACGAAGGGAAAGAAGGAAAGAAAAAAGTGAAAGAAAGTGGGTTCCATGTCTCTAGTTATGAATTTCTCTACTGAGCACAGCTTGGTCTACCACATTCTATCTTGGTTCCTACATTTACCTTAGGAAATCTGACTTTTACTCTGCCTATAATAAAATCAGACATCCTTTCTGGTATGTACCTAATGAGTTTAGAACTTCTCCTGAGCAATTACTTGATTATGAATAGCTGATTCATTTAATATTTATTTCAGGCAGAAAATATCAAAATTGTATCACCATTGAGTAATTTACCCATCACATAATTATGAATACCAAGTTCTCTAATACATCCTACATCCAGCAAGACTGGAGACTACTTTTCATTCCTCTAAAACTTCATGGGCTTTTATGCCTCTGGTATATTGCTTGTTATTCCATTTCCAACCCTTCTTTGCTGAGAAAATGTCTATGTATCTTTCAAGGTCAAGATTAAATGTCATCTCCCAGTCTTACACAGATGCTAAGCTTAATTGTAGGATATTTTGATGTGATTATACTATTAAAGATATGGCTACAATCTTGTTATTAAGGTTGGACTCTCCCCTGAAGAGTTGGCCATTCCTAGTGTCAATTACACAGGGGAAGAGCTAAGCCCTAAACAACAAAAAGGAGTGAGTCTCCTGCCTGCTCATCTGTCCCTCAGACTCTTGGAAATGGATCTCTGGAGCTGAGCTATGCCAGATGACTAGGAAAAGGCAGCATCTGTCTTTCAGAGGTAGATGTGGAGATGGGTAAGGAGGTCTCACTATAGTGAACCATAAGCACAAGATGAGCAACTCAGTCATATAAATCAGATTATCACGATCAGCAGCTTTCATACTATTAATATTTCAACACCCTGACCTGTCACAATTGGTTATGAGATGTATCACAACTAAAGTGTTACTAATAATAAAGTTCCATAGTTGAAATATGACTAACTTTTTAAAAAGTAAGTAGAGTGGGCCAAGCGTGGTGGCTCACACCTGTAATCCCAGCTCTTAGGGAGCCCGAGGCGGGTGGATCACGACGTCAGGAGATCAAGACCATCCTGTCCAATCTGGTGAAACCCTGTCTCTACCAAAAAATACAAAAATTAGCCAGGTGTGGTGGTGCACGCCTGTAGTCCCAGCTACTCGGTAGGCTGAGGCAGGAGAACTGCTTGAACCCGGGAAAAGGAGGTTGCAGTGAGCTGAGATAGCACCACTGCACACCAGCCTGGCGACAGAGCGAGACTCCATCTCCAGGAGGAAAAAAAGTAAGTAGAGTGGATTCCAGATTACTTCAATGATAACTTCCTCACTGCTCTGCAAAACAATATGCTCTCTTTGGGAGAAAATGAAGAAGAATCAGAGCCAGCTAGCTAGCTAGCTAGCTAACGGGCGATTGTTCAAAACCTGGGGGGCACATGGGAGTATGTCATAAAGTCATGTCACCTGCCAGCTTGCCAGCTTTCTAAGTAGGGTGAAAGGATTAAGTAAGAACTGTTCTAGGCCGGGCGCGGTGGCTCATGCCTGTAATCCCAGCACATTGGGAGGCTGAGGCGGACAGATCACGAGGTCAGATCAAGACCATCCTGGCCAACACGGTGAAACCCCTTCTCTACTAAAAAAAAAAAAATACAAAAAATTAGCCGGTGATGGCAGGCTGTAGCCAGTGGTGGTGGGTGCCTGTAGTCCCAGCTACTCGGGAGGCTGAGGGAGGAGAATGGCGTGAACCCAGGAGGCGGAGCTTGCAGTGAGCCGAGATCGTGCCACTGCACTCCAGCCTGGGTGACAGAGAGAGACTCCGTCTCAAAATAATAATAATAGTAAATAATAATAATAAATAATAAAAGAAGAAGAAGAACTGCTCTTCTAGTTGTATATTACTGAATTTTGTTTCCAGTGGTTATCTCTTAGATCTAGTAAATAATCCTTCCTACTCTTCTCTGCTACAGGGGATCATCCGGGCCAGAGTGAATGTGAATGGAAGAGCAGTGCCTTCTTGTGGTCACCATGGTTTGGGCAGCAGTTGTGACTACTTCCCCAAGGGGAAAACAAGTATCTGGGAAAAGGTTTGGGGGTTATAAGGCCCATGACTCCTTTCACATGGAGATTTGCTCTCTACTGCAAAATTAAAAGTGTTATTATGGAAAATGAAATTATTTTTACAGAAAGATTTTCTTAACTCCCCCTGGCAAGTTAAGTCATACCCCATCTGTCCTCCCATAGTTAGGAATGTGTGATAGTATAGATTTTATCACTTTGCATTCTAATTACTTGTTTACATGAACACTTCCCCAGTACATTGAGAAGTCACAGCAAGCAGGGATTGGGCCTCACACTGCCTTGAATTACTATTTCTTATGGTCACTATGCTTGGCATTGGAATAAGAACCAGCAAATATTTCTTTTTATTTAATTTTTAAGTTCAGGGGTACATGTACAGGTTTGTTATATAGGTAAACTTGTGTTATGGGGGTTTGTTGTACAGATTATTTCATCACCCAGGTATAAACCTAGTACCCATTGCTTATTTTTTCTGATCCTTTTCCACCTCCTACCCTCCATCCTTCACCCTCCAATAGACCCCAATGTGTGTTGTTCCCCTATACATGTCCATGTGTTCTCATCCTTTAGCTCCCACTTATAAGTGAGAACATGTGGTATTTGGTTTTCTGTTCCTACATTTAGTTTGCTAAGGATAATGGCCTCCAGGTCCATCCATGTCTCTGCAAAGGAATGATCTCATTTTTTATGGCTGCATAGTATTCCATGGCATATATGTACCACATTTCCCTTATCCAGTCTACCATTCACGGGAATTTAGGTTAATTCCATGTTTTTACTATTGTTAATAGTGCTACAATGAACATACGTGTGCAGGTTAATGATAGAAAAATTTATATTAGCTCAGGTATATACCCAGTAATGGGACTGCTGGATCAAATGGTGTTTCTGTCTCTTAGTCTTTGAGGAATTTTCACACTGTCTTCCACAATGGTTGAACTAATTTACACTCCCACGAACAATGTAAAAGTGTTCCTTTTTCTCCACAACCTCTCCAGCATCCTTGTTTTTTGACTTTTTAATAACAACCATTCTGACTGGTGTGAGATGGTATGTCATTGTGGTTTTGATTTGCATTTCTCTGATGATCAGTGATGTTTAGCTTATTTTCATATGCTTGTTGACCTCATGTATATCTTCTCTTGAAAAGTGTCTGCTCATGTCCTTTGCCCACTTTTTAATGGGTTTGTTTTTCTCTCATAAATTTGTTTAAGTTCCTTATAGAAGTTGGATATTAGACCTTTGTCAGATGCATAGTTTGCAAATATTTTCTCCCATTCTGTAGGTTTTCTGTTCACTCTATTGATGGTTTCTTTTGCTATGCAGAAGCCCTTTAGTTTAATTAGATCCCATTTGTCAATTTTTGCTTTTGCTTTTAGCACCTTTGTCATGAAATCTTTGCCTGTTCCTATGTCCAGAATTGTATTGCCCAGATTGTCTTTCAGGATTTTTATAGTTTTGGGTTTTACATTTAAGTCTTTAATCCACCTTGAGTTGATTTTTGTATATGGTTTAAGGAAGGTGTCCAGCTTCAATCTTCTGCATATGGCTAGCCAGTTTTCCCAGCACCATATATTGAACAAGGAGTCCTTTCCCCATTCCTTGTTTTGGTCAGTTTTGTTCAAGATCAGATAGTTGTAGGTGTGGCCTTATTTCTGGGTTCTTTATTCTGTTCCATTGGTCTCTATGTCTGTTTTTGTACCAGTACCATGCTGTTTTGGTCACTGTAGTCCTATAGTATAATTTGAAGTCAGATAGCGTGATGCCTCCAGCTTTGTTATTTTTGCTTAGGATTGCCTTGTCTAATTAGGCTCTTTTTTGGTTCCGTGTGAATTTTAAAATGGTTTTTTTCTAGTTCTGTGAAGAATATCAATGGCAGTTTAATGGGAATAGCATTGAATCTATAAATTGCTTTGGACAGTATGGACATTTTAACAATATTAATTCTTCCTATCCATGAAAATGGATTTTTTTTGTTTGTTTGTGTCATCTTTGATTTCTTTGAGCAGTGTTTTGTAGTTCTCTTTGTGGAGCTCTTTCACCTTCCTGGTTAGATGTATTCCTAGATATGTTATTCTTTTTGTGGCAGTTGTGAATGGGATTTGGTTCTTGGCTTGACTGTTGGTGTATAGAAGTGTTAGTGATTTTAGCACATTGATTTTGTATCCTGAGACTTTACTGAAGGTATCAGCTTAAAGAGCTTTTGGGCGAACATGATCAGAAAAGAAAACCAATATTCATTACATTCAATTTGAGTTCTTGTTGTTTTATAACAATCTCAGTTTAAAGCTACTTTTATTTCATAGTTTTAATCTTTTGTGGTACATAGAAGGCACTCAATATAATATTTGTTGATTGATTTCTCATCTATGTCATGTTAACATGCAAAATGTAGCATGAAGAATAAAGCAATGAGTCAAACACAAAGTTGTTTTCCTGAAACTCAGATTTAATGGAGTCAGAACCTTGACAAATTTATTCAAGACCAACTAAAGAAATGTCAAGCTCTGTAACTTTGCATTCTGGCTTCATCTGCTTTAGGGTACTTCCTGTAACTTCTATACCACTGAATTTTCCTCCCACCAGGCCATTGCTAGACATTGTGGTCTAGTCTAAACCATAGAGACCCAGAGGGCTCTGGGCCAGTCACCCTTCTCTTTTCTACTTTCTTACTGCACCTAGATGATCTCATTCAGTTCTAGCACTTTATATGTGCTGATAACCTCTGATCTGCAGCCTTGTCTTTTATATTCAATTGCCTATTTGGCATCCCCACTCAGGTAACTGATAGGTATCTCAAACACAATATGGATAAAGTAGAACTCATATTTTTACTTCCCCACTTCCCCAAAAAGATTATTCCTCTTCCAATCTCCTTCAACTCAATAAATGCTTCTTGACCCACTTTCTTAAAAATTGACACAATGTTCCTTTTTAAAATGTAATGAGTGTGCCATTTCTCTGCTTTAAAAATCTCTCATTTGGCAGGCAGAATAATGGCCACCCAAAGATAACCTCATTCTAATCCCGGGAAACTGCAATGTGTTGCAGATGGAATTAAGTGGCTAATCAGCTAACTTTAAAACAAAAAAATTATCCAGATGGGTCCAAAATAATACTTTATATGTTGAAGACAGAAGCAGAAGAGTTTAAATCAAAGTGATACAGTGTGAGAATTTTTTTTTTTTTTTTTTTACTTAAGCCATTCACTTTGGCTGGAAAATGTGAAAAAAATTTAACCAATCATTTCAGGGTTTGAAGATGGAAGGGGGCCCATGAGCTAAGGAATAAGAGTGACTCTAGAATCTAGGAAAAGATAAGAATGTAAATTTCTCACCAGAGCTTCCAAAACAGAACTCAGCCCTGCTAACATCTTGGTTTTAGTTCAGTGAGACATATTTCAGACTTCTAATCCCCAGAACTGTGAAGTAATAAATTTTTGTTGTTTTAAACTACTGAGTTTGTGATAATTTGTTAGGGCAGCAATAAGAAACTAATATATTCTCCCAATATACTCTCCCTCTCCCAAGTCTTCTCATTTGTTCTAAAAATAAAATACAAATTTCATAATCTATGTTACAAACCCAAAGAGATCAAGTCTCCAATCCCATCACCAACAGCTGTGGTCTGTCTTTTATGGGTTCCTCAAATATGCATAGGTGATTTCTGCCTTGAGGAATTTTCACTGCCTCTCCTCCATAACCTACCGTGTCCATCTGCCATGGCTGACTTCTTCCTACTCATGTCTCAGCTTGACTGCTCACCTTTTCCTATACATGTTTTCTAATCATTGTATCTAAAGTAACTCCTAGGCATTCTTTATCACATCCACCCTATCTTACCTCCAGCATAGCACTTAGTAATTTCTGCTTTTTTCTTCTTCATGTATTTATTTATATATGCTTGCCTGCTCCCCTCGATTAGAATGTAAGTTCCATGAGAACAGAATCTATAATTATGACAGTAACAAGTAGGCACCGTATAGTATTTACTACATGAATTCGTGAATAAATGATACAATAAGTGGAAGCTGATTTGTAGTTCTGAATATGAGGACTTTACATAATTTCAAAGAAAGCATAAAAATTTTCATAAATTTGTAGGAAAATCAGAGTAACAAGAAATGAGTTACATGATTCTTTTCACTGACTCCTATGAATCTTTCCACTGACCCTACATAGTTTCCTGGGTAGGAGCAATATTCGTCATTCTTCCATTGTTCCTTTGGTGGAGGCTTTCCCCCAGTAAATCCTGATGAGCTCTCCTAAACAAATGGACACTTGAAATTGGTGGGCAATCAGTTAATCAGTAGGTGTCATAGCACCATAAGTGGGCTGGGCGTGGTGGCTCATGCCTGTAATCCCAGCACTTTGGGAGGCCAAGGAGGGCAGATCACTTGAAGTCAGGAGTTCAAGACCAGCCTGATCAACATGGAGAAACCCCCGTCTCTACTAAAAATACAAAATTAGCCAGGCATGGTGGTGCATGCCTGTAATCCCAGCTACTCGGGAAGCTGAGGCAGGAGAGTCGCTTGAACCTGGGAGGCAGACGTTGGAGTGAGCCAAGATCTGCCATTGCACTCTAGCCTGGGCAACAAGAGTGAAACTCCATCAAAAAAAAAAAAGAAAGAAACAAACATACAAACAAAAAAACACATCAAAATGATAGGAGAGTCCTGAAAGAGGGATGGTATTATGAAGAAAGAAGGCTTTCATGCAGCTGCTTCTGGATTTGGAAGAAATTTTCTAAAGTTTATTTTAGTAACTAAGGTATAAAGTTAGCAACATTATGAATAAAATGTCAAAGGAAGATTCTACAAATTAAATATTGCCATTAAAAAGAGGTGGGAAACGTGCCGCTTTCATCTTCTTATCACAGCAAGCAATCGCCTCTCCGAGGCCCTCAATCCTAGCTCAGTTCCCACTTTCTCCATGAAGCCTTGGCTGACCACTGCAGTGGGAATTTTTTCTTCCCACTAAGGATCTTATGTTCAGATTGGTGGTAAGGATAAATAGTATAAACTCAAATGAATAAAAATTAAAACATTTCTGTTTTCTTTAAATCTTATTTTAAGCTCCAGGAAACATGTGTAGGATGTGCAGGTTTGTTACATAGGTAAATGTGTGCCCAAAACATGGCTCTTAAAATTTGTTTAGAAATTGGAATTTGCCTTACTCTTTAGGTCTCAAAGGAGTAAGGTCTGTGATGTTCAGAGGATTGCATCTCTCAGACTGTGCTCTTACAATTTAGTAGGTCTCTGATGTTCAAAGGATTAGGTCTCTCAGGCTGTGCTCTGAAGTCAATGCCAACTAAATCCCTTTAGAATTATTTCGAACATCTGAACCATTCTCTACCAGTGACATAAATATTGGCATCAACCTCTTTGTAAAACTATTCTCCTAAATGATCAAGAAGATAGAGCTTAATTGTGAGATCTACTTTAAAAACTGTTATCAGGCAACCTACTGGCCCCTTTAAAACTCTTACCAGGGAAAATTCAGGTGAGAAAGAATTTAAAACTTATTTTTGCTAGAAATATTAATGACATGAAACGTTTATTTCTCTAAGTTATTTAAGGTTTTTTTCTTAAAACTCTAATTTTTCAATGTTTTAAGCTGGTTAAATTATTTTTAAATCTAAAGTCTATTGTGTAAGCTTTAGACAAATGACTATCATTCATTTGTATCACTTCTGAATTCAACAGAAGTCTAAATTTATATCAAGAGATAAAAGCACACTTTTATAGTAATAACAGAATACATTAATGAAGACTTTGAAACTTATTTGAATAATGTAGTTTGTCCTATTACTTATAAACTTGATGAAATGAATTATTAACCTCTACAATGAAATAGAGTTTAAAATTTTTGTGTTGGGCATTCCTATGTATTAAACAAATTATATAAGTAAGGACTATAATTTCAAACCAGTCTTTCAAATCCCAATATAATTTTGAGGAATGTTCTAGTTTCTTTTTTATTCTTAGAGAAATAAAATATCAATGTAAAATTTATTTCTATCTGACCAATGGACAACTGGGTGAACTGAAGGAAATTTTATATTATATAACTTCAAGCTGGCAAGGGCAAGGCAGTTAATGAAAAAGTTATTCAAATTACATAAGTTTCAAACGTTATTTTAAAAATATTGATCTTAAAGGTACATCAGCCAGGTGCAGTGGCTCATGCCTGTAATCTCAGCACTTTGGGAGGCTGAGGCAGGAGGATCACTTGAGGTCAGGAGTTTGAGACCAGCCTAGCCAACATGGTGAAACCCCACCTCTGCTAAAAATACAAAAAATAAATAGCCAAGCAGGTGGCGCATGCCTGTAATTTCATACTTGGTAGGCAGAGGCAGGAGAATCCCTTGAACCTGGGAGGTGGAGGTTGCAGTGAGCCAAGACTGTACCTCTGCACTCCAGCCTGGGCGACACAGTAAGACCCTGTTTCAAAAAATAAACTTTAAAAAAATATATATATACACACCAACTTCAAGTAATCTGAGATTTGAAAGTTAGTAATACCTTCAGAAACCAAAAAGGAGAGATCTTCTTATATCTTTCCAAAATGGTTTTCCTCTGTTCCCAAACTTCGGAGTATAGTTGTGGTCAATGAATATCCAGAAAACTGTCTATCTAGAAATATCTAGGAGGGTCAGTCAACCTTTCAAAGCAAGTAGGTAGCATAAAGCAGGCATCCAATGACTATCAGTTCAATTAATACATGATTCCCAAAGTAACAAAGATAAATAAGGTAGATTGAAACAAAATGCTCCCCGATAGGTAAGAACTCTTTGTCTATAAGTACATATAATGAGTAGATAATGAAAGTTTTTAAAATATCCCAAAATTTTAATAAATGTGAACACCCTAGAATCTAGGAATACAGTGAAAACACATGACATTTGAAAGAGTAAAAGTTGACACCAAAGAGATATTGCTTCCATAGAGGAGGTGACCTTAAGATTGCATTACCACATGATGTGGACATATGCCTGAATAGTTTGAGATGCAGGATTGCCAGCAAATTCCTATTATTTATAACTGGTGATGCCATTATCATAAAAGTGGAGTAGGCATTTGCTCAATGAATCCATTGTAACATTATTCACAGTAGAATTGTGAAGTGCAGAAAACATTAGTTAAATTCCCATGATTATTGTGCACTTAATCAAGTTATAAAACACTGCAGACCTAAGAGCATGCCATTTTATTTACTTAATAAAAAATTTCTATCCTGATTATTGAAGCAATAGCCATTGCAGACAATTTGAAAGAAATGGAGGAAAATATAAAGCCGAAAAATAATTGACCTCTAATTTTTATTGCATAGAAAAAACTAGTAATATTTTGATGTATTGTCATGCTACTTTTTTTAACCTTCATATGTAAGCATTTATTTGGAAATTGCAATTATTTTGTTTATAAAACTTTCTATTTTGTTTTTTACATAACGTATTTCTATCTATTTTATCATTACAATAATCTTCAAGGTAAACAGCATTTTTAATGATTGTACGATATGCCATCGTGTGAATGATTCACATTTATTTCATCATAACTTACTAAATGGTTATACCACCACTTTTAGATGTTTTGAATTTTTATGATTATGAATGAAATTACAATGGACATCATTTTATGTCAATCTTTGTAGAAGAGTCTAATTATTTCTTTCTGGTCAATTCATTATTATTGGCCAAAGGATGTGAATGTTTAAGAGTTTCTTTAATTTATTACAAATTATTTTCCAGTAATTGCACAAATTTTAGATAACACTATATATTATCATTTCTTTTTAAAAACATCTTGCCATTTTAATAGGCAAAATAAATATAGCCTCATAGCTATTTTAAATTATGTTTCTCTGATTAGTAATGAGGTTATAAATTTTTAATTTGTAAAAAATTATATTTCCTTCATATTTTTCTGTTCTGCCATTGACCTATTTTCTAGTGATTATTTGTACTGCTTCCTTCCTAAAACACAACTAGAGAAACAATATCCTATTTATTCCAGTCTCCCAGTTTTTGTTTGATGCTTAATTTTTATTCATGATTTTTGACTTATATAAATAAATTTGTCTTTTTTTTTTAATTTTTTTTTATTATACTTTAAGTTTTAGGGTACATGTGCACATTGTGCAGGTTAGTTACATATGTATACATGTGCCATGCTGGTGCGCTGCACCCACTAACGTGTCATCTAGCATTAGGTATATCTCCCAATGCTATCCCTCCCCGGTCCCCCGACCCCACCACAGTCCCCAGAGTGTGATATTCCCCTTCCTGTGTCCATGTGATCTCATTGTTCAATTCCCACCTATGAGTGAGAATATGCAGTGTTTGGTTTTTTGTTCTTGCGATAGTTTACTGAGAATGATGGTTTCCAATTTCATCCATGTCCCTACAAAGGACATGAACTCATCATTTTTTATGGCTGCATAGTATTCCATGGTGTATATGTGCCACATTTTCTTAATCCAGTCTATCATTGTTGGACATTTGGGTTGGTTCCAAGTCTTTGCTACTGTGAATAATGCCGCAGTAAACATACGTGTGCATGTGTCTTTATAGCAGCATGATTTATAGTCATTTGGGTATATACCCAGTAATGGGATGGCTGGGTCAAATGGTATTTCTAGTTCTAGATCCCTGAGGAATCGCCACACTGACTTCCACAATGGTTGAACTAGTTTACAGTCCCACCAACAGTGTAAAAGTGTTCCTATTTCTCCACATCCTCTCCAGCACCTGTTGTTTCCTGACTTTTTAATGATTGCCATTCTAACTGGTGTGAGATGATATCTCATAGTGGTTTTGATTTGCATTTCTGTGATGGCCAGTGATGATGAGCATTTTTTCATGTGTTTTTTGGCTGCATAAATGTCTTCTTTTGAGAAGTGTCTGTTCATGTCCTTCGCCCACTTTTTGATGGGGTTGTTTGTTTTTTTCTTGTAAATTTGTTTGAGTTCATTGTAGATTCTGGATATTAGCCGTTTGTCAGATGTGTAGGTTGCGAAAATTTTCTCCCATTTTGTAGGTTGCCTGTTCACTCTGATGGTAGTTTCTTTTGCTGTGCAGAAGCTCTTTAGTTTAATTAGATCCCATTTGTCAATTTTGGCTTTTGTTGCCATTGCTTTTGGTGTTTTGGACATGAAGTCCTTGCCCACGCCTATGTCCTGAAAGGTAATGCCTAGGTTTTCTTCTAGGGTTTTTATGGTTTTAGGTCTAACGTTTAAATCTTTAATCCATCTTGAATTGATTTTTGTATAAGCTGTAAGGAAGGGATCCAGTTTCAGCTTTCTACCTATGGCTATCCAGTTTTCCCAGCACCATTTATTAAATAGGGAATCCTTTCCCCATTGCTTGTTTTTCTCAGGTTTGTCAAAGATCAGATAGTTGTAGATATGCAGCATTATTTCTGAGGGCTCTGTTCTGTTCCATTGATCTATATCTCTGTTTTGGTACCAGTACCATGCTGTTTTGGTTACTGTAGCCTTGTAGTATAGTTTGAAGTCAGGTAGTGTGATGCCTCCAGCTTTGTTCTTTTGGCTTAGGATTGACTTGGCGATGCGGGCTCTTTTTTGGTTCCATATGAACTTTAAAGTAGTTTTTTCCAATTCTGTGAAGAAAGTCATTGGTAGCTTGATGGGGATGGCATTGAATCTGTAAATTACCTTGGGCAGTATGGCCATTTTCACGATATTGATTCTTCCTACCCATGGGCATGGAATGTTCTTCCATTTGTTTGTGTCCTCTTTTATTTCCTTGAGCAGTGGTTTGTAGTTCTCCTTGAAGAGGTCCTTCACATCCCTTGTAAGTTGGATTCCTAGGTATTTTATTCTCTTTGAAGCAATTGTGAATGGGAGTTCACTCATGATTTGGCTCTCTGTTTGTCTGTTGTTGGTGTATAAGAATGCTTGTGATTTTTTTACATTGATTTTGTATCCTGAGACTTTGCTGAAGTTGCTTATCAGCTTAAGGAGATTTTGGGCTGAGACGATGGGGTTTTCTAGATAAACAATCATGTCGTCTGCAAACAGGGACAATTTGACTTCCTCTTTTCCTAATTGAATACCCTTTATTTCCTTCTCCTGCCTGATTGCCCTGGCCAGAACTTCCAACACTATGTTGAATAGGAGCGGTGAGAGAGGGCATCCCTATCTTGTGCCAGTTTTCAAAGGGAATGCTTCCAGTTTTTAACCTTTTTCTTGAATTTTTGATAGCATTTAAATTTCATGCACACATGAATAATTCTTAATTGTATGCATAAATTGTATTATAAATAACCTGGATGGTTTCTAGTATAGGCATTTTTTCTCATTTCCCCTAATCTCTCTGTCTCCTCCCCACTTCCGTCCACATTCCTTTTCCTCCCCACCCCAGAGGGGTAAAAATACCTTAAAAATAGCCTGCTTCCAAAGCATGTTATGTTTAAGTGTACACTCCAGCAGTATTGGAGATAGTTAATTACTAAGAATATACAACTGAAAATAGGCATTTAAATTTTTTATTGTGATAGAAAATACATAAAATTTATCATCTTAGCCATATTTAAGAGTGTAGTTCAATAGAATTAAATACATTTGCAATGTTGTATTAATACAGCCATCACCACTACTCATCCAGAACTTTATCTTCCCAAACTGAAACTCTGTAACCATTAAGAAATAGCTCCCTGTGCCCACCTCCCACTAACAACCACCACTCTATATTCTGTCTTTATAAATTTGACTACTCTAGGTACCTGTAAATGGAATAACAGAATCTTTGTCCTTTTTTGACTGGCTTACTTCAATTAGCATTATGTCTCCAAGGTTGATCCATGTTGTAACATGTCAGAATTTCTTCCCTTTTTAGGGTTGAATAATGTTCCATTATATGTATATACCACCATTTATTTATTCATCATCCTTGGACATTTGGTTTGCTTCCACCTTTTGACTATTATGAATAATGCTGCTATTAACATTGGCATATAAAAATACTCTTTTAAACAACATTGTTAATCAGTACATATATATTCATTGAAATTTTGGGGAATGTTGATACTAATTGCTGACATTTAAATTATGAATCAGCTTTACTTAACCCATATAGAGAAGTGTTGTTCTCTGGATCTTTCTGTCAAGACCTCAAAACCCATCTTTGTGAAGATAATCTGATGTATTTCTTCCTCAAAATGTGCTGGAAATATTCACAATAGCAGAGACATGGAATCAACCTAAATGCCCATCAACAATTGACTGGATAAAGAAAATGTGGTACATACACAGCATGGAATACTATGCAGCCATAAGAAAGAATGAGATCATGTCCTTTGTAGCAACATGGACAGAGCTGGAGGCCATTATCCTAAGCAAACTAATGAAGGAACAGAAAACCAGGTATTGCATGTTCTCACTTATGAGTGAGAGCTAAACACTGAGTACACATGTACAGAAAGAATGGAACGACAGACAGTGGGGCCTACTTGACAGTGGAGGGTGGAAGGACAGAGAGACTGAAAAACTACTATTAGGTACTATTAAAATGGTTTAAAAATGATTTTAAAAGGTACTGAAAATATGTTTCATCACTAGCCAAAGAGGTAATTCCTTTATGGAAATTCATTCTCCCCATGAATGGGGCATGCACCAAAGTCCAGGCAACATGAGGAAACATTGTGGAAGATGCTCTCCTTCCTTTAAGCCAAAGAGACCTAAATAACTGTGGCATATTATAAATTAGTGCCTTCTTTCTCCACAATTTTTTTTCAGACAAGTCAGGAATGGCTGAAGAAAATCATACCATGAAAAATGAGTTTATCCTCACAGGATTTACAGATCACCCTGAGCTGAAGACTCTGCTGTTTGTGGTGTTCTTTGCCATCTATCTGATCACCGTGGTGGGGAATATTAGTTTGGTGGCACTGATATTTACACACCGTCGGCTTCACACACCAATGTACATCTTTCTGGGAAATCTGGCTCTTGTGGATTCTTGCTGTGCCTGTGCTATTACCCCCAAAATGTTAGAGAACTTCTTTTCTGAGAACAAAAGGATTTCCCTCTATGAATGTGCAGTACAGTTTTATTTTCTTTGCACTGTGGAAACTGCAGACTGCTTTCTTCTGGCAGCAATGGCCTATGACCGCTATGTGGCCATATGCAACCCACTGCAGTACCACATCATGATGTCCAAGAAACTCTGCATTCAGATGACCACAGGGGCCTTCATAGCTGGAAACCTGCATTCCATGATTCATGTAGGGCTTGTATTTAGGTTAGTTTTCTGTGGATCGAATCACATCAACCACTTTTACTGTGATATTCTTCCCTTGTATAGACTCTCTTGTGTTGATCCTTATATCAATGAACTGGTTCTATTCATCTTCTCAGGTTCAGTTCAAGTCTTTACCATAGGTAGTGTCTTAATATCTTATCTCTATATTCTTCTTACTATTTTCAAAATGAAATCCAAAGAGGGAAGGGCCAAAGCTTTTTCTACCTGTGCATCCCACTTTTTGTCAGTTTCATTATTCTATGGATCTCTTTTCTTCATGTACGTTAGACCAAATTTGCTTGAAGAAGGGGATAAAGATATACCAGCTGCAATTTTATTTACAATAGTAGTTCCCTTACTAAATCCTTTCATTTATAGCCTGAGAAATAGGGAAGTAATAAGTGTCTTAAGAAAAATTCTGATGAAGAAATAATCTCAAGAAAGATGGAAACAAGTGACATCTACTATAGCTTAATGATTTAAATGCAGCAAAAACTTCCATGTGAAATTACACAGGGGAAATGCATAAATTATAAGTAAAATTTTAATATATAAGAATACATTCAAATTAAGTGGCAAGAGGTAAGGGTAGAATATACAAAAAAGAGTAAACTGTGGTAAATCTTAATTCAAAATAACAAAAATGAAATTCTAATTTTGAACTCATTCAAGTAACAATGTAGTATGTTGTCAAGCTCTTGGTCTGTGTTGGCATCAGGGATGATAAGCATCCAAAAGAACACAGCAAAACTGGAAGTTACAAGTTCAAAGGACCATTCCATTAAGCATTGATAACCAGATAAGTTATTTTAATAGCTTAGAGCATGAGCATTATGGTTAAACTGAAAGAGTTTAAGATCATATGATGGTCAACCAGTAAAATCACTTACATCCATGAGCAACAAAATTGTGACAAGCGAATTTTGAGAAATCAATTTTAATAGCATTATGGGGACATTACTGTAGTTAGAAAGGAAGTATTAGGAAAACGAAGGTGTCAAATAATAGTGAATATCAGATTTCCAAATTTAAATTATTACTGAGTTAAATATTAAACACAGAATGTCAATTTTCAAGTCAAGCTACATTAAGAGAGTTTTATCTACTCCCATATCTACCTGCATAAATATACCATAACACAAACTTCCAGAAAAGCAGTTCAAACCTCATGTAGGATTTGAAGAGCTTCTTTGTTAGTGAGTTAGGTGCAATGTCTCTGTGCTCCTACTTGAGAGGTGAGGAAAGGTTTCAACAATAGAGACCACTACCCTGGGTATATTATATATAGAAATGTAAAACATAGTGTTGTTAAACTGTAGGTAGAGTTTATCTAATTTTTTTTTCTTTTCACTATTGCAAAACCTGAAGTTGGTATTGTGGGTAGAGTAATGATCTTAATGTGATATCATTTTAAAAATTACTTTCCAATTATTCACTCAACATATATTTATTGAAATCCTGCTATAGGTAGGCATTGTTCTGGGTGTTGGGCCATATCAGTTACAAAAAATGCCAGTTTTTCCATCTTCTCGAAGAATAGAATATTGCCACAATTTTTATTACTAACTTCTGGATTAAGAAGGACCTATGTCACATAATAGAAAAACATCTCCCTTCCACCTCTTGCTCTGAGGACCTGTCTAAATTCCCAGAAAGCAATTGTCAAGTGCTCCAGGTTAGCCAGCCACCAGAGGCTGGCATCACAGGAAAAATCAATATGCTGAGTCTGTACAGAAAAAGTAATAGGAGAGCAGATGAATTTCCAATTCCCTAACTCATCAATGCAAAAATATAACCACCTAGTTTTTCTTTGTAACCTCCAAGAAAATCTAACCTAGTTCATTCCAATTATACTTGGACATGTGAAGATCTTGTTTGTTTCAAATTAAATTCCATCAATTTAGGATTTACCCAACACTACCTACATCCTTCCTTCATCACATATAGGTCCTTGCCTGGTATCATGGCACTGAGCACAGGTGCCAGATTATATATGAGCTCTGTCCAAGCTATGATTCTGTGAGATGTTTGAGCCTATTTGACCCGTTGGTTATTTCTTCATGCCACCATCACTTCAGGTATCTACGTCCATGTCTACTCCTCAGGCTGCATTGATTTTCAGCTAAAATGTCTATTTATCCAACCCACAAGGCTTTGGGTTGGCTGGCTCTCTCTCTCTTACTCTTCATCTGCTAATTTCTGAGTAAATTCTCTTGACCTCTTCCCAGTGGGTCCAGGAAATGTTGAAATGCATCATTTTTGCACTTCCGATGCTACACAATACCAGTACAATGTAGGATTTTGAAAGCTTACATGGGTCCCTTTTGAAGGTCCCTTTTGCACATAGGTCACCAAACCTCCCTGAGCAATTGTCACCCCACTCCCATGCCAGGACACCCCCTGGGAATTGAAACCACAGAACCTTTTCCAGGCAACACGAACTCTTCCCTTCTTGATGTTGCTTTTTTTCCCAACTGACTGAATCCTTAATTCTAGGATGATACTTAGTTTTCACATCATTACAAATGTTTCCCAAATGTACTTTTATGGAGTAAAATTGGACTCAAAAATGAGACTCTGTCTTAGTCTATTCTCTCTGTCTGGAATATCAAAGGTATGCTCAGAAATAAAAAAAAAGTGAGGGATAACACTGTTGTATGGCTCTGGCCTCCTTTTCTTATATCAAAAAATGTGAACTGCCCTGGTTACTGTCTGAAACGGCAGGCATAGTTATTGGGTAAGACAGAATTACAGGCAGGCTTTATCTGAGAATTACTGGTTATGGGAGAAAAATATCTGATAAAATGAATATTTTTAAAATCTCGACTCATTTTATGGTATGCAGAGGAAAACAGACATGTTTAAAACAATATTTTGAAAAATAAAATTAAAAATTATAAATATTTTATCTCATCCTTAATCAAAGTTTACTTATAATCACAAATGTGTACATAATTTTTTAAAAATTTTAAAAAGAGTGAATCAAATATAAAGGATTTTCCTTGGTATTATTTTTCAGAAAATTAAAGTATGAAAATTCAAAACAACCTTTATTTAACTTTTTACTTCAAGGAATAATAGTAATAATAATAATAATAATAATAATAATAATAATAATTGATTTTTTAAAAAAACGGTGACACTACAGGGGCATCACTTCTTTATTGTACAGATTTTTCTCTTTTGAATTTGTTTATATTTTTCTCATTTGTTCTTTTTTCACATTTTAATTGTTTTATGTCTGCAAGGACCTACTTGTCAATAGGGCTTTACATTTCATTCAAGTGGCAATCCAACACAATTTTCATCCACTTCATGAAATCGATCACATCTTTCTCAAGATCATTTCACACTAAAGTTCAAGCATGTTTACTGTATCAGAAAATCAGTGGGTGAGATATTGGAACAATGGCTGAAGATAGACACTAGAGTGAAGCATGGAGAAATGGTTAAGGGGAAAGTAATTCTAGAAGTGGTTGGTTCACTTAGGAATATTTGTGTTCTGACAATTCTTACTTGCCTAGACAGCATTGTCACTTCAGGAACTGACATATTGAATGACATGATAACGTGAATCTCCTTGTTGACTCATCAGTTAATATCATAATTTTACCTCATTATGTATACAAATATTAACACTTGGGTTAATTTGTAGGTATTTCTATTTTATTTTTATTTCAATAGGTATTGGGGGAACAGGAGGTATTTTGTTACATTGATAAGTTCTTTAGTGGTGATTTCTGAGATTTTGATGCACCCATCACTGGAGCAGTGTACACTGTACCCAATTTGTAGTCTTTTATCCTTCACTCCCCTCCCACCCTTCCACCTGAGCCCCTTAAGTCCATTGTATCATACGTATGCCTTTGCGTCCTCATAGCTTAGCTCCCACTTATAAGTGAGAACATACAATGCTTGGTTTTCCATTCCTGAGTTACTTCACTTAGAATAATGGTCTTCAACTCCATTTAGGTTGTTGTGAGTGCCATTATTTGTTTCCTTTTTATGGCTCAGTAGTATTCAATAGTATACATTTTCTTTATTCATTGATTGATGGACATTTGGGCTGTTTCCATATTTTTGCAATTGTGAATTGTGCCGCTATAAATGTGTGTGCAAGTGTCTTTTTTATGTAATGACTTCTTTTCCTCTGGGTGGATACACAGTAGGGGGATTGCTAGATCAAATGGTAGATCTACTTTTAGTTTTTTAAGGAATCTCCATACTGCTTTCCATAGTGGTTGTACTAGTTTACAATCCCACCAGCAGTGCATAAGTGTTCCCTTTTCACCACATCTATGCCAACATCTAATTTTTTTTATTTTTAAATTATGAGCAGTCTTGCAGGAGTAAGGTGGTATCCCAGTGTGGTTTTAATTTGCATTTGCCTGGTAATTAGTGATGTCAAGCATTTTTTCATATGTTTGTTGGCCATTTTTATATCTTCTTTTGAGAATTATCTATTCCTTAGCCCACTTTAATGGTATTATTTGTTTTTTTCTTGCTGATTCGTTTGAGTTCTTTGTAGATTTTGGATATCAGTCCTTTGTTGGATGCAAAGTTGTTAAAATTTTCTCCCACTCTGTGGGTTGTCTGTTTAGGCTACTGATTATTTCTTTTGCTGTGCAGAAGATTTTTAGTTTAATTAAGTCCCATCTATTTATCTGTATTTTTGTTGCATTTGCTTTGGGTTCTTGGTCACGAAGTCTTTGCCTAAACCAATATCTAGAAGGATTTTTCTGATGTTATCTTCTAGAATCGAATTTTTAGAGTTTCAGATCTTAGATTTAAGTCTTTGATGCATCTTGACTTGATTTTCGTATAAGGCAAGAGATGAGGATCCAGTTTCAATCTTCTACATGTGGCTTGCCAATTAACCCAACACCATTTGTTGAATAGGGTGTCTTTCCACACTTTATGTTTTTCTTTGTTTTGTCGAAGATCAGTTGGCTGTAAGTATTTGGCATTATTTCTGGGTTCTCCATTTTGTTCCATTGGTCTATGTGTTTATTTTCATACCAGTACCATTCTGTTTTGGTGACTATAGCCTTGAAGTCAGGTAATGTGATGCCTCCAAGTTTGTTCCTTTTGCTTAGTCTTGCTTTGGTTATGCCAGCTCTTTCTTGGCTCCATATGAATTTTAGCATTTTTTTTTCTAATTTTGTGAAGAATGATGGTGGTATTTTGACAGGAATTGCATTGAATTTGTAGACTGCTTTTGGCAGTATGGTCATTTTCACAATATTGATTCTATCCATCCATGAAGACAGGATGTGTTTCCATTTATTTGTGTCATCTATGATTTCTTTCAGCAGTGTTTAGCAGTTTTGTAGAGGTCTTTCGCCTCCTTGTTAAGTATATTCCTAAGTGTTTGTTTGTTTGTTTTGTTTTGTTTTTCTTTCTGCTATTATAAAAGAGGTTGAGTTCTTGATTTGAGTTTCATCTTCATCGCTGTCAGTGTATAGCAGTGCTACTGATTTGTGTACCTTAATTCTGTATCCTGAAATATTACTGAATTCATTTATCAGATCTAGGTACTTTTTGGAGGAGTCTTTAGGGTTTTGTAGGCATATGATCACATCATCAGTGAACAGCAGCAGTTTGACTTCCTCTTTACTGATTTGGATGTCCATTATTTATTTATCTTATCTTATTGCTCTGGCTAGAACTTCTAGTACTATGTTGAATAGAAGTGGTGAAAGTGGGCAACCTTGTCTTGTTCCAGCTCTCAGGGGAATGCTTTCAACTTTTCCTCATTCAGTATAATGTTGGCTCTGGGTTTGTTATAGATGGCTTTTATTACCTTAAGGCATGTCTCTTCTATGCCGATTTTGCTGAGGGTTTTAATAATAAAAGGATGCTGGATTTTGTCAAATGCTTTTTCTGCACCTATTGAGATGATCATGAATTTATGTTTTTAATTTTGTTTATGTGATGTATCATTAATTGACTTGCATATGTCAAACAATTTCTGTATCACTGGTATAAAACCCACTTGATTATGGTGGATTATCTTTTTGATATGCTGTTGGATTTGGTTAGCTAGTATTTTGTTGAGGATTTTTGCATCTATGTTCATCACGGATATTGGTCTGTAATTTTCTTTTTCTTTTTTTTTTGTTATGTCCTTTCCTGGTTTGGGTATTAGGATGACAGTGGCTCCATAGAATGATTTAGGGAGGATTCCTTCTTTCTTTATCTTTTGGAACAGTTCCAATAAGATTGGAGGCAATTCTTCTTTGAATGTCTGATGAAATTCAGCTGTGAATTCATCTGGTCCTGGACTTTTTGTTATTGGCAATTTTTTAATTACCATTTTAATAACACTGATTCTCATTGGTCTCTTTGGAGTTTCTATGTCCTCCTAGTTTTATTTAAGAGGGTTATATATTTCCAGGAATTTATCTATCACCTCTAGGTTTTCTAGTTTGTGCGTGTGAAGATGTTCATAGTACCCTTGAATGATGTTTTGTATTTCTGTGGTATTGGTTGTAATATCTCCCATTTAATTTCTAATTAGCTTATTTCGATCTCTCTTCTTGGTTAATCTCACTAACAGTCAATCAATTTCATTTGTCTTTTCAAAGAACCAGCTTTTTGTTTCATTTATCTTTTGTATTTTTTGTTATTGTTTCAATTTCATTTATTTCTGCTCTCATCTTGGTTATTTCCTTTCTTCTTCTGGGTTTGGGCTTTGTTTGTTCTTGTTTCTCTAGTTCCTTGACGTGTGACCTTAAATTGTCTATGTGTGCTCTTTCAGACTTTTTGATGTAGGTATTTAATGCTATGATCAGTCCTCTTAGGATGCTTTTGCTGAATCTCAGAAGTTTTGATAGGTTGTGTCACTATTATTGTTCAGTTCAAATAATTTTTTAATTTCCATCTTCATTTCCTTGTTAACCCAATAATCATTCAGTAGCAGGTTATTTACCTTCCATGTACTTGCATGGTTTTAAGGGTACCTTTTGGAGTTGATTTCCTATTTTATTCCACTGTGGTCTGAGAGAGTACTTGATACAATCTCAATTTTCTTAAATTTATTGAGACTTGTGTTGTGGCCTATCATATGGTCTATCTTGGAGAATATTTCATGTGCCAATGAATAGAATGTATATCCTGCAGTTGTTGAGTGGAATGCTTGTAAATATCTGTGAAGTCCATTTGTTCTAGGGTATATTTAAGTCCATTTTTTCTTTGTCAACTCTCTGCCTTGATGACCTGTCCAGTGCTGCCAGTAGAGTATTGAAGTCCCCCACTATTATTATGTTGTCATCTATCTCATTTCTTAGGTATAGTAGTAATTGTTTTATAAATTTTGGAGCTCCAGTATTAGGTGCATAAACATCTGGATTGTGATATTTTCCTGTTGGACTAGTCCTTTTATCATTATATAATGTCCCTCCTTGTCTTTTTTAACTGTTGTGGCTTTAAAGTCTATTTTGTCTGATATAAGAATACCTATTCCTGCTTGGTTTTCATGTCCTTTTGCATGGAATATATTTTTCCACTCCTTTACCTTAAGTTTATGTGAGTCCTTATGTGTTAGGTGAATCTCTTGAAGGCAGCAGATATTTGGTTGGTGAATTCTTATCCATTCTACCATTCTGTATCTTTTAAATGCAGCATTTATGCCATTTATATTCCACGTTATTATTGAGATGTGAGGTACTATTCTATTCAAAGTGCTAGTTGTTGTCTGAATTCCTTGGGGTTTCCTTCATTGTGTTATTGTTTTCTAGCCCCTGAGAGAGTTATGCTTTAAGGAGGTTCTATTTTGATGTATTTTAGGTTTTATGTCAAGATTTAGAACTCCTTTTAGCAGTTCTTGTAGTGCTGGCATGGAAGTGGCAAATTCCCTCAGCATTTGTTTGTCTAAAAAAGACAGTATCTTTTTTTCCCATTCCTTTTATTATTATTATTATTACACTTTAACTTCGGGAATGCATGTGCAGAATGTGCAGGTGTGGTGCATAGATATACATGTGCCATGGTGGTTTGCTGCACCCATCAACCTGTCAACTACATTAGGTAGTTCTCCTAATGCTATCCCTCCCCTAGCCCCCCAACCCCCTGACAGGCCTCACTGTGTGCTGTTCCCCTCCCTGTGTCCATGTGTTCTCATTTTTGAACTCCCACTTGTGAGGGAGAACATGTAGTGTTTGGTTTACTGTTCCTGTGTTAGTTTGCTGAGAATGATGGTTTCCAGCTTCATCCATGTCCTGGCAAAGGACATGAACTCACCTTTTTTATGGCTGCATAATATTCCATGGTGTCTATTTGCCACATTTTCTTTATCCACTCTATCATTGATGGGCATTTGGGTTGGTTCCAAGTCTTTGCTATTGTGAATAGTACTGCAATAGATATATGCATGTGTGTGCATGTGTCTTTATACTAGAATAATTTATAATCCTTTGGGTATATTCCCAGTAATAGGATTGCTGGGTCAAATGGCATTTCTGGTTCTAGATCCTTGAGGAATTGCCACACTGCTTCCACAATGGTTGAACTAATTTACACTCCCACCAACAGTGTAAAAGTGTTCCTATTTCTCCACATCCTCTCCAGCACTTGTTGTTTCCTGACATTTTAATGACCACCATTCTAACTGGCATGAGATGGTATCTCATTGTGGTTTTGATTTGGATTTCTCTAATGACCAGTAATGATGAACTTTTTTCATGTTTGTTGGCCACATAAATGTCTTCTTTTTGAGAAGTATCTGTTCATATCCTTCACCCACTTTTTGATAGGGTTGTTTATTCTTTTTCTTGTAAATTTGTTTAAGTTCCTTGTAGGTTCTGGATATTAGCCCTTTGTCAGATGGATAGATTGCACAAATTTTCTCCCATTCTGTAGGTTGCCTGCCCATTCTGGTGATAGTTTCTTTTGCTGTGCAGAAGCTCTTTAGTTTAATTACATCTCATTTGTCAATTTGGTGTTTGTTGCCATTGCTTTTGGTATTTTAGTCATGAAGTCTTTGCCCATGCCTATGTCCTGAATGGTATTGCCTAGGTATTCTTCTAGGTATCATTTTATGGTTTTAGGTCTTATGTTTATGACTTTAATCCATCTTGAGTTAATTTTTGTATAAGGTGTAAGGAAGGGGTCCAGTTTAAGTTTTCTGCATATGGCTAGTCAGTTTTCCCAACACCATTTATTAAATAGGGAACCCTTTCCTCCTTGCTTGTTTTTGTCAAGTTTGCCAAAGGTCATATGGTTGTAGATGTGTGGCATTATTTCTGATGCTTCTATTCTGTTCCATTGGTCTACATAACTGTTTTGGTACCAGTACCATGCTGTTTTGGTTACTGTAGCCTTATAGTATAGTTTCAAGTCAGGTCATGTGATGCCTCCAGCTTTGTTCTTTTTGCTTAGGATTGTCTTGGCTATACAGGCTCTTTTTTGGTTCCATATGAAATGTAATGTAGTTTTTTCTAATTCTGTGAGGAGTCATTGGTAGCTTGATGGGGACTGCACTAAATCTAGAAATTACTTTGGGCATTATGGCCATTTTCACGATATTGATTCTTCCTATCCATGAGCATGCAATGTTTTTCCATTTGTTTGTGTTCTCTCTTACTTCCTTGAGCAGTGGTTTGTAGTTCTCCTTGAAGAGGTCCTTTACATCCCTTGTAAGTTGTATTCCTAGGTATTTTATTCTCTTTGCAGCCATTGTAAATGGGAGTTCACTCATGATTTGGCTCTCTGTTTGTCTGTTATTGGTGTATAGGAATGCTTGTGATTTTTGCACATTGATTTTGTATCCTGAGACTTTGCTGAAGTTGCATATCAGCTTAAGGAGATTTGGGGCTAAGATGATGGGGTTTTCTAAATATACAATCATGTCATCTCAAAACAGAGACAATTTGACTTCCTCTCTTCCTATTTGAATACCCTTTATTTCTTTCTCTTGCCTGATTGCCCTGGCCAGAACTTCCAATACTATGTTGAATAGGAGTGGTGAGAGAGGCCATCCTTGTCTTGTGCTGGTTTTCAAAGGGAATGCTTCCAGCTTTTGCCCAGTCAATATGATATTGGCTGCAGGTTTGTCAAAAATAGCTCTTATTATTTTGAGATATGTTCCATCAATACCTAATTTATTGAGAGTTTTTAGAATGAAGAGGTGTTGAATTTTGTCAAAGGCCTTTTCTGCATCTATTGAGATAATCATGTGGTTTTTGTCATTGGTTCTGTTTATGTGATGGATTACATTTATTGATATGCATATGTTGAACCAGCCTTGCATCCCAGGGATGAAGCCGACTTGATCGTGTTGGATAAGCTTTTTGATGTGCTGCTGGATTTGGTTTGCCAGTATTTTTTTGAGGATTTTCACATCGAGGTTCATCAGGGATATTGGCCTAAAATTTTATTTATTTTTTTTCTTGTATCTCTGCCAGGTTTTGGTATCAAGAGGATGCTGGCCTCATAAAATGAATTAGGGAGGAGTCCCTCTTTTTCTATTGTTTAGAATAGTTTCAGAAGGAATGGTACTAGGGCCTCTTTGTACCTCTGGTAGAATTAGGCTGTGAATCCATCTGGTCCTGGGCTTCTTTTGGTTGGTAGGCTATTAATTACTGCCTCAATTTCAGAACTTGTTATTGGTCTATTCAGGGATACAACTTTGTGCTGGTTTAGTTTTGGGAGGGTGTATGTGTCTAGGAATTTATCCATTTCTTCTAGATTTTCTAGTTTATTTGCATAGAGATGTTTTTAGTGTTCTCTGATGATAGTTTTTATTTCTGTGGGATCAGTGGTGATATCCCCTTTATCATTTTTTATTGTGTCTATTTTATTCTTCTCTATTTCTTCTTTATTAGTCTGGCTGGTGGTCTACCTATTTTGTTAATCTTTTCAAAAAACCAGCTTTTGGATTCATTCATTTTTTAAGGGTTTTTCGTGTCTCTATCTCCTTCAGTTCTCCTCTGATCTTAGTTATTTCTTGTCTTCTGCTAGCTTTTGAATTTGTTTGCTCTTGCTTCTCTAGTTATTTTAATTGTAATGTTAGGATGTTGACTTTAGATCTTTCCCACTTTCTCCTGTGTGCATTTAGTGCTATAAATTTCCCTCTAAACACTGCTTTAGCTGTGTCTCAGAGATTCTGGTACATTTTGTCTTTGTTCTCATTGGTTTCAAAGAACTTATTTATTTCTTCATTTTAATTCATATTAATTTCATTATTTACCCAGTAGTCATTCAGGGGCAGGTTGTTCAGTTTCCATTTAGTCATGTGGTTTTGAGTGAGTGATTTCCATTCTTTTGCATTTGCTAAGGAGTGTTTTACTTCCAATTATGTAGTCAATTTTAGAATAAGTGCTATGTGGTGCTGAAAAGAATGTATATTCTCTTGATTTGGGGTGGAGAATTCTGTAGATGTCTATTAGGTCCGCTTGGTCCAGAGCTGAGATCAAGTCTTGAATATCCTTATTAATTTTCAAGACAGTATCTTTCCTTCATTTATGAAGATTACTTTTGCTGGATATAAAATTCTTGGCTGATAAGTGCTTTAAGGAAGCTAAAGATAGGACTCCAATCCCTTCTAGCATGAAGGATTTCTGCTGACAAATCTGTTAATCTGATAGATTTTCCTGTATAGATTACCTGATGTATTGCCTCATAGCTCTTAATATTCTTTCCTTCATCTTAAC
Source organism: Homo sapiens (assembly GCF_000001405.40). NCBI lineage: Eukaryota > Metazoa > Chordata > Mammalia > Primates > Hominidae > Homo > Homo sapiens. The sequence goes on from NC_000003.12 coordinate 98,481,722, forward strand.
TTTAAATATCTCAATGAATGTGTGCCTAGGTGATGAAATGTTTTTGTGATGAACTTCCAGGGTGTTCTTTTAGCTTCTTGTATTTGAATGTTTAGATCTCTAGCAAAGCCAGGGAAATTTTTCTTGATTATTCCCTCAAATAAGTTTTCCAAACTTTTAGATTTATCTTCTTCCTCAGGGGCAGCAATTATTCTTAGGTTCCATTGCTTAACATAATCACAAACTTCTTGGAGGCTTTGGTCATTTTTCATTTATTCCTTTTCTTTTGTCAGATTCAAAGCCTTGTTCAAAGGCAATTCAAAAGCCTTGTCTTCAAGCTCTGAAGTTCTTTCTTTGACTTGTTTAATTCTATTTTTGAAAGTTAGCAGTGTATTTTGCACTTCTCTAAGTGTGTCTTTCATTTCTATAAGTTGTGATTGTTTTTGATTTATGCTACCTATATCTCTGGAGATTTTTCATCCATATCCTGTGTTATTTTTTCATTTCTTTAAGTTGGTTTTCACCTTACTCTGGTGCCTCCTTGAATAGCTTAATAATCGACCTTCTGAATTCTTTTTCTGGCAATTCAGAGATTTCTTCTGGGTTTGGATCCATTGCTGGTGAGCTAGTGTGATCTTTTGGGGGTGCTAAAGAACCTTGCTTTGTCATATTACCAGAATTGTTTTTCTGGTTTCTTCTTATCTGAGTAGACTATATCAAATGAAAGATCTGGGGCTCAAGAGCTGATATTCAGATTCTTTTGTCCCACAGGGTGATCCCTTGATGTGTGCTCTCCCCCTTCCCTTAGGAATGGGGCTTCCTGAGATTCTGACTGCAGTGGATGTCACTGCTTTTCTGGGTCTAGCCACCCAGCAGCGCTACTGAGCTCTGGGCTGGTACTGAAGAGTGTCTGCAAGGAGTCCTGTCATGTGATCCATCTTCAAGTCTCTCAGCTGTGGATACCAGCACCTGGGCCAGTGGTGGTAGCAGGGATATGAAGTAGACTCTTTGAGGGTCCATGGTTGTAGTTTTTAGTGTGCTGATTTTCTTGAATGTTGGTTGTGCTAGCAGTGAAGTTGTACCTGGACAGACTCAGGACCTCTGGTTAGCCAGGATGTTTCGGTGGTGGAATTAGCTGTTGTTTTCTCATTTCCTGGAGCAGGACTTTTCTTTTATGAGTTGATATAATCACTTGAGTGTGTTGGCCTCCAGCCAGGAGATGGCAGTTTCAAGACAGCATCAACTGCAGTAGTATAGGGGAGATACAAGCTTGCTCTAATGTCACTTGGATAAATATTTGGGTTTCTCAAGTGATGGGCAGGGCCACAGAGCTTCCAAAAGATAGTATCTTTTTTCTTTGGCTATCAGAGTGGGTAGAGAAAGACCATCAAGTAGGGGCAGGTTAGTGGTGTCTGAGCTCAGACTCTCTTTGTGTGGGACTTGCTGCAGCTGCTGTGGGTGATGGGGGTGTGGTTCTCAGGCCAATGGACCTATGTTCCCAGGGGCATAATGTCTGCCTCTGTTGCATCATACAGGTTCTCAGGGAAGTGGAGAAAGCTGGCAATGACAAGCCTCACTCGTCTCCTATGCAGCCAGCAAGGACAGTCTCAATCCCACCATACCCCACCAATAGCACCTAGTTTATATCCAGGCAGCCAACGAACAGTGCTGGGATATTGCCCCAGGCTGCATGTTTTCTAGCTGAGAAAGCAAGCAGGGCTTTCAGGCCCCACCCCTCCTTACCTGCCACAGCTTCTGTGCTCCTGTCTGTACTTCCCATTCCCTCCACCCAGGATTCTGCCCAGGAAAATTTGCACTTGGTCAAAATTATTACAAAGTTCAGCTGAAAGTTTTCTTCTACCTGTCCTTCCCCAATTCCACTGGCAGTCCTACCCAGTGACTTCAGTGAGATAAAGTCAGAAATGGCTTCCCTGCGAACCAGGAATACCTACAGGGCTTTTTCAGTACTTCTTCTACTTTTATATTTTGTTCAGCTCTCTAAATTCTTTTCAGCTCTAGGTAAGGTTAAATTCTTCTCCCATGATCTGGGTTTTCAGGTTCCCCGGTGAGGATGTGAGGATGTGTGTTAGGAGGTGGACCTTCCCCACTCACACTTTGGGCACTCACACTTTTTCAGCTGTTTCACAAAGTTTGCATCAGCAAGCTACTTCTTTCAAAAGGTCTGTGGATTCTTTCAGTTTTCCTCGTATGTTCCTGTGCTAGTTCTTGGAGTTCTTGGACTCACTATGTGAGTCTCCATATGCTGTTCTGTCCATCAGAGAGGGAGCTGCAAGTTAGTCCTGCCTCCTGTCTGCCATTATTTTCAAAAAAGAAAAACTAATTTGTAGAAATGTTTAATGTTGCTAACACTTTCTTTTTACATTTTAATTATTGAGGTATTACCTAAATCTTAATATGCCATTTCCTGTCATCCAGGATGAATTGCCAACTAACTGAGTATCCAAAGTTTGGTAGACTCGAGAATATTTATTTTATACATTCATCTCTGGGGACACCATATATCTCCCTTCCACAGATCATGCCCCTTCAGATCATATTAGTCTTCAATTCCTACACATTTCCAGCTCAGGAAAAGTGCTCTAGAGTTGGCCCTGTTTATTTGTACAAGTATGCTTTATCAGCAAGCCTATTTCAACATTTAATTTAATTTTATTTTATTATTTATTTATTTATTTTGAGACTGAGTCTCACTCCATTGCCCAGGCTGGAGTACAGTGGTGTGATCTTGGCTCACTGCAAACTCTGCCTCCTGGGTTCAAATAATTATCCTGCCTCAGCCTCCCAAGTAGCTGGGATTACAAGGGCCTGCCACCACACCAGACTAATTTTTGTATTTTTAGGAGAGACAAGGTTTCACCATTTTTGCCAGGCTGGTCTCAAACTCCTGACCTCAAGTGATCCACCTGCATCAGCCTCCCAAAGTGCTGGGATTACAGGTGCGAGCCACCATGCCCAGCTAACACAATTTTAAATGTTGGGTCATAAGTGATGCTGATTAAACATTTGAGAAGTAGAATGTAATAGCTATAGCCCATTCAACTCTAGAGTCATACTAACTGTTGAAATATTAATTTTTCAGTTTAATATAACTCTCAGGTAGTAATTGTAATATATTAAGATGGGACTGTATTAAGATTATGTACAGGAGGAGAAAAAAGTTATATGTAATACTAGGAAATTGTTTCTGTATCAGAGCAAATAAAAGACCTTATTCTACCTTTTGATGTGTCAGTCTTGCCTGTCTTTCAAAGATTTAAAACTGATATTATGATGAATTACTTCTATCATTTGAAATCTCATAAATGTGTTTATTTAAATAAAATTTAAAATAAATAATAAAATTTTAACTATTTGAAAATATAATTTTCTATTTCTTTTTCAAAGGGAATAGCCTTGTTAGTGGGCTGAACTTATTCCTTTCTTCAAAAGATACGTACTAAATTATAGCAAGAAAAAATGTATGGGGTGATACAAAAACAACAAAAATATACAATAAATTAACTACCTGTATTCAAAAGATATCTCATGTGCATATACATAATACATATATTCATAACTTAGTTCCATTTTCTGTAGCTCTTGAGTCACAAGTAGAAGAGGTTACATTTTCCTACAAACATTTATATTGTCCCGATACTATCAAAATGTATTCATCCTCCTTGGTCCTTGGTAGTTAATGAATAACCCACTTTCAAAACTTCAGAAAACTGAATTTTAAAGGTAATTTTTAAAATAATTATAAAAACCTTAAGACTCTATAATGACAATTTGTTTTTTAATATTTCTTAAAGAAACATTTACTAATTATTCATTCTATTAAACATTAAACATACAGCCTGCAACTTATACCTGAATCTTTCCATGTTGGCTCTGCCTAACCAAGAACTTTGTAGTTTCCTAGGTAGTAGCAAAGATCAGTCATTTTTATTTCTTCAAAATTTATCTTACGCTAAGCTTCTGGTTTCTGCTGCTCTTTTCCTGTCTATACTTCTTACAGTGCTAAGTTGGGTAAGTTCAGAGTATTATATGGTACAAATATTTTTCCACATGGCCTCTGCTCACCTTCCCTGGAGATAACATATAAATGGCAATTCCAATTTTCACCTAAGACTGATGTAAAACATCACTCCTTTCTTATTATGCTATCTGACTATTTCCCTGTTTACTGTTTTTCCATTAATTTAATCAATTCAGAAGACTTTTTCTTTTATTTTTATTTTTTCCATATGTGCAAGATCTATTCCTTTATTCAGCCAACCCACTTCTGAGGTTTGCAATATGTGAAGCATTAAGGTAGGTGCTGAGTTAAAACAAAAATTAAATAAGACCTGGTGTCAACTTGAAAGAGTAAAACTTGTACTCAAGAAGCTAAAATGTTTTAGACTAACCCATATGAAACCTTTTTGTTAACCAAAAAAATGGTATAATACTGGCAACTTGATGGCTCGTCAAAATATATTTTTTCACAAATAATTCCAATATGAGGCATGATCATCAAACTTTTCTTAAAACTATAATCTCATTAAAATATCTTTGAGATATTCCATAAGCAGATTGGCCCTCAGCCTTTGCTGACAGTTTCAGCAGATCCTTCATGCAGACTTTAAGTTCTGCCTCACATCTCTCTCTAGAGGGGCTTAATCAAGTAGGGGCCATACCAGAAATGAAAAATATATTCTCCTTCTTATGCCAAAACAATCTCTCTCAAAACTAATTGTCAGTGATTGGATTTCAAGAGCAATAAGATGTTATATAGAGTTTAGTGTGTGGATGTTTAATAGGGAATGCTCTTGGAGTCAATTCTTATGGAAGGGATGAAAGAAAAAGGATTTGGTAGCTAGAGGAATTCAATACAATAGACACTTGACAGCCTGAATCAACCCCACAGGAGTCCTGGACATAGAAGGGCTTCATAGATCTCATGGGAAAACAAGCAAACTTTTTTTTAAAACAAAAAGGAAAGAAAGAAAAATACTTTGAGAAAAAGAGGCAAATCAGACAACAAAATAAAATTTCCAAAAGTAATCATATCACAAACAAATTAAAAATTTGTAGCATTCAAAATACAAGAATAGAAGCAATATAGAAGTGAAACTTAATATTAAAAAATTTGAAATGTTAAATTATAAAAAGCAGATTTTTTTAAAAAAAAATTAAGAATTAGAAGATAAAGCTTGAAGGTAGACCAAAATGATGAAATAAGACTTTTTAGTGTTTGTCTCCTAGGAGAAACATCTATTAGAACAACTATCCATGCATGAAAATACCTTCACAAGAACTAAGGAAACCAGGTTGAAGGTTACAGAACATGGGCATAAAACAGAAATAAGACAGATTAAAGAGAGTAAAAAGAACAATTTCATATGTCTCACGTCACGCCCTCCCAACACATACCTATGCCTGCATGATATGCACAGCTATGAGAGAGGTAGACTCTGCTTGGGGAAAGGAGATTGAAATAATTACCCAAATTTACTATGGATGCAAGGGCCTGGCCATCCCCTATGACCTCAGACTCCCATCCAGTACACAGGAGCTGAGCCTCCAGGCTGGCCTCATTTACTTATTGCTTCTCATTCCAAGGTCTCAGACCTACCCTAGAACCAGGCCAGCCCTTGCAGACCCAGATGAGACCAGCACCCACAGCCCATGAATTCAGGCTCATCCCTGTGCCATGCCCCTATCTGTAGTCCCGCACTTCAGGCTGACATCCATGCCAGGTTGGCCCCTGCAACTTCAGGCTCCAGGTAAGTATGCAGGGACCCAGGTATCAGGCCAACCCTGAAGCCCTAGACTGCAGGCCCACCACATCAGAAGGCCAGCTCCTGCGGCCCCAAGCTTCAAGCCAACCCCTGTGACAGACCTGTTTGCAAAACCCATGACTCCAGCCCAACCTCCTACAGACCCAGGTTCCATGCCCAACCCAGTTCCAGGATAACACCTGCAGCTCCATGGACTAAGCTGGCATCCAGAGCCCCAGGACACCCCAGAACAACCCAACATCCAGGCAAAACCCTGCAGCCCAACAATGTAGGCAATTCCCCCCATGGATCCAAAATCCTGACCCATCCCAGTGAATGCTAGCTCCAAGCCAACCTGCCAAGAACTCCAACAGTAAGTCCACCCACCCATGAACGCCACCAAATGGCCTAACAAGAATCTCTAGACTGGTTGACTTCTGAAGGGCATCTCCTGCTGAAGCCAGTCTGTGAACACTGAAATAGGTGCCTACTTCTTCAAACGTACAGACACTAGTACACAGCCACAAGGAACATGAACAATCAGGGAAATGAGACTAACCAAGGAACAAAATAAAGCACCAATAACTGGACGCTAAAGAAATGGATACTTATGAACTGCCTAAAAAAAATGAAAATAACAAAGAAGTTTAGTAAGATGCAAGAGAACACAGATAAACAAATAAATGTAATAATGAAATCAATAAATAAAATTAGAAACTTAAAGAAATAGAAACCATTAAAAAGAGCCAAACAGGAATTATGGAGCTTTAGATGACTTCATGAAAAATTCCACAAAGAGTTCAACAGCAGGCTCAATCAAGTAAAACAATGAATTAGTGAGCTTGAAGAAAAGTCATTGCATTGGAGATCACCCAATCAGAGAAACAGAAGGCAAAAAGAATGAAAAAGAGGGAATAAAGTCTATGAAAATTATGGGACATCATTAAGTGAACCAATATATACATTATGGAAGATCCAGAAGTGTCAGCAAAAAAGAATGAGACAGAAAGCTTATTTAGAAAAATAATGATGAAAAAAATTCTCAAATCTGAAGAAGGGAATAAACATCCAAATCCATGAATCCCAAAGAACCCTAAATACATTAAGTATATGGAAATCTGCACTAAGACACGTTATATTAAAATGCTCAAAAAGTCAAAGACAAACCCAGAATTTTGATGGGAGCAAGAGGAAAGCAATTTGTTATATGCAAGAGAAGCCCAATTAGACTATCAGTAGATATCTCAGCGGTATTATTTCAGGCTAGAAGAGAGTGAGTGATACATTCAAAGTGCTGAAAGGATAAAACCACCAACAAAGAATACTATGCTCAGCAAGATATCCTTCAGAAATAAAGATGAGATAATAACTTTTTCAGACAAAAAAAAATAAAGCCCAATTGCTAAAGGGAGTTTTTCAACTTGAAACAAATGAATGCTACCTAACAACATGAAAATATATGAACATATAAAGCTCACTGTGAAGGTAAGAATATAATCAAATCTGGAATACTCTCATTCTGTAAAGGTGATACACAAATCACGTTTAACTATAGTATGAAGTTAAAAGATAAAAGGATAAATATAACTATAGCTACTATAATTTAGGTTTGGATACACAAAATATAAAGTAAGTAAATTGTAACATTGACAACATAAAATGTGAGGGTAGAAGTAAATATAATGTATAGTTTTTGTATGCAGTCAAAGCTAAGTTGTCATCAGCTTAAACTCATCAGCTATAAGATATTTTATGTACACCTCATGGTAAGTATACACACACACACCCACACACACAAAACAACAACAACTGTAGCCCTGCAGCAGATTACACAAACGATAAAGAGAAGAAATTAAAGCATACCACCACAAAAAAAATCATTAAATTACAAAGGAAGATGACAAAAGAAGAGGAATGAAATGAAGGAATTATAATATAATTAGAAGACAACTAAAAAATCATAGTAATAGGTCCTTACCTATCAATAATTACTTAATTATTGACCTTAAAGAGAGCAAGAGTGGCTAAACTTTTATCAGACAAATTAGACTTTAAGTCAAAAACTGATATAAAACACAAAGAAGGTCATTATATAATGATAAAGAAGTCACTTCAACAAAATGATGGAACAACTATAAATATATATACACCAATCACGACACACTTAAATATACATAACGCAAATGTAACAGAACTGAATGAAGAAATAGATAGCAATATAATAACAGTCAGGGACTTCGATACCCCACTTTCAACAATGGACAGATAATTAAGACAAAAAATCAATAAAGAAACAGTAGACATTAACAACGCTATAGACCACAGGAACCTAGCAGACATATACAGAATATTTCAACCAACAGCAGCAGTATACTTGAGCAGTATTATTTTTTTAAGTGCACATGAAATATTTTCCAGGATAGATTATATGTTAGGCCACCAAACAAGTCTAAAAATTCAAGAAAATTGAAATAATATCAAGTGTCGTTTCCAACAACAATGGTATGCATCCAGAAAACAATAACAGGAAGAAAATTGGAAAATCCACACAAACACGTAGGAATTAGATTACACACTCCTAAGCATCCAATAGGGCAAATAGAAAATCAAAAGAGAAATAAAAACATATCTGGAGACAAATGAAAATGGAAACTACATACCTAAACATATAGGATGCAGCAAAAGCAGTTCTTAAGAGAAGTTTATAGCAATAAATGCCAATATTAACACAGAGTAAAGATCTCAAATAAAAATCATAAGTTTACATCTCGAGGAAATAGAACAAAATAATAGATATCAGATCATCAATAAATAAAACAAAAACTAGAAAAAAATATTAAATATTAATGAAACTGAGTTGTTTTTGAAAAGATAAATCAAGAAACCTTTAGCTAGACTAAGAAAAATAAAAAGAAGACTCACAAAAATAAAATTATAAATAAAAGAGGAGACATTACAACTGGTATCATAAAAATACAAAGCATCAAAAGAGACCGTTATGAATGATTATATATATATATATATAAATAAATTGGTTAACCTAGAAGAAATGGATATATAAGTCTTAGGAGCATAACACTTACCAAGCCTGAATCATAAAGAAATAATCTCAACAGATCAATAACAAGTAAAGAGATTGAATCAGTAATCAGAAAACTTACAATGAAAAAAGTCCACAAATTGATAGCTTCATTGGTGAGTTCTAGGAAAAAATTTAAAGAACGATTAATGCTAATTTTTCTCAAACTTTTCAAAAAAATTAAAGAGAGGGAAATATTCCAAACACAGTTTATGAGCCCAGCATTATACTGGTAAAAGCAAGATTGGGACTTTTCAGGGAAAAAAAATTACAAGGCTACTCTCCCAGACGAACATAGACACAAAAGTCCTCCACAAAATACTAGCAAACTGAATACCACACAGCATATTAAAAGGGTCACACACCATGATTAAGTGTGATTTTCCCCTGGGATGCAAAGAAGATTGACATACTAATCAACAAATATGATATACCACATTAACAGAATGAGAGAGTTTAAAAAAATCATCTCAATATATGCAGAAAAGCATTTGACAAAATTCAACATGCTTTCATATGATAAAAACTCTCAAGAGATTAGATATAGATGAAATGTACCTAAAAATAATAAAGGCCATATAGAACAAACCCAGAGGTAACATCATACTCAGCATGAAAAACTAAAAGCTTTTTCTGAAAGATAAAAAAACAAGACAAGAATGTCCACCCTCACTACCTGTATGCAAAATAGAACTGGAAGTCCTAGCCAGAGACATTAGGCAAGAAAACCAATAAAATGTATTTATATTGGAAAGGAAGAAGTAAAATTTTCTGTATTTGAAGGTGACATAGTCTTAAGTATTGAAAACTTTAATGACTCCACCAAAAAACCACTAGAATTAATAAATTATTCCAAAAATTTGCAGGATACAAAATCAACATACAAAAATTACTATTTCTATATAATAGTAACAACAAAGTATCTGAAAAAGAAACCAAGAAAATAATCTCATTTAAAATAACATTAAATGAAAATAGAATACTTAAGAATAAATTTAACCAGTGAGGCAAAAAATCTGTACACTGAAAGCTATTAAACATTGATAAAAGAGATTGAAGACACAAATAAAACAAAAGGCATCCCATGTTTATGTATTGGAAGAATTAATATTGTGAAAATGTCCATACAACTCAAAACTATCTGCAGATTCAACGAAATATTAAAATTTTAATAACATTTTTCACAGAAATAGAAAACATTATTAAATTACAAGGGAAACATAAAAAATTTCAAATGACAAAAGCAGTCTAAAGCAAAAAGATCAAAACTGGCCCCATTTCAAAATTTACTACAAATCAAAACAGCATAGTACTGACATTCCATATGTAAGCCAGTAGGATAGCATAGAAAGCCCAGAAATAAATCCATGCATTTAAGATCAATTGCTGTTTAATGAAATTGCAAAGAACATAAAATGGGGAAAGGACAGTCCTCTATTCAATGTGTTGGGAAACGTAAATACCCACATGAAGAAAAATAAAGTTAAACCATTATTTCACACTATATTCAAAAATCAACTCAAAATGTTATTACTTAAATGTAGAACCTGAAACCATAAAGTTATTAGGAGAAAATATAGGAAAAAAGCTTCTTGACATTGGTCTAGATGATAATTTTTTGGATATAACCTTTAACTCACAGACAACAAAAGCAAAAATAGACAGATAGGACTACATTAAACTAAAAAGCTGCTGCACAGCAAAGGAAGCATGCATACAATGAAGGGAAACCCACAAAATGGGAGAAAATATTTGCAAACCACACATCTGATAAGGGATTAATATCCAAAATACATAAGGAACCCAAATAACTCAACAGTAAGAAAACAACTTGATTTTACAAGTGGACAAAGGACCTGAATAGACATTTCTCAAAGGAATGAATAATGGATATATAAAAAATTGCTCAACATCACTATCATCAGATACACGCAAGTTAAAACCAAGAGATATGACCTTCCATCTATCAGAATGACTATCATTGAAGAGACAGAAGATAGCAAGGTTTGGTGAGGATATGGAGAAAATGGAATCCTTGCACACTGTTAATGGTAATTAAAATTAATACAGCCATTGTGAAAAACATATAGAGGCAAATCCAAACAATTAAAAATAGAACTTCCATATTAACCAGCAATCTCATTACTGGGTATATATTCAAAGGAAATAAAATCCATATGTCAAAAAAAACTACACTCCTATAACCATGTAGCATTATCTATAATAGCCAAGATATGGAATCAACCTAAGTGTTCATAAACAAACGAGTTAATAAGGAAAACATCATAAATATACCCAGTGGAATACTATTCTGCTTAAAACAGAAGAAAATTCTGTCATTTGCAACAACATGGATGAACCTGGAGGACATTAGGTTATGGGAAATAAGCCAGACACAGAAAGACAAGTACCATATAATCTGATTATATGTGGAATCTAAAAATAGTCAAACTCATAGAGCAGAGTACAGTGGAGTGGTTATGAACGGTTGGACAGTGAAGTGGGTAGATATTGCTCAAATGATTCAAACTTTTAGTTAGACTGAAGGAATTAGTTCCGGAGACTTTTGTACAATATGGTGATTATAGTTAAAACAATGTATTGATTTCTTGAAAATATTTGAATATAAATTTTAAATGTTATCACTCACACAAAAATAATAAGTGTTTAGGCAATACATGTTAATGAGCCTGATTTAGCCATTCCACAATATATACATATATTAACCCATCATGTTGTATGCCATAAGGATATGCAATTTTTATGAGCCGATTAAAAAATACATTTTAAAAATTACAGTAAGGCCAGAGCTCCTGAAATAAAATACTATCACTAACCAAAGAAAAAAATATGGAGAATGTGTTAATTTCCAACCTCTGCTCACAAAAAGCAATCTCCCCTCTAAGGCAACAAATCCTGGTTTCCAATTCCTCCATGAAGCCTTTGCTGACCTCTCCAGTATGAATATTTTTTCCCACTAAGGATTTTATATTCAGATTGATGATAAGGATAAGTGGCATAAGCTCAAATGAATGGAAATCAAAATATGGCCCTTAAAATTTGTTTATTAATCAGCTTTTGGCTTATTCTCCAGGTCTCAAAGGATATGCTAATTAATCCAATTTAGTATGTTTGTAATGTTCAGAAGATTAAGTCTCTTAGGCTATACTTTGATGTCAATGCCAAATAAATCCTCTTAGAATTATTTTGAATAGTTGGGTCATTCTCTGCAACAACATAAATATTAACATTGATCTCATTGTGCATATATTCTCCTAAATGATCAAGAAGATAGTTTAATTGCTGCATCTAATTTAAAAACTAATACCAGGCAACCAACTGGTCTCTATATAACTCTTATCAGGAATATCGAGGTGAGAATTTAACACATTATTAAATTAGAAACTAGAAAAATTGATATCCTGAAACATGTTTTCTTTTAGTTATTTATGGTTTTCTTTTTCCTTATGTTTCCAACTTTTCAATTTTTTCGGATTCTTATATTCTTTTTCTAAATCTAAAGTCTATTGTGTAAACTCTAGACAATTTACTATCATTCATTTGTATCACTTATGAATTCAAGAGGAGCCTACACTGATCCAAAAATAAATAAGAGCATACTTTTGTAGTAATAACAGAATACATTAGGGAAGATTTTTAAACTTCTTTAAATAACGTGGTAACCTCTACAATGAAATAGTGTTGAAAATGTTTGTATTGGGCATTCCCTATGTATTAAAAAAATTATATGAGCAAGGACTATAATTTCAAACCAATCTTTTAAACCCCCAATATAATTTTAGGGAGTGTTCTTGTTTCTCTTTTGATTCTTAGAGAAATCAAATACCAATATAAACCTTATTTCTGTTTAATTTACTATAATCAACTGAGAAAACTGAAGGGAATCTTATGTTATGTGACTTTAAACTGGCAAGAGTAACCAGTTAATGAAAAAGTATTCAAAGTATATTTATATACATTTCAAAGTTCATTTTAAAATATTGTTTCTAAAGATATCATCCCCCAAATAATCTGATATTTAAAAGTCAGCAATATTTTCAGGAAACTAAAATAGAAGAGGTCTTTCTATGTCTCTCCAAAACATTTTCTCTGTTCCTGAAATTTGGAGTGTACTTGTGGTCGGTAACTATCCAGAAAATTATCAATCTGTAAATATCTAGAACAGTCTCAACTACCTTTTAAAGAAAGTAACAGGATGAAAGTAATTGGATGAAACAGGCATCCAATATCAGGACAATGCATATATGCTTCCAAATGTAGCTATAATAAATGAAGGTAGATCAAAATAAAACATGCTCCAGCAGGTTAGAACTCCATGTTTAAGGACATACCTAAGGGGTTAGTAACAGAAGTTTTAAAAATATTCTCAAATTTTAAAAAATGTGATCATCATAGAATCTAGGAATACCATAGAATCATGATGTTCAAAAGAGTAGAAGTTGACACTAAGGTGATACTGCTTTCATAGGTAAAGGACTGTAAGAATGCATTACCACAAGATGCAAACATATCCCTTAATGTTTTGAGATACGTGCAAGACTGTCAGCAAACAATTATTGTAACTACCAATGTCATCACCATGAGAATGAAGCAGGCACTTGTTCAGTAAGTGCATTGTGATGTTCTCCACTGTAGATTTGTAAAGTGCAGAAAACGTTAGTTGAATCCCCAATGATTTTTATGGACTTATCAAAGTATAAAACATAGCAGATGTAAGAGTACATCACTTTACTTAAAATTAAGATTGTTTTCTGAATATGAGGAACAGTTATTATAGAAAATTTAAAATAGAGAAAAATATAAAGAGGAAAAAATGACCAATAATTTTTATTACATAGCAAAAACTAGTAAAAACATTTTGATGTGCTTCTGTACTACCTTCTATTACATTTACATGTAAATATTTATTTGGTAATTCCGGTTATACTGCATGTAAAACTTTTTATTTTGTTTTTATGCAATATTTTTATGTCGGTTTTATTATAATAGATATTATAGCTAAACACCATTTAAAATATTTGTCAGTATACATTCATATGGATGGTTCACATTTATTTAATCATACTGGTTAACTAACTGGTTACCATTTAGGTGTTTAAATTTTTCACTATTATGAGTGAGATTATAATGAACATCATTATATGTACATATTTTCTGAAGTTTTAGTTATTTCTTTTTGATGCATTTATTTTTACTGATCAAAAGGTATGAACCTTAAGAGTTTCTTTAATCTATTACCAAATTATTTTCTAATGATTACACCAATTTATACATTTACCAGGAATGCAATTAGGTTGCCATTTTACTATATTCTAGATAACGCTCAATATTATCAGTTTTTTAATCTTATTTTCATATACAAAATAAATATAGCTTCATAGGTGTTTCTGAATGGTGTTTCTCTGATTAGTAATAAAATCAAACATTTTTAATTTACTTAAAAATGTTTTTTTCTTTGAGATTTTTCTATTCCTGGGCTTTACCTATTTTCTAGTAATTATTCCTACTCATTTGTATGAGATCTTATAGCAAAGGTACAGAAACTTTATCAAATTTACTGCAGATAATCTCCCAGTTTGACATTTTATTCATAATTTTTTGATACGTAGTTAGACAACCGAATATATTTTTAACTCAGGATTTCTCCAATTGCTTTTAATAACATTAATTTCTTTATGCACATAAGTAGTTTTACTCATAGTATCACTAGTAACATAGGAGGCTTTTTGGTTTTGGTTTGGTTTTTTTGAGACAGGGTCTCGCTGTGTCACCCAGGCTGGAGTGCAGTGATGCTATTATGGCTCACTGCAGCCCCCATCTCTCAGGCTCAATGAATCCTCTCACCTCAGCCTCCCCAGTAGCTGGCACTACAGGAGCATGTCACAATGCCCTGGTAATTTTATATACTTTATTTTTTTTTTTAAGAGACAGGGCCTCATTATGTTGCCCAGGCTGGTCTGGAACTCCTGGATTCAAGTGATGCTCCCTCCTCAGCCTCCTGAAGTGCTGGGATTACAGGCATAAGCCACTGTGCTCACCAGACTTTTTAAATGCAGTGTTTTGTTTTTTCTCCCAGCTTCCATCCATAACACTTTTACTCCCCAACTCCCAGGAATATAAATATCTTATAAATATTCCCTTTTCCCCCAGAGCATCTTATTTTTAAGTGTATATTCCACTAGTATTGGAGATAGTAATTTGCTGAAATAGGCAGATGAAAATAGTATTTTAAAAATATTTTTATTGGGGTAAATTATACACAACATAACTTTTATCATTTTAGTCATATTTAAGTGTACAGTTCAGTAGCATTAAGTGCATTAATATTGTTGTGGAATGATCACCATCATTTATCTCTAGAACATTTTCATCTTCCTAAACAGAAACACTGTACCCATTAAACAATAGCTCCCAGTAGACCCCTTCCCCTGGCAACTACCATTCAACTTTCTGTCTCTGTAAGTTCGACTACTCTAGCTTTCTCATGTAATTGGAATCATACAATATTTGTCCTTTTGTGTCTGGCTTATTTCAATCAGCCTTATGTCCTCAAGGTTAATCCATGTTGTAACATGTATGAGAATTTCAATCCTTTTTAAGACTGAGTAATATTCCACCACAATTTATTTATCCATTCACCTGTCCATGAACATTTGGGTTGTTTTTACGTTTTGGTTATTGAAGGTAATGCTGCTGTTAACATTAGCATACAAAAATAGTCTTTTAAACACATTGTTAACCACTACATATACAAACATTGAAATCGGGAACACTGGTACCAATTACTGACACTTAAATTACGAATCAGCTTTACCTATACTATATGGAGAAGTTCTGTGCTCTCAATATTTCTCTCAAGACCTCAAAAGTCATCCTTGTGCACCCAATCAGATATTTTTTCAAAATATGATAGAAACATGTTCAACCAATAGCCACAAAAGTAGTAGCCTCAGGAGACTCATTCTCGCAGTGAATTGGGCATGCACCAAATTCCAGGCAAGATGAGGAGACATTGTGGAAGATGCTCTCCTTCTTTTAAGCCAAAGAGACGTCAATAATTGTGGCATATTATTAATTAGTGCCTTATTCCTCTACAATTTTTTTCAGAGAGGTCAGGAATGGTTGAAGAAAATCATACCATGAAAAATGAGTTTATCCTCACAGGATTTACAGATCACCCTGAGCTGAAGACTCTGCTGTTTGTGGTGTTCTTTGCCATCTATCTGATCACCGTGGTGGGGAATATTAGTTTGGTGGCACTGATATTTACACACTGTCGGCTTCACACACCAATGTACATCTTTCTGGGAAATCTGGCTCTTGTGGATTCTTGCTGTGCCTGTGCTATTACCCCCAAAATGTTAGAGAACTTCTTTTCTGAGGGCAAAAGGATTTCCCTCTATGAATGTGCAGTACAGTTTTATTTTCTTTGCACTGTGGAAACTGCAGACTGCTTTCTTCTGGCAGCAGTGGCCTATGACCGCTATGTGGCCATCTGCAACCCACTGCAGTACCACATCATGATGTCCAAGAAACTCTGCATTCAGATGACCACAGGCGCCTTCATAGCTGGAAATCTGCATTCCATGATTCATGTAGGGCTTGTATTTAGGTTAGTTTTCTGTGGATTGAATCACATCAACCACTTTTACTGTGATACTCTTCCCTTGTATAGACTCTCCTGTGTTGACCCTTTCATCAATGAACTGGTTCTATTCATCTTCTCAGGTTCAGTTCAAGTCTTTACCATAGGTAGTGTCTTAATATCTTATCTCTATATTCTTCTTACTATTTTCAGAATGAAATCCAAGGAGGGAAGGGCCAAAGCCTTTTCTACTTGTGCATCCCACTTTTCATCAGTTTCATTATTCTATGGATCTATTTTTTTCCTATACATTAGACCAAATTTGCTTGAAGAAGGAGGTAATGATATACCAGCTGCTATTTTATTTACAATAGTAGTTCCCTTACTAAATCCTTTCATTTATAGTCTGAGAAACAAGGAAGTAATAAGTGTCTTAAGAAAAATTCTGCTGAAAATAAAATCTCAAGGAAGTGTGAACAAATGACATCTATCCTAGCTTAATGGTTTAATGCTCAAAAAACTTCTAAATAAAATTACACAGAGGAAGTGTACTAATTGTATACAAAATATTAAAACATATCAAAATACAATCAAATTAAGCAGAAATATGTGACAGGGAAAATTCATGGAAAGGAGTGAACTGTGCTAAATATTTACTCAGAATTTAAAAGCACATGCAGACATTGAATTCACTCAAGCAGCAATGTAGAAAGCCACCATGCCTATAGACTGTGTTAGTATCAATGATGATCAACACCCAAAACAACAGCAAAACTACCAGTTACAAATATAAAAAGCCATACCATTTACAAAGCGGGCTTTGATAACCAGCCCACTCTATAGCTTACAACATGTGCATTACAGTTAAGTGTTTAAGATCATGTGAACAGTCAACCAACGAACTCACTTATATCCATGAGCAACAAAAATGGCAAGTGAATTTTGAGGAAGAAAATGTAATAGCATGTGGGGGACATTATTGTAGTTAGAATGAGGTAGTCAGGAAGTGATTGTGCCAATAAAAGTGAATATTATATTTCCAAATAGAAGTTGTTGTTAAATGATTTAAACATTTAAATAATTAAAATCAGAATGTCAAATTTCAAGATAGGTTACATTAAGTTTTATTTACTCCAAAACCTACATGCATAAAGATACCATATCATAAAGTTCTAGACAAACATTTCAAACTTCATGTAGATCTGAAGAGCCTTCATTGTCAGTGAGTTAGGCTAAACTTCTCTGTGCCCATTCCTGAGAGGTGAGGAAGGGGTTAAACAATGGAGACACAACCTTTGGGTATATTATATACAGACATGTAAAAAAGTGTGATTGTGGGACTGTGGACAGGGCTTATCTCAAATATTTTCTTTTATTCCTTCACCATTGCAAAACTTAAAGTCGTTTAATATGGATAGAACCTAATAATCTTATGTGACATCATTAAAGAGATACTTTCCAATTATTCACTCTACATATATTTATTGAGATTCTGCTATGTGCAAGCACTGTTCTAGATGCTGAGACATATTAATGACCAAGACACCACTCTTTTCATCTTCTTAAATAATAGAACATTGCCATTATTTTAATTACTAACTTCTGGAACAAGGAGGACCCATAACAAGTAACAGAAAAATTCTCCCTTCCACCTCCTCTCTTGATGCTCTGTGGTCACATCTAAATTTCCAGAAGGCAGTTGTCAGATTGCAGTGGGCCTCAAGCTAGCCAGCCACCAGAGGCTGGCATCACATGGAAAATCAGCATGCTGAGTCTATATAGAAAAGGGAGTAGAAAACAGATATATTTCTAGATATAATTCCCTAAATCATGAATGAAAAACTATAAAAATATAGTGTATATTTGTAACCTCCAAGAAAACCTAACCTAGTTCATTCCAATTATACTCAGACATTTCAGTATTTCCTTGCCTGTTTCAAATTTAAACCCCATCAGTTGAGTTTTTGCCTAATGCACGTCCATCAGCATCACCAAATGTACTTGGATACTTACTATGCGTCCATGTGCTAAGCTGTGTATACACATTACCTCATCCAACCCTCATAAATCCTGTGAAAGAATTGCAATTATTATCCCTTGTGACAGGTGAGAATATGAAGCACAGTATGGTTGAGTCACTTGTTCAGTGACCCACAGGAGTCTGCATGACCTGAACCCCAGGCTGCCTGACTACAAAAACTACATTCTCAATTATTACATAAGAAATCACAAAAGGTCACCCAGAGATTGCACAGAATCGTTTATCCCACGCAATGCAGAACAGCATAGTGTTCTTTGGAAAATTAATTTTAAGAAATTTAAATATCAGGAGAATTTTTATTTAAAATTTTTATTAAAAATTTTTATAAAAGCAAAAATTGACTTTTCTTGAAAAAGTGGCAACAATTCTTATGTCACCTCCCTGGCCCCTCTGAACATTTAAATTTATAACTTTGCATCTTTGCATTAAAAACTACTGCCTCTCATCATACTTCATTATTTCAGTGCTTACTTACAGTAAAAATATTTACCAAGTTGTAGTTGTGAATTATAAAATATGCTGATTTGAACAATTTCTCAATGTTTCAGCTTACCTTTTATAGTGAAAACATTAAAAAAAAGAAAAGACCAAAAAGTTCCAGAAGGGATAATTTATTAATTCGTTTGCAGTCAATATATAGTGGGTTAAGAAAAAGCAAAAATAACAATAAATAAATAAGCTAAATACAGAATTTTTTGGGCACCTAATGAAATGGTGGTGTGTTTTGGGGGTGTGTATTTCTGCTAGATGCCATTTCACTATGCATTAAGTATGCAAGGTAGGATTCAACTACTATCAGGAGGAAAGATGGGAAATTTTGACCTGTTTGTTATACACCAGAGCAGAAAAACTGGGAAGAAATACTCAACCTACAAGAAAAATAAATAGATTTAACCAGAAAAAACTTTACATTTTAAATGCCTGCATTGACTTCTTCCCTGGTTTCCTGAGTCCAGCTAGGTCAATTTTATAATAAGAGGTCCCAATTTTCATCTTCTCAGAGATTGCATCTGTTGGTTGCATCGTCCATGAGTGGAAATTTTACAGTTCAAAGAAAAAATAAGGGTTTGGAGATCATATTCACTGGAGAAGAAAAGAAGATGAAAAAAAGGATGCAGTTCATTTTAAGTTCTGAGGGTGGAAGTAGATTCGAGGGTGATTTCAGGGAAGTAGATTTGTCTTTTCCTCCAGGGAATAATCAAGGTTCTTCCCAAATCCCTACAACCTCTTTCCTCTTCTCCTACTTGGGCTTCCCTGTTTGCACGCATGCGTGTGCAGGAGTGGCTGTGTGCTTGGACTCAGCTCCAGCTGGAAGCATGCTCTCCTTTGTCACTGTTGGAGAAATTCAACAGTACAAAAATACAGTTGATGACTTGATGAAAGGGCTGCACCTTCAAGCCATAGATGCAGCCCTTTTGTCAAGTCATCAACTGCATTTTTGTACCGAAGTTAACAAAAAAAGAGATAAAATATTAATTGTTCCTTTAAACCTTAAGAAAACCTTAAAAGAAAAAAATAAGCCAAATACATTATTTTAAAAAGAAAATCTTATACAGTAAACAGTTAACTGTTGAGCTGTACATTCTTTATAAAAAAATTATTCAGTTTTACTGGGCAGGAGATATAGGTATGAACTTGATAGAAATATGGTAGAACAATAATCAGTATAATTCATTTTAAGCAAATATATTTTACTAAATATGCTTATTGACCAACCCTTTTTGTTAACTATAAACTTGCTATTTTATTTGGTTTGAATTAGCTTCATCGCTGCATTATAATTTTATGTTTTGCTTATGGTGATGAATCAACATCAATCCCAGGGAACAGAGAGAACAGATACCAGTTAGTCCTGTTTAAGGTGTTAACAATAAAGGTAGCTCCCTTTTCATAAAGGAAAGAAAGCCAAATACTAATGTAGGAAAGTATGTATTATCAAATTAGTATGATAACTTTGGAGAAATGAGTCATATGCCGATATGACTTACAGGTCTATTTTGTTTGACGCTCCCTTTAGAAGATAAGGATAAAATAATACATACAAAATAAAGGAAAACTGACTGAGATAAAAACCACAAAATTTCTACTGGGAGAATAACTTACTGGGGATTTTTTTAAACATGACTTTATACAGAGATATGCATCTATGGGGAACTAGTTCTTCATAAAACCAGAGAATTAACATGAGAAGTAAACAACAGCCTTTTGGCTATGATGCCCTAATGGGCATGTTAGGACATTCTAACCTGAATGCAGGCGTCGGAGCTTACTGGTATACCATTTAAGATGGGCAGTCAGGGGTGGGGAGGAGACATGTTTTGAATGTTTGCAATCAATCTGAATATAGACTAAATGAGTTACTCTAGGTTACCACAAGTAGGGATAACAGGGCAGGGAAAATTGATTTACTCATGCCTGGAAGGCAAATATGTATAGACTAACTCAATGTGTAGGTCAAGTAATGCAATATGAGGGGCACCTAAACTATTCTATTCAAAAGATTTCTCCAACTCTATAGCAAGTACATATTCCACTATTAGAATACTAAATTGAGGCAAACATGATGAGTAGATTTTATCTTTCCTGCCAAATGAGTAAGAGGATGATTGATTGGACTCAGAAATGAAATGTGTTATGCTTCCATATTTTTTAAAAATTATTTATTTTTAAAACAAACATGGCAGCACATATTCCACGTTGTTTGTGAGGGGAGGGAGGCAGTCTGTGTCTCAGGGTCTATTAAATGCATGGCATTTGAGCTGAAGTACTCAAAAACTGTATTAAGAAAGAAAGGCAAGCAGGTAAGAAGCATGAAAGACAAGAAGCAAAATATTAAGATTAAGGTCTTGAAAGTCCAAGTGTCAAAATGGCAAAAACTTTGGGAGGTGAAACTCATTGTCTCAGTAGCACAAATCAATTAATCTATATTGCTTGCTCTTCAACAAGACACAGCCCAGATGAATGAGGCACATATCAAGGAAGCCATTAATTCTCAGAGATCAAGACCAGATAATGTCCCAAACTGAGGTTCCTGGAAGACCAGGGGCAGCTGGGTTCACAGGAAGACGTAGTTCTAAAAGTGGGTGGGAGGAGGACCCTCATACAAGCTCTATTCTTAGTTTAATGTTGGGTGAACTAGGAGTGTGACTCTCCAAAAACCCCATTACCTGAGCACTCTCAGTCTCACACTGTCACACACACATACACAAAAAGTAAGACTGAAATGTATCATGATGAGAATTCTTGCAGAGAGGCAGGCAATGAGCACCAAAGAGATGAAATCTGGTATAATTTCCTCAGTAATCTGACAGCTGTTCTCCTTTGCTGCTGCTCTTCCTTGCCTCTTCATCCCCTCCTGTAAAGCATGTCTTCTTTCATCCCAGCAAACTATGTATTGAGTTAGTTCCTCTTAACATGGTGTGTTAGTCCGTTTTCACGCTGCTGATAAAGACATACTCGAGACTGGGAAATTCACAAAAGAAAGAGGTTTAATGGACTTACAGTACCACATGGCTGGGGAGGCCTCACAATCACGGGGGAAGGTGAAAGGCACTTCTTACATGGCCATGGCAGCGGCACGAGAGACAGAGTCTGTGCAGGGAAGCTCCCATTTTTAAAACCATCAGATCTTGTGAGACTCACTCACTATCACGAGAGCAGTGCAGGAAAGACCTGCCCCCATAATTCAATCACCTGCCACCGGGTTCCCACAACACCTGGGAATTGTGGGAGTTACAATTCAAGATGAGATTTGAGTGGAGAAACAGCCAAACCATATCACATGAGTAATGATGAAGGGCTACACACACAGTAAAAATAATTACATAGGCACAATCCCTGCTTCTTAGAAATGTATGTAATCAGGCTATTAAAAAAGAAAGTAAAATGGTATAGGATATTTATAGCACATTAATATAATTGACTTATAGTAAACCTAATAGAACTTTATCCTTCACAATACTTCCCTTCTCAATTTTTTCTTCTATTTAACTTCATATTTAAATACATAACCTTTATTTAAAGGGAAATTACTGTTTTTGAGATAGAAAGATTTATTACTCTCCCTCAGAAAATATACACCAAGAAAGTAACTTGTTTAAGGACTGATAGAAAACAATGAAGCTCAAAATGTAATAATTATGAGTATGACTATGTACTTTTACATTTGAAAAATGTGTATTATGGATAACCAACTAATAATTAGCTCATAGACAATGAAATGCCAGTGGCATAATCTAAATATATTTATTTATTCATCCATCATTCAATAAATACTTACTGAGCATTTTTAAAATACACCACACACTACGAGTAAAGCCAGCCAAGATTTCTTCTCTCATGGGTCTTACAGAAGTCCTGGGGGGAAGATGTTAAACTAAAATCATTACAATTTAATAAATGTTTAAGATTTATGTGCAATTTCTCCTGACATCTCAATTTAGTTTTATCAGAAGCTCCACATTCCAAATTAAGACACCAGACTCCTGTGCAGGATTTTCAGAGAGTGGTTTAAAAACTTATCTTGTGACCTTTGACTCATTATCCCCCGCAACTATTTATGAGTCTTGGGAATGAATCAGAATTTGGAGAATTCAGACACAGACATTCTCTAGAAAGACTTAACGGGTTTTCCTGTAGTCCCACCCGTTGCAATGAGGAGGCTTGGCCCCGCTCACTCTACTTACCCAGTTGAGAGGGTCTTTACTCAGAGAGTTTGATACATGTCCCCTGGAGTTTGGGAAACCTATAGAAGAATATATGACTCCCCGTTGAGGGGTCCAAAAGGTGAAAGGGCTTGATTAGACAGCGCTGAAATACTGAGACCCCAAGGTGAGCTGAGAGAGACCTGCATTCCCTCTGTCCAGCTATCCATTAATCCTTCATGATTCTTGTGGGTTAAAAGCCTTCCTAAGAGAAGGAGCTGGCCTGGGGCCCTAATAAAAGAGAACTCTTTCTTTTTAAAAAAGTTTTTAGAGACAAAATCTCACTCTGTCACCCAGGCTAAGATCATAGCTCACTGCAACCTCAAATTTTGGGCTCAAGCGATCCTCCTGCCTTAGCCTCCCCAGTAGCAGGGACAACAGGCATGTGCCACCGTGCCTATTTTTTAAATTTTTTATAGAGACAAAGTCTTGCCATGTTGCTCAGGCTGGTCTTAAACTTCTGGCCTCAAGTGATCCTCCTGCCTCAGCCTCCCAAAGTGCTGGGATTACAGACATGAGCCACTGCGCCCAGACCCAAAGAGAATTCTTCAGTGTGGTTCCAACAGAGGGGAACCAGCCTTCCAGGAATGGGATTGAGGGTCAGCCCGATGAAGGACAGATATTGATTTTACATGTTAGCAAAGCTGCAGTCTGAAGATCTGCAGAGGGAAAGTCTCTGAGAAACTCACAGAATGGCTCTAAAAAGAGAAAGAGCCTGCATTATGCATGGGCCCTCCATGGCTCCAGGTTCAGATGACAGCAGTACCAGCCACAGTCGAAATATACTTTGCCCTAATCTACTCTCCCACTGGTTTGACCATAGAGAGGTCAGAAACAGTCAGTGACTGAGGACAGAGAGAAAAGGCTGAGAAAGCCTCCTCCCCCACTGTGGGCCTCCCAACGACAGGCAAACCGAAGCTAAGAGAGAGAAGAGTTTTAACACTGAATAGTGAGTTTTTATACCTCCCTAATTGAACTGGAGTGTGATTATTAGACTGACTTTTTAGTGCTCCTCTACCTCAAAAGGGACTAGTTCATTAATTTTTTTTTTTTTTTTTTTTTGGTAATTTTTTGTAGAGGCAAAGGCCAGGCTGGTCTGAAACTCCTGGCCTCACGCCATCCTCTCACCTCAGCCTCCCAAAGAACTGGAATTATAGGCATGAACCACCGTGCCTGGCTAATTAACTATTAAATGACTAAAAAACCTACTTTAGATCTTATGGAGGTATAGAAAAAATGGATCTACAGAGTCTCAAAGGAGTAGTAGCAAGTGGAATCACTCTTATATTTGGACCTAACGGTCTACTGCAGTCAATAACTACCACATTCAAGAACTTCACAATGCGATGAAATGTAAGAGAACTAACCTAAAACAGATAATTAGGGAAACTTGACTGAAGAAGCAAATATTAAGTTTTCATCTGAAAAATAAGTGTTACCTGGGTAAAAGGAGTGGGATGCGGGAGCGTAAAGGTCAGAAAAAGCTATTTGGAAAAAGGGGGAAAAAAACCATGAGAAAGCCTGTGGTAGGAAACAGCACTGTTGCAGATACTGTGGCTGCATAACAAATGACCCCAAAACATAGCGGCACAAAACAACAATTCATTTTATTTCTACCAGTTCCATAGGTTGATTGGGCTCAGCTAGTTGGTTCTTTATTAGAGTCTCACAAGGATGTAGTAAGATAATAGCTGTGGCTGAAGTCATCTGAAGGCTTGTTAAGGCTGGACATCCAGGATGGCTCCCACACATGGCTGGAAATGATGTTGGCTGTCAGTTGGGAGCTTAGCTTGGGATTTCAGCTGGAGCATCTACACAGGACACCTCCATGTGGCCTGGACTTCACAGCATGGTATCTGGGTTTGGAGAGGGAATGTTCTAAGACTGAGTGTTCCAAGAGAACTGGTTTAAGGACACATGATCTTTAGGACCTCATGAGAAGAGTGTCATTTCAGGCACACTCTATTGGTCAAAACCATCACAAGCCAGCCTAGATTCAAGGGGATGGGAATCTCAATGCAAGATTGATCGAAGGATTTTAAGGCCATGTTTTTAAACTACCATAGGCATGGCCCACTGGAAAAACTAAAAGGTCAGTGTGCCTGAAGTATAGAACTTGCCAATGAGTTTGTAAGGCCATTTAAAGAGCTTGGAAGCTATCCTCAGAGTCATGGGATGAAATTAAAAGATTATTGAGAAATGAGTAATTATCAAGGATAATGTAGAAGATCATTAAAATTATTCATGGAGCCAAGAATCTGAGTAATTTCCTATGGAAAGAAATAAATTATTGCTTGTTAAGAATCTACTTTTAATCAAGACAAGCACCACTATAGTAGTCAAGACACATTGCATAGTATTGGGCAGATTTGGGGGTAGCCAGGCCAGATTGGAAATGTAAGGTAAAGTTTCCTCTTCATGAAAATTTACCTTTTGATGAATGTGCATTTGAAATAAGAGCTATCTCCATTTTGAGGTTTGTTAAAGTATTTATGTTCCCCTCCATTCATCTCTTTTTTTTTTTTTTTTTTTGAGATGGAGTCTTCCTCTTTCTCCCAGGCCGGACTGCCATGGCGCTATCTCGGCTCACTGCAAGCTCCAACTCCCGGGTTCACGCCGTTCTCCTGCCTCAGCCTCCCAAGTAGCTGGGACTACAGGTGCCTGCCACCGCGCCCGGCTAATTTTTTGTATTTTTAGTATAGACGGGGTTTCACCGTGTTAGCCAGGATGGTCTCTATCTCCTGATCTCGTGATCCGCCCACCTCGACCTCCCAAAGTGCTGGGATTACAGGTGTGAGCCACCACGCCTGGCCTCATCTCTTAAATTTACAACTAACAATACTCTGATTTCATTGTAGAATTTTATTTCATAGTTTAAATACAGATTAGGACACATTTATTTCATCAAACTTTGCCAACAGTGGTCAGCTTTGAATTTTTATCTTCTAACTATGTCAACAAAAGTCTTTAAACATTTTCTAGTATCAGCACTTTATATGAAGTGAACAAAAATCACAAAAGCCTATGTGATTGGGTAAAATTGTGGATGTGATATCACAATAGACAAACAACCAAACTCTCATTTCTTCCAGCTCCAGGGCAAGAAGTGGGGGAGGTGTAAATCTCAAAATTACCTTGAAGGACCTATTACATAGCCTAGTCTCTCCAAGGTGTTCAATTTGAGCTCTAGTCTATCAATTCTAATTTTTCCCCAGTTAATCTACTTTCATGTATATATTTTACAATGCAGCTTTCTAATAATTTCAAGGATTATAACTCAGAAGCAACTCTCTCATTTATTGAGGGACTATTCTTTGCAAGGCAATGTGGAAGATGTTGGAGGGATACAAAGATTAAATAGGCAATAAGTTCTAGTAGGAAGGTTGATATGCACAACAATCACTGTTATACAAAAAGTAGAAAGTGGCAAAAGCAGCAAGAAGGGGGTTACTCCGAATGCCACAGGGATTCAGAAGAGCAAGACATTCGAGATGAGTCTTCAGTTATTTCAATTGGTAAAGAAGTGGTCATGATTTTTGAAACTGGAATTGCAGTGAAGTGGTATAGATCAAGATTTGAGTATGTGGAGAATAGCATTCCATAAATAAAGACAATATAAGATGAATCACAGATATAAGAAAGTCCAAACGTAACAATGACTGTGACTAAAGGAGAGGAATAGGAGAAAATGATCCAAAGATAGAGCTAGACAATGTTACAGCTTTGATGTTAGACAAAATCTAGACTTTATTCTAGATTGCTTTTGTAAGCAGTAGAGAGTTGTTGATGGTTTTGGGGTAAAAGGTTGATGCGATATTATCTATGCTTTAGCAAATTAGGCTGGCAGGATGTGTAAAATGGGTTTCAGGTAAGCTAGTTAGTGGCAAAGAGACCAGCAGAGAGTCTACTGTCATCATCCAGGAAGGAACCGGAACTAAGGTGACTAGACAGGAGAGTTTCAGTGACATAGGCATTACTGAAATAGAATCAAAAAATCTTGATAACTAATTGGATATAGAAGGCCAGGGAAAAGAAGGAGTCAAAGATGATGTCAACATTAAAAGTCTAGTTGATGGGAAAACATGTAAAACAAATGAGAATTGGTGCAGTTATGAGAAGACAAATGAGTATAAATTTAAACATATTACATTTTAGGTATCATGAAAATATTCAAATGAAGCTGCCTTGAAGGCACCTAGGAATTTGGACTTGGAGTTTAGGGAGAAGGCAGGGCTGGGGATTTGAAATCATCTGAAGATTAATAACAGTTATTGTTGATTGAAAGCTTAAATTGTACCAAACTCCATGCTAAGCACTTTACATATATTACCTTATAAGCCTCACAGTGAACGTGAAAAATAGGCATTATTATCCTACTGAGACCTAAAGAATGACAGAACTTGCCCAAAGTTTCTCAACTAGTAAAAAGAATTGGGATTGCAAATCGATCTGTTTAAATCCAGAGTAGTTCTGTGGATGTTAAAGTCAGGAATTAATTACAGAGTAGCTCTACTTGTTCACCTAGAGTAATGCCTAATGCATAGGAGGGAGTAAGAGGGAGAGGCCACAGCACTCTCCACTCAAAGGCTCAAGGCCTTTCCCTCCCTTTCCTTCCCCCAGGTATCTTATTTCAAATGCTTGGGAGTTTTAGGTGGAGGGTACAAGGCCTGGGGTAAATGGTTAAGATGACAAATTGGGTACTGCTGCTCTAAATTAGTCCTTGAGGGCTGCATTAGGGTATTCTAGAGGGACAGAACTAATAGGATAGATGTTTAAATAAAGGAGAGTTTAAGTATTGACCCACATGATCACAGGGTGAGGTCCCACAATAGGCCGTCTGCAAGCTGAGGAGCAAGGAAGGCAGTCCAAGTCCCAAAACCTTAAAAGTAGGGAAGCCAACAGTGCAGATTTCAGTCGGTGGTCAAAGGTCCAAGAGCCCCATAGCTGGAGAACTTGGAGTCCAATGTTCAAGGGCAGGAAGCACCCAACACAGGAGAAAGAGGGAAGCCAGAAGACTCAGTCAGTCTAGTCTTTCCACATTCTTCTGCTTGCTTTTTATTCTGGCTGTCCTGGTAGTTGATTCAATTGTGCCCACCCAGACTGAGGGTGGATGTGCCTCTCCCAGTCCACTGGCTCCAATGTTAATATCCTTTGGCAATACCCTCAAAGACACACCCAAGAACAATACTTTGCATCCTTCAATTCAATCAAGTTGACACTTAATATTAACCATTACAAGGGTGTTTTAGCATCAAGTGTTGGAACTCTCTCTAGAATTTTTTAGATAATGTCTTATCTTTCATATCTTTGAATCCTCCTTTGAGTCCATGGTAACAAGTGCCACTTGGCATCTTGTTAAGTGCTCATGAATAATATCCACCATTACTCAGCAGTGGAACCATGGTGTGGATCCCTGAAATCTACTTCCACCCTCAGAACTTAAAATGAACCATCCAAATCTAATTGGATTGCATGTTGTAGAGGCTGATTTCAGGAGCCTGCAAACAAGCTGCAGGAATCCAAGTTCTTCCACTTCCCTCAATGGACCTGAGTCCAATTTTAAACAACATAAAGACAGTGCTATGTTTTGAAAGTTTGCCCCTTCCAAAACACATGTCAAAATTCAATTGCCATTGTAACACTATTAGGAGGTGGGACCTTTGAGAGGTGATTAGGCCATGAGGGCTCCACCCTCATGGGTGGAATTGGTACAGTTTGGCCCACTCTCACCCTCTTTGCCCTTCTACTCTTCTCTCATGTGAGGAACAGTTTTCCTCTCCTCTGAAGCATGAAGCATGCAAAGTGTTGTCTTGGAATCAGAATTGCCAAATCTGCTGGCATCTTGGACTTTTCAGCCTCCAGAACCATTAAAAATAAATTTCTATTATTTATAAATTACTCAGTCTCAGGTATTCTGTTATAGAATCACAAATGGACTAATAGAAAGGTTTTTGATGCATTTATCTCGATTTACCAATAGCACAATCATTGAAAGGCCAAAAGTTCCACCCCACTGCTGTCCTACTTGAAAAAAAGGATTAAAATGTGAGTTTTAAAAGCAAAAATTCTTCCACCTTGAGAGGCTTGTATGGCTAAAAAGCCCATGTAATGAAGCCCTTTCTGTTTTGAAACAAACCTTTACTGGAAACAGAAGACTTCCCCAATAATGTAACACCAGCCCCAGTTCTAATCCCCATTGGAGTGTAGCCTTGTGGTAAACCCCAACAGCTCAGAGTCCCGCATGCCCTAGAGCTGGACCACACAGGGCAAGCAAAGGCTGCCTCCTTCCCGTGCACTGCATTAATGTCCAAATAATAGTACCAAACACTTTTTGAGCTCTTATGTTTTCAAAGGTGTTCTAAAAACTTGCACGTATACCTTCTTATTTAACCATCACAAAAACCTATTGAGGCAGATAATATCCCATTTTATAGATAATGCTATTATATGTTCATCCTCAGAATTTCTAGCTTGGGTAGAAGTTAACATCAATCACTCATGCATGCCTCCTTCCTTCCTAGTTCTAACCAAGAGTATGAACACAATGAACTGATAAGCAGACAGGGATAAGAATATTCACTTTCTTTATAGAGGCCTAATGACCTCAAATTACAGGGTCCCTGAAAGTACCGGATTAGAGAAAATAATTTGGAATTGAAGCCAAAACAAACAAGGCTTCCTATTACATCCTGCCAAATCTGAACCTGAGAACCAGGGGTGCACTGGATCTGCAGAGCAGACTCTTCATACGCATCTCCAACTATCAGAGGTGGGATGGATTGGGACCTGTCACAAAGAGCCAGTCAACAGAAGAGTGTGGAAAGCACAGTAGAGAAATGGCTTTTAGAAGGCAGACACCAAGCCAGGTCTGTTTACTCCACAGCCCACTCTTTCATAATCTGCCTAGGAGAGAGAGAATCCTATTTCTTGCGTTTAAACATAGCTTTCAAATATAACTGCCCATTGGAATCACTTGGAAAGGTTTTAAAAATTTCAATGACCCGACCATAGCCCAGGCCAACTAAATCAGATTCTCTGGAATGAAAACATTTAAGTTCTCCAGGAAATTCCAATGTGCAGCCTAGGCTAAGAGCCACCACTTTATAGGCTTGGCAACCCCTCACAATGCAGCCAGTCATAACTAGCAGTTTTTGAGCGACTACTTTATGCTAAGCAATTTACATAATCCTCATCACAACTCTAAGAGACATATGATAATCAAAGCATTTCACAGATGGGAAAAGCGGTGTTTGGAAAAAGGCTAAGAGACAAAAGATAGACCTGGGATTACAAAGCTCGCATTCTGTCTCCCAAGCTAAATACTTAACCACCATATACCATGCTGCTCCTTGTGGATGCCCTGATTCCAGCAATCTCTCCAACCAGATAATACATTCTTCTTTTATATAGAGAAGCAAATAAGGCTGGGAGATACTACAAGAGTTGACTCCAGTATTCCCTTCTAAAAGAGAGCATAAACTCCTTCCATGGAAGTTAAGCAGGAAGAATAAAGGTTTCCAACAACTAACATTTGTAGAGACTTGGAAAATGTGTGGCAGGGTGTTAAAAGATCAATAATTAGAGATGCTTAGAATTATAAAGCAGTTGAAGTCAAACAGCATACTTTTTTATAGAATCAACTTAGTAGTTCTGAACAGCCATCCTTGATATCTTAAGATTAAGAAAACTGGACAGCACAGTCTATGAAGATAGGGCTAAGGATTGCGAAGGGAGGTGTCATAGGAAATTATGGGAGCAAGAGAACCAAAGATGTTTGTGAACATACAATGACAATACAAGCTAAGGGGGGAAAGAAACGAACAAAATGCGGAAGACTGGGAGGGGCTGAAAGGCTGCAGGGCAGGTGAGGTAAAGCTCACATACTGAGACACTAACACTGGACCAGTAAAGATGACACATTACTTAGTAACTCAGATATTTTAAAAGGTGTACGGCAGAAAGAAAATTCTCATTTCACATTTCTAAACCTTTGCAAATATACAAAGTAATATAAATTGGATCTTGCTTTTATAGAAGTTTGCTGAAAGTATGTAAATGTTTATATGTCAAATAATGTATATTTGTATACACGTAATGCTAGTAATAGAAATTCTGGCACTGAAGAGAATGTAATCACTCTATGGTAACTTCTTCTATAGGGCAAATAATTGTTACTCTTTTTACAATTGAGCATTTTCACATCATGAATTTGCAGGATGATGGCATGTAATTTGGCCCCAGGGAAAAATGTATCTTATTACGATGGAGTATAAGAACACCTGATGAGCAGTAGAAAAATAATTTAGATCCGTTTCCTTGTTTATTCCTCACTTTTCAAGGTATGAATCACTGTTCCCTTTGAGAAGAGTGCTGAAAGGAGGACAAAAGCCTCCACCCATCTGTGCCAGGACACAGCTGCATCAAGCTTGTGAAATAACAATTTGCATCTTCAGAGCTGCACCCATTAACTGCTCTTTTAGCTGCTAGAGAATTTCAGAAAGTTTTGCAATCAGGCCGTGTGCAGTGGCTCACGCCTGTCATCCCAGCACTTTGGGAGGCCAAGGTGGGTGAGTCACTTGAGGTCAGGAGTTTGAGACCAGCCTAGCCAACATGGTGAAACCCCATCTCTACTAAAAATACAAAAGTTGCTGGGCATGGTGGCACACACCTGTAATCCCAGCTACTCCGTAGGCTGAGGCAGGAGAATCCCTTGAACCCAGGAGGCGGAGGTTGCAGTGAGCCAAGATTGGGCCACTGCACTCCAACCTGGGTGACGGAGTGAGACTCCATTTCACAAAAAAGAAAGTTTTTCAATCAGCAAAATTAGGTTAACAGGTTTTCATTTTTGGTGAAAGTTTATATGAAGGCTAAGTATTAAAATGGCCCGATCTATATATGTTATAGTCAATTGAACATGACAGGGTCTATAGGTTTTAACTGTGCTAGTCTGCAATTTGGTGATGTTTCTGGAATGGAAAAACAAACTAAATTGATATGGTTTGTGGTCATCTCATTCTTCTCAAATCATATGACTAAATGAGTTCACCTAGGAGTGATTGTCAACCCTATCCTCTCCCTTAACGCACGTGTGCATGTGCACACACACAACTACAGCAGGTAAAATTTTAACACATTCCCATTAGATTATAAATTTGAAATCCTAGTGTAATATGATGCAGACAGAAGGCACACTGTTATCTGAATAAATTCTAGAATTCCTTTTTTGTTGTTGTTGTTGTTGTGCCAAATTGTGTTTTATGGCTATACTTAATAAATTTTGAAATGAGTCTTTTGCTAAAAATCATAGAGGATATTTACCCACATCATTTAGTTAGGAGCTATAAAATCAAAGTCTTAAAACACATTTGTTAAACTGCCACAAAATTCATTCTGAGGCCGGGTATGGTGGCCCATGCCTGTAATCCCAGCACTTTGAGAGGCCGAGGCGGGCGGATCGCCTGAGGTCGAGAGTTCAAGGCCAGCCTGGCCGACATGGGGAAACCCCATCTCTACTAAAAATACAAAATTAGCTGGGCATGGTGGTGCATGACTGTAATCCCAGCTACTCGGGAGGCTGAGGTAGGAGAATCGCTTGAACCCAGGAGGCAAAGGTTGTGATGAGCCAAGATCGCACCATTGCACTCAGCCTGGGCAACAAGAGTGAAACTCCACCCCAAAAGAAAAAAAAATTCATTCTGAAAAATCTGAAAATTAATTTTTTACTTTGGGGGTTGCTTTCAAAGATTAAATAGGGTTCGCCTTGCCACTGATTTTATCTATTAGGTTGATCAAAAATGGCTGAATATCTGCAGTTTCATATGGTTCAACCTGATTAGAATCAGTTTCACATTTAAATGAACAATACAGCCCTATATATTCCAAAGAAAAAAAGTCTTTGCAGGAAAGATAACCTCAGCTACCCTGCAACATGCTAAAAATACCAACTACAATGCAGCACCAGGGGTTATGGTGCTAGTAGCTTCCCATGTAACTCTGGGGTATTAAGAGGCAGGGACATTGTTTAAAATAACTGACCAATACAAAAATGTCATGCTGCCAAAAATTTTCTTATCCCATTCCCAAAGGTGTTTTGTTTGTTCATTTAGCTTTTCTCTTTTCCACCTTCCACAGAAGGCGCTGAAGGGTAATGAATCTTCAAGAATTAAGATTAGATAGAAACCTGAGTAACCAGTCATTTCACAGGCAATAATTGGCTACAGAGTAATGCTGACTTTGTTCTAAGTCAGAAGCTGACTTGGTTATTTACTATAGAACACAAACATCCACAGCCACTAAATGACTTTACTGAAAACTAGCCACATTAAGTATGACATGTAGAGATAACAAAACTACTTTTGAGAACATGGTTTAAAATTCTGAAAAATAAAAGATAAAGATTTTCTTATTTCTAATAGGGGGAAGGGGTTCCTACATTTCCCAGAAGATCAAACAAGAGACCCAAACACAGGATGTAACGACAGCCCTGTACAGCAAGATGCACTTTGCACAGACAACCACAGAGATTGCCTCCACTTCTTTATCCTAAAGTGTTGAGATTTAAATCAATTCAGACACTCTATATACAATTGAGTCTCTTTTCATTTTTAATTTTATTTTTTAAAAAAGACATTGAGGTTATGGTAAGAAATTATGAAGTTACATTTTTTTAATCTGTCAATTGCTACAGTAGTGGAATAAATAAATAAGTTTTTTAAAGTTCAATGTTTATAGACATACTTATAAAAAAATGACTGAATTAGAAGACATTAAATAATGTTGATACACACCAGGAAGGGATTTAGGCAAGGAAAGGCACATCATATTACCACAAGAAATAAAGACCATAGTTGGAGGTTAATGGACAGCCAGAACTTTAGATCTTGTGGTAGGTTTCCCAGCTCTGGAGGGTCATTATGGTGAAACGTTCTTTATAGTACTGGGCTGGAATAAATAAATAGCAGTTGAGGAATTTTACCTTGTAACTGTAATATAATGTAAAAAGAAAGCACACTTTTAATAACCCTGGTATGTGAAGAGGAAAGAAAAAAAATCCAAAACAATTTGGTGGTACTGAAAATCTTACGGAGAGTTAAAAATAATACTAATCCTCGCCCGGCTGAACTGGAATTCTTGCAGTTACAAAGTTAAAATTTCAAGTAAACACTGTATTTTTCACTTTTTGTAGACAGACACAGTGCAGATACAAACAGCTGCCATATCTCACCTCAGATGAAGCTATGTGTCAATGCTTAGGGAAAATGATCTTAGATAATTTCCCAATTTTATAGAGCTTAAATCTTTGAAAACAGCACTAATACTGCTGGTTGACTGGCTATCTACAACAGCAAAGTGAACATAAAGTTTTGACGATGAGAGGTTTCCCAAAGAAACTAATATAGAGTTTTTAGTTGAACAGATACAGTTACTTTAGTTTTACTGAAAAGTCTAACAGACATTAGCACAACTTGTTTTCGGTCACATTCCTACTCCCAATTTTCTTTCATAAATTTGTGTCAAGTCTCTATCCATTTCTTTCTGTCTAGACCTAGATTAGTTTATTTGAAAGATGGCATCGCTTAAAGTAAACCACATAAATTTTAGTGGTATTAAGTGTGTATTTAGTGGTGAATGTGTATAAATAAAATAGATTTTCATAATAAAATGGTATATCCACAAATAAAAATTAAAAACAATTGAGAGGTGGGGAAAATATCAGTATTATTTTAAAAAAATAAAAATGGCAATTGTAAAGCAGGCAGTTTCTTGCTCATGCCACACGATATGCCTTCATTAAGGTGTACTCTTTCCGGTTGGTGTGAGCAGCCCAGATGAAGAGAGCAGAAGCCATGAACTGTAAGGGAGCAGAGACACAAGCCAGGCAGAAGGACCATCCAAATTCACCGGATACATTGTCAGGGAGCTCTAGTTTCTGGTGGAGTAGTTCAATTCCAGCAACATAACAACTTACTGAGCCCAGTGTACACAGACCTTGGGGGAAAATTTAGAAAACAAAACAAAACATGGCTGGATAAAAGCACAGTAAAGAGCTTTTCAGGCAATGTGACAGGGCAGTTAATACGTGAACATTTCAGATTTATAACTCTTTGGTCCCTAAAGAGACAGGAAGAAGCTAAAAGGTAAGTATGATGACAAAACCTACCTGCAAGGAGATGGAGAATGCCCGTGGCAATGGTGGGATATAAGCTTCGGCAAATGCAAGCACAAAGTCCGATCAAAGCCCCAAAGCACATCAAACCTAAACTCACAAAAGGTAAAAGGAACTGGCAACGCCAAAGATCTGATTTTTAAAAAGAGAGAAAAGAAATGTTACCGTGATTTCAGACCATTTTCCCCGCAATGGCAATTTCTTTCATATTCTAATTAGATCTTTTCTCAAAAAGTGTGAAAGTATTTTAACATTGAGGCCTCTTTTCTAAAGCACATTATTCAAAAGGATGCTACTCTTGTCCTGATAAAAGTAAAAGGACACTAACAGGTAGTAGCAATTACTGAGGGTTCACTATGTTCCATGCTATGTTTGTCTACACATTTTCTGTATTAATCCTCCCAACAACCCTAGAAAGTAGGTACAGTCAGCCCTCCATATCTGCAGGTTTCACATCCGCAGATTCAACTAACCAAGGGTTAAAAATATTCAGAAAAAAAAATGATACAAATTTACAAATATATAGTATAACAACTATTTACATAGCATTTATATTGTATTGGGTATTATAAGCAATCTAAAGATGATTTAAAGTATACAGGAGGATTGTGTAGGTTATATGCTAATATTATGCCATTTTATATAAGGTACTTTAGCAACCTTGGAATTAGCAGGGGGTCCTGAATCCAATCCCCCATAGCTACAGCTGTATTATTATTAATTCCATTTTGTAATTAAGGAAACTGAGGCAAGAGTCATAAATAACTTGTAAAAATAACACAGTAAGTGGTAGAGCCAGGATTTGATACAAAAATCAGTCTGACTCTACCTACCAACAATATCTAGGTCTTTATATGATCTAAAGGCAGTAACAACAAGTAAATTAATGGTAATTATAAATGACCTGTCTTATAGGGCTGTTGAAGAATATATATAAAGCACAAAGCAGAGAATCTAAAGGTAGTTTTAATTATCATAAATCTCTCATCAACATGGGAAGAAAACCTGATGACCTCACAAAACATGCCATTCCATTTTCCAATAATATTCATTATTAGAAATGCATTCATATCAATCTTGACTAAACTTTACACCTTTTGGTGCTGGTTTTGCTTTCTGGAACTTCTTATGTGTTTTTCTAACTTACTTTCTTTCAAACTCTCCTAGTAATAAACTGCTTGCTACACATTCTCTTTATAAAACTGAATACCTACCTCTTATTCAACCTTTTCTCTTACAACATGGTCATTCTTCTGGGCAAGTCCCTATAGCCCTGAAAACTGAGGCTCAAATCTGAAGACAGTATTTCATGGGCTGCCTGACCATCAGGGAATAGGTTGTTCCTAATAAATACTTTCATCTTTTTTGACATCTACCCTTTTGTTACTATCACCTAAGACTGGATAAACACTTTTGACAGGCCTGACAACTCACTGACTCATTTAGAGCTTGCAGTAAACTTTTTTCACATATACTTACCTGAACTCAAGCAGTGGAAAGTGTTTAATTCAAATATAGGAATGTATAAGTTATCTCAACTAAATTTCCTTTTACTAAATGGGCCCATTAATAACATCTTTTGAAGGTCTAGATCCCATCATCCAATGAAGTAGTTGGCCCTGTCAACTTCAAATCATTTGAAATTTGGTAAGCATGTATCTACCTTCTAAAATATCAACAGAATAGAGTTCACTGGATACTGTTAGAGATTTTATTTCACGTTGGCACAATCTACTAACTCATCTTATTCCAAAAACATAGTCCAAAAAGAGACAAATAAAATTATCTTTGTTCCCCCAACTGTCCTGGTGAAATCAAAGTACTCACAGGTCCTAAGGAGATCAATCCCGCTATTGTGGTTTCCGGGATCAACAAATTTCTCCATGAACTGCTCAGTTAGTGTGAAACTCACACATTTTGTGACCACATCAAATGACTCTGGAACAAGAACAATTGCCTGTTGTTTTAATTATAAACATTTAACAAAAATCTCTTTCAGTAATTATTCTCTGAAGTAAAACAGTAAAGGATGTTTCCAGAGGGGTCAGCAACTTCTCTGGCCCTGACTGACACACAGGTTTCATAGATGTCCAATGGATGCCACTGGTTCTCAGTGGCAGGCTGAAGACATAGGCACAAGGAAGAAAAATAAAGTGGAAGCAGTAAAATGAATGGCAGAATAGCTATGTAGAAAGCCTAGGAAGAAGGGGAGGGAACAAAGACTGAAATAAATAGGAATGTTGATCTTCTCATGCAACCGTGCTTTATCAACCATATTCCCATCTCAGGGAATGCCAAATCCACACTTCCAGTTCCTCAGACCAGAAACTTTAGAGTAATTCTTGTACATTTACACTCCATCAGGAAATCCCAGGAATTCTTCCTTCAAACTATGTCCAGAATCCAGCTGCTGCTCAGTGCTACCATTCTGGTGTGAGTCATAATCATCACTTAACCTGAATTACTTCTATAACCTCCTA
Source organism: Homo sapiens (assembly GCF_000001405.40). Taxonomy (NCBI): domain Eukaryota; kingdom Metazoa; phylum Chordata; class Mammalia; order Primates; family Hominidae; genus Homo; species Homo sapiens. Next base: position 98,519,538 of record NC_000003.12, read on the forward strand.
ACCATAGTCTTCTAGTTTCCACCTTTGTCTGCTGCCTCTGTTCTCACAACAGCCAGGGTGACCAGATCAGGGCTCAGCACTGTATCTGGAGTCAACACCAAAGTTCTCATTCTGCCTAGAGTCCTCCAGGATTTGCCCCAGTCCCACTCCCAAAGTAGGTCTTTAACAGCATACCCAACTTCCCGTCTCTCCCTCCATTCCAGCCCAGTGGCTTCCTTACTGGTCCTTGAATATTTCAGGCATGCTCCCGCCATAGAGCCTTTGCAGTAGATGTCCTTTCCAACCTAAATGACTTCCTCCCCATTTACCCATATGGCCAACTCTTTTGTCTAGTCTTTAACTACATTCTTTACTCAAGTGGTGTCTTCTCAATGAGACCTACTTTAAGTATCCTATTGAAAATCATAACCTATGGCCACCAATATTCCTTTTCCCACATATTTCCAAATCCCTTTTGTGTTCTATTTTGCCATAGCACATGTCATCTTTTAACATACTGAATAATTATTTATTCTGTTTATACTGTTATATTCTGTTCACTGCCTGTCATCCTTTATTAGAATGCTAGCTCCCCAGGAGTAAGGATTTTGTTCTTTCCTGATGTTCTCCCAGCTAAGAGGCCCTGGAACATGGAGACATGCAATAAATTATTTGTTTAATGAATGACTAAATGGTAACACTCCAATTCCAACTCCAATTTCAATATCAAGTGCTCCTGTAACCTCATAAGTCAAACTGAACATTTTACAATGAATTTTAACCAACTTTCTCTCCTTTCCTTCCAAATTATCTTTTTTTCCAGATACAGTGACATATTATCATCCTTTTGATATATCATAACTCAAGCCTGTTCTGCTATGATTTGAATACAATGCTTCCCCACTAAGGGGCCAACAGAAGTAGTCATAAATAAACTGTAAAGTTGTTCCTTACAAAGAGTTCTAAAGCTACCATTTTAATAACTGGAAATCAAAATCTTTAAGTGTTAAATAAGAATGCCTGTAAAATAAACCTAAAAATCTAGTTTTTGGTTTTTTTTTTTTAACTTCTGTAATACAAATTTCTTAACCTACCAACTCTGCATCAAGATTGTTGTAAAACAGTCTCATAATTACACAGATTAAATGTAGAGCTGGTCAAATTATATCCTCTAAGACACAGGGGCAAATGATAGATATGTATTATAATACAGCTAACCCATAAAAGGACAATTTTTTGAGTTGATTTTCGATGGTAGTCCTTTTACTAGTTACCAAATATTTTTAAAAGTCTTTCGATGTACTTTTCCAACTATTTCTTTATAACATGTGTTAGAGTAATGAAAAGTATTTTAATGAGTGAGTAAATAAGAAAAAAAAAAGCCATTAAGGCTTTCCCAAGATAAGAAAAGTTCCTCATCCAACCAATATTGATGAGTACCATGGTAATGCAAAGAAGTTGGGGAGAGAAGGCAGTAGAAAGAGAAGATACACGATTTATTTCTTTAAGGAGAGAGAGAACCAACAAACCTGCTTACATGTAATTGGGCAATCATTACGTCGTTTTGTCTATTATTAACCAGGTGAAGAAGACAGAAGTTAAAATAAGAGAAATACCTGTCCTTTCTGGTGGGCTATACCAATGCATGTTTTTGGGTATGGTGATACACCGTCTCCACAATCCCACTGTGCCATTGTATCGAAAAAGTGCATCATTATAAGTCTTTTCATCTGCCTCATCACTAATGAATTCATCCCAGATGCTTTTATTCAAATCACTGGAATTTTCTTGAACTGGACTTCGATATTCATACCAGAAGTCTGTGCCAATGGAGGCTGCCATGTAGATGGTGGAAATGAGGCTAAGCACACAAGCAATTACAAATGCTGTAGCAAAACGGTTATCCATTCTGGCATTCAGACTGCTCTGTTTAGAAGTTGAAGAAAGAAGATAAGTTAGAGTTTACGGACAAATAAGAAAGATTATTTTGAATTATTCCAAATGCACCCTTTACCCAATTCCCCATCCCTTCGTACATATAACCATTAAGAATTTTTTTTAGAAAGCAAGCATGTTTTTAATTAAGCTTAAAACAAAACTCATTCTCATAAAAGTACTTATTGAATGCTCACATACCCAGGATGCTACGGAGACAGAGGTCTTGTTCTCTAGTCTATCACCTGCATACTAAAACAGACAACACTGAAATGGACATACACATTACAGATACAAACAATAGACATGCCCATGGTCAGCAGTGTACCGTGCACACATTTTAAATTACAGACTGAATTTTTGCACGAGCTGCAGAGGATTAAGTGTTCTGGGTTTGAGTGTTAAAAAGGCACAGGAAAAAGAAGCAGTGGAAATTGGCTTCTCCCAGTTTCCTCTGAAGAGGGAAGCCTCCTAAAACAAAGGTAAGAGTCAGGAGCCATACAGAAAACAGAGTTGAAGATGTTTGTTAACCCCGAGGGAAAGGTTGTTCTAGGTGTATAAAATAGCAAAGAGAACAATAACATGTAATAATGCTAGATAGCAATCTCTCCCTAATCCATTAAAGCTAAGCCAAGCTTCTTTACGCTGCCAAATGCTTCACTCCTATCTACTCTCCCGATTCCTTATACTTCTGAACCTCCTCAACAGAAATCTTGCTCTCTCCCTAAATCCTCAGTGCAACATACGTCCGCAAAAACTAAATGATCCCTCCTCAGCCAGACAGAAAACTCTCAACATATCAACACTCCCAAGGCGTGGACAGGGCTCAACGGCAGTAGTAAATGGCCGCGGTAAAATGACTCAAGGCAGATCGCGCTGAGTCAAATACTACACGGCAAGTATACACCGTGACCGCACCAAACACCTTACAAAGGTTCATGAAAACAGACTCGCAAACTGGGGTTGCTGAGTTTGGAAAATGGGAAGTGACTCAGGAAAGATAAGAGCAATGACAACGAAAACTCAAAAAGTTGGATTTGTATTTTGATTTTTTAAAAATCCCCCCTTCATCCTGGTGCTCTCAAATGACCTTAAAGGGTCCCAGCACTGGGAACGGCGGTTCGTCCAAGCCGGACGCCTGCAGCAGCCACCTCCTGGGCCTCACGGCGGGGCCGGAGAAGGCCAGGGCTGGGGCGGGGCAGCCGTGCTCGGCCCCGGGCCAGGGTCCCCCGGTACCCGACCAGGCCCCGCCCTAGAGGGCTCGGCCCTGGGACAAATCCGCCGCTCGGAACCCGCCCAGCCCGACCACGCCCGGGAAGGGGGCCCCTCTTCAAACCGCCGGGAACATGGAACCGCGACGCGACCCCTGCCCGGCGACGCAGGTCCCGCTCACTCACCGCCCATCCTCCTGCTCCGCCAGCTTCACCCTCTAGCTCAGACCACAGCACCCTACTCTCCCCGCGCCTCCTCTGACGCACTTCCCTGCAGAGCCCGCCCCCTCCATAACTCCCGCGCCTCCGCCCGCCCCCACTCCGGGCCGGGCCGCGGCCCGGGGCCGAGGGGCCTTGTGGGAGTTGTAGGAGGGACAGACTGAAAGCTGTCTGAGGCGGCGATAGGCATTCCTGGCGCCGCGCGCGGCGCATTGTGGGAGATGTAGTTCAGCTCCTCAGGGCAAGCCGGTACGCAGAAGGGAAGTCTAGGCTGTTGGATTCTTGCATTTTAGGGAGGAAGGGAGAATGGTCCAGAAAGTAAAGCGGGCCTGTTTCCGGTCATCTCGAGTCAATGACCGTGACTTGTATAACTTAGATCTGACTTTTAGGCCTGTGCTTTCCCTATCACACCACCCTGCCTCTAGATCTAAGTATAAATGAACAAAAATGGGATTCTACTTGTGAAACGTTGACCCATTTTATTTCCCTCTCCCAGAATCCCTCCCATTGGAGCAGAGCATCCTTCTGGTTTTATTGCATAAGTTTAGGCTAAGAAGTATGTGACCTGGCAGACAGTATCCATCAAGAATGTAATGATATTATTTGGGTTTCATAAAATGTGTTTGTAGCTGCCTTCTTTTTATGACAAGTGATACTAGTTTTCTATTGCAGCAATGTTGTTCCTTTTAAATTCTTTTCACTTATTTTAAAAACTATTAAGTTAATAATACTGAGGATACCAGATATGTCAAAAAATGAATAAAAAATTGTGGGTATAGTAGGAAAAAGACTGAAATTTGGGGAACATCACTCAAGCAGATAAGGTCATGGACAGCATTGGAGATTGCAGATGATGTGTGGCACAGGGGCAACAATGATTCTGAACCCTCAGGTTTAACACAGAAATTCATGGACAGGAAGCAGGGACATCTTAACAATAACATGAGTGGAACTATTAACGTGGCCTGGGACCAGCAAATGGTGGATTTCTCAACAGTAACCGACAGAGAAAGCTGACTCAAGGACCAGAGGGGCTCTCAAACCCCCACTCTGTCCCCTAATGCCTTGTAATTTAGCATAGGAGAAAGATGGGAGCTGCAAGTTGATATTAAATTTCTACCACTTTGACAGATTAAAGGCATGATATGTTTCTCTATCTGTACTTACATTTCTTTGACCTGAGTGGGTGAAACTGATATTCATATGCAGCACATAATAAGGTAGTAGCCAAATATATTCAAACATGACTCTGGATTTTCATATACAGCATATAATCAAAAAAAAATTTGTCAGAGGCACCAACTAGAGAAAGTGATGGAGAGGCACAGGCAAATTGTCAATGTGTAGTAAGACACATAAATGCCCTTATACTCCAGGAAATGTCTTCATCCATTGGCCTTCATTAGAAATCCCCTATTTTCCGCCGGGCATGGTGGCTCACGCCTGTAATCCCAGCACTTTGGGAGGCCGAGGCGGCAGATCACGAGGTCGGGAGATCGAGACCATCCTGGCTAACACGGTGAAACCCCGTCTCTACTAAAAATACAAAAAAATTAGCCAGGCGTGTTGGTAGGCGCTTGTGGTCCCAGCTACTTGGGAGGCTGAGGCAGGAGAATGGCATGAACCCGGGAGGCGGAGCTTGCAGTGAGCCAAGATCACGCCACTGCACTCCAGCCTGGGCGACAGAACAAGACTCTGCCTCAAAAAAAGAAATTCCCCACTTTCAGATTTACCTCTCCACTGAGATCATGTGGTCAGTAAACCAGGCAAAAGAGAAGTTTAAAGGAGAGAGAAGAAACAACTTCAGTCTACAGATAAAGGAACTAGAGAGAGTAACTGACTTGGTAGCAAACTTGGATATTAGAGTAACTGACTACCATGGTAACACACTTGAATATACTCATTTTGTGACTTTGGAGAATTAACCTTCTTTAAGTCTCGGTTGTCTTTTCTCCAAAATATGGATGTTGACAGTAGCATCTATCCCACATGATCATTGTGAAGATTGAGAAAAACATATAAAACGCCCAGCACAGGACCTGAGGTTTAGGAAAGAATCATTAAGTTATTAGTATTTGCAAATATTTGTTGAATATAATATTTGAGTAAGCTTAGTGAGAACAGTCTTTTTTTTTTTTTTTTTTTGTATTCTAATACAGTTCAAATCAGTGTGGCTGGTTCATTTCAACTCCTTCACTACCAAACTAGGAGGCAGGGACTGGCTTCAGTTTTTCTGCCTTCTCTTTTTCACTGATGACCAGGGTATAAAGATATCTGCTGCATCGAACTTTAAACTTCACATTGTCCTTATTTTTCTTGATCTTGACAGATTCAGCATCCTTTCATTGGGCTGTGAACAGAAAGTCCTTGATTTCCTCAATTTTCGGAGGCATGGCGACAAGGCACGCAGGGAGCAGGCGCGGACCGGGACAGCGTGCGGCGACCGGGAAAAACAGGACAGAAAAAGACAGACAGCTTTTAAAGCTCCTGGATTAACCCTAGAGGCTACCCCTAAATGGAGATAAGCCATTTATACAGAGAGGTGTTCCTGCTCGCTTCAGCAGGTTTGAGAAGCTCTGGACTAACCACCAAATGACTAGGAAAAATTTGCCAGGGCTAGTATTTTGGGCATCCCTGTTTAACCCTTCTCAGGAGATTCCCAGGCCTGGGATCGTATCATACACAAGTCGCCATGACTCAGGAGGTGGATGTTTCTGGGAAGACCTGCAAAGGAGGATGACACTTGCACCCTTCAAGTCTTCAGAATGCCTAGAAAACACTCAGGACGCATTTCACTGACCAACCTAGTGTGAACCTGGAGGTGTCTCTACGTGTTTGTGGTTTTGATCATCCTGAGAGAGGACCTGAACGGCCTCTTCACACCCAGTTTCACCAACCACACAACCGTATTTCTGGTTTATCTCTGCATCTTTGGTGTTTCCTAATTTCTATTTATGCTTGCTTGTTGTATGAGTAGGTAAAATAAATCCTTAATTAATTAATGGAGCTAAATTTCTACTTCTGCTTCTTACTCTGCTGTTTGAGAAACGGTAGCTAGCCTTATATTTTCACAAATATGAAAGATGATTTTGTGCAACCATGTAGAGATTATGGAATTTAGGTTTAAAAGCGAAGTTAAATGAGACATCTAGCTTAACTTGTTAAAGATGGTTCTAGTTTCAACCGGAAGGCATTATAGTTATAGCACATTTAAAATAAAACCGATAACTGAAAATCTAGATACTCAGATGTTGTAACTTGTTTTTATTATGTACTTATGAAACAACCCTTCACACTAGAATTTCCATCAATACTAAATTCCCCAATACATTTAATATTTTATTTTTAATTGCACATTTTTAGGAACTAAAAGTTATATCTACATTATAAGATATATTTACATTATGTTTCTTCATGTAATTTTTTTTCTGGTTGTTTCCCTTGTGAACTTTGGAGTTCAGAAAGGAAAAAAATGGGAATATGTACAATTCTGGGTTCCAACCAAAAACCATTTTTAAAAATGTACCTATCTTTGAATTTCCTTGCACCCATTCACTGTAGAACAATAACAGAATCAAGATCAAGGCAAATAGAAAAGTGCACCTAAAATGTCTCCTTTTTTTTTTTAGTAATTCCTGTAAAGTGCCACATATAGTAAAAAACTATAATTTTTAGATGCCCATGCTTCTGAAAGACAGTGAATGACCCATATGTAAATGAGAAGTTTAAGTTTAAATTATCCTTTATTTAAAAATTATCAATGGATCTTTGGTTAATGACCCCTTTCTGGACCCTAGGGTCCTCTTTAGTAAAACAGTTGTACTAATGATCATTAACACCACTTGAAGCTCTAAAATTTTACAGTTTATAATTCTACTGGAAGAAGAATAATGCAACTACAAAATACGGTTTTTCATAGATCCACAGCATTAGAGTTTCATTGCAGAATTTATATACCCTATACCTCAAGCCTAGGCAATGTACTAGAAGCAGAGATAGTGGCAAATGTAGATTGCAAAGGAAAAGGAGGAAGACTATATGCATTCTGATTAGAAAAGGTACCGAAAAACAGCCCTTGCTATTTCAAAGATTAACAGTAATTATGAAGGTAAAATTATGGAAGGAAACTTTTCTGATTTCTTCTAATTGACACTTATTAGTATAGAGTTATGAGTATGAATTGTGGGCCTCCCAAAAATAACTTTTCAAAAAAAAATCTTATTGCAGATAAGAAACTAATATAATCAATTAATTTAATTATTAATAAACTTAAGAGTCTTCATTGAGAGAGTCCTCTTCTCATCACTATCCGTCATACTTATTATGAGGCCATGATAATGATATTTTTCACATTTATTGGTTTGCAAGTTGCTTCTGATTCAACAAGATGTGCCAAGTGAAAACATAAGCATAAGTTGACAAAAAATGTGCTGCATTAACTTAGAAACATCTCTTCATATTAGTTTATGATGTGACAAAGATCCCAGGACTGAATAGAAAATGGAAGCTGTCTAAGAAGTTTGTGAAAAGTCCCTACTCTGCGGAAATAACTCAAAATTCAAGCATGATTCATCCCAGATCTATAATCATTTATTGACCATCTATTGCTTGCCAGACACTCTGCTGGATGCCAAGGACACCAACATAAATAAACATAATTTTTGTTATGCACAACCTAAATTCAGATTAAATCTGCTATTTCGAAGAAATCTAAAGTATATATTCCTAGAATAGTAACATCATTTCTATCTATATATTAGTTACCAATGGAAATAAGCCAGTAAATTAAGTGGGGGGCCCTCATAATAATGAATACGTGCCACTTAGTTTGGCATGATGTGATATTACATTATATAGTACTAAATTCTCCAAGTAACTGAGAATTTAAAAATAAAAATAAACTCCTAGAGTATAAACAGTATAATCGTTTTTCTTAAACTTAACTATTTGACTTTGCACTTTAAGAAATGGACAAGATAATGTATCTAACAAGTGAATATATAATGACACCGTTTGACTGATGAGATTAATGAGAAATAATTAGTTGCTTCATGCTCTTTGCCATTTATTCTGGGACATATCAGCAGAGCATGTGTGAATCAAAGGCTTCGTATCCAGGGATTTCTTTCTTCTGTGCTATATGCATGTAATCTGATGAGTCTCCACCTGATATGGTGGTTGACAGGGAAGAGGCCGAAGTAATATAATCATAAGTTCAATAAGCCTAATAGGGGTGGCTCTATTATTAAATCTTCAGCCTGCTTGTGAAGCAGAGGCTGCAAGCCACAGCAAATAATAATGGATTCACTCAAGCAGATGTTTCAGTAGAGAAAACCTTTCTCTGTCTTCATCTTCAACACCTGAACCAGTTCTGAGCATAACTCAGGAATTGGAACATAGAATAAGCAGGGCCTAGAAATCTAAATTAATTCCTCAAATTTTGTGATATTCAGACTAAAAGACTTCCACAAATTTCAAATTCTGAGGTAACTTTTAAGCCTTTTTTAAAAATTAGTCAAAATAATAACAAAGCATAATATATAATGTTGGTTAACTTATATAAATTAGAACAGTGATTCTAAACTTTAGTGTGTATAAGAATCACCTCGAATGCTTGTTAAATATAAAGTCCTAGACTTCTTCCCCAATGATTCTGACTGAGGACATCTAGAATAGGGTCTGGCAATCTACAGCTCAGCAGGTGTCCCTGATGACTCTAATCTGGGTAAAACGATCTGGCATCCACAGGTTCAAAACAATGGCTTTAAGAGTCCTAAAAGAACTTTAGTTGGGTAACTTCTGTATGCTAGAGGCCAGTCCAGAGATAATGAATGGACTCTGTCTTCAGGTTGCTCATTATCAGCTCCAGGGGTCAGATACAAAGACAACTAACAGTGTGAAAAGAGACAAGTACTTTGTAACCAGTATTTTTAAAGTTCTTAGGAAATACAAAGGAAGAAGCAGTTATTTCTGCCAGGAGTCATGGAGGAAAGTTGAGTGTTATTTTCTGAGAAAAAGAATTCCAAAGATGTGGCATATATGCTCTAATTCAGTTACTAATACTTATATATTATTCTTTTTTTTTTTGCCATCATTCTGTTTACATTGACTTTTCATATGTTTATGGAACCCAGTGTTGCTTTTGAGTTTTGATCTATGTGTAGGTTTCTATTTTATTGTTAGTATCTTCATGTTTATTTTAAAGAAAACTCAAAGTCCTAAAATTGACCGTTGCACCAGCTTATTTACAACCCCACTTTAGCCAGCTTTATTGTGGATTCTGTCTTGTACTAGCATTGTACTCTGAGGTACTAAAAGACTGGCACTATGCTATGTGAACGTTTTTGGCTTAAAACATTTAATTTGTTTTCTGATTTGGGTACAAAGATGCTGTTGATCCAAGGTGGGTATTCTCACATTGTAACATTCTACCATTAAATATCATACTTCAAGGTGGCCACATAATGATAAAGCAAACTATTTTATCTACAACTGCTTCAATAGTTTGCTGAGGAAATTGGATTTGAGATAGTTTACATCAGCGGTCCAGCAACTTTTGAAATTTGAAAAAAAAAATTTAAGGGATACAGAATGAATGTGCAGCCAAATATTTTCCTCTACAGTATGAGCATGAACTCTTTTTCCATTTTATAATACCTTTATGTTGAATTCTTGAGACATATCAAAGGATTAAAAAAAAGAAGAAAAACCGTAGACCCAGAATCAACCTTATTTTCTCAAATGCCAAAAGAACTTATGATTGTAGGGTACAAAATTCTAATATTAAAATTTCAGTACACTTAAAGAATATATATGATTAGTACTTTAACACACAGGCACACAGATATAGATGATATGTTTAAATATTCTATATTACCCTATTAATCTTTTTTGAGTAAATATTGTCCTACTTCAATTTTTGACAAAATGAATTATTCTATTAAATAATTAAAGCTTACCCAGTGGGAAAGATTTCTGTCCCAGAAATGTCAAAGCGGTTAATTAGTTTCTCTGATCTGTAGTCTATATTTAGTAAAGAATATGCCCTCCATGAAATTAAATGAATTGCGCACAGCAGCCAGGGACACAGGAGAAGGCAGGCTCAGGCCCACAAATCAACTCCAGAGTGACTTCTGGGACTGTCCCAGGTCAGAGGAGCCTTTATCCTTCCCTGACCTCAGCTTACTTGCCTAAGACTCAGGTGACACTAGACCATATCAGGAGGAAGAGGGAAGGAGGAAGTACAACCGGCAGGATGATTCTTTTTAATATACTAATTACTGAAGAAATAACAATTCAGTAGGGCCAGGCTTGGTGGCCCATGCCTGTAATCCCAGCATTCTGGGAAGCCAAGGCGGATAGATTGCTCGAGCTCAGGGGTTCCTGACCAGCCTGGGCAACATGGCGAAAACCCGTCTCTACAAAGAATACAAAAATTAGTCGGGCATGGTGGTGCATGCCTGTAGTCTTAGCTAGTCAGGAGGCTGGGGTGGGAGGATTGCATGGGCCTGGCAGTGAGCTGTGTTCAAGACACTGCACTCCAGCCTGGGTGACAAAGTGAGACCCTAGTGAGACCCTGTCTCAAAAATTAAACAAACAAACAAATGAAAAAACAACTTAAGAAAGGACTTCAAATGTTTAATGACTATATTTTCATCTACAAACATACATTTTTCTATGAATAGCAATATCAACCTGAAACTAGAATTCTGAAGATTAAATCAGATAGGAGAGAAGAATAGTGCAAGAGAGCCTTGAGTCACTTTGACCAGTAAAGAGCTGAAATAAATGGAGTCCGTTTCAAAATGTGTTATATTTTACTATGGTCATCATAATATAAAAGGAAACATATGAGAGAAAAATGTGATAGAATTCTTTCTGTTTTAGCCTGTTCCCCAAGTGTTTTAAATGTACTAAAAAATCTTCCCTTTTATAGTGTCCATGCTGGCACCTCCATCATGATGTCACTTATAGGTATATCTGTTGCCAGATCAGCAATCAGCAATTCCAAAAGTGATGTTCACCCATGTGTGGAGGTACCAGAAGGCCATGGCTCAGAAGCTAAAAAAATCAGTGCTACACAGGTGTGGTATAATGAAGAGAAGATCAGAGGGGATCCAGAGTCTGATGAAGCGTATTTGAGGGTTAATAGGGAGAAAATCTCCTAATCAATGATGTTAACTCTTAACAAAAGAGAACTTCACTGGTTGAATTACAATAGCAGATAGGAGGGTAAAAATAGCAACTTGAGATTGTTAAACCTGTGTTTGTAAGTTACATAAATAACAACAATACCTGAAGTTAGACCCCAATGAATTCATTTCTACTAGATATGCTGGATAACAAAAAGAATTTTCTGAATCAAACCTAATAAACTACAATTTCCAAAGCACCAACTATATGCAAGATGCTATGCAAGTTGTAGTGGAAAACTTAAAATAATAAGAGCAGAAAACGTGGTCCCAGTCTTTGGGGGGGGATTTTTAAAAACTTATGAAACAGGATTGACTACATGTCAAATGAAAGAGCCACATAGATGGGGAGACTCTCATGCCCTAAATGGAATCATGTTGTTTGACCTAGTTGTATACTGGTATGATTTGGGAAACTTTTCATTCACTCTTTACACAATGAAAGACTAGTTTTCTTCCTAGTTCGCCAACAAAGTAAATAAAAAGAATACATTATCATTGCCTTACAATTCTAAAAGCAGAACAATATCTTCTATGTGAAACAGAAGGCTAGATCAAAATAAATTTCAGTGTCAAAAGCAAAGGAGGTCTTTAAAGGAAGTGAAAAAATCAAGTTAATTCACTTCTTAATTACTGGCCTTAAAGAAATAAATTGAATATCTTGAAAAAATAACTCAAAAAGCACCTCAGTTTCACGAGCAAATGCAAATTAAAAAAACCACAACCACAACCAACCAACACCAATCAGAGTGGTGCTCCTTGTGTGCCCTTTCTGAGGATTGGTAGAAACTGCATTTTTTAATCTCGGCTTTCATGTTTGTCCAAGATCTTTAAAGGGAGGGGAAAAAAGAGAGAGAGAGGCAGGCACTGTATAAAAGAAGCTTCCTTGAGGTTTCTAAAATTTATACAAAAACATCATATGTAAGTAAACTCACCAGATTTGGCATCTGCTCTTTGGTGATGGACCCAGAAGAAACTTCAGTTTATTTGGATTATTACTATGCTACGAGCCCAAACTCTGACATCAGGGAGACCCACTCCCATGTTCCTTACACCTCTGTCTTCCTTCCAGTCTTTTACACAGCTGTGTTCCTGACTGGAGTGCTGGGGAACCTTGTTCTCATGGGAGCGTTGCATTTCAAACCCGGCAGCCGAAGACTGATCGACATCTTTATCATCAATCTGGCTGCCTCTGACTTCATTTTTCTTGTCACATTGCCTCTCTGGGTGGATAAAGAAGCATCTCTAGGACTGTGGAGGACGGGCTCCTTCCTGTGCAAAGGGAGCTCCTACATGATCTCCGTCAATATGCACTGCAGTGTCCTCCTGCTCACTTGCATGAGTGTTGACCGCTACCTGGCCATTGTGTGGCCAGTCGTATCCAGGAAATTCAGAAGGACAGACTGTGCATATGTAGTCTGTGCCAGCATCTGGTTTATCTCCTGCCTGCTGGGGTTGCCTACTCTTCTGTCCAGGGAGCTCACGCTGATTGATGATAAGCCATACTGTGCAGAGAAAAAGGCAACTCCAATTAAACTCATATGGTCCCTGGTGGCCTTAATTTTCACCTTTTTTGTCCCTTTGTTGAGCATTGTGACCTGCTACTGTTGCATTGCAAGGAAGCTGTGTGCCCATTACCAGCAATCAGGAAAGCACAACAAAAAGCTGAAGAAATCTATAAAGATCATCTTTATTGTCGTGGCAGCCTTTCTTGTCTCCTGGCTGCCCTTCAATACTTTCAAGTTCCTGGCCATTGTCTCTGGGTTGCGGCAAGAACACTATTTACCCTCAGCTATTCTTCAGCTTGGTATGGAGGTGAGTGGACCCTTGGCATTTGCCAACAGCTGTGTCAACCCTTTCATTTACTATATCTTCGACAGCTACATCCGCCGGGCCATTGTCCACTGCTTGTGCCCTTGCCTGAAAAACTATGACTTTGGGAGTAGCACTGAGACATCAGATAGTCACCTCACTAAGGCTCTCTCCACCTTCATTCATGCAGAAGATTTTGCCAGGAGGAGGAAGAGGTCTGTGTCACTCTAAAGGGAACTGTGACATTTCAAGCTCTGTTGGTGGGTTTAGGAGTTAATTTTTGTCAGCAACAAAGAAGGAAGTGTTAATGATAGGATTCACATTGCTTCATAGATGCAAGGAAGAGTTCATTTTTAAAGAGAGGACTGAAAAATCCCTGTGTTGTGGATATAATTAGGCCATGTGCTGTTTTCTCAGCTAAGCAGCCTTCTTCGACCCTTGCCAATCAAGTCCACCAGACAAAATCCAATTCCCATCTGTCCTTGAACTCCTGGATAAAGGCTCCTGCTTGAACCAGTCCCTTTCTTCATGATTGTTAATGCACATTTGGGCCTTTCCTCTCTCAAAAACCATGGTACCTTCATCCCCACCACCCTTCATACTGGGCTCTAAATTGGACTACATTTAAATGATTCTGCCTACTTTCATCTGATGAGAAATGCAGTAACAATGCAGGTAACAAAAATATAATATACCTGCACTGTGCAATTAATTGTTTCTGAGTTACTAAGCTAGATTCTGACCTCAATCTTTAAAGCTTTGTATCGTGATTCTTCATCATCTTCCAACATTGTGCTTCATCCTATGCCTATTCACAATGGCTTTGGACTGGCAAAAAAAAACTCATGGGGATTTTGTATTGTGTTTATGATTTGGGACTTACTTTATCATATGGTCTTCTAGTATTTTAATACATAAGCATATGGCAGGATTCAACATCTATTTGCTTTATAAGATATTGATAAAAATGTATCTCATTCATAATGGTGTAGCAACTACTTTTTAATGGGGTTTTACTATGCTCTTTTGTTTCCATTGGCTTTATAAATTAGGATTTGACTTTGCTTTAATTACATGTTTTTAATTACCCAGTTATCTAGTTATCAAATGAAAATGTTATTACTAATATAATTGGAACTCATAAAATGCTTAGCTGTACCCCGATGCAGATTATCATTTTGTATTTTAATTAAAATGTTAGTGCTACACATTCCCTATAGTATCATTTGCTTGGTGCCTATAATTTCAAGATAAGATCCAGTAATATAGGGAGACAGGCTGCTCTGTATTCAGCCAAAGTAGAAAATCTCTAACAAAGATCTCACTAGTATTTTATATATATTTTTTCCATACCCAGAAACCTTCTTGAATTCCTTTACCCAATAAATATTTATTGAGTCAATTTGTACCTATATTCCTTTTGAAGACTTTGATGTGAAAAACATGTAATTAGTGGCAACCACAAAAGACTCTGCAGCAGCAAGCATGCTATTGTAAACATCTTTTGATTCAAGGGAAAGCGGGTTATGTTTTTACCTCCACTGTTGACTTGAATGAATTACCATTTTACTTCTAAATATTAGATTTGAAAATCAGAAAAAACTTAGAATCCTTTCAAAGACTAGCCAATTTAATTTCATCTCATGTATCTTTCACATGAAGAGAAACCTCAAATATCGGACATCTCCTTGTAGCCTAATTAGAAGCTGAAAATACAGTTTTTGGTTTTATAAATTGGCTAACTTGTTAATTTTTCTTAAACTGTTATTAAATAAAAATATAATTTCCTTACATAAGTATTCTTCTGGACTGTATTAATTTCTAACAACATATTAATATTAATACTAATTCTAATAAACTTTTAGTAAATTATTATGGTTATAGAAGAAAAGACCATGTAAATAATAACAAATAAATATTCTTGGAAAACTTCAAAACTAAATTCAATGCAATTGAATAGATCTCCAAAAGTTAAACAAAAACAAAATACAGAAGGTAGAAGACACACATTTCTTTAAAACAAATCGGCAAAAGCACTGTTACTAATCATGAAACTTACTGCCTTTGAAAAATACTGCCTTTAAAAAATAGCTGAATCAATCAGCTAAGTTATTGGTTGGGAAAGCAGAAAACCTGTGCTATTAATTTTAGCTTCACCCTTAATGTTGTGATACTAGTAAGGTCATTTTAACCTTTCATACTTAAATGTAGTTGGTAATATCTATGTCTATAGAATTATCAAGGATACTGTAAAAATAATAAATATAAATAAAGTTTTAAATGTGGAGTAAAAAGTTACTTTATAAAGTGATTTGATTTCTATTATTAATTATTGACTACTCCTTACAAATTTTCAAACTAACATCAAATAATACTTAATCATTCTCATTTTTAAAATATTGAGATTTTATTTCTACTTCTTCACTTTAATTTTGCTGAGAATATTTAAAATAACACCAAATAAAAATATGTATTATTGGTTTTTTAGTACTTTAAATAGATATAATAATTGTAGGCTTTAATAAAATCTTAGTTTATTTTACATTCATAATGTACCAGTTGTGAAAGAAAAAAATAGATATAATTTTATAGGTAGTACAACTCTAATAGAAAAAAGTTCAAAGCTTGATTAAGTTCACATGTTATTTTGTCATATATGGATTCTGCTGGTATGAAATGTAATTTACATTATAATAGCATTAAAAAGTTTATTACAAATTAGTTGTCTGACATTTTGCATATTTTTAAAATCATAGGCTGGGTGCAGTGGCTCACGCCTGTAATCCTAGCACTTTGGGAGGCCGAGGCAGGTGGATCACAAGGTCAGGAGTTCAAGACCAGCCTGACCAACATAGTGAAACCCCGTCTCTACTAAAAATACAAAAAATTAGCAGGGCATGGTGGCAGGCACCTATAATCCCAGCTACTCAGGAGGCTGAGGCAAGAGAATCGCTTGAACCCAGGAAATGGAGGTTGCAGTGAGCCAAGATTGCACCATTGCACTCCAGCCCAGGTGACAGTGCTAGACTCTGTCTCAAAAATAATAATAATAATAATAATAAAATTTCTTCATTTTTAATTTGAACAATTTCTATTTCTATACTTACGTAGATATTCTACATATACATATACATTCAGATATACATAGAATCACAGACTCATATTTATACCTTTTCATTATTTTTATTACCTGAATTAAACTAGCCTAAAGGCTAGTTTGTGATAATTTAATGTCATTAAAGAACAAATCAATACATTGCCAAGAATTTCCAGAAAATTACTCTTTCATCCTAACACAATCATGCCTTGCCAGTTATATCCAAAGTTAGGAAAACAAAATAAAATTTTTACAATTCAGAGTAATACACAAGGAAATCACTACAGATTAACATTATTTGTTGTCATTTGCATAAGTAGTCCAAAGTTACTCGGAGGATGTAAATGACAAATATAAAAGGATAGTGACCTCTCAAGCATTTCTCAAATAGCTTTTTGAAACTTACCCCAGAAAAGCTCTCCATTAAATCCTAGGTAATGTGTTGTCTGATACTTTATAATTAATTTTAAAAGAAATGTAATCAAGACACGCATAGTCGCAAACATAGTCCCAAACACATTTACTCCATTTGGGTTGTATTGAAAGGTTGAAACTAACCTGATATTCCTGGGAGTCCCTTAACCTGTCCACTCTTAACAAGTCAAAATCACTTCTGTAGTGAAAAGTTTTAACAGCAGTCTTAAAGGGAAGCTATGTGCGTGACTGAGAACCGACCATTACTAGGGGTCACAAGTTAATTTTTAAATAGATGCATAAATGCACAGTATGGTGGTAAGGTGAGTGGAAAAAAATCTTCCTCTGTGATTCATCTTGACTCCTCAAATCACTCTCTATTCTACCTAGCGATCTCAGAAGAGAGAAATGACTTGTCATATGTGCATGCCACAAAGAACCTGTTTTCCTGCAGAGCTCATTCATAAAAGCTGAGCAAAACTAAAAGAATTACAAATTTGCTTCTAAAACCAGACCATTGGTGTAACCTGCCAGCAAGATAATGGCTCCAGCCCCATTAGAGAAAGAGGTGCCATAGGAGAAAAAGCAAGAGGGTAATTTTAACTACCAAAATATTTGCGAACAGTTACTGACTACTGCGAGTTCCTTTTGTCTTTCACGGAGTTTGATGTTGATTGGATTTTCCCCTGCAAATGCCGGTTATTATTTAAAGCTTTTTTTTTTGAGCCAATATTCTTTGTTTTTATCAATTTTAGAAGTAAACGATTACGACTAGACTTTACGTATAAGTGTACAGGGAAAAACAACTGTGCCACTGACTTGATTTTATATTGCAAATGTAAAAATCCACCCTAGGGCGAGTTACACTCATTGGTTCTTGCTATCTTTGTCATTTCCTTAATAGAGCTATATTTCCTAAACATATATGACAAGTGCAAATTGCATCCTAAGATAAACCTACAGCATTAAAAACAAAATCCAAAACAAAAAAAACCCTACTTTAAATATCCAAAGTATCAAACTATTCATAAAGGTTCTTATGACAAGGTAAATGGTAGTGAAATGTAAATTTACATAAAATGTTCATTGTTCATCTAAAAGTAGGGGGAAAGTATTCTGCTAGTTGAGCAGACATTATTAAACTAAAAAATTTCTGGTTTATATACATAAGCACCAAATTTCTAAGATCCAAAGGTACTTTCAAATCACAATGAAACTTTCTGAGTTAGCTGCATATGCTTAAGGATCTACGATAAAATATTCACATTATTATTAAAATTATCTGCCAACCTAGTAAAAGATGTTCATCAATTTGATATTATTCGGTGATTTTTCTTATTTGCTAATTAAATATATGTAATAATTAACTAGTTTTCTAACACTTCCATGTTAGAGAGAGTTAAACATCATCTATGAGTATCTCATGTTTGTCAACATTGATAGGAAATTTAGCATTTTTACTTGCTAGGTCCTATCAATTCTTTTTTTTTTTTTTTTTTTTTTTTGAGACGGAGTCTTGCTCTGTCGCCCAGGCTGGAGTGCAGTGGCGCGATCTCGGCTCCCTGCAAGCTCCGCCTCCCAGGTTCACGCCATTCTCCTGCCTCAGCCTCCCGAGCAGCTGGGGCTACAGGAGCCCGCCACCACGCCCGGCTAATTTTTTTTCGTATTTTTAGTAGAGACGGGGTTTCACCGTGTTAGCCAGGATGATCTCAATCTCCTGACCTTGTGATCCGCCCGCCTCGGCCTCCCAAAGTGCTGGGATTACAGGCTTGAGCCACCGCGCCCGGCCCTATCAATTCTGATTTAAAATATTTTATTTCTGTGTTTCTATTAGCTCAAAATAAAACAAAAAAGTGCTCCTGCCTAGCATATTTGTGACCTGTATACTATAAATGCACTCTTTTGTTTGCTCTTAATTATATACAAAACAGGAGATATAAACTACTATTGTGATGTTTATTCAGAAATTAAAATTTTATGCATCAAAAATTACATATGACTGGAGACTTTATTTTTAATTTAAAAAAATCTGTGGCAAAGTCTTCAGCAAGCAATACTGCTCTTTTCCTTACAGAGTATATATAGACCCTTTGTATTTCATAACCATCCATTGTAAAACCTTCACAAATCCCTAAATTTGCCAACTCCAATATAGCATATAATCTACTTCATACAAATTGAATAAAATGTAATGTTTTCAGAGCTATTGCAAAATGTATAAAAAGAAAAGTTGAAAGGAGATATCTATCCTAAGTGTTTGGCCTGACTCACTAGTTAAGTGACTCATTCCGCATCACCTCATAGGTCAGTGGTTTAAATGTCTGCTTTTTATGTCATACAACTGTGGAGTTTCAGTCAAAATCTCAAACATCAAACTGTGAATGCAAAATGTCTATCGTACACAATACACTATGACAACCATAAAAATTGTTAAATCTTTTTATTGTAACTGGTGGATTCTAAAACAGGCATATTGCAGTTACACATTCACAAAATATCTTTTTTCTCTTTTTTTTTTTTTTTTTTTTTTTTTGAGATGGAGTCTCACTCATTCTGTCATCCAGGTTGGAGTGCAGAGGCACGATCTTGACTCACTGCAACCTCCGCCTCCAGGATTCAAGTGATTCTCCTGCCTCAGCCTCCCGAGTAGCTGGATTACAGGCATGCGCCACTATGCTAGGCTCCTTTTTTTTTTTTTTTTTTTTTGGTATTTTTAGCAGATATGGAGTTTCACCATTTTGGCCAGGCTGGTCTCAAACTCCTGACCTCAAGTGATCCGCCCACCTTGGCCTCCCAAAGTTCTGGGATTACAGGCATGAGCCACTGCACCCAGCCTCTTTCTTTCTCTTATACACATACACAAACACACAAACATACTGTATACAGTTGCAGCTGAAAAGCATCTGTTGAATGTTGCTGTTAATATTCAGACTGAAGTACTTGAGATGAATTTAACTATTTTATCCACTAACAAAATACAGAATACAAGAAAGGAGAAAATAAAGCAAAGAAAAAGCATAGTAAATAAAGAACACAAAATAAAATGGCATATGTATGCATAAATATATCAGCAATTACAAAAAGCATATAAATGGATTGAAATTTCTACTAAAGAGTTGAACATGGCTGGACATAGTGGCTCAGGCCTGTAATCCCAGTACTTTGGGAGGCCGAGATGGGAGGATCACTCGAGGCTAAGAGTTTGAGACCAGCCTGGTCAACATAGTGAGACCCCATCTCTACGTAAAAAAAAAAAAAAAAAAAGTTGAGGCGGGGCGTGATGGCTCACGCCTATAATCCCAGCATTTTGGGAGGCCAAGGCAGGTGGATCACCTGAGGCCACGAGTTCCAGATCAGCCTGACCAACAAGGAGAAACCCCCTGTCTCTACTAAAAATACAAAATTAGCTGGGCATGGTGCCAAATGCCTGTAATCCCAGCTACTCGGGAGGCTGAGGCAGGAGAATTGCTTGAAGCCGGGAGGTGGAGGTTGCAGTGAGCTGAGATCACACCATCGCACTCCAGCCTGGGCAACAAGAGCGAAATTCCATCTCAAAAAAAAAAAAAAGGTTGAACAAATATATATATATATATATTTGTATTTGTTCACAATAAATATATATAGTGATATATGTATATCACTTTATTCGACTCTATAGGAGTTAAAAAGGTAGAAGCAGAACTTGTTTTTCATGGAGTTTAGAATCCACATAGTTGTTTATTTTTTTTAATCAAAGAATGAAATAGTGACACCCAAGAAGAGCCCGGTATATGCAATGAAAATTACAAGTCAAATAACTTTCCTTGGTCTTTTCCAATGTTTAGGAGAAGCCCATACTTAGTCCATATACAAGTCACTTATGTAATTGTCATTTTGATATGGTTATTTCCTAAACATTGTTACATTTCCTTAAAGTGTTCACATTAGCATCCTCAAATGAAAATGCTATCATTGTCTTTATAGATGTTAAGACTCTCGAGTCTTAAAAATCTTTAAGACTTTAAACGTATAGACTCATTATTTTAAACACAAGAACACATCTTGAACAGTATTAGGTTTAAATTTATTTCCAAATGACAAACTAAAAAAAAGTATGCAAAGCAAAGTAGATAACTTTACATGAACCTTGCCCAGCACAGTGATTTAATGAGATGCCCTTTCATTTGGCCTTGAGTTAGAGCAAAAGCAAAACTGACAACTCAGGTGGAGAAGTGGTAAATGAGAAACGAAACTTGGCCTGTGGTTTCATGTTTAAAGCAAAAATACAGATTCAGAGCACTTGAAGATAGATGAGAATGGCTACCTTATTTCTAATAAAAAAGATGTTTATGCAATTCAGACCTGACTTGTGTATGTTAATAGAAATAGCTTAAAAATCGGAAAATCAGTAAAGAATTGAGTAAAAGTCAATTCAGAACTGTATAACTTAGTCCTCAGGATTTCAAATCAATGTGTCTTTCCTATAATAATTCAAACATAGAAAAGAATACTGCCAAAAAGTTTGTAAATTTATATTTAGCATGATACATAATATTAAAAAAAACAAAATATGGTTTTACCTATTAAACTGACAAAGAGTGAAACATTAAATACTAAGGTTGACCAGGATTGGGTCTGCGGGTGTGAGGGAAGCTTATTGAGTGTAAATTGATTAAGCTTTGTAGAAAAAATTTAGAAACCTATATCAAAAGCAATTCCACTTCCAAGATTTTGCCCTAAAAAATCATTACGGCCAGGTGAAAAGACATATGCACATGTATTTTTATTGCAGCATTGTTCATAAAAGCAGGAAAGTGAAAACAATCCAAATGTCCAAATTGACTGAGTAAATTAAAATTCATGCACTTTCTTACAATGGAATACTATGCAGCCTTTAAAAATACTGTACCATATACTGAAGTGGAAAGACCTTAATAATAAATCCAATGAAATTAAGTGAAAAAAGCAGACTACAAAACTATATCTATAGGATGACCACATTATTTGTGACTATTTTATTCATATATGAATGCAAAAATACTGGAACCCTATACAGCAAAATGTTAACTTTGTGAAGTTACAAGTGATTTTTATATTTATTATTACTTGTATTTTCCAAAAAAAAATGCATTAATTTTGTAGTAATAAAAAAAGCTAAAATTTAGTTTAGGCTTTCAATGAAGTACCCAAGATAAAAATAGTAGCTAAATTTATTATAAAACATCATTTCTGAGTTGTAGGTCCTCTAGTTTTTCAATTACTGTGTTTCTGATCTGTGAGTATAATCCCTACATTGGCCTTGAGACCTCCCCTAGTAATCATCTGTTTCTTTCTAGGATGACCCGCTGTTTCCTTTACAAGTACCCAATTCCTTAAAAGCAACAGTTTTAGAACTGCTATGCATTTAAAATTTGAAAATGGTGATGAACATTTCAGCATGCAGGCAGGACCTTTATTCTCCCATAATGTCTCTTAGCACAGCAACTATTGCATCCTGCATAGTGACTCATCTGGTGCCATGTCTGTCCACCAGGTAGGAAGAGAGCTCCCTCCACCCTGGGGATGGGGGAAGAGAAGAAGCCACATCTTCATTTTTTGTAGCCATATGCTTGGCTTCTTCCATATCAAGCACTCATCATTGTTGAACTAAACTGAACATGCTAGAAAAATCTCACCATTGATTAAAATAAAAATGAAAAACATTTAAAATGTTAAATATTAAATTTTTATATTCATACTTTTGCTTGAATGTCTTTTGTTTATGATATGCTGTAACTATGAGGGACAGGGAGTCTATTACAGTCATCAGGAGCAATCTTGCCACTGTCCTTTAACTTTTTTGATCATTCCAGCTGTACTTGAGTAGAGAAATAACTGATGCAATATCCTTTACTTCAGCCCTTTCTTGGTGTAACATTGATTTTCTATTTAAATGGAAAACTTTTCTGAATTCAGGTCCAATATGCCTAGTATTGGACCAAAAATAGTGATTTCTAATCACTGTGTGATAGTCAGGAGTTCCACCGGCTATTGCCAGGGTATTATAAATCTTTCCACAAACTCCAAACCTATATTCCACATTAGATAATAAGTAACTTATGTGACTATGCACTTTTGAGAGAGACTGAGAGTGGGATTATGAAGTCAAACAATTGATCAGAAGATAACTTCTATAAAGGCTGTTGCTCTGTTTTGGCTCAGCCCCACTGCTCCAGAAGGTACACGCCATAAGCTTTGGCAATGCCCGTGTGGTATTTAGTCTGTAAGCATGAAGAATGCAAGAGCTGTGAGGCATGACTGCCTCCATTTAGGTTTCAAAGTGTAATGCCTGGTGGAGCTGTGGAAGTGTAGTGACCCCCAAGATTACAGAACTATAGGATACCAGTGTGAAACTCCAGCTTGGGACAGCTAAAGCATGGACTGAGCCCAGCAAAGTCATAGGGACAGGGCTGTCAGAGGCCTTGGGAGCCCAACTCCCACCTCAGTGTGCCCCGGATGCAGGACATGGAGCCAAAGGAGACTATTCTCTAAATTTAAGACTTAATGTTGCTTTCCCTGAAGGGTTTTGGACTTGCTTGGGACCAGTTACCCCTTCTTTCCTGCTTCTCTCTTTTGGAATGGAAATGTCTATTCTATGCCTATCTCACCATTGTGTCGGATCTCACCATTGTATCGTGGAAGTAGATTACTTGTTTTCATTTCACAGGCTCACAGCTGGAGAGTATTAGCCTCAAGATAAATTGTAGGTTGAGTGTCTGATTTAGATGAGACTTTTGAGTTGATGCCAGAATGAGTTAAGACTTTGAGGGCTATCAAGATGGAATGAATGTATTTTGCACATAAGAATAAGATGAATTTTGGGGCAACAGGGATGAAGTGCTGTGGTTTAAGTGTCCCTGCCAAAACTCATGTTGAAATTTAATTGCCACTGTGACAGTGTTGAGAGGTGGGACCTTTAGGAGGTGATTGGGTCGGGGCTCCACCCTATGAATGAATTAAGGCCATTATTATGGGAATAGGTTAGTTATCATGGGACTTTGGCTGTCTGTTTCCCTTTCTTTTGCCCTTCCACCTTCTGCTCTTCAGTCATGGGATGACCCTCAGCAGATACCAGCACCATGCTCTTGGATTTCCCAGCTTCCAGAACCATGAGCCAAACAAACTTCTTTGGTTTATAAATTACCTAATCTGTGATATTCTGTTATAGCAGCAGAAAATGAAATAAGACAGATGTCAAAATGCTATTCTGACTAATTTTCCATTGCTGGCACTTCCTAAAAAGAACAGAGTTATCTCAACTATCATGATATAAAATGTTTAAATCATCAATTTATAATTTTTGTTATGACTTAACTGTTACCATTGGGAGGGTAAGATAGCATTGTGGTTAAAGAACACTGACAGAACTGAATTTGCCATTTATTAGCTATGGAAGATGAGCAAGTTTCATAACTTTCCTGAGCCTGATTTCTCTCTATAAAATAGGAACAATTATACTTGCTTTAGAAAACAGTAGTACCTCTAATTAATTAAGATGAAAATGTAAGGAATTCAGAAAATTACCTGGTACATACTAAGAGTTTAATAAATGATAGTTGAGGAAACATTCCCATTTTATAGATGAAGAAAATAGCCCTCAGAGGAATCGTTTCACATAATTATTAATGTAATGAACCAGAAATGAAACCCCAATTTCAGTTAAGCTCAGACCTACGTAATCGCAAAGCTCATGGCCTTTCCACTTCACTGTATTCTTTCCTGATTCCCAGATTTTCTCTTTCTCTCTCTCCCCACTACCTTTGCCTAATTGCAATAATTTTCACTCAAATTATTTTTCTTATTTTTTCCAAAGCAAATATCTCAAATAAACAAATCCTTTGCCTATTCACAATTAATACTAAAAAAAGATGTTTCTTGAGGGAAGAGGAAGTCCATTTTATTAAAAATATAACTTTTTCTAAAAACTGTAACATGTTTTCTTTTCTGTTATATAATCTCTTAATTGTGATCTATCACAAATGGCATTTTCTATCCTACTGATGGCCACTTGAAGCCTGTAATTGATTCAAAAGTATGTTGCACATAGGAAATGGACAGTTATCTATTTTGCTCAATGTAACACCCAAGTCCACACTAAAGCACAAATGCTATGACACCTATGACAGTGTCCTTCACCAGAAAATGTTTTTTAGAAAGAGTAGATATGGCTTGAACCTGGGAGGCGAAGGCTGCAGTTAGCCAAGATTGTGTCACTGCACTCCAGCCTGGGCAGCAGAGCAACAGCCCGTCTCAAAAAAATTAAAACCAAAAAAATGGTAGATATGTACTAAATTCTATTATCTCATTTTCTCTATCCCTTAAAATTTTTCTGGTCACAGATTTCTTATATATCTATGGCGACAAAGAAAGAAAAGTAAATGTAATCCCAAATCTCACGCTCTAGATTTTGTGCCTGTGACATATGGAACCTAAACTGACATTAGGAATTTAAACTTTTACCATCTTCTTTATTAAATGTTACTTGTTAAGACAATGAGTTGCCTTGGGCCACGTGCAGAAGAAATTTGGTAGACAATGCCCTTGTCTTTCGGGAACTTCATTTACACTTTTGGAAGGCACATTTGTGTTAATAATTTCCTCGTTTTAATAGCAACTCCCAATTGTAGTTTTAAGAGATAAGGGTTTCTCTATGTAGTATATTATAAACTGCCCCAAACATAGAAACTTGATTTAAAGTTTCTTTAAGTAAGAAACAACATTTTCTGTGTATCACTTTTAAGAGAAGTTAAGGATGTTATGAGGTAAAATAATGAGTTAATAATCATTGACCCACAACCAAAGAGAAAAATTAAACATAATTTTGAATAAAAGAACATGATACCAGAGTATTAATCCTAACATTTATTTTTAACATTAAGGAGTAATTATCCCAGCTTACTTTATTTAGGAAATATATTAAAATGTTAACAATGGCTGTTCTAGGTAGTAGAACCAAGGGCAAATTTATTTTTATCCTTAATTTGTTTTTCTTCATATTTTTCTGAATATTTTACATGTTCTATAATGAGTATGTACTTTTTTAAAATGTTAAAATAAAGGATGCTGAAATAAATGTCATGCATCACATAAAACAAATATTATTTTATTATATATTTATCTATTATATAAAATATAAATATAATATTTATTTTGTATATTTATTATATTACAATAATATGTACAAGTTTTGCCTTTTCCTTCAAAGTCAAAATAAGAATTTTTAAATGTCATGTCCAATTTTAAGTTTAACATCCATGACTTTGATATAATTTAAGTTCTGAAAAAATGATGTAAATTAAAGCTCAATCAAATAATATTTGTTCTCATATCAAACAGCAAATCATTGTTTTGATTCAAAGCTTCAATTTTACTTTTACTAAATTGACTTGTCTGTTAAATCAAAGGTCAATTTAATTTGTTTATGTAGACACAACTTCTATTTTATTTTAAAATATTTCAACTTTTAAATTAAGTGTAAATTAGAATTGGTTGGACAGAATAATACTTTGAGTTTTACTGTTTTTTCCAAATGTTCTATTCTAAAATATTTGCAAAGAGCATGATATTTTATAAAACTACAAAGATTTTTAAAGTAAAATATTTCTAGAATAAAATTTGTATTTAAGCAGACATAAGAAGAAAATGTTGACTCTGAGTGCTTTCGCTTTCCCTCGGGTTTACCTAGAAAGTTTTCTAGCTTCAAGGATGTCTGAAGATTGCTCACTAAGCAGTCAAGGAAGGAGAACCACTAGTCTGACATCAATTTTCCATTATAACGGTACAGCTTTGTTACAAGAAAAATGCACAGGGCAGATGACTTGCACCGAGTATCTACAATTCTCATTGCAATGATTTCTAAAAATTGAAATTAAAAACAAAACCTATGTTTATGGAGTATTTATTTAGCACCCGGGAACTGTTAAATCATTCACATATATTATCTCAATTGAATTCACAAAACAACTTGTGAAAAACAATCTGGGTACCCAGTTCTCCTCCCTTTCCTTTTTTCTCCCCATGCAAATCAGACCTCAGTCTGAGGGTTCTCCCATGTCTTCTAGCTCCCTTCCCCAATTCTTGCCTAATCCCATTTTGGGGTCTTCTGTGCAAACCTGAGCTAACATATATAGAACAATTTTTTTTTCTGAGAGAATATAAATTTTCTGAAGGTTCAAACATCTTTTTGAGAAATGCTTTCAAGTATGGCAAAGACATAGCATACTATACAACGGAATGATAAGTGTTTTCTACATTTTCATGCTACTAAAGTCATATATTAAGCAAAGTAGAGAATTGTAAAAATGTGCCCCTAATGTGTCTCTTGGTTAACTGGCTTTATAAAATAATCCTCAATGACTTCTTAGGCTGTATAGGTAGTAATTTTTAATACTATAAATATGACTAATATCATTACTATTACTAGTGTTTATTTTTTAAATAAACACTAGTTTAAAGTTATTGAGTTTTCCACTATTTCCAAACTTTTTTTCCTATTTCCCTGGAAAATTACAATGAGGAATGCCTTAAAAATAATGAGCTGGGGCCGGCCACGGTGGCTCACACCTGTAATCCCAGCACTTTGGGAGGCTGAGGCAGGCGGATCACCTGAGGTCAGGAGTTTGAGACCAGCCTGGCCAACATGGCGAAACCCCGTCTCTAATAAAAAAAAAAAAAAATACAAAAATGAGCCAGGTGTGGTGGCTGGCACCTGTAATCACAGCTACTAGGGAGGCTGAGGCAGGAGAATCGCTTGAAACCGGGAGGCAGAGGTTGCAGTGAGCCAAGATCACACCATTGCATTGCAGCCTGGGCGACAAGAGTGAAACTCCATCTCGATAATAATAATGATAACGATAATAATAATAATAATGAGCTGGGTACAGTGGCGTGTCTGTAGTCCCAGTTACTAGGGAGGCTGAAAGCAGGAGGATTGCATGAGCTAGGAGTTCAAGATCAGCCTGGGCAACATAGCTAGTTCCCCTTACTAAGAAAAAAAAAGGAGGGTAAAGTAAAAAAATATACAATATGATAGTGTGATAGAGTGGAAAACATAAAGGCTTTAAAATTAGAAAAACTGAGTTTGAAACCATAACAGCCTACCACTAGCAAAGTCTGTGAGACCTTCGACAAGTTATTAACATTTTTCTCCTTCAGTTTTCTTATCTGTAAAATGAAAATAACATTATTTAACTTGGGGTTATTGAAAACTCAGTAAGTGAGGCGACTTATGTCGGTCTTACAAGTAATGTTTGTTTTTATTTTATATTCTTTTTTGGCCCTGTATGCACTGAGACAGATCTATAAATATTCAAAAATGAATTTTGATTTAAAGATAATTTAATTTAATTGCGGAGACAATGTTTATCAAGCTGTTGTTGGAGGAATGTATATAAACTCTATATAACATACATTAGGCATGATATATACTTACCCACATATGCAGACCTATTAGAACCACAGCACTCATCTGTGACTAATAAATTTATTTTAGCCTCTGGGCAACAAACTTTATAAATTATATTTCAGAACTATTTTTGTAAAAAGCATTATGAACGCATTTTATCTATATCCAGTGCTATAAGAGAAAACACATTTAGAAAGATAAGATCATTCATCCCTATACCTGTGGCTCTTTTCCCTTAGAAGTTTCTCTTAGTAAAGTTTTTCATCTGAGTTGATTAATGTAGATGTGTATATACATACAACTATATCAAAAATTATATATAAAGAGAAGGAGGGGGACTTAGGGATCTACTTAGCCACCGGTTTTGCTCTGAAGATAGGAGAAAATGCTAGCTTTAGACAAGAAGTTCTCTCTTCAAAGGTCAAGAGCTTTTCTTAATTTTGATAGCTCTGGCAACTTGTTCAGAAAAATCCACAAGTCTAGATCTGCAAATGCTTGAAATGCTCCATCGGACAGACCAAAAATTCAGAATACTACAAACACTCACGTCTCTGCAGAAAAAGATAATCTATATTACTCTTTCCTCTTGCCTATAATTTTAGTGCCTGCAACCCTGCCCTCTGGGACGATCAACTGATTTGGGCGAGATGGGTAAAGGAGGACAAAGAAAGGGGAGGGAGGGAGGAAACAGCATCATCATTGTCGCTGATTTCCCATTTATTTTAGTAAAAAAATTTGTCCTCTGAGGTTTTTGTATCTAAGATGACAAGCCAGGTAAAAACCTAAGAGATTGGGTAGACTTCTCAGGAAGTGTTATAGTAGCAGGTGAAACCCTGGAGAAAAACCCATACCTGTGAGGGCATTTGAACCTGTCGGGGTGGGGAAGTGGGAATGACCTGTGTCTACTACTCCCTTCCTCTCTCTCCATCCTTGGGTAACCTGGCCAACGGCAGCTGCCGGAAATGAATGACTTCAGCCACTGAACCATCCTTAGGCGAATGAATGGCTTCCATCTTAACTCTAATTTTCCTTTAGCCAATTCTGTTTTTGTGCCTCCTGAGTTCTCGTTAAGGTCAAAACAACATTAGTGGTTTTTAAGGTGTTAAGTTGGTTGTCTTTTTCTCACATTTTACAAGCAAAACACAGAAAATGAGAAACAACAAGAAATCCCTCATGGTCTTAAAAACAATCTATTTGAAAATTTCAGCATGCAGATCCAGTTAAATTTAAATTCAGTTAAATTTAACGTGCCAAATTTCAAATGGAAATTTGGTTCTCTGCATTTTAAAATGTGTAACAACTGCTTACGATATTCTATTTGAAACATATCACAATGTACATGATAGAATTAAAGGGTCATTTATATAAATTGTTATAGACTACAACACAAACATTGTTTTCAGAGGAATTCTTAAAATCATCTAATCCAATCCACTCATTTTTAAAATGAGAAAACTAAGAGAAATGGAGAGTCTATTCAGAAGCAAAATCACATTGTGGTTTTAAAAAAAAATTCAGCTGGCACACATGGGTACAAGTATAAAGGTTGTTAAAATATATTGATATATTTCTGCTTCAGTTGGTAAATTGCCACTGCCCTGTGTCCTCTGAGTGCCCCACTCTATCATGGTCTTCTGTCACCTTCCCTAGTAGCTTTTGGACACTTCAATATAGCAACTAAGGAGTTAACACCTTGCAAACAAGAGACCCTTGGGAGCCAGGCTTCTCCACTGAAAGCCAGGTCCTTTCAGATTGGTTGATTGCATAAACATGCAGACAGATAAATAGTTTTTGGTATCTCCCCTGCATGCAGTCAATGGCAGAAATTTAAATAATCAACGGTGGTGGAAACTTGACAGTTGACCCAGCATCCATTCTCATGCTTTCATTTTTCTCAAAATAATTCAGGACTCTTATGCCTAGGCAGTCATCTATCTGGTCTTTCTCATGCAGCTCTTGTGTTTTTGTAAAAGTTGAACCCACTCTTAGCCTCCTGGCAAAGCCTTGATAGACTTCACTATAAGGTGGGCATGTGACCAACCAACCAGGCTGTTTGGAATGCCAAGACAGCATTGCTCTCTCTTTCTCTGTGCCCTATTGAAGCCACCCTATGAAACAAGAGAGCCAGACTTAGAATAAAGTTTACATGGTTGACTGTAAAAAGAAAAGACAAAGTCAAAACTAAGCAAAATGAAACAAAACAAAACATAAAAATGGAGTCCTT
Organism: Homo sapiens; assembly: GCF_000001405.40. Classification (NCBI taxonomy): domain Eukaryota; kingdom Metazoa; phylum Chordata; class Mammalia; order Primates; family Hominidae; genus Homo; species Homo sapiens. Next base: position 98,550,043 of record NC_000003.12, read on the forward strand.
GTTGGCATGACTGAGCTTCTAGATTAACCAGCCTACACCTGAGCCTTCCAAGTAACTGAACCTGTACACTTCTTTTGTTATTTAAGCCTGTTTGAGTTGAATTTTCTTTTACCTGAAATCCTAAAGGACTTACCTTATAAACTAGTTCCCCACCAAAGCTTTGCCAAGATTCTCTAATACAATCCTTTAGTTATATGATAAGGTAAAATTTCCCTAAATATGTTCTGAAAAGTACTAATTCCAAGAGAAATTAATAATTATGGTCCTGAAGAGGAACAGCTCAATAAACAGAGTTAGACAGACAGACCTGGATTATTTAACAAAGATTTGTGGTATACGCAAAACATAATTTTTATTTATTATTCCCATTCTAACCTTTTAAAATTTATTCATTAGGGCACTCTTCTTCTGCCCTTGCCTGAAGAATTTGGCAGGTCCATTGACTTTTCTTCTTACTCTTTGGGAAGAGCTTTGAAGCATAAAACACAGTGTCAATTTCGTTCTTTCCTTCCTCTCACTATTCACCTACTCACCAGCTGCTCAAAGAAAGGTGGAGTGGGGGTAAGGTTACCAGATTTAGTCAATAGAAATACAAGATGCCTAGTTAAATTTGAATTTAAATGAATAGTAAATGATTTTTTAGTATAAGTATGTCCCAAAGATTATTTGTCCATCTGAAATTCAAATCTAACTGAGCCTTATATTCTTTCTGATAACCTTAGGTGAGGCAGAGAGGAAAGGTAGGGGGATTTGGTTTGTTGAGCAACTTCCTGTTCTTTGGGCATGGCAGATAGCGAAGGTTATGCAGTTGAGCCAATTTTATGGGTTCTTTGAACATCCCATCATAGGAGACATCTCCAACATCAACTCTCAAGACTTAAGTGATACTCCTCATTCCCCAGGATGCCCACCCCTCTTTAGCCTCTGGTCCACCAGCAGAGGGACTATACACCAGTTACTACCCCCCATCACCAACCCTTGGTTCACAGGCAACAATGAAGCATCTTTGCCCCCATGCAAAGTGGATTCCTGGCCTGATCATCTTTGCCCCCATGCAACATTGCCAAAGCATCTTTGTCCCCACGCAACAGCGAATTCCTGGCCTGACCATCAAAGTCCTAATGAACCAACTTTTGTATTTAGACTTTTCAGGAGAGAATCAACTTGTCTAGAGTGCTCTGGCATACTGCAAACACACTTAAGCTCTTTAAGAGTAGTCCCACGGAAGCCCCTCCCAGCTTGCTGGGCTTGGTGTAGGAGACAGTAACTTTCCCAAGTGGAAAAAGCTGAGGCCCCATAGCACAGCTACTAGTCACTTTTAAGGAAAGCTCACAAAAACCCTCTCTTTATTCTCTGACGGGATCCAAGAGTTTGGAATCCATTCCCAGATATTATGCTTGTACCATCTGCATATAGTGACTTAGCAACAACTTACTTGAGATTTTTGCATTTATTTTATCTTTATGCCTTGTTGAAATTTCAATTTTAACATTCTGTTATATAGCTTTCTTTTCTGGGAAAATTCTCACAACTTTTAATATAGCATGACTAAAGCAAACCTGAAGGAGAGCTGAACTGCCTTCCTAGACTGGCTGTCTCATGCATGACCTCTACTCCTATTTGCCGAAAATATCCTCCCTATAACAAAATAATGGCAGGAATTTTAGGGGACTGGATTATTGTAAGATTCCTGGTGAAACCACAGTCCTCAAACCATACCTTGAAAAAATTCCTGCAGGAGTTAAAAACATTTCCCTTTATTGTATTCTTCTAATCTCCCATCTCATTCTACAAAACTCCTCCACAGAGGCCTTTGCTCCTCAGGCTTCTTATCTAAGTAGTGCCACGTGTCAAGTCCAAGGTCCCTGAATAGAAAGATTAGACTGGGTAAAACAGGAGTATGGCTTTCATGGGATCTGGGACCTATAATAACCTCTAACTATGAAGTTTAGGTGAGAGGCTTCCTCATCCGGCTACAAAGACCTCAGTTTCTTAGGTGTGAAAGGAGGAAGTTGAACTACGTAGTTTCAAATGACCCCTCCAACCTGAAAAACAGATGACTTTGATTCTAAATTCTTCAGGGAGTAGGACATGGATGCTGCAACAGTCTTATACCTTAGGTTAATTCTAAGAATTAAAAGAACCTTCACTGAAAGGAGAGTGACACTGACGAAGGTAGAAAGTTTTCGTGGTAGCTTCCTAAGGAAAATGTGGCAGAATTAAATGATCCTACTTGGAAATAGAGAAGTAAGATTTGTAACTACAACAGACCAAGCCATTCCCAGGCAGTGGATCTCACTGGGCAAGCAGAGACCTTGGCGTCTCTCACTGTACCTGGGCCACTTTCCATAGTCCATGCTCTGCCAGTGTTACTGAAACACCAAGGGTTTGGTCTAGGTCCTGCTGCTCACAGCACAGAAAGTCAATCACTGAGATAATGGTTATTGCCAAGGAAGAAGATTTTAATCAAGTGCTATAGCCTAGGAGATGGGAGGTCAGTCTCATATTCATCTCCCTGACTGACTAAAATTAGGACTTTATATAGCAGGAAAGAAGTGTAACTATGTACGGAAAAACAGGAACCTGGGAGGGATAAGGGTGCAATCATGATGAATGAGGGGCCCTGAGTCTCAGTGTCTGGATGCTATGATCTGGTGAGTTTCAGTTCTTTCATACTTTTTGAGAGGGCTAGGGGTCCTATCCTCAGAAAGAAACACAGATAAAACAAATGTAAGTTTCAAGCTTTAAGAAGAGAAGGGACAATTTCTGTTTATCCAAAATAACTGTCTATGAAACTATTGGGTGAGTTTCACCAAGTTTGAGTCCAAAGCCTATCTCAAGTCAGGTAATCCATTAATGGAAATGGAATCTCTCTCTCTCTCGCTCTCTCTCTCTCTAATTGTACAAAACTCTTAGATTACACTAAAAGTGCCTCATATTCTTTCGTGGTATTAGGTGATGTATCAGGATCCCAGGAGGAAACAGACAGCTTGCCAAAATTAATCAAAGGGTGCTTTCCAAAGGGGATCACAAGGCATAGTGCGGTAGCCTGGGGTTTGTAACAACAAAACTTTTATCTATGTCCAAAAAGAAGAAGAAAGAGCTGTTCTAAGCCCCTGAAAGAAGACAGTGTGCTGCCCTCTCCACATTTCTCTAGAGAAGGCTTCCAACTTGAAGCGGCCCCACAGGGAAAGTGCCAAAATAAGTACCCGTGAAGCCAGTAAAAGACATTTTGAAGTCATCCCAGTTCTTGCTAGTTGAAGTACTTTCCAAAGCAATTCTCTTAATGCTTACAGTTCGTTGAAAGTGTATCCTCACTGAGGAGAAGCCAGAGGCAGAAAATTCTTCCGGCAATGCACATGCAAAACAACACTGACTTTCTGATGTGGGTTAGGTGTGAGTACAATCTTAATCTAAAATGACTCCTTAAATATGCTCCTCTACCTGAGATTAAGGTACTGGGGAAAAAAACGTTCTGAAAGTTTGCTACTTGTTATTCTTTCTAATGAAATACAGGAAAAACTTATTTTTCTTTGGATACACTCAGTGTGAATAAAATTAACTCATGGACCAAATTCCTAGATTTAAACTGGAAGGAAGTAAGCTCTAGAGCCCTATCTTAAATTCCCAGCATTGTTTCAGAAGGCCACTGGAGTCAAACTTTCATAGCCTTAGCATAGAGTTGTTTCATCTGAGGACCTTCTCGTGTGTCCTGCGCTGTCCAGTATATTTCTTCATTTAAAAACTTCAGTTAGATCTTTTCTCTTAATTGCATTTTTACCCAAAAGAATAAGCCAAATTCCTGCAAGGTTTAGGAAATATATGTATATGGCAAAGTACTGGACTAGCGAATATATGGCAAAGTACTTCCTCACTTCACACCCATACTCACAACAGATGTGGCTAATCAACTGCTTCCAGTTCCTGGAAATTGTAAAATATGGTAGTGAGTTTCTCTGTCAACAAATTCTCTGTTGGCCAAAGGAAGTAGCTTCTGTGTCCTTCCTCTTTTAGTCCCTTCAGGCCTTTCAAAGTGCTATTAATATATACTATAAAAGCTTTGTTAGGATCTATGTAATAAATCATTACCTCATAGAAATAGATCATTCCCTGTAATTAACCTTTTACCAGCATTACTAATCAATTATGCTTCTCTTTCTTATCTGCTCCTGTTAATCTTGTAACATTCCATATGTTAAGTAGAAATCATAACTAATTAACATTTATCCTTTAGGTAGGCCAGGCTACTTACTAAAAATACTCTGCAAAACAGTTTGTCTTCTTATGGTTTACTGTTTACAACCTGAGCCAGAATCCTTCCACTTCCAAGTAAGACTGGGGTTCAACTGGGGTGGGGAGCACATCAAATGAGGGGGTACATCATTCCCTCCTTGTCTAATGCTTTAAGACTAATCAAATCAAATTCTGTAACACTAAAGTTGGAAAAGAACTCTCTTGATGCTTAAGATAAGTAATTTTTAAGACAATGTAAATACACTTTAACGAAAGGAAAGAAAAAAGGGAAAAAAGACAATGTAATACACTTAGAACAAAAGACTTGTCATACACGATACATAACACAAAAGATTAGCTTCAGGAGAATGTAGATAATTGCATGATGGTAGATTTTTATCTTTCACTCATTTGTTCAACAAACATCAACCATTACCAAGCCAAACACTTGCCAGATACTGTTTTAGGCATTGTATATAGGCTCATCCTAGACTTTAAAAATTGTCTGGAGAGTAACCACCAGGTCGCCATACATAATATCCCTGGATTGGTCTAAAACAGGTAGGATTTGGGTGGATGAATTGTAAATCTGATCCAGTTTGGCATTTCTTATGATCTAATAACAATTCATTGTGTATATTGATTTAAGAAAATATAGAAACATAATACTACCTAATGCAAACTCTTTGATCTGAGTGATAAAGAATTTGTATAAATAGACAAAAATAAACACCCAGACTGAAGTCCTACCTGTTCACTTGATTAAAACTGTATCTCTTTAAAAGATGGATACTTTGGCCAAATAGTTGGCTTTTTCTGTTCTACGTTCTGAGCTACACCAGTTTCTCCAACATCAAAGTTTCCTTTTCCACCACCTTAATTCGCCATCCTGCTGTCCAAAGCTCATAACTTCAGAGCTTCACTTTGTCCCCAGACTTATACACTGAATTCCAGTGAACCAGAAAGAATGCTCATGGAATACAATTAGTGACTAAACAATTCCAAAACGCTATTGGTTTGCTTTCTTTCTAGACGATGTACTTAGAAGAACAATAATAAAATTTCAAAGGGACCAAAATCTTTCTTTCTACTCCTCTCACATGAATCACCACCTCCTTTGCAAACAAGTGATTATTTACAAAGCTTGTTAAAAAAGTAGTTTAGGCTTGCATTTCATTTAGAATTGCTCTATTGCTCCATATTTTGTTTTCCCCTATGATTTAAGAATAGTTTTATTGTACATATCTTTACAAATATTTAAATCAAAGAGAATTACTGTAGTTTAAAAAATAGAAAAACGGGGCCAGGCGTGGTGACTCACGCCTGTAATCCCAGCACTTTGGGAGGCTGAAGCGGGCGGATCACCTAAGGTCGAGAGTTTGAGATCAGCCTGACAAACATGGAGAAACCCCGTCTCTACTAAAAATACAAAATTAGCAGGGCATGGCGGCACATGCCTGTAACCCCAGCTACTCGGGAGGCTGAGGCAGGGGAATCGCTTGAACCCAGGAGGCGGAGGTTGCGGTGAGCCGAGATGGCGCCATTGCACTCCAGCCTGGGCAACAAAAGCGAAACTCCGTCTGAAAAAAAAAAAAAGAAAGAAAAAGAAAAAGAAAAACAACAGAGGAAAAAACACGGCATGGGTTATGAAAACAGTTATCGAAACAAAAGATTATCTCAGGTGAAAAAAGGAAATTGACAGCGCTACGTAAGCAAAAAGATCTCAGATTGTACTTGTTGACCAGGAGGTAACTGGTAATTAGGAAAGTAAACATTTCTGCCCTCATCTACTATGCAAAACTACATTGTCTTTTCATAAAATTTTGCAGAATCTTACCTTAAAGGGGAAGATCACAGGTTACTACATCACTGCTTTTTTATTCAAACTAAAAATCATACTTCAGTGTTTTTAAAAAGTTAAATGAAATCCAGAACGCCAAATAAAAGGCCAATAGAGAAAAAGAGAAGGAAGCCAGATGCATGCCTGTATTTCTGGAAGGAGAGTTTCTCAAAGGCTTTTTTTTGAAACCTCCTTAGCTAGAGCTAAGGTTTGAGGTTAGCTGAGCATCGCGTGCCATTCTTGAAGGGTCCTAGGCACTGACTCATTTGCTTTATCATTTCTCATGAAAGCAAGAGGTGGCAGCCATCACCAGAGAGCAAAGGGGTGACTTGGTGACTGATCTCATTACTGAACTAAGGAGAGCACTCTCACGCAAAGTTCAGAACCTCCCCACACCCAGAGAAACTCTGCCAGTTCATAGAAAAGAAGTTATTTCCACCCAAGAAGACAAGTGGCAACTGGAAACAGATGTGAAGAAAACAAGAATAAACACCTTTTTCAGAAATATAACAACTGTAACAAATAATCAGTTTTTCCAGTTCCCACCTGTACACCATGCTCTCAACTATATACTGCAAGTTAAAACAGAATTGATCATGGTTCTGTATTTTTAAATTCTCTCGCTTTCTAAATACATCACTTCACTTTTAACAGTCCAAAGAGCTCTTTATAATTTACTTCCTCTAAGGTAAATTTAGGTGCAATTTTAATAGACTGGTAGGGGCAAATGCCTCATTCCCACCCAAAGGGTTGAGGAATGAGTGATGGACACGGTGAGCTAGGAGAAGTAGAAAGTGATCAGTGCCCTGTGGGAAATAATGGGAATGTCACAGGTTTCTTCTTTTCTGGGTCACTGGGGCATGCCTTTTGATTGAGCATAACACAGATTAATGTCATTGCCTGTGGATTTTGGAAGGAAATTGCAACAACTTTGGTTGATCACTTACTGGAGTAGAGACGGGGAGAGACAGATACTTTTCTACTTTACATGCATTTCTATTTCAATCCTTTAAGCAACCAGGAGAGTAAATATTTTTATTCCAATTTTAGGATGAGAAAGTGGACACATGGAGTTAATAGAAAAGGAGAGTAAAAATGATGGAATACAGGCAGACTGGCCCCATTGTCAAACCGTAGTCTGAATGTTTCAAAAGCACATCTGCCTTTTTTGTGACCAATAACCAGCATTTTTGTATAACTACAATTAGTGAAGCATGTCCTCATATATTATCTCAATTTATCCTCATTAAAGCACAGATAGAATGTGCTATTCTTAAGCTTGTTACTCAGGTGAGAAAAACGAGTTTCAGGGAATTCTCAAGATCACTCATCCAGGAAGTGATAGAGCCACCACCAGAACCCAAATCTTGTGCCTTCAAATCAAATCCTCTCCTCTTTCAGTTTTGCCTCTCACCTCTCATCTCCACTCCCATCCTCTTATGATTCATGGGAAGGTTGTGAGCTGCCGTAGACTCTCACACCCACTTGCAAGCTGAACTGGAGCTTTAGCCTGTCAGCTACACAGCTTCCTTGTAGCACTTGAATTTTTCATCAGTTATTTGCACCTTAATATGACAAAGGATATGAGATGAGGTTTTTTTGTGACACATTGTAATAACCCAAAGTTGTTAGTTTACATTAGGGCTCACTCCTGGTGTTGTATATTCTATGGATTGGGACAAATGCGTAATGACATACATCCACCATTACAGTATCATACAGAGTAGTTTCACTGCCCTAAAAATCCTTTGTGTGCCACCTATTAATCCCCCCTACTCCCCACAACCACTCATTTTTTTACTCTGAGATGAGTTTTTAACGGTAGGAAAAAAAAAGAAAATTTGAACAAACAGAAATACAGAAGATGAGGGCATTTAGTACTTAAAATATGTGGGATTATGTGGGTGGGAGAATTGAAGATCTAAGGAGAAACTGCAACTTTGTAAGTGAATTAGAGACACATCTTTCTCTTCCCCACCCATCCTCCCGTCTTGATAAAGACTCAGCTCAGTGGTTTGCAAACATTTTTTTAAATTTAATTTTATTTTATTTTAAGTTCTGGGATACACGTGCAGGATGTGCAGGTTTGTTACACAGGTAAACGTGTGCCACAGTGGTTTGCTGCATCTATCAACCCATCACCTAGGTATTAAGCCCAGCCTACGTTAGTTATTTATCCTGATGCTCTCCCTCCCCCGACTCTGACAGGCCCCAGTGTGTGTTGTTCCCCTCCTTGTGTACATGTGTTCAAAAACCCTACCTTGAAGTCAAAGCTTACATATATATACATCACATATTAGGTAAGAACATAATTGACATAAATTTGTGTTGGAATAAAAGCATAGCTATTTTAATCAGATTTATAGTCCTATATGTACTTCAGCATTCACTTCAGCTGTTTGGAAAAAAAGAACAAAATAAGAAGCTGGATCTCTCTCAACCCTTATGTCAAAATACATTTCTGGTGCAGTGATGTGCTAGAGTTGGCATATATCAGCTGGCAAGAGCCAACTGTGCACATCTTTTCCTAACTCTGTGTTCAGCGAAGTCACATGGGCAGCTTGAAATTGGACATGATGGGAGTATTTACACTTTGGAAATTGGCAAATACTACAATTCAGAGCTTTTTGTTGTTGTTTTGAGAGCCAATTTTGTAGTCATTGCTACTGGTAGGAAAAAACTAGTATCTTATTAACTCAGAAGATAATATGGGAGTTTTCCTTTGAACAATTCCCAGTGTGGTAGGGAAAGCTTTATAAAACCTAAAATCTTTTTCTAAAAGATACATTTTACACAAACACATAGACCAATGGAACAGAATAGAGAACTCAGAAATAAGACTGCACACCTACAACCATCTGATCGTCGACAAACCTGACAAAGACAAGCAATGGGAAAAGGGTCTCTATTTAATAAATGGTGCTGGGAGAACTGGCTAGCCATATGCAGAAAATTGAAACTGGATCCCTTCCTTGTACCTTCTACAAAACTAAAACTCAAGATGGATTAAAGACTCAAATGTAAAACCCAAAACAATAAAAACCTTAGAAGAAAATCTAGGCAATACCATTCAGGACATAAGCACAGGCAAAGATTTCATGATGAAAACACCAAAAGCAATTGCAACAAAAGCAAAAATTGACAAATGGGATCTAATTGAACTAAAGAGCTTCTGCACAGCAAAAGAAATTATCATTAGAGTGAACAGACAACCTACAGAATGGGAGAAAATTTTTGCAATCTATCTGATGGGCAAAGGTCTAATATCCAGAGTCAACAAGGAACTTAAACAAATTTATAAGAAAAAAACAACTCCTTTTAAAGGTGGGCAAAGGACACGAATAGACACTTCTCAAAAGAAGACATTCATGCAGCCAACAAACATATGAATAAAAGCTCAATATCACCTATATTAGAGAAATGCAAATCAAAACCATAATGAGACACAATTTCATGCAAGTCAGAATAGCAATTACTACAACATCAAGAAACAACAGATGCTGGTGAGGTTGCTGAGAAAAGGGAACACTTTTACACTGTCAGTGGGAATGTAAATTATTTCAACCATGTGGAAGACAGTGTGGCAATTCCTCAAACATCTAGAAGCAGAAATACCATTTGACCCAGCAATCCCACTACTGGGTATATACCCAAAGGAAAATAAATCATTCTATTTTAAAGATACATGCATGCATGTGTTTATTGCAGCAGTATTCCCAATAGCAAAGACATGGAATTAACCCAAATGCCCATCAATGATAGACTGGATAAAGAAAATGTGATACATATACACCATGGAATACTACGCAGCCATAAAAAGGAACAAGATCATATCATTTGCAGGGACATGGATGGAGCTGGAAGCTGTTATCCTCAGCAAACTAATGCAGGAACAGAAAACCAGGCACTGCATGTTCTCACTTATAAGTGGGAGCCAAATGATGAGGACACATGGACACACGGTGGGCAACAACACATGTTGGGGTGTGTCATGGGAGCAGGGGGAGGGAGAGCATCAGGAATAATAACTAATAGATGTTGGGCTTAACACTTAGGTGATAGGTTGATCTGTGCAGCAAACCACCATGGCACGCATTTACCTATGTAACAAACCTGTATATCCTGCACATGTACCCCAGAACTTAAAATAAAAATTGATGAAAAAATAAAAGATACATTTTACTACAAAAAGTAAACATTTTCTGCCCTAAAAAGATGTATAAACTATGTTACAATAAAAATTTCAAAATGGGGAAAAACATGCATACTTATAAAAAAGGGCTAATTTTCTTATTATACAAAAAGCTCTAATAGCAAAAAGATCAATTCAATATAAAGCGAGTTAAGATATAAATTGGCAGTTAACAGAAATATAAATATAAATTGTCAATGAATATTTTATAAATGCTCAACCTCCTGCATAACTAAGTCCAAGTTGGAAAAAAAAAAACTTTTTTAAAAGTTATAAAATGGCAAAATTATAGTGTGAGCTTCAATGTTGAGGGTAGGTATGGAGAAGCCCACTCATTCACTGTGGGACACTGTTAAATTAAATTGCATATTATTAAGTGAAATTTAAAATTCACACTCTTTTCAACTATTTTCAATTCTATTCCTAAGAATTTGTTTTACAGACTTTTTATATTCTCACAAAAATAAGTAGACGTGGATGATCATTGTGACATTGTTTGTCTATTAGTTATCTACTCCTGTGCTTAAAAATTACCCCAAAACTTTAAAGTTTAAAGTCATAATAGACATCATTATCTCATAGAGTTTCTGTGTCTCAGTTATTGGAGAGCAATTTAGTTGAGTGGCTGTTTCATGGGGTTGTAGTCAATGTGTTGACAGAGACTGCAGTCATCTCAAAGTCTGACTGGGGCTGGAAGATCCAATTCCAATTTGACCTGTGGGCTGACAAGTTGCAAGAGGGCCAAGCTCCTCACCCCTTGCCTCCCAATATAACTGTTGGAGGATCTTCATGATAAGTTAACTGGCATCTCCCAGAATGAGTAATTCAAGAAAGTACAAGGCAGAAGCCACTATGCTTTTTATAACCTAGTCGTGGAAGTCATATGTTGCCATTCGCACAATGTCTTCTTGTTACACAGGACAGACTAATTCAATGAGGGAAGGGAATACACAAGGAGATAATGCTCATTGGGGGCCATCTTTTGAGACTGCCTGCCACAGTTTGGAAGGATGAAAAAAACAAAGAAAGGAAAAGTATCTTAATATCCATTGATAAAGTACTGGGTAAATAAATTTTTAAACTTAATTAAATGTTATAGAGCATTTAATATATTAATTAAATGTTATAGAGCTTTTAATATATATTTAATATGTAATATAAAATTATAAGGTGTTTATTAAAAAGAAGGAAGCAGCCTAAATGTGTTGCTATGGAAAAATGCCCAAAATACACTAAAGTATATAAAGCACATATTTATATATTTATTATAAGACTCCTTCAATATTTTTATAAAAATAGACATTTATGCATAGTTATATGCATAAGAGTGAGAAATTTCCTCAAAGATGTATAAGGATCTATCAGTGGGTGGTGAAACCTGGGGGTGAGATAGTGGTAGGGATATGTAACTTTTTATTTTATGCCGTATACTTATACTAGTAATGTTTGAAAAAAAACTTACAATGAAAATGTATTACATTTATAATATTTAAAACTAGCAAAATTATGCTCCACAGAGCTCTACAGGACACATAGCCAAAGGGGAATATCATTTGAGCCAAGCTCAGACAGACTTCTCCCTGACTATCTCCTGCTCAGAGGAGCTGAGTATGTAGGCAGGAGAAACATACGTTGGTTTTCTGAATAGAGAACTGAGAGCTACCCAATCTCTAGTCTTCAGCCTTTGCAAAGCTGGATTAACAAGATGGTAATTATCCCAAAAGTAGAATTCTATTGTGGCATATTTCTCCCTATTCTGAAGCCATAGGGTCCATCAGAGAATCAGGAAGCTGAGAATCTGCAGGGATGGCAGGGTATGCAGTCGGCAGCAGTTACACAGGATCACACCACAGTGGAAAACCTCTCAGCACCTTGGTGTTAGCAAAACTCAGCTCCAGTGGATTTCCAAAGCATCCACTACTATTACAGCAAGGCCAGGGCATCTGAACACCTGTCTTAGAAGATTTTCAGGAACTGTAGCGGCTGGGAGTTGAGTGAGCACTCTTGGTGGATTACCTTGAAGTGATGGAGACCCAGGTCAGCCTGTGCTCAGTTGATTACAAGGCCAAGTTGGGGGTTTGAACCCTCAAAAGAAATCCTCCACTGAGTTGAGGAAAAGGATAGCTGAGAATTGTCTGCAGCGAGAAACCACAAGACCTCTGAGTCACAGAGCTTTAAAGGAAGCCTTCTAATAGCTGGTATCAAAATGCAAATAATATAAGAATTATACAGATGCAGTTAACATTTATTGAAGACTTATTTTTCATCTACTAATTATACTCATTTTGTAGATGAAAAAGATGAGAATTGGAGAAGTTAGGCAATCTTCCCAAGGATATTACACATCCTTTAAATTTTTCAGTTTTAACAAATGATTCAAAAATGTCTTTTTAAAAAAATGAAATTTTGATCAAACATTTTAAGAACTTCTGAAACATTTCTGCACAAGACAATTTAAAAACCACTGCTTTGCTATTTAACCACTGGAACCAGTAGGTGGAATTTACGGAAAGGTAGATTTCTGTTCAATATAAAATATAAGTTTATTCATAACTAAATTATCCAATTATAAAATGAAATTTTCTGAGGGGTAGTTAAGTTCTCCATCACTGGAAATGTTCAAGCAGAATCACTATTATTACCTCTTAGGTATATTAGAAGTGTGAGCAGCATACAATTGGATTTCCTTCCAAAACTAAGATCTGATGTTCTCTGAAAAGAGGCTTCACTTTTCTTTCTTTCTTTCCTTCTTTTTCTTTCTTTCTTTCCCTCCTTCTTTTCTTTCTTTCTTTTTTTTTTTCTTGAGGTGGAGTCTCGCTCTGTCGCCCAGGCTGGAGTGCAGTGGCACAATCTTTGCTCACTGCAACTTCTGCCTCCCAGGTTCAAGTGATTCTCTTGCCTCAGCCTCCTGAGTAGCTGGGACAGGCATGTGCCACCAAGCGCAGCTAATTTTTGTATTTTTAGCAGAGATGGGGTTTCACCATGTTGGCCAGCCTGGTCTCAAACTCCTGACCTCAGATGATCCATCTGCCTCGGCCTCCCAAAGTGCTGGGATTACAGGTGTGAGCCACCGTGCCTGGCATTCACTTTGTTATCTCTCAGGTTAAATTGAGTCAAAACTTCTGATTACAGAAGGCTGAACTAAGTATATTTCCTGAAATTTTGGAGTTTTAATAGTAATAGTAAACATGTATAAAGCACTTACTATGTGCTTGGCACTGTTTTAATTGCTTTACATTTGTTAACATAGGTCATCTTTTCTACTGTCCTATTGAGGTATGTATTATTTATACAGAATTACATTGAATTCTAACCTCAAAATCTAGCTACCAAGTCCATGTTCTTCAGCAGTTTGTGATATTTATGCTACATATAGTGATACAGTTGCAAGTATATGACCCTACAAGTGGATAAGAGTTTAGCTAAAACACTGCAAATAAATGAATAAACAGATGCAGGAAGTGGTTTGTTGCATAATAGGGAGTTTCTATCCATGTTTCTATAGTTGTGTCACCAAACCACAGGTTGGTACTTTGAAAAAAATCAGTGCTATAAAAGCTTTCGTATCATTAACATTCCTTAATTCTGAACTCAGTAAAAGCTTAATCAAAGATGGTATTAGGAGAATACAAGTTCTCTAGCATTTTTTATTTGTTTGTTTCCATAACTATAGGATTTGTTTTCAAAGAGTAACAACCATAAGACATTTACAGTTCCTTTCTTGAATGCAAATAATGGTTAGGGGCTGGAGGCACCTAAACTGTGAGACAAGGTATTGATTCCTATTGAGCTTTCATAATTCTGGGTGAGAGTGATGTCAGAGGCCAGACTATTTTTTTTTTTTTTTTTTTTTTTTTTTTGTGGCAGGGTCCCTCTCTGTCGCCCGGGCTGGAGTGCAGTTGTGTGATCTCAGCTCACTGCAACCTCCACCTCCCAGGCTCAAGTGATTCTCGTGCCTCAGCCTCCCAAGTAGCTGGGATTACAGGCACATGCCACCACACCTGGCTAACTTTTGTATTTTTAGCAGAGACTAAACAGGGTTTCACCATGTTGGCCAGGCTGGTCTCAAACTCCTGGTCGCAAGTGATCTGCCTGCCTTGGCCTCCCAAAGTGTTGGGATTGCAGGTGTGAGCCACGGCACCCAGCCCAGACTACCTTTTGCTCAGCACTTGGCTCTGTGGGGGTGAGCAAAAACTTCAACCCTCCACACCTCAATTTTCTCAGGCATGCAATGAGAATAACTTCCTCGGGGTTATTTCAGATATTGACTAAGTTAACTTAAGTAATGTTAGAACACTGTCTGGCACCCTCAGTGTTGGGTATTAGCACTAGCTGGTGTGAAGAGAGATGGAGCATATAAATGTAAATTTAAGTTTACAAAGAGATAAATAATTTGACTGTTATGTGAGAGTCAGGTGAGAGTTACAGATACCAAATATACCTGGGTTTAAAGAGAGGTGTGACTGTTATGGGTGGCAGTGTTGTGGCCCACAGGGGCAGACTCTCAGGGTGAGGATACTTGAGCAGGGCCAGGAAATGAATTATTTTGTTCACCTTTGATGTGGCCCACATTCAAATGCTTCACAAGTACAACGTTCTCAGCTAAGCTAAGGTGGTCTTCGATACGCACTTGACCACAACGGAAAAAAAAAAAAAAAAACAAAGAATGAAAAAGTTAAACAACAGGTGGGAAGTCAATGCTGAATAAAAAATTAAGATACGCAAAAGTTAACATGTTATTTCCTTCCTAAATAAAACACATGTGCATACAAAAATACATGTATAATATTCTGATATATTTATAAATACCTATCCTTGAATTGTTTTTCACTTTTCCAGCCAAATTCCCTCATCAAATTACTGAATTTTCCTAGCTTAAAAATTATTATTTTTGATTTTGACTAGAGAAAGTGAAAGGCAATTTACTGCCACATCTATCTATATTACATAAACATACATGCTCATATATACTTTCCACTGGGAAGGGAAGAATCATGATATGAAAATGACTAAACTCTTTCTCTCTGACTGATCTAGTCTCCTCTTCTTCCTACCTTTAAAGTGCTGAACAGTCATTTGCCCAGCTTTCTATGTATCAAATATCTGATTGTTTGTTTTAATGTCTTCAGTGCGGCTTTAACTGATTTCCTGAATACCTAATGTCCACATAACACTTAAAAGCTTGTAAAACTCTTTCCCATATGTTATTTTATTGACTTCCCACAGTAATTTTTGGAGGTACACATTACTCATTCTCTTTTACAGAGGAGTTAAGAGTAGAGTCTGTGTGACGTCCCCTAAATCACACAGCTATGACCGGTCTGAAATATGGGCTCAGGTTGTATGGGAATACTACCAAAGATTTCAGAAATGATCATTATGCATTCACGGGTCCTCTGGTGCCTGGTTATAAAGTAAAAGGGTGAACAATTCAGATTTATATTTGAATCTCTGTCTATAAAGTTTTTTTGTGTTACAGCCACTTGTCTTACTTTTATTTCATTTTTGTTTTTTTTTTTTTTCTTCTATCTGAAAGAAAGCTAGAGAGTTATTTCCCCTCACAAGCTTCAAAAACCTGCCAGGCAGAGACTGATTCCCACAACCCCTCTCTGTGGTCTGGGCTTCAGGGAACAAGAAGTAGAGTGGCGGACCACATTCTTCCTCTAGTAGCAGAGACACACTGGACCACTGGGTCCTGGGAAACTTTTCCCAGGGACTGTCTTTATTGCTCCACTCTCACGACAATAACACACACTCAAACAAGCACTCACGTAACCCTGTATACAGCTGCATCAGCACCCAGAAAACGTGGCCTAATGTAGCAAAGGTAATTCCTACCGTAAAGTCCTTTAGCAGAAATGGTTCACGATGGGCCTGTAACAATGTAAGGAGTTTTTACAAAGAGCCAGGGGTAGGGCACAGGGAGAGGGTGGGGAAGGGCCATTAGGGGAGATGTAAGCGGGACACTCAAGATGGACCAGGAACTTATTTGAAAGCGGTAGTTAACAACCAGAAGGGAGAAGAATTTCACCCAACCCAGGAAATAGGAACCCGTGGCCTAACGACCCCTTGGGAATCCTGTGTCTTTAGCGGAAGGCGTGAGAAAAAAGGAGTAAAGTGAAGTATAACTGAAGCTTCAGGAATTAGAGAAAATGGAAAGGGTGCATGTAGGAAGGAAAAGAAAGACAAGGTGGAGGTTAAAGGCAAGTTGCAGGTTTTAGTGGCATGGTGATTAATTTTATGTCAACATGGTGGGGCCATAGTGCCCAGATATGTGGTCAAACGTTATTCTGGATGTTTCTGTAAGAGTGTTTTGGGTGAGACTAACATTTAAATAAGTGGACTTTGAGGAAAGCAGTTTGCCCTTTATAAAGTGGGTGGGCCTCATCCAGTCAGTGGATGTTCTAAATAGAACAAAAGACTGACCTTCCTGAGCAAGAGAGAATTCTGGCAGCAGGCATGAACTGCAGATTTGGGACTTGCCAGTCTCTATATTCACCAATTCCTTAAATAAAGCTATATACAGACATACACACATGCATCCTATTGGTTCTGTTTCTCTGGAAAACCCTAACTATCACAAGCAGGCTGTGGTCATCAAGCTACATAGGGAGGGATATGAAGCTGGTGAACAAAAAACAGGGATATAGCAGGAAGCCAAACTGCGGCTCTATTAGGCAGGCATTTGAACACTGACCTTGCTCTTGGCCTCATCTTAATTTCCCACCATTAGTTTCCCTTTGTCAACTTTTCTTATTTTCAATTGAATTCATCTCACTATATTTTATGCATTATTATATATGTCACCTTAAGTCCTTTCTGGGACAAATTAGAAGTATAAATAAATAGATTATTATCATCTGGAGCAATTATGTAAGACTAGATTTAGATTCTCTACAAATAAAGAAGAGACATGAATTACACAAATCTAAGAAAAAATGATGAAGAGATATAGATGATAAATGACATAAAATTTAAAAGATGTGCAGTAGAAATCCAAGGGTGTATGCAAGGGAAAGTAGTTTAGTCATAGGATAGAAAGTATTGAGATTAATCAAGAGGCTAAAACATCAAACCACAGAGATATAAGCAAGCAGCAAAAACTCTTCATTTAAAAAAAAAAGGTTTACAAATCAGAGAAAATGGATTTTGTGTTAGTATGCCCACCTAAATTTTTTGAACATTATATAATTAAAATATTTTCTGATGGGAGAAAATTAAAAGGTTCAAGAATGAAGATGTACGAGGTCATGAAAACATAATGCTGTGTTCTCTTTGTACGTATATACAAAGACTATAGAGTAAGACTTCTTACTCTAAAAAAATTCTGAACTAATAAAAATTCAGGTGTACTTTTGCCCTATGTCAATAAGATGAGTTGATGGGATTTCTGACTTTACCTAAGATTATAGCAAAGCACTAATAAGTTGAAGAACAATCAGCAGTTAACTTAGACTTTCACACCACAAAAGCAGAGTAAGAATGAGAGGACTCCACCCCAGCTACCCACACAAGAACCGGGCCAGGGTAAAATCAAACTCTGTTGTGGCCTGAGACACAGGGTTTGATTTTTACCCTGGCCAAGTTCTTGTGTGGGTATCTGGGGTGGAGCTACCCACACAATAGGAACAACATTGAGAGGAAGCCCAAAGATTTTTCAGGGAGAAGCATTCTTCAACTTGTTACCCATTTTTCCTAAACAGAAAGTGTCTTCAGTCTCATGCTTTTGCTTATCCCTGTGGTATTTACACCAATCAGACCATGAAGAGATGATGCTGTGGTGGCAGCACAAAAAAACTGTGTTGGAGTTTTGAAGCATTGATAGCATTTCCTTCAAGTTGTCACTAAAATATAATTTGAAGAAAATAAGGTAGACCTGTAAAAACCAGAATATGCTTTTCTTTTAGTGTCTTTCTATACAAACAGAAATATACCCAAGTTCCTCTGGAACTCACGAGATATCTTCATGATTGAGCCAGAGGGCTGCTGTGTTTAGAAAACATAACCCTAGACACAGTGATCATTGATTTAAATGTAACTTCTAAACTCTCAAGCAAAAACTTGAAAAAGGTCACACATCTGGACCATTGTCCAGCACCCACTTTATAAAATACCTTCCCCTGTACCTTGAGGTGTACAAAATCTGTGACTTAGTTTGCATTTTATAAACAATAGTTTTACTTATTATTAACATAGACAGAAAAGACATTTGGGCACCATGTATAAAGTTCTATGAATCTTTAAGAACGATTGGAACCTGTTAAAGAATACTTTTCTCAGAACATATCTTACTTCTTAAAGTTAAAACTAGTTAGATGATAACGTGTATTTAATTCAGCTCAACAGTGAGGTCAAAAACAGGAAGAGGTCTTTAAGAACAGCGGTAATGTAATGGCAACACATGATAAAAATTAATGTAACAGAATGGAAAGTTTTTTCTAATAAGAAGCATCTATATGATAAAAATATGCACAATTAAAATGTTTTGAGGGCTTAAAAATCCATGGCCTTTACTCTTTAATATTTTTATTAATCTAATAAATAAAATCAGTTAAACAATCAAATAGTAGTAAAAGGTTATGACAAAACCCAGCAATTCCCTTTCCATTTCTATTCACCTCAGCCCTGCTGCCCAAAAGCAACAACTTTTAAATCTTTTTGATCTGTCTATTTACCTCTGTATTTCTAAGTTTAATCTCTTATCTGTTCTATTATATATTCATTAGAAGCCTGCCTATCTGTGGTCTCTTTACTTATTTTTTCTCTTTCTCTTATATTTTCCTCAAATATCTGATGACCCTGGCTATCTATTATTCTTTCTAATGTTTTCTCATTGATTCAAGTAATTTTGTTTGCTCTTATTTTTATTATAAGTTCTAGGGTACATGTGCACAACGTGCAGGTTTATTACATAGGTATACATGCGCCGTGTTGGTTTTGCTGCACCCATCAACTTATAATTTACATTAGGTATTTCTCCTAATGCTATCCCTCCCCCAGCCCACTACCTCCCAACAGGCCCCGGTGCGTGACGTTCCCCTCCCTGTGTCCAGGTGTTCTCATTGTTCAACTCCCACCTATGAGTGAGAACATGCAGTGTTTGGTTTTCTGTCCTTGTGATGTTTTGCTGAGAATGATGGTTTCCAGCTTCATCCATGTCCCTGTAAAGGACATGAACTCATTCTTTTTTATGGCTGCATAGTATTCCATGGTGTGTATGTGCCACATTTTCTTTATCCATTCTATCATTGAGGGACATTTGGGTTGGTTCCAAGTCTTTGCTATTGTGAATAGTGCCACAATAAACATACATGTGCATGTGTCTTTATAGTAGCATGATTTATAATCCTTTGGGTATATACCCAGTAATGAGATTGCTGGGTCAAATGGTATTTCTAGTTCTAGATCCTTGAGGAATCGCCACACTGTCTTCCACAATGGTTGAACTAATTTACACTCCCACCAACAGTGTAAAAGCATTCCTATTTCTCCACATCCTCTCCAGCATCTATTGTTTCCTGACTTTTTAATGATTGCCATTCTAACTGGCGTGAGATGGTATCTCATTATGGTTTTGATTTGCAATTCTCTGATGACCAGTGATGATGAGCATGTTTTCATATGTCTGTTGGCTGCATAAGTGTCTTCTTTTGAGAAGTGTCTGTTCATATCCTTTGCCCACTTTTTGATGGGGTTGTTTTCTTCTTGTAAATTTTTTTAAGTTCTTTGTAAATTCTACTTTGTAAAGTAGGGGCAAAGAAAAGAGTTAATCATTTTGTAGTGAAAATGTCAAAGCCTACAGCAGTATTTTTTTTTTCTCTAGAACTATTCATTATTTATTTGGAAAAAAAAAAAAGCCCTTGAATCTCCTGCCCAGCTGGAGACCAAGTTCCCATAAAGAAACGGGGCAGCCGATGGGCTAGAGCCCTCAGTCAGTAGCTCACTTGCTCACTTTCAAGAAACCCCTTATTTTCAGCCCCGGTCGATTATCTGCCTTTGAAAGGTTTAAATAACAGGGGGAGATGCTTAAGGCATAAAAAAGAAAACAGTGAGTATTCAAAATTATATATGCAATATGATTTAACTACATTAAAATATGCATAAAATACCTAGAAAGAAATATACCAAAATTTTGAGTATTTATGGTGACTTCTGAGTGGTGGAATCAAATGTAATTATATCCTTAATACCATTGTTTATTTTCCAAGATTTCCACAAAGCATACACACTAATTTAAATACGTGGGAAAAATACTTGATTTTTAAAGAAACATGTATCAGGATGCCAACAAGAAAACCCACAGAAGTGAATGTTAGTATCAGAGTAAGAGTTTTTCTGATCATAGCTTAAAAGATTTTAATTAAATACTTGATATACACATTAATATTTATAAAATATGAGGATACTAAGAAATATCCTATTAATATATTGAAATGTTGAAATGGCCACTTGTATATCAGAATCCAGCTGTAGAACACTACTAAGAACTTTGAAGCCATCTGTGAATCCTGCCTCAGTTCCATTCTCCATTCACCTGAATTTGGTATTTGTCATTAGCTTTTCATTAGTTTTATCACTTATGTGTATCTTTAAATAGCCTATGGCCTAGCTTTGCATCTTTTGAATTTTGTACAAATGGAACCACATTGCATGTATTGTTCTGCAGGTTATTTTATCTTCACTCAATGTCTGTGATATTCATCCATATTAATTTTCCCAGTTCTATAATTTATATACACATAACATGAGTCTAGGGCATTTCATTTTATTAATATACCAGAATTTATTTATCTATTCTTCCATTTATTAAACTTGGGTTGCTTCTAGATTTTATCATTACAATTTTACCTCTTCTTTTCTAATCTTTGTATTTCTAATTCTTTCTCTTGTCTAAACTTATTAGCTTAGCATCTCTAATACAATATTGAATAATAGTAGTGATACTGAAGATCCTTATCTTGTTTCTGCCTGCTAATTTCTCTTTTTCCTTTTCTTCAGTTTGCTTGGTTGTCTTGTAAAATTTCTTGATTGAGAAATAGTTTATTTTCATTTTTCCTTCTTTATCAATATAAATATTTAAGGCTTTAAGAAAACGCTGTGGCCGGGCGCGGTGGCTCACGCCTGTAATCCCAGCACTTTGGGAGGCCGAGGCGGGCGGATCACGAGGTCAGGAGATCGAGACCATCCCGGCTAAAACGGTGAAACCCCGTCTCTACTAAAAATACAAAAAATTAGCCGGGCGTAGTGGCGGGCGCCTGTAGTCCCAGCTACTTGGGAGGCTGAGGCAGGAGAATGGCGTGAACCCGGGAGGCGGAGCTTGCAGTGAGCCGAGATCCCGCCACTGCACTCCAGCCTGGGCGACAGAGCGAGACTCCGTCTCAAAAAAAAAAAGAAAAAAGAAAAAAAAGAAAACGCTGTATTAGTTATGTCTCATAGGGTGTAGTAGGTATTGTTTATATTATCAGTATTTCCTAGATATGAGTAATTTTGGTTTATATTTCCTCTTTGATCCAAGACTGGGCTAAGAAAAAAAGCTGTTGTAATTTACAAGATGTTGGAGTTTTTAGTTTTTTATTTGCTTGTTCATTTTTGTCTTGTTGTATTATAGAGAATATTGTCAGTATAGTTTCTGTTTTTTAAAATTTCTTATGGAGTTTGTAATTTAGAAAAGAATTTTGTCAATTTTTATGAATGTCCCTAGGTACTTGGAAGGGTTGTCTCTATTTTCAGGGTTCAGAGTTCAAAATATATATAAGTTAGAGACACTTTGTTACTCATGTAATTTACATCTTCTACATCTTTAATGTGCTTCCCCTGACTTGCTCTGTCAGGGACTGAGTGAAATAATTCAACAACTACAAGTGTGCATCAGTCTAGCTCCTGGATTTTTTTCTCCTTGTGAATATAGTTATGTACTTTGGTCCATTGATATTTATAGCGTTTTACATTCACATTTTAAGTACTCTTCTTTTTCTTATGTTATGCTTTTAGATGTGAATTCCATAATGGCTGATATGAGTATCATAACTCCTTCATTTTTTTAAGTTTGTACTTGCCTGGTATAGCTATCATTTTTTACTTTCTGAAGTATTTTGTCTTAAAGGTATCTGTTTTTTATAGCATCTATTTCTTTATGGTCCCACTTGAAATATTTTAACAGTATGTTATGAAACTTTTATTTATTGATATGTATGCCATTTTTTATTGATTGATAGGATGGGTATGTTTGCTATAGCTTTATCATATGGTTCTTGTTATTTTCTAAATTTGTAGTTTAAAGTCTCTCACTTAAGTTTGGTTTATATTTCTAGTCTACTGATTACCTTTACTATACTGTATTTAACATCTTCATTCTCCATTTCTTTAGACAGTGTCCATTAGTTTTCTCTAAAACCAATGGGAAATTAGCATCCTTTCACTTCCTGCCCTGTAACTCCGGCCAGAGGTAAGAAGCCAAGCTTTATGGTCATTATATTCTTTCTTTGGTTTATCAAGACATTCTGCTTTCTTCTCCACTTTCATTTTTAGTCCATCAAATTGTAAAAACGTATACACTATTTGAATAAGCAATTTTTCAATTACAAGCTGCTGATTTTTTTACACCCAAAATGTGTGTATTTGTGAAATACCCACATAATTAAATTAATGTATTGTAGACATAATAAAATTACACACAAACAGAGCTTTTGAAATGATAAAAATGTTTTCCTACCTGTCTTCACTGAATCACACACACCCCCTGGGGTATAAACTCTAAATTGAATACACACATTTAGATGAATAGTCCTCAATCTTTTTAGAATTATGTTTCCTCTGAGAGTCAAATTAACATTATTCATTCTCAGACAAAAATGTTCACATTTTCTCAGGCAACTCGCAGTTCAGAGATGGCCAAGGAACTCAGATGCTAAGCATTTAGACATTCAACATTACTGGAATTGTAGACATTGCCAACTTCAGAATCTCCCAATCATAAAGTGAGACATGAAACACAGTGGAGACATTTGACAAGACATAAACAGCATAGTCAAATTAGCCATGCTTGATTAAATATGTAATAACTCCTTTAGATAATCTGTCCAACAACAGCATAGTTCAACAAGAGTCAGATTTCAAATAATTTTCTCATTTCCCTCCTTCTTTGCCTCTCCTCTTTTTCTGTCCTGTTCTCCACCTCTTCTCTCTCGTTTCTCCTTCTTCCTCCCAGCACTTTTTCATTCTCCCTCCTTCCTTGCTTTTCTTTACTTTCTCCTCCTCCACTCCCTGCCAAAAAAAAACAAACAAAAAACCCCCTGCAGATTAGATTTTCTGCTCCACCTACTGGTTCTTTCAAGAATTTCATATTCTTGAGAAACTGAAGACACAACCTGGTATGTTAATGGAGATAATTTTATCATCTAAATTTTAGTATCTGAGAAGACCTTGATAATGTATAAACTAGGATCATTTTTAAGTGTTAACTTAAATCCCAATTTATTAAACATATTAACATAGAGTATAGATCATGTTAACATCTTCTATTTGGAAACAACCATTGTAATATTTGAGCCTTTATTACAATCACATCCCACTTGTCTCTTTAAATTTCCTTCCTCCTATTCTATTTGTTCAGATAGCTGCTTCTAGCTGTCTTTCCTGATACCTCATCCCGTGTTCATTTCTCTGCCCCCAGTTCGGTCTGTGATGCTCTTTTATTACACTGCATGCACTTCCTTGGGTGGCTTACCTTCTTCCACTTCTTCAATTATCACTTTTACAAAATTGGTAGACTTGTGTTTCTAG
Source organism: Homo sapiens (assembly GCF_000001405.40). Taxonomy (NCBI): domain Eukaryota; kingdom Metazoa; phylum Chordata; class Mammalia; order Primates; family Hominidae; genus Homo; species Homo sapiens. Next base: position 98,574,090 of record NC_000003.12, read on the forward strand.
ACTGAGCTCTCCTGAGTTCACATCTCTAAATACTGGTACAGGTAGCTTGCAAGCATTTCAAGCACCTCAAAACTGCTCTTCTCGTTTTTGTTAATGACATTTAATCTGCTTCAATTATCTATTACTGTTTAGCAAACCACTCCAAGCTTAATGACATATAAACAGCAACCATTTTATCACATTCACAGATTCTGTGAGTCAGGGATTCTGATAGGGCACAGCAACGATGGCTTGTCTTTGTTCCACACACGAGGGCACGTCAGCTGAAGACTGCCTCTTGCTGTTTGGGGAGATACCATATCTCCCACACATTACTAAGATGAAGAGTCGGGGTGGGTGGCAGAGAGGTAAAGATGAAAGTAGGTCCTTATTTTTGCTTCTTAGGAATACATTATTTTTAAGCACCACACTCACGTTGAATAGCACATAAGATCAAGTACACATTAAAAAACAAAAAGTACTTTCAGCAGAATTTGTATTAAGGTAGTTTTTTGGTTTTTGGTTTTTTTTGAGACAGAGTTTCGCGCCGTCGCGCAGGCTGGAGTGCAGTGGCACGATCTTGGCTCACTGCACCCCCTGCCTCCCAGGTTCAAGCGATTCTCCTGCCTCAGCCTCCTGAGCTGGGATTACAGGCGCCCATCACCACGCCTGGCTAATTTTTGTATTTTTAGTAGAGATGGGGTTTCACCATGTTGGCCAGGCTGGTCTTGAACTGCTGACCTCAGGTGATCCACCCACCTCGGCCTCCCAAAGTGCTGGGATTAGAGGCATGAACCACCGTGCCCAGCCTGTATTCAGGTAGTATTAATTTAAATGGTCTTTGAGGACATCTGAACTAGTTATTTTTAATAAACTACAGTTTGAACTACAAGAAATTGTGGATTTGTATATTATACTAATGGTTAGAAGAATGTCAAGCAGCAGGTGTGGAACAGATTCTAAAAGCCTGTCTCCCTCATCAAGTCAGAAAATGGAAGCAATCTTGAACCGATCTGAGCATAGATAAATTGCTATAAAGACTTTTATTTATGAAAGCATTATTCACTTGCTATTACATAAGAGGCATTCAGCCAGTACAGCTTTGTGAACTTTGATACCTCTCAACCATCTCATAAGAAAACACATCCATGACAGAGTCAGTGTTGCAACTCTAAATGACTGCAAAGTCAATTTACTTTCCTAAGTGGCTGTATTTGCATCAACCTATTGAAACCATGATGGCTTGGATTATGACAAGTTTTATGTTCAAACGCATTTTGAAATATGAAGGGATTAACAGTAAAAGAATTATTGAAAATACTGTTTGAATGAGCTTAAGATCTAGAATAGAGCTGGCTACACTGATCGGAAGAGGAAATGCAGTTCAACTACCTTGCTCTGCTGGTATATGTTAGTGAATATCCAGTATAAAACCACTTGTAGGCCGGGCACCGTGGCTCATGCCTGTAATCCCAGCACTTTGGGAGGCCGAGGCAGGTGGATTACCTGAGGCAGGATTTCAAGACCAGCCTGGCCAACATAGTGAAACCTTGTCTCTACTAAAAAAATACAAAAAATTAGCCGGGTGTGCTGGCTCATGCCTGTAATCCCAGCACTTTGGGAGGCTGAGGTGGGTGGATCACCTGAGGTCAGGATTTCAAGACCAGCCTGGCCAACATGGTGAAACCTTGTCTCTACTAAAAAAATACAAAAAATTAGCCGGGTGTGCTGGCTCATGCCTGTAATCCCAGCACTTTGGGAGGCCGAGGCAGGTGGACCACCTGAGGTCAGGATTTCAAGACCAGCCTGGCCAACATGGTGAAACCTTGTCTCTACTAAATAAATACAAAAAAATTAGCCGGGCGTGCTGGCACATGCCTGTAATCCCAGCTACTCGGGAGGCTGAGGCAAGAGAATGGCTTGAACCCAGGAGGCAGAGGTTGTGGTGAGCCAGGATCGCACCATTGCACTCCAGCCTGGGCAACAAGAGTGAAACTCTGCCTCAAAAAAAAAAAAAAAAAAAAAAAAAGCAACTTGTAGAAACAGGTCTGTGAGTGCATTATTCTGTTTTCATACTGCTATAAAGAACTGCCCGAGACTGAATAATTTATAAAGGAAAGAGGTTTAATTGACTCATAGTTCAGCATGGCTGGGAGGCCTCAGGAAACTTACAATCATGGCAGAAGGCAAAAGGGAAGCAAGGCACCTTCTTCACAAGGCAGCAGGAAGGAGAAGTGCTGAGCAAAGAAGGGAAGAGCACCTTATAAAATTATCAGATCCTGTGAGAACTCACTCACTACCACGAGAACAGCACGGGGATGGTTTACCCTCATGACTCAATTACCTCCACCTGGTCTCTCCCTTGACACCTGGGGATTTGGGGGATTACAATTCCAGGTGAGATTTGGGTGGGGACACAAACCCTAACCATATCAGTGAGGTTTTATGTTGTACAACTTATGACTTGATTTCAGGTAACAATACAAGGGAATTTAGTCAAGCCATTTACAAATGTCTAAGCGTCACTAACTTAAATGTGCTAATTTAGGTTTATTATGAAATTGGATTGTTATGTGTTTCTTTGGGAAGAAAGATGAAATTTTAAAATGTGAGATTTCAAATACATAATTCATACTTGTGGCAGGGATAATACAATACATCCTTGAAAACAATTTCTAAATGGGCTTTTAGAGATACTGGGAACTTCTGTTTTCACAGACTAGGAATAAGACAGTTATACAGACAACTAAACAACACTAAGCTTGATACTACGATATATTGCAAAACAGTGTTGGAAAACAAAGGTTAACACATCATTCATTAGGTAGCAGGTACTATAAATAAGGAAAGATCCACCTTCAATATTTTGTAATAAGTGGGATGTGGATTGAATGACTGTAAATGGAATATGTTGACAGCAATACTAAAAGTAAAATGTGTTGAAAGGGTAGAAGAGATTGACTCCAAGGAAGGTTTCTTGAAGAAGATTTAAAATGGGCATGGAAGGATGAGCGGGCACATAAGACATTCCAAGCAGAGATAGCAGCAGCCTGAGAAAAGGCCAGAGGGGATATAATTTGGGGGAAGTTCAGGAAAAGTGGTGAGTGGTGAGTATATGGTCTGAGACTGAAGTGCACAGAGAAATGTAGAAGATAAGCCTGAAACACGAGGTAGGAGTTAAATGGTGGATTGCTTGAATGTCAGACTGACTTTAGAATTCTGTCTGGAGAGGAGATTCTTTGACTATTTCAGCAGGGTGGTGATAATGGGACCTAGGAAAATAATTCTGAAGAGAGGGAAAGGTCAGAGTGCCCAGAGGCAGGGAGAGCATTGCAAAAGTTCAGATGAGAAAGTATGTGAGACTAAAGTAGGGTGGTGGCAAAGGGCAGAGGAAGGAAACCAGGAGCCATTTCAAAGGGGGACTCAACAGGAACTAATTAGGGCAATGTGGAGGGTTGAGTCCAATCTATTTCGTGGTTTTGAGTGTGGAAGGCTGTGTGGAGGTTTTGAAGATGACTGGGATCTAATTCCCTACCACTCGAATCTGGAACTGTCCTTAATGACAGACTTGTCAGGAGTCCAGTGGAATGTGAAGAAAGTGACACTACATAACCTCAGTGGTTAGAACAGAAAACCACCATACTGCCTTTGCCTTTTTCCATGGAATTCGTGCTCTGAGCCACCCATAGGCAATGCAGCCTGCAGTCCAAGATGAGCTGAGCCTTTGAGTCATCCTCACCTATGTACAGACATGCAAGTCAAAAACCTGCAGAAGATTCCTGTCTCTAAATATTGTAACAGCAAAAGACACATGGAAGGATAAGTCATAAAGAAACATTTGGCTTTTCAAATCTTGTACTCCTTAGCGTGCAGAAGCACTTATCTCAAATACTCTGCTGACTAGGAGGGTCAGCAGAGTACAGTGATGAACAGAAAATAGTGGTTAAAAATTTGCTCCAGAGAATTGACATTTCTCCCCTCCAGACACCCTTTATTACCATGAACCTGCATGCATAAGACAGTTAGGTGTTCAGGCCATCTGGAGGTGCACTGTGGTCTTCAGGTAGACTGAATTAACACCAGTAAGAAATTGAAAGAGAAATTCACTTTGAATAACAGTAGGATAATCTGTTTTCCAGTAGTTATGCAATTCTTTTCAGACATAGTCTAATCCATAGTAGAAATACGTGGTTATTGAAGAACTGAAAACAAATGCACAGAAAAATTTTATCTTCATTTACCCGCCACAGCTTTAAACACAACTAAATAGGCTAGCATTTTAGCATTATATCATCACTATGTAGTGATTTTCTATTTTTTAAAAGCTAAACTGAGGTTGATCTGAACATTTGTTCCTATATGCCTATATTTTTCCTAGTATTAGATTTATTGAAGTATTATTCACATATACAATAAAATTCCATTTTAAGTTCAGTGAATTTTGATAAATGTATATACAGTCTAGTAACCATCACAATCAAGATGTAAAACATTTAAATCACCTCAAAATACTCTTTTGTCCCCTTTCACAAATCTGCATCCCCTAACCCCTGCCATCCATTGATCTGCTTTCTGTCATTAAAGCTTTGCTTTTTCTAGGTTTTCCTATAATGTAGTCATATAGTAAGTACTTTTATGTGTGGCTTTCACTTGGCATAATGTTTCTGATGTTCACCCATGTTACTGTCATTAGCAATAGTTATTCCTTTTCATTGCTTAGTATTTTAATATACGCATATATCACAAGTTGTTTATCTGCTCACCTGCTGTTAGCCATTTGGGTTGTTTCTAATTTTCAACTATTGAATAAAGCTGCTATGAAAATTGAGTACAAAACTTGTATTTTTCTTGAGTAAAATACCTAGGAATGAGGAACTATGGCATTAGCATAGCTGAGCCTTGAACAACACAGGTTTGAAGAGTTTTGCTTCTTCGCAGATTTTCTTCCACCTCTGCCACCCTTGAGAGAGCAAGACCTACTCTTCCTCTTACTACTCCCACTAAGCCTACCCAACATGAAAACAATGAGGATGAAGACCTTTACGATGATTCACTTCCACCTAATGAATAGCAAATATATCTTCTTTCTTACGATTTCCTTAATAACATTTTCATTTCTTTAGCTTGTAAGAAGAGTATATAATACATATAACATAAAACATGTGCGAATTGACTATGTTATTGGTCAGGCTACCAGTCAACAGGAGGCTATTAGTGATTAAGTTTTGGGAGAGTCAAAAGTTATACAAGGATTTGAAACTGCATGCAGTAAGGAGGAGTTGGGGCCCCTAGCCCTAATGTTGTTCAAGGATCAACTGTACTAAGAAATATATGCGTTTTCCTATATTATCCTGGCAACAAAAAATATAAATATTTCTTAGTCTTATTTAATAATAAAATTTATTAGCAGATCTCTTGTAAGACAGTTGAAGAATTCATACATTTTCCAGCCCCAAAAAGGCCACACAGAATCACAAACATTCAACGTGTTCCACGATAATGATATGTATGAGATGCTCTTCCTTATAAACTTTATTACGAAGCAAATAAAATAATACATTCATAATATATGAACAAAGAAATCATACATTAAGAATCCTGTTGTGATTTGCTCTTAAGAGCAAAGAGCTGCAGAATCTCTAATATAAAAAAGAGGACATTTTCAATGTGTCCATTTTCCTAAGAAACGTGTGTATGAAATGCCTCCAAGTTTCTCATACTATATATACTTGCTTTAAAGAAGGAAATTATTTCTCATTTCATTTTCCAAATGAGAAACATTGCCTAAATTCATGACATCCCTAGGATTATTCTTAGTCTCAACTTCCACACAGAGATGTCTGAAATAGAAAACTCTTAAGTATCAGAATTCAGGGATATAAGCTTTCACATTCAAAAGTGCAGAGAATCCCAACATTAACAAACAATGGTTCCACAAAAATCAAAATTACAACTTAGACATCTCTAAAATAATAGTAATGTCACTTTAGAGTTTACAAACTACAGAAATAACTGAATTGTAACACATGCAGAGATTATTTCAAGTGCTTCTAAATACCTATTAGAAAAATGTGTATCTATTTGACAATATTATGTTCTCTGGAGAAAGATATATAAGGATTACAGCAGAGACTTCAGTATTGACAAAGTAAAATTTTTACCTTCAAGTTGCATTCTAAAATTACTATGAAGTCTCAACTTCACTGAATTAATGAAAATAAAATATATTCCACGACAGATTTTTGTGGCACAAATGAAAACTTTAAAAAATACATGAAACAAAAACAAGATGAGAGATTTCCTGATACATATAATACTATTTATATTCCCTTATCTCAATACTTGGAAACTCAATGTCCTATTTTGTAAACTAGTCATATAAAATGACACTAGAAGTATAAATGAGGTTTAATCAATTGACTCTGACAATCTGCCATCTCACCATTCATCACTGACAGCATCCAAAACATGTTATCATCTGCCCACGAGGTAGGGTGCAGAGTGGAGAAGACTAAGGCACGGGTAACTGCCACACAGTGGCAAAGTGCCGACCAGTGGCATGGGGAGCACACATCGTGTGCCCTCCAAACCCCTGCACAGCCATTCTGCCTGCATCAACGCACCCAGTCCCTTGGATGGCGTAGAACTTCCAGAATTTCAGCTTCTTTGGAATTCTCTGAGGGTGAATGCATGTACTCCCATCTATGCATGTCCAAAACAAAAGCAAAAAACGTCATAAAAAATGACACACATACCTCTTTACTTAAAATAAATGAAAAATAAAATCCTAAGAATAAAAAAAAAAAAAGCCTTATACTTCTTTGTCTCTACTGTGCCTGATGTGCCTTGTACCAACTTGACCTTTAAAAAAACTATTTGCCAAACAAATAGTTTCTTAACAACTCTTGGGTATGCTTTGGCTAGTATTAATATCCCAGAGCCAAAATACACCTTTAATATAAACCAGGGTTTCATATAGTGTAGAAACTCAGGTGATCCATGGGCAAACCTTCTTTAGCTTAATACTTATGCATACCTCTTCTCAGAAAAACAAATAGGCAGAGAAGGTCCATCTCACCTCCTAGCCACCATGACTCAGCCTGTGTTCTCTCTCCCTCTAGTCTCTCCTTGCCCTCATAGAGCTGTGGGATTCACCATGTCACCGCTTAAAATACCCAATTTGATTTGCCTTATTTGACTGTGATTTTCTTATAAAATCAGCAAAGTCAAAACTAACAAAGACCTAGGCACAACATCTGCAGTGTTAACTTTCATATTTTGTGGGTGTTTGGGAATTGGGAGTGTAGGGATAACTACTAAAATGAGTTATCTCCTTACCGGGCAGTTAGAGGTAAAGACATCAAGATACTTTCAATTCTGGATCCTGGAGTGAAGAGGCCAAACTTTGTGCCCCGATCATACAGCAGATTAAATTCTACATACCTGCCATAAATACATCAAATAACATTAAGGGCCAGCTCAATAAAATCTTAAGACTAACCCATAACAAATACTTAAAAAGGGGTGGGTTCTTCCCCCCAGTTCCCATCAGCTGGAACTGGCACAGAGGACACCAGCCTACAGCCCATTGAGAGCTCTCCATCTGGACAGGCAGAAATAAAAGGGTATTCTACCCACCAAACAATAGAATATAGATTCTGCCCCAACATAGAGCAGTCACAATACAAGGTTATGTTTTCCCATAAGTAAACAGAATTGACACAAAGCTGAGAAGTTTAAAGCAGAACAACAATTAAGAAAAAGAAATGCATCCCTTCTCAGGATAACCCAGCTCTTTCTGGCCTTCCTCATAATCTGGAATGTTTTGGACTCAAAGATTTCATTTCACTGCCTGTAACCCACAACTACTACTACTAAGATGGTGTAAAACTTCTGACCTGAAAGGCCAACTACAGCTAACAATAATCTATTAATAATGGACTATGATATTCTATATATTCCTCTTTCCTAAAGTAGTTAATTGCATTAATAAGCAGTCATATAATTCAGTCTCTCTGCAGATTAATAGCAATCATAATAAAAGGTAGTGTTGAGTTGCAGTGTTTTCATTTTTTTTTTAAATACCCTTAGCATCAACTAAAACTTGGTTCAATATGTTAACTCCCCTAGTCAGATCTGGACTCCTTCCAGTTTAAAACCCTGCATCTGCCTTTAACATAGGATGTAAACGGGTCTCCCTCTCCCATTTCAAAAGGATAATTTCTACTACTCAAAAGAATTTAGACTGATTCATAATCTGAAAAGTTCAATAAACAGTGCCCCTTTCAGATCATTTCTTATCTTATTCAGAAATTACTCCCTTGGTCTAAACTTCACTCACATATTCTTATTTACCTATTGGTTACTGTCTTGATGCCCATCTATAGCAAAATATCCTCTAGATTCCCACAATAATTTTTTTTTCTTTTCTTTTTTTTTTTTGAGATGGAATCTTACTCTGTTGCCCAGGCTGGAGTGCAGTGGCGCAATCTCAGCTCACTGCAAGCTCCGCCTCCGGGGTTCACCCATTTTCCTGCCTCAGTCTCCCGAGTAGCTGGGACTATAGGCACCCGCCACCATGACTGGCTAATTTTTTGTATTTTTAGTAGAGACGAGGTCTCATAGTGTTAGCCAGGATGGTCTTGATCTCCTGACCTCGTGATCTGCCCGCCTCGGCCTCCCAAAGTGCTAGGATTACAGGCGTGAGCCACCACGCCCGGCCCACAATACTTTAATTTTTTAAAAGCACCTTTTGTATGTGGAACTTGTCAAAAGCCCTGCAAAAGTGTAAAGAATTTTATCTATGCTCCCTTTCTAACTCTCACCATTTATCATTGACTTTTACGTACAAAAAACTATTTAATACCTTCTTATGTCTGTTTCAAAAAATAATTTAAGTGAATCTTCTGAATCCTTTTCTAAGACCATGGAAAATAATTTCATCTTTTGGCTACCTTTTTCACCTGATATTATCTTTCTGAAACATCTCTCTAGGGGATGGGTATGGTTCTCTAGTTTATATTGATGTATTTGAAGACCTATCGCAGAGACCCTTGTAAAGATTCCTTAATGAATTTTCTGTTGGATCCTTTCCTTTATTGCGTGAAGGATGCCCCTTTCTCTACATTGGCCTCTCTACCTCCCACCAAGTTGCACTTAGATCTGATTTTTCTTTTTTAATAAAAAATTTCCATCTCCTATTCCTGGTATAGATCTGATATTCTATATATTCTTCTTTCTTAAAGTAGTTAATTGCATTAATAAGCAGTCATATAATTCAGTCTCTCTGCAGATTAACAGCAATCATAATAAAAGTAGTGTTGAGTTGCAGCATTTTCATATTTGTTTTTAAATAATATTATTTAATCTTTTCTGATCCTTTCCATACATCTGTCCTCTCTGGGGTGCCTATAAGTTAGGGACTTTAACCAATCCCTTCAATTTAACTAATGCCTAAATTTTATCCTGTTTCCCTTTCCCAGAATACAACGAACAAGTAAGTTAAAAGTCTTTAATTTCTGTTTTCCTATGAAAAGGATAACTGTAAGACTGATGTTCAAGGTCTGGGGGAGGATAGCAGTAACTGTGGGCAAGAAACTGGATGAGATTGCCAAATAAGAGACTGTAAAGTCAAAAGGGAATGAGACTGACTGCTGAAAGGGAGACCGGTGTTTGGACAGGGTGAAGACGAGGCAAAGTGGGTAACAGTAAGTGAAAAGGATACAGAAAACTGGTCATGACTGCAGTATTAGAAACCAAAGACAGTGTTGATAGCCCCAGAGAAGAACTGGAGTTATCTTAGGCCCCAGAGTTTATTGCCATCTTAAGGACCAGAGATAAGGGAGGCAGAAAGAAGCTGTCTTTGAAGAACAGTCACACACCATACCATAGAAAATTAATCTACTACCCCACAGTTCTGCCTATCTCATGACACCAGACATGCAATGATACACAACAACGACTTTCAGAATGATCTGCCATCAAACGATGTATAAAAAACAAAACAAAACCGCAAAACAAACCATTACTCCTGTCTATGAAGTTTTAAAGGATTCACCTAATTAGTATTGACAAAATCTGCCAAGTTTTGCCTTCGAAATCTTGTGCAAAACTAGAATACTTTACTTTGCACAGAGTTCTAAATTGTCCTCTTGGGTATGTCTTCCCCACTAAACTATGAGGTTCTTTTTGGCAGGTCCATGTTACAGCCACCGGGTAGCCAAGATAGTGCCTCATCACAGGGGCCCCAAAATAAGTATCAAGTGAAAGGAGGAAAGAGTGGTAAAGGTATATTTAAGAAATTATGGAAGCAAACAAAAAACATGTTCCAAAATACATGCATTCTTTAAGAAATTTCTAAAAATTTACTCTCATGTTTTTCAAGTTAATAAATGGGAACCAGATAGCACAGGCAGTCATAAGAAAGGATATACACAAATGTTTATCTTTAGACTGGAAACATTATTTAAGTTGACCTCTTTAAGGCAAAAGCTTTACCTCTTTAGTACCCAAAGCTTCTTTTGCCTAACACAGAATTAACGTCAATGAGAAAATCCATTTTATAGCCATGTTTCAGTAGTATACAGGCATTTAAGGTGGCAATGAGAAACTGATTGGGGCCAGCAGGCTGTATAACTTGGAGTGGATTTACAAGTACACCGTGGCTGGAGACAGCCTCAGACTGGACACCCCACTGAGCTCACCAGGCTCACTGCACAGAACAGGGTGGTTAAAGTGAGTATCATGGTAAGAAGCACAAACCTGCTTCAGCTGCTTAACTTTAGGCACTACACAGACTATAAGTTTTGAGGTCATTTTGACCCAGTTCCACATCTGAGATCTTAAATTTACCAGCTGTGTCTCTTGGGCAACAGACTTAACTTTCTGAAAAAAGATGATTACACCTATCTTACAGGTTTGTTGAAAAACATCAGATACAAAATGCCTAATGTAGAGGCCAGCAAAATTTCTGAAATTATTTCCATTAAAATAACTTCCGTGAAATCTTTAAGATGAATGAAAAAAGGTGTGATTCCAAATTTACAAAGCAGCAAAGACATTAAATGAAGTCTACATCTTGACATAAGGCTGGAGGGTATTACAAGAAGACTAAGAGAAATCAGCAGAATTAAATTCAGGAAGTACTTACTACATGCCTACTATGAGTCTCTAATGTATAGATGAATTAAATAAACTTTGCTATAATTATAATATTACTTTACACAATGTCTTTTAATTCACTTAATATTCATCTATGAAAAGAAATTAACACAACTATTACAAAGTATCTGACAACACAACACCCGCTATTATTAAGAGCTGCTCCACCTCCCCCACTTAGCCATGAAAGAATTCGTTTTCCAGTCACTTACCGTCCTCTTCTGAGCTGCTGCCACAGCTTCTCCTGGGGGGTGAATGAGTCATCACAGTGCTTTTTCACAAGGGGAATGTAAGAAGGAACTACAGCCCTGGCACAGCTCTGTACAAAGCGAAACACCTCCTCCTTGGACGGAGAGTCAAGATCATCAAAAAAGATACCACCAATGCCCCGCCGTTCTCCACGATGGGCTATAAAGAAGTAATCATCACACCTGGAAAACACAGCGGCGCCAAACCAGGGATCAAATGGAAAAAAACAGACATGAAAATCAATGTGAGCCTTTCAGGTTACAGCACTATCCTCAACTAATGTCAGGATGGTGTCCTTACTTGCTGTCCAACTATGAAAATGAAATGAGGACTTTAGACAGATAGATTTTTTGCAGATATCACCAAGGTAGAAAATGCTTATCCTCTTTTTCTTTTCTTTTCTTTTTTTTTTTGAGACGGACTCTTGCTCTGTCCCCCACGCTGGAGTGCAGTGGTGCGATCTTGAATCACTGCAAGCTCCGCCTCCCGGGTTCACGCCATTCTCCTGCCTCAGCGTCCCAAGTAGCTGGGACTACAGGTGCCCACCACCATACCTGGCTAATTTTTTGTATTTATAGTAGAGACGGGGTTTCACTGTGTTAACCAGGGTGGTCTCGATCTCCTGACCTCGTGATCTGCCTGCCTCGGCCTCCCAAAGTGCTGGGATTACAGGCGTGAGCCACCATGCCTGGCTGCTTATCCTCTTATTTTCAAGGCGAACAGGCAATTTCACACAAGTCTCTGTAAAGGATGTGAAACTCTAAGAACTTTAGTGAAAAGAGAAACAGTCCAATATCGATAGTGTATTTCTTGGAATAAGCTGCTGCCTTCGGAAGCACTGCTGCTTTTGTAGGAGGCAGGAGGACAGGAATCTTCCACTAACAATGACACCAACCATGGTGCAAATCCAAGCTCTCTTGAGTGAGTTCTTTATTCACCAAAGGAAGGTACTATAAACAATCTCTCAGGTCTCTTTCAGAAATAAAATTTGATGGTTCTATAGCATGAAAGACAGGGAAAAGTTGGTGGAAAAAAAGGTTCAGATGATATCTTTTATTATTTCATATGTCATATCAGACATATGAAAGTTTACCCTGTGAGGCAGCACATAAAACTATTAATCTGTTCTTGAGTCTTTTCCCCTCTATGACTACTAGAACAGGTTTCCTAAGAAGCCATTTCCTGGGCCGGACGCGGTGGCTGACGCCTGTAATCCCAGCACTTTGGGAGGCCGAGGCAGGCGGATCACGAGGTCAGGAGATCGAGACCATCCTGGCTAACACGGTGAAACCCCGTCTCCACTAAAAATACAAAAAATTAGCCAGGCGTGGTGGTGGGCACCTGTAGTCCCAGCTACTCGGGAGGCTGAGGCAGGAGAATGGCGTGAACCCGGAAGGCAGAGCTTGCAGTGAGCCGAGATCGCACCACTGCACTCCAGCCTGGGCGACAGAGTGAGACTCCATCTCAAAAAACAAACAAACAAACAAACAAACAAACAAAAAAGAAGCCATTTCCTAACTGTTAAACTTGTAAAATAGTTTATATCCTAAAAGTAGTTCTTTTGATAATCTCTGCATAAGGGTCCTTAAATAGAAAAACATGCTCAAACAAAAACTAAAAGCTATTTAAAAGGTTACCTTAAATACAGCTTCAATTGCTTAAACAACAACAACAAAAAACAACAGATGCAAATCCCTAGAACTGACGCATAGGTAGAATTCACCTTAATCGTGACTTGTTGGCCTTCTTTATATGCACATTTTATTAACATAGTCTAAAAAAGTATATCCTGAGTAAAGTTGTAAAGTCAGTTTTTAACCCAAATCATACTATTTCAAAATCTCTCTTTAAAACATTACAAAATTAAGTGATCTACTTATTTCCTAGTCAGTGTTCTGCTGCTTACAACAGAATAGCTGAAACTGCATAATTTATAAATAAAAGGAACTTATTTCTTAAGTTATGGAAGCTGAGAAGTCCAAGGTTGAGGGGCTTCATCTAGTATGAGTGTTCTTGCCGGTGGGGTCTCTGCAGAGTCCTGAGGCAGTGCACAACATCACATGGTGGGGGGCTGAACGTGCTAGCTTAGGTCTCTTCTTATAAAGCCACCAGTCCCACTCCCATGAATTTAACCCATTAATGCATGAATGGATTAATCCATCCATCAGGGCTCTGCCCAATCACCTCTTAAAGGCCCCAGCTCTTAATACTGCCAGATTGGGGGTTAAATTTCGACATGAGTTTTGGAGGGAACAAATATTCAAACCAAAGCATTTATACTAAAAACTTCTTTTTAACTAGCTACCATCCTAGATATTTTATTACCTAACACTGCTTAAAGTCATCTCAGTAATAGCTAGAAAAAGGAACCAAAAAAGAGAACTGTCTACTCTATTAGTCCTCCTGGAAGGATGCTAAGTTCTGAGAGAGAGGAAAAAACAAACAAAAAACCAGTATCTGCATGCATCCATGGCTGTGTAGTTTTCAGTAGTAATATTAAATCAAGAGAATATTCAAATGTTTCATCTTTCCTGACGATTTTAAAGCTGAACTCCATACTCTTGCATAAATATTAACATTCCACAACTATTAGCTCTAAAAACAAAGCAAAAAGACAAAAATTCTTTGTCCTTCCTTTTTCAAGAATGCCAATTGGCTCTAAGCAGAATTGAGTACTTTACTCATATTCCAAACAATTTGTGCCAAGATTCCATTTGATGATAACAAATATTCTGGGTCTTCTCCCAACTTTTGTTTGTTTTCTTATTTTATCATTAGAATTTCTTTAACAAATTCTCCAATTCTTCTTTCCCCTTGGCCAAAATCTCTGGTATGTTGGCATCTCCCTCTAGTGGTTCTCCAACCCTTCCAATGCCCTTAGACATTCCCAAGTCAACATCAGGAATAATAATTCTCATCTGGAATAAGAATTTAACAACCCACTCCAGATTAAAAAGCCTCTCATTCTCAAGCATAGATGACCTTATAGTTTATAGTCTACCATTCTAAATCATTTGGAATAAAAAGATATTACTACTCAATTTATATTAAATATTTCTAAGTAAATAATTTAATACAACCACTTAAAACCAGTATTCTAATTCTTCTGATGAGCAAAGTAAGAAAACTAGTTCCATTTTCATAAGCAGAAGAGGGTATTTAGTGACATAATAGTTGCCTTCAGAAGGAACAGAATGTAATTTTGGGGTCATGAAAGTTCAGTAACTTTACCTACCATTTTTTAAATTTGGGGTAGAGATCTGGACCATGCTGGTCACAAGCCTCCTTCAGAGTTCTGTGAAAATGGACAGCGTCTTCTTGATTCAAGTATGTTGGAGTGAGGTCACATCCACCACCAAACCACCACTGCTTGTTGCCTACCAAATCAAGACATGGGATTCTAATGTGGACTTTTGAGATTCAGCATTACTGGCTATATTAGGACACTTAATTTAGCAGCTTAATTTTTTCAGCATAAAATGGATGACAATAAAAAAAATTTTAACTGATTTTAGCTCTGAAGACCAGTAAGGCCTAGGCAGAAAAAAAGAGGTAAAAGCGGCCAGGCGAGGTGGCTCATGCCTGTAATCCCAGCACTTTGGGAGGCCCAGGCAGGCAGATCGCCTGAGGTCAGGAGTTCGAGACCAGCCTGGCCAATATATGGTGAAACCTCGTTGCTACTAAAAATACAAAACATAGCCGGGTGTGGTGGTCACCTATAATCCCAGCTACTCGGGAGGCTGAGGCAGGAGAATCACTTGAACCCAGGAGGTGGAGGTTGCAGTGAGCTGAGATAGCGCCACTGCACTCCAGCCTGGGCAACAAGAGTGAGACTCCATCTCAAAAAACAAAATAAAACAAAACAAAACAACAAGAAAAAAGAAGAAAGAAAGAAAGACAGTGGAACTTGCAAGGAATGATATGCAGGGCAGTGAATGATAAAACAGTACACTGGTGGATCAGGAAGTGGATTGCAACTCTGGCTGTATATAAGAATCACATGACGAGCTTAAAATAGCTCTTCTAGATCACAATAAACACACACACACACACACACATCTCTGGCCCAGGAATCTGTAGTTTATAAAACTCCCCAGGAGATTCTGACACTCCTTGTATTAAGAACCATTGCCAACCCCTCCCCTTTCCTAGAAAGAGTAAAAACACTTGCTGAGGTAACTTACCACTTGAGAATAACTGTTTCATGTGCTCACAGGTCCATGAGTTGTCAATACCAGTTACCAACTTTAAACATAAAAGGTTGAACCAAGCTGAATGGCTTCAAAATGAAAAGTTAAAGCAGTGACTTTAAATGCCATCACCTACAGAGACACCAATAAGAATAGGTGTGGCACTGCACATGTACTCTGACATCTAGTATCAGATAAAAGACAGGCTGGAACTATGTGCACAGGAGGCATGATCAACTGCATCCCATTTTAAACCCACTGCTAATGCCCTGGTGACTAGCAAAGCTATGCATATGTAAAATATTTTCCAAAAGCAAGTTCTCAATTTCAATTTAACCTCGTACATAAGGTATTCCTTCAGATGTAATGAATTTATGTTTGCAAAGAACTCTGGGTGCACACTAAAGTTCAGGTTCATTCCTTCTATGTTGGAGGAAATATGGGAAGGTTAGAGTCAGTCAATACCATTCTTTTTGTTTTGTTTTGTTTTGTTTTTTTGAGACGGAGTCTCGCTCTGTCACCCAGGCTGGAGTGCAGTGGCACAATCTCCGCTCACTGCAACCTCCGCCTCCCAGGTTCAAGTGATTCTTCCACCTCAGCTGCCCGAATAGCTGGGACTACAGGTGCGTGCCAGCACGCCCAGCTAAGTTTTTGTATTTTTAGTAGAGAGGAGATTTCACCATGTTGGCCAGGCTGGTCTCAAACTCCTAACCTCAGGTGATCTGCCCACCTCAGCCTCCCAAAGTGCTGGGATTACAGGTATGAGCCACCAAGCCTGGCCCCATTCTTACTTGTCATGTCTCAGGCATAATCCATTGCACTTGCCAAGAAATTGCCTTTACATTGCCTCCTGAAAGACCTAATTAAGACTATTCTTTCTCGCTTTTAGATGTTATGCCCTCTTATCTGTTTTAAAATGCACATTTTGCACGACAGTACTTTCCGTAGCTCCTGAGACCCTTACCATCAGCTTCTTCTACTTCAAAGTATCTGTAGTTGAAATGGATAGTAGGAGCATGAGGATTCTTGGGGTGGATAACAGAGCTCACGCCCATAGCACAAAATGGCAATTTACCTGGAAAGTAAAATATGAGTCATGAGCTATATTCAGTTACCTTGAATGCCTTGATACAATTTCACTCTAATATGATTTCCAAGTCAATTTTCAAAAGCTGCTTTTTAATTTGTCACTTAAAAACATAATTTTAAAAAAGTATTTGTCAACGTGCGGCATATGAACCCGAATGGCTTTTTTCAGAAGCAATATTTATTTTATAAATAAAACTTGTGGGCAAAATAAGGTTTGCAGGGACTATTAGAGACTATCAAGACTGTCTGATTTACCATCTTTAGTCTTCAGAACTTTTCCTCTGCTTCTCATTTGTTTTGCAGCTTCCTCTGAAAGATTTCCATGAACAACAGAAATGCTCACCCCAGCCTTTTCGAAAACACACCCATCTTGAAGTACACAGCTGATGCCGCCACCTCCTGTGTATAGAAATGTAAAAAAGGAGAGAATGTAAGAGTATGTGCAAAACTGAAAGCAACACTTGCATGAAGATGGTTATTTTCCCGTTTCCCAAATCTTTTATATCAGTGTATTTATCATTTTATGTACAATACAATTAGATAACTAGCTTAGCTTTATGACATATGCTATTAATATTGGGCAAATACTAGACCTTCTCATATCACTAAACTGAATATTTCTTCAACATTCTCCTGCCATCATCTAAAATAAATCACTGGAATATTCTCCCTTCAGATTCTACTGTTCAGAATGGCATCTATCAGTTATGATATATGAGAGAAAGCTAAGGTTAAAAATAGGAATGGGTAGACTTGAAGGGTGTTCTATTATTACTGAATTTAAGAGATCTATATTGTTTCAAAAATTTCTTTCTCAGTGGGCTGCTTGCCTTTTAATTTACAAGCAATTAAGAAACAGTAGGTAATCAAATTCTGAAGGGATTCAGAACCTTAGAGTGAGTGAGACGCACATTAGTATTCACGTGTATCAGCCTTACTAATTTTTTTTCTTAAGGTATTAGGGTCACTGCAAGGGCAATGTTTCATGAAAGTTCATGTTTGGCTTGTTTTATTTCTAAGAACATTTAGAGCTGGATGGGACATAAGATGATCCAGTACAACCCTCATATATTCCAAATGAGAAAACTGAGGACCAGAGGGGCAAAACATCTTATCCAAGATCAAACTGCTGACAAGTGGCTGCAACAATTTGTCTAAATGCTGTCTATGCTTCAGACAATATTCTAAGCACTTCACATATATTCCATCCATATATATATATATATATGTATATGGATATATATATATATATATGTAGTATGAGGATTAAAAGAGATGAAATACATATATATTTCATAGATGGGAAAACAGCCATAAAAAAGTAACTTCTGAGGATCACACAGCTGGTCTAGTACTTGAGGTTGTGTCCTGGTTCAGTGGTCTTTGCTTGAAAACATAAGATGGAAAACTAGACTGAACTTCATTTAATATAGATGTGTCAGTATCACAGCTCAAAATCTGCCGGTGAGAAGCTGCTGTTGTATTTCCAGCTAGGAAAAGTCAGGAATCTTTCAAGTTTCCACTCAAGATGTGGGGTTTCACTGTATGGGCAACAACATGGTCATGAATGTACGCCTCTACGAGAACTGGGTTTTGATGCTCAAGTATTTTGATATTGGAAGAGAAGATTTTCCTAGCAGGAAATCTGATGCGTGCATTTGGTAGTGCTACTGAGAAACGAATCAAATATATCTTGTGTAACAGTAAAAAGAAGTGGGAAGATTCTGACACAATGACATCCTGGCTGGAGGAGTTTAGCCGACACTTAGCGCACAGGAGATGAGTTCTTTCCATCTCCTAAAGAGGAAAAAGGGCAAATTCACCCAGAGAAGGAGAGAAAATGTGTTCCATAATCTATTGAAATTTATGTTCAGTAACGAACTTTGGACATCTAAGCTTGTTAGCTGCAAATACCCCTTAAGAGTTCTACAAAAAAATGCTGCTACGGAATTGCAAAGATTTTGAAATGCAGTACTACAGTGACAGCTGATCCGGGTCCATACCTGCAAGCAGAGGGCTAGTGACCCTTTCGTGTCCATCTTTTTATCAGCGGCCTCTAACCAAGCGGCCTCTCTGTGGGTACCCCCTACCTACCCCATCCCATATTGTGAACTATTATATTTTCTGTCTGCAACCTGGAACCTGACCCTTTTTCCCTGTCTCCAACTCCCGCCAGGGGCCGGCCTCCTTACCTTCCTTCCTCTCCCACCGGTCCACAGAAAAGTTGGCGCCCCCGTCTACCTGTGCCAGAGCCTGGCACACCTGGGCCTGGGTCTCCAGAATCAGCAGCTCCATCTTGGTCTTCATGTCGCCCGGCCTCCTTCGCAGCTCGCCCAGGTCGGTCACAGGCGGGGCCATGAAGCTGCTGCAGCGGTGGGCCAGCTCATCCTCCTCCTCCTCCGGCCTCCCCAGCGAAGTGGCCCGCGTCCCCGAGGTCTTAGGCAACATCTCCGCCCGCTGCACATGCCCGAAGGCGGCGGTGGCCAGCCCCACCAACCCCGCCAGCGCCGCGGCCAGCCCTGTCCCCACCCAGGGGCCGCCTCTCGACGTCGAGCCGTGCCCCAGCCCGCGGCTCTGCTCCGTGCCAGCCGGGCCAGGGGGCCGGCAGACGCGTCCGGCTGCGCTGCGCTGGGACCAGGCTCGGAGCCCTCCGCCGCCGCACTGGGACCAGGCGCGGGGCCCTCCGCAGCCGCCCCGCGCCACGAGCCAGCAGGGGCCCGAGCTCAGCCTGCCCAGCTGCAAGGCCATGTTCCCGCACTATCACCTGGAGCAGTGCCTGCGTCCCAGAGCCCTGCGTTTGAGCCCCCCACCCAGACCCCCGGAGTATTGAGCCGGCGAGCTGCACAGGCGGAAAGAACCTTTCGAGAAGAGCCGCTGCAGCGTCGGGCTCCGGAGGCGGGGGCGGGAACTGGGGCGCGCTGGGAGCTGTAGTCCGGATCCTATCGCCGCCTGCGGCGTCCCTGCGCGGGGCGGGAGATAAGAATCCGACGCGCCCAGAAGGGCTGGTCCGAAGGGAAGAGAGTGGGGCGGGGACGGTGCTGTGGAAGGGACGGGAGAGATAAAAGAGGCTTTCTTGTCACGTACAACCTCGGGTCGGCTGTTTACTCAGCCAAGGAGAGAAGATAGAGTAGGGCTGGGAGGCTGAGGGCGGACTGGGGCGGAAATGTGGCAGAGATCCCAGTCCCGCTTACATTTTCAAACAGGATTTGCGAATACAGAGCCTGGCTCAGGATCTGTATAGACCCGCCCTTCGCCCTGGGTCCTGGTCCTCTAGAGTTTTTAGAGGGGATGGGCAGGCTGGGAAACTCTTTGCTGAAGGATGGTTTTCTAAAGAGAGTGGGAGAAGCTAGTAATGGACTCGGAAGAGAGTCGAGGAGAAGACTTTCTGTGATCGAGTCCACATCACAGTTCTGTCCTTAAGATTTCCCCAGGCTGGGGCCGGGCGCGGTGGCTCAAGCCTGTAATGCTAGCATTTTGGAAAGCCGAGGCGGTTGGATCACATGAGGTCAGGAGTTCGAGACCAGCCAACATGGTGAAACCCTGTCTCTACTAAAACTACAAAAAAATAGCCGGGCGTGGCGGCGTGCACCTGTAGGCTCAGCTACTCGGGAGGCTGAGGCAGGAGAATCGCTTGAACCCGGGAGGCAGAGGTTGTAGTGAGCCGAGATCGCACCACTGCACTCCAGCCTGGGTGACAGAGTGAGACTCTGTCTCAGAAAAAAAAAAAAAAAAAAAAGGTTTCCCCAGGCCTTGCTTCTATAGTGCCTACTTGATTATTTTAGAAAAAGGAAAAGCAACGTGACTGTTTTGGTTAACCAGTAGAAAATTCCTGACTTGGTGTGTTTTGGTGATTAACAAATAAGAATTTAAAAAATAGTTATTCTACTACTGTAGGGTGCTCCCAAATATTGCTCACGTTTAATACTTACAACAACTGCTACAAACTAGGCAAGGCAAATATCCACACTTCCTCCTACTCTGTCTCCCTTCCCCCACCCTTTAAAGAAATGAGGAAAGAAGCTAATAGATTTGACAGGCAGGTCTTTGTCTCCCCTGTAACCATACCACAGCTCCATGGTTCCTGGACGTAAAAGTGTGAGAACTATTGTCATGGGCTAATTTGTCCCATAAGTCTCCGGGATGATTTTAATTTCTAGTAGTAGATAATAATTTAAGCCACTGGTAGCTTTTCCCACAAGTGTTTTCTTTGTGGCAGGATGCACTGATGGAACTTCAATGGCTTTTGAGTCAGATCAATTGGCATCTTGTCCACACACAACTGTACCTGGCAGCTCTCACTGGGACATGATGTTAGCAAGGTGGGTGTGCTTGCCGAAGCCTCACCACTGAGAATCTGTGAAAAGTAAAGGCTTGGATTGAGAAGTGACTAAGCGACTTTTAGGGAAGAAAAACAATTAGCTTTTGGTCATAGTGCAACCTGCCAGGAGGCCAAGTTAGAAGTGGAGGAAGGGAAATAAGAATTGTCATTGTAGGAAGGGTTGATGGCCTCTACTGGATGCCTGTGATGGGGTTGGGCTGGGCCTGGTGATGATAAATGAACCTCATCAAATGAAAAGGAACCTCCCTGGTACGTTTATTTGTAAGAAACCCCCTCATTATTGCTCTAATTCTGCTAAAAATACCCATAAAGTTAGTAAAGCCCATAAAGTTAGTTAAAGCTAAGTAAGAACAGACTGTTTTGAACATTTGCCCGGTCACAAAGGCTGATCCTGAGCAAATTGCATACTAGATTCCAGGTTTCCATCCCTCTCATCCTTAGCCTCTCTATACGAAGGGCCTCACTCCTTTCTTCCTCTGGTTCCTAGCACCCTCCCTACTGGCAAACTGTTATTCAATGCTTAAGAAAGGCTTCAATAACTTTGTTAGTGTGAGTTTAAATCACCTTTCTGGAGGTTCAAATTGTTCCCAAGTGGGATACTTATATTTAAGTTGTATTTGTCGGTATGGGGGAAGAAAAAAAGACATCACCTATCTAAGTAATTTCTTACATCAGAAAACTAGTTGGGACAAATAAAAAGTTTCTAATAAGTTGTAGAAAGTAAAGTGTAAAGTAGAAGTTCTTGTCTGTTTTTTAGCTTAGTTTCTTGCATTGCTTTCCAACTATTTTTTATGTGACCCTATTGCAAAGATGATTCTGCCTAGCCTTATAGGTATTAGTACATAAACATCATTTTTCAAACTCCACATGCTTCTCAGAATCCTTACGAACTTTTTCCTAAAGCCCTGTTGAACATAACTTATTTTAGGCCTGCTGGTGCATGTTAGAGAGAGTTCTAATGTTTATCCCTCTGGTAGCTTTACTGCCTTCTAACAACACACACACACACACACACACACACACCTAGAATTCTCACTATTTTTACTAAACTATACTATTTTCAACAATTATAAAATTCTGAAAGCCAAAGTTAAGAAATGTATTACCAAATTCACTCAGTTCTGTTGCTTTCAGATAGATACAGAAACTCAGGCTAATTAGTAACAAAATATTGCTGAAAATCTGTGTTTGCCTTGGCATCCTTCTGCCCAACTCATCAGAAATTTTGGTGGGGTGATGGGAGGGGGGTGGTAGGATTACCAAGGAAGTAGAATTTTTAAAATGTTAATTCATTTTTTTCTCCTAGAATTTGTATTTTAAACTTTTAGGTCTATAGTAGCAAATGCTTACATAGATTATTAAAATAATTGGTTCTTAAAGCTGTTTATATTTATAGTCTAAATATCCAATGCAATTTAGTGTTGTCAACTTGCTTTTTCTTTAACTGGTGTAATTTTGAAATTATTTTTTCACAAAGGTATAGATACCATTTCAGGGAGGTTTTATGAAAGGGACTAACTCATGGTACCTATCCTTTCAGTCCCTGTGGCTTCTCCCTAATTCTTCCCTATAGTAATATTGATGTAATGTCTGGAGTTGCAGCAACCATTTTGTGACTAAGACTCTGAAAGTCCCATGTAAAAGTTTGCAGAGCAGTCAGAAAGAAGGAACCTTGGTCCTGATGACATCCATGAGCAAATGCACCAGCACTGGGCCACTAACCTTTGAACTTCTTGTTATATGAGAAAAAATAATTTAAAGAACTGTCTGCCAGGTGTTTTGTTGCAGCTTAAGCCTTTCTGATATAGACTGTTTCCCACCTTGGTTCAAATACCTACCATGGGACCAACCAATAAAAAATAGCCATGAGTGAAAAAATGGGATCATGTAAGAACATGGACTCTCCCGTTAGTGTTTTGGGGTAGGGAAGTTGGAGATATCATGTGGGGTATCATTTCTAGACAAAGGGAAATGTGATGAGCAGAAAGTACCATAAATGCCCACCAGAGGGAGAAATTTTTGAATATGATTCTAGGGTTTTGAGCCTACATATCTAAGATTAACAAAAATAGGGAACTTAGAAAGAAGAACTAGCAGGTACAGAGCAGGAGTTTATAGGGAGGACAGGAGATAATCAGTTTGATAGAGACAATTCTTAATAGAAGTATTCCCACCAGTTTAGCTAAAGCTCTCTGGCTGTTCCATTTGCCCAGATACAGGAGCTTCCTGGCCACTCCATCCCTTCAGTATAAAATGCTCTTACCATCCATTCTCAGAGTCTTAAAAATGTTATGGGCCAACCAAAAAGGTGGGTCATTTGAGAAGATGCTGATGACAAAGTGTTGGGATATATATAGGTGTTCCTCCTGTGAGGCAATCAAAGAACAATGGGTATTGGGTACATGTTTAATGGTCCTCATCAGGCAGCAATAAGAAAGATATTTAATATTGTTCCTGTACCTGCCTCCATGATGCTTTCAGGGCACTTGCAACCAGTAGTACTTGCTCAAGAAACATAAAGCTACTTCCATTCATGTCATTGAGAGTTCATCTCCTCTGGTGGACTGGAATACTCTCTTGAAAAATACACATTTAAGACCTTTTACTTTAGACCCATATCAATATCCATGTAAACTTAGGAGTCAAAAATCAATTCCCTTTGTTCTCTGCATCTATCTAGAGTGATCTTTTCCCCCATGTCTAACTCTTTAGCCTGGGCCAGGACCTATTTCTAGAATTAATGAGGTTGAATGAATGCAGGAGGAGGGAAAAGCACATTTGAAATATTCTCTTACTGCAGACTTACTGCAGACATGTTGAACTTGAGACATTAGTAGCTATATAAATGGAAACATGAGGCCAGAAAGGGATGAGGGCTGGAGAGAGAGATTTTTGAGATACCCATAGTGCTGGGATGATGAGCTCATTCAGAAGAACTCTTACAACTAAAAGATAAAGGGCTTGATGTCAGAACATGGGACAACAGTCACATTAGGGACAAAAAGCAAGAAGTCTTGGGGCCTTGAGTGTGATGTCACAGAAACATGGAGGGAGACAGCACCAAAGAGGAGAGTGGGGTCAGCAGGCAGAAAGCTTTACTCTCTGATCATCCAGAGAACAGAAGTACCGAGTAGAGGCTATGGGAAATAATGAAGTCATTGGCTGCCTTTGAAACAAGAGTTTCGGAAAACCTGTTGGGGTGGCAGCTGAAATGAAAGAACATATAGAACAACAGTAGCTCAGGGTGGGAAGTTGTGATGTTGATCTTTTATTTGGAGTGGAAGACTAGAGCATGGTTCTGTTTGTTTTTGCTTAAGGAAGTGAGGCAGCAGAGAGAACTAAAAATACAAGAATATGTGCCACTCAGAGACCTCATGGTCAGGCTCAAGGTTTGTTTTACTTTCTTCTCTTCCCAAATTGCACCATTCAGGCTGCATTCAAGGAGTATAAAGGTCAAGGGGAATGAGAAAGAGGATTGAGCAAAGGAATAGCCATTTGGGGTTCTAATATATGTACCTTCAACGGATCTGGCTTGCTTTCTCCAAATATTTGTCCTCACCTTCATTCTAACCAGCACTCAGGCAGCCTTCCTGTGTAAAACAGGAACTCAACTATAACTGAAGGGTTATGAGAACTTTGTAGGGTAACTGACCAACTTTGTTGGTCAAACTGAGTCCTGAATCGTTTATTCTTTCTATAGACATTTACTTAGCACCTTCTATGTGTTAGGTTCCAATCAACCCCATAAGGTAGACAGGACCACTATTGTCACTACTCACATGATAGATTAGAAAACTGAGGCTTAGATGGGTTTAGTGATAGACCAAGTCTAGACCTTGTCTCTAAGGCTCTATTAATGTTACAACATTGCTCTTCATCTGACCCAGAGTCATTGTGTGCTAATACAATGTCAATAACATTTACTAAACACCTGCACCTTACTAGGAACTTCAGGACACACAGAGGAGCTGCCAGCCTTTCCCATCCTCCTAGGAAAAAAGGATTCCATTTGAGCCACCAAATAATCTCTTCAAATGAACTATTACATAGGCATTTGTAATAGTTGTGGGACCATGACAGTGACCTTGCAAGCAGAAGCCAGACATATCATTCTTAATAATCAATAGGAAGAAATTAGGATTGTTATGTGATCTTTAATATATACATACTTTTTGAGACGGAGTCTCGCTCTGTTGCCCAGGATGGAGTGCAGTGGCACGATCTCAGCTCACTGCAACTTCTGCTCCCAGGTTCAAGCAATTCTCCTGTCTCAGCTTCCCAAGTAGCTGGGATTACAGGCACACGCTGTCAAGCCTGGCTAATTTTTGTATTTTAGTAGAGACGGGGTTTCACCGTGTTGCCCAGGCTGGTCTCGAACTCCTGAATTCAGGCAATCCACCTGCCTCAGCCTCCCAAAGTGCTAGGATTACAGGCATAAGCCACCACACCCAGCCGTGATCTTTAATTTAATTTTTAATAGAAACATTAAAAACTCAGTTACTGTAGGTTGTAGATGAAAAACAGTAAAACTACTTTTGTTGGTGCATTGTAATTTAAAACATTAGAAACATTGAGAATTAATGTGTTTTATTTTTTCACACTTCTATAAAGTAGTTTGAACAGTGCCTCCCTTCTTTTTCTTATTGTATAACTGAAGATATGAAACAAGTATCTTTTCTATGCCTCAGTGAACTGTCAGACTTTCTAAGTCTGGATCAGCTTTCAACATTTGATCCTTTGTGCCTTCAGTGTTGCGAAATATTCTAATAGTTTCTTTAACGTGAAATGGGTTTTTTCTTTTTTTTTTTTTTCCAGCATCACTTCCTCTGAAATATCTTCATCCAACACAAACACTTTCTTCACATATGTCAGTAAGTTTGCCTTCACTAAGTTCCTGTGATGGTTAATTTTATGGGTCAAATGTACTGGGCTATAGTGCCCAGATATTTGGTCAAACACTATTCCAGATGTTTTTGTGAGGAAATTAACATTTAGGTTAGTAGACTTGAAGTGAAGCAGATTGTCCTCCAAAATGTAAGTGGGCCTCATCCAATCAGTTGAAGGTCTGAATACAACAATAGACTGACTTCCCCTGAGCAAGAAGGAATTTTGCAAATTCTGTCGCCAGTTGGCCTTCGGACCTGAACTGCTACATCAGTTACTCCCTGGATTTATTCTGGCCCACCCTGCAGATTTTGGACTTTCCAGCCTCCATAATCCTTAAAATCAATCAACTAATTCCTCTCTGTCTCCATATATGTAAACACATATACATTCTGTTGGTTCTGTTTCTCTGGAGAACCTTGACTAATCCCGTTCTTCTGGGTGCATATCTAAGTGCCTCAAAAGGCAACAATGTTAACATTGCCCTGGTTAGCTATTTATTCAGTAATTCCATTTAGGTTCAACTAGAATTTCACTTCCAGTTTTGTTGCTTTCTGTTTCTTTGCTGCACTTTCATCTTTGTTGACCAATTCCTTCTTTCAATGATCCATTTTTGTAAAATGTCACATGCGTTTATCATGGGGCAACAAAGAAACAACATAGCTACACACTTTGCATAAATTGTGCATAAACTGAATAACAGATGGGCACTGACCAATCACCAACAGACTTTGAAAAAAAGTAGCATGATTGGTCGTGAACATGATGCATTTATGTTATTTATGTAGTGATTTGTGGACTGAAGAGCTAGCACCAGATTTGTACTTTACACAACTTTACACAATTACCCACAGTTATCTAATGTGGTAACTGAAATTTGAACTCCATTGGGGAGCTGGTGATATTTAACCAAATCATGATAACGAAATGTAATTTGTGCCTCTTGGAATCATGCAATGCCATGACTGCCTATATTTACTTTTGAACTGATGGCCTAGGTTCATAATAAAGAAGTCTCTACCTACCATGAAGGACCATGTACCAAAGAAAACAAGGTTCTCAACAGAATCAGCAGCGTCTCCATAAAAATTCTAGTATTTTCTTAACTTGAATTCTTAAAATAATGGAGACTTATTTTTCTGCCTATTTTCAGTGAATAATTGACACTTGTAGAATCACATAAAAATATACAAACAGAAGAAATGGTTTGTGGCAGAGACAACTAGTTGTCCAACAAAAATCCATTTTTCTCTTCTTACTTTAATAATCATTCTCCAGGTTTCGTGGAGCATATAGCAGCTTCAGCTAGCAGCTATAGTAGAGCAGAATGCTTCCACTACACTCATATCCCCTCTTGAAGCTTATGATCAAATCCTGGCCAGTAGGATGTGAATAAAACTATTGTGTGTCACTTCTGAGTTTATTCTTAAAAGGAATAAATGTGCTTCCTCTGGCCTTTTCGCTACTGGCTAGGATACAGCTGTGAAGGCATGAAGTGGAACAGCCACTTTGAACCCAGAAATAAAATCTGTGTGTTGAGTGAGGATGACAGAGCAACACTATGCATTTTGGACTATGACTCTGGAAAGTTCAATCAGACAGAATGAACTTCACTTTTGTTTTAGCCACTGAATTTTGGGGTCTTTTGTTATAAACACTAAATTATAACCTAATAAATACGTGAATGGAATCCTTTCTGAGAATAACCAGTAGCCTAACGTAGTAACATAGGGAGTTTATGCACATCACACTAAATAGTGGATGGATTATCTCTATTCTAACTTTCACTTAAAGATGACAGGAAGAAAGACTGAGGGCCTCAAATGTAATGGCATCCCCTTATGAGGGAATAAGCTGAGCGCGGCCTACTGAAGACAATTAATGGTCTAGTGCAACCAACATAGAGAGGATGGATAAAACCTGACTCTTGCAGAGTGGATGTGATGTTTTCCACTTAGCATTTGTTGTGCACTAAGGCTATGAACCTCCATTCTTAACAACAAGCTGTATTGGGAAGGGGGGCCTCCAATATTTAAATTGAATTTCTAGGAGCTGCTGGGGTCTAACCAGAGAGACAGCGTTTATGGCAATACTGTGTTTATAGAATTTGTGTCAAAAATAAATTTAAGGTGGTACAAACCAGTTTAGTCATCGACATGAATATAATTTATCCAACTACAACCACTGAAATACGTGCATAATGAAATTTGGCTCTTTTTTACAGAGCACATTAGAAAACATGATACATCAACAAATGTGTGACACTCGTGTGTACACTAGAGGGCACTCACCTACTAATTTGCAAACCAGCATCTAGAGCTTGGGATCTTGTTAAAAGTGTATGTTTCGAGGCTGTAGAGGAGCCTGTGAACCTGCTTTTTAATGGGATACTCTCTAAGAGCATAGTTAAGGGAATGGCTCATGGAGTCTGATGGCCAGGGTTTGAAAACTGGCTTTGCCATTTGTGAACTTAGGCAATTAGGTAACCTCCCTGTGCCTGGATTTCCTCATCCACTGGATGAAGTTAGAAATAACATTTCCCTCTTAGGGTAGTTGTGATGATTAGATAAGTTAACTTAGAACACAACCTAGTGCCTAGCAATATATATTAGCTCTATTATTATAAGTATTATTTTTAATAATCATATTTATTGATTGTATAGCAGGGGACCTTAGAGTCACTCTTGAGAAATACAGAACTATTTTAAAAATTTAAAAAGGGGCCAGGCACAGTGGCTCACCCTGTATTCCTAGCACTTTGGGAGGCCAAGGTAGGAGTTTTGCTTGAGGCCTAGAGTTCGAGAACCCTGTGAGCAACGTAGAAAGACCTCAACTCTACTAAAAATTAAATAAATAAAGTAGTCAGATGTGGTGGTGTACGCCTGTAGTCCCAGCTTCAGGAGGCTGAAGCAGGAGGATCGCTCGTGTCCAGGAGTTCAAGGCTGCATTGAGCTATGATTGCTCCACTGCACTCCAGCCTGAGTGACAGAGACTCTGACTCAATCAATCAATCAATCAATAAAGAAGGATCCTCTTAATAGTGAGTACCCAGTCAGGCAAAGACCTCATGTTCCGACTCTTAGCTACAGTGATAATGGAATGGCAGCAACAAAAATTGCAGAATAGAAAATGGAGCGAAATGAGGCTGGTCTTTTTATGCTCTGTTAAAGAACTTGTACATTATTCATAAGTCCATAGAAATCCATCAAAAGGCATTAAAGCAGAAGATGGCTTAATGAGGTTTATATCTGAGATAGATTATTCTGGAAGTGAAATGGGGGGGTGGGAGGCAAGGGAAGAGAGTGGAGGCAGTATATCGGGGAGGTCAGGTAGATGTAATGCTGCTCCTTTTCCAACCAAGAAAGGGTTTCCAGAAAACTTTAGGATTATCCACAACAGTGACTCACAATAATTTGAACATTATAAATCCTTCCTTCTTTGGAGTTCAAACCAGAGCTCAAGCTTGTAATAAAGTACTCTGCCTCAACCACACCCCGCTGTTTTATACAAACATATAGGATAGAGTACCTGGCAGGCATCCTCCCTAGGTTTTGAGCAGCAGATCCTGCAAGGAGAACTCCTGTGAACTATGCAGTCACCAGAGAAAAACTGGACTGTTCTCTGTAGCACCAGAAGCTGAGAAGGGGGTACATCCAGCATCTCACCTGGTGATCCTGTAGATGTTGGGGTAGATTTTCAGGAACTGTGGCAGCTTTGAAGTGTTTGACCTAAGAAATACTGAAATAAACTTCAGTTCTGCTTATCATGCCAGTGGCTAGAATGGGAGGAGCTGCCACAGGGGTGGGAGAGGCCAGAGGAGGAGAGGTGATCTAGGGTTCTTATCTAGGGTTCTGCTCTCCTTGACTCTGCCTAGAATTCTGATGCCATTCTGATACCATTAAATTATCAGCACCAGGGAAAATAACAATATGAGTATTTTCTCTAGTACCTGAGGAGTGAGTATGAATGATTGCATAAGAAAGGAATTCATTCCTGGGGGTCCCTCTGCCAGGAGCAGTTCCTACTTATGTACTCAGCCAAGTTTTATGTATCACCCGCATTTCTTTTTTTTTTTTTTTATACTTTAAGTTTTAGGGTACATGTGCACAACGTGCAGGTTAATTACATATGTATACATGTGACATGCTGGTGCGCTGCACCCACTAACTCGTCATCTAGCATTAGGTATATCTCCCAATGCTATCCCTCCCCCCTCCCCCCACCCCACAACAGTCCCCAGAGTGTGATGTTCCCCCTCCTGTGTCCATGTGTTCCCATTGTTCAATTCCCACCTATGAGTGAGAATATGCGGTGTTTGGTTTTTTGTTCTTGTGATAGTTTGCTGAGAATGATGATTTCCAATTTCATCCATGTCCCTACAAAGGACATGAACTCATCATTTTTTATGGCTGCATAGTATTCCACGGGTATCACCCACATTTCTAATCTTTCAGCTGAAAACATACAAAATGTAAACAGTGAAACAGCTCTTCCTTCTGTTAGAGTTTTTGAGATTGCAGAATCATGGGATATTGTCTTAGACTGTTTAGAGCTAAAAGGAACCTACTCCAGTGGTTCTCAGACTTGATTTAGTATGAGATCTCTTTAAATAAAATCTTATGAAGAAGTCCAATTCCTATGTGAACAGAAAGCAGAGCTGCTTTTGTTGCAGGAGTGTTCTGGCTGGGCAATGACTCTCCTGTTTGTCAGCCTCTAACACAGGATTATCTGAATCACTTCTTTGAACCTCTAGGACCAAGAAGAGCTAAGTCTGAAAGTCATGATTAAATGAATTCCTCCATTTTACAAAGGACAAAAATGAGTCCCAGAGGGTTAACAATTAATTTAGTAGAGTGAAGTAGAGTGAGAGACCCTTAGGGAGGGTGCATAGAAATAAGCTGAAGGTCACTGGTTCAAATTAATGGTAGAGAATAGAGATTAGAGATATTTAGGATCTAGGCTCACCGTATCCTCCACCTCCCAGGTTCAAGCGATTCTCCTGCCACAGCCTCCTGAGTAGCTGGGATTATAGGCATGCACCACCAAGCACGGCTAATTTTGTATTTTTAGTAGAGATGGGTTTTCTCCATGTTGGTTAGGCTGGTCTCAAACCCCTGACCCCAGGTGATCCACCCACCTCGGCCTCCCACAGTGCTGGGATTACAGGCATGAGCCACCACGCCTGGCCAAGAAGAAGGTTTAATTTAGATCTAGAGAAGGATTTCCAATAGAAATGGATACAAAACTTTGCAACTTGGAAATCACTGACCTGGAATCTGTTCAATGTAGCAAAGCTGCATATCTGTCTAGAGAGAATGAAAACTAGTTTTAATTACAGCCTTATATTCAGGTGGAGACTATCAAACAGCTGTTAGTCACCATCATCTTTGGCATTATCAAACATCCATTAAAGGTCTTTACAAGTTAGACACAAAGGCGCTTTTCTTTCTGGACACAGTTTTTGCAGATCCATAGTTTAGACAGACAACAACATGGTGATTTTCTGATGACTTATGGGAGGAATATTACCCAGTTCCAAACTTTTTCTCTTTCCACTCTGTGTTGAAAATTAAACTCAAAACTCACTTGGTTCAGGAAATGTCTACCCACGTGACTCTGCTTGCCATTGTAGCAACTTTTATTCTTAATTTACTTTGTTGAACCTCTGTTCCTCACCCATAAGATAGCAATAAGAAAATTTCTCACTGTTTTTGTATGAAAAAAACGAAACAACCTATCTTAGCTGTTTAGCACAGTGCCTGACACTTAGCAATTATCTAAAAACTTTTAGTTTCTCCTCTGATGTGAATCACTGATGACTTATTAATTTGACTCAGTCAATTTTTTTTTTTTTTTGACAGCGTCTCGCTCTGTCGCCCAGGCTGGAGTGCAGTGGCGCAATCTTGGCTCACTGCAACCTCTGCCTCCCAGGTTCAAGAGATTCTCCTGCCTCAGCCTCCCGAGTAGCTGGGACTACAGGCATGTGCCACCACACCCAGCTAATTTTTGTATTTTTAGTAGATACGGAGTTTCACCATGTTGGCCAGGATGGTCTTGATTTCTTGACCTTGTGATACGCCTGCCTCGGCCTCTCACAGTGCTGGAATTACAGGCGTAAGCCACCGCGCCTGGCTGACTCAGTCAAATATTCTATCAAAATAATAAATTTTCTTATTATTCCTATCTTACCGGTGCATAACAGAGGTTCAGCAAAGTAAATTAAGAATAAAAGTTGCTACAGCAGCAAGTGGAATCAGGTGGGTAGACATTTCCTGACCTGTTAAGTTTTGAGTTTAATTTTCAACACAGAGGGGAAACAGAAAAAGTCTGGAACTGGCTAATGTTCCTCCCATGAGTCGTCAGAAAATCGCCATGTTGCTGTCTGTCTAAACTATGGATCTGCAAAGAATTACAAAAAGATCAAATTTCTCTTTATCTTCCCATCTTTTCTTTTAGAATCCACTCTAATTTCTAGGCCCTGTTACTTTTTGTTTCATCCATTCCTCCCTTTTTTCTTTTATTCTGGAATAATAACAACAATGTTAACTGATGATATAAAGAAAGTGGAGACTAAAGTTGATACCCATATTCAACACTGTAGTTTATCTTTAGTTACAAAGCTTTTAGAATTTCTTTTCCTAAAACATTCACATTTCTTTTTCTTTTTCTTTTCTTTTCTTTTTTTTTTTTTTGGGGGGGGGGGACAGGGTGTTACTCTGTTGCACAGGCTGGAGTGCAGTGGTGCAATCTTGGCTTACTGCAACCTCCGCCTCCCAGGTTCAATTGATTCTTCTGCCTCAGCCTCCTGAGTAAGTGGCATTATAGGTGCCCACCACCACACCCAGCTAATTTTGTAGTTTTAGTAGAGATGGTGTTTCTCCATGTTGACCAGGGTGGTCTTGAACTCCTAACCTTAGGAGTTTGCCAGGCTCGGCCTCCCAAAGTGCTGGGATTACAGGTGTGAGCATCGTGCCCAGCCAACATTCACATTTCTAATGCTTCTTTCATCTTTAGGTGGTTAGAAAACATCTTTTATCTTTAGTTAATAAATTCTATAGCTTTGACCAAGGGTAAGTATCTCTGAAGATAAACTTATGGTCAATTCAGATGAGCAAAACTTTACCCATGTTATTCAAGTGGAAATTCTAGAACTGAAAAATTCAATATCTGAAATGAAAAGTTTGAAGACGCACTTAACAACAGATTCAAGATTTCAGAAGTCTGGAGATTGAGGTTCTTGAGATTGAGGACAAATCAATAGAAATTATCTAATCAATATAATAGAGAAGAAAAAAAGATTGAGATAAGAATGGACAGAGCCTCAATGACGTGTGGGACAATATCAAGAGATCTATATATCCTTGTAGTCACAGAGAGAGAGACAGAAATGGGGAAATGGGGCAGAGAAAATATTTGAAGACATGATGGCTCTAATCCCTCCAAATTTGGTGGAAAACATCAGTTTACAAATATAAGAAGCTCAACAAACACCAAGAAGTATAAATACAAAGAAAATCACACTTTGGAATATTATAGTCAACCTCATGACCACCAAAGATAAAGAGAAAAGCTTGGAAGCAACCAAACATGAAGGACACATTCATACAAAAAGAAAAATAAGATGAACAATGGTTGACTTCTGATGGAGGCCAGAAGACAATGGAATGACACACCCAGAGTCCTAAGAGAAAAACAAATCAATCAACCCAGAATTCTATATCCAGTGAAAATATTCCTCAAAAATTAGGGTAAAATGAAGACTTTTTTTCAGATTTAAAAAAGTGGAAGGAATTAGTCACTTTCAGACTATAAAAAATGACTTTTTTTCATAATATTTTTGAAAAAACAACCAAATGATTAAAGCTAAAACAACAAAAATGTGTGACTGATTTCATAACATATGTGTGTATGTATATATATATATACATATATATAATGACAACAATAGCACAAAGGATGAGGGAGGAGGCATACTGGATTATTCTGTTGTAAAGTTCTTAACTGTATATAAAGTAACTGTATATATACAGTATATACTGTATATATACTGTATATATACAGTATATACTGTATATATAACAGATGATTATACTTAGGATAATAGTATTTACTTGAATACAAAGTATATACTGTATATACAAAGTATATACAGTATATACAGCATATACTGTATATATACAGTATGTACAAAGTATATACAGTATATACCTGGTATATATACAAGTTATATACAGTATATACAGCATATACCTGGTATATATACAAGGTATATACAGTATATACAGCATATACCTGGTATATACTTTGTATTCAAGTAAATACTATTATCCTATATTATATACTGTATCCTATATATACAGTATCTATACTTTATGTATACTGTATACATACTGTATGTATACTGTATAGATACAGTATAGATACTGTATCGATACTGTATCGATACAGTATCGATACTGTATCGATACTGTATCGATACTGTATCGATACAGTATCGATACTGTATCTGGATACAGTATTGATACTGTATCGATACTGTATCGATACAGTATCTATACTTTATATATACTATATATACTGTATATACTTTATATATACAGTATATATAAAGTATATAGTATGTACAGTATATATGGTATATAACTGTATATACAGTATATAACTGTATATAATGTAACACAATACTAATTCTAAGTAGATTATGATAATTTAAGGATTAATACTGTAATCACTAGAACAATCACTTTAGAAAACAAACGGCTAAATACATAGTAGATAAATGAAGATAGAATACCAAAAACAATTTGATTAATTCAAAAGAAGGAATAGAGGAGTAAAGACATGGAAGAAACAGAAATCAAATAGCAAGATGACCCTTCTCAATCATTTCAAATAGTAGAATGGAACACTCCCTTTTCTGAATCCCTTATCATTCTCACAAATTTTTTTTACATTATACCTTGCATGATAAGTATTTGTTTATTATTTTTTTCCTCCTACTAAAGTTCCTCGAGGATTAGTACTGTGGTAAAATAGAAGAAGAGATGAAAACTATGCAGACCTTCAAATTCACTAGCAATTCAATTTAAGGGTCTTCTAGAAGTCTTGTTTGCTCCTATTTGGATAAAAAACCATAAGTAGCCAAGAGTAGGTTCAAGCAATTTTACAATTTCTTGTCATATTTCAAATAATTTTTTTGCCTCCTGACCCATTCATTGATCTAATCATTTCCACATAGTCCCAACTGATCAAGAGGTCACCATAAGCTACATCTAAATCAGATAGCAAAGAGGTTTCTTATTGATGAGGGCCAATTCCAATTAGACATAGTTGCTTTAATGTCAGCCATGGGTATTGTATGGGAGTGGGAAGTGACAGCATGACTGGTGTATATGATGATCTCAATTTCAGGTGTGATGATGCTAATGTTTACTGTGACCAAAATTCCAGAACAAATCCTATAAGTATGTGCTTAGTTGTCAGACATGTGTTCAAATCTGGGAATCAGGAAACAGATGATTATACTTAGGATAATAGTATTTACTTGAATTAGCATGGAAGTTCCTAGAAACAGTCTTATTCAAAAGTTTATCAGTATTTTAGTGTCCATAATGATTCTTCAGATGATGAGATAAAACTTGCTAATTTTGGTCCAAGAGTAAGTGAACTCACTCTATTATTATTATTGATTGTTCTAGCAAGTGCTCCCTAGAGAAGTAGTTTGTAAATAAACACTTTGGAAAAAGTAATGTTTTTATTTGTAGCCTCGATAACCTAGGTATAGATCTATTGAATGTTTTATCAGTAGAAGTTCTTTTTTAGTCCCTTAATTTTCATGCCATATTTTAAAAATCAAAAGAAATGAATTTGCTATTGACTACATAGAAATTTTTAGAATGAATTGATCCTCCTTAAAGCTTACTAAGATGAAAAACTAACTCTAAAGTCATAACCAAATGTTATACAATGTGAGAAAATCAGAATACCCAGAACTAAAACCAGAAAATTAGTATTCGTTTCACTCACACTCAAATATCCTTTTACTCAGTGTCTAGTTCCATTACATTTTTCAAAAATTCTGCCACAGAAGCAGCCAATAACTCTATCAATGTTCATTATCAGGCTTCTGATCAGAGGAGTATCAAGAAGTCATTTTCTAATTCCATTTAAAAAAATAAAGCAAATAATTTTCCTTGAAATTTAATTTGCTCTTGAGAGTCTGATTTTTAAAACCTTATAATCATATGACTCAATGTTCAAAATATGAAATCATCTAAATGTTATGCTTTTCTCTAAAAACACAAAAAGGATAGATGCAAATATGAAAAACAACTCATTTTCATCAAAAGAAGAAAGGGATTACTAAAAACAGCATGAATGTTTGCTTTTTTTTTGACACTACAAGTCTCACTTTCTTTGAACTCCTTTTGTACTTACAATTAATGCAGTTTATAAGTTACTTTTGATTTTTACACATAACAGATTTATTAATAATTTTATGAAGATGTAATTCACGTACTACACAATTCACCCATTTAAAATATCTAAATATCTGTTAAGTCCATTTGTTTTATGGTATAGTTTAAGTCCATCGTTTCTTTGTTGACTTTCTGTCTTGATGACCTGTCTGGTGCTGTCAATGGAGTATTGGAGCCCCCCACTATTATTGTGTTGCTATCTCATTTCTTAGGTCTAGTAGTAATTGTTTTATAAATTTGGGAGCTCCAGTGTTTGGTGCATATATATTTAGGATTGTGATATTTTCCTGTTGGACTAGTCCTTTTATCATTATATAATGTCCTTCTTTGTCTTTTTTGACTGCTGTTGCTTAAAAGTTTGTTTTGTCTGATGTAAGAATGGCTACTCCTGCTTGCTTTTGGTGTCCATTTGCATGGAATGTCTTTTTCCATCCCTTTACCTTAAGTTTATGTGAGTCCTTATGTGTTAGATAAGCCTCTTGAAGATGGCAGATACTTGGTTGGTGAATTCTTACCCATTCTGCCATTCTGTATCTTTCAAGTGGAGCATTTAGGCCATTTATTAATACGTTCAACGTTAGTAATGAGATGTGAGGTACTATTCTATTCATTGTGTTATCTGTTGCCTGAATAACTTGTTGCTGCTGTTGTTGTTTTATTGTGTTTTTGTTTTATAGGTCCTGTAAGATTTATGCTTTAAGGAGGTTCTATTTTGGTGTATTTCAAGGATTTGTTTCAAGATTTAGAGCTCCTTTTAGCAGTTCTTGTAGTGCTGGCTTGGTAGTGATGAATTCTCTCAGCATTTGTTTATTCATTTATAAAGATTAGTTTTTCTGGATACAAAATTCTTGGCTGATAATTGTTTTGTTTAAGGAGGCTAAAAATAGGACCCCAATCCCTTCTAATTTGTAGGGTTTCTGCAAAGAAATTAGCCATTAAGCTGACAGGTTTTCCTTTATAGGCTACCTACTGGTTTTGCCTGACAGCTCTTAAGATTATTTTCTTTGTCTTGATTTTAGATAACCTGATGACTATGTGCCTAGGTGATGATCTTTTTGCAATGAATTTCCCAGGTGTTCTTTGAGCTTCTTGTATTTGGATGTCTAGATCTCTAGCAAGGCCAGGGAAGTTTTCCTCAAATATTCCCTAAAATAAGTTTTCCAAACTTTTAGATATCTCTCCTTTTTTGGGAACACCAATTATTCTCAGGTTTGTTCATTTAACATAATCTCAAACTTCTTGGATGCTTTGTTCATTTTTTAAATTATTTTTTCTTTGTCTTTGTTGGAGTGGGTTGATTCAAGAGCCTTGTCTTCCAGCTCTGAACTGTTTTCTTCTACTTGTTCAATTTTATTGCTGAGAATTTCCAGTGTATTTTGCATTTTTCTAAGTGTGTTCTTCATTTCCAGAAGTTGAGATTTTTTTTATTTATGCCATCTACTTCTCTGGAAATTTTTCCATCCATGTCCTGTAACATTTTTAAGATTTCTTTAAGTTGATATTCACCTTTCTCTGGTGCCTCCTTAAGTAGCTTAATAATCGACCTTCTGGGCCAGGCATGGTTGCTCATGCCTGTAATCCCAGCACTTTGGGAGGCCAAGGCGGGCAGATCATCTGAGGTCAGGAGTTTGAGACCAGCCTGGCCAACATGGCAAAACCCTATCTCTAATAAAAATACAATAATTAGCCGGGTGTTGTTGCGTGTGCCTGTAGTCCCAGCTACTCAGGAGGCTGAGGCAGGATAATCACTTGAAGCCGGGAGGCAAAGGTTGAAGTGAACCAAGATTGCACCACTGCACTCCATCCTGGGGGACACAGTGAGACACTGTCTCAATAAAATAAAATAAAATAATAAAATAAATCGACCTTCTGAATTCTTTTCCTGGCAATTCAGAGATTTCTTCTTGGTTTGGATCCATTGCTGGTGAGCTGGTATGATCTTCTGGGGGTGATTTAAAAAAAAAAAAAAAAAAAAAAAAAAAAAAAACCTTGTTTTGTCATGTTACCAGAATTGTTTTTCTGGTTCTTTCTTATTTGGGTAGACTATGTCAGAGGGTAGATCTGGGGCTCAAGGGCTGCTTTAAGATTCTTTTGTCCCACAGGGTGTTCCCTTGATGTGGTGCTGTTCCCCCTTCCCCTAGGGATGGGGCTTCCTGAGAGCTTAACGGCAGTGATTGTTATTTCTCTTCTGGGTCTGGCCACCTAGTGGAGCTTCCGAGTTCTGGGCTGGTACTAGGGAGTGTTGGCAAAGGGTGCTGTGATGTGATCTGTCTTCAGGTCTTTCAACAGCAATAGTATAGGGAGGATACAAGTTTGCCCTAGGGTTGTCTGGATAAGTTTTGTGTTGGTTGGCCTCCAGCCAGGAGGTGGCGCTTACAAGAGAGCATCAGCTGTAGGTAGTATAGGGAAGGAGGATACAGGCTTTCCCTAGTGACACCTGGATAAGAATTTGGGTTTCTCAGGTGGTGGGTGGGGCCGTAGAGCTCCGGACAGATTATGTTCTTTATCTCTGGCTACCAGGGTGGGTTGAGAAAGACCATCAGGTTGGGGCAGGGTTAGGGGTGTCTGAGCTCAGACTCTCCTTGGGCA
Source organism: Homo sapiens (assembly GCF_000001405.40). Classification (NCBI taxonomy): domain Eukaryota; kingdom Metazoa; phylum Chordata; class Mammalia; order Primates; family Hominidae; genus Homo; species Homo sapiens. The sequence continues at coordinate 98,613,047 of NC_000003.12, forward strand.
GGGCTTGCTGCAGCTGCTGTAGGGGATGAGGGTGTGGTTCTCAGTCCAATGGAGTTATGTTCCCAGGGCAATTATGGCTGTCTGTGCTGTGTCATGCAGTTCACCAGGGAAGTGGGGGAAAGCTAGTGGTTACAGGCCTTACCAAGTTCCCACACAGCCAGAAAGGCCAGTCTCACTCCCACCCTGCCCCCACAACAGCACCAAGTTTATAGCCAGGCGGCCAGTGAGCAGGGCTGAGAACTTGTCCCAGGCTGCAAGCCCCTCCACTGAGAACGAAAGCAGGGCTTTCAGGTTTCATGCCTCCCCGCCTGCCACAGCTTCTGTGCTGAGTCCGCACTCTCAGTTCCTCCCTTTCTCCGGGTTCCGTCCCAAAAACTTCACATTGGGTTGAAATTGTTACAAAGCTCAGCTGAAAGTTTCCTTCTCCCTGTGGTCTTTCCCCAATTTCACAGGCAGCCCTCCCTAAGGACCCCTGTGAGCAAAGTCAGAAATGGCTTTCCTGGGGACCGAGAGTGCCCACAGTGCTCTTCCTGTTGCTTAGAAGTAGAGACCCCTGTATTTCACTGGCTCTCTAAATTTGTCTCAGCTCCAGGTAAGGTCAAATACTTCTCCCATGATTTGGGCCTTCAGGTTCCCCAGTGAGGATGTGTGTTTGGGGGCAGAGCAGATGATCCCCCTTTCACACTTTCACACTTTGGGCACTCACAGTTTTTCAGCTGTCTCACGGAACCTGCAGCGCCAATCCACTTCCTTTACAGAGTCTGTGGATTCTCTCGGCACTCCTGATACATTCCTGTGGTAGTTCTTAGAGCAAAAGTTCGCAGTGTGAGTCTCCACATGCTGCTCTGTCCATCCAAGTGGGAACTGCAAGTTAGTCCTGCCTCCTATCTGCCATTTTTTTGGTACCATCATTTTTAAATATATTATAATTGAAAGGAACTGGTAAAGAAAACATAGGATTTCTCTGCATTATTTCTTACAACTACATGTTAATCACAATTATGTTAAAATAAAATACAATTTAAAAAACTCCTAGCAAAGTAGGGATAGGTTAGAACTTCCAAATTTGATTTAAAAAAATAGTTCTAAATACATACAACAAACATTATACTTCATGTGAAAATATTAAAAGTTTTTCTTCAATATCATGAACAAGACAAGTACCTGTTCTCACCACTTTTATCCAGCACTCTATTAGAAGTTCTAGCTAGTGCAATAAAGCAAGATAATGACATAAAAATTATAAGATCAGGAAAAGAAGAATTAAAACTGTCAGTATTCACAGATAACATGGCTATACATGTAAAACTTCCAAAAAAAGGAGAGATAATTTTTTAATTAATAGATGCATTTGCTAAGATATTGGATGCAGAGTCAATACATAAAAATAAATTCTATATGCTAGAAAAAAATTTGAATATGTCATTTTCAATCTAATCAAATAACATTAAATCCTTCAAAGGTTCATGTCACCTCACCAGGTAAAGAACCACAGCCAACTGAGGGACTTGCTGAGGCAAAGGGAATATTGGAGGTAGAGTGGAAGAAGGTAGGTAGTTACAAATACCAGCTATGACCACATGACCAGTTACCAAAATCAGAACTATAATTGTCATATTTGCTCATTTTTGTTATAAATACATTTGTATGTGTGTGTACAAAGCAAATATTTTTCCTTTCTTATCACCTTAACATGTAACATAAGATATATTGACTTTATATCATAGAATTTAAGTATTATTAATGTTGCATCACAGTGTGTAAGTTACAGGACATCAAGAAGAGTAAATATCAGCCAAAGACTTTGCATCTTCTTCTGGGGAAAGGATTGGTGCATTTTCAGTTGTACCCACATAATTCCATACCTCATGTTAGGTAGAGGTATAACCTTATTATTGTCCTTATTTGAAGATTTAAATATGGTTTAGGAGATGGGTATGAGTGCCAAGGTGACAAGGAGTGAGCTTGTGATGGTTAATTTTCTGTATCAACCCTTCTAGGCCACAGTGTCTGGATAGTTGGTCAAATGTTATTCTGGATATTTCCAAAAGGGTGTTTGTGGATGAGATCAACATTTAAATTGGTGGATTTTGAATAAAGCAGATTGTCTTCCATAATGTGGGTTGGGTTCGTACAATTAGTGGAAGGCCTTAATAGAAGAAACAACTGACTTCCCCCAAACAAAAGGGAATTCTGTCAGCAGGTGGTCTTCACATTTCAACTGCAACATGGACTCTTCCTGGCTGTTTGTGGAGCAGGTAGAAGAGGGACAATGGGGGAACTGTACTTTCTGCTCAGTATTTCTGTGGACCTAAACACTTCTGTAAAAAATAAAGTCTTTTTAAAAAGGAAAATAATACTTTTCTAACATTATGAAGAAACACACTAAAGGCTTAGAAAAAGGGAGGCTGGTTAAAAGGTTAATTCAATGAAGTAATAAGGGTTTTAGCTGAGATACGCTACAAGAAGTTGGTGAATATACCTCCTAACCTTTTTTTTTTTTTTTTTTGAGATGGAGTCTTGCACTGTTGCCCAGGCTGGAGTGCAATGGCGCAATCTTGGCTCACAGCAACCTCCACCTCTCGGGTTCAAGTAATTCTGCCTCAGCCTCCTGAGCAGCTGGGATTACAGGCATGTGCCATCAGCCCTGGCTAACTTTTGTATTTTTATTAGAGACAGGGTTTCGCCATGTTGGCAAGGCTGGTCTTGAACTCCTGACCTCAAGTGATCCTCCCACTTTGGCCTCCCAAAGTGCAGGATTACAGATGTGAGCCACTGTACCCAGCCTCCTCTTAACCTTTCTAATGCTATTTAACTGTCTGCCTTTTAACTGTGAGAAGAAAGATAAATTTAGCCTTATCCTTTTCTGAATTGATGAAAATGAATTTTGAATTGCCAACCTACTAATTAACAAATTTCAGACATATTTATAATGGAAACAATGCTACAACTGAAATAGCACAAGTTTCATATGTATTGACTTAAAGCATGGCAATAAATTTGTTTATTGATGGACTCTATATTTTTAAAAAACTGTGACTAGTCCCACATTACCAACAGTAATCCTAATACCTTGAGACATAAAAATACAGTAATAAGAAGTTATCTTTATTATTTTTTTAAAAAATCATTATTTAAAGTCATATGGTTGTATGTGTAAACATTCCAAAAGAATTACGGGTAGTTTTAGAATTTGTAAGTGTATTAGCAAAGAAACTAGATGTGAAGTCAATATACAAAAATCAATTCTATACACTAGCCAAAAAAGAAAAAAAGAAAATATGCCATTTACAACATAATCAAATAATGTTAAACACTTAGAGATATATAACACAAAATGTATGTACAAGGCCTCTACATAAAAAACTATAAGCATTATTGTGAAAAATTAAGGACGATCAAGTAAATTAGAGAATATAAGACATAGATTTTTAAATCAATATTATAAAAATGTCAACTTCTGGAACTGACCCATGGAGCCAATATAATCCTAGCCAAAATCCCAATAAGTTATTTTTGTTGTTATTAAGAAATAGACAAGCTGATGATATAATTTATATTGAGGCAAGTATAGTCAAGTCACTGTTAAAGAAGAACACCAGAGGAGAATTTGCTCTACTGAGTACCAAGTCCTATTGTAAAGCTACAGAAATTAAGCGTGTAGTACTGGCACAAAAACACAGTCAGACTATTGAAACAGACTAAAAAATGCAGAAACAGACTATGCAATTGTGACAAAAGTAACTGCAAGAACAATGGGTAAAGATGGTTTCTTTAATAAATAATGCCAGGCCAATGTGTTAATTTTCTATAGCTGTTGTAACAACCACAAACTTAATGGTTTAAAACAGTATCAGTTTACTATTTTAATGTTAGGTCAGAAGTATAGCACAGGTCTCACAGGGCTAATATCAAAGTGTTTGTAGAGCTCTGCTGTTTTCTGGAGGTTTTAGGAGTGAATTATTTCCTTGCTATTTCCAACTTCTAAAGACCACTCACGTTCCCACCATGTGCCACACCAGATCATGACCCCTTTCTCCATCTTCACAGTGAGCAATGTTATATCTCTCTGTCATTCCCTAGTCACAGTCCCCTCTTACTACAGCGTGAAATTGTTCTTGCAATTTAAGGACCCGTTTAATTAGATTGGGTCCACTGACATGATCTAAGATAATCTCCTTATCTCGAGATCACATCTGCCAAGTCTTCTTTGCCATGAAAGGTAACATATTCACAGTCTCCAGTGATCAGGACATGGACATCTTTGTGGGGCCATCATTCCGCCTAGCACAGTCAATTATACATTCCTATGTAAAAAATAGGAAACATTTCTCTATCTCTCACCACACACAAAAATCAGTTCCAGATGGACTGTAACTCTCAATGTGAGAGTGAAAAATAAAGGTTTAGAAGATATAGAAGGATGTCTTCATGATATTGGGGTAGTGAAGAATTTCATAGCCAGAATACAAAAAACAAAAACAAAAAACAAAAAAAACCCCTTAAGATTGAGAAAATGACCTAGATTAAAATTAAGAACATCTTTTTATTAAAAGATTCTATTAAAAAGTGAAATGAAAGCCACAGAGTGAGAGAAGGCATATGGAGCAAATGTCATCAATGAAGGACTGTGTCTAAGTTTGGGATTCACTGAAAGCAGGGGCTGAGAAAAGGGCTGTGTGCAGGAGCTTCCAGAGATTCTGGTATGCTTATACTTCACAATTCAAATTAACAGAAAACAAAGGGGAAAAATCTGGTCTTACATGTAACAGTTAACATTTACTAAATGCTTTCTATGTGCAAAGCTTAGTTCTAAGCATTATTTTGTGCATCGATTCTCTTAACACTTCAATCAGGCCGAAGAAGTGGGGACACTTACAATTCCTACTGCAAAGGAAGCTGAGTTACAGACTAGTTAGTGTCCTAAAGCTGGTAAGCATGGTTTATGAAAGCAGGGATTTTTGTCTATTTCATTTGCTGCTGCATTCCTAGTGCCCAGAAAATTGCCTTGAATAGAATACAAAGAAAGGATTCAAACCCAGACTATCTCTGGTAAAGCCTGCATTCTTAACCATGGCATTACATAGCTCACAATATCACTCATTCATTTAAAATCTCCTATTCAGATCCAAGTTATAAGAATCAAGATAATACAAGTATAGGAAAATAAAAAATAATCACAAAATTTCATCCATTAATCTAGATTTCTTAGAGGAAAGGAGGGTGAGAGAAATCAAAGACCTGAAGAATGTTTTAAAATACTTCTCTTCCCCACCTTTTAGCCCTTGCCAATGAACTTCACAGATTACAGAAACCCACCTTCATCACTCTTCTCCCAACACCTTAACCTAATACCCGCATGACCCTTTTCCAGGTGAAGGACATGTTGGTGTTGGCTGTTAGTTCAGCAGTCCTGTTTCCAGCCCCTGGGTCATATTAAGCTGAAATCAAAACCAAATACATATTCCTCTAAGATGCAGACAGCCAGGGTCTTCACACTGAATATTGAGCATTTCTTCCTCAGCAGTCCAGGAACTCCAGGAGTTCAAGGATGCTGGCCAAGAAATGAGTGTCCAAACTATCGATCATTGTAGAAGTGTCTTGTTGACGGTGGTGGTGGTGGCAGCGGGGAGGTGTTTGAAACAGACGTAGAAAAGTTCATGCAATAGTGTACTCCTATTTTAAGAGATGATTACCAGTATAAGTTTATAGAATACAGACAAGCCTCTTTTGAGATATCACAATTTCCCTTCTCTAGGGAGATGGCCATGTTGTATTTTGATGGATGAGGGAAATATTCAAATTATTATTCATAATTTTTCATTAAAATGTACATTTAAGTGGATCACAAACCAACATTTGTCAATTGAAGTGGCTATTACAGTGACTTTAGATACAAGTTTTTGGTATCTGTGATTATGTCTCCAGAGAAACCACAGTCTAAAATACTAACGAGTTTCAATTTTCTGTTCATTTTATTTTCTATGAAATATACTTATGTGTATATATATCCATCATCATATGAAATTAATATGCTTGTTTATTGCTATTTCACTGAGCCTATTGAAAGTGAATTATGTATAGTTTTCTTAGAATGCGTTAAGCTTATATACAGTAATCTTTCATTCAGTCACAAAACTATATTTATTTTGAAAGCTCTAATTTCACATGCTTTTATTTGGACTATATATAATAAAGTTCCAGGCTGTAGACAATAATTTAGAAGAAACATAGGCATATTTAGAGGACTAAGAAATAAATTTCAATATTGTACATAGGAGTATTTACTATTTATCAAATTGAATATTTTGTTTACTATATTTTCATTTTTTAATATAGATGAGTTCATAAGTATCACTAAATGCATTTTAAATTTTTGTATCCTAATAGTTCTTTTCATATTTTAACATTAACAAATCAGAAAAAGAAAGCATTTATTTGAATACAATGAGATGAATGATATATTAGAAAGAACCTGGATTTTTAGAGTCAAAGCTGGATGAGTTCAAATATTGACTCTGCCACTAACTAGCTGTGCAACTGTAGGTGAGTAACTTGACCTCTCTTAGATTTTGTTTTTCACCGTCACAAAAGGAGTAATAGCAGCTGCCTAGCAAGGTTGTTGAAAATGATTTTATGCATCAATTTTTCAACACTTAAGCATTTCTAAATCTTACAACTCTATAACACAAGCATTGAAATAAATAAACCTCTCCTTCACCCAGTTATCCTACAGTTGTCAATGTCTCAAAAATGTAGTGCCAAAATTAAAATATAAACATAACAAAAATGTGACACCTGAAATAAAATACAAATATGACGAAATAGTAGGCAAAACCTTCTCAAGTCCTTATTTATCTCTTATTACCATGTAGCACTGGTCACCTACTTCTGCGAGGCCCTAGGTATAAGTGTGTGTTAGATGGCTGGACCCTTAGAATATGAGTCACTGCATGGTTACAACAGGATGAGCATCTCTTAGAATCCGGTCACTAAACTGCTTCTTGAAAAATGAACAACAGCCCTGAAGCTTCAGAAGAGGCTCACCTCCAGAGTCCTCTGCTGCTAAAAGGAGGACTGGTTAGACCTGGGCAAGACCAATGTAATCACCAAAACCAGTGCCCATCAGCAGATCCAGAAGCTGACAAAAGATGGCCTGAACACCAGCAAGCCTGTGACTGTTCATTCTAGGATTGATGCCAGAAAAATACCTTGGTCCCCTGAAAGGGCAGCCATATAAGTGAAGGTAAGCAAAAGGGGACTGTCAATGCTTGACTGCCTAAGAAGTTAACTTGAATGTGAAGGATGAGATTTCTGCACCTGCTGCTCAGAAAATGCTGTGGATCTAGTTTAACCCCACATGTTTCATAGCTCATACTTAAACACAAAAGGAAATGTGTTCAAAAACAAGTGGATTCTCATGGAACATGTCTACACGTTGAAGGCCTACAAGGGCTTCTGGCTGACTAGGCTGAGGCTCACAGGTCTAAGTTCAAAGGAGCAAGTAAGTACCATGAGGAGCATCTTCAGACCAAGAAGGAGGAGATCATCAAGGCTAAATCAAGAAATAAATAATAAGTAAATAATCCCCTCTCTTGTCTGTACATAGTGGCTTCATCAATTATATAAGTCAATCATTCAATAAAACAATTCTATCTACCTGAGAAGGAAAAAAATGAATTGTATTTGCTTTTCTGTCAACTCTCTGGTCATATTGACCAGTCAACCAAGTAAAAATCTAGGTCATTTTCACATGAACTACTGTTTAATAAGATACCCTCTTTCTATTGATAAGATATTGATTTACCAATCTGAAATATAGGATTTTTTTTGGGGGGGGGACAGAGTCTTGCTCTGTCACCCAGGCTGGAGTGCAGTGGTGCAATCTTGGCTCACTGCAAGCTCCGCCTCCTGGGTTCACGCCATTCTCCTTGCCTCAGCCTACCAAGTAGCTGGGACTACAGGTGCCCGCCACCACGCCCGGCTAATATATATATATATATATATATATATATATATATATATATATATATATATAGTATTTTTAGTAGAGACAGGGTTTCGCCGCGTTAGCCAGGATGGTCTCAATCTCCTAACCTTGTGATCTGCCCACCTTGGCCTCCTACAGTGCTGGGATTACAGGTGTGAGCCACCGCATCTGGCTGAAATATAGGATTTTATGTTTATTTTTACTTATGTCTAATGATATTAACTTTAGCCTATTTGGTTTAACCTGTCAAGTTCTGTAGACCTTGTTTCTGTCACTCAGCATGCTAATTATTCCTTTCAGATTTGTGAAATTTTTACATCTAATTAGATGTTAAAACTCAATGCAGCTAAATTTTTCGCTTAGAAAAAAGGACATGACTGATGCAATGCCTTATATCATATCACCAAAACTTTTGCTAAATTATTCCCAATCCAATAAATAGCCTTCTTTGATTTTCAGATGCCAGTTGGCCTATGTTATCATCCAGTGCAAATGTCTGCATCTTGCCATGAAGATATCATAAAAGTCTTTAGTTGTATTTTGGCATTTCCCTCCAGTATTCTTTAAACATTACCAATAGCGCTTCCCAAGTCACTTCTGGAAGTCATTATTTCAACCAAAGAATAAAGCTCACTTAGACCTGGACATGTATCCTGATGTAAATCATCTAGACACTTTGGTTTGGTTTTGGTACTACCCTACCTGGACTTCTCTTCTACTGTATTTATGTTTCTCTGTTAATATCTGAGGGAGCTTTTTTTACATATGATTCTCTCTGTTATACAACTCTAGTTGCTCTGCTTTCTCTCCCTCCTTGGTAAATGTTGCACTTTTTGTCCTATTAGTGTCTGTCTCCCTCCCTACCTTGTTCTTCTTGGTCAAAAATTTTCCCTCTTCTAGACCTACCATATACTTCCCTCTTCAAAACTCTTTTTGTTGGCCTTAGCTTTAAAAATACACATATATTACCTGAACACACATGAAAGTTTATATTTTCTGATATTCTTTTTTTTTTTTTTTTTTTGAGATGGAGTATCGCTGTTGTCACCCAGGCCAGAGTATAGTGGCACCATCTCGGCTCACTGCAACTTCCACCTCCCAGGCTCAAGTACTTCTCCTGCCTCAGCCTCCCAAGTAGCTGGGACTACAGGTGCACCCCACCAGGCCCAGCCAATTTTTTGTATTTTTAGTAGAGTTGGGAAGTTGCTATGTTGGCCAGTCTGGTCTGGAACTCCTGGCCTCAAGTGATCTGCCCATTTGGGCTTCCCAAACTGCTCAGAATACAGGCGTGAGCTGCCGCACCTGGCCTATGTGGAGCTTCTATTAAGGAAAGGCATGGTGCTAATTCTCTAGAAAAGGCATTTGTTAGGTTCCTTTTTCAAAATGAATAATATATATATATATATGATTATAAAAGTTTGAAAAATATGGAAAAGAGAAAAGGAAAAAAGTCACCTGTAAATATACCATAATAGCACACTGTTACTGATGTTGATGATGTGGTTGTTACTGATGTTGATGATGTGGTTTTTTTCCATTCTTTTTTTTTTTTTTTGAGACAGAGTTTTGCTCTTGTTGCCCAGGCTGGAGTGCAGCGGCTCAATCTCAGCTCACTGCAACCTCCACCGCCCGGGTTCAAGTGATTTTCCTGCCTCAGGCCTCCTGAGTAGCTGGGATTACAGGTGCCCACCATCACGCCTGGCTAATTTTTTGTATTTTTAGTAGAGATGGGGTTTCATCATGTTGGCCAGGTTGGTTTCAAACTCCTGACCTCAGATGATCCACCCGCCTTGGCCTACCAAAGTGCAGGGATTACAGGCGTGAGCCACCGCGCCCGGCCCCATTCTTTTCTTCTACAAATTGCTAAGGTTGGTTTTAAGTGTTTAGATAGCAATATTTCTTAATAATGTCTAACCACAAGAACAGTGTGTTTGTTCCTTCGTGCTGCCATATAGGAATACCTGTGGCTGTGTAATTTATAAAGAAAAGAGGTTTGTTTGGCTGATAGTTCTGCAGGCTGTACAAGAAGCATGATGAGGGTCTCAGGAAGCTTTTACTCATCTTGGAAGGCAAGGGGAGCCAGCATGTCACATGGCAAGAGGGGGAGCAAGATTGAGAGGACAGGGAGGTCCCAGAGCCTTTTTAACAATCAGATCTCCCATGGAGTCATTACCACGGGGAGGGCACCAAGCCATTCATGAGGGATCCACCCCCATGACCCAGACAGCTCTCAGTAGGCCCCACCTCCAATACTGGAGATCACATTTCAATATGAGATTAGGAGGGAACAAATATCCAAACCATATCCAACAGGGATAATTTATTCATATGTATCTAGCACTGTGTTTGGCCCAGGTGGCATGATGGAATCCTGGAATGTCTACATGGAAGAATACAATAGATCACCCAGAAATATCCAAACTCTCATAACATCTCCCAGTAGGTAAAATCTGTATCTTTCAGATTTAGTATCTTGTAGATTTAATAGTAACAGTAATAATTCAGATTTCATTGACACTTGTTCATCTGCTCACATAGGATCCTAATCTCCTTAAAATGTCCCCAAATTTTGGAGGAAGTTCAGGTAATGTTTTACATATACTATGAAAAAAAAACAATTAATTATCTAATGAGTTACCACTTTATTTCCTCTTCACCTGCTGTAACCTCATAGGCGGGATACTGCAGAGTGCCCTGGAGCTGCTGCCTCCCCAGAGATGCTGCCATGAAGGTCCTGTGAGCTCTCACATGCCAAGGCAGTACAGGGGTCTGTGGAGAAGAAGCATAGACTGTTCTCTTTTCCTCTACTATTACAGGGTCCACTGGTAGTGCCATTTCTGTCTTATGGAATTTTTACTGAAACAACTTTTTAGGAATGTACTTAAACCATTACTACTCAAAGTGTAGTCCATGGACCAATAGCATTCGGCAGCATTGTTAGAAATGCAGAATCTCAGGCCTCCACAATCAGAATCTGCATTTTAACAACAGCCCCAGGTGATTCATATGCAAGTTACTCTTTGAGAAGCACTGACTCAAAGCACCTCTCTCTTCTTGGGACTAAGGCATTAAATTCAACTGGGACAAGAGCAGTCAGGAAACAAAAGTTCTCAGGAAGCTGCCTCACTCCTCACTGCCTCAAGAGATAGACTTTGGTGACCTGCCACTTCTAATGAGGTTCAAGCAGACTCGGCTTAGGCTCAAACTAGGAATCCACCAGATGCATGAGAAATCTTGCTCTTTACTTACACATGAAATATATTTTTATTTAATCAACATTGTTTCAGCATGTATTATTTACAAAATACTCCATTATGGGTTGTACATATACCAAAACAAGTGAAACAGTCTTTGCCCTCAAGGGATGCAAATTAAGGTGTATGTTGGGGCAGGTGGGGACCTTTGGGATATAGTAAAAGGAGGGGGCCAAAATGTTCCCAGCTGAAACAGTCTTCTGTAGTTTGGAGAAACCACTAACACCTCTCATATTTACAGCCTATGTAGGCTTGTTTTCCAGGTGGAATGCCCATCTTCCATTTCCATTTCTCTACGTTCTTGTTTACTTTCCAGGGCCAATTTAAAATGCCAATTTACTAATAAAACCTGCCCTATTCCCCTCAGCTAATAATGGTGTTGACATCTCAGAACTCCCATCATATCCCACCTTAAGATCAGTTATGTGTGTTGGGGTCTTATGGAGAAAGGAGGGAGATGTAATGGTACCTCATAGACAAAATGCATTTTAGCCAGTCTTCTTAGATTCACCATGGGATCCAGCATGTGGTGCCATAATAGTTTTTGAAGAAAGAAAAAAAAAATAAAGGTAATGCATCCTTTCTGTTAATGCCTCACTACTCAGGAAATATATCAGAGAGAACCACAATCAGAGAGAAGAAGAGAGAAAACACTGAACACTGACTGGGATAGTAAGAGCACTAACCCCCTTTCTCTTCACTGTTTTCTCTGGTTTGATTGGTTCTTTCATCTAGAAACAATGTCCTCGTTGGTAGATTAGTAGCTGTTAATCTCAGCTGAATGGAATTTCAGCTTATAAGAAGTGGGCTGGCTATATTCCTATTAGTATTTAAGAAGTCCCTTACCTTAGTGGGTGGTACTTTTTATGGCTGGATTTCCCTAAAGCTGAGATGGAATATGAAATCCACGGTCCCTTCTCTGAAGAATGTGGAGTTGCTATTAACCGAGTAGCATCTTATGAGCTGCATATCAGTGATGCTTACTTATCCATGGTTAGTATGGGTTCTTGAGCAACTGAGAGGGAGGTTTCAGCTCTGCTCTGGGTGATAATATAACTTCTATCTTCTTAATAATAGTTCTTATGGCCATATTGGTAGTTGGATACCAGATGAAACAGCAACTCAGTGGTTGGGATATTGCTGCTCTGTGGCCCTATATTAAAAGCTATGGGCTTTGATAGGGAAAGTTACAGTTCTTTCCAGTGTGTTGCCAAAACTACATGGGCATCAAACACTGGTGATAGACTGAATAAACAATTTTATACCTATATGCTATTTCAAAATTAACATAGATGTGTTAGGATTGATGAAATAGATTTTTAAAATGTAAATTTATGCTAGATTTGTGTCATATCTACACAATTAAAGGATATAAGTGCTAGCATCTAAGTTCAAAACTATGACCCTTGAAGAAGCCATAAGAGCAAGACATTAGGCACCAGTATATTAGGATCTGGATGGCTGATCTTTGAGGTAGACTAGGTTCTGGGGGACAGCCAGAGCCTTCTGAAGTCAAAGAACAAACAGGATCCAAGACTGACCAAAGAAGGCCTCTTCCTGGACAACCACTGAGACAACAAAGTGAGTTTGTGTGCAATTCAGGTCTTAAAACTATTTTACCTCATCCTCAGCCTCCCCCTTTTCTTACATTTGACCAGGCCTGTTATTACAGTGAAGATATGAGAATGCCTCCTTTTGCCAAGTTCTTCTCGGAGCAGGCTGAGTTGAAAAGGGAGCATGCAAAGCAGTTCCTAAGATATCTAAGAAAACGTGAGGGTATTATCTGCCTTCCAGTTATTAAGGTGAATGTCAAACTTTGTTTTGACTTCTGTGGGGCCTTTTCCAGGTCTAGAGAATTAAACTGATTAGTTGCTATGTAACATTTTAGGTTACTCATGTTCCTACATGGGCTTCTTAGCAACTAACTGACTCTGAAAGCAAGTATATGTCAACATCATTTGGGGTAAATTTTAGCCACTAAATGCTTGTTTGGCTTGTCTTAATGAGCGTCACAAAGTTTGGTCGCTGGGTTGTCAGCATCACCTGGGGACTCACTAGAAATGCAAATTTGTGGCTCTCACCCCAGACATAGGCCCAAAGAGCTACAACTTAACAAGCTCTCCAGATGATCCTAATGGTATGTGTAGTTTGAGAAGCGCTACTCTAATGCCTTCTTCTCAGAGGTGTTAGCGTCCTATTTCAGATTGTTAATCTAATTCAGGTACATGTTCAGGTATTTAATATGGCTGTCTCTTTAAAGTAGTAAAACAAACTTTTTTTGTTTGGGCACACACTCCAAAGAAACAACCTGAGCCTTAGTTGGGACTATTACATCCAGGAACATCCCTAATTTTCCTAAGGTGGTTGTTTTGGTTGTTTTTTAACTCCTGCTTTATAAAAAGAAGTAAATGTGTGCTAATGAGAGATGGACCACCATCATAGAATTCCAAAGCTAATGCAATACTTGTATGTGTACCTGTGCTAGTAGTACCCTTGCTCTGTAGCACATTAAAATCACCTGGGAATCTTTTAAAACTCATGATGCCCATGTTGCATCCCATACCAATTAAGTCACAGTGTCTACGATTGAGAGCCAAGTATTAACATTTAAGATTCTCAGCTGATTCCATTGCACCTCAAAGTTTGGAGACCATTACACTATGCAAACCTAGTCATGGTCCTATGCAGGAAGCAGAATGCAACAAAACTGTGCCTGAAGTAAAAAAGCGACTCTCCTGTTCCTCTTCAACAGAGGCCCAACATAGATAACTGGGGAAATGGCTTACAAGCCCTGAAGTTTGCTGTGCAGTTGGAGAACACATTAACCAATGTCCTACAAGACCTGAAAATCACAGCTACTAAGGATGATGAAACTGGTGTAAGTAGTTAGCTGGTTCTGACAAACAGTGTCATCTTTCACTTCTGGATTATGATTTGCTTCTGAGAAAGGGGACCAAGGCAATAGATCACCCAACATGTGTTTTTTTCCCTGGAAGGAAGTCTGGGAACTTATTTCTAGGAGTAGTTCGGGAGTGGGCAGATAGCTGTCCTGGTGAAGAAAAGTGAAATTTAGTGTATGGTGAAAACATCTTCCTAGGAGTAATGCACTCTGTAAAATTAAATAAAACAATTGTTCTGTTGCTGTTGGCTTGTAAATATCCTAAACCAGAAATGCTTAAGCTTTACTGAGCACAAGAATCACTTGGAGTGCTTACTAAAACACACTTCTAGGGCTCACTCCCAAAAGTTGTTTATTGGGTTGGTTTTGTATAGGTCTCAAGAATGTATTTCTAACAAATCTAGGTGGTGATACAGCTGGCTGATGGCCACAGTTTGAGAACTACTGTTCTAGACTGTTACTGCAAAAGTAGATGTTAATGGTGACCTATTACAATACAGACCTCTCTGAGGTCTTCCTGGTTATTGGTAAGCACTCTACCTCAAAGTGATAACTTCTTTCTAACTTCCTAGCTTCTCAGGAAGTCAAAGTGAAGAAAATGGGCCTAGTTACAATAGTTCTCAACTCCAGACACATGTTGGACTCAGTGAGGAGCTCTGAAATGGTACAAATGCTCGAACCTTATGCCAGATCACTTAAATTTTAATCTTTAGGAATGAGGTCTGGGCAGCTACTCAAAATCTCTATGTGATTCAAATAATCAGGATTGAAAACCATTGCAGTAGTAGCCTGTTAAAGTAACCTGTACTTTTAATAAGACAACCTAATACTCATACCCATTGAAAGTAGGTGCTTGTATTCACCTAAAGGTCTTGAATATCTTAGATCAGTGCTGCTGGATCTTCAATATGCATATGAATCACCTAGACTTTCTTAAAATTCAGAGGCTGGTTTAGTAAATCTGGAGTGGAGCCTGAGATTTTGAATTTCTGACATGCTCCCAGGACTGCTGGTCCCTGGGCTACAATATAGGTAGATTCTTGTTGCAGACATGGTCCTCAATGTGGGTGCTTCCCTGTTTTATTTCTATAGCTCATAGACTTCGTAAAGGAGTTCATAGATAAACAGACAGCAAGCATAGCTTTTCTGGAATACCATCAGAAGCTATTAGAAGAGTCCCTCCAGCAGAAAGGCCTGTCTGAAAAGTCTGCTGAGTCTGCTGAGACATCAGTTGAAGAGACCTAACTTCTGAAGGCAGCAGCACAGCAAGTCTTGCCATTATAATGATCTCAGAGTCAGCTACTTAAGAGTCTTGGTCAGTTCCACTTGCCTGAAGACTGCTTTCCTTTTTATCTAGTTTCCTAATCCTCTTTGCTGTGCATGCAAATAAATCTGCTTTGCATTATAACTATGTGTAAAAATATTGGTAGAACTAATGCTTCCAGTGCTCCAATAGCAATGTGGAATTGGTATAAAAAGCTTCCTGAGACAGTGGGTGTGTTAGGCTAAAAAAAAAATCTTCCCTCTACCATGCCCCCACCTTACCTTAGCACCCAGAGTCAGGATTTGGTAAATGCAAGCAGTACAAGTGGATATACTAGAAATTAAGTGGTGAAACCTTAAGTCTCAATGTTCTCCTCTTATTTGTATATGTACTTTAAGTATACAATATAATAGGGGTTCCTTCATATTAAACGCAGACCTAAGATGGAAAACAATTCTTGGTCTAGAAAGGGTGACTTTCACGTGAAGGATGGTGCAGTGCCATTTCATAGCCAAGGTAGGTGTAGGCAACAGGAGGGTACACAGAGGCAATTAATGCATTGCAGCCAAGTGTGTGGATGCCCCTATCCATTCCACTGTAAGCCAATTAGCAGCTACTAGGGTAATTACTTTCAGGAGCAAAGAATGAGCATGCAAGCTTGAGTCAGGCTTCTCAGGGCCTCATGTGACTAGTACCCTCTAGGAAGAAATAGGGGCTCTATAGGATTGTGCGCTGGCTCCAAAACTTACTAACTCCTTGGCCTTGAGTTTATACCTCTTCATTGCCTCAGTTTGGTCATCTGTAAAGTGAGGTGTATTAGTCAGTGTTCTCTAGAGGACAGAACTAATGGAATAGGTATATATAAAGGGGAGTTTATCAAGTATTAACCCACACAATCACAAGGTCCCACAATAGGCTGTCTGCAGGCTGAGGAGCAAGGAGAGCCAGTCTGAGTTCCAAAACTGAAGAAATTGGAGTTGACATCTGGTATAGCACCTACAATTGGAGTCACCATATGGTTAAGCTTACAAGAATCCACTGTCATTTGCCAAGATCCATCTGTCTTCTGCACAGGCCAAATGGGAGAGTTGAATGGAGATGTGATGGGAATCACCACCCTGCGTCTTTCAAGTCCTTGATGGTGGCACTGATCTCCGCAGTCCCTCCAGGGATGCGATATTATTTTTGATTTACTATTTTTCTAGGCAGAAGGAGTTCTAATGGCTTCCATTTGGCCTTTCCCACCACAATAGCTCTCATCCTACCATTCAAGGAGCCAATGTGGGAGTTCTGCCAGCTGCTAAGTATGTCTATGCCAATTATGCATTCTGGCACTGGGGAAATGACCACAGGATGAGTCTGGGGACCCACTGGACCCACTGTAAGTTGGACCTGAGCTAAAACTCCGTTAATTACCTGACTTTTACTGGCAGACCACAGTGACATTTTGGGTACCCTGGAATCAATGTCAGCTCAGAGCCAGTGTCCAGTAGTCTCCAAAATGTCTGATCATTTCCCTTTTCCCAATGCACAGTTACCCTGGTAAAAGGCTGTAAGTCTCCTTGGGAGGGAAGGGAGAAAGATTCACTCCATAAATTGTCAGTAATATAGTGGGGTCCTTCCTCAAGGGCACCCGGCCTCCCCTTCATTTAAGGGGTTCCAGGTCCATAAACTGGCTCAAGTCTGGAAATTGATTGAGGGGTTGTGATTCTGTTTTCATAATTCAAATTAGTCTTTTGTCCATTCAACCTAGAAGGTTTTTGCTTGCATAAATGAAGTAGGAATGCAGTAAGCTTCCTATCAATTTCACTTCTAGGAACACCGTGATTAATTAGCCAATGCCTGAGTTCTGTACAATCAGACTATTCTGATTGCCGCTTTGCCTCTGCTGTGCATTACAGTAGCTACACCTACCTTGCCTTTGACAGTTTAGTGCTGCCACCTGCCCCCTGCCACCTTGGGATCCAATTATTCTCATTGTATTTAAATTTTGTAGTTGAGGGACTGTGGTTCCCACTGTTAGATCTGACATAAAGAAAAGAGCAATTACAGGGATCTTCAAAGATGCAGGTGCTGCTCTCGCAAACCTATTTTGCAAGGCATTGGTCAAGGGTATATCTTCTGGACCCTCCCAGCAGCGATGAGTAGGTCTAAAGCGACTAATCCACTCCACCATCCTAATCTCCCTAAGCCTTTCCATTCCTTCCTCTACATTAACCCAAGGGGGATCAGGCACTTCCAGCTTACTCACAGTGGGCCATCTTTTAATCCATACTTCAGCTAACAAAGCAAATAAGCCTTTAGAACCTCTTTTAACTCCCTGAGCTGCAACATTAAGTGCAGAGTCCCTGCTTAGTGGGCCCAAATTAATAAATTTAGCCTGATCCAACTCTATGTTCCTTCCAGCATTATCCTATACCTAAATATCCATTCCCATGCCTGTTCTCCAGATTTGTTTATATAAATTGGAAAATTCAAGCAGTTCTTTTGAGTGTAGCATACCTCCTCATGGGTCACACTCTCAACTTCACCTCTACGGGCGGCCAGGACTTTAGTTATAGGTCTAGAAGCAAACAGGGGTGTTGGGGGTAGCTCCTGAGGAGAATCAACACTGTCTTGCCTGGCAACTGCCTCAGGGGAGGCTGCCACTGTTGCCTCAGGCAGCACAGGGTTTATCTCCTCAGAGAAAAGTGGAAAGGCTGATGGCAGCATGGGTGGGGGAGGCAATGTTGCCACTACTGGGAATGGGGAAGCTGTTTCTTCTGGCAAAAAAGTTTCATTAGAGCTTACAAGTTCAGTATCCCCAGCTTTATCAGGGTCCTCCCACACATCCCCATTCCATACTGCAGGGTCCCATTCTTTTCCAATAAATACCCTCACTTTAACAGTAGACACCTGGTAAGGCTGTGCACGTACCTTTTATTGCAGGTCAGCCACTCACATGATAAGAGCTTGTGTCTGTCTGTCCAGAATTTCAACTCTTTCTCTACAGGAGATAAGACTCTCACTCAGGCAATCTTAGCAGATTTGAGGCTCAGTATCGGCTTCTGAAGCAGGGATATAGAATGCCTGAGTTCATTTTCTTTAATCACTTTGTCCACTGAACTTAGGAGGAACCAACCAGCTTCATTATGTTCCTTGGTTCTCCACATATAGTCAAAGGTATTATGTATAGAGTCACTGAACTCCTTGCCTCGCATGAGCAACAAATCAGGAGTGTTAAATGCATTTATTTTGTATAACTCTCTAAACAGTTCATGCCGAGGACTATCAGTGTTCTCCATACTGTTAGAAGTAGAGTCCTTAGCATTCTGGGGTCTAATAAGCCAACTCTAGAAACCCAAAGCCAATGAAAGAACTTCATCCTTAATATTCTGATCCTCTAGAACTATCCCAGTCTCGGTACCGAAATCTGTATTAGTCAGGGTTCTCTAAAGGGACAGAACTAATGGAATAGATATGTGTATAAAGGGGAGTTTATTAAGTATTAACCCACATAATCACAAGGTCCCATGATAGGCCGTCTGCAGGCTGGGGAGCTCTTCTTGCTCTTTGTACGAATTCCAAAACTGAAGAACTTGGAGTCTGATGTTTGGGGGCAGGAAACATCCAGCATGGGAGAAAGATATAGGCTGGGAGGCTAGG
This sequence comes from Homo sapiens, assembly GCF_000001405.40. Taxonomy (NCBI): domain Eukaryota; kingdom Metazoa; phylum Chordata; class Mammalia; order Primates; family Hominidae; genus Homo; species Homo sapiens. The sequence goes on from NC_000003.12 coordinate 98,632,099, forward strand.
CCAGTCTCTCTTTTCACATTTTTCTGCCTGCTTATATTCTAGCTGAGCTGGCAGCTGATTACATTGTGCCCACGCAGATTAAGGGTAGGTCTGTCTTTCCCAGCCCACTGACTCAAATGTTAATTTCCTTTGGCAGCACCCTCACAGACACACCCAGGATCAATACTTTGTGTCTTTCAGTCCAATCAAGTTGGCACTCAGTATTAACCATCACATGGGGTTAATAGTACTTTATAAAGTTAACAAAAGGATAAGTACATTAATGAATATGAAGTGTCTAGAACAGCACATGCTCAAATTTTGTATTCTGTTAGTAATAAATAGTGCTTCTACTTAAACTTGAGGAAAGCCAATACATAACAGAAGCATTTCCAATAAGAAAACACATCACTAGAATTGAGGCAGAATCTTTTTTTGGGGGAGACAAAGTTTCACTCTGTCACCCACACTGGAGTACAATGGCGCGATCCCGGCTCACTGCAACCTCTGCGTCCCAGGTTCAAGCGATTCTCCTGCCTCAACCTCCCGAGTAGCTGGGATTAGAAGTGAGCACCACCACACCCAGCTAATTTTGTATTTTTAATAGAGACAGGGTTTCACCATGTTAGCCAGTCTGGTCTCAAAATCCTGACCTCAGGTGATCTACCCTCCTTGGCCATCCAAAGTGCTGGGATTACAGAGGCAGAATCTTAAAAGATTGAATATCTTTAGACAGAAATGAGTATCTTGTTTGAAACAGAAACAAGTGGTTCTAAGAATGGACCTATTAGATATCTTGGAAAAAATCAAGTTAACAAATGGACTGAATATTCAAATAAACACAGCTAAACAAACAAGTGACCTAGAAGTAATCTCAGAAATTGTCAGCCAAAAGAATTTAAAAATGGTATTTAAAATGTTATAAAATGGAGTTCTAACAAAAACATCTAATTGAAGCTTCAGCAAGAAAGAGAAACTGACAAAATATTAAACTCACTGTAGTATAATTTTAGAGCATCAACAACGAGAAAGCTCTCCATAAAAGATATTACTTACAAAGAATGTAAAACTGACAAATTAATAGGAGCTTTCTTAATACTAGCAGCAAAAAGCAAATGGAAAACTTCTTTACATGCTGGTAAGTTGGGTGAATCATAACAAGTAAGGGAAGAATAGGACTATTTAGATATACAACAATTAAGAAAGCTTATAGAAGCTTGCAACCTACAGAAGACATTCACTATCAATATCATGGGTTTCCTCTACCTGCAGGCCCAAAGTAGCCTGGCTGATATTAACCAATCTTGTATAATTCTTATGCCTTAGTAATTCTAGTAGCAAAGGCATGTCTCCAGGTGAAAGTCAGCCATGTAATTAACATTTTCACCTCCCTCTTCACACCTTTCTGCAACTTTCCTGAGAATTAGTGCCATGGTGAGCTTCTGTCACCATTGAATAATTACTAGTTTACAAAGTACTCTTGAATAAATGTCTCACTTGTATACTTATTATGACCACACTAATTTATATCTAATTTTATACTTATTAATGAATATTAGACATTCACATTAAAATCAGGAGTAAAACAACATTGCTTTATTCTAATACTATTGAATGTTTTCTGGAAGTTCTCAAGCAGAGTTTCTCAACCTCAGCACTACTGACAATTTGAGCCAGATGACTCTTTGCTGTGGGGGGATGTCAGGTGTATTGTAAGATGTTTACTAGTATCCCTGGCCTTTACCTACCAGATAGTTCCTCCCCCAGTGTGACAACCAAAAAAAGTCTCCAGATGTTGCCAAATGTCTCTTGAAACGTAAAATCCACTTTTGGGAACTACTCTTGAGAATCACTATTCTAGATAATGCAATAGAAAATTTGCATTATAGATATATTTGTTTGCAAAAAGACTGATTTATTTAACACAACTAGAACTGAGAAACTATTACAACTTACAGGAAAGTTTAATAAAGTTGCTGGATATAGGATAAACAGCTACAAACAAACCTTCCATATGTAACAACAATAAAAGGAGAAAACAGTTTTTAAAAACTCGTATAATATCCACAAATAAGAATACATATGAATAAGCCTAACAAATCCAGTTGGGAACCTATATAAGTAAAACGTTTCCTAGAGGAGATGAAAGCTTTATATAATAGAACAAAGACAGATTAAGTATTATGAAGATGATATGTCCAAAATCAATAGAACTAAAGCAATTTTGGTCATAATCCCAACAGAATTTTGAGGACCTAGACAAATTAATGCTAAAGAATTAATAAACCTCAATCATGAGGAAAAAACGTGGAGACACACAGAAAACTTAACATCATTAGCTATGGGAAAATGCAAACCCAAACCACAATGAGATACCTCTACATATTCATCAGAATGACTACATTTAAAATGACTGCCAACACCATATGTTGGCAACTTGGTAAAGCACCTGAAGCTTTCACACATTGTTGGTGAAAATGTAAAATTATATAACGACTTTGGAAAAAGTTATGACACTTTCTTGTAAAACTAAGCATATACCTATTAATACTTCATGAACCAGGAGCCATCTCCTATATATCATACAAGAAAAATGGAAGTATGTGTTCACAAAATGATTTGCATAGAGTGTTCAGTAGCTTTATAATAACTAAAAAATGGAAATAGCCTATCAATAGGAGAATGGATAAACAAATTGTAGTATATTTGTATAATAAGTGTATTAGTCCATATTCATAGAGCTACGAAAAAATACCCAAAGGGATGGGCATGGTGGCTCATGCCTGTAATCCCAGCATTTTGGGAGGCCGAGGTGGCCAGATCACCTGAGGCCAAGAGTTTGAGACCAGCCTAGCCAACATGGTGAAACCTCATCTCTACGAAAAATTCAAAAATTAGCCAGGTGTGGTGGTGGACACTTGTAATCCCAACTACTTGGGAGGCTAAGGCACAAGAATCGCTTGAACCCAGGAGGTGGAGGTTGCAGTGAGCCGAGATCATGCCACTGCATTCCAGCCTGAGTGACAGAGCAAGACTCTGTCTCAAAAAAAAAAAAAAAAGAGTGGGTAATTTATAAAGAAAAAGAGGTTTAAAGGACTCACATTTCCACAAGTCTAGAGAAGCCTCACAATCATGGTGGAAGGCAAAGGAGGAACAAAGGCATGTCTTACATGGCGGTAGTCAAGAGAGCATGTGTTAGGTTATAAAACCATCAAATCTCATGAAACTGATTGACTATCACAAGAAAAGTACAAGAAAAACCCGCCCCCCCCATGATTCAATTACCTCCCACCAGGTCCCTCCCATGACACGTAGGGACCATGGGTGCTACAATTCAAGCTGAGATTTGGGTGGGCACATAGCCAAACCATATCAATAGGATACTACTCAGTAATAAAAAGGAGTCAACTACAGATACAACATGGAAGAATATAAAAAACATACTGAAAGAATTTTATACTAACAAGTACATACTTTAGAGTTCCATTTACATGAAATTCTAGAACATATAAAATACTTCTGTAAAGGAAAATGTCAGAACAATGGCTATCTTGGGGAGGCAAGGATTGGCTAAGAAGGGGTATGAGTGACCTCTCTGCGGTGATGGTAATGTTCTATATCTTGACATGATTAAGTTGCATAAACTGGTCAGAACTTGAAACTGTTCCAACAGTTTTTTTTTTTTAATGATTAAATTCTTGGGCTTATGGGATAGCAGATATAAAACAACTTGCTGAATAATTGAAACTGAAGCTGTACCTCAAAGAGTAAGAAACAAATAACTAACAAATACTTGAGTTTGCAGGAGGGCAGATAAGAAATAACTTGCTGAAACACTGAAACTCCATCCACTTGTGAGATTTCAAAAACTGGCTGAAATTGGTTGGAACCAATATGGTTAACTGGAGTTTGCATAGAATGAGCTTGCTGACCTCACCTTCTGAATTTCCACTGTGTGTTTCACTTGATCTTAGCCAAAAGGCCAAGAAGCGATCCACTATGTGTTTCATACTAACTACACCTGAATTTGCACATGCAATCCATGAGGTAGCATGAGGAGATAACTGTGCATGCCTTAGAACTTTCTACACCTTGCCTTTTCTTCCATCAGTCACCTACTAATCCCAGAATCTACCTCCTAAGACTTTTCTAATAAAATTACTGCCTGAAAGCCAGAACAAGGAGACAAATTTGAGCTGGACTCCTCTCTCAGCAGAAACTTTAAAGGCCAAGAGAAAGTTGGGTTATATATTCAAAGCATTGAAAGAAATAGCCAAAAACACTGTATCCAGCAAAGGTATTCTTCATAAATGAAGGAGAAATCTTTCTCAGGAGGCAAAAACAGAATTCATCACTATTATACCACCCTATAAGAAACTCACTGATAGAGCAAACACACAAATGAGGGAAAGGACTCAAATGTTACCACTTCAGAAAATCATCAAACTGCAAGGATAGTCAATAAGAGAAAGAAAGGAACAACTGATATACAAAACCAGTAAACAATTAGCAAAATGACAGGAATAAGTCCTCACATATCAATAATCTTAGATGCAAATAAATTAAATGTTCCACTTAAAAGATATAGACTGGCTGAGTGAATTATTTTTTTCAATTACCCAACTATATGCTGCCTACAAGAAATTCACTTCACGTGTAAAGGCACAGATAGATAGAAAATAAAGAGATGGAAAAAGACATTCCCTACAAGCGGAAACCAAAAGCAAGCAGGAGTAAACATACTTATATTAAATACAGCACACTTTAAGTCAAAAACAGCAAAGAGATGCAAAGAAGGTCATTATATAATGATAAAGGTATCAATTCGGCAAGAGGATATAACAATTCTAAACATGTATGCACCCAACACTGGAGCACCCAGATATACATAGAAAGTTAGATTGCAAGGGAGAGATAGATTCCAATACAATACTAGTTGGGAAATTTAACCCCCTACTCTCAGCCTTAGACAGATCGTCTAGACAGAAAAGCAACAAAGGAACATTAGTTTTAAACTGCACTTAGACCAAATGGAACTAACAAGCATCTACACAACGTTTTATCCAATAGCTGCAGAATACACATTCTTCTCATCAGCCCATGCAACATTAGGACAGGACATAAGTTACATCTATAAAAACAAGTCTCAACAAATTTTTAAAAATTTGTTAGATATCATATCAATAAAATGAAGTCGTAATAAGCATCTTCTCAGACCACAGTGGAAATAAACTAGAAATCAATAACAAGTGGAACTTTGGAAACTGTACAAATGGATAGAAACTGAACAACATGGGCTGGGTGCAGTGGCTCACACCTATAATCCCAGCACTTTGTGAGGCCGAGGCGGGTGGATTACGAGGTCAGGAGTTCGAGACCAGCCTGGCCAACATGGTGAAACCCTGTCTCTGCTAAAAATACAAAAAATTAGCCAGGTGTGGTGGCGGTTGCCTGTAATCCCAGAAGAAAAAAGGGACATTACGAATATAGCAGATTTTTTCAATGTTAAGATGAAATTATAAATAATTATGCCATTAAAATATTAAAACTTGAATAAAATAACATAATAACAATAATAAACAATATACAAGTTGTCAAATTGACTCAAGAAAAGGTAACCTAGCATAATTTATAAGGTTATTATTATTATTATTATTTCAATAGTTTGGGGAGAACAGATGGTAGTTCGTTGCATGAATAAGTTCTTTAGTGATAATTTCTGAGATTTTGGTGTACTCATTACCCGAGTAGTGTACGCTGCACCCAATGTGTAGTCTTTTATCCCTCACCCCACTCCCACCCTTCCCCCTGAATCCCCAAAGTCCATTATATCATTCTTATGCCTTTGCATCTTCACAGCTTATCTCCTGCTTATAAGTGAGAACATACAATGTTTGATTTTTCATTCCTGAGTTACTTCACTTAAATTAATGGTCTCCAACTCCAACCAAGTTGCTGAGAATGGCTGAGTCATATTTTATTTTATATATATATATGTGTATATACACACACATATACATACACACACACACATACATAAACACACACACACACACACATACACACACACACACACACACACTTTTCCTCTGGGTAGATACTCAGTAGTGGGATTGCTAGATCAAATGGTAGTTCTACTTTCAGTTCTTTAAGACATTTCCATATTGTTTTTCAAAGTAGTTGTACTGGTTTACATTAAATCCAGTAGTGTAAAAATGTTCTTTTTTTTTTTACCACATCCACAGTAACAACTATTTTTTTTTTATTTTTAAACTATGGTCATTCTGCAAGAGTAAGGTGACATTGCATTGTAGTTTTGATTTGCATTTCCCCGATAATTAGTGTTGTTGAGCATTTTTTCATATGTTTGTTGGCCATTTGTATATCTTCTTTTGAGAACTGTCGATTTGTGTCCTTTGCCCACTTTTTAATGGTATTATTTGTTTTTTTCTTGCTAATTTCTTTCAGTTCCTTGTAGATTCTGGATATTAGTCCTTTGTCAGATGCATAGTTTGCAAGTATTTTCTCCCACTCTGTTGGTTGTCTGTTTACTCTACTGATTATTTCTTTTTTCGGTGAAGAAGTTTTTAGTTTAATTATTAATAGGTCCTGTCTATTTATCTTTATCTTTTCTATAATTTAGCTTAATTATTAATAGGCCACATCTATTTATCCTTGTTTTTGTTACATTTGCTTTTCGGTTCCTGGTCATGAACTCTTTCCCTAAGCTAATGTCTAGAAGGGTTTTTTCAATGTTATCTTCTAGAATTTTTATGGTTTCAGGTCTTATATTTAAGTCTTTGATCCATCTTGAGTTGATTTTTGTATAAAGTGAGAGATGAGGATCCAGCCTCATTCTTCTACATATGGCTTGTCAATTGCCCCAGCACCATTTGTCGAATGGGGTGTCCTTTCCCCACTTTATGTTTTCTTTGCTTTGTTGAAGATCAGTTGCTATAAATATTTGGCTTTACTTCTGGGTTCTCTATTCTGTCCCATTGGTTTATGTGCCTATTTTTATACCACTACCATGCTGTTTTGGTAACTATAGCCTTGTACTATAGTTTGAAATCAGGTAATGTGATGCCTCCGAATTTGTTCTTTTTGCTTTGTCTTACTTTGGCTATGGGGGGATCTTTTTTGGTTTCACATGAATTTTAGGATTGTTTTTTCTAGTTTTGTGGAGAATTATATTTTGATGGAATTGCATTGAATTTGTAGATTGCTTTTGGCAGTATGGTCATTTTTACAACATTGATTCTACCCATCCATGAGCATGGGATGTGTTTCCATTTGTTTGTGTCATAGATAATTTCTTTCAGCAGTGTTTTGTAGTTTTCCTTGTAGAGATCTTTTACCTCTTTGGTTAGGTGTATGCCCAAGTTTTTTTTTTTTTTTTTCTTTTTGCAGCTGTCATGAAAGGGGTTGAGTTCTTGATCTGATTCTTAGCTCAGTCATTGTTGGTGTATAGCAGTGCCATTTATTTGTCTACATTGATTTTGTATCCTGAAACTACTTAATTCCTGTCAGATGTAGGAGCTTTTTGGATGAGTCTTTAGGGTTTTCTAGGTATATGATTTATCATTGGCAAAGAGTGACAGTTTGACTTCCTCTTTATTGATTTGGATGCCTTTTCTTTCTTTCTCTTGTCTGATTGCTCTGGCTAGGACTTCCAGTACTATGTTGAGTAGAAGTGGTGAAAGTGGGCATCCTTGTCTTGTTCCAGTTCTCAGGAGAATGCTTTCAACTTTTCCCATTCAGTATAATGTTGGCTGTGGGTTTGTAATAAATGGCTTTTATTACCTTGAGGTATGTCCCTTCTAGGCCAAATTTGCTGAGGGTTTTAATCATAAAGCATGCTAGATTTTGTCAAATGCTTTTTTTTAATCTATTGAGATGATCATATTATTTTTGTTTTTAATTCTGTTTATGTGAGGTATCACATTTATTGACTTGCATATATGAAATTATCCCTGCATCCCTGGTATGAAATCCACTTGATCATGATGTATTATCTTTTTGATATTCTGTTGGATTTGGTTAGCTAGTATTTTGTTGAGGATTTTTGCATCTATGTTTATCAGGGATATTGGTCTGTAGTTTTCCTTTTTTGTTATGTCCTTTTCTGGTTTTGGTATTAGGGTGATACCGGCTTCACAGAATGATTTAGGAAGGGTTCCTCCTTTCCCTATCTTTTGGAATAGCTTCAGTAGGACTTGTACCAATTCTTCTTTGAATGCCTGATAGAATTCAGCTGTGACTCTATCTGTTCCTGGACTTTTTTTGTTGGCAATTTTTAAATTACTGTTTCAATCACTTTACTTGTTATTGGTATATTCAGAGTTTCTGTTTCTTCCAATTTAATCTAGAAGGGTTGTATATTTTTAGGAATTTATCCATCTCCTCTAGACTTTCTAGTTTTTGTGCATAAAGGTATTCATGGTAGCCTTGAATTACCTTTTGTATTTCTGTGGTATCGATTGTAATTTTACCATTTTGTTTCTAATTGAGTTTATTTGGATCTTCTCTCTTCTTTTCTTGGTTAATCGCAGTAATGGCCTATCAATTTTGTTTTTCTTTTCAAAGAATCACATTTTTGTTTCATTTTTCTCTTTTTTATTTAATTTCATTTATTTCTGTTCTGATCTTTCTTCTTTCTTTTCTTCTGCTGGGTTTGAGTTTGTTCTTTTTTCTCTAGACCTTGAGGTGTGACCTTAAGTTGTCTATTTGTGTTCTTTCAGGCTTTCTGATATAGGCATTTAATGCTATGAACTTTCTCTTGCAGAGCTCTTTCCATGTCCCAGAGAGTTTAATAAGTTGTGTCACTATTATCATTCATTTCAAAAATGTTTTAAATTTCCATCTTGACTTCGTTGTTGACCCAAAGGTCATTCAGGAACAGACTATTTAATTTCCATGTATTTGTATAGTTTTAAGAGTTCCTTTTGGACTTAATTTCCAATTTTATTCTACTGTGGTATGAAAGAGTACTTGATATAATTTTAATTTTCTTAAATTTATTGAGACTTGTTTTGTGGCCTATCATATGGTGTGTCTTAAAGATTGTTCTATGTGTTGATGAAAAGGATGTATATTGTGCAGTTGTGCAGTTGAATGTTCTGTAAGTGTCTGTTAAGTCCGTTTGTTCTAGGGTATAGTTTAAGTCCATTGTTTCTTTGTTGACTTTCTGTCTTGGTGATCTGTCTAGTGCCATCAGTGAAGTACTGAGAAGTCCCCCACAATTATTGTGTTGCCATCTATGTCATTTCTTATGCCTAGTAATAATTGTTTTATAAATTTGGGAGCTCCAGTGTTCAGTGCATATATATTTAGAATTGTGATATTTTCCTGTGGGACTGATCCTTTCATCATTATATAATGTTACTGTTTGTCTTTTTTAACTGTTATTGCTTTACAATCAGTTTTGTCTGATATAAAAATAGCTACTCCTGCTCACATTTGGTTTCCATTTGTGTGGAATATCTTTTTCCATCCCTTTACCTTAAGTTTATATGAGTCCTTATGCATTAGGTGAGTCTTTCGAAGACAGCAGATACTGTTGGATTTTTATCCATTCTGCCATTCTGTATCTTTTAAGTGGAGCACTTAGGCAATTTACATGTAACGTTAGCACTGAGATGTGAGATACTGTTTTGTTCATTGCCATAGTTGTTGCCTGAATACCTTCAGTTTTTTCTTTGTGTCATTGTTTTATAGGCCCTGTGAGATTTACGTTTTAAGGAGATTCTATTTTGGTGTATTTTGAAGTTTTGTTTCAAGATTTAGAACTCCTTTTAGCATTCTTTGTTTGTTTGTTTTTTTGGAGACAGTCACAGTCTGTTGCCCAGGCTAGAGTGCAGGGGCATGATCTCAGCTCACTGCAACCTTTGCCTCCTGGGCTCAAACAATTCTCTTGCCTCAGCCTCTCGAGTAGCTGGAATTACAGATGCCTGCCACCACACCCAGCTAATTTATGTATCTTTAGTAGAGACAGGGTTTCACCATTTTGGCCAGGTTGGTCTCAAACTTCTGGCCTCAAATGATCCACCTGCCTTGGCATCCCAGAGTGCTGGGATTACAGGCATGAGCCACCATGCCCAGCTCCTTTTAGCATTTCTTGTAGTGCTGGCTTGGTGGTGGTGAATTCTCTCAGCATTTGTTTGTCTGAAAAAGACTTTTTCTCCCCATTATTTATGAAGCTTAGTTTTGCTGGATACAAAATTCTTGCTGACAGTTATTTTGTTTGAGGATGCTAAAGATAGGACCCTAATCCCTTCTGTCTTGCAGGGTTTCTGCTGAGAATTCTGATGTTAATCTAATAGGTTTTCCTTTATAGGTTACCTGATGTTTTTGCCTCATAGCTCTTAAAATTATTTGTCTTGACTACAGATAACCTGATGACTATGTGCCTGAATGATGATCTTTTTGTCCTGAGTGTTCTTTGAGCTTCTTGTATTTGGATGTCTAGATCTCTAGCAAGACCAGGAAATTTTCTAAATTATTCCCTCAAATAAGTTTTCCAAAGTTTTTGATTTCTTCTTCCTCAGGAACACCAATTATTCTTAGGTTTGGCCATTTAACATAATCCCAGATTGCCTTGGAAGCTTTGTTCATTTTTTGCAAATTCTATTTTCTTTGTCTTTGTCAGATTGTAGCAGGACGAGCCCCAGACAAAACCTCTCAGACACCGAGTTGTAGAAGGAAGGGCTTTATTCAGCTGGGAGCTTCGACAAGCTACTGCCTTAAAATCCGAGCTCCCTGAATGCACAATTTCTGTCCCTTTTAAGGGCTCACAACACTAAAGATTTCACATGAAAGGGTCGTGATTGATTTGAGCAAGGAGGTGGTACGTGACAGGGGCTGCATGCACCGGTGGTCAGAGAGAAACAGAACAGGGCAGGGAGTTTCACAATGTTCTTCTATACAATGTCTGGAATCTATGAATAACATCGGTTTCTAAGTTATGAGTTGACTTTTAACTACTGGGTTTAGGCCAGGCAGGCCCAGGCCTGGTTTCGGGCCTGGCGCTGGGCTGCCTGTCTTTGGTTTTACTTCCTCGTTATTTTTTCTTAAAACAGGTACTGAGTATAAAACAATATAAAACAATATGAGAGGGTCTCTCTCTTCCCTCAAGATTTAGTTAATTTGAAAGCCCTGTCTTTGAGCTCTGATGTTTTTTCTGTATTTGTTTGATTCTATTGCTGAAACTCATTTCCAGAAGTTGTGATTATTTTTATGATATATATTTCTCAGTAGCATTTTTCATCCATATTCTGTATTTTTTAAAAAAATTTCTTTAAGTTGGTTTTCACCTTTCTCTGGTATGTCCTTGAATAGCTTAATAATCAACCTTCTGAATTCTTTATCTGGCAATTCAAAGATTTCTTGTTGGTTTGGATCCATTGATGGGGAGCTAGTGTGGTCTTTTGGGGGTGTTATAGAACCTTATTTTATAATATTACCAGAATTATTTTCCTGATTCCTTCTCATTTGGGTAAACTATTTCGGTGGAAAAATCTGGAACTGAAGGGTTGCCGTTCAGATTCTTTGGTCCCATGGGGTGGTCCCTTGATGTGTTGCACTCCCCATTCCCTCAGGGATGGGGCTTACTGCAAGGCAGACTGCAATGATTGTTATTGCTCTTCTGGGTCTAGCCACCCAGCAGGACTTCCAGGCTCTGGGCTGGTGCTGGGGAATGTCTGTAAAGAGTCTTGTGATGTGAGCTGTCTTCAGGTCTCAGTATCAGTCCATTTTTACACTGCTATAAAGAACTACCTGAGACTGGGTAATTTATGAAGAAAAGAGGTTTAGGGCAGGTGTGGGGGCTCAAGCCTGCAATCCCAGCACTTTGGGATGCTGAGGCAGGCAGATCACTTTAGGTCAGGAGTTGAAGACCAGCCTGGCCAACATGGTGAAACCCCATCTCTACTAAAAATACAAAAATTAGCAGGGCATGGTGGCACACACCCATAATCCCAGCTACTTGGTAGGCTGAGGCACGAGAATTACTTGAACCTGGGAGGTGGAGGTTGCAGTGAGCCAAGGTTGTGCTACTGCACTACAGCCTGGGTGACAGAGCAAGACTGTGTCTGAAAAAAATGAAAGAAAAGAGATTTAGTTGACTCACAGTCCTGCAGGCTGTACAGAAGCATGGCTGGGAGGCCTCAGGAAACTTACAATCATGGCAGAAGGTGAAGGGGAAGCAAGCACATCTTACTATGGTAGAGCAGGAGAGAAAAAGAGAGCAAAGGGGAAGTGCCACACACGTTTAAACCATCAGATCTCATGAGAACGTACTCACTATCATGAGAACAGCAAGTGGAAAATCCACTTTCATGATCTAATCATCTCTCACCAGGCCCCTCCCCTGATATGTAAGGATTACAATTTGACATGAGATTTGGGTGGGGACACAGAGCCAAACCATATCAGTCTCCCAGCCACGGATACCAGCATCTGCTCTGGTGGAGGTGACAGGGGAGAGAAGTAGACTCAGAGTCCTTGGTTGTAGATGGGTTTAGTGTGCTGGCTTTCTCCAATGCTGGTTATGCTAACAGTGAAATTGTCACGTGGACAGACTCAGGGCCACTGGTTATGCAGGATGTTGTAGACTGTGGAATTAGCTGTTGTTTAATCCTTATTTGGAGCGGGGTTATTCTGTCATGAGTTGCTGTAATGTCATGAGTTGGTTGGCCTCCAACCAGGAGGTGGCACTTCTGAGAGAGCACCAGATCTTGATAGTAGAAAGGGGATATAAGCTCGCCCTAAGTTGACCAGGATAAGTATTTGGGTTTCTCAGGTGATGGGTGGGTCGTAAAGCTTCCAAGAGTTTTTGTCTTTTGTGATCGGCTACCAGGGTGGATAGAGAAATACCATATAGTTGGGGCAGGGGTAGGCTTGTCTGAGCTCAGACTCTCCTTGGGCAGGGCTTGCCATGCCACTTTGAGGGATTGGGGAGTGGTTCTTGGGCCAGTGGGGTTATGTTCCAGAAGGGATTATAGCTGCCTCTGTCACCAGGGAAGTGGGGGAAAGCCGGTAGCAACAGGCCATACCCACTTCCTACACAGTTGGTGAGGCCGGTTTCACTCCTGCAGTGTCCCGCTCACAATGCCAAGTGTATCTCCAGGAAGCCTGCACGTGGGACTCAGACCTAGCCCCAGGCTGTAAGTTTCCCCATTGAGAAAGCAAGCACGGCTTTCAGGCCACACCCCTCCTCATCTGCCCACACTGTCAGTGACGACTCCTGCTCTCCTTTCTGCATCAGTTCCCGTTGGCTCCAGATTCTGCTCAAGAGAGTTTGCACCCAGTCAAAATTAGTACACATTTCAGTTGGAAGCTTCTTTCACCCTGTGACCCCTCCCAAATTCTGCTGGCTGCCTTCCCACAGGTCCCCTGTGAGATACAGCCAGGGATGGTTCCCCTGGGCTCGAGCTGGAGATGGGGAGTGCCTACGAGGCTCTTCCCACTGTGCTTCTACTTTTATATTTCATTCTAAATCCATTTCAGCTCTAGGTAAAGTTAAATTCTTCTCCTGTAATCTGGATTTTCGAGTTCCCCAGTGGCAACATGTGTTTGGAGGCAGGTTTCCCCACACCTCACACTTTGGGAACTCAATTTTTCACCTGTCTTGAAGAATTTGCAGCAGCCTGCAGCTTCTTTTGAAGGATCCGTGAATTATTTCAGTTTCCCTGGTACACTCCTGAAGTGGTTCCTGTATCATATGTCCATGGTGATAGTGTCCACACACTGTTCTGTCCATCCAAGTGGAAGCTGCACATCAGCCCCATCTCCTACCACCATCTTCCTTGTCTGCCAAGTCACGAGCTTTTCCTAAAAAGTTATTATTGATTGAAATAAAAACCCAAAAAGGACAGAAGTAAAACTATTAAATACAAATACTACAATGCAAAAATCAATTAGATACAAAGAGAAATGTAGCAGTGTATAAAGATCAATCCATTTTGATAAATAAAATATAACTCAAGAATACAAGTTTCGGCAATACACAACATTGTAAGATTATTGAGGAGAGGCTTATATGTAGTCATTTAATAATCACAATCATTTATTTTTATTTATTTATTTATTTGTTTTGAGACAGAGTCACACTCTGTCACCCAGGCTGGAGTAGAATGGCATGATCTCAGCTCACTACAACCTCTGCCTCCTGGGTTAAATTGATTCTTTTGCCTCAGTCTACTGAGTAGCTGGGATTACAGGTGCCCACCAGCACACCCCGCTAATTGTATTTTTAGTAGAGACGGGGTTTCACCATGTTGGCCAGGCTGGTCTCGAACTCCTGACCTCAAGTGATCCGCCCGCCTCAGCCTCCCAAAGTGCTGGGATTACAGGCATAAGCCACCGCACCCAGGTTCATTTCTGATTTTTAAAGCTCTTAGCAAACTAGAAATAGATGGAGAGACTTGAGCCTAATAAAGAATCCTTATCAAGAACCTACATCACATGTGGTGAAACTTTAAAGGTATTCTCACTGAAGTCTGGAACAAGGCAAGGGTTCCTGTTATAACTACTTTGTTTAATTTTATCCTGGAAATCTTGCCAATACAACAAAATTAAATATAAAGAAAACTTCTGATAGGCTTGTGTCATCTGCTTGGTGCTGAATATTTCTACTATTCCTCCCAAAATAATTCAAATTTTAAAAGGGACAACAATGAAGACAAATACCCATAAAACATAACTTTTATGAAACTAAGAGACAGAAAAAAATCCTGCAAACTCAAATTACAGATGCACCAAAAGCAACTGCTATCAGCCGAACTGGGGGAGAAAACCACAGGAGCAGGATGGATGTGGTGAAGAACAGGGAGGTCATCTGTCAATACTGGCATATGTGGAAACATTCACTGTCAAATAAACAGATATCTATGACTATTATATTTTACTGTGGATTTATTATAGTCTATCCTCTTTCCCTTCCCAACGTGAACTCTTCTTTGCCTAGTATAGTGCTTTCTTTGATATGGAAATCCTAAGCTTTCATTCATCCATCTTTTTACACTTTTAGTCAGAATGATATTTTACTTTTGGTGTAATTTTATAAATGGTAAATGAAGCATATTTATACTTACCAGTATGACAGATATTCAGGTGTATTTTGTCACGTTACTCTATATTATTTTTATTATGTATGCACAGTATTAAGAGTACAGAACATACAGGTAAACACTAAGACCAAATGTATTAGTCTTCTGGGACTGCCATAACAAAATACCGCAGTTTGGATGGCTTTCTCACAGTTCTGGAAGCTGGAAGTCAGGTGTCAGCAGGTTTGGTATTTCCTGCGGCATCTCCTTGGCTTGCAGAGGGCTGCCTTCTCAATGTGTCCTCACATGGCCTTTGCTTTGTGTGTGCGCACATTTCTGGTGTCCCTCCTTATGTCCAGATTTCCTCTTCTTATAAGGACTCCAGTCAGGTTGGATTAGGGCTCACCTAAAGAGCTCATTTTAACTTAATTACCCCTTGAAAGGCCCTACCTCCAAATACTGTTACATTCTGAGGTACTGGACTTCAATATATGAATTTTGTGAGAACACAAGTCAGCCAATAACAAATGATCATTTTGTTGACTAAAATTGAGTAGTGAAAGCTAGGGAGAAAGGTGAGGAGGAAGAAGTTACAAGGTAATTCATGTGATGCTAGTAGAAATCAATGGATACTGTCTGAAACAAAAGGGGTTAAGGGTACTATATAAATTTCTCATTATAAATGCAGACACTAGATTAAAAATATCATAAAAACTACAATTTAAAAAAGGCTCTAAAGTCTGAAAGTTTATATAATACAATGTTCATATTTACATTGTATTTTCCAAACTTTATATTAGACATTGTTTTAGTCCTAGTTCTATTTATAGGTATGAGGGGACTTCAGGAAATTCATGAAAAATGGAAATAAAAATATAAAATATAAACTTTATTTTATATTTCTCAGCATAAGCCCTATCAAGTCCAAGACACTTTCATAAGCAATGATACCAGCCATCAAATCCATCCCTAAAGAACTGACAGTCCTGGGAATTTAACCATGCAGGTTTTTTTTTGTTTTTTTACATTATTAACTGAAGAAGAATGGGTGCCCTTTAAAGACTTCTTTTGTTTTTGTTGTTGTTGGTTGTTGTTGTTGTTGTTGTTGAGATGGAGTTTCGCTCATGTCGCCCAGGCTGGAGGGCAGCAGCGTGATCTTGGCTTACTGCAACCTCCGCCTCCCAGGTTCAAATTATTCTCCTGCCTCAGCCTCCCGAGTAGCTGGGATTACAGGCACCCGCCACCATGCCCAGTTAATTTTTGCATTTTTAGTAGAAACAGGGTTTCACCATGTTGGCCAGGCTGGTCTCGAACTCCTGACCTCGTGATCTGCCCATCTCGGCCTCCCAAAGTGCTGAGATTACAGGCATGAGCCACCATGCCCGGCCCTAAAGACTTCTTAAGATTACAAAACAAAAAGTAGTCAGAAAGAGCCAAATAAAGGATGCTAAGGTGGATTTGCCTAATAATTTCCCATCAAGAGTCTCACAAAATTTCTCTTGTTTGATGACAGAAATAAGCAGGAATATTGTTGTGGTGGAGAAGGACTGTCAGGTAAAGATTTCCTGGGCATCTTTCTGCTAAAGCTTTGGCTATCGTTCTTAAAATACTGTCATAATAAGCAGATGTTATCATTCTTTGGCTCTTCAGAAGATTCACAAGTGAAATGCCTTGAGCATCCCAAAAAATATTTGCCATGACCTTTGCTCTTGACCAGTCTGCTTTTGTGCGACTGGACCACTTCTACTTCTTGGTAGCCATTGCTATGATATTGCTTTGTCTTCAGGATCATATTGGTAGAGTCAAATTTTATGTCCTGTTACAATTCTTCAAAGAAACACTTCAGGATCTTGACTTTACTTGTTTAAAATTTCCATTGAAAGGCTTGCTCTTGTCTGCAGCTGATCTGGGTGCAAGGGTTTTGGCATCCATTGGATGGAAAGTCTGTTTAATTTTTCAATCAATTGTGTAAGATAAACTAATTGAGATGTCCACGGTGTTGGCAGTTCTTTCTGCAGTTAATCATTGGTCCTCTTTAATTAGAACACAAACTTTTTCCTTGAAAATTGGTGTGGATGTTCTGCCACTATGGGCTTCATCCTCAATTTCATTTCATCCCTTCTTAAATCAAGTTATCTATTTGTAAACTGCAAATTTATTTCGGGCATTGTCCTCATAAACTTTTTGTAAAGCAAGAATGATGTCACCATTATTTACCAAATCTGATCATAAATTTGATGTTTTTTCTTGCTTCACGTTTAGCAGAATCCATGTTACTCTGATAGGGGTTCTTTTTAAACTGATGTATTAGTGCCTCAAACTAAGAGCCTGTTTAGAGTTGTTAGTACAAGTTTATTTCGGTGCAAAATCATATTGAAATCCATGCACAGTTTTTTATAATATGCATTTTCCATAAATTTTTTGAAGACCCCTCATATATTCAATGTTTATCTCAGTCCTTTTGCTGAGGTTACTCTGATCATCTTATGGTTGGGTGAATCTTATACTCTGGGAGATGATTCAGTAAGAGCTAATGTGAACAATATTTCCTGAGTCCTTGAATTTGTAGAAATGTTTCACTGTGGCTGGGCACAGTGGCTCATGCCTGTAATCCCAGCACTTTGGGAGGCTGAGGTGGGTGGATCACGAGGTCACGAGTTCGAGATCAGCCTGGCCAACATAGTAAAACTCTGTCTCTACTAAAAAAAAATAAATAAAAATAAAAATTAGCTGGGCATGGTGGTGGCGGACACCTGTAATCCCAGCTACTCTGGAGGCTGAGGTAGGAGAATCGCTTGAACCAGGGAGGTGGAGGTTGCAGTGAGCCAAGATCATGCCATTGCACTTCAGCCTGGGAGACAGCACAAGACTCTCTCAAAAAAAAAAAAAAAAAAAAAAGTTTGCCTGTAGCCTTGACACTTGAAGAACAGCTTGGTCGGATTTTAAATCTTTGGCTCAAATTTTCCATTTCCATTAGCATTGACTATAGCTGTGCCATCTTGGCTTCTTTCCCTTAGAAAAGACACAATGTTTTTTGCCCAGATGCCCAAAGTTTGTTACTAATATTAGTAGGACATGTCTAGTGTTTGTAAGATATGTATTAGTAGGATATATCTACTAACCAATGTTACTAGCTTTGATATTGATAATTCTGGGACAGATTTGTCAGATCTTGGATATAGCATCTAATATAAAGATTCAAATCTGCCAGGCATGGTGGCTCACGCCTCTAATCCCAGCACTTTGGAAGGCCGAGGCAGATGGATCACCTGAAGTCAGAAGTTCAAGACCAGCCTGGTCAACATGGTGAAACTCCATCTCTACTAAATATACAAAAATTCGCATGGCATGGTGGTGGGTGCCTGTAATCCCAGTTACTCAGGAGGCTGAGGCAGGAGAATCCTTTGAACCCGGGAGATGAGCTGAGATCGCGCCATCACACTCCAGCCTGGGCAACAAGAGCAAAACTTCATTCCAAAAAAAAAAAAAAAAATGGAAAAGATTCAAATCTTAGTTTAAGAATACTTTCTAATGTTTGTTTTCTATTCTTTTGGCTTTTCTCTGGAGAAACTACAATTACTAATATTTTAGATCATTTATTGTCGTTTATAACTTTCACTTTCTCTCTTTAAAAATTATTTTTGCTTCTCTTTAATTTCCTTCACTTTTCCCATGTGTATACTCCGTCTTGCTGTGCTTTCTGTGGTGTCTATTTTCCTATATGACCCTTGTAATTTAGTCTTTACTTATGAAATGATTCTGTCTGTTTCTCCAATTTCTTTCCTAAATTTTACCAATTACCATTTCATATCCTTGTATTGACTGACCATTACCTTCTGTTGACTGGCCATCACCTTTTTTTTTTTTTTTTTTTGGACATGTCTTCCCTGAGATCTTTTTTGTTTTTTTTGTTTTCCTCCCTTACTGCAATTACATCATATTTTCTCCTTTATGCATGTTGAAATATTGTGTTACAATTTTTCTCTGCTTTGGAGCAATATTTTGTTAGCAAGTATTCTTAGTCCTCAGGGAAGTTTTGCGTCTATTTTCAGTTCCTTTTTTGCCCTTTTAATTTCCTAGAATATCTTTCTTTGGATGTTCTAGTTACACAATTACTTTGTCAATCATATTTGAAGGAGTTGACATTTTTTCAGCTGAAAGAAGGATCTCTTGAAGTGAGGGAAGGAGTAGCTTTTCCAGTTTCTCAGCTCAAGAGCTCACTTCAGGTAACAGGTCTCACCTGAATTTCAGATCTTAACTTCCTCACAGAAGCTCTTGCAATTAGTTCCACACTTCTACAGTTCCTTCACCACCTCCAGGGAAGCAGCTACCTTCATCAACGGATCCTGTTCCAAACTTCCACTAACTTCTCCCTCTTATAAGTGCTATTTTCTTGAATCTATCACTTCTGGTTGCCTCCTCACCCAAACACATTCTAACCCTTCTATCTTCAACTCTCCCGTTGCACCTGCTGTCTTCAATTACACCAGTCTCACTGAGGATGAGGCCCCATTTTTTTGGGAGTGCATATTCACTGTTGATTTCTCAGATCTTCCACTTCTAAAACTTTTTGGTACATCCTGTTCTTAAACACACCTGCAATGCTCTTGTGGCTTTTTATACCAAAACTGCTAAATTCAGATGTCAAAAACAGTTATTGCCTGGAATACACAAAGGAAGGGAGGTTCAGAAGAGAGAAACCATTAGTCATAAAACACAAACAATAAAACATATACTTTCTACATGTGAGCAATTCCTCTTGAGGGCAAAATCCATACCCTTTGTCCAACAAAGAGGGCCCATGAACAGGACTGGATGTGACAGAAGGCCCCTCTGGAACCAGTTAAGTACATAAATGCAAAGAGACAAGGCTCATAAAGAATCATGAAGATAAAATTGAAGAAGGCCAGTTGATTTTCTGACTGTGGAAAATAAAGCATTAGGAAAATAAAAATCTCTCAGCATAGATTGTTATCCTGGCCCCTACAGGAAATTCTTACAAATAGATGATCCAGAAATCTCTAACTCAAACAACAATGACAGGAGGAGGAAGAAGAAGAAGAGGAAAAGAAGGAGAAGAGAAGAAAAGGAGGAGAAGAAGAAGGAGGAAGAAAAGGATGAGGAGGAGGAAAAGAAGAGAAGAGGAGGAGTAGAAGGAAGAGGAGGAGGAGAAATAACATGACACCTATATAGGTAGTATTAAAGAAAAAGGGAGACGAATTAAGCTCAATTTATTAACATATAAGGAATACTTTAACATGGAACAGATGAAAACCATAAACAAATATTTTATCTTTAGCCATTTTGTGAGTGTGTAGTATATCCCATTGTAGTTTAATTTCCATTTCCCTATGACTGTGAAAAGAAAATGTTTAAAACTGTTAGAAAATTATATAAGCAAGCCAGGCATGTTGGCTCACACCTGTAATCTCAGGCCTTTGGGAGGTCAAGGCAGGTAGACCGCTTGAGTTCAGGAGTCCAAGACCAGCCTGGGCAACATGGTGAAACCCGGTTTCTACAAAAAATGCAAAAATTATCTAGGTATGGCGGCAGGCACCTGTAGTCCCAGCTACTAGGGAGGCTGAGGTGGGAAGATTGCTTGAGCCTAGGAGGTCAAGGTTGCAGTAAGCCATGAGCATGCCAGCCTGGGTGACAGAGTGAGACCCTATTTAAAAAAAAAGAAAAAAAAAAGAAGAGAAAAAAAAGAAAGAGAAAGAAAGAAAGAAGGAAGGAGAGAGAGCGAGAGAGAAAGAAAGAAAGAAAGAAAGAAAGAAAGAAAGAAAGAAAGAAAGAAAGAAAGAAGGAAGGAGAGAGAGTGAGAGAGAAAGAAAGAAAGAAAGAAAGAGAAAGAAAAGAGAAAGGAAGGAAGGAAGGAAGGAAGGAAGGAAGGAAGAAAGGAAGAAAGAAAGAAAGAAAAAGAAGGAAAGAAAGATTATGTAGACAAATATGCTGTGGTCCTCTATGGGAACAGAACTGAGTCTGATTATGAAGAAAATAATCTCACTGCAATCTCTTGGAAGGGCAACACGAAACACTTGAAGACCCTCCAGCACACTGCTTGTTATCAAAAGATTACTGGGCCACAGCTTGGAGGTTTGCTTGTGTTTGCAGATAGTTTTATTACCATTATCATTGTGTTCATTTTAATACTAAGAGAAATAAGAGCAATTATGTCTTTGCAAATAATTTATCTGTGCCTCTGGTTAACTTCCAGCAATATGATGTTACCAGTAGAAAGTAATTTCTTTAAAACATTGCAGAGACAGCTTCTTACACATCAGAAACAAAATTGTTAGATTTTGTACCTCTTCAGTCATACTAAATCAGTTCAATTAAACAAGTTATTGAGCACCCCCTATTCATTATGGGATTCTATTCATCTAGAAGATGGGAATACAAAGTTAAAATAGGCCTTGACATCAAGACATACATAATATAATAGAGAACACATATATATATTTGCAAAGAACTAGAATTCTGTTTGGTAAATGCAATAGTAAAAGCCTATGTGAGGCAGAGAGGAACATAGAGCAGCATGACCAATTGTGCCTGGCTAGCGACGGGTGCGCAGCATAAAAAAGCTCCTGAGTAGGATTAAATGAATAACCCAGAGGTCAGTTGGATGGGATTGAGGGATCAAGCATTTCAGGCTTAGCCAATGGCATTGAGTCAGATCAGGAAGTGCCTGTCATGCCGTCTTAACATGCTTGAGTTTCATTCTTTAAGAAATGAGAAGGCTGGGTGCCGTGGCTCACACCTGTAATCCCAGCACTTTGGGAGGCTGAGCCATGGGATCACTTGAGCCCAGAGTTCGAGACCAGCCTAGGCAACATAGCAAAATCCAGTCTCTACTAAAAGTAGAAAAATTAGCTGGGTGTGGTGGTGTGCACCTGTAGTCCCAGCTACTTGGGAGGATCACCTGAGCCCAGGAGGCAGAGGTTGCAGTGAGCCAAGATCGTGCCACTACACTCCAGCCTGGGTGACAGAGAAAGACCCTGTCTCAAAAAAAAGAGAGACAGCAATGCAAGGAGTTTTAAACATAGACATGATTTGATCAGATTTGCCACTTATTAGATGACACAATCTGTCGTAGCACTGTAGCTGATGGATTGGATTTGGAGGTCAAGCATAGACACTAGAGGCTGGGCTCAGTGGCTCACACTTGTAATCCCAGCATTTTGGTAGGCCTAGGAGGGAGGAGCACTTGAGCCCAGGAGTTTGGAGGTTGCAGTGAGCCAGGATTGTGCCACTGTACTCCAACCTGCACAACAGAACAAGACCCCACCTCCAGAAAAAAAAAGAGAGTGACTAGGGTTCAACTGCAGTGGTTCAGTGGGAAAATAGTGCTGGCAGTGGAGAGGTAGGAAAAGACAGATTCAAAATATATAATCTAGGCCTCGTCAGTAGGATCTTGTGATTTATTAAAAGTCAAGGATCCTTGAGTATAAGATCATTTTGTTTTCTTTCTTAAAGACTTTTTCAGTCCTATGGTTTTAGTTTGTGTTCAGTCTTTTTTTTTTTAATAGTTTGTTTTCCTCTGGTAGAAAAATCAAGACAACTTACATTCAAATGTGGAGGAAATGGACTGCTTCATGCAGTACCTTACAGGAGGCAGTGCTTCACCATTTTCACATACTGTGCACCACACAATCACTCAGTTCTATCAGTTCACAAAGAGGTAATCAGAATCCAGCAGACTGACTTGTCAAGCTGGTCAAATGCAAGAGACTTATAAATTGGAATTCCATTGTGTTCATTTACAATAAATACCTAAGCCCAATTACAGAATTTACCCAATATCGTCACATGATTCTCCCTTTTTCCTATTAAAAAAGTAATAAACTAGCATTCAGAAGATTGTATGTTTAGCAGACACTGAGAATAATGTTTCCAAATGTCTGAAAAGTGTTAATCTTCTGGATGCAAGAATAAGACATTGGGCCGGGCATGGTGGCTCATGCCTGTAATCCCAACACTTTTGGAGGCCAAGGCAGGAGGATCACCTGAGGTCAGGAGTTCAAGACCTGCCTGGCCAACATGGTAAAACCCTGTCTCTACTAAAATTACAAAAATTAGCTGGGTGTGGTGGTGGGTGCCTGTAATCCCAGCTACTCGGGAGGCTGAGGCAGGAGAATCGCTTGAACCTGGGAGGTGGAAGTTGCAGTGAGCCGAGAAGGCCACACTGCACTACAGCCTAGGTGACAGAGTAAGACCCTGTCTAAAAAAAAAAAGAAGAAGAAGACATTGGTACTCAAGATTTCTTGAAACTTCTCAAAACAACAAATTATTTGTAAAATGCTTCCAACATTCTTCATACTCTTTTCTTCCTATTATGAATAGCCAAAAGTTGTTTAATAAATAAAAAGTTATATATTTTAAAGCACTCACAAATAAGTAAATCCTATAGCAAATATTCGAACTCTGGTAAACACCAATGAACATTAATGATTTATATGTAAGCAACATGACACTCAAATCTTGTAGCAAGATTAATAGCACTACACAGAATCACACGGAAAATGCCAATCTAAGGACTTACTTTCTTGCTACACTTGTTATTTCTTGGAACACCACTGGTAGGATTTATAGAAAGTATACTGCATATTTGAAGTTATTAATTTTTTTATTTTTAGGCATGGCTCACTGTTAGTAGCAGACAGGGCCACAAATTTATGCTTACACCATGGCAACAGCTACAAATAAAACGGCCTGATTAGCTCCACCCAGCCCTTGTCTCATTTCCAGATACGTCAGTCTTAACTTCTGACTCCATGAATAAATATTTCCTGCGTCTGCTCTTACATGACCACAACAGATGCCCTTCTCTATGTTGATAGTTAAGCTTTAATTATACTATTTTATGAAAAACACTGATCAGAGTGGAAAATGCATTTCTTAGGGCCCACTACTCTGTTTGAAAATTATAATGCAAGTGTTTATCAATGTGAGTTAGACTCAAATACCACTTACTTACCAACTACTAAGCAATGGACATAATGATCAATGCCAATGGTTCAGTTGTCACTTCTTAGATCAGAGAAAATGAAATCAAAACCCACTCTCTTTTCATTCCTAGTAATATACTTCAAATTTAAAAATAATTTTATAAACTTGAATTTCCATTGTCATGTTTGTTTAATTTTCCCACATGATTTGAATAAATTTTGGTCAATAGTGGTTCTCTCTCACACTCTCTCACATTGCTTTCTCTCATCCATTTCTTCTCAAATTCTGATGGATAGGACTTTGTTAAATGTGATGTAGGTTGATAGTATTCAAACTTTTGCTCACAAATTTACTAAAACTATTTTGTAAAAATATGTGACTCCATCACACATTTCAAAGTTAATGTCTCAATTTTTTATCATAACTTTATAGTTGTAAAGGACATAATTTTCAGTAGAATGTAAAAATTTACATTTTAAAATAAAACTGTCAAATCATTGTTTTAAATATATTCAATTAGATTTATTTATTTATTTATTTATTTATTTATTTTTTCGGACAGAGTCTCGTTCTGCTGCCCAGGCTGGAGTGCAATGGAGTGATCTCGGCTCACTGCAACCTCCTCCCCCTGGGTCCAAGCGATTCTCCTGTCTCAGCCTCCCTAGTAGCTGGGATTACAGGCGCCCGCCACCTCATCCGGCTAATTTTTGTGTTTTCAGTAGAGACAGGGTTTGGCCATGTTGACCAGGCTTGTCTCAAACTCCTGACCTCAGGTGATCCGCCTGCCTTGGCGTCCCAAAGTGCTGGGATTACAGGCGTGAGCCACCGCACCCGGTCTATTTATTTATTTTTGAGACAGGGTCTTACTCTGTCACCCAGGATGGAAGTGCAATGGTGCAATTACGGTTCAGCGCAGCCTCAAACTCCGGGGCTCAAGTAATCCTCCCACCTCCGCCTCTGAGTAGCTGGGACTATAGACATGCACCTCTACACCTGGCTAATTTTTGTAGAGATGGGGTTTCGCTATGTTGCCGAGGCTGGTCTTGAACTACTGGGCTCAAGCAATCCTCCCACCTCAGCCACCTAAAGTGCTGGTATTATAGGTGTGAACCATCGCGTCTAGCTTCCGATGAAATTTAAATACATAATGATTTGATATAAATTTTCATTTGTATAAAAATATACAAACTAGTCTTCCATATTGCCCAGAGCAGAACTTGTTTCTGTAACAATTTATAGGAAAACATCATGAATCCCAAAGCCCTTGATATTCTGCAGGTAAAAGAGGAATTGTGCCTATTCCTTCCGGCAGGAGCTCATTTAAGTACAGATGGAATAATGTGACATACAAGTGGACCACAAACACAGTATCACTAATCATCAGAAAAATGCAAATCAGGGCCGGGGTGGGGGTCGGGGGAGAGTCAGGTGTCGGCGAGCTGGAGCTCGGTGTGCCGGCACCCAGTGACTGCTGGCGGCCTGGGCTGCTGGGGCCGACGCCTGGGTGGCTGCCGCCGCCGCACCTGCTGCGAGATAGTGATCTTCGTCGCGGAAGGGTGAGGGCGCCCACTGCAGGAGGAGGTGCAGGTGCCGCGGCCGCCTGGCTGCCGGGAGCCGAAAGCTTCGCGCCTGGGTTGTGAGCTCCTTGAAACAGGGAATCGTGTCTTACTCATCTTTGTATCTCCAGTGTCTAGCAGTTCCTGATACATAGTTTTAGCTGAATTTTGGAACATGGCCACTGCCTCACCAAAGTCAGATACTACTAATAACCACAGTGGAAGGTTGCAGTTACAGGTAACTGTTTCTAGTGCCAAACTTAAGAGAAGAAAGAACTGGTTCGGAACAGCAATATATACAGAAGTAGTTGTAGATGAGGAAATTAGGAAAACAGCAAAATCCAGTAGTTCTTCTAATCTAAAATGGGATGAACAGCTAACTGTAAATGTTACGCCACAGACTACATTGGAATTTCGAGTTTGGAGTCATCACACTTTAAAAGCAGATGCTTAATTAGGAAATGCAACGACAGATCTGAAACAAGCTCTGTTGATACACAATAGAAAACTGGAAAGAGTGAAAGAACAATTAAAACTTTCCTTAGAAAACAAGAATGGCATAGCACAAACTGGTGAATTGACAGTTGTGCTTGATGGATTGGTGATTGAGCAAGAAAATATAACAAACTGCAGCTCAACTCCAGCCATAGAAATACAGCAAAATGGTGATGCCTTACATGAAAATGGAGAGCCTTCAGCAAGGACAACTGCCAGGTTGGCTATTGAAGGCACGAATGGAATAGATAATCATGTACCTACAAGCACTCTAGTCCAAAACTCATGCTGCTCGTATGTAGTTAATGGAGACAACATACCTTCATCTCCATCTCAGGTTGCTGCCAGACCCAAAAATACACCAGCCCCAAAACTACTCACATCTGAGCCTGCCGATGACACTGTTAATGGAGAATCATCCTCATTTGCACCAACTGATAATGCTTCTGTCATGGGTATTCCAGTAGTGTCTGAAGAAAATGCCTTGTCTCCAAATTGCACTAGTACTACTGTTGAAGATCCTCCAGTTCAAGAAATACTGACTTCCTCAGAAAACAATGAATGCATTCCTTCTACCAGTGCAGAATTGGGATCTGAATCTAGAAGTATATTAGACCCTGACACCTCTAATTCTGGAAGTAGTTCTGCTTTTGAAACAGCCAAATCAAGACAGCCAGATGGGTGTATGGATCCAGTATAGCAGGAGTCTGGGAATGCCAACACAGAAACCTTGCCATCAGGGTGGGAACAAAGAAAATATCCTCATGGTAGAACCTATTATGTGGATCATAATACTCAAACTACCACACGGGAGAGACCACAACCTTTACCTTCAGGTTGGGAAAGAAGAGTTGATGATCGTGGAAGAGCTTATTATGTGGATCATAACACCAGAAGAACAACATGGCAGCGGCCTACCATGGAATGGGTCAGAAATTTTGAACAGTGGCAATCTCAGCAGAACCAACCTCAGGGAGCTATGCAACAGTTTAACCAATGATACCTCTATTCAGCTTCAATGTTAGCCGCAGAAAATGACCCTCATGGACCTTTGCCACCAGGCCGGGAAAAAAGAGTGGATTCAACAGACAGGGTTTACTTTGTGAATCGTAATACAAAAACAACCCAGTGGGAAGATCCAAGAACTCAAGGCTTACAGAATGAAGAACCTCTGCCAGAAGGCTGGGAAATAAGATATACTCGTGAAGGTGTAAGGTACTTTGTTAATCACAATGCAAGAACAACAACATTCAAAGATCCTTGCAATGGGAAGTCATCCATAACTAAAGGTGGTCCACAAATTGATTATGAACACAGCTTTAGGCGGAAACTTGCTCACTTCCGTTATTTGTGCCAGTCTAATGCACTACCCAGTCATGTAAAGATCAATGTGTCCCGGCAGACATTGTTTGAAGATTCCTTCCAACAGATTATGGCATTAAAACCTTATGACTTGAGGAGGTGCTTATATGTAATATTTAGAGGAGAAGAAGGACTTGATTATGGTGGCCTAGCAAGAGAATGGCTTTTCTTGCTTTCACATGAAGTTTTGAACCCAATGTAATGCTTATTTGAGTATGTGGGGAAGAACAACTATTCTCTGCAGATAAATCCAGCATCAACCATTAATCCAGACCATCTTTCATACTACTGTTTCATTGGTCGTTTTATTGCCATGGCACTATTTCATGGAAAGCTTATAGATACTGGTTTCTCTTTACCATTCTACAAGCATATGTTAAGTAAAAAACTTACTATTAAGGATTTGGAATCTATTGATACTGAATTTTATAACTCCCTTATCTGGATAAGAGATAACAACATTGAAGAATGTGGCTTAGAACTGTACTTTTCTGTTGACATGGAGAGTTGGGGAAAAGTTACTTCACATGACCTGAAGTTGGGAGTTTCCAATATTCTGGTGACTGAGGAGAACAAAGATGAATATATTGGTTTAATGACAGAATGGCATTTTTCTCGAGGAGTACAAGAACAGACCAAAGCTTTCCTTGATGGTTTTAATGGAGTTGTTCCTCATCAGTGGCTACAGTACTTCAATGAAAAAGAATTAGAGGTTACGTTGTGTGGCACACAGCAGGTTGACTTGGCAGATTGGCAGAGAAATACTGTTTATCAACATTATACAAGAAACAGCAAGCAAATCATTCGGTTCTGGCAGTTTGTGAAAGAGACAGACAATGAAGTAAGAATGCTACTATTGCAGTTCGTCACTGGAACCTGCCGTTTATCTCTAGGAGGATTTGCTGAGCTCATGGGAAGTAATGGGCCTCAAAAGTTTTGCATTGAAAAAGTTGGCAAAGATACTTGGTTACCAAGAAGCCATACATGTTTTAATCTCTTGGATCTACCACCATATAAGAGTTATGAACAACTAAAGGAAAAACTTCTTTTTGCAATAGAAGAGACAGAGGGATGTGGACAAGAATGAATGTGGCTTCTTATTTTGGAGGATCTCTTGCATTCAAATACCCCAGCCAAGAAAAATTGCACATAGTGTATATAAGCTGTTCATTCTGTACAGTGAATTTTCTGAACCTCTCAAAGTATGTTTTCCATTCTTCCACAGCAATATGCAAAACATATTTCATCCTTTTCTACTTTATTTGTTGTCCTTTGAAATGATTGACCAGGAAAAAGATCATCCTTAAATTTTGAAGCAAGTGAGAGACTTTATTAAAAATACATATGTATCTATATAAGCATATGTGATAGTGGCTCTAGTTTTATAGAGTTGCAAGTGTATTAAACATGACAGCTGTTCATTCATAAAGATCTGGATTTGCTTTACCTTGTTAATATTATCTAGGCGAAAAAGTGCAAATTGCTCCATGTTCTTCTCTCCCTTGTGTAACATCTCCTGAGGGTGTTTATTTGTATGTCTGTTCAGGAAGGTATTAAGGGCTTAGGCCAAATCTTACTTTGAGTATGTTAAAAAAAAAATGCTGCTGGCTTTTCTGAAGACAGGTGCTTGAACCTGTCAGTTGGTTTTAAATAAATAGTTGAAAATTTTTCTTTCTCTGTTACATCAGTAATATTGTCAAAGTAATGGATAAAACCATAACTTACACATGAAAGTCATATACCAGATCTGATACTATTTAGTTTATTATCAAAATTGGAAGGATTCATTGAGCAGCAAAGAAGTTTGTTTACATGATACTTTGAGATGCTAGATATTTGTGGAATTAAAAAGAATCAGGCACTGCTGTACTTTGTTTTTAAATCTGTGATTTTTTCAAATTTAATTCATAATAAATTGATGCAATTTCATACCTAGGAACATATAAAAGGTAATGTGAACTCTGCCACTTGTTTTGTGTTCAAAGTTTCGGTTTTATGAAGCCAGATGGATTGAAGAGTTACATAAGCATTTGAGTGCTCTAATATGAGGCTAACGATTTTCTGTTAGTGTTTGAATATCTTCATTCCTCTCAAATTCATAACAGTTCTATTTATCTGAATTAAATAAGCATATTAAAAAAAAGAAGTGACATTTATCAGCCTCTGGAATTCAATGCTGTTCTTTTCTTATGTTTATATCTTTGCAAGACATAGATGAGCTGAAGCCTCCATTTTGTAGGTATTCCATAAAATCTTATGGTGCTTTGTGGCTTGCAGGGAAGATTAACCACCAACAAACAACATAGGTAGATATCACAAAATAGTAAAAAGGGTAAAAACAATACATTTGGTAGCATCAAAGTACTTATGGATAGATAGAATATTGACCAAATGGGAAGAACTGAAAGGTGGAATAAATTATAATGTCTTCTGTTCCAAAAATGAGGAAGATTATGCCTTCCTTTCTTTTTCTTAATATTTCAGATGGATACTTCACATAACAGCATAACTCATCAATTCCATATTGCCATAAAATTAGTCCATACCTAAATTTTCATTTCGCTTTTGGATCAGAACAACAACAACAAACTATGATAGCTAAATATTTCAAATAATACTACCAAAGCAAGGGAAATTACATTGATACAGACACATGTATATCATGCTGGCAGTGTTTTAAATACATTCCATATTTTTTGGAAATAACTTTTTTATCACATATTTGTGTAGTATTTTCAATTATTTTTCTTGGCTTTAGAAGTCACATTTTGTTGAAATTAATAAGGCATTTATTAGTGGGGCTAGTTTTTGTTCAAAGATTCTGAGATGGTATCAGCTACTGATAGGTAATCTATCTCATCATTTTATAGAAACAGAGCAATTTCAATGGAAAACTATTAGGAGATCTAAACCTGATAGTTTTTGTAGTAAATTTTGTTTGTGAAATTTTAAACTTCTACTTCTCTAACTTATTTTAAAATTTACAAAATGGTTTCAAGAAAAAAGACCAAATCTTAATACATCTCTATAGTACTTAACTGAATTAGAAACCCAGCAAAAATAAAGTACAAGATTTCATGATATTATTATATGGCTATGTTCTTTCAAATTAGTCCTGAAACAAAAGGAAAGAATTTTCCTCCACTGTATCATTAGCTGCCCTGTCTGCCTACCTGTGACCTTTGCTGGTGACCTGCAGTTCTGGCTGGAAAGGGGAGAAAAAGAAGTAGAAATTTTCAGTTCAGGGCTGGTCCTTATAAAATTTGTCTTTCTGTGCCTCTCAGCAGCTAGCTTGCTTGCTCTCTCTCTCTTTCCTCTTTCTCTTTCTTTCTTTCTTTTTTCCTTCCTTCCATCCCTCCTTCCTTCCTTCCTCCTTTCCTTTTGTTTTCTTTCTTTCTCTCTCTTTCGTTCTTTTCTCTCTGTTTCTCTCTCCTTCCTTCTTTCATTCCTTCCTCCTTCCTTCCTTCCTTTCTCTCTCTCTCACTTTCATTCATTCGTTCATTCCTTCATTCGTTCTTCACTGTCACCCAGGCTGAAGTGCAGTGGAACAATCATAGCTCACTGCATCTTCGACCTCCCAGGCTCAAGTGATCCTCCTGCCTCAGCCTCTCAAGTGGCAGGGACTACAGGCATGCACTATCACACCCAGCTAATTTTCTTTTTTTTCTTTTTTTGTGGAGATAGGGTCTCACTATGTTGCCCAGGCTGGTCTTGAACTCCTGGCCTCAAGCAATTCTCCTGCCTCGTCCTCCCCAAGTGCTGGGATTACAGGCATGAGCCAGTGTGCTTGGCCAGCATATTTTATTTTCTTAAAAGAGGCTCATATCCTTAATTCCCACATGAACTTGAACTCATTGTTAACGATATCCTAGGTTGGGTCAGGCAAAAAACTTCATACTACAGCAGATGACATGGAATGAAAGTCCTGATGAGAAGCTCAGTTCCAACAATGACTTTTGGCAAGTCCTGTTACCTTTCTAGGATCAGAGTTCTCACCTCTAAGATGGGGAGGAGGGTGGCTGGCTCATCAATTCTAAACCTCATTTCTCCTGTAACACACATAACAGATGATCATGTCTATGAACAAAAAACACTCACTGAGGAAACCCAAAACATTTCCCAAGATATAAAGCAAAGAGCAAGGAGAATTTTTTTATGTTCTTTACAGTTTTGTTTTAACATAATATGAGGGGTTATATAATACTTCACTGAGAGCCAAATAAAAGAACAGCAAATGAATTTTATTTCCTTCTAGTAAAGTAGTATAATGGTTTATGTAGACCAGTTTGGTTTGACATGGCATTCCAAAAAGCACTTATGAGCTTATAAGTAAATAAAATTGCTATTTATTTCACAAGGAAAAAAATGGGCCTAACTAAATTCTTATTTTTTTCTTAATTTTTAAAATTTTTGTGGGTACATAGTTGGTATATGTATTTATGGGGTACAAGAGATGTTTTGATACAGGCATTCAGTGTGACATAAGCACATCATGAAAAATAGGGTGTTTATCCCCTCAAGCATTTATCCTTTGAGTTACAAACAATTCAACTGTACTCTTTAAGTTATTTTAAATAAATTCTTAAATGTTTAAAAAATGAATTTTGATATTTTATTATCCTCTACCCCAAGATAAACTAAATTGAGCAGATCTATGTGTTGGCATATTTAATATTCTGATATGTGTGACTTTCTTTTCTTTTCTTTTTTCTTTGAGAGGGAGTCTTGCTCTGTCGCCCAGATTGGAGTGCAGTGGCGCGATCTCGGCTCACTGCAACCTCTGGTTCAAGCGATTCTCCTGTCTCAGCCTGGGATTACAGGCTCCTGCCACCATACCTGGCTAATTTGGGTATTTTTAGTAGAGGTGGGGTTTCACCATGTTGGTCAGGCTGGTCTCAAACTGCTGACCTCAAGTGATCCACCTGCCTTCGCCTCTCAAAGTGCTGGGATTACTGGCCTGAGCCACCAAGCCAGGCCGTGACTTTTTTTGTTTTTTTGTTTTTTTGTTTTGTTTTGTTTTTTGGTTTTTTTTTGAGACGGAGTGTCGCTCTTTCGCCCCCGCCGGAGTCTCGCTCTTTTGCCCAGGCCGGAGTGCAGTGGCGCTGTCTCGGCTCACTGCAAGCTCCGCCTCCCAGGTTCACGCCATTCTCCTGCCTCAGCCTCCCAAGTAGCTGGAACTACAGTCGTCCGCCACCACGCCTGGCTAATTTTTTTTGTATTTTTAGTAGAGATGGGGTTTCACCGTGTTAGCCAGGATGGTCTCGATCTCCTGACCTCGTGATCTGCCTGCCTCGGCCTCCCAAAATGCTGGGATTACAGGCGTGAGCCACCGTGCCCGGCCGTGACTTTCTAATAGGATAATGGAGCACACAGCAGGTACTCCCTGGATCAGCGTCCTGAGACAACAGTTTGGGAAAAGCTTGTCAAGTGCTAAGAACCTAAGATTTGGAGCTAGAGACCTGTGGCTTGGTCCTAATTCTTCCACTCACTGTGTGATCTTCCACAAATCACTTGACTTCTGAGGTTTCAGCTTTATCATATGTAATCACGGATAATTACACTGTACCTCTAGAGATTGTAGTGAAACAAAAGAAGCTAGTAATTTCTTAATGACTAACATATTGTTGTTGGATGATAAATGCTGTCATTAGAACCTTTTCTTTCTAGTTTTCACTAGAAAGACAGACTCTTATTTCTACTATAAACAGACCCAGCCTGATACCACATCTGAAATATCCTCCTACTGATCTGGAATCATGAAAATATTCCCAGTACTAAATTTTTAATTCCATTTAATGAGCACATATTAACCACTTCCTTTATACTATGAAAGTACATGATATAAGAATAAGACATCATTTTAGCCTTTGAATTTCTTACAATCCAGTTGCCACAGTTTACTCTGCAGTCTTAATTTAAACTCCTCAATGCTAATGCAAAAGTTATATTAATTTCACCCCACTTTTTTTTTTAGCAAATTCTTATTTAAATATATAGAATGAAGATATGGCCAAATAATAAATATAGATGGGCATTTGCACCAACATTCTACACAATTTGTAACTACATTTAGGAAATGAGATAAGCCATGCTTTTAAAGTTTTCAGTATTGTCTTAATTACCTGGGGAAGTTATAATCAGCTTTAAAACAACAAGGAAAGAAGAAATTGTACTGCAAACAGGAAAAAAATAAATGTAAGAAAGAAAAGTAAGGGAAGCAGCTCATTGTTTTTATTTAGAAAAGTTGTAAAAGCATGTTTCATTTTGGTTTAACTGAGAGTTAGCAGTATTTCATCTTTTTAATATATTTTGACAAACAAAAGTTGTGTATGTTTATTATGTACAACATGATGTTTTGATATATGTATACATTGTGGAATGGCCAATTCAAGCTAATTAACATACACATTATTTTACTTTTTTTGTGGTGAAAACACTTAAAACCTACCCTCTTAACAATTTCAAGTATACAATACATTGTTAACTATAGCCATCATGTTTTACAACAAACTTTGGGTCTAACCGAAATTTTACGCCTTTGACCATCTCTACAACCTCCTCCGAAGTGCCTTGAAACCACCATTCTAGCCTCTGTCTAGTCTCTGGTCTATGAGGCTGACAATTCTACATATAAGGGAGATCATGTGGTATTTGTCTTTCTGTGTCTGACGTTTCCCTTAACATAATATTCTCTAGATTTATCCTTGTTGTTGCAAATGACAGGATTTTATTATTTTTGAAAGCTAAATAATATCCCATTGTGTATATATACCACATTTTCTTTGTCCATTCGTCCACTGATAGATATATTATAATACTTAAGTTGATCCCTTAGCTTGGCTATGGTGAATGATGCCACAGTGAACGTGGGAGTGCAGAAACTAATTTCATTTAGTGGAATTGCTGGATTATATGGTAGCTCTAGTTTTAATTTTTTGAGCAACCTTCATATTGTTTTTCATAATGGCTGTACTAATTAACATTTCCACCAACAGTGTAGAAGGGTTCCCTTTTCTCCACATCCTCACCAACATTTGTTATCATTTTTTTTTTGATAATAGACATTCTAACAGGTATGAGATGATATCTCATTGCAGTTTTAGTTTGCATTTCCCTGATGATTAGTGATGTTGAGCATTTTGTCATATACCTGTTTGTTGTTTGTATGTATTCTTTTGAGAAATGTGTATTCAAATCTTTTCCCCATTTTTTAATCAGGTTATTTGTTTTTTTATTATTGAGTTGTTTGAGTTCCTTATATATTCTCTTTCAATCTCTCAAAATATATTATTGAACTGTACTCGCCTATTTTTGGACTGTGATTGACTACAGGTAACTAAACCATGGAAAGCAAAACTGCAGCAGATAAGGAGGGACTACTGTACTCAATAGTGAAGAACTGAAAGCTTTTCCTCTAAGATCAGGAACAAGCAAGGATGTCCACTCCTGCCACTTTTATTCAACATAATACTGGAAATCCTAGGCAGAACAATTAAGTAAGAAAAAGAAATAAAAGTCATCCAGGCCAGGCATGGTGGAAGCCAGGCGAGGTAGTTCACACATATAATCCCAGCACTTTGGGGGGCCAAGGCAGGTGGGTCATTTGAGGTCAAGAGTTTGAGACCAGGGTGGCCAACATGGCGAAACCTCATCTCTACTAAAAATACAAAAATTAGTTGGATGTGGTAGTGTACGCCTGTAGTCCCAGCTACTGGGAAGACTGAGGCAGGAGAATCGCCTGAACCTGGGAGGTAGAGGTTGCAGTGAGCTGAGATCATGCCATTGTACTCCAGCCTGGGCAACAGAGTGAGACTCCATCTCAAAAAAAAAAAAAAAAAAGTTAAATTGTCTCTGTAGATGACATGGTTTTACGTATAGAAAACCCTAAAGTCTCCACCAAAAAAACTGTTAGGGCTGATAAAGGAATTCAGGACTGTTTCAGGATACAAAAATTAACATAAAAAGCAGCATTTCTATATACTAACAA
The DNA here is from genome assembly GCF_000001405.40 of Homo sapiens. Lineage (NCBI taxonomy): Eukaryota > Metazoa > Chordata > Mammalia > Primates > Hominidae > Homo > Homo sapiens. The sequence continues at coordinate 98,667,471 of NC_000003.12, forward strand.
ACTATTTGAAAAAAGTTAAAAGAATAATTTCATAATACCAAAAAAAAACCCTTAGGAATAAATTTAACAAGAAAGTAAAAGACTGAAACCTATAAAACATTGATAAAAGAAATTTTAAAAGACACAAATAATTGAAATGGTATCCCTTGTCCATGGATTAGAAGAATTAATAATGTGAAAATATCCATGCTACTCAAGGTAATAGAGAGATTCAATACAATCCCTATGAAAATTCCAATGACATTTTTCACAGAAATATAAAAACAATCCTAAAAGTCATATGGAACCACAAAAGACTCTGAATAGCCAAACCAATCTTGTGCCAAAAGAATAAGCCTAGAACAACACACTATGTGATTTCAAAATCTACTATAAAGCTATAAGAACCAAAATAGCATGATGTTGGCATAAAAACAGACACATAGACCAACGGAACAGAATACAGAGTCCAGAAATATTTCCTCTTTAAAATATTAACTTTTGGCCAGGCGCAGAGGCTCACGCCTGTAATCCCAGCACCTCAGGAGTCTGAGGCGGGTGGATCACGAGGTCAAGAGATCAAGACCATCCTAGCCAACATGGTGAAAACCCATCTCTACTAAAAATACAAAAATTAGCTAGGCATGGTAGTGTGTGCCTGTAGTCCCAGCTACTTGGGAGGCTGAGGAAGGAGAATCGCATGAACCCAGGAGATGGAGGTTGCAGTGAGCAGAGATTGTGCCACTGCACTCCAGCCTGGCAACAGAGTGAGACTCCGTCTCAATAATAAATAAATAAAATAATAAAATATTAACTTTTATGAAACTTCCTATTACACAGGGGAGAAATAAGAAATACTAATTGAGCTTTTCTAAAATTATAGACTATATCGTGGATATTAGACACTCAAATACTTATGTTAAATCACGGTAGGAGCTGGAAAGACCAATAAGATATGTGTGAACTCAAGAGTTGCTACTGGCATAAAAATTGATGCACTATTTCTAGCAATATATAGCAAGAACCCTAAAAAGTTTGTAGCTTCAACGTTATAATCCCAATATTGGAAATTTAAAGAATAAAAGCTTTATTTATACACCTTTGTAAAACAGCGGCATTTGTAAGAGCAAAGCCCTTGAAACAATCTGATTGTGTAGCAGCTACACAATGGCTGATTAAACGACAGGTGTCATGAGGAAATTTGTGCAACCACTAACAACACAAATACAAGATTGTAGAAAAGTGAATGCAAAACTATCTTAAGTACAAACAAGGGTAAAGTGATTATGACTAGGCAAAGCCAATGCATGCATGTATACAACTGAAAAAGCCATGTAGAGATATAAATAATTCTTTAATATGAAAGCATTTGTTTATTTTAACAGCTTAGTGAGATATAATTTACATGTCATAAAATTCATCTGTTTAAAGTGTACTATTGAATGGTTTTAAGTACATATATAGACTGCTTATTTTTAAAAATGACTTAAACTTTTTTTTTTTTTTTGGTGAGACAGGGTCTCACTCTCTCACCCAGACAGGAGTGTGTTGGTGCGATCTTGGCTCATCGCAACCTCTGCCTCCCAGGCTCAAGTGATTCTCCTGCCTCAGCCTCCTGAGTAGCTGGGATTACAGGTGCACACCACTACCACCCGGCTAATTTGTGTATTTTTAGTAGAAATGGGGTTTCACCATGTTGGCCAGGATGGTCTCCAACCCCTGACTGCAAATGATCCACCCAAAGTGCTGGAGTGCTAGGATTACAGGCATGAGCCACCGCACCCAGCCAACTTTTCTTTTTTCTTTCTTTTTTTTTTTTTTTTTTTTTTTTGAGACAGAGTCTCTTTCTGTTGCTGATGCTGGAGTGCAGTGGTGGGATCTTGGCTCATTGCAACCTCTGCCTCCCAGGTTCAAGCAATTCTCCTGCCTCAGCCTCCTGAGTAGCTGGGATTACAGGCACGCATCACTACGCCTGGCTAATTTTTTATTTTTTTAGTAGAGACGGGGTTTCACCATGTTGTTCAGGCTGGTCTCAAATTCCTGACCTTGTGATCCGCTGCCTCGGCCTCCCAAAGTGCTGGGATTACAGGCATGAGCCACCGTACCCGGCCCCCAACTTTTAAGATGAGGCAAGAGATCAGTAGATCTAATTGCCTGGTACAAATAGGACTCATATTTGAATTTGTTTAAGCTCTACTGAAAAATTATTGCTACTGTGTCCATGTAGTGAACATAATTCCAAATACTATGTTTGGATCTAACATCCAAATAGATATCAAGCCAGTCCAACAAGATTTTTTTTTAAATCTGAGTCCATTACTGGCAGTAAATTTCCTCTTTATTTCCCAGCTCACATAAGGTTTGTATTCTGTCCCAACTGGTCCCAGCAAGTTTAAATGCACTATGTCTAATGTCACTTCTAGAGCCTACAGTCTCTCATACATTCTGCTTTGTTAGGAAGAAAGAAGCAACATGATATAGTTGGTTTTATCTTAAGAAAAAATGTGGAATGATGATAAACACACAGGCTTTGGATTTACACTTGGATTTGAACTCAAGCTCTGCTATTTGTTATGTACTCTGAGGCTTACTTGCCCCAGTTACCTCGTCTATAAAATAGGGCTAATGTCACTTTTTTGCAGGGTGGTAATTGACCTGGTAAATATTAAGCACTTAGCACAATAGCTGGAATGTTGGTGAGGCTCATTCCCTGGAGTAACTACTATGATGATAAATCCCTGATTAATTAGCACAGAGCCACATACACTGGAGCTTTGTTTCCCAGACCGCACCAACCATGAGAAAACCAAATAGAGGCATGAGTTACAATTAAAGAATTATTTCTGCACCCCTCCCTTTTCCTGGGACTCTCACTGTGGCGAACACCATTGCAGAACAGAGGGAATGCCCCACACACCTCCTCCTTGGTTGTCTGTGCGTGTCCACAGAGCTGTCCTGCATCAACAGTGCCACCGCCACTCATCTTCCTCTAGCACTGATGACCTGTCTCACCAAAGTGCCATCCTCATCCCAAGTATATGGTTCTGCTTTTTCCCATTCATAACTTTTGGAAAACTTCAAAAGATGGTCTTGTTCCTTGGGGGAATAACCCAGCCACACCAGCTGTGATTACAGAATCAAGTTAAACTTCCCTACTGTCTTGGCAGGAACCTCACCAACCTACTTGCTGGACATTTCCACACCTGCACACATACACATCTGCTTAAACTATACCCCAAACATTTTTGAGATTTTCCCAAAGTATTTTGGTTATAAACCCCTCAGGTTCTTTCGACAGAATTCCTGTAACTATATGTGCATAAGTATGTGTGTGAGTGTGTGTGTTTTCTTCTTAGATGTGAACTCAAACATTATTTTTTTCCTGCTCTAAAGAGGTTTGGCAAGGTTTTGACCATTGAGAGGCTGAGTTTCACTTTTGCCAAAAAAAAGAAAAAAGTTGAGGGCTTTGTTTTCAAAAACCTAGAATGGGCCAGGCACAGTGGCTCACACCCGTAATCCTAGCACTTTGGAAAACTGACGTGGGTGGATTGTTTGAGCCCAGGAGTTTGAGACCAGCCTGGGAAACATGGGAAACCCCCATCTCTTCAAAAAATACAAAAAAAAAAAAAAAAAAAGCTGAGTGTGGTGGTGCACGCCTGTAGTCCCAGCTCCTTGGGAGGCTGAGGTGGGAGGATAACCTGAGCTCAGCAGGTCAAGGTTGCAGTGAGCCAAAATTGTGCCACTGCACTCCAGCCTGGGCAACAAACAGAATGAGACCCTGTCTCAATAAATAAATACACAAAAAATCAACAACAACAACAAAAAACTAGAATGGCATCTAGGAGGTGGGTTGTTTGAAAAGGTCAGGGTTCCAAGGGTTGAGAGGGAAAGGAGTGGCCTGGACTTGAGGAAGGGGAGTGGTGGAAATCTTTTTGCACAACCTCAATGTGGTGCAGCTATGCGGGCATCCCCTATGTGAGAACAGGCAGTGGTTCCTGATCGTAAAGCTTAGTGTAGAATGCATTGTTCAGTTTGGAAAAATGAACATTTTCACGTGACAAACATAGGGTCAAGATCAGCAGTTCGTCCTTAAATTACCAAAGGCCCTAGGATTCCTGTAGAATTGTCAGTTAAAATTAAGATTTTCTACCACATAAAAATTAGATTTTCTTTCACCTTTGATGGGTGTTGTTGGGGAAGGGAGGTCAGATTGATTTTATTTGGAAAATAAAATAATGTTACATTTTCTTTACTTTGAGTGCCTGGAATAAATCACGTTGGTTACTCTCCCATTTCAGCTTCATTCAACTCATAGCAAGGATTCCTACGCTTGCTGAGAAGTACCCTTGGCTTCCCTATTATTTTGAGAAGTTGCATTCTCAAGGGATTATCTGGAAAGCAAAGACAGATTTATATAAAATTAATTATTTTTCTTTGGAGTTTATGTGATTAGATTCAACCATCTAGATTATTAAAATAGTTATTGTCTGAAAAGACAATGTGTGAACTCTGAAGCAAACTAAAACTATATACATACGGTGCAGAAAACAGAAGTTTTGGAGACAAAAAACAACCTTTGCCACCTTGGACAAGTTGTTTACTCTCTCTAAGGCTTGGTATTTTCAACTGTAAAATAAAAAAATTAAGTATATTTTTCATGAGGTGATAGTGAAGAAGAAAACAAATACATACTTAAAGGGACATAGGCTTCAAGAAATACTCATTTTATTCTCTGTTATAGCCACAATGGTTTCTTTTGATCTCCCTTTTTAACAAACCTTATTGATATATATACAGAAAAGACTATCATAAGCATAGAATTTGATGAATTATCACAGAAAGAACATATCCTAATAATCACCGTAATATCAAGAACTAGGACATCCCAATGTCAGGGAAGAACCTCCTGTGTCCGTTCTGATCATTACCTCCTCTACCTCATCCCCTAATGTAAACAATCTCCTGACTTCTATCATTTAGTTATGCCTGATTTTAAAATTTAATACATAATGAATCATATAGTCTATATCATTCTGTATCTGGCTTTTTTCACTTACCATTATGTTGGTAAAATTTGCTCTGATTTTGCACTAAACAGGAATTTGTTCATGTTCATTTTTCAAGAGATTTTCCATTGTTTGAATGTGCCATATTATATTTATCCTTTCTTACGTTGGTGAGCGTTCATGTTGTTTCCAGACTTGAGCTATTATACATAGTACTGTGTGACAATTTGTATGTATGTGTATGCATTTCTGCTGGGAATATGAATAGGAGCCAAATTGCTGGATCACGTGTTATGTGCAGGTACAGCTTTAGTATACCCTGCCATAGTTTTCCAAATTGCTGTGCCAGTTTTCTCTCTCAAACAAGTATATGAGTTCCTTTTGTTCCACAGCTCTGCACTTGGTATTTATAATTTTAAGTTTTAGCCATTCTGCTAGAGACAGATAGATTACTGTTTCACTGGGGTTTGATTTACATTTAGCTATCTTCTTTTGTGAAGTGTCTGCTCAAATGTCTTTTGAGCATTTTTTTTACTTTGTTATCTGTGGCTTTTTTTTTTAAGGATTTCTTTATATATAACCCTTCTTACTCTGTGGTTTGCCTAGTAACTATACGAAAAATGTCTTCTGATTGAAAAGAAAGTTTCCAAGTCTAACATGGCCCAATTTGTCTATCTTGTTTTTGTTTATTGGTGCTTTCACCATGCTTAAGAAATCATTCTTACCCCAAGATCGTGATAATATTCTCATGTGCTTTCTTTTAAAAGCTTTGCATTTTAACCCTTATATTTGGTATAAATCCACCTGGAACTGATTTTTTAACATGGTGTTAAAAAGGGGCCAGGATTCACTTTCTTTCTCCATATGGAGATCCAATAGACGTAGCACCTTCTATTTGTAAAGAATATTGTTTCCTCACTTCTTTGCAGAGCCACCTTTCTCACTAATTCAGTTCTGTATGTATGAGTCTGTTCAGATTCTCTATTTCATTCCAGTAGTCAATTGCTTATTCTTAACTATTGTAACATTAGGGTAAGTATTCATATTTAGTACTATAACTTCTACAACTCTTTTATTTTTCTTCAAGATTACCTTGGCTCTTCTTGTCTCTTCCATTGCTATACACATTTTAGTATTAGCTTGTCAATTTTTTCACAAAAACTGCTTGGGCTTTCATTGAAATTGCATTAGATCTATAGATGTATAGAGCTATTTAGGATGTATTTGACATATTGAAAATGTTGAGTCTTCTAATCCATAAACATGGGTTTTCTTCTATGTTTCTATGTATATCTTCTTTAATTATGCTCAATAACTTTTTTTGGTTTTTTTGTTTGTTTGTTTGTTTGTTTTTGTTTTTGTTTTTTACAGAATCTCACTCTGTCACCCAGGCTGGAGTGCAGTGGCATGATCTTGGCACACTGCAACCTCCACCTCCTGAGTTCAAGCTGTTGTCCTGCCTCAGCCTCCCAAGTAGCTGGGATTACAGGTGCCTGTCACCACATCCAGCTAATTTTTTAATTTTTAGTAGAGTTGGGGTTTCACCATGTTGGTCAGGCTGTTCTCGAACTCTTGGCCCCAAGTGATCCACCAGCCTTGGCCTCCCAAACTGCTGGGATTACAGGTGTCAGCCACCACAACCGGCCTCAATAATGCTTTATGGTTTGTGTAGAGAACCTACACATTTCATTACATTATATCTAGATTTTGCTGTTTTGATGCTATTGAAAATGTTAATTTCTCAAGACTTTAGTATTAAGAAATATAGATTTATGTATATTGGCAAGTATTCAGTAATCTTACAGATTCACTTATTAATTTTAATAGTTCACCTATAGATCCTTTTGGGTTTTTTGTACACACTAACAATTATTTATTTCTTCCATTCCAATGCTTACAACTTTTTTTCTTGATTTATTGCACAAGCTGGTTCCTCCAGAATAATGTTTAACAGAAATGATGGTAGCAGGCATTCTTATTTTATTCGTGAAATTGGGGGAGATATTTCAATATTTCACCATTAAGCATGATGTTTGTGGTAAGTTTTTTTAAGGCATCTTTATCGGATAGTCCTTTTTTATCCCTAATTTTGTAAGAATTTTTATAATGGATAAACATTGACTTTTTAAACTTTTATTTTAAGTTCTTGGGTACATGTGCAGGATGTGCAGGTTTGTTACATAGGTAAACCTGTTCCATGGGGATTTGTAGTACTGATTACTTCATCACCCTGGTATTAAACCTAGTATCCATTAGTTATTTTTCCTGATTGTCTCCCTCCTCCCAGCCTCTATCCTCTAATAGGCCCAAGTATGTGTTGTTCGCCTCTTTGTGTTTGTGAGTTCTCATCATTTAGGTCCCACTTTTAAGTAAGAACATATGGTATTCGGTTTTCTGTTCCTGTGTTAGTTTGCTATGGATAATGGCCTTCAGCTCCATCCATGTCCCTGCAAAGGACATGATCTCATTCCTTTTTATGTCTGCATAGTATTCCATGGTGTGTATGTACCACATTTTCTTTATCCAGTCTATCGTTGATGGACATTTAAGTTGCTTCCATGTCTTTGATATTGTAAATAGTGCTGCAATGAACATACACATACTTGTGTCTTTATAATAGAATGATTTATATTCCTCGGTTATATACCCAGTAATGGGATTGCTGGGTCAAATTGTATCTCTAACTTTAGGTCTTTGAGGAGTTGCCATACTGTCTTCCACAATGGTTGAACTAATTTACACTCCCACCAACAGTGTATAAGCGTAACTTTTTCTCCACAACCTTACCAGCATCTGTTTTTGTTTTTTATTAATAGCCATTCTGACTGGTGTGAGATGGTATCTAATTGTGGTTTTGATTTGCATTCTCTAATGATCAGTGTTAAGCTTTTTTTCGTGTGCTTGTTGGCCACATGTATGTCTTCTGTTGAGAAGTGTCTGTTCATGTCCTTTACCTACTTTTTAATAGGGATGTTTGTTTTTTTCTTGTAAATTTTGTTTAAGTTCCTTATTAGGCCTTTATCAGATCCATAGATTGCAAAATTTTCTCCCATTATATAGGTCATCTGTTTGCTCTGTTGATTGTTTCTTTTGTTGAGTAAAGCTCTTTAGTTTAATTAGATCCTCTTTGTCAGTTTTTGCTTTTGTTGCAATTCCTTTGGATATCTTCAGCATGAAATCTTTGCCCGTGCCTATGTTCAGAATGGTATTGCCTAAGTTGTCTCTCAGGGTTTTTACAGTTTTGGTTTTTACATTTAAGTCTTTAATTCATCTTGAGTTAGTTTTTGTATATGGTGTAAGGAAGGGGTCAAGTTTCAATTTTATGCATATGGCTAGCCAGTTATCCCAGGATCATTTATTGAATAGAAAATCCTTTCCCCATTGCTTGTATTTGTCAAGTTTGTCAAAGAAGAAAAAACATTGAAATTTTATCTCATGTTTTTTTGTTTCTATTAAATGATTATATTATTTATCTTCTCTTCTCTTTTAATGTAGTGAAATCCATTGGGAGATTTTTCTTTAATGCCAAACTAACCTTGAGCTCCTGGAATACATCTATACCTGTTCATGATGTATTGTCATATATATATATGTGACAAAACATATATATATATAAAACATTTTATTTAGGATTATTCCATCAATGACTAGCCTATAACGTCATTTTCTTGTTAAATCTTTCTCCAATTTAATATTAAAGTTGTGTTTGTCTCATAAAATGAGTTGGGAAGAGTCACCTCTTTCTCTACTCTCTTTAATGGTCCTGTTTCTTCCTAAAGTTATTTGGAAGAATTTCCCATTGAAGTGTGTGGTCCTAGAATTTTATTTTTATAATTTTAATTACAGATTCTACATTGACATAGGATTGTTTATACTTTTTGTTTGGTGTTGTATACATTTTGGTCAATTTTGATTTTTTTTGAAAATCTTTCTATTTCATTCAAGTTTCCAAATTTATTAGCATAATGTTATTTAAAACATCCTCTTATGATGTTTCTAATATTCATTGAATTAGTAGGTTTTTTTTCATTGTTGATATAATTTATGACTTATTACTCTTTTCTAGATTAATTTTTCCAGGAATTTATCAATGTTTTTACTCCTTCCAAAGAACCAAACTTTGAGTATATTCATCTTCTCTATAATAAAATTGATTTGTATTTCATTAATTTCTACTTTTATCTTGGTTATTTTCTTCTTTCTAGTTTCAATGGGTTTAATTTACAGTTCTTTTTTTAACCTCTTGAGCTGGACATTTAGATAATCTATAGATATTCTTAAAAAGAAACCCAAAACTTACAATGGACATTTTAAATATTTTCACTTAAAGCTATAAATTGTTCTTTTAAGCATGCGTTTTCATCCAATTAAGTTTCAATAGTCTGTATTTTCACCCTAATTCAGTTTAAATATTTCTATATTTTATTGTGATTATTTTGATACATGCACTATTTAGAATTATATTGCTTAATTTTCAAGCATTTGGAAATTTTCTACTTTGTTTCTTTTAATTCTCTTTTCTAATTCAGCTTTATTGAGACATAATTTAACATAAGTGTACTGATTTTAAGTATATAAGACAAATGTATGTGCCTATTTAGCCACCAACAAATCCAAGATACTGTACTTTGCCATCTACCCTAAAATGTTCCCTCATGACCTTTTGCAGTCAATTCCCATACCTCTGACCCCAGGCAAACACAATTGTTGTTTCTGTCACTACAGATTAAGATTTGCTTACTTTAGAATTTCATATAAATGGAATAATACAGAATGTTATCTTTTGTTATCTGAATTATTTTGTCAATATATGTTTTTGAGATTCATCTATTTTTGTTGTGGGTATCAGCAGTTTGTTAGCATTTATGGCTGAGAAATATTCCATTGTATGTATATGCCACAATTTATTAATTCATTCACCTGTTGATAAGTATTTGGATTTGTCTGGTTGGGGCTTTTTGAATAAAGCTCACATGAGCATTTGTGAATATATATTAGTATATTTCTTTCTGTGCACATACACTTCCATTTCTCTTGGTTAACGTGAAATCCCTGGGTGAGATGGTGTTTACTAATTACTTAGTAATTATGAAACTCTTTTCCAAATTGATTGTACCATTTTTTATTCCCACTACATGAGAGTTCCAGCTGCTTTACATCCTAATACTTGGTATTGTCAACCCTTTTAATTTTAATCATTCTAATTGTTTTGCAGTGGTATATAATTGTTTTTAATTTATATTTCTTGTGATGACTAATGATGATGAGCATTTTGCATGTACTCGGTCATTTCTATATATTCTTTTGTGAAATGTCTATTCAAATCATGTGCACGTATTTTAAACTCAGGTTGTTTGTCCTCTTATTCAGTTGCAAATATTTTTTTATATTATCTTCTCCTATTTTCTTAATGATGTCTTTTGAAGACTAGATTTTTTTTATTTTAATGAAGTCCAGTTTATAATTTTTCTTTTTTATACCTAGTGTATTTTGTGTATCATATAAGGGACCTTAGCCTACCAAAGGTAACAAAGGTCCTGTATTTTCTATAAAAATTTTCTAAATTTTCCTTTTACATTTAGGTGTATAGTCCATTTTGAGTTAATCTTTGTCTATGAAGTGAGGTATGGGTTGAGGCTTTTTTAAACCCTAATTATCTTTTGGTTACTGTTTTTTTTTTTGAATTGTGATCAGAGAATATCTTCTGCATAATTTAAATTTGTTAGAATTTGTTAAAACTTCATTTGTGGCCTATCATATTATCAATTTTGATAAATGTTCTATGTACATGTGAAAAGAATGTATGTTCCATAGCTACGGGTTACAATGCTGTTCAAATGTTCTGAATGTCTACTTTTTTTATTGCTTCATCGGTTATTGAGAGATTTGTGTTAAGATTTTCTACCATGATTGTGGATGTGCTTCATTGGTTTTTTTAGTTTAGTATGGTTTTGCTTTAAATATTTTGAAGGCTATTTGGTTAATATTCTGTCATTTAGAACATTGTATCTTCTGGTGGATTAATTTTTTATCATTTGTAGTGTCCTTTATCTCTAAGTAAATGTTTTTACCTACATTATCTGATATTAGTGTATCAGCGCTGTTTTATTTAGTGTCTGTATGGCTGTATGTTTCCATCCTTTTACTTTTAATCTTTGTGCTTTTTTTTTTTTTGAGACGGGATCTCACTCTGTCACCCAGATTAGAAGGCAGTGGTGCTATCACTGCTAACTGCAGCCTTGACCTCTTGGGCTGAGTTAATTCTCCTACCTCAGCCTCCAAAGTAGATCGGACTACAGGCATGCACCACCATGCCTGGCTGATTTTTTGTATTTTCTGTAGAAACAAGATTTTGCCACATTGTCCAGGCTGTTCTTGAACTCCTGGGCTCAAGCAATCTGCTGGCCTTGGTGTCCCAAAACACTAGGATTACAGGCCCGAGCCTGGCCTTTTGTGCATTCTTATATTTAAAATGTGTCTCTTATAAGTAGCATATAGTACTGTTATTATCAGGTCTGAAAATGATTGTTTTTTAATTAGAATATTTACTCTGATAAAATTTGATATAGTTTCTGATATTTAGGGGTTTAAATTTAGTGTTGATTCTCTATGTGTTTTTCTCTTGCTCTTTCTCTTCCTTTGTTCCTTCTTCCTCTCTTATAGCCTTTTGAATTAATTAGACACTTTATTATTTTATTTTTCAACTCTTTCAGCTTATTACACATTTTTTTTACTGTTCTCTTAGTTGTTACTCTAGAGATTACTATGTGCATTCTAACCTGTTAAAATCTGATATAAAGTAGTACTTTTATATTACTTCCAAAAAAATGCAACATTCATGAAGCACATTAAGACCATTTATCCTTCTATCTTTTGTGACTTTTGTGCTATTGTTGTTGTGGATTTTGCTCCTGCATATATTTTAAACCCACATATTATTATTGTTTATATATTTCATATTTTTAGATTTACTCATGTACTTATCCTTTCTGTTGTCCTTTATTTCATCCTATTGCTTTGTAATTTTTATATGGAACCATGTACCTTCTGACTAAAGAACTCCCATTAGTATTTTTTTGTGTGAATCTATTAATAAATAATTATGTTTTTTTAATCTCAAAAATCTTCATTTCACCTTTACTTTAGAAAAATATTTCTAACAGGTGTAGAATCCTAGTACAGTTATTTTCTTTTAGCTTTGACCTTATATTAATAGATGTTTATGGCGTACTTTCTTTTATGTTTTATGGCTTACTTACTTATTATGATGCTTATGGCTTACTTTCTTTTGTTAAGAATTCAAGTGTCAGTCTTCTTGCTGCTTTTGAAGATTATACTCATTTTTCCTCCAGTTTGTATTAACATTTCCTCTTTACCTTTGATTTTTAGCAGTTTTGGTATGATACACTTATATGTTGTTTTCTCTGTATTGAATTTGCATGGGATTTATGACTTCCTGAATTTATGCCTTGAGGTTTTGTAAAATTCTGCCATTTTGTTCTTCAAATTTTGTCTCTGTTTCATACATCACTTGTTCATTACTTTCTTCTCCTCATCATCCCCCTTCTCCTCCTCCCCTTTCTTCTGATTTTAGGATTTCAATTGCATATATATTAAATATTTTCACTATTTCCCATATTTTATCGCTTTTAAATTATTTTTTATATTTTTCTTTCTATTTTCTCTGTGTGCTTTGTACTGAATATTTTCTTCCATCTATATTCCAATTTACTAATGCTTTCATTGACTGCTTCTAATTTGCTTTTATTAACTTTTTAATTTTAGTTATTATAGATTTTTTCAGTTCCAGAATTATCATTTGAAGAATTTTTAGATTTTTTTAGTTGTATGCTGAGATTCTCCATCTTGTCATCTGATTTCTGGAACATATTAACATCAGTTATTTTAAAGTCCATGTACAACGATTTCAATATTTGAATCTTCAGTGGGTATATTTTTATAACCTATTTGTACTGTTGATTTTGAGTTCTGTGGTCTCATCTCCTGATATGCCTAGTAATTTTTTATTGACAACTTGACAGCCTATATGATAAATTTTACAGATATTTTAACATTCTAGATAATATTATCTTCCAGAGATAATTCACTTTTGTTTAAAAGTTAGGTAAAAGGAACATTAATTTTAACTTGACTAGCAATTTAGTTGTTTCTAGAGTTACAACTAAAAACTACTACACATTATAAGAAAAGAAAAAAAAACTCTGCTGTCTTTCAAAGATCTTATTAAAGTAATAAAAAGTATTAACCCCATATGCCACTAACATCTAAACATAGCTAAAAACTAGTTGACATTATCCTCACAGTACAACTAATGAGTCACCAAGAGGTCAGGTTCTCACCTACAGCAATAAATTGACCCATATCTACATATTGACTCCTCACATAAGTTCAGTAGATGTTTTCAATGTCTAATTGCATATAATTTATTCAGATTAATCACTAACTGTATCATTCATCTTACAGAAATTCCCATTATGACTAAAGTACTAATCATGAGTAGGGCCATAAAAAAGGTGATTAATCTCCTCTTTAAAATACAGCGGAGTTGCTGGGCACAGTGACTCATGCCTGTACTCCCAGCACTTTGGGAGGCTGAGGCGGGCGGATCACCTGAGGTCGGGAGTTCGAGACCAGCCTGACCAACACGGAGAAACCCTGTCTCTACTAAGCATGCCAAATTAGCTGGTCATGGTGGTGCACGCCTGTAATCCCAGCTACTCGGGAGGCTGAGGCAGGAGAATCATTTGAACCTGGGAGACAAAGGTTGCAGTGAGCCGAGATCACACCATTACACTCCAGCCTGGGCAATAAGAACGAAACTCCATCTCAAAAAAAAAAAAAAAATACATATATATATATATATACACACACACACATATATATATATACACACACACATATATATACGTATATATATGTGTGTGTGTGTATATATATGTGTATATATATATGTGTGTGTGTGTATATATATATGTGTGTGTGTGTGTGTATATATATATATATATATATATATATATATATATATATATAGCAGAGTTGGTGTAGCTGACAAGACAGCCGAATAGGAACAGCTCCAGTCTGCAGCTCCCAGCAAGATCAACGCAAAAGGTGGGAGATTTCTGCATTTCCAACTGAGGTATGCGGCTCATCTCACTGGGACTGGTTAGACTGTGGGTGCACCCCGCAGAGGGTGAGCCAAAGCAGGGTGGGGCGTTGCCTCACCCAGGAAGTGCAAGGGGTCAGCGAACTCCCTTCCCTAGCCAACGGAAGCTGTGAGGGACCATGCCATGAGGAATGGTGCATTCCAGCCTGAATACTATGCTTTTCCCACAGTCTTCTCAACCTGCAGACCAGGAGATTCCCTTGGGTGCCTACACCACCAGGGCCTTGGGTTTCAAGCACAAAACTGGGCGGCCATTTGGGCAGTTATCAAGAGTTTGTTTTTTTTTTTTTTTTCGTTTTGTTTTGTTTTGTTTTGTGTGTGTGTGTGTGTGTGTGTGTGTGTGTGTGTACTCTAGTGGCATCTGGAATGCCAGCAAGATAGCACCTTTCACTCACCTGAAAGGTGAGCTGAAGCCAGGGAGCCAAGTGGTCTAGGTCAGCAGATCCCACCCCCATGGAGCCCAGCAAGCTGAGATCCACCGGCTTGAAATACTTGCTCTCAGCACAGCAGTCTAAAGTCGACCTGGGATGCTCAAGCTTGGTGAGGGGAGGGGCGTCCACCATTACTGAGGCTTAAGTAGGCAGTTTTCCCCTCACAGTGTAAACAAAGCCACCGGGAAGTTCGAACTGGGTGGAACACACCACAGCTTGGCAAAGCCACTGTAGCCAGACTGTCTCTCTAGATTCCTCTTATCTGGACAGGGCACCTCTGAAAGAAAGGCAGCAGCCCCAGTCAGGGGCTTATAGATAAAACTCCCATCTCCCTGGCACAGAGCACCTGGGGGAAGGGGCGGCTGTGGGCACAGCTTCAGCAGGCTTAAACTTTCTTGCCAGCCAGCTCTGAAGAGAGCAACAGATCTCCCAGCACAACGTTCGAGCTCTGAAAAGGGACAGACTGCCTCCTCAAGTCAGCCCCTGACCTCCTTGCCTCCTGACTGGGAGATACCTCCCAGCAGGGGTCGACAGACACCTCATACAGGAGAGCTCTGGCTGGCATCTGGTGGGTGCCCCTCTTGGACGAAGCTTCCAGAGGAAGGAACAGGCAGCAATCTTTGCCGTTCTGCAGCCTCTGCTGGTGATACCCAGGAAAACAGGGTCTGTAGTGGACCTCCAGCAAACTCC
The DNA here is from genome assembly GCF_000001405.40 of Homo sapiens. Taxonomy (NCBI): domain Eukaryota; kingdom Metazoa; phylum Chordata; class Mammalia; order Primates; family Hominidae; genus Homo; species Homo sapiens. The sequence continues at coordinate 98,682,761 of NC_000003.12, forward strand.
AGCAGACCTGCAGCAGAGGGGCCTGTAGAAAGAAAACTAGCAAACAGAAAGGAATAGCATCAACATCAACAAAAAGAACGTCCACACAAAAACCCCATCCGAAGGTCACCAACATCAAAGACCAAAGGTAGATAAATCCACAAAGATGAGACAAAACCAGTGTAAAACGGCTGAAAATTCCAAAAACTAGACTGCCTCTTCTCTTCCAAAAGATCACAACTCCTCGCCAGCAAGGGAACAAAACTGGACGGAGAATGAATTTGAAGAATTGACAGAAGTAGGCTTCAGAAGGTGAGTAATGACAAACTCCTCCAAGCTAAAGGAGCATGTTCTAACACAATGCAAGGAAGCTAAGAACCTTGAAAAAAGGTTGGAGGAATTGCTAACTAGAATAACTAATTTAGAGAAGAACATAAATGACCTGATGGAGCTGAAAAACATAGCACAAGAACTTCGTGAAGCATACACAAGTATCAATAGCTGAATGGATCAAGCAGAAGAAAAGATGTCAGAGATTGAAGATCAACTTAATGAGATGAAGTGTGAAGACAAGATTAGAGAAAAAAGAATGAAAAGCAACAACCAAAACCTACAAGATATATGGGACTATGTGAAAAGACCAAACCTACGTTTTACTGGTGTGCCTGAAACTGACGGGGAGAATGGAATCAAGTTGGAAAACACTCTTCAGGATATTATCCAGGAGAACTTCCCCAACCTAGCAAGACAGGCCAACATTCAAATTCAGGAAATACAGAGAACACCACAAAGATACTCCTCGAGAAGAGTAACCCCAAGACACATAATCTTCATATTCACCAAGGTTGAAATGAAGGAAAAAATGTTAATAGCAGCCAGAGAGAAAGATCAGGTTACCCACAGAGGGAAGCCCATCAGACTAACAGCAGATCTCTCTGCAGAAACCCTACAAGCCAGAAGAGAGTGGGGGCCAATATTCAACATTCTTAAAGAGAAGAATTTTCAACACAGAATTTCATATCCAGCCAAACTAAGCTTCATAAGCAAAGGAGAAATAAAATCCTTTACAGACAAGCAAATGGTGAGAGATTTTGTCACCACCAGGCCTACCTTGCAAGAGCTCCTGAAGGAAGCACTAAATATGGAAAGGAAAAACCAGTACCAGCCACTGCAAAAACATATCAAATTGTAAAGACCATCGACACTAGGAAGAAACTGCATCAAGTAATGGGCAAAATAAGGAGCTAGGATTATAATGACAGGATCAAATTTACACATAACAATATTAACCTTAAATGTAAATGAGCTAAATGCCCCAGTTAAAAAACACAGACTGGAAAATTGGATAGAGTCAAGGCCCATTGGTGTGCTATATTCAGGAGACCCATCTCACGTGCAAAGACACACATACCAACGCAAAGAGATGGTAAACATTTACCAAGCAAATGGAAAGCAAAAAAAAAGCAGGAGTTGCAATCCTAATCTCTGATAAAACAGACTTTAAAGCAACAAGTATCGAAAAAGACAAAGAAGGGCATTAATGGTAAAGGAATCAATGCAACAAGAAGAGCTAACTATCCTAAATATATATGCACCCGATACAGGAGCATGCAGATTCATAAAGGAAGTTCTTAGAGCCCTACAAAGAGACTTAGACTCCACACAATAATACTGGGAGACTTTCACCCCACTGTCAGTATTAGACAGATCAATGAGACAAAAAATTAACAAGGATATTCAGGACTTGAACTCAGCTCTGGACCAAGCAGACCTAATAGACATCTACAGAACTCTCCACCCCAAATCAACAGAATATACATTCTTCTCAGCACCACATCACACTTATTGTAAAACTGGCCATATAATTGAAAGTAAAACACTCCTCAGCAAATGCAAAAGAATAGAAATCATAACAAACAGTCTTTCAGATCACAGTCCAATCAAATTAGAACTCAGGATTAAGAAACTCACACAAAACCGTACAAGTACATGGAAATTAAACAACCTGTCCCTCAATGACTGCTGAGTAAATAACAAAATTAAAGCAGAAATAAATAAGTTCTTTGAAACCAATGAGAACAAAGACACAATATACCAGAATCTCTGAGACACAGCTAAAGTAGGGTTTAGAGGAAAATTTATAACACTAAATGTCCACAGGAGAAAGCAGGAAAGATTTAAAATGGAAACCCTAACATCACAATTAAAATAACTAGAGAAGCAAGAGCAAACAAATTCAAAAGCTAGCAGAAGACAAGAAATAACTGAGGTCAGAGCAGAACTGAAGGAGATAAGAGACACGAAAAACCCTTCAAAAAATCAATGAATCCAGAAGCTGGTTTTTTGAAAAGATCAACAAAATAGACCACTAGCCAGACTAATAAAGAAGAAAAGAGTGAAGAGTCAAATAGGCACAATAAAAAAATGATAAAGGGGACATCACCACTGATCCCACAGATATACAAACTACCATCGAGAATACTATAAACACCTCTACACAAATAAACTAGAAAATTTAGAAGAAATGTATAAATTCCTGGACACGTACACCCTCCCAAGACTAAACCAAGAAGTCGAATCCCTGAATAGACCAGTAACAAGTTCTGAAATTGAGGCAGTAAATAATAGCCTATCAACCAAAAAAAGCTCAGGACCAGACGGATTCACAGCCGAATTCTACCAGAGGTACAAAGAGGAGCTGGTATAATTCCTTCTGAAAATATTCCAAACAATAGAAAAAGAGGGACTCCTCCCTAACTCATTTTATGAGGCCAGCATCTTCCTGATACCAAAACCTGGCAAATAAACAACAAAAAAAGAAAATTTCAGGCCAATATCCCTGATGAACATCCATGCGAAAATACTCAATAAAATACTGGCAAACTGAATCCAGCAGCGCATCAAAAAGCTTATCTACCATGATCAAGTCGCCTTCAACCCTGGGATGCAAGGCTGGTTCAACATAGGCAAATCAATAAACGTAATCCATCACATAAACAGAACCAATGACAAAAAATACAGGATTATCTCAATAGATGCAGAAAAGGCCTTTGACAAAATATAACACCCCTTCATGCTAAAAACTCTCAATAAACTAAGTATTGATGGAATGTATCTCAAAATAAGAAGAGCTATTTATGACAAACCCACAGCCAATATCATACTGAATGGGCAAAAACTGGAAGCATTCCCTTTGAAAATGGCACAAGACAATGATGCCCTCTCTCACCACTCCTATTCAACATAGTATTGGAAGTTCTGGCCAGGGCAATCAGGCAAGAGAAAGAAATGAAGGGTATTTAAGTAGGAAAAGAGGAAGTCAAATTATCTCTGTTTGCAGATGACATGATTTTATATTTAGAAAACCCCATCATCTCAAACTAAAATCTCCTTAACCTGATAAGCAACTTCAGCAAAGTTTCAGGATACAAAATCAATGTGGAAAAATCACAAGCAATCCTACACACCAATAACAAACAGAAAGCCAAATCATGAGTGAACTCCCATTCGCAATTGCTACTAAGAGAATAAAATACCTAGTAATACAACTTACAAGGGATGTGAAGGACCTCTTCAAGGAGAACTACAAACCACTGCTCAAGGAAATAAGAGAGGACACAAACAAATGAAAAAACATTCCATGCTCATGGATAGGAAGAATCAATATCATGAAAATGGCCATACTGCCTGAAGTAATTGATAGATTCAATGTGATCTCCATCAAGCTACCATTGACTTTCTTCACAGAATTGGAAAAAACTACTTTAAACTTCATATGGAACCAAAAAAGAGCTGGCATAGCCAAGACAATCCTAAGCAAAAAGAACAAAACTGGAGGCATCACGCTACCTGACTTCAAACTATACTACAAGTTTACAGTAACCAAAACAGCATGGTACTGGTACCAAAACAGATATATAGACCAATGGAACAGAACAGAGGCCTCAGAAATAACATTACACATCTACAACCATCTGATCTTTGACAAACCTGACAAAAACAAGCAATGGGGAAAGGATTCCCTATTTAATAAATGGTGTTGGGGAAACTGGCTAGCCATATGCAGAAAACTGAAACTGGGCACTTTCCACACATCTTATACAAAAATTAACTCAAGATGGATTAAAACTTTAAATGTAAAACCCCAAACCACAAAAACCCTAGAAGAAAACCTAGGAAATGCCATTCAGGACATAGGCATGGGCAATGACTTCACGACTAAAACACCAAAAGCAATGGCAACGAAAGCCAAAATTGACAAATGAGATCTAATTAAACTAAAGAGCTTCTGCACAGCAAAAGAAACTATCATCAGAGTGAACAGGCAACCTACAGAATGGGAGAAAAAATTTTGCAATCTATCCATCTGACAAAGGGCTAATATCAAGAATCTACAAAGAACTTAAACAAATTTACGAGAAAAAAAACAAACAACCCCCATCAAAAAGTGGGCAAAGGATATGAAGAGAAACTTCTCAAAAGAAGACATTTATGTGGCCAACAAACATATGAAAAAAAGCTCATCATCACTGGTCATTAGAGAAATGCAAATCAAAACCATAATGAGGTACCATCTCACACTAGTTAGAATGGCGATCATTAAAAAGTCAGAAAACAACAGACGCTGGAAAGGATGTGGAGAAATAGGAATGCTTTTACACTGTTGGTGGGAGTGTAAATTAGTTCAATCATTGTGCAATACAGTGTGACAATTCCTCAAAGATCTAGAACCAGAAATACCATTTGACCTAGCAATCCTATTACTAGGTATATATCCAAAGGATTATAAATCATTCTACTATAAAGACATATGCACACGTATGTTTACTGCAGCACTATTCACAATAGCAAAGACTTGGAACTAACCCAAATGCCCATCAATGATAGACTGGATGAAGAAAGTGTTGCATATATACACCGTGGAATACTATGCAGCCATAAAATAGGATGAGTTCATGTCCTTTACAGGGACATGGATGAAGCTGGAAATCATCATTCTCAGCAAACTAACACAGGAACAGAAAACCAAACACTACATGTTCTCACTCATAAGTGGGAGTTGAATAATGAGAACACATGGACACAGGGAGGGGAACATCACACAACAGGGCCTGTCAGGTGGTAGGGGTCTAGGGGAGGGATAGCATTCAGAGACATACCTAATGTAGATGACGTGTTCATGGGTGCAGCAAACCACCATGGCATGTGTATACCTATGAAATAAACCTGCACATTCTGCACAAGTATCCCAGAACTTAAAGTATAATATAAATATATATGTGTATGTATATATCTCTGCTATATATATGTACATGTATATATACATATATATCCGCTATATATGTGTATGTATATACACATATATGTCCACTATATATGTATACATACAGATATATACATATAGGTACATATGTAATATATATGTGCACATGTATACATATATGTACATATATACATATATTACATATGTAATATATGTATATATACACATATATACGTATACATGTGTATATGTACATATGTACATATGTAATATATGTATATATACATATGCATATATTATACGTATATGTATAATATAATAATATATTAATATATTAATGAATGAATTAATTAATTCATTAATATAATAATATAATAAATTATACATATACGTATAATATATGTACTATATGTATATATACATATATGTATGGTAATATATGTATATGTACATATGCGTATATACGTGCATATATACATATATGTACATATGTGTATGTGTGTATATATACATATGGGTATATATGTGTGTATATGCATATATGTACCTATGTGTATATATGTGTGTATATGCATACATGTACTATGTGTATATATGTGTGTATATACATACATGTACATATGCGTATATCTGTATATACATATGTGTATATATGTGTATATATACATATACGTACATAAATGTATATATGTCTATATATACATATATGGCAGATATATAATATATATGGAAATATATATAATATATTATATATGGAAATATATATTGCATTATATATGGAAATATATATAATATATTATATATGGAAATATATATTGTATTATATATGGAAATATATATTATATTATATATAGAAATATATATTATATATGGAAATATATATTATATTATATGAGGAAATATATATTATATTATATGTGGAAATATATATTATATTATATATGGAAATATATATTATATTATATATGGAAATATATTATATATTATGTGTATGGAAATATATAATATATTATATAAAATATATATTATATGTAATATATATTATATATGGAAATATATATTATATATTATATATGTGGAAATATATATAACACATAATATATGGAAATATATATATAATAAATATATATGGAAATATATGATACATATTACATATATGGAAATATATGATATATATTATATATATGGAAATATATGATATATATTATATATGGAAATATATATTATAGATGGAAATATATATAATATATATTATATATATGGAAATATATATAATATATATATTGAAATATATATAATATATATATTGAAATATATATAATATATACATGGAAATATATATAATATATGGAAATATATATAATATATATGGAAATATATATAATATATATTGTATATGTGGAAATATATATAATATATATTGTATATATGGAAATATATATATGGGAATATATATAAAATATATTATATATATGGGAATATATATAAAATATATTATATATATGGAAATATATATAATATATATAACGGAGTTTCTTTTTTTTTCCTATAATATGTAGTGGAAAACAAGAAAAATTTAAGAATTAATTTTTAAAAAATTCAGTCTTAAGACTAAATTTTTTCGTCAGGTAGTGTGCACTCAGCTTCAAGTAACAATACACTGCTAAAAGTAGCTTTATAAACAGGAGAAGTGTGGAACCAGGAAGTATGGAGAAAAATATTTCTAATTTTATTAGAGCAGTTCAGCAATTTCATTAGGAGGTGGGACCCTCCTCCCACCCTCCTTGGTACATTGGCTCTGTACCTTCATACTTGCAAGATGGCTCTCCCCTCCAAGATGAGACATATAAATATGACAATATTTGGGCCCCCAAAATCTATCAGATTTTGTAACCTCCATCTATACTTATTGTACCAGAAGCATTTATTCCATAGTAAGTCTTTTGAACTTTTATTTATTTTTATTTTTATTAATTTATGTATTGAGACGGAGTCTTGCTTTGTCGCCAGGCTGGTGTGCAGTGGCACGATCTGGGCTCATTGCAACCTGCGTCTCACAAGATCCAGCGATTCTCCTCCCTCAGCCTCCCGAGTAGCTGGGACTACAGGCGCGTGAGATCATGCCCGGCTAATTTTTTTGTATTTTTAGTAGAGACAGGGTTTCACTGTTTTAGCCGGGATGGTCTCAGTCTCCTGACCTCGTGATCCGCCCACCTCGGCCTCCCAAAGTGCTGGGATTACAGGGTGAGCAACCGCGCCTGGCTATTTATTTTTGAGACAGAGTTTGGCTCTTGTTGCCCATGCTGGAGTGCAGTGGCGTGATCTCGGCTCACTGCAACCTCCACCTTCAAGCGATTCTCCTGCCTCAGCCTTCTGAGTAGCTGAGATTACAGGTGTGTGCCACCATGCCCAGGTATTTTTTTAAATATTTATTTATTTATTTATTTGTGGGCATGAGCCACCACGCCCGGCCTCAACTTTCATTTTAAATGGTGATACATATTCCATACCAAAAAAAAAAAAAAAAAAAAGAAAAAGAAAGAAAGGTCGGGCACAGTGGCTCATGCCAGTAATCCCAGCACTTTGGGAGTCCGAGGCGGGTGGATCACCTGAGGTCAGTAGTCCAAGACCAGCCGGACCAACATGGCGAAACCCCGTCTCTACTAAAAAATACAAAAATTAGCTGTGCATCGTGGCAGGTGCCTGTAATTCCAGCTACTCAGGAGGCTGAGGCATGAGAATCGCTTGAACCCGGGAGGCAGATGTTGCAGTAAGCCAGTATCGTGCCACTGCATTTCAGCCTGGTCTACAGAGTAAGACTCCATTTCAAAAAACCACAACAACAACAACAACAACAACAGGAAAAAAAAAAGAAAAGAAAGAAACAAAGAGAAAAACAAACCACACACCCTATAATTGGACAGGCCCAGTGGCTCATGCCTGTAATCCTAGCATTTTGGTGGTCAAGGCAGGAGGATCACTTGAGTCCGGCAGTTACCAGCTTGAGCAACATAGAGAGACCTGGTCTCTACTAAAAATAAAATTAGGCTAGCATGGTGACTCATGCCTGCAGTCCCAGCTATCTGGGAGGCTGAGGCACAGGAGAATAGTTTGAGCCCAGGAGTTTGAGGTTTCAATGAGCTATGATCACATCATTGCACTCTAGCCTGGGCAACAGGGTGAGACTCTGTCTTAAAAAACCAAAAACTGTAGTTGACTTAACATAATAAACAGCGTTCCTTTCATTTATGGAATACCTGAGTATTAAGAAATATATACTAGAGGTTTTACACAAACACCTCTAATCCTTAAAACAATCTTGCAAGGTAGCTATTATCATTCTGATTTTACAAATGAGAAAACTGAAACTCAGAGAGCTTAAAACTTATCTGATATTTCCGCTAGTTGCAGAACAGGGAATTTGAGCCCATTTCCAAACCAGCAGTCATAATGATATTTATTTAACACTGGGGGCGGGTGGGTTGGGTAGGGAGAAATCAAAGCCCAAAGGAATAGGCAAATTCATAACTAATAAACATAGAATTTGTTGGCCAGGCACGGTGGCTCACGCCTGCAATCCCAGCACTTTGAGAGGTCGAGGCGGGCGGATCACGAGGTCAGGAGATCGAGACCATCCTGGCTAACACGGTGAAACCCGTCTCTACTAAAAATACAAAAAATTAGCTGGGCGTGGTGGCGGACGCCTGTAGTCCCAGCTACTCGGGAGGCTGAGGCAGGAGAATGGAGTGAACCTGGGAGGCGGAACTTGCAGTGAGCCGAGATCGCGCCACTGCACTCCAGCCTGGGCGACAGAGCGAGACTCCGTCTCAAACAAAACAAAACAAAACAAAACAAAAACATAGAATTAGCTAAGCTTGTTATTGAAAAAAAAAAAACACAAAAAAAACCTGAATTCTTATAAGAAGTCAGCAAATGGCTACAAAGCTATGATGGATATTCAGATCTATTTATAACCTACAGTTCATCATTGCACTTTCAGTAGACGGTAAGCAATTATTCAGTTTGCATCAGTAGCTATGTTGAGCTTACTCTGACATCCTGTTTTCCACACCTCTTGATCAGGCTTACTGGCATTTTGTTCTTCATAAGTCTTTGTCAGCACTTCCTACAGTTGTCCAACACTATCTAGCACATACAATTAGTCACATTTGTCAACAGTCCTCAGTAAGGTTAGATTAAGTTCAATTTCTCATGGCACCCATATAAAAAGCTCCTGATTTGACTCTCCTATAGCACAATAAATTTCACTAGCCAATAGAAAATTCTGTGAAATATATGTAAATGCATATATATGTGTGTATATATATTTGATTGTGGTACTTCTTGTGGTAGGTTTGGTCTGTATCCTCAAATAGGTGACAATCAGACATTTTTTTTTTTGTTCTAAAGGCATCAAGAAGGCTATACAGAGGCCGGGTGTGGTGGCTAACACCTTTAATCCCAGCACTTTGGGAGGCCAAGGCGGGTGGATCACTTGAGGTCAAGAATTTGAGACCACCCTGGTCAACATGGCAAAACCCTGTCTCCATAAAAATGCAAAAAGTAGGCGTGGTGGTGCATTCCTATAGACCTCGCTACCCGGGGGGCTGAGGCAGGAGAATCACTTGAACCCAGAAGGCAGAGGTTGCAGTGAGCCGAGATCACGCCACTGCACTCCAGCCTGGGTGACAGAGCAAGACTCTGTCTCAAAACAAACAAACAAAAAAGCTATACAGTGTCTATAGGTGTTAGCAGTTAAATGGAATACATGGATAAAAAAGGAAAAATAAGGAGGGAAGCAGTGAAAGAAGGAAGAAAGAACTGTATACATAGGGCAAGGGAAGGGGACAGACAGTGCTGTCACTATTGTCAATTTTGCTGTGACAGAATAAATTCTAGAACAGACTGGGAAACAGCACAGGGCAAATGTTTCTGTCCTGCCAACAGGACTAGCAGAGACTAAGCCAAACTGCTGTCACTGATTGCACCACTGCAGGTTGTCACGGATTACATCACTATGGTTTCTCTTCTCTGAGGACACATTTTTCTCTGCTCTCCACCCAGGGACTTGGACACTTGATTTCAAATTCTCCTAACAAACAGTTTCAGGCTCTTTAGGCCCAGTCTCACTTATTTGCCTACCCGCTTCCAGGACATGCTCCAAAGGGCTTTACCAATATACCCCTCATGTCGAAGACCAGCCCCATCTCTGGCTTCCTCTTCTCCCCATGTCATTCCTGACTATGGCATGGGTGGTTCTGGGAGAAAGGTGACATAAACAGGTTCCCTCTGGACTCAACACAGCAGAGCCAAATGGGAAGTGATGTTGGGAGCTTTCCTTGTGAGGCCAGTCAGTGAAAAGTGCCGACAGTCTGGCAGATGGGAAATCAGTGTTTCCTGAGAGAACAGGAAACACTCACCAAGCTTCTCAGCCTCCTTTTTTTGCCCTCTGCTATAGCTATCTGAAGCTGTCCTAGGGTCAGTGAACAAGAAAGTTCTCCCCAGTCTGTCTGGCCAGACCAAAGTAATATTTTGGATTAAGCTTCATGACATTTCTTTGTCCCATCCTGAAACAACCCTCTGGGAAGGAGAGGGGAATTCATAAATTTACTTTAGTTTGATTTTTGTGACTAAGAAAGTGGTGTTTTACCTTTTCTTCATTCTAGGTTGCTAATGTGCTCACTCTTGGCACCTTGTTAATAATATATAAGATTTATTTACCCCATCTTCATTTACTTATCATCTTTCTCCTGTCTTAAACCCCACACTTGGAGCATATAAATTTACACAGTTTATTTTAAAAGAACAGACTTTGAAGACCTACAGATCTGGTTTTCATACTGGCTCCCACGTGTCTTAGCAGAGTGACATTGGACAAGCTGGTCAACTTCTTTCAATATCACTCAGTTGCTTCATCACCAAAATGAAGGTTATGATGTCTACCTCAGAAGGTTCTTAAGATTTAAGAGAAAGGATGTCCATCAAGTGAAAGGCAAGGAGTGACTGAGTAGAAATATCCATTCCCTTTCCCCTCTCTTTAACCCATCAGCCAAAAGAATATAGCATTTTTTGTTTGTTTGTTTGTTTGTTTTTTAACAAGTTGTGAACCCAGAAAATCTGAGACAGGTCTCAGTTTATTTAGAAAGTTGATTTTGCCAAGATTGAGGACAAGCCTATAACACATCCTCAGGAAGTCCTAATGACAGGTGCCCAAGATGGTCAGGGCACAGCTTGCTTTTATACATTTAGGGAGACAGGAAACATTAATCAATATATGTAAGAAGTACATTGGTTCCGTCTGGAAAGGCGGGACAACTTGAAGCAAAGGCAGGAAGACTGGAAGCGGGGAGACAGCTTCCAGGTCACAGATAAGTGATACACAAATGGTGTACACAAAAAAGGGTGTACACAAATGGTGTACACAAAAAGTGATACACAAACCTACTCTATGAGATATGTGTGTGTGTACATATATATATATTTATCATATATATATGATAGTTAATTTTATGTGTTAACTTGGCTAGGTCACACTGCTCAGATATGTGATCAAACATTATTCTGGATATTTCTGGGTAGGGGGGTATGGATGAAAATAGCATTTAAATTAGTGGACTTTGAGTGCAGCAGCTTGCTCTCCATAATGTGAGTAGACCTCATCCAGTTACTTCAATAGAACAGAACAATAGTTTCCCTAGAGAAGGGAGAATTTTCCAGGAGAAGGCCTTCAGTAGTGAACTGCACCATTAACTCTCCCCTGATCTCCAGCCTGCTGGCCCAACCTGCAGATTTTGGATTTTCCAACCTCCATATTCATGTGAGCCAATTCCTCTATCTATCTATTTATCTATCTCTCTATCTATCTATCTATCTATCATCTATCTATCATCTATCTATCTACATACATATACATGCACATACACATCATGTTGCTTCTGTTTATATATAATTTGTATATAAACATACATATGAAATTTATAAGAAAAGGAAGTAGATGAGTTTAAAGAGAGGTTTACAGCAATGCATTGTCATGGAAAGGAATTTCTGGCCTAATAGAATATGCCATTCTTTAATTATACTAAATAAGGATTCTCCTGTGCTTGCTCAGAATTCACCAGTGCTTATGAAATACTGGTTTGGGGACACTCATTTAGGTTTTGAGTCCAACTGCTCGTTAGAATCCTGGTTCTGCCATTTTCTGGCACTGTGACCTTGGGTAAATGACTTCATCTCTCTCACCCCATTTTTCTCATCTACAAAATGAGGCCATTTATACCTACCCTATGCCTAGGACAGTTGTGAGGACTGAATGAATCCCCAAACTCTCTCAAAAAAAATACTCTAAAAATCCATGTTAGAGGCCGGGCACTGTGGCTCATGCCTGTAATCCCAGCACTTTGGGAGGCCAAGGTGGGTGGATCACCTGAGGTCAGGAGTTCAAGACCAGCCTGGACAGCATGGTGAAACCCATCTCTACTAAAAATACAAAAATTAGCCAGGTGTGGTGGCGCAGGCCTGTAATTCTGTAATCCCGGTTACTCAGGAGGACGAGGCAGGAGAATCACTTGAACCCTGAGGCAGAGGTTGCAGTGAGCCAAGATCTCGCCACTGCACTCCAGCCTGGGTGACAGAATGAAAAAAAAAAAATCCACATAGAATTAATCTCTCCTTCCAATCCTCTTATAAATCTATAACACTTTGCTCCTAACTTGTGCCTATCATGATGATTATAAAAGTATTTTACATAAAAATTTCCCCCTGCTTACTCAGTCAATAAGATTCCATCAGAAATGTATGAAATAAGAATTTCCCAGCTCCCTTCTACTCCCACTTACCAAAGAAGCAGAAATTCTATCAAATATCAGGAATAATTTTTTTTAATGCAAATTCCTCTTTGAAACCCTTTGACCCTCAGGAGATTTAAATTCTATGAGGTGAAAAAGAGAACATACCAGACCTTTAAAACAGTAGATGAGAAATATTTGCATTTCTGAAAGAATTTTCATATGATTCATGAGTCATCTTCCTCTTTGGCCACCTAATACAAATTCAGGATGTTATTTATTGTCTCTATAAAAACCATTTTTTCCATATATCTCTGGATAATTCTTTTGCCACAACCTAAGGGGTTATGATACTTTTCCTTTCAAGAATCAAAGTACTAAGTGTGGCAAAAAGACAACAAGTATCCTCTGGACAGAAACCAAATAAGCTCACTCAAAATTAAAGAAGAGAGTTAAAGAACTTTCATGTTTTTCATGCCAGATACTATTGAAAACATCTCATAATTAGCTGATTCAGTCCTCACAACTGTCCTAGGCATAGGGTAGGTATAAACGGCCTCATTTTGTAGATGAGAAAAATGGGGTGAGAGAAATGAAGTCATTTACCCAAGGTCACAGTGCCAGAAAATGGCAGAACCAGGATTCTAACGAGCAGTTGGACTCAAAACCTAAATGAGTGTCCCCAAACCAGAATTTCGTAAGCACTGGTGAATTCTGAGCAAGCACAGGAGAATCTTTATTTAGTATAATTAAAGAATGGCAAATTCTATTAGGCCAGAAATTCCTTTCTATGACAATGCATTGCTGTAAACCTCTCTTTAAACTCATCTACTTCCTTTTCTTATAAATTTCATATGTATGTTTATATACAAATTATATATAAACAGAAGCAACATGATGTGTATGTGCATGTATATATATGTAGATAGATAGATAGATAGATAGATGATAGATAGATAGATAGATAGATAGATAGATAGATAGATAGATAGAGGAATTGGCTCACATGAATATGGAGGTTGGCAAATCCAAAATCTGCAGGTTGGGCCAGCAGACTGGAGACCAGGGGAGAGTTAATGGTGCAGTTCACTACTGAAGGCCATCTTCTGGAAAATTCTCCCTTCTCTGGGGAAACTATTGTTTTGTTCTATTGAAGTAATTGGATGATGTCTACTCACATTATGGAGAGCAAGCTGCTGCACTCAAAGTCCACTAATTTAAATGCTATTTTCATCCATACTCCCCTATCCAGAAATATCCAGAATAATGTTTGATCACATATCTGAGCAGCATGACCCAGCCAAGTTAACACATAAAATTAACTATCATATATATGATAAATATATATATATGTACACACACACGTATCTCATATATAACCCCTCTCTATATAAACTTTTCATAAAGGAAAGGTGATATTTTTGTAGTACCTTAGGAATTACGAATAGGAACATTTGAAATCACTGTTGAAGGGCTAAACACATAGAAAGCATTGGGTCAAATTCTGTACTGACCACCAGACATAACCAGGAATTTAGATTCATGAATAACTTCTGACTATTAGCTTTTCTTGTGATTCATTTCTTTCTCCTAAAGCTTGAGGGCAAACAAAACAAAAATCAGGTTAATCAAATAAAATGATACATTTCTGCCTATGAATTATCTAATTTATCTATTTGTCTGTCAGTTCATCTATCTACTGAGACTTAGAAGAAGGTCTACATTCTTTCTCAGCCAGAACTGAAAATAGGGCAGACTGGATAATACAGGCTTCTTTGCTTTCCAAAAAGAGAATGACCAGACCTCCCACTACCCCGCTTAAAAGTTATGTACAAATGACTTAGTTAAAGTGATGCAAGTTTTCCAAAATGTTGTGGGTAGCCTTGATGATGAGGAAATTATCGAAATACCGGTGCAAACAATCTCTAGAGAGTACACCAGACAATCCATTAGGGTGCAAGTAGAATATGCTGTATTAGGATATATGCATTCTCTTTATATGTAGTTTTAGTTTAAAATATTTTAAAAACATATATTGACACTTCCCTTATGATTGTCAGCCAATCACCTGTCATGTACAATGTGAAAAGGGCCTAAGGGACAAGTAGAAGATACACAATGACAACGCAACAGCACCATTGCTCATTGGTTTGCTATATATTGCAGAACACAGGTGCCTTGTTAAGTGAATTTACATATTCTGGCTCTGATTTTAACCTAACTAGTCCTCACAAAATGGGTAGGTGACTAAAAAATCTATTCCAGCAAAGAATTGAAGGTGTTAATAATGCATGTACGAGGGAACAATTAGAAAACTGCAGGGCTAACACTTTTATTCCTGCCACAAGCTGTTGCCAGAAACACTAAAATTACCAAGAATATTATTTGAAATATCTATTTATATACATTATCGTTATATAGGTGGCTAATATACAAAATAATTTTTTCGTGAGATAGAGTCTCACTCTGTTGCCTAGGCTGGAGTGCAGTGGCGTGGTCTCAGCTCACTGCAAACTCCTCCTCCCGGGTTCAAGCAATTCTCCTCCTCAGCCTCCTGAGTAGCTGGAATTACAGGCACCTGCCACCAAGCCTGGCTAATTTTTGTATTTCTAGTAGAGACAGGGTCTCACCATGTTGACCAGGCTGGTCTCGAACTCCTGACCTCATGATCCACCTGCCTCAGCCTCCTAAAGTGCTAAGATTACACATGTGAGCCACTGCGCCCCGCCACAAAATAAATGTTTAAACTACTACTTTAAAATATTTCATGTTATTGGATGGGCGTGGTGGCTCACGCCTGTAATCCCAGCACTTTGGGAGGCCAAGGCGGGCGGATCACGAGGTCAGGAGTTCAAGACCATCCTGGCTAACACGGTGAAACCCCGTCTCTACTAAAAATACAAAAAAATTAGCAGGGCGTGGTGTCGGGTGCCTGTAATCCCAGCTACTTGGGAGGCTGGGGCAGGAGAATCTCTTGAACCCGGGAGGCGGCGGTTGCAGTGAGCTGAGACAGCACCACTGCACTCCATCCTGGGCAACAGAGTAAGACTCTGTCCCCCTCAGAAAAAAAAAAAATCGATGTTATTGATAAATTGCAAAAGTGGCCACAAATTCTATCTATCCCTGTATGCTTATCCATTCACAATGTGACTTTGCAACTACTCCCATGAAGAGGTAAATTCTGTTCTATTCCTTGAATCTGAATTTGACCATGTGGACAAAGAAATGGTTGTAAAAATTATACAAGAAGACTTAAACAGATATTTCAATATGTTTATTGAAATAATCCTGTCCCTGCTTCATCATTATATATCACGTGTGTTGGGGCAGATAATTTGTCTTTTTAGTTCATTGGCTTCTAAAACTAGAAGAGCAATATCGGAAGAGACTCATCTGATCTGATTTAGATTATGAGATCCCAAACCATTATTAGATGAGACTGTGGTGCAAGGATCTCATCTGCAGAAGGAATAGTTTCAGGCCTAGATCACTTTGGCTCTAAACATAACAGTTTGCCCCTTGCAAACCCACAGGGAATACCTGCTGGATGACAAGAGATGTGTGTCCCAACCACCGCTGTCACCCAGCCAACAGCTGATCAACCTTCAGGAGCAGAGCTGTCAGAGCAAGTTTTACCTGCTCAGAGGCACTCTGAACTAAATGAGCCAGTTGAGAAAAGCATCCAATTGATCCCAGCCAAAATAGTTGACTTAAAAATTATAAAATAAACATAACTGTTATTCCAGGCAAATGAGTTGGCTAGAGGGTGGTTTGTCTACTTGTCTGTGTCTACACCAGTTGGATACTAAAATTCAATATAGCTTGATATCTGCTGAGGCAAATCTCTCCCCACCATACACACCTTTTCCTTCAGAAGAGTCCTGGGGCTATTCTTGGCTTTTTTTTCAGCTCTATACATTTTGAATGAGCTTATCAAGTACAGTGGAACCAAAAAATACCCTGTTGAAATTTTCACTGGAATTGTGTTAAATCTATAGATACATTTAGAGGAACTGGCATATTTTTAATGTTGACTCTTTCTATCCATAAATAACATTTCATACATCTTTTAGATTTATTTATAAATATATTATTTTGTTGCTAATCTAAATTAGATTTTAAAAATTCTACTTTTCCAAATGATTGTGGCAGGTGTATCAAAGTGCAAATGACTTAATTGTAATAATTTGTCTGTGGGTGTCTGAAAAATTTTTCCCCTCCCTCCCTCCTTTCCTCCCTCCCTTCCTTTCTTTTTTTTTTTTGAGACACGATATCCCTCTGTCGCAACACAAGCTGGAGTGCAGTGGTGGTAGAATCCCAGCTCACTGCAGCCTCGACCTCCCAGGCTCAAGCTATCCTCCTGCCTCAGCCTCTTGAGTAGCTGAGAGTTTAATAAGAATAGCACCATCATGCCTGGATTTTTTCTTTCCTTCTTTTTTTTTTTTTTTGAGACAGAGTCTCACTCTGTCACCCAGGCTGGAGTGCAGTGGTGTGATCTTGGCTCACTGCAACCTCTGCCTCCCAGGTTCAAGCGATTCTCCTGCCTCAGCCTCCGAAGTAGCTGGGACTACAGGTGTGTGTCACCACGCCCGGCTAATTTTTTGTATTTTTAGTAGAGATGGAGTTTCACTGTGTTAGCCAAGATGGTCTCGATCTCCTGACCTCGTGATCTGCCTGCTTCGGCCTCTCAAAGTGCTAGGATTACAGGCGTGAGCCACCACACCTGGCCTTCTTTCCTTTTTTTTTTTTTTTTTTTTTACTTTTTGTAGAGACAGGGCCTCACTATGTTGCCCAGGCTGGTCTCAAACTCCTGGACCCAATAGGTCTTCCCGCCTCAGCCTCCTGCAGTGCTGGGATTACAGGCATGAGACACAATGCCTCTGCCAAAATTTTCTATGTAGACAATAATCTAGAGAAAATAGCTTTCTCTCTCTCTCTTCCCATTATACTTGATAATGGATGAGTCCAAAGTAACAGCTGCAAATACAAGAGGAAGCAGAAGGGAAAGAAAAGAAATGAAGCCAAAGTGCCCTTTTCTTCCACTATAAATTTGCAAGTCTGAAGCAGACTGAGGAAGGAGTAGCTACTCGGGTAAGAATTTCAGTTTTGATGTTACAACTGCAGGGAATAGAGGTAAATTATATTAGATAAGACTGAACTTGTATTTTCTAAGAACAATTGTAAAATCTGTGGCACAATGGAACATTGCTCTCTTAAATGTTTCAATCAATAAAAATAACTTAAGCCTTAAAAAAGGAAGTATAACACATATTTAATGTTGCTCTGGCATGGCAAGGAAACTGAGGTAGCCATAAAAGCCAAAAAAATCAAAGTAAAAGTGGGAAATCTAAGAAGTAACCAAAAAACAAAGCCAGCATTTGCCTGAGGACACATTCAGACCCCTCCATTTCCCACCCACCCCCAGTGACTCTGAGTTTCTGCTTTCATGAATGCTCAATTCTGGTGACGTAAAGCCCAGTTGTGGTGACATAAAGCTTCCATCAACATCGGAAGTCTAGTTGGACCACTTCCTGTATAAAGCTGGTAGATGAATAATTGTCTCCAAAAATGTCCATATCTTACTTCCCAGAACCTACAAATATGTGGTTACATGGAGAGGGAGAATTAAGTTTGCAGATAAAATTAAGGTTGCTAATCAGCTGACTTTAAGATAAACAGATTATCCTGGATTACCCAGTGGACTCAGTGTAAGCAGAAGGACTCTTTAAGTGTGGAAAAGGGAGGAAGAAGGTCAAGAGTCAGAGAGATTTGAAGATGCTATCCTGCTGACTTTGAAGATGGAAGAAAAGACTATGAGCCAAGGAATGCATGTGGCCTTTAGAAACTGGGGAAGGCAAGGAAACAGATTCCCCAGTACAGCCTCCAGAAGCAACGCAGACTTGCTGACACTGATTTCAGCCCAGACTTCCAACTTTTAGAGCCATAAGATTATAAATTTGCATTGTTACTAGCCACTAAATTGGTGATAATTTGTTACAACAGCAATACAAAAGTAATACAGAGCCCAAAGGGATAATATATCTTCAATACAGAAATGTTGGGGGAAATTATGGTTATGAAGAAAATAGAATAATTTTTATAATACATGTTAAGATGGGGCCAGGTGTGGTGGCTCACACCTGTAATCCTGGCACTTTGGGAGGCCGAGGTGGGTGGATCACAAGGTCAAGAGTTCGGACCGCCTGGCCAACATGGTGAAACCCTGTCTCTACTAAAAATACAAAAATTAGCTGTGCATGGTGGTGCGTGACTGTAATTCCAGCTACTCGGGAGGCTGAGGCAGGAGAATCACTTGAACCTGGGAGGCGGAGGTTGCAGTGAGCCAAGATCGCGCCATTGCACTCCAGCCTAGGCAACAGAGCAAGACGCCGTCTCGAAAAAAAAGAAAAAAAAGAAAAAAAGTTAAGATGGAGCACACAAAAACATATCCAACCTACTCAGGAGTTCAAAGCACTCTTACTAATTGAATTTGATTTGATGAAATTAAAAGTGTCATCTGCCTCTGAGAAAGGCAGGGCAAGATTCATTAACAATTAAATTTACTGGAAAAGGAAGAGCTGAGTCACTATGCCTGAAGCATGAGAATATCTTCATTCTGTGGAATTCAGGATCTTATAAACAGAAATAGATGCCCCTCCCAGCAATGAGTTCCTTCCTATCTTCGAGATGCTTTGATCATGCTCCCCAAATGGAAGAAATGGTTTTTGTAAGTTAAGGAAATAATTTCAATTTTATGACATTCAAAATATGAATTATGAGGGTTATTTGGGGAACAGACCACTGAAGTTCACAGAGTAAAAAAATCCAGGCCAGGCACAGTGGCTCACACCTGTAACCCCAGCAATTTGGGAGGTCGAGGTGGGTGGGTCACCTGAGGTCAGGAGTTTGTGACCAGCCTGGCCAACATAGTGAAACCCCGTCTCTACTAAAAATACAAAAATTAGCCGGGCGTGGTGGCAGTTTCCTATAATCCCAGCTACTTAGGGGGCTGAGGCAGGAGAATCCTTTGAACCTGGGAGGCGGAGGTTGCAGTGAGCCAAGACTGCACCATTGTACTCCAGCCTGGGCAACAAGTGTGACACTCCATCTCAAAAAAAAAAAAAAAAAATCCAGGACTCCTTCTGAGACTTTTTCTAAAAGTGCTAAAAGTGCTACTGCTTCTACACATGAGAAGCGTTACATCATTTTTTTTTTTTTTAGACAGAGTTTCACTCTTGTTGTCCAGGCTGGAGTGCAATGGCACCATCTTGCCTCACTACAACCACCACCTCCTGGGTTCAAGCAATTCTCCTGCTTCAGCCTCCTGAGTAGCTGAGATTACAGGCGTCCACCACCAGGCCCGGCTAATTTTTTGTATTTTTAGTAGAGACGGGATTTCATCACGTTGGCCAGGCTGGTCTTGAACTCCTGACCTCAGGTGATCCACCTGCCTCGGCCTCCCAAAGTGCTGAAATTAAAGGCATGAGCCACCGCGCCCGGCCTCGTTAGATCTTCTTTTAAGTCCATGGACCTTTGATATCACAGTAGTGACTTTACAGTTTAATATTTTTTTTTCAAAGTTTGAGTGTTTCAGAAAACTTTGGCTAAAGATTTTGTGGTGGGAGGTGTACTGACTTCAAATCACTGAAGAAAAGGCAATTTAGTTGGCCAAATGGTAGCTATGTTTGAAATGTCTCAATGTTGAGTGAGGAAAGGAGCTGAAGATAAGGGTGTTACCAGAGGACCATAATTTTGGCTTCACCCAGGGCTGTGAGACAGCAAATTTTCTTCCCTTTTTAGTGTTCTTACTCTTTCTACTTTTTTTTGTTGTTGTTGTTGAGATGGAGTCTCGCTCTGTCACCCAGGCTGGAGTGCAGTGGCGCGATCTCGGCTCACTGCAACCTCTGCTGCCTCCCGGGTTCAAGCGATTCTCCTGCCTCAGCCTCCTGAGTAGCTGGGATCATAGGCGTGCACCGCCATGCGTGGCTAATTTTTGGATTTTTAGTAGAGACGGGGTTTCACCATGTTGGCCAGGCTGGTCTCAAACTCTTCACCTCGTGATCTGCCCGCCTCCATCTCTCAAAGTGCTGGGATTACAGGCATGAGCCACCACGCCCGGCCTTAGTGCTCTTACTCTTTACCTCTGCCCCTTGCTAAAGACTCAGGAACTGAGTACTGCCAGCCTTGTATCCTCCACAGCTACTCCAAGCAGTACCTTATCTGTGGATATCTTACTTCCCATCTTTGCATCTCATCAAATCTCAACTGTTATGATGTTCTAATTTCCCTATTTCCCTGCTTCCACTTCCAGCTTTTTTTTTTTTTTTTTTTTTTTTTTTTTTTTTGAGACAGAGTTTCGCTTTTGTCACCCAGGCTGGAGTGCAATGGCGCGATCTCGGATCACCGCAACCTCCGCCTCCTGGGTTCAAGTGATTCTCCTACCTCGGCTTCCCGAGTAGCTGGGATTACAGGCAAGCACCACTACGCCCGGCTAATTTTCTTTTTTTTTTTTTTTTTTTTTTTAGTAGAGACGGTGTTTCACCATGTTGGCCAGACTGGTCTTGAACTACCGACCTCAGGTGATCTGCCTGCCTCGGCCTCCCAAAGTGCTGGGATTACAGGTGTGAGCAACTACGCCTGGCCTCACTTCCAGCTATTCTTATTGGGAAGGAGCTCATCACATATGTAATATTCTACAATTCTGGAATTTTCCTTCTCTCACAGAAGAGAATGATGATCCGATGACTTGGTTTTTCTCCTCAAAATGTCCATCCATTGGCTGGGCACAGTGGCTCATGCCTGTAATCCCAGGACTTTGGGAGGCTGAGGTGGGCGGATCACCTGAGGTCAGGAGTTCGAGACCAGCCTGGCCAACATGGTGAAACCCCATCTGTACTTAAAATACAAAAATTAGCCAGGCATGGTGGCAGGTGCCTGTAATCCCAGCTACTCGGGAGGCTGAGGCAGGAGAATTGCTTGAAGCCGGGAGGTGGATGTCGCAGTGAGCCGAGATCGTGCCATTGCACTCCAGCCTGGGGGACAAGAATAAGACTTTGTCTCAAAAAAAAAAAAAAAAAAAAGTCCGTCCATTGACCCAAGAAGTGTTTTCTCCTGTCCCTGTCAAATCAGTTTCATACATTCATGTTGAATGTTAGCAGTGAAGGTGAAACCTGGGAGGTGGAGGAGAAAGGAATGAAGTTAAGCTAACCTTCAAAATAAGCAGATAAGAGGATTTTGGAAATTGAGGGCAAATGAAAGGTGCTAGAATAAAGTGGAGGTAAGATAATTGGGGAAGAAGGAAAAAGGTAAACGGGTTGTTGCCAGGGGGTTGGTAAAGAATCAACTTTAATACATTTTCAAAAGCACAAAAATTAGAACATAATTCCATTTTTCTTACTAAATAGATATTTGGTCTGAGCTTCTATGGATGAGACTGTATGCATGGACTGGACCATATAGGTCAGAGGCTAAAAGGGTTACACACTAAGTTTAGGGTGGCCAACTTGTATCAGTTTTCCTAGGACTTCCCCAATGTTAGCACTGAAATTTTTACATCCAGGGAACTCCTTCAGTCTTTGTCAAACTGGGATGGTTGTTTACGCTAAGTTGTTAGTGACTAATAATGGCTCCATGTGTTACATTTTCTGGGAGAATAGTAAGCTCTTGGTTTTCATAAGAAAGGCTTAGAGGATGAAGAAACTATTATGGCATTTGACTTCCAGTGATGTCCATAGAAATATTATCTTTAGTTGAAATGCAAACACTTATATTTTACATACCCACAAGTG